>NC_000013.11:106252979-108978417 GCF_000001405.40 Homo sapiens | reverse complement strand
GGCAGAGGTTATTTACTGGAATGCTAAGTAAATGTATTACTTAATGGCAAATATTTAGTTGCCATTATTTTGTAAACTAAACAATAAGATCCATTATCATCACAAATTTCCCACATGTATTGGCAGTGCTAGCCAATGCAATAAAATAAGAAGAAGTAAGATACATAAAGACAAAAAGATAATTACGATCATTTACATAAGAAAGTAGTAAGCCATTTCACAGGAAATTTATTAGAACTAATAAGAAAAGTCAGCAGGATTTCTACATATGAGATCAACATAAGAAACTCAAGGTTCAGTATTCCAATAAATTAATGTATAATAGAATAGAACTCATTATAGCCACACAAAAAAAAGATTCATAGAAAAAGAAATAAAATAAAGGTGTGCATGAAATTGATAGAAAAAAATCAAATATTATTTAAGGAATACAATAATAAATGTTGAAATATATTTGCGGAAGAAAAAAATCAATAGCCTAAATGGTATAATTTTTCCCATATTAATCTATAAATTAATTTGTAGTCAACATCCCAGAAGAATTGTTTTATGGATAGAGTCAAACTGATTATAAAATTAATATGTGAAAATAAAGACCCCAAAATAACCAAAACACATAAGAAAAATAGAACTTATGAGAAGTAATTAAAGCAATATATCATTGATACAGTTTTAGTAAAATAGATTAAAAATCTAGAGAGGGGTAAAGAAACATTGCTAACAAACAGGGAAGGGATCATCGAATATTCAACTAAAAATTAAACTATCAACTCCTCACATACACAATAATTTTCCTGCTGTGCTGAAAATTTAAAGGTTTTTTTTAAAAAAATATAAGATGACCTTGCGGTAGGAACAGAATGTCTATGATAAGGCCTGAAGTTGGAGCATGGTATATGATTGCATAAAGCCCAGTGAACATCCGTGGGCATGTGCCAGGATGCAGGGCACAACTTGTCTTGCCAGAAGACGTCGACTTCGCTTGCAATCAAGAAAATGCAAATAATCGTTCTCCTTGCAATTCTGCCACTAAATATACACCTCGGGAAAATTCTAAACATATATCTCAAGAGACAAGTATGAGGATACAGCGCTGTTTGTAACTGAGAAAAAAAATGAAAAGAGACTTCAGTGTCCACCAATAGTGAACTAGGTGAGTATACTGAGATTTCTTTATCCACAAGTAGTGCAGCAGTTAAAAAGAATAAACTAGGTCTTGAGGTATCAATATAGTTAAATTTCAAAAACCATATGAACTTAGCAAAGGATGTACAGAATAAAATACACCATAGGATAGCGTTTCTGTAATTCTTAGTTATTCACAATGTTATATATTTGTTATGAAAAACCAGTGGCTAGAGAAAATTAAAAAATGTGGAAGATTACATGTATTCGATAATATTGTTGTCTCTGGGGAGGGAAGGGGAAAAATGTATCTCTACAGGAAAACAAAAGGAATCTTGGCTTTTAGTTGTAATCATCTACGTCTTTTATGATAACGAAAACCTGAGGCAAAAGTTGAAAAATGTCAATAGTATTAATTCAAGGTAGTAGGTAAATGGGTTGCTTGCCTGGATTCCTTTTGTACTCTTCTTGACTACTGAATTTTTCCCAAAAAAGATAGCATATAAAAAGAGAGGCTTTTATGCATGAAATGGACAAAGAAAAGTCGGGATAAGCGTATTTTTATTTTCTCACAAATGCACAGGAAATGTTATTATTCTATAATGCATTTGAAAATTATAAACATAAATTCATTTATTACGAATTAAGTACTTTCATTATAATTGATACAGTAATGCATAAAATGTATTTTATACCAACACTCAATTACTCATAAATGGATGGTCTAGATTTTGGGATTCTCATCTTTCTTACACATATCCTTTGGTTTGTAATTCCCACCAAAGAGTTTGAATCTTGATAATCATTTCAATAAAATAACTGATACAAGGAAAGTGGAAACATACATAAAAAACGTTTGGTTTTAATCAGATTCATTTATCTGTGTTCAATCCCTGCTTCAGAAGCAAGTTTCAATTTTTTTCCCAGTTTTTGTCCCTGTTAAATGAAAATAGATTATATCTCCTGTCCTTTTCCAAATGTTTAACAGCAATTGATAAAACATACATCACATCAGAGAGAGAGAGAGATAAAACTTCACTTAGGAGATGTTAAATATGTCATATGGTCAGATATTTTCCTGGGAACATTAATTTCCAATATTATCATCAAAAAGTGAAAAAAGTTTAATTTCTGGAAGTTTTCTTATTATTCTGCAGTTTCTAGATGTTTTCTTATTGCTCTGCTTTTCTATCATCTAGTCTACCATTTAGATTAAGTTTTTAAACTTATTTCATCCTCAGAAAACTGAGAAACATTGCATATTCTCTCTTACCATGATTCCTGGAATGTTAAGGGTGAATTGCATGTGGGTTGACAAAAAATACTTAATTTTAATATGTC
Organism: Homo sapiens; assembly: GCF_000001405.40. Classification (NCBI taxonomy): domain Eukaryota; kingdom Metazoa; phylum Chordata; class Mammalia; order Primates; family Hominidae; genus Homo; species Homo sapiens. Next base: position 108,975,951 of record NC_000013.11, on the reverse strand, counting down.
TCTGCTTTGTAATGAATAGCCACTGATCCCACCTCACTCCATACTACTAACAATCATTATAGATCATCTAGTTAATGACATGGATAGTCCCAAAGGGCAGAAAACACTTAAATGTGAAGTTAGGTGATGCTTATTATACAAGTTCCATTTCACATGGAGGGTGGAAGGCATATACATTCTAAAAAATCATGCTGCTTTTTTTCATTAAAATATTTCCCAACCACCTGCCTCAAAAAGGAGGGTGTACTCTCCACTTTAGGCTCCTGGTAGAGAGAATAATGGCAAGCCTTCATGTAAAGCAAAGGAGACGTGTCTATAAGGAAGCATGGCTGGGAAAATGAGGTGTTTACACCCTTTTGAGATTTTCCAAAACAAAAAATTCCCTCATCATACCTGAGATGCTCCTGATGGCTGCGTCCCTTGAAAGAGATTAATCTTCAAAGTTTTAACTCAAAGATTTAACCTGCCCAAGTTGACCTCAATTACTTGCAAACTACTATTTATGCTTTATAAGAACAATTAATTGCTCATATGGCTACATTCCAGTCCTTTTAAAAAGTCATAAATTGCATCTGATTTATTTTATAAAAAACCTCTTTGTTGAATAATTTGAGAATAAAATAATCACAAGCATTTACACATAGAGCCCCAAGCACACACACACCTGACTGGAATTGGGGGCCTATGCTTAATCCAGCAAAACATGAGAAAATTGTGAACCCTGAAGACCGCAATAGTGGCCTTTTTAATAAAAAAAAAAACAAAAACAGTATCCCAAAGCTTAAAGCATACTGATATATCTCCAAATGCTATTGTACTTAGCAAGCATACCAAGGATTTTACAGTAAAGATGGGTAATTTTTCTGCAGAAGTAATGGCAACCCACCCTGCATAGAAAGCAAATAAATAAATACATGAATAAACCTATGAGATGAAATTTGAAAACAGTCATGAGATGCTAGGTAAAGTCTTCATAAGTGATCTGTACAAATAGTATAGATGTAAACTGTAATTCAAAAGGTATTTTAATAGCTTGCCTACAGTGCAGCTGAAAGATGTTCCCTCCTTAGCTCCATCTTCAGGCTCAGAGAATATTTTATAAACAAAGTTCTGGTTTACTGTCCCTAATGACCAAGATCCTTGAGAAATACTCTCTTAGAGCTGAAAATCAAATCCATTAAAAATAATCTTATAAAATAGGCTTAACATGCTTAGTGTCATTTTACTGTTTTAAAAATTATGTTATCCATCTATTAGGAGGTATCTCAGAATATGTTTTTAAAATCACAAATTTTACCTAAAATACAAAAATAGAATTCTTCAATTTACAAAGTCAATGACAAAATCATTATACAAAAGACTTAGCCTTAAAAATCCTCAAGAACTAAAAGGAGACTATGAACAACATTGAGGATATTAATTCAGAATGTATTAGTTTTCTAATCAATAAACTAAGAAATTATTATAACCCAATTTTATGGATTTTTGGGGGAGGAGGAACAATGAATCCCCAGAAGTTATATGGAAAACTGTATTTATGTGTGTGTGCGTGTTTGTGTGTGTATGTTTATGGTATTCACTGAATTCCCACATTAGACCTTGACCTAGAAGAGGTTGAGATACACTATAAAGTTTCATAAGTATATTAAGTGCTACCTGATTGTATCAATCAGAGACATATGAAATCATAGAAAATTCTATCACTTAATATGAACAGCAAAAAATATTCTCTTATATTTGAAATCCTTGGATACCCGAAAAGCACATTAAGATACACCTATACATATTAAAAACTAATAGTATACAAACTGAATTCTTAGTAGAACAAAATCAAAGTGCAGAATTAGGAAATGAGAACGTAAGCCAATTTAACTTAATCCACTTAAACCGATTAATTCACCTCACTTTCAGAGCATCAAGGTAAAGATCAGCCTTTTCTGTCATTTGGTTAGACAGTCTTCAGACCAAACATGGATTATCCAAAATGCCACTGGGAGTTTTTTTTTTTAACCAGCCAGCAGAATTCTTCAAAGCTATAATTATGTTTTCTCTATATGGAATATTTTTCCCTCTAATTAAGTAAAGATAACAAGTCTCACCTAATGAAGAAGTACAATTTTTCTGAAGAATATTAAATTGCTTGTTACAATCTTATTAGTGCCGATTCTCTATGTTCATTTAGACACTAACATTCTCTTAAGTGCTGTCAGATGCTAGGGATGAATGTACTCACCTAATACACTGATATCACCTTTAATTTACATCCTACTGGATGTGTTCTTTTTTCTCTTTTCTGAGTGGAGTCACTAGTTTTGAGACCCTAGGAAGCTGTGATTCACTGTCAATATTGCCACCTTCTACAGATCACCTCAGTCGGACTTGGGGACACAGGGGCAACGTTGTGAATGTGCTGATGAAAATCTGGATCTCTAGGAAATCTCACATTGGCTTAAAAATAATTTCCCTTATTATCAAAATATGTGAATTTAGAAATGTGGTAAGATGCAAAAATTATCCTGCTGATGATTTCAGGAATTGAATCATTGGATTAACATGTGAATTAAACAAATAATAACCTTAAGAGAAAATGACTTCCACCTCTCTTTGAAACATTCTCTCTTTTTTCATTGGTATAGGATCTGTTCAATACTTCCTTCTGTTATTTAAACCCATAATACAATTATACTGGGTAGCAAAGAGAAGATTTAATAGTTTGAGAAATTTCACAAGTGATATATTGTCAAAAGCCTTCATTTTTTCCCTCCATAATCAGTTTCGACTTGTGAAACAAAAAAACTAAGGCTCCAGACAGATACTGGAATGGGAACCCCTTGCTTCTCGGTGAAAGACATTGCTACTTTTATACTTAAATCCTTGAGCTTTCATTCCTGTTTCACTTCATTCTCCCACCTGCTCCCAGATGCTCCATGGGATCCCCATCTCTACAGAGCACCTGTCCGCTGTTCCCAATATCTTCCCCATCTCAGCATGCCAGTTCCTTCGTTCAGGCACTGCGTGAGCCCCTGTCCACTGGCAGGACCTTGTGTCATTCCGTATCTTATTTTTCTTAAAAGAAAAAAACCAAAAAACAAAAAAAGAAAACCCACAAAAAATCCCTACCGTTTAGGAAATATCATTGTTTCTAACCCATGTGGACCTTATTTTTGCAATACTAAAAAACCACAAACCACTCTGGACCCTAGACAGGCATGTTACAAACATGTCAGACCTGTGCCCTAAGAGAAAGAGTGGCAGTTGAGCAATGCAAATCGATGATCCTCGCTTACTACAAGTCACACCCGAGCAAAACACTAAAAAACAATGCCCCTATCTCTAATAGTGTTCTGTGAATCCTGATATATCTATTTCCCAAGAACAAAATATCTCCCTTATCTGCTACTCTGTGAAACAAAAAGATCACGAGTGAAATGTAAAAGGAAGACTGGGCTGCATCTTGGGTGTCCACCATGTGAGTCATCTGCATTGTTTTCTACAACTCTCCCCTTCCCCATAAATAAGCTAATATAAACTAAGATGCTTTCTTACCAGCCACTATATATATATATATATATATATATATATATATATATATATATATATGGCTATATATATATATATATAGATGGCTATATATATACACACATACATATAGTGATGGCTGTGGCTGGTAAATATATATATATATATATATATATATATATAGAGAGAGAGAGAGAGAGAGAGAGAGAGAGAGAGAGAGAGAGAGACAGGGTCTCAGTCTGTCATCCAGGCTGGAGTGGAGTGGTGCAATCATGACTCACTGCAGACTCACCGTCCTGGGCTGAAGCAATTCTCCCACCTCAGCAGTTCCCAAGTAGCTGGGACCACAGGTATGTACCATCACACCTGGCTAACTTTTTTGTATTTTTTTGGGGGGTGGGGTAGAGATGGGGTTTCACCATGTTGCCTAACATGGTCTCAAACACCTAAGTGATCCACCCACCTCAGCCTTCCAAAATGCTGGGATTACAGGCATGAGCCACCACGCCTAGCCCCATCACTATTATCATTACAGCCACCATTCCCATTGTGTCAGATACTCTCCTAACAACTTAATATGCACCACCTCATTTAACCTTCAAATAACCCTGAAAAATAAACAAGTTTTTGTAACCTGGGTGTCAAAGAAACAGGCTTGGATAACCAAATAACTAACTCATGAGAAATCAATGCGATTAATCATAATATTTTTAAATGTTTATGTTTAGGTCAACTAAAATACTATAAGAATGTAATATAAGAATTCATAAGAAACCAAAGGCTTAGTGAAAAAATGATCTCCATATATATGTTAGAAACTCAACTTATTTTAATGTATTAATATACATAATATTTAACATTATTAATAATATATTAGTCCAGTTATGCTGCCCAAAAAAGTGGATGTCATATCAAGTTGACAAGAATGAATGAATGAATAAAAGTATACTCAAATAACCCTCTATAGGATTACTGTAGACTAGATAGATAGAGAGATGACTGATAGATAGATAGACAGATATAGATAATATATCCACATACATGTAGATTATATGTGTATATATATATATATATATATATATAATCAACACACACACACCATTTTATTCAGAACTGATGTTGAAATAAATGATAGGTTTTGATGTTTGAAGGCATTTGGAGAACACTCCAAAGTTTCTATAACCCTGTACTTGCCCAAACTTCTATGTGCTTGCAAAACCCTGAAGAAGGATTCAAATGAGGAAAAACAATAATTTTAAATTTAACATTGAATTTAACATTTGCTAATTCAATCTTGGGGATGTAAGTGCTGCGTTATAAAATAGGCCCAATTTTAGAGCTTGCAAAAATTATTGATCTTTTTTTAAAACAGTTATTTTTCATTATACTTTAGTAGCTCCAATCATGTATCTCATTTCAGAATCCTATGGATGATATCCTTTATAAAAATTAAATACACTTTAGATCATGGACTTTGTTTATAAAAAGTGAGCAACTGGAGTGTGTACAACTCCTCAAGACACTTTCCCATTCTTTAGCCCCTCTCTACCTTCAACCCCAAGAATTCTTGTCTAAGAGGCACACTTGGGAAAGTGTGGGGCCTCAACCTATTAGCCAGGTGAACCTGAGTCTGAAGGGTTGCCCTGGACTATCGGAGGGGGTGGGAGCAACCAGCACACACACATGCATTTCACACGTCTTGAGGATTGCAGGGAAAGGAATCCCAGTGATGACAATTTATGAGGATTTGAAGAGAAAGGGTCAGTGACAGCCATGTTCGTGGCCAGGAAAGCCTTAAGATGTCAATCAGCAAGTCCAGAAATCCCTCACCTCCTTGTTCCTGTCCCTATTTTACCTCGACACTGGGGTGCGGCAGCCCAGGAGCATGACAGCTGCCCCCGCAGGCCTTGCCTGTGGGAGAGGGAGGGGAACTCTCACCTTTGAACATACTTAATTTCTGCTCCAATGCTGGCTATTTCAGGATTAAAGCGTCCATAGAACTGTGATTTATTTAAAAGTGACCAGAAAAGTCTCGGGACCTGATTAAGTTTTATCTCAGAGTCAGAAAAATATTACCCCCATTGAATAAATGTGAAAAGGAGGTGGGACATTAGAAAACATGTTTTCATTATACCACAAGTCATGCTTTTTTAATAGCGTTACACCAAAACAAGTGAGAATGGTTTCATATAATGGTTAATTTGGTTACACTGAAATAAGTATAAGGCAACTCAGTTTGAAAAGTTGTGAACAATTCTGCCTATAATGTTGACCACCATAAAACAGACACATTTCTGGCAGCCACCATAATATTATCCATAATGCTGCCCTTTCAGATCAACAGTAATTTTAACGTGTTCCCCCAGCTATCTGGTTCAAAGGTTTGCAATTTTCTTAAGCAAAAGAATGGCAAATACTTAATGGAAGCCTTTCAATATTACATTAGAAACAGCCAGCTAGTATCACAAAATGGAAAAGGGTTTCTTCAGTAATGAGGCAAAACAGACCATGAAAGAGGAGAAGTGTTAAGAAAATTCTACACCAAATCCTCTCTGTCTCACAAGGTGTGTTCTTAAGATGATGCTCTAAATCACAGTGGTGAAACCCTGGGTAGAAACCTATTCAGAGCTATAGAAAAAAAAATATTTAACAATCCGCAGTTCTCGATGTGATTGCTGTAGTCGGGCAGAGAGGTGATTGAGCTCATTTGGGAAGCCCTACAATGGTGCTGTTTGCCTCTCAAACGTGCTAACACTGTAAAAGAAGCCCTGGCAACCTCACAATTCCTAAAAAGAATGAGCAGAGCATGGCTTTGGTCTGGGTGGAATTCATGAAACACCCGAGTGGAGGTGATGCCTCCTTGGGGAGAATGGCTGTTATCTGTGGGAAGAGAGGGCCACACGCCTTTGGATCCACTGGGGGAAAAGTGGACAGTGAAGAGAGTGGAATGGAAGATCCATGGCATCCCTGTTCATCAGTGGGTGCCAATTTTCTATATGTGAAATTATGGGAATCTATGTATGGGTTCTCCAAATGGTTTAAACAAGGACTTTGTTAATACCTTCGGTGGTCATTGGGTGTCAGCTGACAATTCACAGAGATGCAGAGGCTAAACAATTTTAGAAAAGTCAAAACAAACTTAACAACTTTATTAGTTTTTCTTTAGAAATAATTTGATGTAATTTAAGATTATATTTTCATTGCTAAATGTGATCAATTTAATGTGAACTGATGGCAAGTTATGAATAAACTACATGGGTCTTCCATATGCCTAGTGGCCAGACAAGTTCAGGGCTATACTCTCGAAAACACTAGAGAACAACAACAAAAAAAGATCCAACTCACTCAAAATGGGAGTCTCAAAGCCCACATACCTTTGTGCATTAGACTGTCCCTCAATCTTTCAAGTTCATGGACTCACATGTGCTAGGTGGAGATGCTTATTCACAGTCTTGAGGTTTTCTTACAGGAAAAGGAAGCCCCTTTAGCTGTAAGTCTCTTGGCTTCTGGAAGACCAACTTATTCCCTCAGAGTCTAGGAGGAAGCCTGGACAAGGAGGGCTCAGGGCAGTCTTCCTGCGTTCGTGGGGAGCACGTCATGGCCTCTGCTCCTCCAAGCTCTAAGAGGGCACTGGCCACTTCAGGGCTTACTGGAACTGGTGGTGATGTCGATCTGAGTCAGGGGCGCAGCAGGCAGGAGCAACTGGTTCATGGTGTAAATGGCATCTTCTCATGTCTGCTGTGTCACTCATCAAATTGCTATTTTGACTCCCAAATGCCTTACTCCATTGTCTTTTTTTTTCTTTTGAGATGGAATTTTGCTCTTGTTGCCCAGGTGGGACTACAGTGGCACGATCTCGGCTTACTGCAACCTCCGCCTCCCAGGTTCAAGTGATTCTCCTGCCTCAGCCTCCCGAGTAGCTGGGTCTACAGGGATGCACCACCACGCCTGGCTAATTTTTTGTATTTTTGTATTTTGTATTTTTAGTAGAGATGGGGTTTCGCCATGTTGTTCAGCCTGGTCTTGAATTTCTGACCTCAGGTGATCCACCCGCGTTGGCCTCCCAAAGTGCTGGGATTACAGGCATGAGCCACTGTGCCTGGCCTCTTACTACATTGTCTTATTCCTCAATCAATTAAGAATCAGAGATGGAAATGGGTGCTATTAAGTAATCCCCCCCTCATCGAAAGACCATGATAGCACTGAGCAAAGTTGAGCACATGAGTGTCTGATGCAGCAGGAGCATACGAGAGGTGAAGACACGGTGAGGAGAGCACAGGTACTGCCGTGAGAGGCTGACGCTCTGTCTGTGTGCGGGAGACCAAGGTGGAGTGGATGGAGCGAAACTGTGCTTGCGTTACTGGAGACTGTAATCATGAGTTTTGTAATAATGACATTCGCATACAAATGTAAATGATATGCAATATCCTTTATTTTAGAAGTCATAAAATTATAGTTTAGAAAAAGAAATGCCTCAGAAAATGATGAAAATAGTAAGCCTTTGGTTTTTACATGAGTTTCTCCACAGGAAGGGCATTGGGAGGAGATGTGAGGAAGCAGACTGTAGTCACAACTGTGAGCAGTGCTTCCCATTTTCCTAGAGTCATCGTTTTAACAATAAACTGTGTCATTTTTAGCTATTTAACAACATTTCTTCCCCAGGTAATTTACATGTACATGCTTGGTGAACAACAAAGTTTTAAGCAAATATACGGCATTATATTATTGCTATTTTTTTATTACTGTTATTATTTTACCTGTTTGGACCAAATCATTTTCAGCTAAGCCTAATAAATAAAATTTCAGTGTGTTTCAATATTTAAAGTGCCACTACGTGTGGCCCTCAGTGGTCCCCAGCCCGCAGGGTCCGGGCCAAGCACTGCACAGCAGTCAGGCTCACAGAGGACAACACCCCAGTAGGCAGCCACACATTACTTGTAGACTGGATTCTGATCCAGCAAACGTGGCAAACACTTCTGCTCATTTTAATTAATCGCATCAACCTCACCTGCAAGATACCCAGGGTTTTTGTTTAGAAGCAAAACCTATTTGGATCCAGGTAGAGAAAGTAGAATTATTTTAAAATGCTATATGATTAATATTGGGCCTATTTTACTGTAATCCAAGAAATGAATCCATCGTGTAACAAATAGACATTCACCTGCTTCAATTTCACTCATTTTCCCTTTATAACTTGTTAGAGTAAATTGTAGTGATATTTATTCTCTCTTGCCAAATTTACAAATACATACACACACACACACACACACACACACATATATATAGTCAGTATACATGTCTGTATACTATATGTATATACATGTCTGGATGAAAAGTATGTCTATTCTATCGCAAGGTATATTTACTGTGTGTATATATATATACAGTAATAAATACATATATACTGTGAAAAATATGTCTATTCTATCACAATCAATGTGCTCTACAACTTTGACCATAAGGATATTATTTATTTATATAATCTTTTTTGACACGATTACAACATTTCAAAAACACAGGATTGGTAAACAACAAGAGCCTATTCTAAGGTTATCCAAATTTTTGAGACTTTTCTGTGACTTAGGAAATGGGCCTATAAATCTGCAAAACCATAAGCTTTCCATGAATTTAAATGAATTAGAAATACTGCAAATATAACCTTTTCTTGCATTATCTGGGGATTTAAATTCAGGTTTGGGTGACTCATGGGAGAAATAGAGAAGAAAATATGGGAGTTACGACAGAAATGAGAATACTGTCTCTTATAAGTCAAACTTCTAATGTGTTGATTCACCTCTAATTTCCCATTAATCTCTATTCTCATTCATATGCTTAGTAATAAGTTTTAAAAGATAAGACCATCCTTATGAATTTACACATTGCCACAGTGGCAATATTCCCATGCAAAGACAAATAATGTGTTTTCCACGGTTTATGTTTGTAGTTTTTCTCTGGGTGTGTGTTTGTAGCAAAAACTGTAGACCATTATATAAGTATTTCCAATTATATAAATTTAAGGCTCTGTAAAATTTAAATGTCAAATGAAAATTTTCTAGAAGTTTCTATGTACAGCTGGACTTATATATTCATTTTTTCAGTGTCAACTTCAGCAGAGCTGTCAATAATTTTATACATAGCTAATTTGGTAGATTTAGCATATTAGTATCATTCTGTGAATCATCTTTATACTTATAGGAAATTAACAAATTAACTGATAACAATAAACAATAGCAAAATCAAGAGTCCTCATCATAGTAAATACTACAATATTTCTGCTGAAATATGGATTATACCATAGCTACTCTCAAATCACAGACTATTGAATATGTTGATCAATGTTCAGTGGGATTTGAGATGTGTACATTTTAATAAGAATTTCAGTGTCCTCTTGTCTTTGAAATCTTCTGAGATGTCTATATTTATTTAAGAACTTTCCCATTAATATATATTAGTTCTAATGTTTTCCAAGAAACCTCTAAAGGCATCAATTTTCAGGAATTTAATTTAAATTTAAGAAGTCTATACGGATGACTAAGAAATTCTCAGGTTTCATTCGAAGACAAGTACGTGAAGACTTGTGAATATGACTGTGCTCTCAATTGTCTGCTCAAGGTCACTATTAGTGACAAGAATAACAAGAAAGTTTTCCACTGATAATATGTAATGGAGAGATATAATTTTTAGATGATGAAATAGCCCTGAAAATCTACTGTTTAAGATGTTTAGGGGCCGGGCGCAGTGGCTCATGCCTGTAATCCCAGCACTTTGGGAGGCCGAGGCAGGCGGATCACCTGAGGTCAGGAGTTCAAGACCAGCCTGACCAACATGGAGAAACCCCATCTCTACTAAAAATACAAAATTAGCCGGGTGTGGTGGCGCATGCCTGTAATCCCAGCTACTTGGGAGGCTGAGGTAGGAGAATCACTTGAACCCGGGAGGCAGAGGTTGCAGTGAGTCCAGATTGTGCCCGTGCACTCCCGCCTGGGCAACAAGAGTGAAACTCCGTCTCAGAAAAAGAAAAATAAAAAAAAGATTAGGGATATGAACCAAAATGATTACCATAGAGACCCTCTATCCATAATCCACGAAATAAGTGAAGAAATAAGATGAAGAATTACTGATCCAAAACCCATCATGAAATAGGTTCCGAAGGAGGCATGAGTTACTCCACAAATTCCAGTGCCTTACCTGTTCTTAGAGTGTCTTCTTCCTGGATTTATAAAATTTTTAGATTTATTGGTGCACAAAAGGCCACATCTACCTTCAGTCCATAAAGAATGCATTTGCATATCTATGCATAGGAAATTATTAATTCATCAGTGTAAACGGGAGGGTACCCCAGGGAGAGGGTTTCACTTCCTAAAGAATAATCATTAAAACCCATCAAGTCAGATTACCTTGTTAAAATAAAATATATTAATGAAGTTTAACTTATTGGTTACCCTGTAATATGAAGCTGCTTTTGGAGTTGAGCCTTTAAGTTATTTATTACAGTAATGACAACAGAACCGAACATCCATCAACTCCTACCTTTTCTGTTCATCTTGACTGTGGAGGCAAGAATTCATGGTATTCACCAAAAAGCTAAACAAACGACTGTACAGGGACTTGGCCAAGAGGTCTCGGAAAAACTCAGCAATCTGTATGGTATGTCGTCGTATTATCATATCCCCTAAAATGGTAGAAAGAAAAGGAGGAGTGAGCACAAGGGTTCCCTCATTTAGAAGCCAACCAAAACTCCACATATCCTATTAATTCCCCACACATCCACAAGACAAGTGATGTATAAAAATTATACGGATTCTCATAAATGAGGTCTCCGTCAGTTATTATGCAAAATGTTTCCTAAAGCAGAAGTCATGTACATTGCAATCTTCTTTGTTAGAATTGTTGACCACAGCGTTCCACCTTTATTGTAGGTTGTGTAATTTCACCTCAGTTAGGGAAACAGTTCTTCACAGGGTCCCTCCTGGCAAGGCTTTTGATAACAACTCACTGGTTTGGATACTGAATCATCCTAAGGCATGTGGAAACGGGCTTTCTGGAAAATCAGATATATTTTAAATATTTTCAAAGGCATGATCTCATCAACAAGAATGTGGTTCTGGAGTTTGGAAAGAAGATTGGGCCTTAGGTAGGAATTTCTATGTCATTCTCAAAGAGACAGTGATTGAACTCTTGAGTGATAGGTTTGGGGAAGGGACTAGAATAGAGGTGGGCCCAAGGAAAAAAGAGCAAGGGTGGTTTGGCATTGAGCCTATCCCATCACTGTTGCAGGAGGGCTGAGTGTGAATGGGAGCCTAGAATTCATATTCTATGGCCTTGGCCAAACTTGCTGACCATTGCGTCTCAGGCAGAGCAGGAGACTAGGAACAGGGCGGGGTCCACGTGCAATGCGGGTTGAGGTGTTTCCAATCTGTTAGAAGCACGGGTGAGGAAGGATACCTACTGATACTGGCGGAAAATGTAGTCAGAGAGCTGCAAGTTCAAGGCCATCGAGATGGAACAACACAAGGGGAAGGGGCAGTGAAAGTGGGTGTGGCCATTTATGACATTGTGAAATTGACGTTCCTAGAGCCATGTGACTGAGGAGGGCAGGTGGGTCACCCACAGGGTGGTGGTAGCAAGTGAGGGTGGTGTAAGCAGAGGAAATCATAGATACTAATAGTGAGCTCAATGTTTCTCAAAAGAAGGTGCGAAGAAGAACAATGTCTTCAAGATGCTTAGTGTGGCTGGAGGCAAGGGTGCCAGTGGGGCCTCCTAAGCCATCTAAAGTGATGAGCTGGTGTATCTTTGAAAGACTGTTGGCCTTATTCCTGAAATGCCTATTGCATTTCAGAAAGATTATTTCAGAAGTAGTGTGGAAGGAGGGCAAGTTGAGATAAGGTGAGATAAAAGAGGAACCAGGAGTGTCTTGCTGTAAGGCAGGGAAAGAATGATAAATTCAGCAGTGCTGATGAAAATGAAGGGAAGGCAGTAGGAATGGGAGATATTTATGGCGTGTGTCTGACCTATGCATGGAGGAGGTAGAAGAGAAAGAGCTATCAAGTATAACTTTTGGGCAACTGAGTGAACAATGGGGAGATTCATTACGTTTGGGGATATTCTGAGAGTAGAAGTGAGGCAGGAATAATGACTCACCTACCTAAATACATGCACATAGGCCCAAAAGGCCATAGAGAAAGAATAGTAGCGATTTAGAGAAAAAAGATTAGATGAATGGTGAGTTCTCACAATCACAATAAAGAGGAAAATAGTAAGGCCATCATTTAGAGTGAGTACTTGAAGATCATGTGGGAAAACCACTCTCTTTGTTCACTGAGTAGAGATGCATGTAGCATAGAGATTAAGCATGTCATCTGGGAGTCAGACAGCGCTAGATTCTAATTCCAAACATGTCACTTACTAGTGATTTGAGGTTCAAAGTTATTTAACTTATTTGAATTTTAGTTTTCCCCTCTGTTAAAATGGAAATAGTAATGCCCACATCAGAGCAATCTGTGAGAATTCAAACACTACAATTTTTATAGGACTTGGCACAATGCCTATCAGTTTATATATGTCCAATAAATGACAGCTGTTCTAACCAATGAGGTAGCAGGAAAAGGTTGGTCCTTCATTGAAGAGTGCAGCATGGCACCACACATGCAAATGGATCCAATATTTTCTTTGAAGAAACCCTCTTGGATTGATGGTTTTGTTTTTCTAAGGTGACAGATTATCTAGAAAGGGTGACCAGTTAGGCAAAATGGTCTCTCAGGAGCATAAAGAGTCTACACTATAGTCATGTCAAATGACCAAACAGGCTCAGAATGCTTTCCTCATTTGGCATTCAATTCATAGAAATAGTTTCACTAAGTGGGGACAAGTCAAACTGTATTTAATTTTCATATTTGATTCTAAATTGCACAAAGATGTTAGAGCATAAAAAAATTACCTTTAAAATATTGAATATCAGTTGTTAAGGCAGATGCCAATTCATCTGTTGATACTTGTAACATTCCAGCCACTAAAATTAAATCAGCATTATAAACATAAAGTTAGTATATTTTTTGATACCAAGAACATTGAATTTTATGGCCATAATTGATAAGTTTTATATAGGCACATTACAAAACATGAGTATTTTAAAAAGTCATTACCACTGTAATTGTCAAATTCAACTAGAGAAACATCTTACAGTAATCAAAATATTAATGAGTTCTTACAGTTCTGTGCATTAAATCACAGCGGATGTTTTTCCTCCCTGTCCTCACAGATGGTATGGAATTGTTTTTTTCCAGGTACCTGGTTAAATCTCTTTGATATAGGTGAAGATATGTTGTTTCCTGACAATCTGTGGTTTTAAGGTATTTTTTAAAAATCTGGGAGCGACTAACGAGGCAACTTCAAAGAGAGAGATTTTTGGCAAGATCTTTGAAAGGGAATTAATTACATTCTGTTTAAAATGTTGAGCTAATAACATGCTCCCAAAATACACTGGGTAGTGGGGTGAAGGGTACTTAGAACAATATAAATAAACAACAAGTATGTGCTAAAGAATCAGTGTTGCTAATGTGGTGCACAGAATGAGAACATAAAAGTACATCTTGCTACTCATTTCCACAACAGATTTTAAGAAAAAACAAAGTAGACAATTTCCCCCCCTCACTGAATTCTACTATAGAGGAAAGGGTTTAAGCCAACTGGCTTTTCTGTACTATGTCGCCATCTACTGGTAGATCTACAAAATTGCACATCAATGTGGTTAATGTCAGAAGGTCATGTTCCACTGACCTTGTTCCAGGAGCTGGAGGTCAGAAACGAAGGCGGAGTTCCCCTCATTCAGGGCAGTAAACCGAATGTCTCCAAGGTGCAATATTGCTGCTAGAATTACGAACAGATTCTCCACCTCCTATGCATTTTACAAACAGAGAGAATGAATAGGGTGCTTAGAAGAAAGATTAAAAGGCAAAATTTTTAAATATCTAAAAGTAAGTTACAAAAATGATGACCCTATTAATGAGGTTGGGAGTTTGCAGATCCCAAATGTTCGATATGGCAAGAAAACTACCAGTCTCTACCTCAACATCAAAACCTCATAATTCAAAACATATTTTCTCTAAATCAATGTTCCTGTTCCTGAAATATAAGAGAGTCAGGAAATAATATTCTGATATAAATTAACAGCTTGTAGATAATTGTAATAACAAAAATGAATAATTGTGTGCTTAGGGTTTGACTGGCTGGGCTTCACTTGTAAGGTTAGACTTCACTCCCCCTCCTCTCCAGGCTCACGTTGGACGCTATTTAGACTTTGCAGTTGCTGTGGCCGCTTCATTCAAGAACCTACATCATGGTGTTCATTTCTTCGCTATCTCTCTTATGAGATAAATTAACACGATGATTACAGAATTGTTTACTTCTCCTGGAAAAACTAAAGGAGGCCTAATGAAAACAACTGTGCCTAGACTCAAAAAATGCTAATTGTTTTTTAAGGTATTTTAAGGAAAACAGAAAAAAATGGATGTTGGCAAGAGCTATCTTTGAGCAGAGGGTAGCAGGAAGTAAGAGAATGCTGAAAGAGAATCTGGAACGCTGCATAAAAAAAATGAGACCTTAAATTTGATTTTGGATAGTCATTTTTTGGCAAGAATGAAAAATCAAGAAAAAGCTGCAAGTTAAACTGTACTTTTCTAGAATGTCAAATATTTAGCATGATGATATCAACAGTAAAACAGGTTGAGCCCCGTGAAGGGCAAGTGGCATAGCCTGTTCTGTTCTCAGTCTCCTAATCTGTAATTTGAGAACAAAAACTCCTTCCCTAACTACTGTGGAAGCGGTTCTAAGAACAATGCTGATGTGCTTTATAAATACACAGTGGAAACAATACACTTCTTGAGACTTCCGTGATTTTCCCCAGAGCTTGTAGTTTTCATAATAAGGTATGATTTTACCAATTTTAAAGTGAGAGCATTGAAAAGAATGATCTCTAATTTTCAGGTATAATAATATTTTATGAAAGTGATATACATATAAAAATGTTTTTGGTTAACCCCTAAATCATAAATTTGTTTTTCAAATTTAATTTACTTATGCTGTATAAAATGGCATTATTCAAGCCTCTCAAATTTCTTAACTACTTGTCAACTTATTTTTTTTCCTTTTTTTTTTTTTTTGAGACAGGGTTTCACTCTGTTGCCCAGGCTGGAGTGTAGTGGCGCAATCATAACTTACTACGGCCTTGACCTCCCGGGCTCAAGTGATCCTCCCACTTCAGCCTCTTGAGTAGCTGGGACTACAGGCAAAAAATAGTGTCCAGCTAATGTTTTTGAAAAAAATTGTAGAGATGGAGGTCTCACTATGCTGTTCAGGTTGGTCTCGAACTCCTGGCCTCAAGCAATCCGCTCATCTTGGTCTCCCAAAGTGCTGGGATTACAGGCGTGCACCACCATGCCCAGCTTTTTTTTTTTTTTTCCTTTAAATCAATTAGTCTTCATGAAAGGTTCCGGTACCTACAAGATAGGCACCTCTGGATAGACAGCCGAAGACTCTGTGCTGTCCTCAAGAACCTCACAATTTACAGAGCTGTGAAAATAGCTATAATGTGCATTACAGTGTGGTGGACCCTATGACAAAAGTAAAAATAAACTCCTTCCTGAGCAGAAAGGAGGCTGTGCTTCTGCGTCTCTGTGTAGTGAGCAGCCATCCCTGCCGCCCGGCTAGACGGGAGAGCTGGAGGCACTGTTACGAACAGATCTGTCAGGACCACAATCACCAGTGTTGATTCAAGGACTTCACTGGCCCAGAAATACCTTCCTTTGAATCTTACTGGACATAATCTATCCCTCTAAAGTGGACTCAACTCACCATTCAAGTCACTCCCAGGGTCAGGATGAAGAAATTAATTTCATGTTTTTTGCTAGGGTGTGCATACTTCTTTTACCAAGAAGGCTATGAGTCTCCCTGGGTTACCTTAGTCAGAAAGTGTACTTTGCTTGCCCTGCCTTTGAGGATCAGTCATGAATTTTCAAAGCCCTGTTTCCAGGCAACTGATATTTTGGCAGAATGGTTTCTATCCATATCTCTAGCTTCACTTCCTATGAGGAAGCAGACATTTCAGGCATGGAAGGAGGGAAAAAAATCAAAACAAAAAAGTACCACAGCAGCAAGTGCAAAGACAGAACAGTGCCAGTGGGTAGGACTCAGTAAAGGAGAAAAACTAAAGGAGAAAAACAGAGGCCGGGTAATCAGAGCCAAAAAGAATGAGATGCCATGTGATTGCAGGCTCCTCGAGTTCCAGTCTCTCAAAACAGCAAGGGTGGGTGCAGCAAGGTGCCCCTGCATTCACTCATTTAGGGTGGGCCTCACTTCCTTCCCCTTCCTCCTGTGGACCTCTCCACCCTCCCCACCTACTCACTGCCCCGTCAGCCATAACGGTGTGGGCAGGGAAATAAACACAGACCCAAATCCATCCATGTATTGGCTTCAGAAAAATAAATAGAAGAGATTTAAATCTGTGACCTAATCTGGGCTTGTGAACTACTGGCATGTCCAAGTTATCCCTGTGATATTATATTAAATATTCTTGAGGAATTGGCCGTAAATTGACCATAATCCAAAACACCACCATGTTGAATGGAGGCAGAGATAATGCCTCTGGGAAATAGAGATTGAAGGGAATTCTGAGAGGTTTCTCTCAAGTCTTAGACCATTTCTTATGTCTTATTCACTGGCTGGGTGCTGTTTGATTCAGTAACCACTAACCACACATGGCTATGTCAATTTACATTAATTAAAATAAAGAAATATTAAACATTTATTTCTTCAGCCCACTAGCCACACTTCAAGCATCCAGGAGCCACACGTGGCTGGAAACTACCCTGTGGTACAGCACCATGCAGGTCACTAACTTTTCCATCATCATAGATGTTTCTACGGCACGGCCATGATCTAAAAGTTTTAAAGTGTAATTTTTCAGCTTCATAATGCTTGCAGGTACTTGGCCATTCTGTGCAATTAAATATGACAATATTAAAACATTTATATTGTTCAAGAAGATGTTTTAACAAGGTGATTATGTTAATTTTCAAGTGATTCTTTACATGAACAGTTACTTCAGGTTTACCAGTTTTTTCATGAGTTGATCAAGTATAAAGTTATTTGATCTGTTTTGGATACATATATAAAATATATATGTTGAATATTATATATATTTAAATATATTAAATTATATTTTATAAATATAATTTATAAAGTTTATGATTAAAATATATTTTAAATATTTTAAAATGATATATTATAAATATATATTTAAAAATATATATAATGTATATATTATATTCATTTTGGGAAAGGGCTCCTTGTCCACCCTCTTGGAAACTGCACCCTCTCCTCTTGCCACTCTCTGCTGACTGCTCTGTTTTCTTCCTAGTTCCTTTCTTCCTCAACATGTGGATGAAGTCCTGCCCCCTGCCTCCACTAGCATGTCAGCTCTAGGAGGCAGGGATTGGGGCTTGTTGTCTGCCGAATCATCAGTGTCCTCGGCAACATCTGGAATGTCATAGGGGCTCAGTAAATGCTTTTGAATGAATAACTTTTATAAATTAGTAGAAGGTTGATTTTCTCAGTGAAATATTTATGACATGACTCACCAAGCTGCTGAAGCCAACTACATTCAGGGCTCGTTTCAAAACAGCCAATTTCTCCCTGTTCAGAGAACGCTCCCCTGTGGATGCATCATCCTGTATGGTCTGGTTCAAATACCTGTTAGGAGACAAGGCACGTAACGTTATCGCCTGGCTTCCGGTCAGACTTCTGTGGTTAAAAGTCACTTCTGCCGTATTTGATCTCTAAAATGATGGGAATCACCTGGACATGGTGTCCCCACGTGTTTTCAAAGCATTTGGTGCATCACAGCACATGATATCTCAGGAAAGGAAAACATTAGTTCTTGTTGTACCAGGACATATTTACATTGCTTTACTCGGTTTTCATCTTAGCTGCACCTTTCCTTGTGACAGGAGAAGGTCACAAGTGATTCATGTTTTTGTTTTTTTTTTTTTTTTTTGAGATGGAGTTTCACTCTTGTCATCCAGGCTGGAGCACAGTGCACAGTCTTGGCTCACTGCAACCTCCACCTCCCAGGTTCAAGCGTTTCTCCTGCCTCAACCTCTTGACTAGCTGGGATTACAGGTGCGTGCCACCACGCCCGGCTAATTTTTGTATTTTTAGTAGAGACGGGGTTTCACCATGTTGTTCAGGCTGGTCTCAAACTCCTGACCTTGTGATCCACCCACCTCGGCCTCCCAAAGTGCTGGGATTACAGGCGTGAGCCACCGCACCTGGCCGTGACTCATGAATTTCATACAAAAATTCAACAGGTTCTATCATATGGTTTGTAATTAATATTTGAACTAAAGATGCCTAGTTTATAGTAAGTTATTATTTTTCCTTGTTGGTACTTTTCAATAATGAGATGGTTGATTATGCCATTGATTTACTCCTTTCCCTCAACAAACATGTACGAATCACCTATCTAATACAGGCAATACCAAGCAGCTGAGAATGTGAAGGAAAAGGACTCAACAACAGCAAAATAAACTATCCAGGGGCACAGATAAGGGAGGTAAAATCAGAGAGATAGAGTCTAGGTATAAGTGTGCAGGAAGGGGCTGCAACCAGAAGTAGGCAATGAGGAAACACAGTGGCGAAAGGCAGGCTGTGATTCCAAGAATTTGCCAAGCAACTCCCAGGCTTTCAGGTTATCCCTGGAATAATTAGAATATGTACAAAGCAGAAAGAATTGGTCAAGCATGATGCATACGGGGAAAATATATCCATGTGTGCAAAATTGGAGCCTACGGTGAGATGAGCAAAGATTGATGAGATTGGAGAAGTAGCCAGGGCTTTGTATAGCTTGGAAAAAAAAAGAGTTTGTCATGTCTTGGAAGTGACAGGCAGCTCTGAGGGCCTTGCAACAAAGAAGTGGCATGATCATGTTGGCGCCTTGGAAAGAATATCCTGGTAGCCCAGGGCAAGATTACCTGCAAAGAGGTAAGGCAAGTAAGGGGAGTGTGTGGCCCAGTGAGAGGCCAGCAGTGGTGAAGAAGAGGACGGATGGGGAGAGGGGAAGGGAGGAGAGAGAGCTGGCAGTACAAGGGGGTGAACTGGGCACGGGGAGGTGGAAAGCAGGGAGCTCATGATGAGTAGCAAGTCTCTGTCTGGGAAAACAGGGTGGATTGCGGGCCCATTCAACTGGAAAACATTCTCAAGAGGAGGAATAGGTTTCTGGAGAGATAAAGTCTTATATTTGATATTAGACATATTGACTTTAAATTACTTGTTAAAGTTTAAATGTAGTCCCAAGAAATAATAGCTATAAAGATCTGGAATTCAGAAAAACACTAGAGAATAGGATCTGGAAGTCATCAATACGCAGAAGGCTAAAACCATGGGAGTGGGTGAGCTCACTCAAAATGAGACGCTGGAATTAGGGCTGAGGAAAGAATGGCGTGTCCAGGACAGAGTAAGAATGTTACAAAAAATCTGAGTCATTAAAACAAAAGGAGAAGGTGTTTTTTGTTTTGTTTTGTTTTGTTTTGAGATAGAATCTCCCTCTGTTGCCCAGGCTGGAGTGCAGTGGGGCAATCTTGGCTCACTGCAACCTTCACCTCCCGGGTTCAAGCAATTCCGCTGCCTCAGCCTCCTGGGTAGCTGGGATTACAGGCGCCTGCCACCGTGCCCGGCTAATTTTTGTATTTTTAGTAGAGACGAGTTTTCACCATCTTGGCCAGGCTGGTTGAACTCCTTACCTCGTGATCCACCCGCCTTGGCCTTCCAAAATGCTGGGTTTACAGGCATGAGCCACCGCGCCTGGCTGGAGAAGGTGACTTTAAGACTGAATGATAGTGATGGAAAAGAGACCACAGAAACCAGGAAATTGTGCCCTTGACAAAGGGAATGTTTCCTGGAATTGGAAGGGAGAAGCAGACCATGGTGGCCATGTGAGCTGGATCTGTGAGAACTTCTTTTTCCCCAATCTCGGCTGATGGTGGAAGAACAATCTAGGGGCTGGAGTGGGGTGTGGGAGAGACTTTGGAATATGAATCTGCTGAGATAGAAGCACCAAAAAACCACATAAAAGACTTCAAGAAAAGGAGCTGCGGAAAATCCTGAAGAGGGGGACATGGATGAGGTAAGGAGAGGGTGTGGAGTTGGTGCACAGGGAAGGTCTGCCTCTCGCTGCAGAAATGACCTGACTTTCTAGGACGACACAGGTAAGGTGACAAACATGACCCTGAAGGCTGGTGCCATCTCAGGGGAGCAGGGCAACCAATGGTTGTGGCTTTGGTTTTTCCAGGAGAGAAAGAGGTTGGAGGTTTCGATGACTAGGTGAAGGTCGTGGGAACCTAAGACATTTGCTGCGGAGAAGGGACACAGCTGCGGAGCAGAGAGCAGCAGGAGCTCAGCTGATGCCGCAGGATGCCGTGCCCAGGTGGCAGTGGCGACCAGCTCCTGGGGTGGTGTTACTTCTTCTAGGGCTCCTCAAATGCCTGATGGAGGGTGAGCAAGCTGGGGTTTGGAGCAGTGGAACAGGAAAAGGTCAAGGACAATGATATCAGTAAGAAACTGGCTTACCATGGTCAGAGGGTCTTTCTGTCTGCAATCTATAAACCTTTAGCAATAAATGTTTATTATTATTATTACTATTATTATACAGGGTCTTGCTCTGTCTCCAGGCTGGAGGGCATGGTGTGACCTCAACTCAGTGCAGCTCTGCCTCCCAGGCACAAGTGACCCTCCCACCTCAGCCTCCCGAATAGCTGGGATCACAGGCACATGTCGCCACGCCTGGCTAATTCTTTGTATTTTTAGTAGAGACAGGGTCTTGCCATGTTGCCCAGGCTGGTCTTGAACTCCTGATCCCAAGCAGTCTGCATGCCTTGGCCTCCCAAAGTGCTGGAATTACAGGTGTGAGCCACCACACGCTGGCCCTAGTGATAAACCTTAATGATAAAAAACTGTAACCCCTCTCCATACTTCTGGTCCTCGCAGCAGGTTTCTATGCATCTTCCTGACATTCTCTTTTTTTCTGACTTACTTGATCATTGCACAGGTTAATAATCCATTGAGGGGCCACTTGTTTTGCAAATAACAATTGGCTCCTGTTTTCATTAGAGTCAAAGGGGCAAAAAAAAATTTCTTTTACAATTCTTGATAAGTAATTAATTAGTAAGCTCCCTGCAGCCCTGCACCAGCTAGCTTAAGTATTTCTTTAAACCTCCCCATCCTCCATTTTATTTTACTTTTTAGCCTAGAATTTACAGCAGCTATGACCTGCTCCATGAGAAAGTGCGAATACAGCGGCATGTTTATTTCAGTTAATTCTGGGTAGACGAAGCCCTGTGAAGAAATCCCGGTAGTTGCAGACAGGTCTGTTAACTACGTAATGGGTCAGGTGGGAACCAATTCAAAACAGACAATCTGAAAGGGCAGTTTGCCTGATGGCAGGAAAGATGGCTTCAGCTTGGTTGTGAGCATTTTCCTCTGTAGCCAGAAAACTTGTCATAAAGACGAAGAAAAAAACACAATGCCTTTTATACAATGCTTAAACTTCTCCCACTATTCAAAAGCATCTAGGATGATTTCACTAGAAATGAGGTTCTTAATTATCAGCAAAACTATATCTTAAAATGGGAATTAAAAAAACTACATGTTTATTTTTTGGAGATTAAAAATACTAATTTTCCCTTTGACATCACTCCATCACGAAATCTCACATAAGGGCAAAAAAACTTGGAAAATATGCATGGTAAAATATGGAAACCAAGAATCTGGAGACATATTTAAGTAATATTTGACAATTTCTAAAAAAAAAAAAACAAAACTCAAAACATTTAAATCTTTATTATCGGTAAAACAGAGTAAAAATATATTAAAAATAGGTTTAAAAATTCTCCATTTCTAGTTCACAGTGATTTTGTGAATGACAAATGAGATATTGCATGTGGTATGCCTCCTACACTCAGGTTGCAATGCATGTACAGAATGTGAGTATTTCCCAGAATGACTACATCTTGCCTATGCAGGCAACTTTTAGTCAATGTACTCTGTCATTAATGAAGCTCTTAATCAAATAAATAACTGTGCCGAGTAAAATAAACATTTTGAAAAATTTTAATCATCTTAAACCATAAAATATGCTTTTCTATACTCCTCAGACAGATAAAAGTAACAAATAGGTAAAAGGAAAAGATCGTAGTTTACACTTGGCTGTTGTATACTGACGTGAATCACCTGAAAGTTGACAATCATTGATGCAATGTTACAATGGCATTCCCAGACTTTTTTTGTTTTTTAACAGTTTGAAATAGGTAAGAATAATGGTGGGTAATGGGTCATGGACTTCCCAGTGGCCAGTGGACTCGCTTCAGCTCCACAGATGTTATCCCACTAATCTCAACACAGTGGTTGAGAAACATCCTAGATAAATCAAAGCAAGAGTTTCATCTGAGAGTTTCCAATTTTGCCCCATTATTGATTCATGGTCACATAACCTCTAGCGTTCATACCCTTTAACTTAATATTCAGTATCTTCTATATTATTCTTCTATGAGTCAAAATTGCATATCTATAGCTTAAGCCTATTTTCTTATCCTCTTTGGAACTTGGAACACTGGCAGTATCTAGATATCTCCATGTGCAGAGTCAGAAATTTCAGAGAGCATTTGTGAAGAGTAATTGCTGTTTTGTTTTTAAAAGATTGGCAGATCAAGGGAATATTCTGGCTGTTGTTTCTATCATGGGGTAGAAGACTGTTAACATTGGTGCTATAGAGGAATAAAAACTACAGATGGATTAATACTGTTTAATTCCACTCAAAGGGAAAGGCGATGGGAACTAGTATTTCTTGATACTGATGGGCCAAATTCTCCACTGGGTGTTTTTGAGGCACTTCCTCCATTAGTCTCCACAACAATTCACAAAAGAAGCCATTATTTTACATATTTCAGAAATAAGGGCACTGAAGTTTGTTTAAAGTTGTGAAGCTAGTCATTGGCGAACCAACACACCCCGTCTTGCCCCTGAGCCCAGTGTCTCTCAAGCTTAGGAGTTTCCTGCAAGGCGGATGGGACGCACTGAAGGTCTTTCTGTTCCACCTCTCCTGAAAGTCAGCAATTCCTAAAGCCTCCTACATTTCATTTACAGAAAAAGGATAAAAACACTGTAGAAATTTGGTAGTCCAATTCCATAGAAATTTTAATAACACTGATATCAACTATATATCGTTTTATTTATTTATTTATTTATTTATTTATTTATTTATTTATTTATTTATTGAGATGGAGTCTCACTCGTTTTTCCCAGGCTGGAGTGCAATGGCATGATCTCAGCTCACTGCAACCTCCGCCTCCCAGGTTCAAGCAATTCTCCTGTCTCAGTCTCCTGAGTGGAGTGGCTGGGACTACAGGCGCCCACCACCACGTCTGGCGAATTTTTGTGTTTTTTTAGTAGTGATGGCATTTCGCCATGTTGGCAAGGCTAGTCTCAAACTCCTGACCTCAGGTGATCTGGCCTGCCTCAGCCTCCCAAAGTGCTGGGATTACAGGCATGCGCCACCACGCCAGGCCGATAGTTGTATTTTTTAAGCAGTGAAGAGGTGTCTTGATCTTAAGTGCTGGGTTGAGTTGGCAACTGAAGGAGACTAGTTAATATCTTTCCTCACCAGAAATCTGTCTACATCGCCATTGTTTATTAATTTATATACTGTTCATTTCTTCACTCCAAATTTTAACCAATTATTATTTGGTTAAATAATAATTGCATGGTTATTTCTCCTTACAGCAAATTCTAGGAAAAATAAACTTCTATGTTCTTAAAGTGTCAAATCACATAAAAGTCATAATTGCTGTGAAAAGTGCCACTTAATAACATAATTTCAACAGGTATTTAATTGGCAGGGATATCCTGGGGAACATACAGGCCCTGGGGAAGGCGTCCAGCCAACCCCACAGCCTTTGCCCTCACAGTGTTCATCATCAGACGCCCACTCCTCCCAGCTCTCCACGGCCTCTAGGTTGATGCATAATTCACTTTCCATTGATTAACTTCATATCATGAGGTTTTGGCATTTTTTCTGTCTCCCTATGAGCTAGTCACAAAAGTCCCAAGAAAACCAAGTGCAACTAAAAGGAAGGAATAGACAGCAGCTGGAAGAATCTGAGCACCCATCTACAGGGGTTTCTCCAAGACAGGTGTTCGTGGTGCATACCAATCGTTTTCTTCTTTTTTTGTTCTTTTCCATATTCCCCAGTCTTTCTAAATATCAAAAAGTATTACGCGTAATCATAAGAAAAAGAAGCTCTGCACATGTATCCCAGAACTTAAAGTAAAAAACAAAAACAAAAAAACGTTTTGAGGAAGGTAATGCTTTTAAATCATCCCTACATCTGTTATCAAGTTTATAAAGTTCTCAATACAAATTTTTCGAAAGGGAAAAATAAAGAAGCTCTACCAAACTATGAATCAAAAACTGGGAGCACAGTTTTCTGTGGATTCATGCTGTGTACGGCTAAACTGTTCCACTCTGCTGCCGAGCAGTATTCCAGTGTTAACACACAGCAGTGTGTCTAGCCACTTACCCGTCTGAGAAACATCTAGAGTGTTCCTAGTGGGGCTCTTATGAATAAGGCTACTATGAACATTTACATAGAGGTGTTTATGTAAACATACACCTTCACTTCTCTTGGTCGGATGCTGAGAAGTGCAATATCTGGGTCATACGGTAGTTGCATCTATAGTTTTATAAGAAACTGTCACACTCTTTTCTAGCACGGCTGTACACTATTTTACATTCCCACCAGCAATGCAGGGGGCAGTGAGTTTCTTCACATCCTCACCAGCATTTGATGCTGTCACAATGTTTTTTCATGAGCTGTTCTGATAGGTATGTGGTGGTATCTTATCAGGGTTTTAATGTGTGTTTATCTAGTGGTTAATAACACTCAACACCTTTCCACATGCTTATGTGCTATCCGTATATTCATATTTGGTGAAATATCCCTTCATGTCTTTTGCCCATTTCTAATTGGACTAGAACAATTTTTATTTTCCTACTGTTAATTTGGAGTGCTGTTTATATATTCTAAATATTAGTCCTTTGTTGGATATGAAGGTTGCAATATTTTCTCCCAGCCTGAACCTTGTCTGATATTTTTAATGAAGTCTTCTGAATAAGAGTTTTAAATTTTGATGTCATATAATTTATCAATTTTTCCTAATGTGGATTATGATTTTGATGTCAAGCTTAAGTTCTTTTTGCTTAGTCATGGATCCCAAATATTTCCTTCTTTTGTTCCCTAAAAATTGTATTGCTTTATGCTTTACATTTAGGTCTCTGATCATCTTGATTTTTTCCATAATATGTGAGATTTTGGCTTTGCTTTACTATTTTTTTTTTTTGCTTGTTTTGCCTATGGATGCCCAGTTGTCCAGCACCTTTTGTTGAAGTTGATCTTTCCTCCACTCGATTGTTTTGTATGTTCATCAAAAAATCACCTTTTGGTGTGTGAGTATATTTGTGTGAGTCTATTTCTGTATTCTCCCTTCTCTTCCTTTGATCTTTGTGTCTGTCTGTCTACCAATACCATAATGTCTGGATTACTCTAGCTGCATGGTAGGCCTTAATATGGGTAGAGTAGTTCCTCTGATTTTATTCTTCTTTTGCATTATTTTTTTTAGCTATTAGAAGTTCTGTGCCTTTACATACAAATTTTAGAATAAGCTTCCATACGTGTCTTAATATTGTTAAGATTTTAACAGGAATTACACTAAACCTATAAATCACCTTAGGGATGATTGGCATTTTTACTATATTGAATCTTCCAATAAATGAACATTATAAGTCTCTTTTTCTTTCATTGGTATTTTTTTTTCATTTTCAGCCTCCAGATTCTGTACATGTTTTGTTAAGTGTATACTTAAGTATTTAATTTTCCTGGAGAAATTGGAAAGGGTGTTATGTTTTAAATTGCAGTTTTCACACGTTCACTGTTAATACATAATGATTAATATATGTGATTGATTTTGCGCACTGATCTCATATCCTGTCAATCGCTGAACTCACTAGTTTTAGGAGATCTTTTGCTTTTTAAGCTCCTTGGTTCTTCGCACTCCCCTTTTTCACAAAGCCTGATGGTGCCTTCTTTAGACTAAGTTTCTAAATTAAAATTTTATCAATCAGTATGAAAAAAGCACACCTTCTCCAGCAATACAGTTATCTTCGTTCTTACAGAAGAAACAGTGGCAAACCAGATGAATATGTGTTACAATTGTATAAAATTCGACTTGTGCTTTGGACAAGAAATGGTTTTCATTACAAGTTAAATTTATTGAAAATAAGTCTGTAACAACAACTGTTGACTATGTGCTATTTCTAATTAACTCATCCATTTAACCAACTTGTTTATTGTCCTGACAACAAAGAGCAGGCTGATGCTATGTCTTCCAAAGTGAGTCCATAACATAGCCAAAATAATTTGTGTATATATGTGAGGTGTGAGGTGTGAGTGTGGGTGTGTGTGCTAATACTTTTGCTTTGAGGCAAAGTAAAACTAGTTCTGGAATAAGTTTCTTGTGTCACCTGAGAACGCATAAGTAAGATTAAGCCATGGACTAAATCACAGGAGGGTTTTCCTTTTGAACAGAGGAGTCCACACTGGAGATTTCTTTCAAGAAGTGCTATGTGGAGGCACAGACAAAAAATGTTCCCATCCAGCATGAAGCATCACTCTAAGGAGTGGGAATAGATATGATTCAAAGATCAAATACAAACATTGACTGTTTGCCAAAAACATCCCCATGGAACTTCAAAGGCCTGTGTGCTCTCCCTGAGGCCGCACCTACTGTGTCTCCAGGGTGCAGGTGTGGCCCCACTCAGCAGGCGCAGAGATCAGCGCGCATGAAACAATCCTTGTGTGCCTACTTGTGTACCCAAGGCATGCTGGGATTGAAGGTTCAAGTATAAATAAAAATGTTACTACTTAAAGACAAACTTGTTTAGTCCATTCACCAAGTCAGAGACTCGCAGAGTACAAACACAATGTGTTGCTCAGTTTTTTTATCTGCTGTGCGAATACAAAGGAACAGTGTCTTCTCTATTGTGCGCAGAGCTATTTTTTACTTGGTGATGTTTAATATATAAACAGAAGCCAAATAAGGCAAAATTAAACAGTTGGTATCAATAAAGACAGCACACTTTGCTAATGACGATGGCCAAGTGCTGCTTTTTGCCCATGCACCCTCACTTTGCTCCTAAAACAGAAATTCTTTTCTGTATTGTTTTCGAACTATCTGAAACATATTAACTAATTTTAAATTTTAAGTCTCCCCCTCCTCAAGGAATATGAGTACAACTTTTTATTAACCATGCGTTCAGATACACAAGTCTCCACCTGGAAAGTATTAATATATGAGTCACAAACTGTTTTGTTTGGAAAGAGAAAATCTTGTCAGTGGTCTCCAGGAAAAGAACAGAATCTAATAAATTCAGGAAAAGAACAGAATCCTTTTAACAAATTACACATTCAGAAAGTCTTCGGGTCTTGTGACATTCCCAGAATAGTTCATCCATATTTTTCTAATCAGTTGAAATATTTCAAAACATCTGGTGAAACAAATTCAAAACTCTTGACACCTTACACATAGTGAATGATCGTATGGCCAATTATTTGTTTCTTGGAAACGTCTAGTTGGGAGAGCCGGGGGGTGGAGACAGACAGGGTGGCTGTGTCTTGCACAGAAGGCCCTGGACAACGGTTAAGGGGCTGACCGCAGCCTGAACTCATCCCCGAGCCTTGTGTCCAGCATAAACACAGCCAGAAACACACACCCAGAACTGCTGATATTTCAGTGAGTGAAGCTGTGAAATGGAGAGAAAAATACCTTTTTGCTCAGAAAGTGTGGGTTGGCCTGGCCTCGAAGATGGTAGGATTAGTTTAACAACTCAAGGCCTGGGGAGCTGCATCTGACTGGAGGGAGAGGTGGGCAGAACTTTCTCTAACTCACACCAAGACATCCTCAGCCTAGGGAGGGTTCTGTACAGGAAGAGGGCAGCGCGCATGCACACAGAAATATGCCGCAGGCGAGGCTGAACAGGTGCTGAAGTCCTCCTCAGGGGAGAAGGTGACCAGAAAGCATGTGTAAGGCCATGTCCACAGCACCAACAGGAAGGATAAACTTCAACCCAACCCTGTGTCTTAAATACCGACTAACATAGGCATCTTCACCAAAACTTTAGTAATATGCAAATATTATAGTTTATTTGATTCAGACACATGACCATGTACAGATAGTTACTACTGACAAAGGTATTCTTAGGCAGGTTCATCCAGGCCCACCCCTGACCTTCATCAAATGCTGATAAAGTATGGTGTGAACAACATCGCGCTGAATGTAACCCACAAATGTATTAAGCAACCTCTTTCAGCTTAGCAGGACTAAAAGAAAATTTTAATTACCCAGTCTCTACAAGAAATACAAAAATTAGCTGGGCATAGTGGCCTGTAACTGTAGTCCCTGCTATTTGGGAGGCTGAAGTGGGAGGATCACTTGGGCTTAGGAGGCTGGGGCTGCAGTGAGCTGTGATCCTGCCACTGCACTCAAGCCTGGGTGACAGAGCGAGACTATATCTCAATAAAAAAAAAAATCCATCTCTATCTCTGTATAGATCCATACCCTCTTGGCTATTGGCTCTGTTTTTCTGGAGAACCCTGACCAATACACTCTCTTCTCCGCATTTCACTTATTCATACATTTAAATATTTAATAACTCCTATTTAACAAAAAATTAAATGTCATGAACTTGTTTACAGATAAAGATCATGTCTTAAAATTCCTGGTGGATTCTCATAAAATTTAAATTAATATTGGGTGTACAGAAGGTTTACACATACCTGGAAGTTTCCATATGTATTTCAAAGTTTCCATATGTATACCTAGTTGGTTACATTTTTACCCAATAGGTTCCCAGTATATCTGGAAGTGCCATACATAGCTGGCTGATAAGTCCATAGTGAACACCAGCTCTACTCGTTTCCTTTGGTCAAAGGTTGTCAAAATAAGTGAAAAATTTATGCCATAAAAGTCAAACCCCCTTTTTTTTTTGCCAAAATCAAAAGAAACAAATACTCTAACAAAGAACGTATTAGGAAAAGTTATCTAGTAAAGAGAGTTTAGTATAAGAAACAAACATACAAATATTGATCAGAGATGCTCTGGAAGGAAGTATGACAAAATGGGGAGGAGGGAAGGGATGGAGATACAATAAAATACTGACAAACAGAAATTTAAATACTCCACTTACTTAGTCTGATTGCCTTCACTGATAAGATAATTAGACAAACAGCAAATTTTATCTTCAAAAAATGGCATGTCTACCCCCAGGCACACAGACGCACCTTCCAGGTACACAGCTCAGAAGTCTGGCTTCAGGATATCATGGGGGAAGCATGCTAAACACCTTTCTGACATGTTAATTAGAAACATCAGCACCTCCAGCTTTAAAGATTCATTAAAATTGAGATTTTAATGAAGAACTTAAAATGAGTAAAACGTGTACACTCTACAGGCAATCTTTAAAAGTAAAATTCAGGAAGATTTTTTTTCAACCACAAAAACGTATTCAAATATAGGCTGTACCTACTGAGGTAAACTTATCCAAAACAATGTATGTAACTAAATGACATCAGTAATAGGATATTGGATCTGGCTATTTCAGAATAGACTCATAAAGTAAATAAAACTAAATAATCTAAATTTTCTTTTCTGCTAAATGTAAAAGCTGAGTAAAAATGCCTAGTTAATTATAATTAATCCTAATAAGTCAAGATAAAAAAAGAATAGAAATGTGGGTTCCATTTTGACACCTAATGTTCTATTGCATAGGATTTGGCTCCTATTTTAAAAATAATTTCTAGTCAAGGATGTGTTTCAGAACCATTGTTGTGATTACTTATATGCTACATATTTTCAATAAGAAACGCTAGTTATGAAATAACAAAGTTCAAATAATGAATAACCCTCCAAATAAGTGGTCCCTGGCCATGAATTGTGCTTTCAGGTCACAATCACTTCTACATTAAAGAAATTTTCCAGAAAGACCCAATCACATTGTCTAAATGTCATCATACATTTACATTAAAAAATTAATGGAAAGTGAAAAATTCTGAAACTAATTGTCAGTAAAGTTTGGACTGATGTGCTTCAGCTCCAGTTGTAATATTCTAATTTAGAGATGTTAGTGTGAGAAATCGAAGTAAGTTACACAAGAATATTGTGAAGCAATCAGTTACATAGAAAGATACTGAATCAATACAAAATATTTAAAACCTGTTTTACAAAAGATGGATTCTGGAAACTTCGAGACAAGCACGCATACTGGGCTTAATATGTTTGTTGACTCAGAGAAATAATTAGCATTCTGTTATATCTTTCTCACGCACTTAGGAAATGAAGCAATATTATGACCTAGCAAAAACTGGGTTACTCATTTACTATTACTACTGCCATTTTGCAATATTGTTCCTATTTAGAAAATAACTCTACAGTTGTCTAAACCAATTACACCCATTAAAAATACTAATAAAAGTGTTATAAGGAAAATATGATTAAACTCAGGTGCTTCATCTCTGACAAATATATCTTCAATTTTAAAACATGCAAAGTATATATTTCTTTAGAAATAAATTGAAATGGAATTATGATATTGTAGGCTCTTTAGACATTATTCTTTAGTAATCGCTCTCATACTATCTTTCCACCCAATTTTCTGCTTTTAATGCCTTAACTTCAATAATTACATTTAAGGTATCAAATACTTCAAACAGTTAACAACAAATCTCAACATTTACGAAAATAAAAACTAAATTAGCAAGATTTATATCAGTAGACATTTACTTCTGATTTGTTAGGGAATTAAAAACTTTAAGTGGGGGGTGGAAATTAAATTACACAAATGAACCAATAAAGTGAAAAAGTAGTCTTAATGTTGTCATTATCAAATGCAGTTGAGAGTGCCCTTCCCTTTTTCCCTTTTCCTCTTCAATCTTAACAGGTGATCCTAAAAAGTTTTATTTAAGAATAAGGTGGGCTACTTTCTTTAATTACTATTAGGTTGGTACAAAAGTAATTAAAAGTAATGACAAAAACTGCAATTGCTTTTGCTCTAACCTAATATTATTTTTTTTTTATCTCCCAGAAGAATGTTCTTACAACAAGCACTGCTCAAAAGCATTAACTCTATATGTGGTCACAGCAGAGAAAGAAGAAATCTAGACGAGACAGAGTCAGAAGTACAATACCCTGTAGTACAGTTCAGCCTCATGTGCTGTGCTGTGTTCGGATTATTTGGGGCTGGAACCCTGATCAGCTGATTTGCTAACGCAACTGTTCTAAATGTCCTTCTCACTTCCCACTAAGTTCCATTTTCAGAGAGGACATCTCTTCCTGCGGAAACTGAAATCACCACTAACTGGAATCAATGACATATTTTAGCTAAAGAAGAAACAAAGCCGGTGGCGGTGGCTCTCGCCTGTAATCCCAGCACTCTGGGAGGCCGAGGCGGGCGGATCACGAGGTCAGGAGATTGAGACCATTCTGGCCAACATGGTGAAACCCCATCTCTACTAAAAATACAAAAAATTAGCCAGGCGTGGTGGCTCACACCTATAATCCCAGCACTTTGGGAGGCCGAGGCAGGTGGATCACTTGAGGTCAGGAGTTCGAGACCAGCCTGGCCAACATGGTGAAACCTCATCTCTACTAAAAATACTAAATTAGCTGGGTGTGGTGACTCACGCCTGTAATCCCAGCGACTTGGGAGGCAGGAGAATCGCTTAAACCCAGGAGGCAGAGGTTGCAGTGAGCCGAGATCGTGTCACTGCACTCCAGCCTGGGCGACAAAGTGAGACTCCGTCTCAAAAAAAATAAAAAAAATAAAAAAAAGAGGAAACAAGGTTCATTTGACATTTTAAAAATGTTGATGATATCACCCTTAAACAAAAGTACTACATCTATATAATGATCTAGATCAGGAACTCGTCGTAGGGTCTAATGAAATGTTACATAACTCATTTTGCATTTCAGCAACAACTGTATATAATAAGGATGTGGTCCTGGTAAACAATGTTCTTGTAGTTAAAGCAGCAAGTTAAAGGCACCAGTTTATCAACCACCAATTAATTTTCCTAGTGTGGACAGGTAAAAATACAGTGTTTATGTTTGGGCAATGGGTACTTCCAGAAATGTTTCATACCTTTCCTCTTTTGGGCCAGAATACTCATTTCTTTCGTTAGATGGACATTCTTATCATCACGGCAAATTCAACTGTTTCTCATTCACCAATTGATATCCTTTTAAATGTTTAATTTGATACTAATCATGCTTCCTTACTGGAGTCATAGACCTGAATAAAGCAAGGTTCCTACCCTCCTGTTACTCACAGAAGATGTTAAATTTTAGACTGGAAATTGCCAGAATAGAGGTAATGGCTGTAGTACTCCAAGCTGCTTGGGGGAAGCAGATTAGCTTTATAAAGATCGACTTGAACAAATTGTATACTTGTGACAGACAGTGTTTTGTGGTTTTGTTATTATAAACTGCTGATTTAAGATAGTAAGTCCTCAGTCAAGGAAACAAAAATACTGGGTTTCTACACGTGCCAAGAACTGAGATTATTGGGGAATTAAAAGAGGAATGAGACTCAGTGCTTATCCAGAGACATCAAACAAATCAGCCAAGGGAACAGATCTGTAAAGACGAAATTACAGTAAGATATACATATACCACATTTTATTATATATTATACAGAATAGTGATATGCACAATATCAATGATCATTTAATTATTAATTCAGAGAAGGCAAACTAATATTTAAAATATGAGTTTTTTTTAAACACTGAAAGCTGCTGCCTGTTCTAAAAACAATTGACTTGATCAGAAACTCTCTGTGTGCATTCCAATTAGTAATGGAGTAAAACGTTAACAATTCTGCAAATGCACTTACTCTCATCAGCACATTTTCTAAGGGGCTTTATGATCTTGGGAATTCTTCAAACATTATTAACACAATCCCTTGTCTAAGGGAAGTCCATTTAGAAGTAACACAGATGCTTAGAGTAAATGTGCTTGTAATAATAATTATATTATGTAATATGGAGAAAAAATAGTCAAACAATAGGATTGCTGTTGGAAACAATGGATGAAGGATTAAAAAGCAAGTCTTTAATCACAGAAGAGTTAAATGAAGCACCAGCTGCACTGTCACAATCAACTATCAAATGCAGGCCTGTTAGCCTCTCTGGTATTCTCTGGAAGTGCAGAATTGTATATACTATACTGCAAATACAATTATATTTGTGCCAATTAATCCACAAAATAGTTTACTGTATGTATGCATAATTAAATTAACTCTTAGGCATTTAAGAAAATTCAAAGTCAATTAAACAAAACAAAATTTGCTTTGAGTCAAGGAGTATAATGTGTCTGTAGTAACCAAAGCAGCAAAATATGTTAATTTTTAATTAATTTGAACTTTCATTGCTGCAGTGAGGTTTTCACACCAACAACAAACACGAAAGAGCATTTCTCTTGTTTGAATCAATGTTTCAGGAAAACTCTTTAAGAAAACAAATGAGAAAATGGACATCCATAGCCATTTTCTGGCCCCTTCATGCACTTTCTTTTTTTTTTCTTTTACCTTTTTTTTTTTTTTTTTTTGAGACTGAGTCTTGCTCTGTCGCCTAGGCTGGAGTGCAGTGGTGCGATTTTGGCTCACTACAAACTCTGCCTCCCAGGTTCAAATGATTCTTGTGCCTCAGCCTCCCAATTAGCTGGGATTACAGGTGCACACCACCATGCCCAGCTAATTTTTGTATTTTTAGTAGACACGGGGTTTCACCATGTTGGCCAGGCTGGTCTTGAACTCCTGACCTCAAATGGTCCACCCGCCTCGGCCTCCCAAAGTTCTTCATGCACTTTAATAGCTCATTCTTGTCGGGGTGATTTTATTCCATGGGCAGTCTTCGCTCCAGAATGCTTTGGGGCATGGCAGGAAGTAGGCCCCTCGTAGAAGGCTAATGTCAGTGTCAGCATCCCCTCGATCTGTCTCCTGAAACTGACTCCCAGTGACCTCTCCTGTCTGGCTGCTTCTTACTGGAAATGGATTCATGCTCTTTCAGATTCTACCAAAACCACTCATCAGGCACAGAAGGCCTTGCCCAGAGCAGCTTCTCCCTGGGAAGCTGGGGCATGCTGAGCCTTTCCAGCCTGTGTCTCACTCGTTTTTGTTTCCAGCCTGTGTCTCACTCATTTTTGTTTCCAGCCTGTGGCTCACTGGTTTTTGTTGTTGGTGTGAAAACCTCACTGCAGCAATGAAAGTTCAAATTAATTAAAAATTAACATATTTTGCTGCTTTGGTTACTACAGACACATTATACTCCTTGACTCAAAGCAAATTTTGTTTTGTTTAATTGACTTTGAATTTTCTTAAATGCTTAAGAGTTAATTTAATTATGCATACATACAGTAAACTATTTTGTGGATTAACTGGCACAAATATAATTGTATTTGCAGTATAGTATATACAATTCTGCACTTCCAGAGAATACCAGAGAGGCTAACAGGCCTGCATTTGATAGTTGATTGTGGCAGTGCAGCTGGTGCTTCATTTAACTCTTCTGTGATTAAAGACTTGCTTTTTAATCCTTCATCCATTGTTTCAAATAGTAATCCTATTGTTTGACTATTTTTCTCCATATTACATAATATAATTATTATTACAAGCACATTTACTCTAAGCGTCTGTGTTACTTCTAAATGGACTTCCCTTAGACATGGGATTGTGCTAATAATGTTTGAAGAATTCCCAAGATCATAAAGCCCCTTAGAAAATGTGCTGATGGGAGTAAGTGCATTTGCAGAATTGTTAACATTTTACTCCATTACTAATTGGAATGCACATAGAGAGTTTCTGATCAAGTCAATTGTTATTAGAACAGGGGACCCAGGGAGGTTCCCTGTCACAGAAGCGTGACAGGGAAGTGGCCCACATTTGGCAGAACATAGTACAAATAATCTTCCTTATGAGAAATAGGAAGCATCCTATTGGGCAACATAGGCCAAAATACCGGAATTTTATCTTATCTCCCAGGGCTCACTGAAGAGCTACTCAATGTGATATCTGAATCTTGTCCCCTTAACTTCTCAATTACTCCTAAGTGTTCTCTGCTGTTCTTTGTGTTTAGGGTGTCTTTAAATTTTTATTTTTCTAAGATTATCAGCAAGCAGAAATTTCATGGGAAGAGTTTACAGGTACAATATGTGAATTATTTTACCATGGTAATGTATTTGGTGTAAGAGACAATTAAGAAAAATAATCAGTCATTATTGCATGTTGTTCTGTTTACCAAGAAATATTTAACCAGGTGAGATACTGCAACATGCCTAGGACAAATTCTCCTCTACTTAGATATCACACACACAGATACAGTAAAGCTAATATATGATATGAAGTGTGTGTGTATATATACATATACATATTATATATATGACGCATCACGTATGATAGTATGACAACACTATAGGTAGTACCACACAGTGTCTTATATTGATATTGATGTTTTCTGTACTTTTCTCTGATAAATGTGTTAATCTGTTTAATAGCTAAAACTCTGAATTAGAGACATTAGGAATATGTTTTGTTATTATTATCTCCAATAATATTCTCAAATAAGAAGAAAAGTGGTTAGAATCTATCAGAATATTTAGCTATAATGAAATTTAGATTTTTATTTCCAAGATGACACATTAGAGGCATTCAGTGTGCCTCAGCCACCTGGAAATAGCAAGATAGTACAGAAGGATCAACCCAATTAAAACCCCATTTTAATTCAGTAAGGAAAACAGGAATCTAGCAGAATTGTGAAGACACCCCAAATCCTGGAGAGGAGGATACCAGCAAACAGCCTCAATGATGGCATGTGACTAATAAAAGTGAGCGAAGCCCCAGTGCATGAGAGAGGCAGAAAATATCCCTCTGTGACTCCCCTTTCCCCCGGGGACCCCAGCAACCCTGGCAGAGGGAGAGCACTTTGTTTTTCCCAAGCCCTGAAGTTAACTCGGGGAGTTACCTGGCGGAGAGGCTTGGAAAGATGCTCTGAGAAAAAGATGCTGGGAAAAACTCAGACATTCCCCAGACCCAGGACTGGGAACAGGATGCCGTTTTTAATCCAGGCACCTACAAAGGCAGCCATTCTTTAACAACCTTGCACTGTGGCTGTGCAGGCATATTAGTCTTGGGCCTGAGATTGGAGAGCCTGCTCTGGAGTGGGGTAAAGGCCTCCACAGCCAGAACTGTGAAAGTACCTCAGCAGTAGATGCTTTGTGCTCTCTCCACAGGCCTGGGGCAAGAGGGGAGCTGCTACAGGTGAAGTTTCTCCTGAGCGGTGAGTCTTGCAGCCATGGCCAGCCTGGTGACCTGGATCTGATCTGTGTGTGCCATTGATGGGTTCACCAGCCTACTCCCCTGAGATTGTGGTGCAGCAAGGCTCTCTCTGCTCTATGCACAGGCAGATCTCTGGACATTTGGAACACTCATTCACCTGGTTCAGCAGTCTGAGCTGTCGCACCTTACCTGAACATAGATGGTGGTGCAGTGAGATCCTCTCTGCTCCATGCCTAGGCTGATCTTTAGGCATTCACAGCACCTGCTTGCCTGGAGAATGCCTGTTCAGAGAACTTCGTGCAGGGGGTCCCTCTCTGCTCCATGCCCAGGCAGATCTCCAGGCATCTGGAGCACCCACTCTCCTGGAGTAGGAGGTTAGGCCACCCCCACATCTCTCTGCAGAGAACTTGGGGGCTAGGTGGTTTCCCAGCTCCATTTCTAGGCACTGAGCGCTTGGTGGCCATCCACTGGATTCTCCCTTAGCATTGGGGTTTGTGCCTGCCAAGAGGGGACCTGTGGGTGGAACTGCCCAGTCCAGCCCTTCCTGGCTCCTGACCCCCAGGGCTGAGCAGTGAGCTCAGACCACTGTGCATTCCATGGATCAGCCCAGTGCCTGAGGCAACAGAGAGATTCAGCCAGCAAACAATAAGCAAGTATATATGAATGTTGGCCTCAGACAGCTCTTAGCTATAAGCACCAGCTACAGGCTTATAGGATGAACTGCAAAGTTCAGCATAAAACCTGCCAAAAAAAAGTACATAGGTGTACACAGGCAAAGCCAAAATACTGTACCCAACATTCTCTACAGTCACACCCCTAGAGAGGGGGAAAAGGGAGAGGAAAAGAAAACACAATAATAATAATAATAATTAACAACAACAACATTATAGGGAAAGAAAGAAAAAAAACACATGCATAAAAATAATTACAAAAATTAGAAGTGCCAATTTCTCCACATCAGAAGAAACCACTGCAATAATTCTGCTACCACAACAAATCTGAATGTAGTGACACCACCAAAGGATTGCATTAGCTCTCCATCAATGGTCCCTAACAAAAATGGAAAGTCAGAAATGACAGGTAAAGCATTCAAAGCATGGATTGCAAGGAAGCTTATTGAGATCCAAGACAAGGTTGAAAATCAACACAAAGAAAGTTCCAAAACAATCAAGGAAATGAAAGAAGAGATAAACATCTTAAAGAAATCAATCAGAGATTCTAAAATCAATCAGAGTATCAGAGGTTCTGAAATTTAAAAGCTTACTTAAGGAAAGTCAAAATACAACTGAAAGCTTTATCAATAGATTGAAGCAAGCAGAATAATTTCAGAGCTTGAAAGCCAGTCTTTTGAGCTAACACAGCTGGCAAAAATTAAAAAAGAATTTTAAAAAATGAGCAACGCCTTTGAGAAATATGGGATTATGTAAACCAACCAAACCTATGAATTACTGGCATTTCTGAAAGAAAAGAATATAAAGTAAACAAGTCGAAAAATATATTTGAAGGAATAATTCAAGAAAAATTCCTTAATTTGGCTAGAGAGGTGGACATCCAGATACAAGAAATCTAGAGAAAACCTGTGAGATATTATATAAAATGAACAACACCGAGGTATATAGTTACCAGACTAACCAAAATCAATACTAAAGAAAAAAAAATCTGAAAGCCAGCTAGAGAGAGAGAGAGAGAGAGAAAAGCAGATCATATACAAAGGGGGAACCCCATCAGGCTAATGGCAGACTTCTCAGCAGAAACTTTACAAGCCAGGAAAAATTGGGGGTCTGTTTTCAGTATTTTTAAAGAAAAGAAATTCCAACCAAAAATTTCGTATCCTGCTCAATTAAGCTTCATTAGCAAAGGGGAAATAAAATATTTTCCAGGCAAGCAAGCATTAAGGGAATTCATTACACATAGGCCAGCCTTATAAGAGACCCTTAAGGGAGTTCTAAACATGCAGACAAAAGAACAATACCTGATACCAAAAAAACACACTTAAGTACATAGTACACAGACACTATAAAGCAAGAACACAATAGAAATGGCAAAGCATAGAGCTAACAGCTTCATGACAGGATTAAAACCTCACATATCAATATTAACCTTGAATGTAAATAGTCTAAACACAATTTACACTCTTAAATGTAAGAATTTAAAAGGCACAGAGTGGCAAGTTGTATAAAAACAGAAGACCCATCCAACTACTGTCTTTAAGAGATCCACCTCACATGTAACAACAGCTATAGAATCAAAGTAAAGGGTGGGAGAAAGATCTACCAGGCAAATGGAAAATAAAGCAAAACAAAACAAAAAGCAGGGATCACTATTCTTATATTAGATAAAATATATTTTAAATCAGTAACAGTAAAAAAAGGACAAAGAAGGCATTATAACCACTCCTACAGAAATACAAATGATCCTCACAGACTGTTATAAATAGCTCTATGTGCACAAACTAGAAAATCTAAAGGAAATAGAAAAATTCTTGGAAACATAGAATCACCCAACATTGAATCAGGGAGAAACTGAAACACTGAACAGACCAATACCAACTTCTGAAATTAAATCTATAATAAAAAACCTACCAACCAAAAAAAGCTCTGGACCAGACTGATTCACAGCAAATTTTTACCATACAAAATACAAAGAAGAGCTGGTATCAATTCTAATGAAACTATAGAAAAAATTGGTGAGGAAGGACTTCTTTCTAATTCATTCTACAAAGTCAGCAGCACCCTGATAACAAAAGCTGGCAAAGACAGAATTTTAGAAAGAAAGAAAGAGAAAGAGAGAGAAAGGAAGGAAAGAAGGAAGGAAGGAAGGAAGGAAGGAAGGAAGGAAGGAAGGAAGGAAGGAAGGAAGGAAGGAAACTATAGCCAATATCCCTGATGAACATAGACACAAAAATCTCAACGAAATACTAGCAAAACAAATTCAATAGTACATCAAAAAGTTAAGTCACCATGATCAAATAAGCTTCATTCCTGGGATGAAAATTTGGTTCAATATACACAAATCAATAAATGTGGCTCACCACATAAACAGAATTAAAAACAAAAATTACATAATCATCTCAATAGATGTGAAAAAAAGTTTCTGATAAAATCCAACATCCCTTCATGATAAAAAAAAAAACCCTCAAGAAACTAGGCATCAAAGGAATACACTTCAAAATAATAAGAGCCATCTATGATAAACCTACAGCCAACATCGTACTGAACAGGCAAAAGTTGGAAGCATTCCTGTTGAGAACTGGAACAAGCCAATGATGCCGACTCTCAACACTTCTATTCACTAGGACTTCATAGTACCAGAAGTCATAGCCAGAGAAATCAGGGAAGAGAAAGAAAAGGCATTCAAGTTGGAAAAGAAGAAGTCAAACTATCTCTCTTTATTGACAATTTGATTCTATGCCTTGAAAACCCTGAAGACTCCACCAAAAGGCTCCTGAAGCTGATAAATGATAGACTTTAGCAAAGTTTCAGGATATGAAAGTTATGTAGAAAAATCTGTAGCATTTCTATACACCAATAATGTTCAAGCGGAGAGCCAAATCAAGAGTGCAATCCCTTTTACAAATGCCACATGCAAATACCTAGGAATATGTATAACCAAGGAGGTGAAAGATCTCTCCAAGGGTAACTACAAAACACTGCTAAAAGGAATTACAGATGACACAAACAAATGGGAAAACATTCCATGCTCATGGATTAGAAGAATCAATATCACTAATATGACCATACTGCCCCAAACAACCAACAGATTCAATTCTATTCCTATTAAACGACCAATGTCACTTTTTACAGAATTGGAAAAAACTGTTTAAAATTCATATGAAACAAAAAAAGAGCACGAATAGCCAAAGCAATGCTAACAAAAAGAACAAAGCCAGAAGCATCACATTACCCAAGTTCATACTATACTCTAAGGCTAGAGTAACCCAAACATGATGGTACTGGTACAAAAACAGACACATAGACCAATGGAACAGAATAGAGAGCCCAGAAATATAGCCACTTAACCACCGTCATCTAATCTCAACAAAGTCAGCAAAAGTAAACAATGGAGAAAGGACTCCCAATTCAATAAATAGTGTGGGGATAGCTATCTAGCCATATTCAGAAAAATTACAATGGACCCCTATCTTTCACCATATATAAAAATTAACTGAAAATGAATTAAAGATTCATTTTATAATACCTGGTAATTCATAAATGTAATACCTGCAGCAATAAGAATCCTAGATGAAAACCTAGGAAATGCCATTCTGGGCATGGACCTTGAGATAGAATTTATGATTAAATCCTCAAAAGCAACTGCAACAAAAACAAAAATTGACAAGTGAGAGAGACCTATTAAACTAAAGAGCTTCTGAACAACGAAAAAAACTATCAACAGAGTAAACAGGCAACCTACAGAATGGAAGAATATATTTACAAACTATGCATTTGACAAAAGTCTAATATTCAGAATCTATAAGGAACTTAAACAATTGAACAAGCAAAAAACAAATAACCCCTGTGAAAAATGAGCAAAAGACATCAACGGACACTTCACAAACGATGACACCCAAGCAGCCAACAATCATAAGAAAAAATGCTTTTCATCATTAATCATCAGAGAAATGTAAATGAAAATCTCAATTAGCTACCATTTCATACCAATCAGAATGGCTATTATTAAAAAGTCAAAAAACAATAGACATTGGTGAGGATGAGGAGAAAAGGGCTTGCTTATACACTGTTGGTGGGAATATAAATTAGTTCAGCCACTGTGGAAAGCAGTTTGGAGAGTTCTCAAGAAACTCAGAACACCATTCACCACTGATAACACCATTTCCTTTGTTATCCAAAGGAAAAGAAATCATTCTACCAAAAAGGCACATGCACTCACATGTTCTTTGCAGCATTATTCTCAATAGCAAAGACCTGAAATCAACCTAGGTGCCCATCAACAGTGAGTTCAATAAAGAAAATGTGGTACATATACACCATGGAATACTACACAGCCATAAAAAAGAATGAAATCATGGCCTTTGCAGCAACATGAATGTAGCTGGAGGACATTATCCTAAGTGAAATAAGTCAGAAACAGAAAAGCAAATATCACACATTGTTACTTATAAGAGGGAACTGAACACTGGGCTCATGGAAATAAAAATGGCAATGGTAGACACTAGGGACTACCAGAGGTGGGAGGAAGGTATAGGGGAAAGAGCTGAAAAAATAACTGTTGCGTACTATGCTCAGTACCTGGGTAAAGGGATCATTCGTACCACAAACCTCAGCATCACATAATATACTCAGATAAAAAAACCTGCACAGGTACTCCACAAATCTAAAACAAAAGTTGAAAAATAAAAATAAAATAAAATTTAGTAAGATCTATTTCCTGGGGTTATTGCAGGGATGCTTTTAATCTCATACACACACACATACACACACACACACACACACATCCAAATAATCGATCTTACATTATCGATATCTAATATATCTTAAAATAACCTAAGTCCACTGTATACTCTGGACTTACAATGAAGAGAAACAAAGAGCTTCTTCATTTCTTCAAGTAGGAAATATATTATTAGGAAAGAACAACTTGTTTAGTCCACTTCTGAGACCATGTGGATCAGATCAGCTGAAAGCATGCTCTCAGGCATTCCTGTCTGCATAACAATTCTTTATTTCTATCTCTGTCTATTCTCATTGAAGTTAATCTCCTACCAATTCCCAGAAGTCTTCTGTCCTCCAATAGCAATGCACTCCATGCATCTTGCCACACACAGTTAGTGAATGAAAGACAGAAGGAATGCCTTGGTATACTCTTTCTTTTGCTTGGATTTTCCTGCTCCACCAAGAGAACATTCTCATTCTGAAAATTCATCATGAGGACCTTCTGTTATTTGTAGCTCCCCCTGATGCCTTTCTCTGTCGTTCGCAGGCACATCCTCCACCTTCTGAATGCCAACATCCTCCAAGGGTATCTCTACCGTGGAATTCATCATGGGGTAGATATTGTCAGCTCAAAAGGAGAGCTGACATCTCAGGAAGTAAGGGACAGTCCATGGGCCCCCCACAGACTGCCACCTGATTCTCAGTGTCTGTGGGAACTTTGGCTTATTTTATTAATCAAGAGGTTCTGCTTCAAAGGACCAGTGCGGAAAGGGGGCACATTATTGGCCCTAGAAACTATGTAAGCCTGACGATCAAAAAGTCACTATCTCAGTGGGAAGGTATACCATGAAATCTCTGCCCACAGATGCACAGCCAGACAACAAGGAAACTTATCTTGGGTAGATACTGGGTGGGAAAATAAATGTCTATCCCTGGAGAAATCATGGCCACAGCCAGCCCTCTCTTGGTTTGAGAGGTTTCAACATAGACTGCACACGTCACCTGATCATTTTAATGAAGGAATTTAATGAATGTATTTATGGAATTAACATAAAAATAGTCCTTGGTTGGTAACACTCCGGAGGCCTTGACCAATGCCAAAGCAATCTCTAGAGAGCTAACCCTTGACCTAGGCCACACAAGACCTTCTCAGCCAAGCCAATGAGGAATACCAAGTCACACCCCAAACCACAAAACATGGAGAAATAATCTCACTGAGCAACCATCGGCAGGCAGAATAAGCAGCAGTAGGAGAAGCTCAATTACTTCACATATACGATGATTGCTTATAGATTATGTAATAAGCAGGTTTTAACAAAACAACTATGGATATAAAAAGAACTAGAAATATGAGAAAAGAACAAGAAACAGTATTTGAGAAAAAGACAGATTTGAAAAAGAACAAAGTGGAACTCTTAGAAGTGAACAAAAGTCATTGAAATTAAAATGCAATGCATGAGTTAAACTT
Source organism: Homo sapiens (assembly GCF_000001405.40). Lineage (NCBI taxonomy): Eukaryota > Metazoa > Chordata > Mammalia > Primates > Hominidae > Homo > Homo sapiens. Next base: position 108,932,090 of record NC_000013.11, on the reverse strand, counting down.
CACATTAATCACCGTTCACAAAGGAATGAAGTGTAAGAAAGCACTGCAGAAATTATCCGGAATGAAGCACAGAGTGATACAGAAATGGAAAATGTAAAACAGAAATTAGAGGAGCAGAGAGAATCAGAAAGGACAGCATGTTTCTAAAAGGAATCTCAAAAGAAAGGAAGAAAAAAATGAAGAAGGGGGAACATTCACAAGGATCATGGCCAACAATTTTTCGAACTGGTAAAGTAAATGCATCAGATGATTTGCAAATCAGAAGAAGCCTTAAGCAGGATTAATTTTTAAAAACTAATATCTGGGGTTCCTGTGGTAAAACTAGAAATATAAGCCCACCCACCCCCATGTACACAGATGCACAGAGCAACATTTATTCACTCATTTTATCACATACCTATTATGTGTGAATGATGGTGCCAGGACTTATGGGCATAATGTTTCTTAAGTCAGGGTCCCAAATCTTATAATTTGTGCTTTATTGGGGATACCAGGAATGTAACGAATAATATACACCCCTGATGAATTCCACAGTACAGATACACACAGAGGATGCTGACATTCAGAAGTGGGGTGCGGGGACTACCTGTGCCTACAAATGACAAGGAAAGGCGTTGGAGAGAGCTACAAATAGCAGAAGGTCCTCAAGATGAGTTTTCAGAATGAGAATGTTTTCTTGGAGGAGGAGGAGAATCCAAGCAAAAGAAAGAGTATACCAAGGCATTCCTTCTGTCCTTCATTCACAGACATGTTTGGCGAGATGCATGGAGTGCATTGCTATTGGAGGGCAGAAGGCTTCTGGGAACTGGTAGGGGATTAACTTGAATGAGAATAGACAGAGATAGACACAAAGAATTGTTAGGCAGACAGGAATGCCTGAGAGCAGTGGTTTTAGAATTTTTTCCATCATAAAAACTTTAAATATGAATCATATGAATTCTAACATATAAAACAGGTGAAACAGCTGTTCAGATGGAAGAGCAGGTGTGTGAGTGTACACAAGTGTGTAAGGGTGTATTTACAGGGGAGCCCAGCGATTCAGACATCCTCCTCTCATGACTGCAGTTTCTCTGGGAGTGTCTTCATTGGATTCATTTTCATTCACAGATATTTTATACTTCAGCAGTATCTTAAAAAGAACTATTTCCATTTATCTATTTAATCTAAACTGTTACGGCTCACATATATGTGATATTTTCAATTTTGCATATGTTTACTTTATAACTCAAACTTTACTAAAATACAGTATAGAGCAAATGCTTTCCCATTGGTTTATTTATATTTGATTTTTCTAGGTGGACAAACATATTATTTACAAATAGTGGTATTTATAGTCTTAACTTTCTTGGTAATTTTTATTCATTTCATTTCTTTTCTTATGTTGATTAAAACTTGAGGATCAATGCTAAAAAGATACAGGGTTTACTTCACAATTAAGGGTGGTATCTCCTTGGGAACTTAGCATAATTTTTTTGTGTGTGAAATACTCCTTTTACTTCTAATTTAAAATAAGATTTGGGAAGTGACGTTTATCATCCTTTTGGCACCTTTTGAAATGGCCAATTGACTTTTCTTTTTTTACTTATGGATGTAATATATACTAAGACTTAAATTTCCTATGATTGATCATTGAGTATTTAATGGACTGCTAGATTATATTTGCTGCTGTTTTAATTATGTCTCTATCTTTGTAAGTCAAATAACCATCTATTATTGATATATCTCTTCATTTCATGGTGTCATAGATATGCTGGATTTTTTAATTAAAAAATTGATAATGAGAACAATTTAAAAATACAGAGAACTATAAAGACAGCCAATGTCATTCTCCAATAGTGTGAAAATAGCAACACTGAGCCATATTTACTTCAGTTTTGCTTTTTACAAATAAACTTCACAGATAAAGTTAACAATCCATCTATACACAATTATCCCCTTATTTGGTGAAGTAAGAATGATCAATTTTGCAATATGCTTTCAGTCTATTCAAACTGTTTTCACATTATATGTGTACATACCTATAAAATAAATAAGATTATGGGCATTTAAAATTATGAAAATGTTATTTATAGTGCATGCATCATTCAGCAAATTGCTTTTTGTTGACTTTAGGTTTATAGATCTATTCTTATTCATGCATATAGCTTAGGTTCATTTATTTAAACTATTTTAAAGTGCCACAATTATAATCAGATTAATTTATTCATTTCCCTAGTTATGATGGTTTACTTTCTTTTCCCTTTACTTGCATGTTCAGGAGACACATCAGTGAATAGCTAAGTACATTTTTTTTTAATGCATGTGTGGGTTTCTCTGTGCCAGGATTTCTCAAACACTGGGCAGCTGCCATGTGAGGTCGGATAGCTCTTTGCAGTCGGGTCCTCCCATGGAAGGCAGGACCTTGTGCTCCACCCACTAGATTCTGGAATTTGACTCCACCCACTAGGTTCCAGAATCCCCTCTCCTGAGTTGTGACAGCCAAAAAAAATCTCCAGATATTGCCAGGTGTGCTCCGTGGAGTAAGATCAACTATCATATGTATGATGGTGTGTTATGCACATTTCCAACTTTACCAAATATTGTGCACTGTTCTTCAAATTAGTTGTACTAATTTAAACCCTCATTAGGAGTGTGTGTGTCTATTTTCATATTACCTGCTTTTTGTTATTATTGAAAATGTTTTCATTGTGAAATGGTACCTCATTATTCTTTCAATTTCCAAATCCTTCATTACTTGTGGGAATATGCATCTTTCCACATATGTATTGGAACTTCAGCTTTTCACTTGTGCATATGCTGCCTTCTGGAAAAGGAACCATGGATTTCTTCATCTTTAATTTTTGTAATGGTTTAAACAATTTTGTATTCTTTGAAGATTTAAAAGTTCATGTTTAGGAACTTCCTGAGTTTGGCTCCTTCAGGATGGAAACAGTCTTGGTTTCTTCTATGTTATTCACATAATTTGATTTTTTAAAAATTTCATTTACAGTTAATTTTAGATCTGCACAAAGCATTTTTATTTATTTAGTATCACTGTATATGTGACTATACCTTTTGTTTTCATTACCAATTATCAACATTTAGTTTTCTAGTGACTTTGTTTACCTTTACTTCTGTATTTAGTTTCTAATTTTATTACATTATGGAGGGAAAATATGCCCTGTACAATTTCTGATTTTGTAAATTTATTAAGCTATAATCCATGACCTGAATATGGCCATTTTTAAAATAACTGTACTGCACGTGTCTGAAATATAGTTTGATATGAAAAGTACAGATTTTGGTATGAAGCTATCATTGGCTTACCTGTCATATCTTTGCTCATTATTTTACTTTTAGGCATTTTAAGCTGAAAAGAAAATACAGCTTTAGGTCCATTCCCTTTCTATGAATTTTTATTTTATAGTATTGGGTGTGGTCCTTGACATAAATTGTAAATGTACACAGGAGTTCACACACACTCCTTTTACCTAACAAACGACTCCATTCTTTTCTCTTTCAGTCATTTGTATATTTACTTCTTTATGTGTATCAGAAGTTAGTCTTTGCTTATACGTTGACATCCACTGGACATGACTTATTCAAATGCAAGAATTCCATGTTGCTCTTCAGAGATAAAACACATGGCATTATGAATATTAATTACCATTTTATTATATGTAATTATACATCCTATGCCATAACATATAATATTCTATATAACATTGCTGTAGATCCCTAGCTAATAGACTACATCATGTAATATAATGACACAGTGCCGTAACCATATTGCCAGTAGCTGAATGGACGCCTGCATTTACCGGACACGTGATGGGGCGTCTGGCACTTGCATTGGCCTTTCTGCCCCTCTGTCGTCGGTACACACTTCCTCACCTCCAGGCTGGTCCCATCATCTCTGCCCATCTCTCCCTGTGGCCCAGCTTCCTCTCTTTCATGGAAGCTGCTCCCATCCCTCTCTCCTTGTAGAGAAAGGAGAAAAGCCCCAGAAGGCAAGCGCATCGGCATCTGTTGGAAGATGTGACTGTGAAACGCAGAGCAAAGAAGGAGACAGGCTGGAGATGGAAGGGTAGAAGGTTCTAGAAACCTTACCCTAGTGCTTCAGGCAGAGCCATTGCTGGGCAATTCCTGGCCCCTTTACTGAACTGGTGGAAATCAGTGTGGTGGCGCGAGATGGTGCAGCCTAGAGCGCATGCTCAGGCTCCAGGCCAGGTGCACGCGTTGGCCCGGTGACCTCGGGCACTCCGGAGTGCAGATCTCTCTGCCTTGCATTTATTTCCTTATCCGTGGAGAGGGCAGGAAACGCCTGCCTCGTGGAACTGTCATGATGGCTCGGGTTAGTTGAATTCCTGTGCAGGGCTCCACACCTCCAGGGCATGCGCAAGGACAGAGCCATGTCTGTCCGTCCGCTTGGCATTTTCACACGCTGCAGAGCATGTGGCATGTCTCCTCCCTCATCTCAGAGAAAATTTCATGAAATTTCAAAAATCATGTAAAATATAAATATACTTCCATGTCAGAAAGCCTTATTTGAAAATCAATCCAGAAATCTTGGGATGTCTTTGGGTGTTCTGGGAAGCTCTAGAAGGGTGGCTCCCACTGCACCTAATTGGCCTGCAGCAGGGGTCCTCAGCAGGGCATGTGAGAATCAAGGATGGCAAGTCCCAGTGCCTGGCTCATGCCCCAGGCCCATTATACCAGAGGCATCAGGAAGTCAAAGGCCTCAGAGGTATGACACTCGCCAAGGGATGTTGAAAAATCACTCATTTAGAAAGATCATCCTTGTTGTTGGGTGGAGGAAGGCAAATAGGAGAAAAGATTCTAAATGCCGAAAATGCAAATATAATGCATTATTTACCACCATCTCACTTAGGAGAATCACTGGCATTTGGGGCTGGCACACTCATTTTCTCTAAGTGTGTTTTTTCCTGTGCTATATCTTCATCTGGGACAGTCTCTCTCTCTCTCTCTCTCTCTTCAGTTGTTGACAGATGGCTTCACCTCTGTTCACTCGGGAGTCATGCTATCCAAGACATGGCTCTTGACTGAGGGCCACGTGTGTACCTTGTTGTCATGCTACACTCTGAGATATGCACCGTGCCAGGGGCCTTTCCCATACCGGGACTCTAGAAATTCATTTTAGTATTTATCACAGTTGACAGTGCCTGTAGCCTAAACAGAACTACGTGCAATCTGAAAATAAATTATTTCTGTGGTATGTTTTTTTTAAAAGATGTTGTTTAACACCGTCTATTCAAAAGGAGCATTGATTGTGAATTGGATCAACTTCATCAGTGCTTTCACTGTTGATGATTTATTCTTCCAGTAAGGAAAGAGCCTTTCTGGGATGAGGCCACCACCCCTGGTGAATGTCGATGGCACTGCTCTTACTTCTCTCCAAAAACTGCTTGAGAAAACATCACTCCTATTTCTCCTTTTCCATGTTAGCCTGCTGGTCTCTAGATGACAGGTTCCACTCACGCCCTCCTGTTCCTGGTGACTTTTTCATGAAGCCCTCGGGAGAGTCCTGTGTGTTCGTTTCTCTCTGGCTGGCTCCCGACCCCTGCTTTTCACTTCTCCTGCGCCTGAGCACGATGCCTCCTTGAGTGCACCCGAGATTCTTCAGTTATATGTTGGGGATGTTTCTCACATTGCAATTTGATGCCTATATGCTATGACTTAGACTTTGAACAATTTGACTTTAAGCAACTTTAGAGCAGGGACCATCTCTTATTTTTTCATCTTCAGAAAGGAGCATTGTACTTCAAATACAATAGATAATAGCTACTCTTTGAATCGGAGATAGAAAGAGTGAAGACTGCGACTCTGTGCAACAGACTCCTTGGTATTGGTCGCCTCTGCAGCCTCTTGGATGGCTGGTCTTCTAGACACCTCCCTTTCTCTGGTCAGTACACACGCTGAAACACGTCAGTGTATTTCATTCTGGGAAGGCCTCTGTCAACACAGGATGTCTGAGTAGAGATCTGAAAATTAAGGAGGTTTCCAAATGGAGGTCTGGAGGACGAGCCATGGAGCACGCGGCTCTGAGTCTTTGTGCGGTCAGAACAAGGTGGCTGCAGTGGCATCCTGGTGACAGTGGCAGAGACTGGAAGGGAGGCTGCAAGGGCCCAGGGGAGGAGGATGAATTCTGTTCTACTGTCCAAGGGAAACACTGGAAGCCTTTAATGGGGGCAGGAAGGGGTCAGTGAGAGGATCAGACTTCTACTTTAGAAAGCACACTCTGAACCACTCAGTGGGGCATGACTTTTCATGGGGGCCAGTCAGTGTCAGGGAGTCCAACAGAAAGGCTTGAAGACTTTCAGGTGGGAGATGATGGGAGCGAAGTCCTGTACTGCAGCAGAGAGATGGAGAGACGTAGACGGGTTTGTTACATGTTCAGGAGGCAGAGCCAGAAGGACTTGCCGATGGGCTGGTGTGAGAGGAAGGATGAGAGCCAAGAATAACATTCCAGATTTTAGCGTGAGTGGAGATGCCATTTACTGGGACAGGGAAGACTTGGTGGGGGAACCAGGTTCTTTAGGTGAGAAAGTCAAAATGTTCAACCCAAAGCCATTAAAGATTTGCAATAAAATATTATACTACCACTATTTAATTACTTGCACTTATAAATCATATTATACTTACTTATCTCTGGCCCCACCGTCAATAATTTAAGACCATCCATACTACCTCTACCAACAAGTAAGTAAAAGGTGAGGTTCAGAGAGAGCCTGCAATGTGCTCAGCAGCACAGGAAGAGGAGTGGCGGAGCTCGGTTTAACTCTAGTTCATCTCTGTGACACTCGCCCCAATTGCCCCATTGTCACTCCTGAAAGCAAACACACCACAATGACTTCATTGTTTTAAAAGATAAGTTAAACATCTTAAAGGATGCCCACAGAGAGATGCCGGGACCAGTGAGAGAGTGCCGCCCTTTCAGAATCAAGGACACCCAAGTCACTCCACCTTCAACTTCCCTTGGCTCTGGGTGCCTCTGGATGATGCTCAGCAAAATCCAAAAAATGACTCTGTGTACTTAATTCTGAACAACACAGTGGCAGGAAAACACATGGGCCCATGAACTCCCACCTTCTATTCCCAGAAAGACAAGTACGGCCCTTTCCTATGTTGAAAACGGGTTTGTTTTAGCCACCAAAATATATTTAAGAAGAGATGACACATTCAGAGCAACAAAATTCAGAAATCATTTATTCGCTGCTATGAATTAACGTGAAAAGGTTAAACTGAATACGTCAGGGTGCGGCAACAGACGTTAAGCTGAACAAAACCCTCTAGCCTGACTGATAGCAGAAGACGTGACGTCAGGAGTGAGTCGCCATGCCATGCTGTGTTGCTGGGAAGACCCCTGTGGGTGTGCACAGGCAACTGCCACTGTCTTCCTTTGTATAACAAGGAAGTGCCCTAGCTAGCAATACAGAGACTAAAGTAATGAAAAACAACACAGCACTTATAAATCAGTAAGCAGGGTACGTCTGGGAACATGGTTCTACTGAATCTGGATCTAAGCGATTCCATTCGTACTCAGGAATCATGTATTCAAGTACCTGACTTGAATAATGATCATTTCTTCCTATTGAAGTTCAAGCATCATCGACCATTCTGACAACACGGGGTGAGGGTGGCTCCCTGGAGCACCTTATTAGGATGATTGCTCAGCAGGTTGTACTTGCAAAGGGGAAGATACTCTGTAGAGTTGGAAGGTGGGAAGCACAGTTAATGACTTTCCCGTGACTCAGAAAAGCAGGAGCTCAGCTCTAAGCTGTTTTGGAAGCTTCGTTTAGATTGGAGTCCCAGGAAGAATGGTCTGACACACATTCACATGACTGCATCACATCACTATTTACATGGCTACAATATCTCGTGACACTTTGCACATATTCTGTTGTGTCCAGCTGGGCAAAATGATAGGGCCAAGTATCCTACTCAAATGAATTTTTAATGTATATAAACATAGAGATTACTGGGCATATTTTAACATATCTTTGGACTTTATGGCCCTAAACTGATGGTGGAAGATGGCAGAAACCCTTTTCTGTCTCTAAGATTTTATGAGGAAGCTTCATGGCCCAAAGAGTTCAATAGTAAAAAGATACCAATGTCAAAACGGAAAAAGTTAACAACATGAAATGTAACGGCCTATACAACAATGCCAATATGTCAGTTCCAAAATCACAGTATGCAAATGCTGGCTGGGAAAAAATGCTGATCTAAGAATAATTCATGTAAAATGCAAAATCTACGTATGCTTGTTGATGAGGTTTACTATGAAGTCACGGTGTGGCAGAATCACACAAACAAGCCAAAGACAGAAAAGCCAAAAGTGCTCAGCCTGAATTCTGAGAATCCTGAATCTGCAAGGAAAAGGAGACACTAAGAAGCAGAGGGGGAAGAGAGGTCTGCAGGCTGAGGGCTCCGGACCCAAACACCCCGGCCGCATTGGGGCAGTGAAAGCAGGAAGGCGAGGGCCCCACACCGAGGTGGGTAGTGAGGCGCTGGCCAGCGGGTTGGCCATACCAGCCCGAGCTGGTGTTCCCTCTCCTTTCTCCTTCCTCGCTGTCCAGGCAGCGCCTGCTGTGTGGGAAACCCCACTGCCCTTACCAGTCTGCCTGGACGGATCCCTCCACTGCTCCAAACAGTGCTGGCTTCACCTGTCCCCCTCCTCTGAAATAACTCTCCTAGTGTCAGTAACTGCTAGCAAAAGCAATGACTGAGCTGTACTGCCTTCACCTTATTACAAGTTCCTGTAATTGCTCCCTTCTCTCCTGTGTCTGAATTTCCCATTCCTATCTGTTTTCAACCGTGTTCTGAGGTCATCCCGCATCTTGCGAGAGTGACACCTTGGACTGGGGCACAAGATGGATACACGCAGCCCCCAGGTCTTCAGGGGCTCAGGCCTCTCCTTCCCTGTGAGTGGCCCTTACTCTAGGTGCTCCTGTCCTTTTGTGGGTCATTGCAAATACCGCCACAAAATCTTTCACCTGTTTTTACGAATCAGGGTTTGAAAGGCAAATTGTGAAGTGCGTAAGAGAAGCCCAAACAAAACCGTGGCTCTCACGCTCCTAGCATGTGACTGGGAGGTTCATGGAACCTCTCTTTGTGTTTGCTTTTTCATGAGTAGCAAGGGGAGCAACCTGCTTCTAGACTGGGCTGTGGATAGGGGGAGATAACATATGTCAAGGTTTTCGTATAGTCTCCCTCCTAAACTCAGTGCTGAACAAATGTTGGTTATTGTCATTTTAATTACATGATTTAAAGTATTAGATTCAAAGTGCTAATTCCTATTATGGCATAGAAGGTCATTTCAGATTCCTGTGCACACACATAAACACACATTTTGTTTTTATCATAGGATTCTACCTAAATATCCACAATATGTCATCAACTCCAAAACCACCCATAACTCCTACGACGTATGTCTGGTTTGAACCTGATAGGCTCCACCTGAAGAGTTTGACAGATGACAGCAAATCGCACATTCCAAATCTTATTGACTTCGCCATCTCTGATTACATAAGCACCGGATTTTAGACGTGAAGAAAGTCTCTCTTTTTTCCTCCTCTAGCTGGTACAGAAAATCAAAGCATTTTAAGCCATGAGAATGGAATTTTTTTTGTACCAGGGAAGACGTGAAAGAGGGAGTTTTACAGAAGTGTTCGATTGCTGCCTTTTTAAAGATCTCTCTCAGCAGCGTGGCCCTCTCTGTCCCTGTGCCATGAGGGACACACAGAAGCTGAGCCTTGCGCTGGCATGTAACCAGGTTCTGGCTGCCCCACCCAACAGGCCTCCCAGGGCTCTGCAGTCCTCTTTCCTCCTCTTTCCTCTCCTTGTCCATTCTCAGCCACCCTCACTTCAAAATGCTGGGTTGATTTTCATCATTAGGTTTTAAATCATTTAAATTCGTAATTCCTCACAGCTACATGATGAATCCAAGTCCAGACCCCAGTTGATGTCCAACAAGAGAGGGTGGACACAGCTCTGGACAGAGCCGCACAGAGGCAGAGACGTACGCTAGGAGCAAGACCAGACCCCACTTATTCCACGTATTATAAACCTCTAACTCCAAATCATAACTTTTGCATAACAATTATTATTTCAGTTATTCTCACATGACTCCAATGGGAAGGAGCCTTCTACACTAATAGTGACAATACTAGCCAACGCTTCCACTGCACTCACTCCGTCACTCACAACCATACTCTGAGGCTACTCCTGGCCTACAGATGAGCAAAGGGAAGCACAGAGAGGTTGCATGATTTTCCCAAACCCCCCAGCCAGGGAGATGTAGATCCTGGATTAAGTAAACTCTGTGCCTTCAACTAATAAGCCTGCTGCTTTTAACAGTTCAAGCATAGTTATCAATGAATACTCACAAATTGCAAAAGACAGTCAGTCACCCTGTATTGAGGATATAATCTCTCTAAATGGCTGCAGTCATGGAAGATTCGATTTTATAGGCCTACACACCTAAAAGCTATGATTTTGCTAACAGCTATTGATGTATATCAATTGATTTTTGCAATGTCCTATATCAATAGGACAAAGAAAAGCATTTTATCTTCAACTGTGCCACATGTATACTATATGTCCTGCAAGCTACAAAGGAAACTTCAAAGATGGGGAGTGCATATGGAACACACTGATAAGAGAGCATTTTATGTATCATGTGTAAGAATGGTCACCAATGGTCACTGTGTCAGCAAGGGGACAAGGCCAGGCTGGAGTAGATTTGGACTGGGACATGGACCATGATCCACCCAGGTTCCTAGGAGCTCAGGCCAACCCACCCAGCAGGTCTGTCAGAAAGAGGTGGTCACTCCAGACCCAGAGGAAGGCCCGGTGGACAAGGTGGCTTGGGGTTGCCCGGTACAAGCGGCAGGATGTCCTATGAGGTGGGAAGAGACTGGCAGGAGAGGTTGAGAGAAAAAGAAACACCGACTATATCAGCTGAACAGTGACTACACTGGTGAGGCAGACGGGCTTGGTCCAGTGTGTGATGCTGTTTGCTACAGCCACATGGGCAGGTTTTGGAAAGAAGGAGACAGGTTCACACACACATGTGGAACTGTGCAGGTGTCCCTCTCAAATGGCAGTGGGGTCTCCAAGCAGACATTTGGGCCACGCTCTGCAAACTGCATTGGTCTATGAGGGCCACACCTCCAGTGACCAGCCACATCACAATCACTGGCAAAGTCAAGCAAGTGTCCTCTAAAATCTGAGCCTCTTTCACATCTCCATATGGTTCATTATTTAAGATACGAAAATAAATATCTCTTATTTATACGGAATAAACAATGTTAAAGAGACAGAGACAGATGGCTGGGCATAGTGGCTCACGCCTGTAATCTCAGCACTTTGGGAGGCCAAGGTGGGCAGATCACCAGAGGTAAGGAGTTTGAGACCAGCCTGGCCAACATGGTGAAACCCCGTCTCTACTAATAATACAAAAATTAGCCGGGCGTGGTGGCAGGCACCTGTAATCCCAGCTACTCGGGAGGCTGAGGCTGGAGAATCGCTTGAACCTGAGAGGTGGAGATTGCAGTGAGCTGAGATGGCACCATTGCATTCCAGCCTGGGTGATAATAGTGAAACTCTGTTTTTGTTTTTAAAAAGAAAGAGAGACAGAGACAGAAAGAGATGACAGGGAAGGAAAGAAAGAAAGAGAGAGAGAAGGAAGGAAGGAAGGAGAGAGAGAGAAGGAAAGAAAGAGAGAAAGAAAGAAAAAAGAAAGAAAAAGAAGGGAGGGAAAGAAGGAAGGAAGGAGAAAGAGAAAGAGAAAGAAAGAGAAAGAGAAAAAAAGGAGTGGAACAAAAGGCAGAGGTCTATTTTGGAAGCGAATTCAGAGCCTCCTTGTCCAGACACAGAAGCAGGTTTATCAACCATTTTTAGCAAACATCTGCGTCGTGGTCCTTCAACGTAAGGTAAGTCCTTAACTTGGTGAGAAACATAATGACTGCCATGTTTTCAGTCCTCAACAAGCTGGATTACACAGTTCACAGCCCCTTCTCCTAAACTTCTGAAGACAAATATGTTCTGAAATCCAGATTTTAAAAAAGTGAATGTAGTGTTTATATCCTTGGTAGGTTTGAAGCAGTGTCCCCAGTCAAATATTTTAATTTGGGGAGAACCCCATATGAATATTCACAGTCAGAGAAATATGTAAGAATTATAAATACACTTACATCAATCAAGTTTAGATTTTGTTGCTAAGTAAGTTCAGGTTGGGTCATGTTTTTTATGAGCACATGAGTCATACGTGAATGTTTGGTTTTCAGAACTTTTGGGAATTTGAAATTAAAAGTAAGCAATCAAGGACGTAGACCAACATGCCTTAAATTCATAATTTTATTTACTCATAACAACCCTGAGAATGTTTGTGACATTTAACTGACTGACTGCAGAAGTGAGGCTGGAGTGTTTGACTCTCTCTCAACACAAGAAGGACTTTCCCTTTTATACCCTGAAGGTAAATACACTGCTTGCACATCTAGCATCAAGCAAACATCTTTACTCAGCCAAGAACTGTGTCACCTCAATGATAACCAACTCCACCCCTAAAGGAGAAGATGTCAAAGAACCGGTTAACGACAATCGCTCACGCCAAATTCCCCAAGGCCCAGCCATCTCTGTCGCCTTGCGTCATCAAGCAGACTGCATTGGATGTGACAGAAAAGCAATATTTATTAAAGATTTTTGAGTTAGGAGGTTTTATAGTTAAATTGAAATTCAAAATATGTTAATCTGACCTGAGATTAAAGGGTGAGATTGAAGAGGCACCAAGGTAAGATGCTGTGCAGTGAGGGAAGGTGGGGCAGGAAGGGCCCAGCCAGGGCCATGGGACTGCATGGCAATATGCCAGCACCTGCCCTGCCTCAGGAGAAAAAGACATGATAGCCACAATGCTCGTGGCACCTCTTTTTTATACACATGACTGGGAAGACGGCCTCGCTCAAATAGGAAGTACAAGGGCCAGAAACAAAACTCTGAAAAGAGCCTGAGTATCTGGAGAAAAAGTCTATTTCCAGCTGTTTTCCCCAAATCGTGACTATCTGGACATTGGCCTCAGGTTTTTATGTCAAAACAGAGTATAAGTTTGAGTGTAAGTTTTTTTTTTTTTTTTTGTTCTGTTTTCTGAGACAGAGTCTCGCTCTTGTTGCCCAGGCTGGAGTGCAGTGGTGTGATCTTGGCTCACTGCAACCCCCACCTCCTCCCAGGTTCCCGCGATTCTCTTGCCTCAGCCTCCCAAGTAGCTGGGACTGCAGGCACCTGCCTCCAAGTCTGGCTAATTTTTGTATTTTTAGTAGAGATGGGGTTTCACCATGTTGGCCAGGTTGGTCTCGAACTCCGGACCTCTGGTGATCTGCCCGCCTCGGCCTCCCAAAGTGCTGCGATTACAGGCGTGAGCCATAGCATCAGACCAAGTTTCTAAACAACACAGCTGGCCGTCACCTCCTCAAGGACAAACAGCATTAGCAGTCAGTGGCCAGGACTGCTGGAGATAGGCCCTCCCTCTCTGCTGAGAGATGGGCCACTGGGCACCATCTCTGGCCTCCTGCCTTGCCTGACCTTGAGCAGGCTGCTACTTAACCTCTAGGACTCAGTGTCCTCATTCATCAAATAGGGACAATATTAGTAACAGTCTCATAGAGTTATTAGAAGAATTAAGTGAGAATTAATTACTGAGTGTTGTGCCTGACACTCAAAATTTTAGTGAAGGTAGTTTCTTGCGCAATTTTATATGCATGTGCAGTTGTGTGCACACGTTTATTTATGTGTTTATTATGTGAATACACCATCTTAATGACGTTGTATTTGGTATATTTATATTTGGCTTAATGATGGTCTATTTTCATAATAAAAATCATAATTATGCTACTATCATCCAAAATATGAAAAAGAAAGGAGAAGGGTTAAGATGCTGATTTTAGCAAATAGTTCTCTTGCTGAAGCAGAGGCAGTTAAATTTATCTGTGATGCAAATTCCTTTACTATATGGAATCATTTGAAAACCATTCACAAAAATAATTGAGAATCGAACAGGTTGAAGTTCAAACATCAACTCTGCCCCATGCTGGTTAGTTAACAAAGCAACCGCAGTTCTCAGTCACTTCGTCTGCAACACGGGGAAATCAATTATAATCTTCCACAATTATCATGAGTAGACAAAGAGAAAATCTATGAGAAGTGCTCAATGACAGCTGTTATTAGCTTCAGAAGTATCACAAGGGTGACAACAAAACCAACACAGCAGCCAAAACAATGTGTCATCACATAATAAATTTGACCATTTAAAAGTAATGTAGAAGTCTGAATTTTTGAGATATATTCAGACCACAAATATAGGGCCTCTGGCCAAAATTCTCTTATGCTAACTATTTAATGACATTGTGGCTTAGGCAGATCATGCTGCTGTCTTAACCTCATACAATATTTTTTGAAAACATCCATACGAATCAAAGTCATGTGGAAATACATTGCAATATTCATCTATAGGCTTCATGCAATAGATCTACACTATTGATGGTCCTGTATGAGTAGCTGGAAATCAAGGTGATAAGTTTGGCCAGAGTTACTAATAGAGAGTGCTGAATAACTGGTACCCAGACTTACTGACACTTGCATTCTGACCTTCACCTGCCGGGCTGGGAGTCTTTCAGGTAGTTGGAGTGCCATGCAGGGGAAAGCACAGGGCCTCATGTTGCTCCTTGCTCATTAGTGCTCAGCTCTCCCTTCCCCTTCCTCCTGTTAAATAGCTCCCATCCCTACGCAGGAGCCAAATGTATTTCTTCCTTCTGTCCTTAACTTAGGGGCCCGGGATGGGCCTAAGACCTGGGCTGAGCCACCAAGATGGCCTTTTGGCAGAGAGACGAGTTGCTCTTAAGTTAGGGGGCCTAGGGCAGCACGTGGTCACGTTCTCTTCTGTGTTAGAAAACACATACAAAGTAAAACTGATGTGTGTGTGTGCGTGCGTGCATGTGCCATGTGCATGAGTGTGACAGAGAGAAGCCGCATTTGAGTTTCTGCATCTCACATTCGAGTTTCTGCATCTCACATTCCTGGGGCAAACATAACCTCCGCTCTCTTCAGCTACGCCCTCATCTCAACACTCCCCCTTTTTCTTTTTTCTTTAAATGTGTTAGAGTTGGGAATCTAACACTACCAATCAAGAAGTTCCAATGAACAGAAATTTGAAACCAAACGTACCTTAGTTTGAAATCCACCTCTGTCATTTACCAAATATTCCAGCTAAATATCCTTGAACAAGTGACATATCTGGCTTCTGATTTATTATATATAACATCAAGAACAGAAGGCAGGACGGAAGCCACTGACCCAATTCCTCTCATTCTCATTTCAAAGTGAAATGTCCTTGCTAACTTACACAGGTAGTCTAACACTCATATAATGGCTACACTGTCCACCTAGGGTAACAAAAGCTCTGTTAGTTCTAAAATTTTTATGATCTTCTAGATTAAAATAAAGACCTAGCGTAGTTTGTTTTTATAGTCATTAGAGGTGGCAATCCCTAGAACGTCGTAAGTTAGTTTTGCTTCAGCAATGCAAAATAAAGACAGACATGCAGACTTTGACTTTGTGCTTTCTCTTTCATTTGCCTTAAAATCTCAGTGACACGAGGAGATAAAGACAGTATTGCCATTTTGTAGGCAGCATTGTTGTGGAGACAATTTAGGCATAAATTCAGCAGGGCCTGGATTCAGATCTTGGCTACTGGGTGACATCTCACTATACAATACAGACACAGCCTTGCACCCTCTGCTTAGCTGCGGGTGAGGATTCAGTGAGTGAACAAACACTTCAGAGAGTGCCTGGCACATGGGAAGTGCCCCATGAACTGTGCTGATCATGACTGTGACTGTCACTTAGGTTATTAATAATGGAGTCTGTGAGAATCTGGTGAAAGCACCTCCTGTCTTGAACTTTTGTCTTGGGAGCACCTTCAAGCTACTTACTAAGTAAACAGCTTATTATAGCACATAATTATGAAGACTCACCTCCAAATAGTATTTAAGTTTTCCCTTACCTCTTTTTAAACATTATGTGACACTCTCAGATTAGGTTCCCTGTTCATAATAAGCCCTTAGCAGAAACCAAACCTTCACGGGAGCTGCTTGCCGTGGCTTCCCCGTGACAGGTACGGCTCCCAGCAGGATCACAAGTTCAAGCGCGCGGTGACTCAGCTTTTCCTTTCATGGCCACATGGGTTAGAAACAGGTCACATGCTCTGAGTCAAACACTGCTTGTTTTCAACTTAGCATTCAAAATTTGACCTTTACTCACAAATGTTATCCTGCAGCACCACAATCATTTCCACCATTAATCAATACAAAAAGAGATTCAGAATAACTTTTTGGATTTAGGAACCTAGCTTTTCTGGGACTAAACCCATCTAAGCTATTTAAAGTATGCTGAAGATAAACAATGAATGACTATTTCTGGCTTTCATTAAATCTCAATTCCCAAAAGCAGAAATTACATTCGTTCCCCAAATGTAACGTTTGTATAATATACAAAGGGTAAGAAAAATTGAAATAGCCCTTGTAAAACAAACAGCTGCTGGTGAGGGGGTTAGGGGGAAGCAGTCAATATAGGAAGAACCGTAAGTGAAAAAGAAACTTTTGGTAACAAGCATTTGTGTTTGTGTTTCTTCATTTTTCTGTTTTTATTTTAATTTCTTGGTTTGGATTTTTGTTTTGTTTTGTTTTTCTCGTCTGACTTTATGGAGAGCTCGCCATCTTGTGGAATTCCAGATCCGTGCAGTCTTACTGCCACAGCTCAAAATATAGAAACCTACAGACTTTTTTTCTTGTTGTTTTAATAATCTGTGGAGGAAGATGCTTATGCAAAGTGTTATAAATACTGTTTTCATGCAGCTAAGCCTTAGGAGGTGATGTCTATATCTGTATCACTTATATTCTAAAGTTAGGCACACGTCCTATCTGCTGTTTCTAGATATCATTCCTATGTTACAAACAGGAAAGTAGTTTTACATTCATTTTATGCTGAAATAAACCTCCATAAATTTTCATGTGATACTTTCAACATTTTTAGTTCTAAAAACAGAGTCAAAGCTAAACAGCACTTTTGTAGCTTTAATGATAAAACCAAATTACAGGTCGGGCGCAGTGGTTCATGCTTGTGATCCCAGCACTTTGGGAGGCTGAAGCAGGTGGATCACTTGAGGTCAGGAGTTCAAGACCAGCCTGGCCAACATGGTGAAACCCCGTCCCTACTAAAAATACAAAAATCAGCCAGATGGGGTGTCATGTACCTGTAATCCCAGCTATTCAGGAGGCCGATACAGGAGAATCGCTTGAGCCAGGGAGGCAGAGGTTGCAGTGAGCCAAGATAGCACCACTGCACTCCAGCCTGGGCGACAGAGCAAATAAAAGAAAAAAAAGGGAATTACAGCAATGTTTTCTTCTCTCTGGAGGTCTAATCACATAAGATACGATAAGTATTGAATATGCCTTTAGCTCACAGTTACTGATGCATGTATATTTTATTTTGATTCATGTATCTAGTGAGTTGCTATGAAGGAAGAAGAGAGAGAATGAATTTGAAGGAAGAAGGCTTGTAAGTTTTGTAGTGTTTGCTTTAGGACTTAGTGTACTTCATCCAAATTCCACTAAAAGCTACACTGTGGGATAAGTGAGTGAGCAAAGAGATGCTGTGTTCATGTGGTCACATGTAGGCTGGTTTATTCTACATCATAGGAATAGCAATATTATTTTGAAAAACATCAGACAAGAAGATGTGACAATAATAATGCCATTCTTAATAATAGTAGATATACTACATATAATATAGTAAATATAATACATATATTAACAATAGTAGATACAGTAATTATTAACAATAGTAGATATAATTATCTACTTAATAATAGTAGATATACTACATATAATATAGTATATATAATACATATATTAACAATAGTAAATACACTAATTATTAACAATAGTAGATATAATTATCTACTTAATAATAGTAGATATACTACATATATGTAGAATCAGGCAGCCCCCAGAATCACAGCAGATTCAGAGAGACTCCAGGGATGCCTCGTGGTCAGAACAAATTTATAGACAAAAAAAGGGAAGTGCCATAAAGAAATCGGCAGTGAGGTATAGAAACAGCTGGATTGGTTACAGGTTGGTGTTTGCTCTATTTGAACAACTGAACACTCAGCAGTCTATCAGTGGTTGAAGTATGGCCGCTGGGATTGGCCAAGACTCAGCTATTGTTACAGGCACATACACCTAAGTTGGGTTTTCAGTCTTGTCTGCCTATTAAGCTAGGTTATAGTTCGTCCACAAGGACTCAAATACAGAAGCACGGAGTCCTCCTCCAGCCATATTTAGTTTGCTTTAACATATGGTATTGAGCATTTTACAAATAGCAATATCCTTTACCTATGGGTACCAATTTTAAGGAAGGGATTCAGAAGACCATCAGTTTGTGAAAGGTTAGAAAGCTCGCAAATTCAGGTTTACATTTCTAATTGTGAACAAGCCAAACAGTTTCCAAAACTATGGAACTTAATACTCATAATTACCAAATAAAGATTAGATACCAACCTAAATTTAAACATTAAACAAATATGAACTTCTCAAACCCAACCGACATTGCAAAAGTGAGAAGATCCACCAACATTATAAATGTGAGAAGACCTGTATAACATAAACAACAAAAAATACTGTATACATACTATGTTATAACTTGAAAAACAGCTTGCTTTACCGTTAAAGTTTTCCTGTGAAATTGTCATTGTACAAATGCTCCAACTGATGTATTCATGAATCTGGAGGGTGGTGGGTGGTGAATATTTTCATGGAAAATGTTGTTTTGCACCCATTAGATACTTATGATACATTTCAATAAAATAACTGCTTTGTCCAAGAGAACTGAATTATTCACGATCTTCCTAAGTTCTTTCCTGTTGGAACTCCTCATAAAGTCACCCCTGACTGTTTGACTTTCTAAATAGCCTAAGTGACTCCAAACTCTTTTTTGCAAAGAGAAATGAATGTCAGAATTGAAGCTCAATACAGAAATCCTTGTTTTCTCCCACACACTCACACACTTCAACAGACTCATCCAAACCACAGATCAAGAAGTTAAATTGTTTATTTAAATTATAGGTTACATTATTCCTTTTTCTTCATCAGTGGCCATACGTCTGCAATGCCAAGCACATACCCACGTGCACACACACAGACACACACACATAGACACAGATGCACTCTAAGCTACGTATCTGCTTGAGGCTTTGAGCTGTTGCTCGTTAGAAGGATTGGGAGCAGAGAAACCCAAAACTCTTCTCTTCCTCACAGGCTATCTCTCAACATGCAATCCCCAGAATCCAGTTAGGTGCTTCCTCCCAGGGTCAACATGTTCAATTAGCGATGTTCAAGGTAGAAAATCACAAAGTTAATCTCAGGTGGTGGGTTTTGTCAATACTGCTGCTGCATAAAAGGTATTCACTTGAGTACAAGCTTCTTCATGTCTCTGGCTTTGATTTCCTCCTTTATAATATAAAGGGATTTGATTTAAAATATTTCTAATGTCCTAGAAGCTTGGAATTTTTATATTTCTATCACTTTTGCCTGGGTTACCATACTTTAATATTAGCTTTTTCTTCTAAACTTCTATTGTATTTTGGGAACAGAAAACCCTAAAACAGTCTTTCTTTGTAAATAAAACACAATTTTGATAAGGCCTTTTACACTTCCTGACTACTTTCTACCTACACAACATGACAAACCATATCCATAGCCCTGGATGTCTTCACTGAAATTTAATGATAATAATTAGTAATGTGATTGTAAATTAGGCCAATTCATTCTCTTCCTCTGAGCCCACCTGCACTATCACTCACCCCTCACAGCAGTGGCGGGACAGAGGTTGTCCTGTAATTTCTCCAAGCAGTTCTAGGAGTTCAGCCTCACATTGGCTCCATCACACTGGAAAGTCCCTCCTCTCTCCAGTACCCTGCTGACACTCCTGCATCTCCACCTTGCTGTCTTAAAACCAGCAGGACTGGTTCTCTGGCCACTCTTCTCCTCCCCAGCACCCTGGTTCCCTCCTAGCCTTGTCACGAGGTAAATGGCACAATAACACCATGTGTTGCTCAGGCCACAGCCACAGGAATCATTCTTGATCTCTTTACCTCATATCCCTTGTTCAGTGCATCCTTCAATCCTGACCTTCCTACCTTCAGAGCATAACCCATGTTTTCCCATTCCTCATCGCCTGCACCACCATTACCATGAGTGCTAACACCACCTCCCCACTACCATACCAGGAATTTAGCTCTCTGGTTCCAGCTGGGAATACCATAGGGACATCTCCACAGATGCAAATCACCTTCGAAGTGAAAACCAATTCTCTTGCATACTCAAAACCCCCAATCACTTCCAGACAACTCTGAAGGAAATCTAAATTTCTGACCATGGCTGTTCTTTTCATGTTGTCTCTATTACCCTCCCTCTTTCCCATACAACTCTAATCTGAGATCCTGGCCTTCATGTTGTCCCTCAAACATTGAGTATGTTTCCTCAGGCCCCTTGTACACTTCCATCTCCCTTGGACACCACATCAGATCTGTGAACGGCCCTCTCTGGTGTCTCTACCACAGGTACTACCTGGTAGGAGGCTCTCGATTAACGTATCTAAAAGCAGGACACCCACCTGCTCCTCTGTTCCCCAACCCTCATTTATTTTTCATCATATCACCTCAACTATTACCAACCTGTTTATTAATATCTCCCCAACCAGAATATAATGGCTTCAGATGGGGAAATAGCACAGCAAAGCAGAGAGAACTGGAGATATTTTTTTGCAGGCTTAAAGCAGCCTATGTGTGTACTCAAGAGGAGGGCTTGCTGGGGAAGTTGCCCCCCGCCAATTTGTTCTCTCAATAAGCACTTGGCCTTAACCACTGTCTTGACTACATGAAGGTGAGTGAAGCAACCCTTCTCTCTCTCTGTGTGTGTGTGTGTGTGTGTGTGTGTGTGTGTTTTCTCCTATAGCATCCTTTTTCTCACAAAAGTTCTCCTAAAATTGTGCAAACTCACACTGTTCCCCTAGATCTAATAATAAACACCCAATAAGCCATAAATCAGGTATCAGCAGGTATCTGAAGTCAATCCACATGTCCTCAGAGTCTAGTTCCCACCACCGCCCCCCACCGCCACTGAATTGAGTTTGGATCAGAATCCAATTCTCTCTTGTGCTCTTTTCCCACCAACTTCTCTTCAGAACAGGATTCATTTCCCATATTGTTTCTTGTTCTCATCCTAATGCAAATCTGGACCCATCCCTGTGGCAGAGACACACTAAACCAGGCAGTTAGCAGAAGTGCAAACATTGAGAATACATTCTTCACTCACTGTCTATACAGCCTGTCACTCCCATCATTCTCCTATGACCAAGGCATCCTAATTTTAACACAAGTGCTTTCTGCCTCCATTAAAGGAAATCAGCCCCTGAGGTTATGTGTGCTGTGCATCTTAATCCATGATGTACCTTCATCCAACACCAATGAATAATCATACTTACTCAAATAACATTGCCCATTATCTCAAAACAGGGCCATGGATTAGGAGTGCATAACTCATGTTATAGCCAAAATACTTAAAAGGAGTATAGGAGTTTATATCTGCACAAGTTTTTTCTGATCTGAAAACTAGTAAAATATAAGTTTGTTCACACACATACAACTTCACCCATTCAAGAAACAGTGGGAACCTTGTTATGTGGATGGTTTCAACCTAACAGTATCCAACAGTTATCTTTTACTCACCATTTTGTCTCTGAAAAGTAAGAAGATAATTTAAGACTACCAAATTGCAATCACAATTTGAAGGCATAGCTTTTAGATACAAAATACTTAGTCACTCACCGGTGTGCACATAAATTATTAAGATGAAGTCCATATTTTTCTTCAGCAGATAACCCATCCATCAACAAGTAGAAAATGAGAAAATTGCTCTGGCCAAGAGGTTGTGAAACAAGTCTGGATTTCTCTAGCAAATATGTATAAATTCTGGCTGGTTGGGAAAAGAAAAGTGATTCTGTTAAATGGCAGTATTCATTTCATTTCCATAAATTAACACATATTAATTAATTACAAGAGATACAAGGACTGTTGAGTTCTCCCTTTCCCATCTATTTACATTTTATTTTATTGTCTTTTTGCATTAGCTAGGACTTTCAATACGATGCTGAAAAGACATGGTTTAAGGGGACATCCTTCCTTGTCCCATATCCAACAAAGAACTTGGTGCACAAATGTAATTTGAAACAAGATTTGCTCTTGTCTGTAACAAAGGCTTTGAAATAAGCTTTGGAATTTTCCTCATTAATATCCCACTGTTTGAGAGTCCCGGCCATGTTGGTATGATGGATATTAACTTACACTGTTCAAAAAGTGCCCCACTAAAGGCACTGATAAGCATTCCCAGCAACTAGATCAGAATTATATATGGCTGCACTATGAAGGCCCAGGGAGACAGACCATGGTCCCTCACTGCCAGAAACACTGGAGGAAACCCACTGCAGCAAAGGAAAATGCAATTTGAATTCACACAGATATAGTTTAATACACATAATGTATTTGAGGATGAGGTAGATGAGGTGTCTATTAAGTAACACATGTCCAGTGTGAACAGTGTGTAGTCATCTTCTTTTATTCTCACCACACATGTGCGGTAATAGGACTACTAGCTGATGTTTATTTAGTCCTCTGTTTTCAAAACTTTACAAAATAAAATAAAATATAACCCAATGCATAAATACAAGGTGTTGAAATTTATTTGATAGTAGTTGATCAACAACGCCAAAAAGATGCAATATGGTAATCACAGCCTCAATTTTGCTTTACATATGAAGATCAGCAATTCAGAAGCTAGCGTTGGTCAAAATTATGACTGTATGTTTGGCATGCTGAAAATTTCATTGTTTCTGGAGCATTTGAAATATTAATATAGGTTTATTTTTATCATTATGAATAATCAGATTATGTATTTCAATTATATTTTTATTTATTTATTTATTTATTTATTTTATTTTATTTTTTTTGAGACACAGTCTCACTCTATTGCCCAGGCTGGAGTGCAGTGGCACGATCTTGGCTCACTGTAACCTCTGCCTCTCCGGTTCAAGTGATTCTCCTGCCTCAGCCTCCTCAGTAGCTGGGACCACAGGTGTGTGTCACCACACCAGCTAATTTTTGTATTTTTAGTAGAGACAGGCTTTTGCCATATTGGCCAGGCTGGTATTGAACTCCTAACCTCAAGTGATCTGCCCACCTCGGCCTCCCAAAGTGCCAGGATTACAGGGGTGAGCCATCACGCCAGACCTGCATTTCAATTTTAAATGCAAATGTGAATTATTACAGTTTTCCTCTTTGAAGTAAGAATCCATTGTCAATATTATTTGGGTGAGGGGTGTTAAAGAATGGCAGTTCTTAGAAAGGCAAATAAATGGTTATAATTATCTCATACATTTGAACTTTAAAAAAACTCATGTAATGAATTTGCTAAGAATTATTCTAAAGTCCAGCACTAAAAGCAAAAATGTGATGTCTCCCAATTTAATTGTCTACAGCAAATCTGTTCTAACAACTAGAACCACTATTTACAATGCCTTCCAATGCATTTAGTAAGTGGTCAATTTAGCTAATCAGATATCACAGTTTTTAAAAATTTCAAAATTAATATCCCTTAGTAAGAAAAGTTGTATAAAGAGACAACTTTGGGAAAAGTTGCCAGGAGTGCATAAAGAAAAGGTCTTTCAAAATATTCCTTTCATTGGTGACAGTAAAGCCCAAAGGTGATGGTAAAATTAGAATGGGGGTGGTGTGGAGCCCTGAATTAGCAGTAAACCTCAGTGGATGAGCATGTGTGCTTGAATGTGTGTGCACAGGTCTCTATGAGAATCAATTAGGTGGCAATTTCAAGTTAAGTTTTAAATATTTTTTTCTTTTTTCCCCCTTAAATTCTTTGCTGAAAACATTTTCTGTTTAATATTAATAATATTCATCTTGAATTAATTTACTACTTAAGAGGATATTTTTTAAAAACCTAAAGACATTTTAAATGAAATTATCTTCCATTTTTTCTAGCCTTTAGGCATGAAATATCAGATGAGAAGGGAGAATGAATAGTCATCTTGTTCTTGGAGAAATGGTTGGCTAACCCCCATCTATCCCAGCCAATATGCAAGCCCTGATTGAAGCAGTATTCAAAACTAATCAAATTCCACATCATGGAGTCACTTCAATACATTTCATCTAAATTCAAAAACAGTGTAATTATTAATCAACCTGGTTAGCTCATCTCCAGCAGTGAATAAAATTGCTGTGGATTAGTGGAATTCTGATCAGCAGGGTTTCAAAATATGTATACATCTTGAGTGAGCTTTTAGATGGAAGCAAACACAAGACAGCCCAAAATTCAAATTGCCATGAAACTCTAATATTCTTTCAAATGGAGAAATGCAGATCTTTCTGTTGTGTCTGAAGTGAAACGGTAAAAATGGAAGGAGTATGATGGGCTTCTAAGTTAAAAAGGTTTCAGGACGCATTCATGTAAGTGTTCATACATAAAAAGAAACATTCTACTAACTGAGCTCCTGACTTCTCAAGACTTGTATGTTTTAAAAGCTCTTTTATGTCAGAAATACTTTTGACTAGAAACATGCTTATAATTCTCTACAAGTGTCCATATATTCATATATGCGTTCCAAAAAGTTTTGGTGTTGAAAAATATATATGTTTGCAGATTACATGTAACATAAAATGCAATAAAGTATTTCATAGGGCTATACAGCTTTTGTTCATTATATAAAAAAAAAGTGGTGGAAATAAACTTTGCTCTTTCAAGAAAGAAAAATTCCTGCCTTTGTTCTTCCCATTGACTTCCAGAAATTTCCAACACCCACTCTCACCATGTCTCACCCATCTAGTTATGGGTACACGACCACTTAGGGCCTGTTTCCAGAAAGTATTGTCATGCCTTCAATTAGCAAGCACCAAAAACATACTATCAACGAATTCGGATAGCCAAATATTTTCTCTTTCACAACTATGCATTTCTTTCCATCTCATTATTCATGATCAAGGTGGTCATCACTTTGGTGGTATAACCTAAGTGAAAGTGCCTCCCACAGGAGTCAAATGACGGATCCTACTCTGGAGTCTGATGCTGCCAATCCCTGCAGCCCTCTGGGCTTCATTTTTCCTATCAGTAACATGAAGAAGAAAAGACGCAAGTGTCCCAAGGCCCCTCTGGACTCCAAGAGGAAGATGCTACCACTTAAAGCACCTACCGTGTACCATACACTATTCTAGTGTCCTTCTAACATTGCCTCATTTAAATTCTGTTGCAGGCCTTTTCACATTTAAGCCCAACTGTCTTGTCTCCTAAGCCCAGGCTGTTTGCAATAAAGGATGCTGCTCTTCACATAAGATCAACTAAAGCATTTCAAAACTTTTAAAAGAATGTCCTGCTAAGTATATAATTCTAAGACTAATTGATGATGGTAACAAAGATGATTATTCATCTGTTATTACACCTCTAGTTTATTTAACATCAGGATTTGGGGAAAAAAACACAAAGCAAAGGCCTTAATATATTTTCCATTTCATTTGCAGTAATTTTAAGGTTTAAATTTCCTAAATAGAACACATAGCCTGGCTATATTTACTGGAAGATATTTTTTATTGTTAGTAAATTTCAATTTCAACTTAAATACCCTTGGATACCTTCAGGGCACAAACATCAAAAGGCAAGTATTCTCGACATTCCTCAGGGGGACTCTGGACATCCCTCCCTTTTGAGTTCCTCCCACTTATTTCTGGGAATGGGAGAACCTAAGACTTGAAATAAAAGTGAAAGAAAAAGAAAACAGTGAGTGATTTAAAGAGCAATGTTAACATACTGAATATTCATGGGAACGCTAAGAGTTTGGGGTGATGGTTATCCCCCTTGGACAGAAGAAGAAAATGAGGCATGGAAGATCCAGTGAGCTGCCCAAGGCCAGCGGGCACAAAGTAAATGAGCCAGGACTCAACCCCAGGCCTTGTGGCTCGTAAGGACTACAGAGGGAAATCAGAGCTTCGAGTCAAGCAAATATCTGCCTTTTGAGCTTGCCGAATGCTTGCTGATGGTGATGAATTTGGCCCTCTGCACATTCTGGGTGCAGTTAAAAGCATGGCCTTATGGACTCTCTATGTCTTCCAGTCCTTTACAAGTAAGCTCTTGAGGAAAGTTTAAGAAAAGTAAGCTCCTGAGGAAAGTGTAAGAAAAGGAAACAATATCATCAAAAGAAACCATCCCCTAACCCACAGTAGCCATATGAGACCATAAAATACTGTATTTCCTGGTGACCTTCTAAAAGTCCTTCAACCTGTTTTTGGTGAACAGAATTCTCTTCAATAATCAATATTCCAGAAGAGGAGATCATTTTCTTGTCTGAGAACTTATCTGGTCAATAGCTAAGATTTACCTTGGATAAACAGAATGACTCCATTTTGAATATCTAGCTGCTAAGTGAGATTTGGGACATGGCTGGTCCTATGCTCTTTTCACAATCCCCCTCAGCCAAATAAGATTCATGAAGATGCACCGAGGCCAGTGTTCTTGGCAACCCTTTATTAGCACTGGCTCCTTTGCAGAGGCAGCCCGATTAAACCATTAATAGCTCCATCATGATACTAGAAATAGTCAACTTCAAAAGTGGTTTATTTCCAATTACCTGAAAAGCAGCTGAAAGGAACACAGGAGACCATGGAGTCTGGTCCCCTAGTTTTATAACAGGGTAAAGAGAATCAGTGACATTCACCTATTCACCTGAGTTTACAAACCGATGGCCAACCTGCAGTTCGATCTAGAAGGCCCTTTTCCATGTGCCCAGCTACCCTGTATGAAGATGGTTTTACAACTTGATTTGTTGCTCCCAGAAAACAGGTGACTTGCGAGTAAATTAGAAAAAGAAAGAGCTAATTAAAAATCTTGCTATCACATATTTTTGAAGATCGAAAAAAATAAAGTGATTATTTGATAAGAATGAAGACAGTATATTATTTTACTTTATCTGCGTATGTTTGGTGAGACAGTTTTGTGTACTATATAAAAAACTGCGTACACTCTAAAGTGAATGAAAACTTTATAGTACCCTTAAAAGACAAGGAACGATCTTGTGTAGAAGAGAAAGAATTGTCATTCCCTTTCCAGGAACAGGCCCTAAGTGGTCATGTATCCATAAGGGGATGGATGCAACAGGATGAGAGTGGGTGTTGGAAGTTTCTGGAAGTCAATGGGAAAGACAAGGGCAGGAACTTTTTTTTTCTTGAAGGAGAAGAAAGTTTATTTCCCCACTTTTTTTCATAATGAACAAAAACCGTATAGCCCTACAAAATACTTTATTGCATGTTATGTTACATATAATCTGTAAACACATATTTTCAGGACCAAAACTTTTTGGAAAACATACATGAATATGCCATTAATATCATAAACTGACTTGTATGTCACACAATGTAAACCTCTTTGCATGCTCAGATGAAAAATACAAATTTGTAGGGATTCAGGCAATGTATTAGCAAATTACCTCGAGTCTCAAATAAAAGGTACTGTATGGCTAAAACTAAGTCATTGTTGGCAAAGTTTTCCTTTTACTTATACAGTAACTTTTTATAAACTTGTCTGTGTGATGATAGTACGATGTTTTATAAGTCACTCAATCCTGAGGGAGAGTGGCACTTGCACCAGTGAACCTAAATAATTATATTCTAAAATAAATAATCAGATCAGGGAAAATACTGGACTAGAAGCCAGACTAGAATGCTATTTATAAATTACATTTTCCCCCAAACAAGAAAGTCCTTACTTATATACAGCTCATGTTTCATAAAGCTGAGCCTGGTATTTTTTATACTATGATCTGTGGTTACATTGCTGATGAAAGATTGACATTAAATTATAAAAGTGTAACTAATAGTAACAATGAAAGTAACAGCACCTATCAACCTTCAAATTAGTATGATGATACTCCCTGTCCAATAAAATGGTAACAACTATTTCCTAAATGCTGATAATTTAAAGAAAAACAATCCACCATAAAGTATAAACTCAATCTGTAATCAACACTTATTTGACCTGGTTTGAGATAGAGCAGCCTCACTCCAATTTGATTAACTATTTTAGTGAACATTTACAATTCAGAATGCTTTTACAGGGGACTGACTTAAATGACTCAGCTCTCTTTAAAATGTATGTTAAGTAGTTAAAGTTAATGTGTTTTTTCATTTTTCTTTCATAAGAGTCTTGGCAGCAGATGGAATTATTTAAAAGTATCACTAACGTATAACAAAAGTATTTACTGATAGCTTCTTAAAGTGTTCAGTGCCTATTTTTTTGAGCAGTGATGATTTCATTCTTAAACTGAAAATCATTTTAAAGTAAAAATTCATACAATAGATCTCTGTTACTCTTTGTTGCAGGATGGATTTTGCCCTACAAAAAATACATATACATATTGAAGTCTTCATCCTCAATACCTTGGAATGTAACCTTCTTTGGGAATAGCATCAATACAGAGATACAGTAGTCACCCTTTACCTTCAGTGGATACATTCTAAGATCCCCAGTGGACCCCTGAAAACTGAGGATAGTACCAAACCCTGTATACATGATGTTTTTCCTATACATACACATCTATGATAAAATTTAATTTATAAATTAGGCACAGCAAGAAATTAACACAGCAACTAATAATGCAACAGAATAATTATAACAATATGCTGTTCGCAATTCCAGGGGTAGGAGATTGTTTCCTACCATGGATCTTAGCAACCTCAGCATACAATTTGTTTTCTTTCCTTATTAAGTTGAGAACTTTCACCTTTTCATTAAAAGGAAGCTGAGGCCATTATTAAGTAAAATAAGAGTTACTTGAACACAAGCCAGGAAACTGGCACCATCTGATAACTGAGAGAGCTTCTAAGTGATTAACAGGTGGGTAGCGGAGACATCGTGGATACACTGAACAAAGGGGTGATTCACTTTCCAGGCTGGATGGAGCCAGAGGGCAGGAGATTTCATCACGTTACTCAGAATAACATGCAATTGAAAACTTATGAACTGTTTGTTTTGAGAATTTTCTATTTAAAATTTTTGGACCACAGTTGAACTCCGGTAACTGAAACCATAGAAAGCAAAACCTTAGTTTAGGGTGAAACTACTGTACTCAAGTTACAATAAGGTCATACTGGAGTAGGGTGTGTCCTAATCCAATGTGACCAGTGTCCTTTGGAGAAGAGAAGAGGCACAGGGAGAAGGTCATGAGTCAATAGAGGCAGAGACTGGAGCAATGCATCTCCAAGCCAAGGAACACTAAAGATCAGCAGCAACCATCAGAGCTAGGAATGGGCAGGGGAGGTCCCCCCAGAGAGGTCAAGAGCTCGTGCGTCTACAGACACCTGAATTCCAGACTTCTAACCTCCAGAACTGTGAGACAATTAATTTATGTTGTTTCCAGCCACCACACTGGTGTTCATTTGCTACTGCAGCTTTTGAACACTGACATAATCTAACACATTCTAATATCAACCCCGTTCAGTCTATGCTAACAGGCACAGGAGACAAGTACATGCTATTAAGCTACTCTGGGAGACATGGGAACATCAGATCCACAGCTAAAAGAGTGCTTTCATTTTTGGACTTAAACAATGTTGAGCACTAGGCAGCATCTGTAAAATTATCTGGTCCAGCTGGTGTCTGCCCCTTCCTCTTGCTTAGACACAGCCAGCGTTGGCATGAGAGAGTGCGTGGCAGACGTGAGGATGTTCCATGGCAGCTTCTGATGACTGAGTGAAGATGTTCCTTCTCGGAAACATCGACCTGCTCTTTATAGTACGCATAATATACCTTTGTACTCAACACCCTTTCCACGTGGTAAGGGATACTTGAACAAATTTGTCCTATTTCTCTTGAGTTATTTCTTTTTCAGTGTAAATATTTTTAGTTTTGTCAACACTTTACTCCAAAAACATGACATTGGAACTTTCACTCTCCTGATAAACATTTTCTGAACATATTCCTTTTATTTCTCTTCTTAAAACCAGGAAACAACTGATTCCCAGTCTCACCCCTTCAGGGCACTGTGGGTCCTACCACGTTTATGATCTAGGTGGTAGACTTCTACGAATGCAATCTCAGCACTAGCTTTGTTACTTTGTTTTATAGCAGTTTATTACTCTTAAATAAAAAACATAAAAAACGATCACCAAATCATTTGGCCAGAGTTTTAAAAGAACACAGCAGGAAGCTATGAAACAAACAAATACAAGTGATAAGAACTAAATTAAGGATGTTAATTAGGGGAACAAAATGAGTAGAAAGGCCATACGGAAAGTGGAGAAAGGTGGAGCATGCCTGTCATAGATGCCCTGATTGCCATTTCCATAAGAGAAAAATAAACCCTACGCAAGTCTGAAATTATATTGAATTTACGGTCACAGTTCCTTAATGATTCAGAGAACTTTTCTGGGCCTTGAACTATCAGGTGAAATTCACCCCCGATATTTCACGTAGGTTCTTTTCTAATTTCCCTAAGAGTCGGCCGGTCTGAGAAATAAAGGGACAGAGTACAAAAGAGAGAAAATTTAAAGCTGGGTGTCTGGGGGAGACATCACATGTCAGCAGGTTCTGTGATGCCCCCTGAGCCGTAAAACCAGCAAGTTTTTATTAGTGATTTTCAAAAGGGGAGGGAGTGTACAAATAGGGTGTGGGTCACAGAAATCACATGTTTCACAAGGTAATAAAATATCACAAGGTAAATGGAGGCAGGGCGAGATCACAGGACCACAGGACTGGGGCGAAATTAAAATTGCTAATGAAGTTTTGGGCACCCATTGTCATTGATAACATCTTATCAGGAAACAGGGTTTGAGAGCAGACAACCGGTCTGACCAAAATTTATTAGGCGGGAATTTCCTCGTCCTAATAAGCCTGGGAGTGCTGTGGGAGACCGGGGCTTATTTCATCCCTCTGCTACAACCGTAAAAGACAGCCATCCCCAAAGCGGCCATTTCAGAGGCCTCCCCTCAGGGACACATTCTCTTTCTCAGGGATGTTCCTTGCTGAGAAAAAGAATTCAGCGATATTTCTCCCATTTGCTTTTGAAAGAAGAGAAATATGGCTCCACCTGGCTCACTGGCAGTCAGAGTTTAAGGTTATCTCTCTTGTTCCCTGAACATTGCTGTTATCCTGTTCTTTTTTCAAGGTGCCCAGATTTCATATTGTTCAAACACACATGCTCTACAAACAATTCGTACAGTTAACGCAACCATCACAGGGTCCTGAGGCAACCTACATCCTCCTCGAAGATGTAGGGATTAAGAGGTTAAAGTAAAGACAGGCATAGGAAATCACAAGGGTATTGATTGGGGAAGTGATAAGTGTCCATGAAATCTTCACAATTTATGTTCAGAGACTGCAGTAAAGACAGGCGTAAGAAATTATAAAAGTATTAATTTGGGGAACTAATAAATGTCCATGAAATCTTCACAATTTATGTTCTTCCACCATGGCTTCAGCTGGTCCCTCCGTTCGGGGTCCCTGACTTCCTGCAACATTGAACTGCTCCAGGCCCATCATTATGAATATGTATCACCTCTGGGTCTCAATGCTGCCTGGACAAGCTGCCTGAGAGGTATATGTGGGGCTAATTATGCTAAAGATGTGAGGGACCAAGTGTTCATAGAGATTGTTGATTAACAGAAGGCTCAGTTAATCAGTGTTTACAACAAAGTTTTCTAGTTCTTTTTAATATGTGTACATAATTATTTTCTAAATCAACATTCCTAAAGAAAAGGACCCTCTAAACTCTATCCAGAAAAATAAAAAAGAGGAAAAAAAATGTTAGTAATGGATGACACCTTCAGAAGCCAGTTATTTTCTCTCCCTCTTGCTAAAGGAAACATGAAATTGAGAAGAAAAAGTCATGCTGGTGACACCCCAGATGAGCTTCTCCTCCTTGCACTAGTTGTGCATAAACACGAATGGCCTGCTTTCAGCTCTCAGAGCTCTCAGACACTCACGTCCCATGAATCACCTGGAATCTTGTTAAACTGCAGTCTCCATCAGCCAGTCTGGAGTATGGCCTCAGATTCTGCATCTATAACAAACTCCCAAGTGATGACGCAGTGCTCATCCTTGGGCCACACATTTGAGTGGCAAGGGGCTGGAACACGGAGCTTTCAATGTTTCAGCTTCCTACTTTTGGAGAACTTCTATCCACTTAGAGAACATCGCCACAGCCCACCAGTCACTGAGAGCTCAGGGGGAAAACTGTGCTCAGTATTACAGAAGTAAATCCGGCCCCTTCCCTTGGAGGAGCACACCCAGCCAGGTGTTAGGAAACTGAGACTTGAAAACCAGAGCTTGAGGCTCACGACAGTTCTCCGATGAGGTCTTCATAAAATGGCAGACCTTCAGAACTCTAAGCCATGGGTTTAAAAAACCAATAAATGATTGAATAGCTTTCCTTTTGTATAAGTTAACCTTCTAACTTCAACATCTAAACATCTAAAAGCATCTTTTCTTTCTTTCTTTTTTTTTTTTTGAGATGGAGTTTGGCTCTCGTTGCCCAGGCTGGAGTGCAATGGTGTGATATCTGCTTACTGCAACCTCCGCCTCCTGGGTTCAAGTGATTCTCCTGTCTCAGCCTCCCAAGTAGCTGGGATTACAGGCATGCGCCACCACACCTGGATAATTTTGTATTTTTAGTAGAGACGGGGTTTCTCCATGTTAGTCAGGCTGGTCTCAAACTCCTGACCTCAGGAAATCCACCCGCCTCGGCCTCCCAAAGTGCTGGGATTTCAGGCGTGAGCCACTGCACCAGGCTCATACTGTTTTTATGCATGTTATTTATCACATTTTATTAGTAGAAAACTGATTCTGACATAGACTTGCTGCAAAATACAATGTTTTTGTTTCTAGATTATGGTCAAAACTAACTTTTTTTTTCCTGAAGGGAAAATAGGGTAACTTTAAAAAGCCAAGTAAAATTAAACTCTTTCAGAAATCATTTATAATAATTGGCAAATGTTTATGTGCTGACAGCTGTTGTAAAAGTTTTTTAAAAATATCTGATTACTTCAAGTATATCAAAATTCTACCTACAATTGTATTTATATTATTAATTTGCATTAATAATCTGTTTTAATTGGAAAGATGTAAAATTCTAGGTGAATTCTAAATTAGTTGAATTTTAAATAAGGAGTTTTTATAAAATATACTTTAAGTATTTAAATCAAATACGAAACAGTGTCTGCTTGGGTTTAGTTTGGCAATTATTTTGATGTTTAGATTTAATTCAGTCATTTAACTATATGGATTCAGTTTTATTTCAAATAGATTTCAATGTGTATTATGTGAAGAAATTATATATAATACTAAGGTATTATTTATTTAATTAAAGTATTTGAGTTTGTTTCTATGTTCAGCAAGGATAATTCAGCTACGTTTGGTCTGGGTTTGGTTTCTCATTATATAGCCCATACAATAATCATTTTGAAAAGGTTCAGCTTGCATTTGAGAATATTTTTTAATTCACAATAACTTCAGCACTTATCACCTGACATCCTAGGTATGTATACACACACACACACACACACACACACACACACACACACTCACACACCCTCAACTGAGTGCCTGAGTATTGATCCTTGTTCTAATGTAATACAAACTTTCCAGAAGTATCTTAAGCTGTTTCCAGACACGGTCATGAAGAATAGGTTTTCTCTCCCAGCATTGATTCATACACAGTGTGTCCATAGCGTGCCTGTGTGTGACGTGGTCGCATGCTGGCTCGGCACAGGAAATCCACGTTGTCAAATACTGCACTTACCTCCGGTTAGCTGTTGTTTCCTCTCACAGAACTGCAGTTCAAAATACTTGATGAAGCAACTGGACAAATCATTAAGTGTGGTCTTGGCATGTCCAAAGGCTTCTAAGATGCACACGACCTGTGGGAGAGGAGAACATTTTACTGAACTGCTCATATTTTAAGAAATAAAATTGATGAGTAATAGCGACGATGCAGTGAATAATACTTCTTGGTCTGAAAGTTTCTATCCTGCTCATAGAATGCTATATTGAATTTTTAAGACCCCTTTTTCCTCAAAGGCAAGCCACTAGCATCCTATGTCTCAAATTGTGGCTACTGTTCATGAAGCAATAATAGACAGATTGCTTGACGACACTGCACTCTCCTGCACATAAAAGAAGGAAAGCCATTCTCTACACACACAGCCCCAAGCTTAACAAATGTTATCAAGATTTCAAACCTGAATAGAACAGTAAAATAGCGTTTGCATTTTGGAAGGGAAGGAGTCATCTGAATTAATATAGGCAAAAGTCAGAATTCATTTTACAATAATACATTTATTTAAACATTGGCATAGAACATTCCTTTGAATCCTTATTTACTTTCCACTCATACTCTTTTTCAACCCTGACCCCCATTTATCCTCCCTGTACCGTGCTTTTGCCTCACACCAACTATTCTCTTCCACAGGGCAGCGGTGAAACTCCCAGCTGAGCTGCCATGCCGCCTTCTCTCGCTGCCCTGTGCTTTGTTGCAGACTGGCAAGTTTGTGGCTTTGCAACGCTATGATAAAGCTCCTCAGGCCAACCCTGGGGGCTGAAATTCTTCCTTGACATGTTTCCTTAAGCATTCACAGTAGAATAAAAGCCACTGCTTCTTCATCAATTGACTCTGCCTGTGAAGGTGATGGGGACCAAGCAATTCTCCAAAATGTATGAAAATCTGGAGGGTTCAAGGGTATCTCTTGCATGATAGTTATGTTCCATGCGGTTTCTGCATCAGCCACAGGAGGGAGTACAATAACACCTTATTGATACACGGACTAGTTTTCCTGTTCCCTAGTGTTTCTAATAGTGTTTTTTTGAGAACACTATCCTACTTTTTTTTAAGTGCTTTGATCCCACTTTTTTTAAAAAATTTACTTTTTATTTTATTTTTTGAGACAGAGTCTCACTCTGTCATCCAGGCTGGAGTGCAGTGATGTGATCTCGGCTCACTGCAGTGGTGTGATCTCGGCTTACTGCAACCTCTGCCTCCTGGATTCAAGCAATTCTCCTGCCTCAGCCTCTGGAGTAGCTGGGATTACAAGGGCATGCCGTTACACCAGGCCAATTTTTGTAGTTTTAGTAGTAGAGACAGGGTTTCGCCATGTTGGCCAGGCTGGTCTCAAACTCCTGACCTCAGGTGATCCGCCCACCTCGGCCTCCCAAAAAGTGCTGGCATTACAGGCATGAGCCACCACGCGCGGCTGCTTTGATCCCACTTTTAAATTTCCTGGCATCTGCTACATTAAGGTGTTGAATTAACCTGGAAGTATTTTATACTGTGAAAGATTATAAAATAGTTTGACGCTAACCACAAATTAAAAAATGCTACAAGTTGTGATAATAGTGAAGTATGTTAAAACTTCTGTGTTTGAAGTTTGAATTTTGGAGACAAACATATATTAATTCCTTACAAAAACTTTATGGTTTAGGTCTGTATATAATAATCTAATTTTAAAGATGATAAAAGTAAATTGATAGCAGTGATGATAGCAATGTTTTCTGGGAAAAAAATGAAATAGTACTTAGTAACTCTTCGTTTTTGTATCTTTTCCTATAATCTAATATGAAATATGTAGTTATATACATACGGTGAAAATAAGAGGGTAATGATAGCACATTTTAAATATTAATAATATTACATTAAACAATTATTTTTAAAGTCATAAAAATAGGATAATCTTTAAAAATATTTTGCTTCTAGTTATTCTGGTGTTGTGTCTGATAAGTAATGTTTTGATTATTCTTGGAAAAAGGACATTACAGGTAATTAATAACTTGTTCCCCTAACAGTCAATATAGGGAAATGGTTAAATGCATGTGCCTGGGAGTGAGAAGGAGCTACCCCCACACCCCAACACTGCTAATGAGAAATTATGTAACGCTGAGGAGGTCCTCTGAATTCCTCAAACCTCATTTTCCTTAATTCTCACGCTGGAATAACTCCTTCAGTGTTTGTCAGTGTCCGCTGTGTAAAGCACTCAGCTTTACGTCTGGCACAGAGAAAACATTCAGCAAATAACAACAGTGAATTTTACTTTTGTGAATAGCAATAGACAATGTTCCCGTCCTGCTCACTATGTACCAGGCAGTGTTCTAACGGGTGATGTGTCTGTGCATGTGTGTTCTCTGTTAACTCTCGGAACCAGTGTATATTTTACACTGCTTTACAGAAAAAAGGACATAGACCAATTAGTTTTCCCAAGGCTCAAAGGTTGTCAACAATGAAGCTGGGAGTTGAACCCAGGTGAGTTGGCTTTCAGAATCACACACTTAACCACTGCACTATGCAGTAATTACTGCTGAAATACCAATAAAGACATAGAAGGCATGAAACGAATATAAAACTACAACTACTTAACAAAATGTAAATACCCCATGGCATTCTTTCACTGTACGTTGTCATCCATGAGTCAAGATTAAAATGCTAAATAAACTATGCAATAACCAGTTTTTTATCTTTAATTAGCCACTTGGCCGATAGGTGGCACTAAATAAATGTATTAAGAGAAATACTGAGCTAAACAAAACTGGCATTATTCCGCTGCTCACCTTGATTTCAAAAACAACAATGACAACGTTGCACAGTAACAAAATTTAAATAAAAATATAAATGAAGAAAATTAAATATATATATTTTCCTCAATATTTACTTATTCAAATTTTATTGACTTTTTTTTTGTATTTATAATGTATGGTATTTTTTCTATAAATTTATGTCCCTATATAAGTCATGGACTATTATGGTAGGAGTTAATCTACTGTATTTTCTGAAAGTAAAGACTTGTGGCATCCTCTATAAAAAATATTAACTCAATCGATATCAACCCATCAGTCTGCTCTCTGAAAGCTATTGCATAGTGAATGCTTATTTAAGTGATTTCAATGGAATTGAATATTCTTAAAGTTGAAATTCATTTGGACCAGAGTTGGTGAAGGTTCCAGGTAGTTTCTTCCTGAAACATGACTTTTCTGTTCCAATAAATTTAATGTCATGGAAAATGCCCTGCTTCCAATGTTTGAAATTCAAATGCAGGGGTTAGAAACAAAACAGCCCTTCCTAACTGCTCTTAGCTGCTCTGAAACTTTGTGGGGGAACAAAGCCATGTCTGTGGTGATCGGGTTCCATCCGTCCATCTACCCAGTGGGTAAAGTGCACTTGAAGCCCAGGACAAAGGCAGGTGAGCTCATGCAGGCTTTTAAGATGGGCCAAATGAGGTGTAAGACTGACAGAAAGATTTCAGTCACTTCTCGTAAGAATAAGTGTTTGACCTGCATATAATCACCAAAAGTCATTTCTGGACCTCAATGCTGCACTCTCTCACTTACTAGATGTTACCAACTGAATCTTCCTCCTTCTCTCTCTTCTCCCAAAACCTCCTTCAGGGAGAGTACTGTGTGTTGTGACAGTGTGAACTTCTAGTTTCCACCCAAACCCTTTCATTTTGGGTTCTCTGGCTTCCCATACTCCACTGAGATGGCAATCTTTAATTTTAACAATGATGCCATTATTATCAACCACAGGAAGAGTTTCTCTACTCCTCAGTGTCTGCACAATACTACAATGAAGACCACCCCAATACATCCTCACTGATATGGTTTGGCTCTGTTTCCCCACCCAAATCTCGAGTCGAATTGTAATCCCCACATGTCAAAGGAGAGACCCGGTGGGGGGTGATTGAGTCATGGGGGCAGTTTTCCCCATGCTGCTCTCATGATCGTGAAGGCATTCGCATGAGATCTATGGTTTAAAACTGGCAGTTTCCCCTGCGCATGCTCTCTCTCCTGCCATCATGTAAGATGTGCCTTGCTTCTTTCTTCTTCACCTCCTGCCATGACTGTAAATTTCCTGAGGCTTCCCCAGCCATGCAGAACTGTGAGTCAATTAAACCTCCTTTTTTTAAAAAATAAATTT
Source organism: Homo sapiens (assembly GCF_000001405.40). Lineage (NCBI taxonomy): Eukaryota > Metazoa > Chordata > Mammalia > Primates > Hominidae > Homo > Homo sapiens. The sequence goes on along the minus strand of NC_000013.11, from coordinate 108,893,975 downwards.
CCTAGTCTCAGGTGGTATCTTTATGGCAGTATGAGAACAGACTAGTACACTGACTTTTCTTTCTCTATCATTCTTTTACTACACATTATTTGGCAACTGCTGATCCAAATGACCCCCAATGAGTATTTTCCTAGGATTTGAGGCAAAATTGTCTCCTTTAGAATGAACCAGGCTCTCTCAGTGGAATGTACAGTTTGTGTGCTTGCTACACACCTGATCCCGCCTGCCAGCACTCCCCATGATGGCCTGTGTGATATTCCAGAATGCAGTCTCACAACCAAATATGGCTAAACCGTGTCTCTAATCAGCACATTGTCCTCTCCTCTTAGGGCCACCTAGTGAACTTTCCTTTCATCTTATCCTGACCCTCAAACTTTCTACTAGATAGCTCCATAAATCAAGGCTGTTCAAGGATGTTCTTTTCTACTCATTTCCTTAATCAGATTTTCCTTTCAGGAAGTATAGGAAGTGCTCACTTAGTATCATCAATAGGTTCTTGGAAATTTCTACTTTAAGCAAAACAACGTACCTTCTAATGCAACCAATTTTATCACAGACTAATTAATATAAACAAGAGTTAAATTCTTACAGCAGACAGGAAATAGTTTTGCTTAAAGTCACAGTTTCCAAGAACCCATCAATGACATTGTGAAGATTTATTGTACTGGTTCATCTCTTAAATATACTTAATTTCACTAAACCCTCTAATTTTATAAAGATTTATGGTAAATTAAAAAATGTATTCAATGCTTGTATTTAATTCCTGTACATATACTCGGATGATTTACAGATATAATGACTGATGATTTTCATGAACATCTTGGACACTGAATGATATTCATGTGGATAATGATCTAAAGGGAAACAATAAAACCACAGCTGACATGGAATTTAAGCCATGCTCAAACCTGGGCAATATTTTTTCATGAGACTAGAAGTCATTTATTTATGAATCTTTTATGTGTCATGAGGAGTGAATAAAACACACAAGTTAACTAGAATTAGTTTTACTTGAAATATGCACTGATATTATAATCTGGACTCCCAGATGCTAACTGATTTGGGAGGGTTATATCTACCTGATCCAAAGGAATGCACTTTAGAATGTATTTGTTTGAACTAAAATTTAAAGCCAATTTACATAAGGTAATAGAGAATGCATTACAGAAATTATACAGCCTGCTGTCTCCCAGATGATCATTTTAATAGATGATTGTATATAATTTAGAGGGGAAACTATTGTTCCTTTTCATTATGAGTAAGTCATCAGTTTCTGTTATTTCCGTTAGTTAACTTGAGGCTATTTTATAACCATGTTGTTTTACACGTACTCTAACTCTTAAGTGTCAGTTGTCAGGATATTAACATATTTGAACAAAGAAGATAGGTTATGCTATTCTCCCAAATTGACTCTCAATATTAAATTATTTTGACCGGCCAGGTGCAGTGGCTCATGTCCGTAATCCCAGCACTTTGGGAGGCTGAGGTGGGTAGATCACTTGAGGTCAGGAGTTCAAGACCAGCCTGGCCAACATGGTGCAACCCCATCTCTACTAAAAACTACAAAAATTAGGCAGGTGTGGTGGCACACGCCTGTAATCCCAGCTGCTTGGGAGGCTGAGGCAGGAGAATTGCTTGAACCTGGGAAATGGAGTGAGCAAAGATTGTGCCACTATACTCCAGCCTGGGTGACAGAGCAAGACTCCATTTCAAAAAAAAAATTATTTTGAGCTTGTTGTAGAATTATGCAGGTGCTCAATATGGTATGAGCTTAATAAATGGTTATAAATTAAAGTCATTAATGAACACACATGATACCACAGATATTCAAAAAACTAATTATGCATTCTTTTTAAAGAGAAAAGTCTACAGAATCAGACATAAGCTTGGGGATCTATTAGAGAAGAATAAATTTTAAAATTACTTATAATTCACAAGTATAAAATATGCAAAATAATACTAATTTATTAATTAAAAATCAGTTATTCTCATTTCTAAATAAGGAATCAGATACTATAAATTTAAAGAACATGCCAACTAACCGCCACCATGGTAGAAATCACTCTAAACTGTAGCAGCCAGATAAAAAAGCAGGTGCCACAGAAACAAACACAAATAGCACAATATTCATTGTGCAGTATATTTCCGTATTTTTAACTTTTGAACCTTTAGATGGCATTGATTTAGGAAACGATATAAGTGCAGCTGTCTTGCATGAATATAATCAGACACTTTTAAATATAAAATTATGACTGAAATGCAGGCATCTTTCTGTAAATGTGTGTACGGCCAGACACATGTCAGCATCAGAGGCACCTCCGTGGAAATTTCACACTGCAGCAATATCGCACTTTGAAATCAGTGCCAATAGAAAGTTTTATACTATTGTAACATGGCCTATGATGTGTACATGCATTATTTTTTGTCAAGGCAATGATATAGCACATATGTACATTATTTCTTGAATGTTACACATAGAATATTGATTTATCTATAGAAAATCTTATGTTCTGTTAGTGTATATGTGGAATTGAACACGATTTTCCATATATGCATTTAGTGGTCTCTTGACCTGCGAGATAAGACATTTTTTAACAAATGTGTCTTCCCTACACTGGAATGAAAAACAAAAGGTTGTATAAAAAGGAAGAGAGGTAGAAAAATCCCACTATCTAACAAAAGCAGGGCAGGTAAGACAAATTGAAGAAAATGTCAATGTTAGTTCTATAAATCACATATAAGGAAACACACACAGGCCAAATGTACAGCCTCCTGATGACATACAAATGGGTTGTCCACATTAAATGTATTTGATAATGTAAAGTTAACTAAGGAACTTAACTTAGGAAACTGGGGGTAATGAAATGTTTCTCCTATACGGTCACGATACTTATTTTAGTATATTCATTTATTCCCCACATAGAAACTGAGCTCCTACCATGCTGTTGGGACAGCAGCTCTGAATTCCAGGGACAGGCACTGGGTAGCCCTTTGTTAATAGATGCTTGTGGAGTGAGAAAGCAAATGAATGAGACTGCACGGGCCAGGCTGAGAGAGATACATGCTCAAAGGTGGCTTCAGCAGAGAGTAAGAGGAAGGGGATATAGTGTTCTAAGATCAGAGAAGAAAATAAAAACCACAACAAATGTAACATTGCCAGAAAGAATGCCAGGCCATGCTGATTTATTGGACTTGATGTAAAGGGAACAGAGACTCACTCAAGGGCTTTGAGCAAAGGAGTCTCTGGTGATACAGGCTGATGGCAGTTCACCAGCATCAACTCTCCTCTTCTTCCATTTACTAGTTGAAGTTGAATACATGGCTGCCTAGTTATCAATGAGTCCGAACTAGATAGCAGCATGACTAAGTTCAAGCCCATAACTGTGATGAGAAGACAGGTAGCCCCTCTGCATATGATGAGCCTTCTGCCTGGACTGGGGTTTGCTGCTCCCTTCCTCTGAGCAGGTGAGAAAGTGTCTGGGGAGCGACAGGGCCTGGGCCCTACCTGACCCTGGGGAGCAGAGCTATCAACCACGGCCTGCCACAGGGACATGCACTGGAGGATGGCCAAGGATGGAAAAAGAAAGAGAGCAACTTAGAACAGTCTCAAAGATAATGCCATGTGAGAAGATGACTCCACAGCAGCAATGACTGTGGACCTGAAGGAAACTGGACAGACTAAAGAGCTAGGAGTAATAGGATATTCAGAATGTGTTGGAAATAGAGAAACTTAGTACGATGCAGTGGTTCACGCCTGTAATCCTAGCACTTTGGGAGGCTGAGGCAGGTGGATCACTTGAGCCCAGGAGTTCGAGACCAGCTTGGGAAACACAGGAGACCCAGTCTCCACAAAAAAAAAAAAAAAAAAAAATACAAAAATTAGCTAGGCAGAGACACATGCCTGTGGTCCCAGCTACTTGGAAGGATGAGGTGGGAGGATCACTTGAGCCCAGGAAGTTGAGGCTGCGGTGAATGGTGATCGTATCACTGTACTCCAGCCTGTGTGACAGAGCAAGACCCTGTCTCAAAAATAAATAACAATAATAGTAAATAAATAAGTGAAAATAAAAAAGAAAGACTTCAATTTTGGCCACGTGTTTGCAGTACACTGTGGCATGTCCAGGAAATTCGTTGGACAGGCAGGTCTGCATCTTAAGAATGAGAGGCAGTATGGAGATTAGGATCCAGAGCTGCTGGTGTACCCATGGCACTGAGTCATGATCATCAGCATAAGCAAGGGTGGAGTATCCTCTAAAATAATATTTTATTTCAACCTTAGGAAAATCATCATGAACTTCCAGGCATCTGGAGTGATTTCCAAAAGAAATATAGAAATGGAGAGGGTTCCATCTCTAGGTAGAGGCCCCTAGAGAGCAGACTGTTGATTTCCATTCTTTTGGATTGGTTATTGGTTCCTGTCCTGTCTGTTCCCCCCACTGTTAGCCATTCCTTCCAGTGGCCTTTCAATGTCTTCTTCTGATCTGCTATGGTCTGAACAAACCTTTTAACAAAACTTGCTAGAACTATGTATAAACAACAGAATCAGTCTATGGATAAGCACCTGTGGTGGCCTCCTTGAGTAAAATTTCTGAGTTTGATTATGTGGGATGTTTTTAGCTTTATCTTAGCTGCTAACAGGTCTTTTTGCTTCCTCCTTGAATCACGGTCATATTTTAGAATGATGAATTAGCGGGACAGTTAACACTGCAAATGTTTCCAAATAGTTTAAAATCTGTTTTGGCCCCAAAGGTGCATGGCCTGCCCATCGAAGTCTTTAAGGATAACTATTGCCAATTCTTTCAGATACACCAAAGATTTATTATCAGGCCCCAGTGATCCCTCACAATAATTTCTTTTCTGGCCAGCTCCCCAAAATGTCCTAACACACCAAAGTGCACTTTCTTTTTCTTTTCTTTTTTTTTTTGAGACAGAGTTTTGCTCTTGTCCAGCTGGAATGCAACAGCATGATCTCAGCTCACCGCAACCTCTGCCTCCCGGCTTCAAGCAATTCTCCTGCCTCAGCCTCCTGAGTAGCTGGGATTACAGGCACCAGCCACCACTCCTGGCTAATTTTTGTATTTTTAGTAGAGACGAGGTTTCACAATGTTGGCCAGGCCGATCTCGAACTCCTGACCTCAGGTGATTCACATGCCTCGGCCTCCCAGAGTGCTGGGATTATAGTCGTGAGCCCCTGCGCTCAGCCTCAAAGTGCACTTTCTTTGTGAACAACAACATCTACCTATATTACGTGTTTTAGATCCAACTATTCGGAGCAAATACAAAAAGAAAGTATGTACAAAATATTTTAAATATGTAAAATAAATAAATGTTCACTCGAACAGTATTTATTTGAACCCAAGCTCAATAATTTTTTATTCTTTATTTCCACAAATTTTGAACCCCCTTGTATCTATTATGATGTCCCCTCCCCTATTTGTAAATGACAACTGGCTGAACATCTTCATTCACATATTTGCCAACCCAAACAAAAAACTTACATGTTTGAATCTGGAATCCAGTGTGGCCCTGCTGGCGCCAGCCCTGCAGGTGAGGTGTCTTATGATTTGTTTGCTGGCTTCAGACTTTCCTGATCCCCTTTCTCCACTAAGGAAAACAGAGAGGAAAAACATAAGTTTGAAGGAACTTTGCTTCAAAGCTTGTTCCTTTGTTCCTTTGAAACTACTTTGAAGGAACAAGTAAAAAAATTAACTGGAGATATTTCTCAGACACAGAAATGAGGAGGGAATGGCACATCTACTTGCAATGAGTTTGTGGTCTCCGTTCACACTTCAATTTGATTCATTTGTCTGAAATACCCAGTATATGTTGACTGTGTCATGTCCCTGATGGTGTTTCAGATGCTGGCATTACAAATGAATATGACACAAGTTCTGCCATTCAGTATCTCACAGGGTAGAACCACCTAGTGTAGGTGAATTATGCCAGAAAGGTGTCAGGCTGAGAAGAAGACATAACCAACTTGACTCAGCTTAGCAAGTCAACATAAAGTGAGGCGATCCCGAGACAGCATGCTGTGTTGAGACATGCAGGCTCACACATGGCCTTGGGAAAACTGTTCATGCTTCATGGGCCTTACAGGAGAGACGTTACCTCTTCTGTGGAAAAGCTGTGACATCTTTCTGAGCATTCCTTCTCTGTTCTTTGAAATGAACATAAAGTGCCTAGCTACAAAAACTAAGGCAGTAAGGTCTTCAGATGTGGATCTGTCATTCCGCAGATCCTACTAAACCTGACCTGCTTAGGTTTCCTTTTCCGCTTGCTTTCAGTTCTGATGTTCTCTAGTTTGCATTTTTCTTTAATCTAGGAAAGATCACTGAACTTTTATTTATAAGGGCATCACTTTTAATACATCCCAGGCATACTTCATTAACTCACCCAATTTTTAAAAATGGTAAATATTATATTCCTGACACTATATGATATAGGATTGACATAAAATTCCCACAAAATAATTATTATTTCAAAGTGATGTGATCTACAATAAAGTTATTACTTCATCCAGATGAAAAATTCATAAAAACAGCCTTTACTTATTTGGTAACCAGAAAAACTTTTTAAAGCCCTTTTAGGAGAGCTTCCTTGGTTTTCTGCCTGGAAACATCTATTTTAACAAAGTTAATTAACAGTGTTTGCCAGAAAAGAAGTAAGTTGAAATTTAATTATTTGTTTAAAGTGTCGAGTCGTTAATGGATGCTTCCACTCACTTGTGCAGACTTTTGAACTACTGGGGCCTAAGAGTATCAACAAATGAGGTATTAAGTTAATATTAGAAAACAAAATGAAATTTTTTCTGGTCTGGTACTGAGTTTTGGGACATCCATTCCAGGACTACTTGCGTTTTGATTGCTAAATCTTAAATTACCCTTTGTAAGTGCTCGTTCTGGGACACAACTGACACTCAATAATGATCCGTTAACAACTTATTAAGTTGAATTTCAAATGGCTAATTTTATCATATTCGTAAAAATGGAGAAAGCATGTATCTTAGCCCACACAATCAAGGATGTGGCAAAGCTGTATGAAAGCACACACAATTTTGAAAGAAGAAAGAGAATCACTAAAACAGTAAGTCCTAGTAACCAGAGATTTGCTCTTCCATTCTGTATATCAGGACTAGCGATACCGAAAGGAGTTCTCCAGCTTGCTTCAGGCAGACAGTCAGGGAAGGGTCCCCCGAGAAGCTCCGACCCGCCCCACGAGTGCTTACGTCAGATGTTTTGTGCCGATAAGGGAACTTGCACAGGGGGCTTTGCCTAAACAAGCCTGCGGTGGAAGAGTCCGTTCCTTAGCACACGTGCAGCAAGGGAAATCAATCAATATGGAGCAGCTCGGCCTCAGCATGCGCACTGGAAGGACGGGGGGTGGAGCCGCCAGCAGTTTGCGCCCTAAGCTCTGGTGGTATTCAACTGAGAAGGGGGCACCAGGCACCCTGCTTCAGGACCCCTCTCTGCTGAGAGCTTCCCTTTCGCATAATAAATTCTACTCCACTTACTCTCTCGTGTCCGCACGCCTCATTTTTCCAGGTCGTGAGGCAAGAACCTGGACGTAGCCGAGCTAAGGAGCAAAATCCTGCATCAACACCTTCTTGAAACTTGAATGAAGAGGTATTTTTTCAAAATAAGGGGTTGGTACAGGGAATCATTAACTTTAAAAAATGACCCAAAGGAGGGCCGGGCGCGGTGGCTCACGCCTGTAATCCCAGCACTTTGAGAGGCTGTGGTGGGCGGATCACAAGGTCAGGAGATCGAGACCATCCTGGCTAACACGGTGAAACCTCGTCTCTACTAAAAATACAAAAAATTAGCCGGGCGTGATGGCGGGCGCCTGTAGTCCCAGCTATTCGGGAGGCTGAGGCAGGAGAATGACGTCAACCCGGGAGGCGGAGCTTGCAGTGAGCCCAGATCGCGCCACTGCACTCCAGCCTGGGCGACAGAGCGAGACTCAAGACTCCATATCAAAAAAAAAAAGACCCAAAGCAAAACTAGTTCTGCAGAATATATACTGGATAAAAAGTTCCATGAGCAAATACCTGTCAAAACTGTTGGGTTAAACTAAGATAAACGGGGTTCTTCATAAGAAAACTTGCTGGCCGCTGTGTGCCATCTCCCGGGCGGACTCCCAAAGCGCATGGGCCTGCTGCTCCTCCTTTTCTCCCCTTAGAGCCTTGCTCAGGACCCACGCTTTCAAAAACTGACCTATAACAGCTGCAATGATCATCCTAGAATTAAGTGGGAGCACTCAAAAGTTATGTAAATTCTAAAGAAATAAATAATACATAGAAATAATCTAGTCAAGGGTCTGGCAGCCAGTAAATTCTCAATAAACATTAGTTGTTATTGTCAACAGTGTTAAACTCTCCCTGTCTCACCAATTGACAGTGTTTTTTCTAAGCAACTTTTAAAAAGTTTTCCCTATTTATCAAAGGAAGACCAGGAAACTGGACAGACAAAGCAGATAAAAATAGGGTTGCCTGAGTCTAGAACGGGTGGAAGCCCCCATCTCTGCGCCTTTCTCATCCTTGAGTCCAGAATGAGTGGCCAGGTACAGTAGCTCACACCTGTAATCCCAGCACTTTGGCAGGCCGAGGCAGGTGGATCACCTGAGCTCAGGAGTTCGAGACCAGCCTGACCAACGTGGTGACACCCCCGACTCTACTAAAAATACAAAATTAGCCGGGCGTGGTGGCACATGCCTGTAATTCCAGCTACTCAGGAGGCTGAAGCAGGAGAATCACTTGAACCCAGGAGGCAGAGGTAGCGGTGAGCTGAGATTGTGCCATTGCACTCCAGCCTGGGCAACAAGAACGAAACTCCGTATCAAAAGAAAGAATGGGTGGAAGCCCCTGCCTTGGTGCCTTTCTCATCCTTGAGTCTAGAATGGGTTGGAGCCCCCACCTCAGTGCCTTTCTCATCCTCGTGTCTAGAATTGGTGAGAGCCCGTCTCAGCGTCTTTCTCTTCCTTTGAGTTTAGAATGGATGAGAGCCCCTGTCTCAGCATCTTTATCACCCTCGTGTCTAGAATGGGTGAGAGCCCCTGTCTCAGTGCCTTTCTCATCCTTGTGTCTAGAATGGATGAGAGCCCCTGTCTCAGAGCCTTTCTCATCCTCATGTCTAGAATGGGTGAGAGCCCCTGTCTCAGCGCCTTTCTCATCCTTGAGTTTAGAATGGGTTGGAGCCCCCGCCTCAGTGCCTTTCTCATCCTTGTGTCTAGAATGGGTGAGAGCCCGTGTCTCAGAGCCTTTCTCATCATTGAGTTTAGAATGGGTGGAAGCCCCTGCCTCGGTGCCTTTCTCATCCTTGTGTCTAGAATGGGTTGGAGCCCCCACCTTGACGCCCTTCTCATCCTTGTGTCTAGAATGGGTGAGAGCCCCTGTCTCGGCGTCTTTCTCATCCTTGAGCCTAGAATGGGCAGAAGCCCCTGCCTCAGTGCTTTTCTCATCCTTGAGTCTACAATGGGTGGAATTCCCTGCCTCAGCGCCTTTCTCATTTTTGAGTCTAGAATGGGTGGAATCCCATGCCTCAGTGCCTTTCTTATCCTAGAGTTTAGAATGTGTCGAAGCCCCTGCCTCAGCACCTTCCTCATCCTTGGGATGCATCTGAACCCAGCACGAAAACAACCGCTAGCATGCTGCTTTGAAAACTAGAAAACTAAAGTGTGCGCCCATCAGTCTGTCCCTCCACCCTCCATAGAATTTTTGATGAAATGCATATAAACATATAAGCTCTCATTTTAATATTTAAATAAGCCTTTTGAATTCTATCCAGGTTCTAACTTTATACCATTTTCATTTCACTTTGACTCGAGTTGTGTGCTACTGTACTTATCCGTTGAGTTCCAACCAGCACTACTGACAACAACTAAGGCGCTACCGTGAGTGAGTATTTATAGAGCTTTCCCTCCCTTGTAGAGGTTTGGCTGAATATAAAATATAGGTCTCTGATGCAGATTTTAACATTTAAATGTTTCTTTAATTTTCTATTAATTGGTGAGTTAAATCTAGCATTACATTTCAAATTCAAAAAATATTCTGGGCCAAATGCAGTGGCCCATGTCTGTAATCCCAGCACTTTGAGAGGCTGTGACAAGAGGATCGCTTGAGCCCAGGAGTTTGAGACCAGCCTGGGCAATATAGTGAGATCTCATCTCTACAAAAATTAAAAAATTAGCCAAGTGTGGTGGCATGTGCCTGTAGTCCCAGCTACTTGGGAGGCTGAGGTGGGAGGATCACTTGAGCCTTGGCTGCAGTGACTGGTGATCATGCCACTAAATTCCAGCCTGGGTGACAGAGCAAGACCCTGTCTCAAAAAAAAAAAAAAAGTTTAGGAAGTAGAGTACAGTGAATTGTGAGCAAAGGTAAATAACAAGAAACAGGCTGAGAAAACATACCTTTGGAAAGAAATAAAATGATATTTGGGGCAGCCCTGGATTTTGAAGAACAGTGGCTTAGGTTCCGTAATATTGGTAGTTTTTCTTTCTCCATGTTTTCTTAGGTTCAAAAGCAAAAACTTTTTATCTAAGCTTTAAATCTTCAAAAGGAAATGAGTTTCAGGTTAAGTTTATTAATATTGATCCAGCTACACTTGGGGCTACTCCTAACAGCCAAGATGTTTCTCCTTTGTAACGAGTCAAATGTACTTATTGCAAAGATATACTGGACCTCAAGGTGCTGAGAAAGTAAATAAAGGTAAACCATAGGAAATGAGTACATCTTTACTGCCAAGCCCCGTGGCAAACCTGAGCCTGGCAGACAAGGTTGAGGAGGACTCACCTGAGGATGAAACACTGAGGCCGCTGTTCCCGGAAGAGCTGGTGAAAGGCTCTCTCCACACAGGAGAAGAGGTGAGGAGGCAGCGAGGAACACAGCTTCCCTGAGGAGCTGAAATACAGCTGGGACACCTGGAAAACAGGGCAGCAGCAAGGGGAAAACCTCAGTGAAAAGGCGCCAGTATTCCTCATCCCATAATGAGAGTGACTTCTGTCCAAGATACAGAAGTGAATGAATCCCTAATTCTGAATCTCATTGGTATGTAAAAACATTTGTAAAATTACACCCTTCTCAGCACATTTTCAGCATGCATAATGACAAAATGGAGGCTTATACTTTATCCTTCATTACTTGGTCCACAGGCTTTAATTATTCTGCTGTCTTTAAGAAGAGCAACTCACAAAATATGTTCTTTAATAGATATCTGTGCAGTAAGCTGAAACTGTGGTAATTTACAACAAATACAATTTCTCTCAGCAGTATTTAATTTCAATACCATAAGATAGCCAAGGTTTTAAACTTGAATGTGAGAGGCAGTTGCAGCTGAAATGCATATAAGTTTACAAATTTCTCAGAAAAACAAAAATTAATTAATTTTAGAGAAACGGTGATTTATAATTATTGCCATAATGATTCATTTCCAGTAGTTTTAGTCCTTTTAAATTTCTAGTAAATTTTATTACTTTAGAATAAAAACTCAAGAGTAGGAAGACTTCTTAGTTGTGAAGAAATCAAAGTTATTTTTATTGTACAAAATAACTGGCCTGTATCTTCAAAGATGTCAAGGTCAGAAAAGTCAAAAGAAGACTGCAGAACTGGTCCATACTGAAGGAGAGTCAAGGGCATGGTGGTTCAAAATGCAACGTGCAGCGCTGGCCTGAATCTCTAGCTCTATGGGCATTACTGAGACAATGGGAAATCCTGAACGAGGTCTCTTGATTCAGTGACACCAGTGCATCAGTAATAATTTTCCCATTTTGATGACTGTAGGGAGGTTACACAGGAGAATACCTTTGTTTAAATACACAGTAAACATATTTAAGGTTGATGGGACCACATGCCAGAAAAGTATTTTAAAATGCTTGATGCTCAGGGATCTGCTATTAGTCTGATGGGCTTCTCTTTGTGGGCAAACTGACCTTTCTCTCTGGCTGCCCTTTACAGTTTTTCCTTCATTTCAACTTTGGTGAATCTGACAATTATGTGTCTTGGAGTTGCTCTTCTCAAGGAGTATCTTTGTGGCATTCTTTGTATTTCCAGAATTTGAATGTTGGCCTGACTCGCTATGTTGGGGAAGTTCTCCTGGATAATATCCTGAACAGTGTTTTCCAACTTGGTTCCATTCTCCTCGTCACTTTCAGGTACACCAGTCAGACATAGATTTGGTCTTTTCACATAGTCCCATATTTCTTGGAGGCTTTGTTCATTTCTTTTTACTCTTTTTTCTCTAAACTTCTCTTCTCACTTCATTTCATTCATTTGATCTTCAATCACTGATACCCTTTCTTCCACTTGATCAAATCGGCTACTGAAGCTTGTGCATGAGTCACGTAGTTCTCGTGCCATGGTTTTCAGCTCCATCAGGTCATTTAAGACCTTGTCTATGCTTTTTATTCTGGTTAGCCATTTGTCTAATCTTTTTTCGAGGTTTTTAGCTTCTTTGCAATGGGTTCCAACATCCTCCTTTAGCTCGGAGAAGTTTGTTATTACCTATCATCTGAAGCCTTCTTCTCTCAACTCGTCAAAGTCATTCTCCATCCAGCTTTGTTCCATTGCTGGCGAGGAGCTGCGTTCCTTTGGAAGAGAAGAAGCGCTCTGATTTTTAGAATTTTCAGCTTTTCTGCTCTGGTTTCTCCCCATCTTGGTGGTTTTATCTACCTTTGGTCATTGATGATAGTGATGTACAGATGGGGTTTTGGTGTGGATGTCCTTTCTGTTTGTTAGTTTCCTTCTAACAGTCAGGACCCTCAGCTGCAGGTCTGTTGAAATTTGCTGGAGGTCCACTCCAGACCCTGTTTGCCTGGATATCACCAGCAGAGGCTGCAGAAAAGCAAATATTACAGAATGGCAAATGTTGCTGCCTGATCCTTCCTCTGGAAGCTTCGTCTCAGAGGGACACCTGGCTGTATGACGTGTCAGTCATCCGCTACTGGGAGGTGTCTCCCAATTAGGCTACTCAGGGGTCAGGGACCCACTTGGGGAGTCAGTCTGTCCGTTCTCAGATCTCAAACTCCATGCCCAAGGTAATTTATAGATTCAATGCCATCTTCATCAAGCTACCAATGACTTTCTTCACAGAATTGGAAAAAACTACTTTAAAGTTCATATGGAACCAAGAAAGAGCCTACATTGCCAAGACAATCCTAAACCAAAAGAACAAAGCGGGAGGCATCATGCTACCTGACTTCAAACTATACTACAAGGCTACAGTAACCAAAACAGCATGGTACTGGTCCCAAAACAGAGATATAGACCAATGGAACAGAATAGAGCCCCCGGAAATAATACCACACATCTACAACCATCTGATCTTTGACAAACCTGACAAAAACAAGAAATGGGGAAAGGATTCCCTATTTAATAAATGGTGCTGGGAAAACTGGCTAGCCATATGTAGAAAGCTGAAACTGGATCCCTTCCTTACACCTTATACAAAAATTAATTCCAGATGGATTAAAGACTTAAATGTTAGACCTAAAACCATAAAAACCCTAGAAGAAAACCTAGGCAATACCATTTAGGTCATAGGCATGGGCAAAGACTTCATGACTAAAACACCAAAAGCAATGGCAACAAAAGTCAAAATTGACAAATGGGATCTAATTAAACTAAAGAGCTTCTGCACAGCAAAAGAAACTACCATCAGAGTGAACAGGCAACCTACAGAATGGGAGAAAATTTTTGCAATCTACCCAACTGACAAAGGGCTAATATCCAGAATCTACAAAGAATTCAAACAAATTTACAAGAAAAAATCAAATAACCCCATCAAAAAGTGGCCAAAGGATATGAACAGACACTTCCCAAAAGAAGACATTTATGCAGCCAACAGACACATGAACAAATGCTCATCATCACTGGCCATCAGAGAAATGCAAATCAAAACCGCAATGAGATACCATCTCACACCAGTTAGAATGGCGATCATTAAAAAGTCAGGAAACAACAGGTGCTGGAGAGGATGTGGAGAAATAGGAACACTTTTACACTGTTTGTGGGACTGTAAACTAGTTCAACCATTGTGGAAGACAGTGTGGCCATTCCACAAGGATCTAGAACTAGAAATACCATTTGACCCAGCCATCCCATTACTGGGCATATACCCAAAGGATTATAAATCATACTGCTATAAAGTTACGTGCACATGTATGTTTATTGCGGCACTACTCACAATGGCAAAGACTTGGAATCAACCCAAATGTCCATCAATGATAGACTGAATTAAGAAAATGTGGCACATACACACCATGGAATACTATGCAGCCATAAAAAAGGATGAGTTCATGTCCTTTGTAGGGACATAGATGAAGCTGGAAACCATCATTCTGAGCAAACTATTGCAAGGACAGAAAACCAAACACCTCATGTTCTCACTCATAGGTGGGAATTGAACAGTGAGAACGCTTGGACACAGGGTGGGGAACATCACACACTGGGGCCTGTCTGGGGTTGGGGGAGTGGGGAGGGATAGCATTAGGAGATATACCTAATGTAAATGATGAATTAACGGGTGCAGCACACCAACATGGCACATATATACATATGTAATAAACCTGCACATTGTGCACATGTACCCTAGAACTTAAAGTATAATAATAAAAAAAAGGTTGATGTTAAAAGTTGCCTGTACAATTTATCTACACATTTTACACACATTTAAAATTATAGCAAAAATAATTTTTAAAGTAGAATACATGATCCACAATGAGAGTTAACTGGATGAATCTCACAATGTTGAGTGTGAGATACATAAAAGAACACACTGTATGTCTTCACTTACATCAAGTACAAACACAGGTAACCAATCCTTGCTGTTAGAAGTCAAATTGGCAGTAGCAGGGGAAGTGCTAATGTTTAAGGGACTTCTGGAGTGTTGATAATGTTCTGGAGCTGAGTACCACCCACCTGCATGCTTAGCAACATAAGCACTTTCCTACAAACATTACACCTCAACCAAAACTACAAAAAACTGAAGTCATCACACAGTGTGGTGCTGGTGCAAAGACTAGATAAATGGATCACAGATCACTTGAAACAGACTAGATAATTCAGTGCAACCCTACATGTTGGTGAAGATGAAATGGGAGAGTTCCCTAATCCTGCTCGCAGGATGTGTGACGGGGTGTGGCTCATCTGTTTGGCCACTGTGTGTGCTCAAACCCCTTATGGGAGGGGGAGCATGCAGATGGGCAGGTACAGGAGCCTGGGCCAGCACCTTTGGGCTTTGGCCCCATAGTAGCGTCTAGGGGTGGGTGCCTGCAACTTCTGAAGCCCAAGTGGGCATGTGTTACAGTGTACTCTTTTAGCTTTGCTGTCCATGGACAGCTTAAGTGTTAAACAGTTCAATGGACCTTCTGCCTTTTTTGCAAGGGCAGAGGGCCAGTGTGACAGCTTTCTGTATCCTAAGCTCTTGTCTGGCATCCAGGAAAAATCAGATCACACACGGACTTGAAGGATGGTGAATGCAGGGGTTTTATTGAGTGGTGGAGGTGGCTCTCAGTGGGATGGATGGGGAGCTGGAAAGGGGATAGAGTGGGAAGATGATCTTCCCTGGAGTTTGGCCATCCAGTGGCCTATCTCCTCTCCAACCATCCCTAGCTGAACTCCTCTCAACATTCAGATGCTCCTTCTCTTCTCTCCTTCTCTGCCACTCTTCTGCTCTTCTGTTCATCTGCTTGTGGAGTCTGGTGTTTGGGGGTACAGGATGGGGTCATGGTGGGCCAAAGGCAACTTTTTGGCACGAAAACAGGAATATCTGTTCCCATTTAGGGCTGTGGGTTACCAGGCTTGAGGGTGGGGCCTTTGCCGGGGAACTGCTCTCTTCTACCCAGTGTCTCCCTGCCTCCTGTCCTTATCAAAGATACAGTGTATGACCAACCAGGCTGCACCACCTATCAGTGGTAAAGGGTGCTGCTGAGAGGACTAATCATCTATTTAGGTAAAGAAAACAAGTGTTGATCTCTATTCTGTAGCATGTTTAAAAATTACTTACAAGTGAATTTAAATCCCAGATATGAGCAGCAAAGTTTAAAGCATTTAGACAAGCATATAGAATGGTACTCTCATGATTTGTATGTAAACAAGGAAATAGGATTCAAAAATATAAATTATAATGAGAATGATGGAGCGATCTTACTACATTAAATTTAACAAGCACTGGTCAACCATATAATAATAGAAAATAAGCAAAGACAGAGAAGTGTATAAGCTGTGCATGTAATCAATAGATCAGCAGCAATTTAAAACATATTCCTACAAATCAATTTAAAAATGGAACTATAATACAAATTCGGGCAAAAATATAAACTAAAAAGATGGAAAATAAATATGAGAAAGGTTGGAAAGCTCTCTCGTGCTATTTCAAACTATAAGATGCTATATTACACACAAAATCCTAGCAGAATTAATCATAGTTTAGTCATAATGACAATAATAGCTTACAGGCACTCTGTGCATGGTGCTGTCCTCAGCACCTCACAGGCACTCACTCATGCAGTCCTCCAGAACCTATGACTGGAGTCAGAGAAGTATTTCTATGTTTACAGGCAAGAGAATTGGTGCCAACAGAAGTCAGTGACAGGCCCAAGGGGACAGGGCTAGTTGGTGGCAGAGCTTGATTTCCAAATGAAGTTGTCTCTTGGGCTGGGAAAACAAGTCTATACTACTGAGTCTTGTAGTTTTAACTAATTGGAAGAATCATCTGGCAATATCTTCTAAATTTGAAGATTCATGTTCAACTGGGAATATCTCTGTTGAAACTCTCAAACATGAGCAAAAAGAGCATTTATAAAACAATTCTTAGGACTCTTTGTAAGAGCAGAAAATACAGAAATAAGTTAAAAGTCTATAATAAAGATTAATAGACAAATATAACCGGTTGTGTGTCGTTACAAGAAAATTCTAGAGGGACTTTAGAATAAATTAGGTCTCAAATTTTCAAGATGGAAAATTTTTGAAAGCGTGAGGGCTGATCAACAGCTTTTTTGTAAAAGAATACAGTTAATGGCTGGGCGCGGTGACTCACGCCTGTAATCCCAGCACTTTGGGGGACTGAGGTGAGCAGATCATGAGGTCAGGAGATTGAGACCATCCCGGCTAACTTGGGAAAACCCCATCTCTACTAAAACTATAAAAAATTAGGTGGGTGTGGTGGCACACGCCTGTACTATCAGCTACTTGGGAGGCTGAGGCAGGAGAATCGCTTGAACCTGGGAGGCAGAGGTTGCAGTGAGCCAAGATTGTGCCACTGCACTCCAGCCTGGGCAATAGACTAAGATCTCATCTCAAAAAAAAAAAAAAAGAGAGAGAATATAGTTACTATGTTATGAGTTAATTAAAATATAAAAAATAGTGGTATACCCACTTTTTGAATGTATATATGTGTTCATGTATATAGTAAACATATAAAACACTGGATGGAAGGATAACTTCAAGATAACCATTATCACTGCTTACGAAAATAAGTAGGTTGAAGTTGAAGTGGTACTTACCCTATGTTTATAGAACAATATGTCATCTATCTAAGACATCATATAATTAAAACATACTGTTATTTTTTGTACCACTCAGAAAATAAATGTTACAGTTAAATTAGGACACAGTGTTTTCTTACCATACCCTTAAAGATGCATCCCAATCACAAAAGTACATGTGAAAAAAAAATACAGCACTTTTAATTTTAAATGTTTTTAAAAGAGATATGAAACCAATATGGGTGGTGGGCACACAACTGTCTGTTGCATTCTGCTTGAACTTTTTTCATTTTTAATTATTCCAGAAGTTGCAATGAATATTAAGAATAATTAAATGATAGTGATATACACATTATAATTCATAAAACTGAGGAGTTTTAGTCCAGCTTGTCCAGCAGATCTAATTTCTGTTCTTGTTTGAAAACTTGTACTAACACTGTTTCACTCCTCCCCAAGTCCAACATAGACTTAGACTCTCATGTGACAAAATGTTTTTCAACTCTCTATTTTGTAAATGAGAATTTCATTAGATGTTCAACAGACACAAGAGACAGCCTGGATTATGCATCCATCTGTGTGTACATGGGATTCATTTCTCTAACATTTTTTCGTTTTCATTTTTTTGAGACAGGGTCTCGCTCAGCTGCCCAGGCTGGAGTGCAGTGGCCCAAGTACAGATCACTGCAGACTCCACCCCCTGGGGTCAAGCGATCCTCCTGCCTTAACCTCCCAAGTAGCTAGGACTACAGGTGGCTAGGGTTTTCAATTTAAAAACCCTAGGCCACAGCTGGCTAGGGTTTTTAAATTTTATTTATTTAAATCTATTTGGGCTTAGATATTCTCTTTATGCCAAATTTTACTAGAGAGTAGATGTGGGTGATGAGCCTTGAGTGTCTAAAGAAAGTTATTTCCTGATAAACTCATAACCTCTCTCAGCTCCCCTTTCTTGTAAGTCTCTTTCCCATGCAGTGTTACAGTTCATGTTGTGGAATAGTCCATTACTACCACCTGGCAACACATTACCTGATGCCAATTCTATGCTTTATACATAATATAATTATGGAAATAATAATGACAGTGTAATTCTATAAAACTTTGAGGATTTCCACTTATGCAGTCCCTGTTTTCTGAGTGACTGACAAGCCATCTAACTTTTTTATTGGTTACCCTTCTCATAGTTAAAATTGCACTTTCTCATTGGGTCCAGCGAATATCATCAGGGCCAGACACTTCCTTCCCCACCTGTCTTTTCTCTTCACTTCACTGTCTTCTTTCCTTATTTGTATCAATTGAAACAAGAGGATTCTTGGTCAGGGGATATTTTAAACACTCCATTTTAGCTCATAGGTGAGATGACAAGCACTCAGTCTTGCTAATCTTAGATGGACTCTAGTTCCAGATAACAGGTTCCTTCCTTCTTAATGGATAAAGTCCCTCCTTTTCTTCACTGGTCATTATATTTCTCCATAAACCACTAGCAGATTGCAGAATCCTGCCATGTTAATTTCTAAAGCCACCAATGCTTCCACAGCTTATGAGACAGCCACTGAGCCACTGGCCTCCATCTCTGGCGAGCCTAGAAACTTTGTGGAACCTCCCAGATGCCAGAGGCTCCAAGTGCCCTGGGCTGCTGGTTTCGCACTATGCTATGAACATCTCACTCTGTAGGCCTGGGTAGGTGTCCTATTTGTGAACTGTATACCTATGTATAGGTGACATGTTTTGAGAAAGTATGTGTTTGTGTTTACAAAAGATCACATATAATAATAATAATAATAATAATAATAATAATAATAATAATGATGATGATGAAACTGTCTGCCTCTGGGCGCAGCACTTGTGCTGCTGAGAGAAGCCTGCCAAGCATTCGCTCTGGAGCTGCATGACCTGGACTTTAATGCTAGCTCTGCCACTCATGGGAAGACTTTAGAAAATCTGTTTAACCTCAAGTCTCAGCTTATTCAACTGCAGAATAGAAATAACAATTCTTATACTGATTTGCTTGCCTTTTGAGATGTGACAATAAATGTAAAGCCATTTGAGGCAGTTCTGCCATGTAATAAGCACTAAACAATGGCAGCTGTTTTCATTTCCTAGAATTTCAAATATTATAATTTTTTTAACTTCTTGCTCATATCAAATTGCATGGCGTATTTCTCTAAATAGTCCTATATATTTTTTAAACCCCATAATGTGGCTCTAGTCCATTCTTCTGCTCATCAGAATCTTACTAATTTTTTAAGATTTGCCCCGATCACATTTCTTTTTTTATTGTGATGCTTTTTAAAAAAAAACCTGATAGGATTTACTCCCTTCTAACCTCTTGACTTGCCAATTAGGGTTACACACCCTCAATACAGCTATTTAATTGTTGTTCTCAGCTAGAAGTGAAGTATGTGATTTTTTCATTGTTATTTGTGTTTTGTCTCTAGCATGTCTACACAGTGCTCAAGGATGAGGACACTGTAAGTACCTAAGGCAATGTATTTCCTTATAGAGTCAACAGATGTTTGTTGGCTTGATGATGCATTTTTGTTTCTGATTTTAAGGTTGCTTTTTTGTAAAGCCCATGCAGGAACATCTGGCTTTCTATTTTCTCTTTCTCCCCTACATGTAACATGTTTAAAATGAATGATATTACGTGTCTCCAACATAAATAGGCAGCACAATCATGGACCCTGTCCTGGTTGGTTGGCATGGACCCTGTCCTGGTTGGTTGGCATGGACCCTGTCCTGGTTGGTTGGGATGGACCCTGTCCTGGTGGTTGGCATGGGCCCTGTCCTGGTTGGTTGGCATGGACCCTGTCCTGTTGGTTGGCATGGACCCTGTCCTGGTTGGTTGGCATGGACCCTGTCCTGGTTGGTTGGCCTGGACCCTGTCCTGGTGGTTGGCATGGACCCTGTCCCGGTTGGTGGAACGGCCTGCTGACTCGCCCGCTGTGACCCGCATCTCGGCAGTGGTGGTTGTTAGTGTCAGATCAGCACTGCTGTGGCAGCAAGCAATCTAACTGGGAGGGCTGCCTGCCGCCTTGTGTAGACATCAGTCTCGAAATGAAGTTTGCCTCAAGAGTGTTCTCCGTCCATGATTAATAACTTGCTAGAAATAAAAATGAATGTTATGCAAAGGCTTAATATAACAGAGTTAATGATAATGAAATAAAACTAAAATGCAGATGTTATATGTGAATTTCTTTTTAAATATGAAATGGAGAAGTCATTCTCCTCGTCTTTATAATCTTTACAGATATAATCATATTTAATGTTTTATTTTTTTCTTGTAAAGTAATTGACATGGGAAGAAACCCAAATATTTGAACAAAATTTGTCATTTAAAACAACAGACATAATACAATGATAATAACTAGAAACAAAAAGAAATAAATTTTTGTTGTGTGGCCTGAGGACAACAAGATCGTTTTAATGAATATCTGATAGGTGACTACTTGATATTATTTACTAGGCACTAATATTGCTACAGGGAATAACCACTAATTCAATGTAAAATGTATGTCCTTGCAGCAACCTAATATCTACAATTTTATGGGTTGTTACCTGTAGGCAAGGAGAGCACAAACTATTTGATTCTACATAATGGATGTCAAGTCCAGAAGGACTAGACACTTTCACCTTTTCTCATGACCTATAAAAAGCAGGTAATTTTATTGTAAGCTTTATATCAGTGCATCTTTTACCTGATATATTTTTTGTATTTATTTTCCATTTTTATTTTATGACATTTAGAAATGATGAATATAAAAGGTGGTGTGTGTGTGTATATATACATATGCAAATTCATTTTATAAAATCATAATACTTATATATTAAATACTTAATTCATATATATTGAAACATATATAGATTTTATTTATATAATTACATAAATTATAAGTTGCATTAGCCATTTTCAGTTTTAATAAACTATTCTGGTAATGATCTCAATGTATTGTATCTTATTCTTACATTAATAAACAAATATGTCTCTTAATGTGTTTCTCCTTTTCTCTATGAATGTGTATTTCTGAAAAAACTGCAAATACAACGTATTATCTGAAGCCCTAATACTACTATAGTGTCAGTACTTTAAAAACAAACATACCACAAGTTAACAGTTTTTTTCCCATCACAAGATACAATATAGTATGACAAACTGTGTCATACTATAAAAAATATTATGTTAAAGTTTGGCTAATACTCAAAACTTTACCTCTAGATCCATAGAAGCATCCAAATAAGAGTCATTTTTTAACGTTTCATTCAATTATTCAAAGCTGACTTTTGTCTCACTGTTAATTCTTGTTAACTCTACAATCAACTGTTACCATAAACATAAGCCAGAAATAATATTATCAATAGTAACTTTAAATTGGGTGCGTTTCTCTCTCTCTTTCCCCTCCCACCCCTTGGTGCATACAGAATTAAAAAATTAGAGGCATGAAATGCCAAACTAATCTAGGTATCTGAGGGCAAATAATCTTCTGACACCAATGCAATAAAAACAGATGTAGTCTCCTTTACCCTATAGCTGTAATGAAGCAGCTAGTATCAGTCAAATTCTCCTAACCATGAACAATTACAAAGACTGGATAAAATACAAATCAAGCATCTAATGGCAGGGATAGTAAAATCACCAAAGCAGCAATGTCTTAGGGAGCTAAGATCTTGAAGAAAATCAGGATGCACCGGGCCACACGGGATCTTTTCCATCCCCTCCTCCCAGCACACAGTGCCGCTGTGCTGAGTGTCTCTCAGCAGCATCACAGAAAGTCACCCTAAGTGTCTCACACTCAGCAGAGATTTGAGCAGCCTCACACAGTACTGGGGAGACAAAAATCCAAGTTCAGGGTTCAGAAACAGAGGAAAGCCAAATGAATATCAGCCCAACTTTCCACCTGAGACCCGTAAGGGGGCTCAACTTTTTGAAGGGAGCAAATAAAAAAATTAAACGAGACTTCACAAGGTCAAGGCGGTTTGTCTACAACTTATGTGCCTGCTAGGAGGAAAAGTCAAATCTTCTTGGAAGGAAGATAATGTCTTCCTGGGCCCTATGGTTTTTTTATATGGAAAGTTCAATACTCCATCAAAAATCTCCGTGGATGTCAGTAAATATATCCATATATGTAAAACCAACACACAGACACACACACACACACACACACACACACACACACACACACAAAGTCACATAGTAGAAACAGACCTCAATATTAGAGTCATAAGACACAGGATTAAAAATGACATGTTCAAGAAAATAAGTGGCATGATGAAGACGAAGAATTTCACCAGAAAACTGGAAACCCTAAGAGTTTAAAATAAAAATGTTAGCATTGAAAAAAATCATATAACAGACATCTGCATTTTAAGGAATGATTTTATCAGCAGATTCAAAACAGCAGAAAAGAGAATTTAAAATATGGCCAAGCAATTATCCAGACTGTGGTCAAAGAGAAACAAAAGTAGAAAACGAAGATTAATTCGGTTTATATTTCTACAGACTTTCTACATATATACATATATATTTTTTATAGAAAGAAATCACAAATAGAAACAGATAATACCTTAAACTAATTGATAATGAATTTATAAAATAGCAAACATGTAGAATTCAGTAAAGCTACATTTAAAGTAAAATTTAAAACCCCCAAATACTTATTTTAGGAAAGGCAGGAAATCAAGGATATATCTATACAACATAAACAATAATCAAATTATACCCAAATAAATTAGAAAGAAGGAAATTTTAAAAACTCAGAAAAGTCACAAATTACCAACATATGGAATAAAAAGAAGGCACTCAAAATTCTACAAATTTTAAAAAGATAAATAGAACTATGAATAATTCTATGCCAAAAACTTTTGAAGATTAAATATAACATAATTTTTTAAAAATGCAATCATTAAAAACTAGCACAGAAAGAATATGAACTGTCCTATGTATGTCAAAGAAATTAAATCCAGAACTAAAACCTTCTTGCAAAGAAAATACCAGGCCTTAATGGTTTCAGTTGTGAATTCTTCCAAACATTTAAGAGAGAAACACCACCAAATTTACAAACTCTTTCAGAGACTAGAAAACAGAGTACACCTTCCAATTCTCTTTATGAAACTAGCATAATTTTGACATAGAAGATTTTTTTAATAAAAAAAAGAAAAATTGGAGGCTTATCTTTTTCATGAACATAGATGCCCTCAGCAAAATATTATTTAATAGACGTCAGTAATATAAAGAAAAGGATAAAACATCAAAATGTAAGGTAGGTTTAATATTTCAAAATCAGGAATTATAATTCACAAACAAAATAAAGGAGAAAAATATTCATATCAACAATTGGTACAGAAAAAATACTTACATTTGATAAAATTCAATACGTTTTCTATGAAAAAGACTTCTTAAAACAGCAATAAAATGAAATTTCCTTAATCTGATAACTGGTATCTATGTAAAATTTATAATGATTTTTATTCTTAAGGTTTAATTACTAAAGATTTCTCCTGAGATAAGAAATATATATATATTTTTAAATGAAATTATTAATAGTATCTGACATTATTCTGGTGATCCAATCCAATAACATAAGAACAGATTAATAATAGGATTTTAAAGAAAGAAAGAAAATTATTATTGTTTCAGGCAATAAGATTGTGTACACAGAGTATTTTTAAAACACACTAGATAATTTTATAGCTAATAAATTTTACAAACTTGCTAGTTTAAGGTAAGATTTTTTATGTGTGGTTTCTTTTTTTTTTTTTTTTTTTTTTTTTTTTTAGAAACGGAGTCTCGCTCTGTCGCCCAGGCTGGAGTGCAGTGGCACGATCTCGGCTCACTGCAACCTCCGCCTCCCGGGTTCACGCCATTCTGCTGCCTCAGCCTCCCGAGTAGCTGGGACTACAGACGCCCGCCACGACGCCCGGCTAACTTTTTTTTTTTTGTATTTTTAGTAGAGACGGGGTTTCATCGTGTTAGCCAGGATGGTCTCGATCTCCTGACCTCGTGATTCGCCCGCCTCGGCCTCCCAAAGTGCTGGGATTACAGGAGTGAGCCACCGCGCCCGGCCAAGGTAAGATTTTTTAAACTGTTTTTATACATACATGGAGAACACACCAGTGGAAAATAACATTTTTAAATGATTATTTATAACAGCATTTAAAAACATTTAATGAACACTATGCAATATATCCTCCAGAAGAGCACACGGGATGATACACTGAGAGGAATTTCACATTTTAAAGACCTTAATAAATGAATATAGTTAAAAGACTCAGTACTACTAACATTTTTTGTCTGTTTCTAAATTGAACTGTAAATATAATGCAATCAAATTCAAAATCCTAGGGGGAGTCCCCTCAGCGCCCCAAAATTGACAAGCTGATTCTAAACCTTAAAGGAAAAGGCCAGTAATTAATTGCTAGGGCAAATTTGAAGACCAAAGGTGGATGACTTAAGAGTACGAGGCATAAAAATGTATTTTAACAGACCAATCAAACTGAATGGAAATTCTATATCCATTTATGTATAGTTACTAGTTTTATGCAAAAGTGCCAACATAATGTCCCAGAGAAAGGATTTTTTTTTTTTTTTTGACAGAGTCTCACTCTGTTGCCCAGCCTGGAGTGCAGTGGCACGATCTCGGCTCACTGCAACCTCTGCCACCCGGGTTCAAGCGATTCTCCTGCCTCAGCCTCCCAAGTAGCTGGGTTTACGTCACCTGCCACCATGCTCGGCTAATTTTTGTATTTTTAGTAGAGATGGGGTTTCATCTTCTTGGCCAGGCTGGTCTTGAACTCCTGACCTCATGATCCACCTGCCTTGGCTTCTCAAAGTGCTGAGATTACAGGCGTGAGCCACCGAGCCCAGCTGAAAGATGGTCTTTTTAATAAACAGTACGGTTTCAGGTTAATATACATTTTTTAAAAATGAATCTTGACCCCTACTTCTTGCAAGATGTTTTCAATATGCATTGAGAATCCAGAATGCTTAAAGATCTTTCAAGTCAATAAAAAAGGTAGATGAACCAATTTTAAAGTTTTTAATTTTTAAGCAGGATAAAATCCTGAAATACACGCATCACGAAACAGGATATAACTGTACAGTAATTATGTGAAAATGTGGTTAATCTCATTGTCTGTCAGAGAAACACAAATTAGAGCAATAAGATTCCACTATATATACCCAGTAGAATGATAAGTAAACAAATGAAATATGACCAAGGAAGAGAAGCAACTAGAATTTCTGTATTAAGTTGTAGATATACCTTAGTACAACCACGCAGAAAATTGTCGATATTTATCAAAACTGATTGTATGTATACACTTTGATGTACCAATTCCACTCTTTCCAACAAAAGAAATACATATGTTATCAAAAAAAAATTGTGAGGATGTTCATAGCAGTAATATTCTTGCTTCAAAAGACAAAATCTCTGTCAATAGTTAATTAAACTGCCATATATCCACAAAAGGAAATTTTATACAGCCATACAAAATACAATAACCTATTGTACTTATTGTATTGCTACACACAAAAACATGGGTGAATCTACCTTCCCTAATATTGAAAGGAAGCAGCCAGGTACAGAGAAAGATAGTCTGCAAGATTTCACCCATATAAAGTTCAACCATGCAAAGCGGAGGGCGAGAGTAGTTGGAATTGTACTGTCTTTTGGGGAGGTATGTCACGTTTGACACAGGGCATGGGAGACATCTATGATCCTGCTAATGCTCTATTTCTTCATCTGCATGATGGTTTTTAGAGTGTCATGACTTTTATAAATTAGTTGAACAGAAGATTTAATATTTGTATGCTATGCAATATTTATATTATACGTCAATACACATATTCACAGAAATATTAATTAGGACTCACAAAGTGAAAGATACAGAACTGAGCTTTTTCTCAAAACCATTTAATAACCACATGTCAGATTAATTTCAGTCCTTGGATGAAACTCCTGAAATGATCATGGGTGATTCCCTTGCCCTAGCGTCTCATGCTCACACACACCCTTAGATTGCACAGGGTGAGGTTGGCATAGGATTGGGAGGAATGAGGAGGGTAGGCAGGTTTCAACACAGCTTTAAAGTAACCATGGCACTGACTTTTTAATTTAATTTAATTTTACTTTATTCTATTTAGAGACGGGATCTCAATCTGTCTCCCAGGCTGGAGTGCAGTAATACAATCACAGCTCCCTGTAGCTTCAACTTCTTGGGCCCAAGTGATCCTCCTGCCTCAGCCTCCTGAGTAGCTGTAACCACAGGCACACACCACCACAGCTGGCTAATTGTTTTTGTTTTGTTTTGTTTTGTTTTGTTTTTTGCAGAGATGGGTCTCTCATTATGTTGCCCAGGATGGTCTCAAACTCCTGGCCTCAAGTGATCCACCAGCCTTGGTCCTCCAAAGTGCTAGAATTACAGGCATGAACCACCGAGTCCAGCCAGAATTGACTTTTGATAAGATGGGTGGAGGGTGGGGTGGTGGATGCTCTCTTGTTCTCATGAACTATTTCTGTGAAAATACATATTTGATTTCCTAGGAAGTTGGAGGAATTTCTCTTTTTTTCTCTCCTCTCTCTGTCCTCCTCCCTGCCCGCCACATCTTATGAGTGAGCCCCGGCTTCAGGAACATATACCCACTCCCTGCCTCCTGGTTTCAGGCAGCCTCCTGTTCTGTATTAGCGGAACCAGCCTTGTTGTTACACAAAAAATAGCTCCTATGATATAGTATTTTTGACCCATTTCTACTCAAAAATCATACTGCATTTTCAATTGACTGGAATAATTTTCTACAAGTAATTTCTCTTTTAATTTTTAGGGCCTCATAATTACACTTGGCAAGTCATTTGGGAAAACGTAAACATGCAATATTACCCTTTTTTATTCCCATTGCTTTAACATTATAGAACTCTTCAGAAATAAGTCACGTGTCCAAATAAGGGCTCTAAGCCAAATGATCTTGAGTTAGTGAAAAATGTATGGAAAATATACTTACATATTATTTAATTTTAGAAGTCTGTCTAATGGCTATAGTCATAAACAAATTACACATTTTAAGTGCAAAGAAACATTTTGATAAAATAACTTCGATTTTCAAGGTTGCTCAAAATGAATTAAAGTCACTGCTACACAATCATTCAATTCAGAATTTAAAAATGTTTTTTAGAAGTTTGCCTGTTTTTTTTAGTCATTTGATACAAACATGTATGACTAGAAAGTATTACTCTACATTATTCAATGATATTTAAAATTTTGTGCTCACCATGGAAGAATAAATTGGAAGCTCCTTGTATGGGTTAACAAGCAAAAGAATGTCTCCAATGAATGTCTGTGAAAAAAGGGATGCAAACAGTTCATGAGTCATATAAATAGCATCTTTAAACAATAAAAATCATACAATTTAAAAACCAGTGTATGAAATATAAATAATAAGAAAAAATCTACTTTAGTATTTTGCTATTTTTTAATATTTTGCAATTTTTTTAAAGTTTGGAATTTAAAATATTAAATGAATTAAATAATTCAAATTAAATAAAACAGGCTTTATTTCACTGAACATAAGAGAAATGAAATAGTTAAATTCTAAGAATTTCTTTTCTTAAAAGATTCTGTGAGAATGAAACAATGAAAAAATATAGACTTAAAACATATGACAAAATGCCTACGAAAAAGTCAATGGAGTAACAAATTCTGTTATTCTGCTACAGAATAATAAACTGCATAAGTGAGAAGTTAGTAAAGCACAATAATCAAATAAAATACTTTGTTTCAATTAAAAAGTGACAATGAGATACAAAGGCACAAAGTACAGATGGAACAAATAAAAATAATAAAATGATAGATTTAAACCCAAACACCAGCAACAACATCAGTTGTAAAGGTACCAAATACTCCAATTAAAATACAAAGATTATAAATTGTATTAAAATATGAAAGATGACTACTTTAAAGAGAAACATCCTAAACATATAGACTAAAAAAAAAGGGAAAAGGATGAAGCAAGGTATGCATGCAAACAATAATAACAGCAAAGAAGGTGACTATGGAAATAATTAATTTATAGAAAATGTGCTTTTGGAAGCAGTACCAGAAATAAAAAGAAACATTTCAGAGTAAAATGATAAATCAATCAGGAAGAAACAACATTTCTAAATTTCTAGAAGACTAAAATCTAGCATCACATATATAAAGAAATAACATATAAGGAGAAAAATATGAGTTCACAATTATAGTGGAACATTTTAACCATTTTTCTTAGTAATTCATGGAACAAGCAGACAAAATTTTAAAGTAGTAATTACCACATTGATCAATTTATTTATATAAAACACTGTTACTGACAAGTTGAACACTGGCTTGTTTCATTAAACTTAAAAGATTTGAGTCACACAGAGTATGTTCTATTACGGTAGAATTAGGATAGAATATTGTCTTCTGAACTCTGTGTGAAGGGCCTTAATGTCACCCACCAGAAAACTAAATCCGAATAAATGCTTTCCCTTTTTTTAAAAAAAAGAATATTATACTGGTGTTAAAAATTAGCTAAGAGAGTAGAGTTTTGGTGCTCTTACTACAAAAGAAAAAGATAACTATGTGAGGTGATGGATATGTTAATGTGCTGCACTGTAGAACTCATTTCACTAAGTGTATGTACATCAAGGCATCATGGGCAGGTGCAGTGGCTCAGGCCTATAATCCCAGCACTTTGGGAGGATGAGGCAGGAGGATAGGAGGATTGTTTGAGCCCTGGAGTTCAAGATTAGCCTGGGTAACATGGTGAGATGCTATCTCTACAATTTTTTTTTTTAATTATCTGGGCATGGTGGTGCATGCCTGTCATCCCAGCTACTCAGGAAGCTGAGGCAGGAGGATCACTTGATCCTGGAAGGTTGAGGCTGCAGTAAGCTGATATCTCACCAATGTATTCCAGCCTGGGTGAAAGAGTGAGATCCTGTCTCAAAAACACAAAAACAAAAACAAAAATCCAAACAAAACTCATGTTGTATCCCTTAAAAATATACAATTTTAAAATAGGTTATTTTAATTAAAAAGATACTGAAGTCACTAGTAGGTACCTAGAAAATCACCAAACATTTTGAAATTTTACAATATATCTGCAAATAACTAATGAGTTAAAAAGGAATTAAAATGCAAATAAGACTATTTCTATTATATCATAACTTGTGGGATGCAACTAAAGGTCTACTTAAGATAAAAATTATAGCCTAGAATACTTGTTAGAAAAGGAAAAAAGGAGTGATAATTAATGATCTAAGTATCAACTTCAAGGAGTTTAAAAAATTACATCAATTATAAAGAAATAAATGAGTAAAATGAATGAAATAATATCAAAGCAGAAATCAATGGAATAGGGTGAAAAAAGCCAAAAGGTGATCCTTTGAAAAATGTACAATTTACCCCAGCAAAACTCATTCAGAAAACAAGAGGAAATGCACCAACTACCAATAGCAATCAGTAATATGACATCAAGACAGATTGTATGGATGTAAAAACAGATGAAGATGGTATTATGAACCATAGTGTAGCCACTAAATTTAGAAATTAAGGTCAAGTAGACAACAATCCTAGGAAAATACATCATACCAAAGCTAACACAATAAGAAACAGAAATTCTAATTAGTTATTTCCCTATAAAGTGAGCTGAATCTATGTCTAAAATAGTTTTCCACAAAGAAAACTTAGGCTTCACTGGTGAATTCTTCCCAACATTGATGTACAAAATAAACAAACATTCTACAGATTATTTCAGAAGATAACAGAAAAAGGAACACTTCCCATTTTAAGAACAACACACAAAATTGACATTAGACTCTAATAGGAATATTGCAATAAAGGAAAATTACAGGCTGAACTCTCTCATTAAAATACATGTAAAAATCCTAAGCAAAATATTAACAAATTGAATCCAGCAATTTAGTAATAATGATAATACACCTCAAATAGCTTTATTCTAGAAATGCAAGGTTGGTTTCTAATTGAAGATCAATAATTGTAACTAATAATATTTTAAAAAACTTAAAAAGACATATGATCATCTGCATAAACAGAGATAAAGCATTTAATAATATCCAATGCTCATTATTGATTAAAAAATAACTTTGAAAATCATGAATATAATGGGACTTCCTTAATCTAATGAAAAGTAATGATACCTATGGCATAGCTACCACAAATTTCTTCATGATGAAACACTCAAAGCTTTTTTCTGGGATTGGCAATGGATAGGGCACTTATTATCGACACTTCCAGTCTTTTTAGTGAAGTTCTATCTCATGAAGTAATGCAAGAAAAAAAGGTATGACTTTTTCAAAAAAAGAAATAAAAGTCATCATTTGCAGACTATATGGCATTGATGCAGAAAACCAATGGACTGTTTATGTAAATTAATACTGACATATAACTTTAGCAAGTTTGATGGATAAAAAATGAATATGAAAAAATCAAAATTGTATTCTCTATATATTACCCGTGAACAATTAGAAAATAATTTTTTCTTCTTATTTTCCATAAAACAAACAAGCAAACATTTATTATGTCCTCAAAATATGAAGAACGCCAATAAGCAAATTTAATAATATGGGAAAGACTTCTATACCAAAAAATCAAAATTGCTCCAGAGAAATTAAAGATGGCCAATAAAAGGGCTATAACATTTTGTGAAATGAAAAATCAAATATTGTAAAACTCTCAATTATTTCCACTTAATCTATATATTCAATGCAATACCAATACAAATCCAATTGAAATTGTTAAATTAACTTTAAAGTATACATGAACCAAAGGTCATGATTAGCTAACACATGTTTAAGAACAAACTTAGGGGACTTTCTATTTGTCAGGATTGACTATATAGCTGTAATGATCAAGATATTTGGTGATTTGTTTAGGAACACACGGACCAATACAAAAGAAAACAGATCCTAGAAATGCACCCACTCCCTGGGGTCACCTGTTTAGGACAAAGGTGCTGTGATCATGCAGCAGGGAGACACATGTGGGAACAGTTTTAATCTGGATCCTCCTCCTTCACAATTGTGAAATCTTTTCCACATGGGTAATATGGTAGCCTTGGGTTTGGGCCATAATCCCAAAAGACACCACCCTAAACAACATAATCCTGGATGCTGAAATCCCAAGAGAGTGAAATACCTAAAGTCCAAAATCCTGCAAGTCAAAATCATGATGCAACTCTTCTGCATACAACCAAAACCACAATAATCCTTTCCCTAGAATTCAGCTTTCAGGATTTTAACATTCAGAATTTTATTCTTTCAGGATTGTGATTTGCAGGATTATAGATGTTTGGCATTTCAGACTTTGGGGATTTTGATTTTTGAGGATTTCGATCTTTTGAGATTTCAACATTCTAAATTATGGCATTGGGGATTGTGTCTTTCAGGATTATGATCAGCACCAAAATATCTTAACTGTAAATGCTAAAATAATAAAATGTTATAAAGAAAATGTAGGAAAACATTTTCATAACTAATGCCAAGCTTTCTTAAACAGGTCACAAAAAGTATGAACCCTAAAGAATCTGTAAAATTGTACACTTTGCTTCTTTTAAATACGCTATTTGAAGAGTACAATACAAGCCATAAACTGGAAGAAAATGCAATATGTATGTTTCACAACAAAAAGAATATCGTGAATACATAAAAACTCCTATATATCAAGAAGAAGAAAGAAAACCCAATTTTAATGGCACTATAACTGAACAGGCAGTTCACAAAAGAAGATAATCAAATGAACAACAAACACATATTAATATTTTCATTTGTTAAATCAGAGAAATAGAAATTAGAAACACAATAAGCTACCACTCTACAACTGCCAGAATAGCTGGAATTTGAAAAACTCTTAGTGAAACAAAAACACCATTTATGTCAAAAGCAATTGGGTTGTATCTACCAAAGCTGAACATATTTTATGATGCTGGCATTCCACTCCTAGGTAAAGACCCCATAGAAGTACTTATGTGGGCCAAAAAATAAAAAGGTGCAAAACTGTTTATATTATTCGTAATTACTAAAAAAGTGGAAACAACTCAAAGTTTCCTCAAGTATAGAGTGGATAAATTAGAATATACTCATATAGTAGTTTATTGTACATAAACAAAAATTAGTAAATGCTTTTACAAGCAACAGTATAGCTGAATATTAGAAACATAATAATGAGAGGAATACTACAAAACAGATTGCATTTATATAAAGTTAAAAAACACAGACAAAACCAATCTATAGCTGTAAATGTCAGAATATTTTGTAATGACTAAGTGTGGATTGGGAGAGGACTTCTCTCTTCTATTACATTATGAAGCTGCAGGTTACGTGGGTGTGTTCATGAAGTAAAAGTTCATTAAGCCATATATTAATGAGTTGTATATTACCTTGTTTGTTTGTCGTTATTTAATACAACATTTATGGGAAAAAATGATTGCTCAGTATTCTATACCCAAGTAAATAAGAAAATAAATAAAAGTGAAATAATACATCTGCAAGGACCTTACTAATGTAGTATCTGAAAACTCCTGTTAAATTCCAGAGAAGAAAAATTGAGCTAGAAAGCAGATTGTGAGTGAATTTAGAAATCTGTTGATTAAGAAAGATGTCCAGAATGGTACTGCCTAGGTTGTCTTCCTGGGTTTTTATAGTTTTGGGTTTTACATTTATGTCTTCAATCCATCTTGAGTTAATTTTTGTATATGGGGCAAGGAAGGGGTCTAGCTTCACTCTTCTGCTTATGGTTAGCCGGTTGTCCCAGCACCATTTATTGAAGAGGGAATCTTTTCCTCATTGCTTGTTTTTATCAGCTCTGTCCAAGAACAGATGGTCACAGATGTGCAGCAGTACACTGTTGTTGGGAGTGTAAATTAGTTCAAACATTCTGGAAAGCAGTACTGTGATACCTCAAAGAGCTAAAAGCAGAATTACTATTCAACCCAGCAATCCCATTACCGGGTATATACCCAAAGAATTATAAATCACTCTACCATAAACATACATGCACACGAATGTTCATGGCAGCACTATTCACAATAGCAAAGACATAGAATCAATTTCAATGCCCATAAATGACAGATTGGATAAAGAAAGAATGGTACATGTGCATCATAGAGGACTATGCAGCCATAAAAAAGAACAAGATCATGTCTTTTATGGAAACATGGATGGAGCTGGAGGCTATTATCCTTAGCAAACTAACACAGGAACAGAAAACCAAACTCATGTTCTCCTTATAAATGGGAGGTAAATGATAGGAACTTATGAATGCAAAGAAGGAAACGGTAGTCACCAGGGCCTACTTGGCCAAGGAGGCTGGAATGGGGGAGAGGAGCAGAAAATATAACTATTGGGTACTGGACTTAATACCTGGGTTATAAAATAATCTGTACAACAAACCTCTATGACACGTGTTTACCTGTATAACAAACCTTTACAACCCAAACCTAAAATAAAAGTTAAAAAAAAAAAGAGGCTCTGCTACATTAACCTGGGTCACCCGGAGTGGCATGTTAAGTGGCTGAAATGAGTGAGGCTGTGTACTAGGAGCTGTCATGCGATGCTTTATTGCTCTGGTTTGCTTTTATCCAATTACAATATATTTGTTTCAGAATTCTCTTGGCTAACCAGATGTTACAGGAGGTCTTGTGTTTACTTTGTGGGGTTTTTTTTATGAGTCTCAAGTCCCACTAATGTGCTTGTAAAATAAATACTTCCAGCAAACTTCTTTGCTGTCCATAAAGGAATTTGACTGCATATTCTGTTCTCTCTGGGGCTGCTGGCAGTAAGTATTCAGAGAATGCAACGCTTGTATTCTGTGCATTTCCTGGCGAGCATGTGTCTCATCACACGCATTTCATTTTCTGTTTGAAGGTTGGAGAACTCCCTAATACTGCAGACTGTGGAAACTCCCTAATCTAACGTCCAAATAGAAGGTTATATACTTAGTAAAAAGGCAATTTACAATCTGTTTTGAAAGATCATACTATAAAAAAAATCGGACTGTAGCAAAAAGAGATGAAAATCCTGGTCAAATGATTAAGTCAGCTAAAATATTTTATCTTGGCTCTGAAAACAAATCATTGCTCAACCCTCAGTTATTTGGTATGGATGAGTAAATATTAACTTCTTTCTCTCGTCTAAAATTAGGGTTTTGGTTGAGGAAGTCTACTTATTTATTCAATATTTATTGGGAACCTATTATGGGTCATACATAGCAGTGAACAAAACAAGAATTATTTTCCTTATAGAACTTGCATTCTAGTGGGTATGGGCATGATAGAAAGAGAGAGACAGACAGTCTGTGTTTGTAGGGAGAATCAGCACATGGTATTTATAAGAATCTAAATAAGAAAAATATACAGTATGTTAGAGAGTGGTAAGTTTGTGGAGGAAAACATATGAAGGCAGAAGGATAGGAAGTGCATTTTGCGATTTCAAATAGACTGGGGGCTGGCCTCCAGAAGCAATGACATTGATATGAAGACCTGAAGGGAGGGAGGAATGGGCATATGGTGGTCAAATTACTCAGGCAAAGCCCTGCACCGAAGTGCTGCCCATACTCATGAGACACCAAGGCCAGCAATGTGGCCAGGGTAGAGGCACCCAGGGTAGGGTGCCAGCATCTGACGTCAGAAATTCAAAAGGTAGGGGGAAAGCGTTGCGGCTTTATGAGCCTTTCCTCAGACTCTGGCTTTACTGAGTGAATTGGGCATCTTTTTAGCAGAGAAGTGTCATAATGCAATGTGCATTCTAACACTGTTACTCTGAATTTTTGTGTTGAGAATAGACAGAGGGGAGGTCAAGAGAAGCCCAGACACTTATTTGCAGGATAAAATGCAAGTGCAAAATGCAATTGCTGTAGGAAGATATGTACCTGGAGGCAGCAGTGGGGGTGGCCTTCTGTGTATAACTTGAAGGTAGGGCCGGTGACATTTGCAGGGAAATCAGATGTGGGGTGTGGAAGGAAAACCAGCATCAACAGTCTCACCAAATGCATTGGCCCAAGAAGTGACAAGAGTGGGGCTGCCATGAGCCAGGGAGGAAAGGCCATGAGACGTGCAGGTTGGAAGAGCTCAAATGACCAAATTCGGGTATTTGAATTTTGAGATTTCTGTTAAACTAGTGATTTTCTATTTGTGGGGAAGGATCACTTGTTTTTAGTCCCAATTAATCATGGACTGATACCTTTGTAAAACATAATAAAAAGAATTACTAAAAAATGTGATTAAAAGACATACGAAGTTCAAACTCTGATTCTTATTAACTCCAACAGATAGGGATTAAACCAACAAACTGCTGGAAGAGTTTCTGTAAAAACACTTATTTTCACTACACACTGGTCATAAAATATTCATATATCTACTAGTCCACAGACAACACATTGGGAAGCACATATTGTCATTTAATCCATAATGTTTAAATTGCTTGTCTACCCATTAGAGGGGATTTCAGACACCATAATGTAAAGCATTCCTATTACAAAATTGATCCTAATCGATTGAGCTTTTCTGTATTTTAGGAATTGAGCAGAAGAAACCCGTGCCTCGCACAGTGGCAAATTTATGTTATATGAACATTCGGAAAGCAGAGAGTAGTATTAATAGTTCAGGTGATCAAGAAAGAGAGAGAAACTGACTAGAAAAAAATTATTTAAGAAGATAGTCCACTGTGTGGAGGAGCTAGAGGCAGGAGTTTGATAAAAACATAGGAAGTATTTGCTGTTTAAGAGGGAAACAGCAGAAAAACTCACATAACGAACTCCATTTTGTTAAGCTGCTTTACCTATTCTTGCACATGGGCTAGGATCATCTTAAAGCACTGAGATAATAATGCAAAAATAGCAATTGTGTAGTTTTTACTCTGGGATTAAAGGAGAAGTGCATAAACAACTATGTTTTGTCAAAGATTTCTAGGAAAGTTGTAGCCTGACAAGGACAAAGTTCCCAAGTCCTTAGACCCTCCCTGGTCCCCAGATGTCTATAGTCCTTATTCACCATTTGATACCAACACCCTCCTCTTCTGCATATGTCCCTCCCATAAACACCCTCTGGCCAGCCTGAAAAATTGGAGAAGGTACGTTAGAACACTAGTGTACCATCTTTTCAGTTTTGCTGGCTTTCCAAATAAACCTGCTTTTCCTCCCATCAACCTTGTCTCTGGTGTTTGGCTTTTGAGCAGCCCAGGAACCAGATGTTAACAAACTACCAATGAGTTACAGAATAACCAACTGTGATAAATTCTCTAAAGGCAGATAGTCCATGATGATGTAATCTAGAAGCTCTGGGAAGGTTTACTTAAAGAGTGGGATTATTTGAGTGGGAGTTTATAAAGCTAACTATTTTGTGGAGCAGAAAGATAACTCTAGGAGAAACAAACAAACAAAAAAACAGTCTAAGGAAAGTCCTTGATGCAGGAAGGCAGGCGATAATCAGGTAATTTAGATATAAGTGAGGAAGAGTCCTCAGTGACTGTTCAGGGCATATCATGAGGATTCTAGCCTCTGGAAGAAGGGTTGCGCTCTTTGTTCCATGAAAAGTGGTGGGCCATAGAGAAGATTCAAGACTGGGAGTTTTGAGATTACATTTGTGCTTTATAAAACTTACTCTAGTTCATTGTGAGATTGGATTGAAAAAGAATGATGAAGCCTCCCCTAGAAAGTTAGGAGGTTGTTAGAGAAGGGAAGGTAATGGCTTTGATGAGGGTGCTTACCACCGGGGTGGAGAGAACCAGATTAAATGCATATTTAGATGAAATGTCACTTTAAAGGCACAAATGGGTAAAGAAAGACAAAAGAAATTAGGCAATGGTCTTCCAGGCTTCTATAATTAAGACAAAAAAAATCAACACAATACTGGGAAAAAAGATGAAAAAATGTTATAAAAATACACACTTTACAAAAGTAACAGGGTGATAACAGAGACCAAAGTAATCAGCTCTCACCACTTTATGCCAATGACATGATTTCATTAATTTTAACAGAAGTACTTAATTTTAAGTGTATTTACAGTGGCAGGCAATTTTTCTAAGCATTAAGATGCTACATTGCATTTTCATAGGCTAATTAGCATTTGACAATTTATTACTTGTAAGGAAATCTCAGACTTCACATTTACATGAAAATTACTTAATCAGTTCCTCAGTAGACTAGAAAAAAAACAAGTGTTATCAAAAAGGGATAGCTGGTATATGCATAATCAGATTTCTTTATAGACATTCTGATTGAATTACTCTGTGCTCTGTGTAGAATATAACAAAATCAGAGAGTGGAAGAGAAAAAGAAAGAGAAAGAGAAAGAGATTGATTTTGATGTTACAAGGTGCCTAAACTGTTATCAGTGCTGGGAAAGTAACATACAAATAACGATAGAACCGCAGTAAATAAATTCTCCATGCTGTCATTTGAGTAATATTTTCGGATTCTACTATCAGGAATCTGTGTATAAATTATTTACTTTACAAAGACATTTCCTGGTAATTCTGAGCCACAACAGTTTCTCTTCTTATGCAAATAGAGATGCAGTCTTACCTGCATAGTCAATGTATGCTCTTTCGCTTCCTGTTCCTGATCTAGCAGGTTCAAGAAAAGTAGAGGAGACAGACAGCAATTTTATAAGTCATGTGCAGATCCTGCTGGTTCTAGCAAGATCTTCCACAGCAATCATGACAACAGGAAAGTTTAATAGCAGTACTTGTGTCTGTCCACAGGGTATTAGTTCATACTCAGCTCCAGAATTTGGAACTGTGCTGAATTTGCCTTATAACTGAGCCAGAATGAAGCTAAACTCACCTTAAGAAATTCAACTTCAGCTATCACCACTACCAGAAGCTCCAATGAGCCCTTTACTTGCAACATTTGAAGCACTGAAGGGTGATAAAAATATGCAGCAAGAGAAAAACAGTGCAAAAGGCAATTTCCAGGGCACTCACATAGATCTGATTGTTCCCAAAGCGCTTCTGAATCTCATAGAGCAGGCTGCCATCATTGAGCTCGCTGAGCGTTGCCAGGTCATCGTTTGGGGCAGGAGGCATTAGCTTGACCTGGGGAAGAACCGAAAGTATGATCAATTCTAATTGCTTTCCAATCAACTTTCTTCACAGTTGGATGTTCCACTTTCAATTACCTGTCAAACATTTGAAGACAACCTGAGTTAGGAACTGTTATTAAGAGATGAAATGGTTCAATGAAAAAGAAAAAAAAAAAAAACTCTAAAGCCACAGAGCAATGTATTCAGATGAGAATTTTTGTGCTATACTCCCCAGTGTGCAGGTGCACACACCCTGTCTGTTAGCCCAGGCATTAGGTCTGTCAAGATGAGTTCAGCATGTTGACTTTTCTTATTCCCTACTGATAATTTAGACAGCTCTGTACTGTTCTCAGTTCTCTGGAAGATAAGCAGTGGAACACCTCATATATCCGTAGTGTTCCCTAAGCTAAAGCAAAACTTTTCATGTTACCATTGTTGGCATGGTAAGGAAGAAATGTGTACGGAATTTAGATTCTGCATTCATGTAGGATGAGGCCAGGTTTTAAAGGTAGACTTCAGATCTTTCTATTCTGCTCTACATTACTTTTAAGATTAAGGTAGCTATGAGATTAAATAACTGTCATAAAGAAAAAATACTTTCCTATTCAATTTAATATGCCATGAATGTTTAAAGACTGCAACATTTCAAATAAAAAAGATAAATTTGGATTCTTCAATTAAATGAAAATCCATTATTTTCAAATTAGAAATGGGCAATTTTAATTTTATATACCCAGAACATGCTCAGAAAAGTAGTCATTTGATGTAATATGGTAGTAGTGTTTTTTTAA
The DNA here is from genome assembly GCF_000001405.40 of Homo sapiens. Taxonomy (NCBI): domain Eukaryota; kingdom Metazoa; phylum Chordata; class Mammalia; order Primates; family Hominidae; genus Homo; species Homo sapiens. Next base: position 108,854,664 of record NC_000013.11, on the reverse strand, counting down.
TATCACACACAGAGGAGCAAAAGAATAAGAATATTCTTATCAATGTGAGTTCTTTGATACTCCTAGTAAATTTTTAATAATTATCATTTGTATTCATGTTTGTAGTCTATATTTGCATTTTGTATTTGTATCTGTATTATATATTATTAACAGCATATGCCATTGTTAAATAATTTGAACATAAATATTTCTGCTTATCATGTCTATGTAGTGTAAAAAATACTAAACATCTTTAATAAAACTAAATTTAGGACTATTTTTTCTGATATTAGTGGATATTTCGCAAAGTAAAATCTTTCCCATGAGTTCATAAAGTGGGCTTATTTTCTCCCCAGGCTTTCTAAACCTAATGCATTAATAATAGAAACACAGGCCGGTGTGGTGGCTTACACCTGTAATCCCAGCACAGGGAGACTGTGGTGGGTGGATCACTTGAGGTCAGGAGTTTGAGACCAGCCTGACCAACGCGGCGAAACCTCACCTCTACTAAAAATACAAAAAAAATTAGCCGGGCATGGTGGCACATGCCTGTAATCTCAGCTACTCAGGAAGCTGAGGCACGAGAATTGCTTGAACCCAGGAGGTACAGGTTGCAGTGAGCCGAAATCCAGCCACTGCACTCCAGCCTGGACAACAGAGCAAGACTCCGTCTCAAAAGCAAACAAACAAACAAAAATACACACACACACACACACACACACACACACACAATAATAGAAACACAAATTGAGTAGTGGGCATGTTGAAAGGTCAGAACATTTTTTTTATGAACTCTAGTTAGAATGGTGGCAGGCAGCAAGCTTTATGGCACTGGAGTTCAAACCATTTCTATAAGCAGGAAACACAATATTCCAATAGATGAATGCTTATTAAAAACTAATTTGTAAAATATTCCATTAGCTGGGCATGGTGATGTGCACTGTAGTCCCAGCTACTTGGAAGGCTGAGGGGTTTGGGTTATTTAAACCTAGGGGTTTGGGTTTGAGGCTGCCGTGAGTCATGATAGTGCCACTACACTCCAGCCTGGGTGACAGAGCTAGGCCCTGTCTCAAAAAAAAAAAAAAAAAATCTAGATCTCAGAAATATCAACAACAAGCCTGTACCCTTCCCCACCAAGATGCACAAACTCAAACACCCTGAGTTCATTATTTTAACTACTTTGCAACATTTAAAGGAAACGTATTTCCAAATATCTTTCAGCATTAACCTACACCAAGCATATAATATAGTTTTCCTAAAATTAGTTATTTAATGTTGGGTTAGGGGCATAGCTTTAAGGCTTTGATGCTGTCAGAATTATCTACTTGAATCGTTCAGGAGTTGCAGCCAAAAACTGGTACTTTTTGTTGATAAAAATAGAAGTCATAATGTTCCAGCTATGCCAGTGTTTCCTGGGTTGTCAAAACAATTTTGAAATTGTTTGATATCAACTTTTTCACATTATACACTGAGTTCCACTTTGCGGAGTCTCATAGGCACCGAGCGCTACCTAGACTGACAGCTCTCAGAGAGAGGCGCGACCATAGAAGTGATGCTGCCTTCGGCGTAGCCCTTAGGCGAAGGAACTGGTGGTCTTGATCCAGGCAGTTTTTAATTCTGCTTTCATCGGTCACACAAATTCAGGTCAATATCTTAGACATGAATTTGAGCTTCCCTACTTCAAATGTTAGAAAATGCGAGCTCATCTACCTCTGAAACATCAATTATTTGTATTCAGCTGTATGAACAACAGTGTTTAAACCCCAGTTGTACATCTTCCAATCTGTGAGTTCTTGAATATTTTTCTACCTTAACATCATGAAGCTGCTTTTCATTCTCTATGTGATGAAACATAGTCTATACTTCATAAAGTGGTTGAGGGAATTAAATATATGAGGAAAATTTGGCCCAGTGCCTCCTCTGCAGCTAAGTGTGCCTCATTAGTGCCCTTAGTAACACATGTAGGGGCCACGGAGACCATGTAACTTCCTACCAGCTTCCCTTGGAGCTGTTGGCGGGAGGGATGCGGGTGAGTGTGGAGGGCCCTGGGTCTGTCCGCGCTGTTCTCAGCAAAGATGCTCAGCTTTCCTTTGCTTTAGGAATCAGAGTTCTCGTTCACGTATTTCTTTCTGAGGAAGGTTCTTCTGCTGAATAACATTTTTTTAAAATTTTGGCATTCATTGTTATAGCATCCTTATTTAAAGGATGAAGAACTTAAGGCCCAGAGAGGACATGTAGTTTTTCTAGGGTCACACAGCTGATAAGTCAGAAGCAAAACTGGCATGATAACCACTGGGGAACAGGCGGAATTCCAGTGGATAATGGAAACATCTGATGACATCTATTCAATAATGGGCCAAATTTCCCTTGCTTACCTTCTTTGTTGGCCATTGTGCTAGAGGTTTAGCACAAAGAGGAAAAAAGGAATGATGTTTGTGACTTCCCCTACTGGGGGGCTGGGGGGAGAAGTTAGGACAGAAATAAGAAATGACAAGTACAAAATGTACGTGAAGGGAAAAACAGGATGCTTTGAAAAGAGAAAAATTTCACTTTAGATTATCTGAGAAGTCGTCTTTGAAGAGGTCACGTTGACACTGAAATTGGACATAATTTTAAAAGGCAGTACTGTGGGATGTGGGGAGAGATGTCTCTGGGAGAGGGAAGGACATGGTGAGGGCTGTAAGGTCGGGAGGAGATGGGTGTGTGGGAGGCCCTAGAACATGCCCTGGCGTGGAGGAGGTGGGAGGAGGCAGCAGCAGGGGATATTGAAGGAGCTGGAAAAGCTTCCTGGGCCCTGAGGAAGAGCTGCTACATTCCAGGAATTAGTGAAAGTCATGGAGGGGACTGAGCATGGGGACCACAAGACCAGTTTCACGGTGCTAAGATGACACCCTGGCAGCTACAGCAGAGAAAAGGCGGGAGTGGTGAGACCAGCTAGCAAGCTCTAGAAAAAGGTGGCCCAAGGAAGAGGTCAAAGAGGAGGAGGAATGGATTGGACTTTGATTAATTTAAGAAAAAGAGGAGCTGCCATATGCAACTGTATGCAACTAAGTTGCACTTGATTTCCTAACTAGAATTGATTTAGACAAGATTGAAGGTTTTCTTATAGAGATGGATAATTTTTACGCAGTCCAGGATCACAGACTGGAATGCTTGCCTTTGGATATAAAAGGAATCTAGAAAACATGTGCAATTAGGTAAGAATGTATTTTCTAGAGGAGAAATCACTTGTGGCAAAAGTCATTATGTAGAGAGACACATGAAAGGGAGCTTTCACCATCAATTTAGGGATGGATGTAAATATATTTTCTTTTTAATATCTTTGCAACATTTCTGCAAAGTACATAAACTTACACACACATATAGACAACCCCCAAAACTATGTAGGCATGCACGTATGCATGTACAAAAATTAATCCATATGCATATTCATACATGTACATAATTTGATGTAAATCAATAAATGATTGCAGTAACTTTGAGTAATGCAAAAAGAAGGCAAAACTCTCCAGCAAGTTAGCATACATCTTTAACTCCTAAAGAAATCATAAAAAGAGGAAAATCAAGAGTAAGATTTGTGTTTTCTTCAGGAGTAATGATTTATGCTAAGATAATAAGATCCTTCTTACAGTCACGATGCTAACAATTTCAATGCAAATTTCTGTGTGCACATTTAGCAAAAACATGAATAGTACTAACAGAAGTTCTGCATTTGTTCCAGCAAGCCTGGAACAGCTATCACAGACATCTCATTGGTATTCCTGTGGATTCTCGTTTTCAGTGGCACAGCTGTTACATGGGTCAGAGAAAGTACTAGGCTGACACTAAAAATGTGACTACTCCCTAGCCTGTTTATAGTTACACAGTGGGGCAGAGCCAGTGTGAGAGCAGATCAAGGGAAGAGTTCCTTGCATTTCTCACGTCAAGATTCCAAAATGACCTGAAAGGAAGCTTTGATAATCAATCTTAAGCGAGGCTATCAAAGGAGCAGATTCTTTATAGATTTCAAAAGCATTGTGACAGCTGACAAGTAGAAAGAAAAGTAAAAAATATGTCTGTGAATGTTTTTATGTTGCAGTTGTAGGCTGAAAAGTGGGCACCACCAATGTCTACCAAACAATTATAACAATAATTACCAGATAAGTACAAAAGATTGCCTGTCCTCTCCAAAATTGACCATTATGGTTTTTATTCTATATATTTCTAAAAGGAGAGATCTAAAACACAAGATAGGCATAATTTAGAAGACAAGGAAGAATTCAGGGGAAACACCTTGAGAAATGTTTTGCGATCCAAAGCTAATTTAAGTTTTGAAAGTATTCTGAATTTGCTGATCCCTCGTCTCCATTGTGTGGACGCTGTTTTGAGTACCATGGGCTTTACCATGTTGTCTTGCGTTTGCTTGTTTGTGATTTCTCTCTGGGAGGTTGGTAGCACATGTCCAGGGAGTAGAAGCCCAGGGGGCAACAGAGATGGTCTGACCTGTGGGATCAGGGCAACAGGATTTGGAGGAAGGCAGTCTAGGCGCAAATAACCCAGTATGGATAAGTTACACACACAAAAAGAGGAAATTCAACAGGATTTGGAGGAAGGCAGTCTAGGCGCAAATAACCCAGTATGGATAAGTTACACACACAAAAAAAGAGGAAATTCAACAGGATTTGGAGGAAGGCAGTCTAGGCACAAATAACCCAGTATGGATAAGTTACACACACAAAAAAAGAGGAAATTCAACAGGATTTGGAGGAAGGCAGTCTAGGCGCAAATAACCCAGTATGGATGAGTTAAAAAAAAAAAAAGAGGAAATTCAACAGGATTTGGAGGAAGGCAGTCTAGGTGCAAATAATCCAGTATGGATAAGTTACACACACAAAAAAAGAGGAAATTCAACAGGATTTGGAGGAAGGCAGTCTAGGGGCAAATAACCCAGTATGGATGAGTTAAAAAAAAAAAAAGAGGAAATTCAACAGGATTTGGAAGAAGGCAGTCTAGGCACAAATAACCCAGTATGGATAAGTTACACACACACACACACACACACACACACACACACACACACACACACAAAAGAGGAAATTCAACAGGATTTGGAGGAAGGCAGTCTAGGGGCAAATAACCCAGTATGGATAAGTTACACACACACACACACACACACACACAAAGGAGGAAATTAAAAAAAAAAAAGACTGTGTGTTAGATGGGCACAGTGGCTCATGCCTGTAATCCCAGCACTTTGGGAGGCAGAGGCAGGCAGATCACCTGAGGTCAGGAGTTCTAGACCAGCCTGACTAACGTGGTGAAACCCTGTCTCTACTAAAAATACAAAAATTAGCTGGGCGTGGTGGCAGGCACCTATAATCCCAGCTACTTGGAAGGCTCAGGCAGGAGAATCGCTTGAACCCGGGAGGCGGAGGTTGCAGTGAGCTGAGATGGCACCATTGTACTCCAGTCTGGGCGACAGAGTAAGACGTCATCTCAGAAAAACAAAAACAAAAACAAAAACAAAAAAACAGAAAAAAACTTCGTGTTGACCGGAATGACCAGATTAGGAAAGGGTGATCATGTGACACATACTTTACTTCGCTTCCCAAGGCTTCCACCCATGCCATGCCTGGACAGTCGTGTGTAGTTTTGCCCTCCTTTTGTTATTCTGCCAAGTGTTTCTTAAATAGTGAAGTCTACCAGGCCCTTTCCCTTTCCCTGGCTGCAGATCTGTGTGCTCGTGCACACATGTGCTTGTGTCTCTGTGGACTACAGGAAGAAAGTTTTAGCGGATCTTAGAAACCTGCTGTGGTGCCCCCAAAAGAGCACTGGATACAAAATAAAAGAAACATTTGTGATTCTAGACAATTTGCTTAACTTTTTTTCGTCAAGACAGGCTCGCACTTTATAGTACATGCTGGAGTGCAGTGATGACGTCCTAGCTCACCGCAGCCTCCAACTTCTGAACTCAAGCAATCCTCCCACCTCAGTCTCTTGAGTTGGTGGGACCACCGGTGTGTGCCACCAGGCCCTGCGCCACCAAACCCTGCTACGTTTTAAATATTTTGTAGAGATGGGGTTTTGCTATGTTGCCGGGCTGGTCTTGAACTGCTGGCCTCAAGCAATCCTCCCACCTTGGCCTCTAGTGCTGGGATCATTGGAGTAAGCCACCACTCCCAGCCTGCTTAACTTTCTTGAGTTTAAGTTTGGTCAGCTTGAAATTCAGTTTGAAACTTGAGTTTTAGTTATGTAGTGAAAGCAGAAAATAACCTGCTCACAGTGACATTTTGAGGATTAAGATAGTGCAGGTGAACGCATTTCTAAGCTTTGAAATGTTAACCAACATAACACATTATTTTGCATTATTATTTTCTAAAATAATCTACATTTACATTGAAAAGTATAAAGTCCTGTGGATATGTTGAGTGGAACTACATGAATTTAGAACAGATCCGGGCAGGGAGTAGAAGACTACTGCTCTGGCAAAACCGGAGTATGCAATTCCAGTCAGTCACATACAGTCAGTCTATATAATAATGATAGTACAAATAATACATCCATCTCCTGTCATCTTCCTAACAACCATACAAGCCCAGTCCTATGTACCCATTTTGCACATGAGGCTCAGTAAGGCTATGGGACTTCCATAGAGCTCCAGAGCTGCAGACCTGAACCACGGCAAAGCTGCACGCCTCTTTCCCGCTCTCTCTCTACTCCAGGCTGTCATAACTTCACCAAACGGAATGAAGACTTGACTTCAATTTCAACCTTAAACCTAATTTAAATAAAAATGTCTGAAGGGAGAAAGAGAGGAAAGAGGGAAAATAAGAAGTTAGGGAACCAAGAAAAAAATGAAAAAACCCAGGAGGTCGGGGAGGGATGGGATGGGAAAGGAAACCAGGAGGGAAAGGGAAGAGAAGGAAGTCTTGCACATTATAATCAATTTAAGAAACATTCTGTGTTCTCAGAGATATTATAAAAACAAATGTTAATTTTAGTGGTTCTCGGAAATTAAAAAAAATAAAATGTCAAATCAAGCCTTTAGTATTCATTTACACAGTTACCATTTGATAAGACCTACACTTTATAAAAATCTGGAAAGAGAGATGCAAAGTAGTTTTTATTTTAATTTTTTAAAATTTTCCACATGATGTATTTATCTCTAAAATGTTAATTAGAGCTTTATGGCTTTGAAAAGTGTTTTGGAAAGCTTTCCTATGAAATGTGAATATATAATCCACTCAGTTTACCACGCTGCTCTTCCCTGGAGAGAACCATACAGCTAGCACCTTGTGGGCAAGAACATATGAGAACATGATGGATACCATGCGGCATATTACTGGGTGAATATTAGGACATAAATACACAGGAGCATAAAGCCTGTGTAGCTGCCACTTCCTCTCTAATAATGCATAAATAGAGCATGGTTACAATTACTTTTTATGTCTAGGATACAATTATAAAAAGTCTACATCAAAACAGAAAAGTTATCCTGTGAAGATTACACTTGATATTTTTATGTCGTGAATGTCTTATATTTGAAGAACACTTTATGTCTTTTAGAAACGTCTTATTAAATTACCACTTAAAAAGCAATCAATCTGCTAATCAGAAATTGTTTTAACTCCACAGAGGGAGAAATCTCAGTACCTTGATGAAATGGTTGACCTAGTTTGCTCTTCTTTAATTAAATAAATGATTATCATTGTACTTACTACTGCTAAACTCAAACACCTAATTAATACAGCTTGAAAGCAAATTAATAGAAATGTACAATAATTTCACATATACACATTGACTAAAAGTCATGCCATATCAATAATTGCATTCAAAAGTTTTTGAATGTTAGTTAATTTGAACAGTAGGAAATCAATTAGCCTGAGATTTCCCACAATTTATATAAATGAATTAAGAAAAAATACTTCAAAACAATGCCAGTAAAAACAAAAATACATTTTAAAGTTATCTTTAATTTCTCTAGGTTATGTAATAAATAACATTAATATTCCCATTCTTAATAACAAATTAAAATATGAGGAAAATAACTCCATAAGTTTAAAAATAGTGTTCAATTGTCAGTCACACTCAATTTCTTTGCTCACATAACTATTCTAATAGAATCCTACAATGTAATATTTTAATCAATAAACAAATTATTAAAAATAAAATATTCCCCCCCAAAGGATATATGTATATACACACATGTATGTGTGTGTATATATATGTATGTATATATATATAATGATATTATTTTGTAAAAGCTAAAGGTGAGCAGTAATGGGTTTATATATAACAAGAGAAAGCACCCATAAGACTTTATTCAAAGTGGCTTCCCATGAAAACAATTAGGAAACAGAACTCATTCTTGAGTTTCAACTGTTGTAAAATAACTCAGAAATTTGTTTCCTCAACACTCACTGCAAACTAATTTGAGTCTTAAATATCTGTAATGAAAACAAAAACCAAACTTTTAAATTACTAAATTTATGGGCATAAGTGTTAAAATGTATGAGGAGTAAGAGGGTGCTAGACACTAGTTAATTAATAGTCATTTTTCCTCTATACAGGATAGTATTAAATCATAACCAGAAATGGAAAGTTATGCCAGACACTAAAGTACACAAATTATATGGCTCAGAAACACTTGGAATGTCAACAGAAGTTAATAGGATCCTTAAGAAAGTTAAGAATATTTTGCCAGGTGTGGTGGCTCACACCTATAATCCAAGCACTTTGGGAGGCTAAGGTGGGAGGATCACCTGAGCCCAGGAACTCAAGATCAACCTGGGCAACATAGTGAGACCCTATCTCTTAAAAAAAAAAATGGCAGAGAATGGTGGCACACACCCTAGTCCTAGCTCTCTGAAGCTGAGGCAGAAGCATCACTAGAGCCTGTGAGGTTGAGGCTGCAATGAGCCATGATTGTGACACTGCACTACAGCCTGAGTGACACAGCAATCTTCTGTCTCAAAAAATATATACATATTTTCTCTTAAATTTTACCTAACCTTTGATTTGTCTAGAACTGTGGACTAATTGTATTTCTCCAAACTCATATGTGGAAGCCCCCATCCCTAATGCAACTGTATTTGGAGATAGAGCCTATAAGGAAGTGATTTAGGTTAAATGAAATCATAAGGGTGGGATCCTAAGCCTACAAGATTGCTCCAGAGAGTGCCCTCTCCCTGCTCCTCCCTGCCTCTTCCTCCTTCCCATTTTCCCTGCCTCCTGCTGTCCGCCCTGCAAGGACACAGCAGTGGGAAGGCACCCTGCACCTTCAGTCAACCTGCACCTTGACCTTGGACCCTCAGAATCCAGATGCCTCCACGACTGTGAGAAATGCATTTCTGTTGTCCAAGCCACCCAGACTGTGGTGTTTTGTCATGGCAGCTTGAGCAGATGAATACACCTGCTAAAATTTAAAAGTGTTTCAGATGTTTTGTTTATCTGCTTTAGTTACTTGAAATAACAAAAATTAATAAAGTTAAAATTAAATTTTAAGAAGAAGATCTTTAGAAAACCTGGCTAAAATATCTATAAAATATTAAAAATTAGATACACTGAAGAAAGCTATTTTCAAGGATGCAAGTTATTCTGCCACTTATAAAACAGAAATATACAAAATCATTTATTTCTGTGGCCATAATAAAATACATTAATTGCCATAACTCCAAGCTCATTCCCCTCTCCCCCTTCAAATCCAAAATTACCTCCCATAACTTAGGCACCAGACAAGTACACATATGCACACACACACACGCAACATAAACACACAGACACGTACAGATACACATGCAATGCATGACCACAGTTACTTTTAAGAATAAATGATTCAGTGACTGGTTTGCCCTTCTTGTTCATAAATATTTGGGTCATTGAAATAAACCAAGAAAACACAGAATACATAAAAATCAAAATAATGACAAATGACTCAACTGGAAATATTCAAGAACTAATGCGCTGGCTGAGCTTATATTCCTGGTTATAAGTCAAAACCAAAATTCAAATTGTAAAGCACAATAGCAATTATGTTTGTTGATCAGCAGAATGCACTAATTGTTTATGAAAACTGCAAGCAAAATATTAATCTATGCATTAATTGTCTTTGAATGCAAATTAGTGCGCATTTGTTTTTGAAATATGTTGGATTTTATAATACATTACTTGATATGAAAAAGTACTGGTAGACACACAGTGAAAGCATGATTACCTGCTCGGGTTTGGTGGAACCGCTCATCATGGGGTTTTCAGGGATGCTGTCCTGAGACTGCTGCTTACACAGACCTTTTGTTGCATCTTTGAACATAATGTCTTTTTCCAACAAACTGTCTTGCTTGGCAATTGGTAACACCAGGGGACTGCTACAGGAAAAAAAATCAATACTACAATTAGTCTCTTTCTAATGTTTTATCAATCGAAAATTACCAATACAGGATAGTTGGACTATGACGGTGGTTTTATTCAGATAAGAAATATTTCTTATAAACTGCAGGAAAAAAATTAGTAAGAAATCTGTAAACTTTTAAAAAATTAATTCCAAACTTTATTCAACTTTAATTTTAAAAGAAAAAAGTATATACTTATTTGAACTCCAGAAGAAAATGTTTACACATGTATATCTGACTATAATAGATGAATCAATAAACAACTTAAGAGCTGGGATTGAAATGCATGGCTGAACTAGACAAGATTTAACATGTAAATGCAAAAATGGATTGCAAACAACTGAATAAAGGCATAATTGTATAATTAGTTTAAAAATTACTCATTTAGGATTTAAAATACAAAATCATGGGCAAAACTTCAAGTTTGCGATGGAATAATAATATGAGAATTAAAAATAATAATATCTTTAAGGACTGCAATATTACAAGCAGAGTAACTTTTGTTAATTCTATACAGCTCAAACAAAGCCAAAAAATAAAAGATACTTAACTTTTTATTTTTCTATTGACTTTATTCCCAAAATACAGCCATTATTTTTATAATGTTCATTAAAAATAAATAGAAAATAAATGATAAATGTTGCATTGTATCACTAAGATTTAAAAATGTGCCTCCTAAATTGTTACCTTATAAGCAGAAATGCACGTGTATTTAATCAAGTGCAATCTATGTAAACATAATTATTTCATGTAGTCTACCATAGTCACTGGGATTCTAATAAGAGCTAAGTGCAATTTTTTTTTTGCCTCTTTTAAACTTCTATTTGTTTGAGGTCTAGTTTACATACAGTAAAATTCACCCTTTGTTGTTTAGTTCAGTGAGATTGGACTGATATACATAGTTGCATAGGCAAAATAACCAGCAATGTATAGAATACTTTATCACCTCCAAGAGACCCTTTGTGCTCCTTGGAGTCAATTATTATTAGATGTGTTAGTGGCTTCTCACACTGTGATTTTTATTTGAATTTCATTTTCTTATTTTAAAATACTTATTAAATAAAAATGGAATATATTTAAGGTGTATAATGTGATTAGATATACATTTTGTAAAGGCAACTACAATTCTATTAATTAACATGTCACACTAGATCTCCAAAATTTGCTCATCTTATGACTCCAAGTGTGTGCTCTGTGACTGACACCTTCCCTTGCTCCCACTCTCCAATAACTGGCAGCCACGGTTCTACTCTCTGCTTCTGTGATTTTCAGGTTTTTAAGAGTCCACACATAAGCAAGATCATGTAATATTTGTCGGTCTGTGTCTGGCTTACTTCACTTGGCCTAATGTCTTCCATGTTGATCCACTGCAAATGATAGAATTTCTTTTTATTTTTTGGTAGCTGAATAATATTCTGTAGATATGTACCACAATTTCTTTACCCTTTCATCTGTTCGTGGGCCTTAGATTGTTTCCATTATTACTATCGTGAATAATGCTGAAATGAACATGGGACAGTACATACCTCTTTGAGATCTTGATTTCATTTCTTTTGAATAAAATATCCAGAATTGTAATACTGGATCATGTGGTAGTTCTATTTTTTAATTTTTTGAGGAAACTCCATACTTGTTTCCGTAGCAACTATACCACTTTGCATCCCCACAAACAGTGTTCAAGGGGTCCCTTTTCTACACACCCTCACCAACACTAGTTATCTCTTGTCTTTTTGATAATTGTCTTCCTTACAGGTGTGAGGTGGTATTTTGTTGTGCTTTAAATTTAAATTTCTCTGATGTTGAGTACCTTTTCATATACCTGTTGGACAAAATTGTATATCTTCTTTGGAAAAATGTCTGTTCAGGTTCTTTGCTCATATTAAAAACTTAGAGGTTTTTTTTTACAGTGAGCTGTGTGAGTTCATTACATACTTTAGATATTTACCCCTTATCATATATATTTGCACATACATATGCACATATATGTATATATACCTAAGTATATGGTTTGCAATTATTTTCTCCCATTCAACATGCTACTTTTTCATTTTGTTGATTTTATTGTTTTCTTTGCTGTGCAGAAGCCTTATAGTCTGATGTAACTGACTTATTTTTTCTTTTGTCATCTGTGCTTTTTTCTTCTGGTGTCATATCCATAAAACTCACTGCCACAAAAGTTGTTGAGGAGCTTCTTGATTTTTTTTGAGGTTTATGGTTTTTATATTTAAGTCTTTCATCCATTTTGACTTAATTTTTCTACATGGTGTAAGAAAAGGGTCCAATTTCATTCTTTTGTATGTGAATATCCAGTTTTCCTAGTACCAATTATTAAAGTAACTTTCTTTTCCCTATTGGGTCTTGGCAGTCCTGTCAAAGATCAGTTGACAATATATGCTTGGGTTTATTTCTGCACTTTCCATTCTGTTCCAATGGTCTATGTGTCTGTTTTATTGCCACTATCATACTATTTTGATTACTATAGCTTTGTAATATAGTTTGAAATCAGGGGATGTGATGCTTTCAACTTTGCTCCTTCTGAAATAAATAGCTTTTGCTATTTAGAGTTTTTGTAGTTCCATACAAAGTTTCTCTTCTTTGGTAAAATGTGGGCTCAAATCTTTTGACTATTTATATTGGTTTCTTTGTTTTCAGATTATTGACTTTATATATTCTGTATCCAACTCATTTATCAGATAAGCTCTTGGCAAATATTCTCTCCCACTCAGCATCTTTGTAGTTTTATTTGCATAATTGTGTTTCAAAGAAAAAAATTCTCTTACAGTTTGTGCTTCTGTGACTTATCTAAGTTCCTTTCATAACCCAATGTTACCAAAAATTTCTCCTGGGTTTTACTCTAGGATTTGTACAATTTTAAGCTTTACACTTTGACCTACGATCCATTGTGAGTTGCTTTTTGTATACAGTGCTGTATATGAGTTGAAGTACATTATTTTCTCATATGGATGTCCAAATGTTTCAGCATTGTTTTTTAAAAAATGACTTTCACTTTCATTTAGCGGGACATATTTGTGAAAAATCAATTGACCATATCTGTGTGGGTTTACTTTGGGACTCTCTAGTGTGTTTCATTGATATAATCATTCATTATCATTCATTGATGTAATCATTCATTCTTAAATCAACACTACACTGTCTTGATTCATGTATCTCCTCATTTAGCCTTGAAACCAGTCATGTGAGTCATCCAACTTTGTTTTCACTTTGAAAATTATCTGGCAATTAGAGATCTTTAGCATTTTCATATACATTTTGAATTTGTTTGTGAATTTTTACAAAAATACCTGTTGTGATTTTGATTAGCATTGCATTCAATTGATAAATCAGTTTGGTGAGGATTGAAATACTGACAATCTCAACTTGTGTCATGCATGAAAACAAGTACCTTTATTTTGATCTTTGTCAATTTCCTTCATCAATATGTTTTAGCTTTCAGAATGAAAATCTTCCAAATAATTTTTAGATTTATTCTGTTTTATGGTTTTAAGAATGTATTTTAAAATGCCGAGGCTGACTGTAGAAGGATTGCTTAAGTCTAGGAGACTGAGACCAGCCTGGGCAACATAGTGAGCCCCTTCTCTACAAAAAGTAAAAAGTTAGCCAGCTGTGGTGGTGCATGCCTGTAGTCCCAGCTACTCAGGAGGCTGAGGTGGGAGGATCACTTGGGCCTATGAGGTCGAGGCTGCAGTGAACTGTGATTGCATCAGTATGCTCCAGCCTGAGTGACAGAGTGATACCTGGTCTCAAAAAATAATGAAACAAATGAATAAATAAGAATAAAATTCCAATTTCCATTTATTGAATTTTAGTATATAAATACACAAATGATTTTGTATATTAACCTTGACATAGCAAGAAGAGAGTAAATTGAAGGGTTGCTTTCAGTAACCACCACAGTCTCACCACTTTGCAGCCCATCTCTATGCCCTGCCTTCCAACTGAACCATAGAACCTAGGAAAGCATGAATAAAAAAAGAGACTACCAAATAGGTCAGGCCTGATGGAAAGTCGGGAATATTAAGAAATAAATTTACAGAAATGCAAGGTGAGTTTTCCTTAGTTTGAACTCTGGATAATGATGTTTTATAGTGTTTTAGCCAATGAAAATACTTGCAAGTAGGTGAGGGGACAGAGGATCATATATTAACATGAGATAGCATGGTACAGTACAGATGTATGGGCATGCATTTTCAAGTCAGTAAAACTACCATGTTTGATGTCTGGTTCTACCAGTTTGGGTGAGTTATGTAGCCATTCTGCAAAACCAAATTGCAAAAGGACTATAGTGAAGGATTAATAACATAATGCACATAAAGAGATTAGCATCATGACTATGGCCATAAGCAGGGAATAAATCAGCTGCTGTTTTTATGTGTCTAGAACTGTCATGCTTCTGAGATTTCACCCTATTTACAATCTAATAAGTTAGCTTGTTACTATTCCATGGTTAGTTGCAGAAGACAAGAGTTCCCTGGAGGAGAGATAAAAGACTTTATTACTCATGGAAGACACAGAGCTTTATGTTTATATCAGTTCTCCTTTATCTTCTGTTCCATGTAGTGAGGAGGAGGAAGTAGGAAGAACACAAAACAGTTGGATCTTAATGGATGCCAACACTAGAGAAAGTGCTGTTACAGGAGAGAAAGCCAGCTAGATATCAAGTATCTTTTGAGCAAGCAACAAACATTGTATCAAGGAGCAAATAAGTCAGTCCCCTCTTTTTGGGAGTGAATGATATGATTCTTTAAATTTACTCAGTTGTCTATGTAGCTATCTACATATGCCTTGCAGTCTGACAAACTGAGCAAGAATGTGAAGGATGCTCATGGACCAAGGTAGACTGTTCTTCTCAATAGTATAGTTATTAATTGAAAAAAAAATTACTATGAAAAGAAAAGGCTTATAATGCTCATAAAAATTTCATAGCCAGATCTGCTTGATACTGCTGTGATTTGAATATTTGTCCCCAGTGTGGCAGTATTGAGAGGTGGAACTTTTAGGAGGCGATTAGGTAATGAGGCCTTTGCCCCCATGAATAAGTTAATCCATTCATGGATTAATAGATTATTGGGTTAATGGATTAATGGGAGTGGGACTGATGGCTTTATAAGAAGAGGAAGAGAGGCATGAGCTAGCACTCTGAGCCCCTCATCATGAGATATGCTGTGCCACCTCAGGACTCTGCAGAGTCCCCTCAGCAAGGAGGCACTCATGAGATGTCATCCCTCAACCTTGGACTTCTCAGCCTCCAGAACCATAAGAAATACCTTTCATTTCTTATAAATTATCCAGTTTTAGGTATCCTGTTATAGGTAACAAAAAATGAACTAAGACAAATACCATCAAATGATAAAATATTACTTCCAAAGAGACCTTCTTCCTTCCACAAGCACCACTGGGACAATGCCTGTCTGCTGTAACTTCATTCATCATTCATAGAGTTCCCAAGAATATGTTCTACGCTTCTTTGAAATAAAACCCCTTCACGTATTTTAAAATAGTTGTTATGGTGTGTGTGTGTGTGTGTGTGCATTTGTGTGTGTGTGTATATATATATAGTGTATATATATAGTGTGCGTGTATATGTATAGTGTGTGTGTGTGTGTGTGTATATATATATATTTTTTTTTTTTTTGAGACAGTCTCACTCTGTCACCCAGGCTGGAGTGCAGTGGTGTGATCTTGGCTCACTGCAACCTCTGCCTCCCAGGTTCAAGTGATTCTCCTGCCTCAGCCTCCTGAATAGCTGGGACTACAGGCATGAACCACCATGCCAAGCTTTTTTTTTTTTTTTAATTTTTACTAGAGACAGGGTTTCATTATGAAATTCTGAGGCCAGGCTGGTCTCAAACTCCTGTCCTCAAGTGATCCACCTGCCTTGGCCTCCCAAAGTGCTGGGATTACAGGCGTAAGCCACCGTTCATGGCCTTTCCCTATTTTTTTTATAATTTGAGTGAACTATCTGCAAAATGTTATATTAATTATATGACATTTAACATGTGATAGTCTTCTGTTCTAAACACGCTGCATGTATTAAATTTTTTTTTCATTTTCACAACAACATTATAAAGTGTTCATTATTTTATAATGTCTGTTTGTTTTATGAATGAGTAAACTGAGGGCACAGAGGAGAAGAACTTGCTCTGGACACACAGCAGGTGCTACTGGAGCTGAGGTTTGAATCTGTCAGTTCTAAGCTCCAGAACCTGTGTGCTTACCCATGTGCCACACTGTCTACATCTACTCTCATATAAAAATATTTTCTGTATTTTTCTTCATCTATCAATCATATTTTTTTCTTCTTTATCAGAGAGTTTTATAAACTAAAGACAGGGTTTGCATATACCAAATTTTTTGAGTCTAGGGTGATTAATAAAAGAGTAGATTGGTCAAGCTACGAACAAAGAAGATAGTTTATGAAGTACAAAAAAAATCACCAAGTAGAAAGATTTCTTTAGAATAAATACTTTTCTTTAGAAGAAGTACTGAGTTTAGTAAAATAGTTGAAATATTCCTTTCATATCTCAAATCTAAGTGCAGTATCACTGGCAGACTCCATGAGAGCTATAGTTGGAAAAAAGATTGGCTTAAGACTATGGAGACATCATTTTAAATCAGATTTAAATCAGATTTTACCTCAAGTTGGTTCAAGTTGGCTACCACCTGAACCTTTAAGCCCTTTGAAATCTCTGGGTCACAGTTTCACCTTTGCAAAATGCAAGAGTTAAACTAGGTAATATCTAAGTATGTATCAAGCCCTACAGTTTTGTATTCTTAATAAATCATCTCTCATAGAACTTTTCACCTGCATCTCAAAAATAAGTCACTAACTCACTCAATTATATCATAGCTTATATAAGATATACCACTAACAATAATCGCAAATAAATAGTCACAAAGACTCTCTGTATTAGTCCATTTGCATGCTGCTATAAGGACACACTTGAGACTGAGTATTTATAAAGGAAAGAGGTTTAATTCACTCACAGTTCCACATGGCTGGGGAGGCCTCAGGAAACTTACAATCATGGCAGAAGGCACCTCTTCACAGGGTGGCAGGAGGAAGAACAAGTGCCAACAGGGGAAAAGCCAGATGCTTATAAAACCAGCAGATCTCATGAGCACTCCACTCACTATCATGAGAACAGCATGGGGGAAACCACCCTGATCATTCAATTACCTCCCACTGGATCCCTCCCACCACACGTGGGGATTATGGGAACTACAATTCAAGATGATGTTTGGGTGGTGACACAGGTAAACCATATCATTTCACCCCGGCCCCTCCCAAATCTCATGTTCTCACATTTCAAACATCATGCCTTTTCAACAGTCCCCCAAAGTCTTAACTCATTCCAGCATTAACGCAAAAGTCCAAGTCCAAAGTCTCATCTGAGTCAAGGTAAGTCCCCACCATCTATGAGCCTGTAAATTTGAAAGCAAGTTAGTTACTTCCTAGATACACTAGGGGTACAGGCATTGGGTAAATAACCCC
Source organism: Homo sapiens (assembly GCF_000001405.40). Lineage (NCBI taxonomy): Eukaryota > Metazoa > Chordata > Mammalia > Primates > Hominidae > Homo > Homo sapiens. Next base: position 108,836,805 of record NC_000013.11, on the reverse strand, counting down.
ATTCCAAATGGGAGAAATTTGCCAAAAGAAAGGGGTACAGGCCCCATGCAAGTCCAAAATACAACAGGGCAGTCATTAAACCTTAACGTTCCATAACGATTCTCTTTTGACTCCACGTCTCACATCCAGGTTACACTGATGCAAGAGGTGGGCTCCCATGGCCTTGGGTAGCTCTGTCCCTGTGGTTTTGCTGGGTATGGCCCTGCACCCGGCTGCTTTCATGGGCTGGCATTGAGGGTCTGCAGCTTTTCCAGGTGCATGGTGCAAGCTTTCAGTGGTTCTACCATTCTGGGGTCTGGAGGAACATGGCCCACTTCTCATAGCTCCATTAAGCAGTGCCCAAGTGGGGACTCTGTGTGGAGGCTCCAACCCCACATTTCCCTTCCACACTGCCCTAGCAGGGCTTCTCCAATGAGGGCTCTGCTCCTGCAGCAAACTTCTGCCTGGAAATTCAGATGTTTCCATACATCCTCTGAAGTCTAGGCTAAGTTTCCCAAATCCCAATTCTTGACTTCTGAGCACCCACAGGCCCAACACCACATGTATTCCACCAAGGCTTGGGGCTTGCACCCTCCGAAGCAAGGCCCAAGCTATACTTTGGCCCCTTTGAGCTGCAGCTGAGGCTGAAGTTGCTGGGGTGCAGGACATCAAGTCCCTCAGCAGCACACAGCAGTGAGGTCCTGGGCTCAGCTCACAAAACACAAAACCATTTTTGCCTCCCAGACTTCCTGGCCTGTGATGAGAGGGGCTGCTGTGAAGGTCTCTGACATGCCCTGGAGACATTTTCCCCATTGTCTTGGTGACTAGCACTTGGCTCCTTGTTACTTATGCAAATTTCTGCAGGAGGCTTGAATTTTTCCCCAAGAAATAGATTTTTCTTTTCTACTGCATCATCAGGCTGCAAATTTTCCAAACTTTTATGCTCTGTTTCCTTTTGAACGCTTTGCTGCTTAGAAATTTATTCTGCCAGATACCCTAAATCATCTCTCTCAAGTTCAAAGTTTCACAGTTCTTTAGGGCGTGGCAAAATGCTGCCAGTTTCTTTGCTAAAGCATAGCAAGTGTCACCTTTGTTCCAGTTCCCAACAAGTTCCTCATCTCCATCTGAGACCACCTCAGCCTGGACTTCATTGTCCATATCACTATCTGCATTTTGGTCAAAGCTATTCAACAAGTCTCTCAGAAGTTCCAAACTTTCCCTCATCTTCCTGTCTTCTTCTCAGCCCTTCAAACTGTTCCAGCCTCTGCCTGTTACCCGGTTACAAAGTTGCTTACACACTTTTGGGAATCTTTACAGCAGCACCCCACTCCCAGTACATATTTACTGTATTAGTCTGTTCTCATGCTGCTATAAGGACGTACCTGAGACTGGGTAATTTATAAAGGAAAGAGGTTTAATTGATTTGCAGTTCCACATGGCTGAAGAGGCCTCAGGAAAATTACAATAATTGCAGGAGGAATCTCTTCACAAGGTGACAGGAGAGAGAATGAGTGCCAGCAGGGGGAAATGCCAGATGCTTATAAAACCATCAGATCTTGTGAGAACTCGTTCACTATCAAGGGAACAGCATGGGGGAAACTGTCCTCATGATTCAATTACCTCCCACCAGGTCCCTCCCAGGGAATGCGGGGATTATGGGAACTATAATTCAAGATGAGATTTGGGTGGGGACACATCTAAACCATATTACTCTCTTATTCATATAAGAAAAAAAAAATTCTAAGTAATATACTTGTTTTGAAAGGCAGTATATTAATTAGTTATGCGTTATTTTCTACAAGAAAAGTGCAAATTGTACAGCTAGGCTGATGGCATACAATATTTTACATTTCCATAGAACAATTGTTTAGGTTTCTCTCTTTCTTTAACAATAAAACATTTTTATCTATAATCACTGTGATTAATAATAGCATTCAGAAAATTTAACTTCAATATATTTAAATTTTCATTTACTATGCATTTGTAGAATTTAAGGACACACATAGTAAAATGCTATTTGTTAAAAAAAAGAAATAATTTTAATCACTGGTATTTTCTTAATACACATTAAATGTTCATTGATTGGAAAAACATTTATCAGATTATGTTTTAAAATAGGATGTGAATATATATATATATTCACATATATATATGTGTGAGAGAGAGAGAGAGAGAGAGAGAGAGAGAGTACAAGACTGAATAAAACAGGAAACATAAAGGGCAAAAGGAAAAATTCCAAGTTAATAGCAGTTTCATCACAAAGGTGGGGTAGTGACCCAGAAGGCCTTAACCTTCTTCTCTCAGCTCAACTTTGGACTATCTCTAGTCCTCTGAACTCCCTTTTCTTGGAGCAATGTCTTTAGAAAACTGAACTGCAATTTTTTTCTCTGCCCCTTTGAGATGTATATCTTCTCCCAGCCTCTGGCCAGTTTTACAACCCAGGAATGTCTTTATGACCTGGGAGTCATCCCTTTGAAATCTAAACAGGGAAGAACATAGCCCACATATTTCCCAGTTTTTGTGGAGCACAGGAGCCTATAAAGGACAATTAGCAAATGCCCATGGCTTAATCACCTTGATGAAAGTCCCTCCTAAAGTGCTACGTACTTTCCCCCTAGCTCACCCCAGCACTTAGAAACTCTCCTACTTTTTGTTCAGTAGAATTGAGCTCAATCATTCTCCCTTGGTGCAATAGTTTTTAGTAAAGTCTTTCTTTCCTGTATAACTTCTCTGGTGCAGTTTTTCTTTGAAGCAAATGAGTCATTTTTTTCATGTTTCTATATGTTTTTCTGCACTTTCCAAATTTTATTCAACAAGAAATTGTTATTCTGATTATGAAAAATAAATTATTAGTAATAGAACTTTATTTGGTGAGAAAAAATGGAAATGAGAGAGTATATTTTCTATTGGTAAGACAGATCCCATAAACATTTTAAAAAAGAAAATCAGTACCATCCAAGGGTAGCTTAGATTAATACAGTAGAGACAGATTTAACTCTGACTGTGAAAAAAAATAGATGAGAATATACCAGCAGACAACCAATTTCTGAACTCTACTGGATTTATGCCAGACTTACTTATTTTGACAAACATCAAAGTAACTTCATGCAGAGAAAATGTGCCTGTAGGAAATAGGATTTTATTTCTGAAAATGGAAACAGGAATGTAATAAAATGAAACTAACAAAGGCAACAATTATCGCCCATTATAACTAAAGCAATCTTAGAAAACCATAGAGATGAAATAAAATGGAATCTATTGAGATACATGAGGACAACAACAACAAAAACTAACAGAAACAGATGTAAAGATATGGCATGTGTGACTTGGTTATTTTGGTGCTTAAAATAATTGACTGAATAGACAGTTCTCAACGTTACTCCTACAAACATAGCTACATCAATTTTTCACCGTAGAAAATTCAATTACATTTTTGTTTTTTTTCTGCTTCTATAAAATAAGATAAAGATCCAAATATTAATATTAAATGAAAGAGCTCTTGGAGAGATTTGAATTAATTGCTGTATGTTTGGTCCTTCCAAAAATTCATTTTTGTAAGTTTTTTTTTTTTACAATTTAAAGACCATTATGGTAAAATATTACCTGTGTCTAAAAAGCAAATAAAACTTTCAATGTGTCATTGGCTGAACTGGAGTTTGTATTGTTTTTGAGACATATTAATCTAACAGCTCTCAACAGATATATGCAAAAAAATTTTTAATAGCTTGTTTAAGGGAAAATCTGGAAATTAAGTATAATTTAGTAGTTTTATGTATATATGAAGGAAGATTCTGAAAGTTCCAAGTGTTAGCTTTGCTAGGAATGCTCCCTGAATGTATCATTCTGTCCCTGTATTCTATGACATTTCTCTTTGTGCACTACTGGACTTCAGAATACCTAAGTGAAAATAATTAAGGAACTTATTGACAGGTTTATCAATATTTTGTAAACACATTCTGTAGAATTTAACAATGTAGTTGTAATATTTGATTAAAAAGGCTTGATGTTTTATAGATTACTAAATAAAAAAATTACACATACATATCAAATGACTTATTTGATATAAAAGTCATTTGTAATCTAAAAGACTATATACAAATATGATTTATTATTGCTTAAATACTATGCATTAATATTCTTTAATATATTAATGTGAAGTGAAACTATACAAGAAATTTTATGCCACAGTTTTCTGATTCTGCGAAAGTAGAACTTAAGGTGCCAACTGGGACATTTTAATACTGAAAGAGGATTTTATTCATCATCATGCTGGGGAAACAAGCAGAAACCAGACTGGACCAAATGGGCACCTATGGCCACTCTAGTTATGAGAAATTTCTTCTGCTTGTGAAAAAGAGGTATTCAGGACATACAAATCCACATGGGGCTGGGCACGGTGGCTCACGCCTGTAATCCTAGCACTTTGGGAGGCTGAGGCGGGTGGATCACCTGAGGTCAGGAGTTCAAGACCAGCCTGGCCAACATGGTGAAACCCTGTTCTACTAAAAATACAAAAATTAGCTGGGCACGGTGGTGCACACCTATAATCCCAGCTACTCAAGAGGCTGAGGCAGGAGAATCTCTTGAGCCCAGGAGGCGGAGGTTGCAGTAAGCCAAGATTGTGCCATTGCCCTCCAGCCTGGGCGATAGAGCGAGACTCTGTCTCAAAAAAAAAAAAAAAATCCATACGGAACATTGAAATACACTGGAAAGTCAAAGTAGTATCATTTCCACAACTTCTAAATCTTTGGAGTCCTAAAACTTTGGCACAAGAAGCAAGATACCCCAAGAGCATGATACCCCAAAGTTACAGCAGCTGTAGCACCAGCCAATATTCCTTTAGGCTGCCCACCTCAGAAACTAAGAATAGTATCTTAAGGAAATGGACATTGATTTTTCTCACATAACAAGAAAAGCAGAAATAGGCAGCCCAGGGATGGTAACCTTCTCCAGATCTTCTGGGCCTTTGATTTGTTCTAGCTTCCTGCTCTGTTATTCTTAGAAAGTAACTTTCAGCTGGGCATGGTGGCTTACGCCTGTAATCTCAGCACTTTGGAATGCCAAAGCGGGTGGATGACCTGAGGTCAGGAGTTCGAGACCAGCCTGGCCAAGGTGGTAAAACCCTGTCTCTAGTAAAATTACAAAAATTAGCTGGGTGTGGTGGTGGATGCCTGTAATCCCAGCTACTTGGGAAGGTGAGGCCAGAGAATCGCTTGAACCCAGGAAGCAGAGGTTGCAGTGAGCTGAGATTGTGCCATGGCACTCCAGCCTGGGCAACAAGAGCGAAACTCTGTCTGGAAAAAAGAAAGTAACTTTCATTTTTTGGTTGCAAGATTACTTGGCATTACCAGATCACACACTTCTGTACCAAGAAGGAAGGCAATAGAAGGAAAGAAACAATGATGCTTACCAGAGAAATCTGTCCTTTTTAATTCCTTGAAGCCCTATCCTGTTAAAGGCTTGCTAGATTTAGCAAATAAAAAATCTTTGACAATTACAAATAATAAATGATTTTTTAAATTACAAATTCAAATTTAGCTGCATTTCTTGCATTTTACCTGGCAACTCTATGCCCGGTAGACTTCTGCATGTGTTTTAGTGGCCAGGACAGTGGCTGGTATGTTGTGTGGCCCCTACATTTATCTATTGAAACCCAATCCTCAAAGTGATAGCATTAAGAAGTAGGGGTTTTACGAGGTGACTAAGTCATGAGGGTGGAACTCTCAGGAGGATTAAAGCCTCTATAAAACTGCCCCGAGATCACTGTGTCCCTCTTCCACCATGTGAGGACACTGTGAAGGCACTGTTCATGAGAAATGGGTCCAGCTGAATTTGAATTTGTAATAAAAATATTATTACTAACAGAAACAGATGTAAAGATATGGCATATGTGATTTGGTTATTTTGGCACTTAAAATAATGGACTGAATAGACAGTTCTCAATGTTACCCCTAGAAACATAGCTACATAAATTGTTCACTGTAGAAAATACAATGAACTTTTTTTCCTGCTTTTATAAAATAAGATAAAGATCCAAAGATTAATATTAATATCTGACGTTTTATTATTATACTTTAAGTTTTAGGGTACCTGTGCACAATGGGCCGGTTAGTTACATATGTATACATGTGCCATGCTGGTGCGCTGCACCCACTAACTCGTCATCTAGCATTAGGTATATCTCCCAATACTATCCCTCCCCCCTCCCCCCACCCCACAACAGTCCCCAGACTGTGATGTTCCCCTTCCTGTGTCCATGTGTTCTCATTGTTCAATTCCCACCTATGAGTGAGAATATGCGGTGTTTGGTTTTCTGTTCTTGCGATAGTTTACTGAGAATGATGATTTCCAATTTCATCCATGTCCCTACAAAGGACATGAACTCATCCTTTTTTATGGCTGCACAGTATTCCATCGTGTATATGTGCCACATTTTGTTAATCCAGTCTATCATTGTTGGACATTTGGGTTGGTTCCAGGTCTTTGCTATTGTGAATAGTGCCACAATAAACATACGTGTGCATGTGTCTTTATAGCAGCATGATTTATAGTCCTTTGGGTATATACCCAGTAATGGGATGGCTGGGTCAAATGGTATTTCTAGTTCTAGATCCCTGAGGAATCGCCACACTGACTTCCACAATGGTTGAACTAGTTTACAGTCCCACCAGCAGTGTAAAAGTGTTCCTATTTCTCCACATCCTCTCCAGCATCTGTTGTTTCCTGACTTTTTAATGATTGCCATTCTAACTGGTGTGAGATGGTATCTCATTGTGGTTTTGATTTGCATTTCTCTGATGGCCAGTGATGGTGAGCATTTTTTCATGTGTTTTTTGGCTGCATAAATGTCTTCTTTTGAGAAGTGTCTGTTCATGTCCTTTGCCCACTTTTTGATGGGGTTGTTTGTTTTTTTCTTGTAAATTTGTTTGAGTTCATTGTAGATTCTGGATATTAGCCCTTTGTCAGATGAGTAGGTTGTGATTTTTCAGAGCTTTCCCAAATCTATTGTGAGTCTTATCCTTTTATTAAGGTCAAAAGGGGCACACTGCCTTATATATTATTTCATTCAAAAATCCCCATGGGGTATTTCTCCTCCCCAAGAGTCACTTGGCTGAGGCCACCCTGGGATCAACTCCAAGCAGTCCCTTTTCCTGTGGCCCTCAGCCCTGCTTAGGTCCCCTCCTCATAGTCTTTTCTCATCCCTAGGAAAGTGGCATTTCTTCTCTATCCCAGGTCACAGATGACTCAGAAACTCTGGCGACTCAGCCCCCACACAACCTCATCAGAGTATTCACCCAACCAAAGCTGGTTTTTTATGATATTAGATGTTCTTTCCAGCTGCTTAGAAAATAAGATTTTCTCCATATGGTTATAATCAGTTTAAAAGCACCCAGCGGAAGGCCTACCACTATTTTTGTCTCAGCCTACAGCTACAAAGCCATTCTTCTTTAGATGCTTTTGCTGCCAGTTCAAAGATAAGTGAAGAACATCTTTTTCTGGTCATTTCTTAAGCAATTATTTAGTACTTACAATGAGGCAGATATTGCTCTAAATGCTCTATAAATATTAACTCAGTTATGAAGAACAACCCTAAGATACAGTTATTATTACTATCATCATCAAACTCTGATGTCCTGCAGTACAATTATGCTAACCGCCAAGGGTTAGACCAGAGCCTACAGGTTAAGGGCACAGTCCTCATCAAGACTGCCCCCATTTTAGATTCCAGCCAAAAGTTTGGGGGTCCCCAGGCCACTTGAACTTTTGAGCAACGAGCTACAAATTCTGAGATTCTCACAAGCCCCTGAGGTTTGACAAACTACTAGAATGGCTTACAAAACTCACCAAAGTACTAATACAGCTTTATCATAAAGGATACAAATTAAGACAAGACTGGCAAACAAATACATATGAAAAAGTCTGAGAGGGTCCCAAATGCAGAGCTTCTGAGCCCCCTCCCCAAGGATGCAGGGTACATCAAACTCCAGCCCACTGATGTGCTCACCAATTCGGAGTCTCCACGGAGCTTCAATGTCCACAGTTTTTATTGGTGTCTCGTCACATAGGCATCAATGATGCCATCATTGGCCACATGTTTGAACTCCATCTCGAGCCTGTCCTGCTCCTCCTGGAGGTTGGGCTGGTTTTAATCACATGGTTGGTCTTTAATCACATTGTTGGTTTTTCTGGCATGACTAGGCCCCTACCCTGCGTCATCTCACCTGGTAGGATAAACTCAGATGCGATCCAAAGGGCTCATGAGTAACAAAGGCACTGTTATTCCATGGGAAATTCCAAGGATTTGGTTCCCACCCAGAAATCAAGGATAAAAATCAGCCAGATTCTTTACAAAACAACACCCACATTTTGTACTTCAGTAAAAATGTCACAAAGAGGTTGACTGAATTGCTCAAGGTCATAGAGCCAGTAAATGGCAGAGCCAGGATCTGAAACTGGATAGTGGCTCTGGAGTCTCTGCCCATAAGCACCACACCACCGGGCCTCACCAGGAACACTCAGAGAGGGAGTTCAGGCACTATCAATTTCCTTTTTAAAGCCAAATTGATAAGCTTTGGAATTACAAATAAAAATGACCTCCTCGCTGAAACAATAACAGAGTTAGCACACGCCTGGCATGAGTCATGTTCTTGAAGCTCCAAGCCTCAGCTAGGTGTGTATCAAATGGTTAAGTAACAGGACATGCGTCCAGGTGTTGTTCTGAGAGTTAAATGAAATAATCCAAACTAGTTTGCTCAAGATTCAACACCTGGTAACTGTAGTAAAAAATATCAGTTGTCAAAACTGTTGTTATTATTACAAATAATAAGTAAAAAAAACCCTTTCATCAATGAACTACTCCACTTAGGCAACATGTAGAATTTCTGTGGGCTTTATCTCACGGGCTCCATGAACTAGAATATTAGAGATGCAAGTTGGCACATATCCAAACTGCTCAGTGATGAAAAACCCTGGGTGAGCACGTCCATGCTCAGACGCTAAAGGGCATATTCAGCAGCAGCTGTTTCATTAGTGGCAATAACAGCAAGTGAGGCACTTAAATACATCTGAAGACAGAAAGGCAACACAGAGAGGAGGCGCCCAGTCAGAAGGAACTGAGGAGCAGAGTGAAGAGCAGTCAAGTATGGAAGGAAGACAAAGCAGGCTTACAGGGATCTGTCCTTACAGATACAGAATGTTACAGGTGGAAGGGCCTTTGAAATTAAAGCTGCACATTTTTAGACATGAGCTTGAAAGTCAGGCAACATGGGGAAAACTTAGGAATGCTGATTGGATAGGAGACACCTTAGAAAACGTGAAATATGGGATAATCAAATAGCATAGGCATTTCCAATTCATCAAATATTTAAAGACAGGCAGTGTTTACTGACAGCAGGCCATAGTGGAAGTGATGTCCTTAACCTTACTAAATCATGATTTACTGCACAAAATGCTCACTGAAACAATAAATATGAGTTTACTGTAAAGCAGAAATTTGGCTTGTATCCTGAGATAGCAGAAAAATGAACTATTCCATTCTTTCTTGCAATTGTAGCAAAATATATTCTGGGGGAAAAAAAAACAAATCACCTTTAGAATGCAAAGGAATAGGAAGCTGGGGTTAAGACTGACAAAGAAAAATGAGCAGCCATGATTCAGATGACGGAATACATGGTGAAGTCATGGACAGTTGTTCCCCCTTTTTTATTGTTCTTATATATAAAACTCCTATGAATATTTATGTACAGGTTTTTGTGTAGACATATATTTTCATTATCTGGGAGATAAACAATGCCCCTAGGAGAAGAATTTATGGGTCACGTGGTAAACCTACGTTCAACTGTTTGAGAACTGCCAGATTGTTTTTCATCACTGCCTCACCATTTGACATTCCCACTACCACCATACGAGAGTGGCAGTTCCTCCACATCCTTGCCAACACTGATTTACCTTTATTTTTTTGTTCTTTATTAATGGCCATTCTAGGAAGTATAAAGTGGTATCTCATGGTGGTTTCCATTTGGCTTTTCCTGATAAATAATGTAGAGTATTTTTGTGTGTGCTTGTGGGCTATGATTGTATCTTCTTTGAAGAAACATATATCCAAATGCATTGCCCATTTTTAAGGGAGTTATTTGTCTTTTTATTGTTCAGTTGTAAGCATCCCTTTACATTTTGTTAGATATAGCACTGAAGAAATTTTCTCCCATTGTGTGTCTTTTTTTTCACTTTCTTATTACTGTCTTTGAAACCACTAAAATCTTTAGTTTATCTATTTTTGCTTTTATTGCTTATCTTTCGGTGTCATATCTAAGAAACCATTGCCTCATCCAAAGTCAGAAAGATTTACATTTTTTAAAGAGAGTTTTATAGTTTTAGCTCTTACATTAGGTCAATGATCCATTTTGAGTTAATTTTTATGTATGACATAAAGTTCAGGTCCAACTCATTATTTTGCATGTGAATATCCAGTTGTCTCAGTACTGTTTATTGTAAAAGGCTATTCTTTCCCATAGAATCATCTTGGCATTCTTTGCAAAAATCAGTTAACCAGAAATGTAAGGGGTTCTTTTTGGATTCTCAGTTCTATTCTGTTGATATATTTCCATCCTATGCCAGTATCACAATGTCTTAGTTACTATAGATTTTAAGTAAGTTTTGAAATAGGGTTGTGTGAGTTCTCCAACTTTGTTCTTTTTTCACATAATTATTTTAGGGATTCTGGGTCCTTGAATTGTTATGTGATTTTAAATATTGGCCTATCAATTTTTGCAAAAAGTCATCTGGTATTTTTATAGAGATTGTGTTAACAATATTAAGTCTTCTAATCCATGAATTTAATATTTCTTTCCATATATTTAGGCTCTTTAATCTCTTTCAGTGATGTTTTGTAGTTTTCAGTGTAAAAACTTGCCGTTCTTTTCTTAAATTTTCTTGTATTTTGTTTTTCTTATGTTGTTGTAAATTATTTTTAATTTTTCCTTTTTTTTCTAACCTACTGGGTAAGCATGTTTTCAATCTCATTTTTGAATTATGAATTGCTGTGTATAGAAATACAGATTGTTTCTGTGCCTTGATCATGGGTATTGCCATCCTCTTGAACTATATTCTTAGTTCAAATAAGATATTTTTGTAAATTCCTTAGAATTTTCTATACACAAGATTATGTCATCTGAACATAGAGATAGTTTTACTTCTTCATTTCCAGTTTGGATACTATTCATTTATTTATTTATTTATTTATTTATTTTCTTGCTAGGTTGCTCAAGCTAAAACCGCAATACAATGTTGAACTGAGCTGGTGACAGCAGACACTCTTGCCTTTGTCCTCATCTTATGGGGTAACTGATCAGTCACCATTGAGTATGACGTTAGCCCTGTTTTGTTTTTGTTTTGTTTCTTTTTTTTATTTTTTGGTACTTGCCCCTTATCAGGTTGAGAAAATTTCCTGCCATTCTTAGTTTATTTACTTTTTTCTCATAAAAGGGTGTTGGGCTTTGTCAAATGCTTTTTCTGCATATATTGAGATAATCATGTGATTTTGTTCTTTATTCTATTAACATGATATACCATATTTTCTGATTTTTGAATGCTCAGCCTTGCTTTCTTGTCATAAATCTCACAAAGACATATTGTGAAGTCCTTTTTATATGTGGCTCAACCTGATTTGCTGGTGTTTTATTTAGGTGTCTTAAAGCTATATTCATAAGGTTGTTGTTTTCTTTTTATCTGATATTTTTATCTGATTTTTGTATCCGGGTAATTCTGACCTGATAGAATGAGTCAAAAACAATTCCCTGCTCTTCTGTTTTTGAAAGTGTTTGTGACAGATTGGCGTTAATTCTTTAAACATTTGGAAGAATTCAGCCTCGAAGCCATGTGGATATTAGCTTTTCTCTGTGAGAAGTTTTTGATGACTAATTCAATCTCTTTACTTGCTGTAGGTCTATTCCAATGTTCTCTTTCTTCTTGAGTTAGTTTTGTTTCTTGGTGTTTCCTTGGAATTCATCAATTTCATCTAGGTTATCTAATATTTTGGTATACAATTGTTCATAATATTTCCTTTTAATTATTTTTGTTTCTGTAAATCCAGGAGTAATGTTCCTCTTTCATTTCTGATTTTAGTAAAAGAATGTTCCATGTTCAATTGAAAAGAATATGTATTCCACTATTTCTGGATGAAGTGCTCTAAATATGTCTGTTAGATCTGGTTGTTTATAGTGCTATTTAAGTCTTCTATTCCCTTGTTGATATTTTGCCCACTTGTTCTATTTGTTTTTGAAAGTTGGGCATTAACATCTTTAACCATTCAAACTAAATATTAGCCATAAGGCAAAGCTCTTTCCAGCAACCACAACACTACCTCTGAAGAATATGAATATATAAATTCATAGAGATCTGTTTTAGAGGGGTTGTATTAGAATATCCAGATTTTCATATATTTGCTTTTTGTACATTTTCACCATGGGTATTTCTATGCTTTTCAATGAACTTGTATATCATGTTAAAACACTTCATAAAGTTTTCCATGTTTGTCTTACATCTTTTAATGCATATTTTAGCAGTAGCATTCTGGAGGTAACAAGCTTTCCAATGTTTAATAATTTATCTTTCAGTAATTTTACAGGTGCTATCAATTTTTTATAATATTGCTCTGGGTACACAATTTCTTTACCTGACTGCTGTTCATGAAGGCCTTTAAAATGATGTGACAGATTTTACAAGGTCCCACACGTTACATGCAATGTTATTTATTCATACAGATTTACTTATTGATTTAGATATTCACAGTCCATCTCTACCTGACAATGTTTGCTATCTGTTTTATTATACATTCCAAGCCCCACAGTCAGTAGATTCCGAACAAATATTTCAGATATTTGAAAATGAATGAATATGTAAGCATACCTAAGTTATATACATAACACCTGTGTTTGTATATCCATATGCTGGCAAAGAGAAACTCTGGAAAATAAGCATTATCTTATGAGTTAAATGAACACTTATTCTTCAGTAAATTTAACATGAATTTGAATGTAAGTTGTTATTTGTCATTCTTATTAATCACACTTTGTGTCCCTTTTTCAGACCTTGAAAATGATGTCAATCCATTTGATATTTTCAATGCAACAGGAAGTTATTTTTAGGAGATAACACACACAACAATAAATGATTAGTTTTATGCTTATGAGAGAAAGAAACATATATCAGTATTTTCTATTTCAGGAAAGTCAGCCATAATGATAATCACTGGAAACTTCACTATCAGTTTAGCTAAAATCTTGGAATGTGTTTAAAATATTATTTGGTCTCATGGCACATGAAATTGATTTAATAACTGATATAGTAAGATTGTTTTTAAATCAGAGGGTTTTTATAAAATAAAATTATGTTTAACTCATCACTGTAAACAAGTATTCTTTGGTATATACATTGATAAACCATTTTAATTGTTCTAACTCTTTGGCTGAGAGTCAGACTTAATATGGGCTCTAAAATGACCAGCAGGTAGAGAAGATGGCAAAAGAGAATAAGCAGGAAGACACTTACAGCTTACTCGACAGTACGGGAAGATCGTGAATGATCTCTTCATAGGGCTCTTCTTGAGCTAAGGTAGAAGCAGATAAAGGCTCTTTCATTTTTTCTTCCCAGGCAATTTCGGCTTTCAGCAGCATTTCCTCAATAAACTCAGAGGCAGCAATATCTACAAGAAAAAAATAAGAAAAATCAGAAAAATGATGGGTGGTGATAGCACATAAATCTATTTACTTTCAATAATTCCGATATGCTTAAAATGCTAAAAATTTATCAATGTATGAATCAAAACAAAAAACCTTAAAAGTTTACGGCTGGGATAAAATTGAAGTACTGTCATTTTAAAAGACTATTTTGTTTTACATCAGTGACACATTTAATTATAAATGAAATAGAAAATAGTATAGACTGGATGGTGATATGTAAAATAAAAAATCATTGAGAATCTAAGCTTGAGCAAACTTAATGTCATTTCATTTTCAGTAAAACTTGTCCTGCATCTTGGCGACTATGAACCAAAATTACAGAAAGAGTTACACTTTCCCATCAACTGGGTTATAAAGCATGTAACTGGCCTCCTATAAACATTCTACTAAATGGGTAGTTGTACAAGTAAATACTCAGTTGTATTATTTAAACAAGGGGTCTGCCCTCTAGCCATAATATTTTTACCTTTATCAATTGCAAATATAAATAAATATATTTCCTTACAAATTACACATAACAGTAACATCTGAACACGTTTGGGCAGCAACATAGTTATGTATCAATCAAGTTTATACTAACAACAATTACTGATATAGAAATTGATACAGATCATGAGGAAAAAATCAACATTCATATCAATTAAGAACCTACTGGAGGCAGCTGCTTCTTCTCAATCGTCAGGACCAGACTGTGTGACCACCTATGTCTATCAATTAGAGTTATGTGGCCTTCTGGGATGGTCACAGTAATGTAGCTGCCACAAGAAGATATTTATGTAAAGATTTTATCATTATTTGCCTCAGATTAAATTATATACATGTAAAAAGTAGGTGAGTGCTCAGCTTTCTTACTTTGGGAGATTAAATTTATGTCCCACTTAACAAATTGTTTTTCCCACAGATTTTTTTCATAAATCTATTCCAAATTCAAGAAACATAAAATAACAGCAATATACTATAGTACTGATGACGACTTTCATTTGCTCAGTTATAGCATGGGTTTCTGGTTTACTGTTCTCTGCTCTATTCTTGCATCTGGTTTTATCTAGTTTTATCTTCTTGCTGCCTAGATTATTGGCATATCTGCTTTAGTTGAAACCTTTCACTGCATTATAACTCTTTGCGTTTTGCATGTGATAAAAGTATTTTTATTCAAGTAGCAAATCTTTACTGAGGATCTATTATGGGCCCAGCACTGTGTCTCATATTGCCAACAGGCCATGAATAAGGTACTAGGTTGCTGGTCGACTTTGCATGACCAATGTGGTAAAAGTTGCCTGAGAGAGTCCTCATGCACTGTGCTGAGATGACCAGTGCTGAGTCTAGACCAGAAGTGCATTCATTGCCTCCGTTCCTAAGATTGTCAACTGCCATGCCTGGACATCTGTTTGAAATGACACTAGACCTAAATGGTGAGAGTATGCCATGGGAGTCCATGTAGTCAAAGGTCAGTCATATCCTCCCTTGTCTGGGAAATAAGCCAGGAATACGAACTTGAAAAGTGTGAGCTACTGTTAGAACCAGACTAGAGTTAGCCGAGGATGTGACTTGTACTCACAGTAAACACGTTTTTAAAAAGAAAATATCTAAAAATGTCTATTTGTTCTTTTGATATTTATCATTAGCATACTAATATAGTTAATGTTAAGATTACTAGACTATAAGTAATATTAGCTTGATTCTCAAGTTTGTGACTATTAAGCTGTGTAAAATTTCTGTTTGGTAAATATTCAGTTTAACAGAGAAGATGAAGTAATAAACATTAGACAATGATACTTAATTCCAATAAATAACAAATAGAGAAAAATCCCTTCTTCTGGCTTTAACTGGAGATTTATTAGAAATTCATACTCCTGAAAGTATATCAAATGACAAATCTCAAAAGTAAAGTACATTTAAGTCAGCAGAGGTATAGCAAGAGGAATAATGTATTTATAAAGTTATTCAGATCAATTACTGTCTTCAATATTTTGATGTTATGGTATTACCTATGCTAGATTTTTCTCTTTGTTATTCAGAACTCTTTTTACTATTGCAAAAATAATTATGAATAGTAACTTTCTGTTAAATTTTGAAAGCCACAAAATTAATGTAGCATCCATTTATTAAATAAGTATATGAATATACAAAAGGTCAGTGACTAAAATAATTTTAGAAATCTTCAAAAATATATTTATTAAAAAATAAGTAACATTAAGTCAAGATTTTCAAAGTTTTAAATTTGCATAAGAATGTCAGCCTCTGTATTTTTCTTGTAGTTTAAATATCTGCACAGATAATAACGCTATTATTTTTCAAAAATACCTTAACGGATAAGCATGTATTTGGTAGGATGAGATATTAGTTAAATAACAGTAAAAATGTATTTTAAAGTACGTTACACTGAATGAATCACTATCCTGAAAGTTTAAAACATGAAAGGCAAAATACAACAAAGTACAACAGTACAGTGTAGATTAAACTGTGAATAGCCTCTTGCAATGGAGGCTATTCACATCGCCTATATCATCGTACATAGGCGATGATGAATTGTGCTTGAACTGGGCTGGTTGTTACACAGCTTCACAGGCATGTCCAGCTCTCACTTTGTAGCTGTGCTGAAGATGGATGGCTACTCCAATATGAAAGGAAGAAAACAGTACCTGCTCAATGGTCCAAGGATGCTCCTAACCTACCTGACGCCTTCTCCTCATTACAGTTCACGAGGTGTGGGTTTGCCTGATGCATCAGGAGAAGTTTCACCAGATTTGTCTGAAATATTAAAGATAATTGAAATGGGAACCACCATGGCAGAAGCTAGGATACATCAGTAAGTCATACACTGTGCTGTCCAACTAACAGCCGGCATGAGACAGTATCAGCATTCCCACTCAGAAGTCCTTCCTGTCCCCTTTCCCAGTGCCTTTTCTAAAAATGTCAGATACTCAAATTATTTCAGCCCTTTCTGGATTCAGAACAAAAATTATTTATCCAATAAGGATTTAATCACTGAAGATTTGAAAAGGACACTTTATAACTTTCAGGTTTATATTATACGTATTTTTAGGATGAGAAACTAGTTACATAACAGTAAAAATGTATTTTAAAGTAAGTTACACTGAATGAATCACTACACTGAAACTTTAAAACGTGAAAGGCAAAATACAACAAAGTACAACAGGACAGTGTAGACTATATGCCATAATATAACCCGAAAGTACATAAGCTATACTCCTTATGTGAGGAATTATATGGTATAGTGTGTTTTGTTCTGTTTTAATTGAGCAATTCATCGAAGTCTAACTTGTTGGCATTGTTGCTCTATGACAGCAACATGGGCAGCAGGAACCTAAAGTCACATTGGACCATTAGAAAAATGCAGTCTCAAGTTCTAAGAGTTAAGTGACTTGATAAATTAACATATATTTTAAATTATTATAATATATCACACATATAAAGGGTATATATAATATACATGTGTTATTGAAAGGGCAATAATGAAATAAATTTCTGTATACTCCACTTTTAAAAATATGTACTCAACATTTTTTTTAATGACATCTTCATGTGTTTCTCCCCAAAACTATGTTTCTCTCTATTTCCCAGAGTTGGCCACTATCGTGACTTTTCGGCTAACCATTAATATCTTCTCTATATGCTTAGCACACACATATGAAAGTATCCCTAAGCAACATATTGCTTAACCTGTTTGTGACATTCATAGAAATGAAATCCTATCGTATAGATTCTTGCGGGCCTTGTTTTCATGGCTTACCGCGAAATTTTTGAGTCATCAGACTTGATGGGTTTAACCAAGGCTCATTCTTTTGGCTGCATGGAATAGTATTGTACAAATATATCACAATTGATCCACCTTTCTCCCAGTGAGTATTCAAGCCATTTGCAGTCATTTATTTGTTTTTACAAATAATGTTCCCATAAGTATTCTCATTTATATCTCTTGGTGCACACATACAATACTTTCTTCAGGATATATGTACTTAGAAATGAAATTGCTGGGATATCAGTTTGGACAGCATCAAAGTGACTAGATAGTGCTAATATATTTTTTTCCAAGAGATTGCTCAGATTTACACTCCTACTCCTAACAAGGCTTTCTGCTGCTCTACGTTCTACTTAATAGCTTTATTACCAGGCATTTACTTGTTGTTAAATTCTTGGGTGTAAAAGAATAGAGCATTGTGGTTTATGGCACATTGCTTTGAAAATGGAGCAGGCTTCTCCTGGATTTCTTTTTGGTATGATTTTATATTATGCTTTTTAAAGTTATTACTTTCTAGGGATTTGCCAGTTTTGCCTAAGTTTCCAAATGTGCTGGCATGATGTTGTTGGTTATATCTTCTTATTGTGCTTTTCCTTTTATTCTCTTTTTAATAGCTGTGCTGTTTGTGTAGTTATGTTTCCATTTGCATGCACACTATCAGTCATTTTATGCATGCCCTATCCATCTTTCTGACCAATATTTCCAAAACTTGGTTCATCTCATTAATGCTTACAAGAACCAATTTGAGGTATTGTTGATTTTTTCTATGGTATTTTTGCTTAACAGTTCAATCACTTTGACTTTTATCTGTTTTATATTCTCATTTATGCATTCTGTGTTTGTTTTATTAATCTCTCTCTTTTTTATTTTTATTTATTATTGTGTTTGTTTTATTAATCTCTCTCTTTTTTATTTTTATTTATTATTATTATTTTTTTTTTGAGACGTTGTTTCACTTTCTCACCCAGGCTGGAGTGCAGTGGCGCCATCTTGGCTCACCGCAACCGCCTTCTCCCAGGTTCAAGCGATTCTCATGTCTCAGCCTCCAGAGTAGCTGGGATTGCCGGCATGCACCACCGCACCTAGATAATTTTTATATTTTTAATAGAGTTGGGGTTTTGTCATGTTGGCCAGGATGGTCTTGAACTCCTAACCTCAAGTGATCAGCCCGACTTGGTCTCCCAAATTGCTGAGATTACACGCGTGAGCCACCGAGCCTGGCCTGTTTTACTAACGTCTTAAAAACTTTGTAAGTTGTAACATTATTTTTCAAACTTGTCTTTTACAATATAGACATTTAAGGTTGCTATGCAACCTTAAAGGCTGTAAATTTTCATCAAGTGAAAATTACCACCACTTTCTTTATGTCTCAAATAGGGACAGAGAAAAAGCAATTTTTTATTATGATTCTGTTCCAGATATTTTAAAATGGTCATTGTATGTCTTTTTGATTTATAGAGAATAGTAAGTCCTGAAATAATGTGTGTTTCTGTAATACAAAGTAGCTCATACTCAATTGATAAACGTTGGTGGTACTATTTTTTCCTAGGCAAGAGGAGTCAAAACAACGGAAGTCAAATCATAAAATTAAAAGACCTCAACTGTGTTGTGCTGGACACTGAAGCCGTCTTAGCTGTATTTCTACGAATATTCTTTTTTTAAACAATGAAGTAATTTAAAGGCAATAAAATGGACACTAATAAGCGCACAGTTATAAAATTTGGGCAAATGTGTGTACCTGTGTAATCAGCACCACAAATAAGATATAGAACATTTCTCATCACCAACAGTTCCCCCCGTCCCACTGTGGTCAGTGTTCATCCCATACAAGAAAACACAGTGTGATTTATAGCACCCCAGATTAGTTTTGTCTATTCTTAAACTTCAGATAAATAAAACACAGAAATGTATATGTTTGCCCAATATAATATTCTTGAGATTCGTCCATGCTTGTGCATGCATTGACACTTTCTCTCTTCATTGTTGAGTTGTAGTCCACTGTACAACTACATTACAATATGTTCATCATTTTCTTCTTGAGAGTTGAGCCATTTGTTTCTGGCTCTTTGAATAAGGCTACTATAGACATATGTCATTTCAGTCAATGTAGTTTTTCATTTTTCTCTTTTGAACATTCTAAAATAGAATTCTGGGTAATCTGGTAAGTGTATACTTAACTTTATAAGAAATTGCCAGAAAAGTTTACCAAGTGGTTTTACTATTTTTTTTTTATCCTCACTGGCAATTTTGCCACATGCTCTCCAACACTTGATATTGTCATAGTAAAACAATTTTAGCCACTGAAGTACTATCTCACCGTAGGTTAATTTACATTTCCCTGATGACTAGTGACATTGAACACTTTCATGTGCTTAATGACCATCTTTTGTGAATTGTCTACTCAATAATTTCTTGTCCATTTATTACTGCATTGTTTAACTTTTTACTATTAGTCTATCTGCATTTTTATATGATCTGGATGAATTTTTCGGATATATGTATTGTAGTGGGAAATCAGCGACTGGAGAGACCAAGTGGTGTTCAGGAGGGCATATTTTAGGTGTACACTGGCTCAGCGGACAGGCATCCTGAAAGTCTGAGCAGCAAACAAAGAAAACAAACACCTTTTATGCACCTTGAGGCGGGAATTACATGATGCAGGAAGCTGGCTTACAAAAGCGAGAACAAAGTAGTTAATTATCAGGTGACATTCTTAGGACTCAGCTGACATATTGGGAAACTTATCTTGCAACTCATGCTTATGGATCGTGTGACCTTGCGGTTGCACAGCAAGAAAAACAGCTTACAGAACTTACAAAATATGTGGGGGAGAGATATGGTTAATGCTGCACAGACCTTACAGAGAAGCAGTTAATATTTTTTCTTAACTCTTACTTGGGGTGGGTGGGGGGCGCTACTTCATGCCCATTCTAGCGTAAACTTAAACGGTAAACTTAATTTCTTTTAATTTTTCAAGTTTAGTATTACATATATTTCATCCCATTCTGTGGCTTGCCTCGTCATATTCTAAAAAAATGTCTTTTGATGAGCAGAAAGACACTTTTATTTATTTTCTTTTAAGTACAATATCTGTACCTATTTTTATCTACTCAAAGTTCATCATAATATTATACTATAGTTTCTTCTGAAAGCTTTATAATTTTAACTTTTATATTTGTGGTACATTTCAAGTGAGTTTTTGTGAATGCCATGTAAAGGCCCGGACGGTCCAGCACCATTTGTTTTTCAGCAACATTTTTGGAGAAGACCATTTTTTCTTATTGAATTGCCTTGAGACTTTCATAGGAAATCAACTGGCTTGTTATGTTCATTTGTAGCCACTATATTTTAGGTTCCATTGATCTACTGGTGTACCCTTGCTGTATTACCTAACAACTTTATGTGTATAGATTTATAGCAAGTTTTGAAATCTTACAAGTGGAAGACTTATAGTAAGTCTTGAAAATAGTCTGTGTCTTATTCCTTCAAGAACATTTTGTCTATTATAGGTACTTTGCATTCCATAATTTTTAGGATGAATTTTCCAATTTCTATAAAAAATACTGCCAGGCTTTAGGTTGGGATTGTTTTAAATAGGTAGCTACTATATTAGTTTGACATGCTTTAACAAATCACCACAAGGTTCGTGGCTTAAACAATAAAAATGTATTGCCTTACAATTCTGTAGGTCAGAAGTCTGACACAGGTATCACTGGGCTGACACCAGGGCTCTGGTTACATGTTCCTTTCTGGCTATAAGGGAGAATTTGTTTCTGGCTTCTCCAGTTTTGAGGTCACCCACATTCCTTGGTTAATGGTCCCTCCCCTTCCACCATCTTCAAAGCAGCAATATTGCATGTCTCTGACCATTTTTCCACAGTCACACTCCCTCTGTCTCTCAGCCAAGAACAAGGCTCTGCTTCTAAGGTCCCATGTGATTACACTGGGCCCATCTAGAGAATCCAGGAAAATCTTTCCAGCTGATGATCCTTAGCTTAGTTACAATGCAAAGTTCTTTATTTAGCCTTGTAATATATTGACAGGTTCTGCGGATTAGGACATGGACATCGTTGGGGGCACTATTCTGCCTTCCCAGATACCTTAACAATATTCAGTGTCTCAATGACAACTGCATATCAATGAGTGTGGCTTACCTCTCTATTTGCATAAGTTTTCAATTGTCACTGCAACATTTTGTAGTGTGAAGTGTACAAATATTGCACATTATTTGTTAAACATATTACTATCTATGTTATGCTTGTAACACTACTGTAAAAAAATTGATAAATTCACTTAACAGTTCTAATTTTTAAAGTTTTTTGGAGATTCTTTGCTATTTTCATTATCCTTTCTCCTTTCCTAACCTTGCCTTTCATTTTCATTTCTTGCATTATTTTACTTGTTAGAATGACAATGGTTTCTTCAATCTGCGGTGGGGTTTGTTTGTTTGCGTTTGTAACATTTTCTGTGGCATTTTTCATTCATGCTGAGCATTTTGCCCAGGCATTCCAAGAGATCTCCTTAAATAATTATGGCTCTTGCCAGTGTTCTCACTATAAAAATAATTAGGTTTTCAATAGTATGCCCTATTGCTAGATTCCCTACAGGCCCATTCAAAATTAGTGTTTGGTTTTGCAGAACACAAATTATTTCAATAGTACTTATTCATGTTATAGCAGGGTGCTTATACTTAGAAGTTATTTTGACTTCCAAATATATCATTTGCTAAAGAAAGAGAAGCTATCTTTAAATCTGAAAGATAAAATATATATTGTAGGTTCCCAGGACATTAAAATAGTTGCAAAAATGAGTATTGCTTTATATTAAAGATTCGAGGCATTTTCTTGCTTTTATATCATATGTCAGAAATGAAGGAAGGAAGGAAAGAAGAAAATGAAAGAACAAAAAAATAAAATATGGAGTAAGGTAGGGAAAAATTAAGGCAGGAGGAAGGAAGGGAAAGAGAAATTCAGAAAGAAAAGAAAAACAATGAAAGTCAAAAATTAGTTAAGATTGCCTTTGTTTTCCACAAATTTGAAAGAATGGCAATAATGCTAAAGCTTTTATATCTTTGCAAAAAGGTTAGAGTATCAGAGAGTCTAATAATTATGTTGCATTACTAAATTCAATTTGCTGTTTATAGAACTCCAAATAAAATCATGTGCAATCTCCCAACAAACTACTGTTCTCTACAGCTTCAACTGCGGAAAGCATTTAAATCATAAAAGTAAATGTTTCCCACAAGAAAATCTTTAACACTAAAAGTAATTCCATTTTATTTCAGGCCTGTAAAAATAAACATTCATGTGTGAAATAAGGAAGTTTCTCCTACTAGGGGAATTCCTTTCTTTTCGTAAAGTCAATATTTCCTATGTGCTTCCAATTAGAAATCACTGAGGCACTTCACAAAACTGAATTAAGCAGGCCAGGGCTAATTCCAATTACTCTACTCTGGAACATCTGTTTTAACCTCACAAAACATCTTTAGGTAAATTACTTAAAATGTGAGCAGGTAGAGTGTGCTGTTCAACTGCAACTCATCTTTGCTATTAAAAGAATTTCATAATCAGCAAAGTTATCAGAGGTTAAGGTGACTAATATTCAGAGAGAAAGAGAGAGAGTGTGTATGTGTTGTGTGTCTGTATAAAAGGAAACACTAAGTGGCTAACAAAGAAAGTGTATTTAAGCTGAAATTTGAATTAATATTAGTTACTGGATATAGACTTTACTTATTCTTCAAATAGTTGTATTTCAGTGTGGCTAAATTTATCAAGATTAATTTCTTGAGAGTGAAAGTATCTCTTTAAAAAGTTAAAATATAGCAGTGAGTATTTGGAGCCAGCACTCATTCCTTCCTAGTTCAGAAGCTAAAAATGATTGATTTAATTTAATAAAGAGGAAAATATAATGTTAAAGTCTCTCAGAAACTCAGTACTTGCATACCCCACTTGAATTACATATACCTAAGCTCAATGGTGCATACTCTACATTGCAATGAGTAAATGTCTCTAACTCTGAGAACCATGTGAACTATTTCAGATCTAATACTTTAGAAAGTCTAATACATTACTACTTTTAATGATTCAACTATGATTTCTTATTAACCAAACAGTTCTGCCCTCATACCACAAAATAAATACTTTCTAATCACTGCAGTTTTCCATGTAATTGTCCTTGTATTTCTTTTCTGAAACACTCCTCTTTTATTTCCATTCGCAAATCTCATAATCCTCCTCTGCCCGTGTCCAACCCCTCCTCAGTCTCCTTTTATGGAACTTTCCTTTTATACAGTTGTCATAGTTGTATTTGTGTAGCTATAATGGAATATCTGAGACTGGGTAATTTATAATGAACAGAAATTTATTGCTCACAGTTCTGGAGGTTAGGAAGTCTAAGATCAAAGCACCAGCAGGCCTTAGTCTCTCTTCTTTCAAGATGCCCCATTAAATGTTGCACCCTCCAGAGGGAAAGATCATTATATCCTCACATGGTGGAAAAGCAGGAGAGAGAAACACTCCTGCAATTTCTTTTTATAGTCGTATTAATCCTTTCATGAGGGTGAAACCCTCATGACCTAAACACCCCTCATTAGGCCTCACGTCCTAATTTTGCTGCACTGGGGATTAATTTTGAAACACACAAATTTTGGGGAGACACATAGCAACCATTAAATACGGTGTTGCTCACAAGATATTGCCTTTGGTTGAAATCCCTTTCATTTGTGCATGATTTCTTTTAGTAATACATCCCAAATGCAAATTATTTCCAGTGCTACCAAAGCCCTTGCATGTGCCTGGGTTTCTCATGGAAATCTCCAGGATGATTTCCTGCAAGAACCAGTCTCAAGGGGCGTGCGCACTCACCTACTGCTCACACATTTATTCAGTGATCATTAGGGCATTTATTGATTCTCTCATTAAATAAATAGTAACTTAGCCAGTATTCTGTGTTGGCTCCTGTCTGAGATATGATGATATTTTGACAAGCCAAACAAATGTTCCTGCATTCACTTCTTACAGACTAAAAGGTGATACAGATGAATGAACTGACAACTACCGCAAGTTGTGGTAAGGCTGTGTTTATGATACGGGATATGCAGGGTGCTTGTACAGGGACAGGAGAGGAACCATCATATGCAAATTCCGAGCATTAGGAAAGACGGCCAGTGAAGTGACATCTCAATGTAGCCGTGCAAGGTAAAATTTAACAATTTCAGGAAGAGCAAAGAATAGGCTATATGTGGTGGTGCATTCTAGAAATGAAGATACATTCAGTATAGCTTTAACCTCACATATGGTGGGGTGAGGCTGGAGAAATAAAACACGAGACCTAAGCAGGGCCTCTGACACATGGGGACTTATAAATGGTGCTAAGGAATAAGTATTTTATTTCAACAGCAATGGAAAGGATACTGTGTTGACACAGTATGACTATGTCTGCATGTAGAATGATTACTGTAGCCTCGTCATTGACAGAAGAGTGGGGGAGGGGGATAAAAACCTGTTAGAGGCTGATGGGTTAACCCAGATGTAGAGATGCTAGTGTCCTGGATGAGGGGAGAGGCAGTGAGGAGGCACAGATTGACTGGTGGTGATTATAGCTTAAGTATCTCGACACAGTCCACTGGGTAGGAGTTTGTAGGCTCAGTGTTCTGTTAGGCATGAGAGAGGAGAGAGAAGTAGGAAAATGGCAAAGGATTAGTTTTGTGGTGAACAAATGACAAAACAGAAGAGCAACAGATGGGGATGGGAAAGAGAAGATGATGGTTTTTTTTTTTTTAAACAGGTGGTGTTAGAGGACAGAAAAAAAGAGACAGCCCCTGGGTATACACAGATGCAGAATTTGGGAGAGGAACAGAGAGGAGGCTTGGGTAGCCATGAGCATGTAGACAGCATTTGAAGCTGAGGGTGTGAGAATATTTCTCAAAGACATGGCAAACATCAAAAAGGAGCCTAGGATGGCACATGAAGCTTGTTAATACTCCCTGGTCAGAGGGGTAGGGGCATAACCAGACTGTTTTCCCCAAAGCAAAGAAGAAATAAATCACAAAAAAATTAAAGTTCTGAATATAGCTTAATTTTTATACACTTGGGTAAAAATGTATTTGAGAATAAAAATGGGTTTTTAAACATTAAGATGTATGAGTTATGTCATACAAAATACTTTGGGAAACAAAAATACTTAGATTCCAGCATTTGTACAAATATTTTTTTATCTTTGGGTGTAGTATTGCCAATTCTGTTGTAAATACTAAATATAGTAAATACATACAAGACTAGAATGAAATTTTACTTCACGTACAACTCACGAAAGAGTTGTAAAACCAAAAGACTTATTGCTCACATAATTTATTCAGTTCCTAGTTTTTGAAAGAACAAGCATCTCTTTTGTTTTCCATTGCAAAAGTTAATATATTTATAAAAGGCAGTTTTAAAATATGTACATCATCCCACTATAAATGTAAATAATAAGTACAGTTATAGATTGTGAGCTACCTCCTTCTCCATAAAGGTATTTACATTTATAAGGTCTTTATAAGAGTGAAATTACTGTGAATGTCTCTAAAAATGCCATTAGTCTCTCTAAAATGTTCACATTTCTAACGCTTTTTCCCCTAAACACAGATACAATATATTTACAGCAAATTTCTTCAGAGAGAGTTATAAATCTTCCATGCATATAAATTGATATTCAAATAAACCTGTTTCTAAAATATAATTTCCGAAGTGCATACTAAATGACATCTTTTTGAGAGAACAATTTTTTAGAATAATTCTAGATGTCATATACTATTTTTCTTGGTGAAATAATTGAGATGCAATTTACTGAAAATCTTCTATTATCATAAATCTCCAGTTGTTTTTTCAGTCTGAGTAAAAGAAGAGTATCTTGGTTTTGATGCCTTATATTCTGAAACAAAAGCCTCATCTACACTCAATATTTCCAGTTTTGCACCTGATTCTGTGTTGGTTGCCTTTGTCTTTCGGTCACTGTGCTGGACAATGGGCTAGCACAGTGGAGAACTCAAAGTCTGTCATTCTGAAGCGTGCATTCCAGTGGAGACACTACTTGAGTAGGCTTAATGGAACAAAGTAGTAAAGACATACGATCTTCAGACACTTTCCTCAGTACTAAAATGTATCAGAAGTTAGAAAATTAAAGGCAAGTCTAGCGAAGCAGAGGATAAAAATAATGTGTTTTAAAAACCTGCCTCATCTGCACATTGTAAATGGCCATTTCTGGAAACCTTTGAGTAAGATATCTGTCTGTACCAATCAAGCAACCATCAATGGATCAGGACACGTGCTGACTGATGATCCATACACACACGAGGCATTCATCTTCATGATTCGCAAAAATCTGCTGAACTAAGTAAAAGTCTCCCCTTTCTATAGATGTTTATGGTTCTCAATAATTGGTGGCCCCAAGGTTGGGCTCTGTGGAAAAAGAACAATCAAGGCTTGTTGAGTCCACAGTCAGTGAGTGGTGGGGCTGGTACCCAGCGCTGGCCCTTTCTATTCCAGTGAGAAGGCCATGGAGGCCTCACAACAAAGCTGGCATAATGCCTGATATAGTTTGGATGTTTGTCTGCACCAAATCTCATGTTGAATTGCAAGCCCCAGTGTTGGAAGCGTGGCCTGGTTGGGGGTGATTGGGTCATGGGGCAGATGTCTCATGGTTCAGTGCTGTCCTCACGATAATGAGTGAGTTCTCAAAAGATCTCATTGTTTAAGTGTGTGGCATCTGCTGCCCGCCCGAAGCATACATCCCCCAACTCTCTTTCTGCTCCTGCTTCCACCGTGTGATGTGCCTGTTCCCGCTTCACATTCTGCAATGAGTCAAAGCTCCCTGAGGCCTCCCCAGAAGCCCAGCAGATGCCAGAGCCATGCTTGTACAGTCTGCAGACTGTGAGCCAATTAAACCTGCTTTCTTTATAAATTACCCAGTCTCAGGAAGTTATAACAATGCAAAAACTGCCTAATGCAATCCCTTAAATAAGCAGAATCAAATGCGTGAGAAAATAGAAGGAAGTATATGAAAGCTACGGTGTGCTTAAATTTTCAGGTCAAATGTTTTGTAGCTGGTTTTGAAGAAATGAAGTAGTTGGGAAGTGTTTCTTAACTGACTTATCACGAATAAATGATGAATGTTGGAAACCTAGTAGGCACACTGGAGAGGGAGTAATAAAAACAATCTTAATTCCTTTGCATCTGACAAAGTCAACATGGCTTCTGCAGCATAGTTGTCATGTGAGTTCATGACTGTGTTTCTCTAATTTGAAAGAACAGATTTTAAAAAGTTTGGGAAGTTTTTGGAATGTGACAGGTAAAGGCAGGTAATAACACTGATAGCCACTAATTCTCTGCCTTATCATTTGGTGATTCCTGTGTCTTATGACTTTTGAGGGACAGGATTCTCTAGGAAGGTTTCTGAAAGAAGTGACAATTAGATTGGGCTTATGTTTCCTCTACCACTGACGCATGGCATGTATCATGTGTGGCATATATGTTAATCATTAAAGGGTTTTTTTAATTGTTAAATCTAACTATATAAATTAACATTTAAAAATCCATTTTCATCACTCAAACTAATTACAGATTTTTTTTTACCACATAACACAAATTTTATCTGGCTGATCTTGTCTCTCAATTCTTACTATATAGTATAGCTTTACTAGAAGCATAATTTCCTGGATAGAAGCTTCCATTTCTGGCAGGGCATGGTGGCTCACGCCTGTAAACCCAGCACTTTGGGAGGGTGAGGCAGGTGGATCACCTGAGGTCAGGAGTTCGAGACCAGCCTGGGCAACATAGCGAAACCCTGTCTCCACTAAAAATAGAAAAAATTAGCCAGGCGTGGTGGTGAGCGCCTGTAGTCCCAGCTAC
Source organism: Homo sapiens (assembly GCF_000001405.40). Classification (NCBI taxonomy): domain Eukaryota; kingdom Metazoa; phylum Chordata; class Mammalia; order Primates; family Hominidae; genus Homo; species Homo sapiens. The sequence continues at coordinate 108,808,438 of NC_000013.11, read as the reverse complement.
TTGGGAGGCTGAGGCACAAGAACTGCTTGAACTCAGGAGGCGGAGGTTGCAGTGATCTGAGATCACACCACTGCACTATAGCCTGGGCAAAAAAAAAGAAGGTTCTATTAAAAAAAGAAGGTTCATTAAAAAAAAAAAGCAAAGAAGAAGGTTCTATTTCTGTAGGTTTCTTATGGGCCTCTGGAAGGTCTATGCCTAGTTTTCATAGAGGACTCAACCTCTGAAATTGTAGGGATACTTTTTGTGTCTATGCATTTCTGAGAAAAAGGTCAGTAGCTTCATCTGATGGCTTGAGGGATAAAATTTCTGATTCTAATCAGAATTTTGGATTCTAATCAGAATCTAATTTTTTCTGCCTTGGTCATTACTGCTTCCAGGATGTGGAAAATAAATATCTAGATTCTCCTTATGAGTCAGGAAAAACTGATTTCATTTAGTCACCCTCAACATGCAGAGCCAAAGATTGCAATAGACACTTTACAATAGAACAGTTGCAGAAATGTATACTCATTTCCCTGCTTTTCAGGTGGGTTTCATGTGAAAATAATGATAAATTAATTTTCTTTTATCATTCTTTACCAAGCTTAACAAGACTTTAAGAAATTAGTATTTTTAGAAGAAGAAACAGCTGCTTTAAAATTCACCAACTTAGACTTTTCTTTCTGCTCCTCCCCATTAATTATGACAATAACCCTGGGAAGAGCAAGCAACTCAAAAAGAACTGGTGGAGGAGACAGTACAATGGACGGCTCAGAAATTTAAAAGCATCATGATGGAATATTATGAGCAAATATATTGAACCAATGGGATAGCCTCGAAGAAACTGACACATTCCTAAAAACATACAATCCATCAAGACTCAATCAAGGAGAAATAAAAAGCTGGAACAGACCAGCAACAAATAAGGAGACTGAATCACCATAGAAGCACAATTCAGGGATATTTAGCAGATCCTTAAATATATTTATTGAATAAATAGATCTTTTTTTACAGGAGGTGCTGTCAAAACAAACAATGTTCTTGTTTGTTTGAAAGAACTTCCCCACGCAATATGATTTTTTTTCTAAAATACGTGAAATGCAAACTCTTTCCATTCTTTTGATAGTTACACTACTGAAATTTATGATAGATTATTTTACATAATGATTAGTCTCTTAAAGATCTAACTTACTACAAATTTACTAGATGTGATTGTTACCCCAAAGTAATGTTCTGAAATGAACACATTAACTTAAATCTCCATATAGTGTAAAACTAAGTTACTTTTCCTACTATTGCGATGAATAAAATATTTGCCGTAGAAAACACATAATTATTACAGATTCATGAGACTGCAAGCATATGAAGTCTATATAATATGAAAAACATTTTAAATCCGTATTATGACAAATGTTTACAGATTTTGATTATTTCTTCAATGACTTGACTACAATATTCAGATACATAAGGAACATGTGCTCTTGTATAAGCATTTTCCTTTAACCATAAAAATATTTGTTCAGTAAGAAGACACTATTAAAAGTCAAATTACAATAATGATTAGTACGTAATTTAAAATCAAATCAAAATTGAATATGAAATTATTCATTAATTATATAAAATTATTTTTTAAAGAATTCAGCAAATCACTCTACCTGGCCATATTTGGCTGCCAAGTGGAGGGGAGTCCAGTACTGATCATCTACTATGTTGAGGTCTCCACCATGTTCCAGGATAAGAGACACCACCTCCTTGTAGCCACTCGCACACGCCATGTGTAACTGCAGCGAAGAGACATCTTATTATTCATTTTTTTAAAGTAGTGATATTCATGCAGTTCACTCAGTGGTTTAAAGAGAGCTACTTAATGAAATGGTGGATCTAAAATACAGAGACCATAAAAACAAAAGAACATACATGCAATTTTATTTATTTGGTATAAATGGGTGTAATTATCAGTCTTTGAAAGTACGCTTATGTTTATTAATTTTCCTTCCAACTTTGATAGTGTGCACTTTTTCATGTAACTCCCATCCCCCTCCGAGTTCCATTTCAATGCAATCTGAATATTTTAAAATACAGAATATAATAATTGAAAAGCTTACCACTTCTTGCCCAAAGGTAAAATATTTGCTGATTAGCTCTATATTCCAGGCATTGTATTAGTGCTATAGAAAGTGATTCAAAGAATAACTAAAAGCAGGAAATGTGGTCATTGTGATGCTTCTGTATGTGTAAAAGGCACAGAAACACTGAAAAGGATTAACTAATCCCGGCGGCTTAAAAATGATTGTGTAGCTACCATTGTAACATTCTCCCAGTTTTAGTTTCTTTTTTAATTATATTTTTGAGACAGGGTCTCTCTCTGTCACCTAGGCTGGAGTGCAGTGGTGGAATCATGTCTTACTGCAGCCTTAATCTCCAGGGCTCAAGTGATCCTGCCACCTCTCCCTACTAAGTAGCTGGGAATACAGGTACGTGCCACTAAACCCAGCTAATTTTATTTATTTATTTATTTATTTATTTATTTATTTTGGTAGAGACTAGTTTTAACCATGTTGTGTGTTACCTAGACTAGTCTTGAACTCCTGGGGTCAAGCAATCCATCTGGCTTGGCTTCCCAAAGTGCTGGGGTTACAGGCATGATCCACCATGTCCAGCCCCAGATTAGTTTTTTAATGGAATCTTAAGTTTAGAAATAAGGCCTTTGGAACAATAATGATGAGATCGGGGTTTGGAGAATGTTTTACATTTTTCAGGTGAGGGAATTCCTGTTTCTAAGGTAGCAGCCTGTATTTCTATATAAACTATCATCACACTCAAATGACATTACTAAGCAACTACATGATGTATTTTATAAACATAAGAATTAGGAAGAAGAAACTATCAGAAAAGAAAGAAAAAAAAACCTTAAAAGTAGTAAAATCAATGCCATCTTCTAGGTTTGATAGCACGGAATTTTGTAGCTCTGTTCCATTGTGTTTTTATTACAAAGACAAAATTAAAGTCAAAAAGGCTTATTCAATGTGTACATTTTGATAAAATCTAACAAAAACATTTATTTTTATAGCTTTGGACCTAATTAGGCTCTTCAATCTACGGAGTGTAAATATATGTTTATTTCTTGTAACTCAGCTACATTAGAATAAATATATTCATCTAAATGAAGACACTGTTTCACATACATTTTCCCATGCTTGCTACATACAGAATTAATCTTATTAATATTCTAGGAAACAGTCCCCAAAATGATATATCCATAAGTATTTTAGAAAATATAATTTTACATACTTGCTCTCCTAGAGAATTGATCTATTCATCTGCTTCTAAATTGATTCTACGTTATCTGAATAATCAGTAAATGATTGGCAGTTACTCTGTGCTATATGCAATAATCTGAATCTCAGAAGATACTAATTTTTAGCATAAAGCAGAGTCTACAAATGGAATCAAGAATGAATCAATTTTCTGGTTAGCAATTGATACTAACGATGTCAAGTTCACAGGGCCAATCCCTGCAGGATTAGATTTGCTTTCCATACAGCAAAAATTGGCTCTCACCATTTAGAACTTAGTCCAACCCTGGGCCACTTACCACAAGCACAGCTGGGAAGGAAGACTAGAAGTCCTGGCTCACTCACTAGAGACTCTATCCAAAGTGTTACTACCAGTGACCTTTGTGGAGGCTGGCAAGTTTACTTCTAGGTAATCCCAAAACCAAAATAAACAAACAAATGAAAACCCTAATTGAATACTTCTACTTAATCACATGAGATAACCAACTTTTCAATTATCATAATACAATAGCAGGAGTTAAGAGCATTATTTTGAGTCTACTGGCAATCAACCTCTGAATCCATAAGCAAACAGCTAGCCTCTGTGGGATATAGTTTCTCATCACTAAGAACATGTTAGACCTAGAGTTAAAAGATTAAAAACAACAACAACAACAACAAAAATGTCTATTTATGAAATGGAATTTATACTCCTACTACTTGTCCTGACTATGACTAGAGGATATCAGGTGCCCAACTGCAACAGTGTTGATCCCTGTGGTGTCTCAGAACATTCCTCTCCTGCTACTTTAAGGGCCCTGTGAGAAACACAGAGGTGGTTATCATTTCTGCTGTGAACTAGCAGCAGCATATTAGCAAACACAGTTCCCACGAAAAATTACAATTTGGAAATCACCTATCTAGCTACAAAGCAGGACAGGTGGTCAGAGTGGCTTCTAAAACATTAGGTATAAAAGCCGTGAATTATTTCTTCTAATCTTTACCATCTGTGACATGATTGTTGCCCTTATTTTGCAGATGGAGAAGCAGTGGTTTAGAGTTTAGGTAACTGGCCCAAGGAAGAAGCATGGTTACTGAGATCCGAAGCCACGCTCTGCAGCCTCCAGCACTCAGATTTGAAATAGCACAGAAGAGTGGACACACAGTGAGGTCAAGCCACAAGGATAACACTAACATACTGAGGCTCCTAATACATCTTGCATTCATACCATCATTTTTGTATGTTAATATAATTTTTTTCTTATTTCTGTAAACCACTTCTATGTCCCTCACCCTTCCACATACTAATTTTATATTAACATTTTAGTCTCTGGATGATACACAATATCTATATGCTTGCTTTGGCCTTCCCATGGCTCTCCATCAGTGCAGGCAGTCTTGTTTGGTAAATGTGGCATATTGCCTCCTGGTATGCTTTGCAAAACCATCACCAAGTCTTAGTGTTTTTCAGCTATGAAAGCACAGGAGCATCCCAGGCTCCACATTTGGGAGTCTGAGTCTACTCTAGAAGGGATCTCCTGTAAAACTGCACCCTAACACACACATATCCAGTGTGATGTAGGCCTGGGTAAAAACAGACAACAGGGTCATTTGGTCATTAGAACATCTTCTCTTCTTATGATCCCATATAAGGATCAGTTTTCATTGCATCCGGTCAAAGCCCCCAACACTGTGCCCATTTCATATTATAGCATCTCAGTCTTTGACAGCCTGTTCGTTTCATTTACTGATAGTGTTAATTGCTAGAAAACATACTGTGGACTACCAATTATTTCTGAAGTTTGAGATTTTCATTTTCCCAAATAAAAGATAGTTCTAATATTTGAAAAACAGTACCTCAACCCAATATTTATAGAAATTAAAATAAGTAGCACTATCATTGTTTTCAATGTTGGTTCTCAGCTGGATCAATTGCTCTGGACAGGGTTTAAGGCAGCACAGAGCAAATGTCCACAGATGAATACCAAGATGGCCCCGCCTGGTTTCAACAGCAAAACACTCTTGGGCCCTTTCAAGCATGTATTCAGGTAAAATCCAGAAAGGTTTTTCTAACTTTAAATTACTTTGTATTTATTTTTAAGAGTTTAAGATATGTAAAATATAAAAAGACACTAAAGATACTGACAATTGGACTTTCTAGATAAATGCTTCGCTTCTCAGATTCTGGTCATTTATTTCTATTTAACGATGCCACTCCCTTGATAAAAGTAGGCCCCTCAAACAGCTGAATAACAAGAAAACAAATAACCCAATTTAAAAATGGCCAAAGGACTTGAACAGACATTTATCAAAAGAAGATATACAATTGGCTAATGGGCTCAAGAAAAAATGCTCATCATTACTAATCATTAGGGTGCTGCAAATTAAAACTACAATGAAATATCACCACATGCCTGTTTGGATGGCTGTTCAAAAAGATGACAAGTAAGTGCTGGCAAGGACACAGAGAAAGGGGAATATCTGTATGTTACTGGTAGAAATGTAAGTTAGCACAGCCATTATGGAAAATGGTATAGATATTCCTCAAAAAACTAAAAATACAGCTACCTTATGATCCACAAACCCCACTCTGGTATATATCCTAAGGAATGGAAGTTGCTATGTCATAGGGATATTCATACTCCCATGCTCACTGCAGCACTATTCATAATAGCCAAGTTCACTGTTCATCAACAGGAAAATACGTGAAGAAAATGTAGCATATATACATAATGGAATACTAGTCACCCTTAAAAAAGAAAGAAACCCTGTCATTTGCAACAACATGGATGAAACTGAAGGACATTATGTTAAGTGAAATAAGTCAGGCACAGAAAGACAAATACTGCATGATCTCGCTTCTAAGTGAAATCTAAATCAGTAAAACTCATAAAAGTAGAGAGAAGAATGATGGTTGCCAGGGACTCGGGGAGGGGAAGAGAGAAAATGAAGAGTTGTTGGTCGAAGGGTTCGAAGTTTCAACTAGACAGCAGAAATATGTTTTGAGATCCGTTGCAAAGCAGGATGACTATTGTCAACAAAAAATGTATTATACATGTTAAAATAACAAAGAATACATTTCCAGTGTCTCAACACAAAAATGGTAAGAAAAGTGGTGGATAGGTTAACTTAGTGTGATTTAATCATTTCACAGTGTATACATATATCGAAAATTCACACTGTACCCCATAAATGCATATAAGTATTATTTGTCAATTTAAAATAATATTAAATAAAATTAGAATCACTGTGTACCTAGCAATTTATTTTATTCAAATACAGTTAATATTTTCCATGCCGTTGAATGTTTGGATCACTTAAAGGCTAACTTTGATCGAGAGCTCACTGTGTACTAACTAGACAATAAGCTGAGTGATTTACATGCACGGTCTCTTTGGGCCTGGTTATCTTATAATGTGGCACTCTTATTATTCCAGTTTAAAAGATGAGAAGATGATAACTCAGAGTTTAAGGAGCCAGCACAAGTCACAGCTTGGAAGTGATGGAGGCTTCCAGGATGAGCACCGACTTGGGTCTATCTGGCCTCTTCATCATGGTGCTATTGGGCTTCTAAACCCTAGATTTTTAGGAAAGCATAGTATACAATTATACAGACACATTTTCATTGACTGGGCTAATTCCTAATTGTGGGATATTTATGTAGTTACCATTTTTGATATTGATTTTAAAAATGTTTTGTTGGTGATTATCATATATGTCCGTAGTGATTTCCATTTGATACATCCTGATTCTAAAATAATGAGCATTTTTTCAAGTTCCTGTGGCATGCTGCCATGCAGAGTTCTAGAATGTACCAATTCACCTACAGTCCAGCAGTGTATGAAAGAATGTATTTGCACAGACCCTTAGCTTTTCTGATCTTCACTATTATTTATTTCTAAAATGATTTCAAATAATTTGCATTTACTTAATTCCCAACAGTGGTCCTCATTTCATATACATAGGCTAGTTGGATATTTTTCTTTTGTGAATTGACTCTTGTTATTGTTTATTTTCTAGTAAGAGGTGGTTTTTTAAATTAATTTCTATGAACTCGGCATATTTTGAAGATATTAAAATTTTGGGAAACCTGTTGCAAATATTAGTCTCAGCAAATTACCTGTTGCCCCTTAATTTTGCTCACTCTTTAATGCAAAATGTTAATTATAATTTCTGACATAATCAACGATATTAACATTTCTGTGTTTTTTTCATATTTTTACATTGTAAGGGTCTTTGCCAGAGGCTTTTTTCCACATGTATAACTTGGAAAATATCTGTTAATTGTTTTTAATTATCTTACCCTTGTATTTGTGCATCTGATTTTTTACTAATCTGTATGTAAAATGTTAAATATTATGATATATTCCCACTGGATCTGTTCTTACTGAAGCTTTGTGACCCCTGCCACTCTGAAGCTAGAAGATCATGCTGAGGCTAATGCTATATTTTAATAAAAACTATGTTATGAAGAAATGAAAACTAATCTTGAGGACCATTCAAATACCTCTTAGGTTCAGTCAGGATTGTTGACCAATAATTTCAGGTCTTCTTCATGTATTTCATCATAACACTAACACAGGATTTTTACTATCTCAGCTTTGACAGAAGTATGAAAATACTATAAATCATATCCCAAAGTGAGACTATATATGTAAATTGGAAAATAGTTGCCCTAAAACTGCTCAGATGACTTTTGAACTCTACCTCGAGACTGAGGGCACACTAGGTCAGAAATTAAAGACAAAAGGAGAAAAAGTGTTGAACAATTTTTAAAGAGCACTCTTAGTGTGTTAGGAGTCCACTTTCCCTTCCCACTGTGTGTAGGTATCAAGGTGGATGAGAGTTCCTCCCAATTTTATGGCAAAGAGAGGCTGTAGAGACCACTCTGAGAAGCTACATATCCTGAGTAGTTTGGTGGACACAGAATAAACTGGTTTTGATTCTTGCATGCACAAAGTAAACGGCAAGAGATGGGCTTTTACCCATGAAGCTGTGGTCATTTCTGGTTCTATTTTAGGGGGTGCCTCATGGAGCAAGCACAGCTTAGCAGAGAAAATCTGGAGTGTCCTCAAACTCCCAAAAGCTGAGTGAGCATAAAGGACCATTTGGAAGAGCGCATCACCCAGACCTGGTACAGGCTAAGGCTTCCCCATGATGATGGCGGGCGGGTGGGATCCAAAACACCCCCAAATTCTCACAAAAAGACTCAAATTCTTGGTCAGAGAGCTAGATACCATCTAAAGAGGGCTCAGTTAAAAACCTTGCTCTTATTGCCTCTCCTCTTCCCTATCTGCTCCCTCCTCCCTTCTTCTTCCTCTTAACTTCAGTGGAGTTTAGTAAGGGAATGATGGATGAAGAAAAGCGCCAAGAGGAAAAATAGTAACCCATGTCCACCTTCCCTTCTACGGACTTCCCAACCTGGTACAGCACTAAGTTGGGAATGGATTTAACATTTAACTAAACTCACAGCCCTTAACACCTGGGCCCACTGACCTCTGCAGGATTTGTGGATAAAATTCGGGGGCTGGGGGTGAAAACTTGGGTGAGAAAATAGCTTTATTTTCTTCGACTCCTTAATTGAAGTTTAGCAAATTCTTCAACAATGAGCACAAAAAGCAAAGCCGTGATGTCATCATCAATAAAAGTCCTGACATTTTCATATCACTGTTCGGTTGCAGCAAATACCTCAAGATAGCATTCATGGTCAATGCCACCTTAAAATCATGGTAATTACTAGATCTGTTGCTTAGTGGAATGATATAGAAGCACATGCATTATATATCACACATTTACTTTTAATATTATGATGACTGTATTTCAACATAATTTATTTTCTAGGCACCATTTTTATTGCATTTTAAACATTATTTTGAAAGGTGATCCATGGGTTCCACCCAAGGGTCACTGGGAAGTATGGCACAAAACTTCTACAACTCCTGACTTGAGAGTTTTAATTATAATATGGGATTGGACACTTTAATTTGAGGTTGGTTTGTGACATAAAGTGATCACAGAAGTTGTATTCTTTAAAAATGACCATAAAATCAATGGCTGTCTCCATCCATAACTAAGGGATGAACCAGCATTACTGAAATAAAGGTGAAAAAAATAAAATTGCTTGATACTTGCCTCTCCTGAATAATTCTTTCCTAACAAACCAAATAAATAAGCCTCGGGGGCCGGGCGCGGTGGCTCACGCCTGTAATCCCAGCACTTTGGGAGGCCGAGGCGGGTGGATCATGAGGTCGGGAGATCGAGACCATCCCGGCTAACAAGGTGAAACCCCGTCTCTACTAAAAATACAAAAAATTAGCCGGGCGCGGTGGCGGGCGCCTGTAGTCCCAGCTACTCGGGAGGCTGAGGCAGGAGAATGGCGTGAACCCGGGAGGCGGAGCTTGCAGTGAGCCGAGATTCCGCCACTGCAGTCCGCAGTCCGGCCTGGGCGACAGAGCGAGACTCCATCTCAAAAAAAAAAAAAAAAAAAAAAAAAAAATAAGCCTCGGGGCCAGATGTGATATATCAAATTATGTGCTAACACAGTAAATAATAAAACAACAATGTCTTCATAATATATATGCCAGTTATCGCATTAATATTTTCAAAGACTATATTCTCAAACTGATGAATTCACCTTCATATACTCTGTAACATGGTGTTTATTAAAATTGTATCATTTTCTGAGGCCCCTATTTAACAAGAAGATAATGTAAACTAAAAGATCCCTTTTAAAAAGAGATATGTTATATTTAGTTATTTTGTTGCAATTCTAATAAAGAAGGTAAAGGCAACTCCAAACCCGTCTTATTAGAATTTTATTCCCATTGAGCCTTTTGTTGTTAGTTTCCTCTCTTTTGCACATAACAATTTAACACTGTGAAAATTTATGCCTAATTTTGAACCACAACTGGCATTCCATCGCAGGTATGGAAATCAATCTGAACAAAACTGTCTTCTTCTCCTTATCTCCACAATAGATAAATACACTATATACCTTACAGAACAGAAAACACAAGGAAATGACAGTCATTAACATATACAGACTAACCAATTCAGACATGTGAATCAAACCAAACCACTGGCTGTTAAATGCTGTAATCTTCAAGGGACAGCATCCTAGCCTTTTGTTCATTGTTACTTTCTTGTTAAAAGCTCAAAGATAATGACCACAAGATTTGGTTATTTTAGAACAATTATTTGCAATATTTATGCTCTCTGTTCAATAAAAAGAAGGTCACAAGGAAAGTAAAAACTGAAAATGATTGAAAATGATAGCTATTTATTGCTCTGTATTGATTACTTCAATAGCTTCTCTACTGAAGTGTGTATGCTCTTTTATTTAGCAGTGGTTGAAGTATGCATTTTGTTTTTACTTAGCAGTATTTTTTTAAAGAACTATGAAGTTGTAATATATTCTACCATACAAAGAAACAAAGGCTCTATTGCGTTTCTATTATGTGTTAGGCATTAATTCATTATGTGTAATAAATGAATTAATTAAATAACTCAATCCAATCAGATTTTTGACCCTACTAGTCCACTGAAACTGTCCTCCAAGAGAAAGTCAATGACCTCCAAGTTACTAAGTCCAATAACCAATTCACAATTCCCATTTAACTGACCACTCAGCAGTATTTGGTAGTCTATCATTCCTCCTGCTTCCTCAAAGTTTTCACTTGGTTCCGAGGACATTTCGTCCTCTTGGTTTTCCTCCTTCCTCAGTGCTTGCTCCTTCTCATCCCATTTCTGGAGCCTCCTCTTCTTCATCTCCATGGCTTGGTCCCAAATTTCTTTCCTTCTGCATACAAGTAGTGACTTCATCCAGTATCAAAGCTTTCAACATCACATATATGCTAATGTTCCTCAAATTCTTTCTTTCATCTAGAGATCTGAGTTCCAGACTCCAATGTCCAACCACAAATCCAACAGTTCCATTAAGATGGCTAAGAGACACTTCAAACTTAATATCTCCAGAACTGATGTGGTCTTTCCTGCTTTAGGTTTGTGTCTTCTTCAGCCTCATCTCATTTGATGCCATCTCCATCACACTGGTAGTTTAAGCTAAAAATGCTTGGAGTCATTCTAATCACACAACACATTTATTAGGAGGTCCAATTGCACTACCATTCTACCCCTGTTGTCTGAGCCACATTACTGATTGCCTAGATTACTGGAAAAGCCTCCTAAACAAACTCTCCGGTTTACCCCTGTCCTTTTCAGTCAGTTCTTTTTTTTTAATTTTAATTTTAATTTTAATTTTTTTAAATTATACTTTAAGTTTTAGGGTACATGTGCACAACGTGCAGGTTTGTTACATGTATATATACATGTGCCATGTTGGTGTGCTGCACCCATTAACTCGTCATTTTACATTAGGTATATCTCCTAATGCTATCCCTCCCCGCTCCCCCCACCCCACAACAGGCCCCAGTGTGTGATGTTCCCCTTCCTGTGTCCATGTGTTCTCATTATTCAATTCCCACCTATGAGTGAGAACATGTGGTGTTTAGTTTTTTGTCCTTGCGATAGTTTGCTGAAAATGATGGTTTCCAGCTTCATCCATGTCCCTACAAAGGACATGAACTCATCATTTTTTATGGATGCATAGTATTCCATGGTGTACATGTGCCACATTTTCTTAATCCAGTCTATCATTGTTGGATATTTGGATTGGTTCCAAGTCTTTGCCATTGTGAATAGTGCCACAATAAACATACCTGTGCATGTGTCTTTATAGCAGCATGATTTATAATCCTTTGGGTATACACCCAGTAATGGGATGACTGGGTCAAATGGTATTTCTAGTTCTAGATCCCTGAGGAATTGCCACACTGACTTCCACAATGGTTGAACTAGTTTACAGTCCCACCAACAGTGTAAGAGTGTTCCTATTTCTCCACATCTTATCCAGCACCTGTTGTTTCCTGTTCAGTCAGTTCTTAACACAACAGCCAGGGTAGGTGATCCTTTTAAAACGGAGCAGGCTCATGCCCCTCCTCTCTTCTGAACTTCCCACTGTCTTCCCATCCCATGCAGAGTCATAGCCGTGGTCCTCATATAGGCCCATAAAAGCTTGTGTGATCTGGTCCCAGCGCCTCTCCCTCCCTGCTGACACTGCTTCAGCCATATGGGCTCCTTGCTGTTTCCCAAGCACACCACACTCGCCCCTGACACTGTAGGAGTTTGTGGTTTGCACTTCTGACTCTCAGCCTGGAATGCTTTCCCTTCACAGCCCCACTGTGCTGTCTCTTCTTTGAAGTCATTATTCAAAACACCCTTGTTGGTTAGATCTTTCCTCTCTATCTATCCAAAATGGCAACAATATGACCAACATGTCCCTGTGTTGTTTTTTCCCTTGCATTTATTACTAGGATACTATATATTTAGCTTATTTATAGTGTATATTACCCACTTTCCCAACTGAAATGTGGATCCATGACAAAAGAATTTTGGTCACTATTATTTTGTTCATAGCATGTGGCCAATTATATTTCTTCATTAATTTAGAATGCTTTTGCCATTTGAATGTGTTATTTTTCAAAACACTCTAAATATGCTTTGCTTTCTTTTCTTATGACAGAGTTACGTTGTTATAGTCTTCTAAAGTTTACAAATTTATAAATATCGATTTTGGAAGACAAAATTTAGGAAAGTATGATTTAAAAATTTTAGAAGCTGGCCAGGCGCGGTAACTCACACCTGTAATCCCAGCACTTTGGGAGGCCAAGGCGGGCGGATCACGAGGTCAGAAGATCGAGACCAGCCTGGCTAACATGGTGAAACCCCGTCTCTAATAAAAATACAAAAAATTAGCTGGGCGTGGTGACATGCGCCTGTAGTCCCAGCTACTCGGGAGGCTGAGGTAGGAAAATCACTTGGACACGAGAATCACTTGAACCTGGGAGGTGGAGGTTGCAGTGAGCCAAGACCATGCCATTGCACTCCAGCCTGGGTGACAGGGAAAGATTCCATTTAAAAAAAAAAAGAAAGTAAGAAAAGGGAAATTTTAGAAGCCTATACAACTATAACATTTTGAAGTTAGACTTTTCTAAATTTTATCTTCCAGAATAAATATTTATAAATTTATAAACTTTAGGAGACTATAACAACGTAACTCTAAGTCATAAGAAAACAACACATTTTTAGAATGTGACCCTCTAGAGGTCACAGGCACTTAATAAATGCAAAAATTTAATAAATGTAAAAATATATTTACATTTATTACTCAAGGAAACTTTTCAGACAACAAAACTTTTACCTATTTAGTTAAATCACTTTCCTTATCAACTGTCTTCAACCTCACACCATGTTTTTTTCATGGGAGTAATGAATCACTGATTTGAAGCATTTCAATTCAATTCACACTTCAGAACTCCAAATTCCCTTCTCCTATTCTAGTTTACTTTCTCTCAAATTTTTTTCCCCTGGGTCTTACATTTCTTTCTGTCATTATTAATTTTAACTCACACTAACCCAGGTAAGTTTTATGGGTCAGTAGGGCAAAATGTTCTTATTTCGGTGATTAGACATCAAATATATACAAATTAATCCAAATTTTGTTGATCTTTTAATAATTTACTGCAACAGTGCTTGAGAGCCATAAAAAGTAATGACAGGAGTTTGCTTGAATTTAGAAATTCACTCACCAAAGTCATCCATAGTTTGTTTTACTGAACACTAAAATGAAAGCATGCTCCTATAAGTTACATTTCAAAAACTACATGGACTAAGTACTGCATAAAAATTATTTTAAATTCTTAGGAAAAACATACATAGGAGGAAGGCTTGAAGAAAATATATCAACCTAGAGATATTGGGTAGTGGCATAAGCATTTTGCATTTTTTCCTTCCAAATTTTATTTTAGGCTCAGTGGGATGCAGGTGTATGTTGTTACATGGGTAAATTGTGTGTTTTAGTGGCTTGATGTACAGATTATTTCATTACGCAGGTAACAAGCATAGTACCCCTTAGGGGTTTGTCATTCTCACCCTCCTCCCACCCTCCACCCTTAAGTGGGCCCTGGTGTCTCGTCTCCTTCTTTGTGTCCATGTGGACTCAGTGTTTAGCTCCCACTTATGAGTAAGAAAATGTGATATTTGGTTTTCTGTTCTTATGGTAATTCTCTTAGGTAATGGCCTTCAGCTGCATCCATGTGGCTATGAAGGACATGGTTTTGTTCTTTTCACAGCTGTGTAGTATTCCATGGTGTATATGGATGATGTTTTCTTTATCCCGTCCACCTTGACGGACATCTAGGTTGATTCCATGTCTTTGCTATTATAAACGGCACTGGGATGAACATACGCATGCGTGTGTCTATGGTAGAATGATATATATTCCTTGGGTAGACACCCAATAATGGGACTGCCGGGTCTGCATTTTCTTCTTTGCTTACTTAGGTGTTTTCCAAAACTTCTACAATTGACATGTATTACTTTATGATCACAACAATTATTTAAAGGTTAATTTAATGAATTCTATGTTTTATAGATCAACTTAAATTCTCTATTCAAATAGTTTCTGAGTCAAATATATGAACTTACCAGGGTTACTCCTTCATCGTTTTTCTCATTGACATTTCCTCCAGATGATAAGAAGTGTTTGACATCTGTTAACATACTCATTGGTCTCTGAAGCTTCATCTGGCGCAGTGAGGTCAAATCCACTCCTGTGGGGAGAAAGAGCCTTTCAACCAGAATGGAGAGATACTTCTCAGTTCCTGGGGGTCAAAGCCTAGCTTTATAACCTATTCTTTCAATGTGTTTTTCTTTGAAGCTTCTCTTCCACTTTGAACACTCATTCAAAGAATTGATTATCTTTGTACATATTCTATTTCCAACTATAGTCTTTAAAAAATATAAAATTATCTCTTGTTATGTTTTTTTTTTTTTTTTTTTTGAGACAGAGTCTTGCTCTGTTGCCCAGGCTGGAGTGCAGTGGTGCGATCGCTGCTCACCGCAAGCTCCACCTCCCGGGTTCACGCCATTCTCCTGCCTCAGCCTTCTGAGTAGCTGGGACTACAGGCGCCCGCCACTGCGCCCGGCTAATTTTTTTTTGTATTTTTAGTAGAGATGGGGTTTCACGGTGTTAGCCAGGATGGTCTCGATATCCTGACCTCGTGATCCTCCCACCTCGGCTTCCCAAAGTGCTGGGATGTTATGTTCTAAAGTATGATATGATGCCTTATAATGGCAGGTTTTCAATTAATATCTGTTTTAGTATAAATCATCAACATACATTACTCAAAGTATTTTAAAGTACTTAAATGGAAACAAATAACAAAGATACAGTTTTTGATCTCTTTGATTTTTCTGGCCAAAATAGTTGCTCCTAAAAGCAATCTAGTATCCTGGAATAGAAGAAAAGACTTTAGGCTGGGCACTGTGGGTCACACCTGTAATCCCAGCATTTTAGGAGGCCAAGGTGGGCAGATCACCTGAGGGCAAGAGCTGAAGACCAGCCTGGCCAACATAGCAAAACCCCATCTCTAATAAAAGTACAAACATTAGCTGGTTGTGGTGGCAAGTGTCTATAATCCCAGCTACTCGAGAGGCTGAGGCAGAAGAATTGCTTGAACCCAGGAGGCAGAGGTTGCAGTGAGCCAAGATTGCACCACTGCACTCCAGCCTGGGCACCAAGAGCAAAACTCCATCTCAAAAAAAAAAAAAAAAGACATTAGTATAAAAACTGGAAAACTATGAATAAAGTCTGTAGTTTAGTACAGTTAATATTGTCCCAATGTTAACTTTTTAGTTTTGATAAGTGTACCATGGCTATGCGAGTGTTAACATTAGGGGAAGCTCTGTGGAGGGCATTTGGGAACTCTGCGCTGTCTTTAGACTTTCTTGTAATCTAAAATGATTTTAAAATAAGTTTTTAAAAATGATGCATCAGTTGAACATTTCATGACTACTAATGTTAATAAAGATAACTAATATTGAGTGCGGAATCCACAGTCTGACTTCACCCAGGTGGGTAGGTGGTGCACAGAAGGCTCAGGTCTATACCTCTACTCAGCATATATTTTAACCTGAAGTTTCATGATGTTTCATCTGTGGCTGTGTCTCTTCATTGATGTGTCCCCTATTCCTAGCATTGGTTCCTGAACAAAATATGTATTTACTAAGGAGAATTAATTCATCTTCTTCCAAGGGAAAAATGATAATGATGGTGATACCTCCCTCACAGCAAGTGTTTGCTATGAACCAGCCACTCTTCTGAGCACTTTGTCTCTTATCTGATTTCATCCTGGCAGCAAACATCAAGAGAAAGCCTAGCACAGCGGACCCAAGAATACACTCTGGATTGATGCTCCTGAACATGACTGTCTGTAGTTTCCTTCCTCAGGTTGACTCTGCGAAAGTTATTTAAACTGTGTGGGCTTCAATGTGCTTAGTCCCTCAGATAATAGTTCATACTTTTAAGATGTAGCTCTATAGCAGAAACCACATCAAGCGTGTTGCATATCTGGTATCTTTTCTCCCCATGGGGCACTTCAACTCTGCCTCGTGCCACAGCTCCTTCTCCGAGCCTGGATGAGCAATAGAGAAGAGGAGCTCTGGACTCAACCTGCTTGGGTGTTAGTGCTGTGTGTATCAATGACTACTTGTGCCAATGTGGGCAAGTAACTTATCCTCTGCCTCTGTTTCTTCAACTGCAAAATGGTGTTGATAGTATTTGATTTGTCCGTTGCTTGATAGTAAGTTAAAACACATAAAACATATAATATGTATTTAGCTTTCAGTAAGCACTAAATAAAAGTGATCTGTGATTAGTCAGCTTTCTAACATGTGTTTTTCATGCCTCTCATTTAGGTGTGTCATATACTATTATTTGGTCATTTAGGAGGCATGGAGTAACCAAACAAAATAAAGCAAAATGCAGTATTTGAATAATGTATCTTGTTTCAAATATTCTGTTCAAACTAGTCCATTTTAGTAGAAACATGAAATAGAAACACCCGTGACCATTCCTCAGCTTCTGAATCATGGACATGCCATTTTAGAACTAACATTTCCCTTATAGAGTCATTTGAGGTCTGTTATGAACCAGCTAAAACTGTCACTTATTCTGACTTTTAGGATTATGAAATTTCATGTGTGATTTTATTTTGGCAAATATCATTTCTCAGATGTCAGCCTTCAATTTTGCATGCTAAAGTAGCACAAGAATCTGATAGTCACTCTTAAGTTATTTTGTTAACTTTTAGGATGTTACAACGTCTACTAAAGTTGTATGTATCTTTTATATAATTATGTATTTAAAATGGAGTGATAAAAACACAACAAGATTAAAAACAAGTAACAAATTAAAACAGAGATAAGACATCACTCACTGCAGACTCATTTTATTAAGAAAATATATCTATTTCTGGTCCCTGTTGTGAAGACATCACAGGGGAATATTATTACATTGTATCCTAATATTTGAAAACTTAATTTTGAATTAGATATGATGCCAATTAAAATGTGAATTTTAGATTTTTTTAAAATATATATTCAGGAAAGTAGCCCAAATCACTTTTGGTTAATACAACACAACAGAAACTCCCTCTCTTCGTTGTCAAACAAATTTCTTTAATGCTCCTGGATAAAACCAACCAAGATGGATATAGCCCATAAGTCTACGTTGTAACGGATAATGGGTCCATTCTCATTTATGTACAAAATATAGATTTTCGTATTGTTTTTTGAAAACAAATTAATGGAAGGTCCATTTAGATTTATTATTTTGAAAGAAATTTAGTAATTTATTTTAATATAAGAATTAAGAAACAAAATAATTTACCTGAAATCCACACATTATTACTTGTGATATTATTACTGCCTGGTTTAATCTGATAATATCAGTGGATACTTGGGCAAAACTGAAATTACGTCAACTCCCGAAGTCAATCTGAACCCTAACTTAACTTCCCTTAACCGTCCCTCTTAAGGTAATATTGTTTTTGTAAGAATTCAACTTTTCCTTTTCTCTGATGATATTAGGGCTACTCTTTGCCGCTATTGTGATGGTTTTATGACCATGCTGAGCTGCACAGCTGCGCGCTCTCCCGAGTTGTGGGAGGATCTGCGCCACCTCTCTTCCGTGGCTTTTCCAACCTTCTTGCCTTTGCTTATGCTACTCCCTATGCCTGGGTCAGACCACCACGGTTGGTTTCCCTAGGGTAACCCAGCCCCTCACCTTCAGCTTAGTGTAGGTGACACTTCTGTGATGCCTTCTGTGGTACTTGTAAGGAAAATCATATCCTTCCTCCTTGGTGTTTTTATAAGATCCGCATATGCCTTATTTTTATTCATTATCATATGCCATTGTATCATCATTTGGTCATACATAAAACATCATTTTTGCCCTCAAAAAGGAAACAAAGCTAAACAGGCATTTGCAATTCACTATAATATGACCTATCCCATGATTTTAGCATGGGATCCTCTGTGCTCATAGAACTGCCACTAACCCAAATTTTTATCTTCATAATAAGTGTTCTAAGAGATGCACAGAAGTAAAAGAGCTGAGCAGGCAAATAAAGTAGTTCCAGCAAACAGAAATAAACAGGAAGGGTGCAGCTACCCTCTACCCATTGCTTTCTCCCAACCCTAACAGCAGGCACGACTTGCGACCATCTTATGTAGTCATGCAGACTGTAACCCCAACTATGTATGATTTTGAAGAGGCTGGTGCAGGGACAGCATTTCAAATAAACTGCCTTAAACAAAAGAAAAACACATGACATTCATGAACTGATTCACCTGGGAGTCCTCTGAAAAATGAAGGGGGAGGGCTAATACTGGGGGCAAGAAGACCAGTTTTGGAAGCTACTGTAGTAATGTAAAATAGAAAGACCAGCATGTTAATTAAGGCAGTGACAGCATGATTTGTGATCTGGGTGGACATATTAGAAGGATATCAAATAAGGAGAATCTGTAAGAATTGGCAACAATCAGACATGACGATATGGGAGAAGAAAAGTGATGTTCCTGGTGATAATGGGAAAATATGAAATACACACAGTGAAAGGACAATAACACATTCCACAGAGACATGTTGTTTCAAACTATCTGACACTCAAGTCGAGATACTTAATAAAACTGCGTATGCAGGAGTGAAGGTCTGGAAAGATAATTAAGCTACAAGGATATTCTTGAGAACCAGCAAGTGGTAACAACACAAGCAAAAGGGTGAGACAACCCAGCAACAGCATGGAGGGACATGGAAGATTCTCAAAGACAAAGCCCCAGGAGGGACCAACATTTAGCAATTTGGACAGACACGGGAAGCATTCGAAGGAAACCTAAGTAGAAGCTCAAAGAGAGGAAGGAAAACTGTGGGAAGATGGCAGGAGAGAGACTGTTCCTAAGAGAGTGTCACAAAGGTCATCGAATGTCAAAGAGAGATAAGGTAATAAAAAAGGAAAGAAAGCTATCACTGGATAGAAAACTAAGGAAGGTAATAGCAATTGTTGCAAGGGCATTTCCAATGGGTTTGTAGGTTTAGAAACTGAACTTCAGTGGGCTGAACCACAGGATACTAGGAACTCAATAAAATAAATGTGAGCTATGACTGTTAGAAGAATGGGTTTGAAAGAAGAAACGACAGTGAATGGTGGTGTATGCAGAGCCAACTAAAGCTTTTGGTGTCTTTCAGGGACATGAATATTTCTGTATGTGTGTGTATAATGTATCCATTATGCTGATCTTTTGTCCTGGGTGCTCCTTGGGCTCTCCTGTCAGTGCTTTCTTTCCATGCTGGCTCACTTTCTAATCGACTGCCTTCCTTGCATGCCAGCTGGTTCTCCTTGCACTAGAGATCTAATATTCATCAAATGCTCCATCAGCTCTCCGTGGTTGTCTCATTTCACAGCCTGGCAGGCTCAGGCAGTGAGCCGAGGTTAATTGCTGTCCCCGAGTTTACAGTGTAAGTCGGTGGTGACAGCACAATTAGGACTTGTGACCAGCGAGTTTCCATGTAATCAACTTGTTCAAGACGTTGCAGCCTCTTCTGCCACGTGCATCCTGATGTGACAGGTGATAAGTACTCGGATGCGAAACTGCACAACGCAAAATGAAAATTCTAAGATTGCAACCACCTGGTTATAAAAAGGCGATGCTGAAATACCCAGAGCCAAATAATAATAAAAATCTCATCTTGAAATAGTAGGAATTTCTAAAGACATCAGCCCATGCTGTCACAATAGATAACTGTAAAAGTACACCAAGCAGAGGGCCAGAGAATAAATCGAATTAGACAGTATTTACTGGGAATGGCGGCAGATGATGGAGATAGTGGGAGGAAGACCAACATAAGCAGAAGCAGATTGTGAATGAGCTGAGGGAAGGGCAGATGGATGTGAAGGCATGGGCCAGAGCGACTGCAGTGACAAATGGCAAACAGAATTAAAAATTTAAGAGATATTAAATTGAGTTTGTTCCAGCAAACATGTATTTAACAAGCTGACTGTGACAGCCATAGTAGTGACAGATTTTCTACCAGCCATTTAAGAGTTAGTACTTTCCTCTTGTTTTGTTTTGTTTTGTTTTGTTTTTGCATACTCCTTTTTAATATCAGCCTCTCAAAGGAACACATTTATTTTTATTCTTTACATAGGATATAAAACACTGATCTTGCAATACTAAAATTTCCTATCAAACGAAATGCTGTAATGAGTTGGAGAGGTTTATAAGCAATGTGAATGCATTTGCAAATAAATGTCGTTTTATTTTCTAAAAGAAACATTTATTACTGTAGCTTTTAAAAATTCAGAACAACAGAAAAAGCAGGAAATAATAACATAGAACTGGCACAGCTAAACAAAACATGGTCAAGTACTTTTTAAAAATTTGACATCACTGGTTTTATTTTTTTAAACCATTCATTGCAGTATGACCAACATACCAAAGCTGTACATATTTATTGTATACAGCTTGATGTTTGTAAGTATACATCCCTGAAACCATCACCACATTATATGCCATAAATATATCCATCACCTTCAAATTTCCTCCCACACTCTTTATTTACTGTTATTTTTACTATTATTTGGTGATAACACTTAACATACAAACTATGATCTCAGCAAATTTCAAAGTATGCAATACAGTATCATTAACTATAGGCACCATTGCGCCAAGTTTTTCATGTCAATTCACAATTGCAGGCCACATGCGAAGTCTGGCAAGGATCCAAATAATTAACTTCCCAACTAAGAAGTCTGTATAACTTCAAGCTTCATTCCCTTTAGAAGTAATGGAATCTGCCTCCTACGAGGCACAGCTAACAAGACTTGGAGAAAGTGAGTGAGCGTTCCCACAGGTGACAGTGCCCAGGCACGACTGAGCTGCAGAGTGGTCAACTGAATGCACTGCTAACCCAACCCAGCTTGCTTCTGCCTGAGACCCCCACTTGGTGACGATGTGAGCAGCACGGCAATGCTCACATCATCCCCTGTCGTGGTAACCACACCTACCTTGCTTTCACAGAGAATAAGACTATTTTATCTGCGAACTCATTGCTGCTAAGTGCTAATTATTATTATTCTAAGCCATCCTCGGAATAAACCTTTTTCATAAAAGCAATCTGGAGGAGGCAGAGAGCACAAGGGAACAATGAGGCAGATGTGAGGTTTTCTTAGAGGCAAAAAGAGTATCTGCATAAGCTCCGTGTGGCTCTTAAAAACTGTAAACTTTTCTCTGGCCAAGGGTCATTTTGAAGGGATTGGAATTTCTTTATTGTTATTTATACCTAAACAGCAGGGGAAAAAAGGAGGGGCATAATTCTTTAGTTTAATACTATATTGTGCTCAGGGATTCTCATACCTCCCACTTTCCCAAGGCTGCACTTACTGATGAAATTATATGCTGGACCTGTATAATTAAACATCCTTTGTCGGTGAATGCATTTAGGGGCTCAGCCTCATCTTTTCAGGCTAGCATCATGGCCATAGGGCTTTCTTCTGATGACCTTTGTGTTCTAAAGTGTCACAAAGGGTCGATTTGCAGACAAGTGTCCTTGACTTAAGCCCTCACTTCCTTGCCTCTAATTCCAGCTAGGACCACCTGCTTCTAAGAGAATACACTTCAGATGACCTTGTTCTCATTAGCTCAAAATTCAATTGTGTTGGTTGACTTCCCTTCCCCTCCCAGGGGAGAACAGATTATAATTACAAACCCAGTCCCACTAATTATGGACTTTAGATGCCTGTTAAAATGTCCCTTCATTGTTGGCCTCTAGATTTCTGCTGGCTTGCAAAAAAACCAGCATTGACTAAACCACAATGCAGTGCAGTGAGAGCAATGGAAAGCTGAAGGGAAAAAATACCATCTTCTACACCACGTGCGGAAACTACATCCATCGGAAATCATGTAAGCAAACCTGTGAAAATGAATACACACTTACAATTCTCCCAATCTATTTTTTTCTATGGTTTTAAAAGTTTTTGCCTACCATTTTCATCCAGATAGGTCAACAGGATAGAGCTGGATTCTGTCCCTTCTACAGCATAATCTAATGGGATATTTCCATTCACATCCTGGAGAAGGACATTGGCTCCAGCCTAGATAAAAAGAAAAAAATATAACATCATATATACTGTTTAAATTAAAAGCAGATTAGGAGTTGTACTTCAATCTTAGTTGGGAAACAGATGCAGAAATAGTCTACGGTAGATATCACCCTGAAGAATCGGGTAGGAAGCTCGAATTATTTTTTAAGACAAATATATTAAATGACTTGTGGAGACTCTAACGTTCTGAAAACCTTCCACTGACTCTTGCAAAACTTTGGCCCCAGCTGCCTCTCCTCACCCCTTTGCTAAACCCAGCATCTCTAGTGTGTGGCTGCAAACCCATGCCTCTGTGCTGGCTGCCCTATATCCTGTCTTGTTTCTAATATAATAGAGGTGTCTGATGCCTTCAAAGATTCTGAAAGAACTCTTCAAGGAGCAAGCTGAACTTTGGCCAAAGTTCCCCAATCTGTCCTATCAAATCTTTAACCTCCTTTTTCTCCACAGAAACTCATCTGGGAGCTCTTCTCACACTACGACATTTTAATCAAGGCCTGTGTTAATGACTACAGGCTGATTTTTCTCTTTCCAGCAACTATCTTCTAACAAAAGGCATGATCTGTAAATCTCAATGGGCTGACTGTATTAAATATGGCCATTCCATGTTTTAGCTTCCAAGGTCCCTTCATCAGCCCAGCACCTCTGGGCACTCTGTTTCACCCCTTGCCCCTCTCAGCTTCAATACAATGGTAGATTTGCTTGCACTCTTCAGGAATCACTCACATGAACTGTCTCCATTGCCCCACATTCCCTAATGAGCTCCATAAAAATGTATCAGGCATGGCTAACATCACTTCTTTTAGGGCATGGCGTGAACATATGCCCATTGTCCAAGATTTCCCACACACCTCCCAGTAACATGTCATTAAACTCAGGCCAGACAAAGGAAAGTTTTCCCCGTTCCTTTTACAAAATAGTATTCTGTGTTGCAATACTAGCATAGTTCTTATATACCAATTTATAACTTTACATAAAATATGATTCACATTTAAAATTTTATGTGTTAATATTTAGAGTTTTTTCTATTATTCTTTATTTGCAAAGAGATTTTCTATACTTTAGCAAGTCTGCACAGATTTCCAAAGAACGGCTCTAAATATATTATTTTTAAAAACCCAAAACAAACAAAAAAGTAGCTTAACGTGGTAAAATATTCCGTATCTTAACATTTTCCCCCAAGATAAGTTGAGTTTCTTATCTCACTATATTGAGTGTACTATGCTATATTTTCTATAACCATGTAAAGATATTACTTTATCTGAACAAAGCAAGTCATATATTTCAGATGTTTTACTTATCTAAGGACCTTTATAATTTTAAGGTCCTCAAGATTCAAATTATCTTGTTAGTGCATTTAGTTTTATTTTAATTATTCAGAGTTTGAAAAAAAAAACCCTGACTTCAGGGATATTCTTCAGTAGACTTTGCTAATGATTCTTTTCCTTTAGTCTCCAAGCTGCAAGAATAAGATTTTGTGTTCCTGTAACGAACACGGCAGTGCTTTGGTCAAGGATAGGCAGGCCGAGGTAAACATCCAGAGTGACTCAGTGAGTTTAGAGCACAGCACAGGCATATAACTCTGCTTGTTATCACAGCCATGTAGCCATAACATGGGAAGGCCATGCCTTGGCCCTACATCACTATTGTCTGTAGAACATATGGTTGCCTGCTGACACTGTACAGGCGCTGTATTGGTTCATTTTCACACTGCTGTTAGAGACATACCCAAAACTGGGAACAAAAGGAGGTTTAATTGGACTCACAGTTTCACAAGCCTGGGGAGGCCTCAGAATCATGGCAGGAGGCGAAAGGCACTTCTTACAAGGCGTCAGTAAAATGAGGAGGAAGCAAAAGCAGAAGTTCCTGATAAACCCATCAGATCTCATGAGACTTATTCACTATCACGAGAATAGCATGGGAAAGACCGACCCCCATGATTCAATGACCTCTCCCTGGGTCTGTCCCACAACACGTGGGAATTCTGGGAGATACAATTCAAGTTGAGATTTGGGTGAGGACACAGCCAAACTACATCATTCTGCCCCTGGTCCCTACAAATCTCATGTCCTCACATTTCAAAACCAATGATGCCTTCTCAACAGTCCCCCAAAGTCTTAACTCAATTCAGCATTAACCCAAAAGTTCACAGTCCAAAGTTTCATCTGAGACAAGGCAAGTCCCTTCTGCCTATGAGCCTGTAAAATCAAAAGCAAGCTACTTACTTCTTAGATATAATGCTGGTACAGGCATTGTGTAAATACAACCATTCGAAATGGGAGAAATTGGTCAAAACAAAGGGGTTACAGGGCCCAAGCAAGTCTGAAATTTAGTAGGGCAGTCACATTTTAAAGCTCCAAAATGATCTCCTTTTACTCCAAGTCTCACATCCAGGTCATGCTGATCTAAAATGTGGGTTTCCATGGTCTTGGGCAGCTCCACCCTGTGGCTTTGCAGGGTTCAGCCTCCCTCCTGGCTGCTTTCACGAGCTAGTGTTGAGTGTCTGTGGCTTTTCCAGGCTCATGGTGCAAGCTGTCAGTGGACCTACCATTCTGGGGTCTGGAGGATGATGGCCATCTTCTCACAGCTCCACTAGGCAGTGGCCCAGTAGAGACTCTGTGTGGGGGCTCCAGCCCCACATTTCCCTTTTGCACTGCTGTAGAGGTTCTCCATGAGGGCCTCGCCCCTGCAGCAAACTTTTGCTTGGGAATCCAGGTGTTTCCATACACCTTCTGAAATCTAGGCTGAGATTCCTAAACCTCAATTCTTGACTTCTGTCTACCTGCAGGCTCAATACCACATGGAAGCTGCCAAGGCTTGGGGCTTCCACCCTCTGAAGCCATGGCCCAAGCTCTACATTGGCCCCATTCAACCATGGCTGGAGCAGCTGGGACACATGGCACCAAGTCCCCAGGCTGCAAACAGCACGGGGACCCTGTGCCTGGCCCATGAAACCACTTTTTCCTCCTGGGCCTCTGGGCCTGTGATGGGAGGGACTGCCATGAAGGTCTCTGACATGGCCTGGAGAAATTTTCCCCATTGTCTTGGGGATTAACATTAGGCTCCTTGCCACTTATGCAAATTTCTGCAGCCAGCTTGAATTTCTCCTCAAAAAATGGGTTTTTCTTTTCTACCACATCGTCAGGCTGCAAATTTTCTGAACTTTTATGCTGTTTCCCTTTTAAAAAGGAATGCTTTTAACAACACCCAAGTCACCTCTTGAATGCTTTGAAGCTTAGACATTTCTTCTGCCAGATACCCGAAATCATCTCTCTCAAGTTCAAAGTTCCACAAATTTCTAGGGCAGGGGCAAAATGCCACCAGTCTCTTTGCTAAAACGTAACAAGAGTCACCTTCACTCCAGTTCCCAATAAATTCCTCAACTCCATCTGAGGCCACCTCAGTCTGGAACTTATTGTTCATATCACTATCAGCATTTTTGTCAAAGCCATTCAACAAGTCTCTAGGAAGTTCCAAACTTTCCCACATTTTCCTGTCTTCTTCTGAGCCCTCCAAATTGCTCCAACCTCTGCCTGTTACCCAGTTCCAAAGTTGCTTCCACATTTTTGGGTATCTTTTCAGCAATGCCCCACTCTACTGGTACCAATTTACTGTATCAGTTCGTTTTTACACTGCTAATAAAGCCATACCTGAAACTGGGAACAAAAGGAGGTTTAATTGGACTTACAGTTCCACATGGCTGGGGAGGCGTCAGAATCATGGCAGGAGGTAAAAGGCTCTTCTTACATGGCAGTGGTAAGAGAAAATGAGGATGAAGCAAAAAGGGAAATCCCTGATAAACCCATCAAATCTCATGAGACTTCTTCACTATCATGAGACCAGCACAGGAAAGACCGGCCCCCAGGATTCAATTACCTCCCCCTGGGTCCCTCCCACAAGAAGTGGGAATTCTGTGTGAGATACAATTCAAATTGAGATTTGGGTGGGGACACAGGCAAACCATATCAGGCATGCTTGCTCCCAGAGAAAGACAGTAAAAGAGCCAGAGCTCTCTGTCTTTGGAGATGAACAGAGGGGAGCCAGGGCCAAGCTTGGCTCGCTAATGCCCAGAGAGAGAAAGAGTTAAGCTACTGACCCCGAAGGCAATGGAGAACCGGCCGTGCAGCTGTGCATGGGAGTTGGCTGGACCAAGCAGCTGAGACAGAGCAAACTGTAAGAGAGCTGCTGCTGAGAGAGCTGCTGAATAAAGCCATATTTCACCTACCTATGCCACCCCACCTCCCTAGTGTTCTTTCAGCTATCTGCCATTCATCTACCCACTGCCCTCAGACCTCAGCATAGGCTGGAACCTGGACTTAAACCTGACAGTTTCTGTTCAAATATCGACTGCTAAACAATCAATTAACAACAGACAGAACTGCAGGGATGCCATTACTGTTTTCAATAATTAATTGTAAAATCTACCGCACTCCACTTATCAGTGGTAGAGAATCCTTCCCAATTCATAAATGTTCCCAGTGAAATACTATATATGCGAAACACCTGGGCACAGGTGATAGTGAATACAATTAGGAGTCATGTATTCTTAATTACAACAAAACAAATAGAAAAGGAACTTGGCATTGAAAGAGATGTACACTTAGAAAGAATATTGTCTGTGCTTAAAGAAGTCATCAGGCTCTTTTAGAGAAATTCTGCACCTGAAGCGTGGGGCTGAATAATTTAGCTGGGGTCATTTACTGAAGTTTCAACTTATGAGTCACTCATTCTTCTGTGCTGCTAAGTTACCTGGTATTATTCCCAATATAGAAGCCGGCCTTATTACCTGGTATTATTCCCAATACAGAAGCCGGCCTTTCTGAGAGTTGCTAACTTTCTTGCTCACAGATCTTGTTTTCATCTCCTTTCTGTTCCCAACACCTACCATAGTGCCTGGTGCATGTGAAGTGCTAGAAAAGATTTATTGAAACGTATTCATAATAGTCAAAAACTGAACTTAAACTAATCATTAAAAATTAAGGCAAAGAATTATAATTTGTACGGCAATTCTTTTTAACTAAATTTTCTGACCTTCCTTTTCAAGGGTTTATATAGTTACAAAATCACTATACTCCTACTTACCTTACCTACCTTCAATCATTCCAGATAGATATTTGTGAGAGACTCCTTCTTTCCTTCTCTCCCTCCCTTCCTTCCTTCCTCTCTTTCTTTTTCTTCTTCCCTTTTCTTTTTCCCTCTCTTTGTTTAATTGAAGAGATGCAAAAAGCCTAATGAATGAGTCGGTCACTGGGCAGTTTTTTTTTTTTTTAAATCAGACGTCAGTAATTTTATGACTAACATACCTGAGAGCTCATGGTCTTCAATCTTCCATGATTACTAACTTTCCCAACATTTGAAAAAAATGCCTTGCTTTCATTCTTTAAACTACACAAATTCATTCTAATATATCTTCATTTTTCTTCTAAATTTTAAGCCCAGGGAGTTGTTTCTCATACTGCCTTTGTGATGGCACAAACTTTGGCTAAACAAAAAATGAAAAATAATGTTGCTACTGTTTCTTTGAGCTGCCACACATGACACTTAACCAAAAGGAAAGGACGCTTTGCTCTTCTTACCCCACCATGGTAATCCGTGGTCAATGAAGCATTTCTGCAATTTATGGCTAGGTGCTTTGCCTCTGTCAGAAAGCCTGAAACTTGAAAATGAAATAAATGATTTCAGGCTCCATGTTGTGCCCATCATCAATTAAGGATCAACTCCAGGTCGACCCATGTTTTGCTCTGTTTTCTTGATCCTGGGGCTGGGCCTCCGGAGGGTCCTCCTTTACCAGCTGGAACGGTGTTGGGTCTGTCAGTAGAGGGCCCTGGAGGGACACAGCAGGAAGAAGGGGCTTCTTGTGGTTCTTGCCAGAGAGCCCCAGGTCTCCTTGTCACTGGCGTGTGGGAGACCCAGGGGCGCACGTCCCTGGGCGAGTTTCCCTAGCAGCCCAATGGCAAGTTTCTCTTGTATCCTAGCAAATGGCCCACCCATTTATATTAGCCTCCCAGCGAGAAGCTTCCTAGCATATTTTGCTGGTACCTGTTCCCTGCTTGCAGCCTAGGCCTGAGCCACCTCCCTGAAGCTTCTGGCCACCCTGTGGTCACAGCTGCACCCTCTCCAATGAGGTCTGACTCTCAGCCTTGGGGGAGGGGTCACTTCCAAGAAGGCTCCTCCCCAAAGTTGTCTCCTTCAGCCCCAGAAGCAGTATCTGCTCCCTGAATCTGCTATTCCTGCATTCTTCAGTTATCTTGATCACATTAAATAGTTTTGTTTGTTTTTTTACTAGTTAGTAGTTATTTATCATCAATCTTTCTTTTTCAAATGATTGGTGGTAATTCTGGATCCTGGCTGGATGCTAACAAGACACCTTTCAAGAATGGGGTGGTCCCAGGCCCTCAATGATAGGATTTGGTGAGGGGTGTCGTTAGCCTAGTGTGAGTACACTGCTGAGGCGCATGCCAGTGGGAAACAGGATCTTAGGAAACCCCCGCTTGGATTACTAAAATAATCAAGGTAATCAAGCTGTTACCTGTGGTTGACTGTCCTGAAGGGTAAACTGAAGCAAGTGTCTTGGGAGTTATTTCTGCCATAGTGGCCAAGACTCTGGCACTCGGCCATTATGGCAGAAATAATGATGACAAGGACTGTGGTGTGTCATGGCATCCCCCCACGAGTGCAGTGGAAGTCTTACAAACAAACAAACAAACAAACAACAGATAAGCCAAGGCCAAGTCCTTTAACCATAAGCTCAAGTCATAATAGGAGAACCAGAGAGGTTCTATGCCAGCCTTGGAAGAATTTTTCATATTGAGAGTTCATATTGCTGACTGTTCAATACAAAATTTAATGTAATTGTGTAGGTTGCTGAAGTACCATGTCCAGTGAATTCACTGTCTTATCAAATTATTTTCTGAAAGTTCTTGTTAATTGCGATGGACTAGTGTCCTGAGACCTGAAATGGCAATATCTGGTTAGACTCCAGTGAAACAGAAAAAAAATATATATTTTTTTAGATGGAGTCTCGCCCTGTCACTCAGGCTGGAGTGCAGTGGCGCGATCTTGGCTGATTGCAACCTTCGCCTCCCGGGTTCAAGCGATTCTCCTGCCTCAGCCTCCCAGGTAGCTGGGACTATAGGTGTGTACCACTACGCCCAGCTAATTTTTGTATTTTTAGTAGAGACGGGGTTTCGCCATGTTGGCCAGGCTGGTCTTGAACTCCTGACCTCAAGTGATCCACTTGCCTTGGCCTCCCAAAGTGTTGGGATCACAGGCATGAGCCACTGCACCCAACTGTGAAACAGACAATCTTGAGCCCTGAAGTCACCCTGAGTCTTCCTCGCCAGGGGAAGCAGCTTGACCTCCTGTGACTGAGGAGATGTCCCATTGTTCACTGAAAAACTGTGATGACTTCACCGGGAAAAAATGCCTTGAAAGAGGATACTTATTTTCTTCTAGTCCCACCGTAACTACCCCCTGTTTCTGCTAGATTCATGCCTAGAGTGAAATCCCAGTATCGTCTGGGGAAAGTAAATATTAGGACTCTGCAGGAGGCCGCTGACTCATCAAGAGAACTGAAAGATTTTACATTTATATGACATATATCTTTCTCTAGGAGCCAGAATTTCCACCAATAATTTTAACAAGAGAGACTGGATATGAATAATTAACGAGTAAAAAGGAAATAACTACTGAATGTAATCTGGAGAACTCTGAAGAATATGGGAATAGCAGATGCAGGGTGCAGATATTACTTCTGTGGCTGAAGGAGACATTCCCCAGGTATGAAGGTATGTATGCAAAAATGTTAACATACCTACATACCTGGGGAACACAGGTAAACGTGGATTCTTACAACATTAGACAAACAAGGGCAGAATATTAATTCACTGACATTGGACCACTTAGAAGAGATTTCAGATTTACAGTGGTGGCTCTGGCAGTTGAGGGAGGAGAGGCACTGCAGGAGGAACAGGCTCCTCTCACTGGCCCAGGATGTTCCTTCTTGTTCTTGCCCACTGTGGTGGGTACCCAGTGGTGCACACCCTCCAGCCAGGTTTGCTGCCACTTAGCCAATAGCTTCCTGATTGCCAGAACCAGCCTCCGTGAATTTCCCCACCATGCAGAGGCCACTGCCACATCCTCTCTAAAAGGGTCTACATTTCAATCCCTGAGGGTCCTCTTCCAGATACTCTCCCCGATGTGGGGAACAGTGGCTGCTTCCTATATCTGTTGTTCTGTTAGTTTTCAGCATTATCTTTACCCCCCGCCTTTGTAATTAATCTACCTTTATTAGATAATATTAATATTAAATGCATCCTATTCAAACTACCTTCTTTGGTGGACTTTTTGTCTTCTACTGGACGCTGGCTAGTACCTATGTCGTGCCTTTCTATTAGAAAGTGAGTATTGCACAGTAATACAGAGTTAATGGTTTGAGATTCAATCCCGGTGCCCCTCCTCATGAACTTTACGGCCTAGGGCAAATTCTTAAGGGTTTTATGCCCCAGTTTCCTCGGAGGTAAAAGCAGGCTATACTAATTATAAGCACCACTTGGAAAGGTGGCATGCAGGAGACTCATGGCACTTTGCATGTATGCTTCTAGGTACACACAGCCTATCTTAGCTATTGCATTTAACAAATGTGTTAAGCCACAGACACAGACTCTGTGTCTGTGATGCTCTCAAGGCATACACCCACTGTTCTCCACCCAGAGGCAGCATAGCTGAGCGTTTAAGGACACAAATCCAGTTCAAATCTCTGCTCAAAACTTAACAGTCACGTGACCTTGGAGAAACTGCTTGCCCTCTCTGTCTTTAATTCTCCCAGAGTTGTTGTGAAGATAAAACGGGTTAATGCTGGTAAAGTATAAAAAATCTTGATAATATATTACTGGTGCAAGGATAGCTCTGTATCAGGCTTTAGATAATAGGCTATAGTGCAACCTGCAAAATGGCCAGTGTGTCTTTTTAAAAATATCCAGTTTTCCTGATATTAAAACTCAGGAGGGCATTGTAGGTGCCTATTTGAAGCAGTTTTATTGGAGTGCTACAGATAAGGATACACGCATGTACAGACAGACACCCATTGGCATAATACTCCATTAAGGAATATAGGAAATAATCGAAATGCTTACTGTGCCTATGGCAAAGCTTGAGCCGCCATCCGCCATTCATTAGGTAGCTAACTATACCAAGGAGGTGTGAACTGAGGTCAAAAGGTCTAGAGCTTGTGGAATGGTGTTAACAGTGGGCCTCTGGAATCTTCTAGACTAGGCCAGTGGTGTCTCTCTGTATCCACCTCTCTATGTAATCTATGCCTTAGTTTCCCATGCTTTTTTCTGGATGCCCCTGACTTCCCAATTCATGCTATGTGCAGAGTCCTCTGTCTCGCCTCCATGAATAAAAACAGATTCTTCCCATGCCCTGTTGTGAAAAAGGTAAGTGTCCTTAGGAAAGCTGGCCATGATATTTCCCACAATTGTGTAAAATATTTGCATTTGGAGATAACACCTTGATACAAAGGGGATTCTTTGAAGCTGGGAATGTAGATTCCTTGGCAGGCTAGAGTAAAATATTTTACCAAGTGAAGCTTTTGCTGTTTCTCAGGTTATAACAATTCATGGAAGTTGTATAGGCAAAACCCGCCCCTTTGAGACTCAGGGATTTCAAACCCATTTTTGCACTGGACGAAGGCATGATAGAGGACAAAGCTAAGGTGACGTGCTTCGAATACTCCAAAGAGCCCCAGAAAACTTGATTAATGTCTCACCCTCGCACATGTGCAAACACCATAATTCTTCCCGTTGAATGAATTAATTGCATTTCAGGTTCCTTACTTGTACTGCACATTGAGATTACTGTGTGCACCGCTCAGAAGACCCACAGCTGATTTTTGGCATCACTCTAGCTAACTTAGAAGTAAATGCGCAATTTTAGCTGGTAATGGGTCCCACTGGAACTAAGGAGCTGATGAGTTGCAAAGCAAGACTTCATCCAAATGTCAGAAAACCTCAGAAAATCTAGTTTTCAGCATATCAAAGGTGATATGACCCACGAGGTTAGGAATCAGTAGCATTTATAAGGTATTATGTTAGCTTTTATTTAAAAAAAACCAAAACTCCATTTTGAACCACTCAGGCATAGCAAATCTATCTACTAAATTTTGTGAAATGAAAACAATCAGATTCAATAATTTCTTTTGACATTGCCCATTTATAATGAGAATTAAAAAATCTATGTGTTCTACAATATAATTTTTCTCTTCCAAAATACAAACT
The DNA here is from genome assembly GCF_000001405.40 of Homo sapiens. Taxonomy (NCBI): domain Eukaryota; kingdom Metazoa; phylum Chordata; class Mammalia; order Primates; family Hominidae; genus Homo; species Homo sapiens. Next base: position 108,775,351 of record NC_000013.11, on the reverse strand, counting down.
TGATATTTTAAAATATCTTTTAAAAATGTTCTTTTTACATTTCAAATTTCATTCCTCTGAAGAAAGACTCCAGTATATAATTTTTCAGCTGTGAATAAAAAAACTGAGAGAAAAATGATTCTGAATCACTGTCCATATTGATTCCTTGAGTAAATGGATCAATATTTTCTGTACAGAATGAAGAGCCACACTAAACATTCACGCTGATGTTAATTTCATGTATTGGTGTGTGTATTTGACCATACACATGGTTGTTTTATTTCAGAGGATGAGAAGCAGGGGGAGTTGAGGGTTTCAGAGAAGATTTTCAATATAAAACAAATATCCAAGCCTAAACTTACTTCATAATACAGGAACAATAGCATTAGCAATCACTCTACATTTTCTAAATCTTAAGTAATATTTTTAAACGACTGAATGCTGTACTTTATAAGAACATATGGATTAGGAAGTGGGTGTGTGAAAAGGATACTGAAAGTGAGAATAAATGAAAAACATATATACTTTCTCATGATGTAAGAGAACATATTGATATTTGGTGCCTACTAACAGCCTAAACCTTAAGGGTTTGTGCACATGTGTGTGCACGTACATGTAATATCTTCATAATATATATTCTTACATCTAATCACTAGATGTGAAATTTCTCATACTGACAGTACTTGTTAGCCTTTGTCTTAGTGAAAGAAGTAATTCCAAATTTAGAAAAACCTTATGCAGCTCAATAAAAAAATGCTGTATTTGTACAACATAGACTGTAAGGCACGTCTCTAAGTTTGGCTCCGAAAAAAAAAATCAATCACATCATAATTGATTTTCATCAGAGAAATAAAATTAATCAATGTTATATGTGCAAAATCAATGCAACCCCTCAAATACTTTCTGCAGCTGAAGACTGCATAGTTCCTATAGGGAGCCCTGAGCAAATTTCTTGTCTAATTATTGAAACTGGAAGACTGCTTAACTTCCAATTTGTCCTAAACTATGTTTCTGGAGTGTTGGAGATGAAACTCAAATATATCATTCCCCACATGAAACTCAAATATATCATTCCCTACAAATGGAAATTTAATTTACCACATGCCATATGGCATATGAACCAAGAGGTGTATATTTCCCCAAGAATTTATTGGTTTATGTTATATAACAATTTAATCTCCAAGAATATACTTGTCAATTGTTTCATTTAGTTATAGTTCTCTAACACATTAATACTCACATTTTATTTTATTTTATTTTATTGTTATTTATTTTCATTTTTGAGACAGAGTCTCGCTCTGTCACTCAGACTGGAGTGCAGTGGCGCAATCTCGGGTCACTGCAACCTCCTCCTCCCAGGTGAAAGCGATTCTCCTGCCACAGACTCCCAAGGGCTTGGATTACAGGCACTCACCACCATGCCCAGCTAATTTTTGTATTTTTTAGTAGAGACAGGGTTTTGCTATGTTGGCCAGGCTGGAATAATCACATTTTAAGTGTGAATTATCTATCTAATGGCATTTTAGGAAACAAAGGCCACTTTTTTTTTTACATGCTAACACATTTTGGTAACTTTTTAAAATATAATTTCAAATTTATGGAAAGTTGCAAGAGTAATGCAAAGAACCCCTATGTACCTGTTATGGTTTGAACTGAAAGATATATTTAAGCCTTACCCCCAAGTACCTGTGAATGTGGCTTTATTTGGAAATAGGATCACTGCAGATGTAATTAGTTAAGATGAGTCACACTGGAGTAGGATGGGCCTTAATCCAATCTGACTAGTATCCTTGTAAGAAGAGAGAAATTTGAAAATGGACACACACGCAGAGGGAAGGCAGCCACGTGAGGATGAAGGCAGAGATTGGGGTGATGCTGTCACAAGCTGAGGAAGACCTGGGGCTACCAGGATCTTGAAGATGTGAGAGAGGGAGTCCCCCTAGAGATTTTAGAGGAATCACAGTGCTGACATCTTGATTTCAGACTTCTAGCCTCCAAAACTATACGAGAATAAATTTCTATTGTTTGAAGCCATCTAGTTTGTGGTATTCTATTATGGCAACCTTAAGAAACTATCACAATACTCTTTATCTAATACAACGGACTATATGTTTACATGTATAGAGATACTGCCCCAAATTTATATGCTAACATTTTAACTTCCAGGATTATGATGTCAGAAGGTGGGGCCTTTGGAAGATGGTCAAGTCATGAGGGTGAAGCTCTCAGGATTGGGATTGGTGCCTTTATAAAAGAGACCCTAAACGGCTCCCTCGCCTTTTCTACCATGTAAGGATACAGTACGAAGATAGCCAACTATGAAGACTAGGAAGTGGGCTTTCACCAAACATCAAATCTGGCACTTGATCTTGGATTTCCCAGCCTTCAGAACTGTGAGAAATAAGGTTCTGTTGTTTATAAGCCACCCAGTTTATAGTGTTTTGTTATAACAGCCCAAACAGACTAAGACATCCAAACTCACCCATCATTTATATTTTCCCCTATTTTTGTTCATGCTCTCTCTCCTCCTCCCTTTTCTTTTTTATCCTCCCCCGACACACATGCACAATTTTTGAACTGCTTGAAAGCGGGTTACAGGCATCATGCTTCTTTATCCCTAAATATTTTAGTATGTATTTTATAAGAACAAGGATATTCTCTTACACAACAGTGATCAAAACCAGAAAATTCAACATCAACATGTTGAATTACTTAAACCACAGTTAACATTCAAATTTCATTATTTTTTTCCAAGTATGCACTTGATCGCATTTTTTTTTTCCAAGGCTTAGGATGTAATTCAGGATCACCCATTGCATTTGAGGTCCTTTCTCTTTAGTCTCCTTCAACACCACATACCTATTAACATGGCCAAAACGTAGAACACTGATGCACCAAATGCTTGTGAGAATGTGGAGCAACAGACACTCTTTTTCATTGCTTGTGGGAATGCAAAATGGTACAGGCACTTTGGAAGACAGTTTGGTGATTTCTTTTCTTTTCTTTTCTTTTTTCTTTCTTTTGAGACAGGGTCTTGCTCTGTTGCCCAGGCTGGAGTGCAGTGGTGCTATCATGGTTCACTGCAGGCTAAACCTCCCAGGCTCTCCTGCCTCAGCCTCCCAAGTAGCTGGGACCACAGGTGTGCACCACCATGCTCGGCTATTTCTTTCTATGTAATATTTTTTTTGCAGAAACTGGGTCTCACCATGTTGCCCCGGCTTGTCTCTAATTTGTGGGCTCAAGCAATCCCTTCCTCATCTTCCCAAAGTGCTGGACTACAGGCATGAGCCACCCCACCAGCCTGGTTATCTCTTACAAAGTAAACCTACTCTTACTACATGACCCAGAAATCATGCCCCTTGGTATTTGCCCAAAGGAGTTGAAAACTTACATCCACACAAACACCTACACACAGATGTCTGTGTCAGCTTTATTTATAACTGCCAAAACTTAGAAGCAACCAAGATATCCTTTAGTAGCTAAATGAATAAAACTGTGGTACATCCAGACATTGGAATAGTAGTCACAGTTATACAAAAATGAGCTATGAAGCCATGAAAAGACATGGAGAAACCTTAAATGCATATTACCAAGTGAAAAAAAAGCCAGTCTGAAAAGTCTAAACATTGTATGATTTCAAGTATACAGCATTCTGGAAAAGATAAAACTATGGAGACAACAGAAAGATCGCTTGGTAATTGTCAGGAGATGGGTCGGGTGGTGATCAACGGACAGAGCACAGAGGGTTGTTAGGGCAGTAAAAACACTCCGCAAATTTCTGTACGGGTGGATCCATGTCACTGCATTTGTCCAAATCCATAGACTATGCACCACCAAGAATGAACCCTAATGTTAACTATGAACTTAGGGTGCTAACGATAGGTCAAGGTAGGTTCATCAGTTGTAACAAATGAACTACTCTGGTGGGGATGCTGGAAAGAGGCGAGGCTTTGCGTGTGTGGGGTCAGGGAGCACGTGTGAAATTTCTCTCAAATTTTGCTGTGAACCTAAAACTGCTCTAAAAAAAGTCTAAATAAATGATGGCATCTCACATAAAAGGAAAAGTAGAAAATAAGCTCTATGAGTGGATGTTTTATGCTTACATAGTTTTTCTCTCTCCGTAGCAAATTTTGTATTCATGCGCTAATAGAAAAAAGTGAGGACTACCCTCTCCCCCCGTGTATATATCTATATAGACATAGACTGATAAAGTGAGAACTATCCTCTACGCCCTACCTCTCCCCACTGAGAGGACAGTCCTCTGTTTTTATAGTCCTCCCCTTTATAGTCCTAAATATATACACTTTAGATCAGAAAATACGCCATTAGCATTTTGCAAGCTTTTATGTTAATAACACAGGGAATTGCATTGTGATACTAGAGGTTTACAAGTATCCACTTCATCTGGACCCAACTCTTTCCAACCTCATCATTTCCACTAGCCTATAGCTCACTCCATTTTAGAAAACTTGTTTTGTAACCAGTGAGAGTGTTCTTTGGTTAGTGGATGACCTAGACTTGTTGTCTAGGTAGGGGCTGATCTCACCACATTCGAATGTGTAGTCGTTGTCATTATGTGAGAAAAGTTCTTTATGTTGGAATTTATATTGGAAATGGTTCTTATTTTCTCACCTGGGCTCTCCTGGATTGCAAGATCTGTGAGAGAATATCCTTTGGGTGCTTAGGAAATAACTGTAAGTGAATAAATACATTATTTCCTCAGTGGCTTCATTTTCCTATGTACATGCCCCCAAAGAGAGTTATGAGGTGGTAACTTTGAGCTTTAAGATATGAACTGGAAAAGGCAAGCAGCCATGATCAGAGAGGCTAATGTGACAGTTTGGGAGATATTGCTGAGGAGGAGTTCACAGATTTTTTAAAAGGCACGAATGCCTCATAATTTTAAAACATCCCGATGAGGAAATTGTGTATTTAATATATATTTTACAGAAAGTTTAGAAAAGTTACCAGTTTATATAATTTGCTTTTATAAAATATTGCTTTTTTAAAGCTTTTAAAATTATTACATTAATACAGTTATCTGAAAATTTAAAGACAGTAAAAATAAAATAAAACAAATTTCTAATCTCTCCAAAGGTAAATACTATTAATATTTCAATGAGTTTATTTTTTATGTGTTCAGAGACATGCTGTAAGCATTCAATGCATATTCATTTATTGAAAATATTTATTGAGTGCATTTATTGAAAATAAATTGAGAATATTACATGCCTATAGTTTTATATAATCATTTTTTAGTAGTTTATCATCAAAATTTTCTTTCCCGTGTCACTAGGCAGTACCTAAATTACTACGCCACATTCCATTACATTTATATACCAATTCACTTAGCCATTTTATTTTTACACATTGATTTTTATACATCATTACTATAAATAACATTATTATACATATATCTAGGCAACATTTCCCTTTACCACATTTAAAGCGTTTCCATCACTAGAATTACTATTATACCAAATCATATAAAATTATTAGGGTGCTTAATACATTCTGCTTAAGTGCTCAGTGCCTCCGCCTCACTGACTTTTTAACCACCTAGTTACTTAGCCCCAGATAAGGAAATTCTTGATTTCTCTCTCTTGCCATACTTGTCAAATCAATCGGCGAGTTTGGCCTCCTCTTTCCTTCCTGATGAATCATACCTGACCATTCTCACCAACTGTCTTTCTAATCTGTTATTCCAGAACCACCCGGTCTTGCTCAGATTGCTCTAGCGGTTGCTTAACAGGTTTACTTGCTTCTAGTTTATCAAAACCACAGCCCCACCTCAAAACCTTTTGCAGAGTTAATTTTTCACAGAATAGCCAGAGGGATGTTTAAAAGACACTTTTCATTGCCTCCCCCTCTCAGTCAAAATCCACCATGATCCCCAGAATGAAAGCTCCCCTTTCCCTTGGTTTTCAAGTGTCTCTGTGGATTCAGCCTTCTGCTCCCAACCCTCTCTCTGAACTTCACACTTCCACCAGCCTCTAGCGTGCTCCATTCTGGCCACACAGATCTTCTCCTGTCCCTCACACACGTGGCTCCCACTGACTTTGTCCCTTCTGCCCCAACCTCTCTGGCCCATCCTGGTGCCACCAAGGGTGTCTTGGAATTGCTTGTTCCTTTACAGCTTCTTCCTAGAGCCACTCGTCCAAGGGCTTCTTTCCCTCACACCTCACTTCATATTCCCTTACCGTTCTCATTTCCTCCCAGCGATGGTTACTATTCAATGTTTTAAACACACATATGTTTACTAACTGATAGTATACCCTCCTGGATTGCAAGATCTGTGAGAGAATATCCTTTGGGTGCTGAGGAAATAACTGTAAGTGAATAAATACATTATTAATAATATTAACTAACATATTTATATTACTGATAATATATTAGAACAGTTTTTAGTTAGCATCTTTAATTCCAGGAAAAGCTACCTATTTCTTCACATGTTCATGGCCATTTGATTTCTTCTTTCATAAATTATCTGTTCAAGGGTTTTGGCTATTTATTTAAATATTAGGGTTGTGCTTGTTACTAATATTAAAAAGTACTTGTCAATTTTAAGCCCAAGCTGTTTGGAATGGCTGAGTGTTCAGACATTATAAACCATAAGACGAATATAATTTAACTTCATTTTCATTATGTTTTCCTCAAATATGCTCATCAAATGCATCACATTAATTGTTTTATTAAAACTCACTTCAAAGACGTATATTGGAAAATATTTTACACTATGTCTGTGTCCTATAAGGTTTTGGGGCATGTTAGCATATTAAGATCTTGGAAAAGCCCTGAACTTACAAAAGTAGTTTAAGATCTTTTCAAATATTATATTTTCAAATTAATTTGACCAAAATTATTCTATGTTTTGGAAATTCAACAATATTCACTGCTCAGCTATTCATGCAGTCTCATTAATTAAACAACAAAAGTTGCCATTCTAGAAGAAATGCAGATCCCAAAGAAAGAAACAGCTATTTAGAAGAGAACAAGAAGTCTAAGTGAGGCTTCCTACATGGAAACAGCTCATAACAGTTTCATCTTGTATTTTCTACTACCTTGCATTCATCAAGGCAGTAGGCTGATGAAACTATTAGAAAATGGAATATGGAAACTCCAAGAGCTGAGTAATAGGAACACAAAGGAGCCGAGGAGTGCTGGAGCCAGGGGCGGTAGGAAAAGATTCAAACGGACAGAGAGGAAAAGAGGGAGAAGATGACACATGGCATAGTGAAAAGGAATAAGGCTTGGAGTCTGAGAAGCCTGGGCTGGAATCTCAGGTTTATTACTCGCTGGTTCTGCAATCGGAGCAGATCACTTCACTCTATGCTTCCATTTGCAAACTACAGACAACTGTTAGTATTTAATGCACATTGCAGTAAATGGTCAGTATAAGCCCATGAAATACCCAGCCCATTACTTGGCAATACAGTATGCAGCTAACAAATTGTTGCTACATGAATAAAACAGTGGTAAGGGAAAGAATACCATATTAAAGTGTATTTTTGCAAAGACAATCATGAACCAATATATCAAACCACACATTCCTCTCTGACTGCACACTTTGGGGCTAAGTGTAAAAATTCATATTCTGAAAAACATGTATTGGAATAAAATAGGAAGGGAGACTGGAAAATGCTCAGCCTAGGGCTCCAGGAAATGTTGAAGGCAGTAGATTTGGTTTGATTACCTGCCTTCTTCCCTTCACTCTTACCATCAATGTATTTAACAAAACTGGCAATGGGGAAATAACATAATTTCAATTAAAGGCAAGAAATGCTTGCAAATGGTATTCCCAGAATACTGAGACCCAACCATGTTAACAATTTCTAGTGCAGTGTTTACAGCAGACCAGAACAAATAACAAAATGCCCTCTATAACTACCTTTATTGAAAAAAATGTACCATGTCCTGAGATGTATAAAAGAGCCCTTTATAAATGTGTTTCTTAAAAAAATACCCAGATACAGCCAGGCGCAGTGGCTCATGCCTGTAATCCCAGCACTTTGGGAGGCTGAGGCGGATGGATCACGAGGTCAGGAGATCGAGACCGTCCTGGCTAACATGGTGAAACCTTGTCTCCACTAAAAATACAAAATATTAACCGGGCATGGTGGCGGGCGCCTGTAGTCCCAGCTACTAGGGAGACTGAGGCAGGAGAATGGCGTGAACCCGGGAGGCGGAGCTTGCAGTGAGCCGAGATCGCACCACTGCACTCCAGCCTGGGCGACAGAGAGAGACTCCCTGTCTCAAAACAAAACAAAACAAAACAAACAAACAAACAAAAACCCAGATACAACAAGAACAAAAATATATTTATGGAAGTTCAAGTAGAAACCTGCAGGTACCTCTGAAAGACATCTTCAAAACATGTATTCAATTTATCTATTTCCAGGCAATTCCCTACTTAGTTTTTAAAGTGTGTATCCCAGCTACTCACCCAGAAAACCACTGCAGAGCTTTCTCTATTGCTTACAACCAAATCTGTGAGAATGAAAAGAGCATTTTTCACAGCTCTGCCCTTTATCTTCAAGGACAAACTCCAAAGAGCTGTTAAACCTTCAAATGAATCAGGCCAAAGCCAGCAAACTGTTTTCATAAAAAGACAAGCAAACCTATGAGTCTTTAAAAGAAAAACCCTGAAAATGACTGAAAATGAATATTAGACAAAGACCCCAAAAGGCAACCAAATGCAGTCAGTAATAACAGACGCACATCTTGTTGGGCGCTATTTACCCGCTCTGCCTTGTAAAATGTTACATTCTTTACTGTTGTTGATGCAGGCAATTGGTATGAAGGCGATTTTATAAGGGTCATTCCAAAAGCAACCCCCCTTGCTCTGAAATTTAAGCCACTAATTGGAACTGGTAAAGAAATGCTTAAACCTCTCTACCCAAAGCCATTGAACTGCTATCTCTTTTCCCAAAGCTCAGATGACACATGTCACAGTTGAAGGCCCCATGGCAGTCAGGGGAGAGGCTGCCAGGTAGCATGTGCACCTGCAGAAAATAAACGAGGGAATTATTCTTGATAACCAGCAGCAAATGAACATCTCAGGACAGGCTATCTCTATCGTACTTGAGTCAAATCAACCAGATAACTGCTGAGCTTCCATCTGTTCGTGATCAAGAAGCAAAGGGGAATGAGCAGAGTCATGCCTCTCTGGTCTCCAACAGAGACTTCCCACAGGTTCCCACTGTTTTCACAGAGAAAAAACTAGAAGCACACAGTATCCCTTTAGGTTCTAGATTTTTGGCAGATAATGTAGGAGGTTATATGGTGGGGAGTCCATTTATTCATTAAGGAACTATGTACCAAGCCCTAATAAATAATAATTTTATCCATAATAAATGGCTAAAATATTCTTTGAGATGTTTGTGATGACACATTTTTATGGTCATAAAAATGTAAAACCTTTATTACAGCCATTTAAAATCTTATAGCAGTTGAATTATATATTGAACACATTCCTAAAGCTCCCTTTGTAAACTGCCGGAGGTCAGTACTTATGACCTCAGGAAACATAAATAGTGATGTAGAACACGCTGCCACACGAAATAACAAAACTAAATGTGTAAGAAAGAAAAGGTAACAAAAGGGAATAATCCTAAGTGAGTAGGATGCAAAAAGGATTTACAGTCATACTCAGAAGTCCCCACATATTGACAGTAAAACGTTTGCCATGGTGAAAAGGGGAGGATGGGTCCCCGGGCAAAGCGTGTGTATCTGATGGGGATGAGATGTGTGAACAGAGCCATCCCATCCTCCATACTGCAGACAGAAAGTCATGGTGTAGCAACAGAAGCATAATTATTTAGTGTAAAATGAGTAAAAAACCCAGGAGAACCATCTAAAAGAGTTGAAAGTTACTGTATCTAGAAACAAAATTCAGAAGGGAAGCACTGAAGGGAATATTGTTATTTTCCAACAAGCTCTGGGGATGACCTGACTTTTAGAACATGGGTATGTATGACAGATAAAAATCTGAAGTGAAAAGCAATAACACCATGTGTGAAAATAGTTTTGTCATAATAGAATAGTGTAATATCATTAGAAAAAAGTAGTAAAAATGTATATAAAAGTAGTGAAAAATTATTAATTAACAATACTTAATGATATTTATATAATGCAACTGCATACCATTAAAAATCATGTTGAGAAGAAAATCTTAAGGTCTGGAGAAGTGCAGAAAATGCATATGAAAGGATAGGCTATACAGATATGCATGACACCTACTTTTTGTATGATTTACCTATGTGTGTGGAAGAGGGAGAGTGGAGAGAGACTGATTAAGAAATACATCAAAAGATTCAATGATTATCTCTATGTGATGAAATTATGTGTGATTCTGAATTGTATTATTTACATGTTTAGGTATTTTTCAATTTTCTGCAATAAACATGTTATATTTATTGAGAAAATATTTCTCAAAATGAACAAAACTGTGAAACAAGATGAAAGTGTATGACTGTTCTGTTGTGTCCATAGTTTCAAGTTTCAAATCTACTAAATTCAGAGGTGAGGAGTAAAACTTTAGGCAAGCGAACGATTTTCTGGGGAGCCAGCTTGAGTGACATTTGAATCAATTAATGGCCAGAATATAATTAAAGGTCAACCATCCAATTAAAAGATACAATTTCACAAGGAAGTCTACTGAGTAAGTGCTTCTGAGAAAAAGCTAAGAAAAGAAATCATGGGTTCCAGGGCTAGTAAAGAGCCCCATATGGTTAGGCTAAATTCAACATAATTTTGAGTCATTTATATTGCATTTCCTACTAAGCCAGTCATCTCCCCTGATACGTACCACAGGTAAGTATTTGGTATTTATTTATTTATTGACTAAAGCCTTGAATGAAACCAGCCGGTGCCCACTTACCTCATTAATAATTCATTTAATTATTCTTCAATAGCAGTCTGTTTACTCTGCTTTTTACAAAGCATATTTTTCTAATATGAACACTCTATATCTGCTCTGAGGATATACAGCCCTTTCCAGGTCTGTTTACCAACAAATTAAAAATATGAGCAGTTGCTATTTTCTGTCTCTCAATGTGTCGCATTGATGTCCCGAATGTGTACTTCATCTCTACCACATTATGGCACCAACACCTATATTTCTTTTGCTTTCTTTAGTCTAAAACATTCTTTTCCTATTATAATGTTTCACACAGTAAAATGTATGTACATAGGAGGGAGAAAGCTCACAAAGTTGAATCTGTCTTCATGTTTGTGCTGAGGCTGCAGTTCGCAACTTTATTTCAGAGTTTGTGTCTCTGTGCTGGAATGGCTAGCTTCTCCTGGAATGATATCACTCCCATTTCCACAAAAAAACTCTCAATTTATTTTTCTCTTGACTTTCATGACCATACAAACATCTGGCTTTCCTTTTGAATCGAGTTTATCGGTCTTTTTTGTAGCCTTTTTCTCGAAAAATCTCTTAATTGGTTTACTTTGGACTATGTCAAATTTTCTTTCTTATTTCAGATTACACATTTCCATGGGTTAATCTGATTTACTCCAGGACTTCTGTCACTATACATACACGACACACACACACACACACACACACACACACACACACAACTCCTTTTCTCTCTCCCCTGAGTTCCAGGACCAGCTGTCTCTTAGACTTCTCAAAGTGGATGTCTTCTAGGGACCCTGACCCTAACACATCCTAAAAGGAACTCGTGGCCCTCTCACACAAAAAGATTTCGTTAACTGGTGTTTGCTTTCATGGTAAACTGCACCATCCCTCCCATCTGGAAGTCATTCTTAAACTCGCCCTCCATCTTCTTTAACATCTGTATTAAAATATCAATATTACTATTGGTTTCAACGCCAAATTCTACCATGAATATTTTCTTCATTTCCTTCATCACCATTCTGAACACCACAATCACTTTCCAGGATTTTATGCAGTGTTCTTGCAAGGACGGAACCTGCAGATTTCCCCTGCAATCTTACTCTACACTGCTCTCAGGGTCCATTAGACTAGGTGGGGCATCCCCCATGTGAGTTTCTATAGTATTGTTTACTTACTCCATCACAGAACTCACTGAAAGCTAAGATTTTATGCATGACATGCATAAAAATATTTGTAGAAATGCATTAGTGAGTATATACCATTCCATGAACTAGTATACCACATAAGTATATCAATGTTTAAGACAGGCACCTTGTTCCCTTGTTACTCCTGTACTCTCAAGAGCAAGCGTCATTCCTGGCTCATAGTAGACCCTCAATAAAGAATATGTGATGTTAAAAGAATGAACAAATTAAAGAATTCATATCATAATTTCACTGGAGTTATTTGGGAAAATAATATTTCCAGTATTGTCCTGAATTTGAGAGAAAGATTAGAGACTTTCTTACAATGCATTGTGGACTAATTTCTTATTCTAAAATATTAATTGGTGTTTATGTTAATCCAGAAGTTGGGACTTTTGAAAAGCAGGTAAATTTGACTGCCATGGGGAAAAGGTAAACCCCTCAGAATGCAAAGACCACATCTATCAATGGTGTTCTCGTAGGTTAAGACGTAGGCTCTTCTCCAAACCTAGCCCCTAAACATTGTTTTAACTGGGACAGTTCAAGTCTCTCTTTAAATGAGGTAACAGGACAAGATCCCTGCCAAATTCTAAAATTCCAGAATGTAGTTGCATTTTTTGAGGTTTTCTTCCACATTTTATTATCAGCTGTTTTCAAATGAGAATGCAAATGTGGTATAAGAACTGTAAGTCGAAGATGCCACCTTCGAGATATTTTCAGTTTTAAATGCCCAACATCACTAATCATCAGAGAAATGCAAGTCAAAACCACAAAGAGATATCATCTTACTCCTGTCAGAATGGCTATTGTTAAAAAAAAATGTTGGTGAAGATGCAGAGATAAGGGAACTTTACACCTTGTTGGCGGGAAGGTAACTTAGTACAACTTTTATGGAAAACAGTATGGATATTTCTCAAAGAACTAAAAACAGAACTACGATTTGATCCAAAAATCCCACTACTTGGTATCTTCCCAAAGGAAAATAAATCATTATATCAAAAAGATGCCTGCCCTCATGTGTTTATTGCAGCACCATTCACAATAGCAAAGACATGGAATCAACCTGAGTGTCCACCCCTGGACTACTGGATAAAGAAAATGTGGTATTTATAGACGATGGAATACTACTTAGCCACAAAAAGAATGAAATCGTGTCTTTTGCGGCAACACGGATGGAACTGGAGGCCACTATCTTAAGTGAAACAAATCAGAAACAAAGTCAAAAACCACAAGTTCTCACTTATAAATGGGAGCTAATTCATGTGTACATATGGACATACAGCACAGAATGATAGACATTGGAGGCTTGTAAAGGTATGGACTAGGTGATAGGAAAGTACTTAACGAATAACAACTTAAACTATTTAGGTGATGGATACCCTAAAAGCCACAACTTCACCACTATGAAATCAATGTATGTAGCAAAACTGTACTTGTACTCCATAAATGTATACAATTAAAAAATGTTTACAGCTTACCAGAAGAGTCTAGTTAAATTTACAAAATAATCCCCATCAGTATCAACCAGCAAAAGGAAGGCAACAGAAACAGAGAGAAGGTGGAGGTGGGGACAAACAGACCTTTGGAAATAGACGATCCCTCAGTGAATCCCAGCCCTCAGATTTTACTACCTGTGTAAACTTGGGTAATAATGTTCAGGTCAAATGTCATTTCACTTTGAGATGAGACTCAAGCGGATGCCTTCTTGAAATCTGTTTTTGTGAAGATTTTCCTTTTATTGGTGACCTTCCATATCATTTTTCCCAATCTCAGATTGAAAGTCTCCAACATGCTGCCCTCCTATACTTTCGCTACCTATTAAACCCTGTGCATAGATGGTAACAGAAATGATAACAGGTGTTCCTTCTCCCCCCTCGGCTTCACTAATAAGTTTTCTCAGCTTTTATCTGCATTTTATGGCACACCATCTTTGTAAGAGAGCTTTTTTTTCTTTTTCTTTTTTAGTGTCCATGATCAAATCTGTTTGCGGAATCTTGTGTACTCTAGGTCCCTCTTAGGACGGCATAAGACATCAGAGCACTGCCGCATCTCTGTATTTTGGGAAGGGTCAAGGTCAGATGAGCTTATCCAAATGCTCTGGGCAACGCTGGGCTCAGCAGGCAAGTTCTAGGCACAGTCTGTAAAGGTCACTATAAAATGCACTTGGCTTGGAGCCCTGAAACCCTTTACTATCTCTCTCATTTATTGGTTTCCTTATTTAGGTATCCATCAACAGATAAACGGCAAAAAAAGGTGTGTGTGATGCATGTGTGCACACGTGCACAATGGAATATTATTCAACCACAAAAAAGAATGAAACCTTGTCATTTGCAGTAACATGGATGGAAATACAGGTCATTATATTAGGTGAAATTATTAGGTGAAATAAGCCAGACACAGAAAGACAAATATCACATGTTCTCACTCATATGCGGGAGCTAAAAACGTTGATCTTATGGAGGTAGAGAGTAGAATAGTGGCTACCAGAGGCTGGGAAGGGTGGGAGAGAAGATAAAAAGCGATTGATTAACAGGTACAAACAAACAGTTCTCATGCCACCTCCTCCTTCCTCTTCCCCTTCCCAGCCTCTGTGAACCACCAATCTACTGTCTGCCTCCAGGAGTTTCACTTTTTTAGTCCCCACATATGAGTGAGAACATATGGCATTGAAAGTACTTATACTTCTTTCTGTAATGGCTAAAGGACTTTAAAAACTTTAGGTTAAAACTTCAAAGATTATATGTCAGGTGGAAATGAACACATAAATAAAGAATATTTCTAGTAAAAATATTTTTACTGCCCCAGCAAGTAAATGAAATTTAAAAAGCCAAAATGATAAAAAAAAAAACCCTAAGTTATCATTAAGGATTTACTGTCAGCCAAGAAGAAGCAGATATGGAATAGATTTATAAGTTTTCTAAAAGTAACAGAAGCAAGAGGCATGTGATGGTGTTGTCAATGTGACTATAAGGTTAGTGGTAGAAATAAGATAACTCTGCCAGGAAACACAAGACAAAGGAGATAAAATACCTGTAAGAGTGCCCATAGAGCTCTCTTAAGGAGCTGTGAGAAATAGGTCCAGCCTAAATTGCTGCTGTTTCACCCTTTAACTGTTTCTCAGAACCAACAGATTTGGGTACAAAAATACAGTTAGGTAGAAGGAGTACATTCTAGTATTCGATAGTGTGGTAGGGAAATTATAGTTAGCAATGCTTTACTGTATATTTCAAAATAGCTAGAAAAGAAGAATTTCAATCTCCCCCACACAATAAAAGATAAATGTTTGAGGTGACAGATACCCCAGTTACCCTGATCTGATCATTACACATTGTATACATGAATCAAAATATCACATGCATCCCCAGAATAAGAACTACTATATGTCAATAAAAAAGTATAAGCCCTTTTGTCTACCAAATTATTTCCATACTGTTTACTTTTATATTCCATATCCCTAGAGCAGTCCAATTAAATTGAATTCAGATTTTTTTTTTTTTTTTTTGAGACGGAGTCTCGCTGTGTCGCCCAGGCTGGAGTGCAGTGGCGCGATCTCGGCTCACTGCAACTCCGCCTCCTGGGTTCACGCCATTCTCCTGCCTTAGCCTCCGGAGTAGCTGGGACTATAGGCGCCTGCCCCCACGCCTGGCTAATTTTTTGTATTTTTAGTAGAGACGGGGTTTCACCGTGTTAGCCAGGATGGTCTCAATCTCCTGACCTCGTGATCCGCCCACCTCGGCCTCCCAAAGTGCTGGGATTACAGGCGTGAGCCACCACGCCCGGCCCAAATATGTTCTTTATCATACTTTGTTCACCTCATTTCTTTCATATAATACTCTCTCATTTCCTATCTCAAAGAAGATAGGAATTGCTACGTTTCTCCTGAGTCACGTCTTAACTTGCCAATGATTTAACAAACAGTACATAATAACACATGCCAACAAGACAAAATACCAAAAGTACAGGAATAGTATTATAAATACAGCAGAATGATGTGTGTGTTTTGTAAAACAGCAATTCCTCTCGTATCTACATAAACACAACTGGTAACTATTCACACTTCAACATAGAATTCCATAATTCTGTTGAAACATCTGCTCTAGTTATACAGTTCTTAAAGTAGAAATCTTTAGAAGGTTTAGATGTTACTTTTTTTTTTTAACAGACTACAATGATTAAAAGAAGATAGTCCACAAAATCTTTGTCAAAGAGTGATTTTCATTTGGCAAGTCCTTTCATTTGGCTCAGGCTTTCTAACATAAATTACTGAAAAGTTCAGATTTCATAATATCTTCATTGAAAATGATAAAAAGCTAAAAAATAAATTACCTAACATTTCTATTAATATTAAAGTACCAAAATGCAGCAGTTGTAATAGATACAATATTTTAAAAGAAATAAGGATGTCAAGAATTCTGAAAGAAGAAAAAGATATTACACTAAATCATACATCAGGAATGTCCACTATTCTGTATCACGTATTTTTCCGAGTCCTCAAAATGTAATATTCTGATATTATAACATGCTTTTCGAATATGGCTTTAAGATGACATGATTCTTTAAGTTTAAATGTGTATGAACATCGTATTTTGTGGAGCTTGATCTATTAACAAACATGCCACTCAGCTCCCCAGGATGAGTTCTAAATTGAATAAAACATACACTGTCATCTACATCTAACAGCTAGTGTGACGGTCATGTCTGTTCTTCTAATGGAGTCAAAAGATAAAGGAGAGATAATTGATGACTGAAATTGAAAGACCAGCATTTCTCCATCTGCCTGTGCACATGGGAATGACTTGCTCCTTTTCTCTTCCCTTTAGCTGAAAAGAATGTGTGAAAATCAAGCAATAGTAGAACTGAACAGTCCTGATAGTCCTGATAACAGTGATCTCTTACAGATATGTTTCAATAAAAAGTCACTGGTGGCAAAATATTCTCTGAAAAAAATCTACCTAGGGGACACATACCTCGGGCAAATCCACACATGGCACCGGTTACTGACTTATAGGAAACAAAAATTTAAAAAATACAATTTGAACCAAAAAAATCCCAATAGTCAAGTGTTTTAGTTTATTCAGACTACTATAGCAAAATACCTTAGACTGGGTGGCTTATAAACAACAGAAATTTATTTCTCACAGTTCTGGAGACTGGATGTCCGAGACCAAGTCGCCTGAAGATTTGGTGTCTGGTGAGGGCTTTCTGGTTCACAGATAGCACCTTTTTGCTGCATCTTCGCATGGCAGAAGGGGCCAGCTAGCTCTCTGTAGTCTCTGTATGAGGGGACTAATCTCAATTAGAAGGCCTCTATCCTCACGACTATCACCTCCCAAGAGGCTCTCCTAATACCATCACCTTGGAGCTTAGAATTGCAACCTATGAATTTTTAGGGACACAAACATTCAGACCATAGCATCCAGGCATTGTGTCGCATACATATCCACAGGACTCCGTTTGTAGCATTGCCCTCATATGAAGTAGCTACATGGTCTGACGGTGCAGTGAATGTGTTACTATAACTAAATGAAACACTGAAAAATAATCAAACTTTAAAACTAGCTCAGCAAACTGTCGCAAGGACAAAAAACCAAACACCGCATGTTCTCACTCATAGGTGGGAATTGAACAATGAGAACACTTGGACACAGGAAGGGGAACATCACACACTGGGGCCTGTTGTGGGGTGGGGAGAAGGGGGAGGGATAGCATTAGGAGATATACCTAATGTTAAATGACGAGTTACTGGGTGCAGCACACCAACATGGCACATGTATACATATGTAACTAACCTGCACGTTGTGTACATGTACCCTAAAACTTAAAGTATAATTAAAAAAAACCCCAAAAAACTAGCTTGGTCATAAAAACAACTTTAAGTATGACTGTAAGTCTTTGGATGAAAGGTATTTCTGACCTGTCTCTACCTTCAAACCATCAAGGATATGTTAGAGACTCCTGTTATAAATGATTCTCCCGCATTAGGAATAAAATATTCCGTAGACAACTCAAAGATCAAAACTTCAAAGCGCTCCTCTCATGGTGAATTCATCACAGACATAATGTGCTCAGAAGTGAATAAATACATTTCTCTCAGAATTTTCCTGCAATAAATATCCTCTTAAAATGCTTTTATGAACCATGCTAAAATGTTCATTTTTGTTCAATAGGTAGAATTTGCCTTTTGCACTCTAGGTTCCTGAGAAATTTTGAAGTTAGTATTAAAAGTTAAATGTATTATTATATTTGTAATCATCATTGTTTTAGAAATTTGCAAAAATATCAAAAGCAATCATGGCATTCTATTTCAACATCTTCATTGTGATTTAAAGAACAGATACACCAAGGGCTATTGAATAAATTTTAGTACAGCAAGTTGTCGTATTAAGCCATCCCATAGACTGTGTTGTAAAACAGTATAGGTACCATATATAAACTCCATAAAATTATCCATAGAATATATGATGGTTAATTACGTGTCAACTTGACTGGGCTATGGATGCCAAGAGAGTTGGTAAAACATTGTTTCTGGTTGTGTCTATGAGAGTAATTCTGGGGAGATTAGCATTCAAATCCATAGACTGAGTACAGAATACCCTCATCCTTTCATTTTCCTTTGTTTTTTTCTATATTTTGCAATGCTTTTAAAATAAATGTGAATTCCTTCTGTAGTTAGGAAAGTAAAACATCTTACAAAAAGAACTTTCAAAAATTAAATATAAGTGCTTTACAATATTAACATAAATGATTCAAATTTTAAAATTTCCTCTAATAAAATATAAATGAAAAATATTATCTTGAAAAGCACTTTTTAAGAAGGAATATAATTTATTAAAGATAAAAGCATAAATAAATGAACAGAGTAAATCACAGAAAGTTTTTCTTAGACCTTGGGCATAGATGGTACAGATGTGTTTCTCAAAGTTATGAAACCCAGGTAAAAATGTCATTTGCCCACATTTGTGTTGGATGCCCATGAAATGCTGCAATGTTGACATTTCTCATACATATATAATTCAAAGGATTTTATATAAAATTATAGAAACTTCATAAAGTACATCTTTTTGAATTGTATGCTCTTATATTTAAAGAGCATTTTTTTCTACTGAAAAATAAGTCTAGAAAAGAAAATCTTAACCATAAATATTGAAAGTCTTTAAAAATGTGAACAGTGTTATAATAAATTAACTCATATGCTATGTGAAAATACAAGCCTTTTATTTTCATGTGTAAACACCTTATACTGAGCAGAAAAATAAAATTAGAGAACTCAGTGACAATAAAAAATCATGGACAAAATAAGACAATTTTCCTTGTAAAGGACTGTGACTATAATGCTAAGTTTTGTGCCACAATATAACACAGAAGTAACGGAAGCACTTCAAAATGTATTACTATCCTAACATTGGCAACCATGATTAAGAAAATTCCTGAATATTTAATACATCTTTACAAGATGGTTTATTTGAAGTTTTTATCCCATAGCACTTTAAGAACATCTAGAGTTCACTGCTGAGTCTCTACTGAGTGCACTGACGTGTCATTAGCCACAAACCACTTCACATAGTAACTTAAGTAAAAATATGTTGGCAATCATAATAAATGATCAAAAAAGCAGATTTGAAGAATATAAAATCCAGCCATTCTTTAAAATTACTTCATTTTTTTGAAGTTAAATATAGTGTCACTACATTTGAACGAAACACCAATCATAAATATTACTAAAATAATTATATTTTTTAGGATCTATGCCTTTGATTTTTTTTTTTTTGCAATTTGAAGAGAAAAATCACAGACTAGCAAGACATCTATTTGATGTTAATAATTATGTTAAAGTTAAGATAAAATGATGTGTTTTCTTACTCAAAAATATACTGGTAGTAAGGTGAAAGGATCTAATATTGTATTGAGAATTATCTCATAAAAATGAAACCTTTTAGTAGTTGTAGAATGATTTGCACTATGTTCAATGCTGCACATTTACTTATTCAGCAAAATTTCAGTCTGTGTCTGCTCTAGATCATGTGTGGTGCATGAGTCCCCTGGGCTCAGCTTGTAAACTCATTTCCTCTCCCTAAGCAATCTCTCACATATTCTCTGCTTGTTCTGCATGCTACACCACAGAGTGCTGTGACAGCAGCAGTTCTACTAGAACACAATGACTGCTTTACCAGAAATCACTGTTGATCTCTTCACTTAAATTATGAGTCCCCTCTCTCCCAGTCTATGTCTGCTCCAGATCATTTGTGTGCATGGGTCCCCTCTCTCCTGAATGCTGTCTCACATTTATTGTCATCAAAACTTTATACTTTTTATAACTTTTTATGACATTAACCACATGTTCTCTCTCTCTGTCTCTCTCTCTATATATTCATCATACTTATTACGTATTTACAGTGTATATGGTCCTGCTGTGTTTTCCTAACACAGGAATGTTCTTTATATTTTTTATTCTTCACTAAAATTGCAGAGTGTAATGCCAAACTAATACCATGTACACTGTAAATGCTTCTTGAGGAAAGGGATAGAGGAGTTCATGTGACATTCCACTGCTGGAGGATGCAGGGGCAGAACCAGGCAGACAAGAAAGTTCTTGATTTTTTGAAGTTTATTTGTGAGAACATAATTTACCAAAGCCACACAGCTAGGAAGAGGATGATTTGGGATTTATACTAAGGAGTATACAACTCTAGAATCTTTGCCATTTGCCACAATGTTTTATTTCCACCTTAAGGTCAAGAAACCATTTTTAAATCTATTTCTTTTACTTTAAGACTTTATAATTTTTATTACACACACACACACACACGCCAAAACCTGTAACTAGCAGTTTTATTCATGCTCAAAAATGTTGTTCAGTATGTCAATATAGTTTTCTGTCAGAGAGCTATGTATGTCAATAATCTGTGCATTAATTTATTCCTTACCATTGGCTGGGCTCAGCTTGTAAACACTCATTTCCTCTCCCTAAGCAATCTCTTAGATATTCTCTGCTTGTTCTGCATGCTACAGCTTGTCCTGCATGCTACAGCTTGTTCTTCATGCTACAGCTTGTCTTTCATGCTACTGCTTGTCCTGCATGCTACAGCTTGTCCTGCATGCTACAGCTTGTCTTGCATGCTACAGCTTGTCCTGCATGCTACAGTTTGTTCTGCATGCTACAACTTGTCCTGCATGCTACAGCTTGTCCTGCATGCTACAGTTTGTTCTGCATGCTACAACTTGTCCTGCATGCTACAGCTTGTTCTGCATGCTATAGCTGAGTGCTGTGACAGCAACATTTCTACTAGAACGCAATGACTGCTTTACCAGAAATCACTGTTGATCTCTTCACTTATTTATTATATAAATGCAGGTGACGTGATAAGGTGATATGAAATCTATTGTAATATCAACACACACACATTGTCAACTGTCTGAGATCAGCCAAATCCTCAAAGTATAGCCTCTTTTTAAATATATGTTTTGTAGTGACCATTTATTTAGGTAGCAGAATTTGAAAGGTGCTGACTCCTACTTTGTGCAAGTTAATGTAGGTCTTGATTCTTTTCCAGCTAATTGTCATTTTATAAGTTCATTCTGATGGCCCAGAAAGAATTTATTTTTAGAAATGCACCTTAAGAGCACCTCCAGGAGCGCCTCAGTAGCAGACTTAAACACACCATATACTTTCTATATTTTCTTAGAATTTAAAAAGTAAATACATTTTAATTAATACCTAGGTCAAAATCAATTTTGCTTCCTTGAGTGCATATGATTTGATGTTATTACTGAGATCATATCTCTTGTAGAATCCTCTTAATGTTTTTGGTTACGGAATGAGTCAATAAAGCCATTCCCAAAAAGAAATAACTCATAAAGAGACAGACTCCTTTTAACGAATACAAAAAACATATAATCCTTCCAAGAAACAGGGTTATATTTTATTGTTTTTTTTTTTTTTTTTTTTTTTTTGTCACAGAGTTTTGCTCTTATTGCCCAGGCTGGAGTGCAGTGGAACAATCTTGACTCACTGCAACCTCCACCTTCCAGTTTCAAGCGATTCTCCTGCCTCAGCCTCCCAAGTCGCTGGGATTACAGGCGCCCGCCAACACACCCGGCTAATTTTTTTGTATTCTTAGTAGAGACAGGGTTTCACTGTGTTGGTCAGGCTGGTCTCGAACTGCTGACCTCGTGATCCACCCACCTCGGCCTCCCAAAATGCTGGGATTACAGGTATGAGCCACCATGCCTGGATTATTTTATTGCTACTAAATTTTCATTATTATCTTTTTGAGTAGAAATATTGGTGTAATGTCTCATCTATCCTATCTCTTACATCAACCTGATTAACATATTTAATACATTTCTGATATACAAAAACTTAATAGTGTTTTACATAATCATTTTCATCTATAAGTTAAGGCCATATGCAGGTGGATCACGAAGTCAGGAGTTCGAGACCAGCCTGACCAACATGGTTTTTTAGTAGAGACCAACACTGTCTCTACTAAAAAAAAAAAAAAAAAAAAAAAAATTAGCTGGGCACGGTGGCAGGTGTCTGTAATCCCAGCTATTCAGGAGGCTGAGGCAGGAGAATCACTTGAACCCCGGCGGCAGAGGTTGCAGTGAGCTGAGATCATACCACTGCACTCCAGCCTGGGCAGCAGAGTGAGACTCCGTCTCAAAAAAAAAAAAGAAAAGAAAAAAAAAAGTAAAGGCCATATAATCTTTCAAAACAAAAAGGAAATCTCCAGTCTCATAAAAGTTTAATGGCATAAGCTTTCTTAATGTCAATGAGCAGTGGGTTAATGAAATGTCTCTTAGGATTTCTGCCAGTGACGAATGACTATAACATTTGCACTTACAGAGTTATCCCGGGAATTTTAATAGTCCTGTCTTTATAGCTGCTTCATGAAATTAAGTATAACCTTTGTACGAATCTGTGCCCCTTACTAACAAATAGATATAAACATATGTAATGGCTTGTAGGTGACTGTTTATATAGGGAAACCTAGTACAGATATTTTCATAGAAATCTGTAATTTCATAAATTACAGATGTTGACTTCTATAATATTTTCCTCAAGTCACAATGAGACTTGGTCTTTCTTGGTCTCCTGAAACATAAAATTATGTATAATTTTTGTTGGAAAACCCACATTTAAAAATACATTTTAAATTAATATTTTATTTGAAGACAGTTTTAAACTTGAAAAGAAATTGTGAAGATACCACAGAGCATTCCTATATACCTCATACCAGTGTCCTCAATTCCCAATTCTCACATTAGTATGGTATAACTATTATAATTAATGAACTACTACAGATACATGATCATGAACTGAAGTGTTCACTACATGCAAATCCCTCTAGGTTTACATCTTATATCTGTCCCAGGATCTCATCAGGATACTACATTACATCTCTTAGTCCTATCTCCTTGGGTTCCTTTAGGCTGTGACAGTTTCTCAGACTGACCTTGTTTTTTATGACATTGACAGTTTTGAAGAGCCCTAGTGATGAATTTTGAAGACTGACCCTCAGTTGGGGTATTCATGACACTTTCTTACAGTCAGACTGTGCCTGTGTGATTTTGGAGGTGTCTCACAGAGGTAGAAAGCCATTCCCATGACATCACATGAAGGGTGTGTAATATCGGTATGGCTTGCCACTCTTGAGACTTGACTGACGTAGTCTTTATCAAGTCTCTCCCCTGAAAAGTCACTTGTTTTTCTCCCGTTCCATACTGTAAACTCTGCAAAGAAGTCACTTGGAGCAGCCCAAATTTCAGGAGTGGGGGTTTATGCTAAAATTCTCTGAGGATGTAGAAGCTACATACTTATTTGGAAATCTTCAGCACAGTTGATTTGTGTATTCTACCGCATTTCTTTATATTATTTATGGATTAATATTTATTTCATATTTAAGTAATAATCCAATACTACTGTTTTATCATGTTGCTTAAATCGTTCCAGTGTGAGCCATTGGTCTTTCAATTGGCTCTGAATTTCTTTGATGTACTCCTTAAAAAAAAATCACCTCCCAAGTTTCAAGCACTACAAGCTGATGCAGGCTTTTCTTGTAAATTTCATGCAAGACCTAGATTCAGTCGTTTCTCCAAAAATCCCTGTTTTTGTTTGTTTGTTTTTTAATTGGAGAATTATATGGGGAACCAAGATTTTGGAGGTCAGTGTGCTCATGGCTATGAAAGTGTCATGGATTTGGGTTCTCTCAACTGACAGGGGAGGGAAATGTATGTGTGTGTGTGTGTGTGTGTGTGTGAACACACATATATATATATTTATACACATACATATTTCTATGCATAAGCATCTGTAACCCTATTAAGCTAAACATGAGTTCATACTGATATTGTCAACTCTAATCCATCACCGCATGAGTCACTCTAGCCTCCTCCCCTTGCTTATTTGCAAATTCCCACTGCATCAATGAGAAAGCTGGCTCCCAACATCCATTTATGTAATTGTCCGCTTCCAGTGTACATGTGTGGCAGTATCAGAATTTTTTTTGTTGTTTGAGATGGAGTCTTGCTCTGTCACCCAGGCTGGAGTGCAGTGGCATGATCTCAGCTCACTGCAACCTCTGCTTCCTAGGTTCAAACGATTCCCCCGCCTCAGCCTCCTAAGTAGCTGGGATTATAGGTGCACGCCACCACGCTTGGCTAATTTTCTTTTTTTCTTTTCTTTCTTTCTTTTTTTTTTTTTTTCTGTAGTTTTAGTAGAGATGGCATATCACCATGTTGGCCAGGCCAGTCTCGAACTCCTGACCTCAACTGATCAGCCCACCTCGGCCTCCCAAAGTGCTGGGAATATAAGTGTGAGCCACTGTGCCCTGCCCAGAATTGTTAACTCATACCTCCACCAGAAGTAACTTTGTGGTTTGAAGTAGAATACTACGTAAAGATGTTTGGCTTTAGCCTTACAGAGCCCTCTCATTATCGGCACCTTACTTTTTTCCATCCTCTTCAGCAAAATTGTTTCATAGGTTTGCAATACATTTAAATTATCTTGTCAAATTCTGTATTCCATCTTTGGATCCCAGGACAGCCTAAATGATTGTTTTTGTTTACATACATTAAGGTTCACATTTTGTGCTATAAGTTTCTTTTTTGTTCACAAAGGCAGGGTGTCATGTATCCGCTGTCACAATATCGTACAGACTAGTTTTACTGCCCTAAAAAATCCCCTAAGCTTCATTCACCTATTCGCCTTTCCTCTTCGATCTCCAAATCCCTGGCAAACACTGACATTTTTTTATTCTCTCTATAGCTTTTGCCTTTTCCAGAAGCCTTTTAAAACTGGCTTCTTTCATTTGGATGGCATATGCATTTAAGATCTATCCATGTCTGCTCATGGCTTGTTAGCCAGTCCTGTTTTATTGCTGACTCCTGTTCCATTACATGGATGATCCACAGTTTGTGTATCCACTTGTTTACAGAAGGACATCTTGGCTGCTTCCAAGTTTTGGCAATTATGAATAAAGCTGCTATAAATATTTGAGTATAGGCTTTTAAATGGCCATAAGTTTTCAACTCATTTGTGTAAAAACCCGGGAACATGATTGCTGGGTTGTATTGTAAGACTATATTTAACTTTGTTAAGAACTGCCAAGTGTCTCCAAAGTGGCTGTGCCATTTTGTTCCCACCAGCAGTGAATGAGAGCTCCTGTTGCTCCACATCGTTACCTCTGAATGTCTCACTAGGTTTGGTTTGGCCTTGTTTTGTCTTTTAGCCACTGGAATGAGTATACGGTGGTACTGGATCTTGTTTTAATTTACAACTGTCTAATAACAAATGCTACTGAGCATCTTTTGGTATGCTTATTTGCCATCGTATATCTTCTTTGGTTGAGGTGTCTGTTAAGATCTTTTGCCCATTCTTATTTGGGTTGTTTGTTTTCTTATTGTTGAGGTTTACGAGTTCTTTGTATATTTCAGCTATAAGTTCTTTCTGAGATAAATTCATAGGAACAGAGAGTAAAGTAGTGGTTATTAGAGGCTGAGAGTTGGGGGAATTGAGATGTTGGTCAAAGGACAAAACACTTTAGCCAGATAGGCGGAATAAATTCAAGAGATTGATTACATATCATAGTGACTATATATTGCTAATAACAATATATTGTATAGTTGAGGATTGCTAATATTTTCAGTGTTCTCACTGCAAAAAATAATAAGTTTGTGAGGTAATGCATATGTTAATTAGCTTGATTTAGCCATTCCATAGTGTATACATATATCAAAACGTCATGTTGTACACTATAAATATATACAATTTTAGATGTCAAAAAAACCCTGCCAAACTGAAAAAAGAGTATTATCAGATACTTGTTTTACATATCATAGTCCAACTTATCAATTTTTCATTCATGGGCTACAATTTTGATATTAGCATATACATAAAAACCTATCACCAAATCAGAGGTCACCTAGATTCTGCATGTAATTTCTTCTGGAAGTTTTAAAGTGTTACATTTTATGCTTAAGTCCATGACCCATTTTGAATTAATTTTGTGAAAGGTTTAAGATGTGTTTCCAGGTTCATTCTTTTGCATAGACAACACTAATTGTTTCAGGACTGTTTATTTAAAAATCTACTTTTTCTCTTTTGCATTGCTGTTCTTCATCAATGATCACTGGACTATATTTATATCGGTCTGCTTGTGGGCTTTCTCCCTTGTTTCATTGATCTCTATGAAAGCCTTCTATTCTTTCAGGAAAACCTGTGTTGATTACTGTAGTCTTATAATAAGCATTTTTAATGTAGCTTGTGGTTTCATTGATTTAATGTCTTTATTTTTTCCTATTTTTAGTTTATTTATGCTCCAATTATTATTATTTCTTCTGTTTGATTTAGGCTTTAATTGCTCTTCTTTCTCTAGTTTCCAAAGGGGAAAGCTTAGATTATTGCTTTTATATCTGTCTTCTTCTCTAATACACGTATTTAATGCTATAAATTTCTCTCTAAGCTTTGATGTTGCTGCATCCCATACATTTTGATAAGTTGTACTTCTGTTTTTATTTAGCTGAAAATATATTTTAAATAATCCTGAGACTTTTTTGGGCTACATATAATTTTTAAGTGTGCTGTTTAATCTCCAAATATTTGACAATTTTCCAGAAACCTTTCTATTACTGATTTCTAGTTAACTTCATTGGGGTCTGATAACATATTTTGTATGTTTGTTCTACTTTAAAATTTTTAAGGTCTGTTTTATTGCTCAGGAGACAGTCTATCTCGACATGAATTATTCATGTGAGATTGAGAAGAATGTGTGTTTTGCTGCAGTTGGCTGGAACATTCTGTAAATGTTAATTCAGTAGAGTTGACTTCTGCTATTGTTCATGAAAGTGGACATTTACTCACTTTTTGCCTGTTTGATCTATCAATTCCTGAAAAAAGGGTAATGAAGTCTATAATAGTGGGTTTGACTATTTCTCCTAAAATTAATATAGCTACTCTGTCTTTTGATTAATATTGGCATCATAGATCTTTTTTCATTTACATTTATCCTGTCTGCATCTTTATATTCAATGTGGTTTTCAAGTAGACGACCTAGAGTTGGATCATATATATGTATCAGTACCAATGATCTGTTTCTTTTAATTGGTGTGTTTAGACTACTCAATTTGAAGCAATTGTTGACATAGTTGTGTTAATCTGTGTGTTTGTAACTATTTCCATGTATTACATTTGCTCTTCGTTTCTATTTTCTCTTCTTCTTTTGCCACCATTGATTTAATTGAGCATATTATATGATTCCATTTTATATCCTGTCTTAGCACGACAATTATACTTTTGAAAAATTTTTACTGGTTGTTCTAAAGTTTCCAATATACATTTTTAACTAATCCAAATCTACCTTCAAATGACACTATATAAATTCACATGTAGTACAGGTATCTTATAAGACAGCATTCCCACACCCTTCTCTGTACCCGCTATGATATTACAGTCATTCGTTTTACTTATCCTTACGCTATAATAACCCAATATATTGTTATCATTACTTTAAATAGACATTTTTAGATGAATTTCGAATAAGAAAAACGAAAGTCATGTGGAGTTAATTTTGTCTTTATTTCTTCTTCAATGTTCTCTATTCTTCATGTAGTCAAAGATTCTGACCTATACAATTTTCCTGTTTATGTTGTTTAACAACTTATTTTAACATTTCTTGCAAGGCTGGAGGTCTGCTGGCAATGTGTTGGCTCAACTTTTGTTTGTCTGAGAAACTTTATTCTTTTTCACAGGATAATTGAAGGATAATTTTGCTGGAAATAAAATTCTATGTTGGCAGTGTTTCTTTTTAGCATTTTAAGTATTTCACTCCACTCTTCTTGCTTTCATAATTTCTAGAGAGAAGCCCATTGTGATTCTTATCTTTTTTCTTCTATAAATAAGGTATCTTTCCTGCCTAGCTTTTTCAAGATTTTCCCTTTTTGTTTGGTATTCAGCATTTCAAATATGCTATACTTAAGTAAAGCTGTTTTTTGGGTTTTCATCGTTTGTTTTTTATGTTTATCTTGCCTGGTGTTCTCTGAGCATCTCGGATCTGTGTGGCTTGGTGTCTGTCATGAATTTCAGAAAGCGTTTGGCCATTGTTAAACCAAATATGTCTTCCGCCCTTTTCTTTTTGTTTTTAAATTTTATTTTTTAAATTGATACAAAATAGATGTACATATTTTGGGAGTATATGTGACAATTTAATAAATTTATATAATATGTAAGGATCATATCAGTATATTGGGAAATCCATCATAATAAATGTCGCCTTTTCTTTATGCTAGAAACATTCTAATTCTTATCTTCTAGCCATTTTGATATATATAATAGATTACTGTAAATTACAGTCACCCTACTAATCTATTAAATTCTACATCTTATTTCTTCTATGAAAGTGTATACTTACTCTCTTCCTCTTCTGGTACTCCCATTACACATGTCAAACCTTTTGAAATTACTGTTTCTTGCCACCTTGTTCTTTTTGCATTTCAGTTTAGAAAGTCCTGCTGGCTGTCAGAGGTGGCTCACTGTTCCTTGCCTATGTCCAGTCTACTGAGGAGCCCATCAAAGGCATTCTTCATTTTTATTTTATTTTTTATTTTTTATTTATCTTTTATTTTATTTCTTTGAGATGGAGTCTCGCTCCGTAGCCCAGGCTGGAGTGCAGTGGCACAATCTCGGCTCACTGCAAGCCCCACCTCCCGGGTTCATGCCATTCTCCTGCCTCAGCCTCCCGAGTAGCTGGGACTACAGGCGCCTGCCACCACTCCTGGCTAATTTTTTTTTTGTATTTTTTTAGTAGAGATGGGGTTTCACTGTGTTAGCCAGGATGGTCTCGTTCTCCTGACCTCGTGATCTGCCCGCCTCGGCCTCCCAAAGTGCTGGGATTACAGGCGTGAGCCACCGCGCCCGGCTGCATTCTTCATTTTTGTTGCAGTGCTTTTGATTTATAGAGTTCCTTTGGTTTCTTTAGTAGAGTTTCCATCTCTCTGCTTACATCGTCCATCTCTTTTGTAAGTTGTCTACTTTTTCTCATTAGAATCCTCTGTATATTAATAATAGTTCTTTTAAATCTCCTGTCTGATAATTTTAATATCTGTCATATCTGTGACTGGTTCTGATGTTTTTTTTATATCTTCAAACTGTGTTTTCCTTGCCTTTTGACATGTCTTTTAATTTTTCATTGAAAGCCAGATATTAGGTATTAGTAACTGAGGTCATTAGGTCTAGGAAGTGAGAGTCTATTTTGATCTGGCTAGTAGCTGGGCTGTGTTTAATGTTTGCTGTAACTCTAGAAGCCAGACTCTTCCAATATTTCTTTGTTTTTGTCTCTCTCTTGACTTTGTGCTTCCAGGTACTTCTCTGCAAAACATCTGTTTTATGGATAAAATCCTTTTATACATAAAAGGACCTCTCTCCAATCTTCCTTGTGGGAACCTGGTGAGTTCCTTGCGAGAACCTCTATCGTTTTACCTAGAGGTAAAACCCAGGAAAATGTGGGGCCCCCTAAGACTGTGGCCCCCAGGGTTTCCTCACTCCATACTAGTCTGCACTCAGCCTCTGGCAAGTCAACACATTGCCATTTAAATATTCCTACCAGTATAGGGCTCCTGTGCTTCCGCTCCAGACCATCTTCATCCCCTCAGATTCTAGAGTTGATAGGCTTTTTCTTACAAACTTAGTTCTCTGATAGGTCCAAGAAACATCACCGATTTTCAATCAGTTCAGATTTGTTCTTGTTGTTAAGACAGGAGTGACAATTAGAAGCTGATTTGAAATTAGAAATCTTACAGATTTATTTTTTTCAGTGACACTTTATTGCTTGTCTTCTAAAATCTAATATTATGGTTCTAATCACTGTTAATATTAAGTAAGCATTTTTACCAAAGATAGAATAATTTTCCACTATAGATTCTAGTGATGGTAAGGTTTAAGTAGTAGCTGATTTATAAAATCAAAAACTAAAAACCAAAAGGCTCTTGTCTTCAAAGGCCACTAACAGCATAGGAGGCTGAATAGCCTCTTTCAAATTTTTACTGTTCATGCCAAAATATATGAACGTGGGTAAAAAATGGGACATTTGCCCAGTTTCCTTCTATGGTCAACTTGCCTTAAGATCAAGTGAGATATATGAAGTAAGATAAACAATGAAATGAAGATGCAGTCACTGATTTCACCACAAAAGTATCAAAAGTGTCCATGGCCAAGGCCATTTGAAGGGCTCCAGTGGGCTGAAGTCAGATTGTCTGGATTGAGAACTGTCTGGGAGCTGCTAACCTGGGTCAGCAGAATCATACTGTTCTTCAGAGAAGCTTCAGTGTAAACGTGAGAGGAACAATAAAGCAACAACTAAAGAAACAAGTTTGATTATTTTTTTCTTTTTTTAACTTAATGAAAGATACTGGGACATAAATATGAATTTGAAGAAAAAGGCTTATAGAATGACTGAAAACAAGGGAGGAATAAGGAGAAATCCTTGGAGAGGTGACTATGAGTAGAATTTAGCAAGTATGTGAAAAGATTCAGCTTAAAAGGATAATAAACACCTCTTTAAGAATGGAAAAAAGGCAGCAAATAAATAGGAAAAAATCAATCGTTTCTTAGTAGGAAGTTGAAGTCATTCAAGCCTGAAAACTTCAATTTTCTCAGTGCAGTCAAAGGCAAGATCAACTGATGAGAAAGATATTAAATATTGTATGTGTGGTCATTTACATGAAAAGTTGATATTCAGGTGCTTGGCCGGGATTTTCTACCACAGTTCACAGGAAAATTAGACTTACCTTGAACCATTTAAATGTATACTTATTCTCTACGAAAGGGTATCACCTGACATAGCAAGGGCAGCTTGTGTCTTGATATGTAAGAAATTGAAGTGATGAAAAGGGTAATTTATAACCAAACTGTAAACAATTTTATGTAGTAGTATTTAACCTAGGAATTGTCTAAACAACTAATGAGTCAAGTTTTGGAATGATTGGATTTTGATCTATCAATGTAAGCCGCTTCATGTAAAGTAAGCCATATGTGTACGAAATGTTTAGCTATGACAGAATGCTTTGGTTCCAGCAGTTGCCTGCAGCACCCATTAAGATGATCTAGTTCCACTTTGTCCATTACTTACAGAACAGGGCACACTCCACCGTACAGGCAAAGACGTTACTAATATCAGATGTTCAAACACAAAAGGCCAAGGATTAAGAAAATGTTCCCTGCAATTTCCAGTAATCAATCCATTGTTACTGAAGTAAAAGAGTGATAATGTCACTGCTGAGCCTCACTCAGCAGATGACTATACATTGGCTAATATTTCCTCCTACAACTTCTTATTTCAAGCAGCGAAAAAATCTTTAAAGAGCTCCTCATTGTATGTAATGGTAAGAATTCAGTAATCTGATATTCCCTATCACCCTTTTCAAAAACAAAACTACTTAAAATAATATTTTGTCCTTTAGTTCTCTAGTATCAATTTCTTGAAATTATGTATGATGGATTTTTATAGAAAAATTTAGTGAATGACTCCAGGACACAGGAAGTATCAAATTACTTCCACCCCAAATGTTTTTTTCAATAAGAAAAAGGCAAAGGCCTGAGAAGATGAGTCAGTAACATTGGTGACCATTTTCCTAAATACAAGCATCATAAGGTGGTTTACACAATTTAAAGAAATTAATACCCCTTTAAAGTAATTAATACCAATGTAAAAGTATTTTGTTTCTTATGGTTTGAAATGCAACTATTAAAATGTGCATATTTGTCACAGCTTTAGAATTGCTAACTGTACCGAATAGCTTAGCAACTGTGGCCACTTTGTCAAATTAAATGTGAAAATTTAGATCTGGCATGCTGAAGACAAAATGGAAACCTTTTATCTAAAATCGTATCAGAAAAGAAGTGAGAATTGAGCAGTGCTATTCAGAGACCATTCCCTATAAAAACCACATGATCCAAAATAGCAAAGAAAAGTCCATTGTTCCTCTCTCAGCAAGCAAGTGACTGAGCAGATTCTGAGGATATTTTACAAGCATTTAACTCAGGGCATAGCTGCATTGATTCAACATCTTAGAAATAATACATGTAAATATGTACATGCTGAAATAAACATGAAGTCAAGATTTTTAAGAGAATAAATCACTTTTAGCTTTGTGAATTTAATATTGAGTAACAAAAAGGCTTCTCAATCTGAGAATAAGTAAAATACCTTGGAATTGTTTTTTTAAAAACTAGAAGAACACATTCGAGTTATAGAGCATTGGTGCTTGGATGTGGTACAAGTTGGAGAATATTTTAAAAATTAAATTATATAAACTGTAAAATAAAACATATTTGAGATGCTCAAATAATAAAAATGTAAGTGAAAAAATTCTTAGTGGACAAATTTTATATAATTATATAATCATATAACTGAGTACATATAAAAATTATCATGCATTAAAGTATTCTTTTGGGGGAGCCAAAACATTTGTATTTGGGATTTCACACCACTGCCAACCTCTCTGATATTAGATTTTTTATAACAATAAGGATTAGGGCCGGGTGTGGTGGCAAACATCTGTAATCCCAGCACTTTGGGAGGCTGAGTTGGCTGGGTTACATGAGGTCAGGAGTTCAAGACCAGCCTGGCCAACATGGTGAAA
Source organism: Homo sapiens (assembly GCF_000001405.40). NCBI lineage: Eukaryota > Metazoa > Chordata > Mammalia > Primates > Hominidae > Homo > Homo sapiens. The sequence goes on along the minus strand of NC_000013.11, from coordinate 108,742,186 downwards.
ACCCGTCTCTACTAAAAATACAAAAAACTAGCTGGGCGTGGTGACATGCGCCTGTAGTCTCAGCTCTTCAGGCAGCTGAGACCCAAAAATTGCTTGTACCCTGGGGACGGAGGTTGCAGTCAGCCAAGATCATGCTACTGCACTCCAGCTTAGCAACAAAGTAAGATTCTGTCTCAAAAACAAACAGACAAGGAAACAATAAGGATTATAAGTTTATTGCTTATGGCACAGAAGCATTCTTCATACCCAGTGAGATAATATAGCTAGGAATCTGCAAAGCCCTATTCAACAATATGATGTAAATTATGATGAGGCCCTCTTTTGCTCAAATTGTGAAAATGTATTGCAGAAACCCATCATTTTTTGGCCCACTCCAATTCCTAAAGTATACTGGGCTTCAATGACTTCTATTTCATACTTAAAACTCAGAAAAGTGTCAATAGTTTTGTTTAATAATAAATACAGTTGATTCTCATTCTTCATGCATTCCATATTTGCAGATTTACTTACTTGGTAATATTTATTTGTAACCCCAAAATAATTTCTCATGGCACTTTTGTGGTAATTTGTAAGCCTGAACAGAATGATGAAAAATTTTATTCAACCAGGGTTCACATTCACAGCTGAGATCAAATAATACACCTTTTTTGAGGTTAAAAAACTGCCTGTTGTTTCAGCTCTCATAGAATAAACAAGTCCTTTCTGTGGTCTTTGTAGTGCCATTTTTTCCACATTTTTGAGCTTTTAAAGGTGGCCCCCAAGTGTACTGCTAAGGTGCTATCCAGTGTTCCTAATTGAGAAGGCTTTGATGTGCTTTAATGAAGAAACTATATGTGTTAGTCTTCATTCGGAGTGAGTCATAGCACTCACTTAATGAGTTCAATGTTAAAAAAGCAATATTATAGGGGGTGGTTCCAAGATGGCCAAATAGGAACAGCTCCAGTCTACAGCTCCCAGCGTGAGCGACGCAGAAGATGGGTGATTTCTGCATTTCCAACTGAGGTACCGAGTTCATCTCACTGGGGCGTGTCGGATGGTGGGTGCAGGACAGTGGGTGAAGCCCACCGAGTAAGAGCTGAAGCAGGGCGAGGCATTGCTTCACCTGGGAAGCACAAGGGGTCAGGGAATTCCCTTTCCTAGCCAAGGGAAGCCATGACAGACAGCACCTGGAAAATCGGGTCACTCCCACCCTAATACTGCACTTTTCCAAGGGTCTTAGCAAACGGCACACCAGGAGATTATATCCCCAACATGGCTCAGAGGGTCCCACGCCCACAGAGCCTCACTCATTGCTAGCACAGCAGCCTGAGATATAACTGCAAGGTGGCAGTGAGGCTGGGGGAGGGGTGCCTGCCATTGCTGAGGCTTGAGTAGGTAAACAAATGGCCGGGAAGCTTGAACTGGGTGGAGCTCACCACAGCTCAAGGAGGCCTGCCTGCCTTTGTAGACTCCACCTCTGGGGGCAGGACATAGCTGAACAAAAGGCAGCAGAAACCTCTGCAGATTTAAATGTCCCTGTCTGACAGCTTTGAAGAGAGTAGTGGTTCTCCCAGCACGGAGTTTGAGATCTGAGAACGGACAGACTGCCTCCACAAGTGAGTCCCTGACCCTCGAGTAGCCTAACTGGGAGGAACCCCTCAGTAGGGGCAGACTGACATCTCACAAGGCTGGGTACCCCTCTGAGATGAAGCTTCCAGAGGAATGATCAGGCAGCAACATTTGCTGTTCAGCAATATTCACTGTTCTGCGGCCTCCACTGCTGATACCCAGGCAAATAGGGTCTGGAGTGAACCTCCAGCAAACTCCAACAGACCTGCAACTGAGAGTCCTGACTGTTAGAAGGAAAACTAGCAAACAGAAAGCACATCCACACCAAAACCCCATCTGTACGTCACCATCATCAAAGACCAAAGGTAGACAAAACACAAAGATGGGGAAAAAACAGAGCCAAAAAGCTGAAAATTCTACAAATCAGAGCACCTCTCCCCCTCCAAAGGAACACAGCTCCTTGCCAACAATGGAACAAAGCTGGACAGAGAATGACTGTGACGAGTTGAGAGAAGAGGGCTTCAGACAACCAAACTTCTCTGAGCTAAAGGAGGAAGTTCCAACCCATCACAAAGAAGCTAAAAACCTCTAAAAAAGATTAGACGAATGGCTAACTAGAATAACCAGTGTACAGAAGTCCTTAAATGACCTGATGGAGCTGAAAACCATGGCACGAGAACCACGTGATGAATGCACAAGCTTCAGTAACCGATTTGATCAACTGGAAGAAAGGGTATCAGTGACTGAAGATCAAATGAATGAAATGAAGTGAGAAGAGAAGTTTAGAGAAAAAAGTGTAAAAAGAAATGAACAAAGCCTCCAAGAAATATGGGACTATGTGAAAAGACCAAATCTATGTCTGACTGGTGTACCTGAAAGTGATGGGGAGAATGGAACCAAGTTGGAAAACACCCTGCAGGATATTATCCAGAAGAACTTCCCCAACCTAGCAAGGCAGGCCAACATTCAAATTCAGGAAATACAGAGAATGCCACAGAGATACTCCTCGAGAAGAGCAACTCCAAGACACATAATTGGCAGATTCACCAAAGATGAAATGAAGGGAAAATGTTAAGGGCAGCCAGAGAGAAAGGTCGGGTTACTCACAAAGGGAAGCCTATCAGACTATCAGCACATCTCTCGGCAGAAACTCTACAAGTCAGAAGAGAGTGGGGGCCAATATTCAACATTCTTAAAGAGAAGAATTCTCAACCCAGAATTTCATATCCAGCCAAACTAAGCTTCATAAGTGAAGGAGAAATAAAATCCTTTACAGATAAGCAAACACTGAGAGATTTTGTCACCACCAGGTCTGCCCTACAAGAGCTCCTGAAGGAAACACTAAACATGGAAAGGAACAACTGGTACCAGCCACTGAAAAAAACATGCCAAAATGTAAAGACCATCGATGCTAGGAAGAAACTGCATCAACTAATGAGCAAAATAACCAGCTAACATCATAATGACAGGATCAAATTCACACATAACAATATTAACCTTAAATGTAAATGGACTAAATGCTCCAATTAAAAGACACAGACTGGCAAATTGGATAGAGTCAAGACCCATCAGTGTGCTGTATACAGGAGACCCATCTCACCTGCAGAGATGCACATAGGCTCAAAACAAAGGGATGGAGGAAGATCTACCAAGAAAATGGAAAACAAAAAAAGGCAGGGGTTGCAATCCTAGTCTCTGATAAAACAGACCTTAAACCAACAAAGATCAAAAGAGACAAAGAAGGCCATTACATAACAGTAAAGGGATCAATTCAACAAGAAGAGCTAACTATCCTAAATATATATGCACCCAATACAGGAGCACCCAGATTCATAAAGCAAGTCCTTAGAGACTTATAAAGAGACTTAGACTTGCACACAATAATAATGGGAGATTTTAATACCCCACTGTCAATATTACACAGATCAACGAGACAGAAAGTTAACAAGGATATCCAGGATTTGAACTCAGCTCTGCACCAAGTGGACCTAATAGACATCTACAGAACTCTTCACCCCGAATCAACAGAATATACATTCTTCTCAGCACCACATCAGACTTATTCCAAAATTGACCACATAGTTGGAAGTAAAGCACTCCTCAGCAAATGTAAAAGAACAGGAATTGTAACAAACTGTCTCTCAGACCACAGTGCAATCAAACTAGAACTCAGGATTGAGAAACTCACTCAAAACCGCTCAACTACATGGAAACTGAACACAACCTGCTCCTGAATGACTACTGGGTACATAACGAAATGAAGGCAGAAATAAAGATGTTCTTTGAAACCAATGAGAACAAAGACACAGTATACCAGAATCTCTGGGACACATTTAAAGCAGCGTGTAGAGGGAAATTTATAGCACTAAATGCCCACAAGAGAAAGCAGGAAAGATCTAAAATTGACACCCTAACATCTCAATTAAAAGAACTAGAGAAGCAAGAGAAAAACATTCAAAAGCTAGCAGAACGCAAGAGATAACTAAGATCAGAGCAGAACTGAAGGAGATAGAAACACAAAAAAAATCCTTCAAAATATCAATGAATCCAGGAGCTGGTTTTCTGAAAAGATCAACAAAATTGATAGACCACTAGCAAGACTAATAAAGAAGAAGAGAGAAGAATCAAATAGACACAATAAAAATTATAAAGGGGATATCACAACCACTCCCACAGAAATACAAACTACCATCAGAGAATATTATAAACACCTCTACACAAATAAACTAGAAAATCTAGAAGAAATGGATAAATTCCTGGACACATACACTCTCCCAAAACTAAACCAGGAAGAAGTTGAATCTCTGAATAGACCAATAACAGGCTCTGAAATTGAGGCAATAATTAATAGCCTACCAACCAAAAAAGGTCCAGGACTAGAAGGATTCACAGCTGAATTCTACCAGAGGTACAAGGAGGAGCTGGTACCATTCTGTCTGAAACTATTCCAATCAATAGAAAAAGAGGGAATCCTCCCTAACTCATTTTATGAGGCCAACATCATCCTGATACCAAAGCCTGGCAGAGACACAACAAAAAAAGAATTTTAGACCAATATCCTTGATGAACATTGATGCAAAAATCCTCAATAAAATACTGGCAAACCGAATCCAGCAGCACATCAAAAAGCTTATCCACCATGATCAAGTGGGCTTCATCCCTGGGATGCAAGGCTGATTCAACATACACAAATCATTAAATGTAATCCAGAATATAAACAGAACCAAAGACAAAAACCACATGATTATCTCAATAGATGCAGAAAAGGCCTTTGAAAAAATTCAACAGCCCTTCATGCTAAAAACTCTCAATAAATTAGGTATTGATGGGATGTAGCTCAAAATAATAACAGCTATTTATGACAAGCCCACAGCCAATATCATACTGAATGGGCAAAAACTAGAAGCATTCCCTTTAAAAACTGGCACAAGACAGGGATGCCCTCTCTCACCCCTCCTATTCAACATAGTGTTGGAAGTTCTGTCCAGGGCAATCAGGCAGGAGAAAGAAATAAAGGGTATTCAATTAGGAAAAGAGGAAGTCAAATTGTCCCTGTTTGCAGATGACATGACTGTATATCTAGAAAACCCCATTGTCTCAGCCCAAAATCTCCTTAAGCTGATAAGCAACTTCAGCAAAATCTCAGGATACAAAATCAATGTGCAAAAATCTCAAGCATTCTTATACACGAATAACAGACAAACAGCCAAATCATGAGGGATCTCTCATTCACAATTGCTTCAAAGAGAATAAAATACCTAGGAATCCAACTTACAAGGGATGTGAAGGATCTCTTCAAGGAGAACTACAAACCACTGCTCAATGAAATAAGAGGACACAAACAAATGGAAGAACATTCCATGCTCATGGATAGGAAGAATCAATATTGTGAAAATGGCCATACTGCCCAAGGTAATTTATAGATTCAATGCCATCCCCATCAAGCTACCAATGACTCTCTTCAGAGAATTGGGAAAAACTACTTTAAAGTTCATATGGAACCAAAAAACAGCCCGCATTGCCAAGACAATCCTAAGCAAAAAGAACAAAGCTGGAGGCATCACGCTACCTGACTTCAAACTATACTACAAGGTTATAGTAACCAAAACAGCATGGTACTGGTACCAAAACAGAGATATAGACCAATGGAACGAACAGAGGCCTCAGAAATAACACCACACATCTACAACCATCTGATCTTTGACAAACCTGACAAAAACAAGAAATGGGGAAAGGATTCCCTATTTAATAAATGGTGCTGGGAAAACTGGCTAGCCATACATAGAAAGCTGAAACTGGATCCCTTCTTACACCTTATACAAAAATTAATTCGAGATGGATTAAAGACTTCAATGTTAGACCTAAAACCATAAAAACCCTAGAAGAAAACCTAGGCAGTACCATTCAGGACATAGGCATGGGCAAGGACTTCATGTATAAAACATCAAAAGCAACAGCAACAAAAGCCAAAATTGACAAATGGGATCTAATTAAACAAAAGAGCTCCTGCACAGCAAAAGAAACTACCATCAGAGTGAACGGGCAACCTACAGAATGGGAGAAAATTTTTGCAACCTACTCATCTGACAAAGGGCTAATATCCAGGATCTACAAAGAACTCAAACAAATTTACAAGAAAAAAAACAAACAACCCCATCAAAAAGTGGGCAAAGGACATGAACAGACACTTCTCAAAAGAAGACATTTATGCAGCTAACAGACACATGAACAAATGCTCATCATCACTGGCCATCAGAGAAATGCAAATCAAAACCACAATGAGATACCATCTCACACCAGTTAGAATGGTGATCATTAAAAAGTCAGGAAACAACAGGTGCTGGAGAGGATGTGGAGAAATAGGAACATTTTTACACTGTTGGTGGGACTGTAAACTAGTTCAACCATTGTGGAAGTCAGTGTGGCGATTCCTCAGGGATCTAGAACTAGAAATACCATTTGACCCAGCCATACCATTACTGGGTATATACCCAAAGGACTATAAATCATGCTGCTATAAAGACACATGCACACGTATGTTTATTGCAGCACTATTCACAATAGCAAAGACTTGGAACCAACCCAAATGTCCATCAATGATAGACTGGATTAAGAAAATGTGGCACATTTCTTGGTGTATACCATGGAATACACATGGTATATACCATGGAATACTATGCAGCCATAAAAACGGATGAGTTCATGTCCTTTGTAGGGACATGGATGAAGCTGGAAATGATCATTCTGAGCAAATTATCACAAGGACAGAAAACCAAACACCACATGTTCTCACTCATAGGTGGGAATTGAACAATGAGAACACATGGACACAGGAAGGGGAACATCACACACCAGGGCCGGTTGTGGGGTGGGGGCGGGAGGGGGGATAGCATTAGGAGATATACCTAATGTAAATGACGAGTTAATGGGTGCAGCACACCAACATGTCACATGTATACATATGTAACAAACCTGCAGGTTGTGCACATGTACCCTAGAACTTAAAGTATAATAAAAAATAAATAAAAAGAACTTATAAGATGCTTTCTCTCTCTATACATCTTGGCTCTCAAGACTATTGTCCTGCTAGGGACACAAGAACACATTAATCCAAAAAGTCACAGCTGAGTGGTGGCGTGGGGTTCTAGCTAATAACTACCTTTCTCCTACCATGTGTGCAGTTTGTAGCCAACTTCCTTCTCACTGGACTTTCTAGGAGGCTAGAAACTACATTTCCCAGGCTCCATTGCAGACAGAATTCCACATGCGACCTAGTGGCCACCAAGCTGACACGCTGGAAAATGAAGTGAAGAGCAAGAGGCCCTGCCCACACCATGGGACATGATACCTTCCAGAAAGCTTGATAGCAAAAGCAATTGACTCTTCTCAGCAGCTGAGATGAAATTCTGAGTGCCCTGGTGCCATGCTGCCAAGCAGTGGGTGGCGGCAGCATTGATATTTTGCTAGAACAGTTCTGTGTATGCTTGGGCTATTTTCTTGGCTGTGTGGCAGCCAAGTTCATTCCCTGGTTTCCCTGGAGATCCTGTAAGCAAACTAATATGATTTTTAAATTCCCTTTCCGATTATTCTAACTAGTATGGATTTTGTTGCCTACTAGTAAAAACTCTGTCCAACATAGGTGGGGAGCCCATGGCATGAAGAGTTCCTAGAGATGAAAATATGTTGAAAATATGATTATCTTTAAACATGTTCTATAAGCAAACCAAGGGAATTTACAAGCATCTTGCTGAAATTGTGAGGAAGCGATATCAATTTTTCTAGAGAAGAAGGGATGGTAAATAGAAATTAATTGCACACTTCCTGCTATTACAAATGTATGATATATAACAGGGCAATGCTTTTGTCTTTATTTAGTATGCTGCCTTTGTTTTATTGCATCAAAGATTTTTTAATAATATATGTATAAGTGCTAAAAAAAAAAAGCAATATTATATATTAAATAAGGTGCCTGCAAACAGACACATAAAATTTGGTGATATGCTGATCTGTTTATGAAAATATCATGACCAGAGATTTGAAGGAACCTAACCTTGTATTTCCTCTAGGAGCGAAGCTCAGTATTTGCTAAGTATCTGTGTTCATAATGACTCTATAGAACACACTACCTTAAATAAGAAGAATCTACTGTGTTATTTATTTATTTTTTTTTGAGACGGAGTCTCATTCTGTCGCCCAGGCTGGAGTGCAATGGCGCGATCTCGGCTCACTGCAGGCTCCGCCTCCCATGTTCACACCATTCTCCTGCCTCAGCCTCCCGAGTAGCTGGGACTACAGGTGCCTGCCACCATGCCCAGCTAATTTTTCGTATTTTTAGTAGAGACGGGGTTTCACCATGTTAGCCAGGATGGTGGATGGTCTCGATCTCCTGACCTCATAATCTGCCCACCTCGGCCTCCCAAAGTGCTGGGATTACATGTGTGATCCACCACGCCCGGCCCTCTACTGTGTAATATTTCTTAATATTCTTCCCCAATTTTAAATAATCAAGTTAAAAAGCTGTGTTTTAAAAATAAATGTATGATAATATTACAGTGAAAATCATGATATTATTAGCCCACTTAGGGACTCTTAGCTCTGAATGAATTATAAGCAATATAGCACCAGATCAGAGTGGTCAGGGGTCCAAGTTCTGATGCTGGCCTTTATGGGATCAAATCTTGTGCCTATGACTAATACTATCTGGACTTCAGCATGTAGATTTGCCTCGTTCTTGAATCAGTAGCCTCAGCTACATAAAGCAGAAAACGCTGGCACTTTCATAATAGAATTCTGTGAGAATCAAGGGAGTTACTAATTGTAAAGCATGTGAAAAATGCCTGCTGCATAGGGAGGGCTGCATAAAAGTTAATTGTTAGTATCTGCTAGAGTTTTCATTCACAGTAGCTGAGCCTCCTCCAAAACAAAACACATTTGTGGTTCAATTCAAGTAGCACTGTTCCAGTGCTGTTAGGTAGACGATGCCCCCTCTACACACACACTCACATGTCTCTGCTTAGCAACTCAGAATAAATCACCTCACAAATCAATAAAATTATTTTTATGGATGACTTCCTGAAGAACTTGAAAAATGTGGCTTGAATATATCCTTCATTCATTTTTACACCCAATCTTCTGCCATTCACTCTATTCTAACTTTCTCTATCTCAGCAAACAAAAATTACAACGTCAACTTTTCAGGTTTCAGGCTAAAAAAGTGGAAGTCATCTGTGACTCCTTTCTCTCCACCCTAAATCCAATCACACAAAATACAGACAACTCTGCCTTCAAAATCCTGTATATCCAGATGTCAACCACTTCTTGCCACCTCCACCACTTCTAGTCTGGACAATAGATACCTAAATGTTCCCTGTTCTTCTCAGTTGTAGAATTTCAACAGAGCAGCAAACGTGATCCTCTTAAACTGAAGCCATCACGTCACTTCTTTCCATACCTCCTTCTTCCCAGGGCTTCCCTAATCACCTAGTTGAAAGCAGATTCTCAAGTCCTTGCAAAGGCTTGACCTCACCATGCCATTCTGAGTACATCTATCCCCTGACCCCTGTCACTTCACTGCAGCTGTGCTGGTCTCCTTGCTGTCCCTCCAATACACAGACCCTGCCACATAGCTTTCTATGTACCGTCCCCTCTGGCTGGCACACTTGCACCCACGTATCCACGTAGCTCCCGGCTCACATGTCACCTTTTTCATGAAGCCATCCTTAATACTCTGTTCCTTTCTTCCTGACCTTTCCAAAACCTCTTACTAGTTGATATACTATAAATTTTAGTCATTTGTGTGTTTTATCTGCTTTTCCTTAATAGAATGTAAGCTCTAAAAGGCAGGGCTTTTTCTGCTTGTGCTCACTGCTGACTCCCTTGAGTACACACAGACGGCTACCACAGATTTAATAAATGAATCAATGCTGCACAGTCTCTCTGGCCCATCATCAAGCTCTGGAAAATGGAAAGAAGATGGAGCATACAGTCTTCCACATTGGACAATAGCGTTTCATCTGGCAAGTAAAATACATTTATCTTTTGAGGTTATTGGCAGGAATGTATTTTTACAATAATTAGAATTTTTATGACAACATATTTTATCAACATTTATTCAGAGTAAATTGCTTCTGTGGATGGATACTTAGGCTGGCTATAACACGGTATGAATACAGCTACTCAGATTTGCTTAATCCATTAATCAAATTTCCCAGGGGTTCATTTGATTAATTGCATTGTTTGTTTTCACCATTAGAGTATAAAATATCTTCTCATTCACTGTGCAGCATCTCAAACATAGTAGTCATTCAATAAATATTTAGTAAATGAATGAATGAATAAACAAACTGTAATTTCCCTCAGGGCAGGCCTTATGTTCACACATAATCGGTGATAATTTATATTAATTAAGTGAATGAAGATGATGATTGGTTAGTAGAAGTCATTGAATGAGAGCAACTAATAGATATATTACTTTGTATATTAGGTTGGATTATTCTGCACTGTGAGAAACAGGACATTGCTGAGCCATGAAAATATTGCTAATAATTTGAAAATTATACATTTAACTCTATGATCATCCATGAAACACAACTAGTTTTTTTCCCCCTCAATTCTGTTTGGTAAGGAAAAGCAAACTCATCAGATATTGAGATGATTTGTGTGCTAAAGCAAGCACTTGTAATACAAGTGTAGAACACGTGAGGTAAAGAAGTCTAGAATATGTAAAAGGATGGATGTGGTTATACGGCAGCTTTTATTACCTATGAGTTAATATTGTCAATATTTTTCAGGCTGAATTCCAAAAACTGGCCTGCTTTCTTTCATTCATTTGTTGATTCATATATGTAGCTTGAGAGATGATATTCAAGCATACACTAAGCATCTATCAAGTGCTAGGCACCGTTTTAACAAACAGCAATGCATGCATGTGCTAACTACTTCTGTGACTTGCTAGAAGCTAATTATTTATTAAATGCCTAACCTGAAGCTGGTGTTAGTTAGACAAAGAATTACTGAATATACATCAAATTTTTCCAGGCAGAAGAGACGTTTATTTTAAAGGCAACTGGCCATTAATGTGATTGAGTTGTTGCCATGGGAACAAATAGGAGTTACAGAAACTGTATCTCATAAGAACAAAGAGAAAAAGAAGTCATTATTTAAACAAGTATAATATTCGTAATGGGATGAAATATCAAGGAACACAGATAATGTACTGGTAATCTTAATAGTAAATGCGGGCATGTATCAAAGAATAGGAAGATAAAATAAAAGTACAGAGAAGGAGTGTCTAGAACTCTCCACATCCTAATGAACTTAGCGCTGAGTCTGACAATGATGTGAGGGTATTCCTAGTTAGGACAACAATATAACACTTCTCCAAATTGTTACCCTTTTTCTAAACATTCATTTAGGAGACCAGGATTGGTGCCATTTTTTAATCAAATTTCCTTTGGAAGATGCTGCTTAGCCTCAACATGAAGAAGGCTAATGTCTATTACCTCAGTTACACAAGGAGTCATAGGAAAGGTCTGAATAACTTGCCAGTATATCTAATTTATTTTTATAATTATGTTGTTACGCCAGATACCAGTCCTGATGGCCTGCCCCAATCCTAGCTCTGGTTATAAACATGCCTCCTTCTTGTGCTCAAGGTGGTCTAAGTGTTTTGCTACCTCTAGACTATAAATGTTAGTTCTGACAATTATGCTGTATTAGCCTGTTCTCACGCTGCTATGAAGAAATACCCTAGACTGGGTAATTTATAAAGAAAAGAGGTTTAACTGACTCACACTTCTGCATGGCTGGGGAGGCCTCAGGAAACTTACAATCATGGTGGAAGACACCTCTTCATAGGGCAGCAGGAGAAATAATGAGAGCCCAGTGAAGGAGAAAGCCCCTTATGAAACCATAGGATCTCATGAGAACTTACCGTCATGAGAATAGCATGGGGGAAACCACGCCTATGATTCAGTTACCTCTTATGACATGTGGGGATTATGGGAACTCCAAGATGAGATTGGAGTGGGGACATGGCCGAACCTTATCATATGCTACCTGTGATACCAGTCTCCTAGATGCTGAAGGGGAGTCATTTCATGTACTTATAGATACTGCACCTGAGTCACTACACTGTTATTTTATGAGCTATTTTGCTTGAAATGTAACTCAGATCTGACTCTTCTTTTCTTTGTCATAATTTGGTTCATCAATTCAGGGCTGTTCCTGCAATATTTAATTGTGAGTATCATGTGAGATACCACGATCTAGACTCAGTAGAGACTACAGAAAGAAGGCAAGTCCTCTTGCTCTTTCCGATCAGAAATAAGAAACTGCTACATTCAGAATGGAGGAAGGGAATCCTGGCTGGCAGTGAAACTGAGATCTCACAAACCTTTCTGAACTCAAGAAACTGAAGCCTGTGTCCAGACATTTGCATTGAGGAAATGGAAGCAGGATTTAAAAATTTTAAGCACAACCATATGAATATTCATTTGTGAGAATAAGTATGGCCATTTTGCATGCAGGAAGAAAGAGCTTCTTTTGGCACGGCTTAATTTAATTAATAATAATTAGTCAGAGAAAAGAAATAAGGATGGGCTTTGAAAAAAATTAAAACAAGTATTTAGAAAAAAAGAAATCAGAACATAGAAAAACTGCAAAAGCCATGAATCAAGCCTATCTCATTCTTTTATAATTAAAGCAGCTAGTTGAACTATCAAAAAATGTATCAAACAACTACTATGAACGTAGTTCCTCCTTAAATGACCCAGCTGCGTGCTCTATGAGTTGTTAGCATTCTAAAGATGTCTAAAGTTGATCAGGTCACAGCATTACTCGAAAGGCGATTTGGTTCCTTTCTGTAATATATTTTATAGTTTTTTTCAATTCTGGAGAAATTCTATGGCCTTTATGGTGAACCGGCAATTTAGTGCCTCTTAGGCTCTGTATCTACAAAACAAAAATCTTGTTTTATAAATGAGTCAGGTAGATTTTCATGCTTTTTTATATACAGTACTAGCCCTCTAAAAATTTATATTTCAGCTAAATAATCTTTATTTCCTTTGTCTTTCCTTAATATACCCTCCATCTTCCAGAATTTGAAAGAAATACACTTTTAGTGACATATATTTCTACTGTAAAAAAAAAAAAAGAAAGTGTACATATTCTTGAAGGACAAATCAGAGAAAACTAGACAAAATTAAACCTCCTACAAGATTAAGACAGTCCCAATATACAGCCTTTAATCCCAAAATATTTTTGTTCAGAATTTTAAGAGGGGGGGAAGAGGGGCAGTATGGTGTATTTAAAATGTTTTCCAGAAAAAAGCTATGCTCCCTAGTAGTGTAGATGCGATCTTATTGGGGAATAAGGTCTTTGGAGATGTGATCAAGTTAAATGAGGCCACCTGCCTTAGGGCGGGCCCTAAATCCTATGACTGGTATCTTCTGAAAGGAAAGAATGAGAGATTTGGACACACTGACACAGAAGAAAGTCATGTGCTGATGGAGGCAGAGACTGGAGTGATGCTGCTATAATCTAAGGAACATCAGGGACTGCAGGGGTCACTGTAACTAGGAAGCACCAAGGAAAGTTTCATCACTAGGGCCTACAGGGGGAGCACGGCCCTGTCCACACCTTGACTTCAGACTCCTAACCTCCGCAAGGGTGCTTGTGTTCAGCCACCAACTAGGCGGTAATTGGTATGGCAGGCATGGGAAACCAACATTGGTAGCACGGCTCAGTGACAAAAAATGGACTTCTGACAATGAACTTGAGTTCTTAGCTATAGTTTGCTTTTGGCTTACGGCAAGTTGTTTAATATATTCGAGCATCAGTTTGCTTTTGTGTAAATTCTTGAGAGTCTACATAAAAAAATGTGAAAATCCAGTTGCATAATAGCAAGGCATTAAGAAGTTAATTTTTTAAATAAATAAAATAAAAGCAAATCATTCTTGCTCATATATTCCAGTGTGTTTTCTAAAAATTGTAAATAGTTTCTTGAAATACTTTCTAGAGATCACTATTCCAAAATAAAGTATGTGTGAGGATCAACGTCTGGATGTAAGATTAACTGAAAATAACAACCAAAACAACAAACTCCAATGCTTTTTATATTTAAAGTTCCCGTTTTCATGTAAACAAACATTGTAGACACTTCTTTACTAGATGTAACCAAGAAAAAAAAAGATTCAATATAAACCATATCTCCTTATAATGTTATGCCTCTTTGGCTAAAAATTTAAAAATGAGAATGAATTGAAAAGCAAAATTATCAAACCATTTTAGTTGAAACTGACTTGTATCAAGGCATATAATTCCCAAGGAAAGGCAAGAGAAGTTGCATTTGGCATAGTATCTGCACAAATTGTTTTATAAACTATGTGACCCACAACCTTAGTCTCTAATTATCTTGTGTTCTAGGGAGATACATGATAACATATGCAGATTTTTCTCAACCAAAATATTACATATTGTAAAATAGCATTAGTTAAATATATAGCCTTTTACATGCCATCAAATCTTCAAATGGTAAACTGAATTGCTTTACTTACTAATACAAGAAGCAGGACAATATCAGGGTTATCGCAGGCACAGGCAATGTGCATGGGCGTCCAGAAGTCTTCATCCTGGTGGTTGACGTTGACTCCTCTGTCAATCAGAATTTCTGCAATGAAGGCATTATCATACCGAGCACACTAAAAGAAAGAATACAAGGAAATATCAAATTATTACAAACTGTGATATGGCTTATTCCAAATGTCCACAGATTTAAAAAAAAACTTCAATACCAATTTTGGGAGTTGAGAGGTGAAGCTAACCTGGGAAAAGATGTATTTCCCCAACTAACCAACAAGGAAAAGAACATACGCAAGACTTCTGGGGAACTGGGTCAAGGAACAGCAGACAGAAAGAAGAAAATCAGGGTAGATAGTAGGAAGGTCGAAAAAAGTACTTCACTTACTGGTTTTTATTTCATTTGTAGATAGGATTATTTAAAAAAAACTTGAACCATTCACAATAATTATCTTTCTAAAAATACAGAGTTGATCATAATACCCTTCTACTCTAAAACATGCATCCTTTGTCACTGTCAAAAGAATAAAGTGTAACTATTTAATGGCATCCAAGATAGACAAGGCCCTTCAGAATCCCTCTAACTTAATCCCTCAACATTCCCATCTGTAACCTTCACCCTAGTCACGTTTCACAGCATGTCATATTGTAAGAGTTAACAGCTGAAATTTAAGAGTCTCCTAAAATGAATTTTAATGATTTTATAATGTTGCATTTTATATATGTTCAATAATTTACTAAATCAAACCATCCAGCAACTTAACTTTATTTACTATTTATAGTTCAAACTCAGGTAAATATTGTATATATAAGTCAGGGCTGGCATCACGGGTGTACAATCTATGCAACTGCACTTAGATGAGTCCTGTACCTTGATGTTCTGCCTTTACCATCTTGAATGTTCAATTTTGAAAAGTCCCAGATATTTATTTGCATTGGCCTCTTCAAATCATCCAGTCCTTTTATGAGTATTTTTCTTTTTCTTTTTCTTTTTTTTTTTTTTTGAAACAGAGTCTCACTTTGTCACCAGAATGGAGTGCAGTGGCGCGATCTCAGCTCACTGCAACCTCCACTTCCCAGGTTCAAGTAATTCTCCTGCCTCAGCCTCCTGAGTAGCTGGGACTAGAGGTGCATGCCACCACACCCAGCTAATTTTTGTATTTTTAGTAGAGATGGGGTTTCACCATGTTGGCCAGGATGGTCTCAATCTCTTGACATCGTGATCCGCCCACCTCGGCCTCCCAAAGTGCTGGGATTACAGGCGAGAACCACCACACCCAGCCTTACGAGTATCTTTCATATTTACATCTATAAGTTACATAATGCTAAATGCATATTAGTACAATTAGTTTTTAAAAACCTATTATTAAATAGGTCAGCAAAATTTCTGGGTTATGAGATACATACTTTTTCTGTGATGTGTATGCATAGAACAGATTTCTCTCCCCAAAGGAATGTCAATCAATATCCCACTGGAAGCACTGGCACACAAATTTACCCACCAATTTACTGGATAGTACCATTAAAAACAAATCATTGTAGAATTTCTGCTTCCCTGTAACAGAGACCAGATGTACCTTCCTGCTTGAATCAACTAAAAAAGAAAAACAAAATATATGACCTCTGAATGATGGGCAGCAAACAAAATAAGCCCTACTACTGTTCCAGCCTCCTACCTTGAGAGAGTTCCCAAGCTACAGCACAGGGAGAAGAACCTGGCTTGACCAGGGCTGGCTCTTGAAATGTCTTGAGAGACCAGGGTGGCTAAATTTCAGAGCAGAGTAGCAGAGAGGACAAAGCTGCACAGAGAAAAACTTTAAAGTTTTAAAGAATGCCTCCCTCAAGTGCTCAGCTGAATAATGATCAGCACTTGCACTCTAGGAAACTGCCCAAGGTCAGGCAAAGAACTGCCTGAAAAGAAAGAGGACTCAGGGCTCATAAGTTGCAAGAAACGGTGCCTGTTCCTGCCAACCAGACTGAAAACCGTGTAACTGACAGAGCACTGGGTAGAGTACTAGATGTGTTTTGCTTCAGTGGAGGGAAATATGAGTCCTAAACTAAATGCTGTTCTGTTCCCAACTAAAAAATTTCAAATTCAGGCCCTGAAAAGATGAAACTGTTTCCAAATAACTTAGTAGCCCCCAAAGAGTTCAGGATTATTTACAAAAATATTGAATACCCAACAAGGCAAAATTTACTCTGTCTAGAATCCACCAAAAAAATTGCCAAGTATACAAAAAAGCAGGAAAATAGGATCCACAATGAACAGAAAAATTGATAATGGAAACAAATGAAGAAGAGATACACCTGTTAGAATGAGCAAATCAGGTGTTAAAACCGTATTTATAACTATATTCCCTATGTTCAGAAAGTGAGGGGATCTATTGAAGATGTTAAGTACATAAATGAAAGATATTAAAAAGACTCAAATTTAACTTTCAGAGATGAGAACTTTAATGGCTTAGATGGGATCAACAGCAGACTAGATATTTCAGAAGAAAAGATGAATGAAATCCAAAGCAGCAACATAAATTAAACAAAATATGACAAGGAAAGAAAAATGATTTTTTAAAAATGGCAGAGCATCAGTGATCTGTGAGAGATCTTTTTAAAAGATTATATCAAAATGAAGAGCACTGAGAATTGTGACTGTGAGTTATATATATTTTTTCATTTAGTATACTTAAAATATAATTGTTTAAAAATCACAAGAGAGTATAAGGCTTATAATCTATACAGATTAAAATATATCACAGCAATAAAACAAAGGCGGGAAGGGGAGAAATGAAAACATAATATTGTAAGGAATGTTTTTATGCTACATGTGAATGGGTAGGATGCCACCTGAAACAAGGGAGGGTTATGTCAAATATGTATCCTAAAAATACTAAAGCAACCACCAAAATAACATGCACCGTGCGTAATACCGCTAAAGAGTTAAAATTGAATCACGAAAAATACTCAAACCTAAAGAAGGCAGAAAAAGAGGAAAGAAAAACAAATGACACAAGTACTAAAAAAAAGGAAGATGGTAGATTTCAACCAAACATATAAGTAACCATATAAGTAAGTGCAAATATTCTAAATGACACAGTTAAAAGGCAGGGAGTATTAGACTGGATAACAAAGCAAGAGCTAATAATTGTCTCCAAGAAAACTTCCACCCCTTCCACTGAAACCAGGAAGATGACAAGCATGTTCACTTTTACCACTTCCCTTCAACATTCCACTGGCAGTACTAGCCATGGCAAAAAGGAATGAATAAGAAGCCAAATTAATCTAGATTGAAAAGCAAATATTAAAACTGCCATTATTCGCATATGACATGATCATCTATGTAGAAAATATAATGGAATATACAAAGTTATTAGAACCAATAATTAAGATAGCAAATTTGAAAGATACAAGATCACTATACAAAAAACAAAGATATTTCTATATGCTAGTGGTAAGCCTTTGAAAAATAATTTTTAAATTAAGATAGCATTAAGAATATTGAAATACTTAGGGACAAATCTGACAAAATATCAGTAAGACCTGCACACCAAAATCAACAAAACGTTAGTGAGATAATTTTTTAAACCTAAATAAATGGAAATTTAGTGTGTTCTTGGGTCAGAAGATGCAATATTGTTAAGAAACCAGTCCTTCCCAAATTGATCTGTAGATTCAATCCAAATGTGTCATAATTCCAGAAGGGTTTTTTTTTATAGATATTGAAAAGCTGAATCTAAAATTCATAAGTTAATGCAAAGGACCTAAAATTGCCCAAAGAACTTTAGGGTGGTGGAACCCAAAATTCATGGACTAAAGCTAACTAATTTCAAGACTTGTTATGAAGTTATAGCAATCAAAGCAGTGTGGTGTTGGCATAAAATGAAATTAATCAATGAAACATAATAGAGAATTTAGAAATAGATCAATTCATGTATAGACAACTAATTTTCAAGAAACTGGCAAGGGCAATTCAGTGAAGAAAGAATGTTCTTTCAGTCAATTATACTGAAACAATTGGGTACACACATGTATAAAAATACTTTTGACCTATATTTTGTCCTATATAAAAATATTACTCATAATGTAAAATTGCAAAAAATGTAAAACCAAAAGTTACAAAAGTTCTAAAAAGAACATAACAGAAAATCTTAGTATGATACTAAAAATGCAGCCTATCAGGGGAAATATTAGCAAATTGAATTTAATTAAAACAAAAATCCTCTACCCTTCAGAAGATACTTCTCAGTGAATAAAAAGACAAGCCATAACCTAAGACAAAATATTCACAAAACACCCATCTGTTAAAGACATTTATCAAGAATATACAAAGAACTCTCAAAATTCAGTATTTCAAAAGAAACAAACAGCTTCAAAGATAAGGCAAAATATTTAATCTCTCACTTCACCAAAAAAATGGGTGTTCAAATTACAGTTCACAATCATGATACACTAACTGAATACTCATACCATCCCCTATTATCAGATCGTCTCAAGAGTGTACAACAACCACCGTGAAAAAGCATGGTGTGAGGTCGCTGAAGAGTATGGAGGAATGTATTAGCAGACACCATTATTAGGATTCAAGTAAGCAATAGGTGCAATGACAAATGCGAATTCTTACAGAATAATTTTGGTTTTGAACTAAGGTCTTTCTGTATCTGATGTTCTGGGTGATGTGTAGCAATAAAAAAACTGTCACTAGACTCAGTGCCTTGACCGTATGAACTGAGGCCCCATCCCCTGGAGCTTCAGGTTTGGGTACAAGGACACAGAAGGTGAGTGGCACAGTATGAAAGTTCAATAAATTTGATGTTAGAATGTGAGGCCCGGATCTACTTCATTTTAGGAAATTCATATGCAAGTAATTCCTTTTCTGCTCTCTTTAGCTTTGTGATAGCTCAGCGTATAATCAATAAAGATGTGACCTCCTCCTTCTGTGCCTGTCAAGATATCCTCGACCTGCACCTCAGGAATCTACATTTATATTCAGATACCTGAAGCTTGGATTTTCACTGTCTTTCACCAAACAGAGTTAATTAGATCCAGTGTTGAAAGTGATATCAGCCCCTCTCAAGTGATATAATTTTGGGAATCACATTTCAGAGGATTATGAATAATAATTTGACAGCAATAAATACTTTCTAGTCACTCTTGTCTGAAAAGAGTGTGATGGTGGAACATTCCTGTTACAATGTTCTTATAATATTGTTATGTAGTAAATCTACTTCCCTAGAAAGAATTTTCTTCAAGCCAGGAAATATTCCTCCCAATTCAGGTTGTTCTTCCTTATGTCAGCCACTTTCTGGTGACACTTTATGGCACCAAGAAAGTGACTGAACCCACATTCTGTCATGCCCAGCAGAACTCCAACACCACCAGGTCCTCCACCTGCAGCCTGGAGCCAGGTCCCCAAGCTCCTGCTGTCACCTTCATTTACCTCTCAAAATGCCAAGAAGAGCTAGTTAAGGTGGGACCCAGTGCAAAATGAAAATTCATGGCTTCCAGTTTTAAAATTATTGACGATTTCAAGATAGTGATATCAGAGGGTGAAATCAAGCATGGTACCTTTCTAAAAAGAAGGCCCCGTGTGACTATATGGGTAACCTGCCTGTGATGCCTGCCCTGAATTACCAAGCCCTTTAATCAACTAAGCTCCTAGATTCCTTCATGGCCACAGATTACTCCCCTCCATGGAATGATGCGAACCCAGCCCAATTTCCACTTCTGGAAATGTCCAGAGAACCTAAATGGAAGTCAGCCTCTCTGAAAACACCATCTCTCCTGCAGCCTTGTCCAGTGTAGGGAAACTTATTCTTCCACAGAGCACTAAAAAAGCTTGGATATCTTCTGAGCTTATCATTGATTCTTCTGGAATCACTGAACGCTTACATTGATGTGCTTCTTTCTAAGATTTACCCAATCCTTATGTACTACCTCATCTCCCAACCTGGTCACTCTTCTCTGTCATGGAAGACTTGGGGACCATGATGACATCCTTCTCTCCACTTAGAACACCATCAACAGAGGAAGCATTAATGATATCACTTACTCCACATAAGATCCCCAAAATGTCATCCCTCCTGAACACTATCAACAGAGGAAGCGTTAACAATACCACTTACTCCACATAAGAACCCCAAAATGTCATCCCTCCTGGACTCCACCAATCTTTATCCACACCTCTGGTTTGTATTAGCAAGACTGGCTTCACTCTGAAATATTAAATTCTGGCATCCCAATCTATGACTACAATACCTCATTCTGCCTCCTAAGACAAACTGAGAGAGCAAAGTGACGAGAGAGCAAGGCCTTCCTCAAAGGTTGTCCAAAGCTTTGACCGTGTGGTTAGAATGTGTCAACAAATCTTTTCAACACAGCATCAGCAGTTCACAGCTTCTCTTGTACTGCACTATTTCATTTGTAACTTTCTAAACAAAGGTAATATGTCTTAATATACAAACTCAACACAATGCACATTATTGATTCATCTGAAAGTACTGAAAATCATAGGAACCAAATGACAAGCAAAGGGAACTTCGAACTTAAAATGCATTGTCAATTTTTTTTTTCTGCTGTCTTGGTGTAAGGGGTGGTTTCTGGATCCTGGCCCTTCTGATTGGCTAATGAACATATCATGAATGACCCTGAAATCTATCACTCAGTAAATCAGAAAATCATTACAAATATTTACAAATCACACATCAAGTCTGAAGATTCAAATCAAATTCTGTGGTTCATACATAAGAGTTATCTTTCACCAATTTTTAAAATGAGCGTTGGATCTATTTTAACATGACTTTTCACAAGTCTACATGTTTTACAATGCAAGCTTCCCCTTCTCTTCTCTGTAGTGGTTACGGAGCAGTCATGGCAGAGGAGACTAGAGAAATAATTACTAGGAAACATCCAGTTTGATCCAGGGTTGTCTTCGTGAATGTCATGTGCCAGGCACAGTTCTACCAGTAAATTAAAAAACAACAACAACAACAAAACTCTGAACTTTTAGGTAGCTATGGGGGAAGAAGAAGTGACGTGAGGTGCACAATTTGAGTGAGATATAGTCCATGTTTTTGTCCTATGTTTATGAGTTCTCAGTAGTTCAAAGAACATTTCTACAGTGAAAGTCAGAAACAGTGACAGAGAGAGAAGAAAAGTAGCGGACAAAATAGATAAATTTATATCAGTAGCAAAATAAATTTAAATTTATTGCAATTTCTCAAAATCTAACATGATTCTGGAACTTCCATACGCTTGTTTTTATTCAACAGCAATACCGCAGACCGGCCCTTTCAGCCTGTGCTTGAATCTTTGCAAACTCTCGTCCACTTCTCTGCCACCATGTCACATTGAAGGATCATATTCACTGTAGTGTTATCTTGAACATACTTATTTTTGCTTTTCATGATCTTCTCTCTGGCAAATATTATACTCCAGATTATCTTGCCATAGATAAACTACCCAGAATGCTGTGAGTTGAATCATATTTATTATTTCTATTTGCACTGCAGAGAGCCGCAGCTTCCAGCCAATTGAACCAGACTCTAAACACCGAACCACATCCAGAAATTTTAAAATCCTAAAAACCTGTTATCCTTTTGGGTGAATGTAAACCAATCTCCTTCATCAGCAGCACTGGTTTGCTGCATTTTAAATTCTCTAGATTTTATTAGGCAACACTATATTCCAGCTGTACTTGGCAAGGTATATATAAAGGTGAATTACGTAGTAACTACTCTTAAGAAATAGTGCTGTTTGATATTGTGAGGTTTATGATAAAAGGTATACATAGCATTCTATGGAGTCACAGCAGAAGGTACCTAATAGCCTGATAGGAATTGGATAATTGAATACGGGAACACAGGAGCTTGTCTTGAAGGATCAAGAGGCAGTGAACAAGTGGGTGCGGCCTGGGGTGAGACATTCATATATCTGTTAGTTAAACGTACATATTCACTGAGGAACTACTATGCCCCCAGTGCTGTGCTAAGCCAGAGGGCTATTATAAACAAGAACTCACCTCAGGACCAACAACCTACAACTGGGGGATGACGCAGGCAGAAAGCTGAGATGGGACCGTGGTGAGCTGCTGGCCCGTCTCGGTAGAGCTCCCCAAAGTAAGAAACAGCCTGAGTGATATTGAGGAGGAATGGGATCAGCCATTTGTGGAATTATAAGCAGTTTGGTACATCTAGAGAGTAATGTAAATTATTAGGGTTGCTTAAAGAAAGACTTTCTAAGTAGGTGAGTTTCAGGCTGATAAGTAAGGAAACCCTTTCTTGCTACAAAACTCTAGTTTCTCCAGGAAAGATTTTGTTACCAGTGGCTTTGAAGGTGAATGTCTGCAAGTTTCCTTAGGGGAGCTATAATTCTATAAGAAGTCTGTGGAAAATGCCTTGTTATCTGCCTTCACCCTGTCAGGAAAGAGTTCTGATTCTTAATAATTTGGGGTCCTTATTACAAAGATATAAAAACAAAACGAAACACAAAATCTAGTTGCTATCTTCACTGGGGCCTTTCTTAGATCATCTGATGCAGAGCAAATCAGGCCCGTGTGGTGTATTCCTAAAAAATGGAAAACTCATCCATTGGGTTTCCAGTAGCATTTAAAGCATCATCACAATGTGCTCTTCTGTTGCCCTTTTGTCCCCTAAGCCATGCATGCAGGGAGTCATGATAAAAATACATCCGCAGGCAGGTCAAGGTTACGATTCTCTTCCAAGATTCAGCTGGATATCTCACTAATGATCTAAAATTCTGAACTAGGGACTTTCCAGTTATGGATGTGATGGTTCTCAAGGACCCAAAAGACAATGAATTTGAAAAAAGCCACATCCAGCCAGGATTTTGAATCTTGAATTGCACCCCTGGGGTTATGTGAAGAGTCTCTTGTTCACAGTCCGTGGCCCCTCCATTGCCTGTTTGCCAGCGACAGGCAGCACCCTGCAGCGCTCACCCTCAGACATCAGTATCACCCAACTTGCCTGGCTGTGCCCGCTCTCTTTCCTGCCCCTTGCCTGCCTTCTGCTTCCTGCTGCTGCATCCTCCATGGGGCCCCCATTCCACATCCTCCAAGGAACATGCAGGAACAGCCCCTGTGAGGTCCTTGGAGGATGTGGAGTGGGGGCCCCGTGTGGAATACCTTCCTGTGCAGAGGGGATATTGTCTTCTGCTGTGATTGATGTTCTTGCTAGAGTCTGCCCTTGTAGCTCTTGCTCTTTTTCTTCTAGGAAAGCAAAAAAGGGGCTTGGAGTTCAATGGCCAATGTCCAGGTGGGTGGGCAGGGTTACTGGTGGACAACTTCCACACAGCAACTATTTTTGTTCTTTAATACCTAGACATTTTTAAAAATAAGATATTTCTCTAGGCATTTTCTCTAGAATCCTGATATTCTGCCTCTTTACAAAATACATTATTTTCTGCTAGACTTTGAAGATATTAGGCTGTTGAACCACCCCTACTGTAGTAAGGTGCTAATTATCTCTGCTTCTTATAGCATGCAAGCCTTTAGAGAAACTGATGGTGAAGAGCAAAGAGCAGCTCGGTTTTGGGCAGCACATTTTCTTGTTTGAGTAGCCAAATTATTAAATTATTCAAAATTTAAACTTTGAATAAAAACAGTCTTAACTAATTTTATATGTTGGTTTTATTATATGAAACACGCATGTTTCTTATTTAAAATGTTCAAGTCATTTGTAAAAGGAAACAGAAAATAATTACAAAACCTGGTCCCCTTTTCCCCAACCTGAGTCACTGTTGAAAATTTCTTATCTGGTCTTCAAGATCCTCCGTTGGCTGTTAAAAGGATTCTCTCTTTCTCTCTCATATATCCGATTGTGCTATATGCACTATTCTGTAACCCGCTTTGGGCATGTATAATATGTTTTGGACATAGTTTCAGATACATTATGGCTCAATTTTTTTTTTTTTTTTTTTTTGAGATGGAGTCTTGCTCTGTCACCCAGGCTGGAGTGCAGTGGCGTGATCTCAGCTCACTGCAAGCTCCACCTCCCAGGTTCACAACATTCTCCTTCCTCAGCCTCCCAAGTAGCTGGGATTACAGGCGCCCACCACCACGCCCGGCTAATTTTTTGTATTTTTAGTAGAGACAGGGTTTCGTCATGTTAGCCAGGGTGGTCTCGATCTCCTGACCTCGTGTCTGCCCGCCTCGGCCTCCCAAAGTGCTTGAGATTACAGGGCGTGAGTCACCATGCCTGGCCAGCTGAATATTTTTAACAGCTACATGAATTCCACTGTTTAAATTCCTATATCCATGTTACAACTAGAATTCACTTGATCAAAGAAAGAGTAGTTCTTATTTCTAATATATTTCACCTGAGCTTGGCTATAGTCTGAGGTGGAGGGTTCAGTTACCATTGGGAGCGCCTTCTCAATTGCTCATCGAATAAAGGTAATAACAAAACCCTGGACAACATTTTAGCAAAACGTATGTAATACTGTTTTTTACTTCATAAACATAATTTTTTTTTTTGTAAAGAGTTAAATCTAAGGTTTCTTCTATACTGGCCTCATGAGACCAACTGCCTGGGATACAGACATTGTTACTTTTTGCAATTATTCCCCTTCTGTCTGTCAGAGTACCTGATACCTGCCATATGTTTAACACATGCATTCAATAAATGGTGGGGTAAAAAGATTAATTCAGATGTATTTGTTGAAATTTTATTAAAAATAAGATAAAACTAAAGATGCTATATGGCCAAAACATTAAAATATGTTTCTCAAATATCTACCTTTAATAGCAATTGAGTTAAACACAACTAAGTAATTTCTGCAGCTGATTCTTGATGCCCACACTCGCATTCTCTCTTTCCCTCAAAGTCGCTGATCGTCTATAATTAGAGCTCAGTGCTGATGAAGCATCAGGCTCTGTAATGTGGGACGCCCAAAAGGTGAGGCCAACAGCACAGATACTCACACTTGACATTTTAGATGGCTACATTGCCTTTTTCAGTACCTAAGACATTTTGAAACCCTGTAATTTCATCTCTCCAGCAACCTGCAATTTTTCATTTGTTTTTATTTATTTGGTAACCCCAGGAAAAGGAGACTTTAGCACTGAGCACCTCCTCCTTCAGCTGCCACGAGGTTTCCTTATCCGTCCTCCAGATTCATCCTCCACTTTGTCTTAGTCTCACAACCTTTGCATAACAACATAAAAATACAATATCCTTGCACTGGGTTGGGAGTTAATAAAGTGGCTTCCATCTACTTCATCAGTTTAACCTTCTCATTTCCTTTTCCTTCAGATGCTACCATTTATGAATCTTTATACTTTGTCACCTAGGCTTAGATTATACTCTGTATACTGTTACCTAGGTCTTCACCCAAAGAGACCCTTATATCCTTAGAGCTCATTCATTCATTCGTTGACTATGCATTGAAAATTCACTATGCATCACATGCTAAGAACAGAAAAGTATCCAAGACAGCCACAGTTTTTGAGATTTCAGTCTAGCAGAGAGAAAAAACCACATATTCCATTAATTATAATCTATTGTGACAAGATCTACGGAGAAGCAAGGAGTGTATGTTATGAGACCTTGGACAAGTATTCACTATGCATCACTTGCTAAGAAAAGTATCCAAGACAGTCACAGTTTTTGAGATTTCAGTCTAGCAGAGAGAAAAAGCCACATATTCCATTAATTATACCCCATTGTGGCAATATCTACAGAGAAGCAAGGAGTGTATGTTATGAGAGCTTGGACAAATGGGTTATTAAGCCGGACCAGGAGAGTGAGAAAAGCCTTTGTAACTGATGCCCAGAAGCAGCCACAACAAAATAATTGTGGCCCCATTGTTTGCCTCCTTCGCTATCATCTGCTTATCCCTCTCCAGTCCACTGCAATCAGTGGTTTATTTTTCTGTCTCCCTCAGATGACACAGTATATGCATTTTGCATCTTTTCACCCCAATATCTATCACAGTGTCAGATATTAATTAAGTAGTAACATTAATTAATTAGCTTATCTCCTTAACAAATCTACTGAGCATCTCCGAGTATCAGGCACTCTCCTGGGCATTATAATATTCATGAAAATATGACAAGTCCTATCTCTCATGGAGCTAACATTCTAGGAAATAGAAAATAGTCACATGAACCTATGATGGGTTTGGTGACAAGTGTGCTATAAAAGATGGGAAAGAACAAGATAAAGGAATGGAAGTGGAGTTGCTTGTGAGGCGTCAGTGGTGAGTTACTATACCCCATAGGGCAAGCCAGGGAGGGCTGCTCCTTTAGATCACGTTGAGCAGAGACCCACAGCAAGTCAGCAAGCGAGCCGTGTACATCTGAGAGGCATGTGCTGGGTGGAAACCCGGCAAGAGCACACGGAGCAGGAGCACGGGCCAGCGCTGAAGGAGCAGCAAGGTGGCCGGTGTCAGCAGAGCAGAGCGCAGAGGGAAAGTGACTGGAGAAGTTGCAACGGCTGTGGGCTGGGGCTTGAGACAGATCATGGTGTGGCCATAAGCAGGACTTTGGCTTTTACTTATGAGAGAAGGAAAGCTGTTGGAGCATTTCAGATACAGAAGTGACACGACCCGGCTGTGAATGGGAAACAGTATAGTGCAGGCAAAGATGGAACCTGGGAGAAGAGGAAGAAAGCTGTGTACCCAGAAAAGAGGGATGGTGGTTTAAAACCGACTGGCAGCTGTCGAGGGGATGAGAGATGGTGGTGGTGTGGCTTTATTTCAAAGATCAAGAAAGCAACTGCTGATTTGTTGATTGGGAGCATAGTGATATATGTGTTCATTAAAAGTCAGATACTATCTATATCATCTATATATAGAAAAATATTTGTTAGGGACAAAAATAAAGTAAAAGTCAACAAGTATTTGATTTGGTGGTCTTTACAACTAATTTAAAGATAGGAACTTAATTTTGAAAAATATAAAAATTAACATATCTAATCTCTCTCTCTCTATATATATACACACACACACACACACACAGACACACACACGTGAAGAAGTGACAGTCTCTCCCTGTCCCCTGTGCTCCTTGTTTCCCTTCCAACTCCTCTTCCTTCTCCTTTCCTTCCTCTTTCTCTCTCACACATAAATACACAGAAATAACACTTTCCTAGTAACAGCAACAATGACTTGCACTGATATGTTCATGGAAGAGGTCTGTTTTCTACTGGGACGTGCAAACATGCTGATAACTAGACCTCCCGAAAAACAGGCTTATGGGCGGGCACGGTGGCTCACGCCTGTAATCCCAGCACTTCGGGAGGCCAAGGCGGGTGGATCACGAGGTCAGGAGATCCAGACTATCCTAGCGAACATGGTGAAACCCCATCTCTACTAAAAATACAAAAAATTCGCTGGGCGTGATGGCGGGTGCCTGTAGTCCCAGCTACTCAGGCGGCTGAGGCAGGAGAATGGCGTGAACCAGGAGACGGAGCTTGCAGTGAGCCGAGATTGCACCACTGCACTCCAGCCTGGGCGACAGAGTGAGACTCTGTCTCAACAACAACAACAACAAAAACAAACAAAAAAACAGGCTTACGATATTTGCCATGAAGAGAATATTAATCTATGGAAGACTCTTAGCAGAATGTGCCTAGTCTAGGCTTGCTTAAAATTAAACCTAGGATCTAGGGACTAATGAGACATGGCTCCTTGAAAATATCATGGAAGCCATATGAGGATCTGAGTGTAAAACAGAGACGTTTCATAACCAAAACATTCCAGAGAAGGAAAACGTTACCTTGAAATCTCTCTTTGTATCTATTTCCAGTGCTAGAGAGAAAACGCCTATATTCTTTGGCAAACTGTCTTCTATCACAATATTCTCTGTTCTTTTTCTGTTCTGCTGACTGTATAATAACTTGCATTCCAGATCTCTTGAGCCTTTGGTATACACCAGTTTCTCTTTCATGCAGTTTTTCCCCAATGTTGGCCATAAATTAGAATAACCTGGGAAGTCTTAACAACTCCCAGCGGTCAAGCTACATCCCAGAAAAAATAAGTAAGAATCTTTGTGGGCTCAACTCAGGTTGGGAGTCAGGTGTCAGTATTTTAATAACACCCACATGATCCCCAGGTGCAATCAAGGTTGAAAATTTATGTGATGTTAAGGAGCTTCTGGAAGTTAAGGGCATGACCCCCTCTACTACAGTTTGCTATAATGTGAAGAAATATAGCATTACTTTTTGTCTTGAGAGACAATCATAAATTAGATTGATATCTTACATTAATTTCTATATTTTTCAAAATTAAGTTTCTATCTTTAAATTAGTTGTAAAGACCACCAAATCGAATACTTGTTGACTTTTACCTCATTTTTGCCCTGAACAGAACCAGCAACAATTTCTTGCACACGAATCTAATATATTTTAAATGCAGTTATTTATAATATAATATTTTTAAATGTAGTTATTTATTTGTTTATTCACTTACCCCCTACTTTGTTTCTAAAATACTACAAGGCAGGCTGTATTTGCCTTTATAAGAGCTGGATCACGAGCAAAGTATAGTAAAATTTCATTAGAGGAATAAGGACAACTTGTAGGAAAAAAGAAAGGATGATTGCCTAATACTGTATAATTGATACAATATTATTTTACTTATTTTGAATGCTATTAGTTTTTAAAAGTGATTTCTTTAGGGTAGAAACTCTAGATTATTTACAAACTTCAATACAGTAATTAATAATAATTGCAGCTTATCATCCAAGCCTGTTAATTAGAAACACATCATCTTTCTGATCATCATCTGTGAGATGTACATTTCGTTCCTGGGTTTGAACCTGTAATGTACTCTCCCCCGGGTGTCCCCATGCACTGGCACTGACTGTCGCGGTTCTTACCAGATGGAGCAGGGACCCTCCCGAGGAGACGAGGGTGTGGGGGTCTGCCCCCTCCTTCAGGAGCCGAAGCACTGAAAACAACAGAGAGGAGAATGGAGTTACAGAGAGTCCTTCTTCCACGTGTGGAACCAAATGTGTAGGCTTTCGTTAATATCTAAAATGCAAACAGCTGTGAAAACCAAAGACTACGGCTTCTGTGCCATCTGACCCTATTTATTATGATGATTGGTGGTGTTTCTTGTCATCTTCAAACTTATTCCATGGTTGGGCAACATAATTTCGTATTACAATCATGCAAATGAATGAGAAAGTGAAACAGATTTTTTAAAGTTTACTGTTTCAAAGTGTCTTGTGTATTCATCCATTGTAGAACAGAAAAGCAAAATGATAGAAATTACTTCACTAGGTTCACACGGGCATTAGGTCACTGAATTTTTATTTTTATTTTTTAATTCATTAAGGCCCATTGGCTTAAAGCAATAAAAGTTTACTTTTGCACATTAACCTTCCACTGGTGCCATTAGCCCTTGGCAATGTTTCCACCATTCTCACAAAGCACGTCAGAACAAAGCCACATATATCCAAATTAGTTAAGTCAAATACATCAAACTATATACCAATTACTCGAATAAATTCACAGTTGAAAGGTGACCTGTATTTCCATTTGAACAGCAAAGGTGAATTCATTAGTACACAGAATGCCACAGAGTATTAAGAGATTGATTGATTGTGTTCCATTCTCTGCTACTTAAAATGAAGCTATAAGACAAGCCCCATAGAAAGGTTCTTCAATCCCCCAAGGCACTATAATTGTTTCCACTACTAACAGCAATATCATACTTTTAATAAAATACCATGAATGCATTTTCCACACACACAAAATTAAAGCAACAATTACTCTTTTATTTCATTATTACACACAACTGGACAAAATGGCTCAGGTTCAAACTCATTCCTCACTGAGGCATACTGTCTTCCCATTAACTTTATCTGTAACTTGAAATGTTGCCTGAAGGGGCCTTCTTTCCTATGGCACTCCAATTCTTTTATGTGTTCCAATGTCTAGTCTCTGACTATCTTCCCCAAATCTCACTGCATATCACAGAAGGCAGCATGAGTCTTGGCAGACATCGTGACTATGCAAAGCTTCCTCTCCAGGAAGGCCAAGCTCTTTGACGGTGGGTGCAGTGGGTGTGATGAGGGAGACAGGCCTCCGCCTGTGAGCCAGGTCAGCCTGCCCTGCCCCGTGCATCCTGGCCACGCTTTCCTTACATCAGCGCACCCTTGGAGCACATCCAGAAGAAGTTCCTAAATAGAAGCATGTTCACATCTACTCATTGCCAAGGGACTTTCCTTTGATGATGTTCTTTCTGCAATCAAGGATTTAATTATTTTCATAACCTAGAATCTGCTAACATTGAGTAGTGTGTTACAAAAACATTCTCAAAGGTGGCAAACTTGTAGTATCAGCTGTAACCTGACAGCTCGTGTCGTATTCATTTGCCAACTGGGTTATCTTCTTTCTCTGCTGTTACAAGAAGTTGAGGAGGCCAAGGCCATCTTTCTCTTGTTCTTCACTGTATTTCTAAGAACCGTCCTGTTTCGTGGTATGGAGATGCTCTTCCCCCCACCCTTTCTCTGCCTCCCTTTCTCTCTATATATATATAGAATAAATGAAGGCACCTCTTGCAAACTCATGTACTCACTACTCTTAGTGTTTAAAATCCCTTTCATGAGAATAGAAAGTTCATTTCATACATTTGCCAATGGTTTCCTCAGATGATAGACAGCACTTTTACTCTAGTATTTATTCTTTTAGCAAATGAAATTATCCATCATGAATTAACTAATATTGACTTTTTATATTCTGCAAAGAAATAGCATAAGTGTGATCTCACTACAAAGATAGTGTGAAGTAGATTGTATCATGTTATAATATTAGTAAAATGCAATCAGATTTTTATGCAGAGTCCATTATGCAGACACACAGTGAATTATACATAATAGAAATCAGTGATCCATATTCTTTGGGTTTAGGGTTACACAGGTTTCAGCATGAGACCTGGAAAGCTACTGAACTTTATGTCTCAGTTTTTTGTCAGTAGAACAATGGACAGTTGTACTCATTTCATGGGGGTTTGTGAGAATTAAATGAGACAACATATGTAGCATGCTTCAGGCACTTCTTAAGGATCAATAAATGACTGGAATGACTACGTGCAATAAAACCCCATAATAATATATCATAGAATCCACACTTTAAGATCTATTCTGAATGTTTTCCAAACTTTCTGGTTACTAAATGTTGAATTTAAGTGCAGAACATACGTGAGGCAAATTTAGCATATTAACCTGGAGGATGAGTGTATAATTTATCAAACAAAAGTAGAACAAAGGGGGAAATATACAAGGCAAAGGAGAATGCTGAGCATGGAGAAAGTGAATCTTTATTACCTTTGCTTTAAATACAATCTACTGCATTGTAAGTTCGTGTCATTTAATTATTAATATAGGTAGTATTTAACTGTTTCACAACCAACTCACAAAATTCCTGGAATTTTACCAGTCAGCTTTCAGAAGCTGGCAAGGGAGAGCTCCAGATCACTACAGTGGGCAATCATGAAACTCATAAAGAACATTGCACAGGAATGCCCAGGAATGAGAGCAGGGCTACACTCAAGCTCTTTGAAGGTCCTTTTCATCACAGAGAAACAGGCTAGGAAGAAAGGCTTCTTCCTCCATCCAGCCCGGCATCATCCTAGTGAGAAAAGGGCAATCTGAGTTTTGTTTGTCCTAGATAGGACAGTTTTTTTGAGAGGGCTGTTTGCATGATCAAGATGGAACCATATTAGAACCACAGACTCGATATTAACTGGCTTGCCCATCATTACCATGAGTAAGGACTCAAGAATAAGACAAAGTCGACTACTGGCCAAATAGAGAAATAGGTTATTCTTCGCATATAAAGATAGTAGTGTGAACTAAATTCTATGGCTCTGCTAAGGGTTAAAAACTGGAATTGTAAGAGACCTAAATGTGAAGATACAATGAAGAAAATATCATTTGTGTAATAATTAGTTTATAATAATTTTGAGAAGAAAATTATGAAACGAATACATGTTGAACATCTTTGGTATAACCCTGTACTGAGTACCTTACGTGTAAGAATTACTTTAATTCCCTCCACACCTCTATAATACAGACACTATAATCGTCACTCTTTCTTTTACTAATAAGGAAGCTGAGGCTCTGTTACATTACGTGGTTCCCTGAAGCTGTAGGTACATGATGGAGCTAGAACTCAAGTGTAGCAACAGGACTCCAGTGATTGTGCCCTTAACCCCAAACGGCATCAGAGAGTAAAACTTCAAAATCACAGCCAGGATCAAGATCCATTTTATTGGCCTCAGAATTACTAATTGTGTGGGAAATTACCCAAATTTCTGTTAAAATACTTTATCCAAAAAGGTACGGGTTCATAGCAACTTTGTAATAACATGATTGGAGCGGCCAGTCAAGTGAAACGGCAGCACCACTCTGAATCTTTCTGTTATGACAAAATCGGCAAGGAAACAGCCTAAGGAAAACAGCCATCTGGGGACCAAATAGAATAACGAAGCGCAGGCTTCCTTTTATAGTGTTGCCGCTTGGAAGGGATTCAGCATTTATTGTATATTTGTGGCTTCATCATCAAGCTGCAGCAGAACTCCATCGAGATGCCTGTGGGAGGGGGTGGGGGGGCATGATTTGATATTTAAAAAGAAACATTCATTCTCCAAATTTTCAGCTATTAGGGTAAAAAATGGACTAAAATATATCATAAAATTTGCTAAGTAGCTTTAATAGACTACACAGCTGCTTCCCACCATCACCAACAATAACCAATCACAATAGTCCACCTGGTTGTCAGCATTTATTTTGTGTTTCTAGATACTGTATTGCCACCATTTATCTGTAAGGTCTTTGGAGACCCCATTAGCTAGTGTGGACATGTGACTGCATAGCAATCTATACCTCCTCTCACACAATCTCCACCACAGTGGCTCTTGAATTCACAAAGGTGTTACATTTAACATCAACAGAGGAAAGGAAGATAAAACTAAGCATACCTGCGTTCTCAATTCTGTTCCTGTTATAAGCCCTGCAGAAGACAGTTTCCAGACAGAGGGAAGGACAATCACAGGTGATAAGAAGTTAGCAATTGGTAAACCTGGTTAGAGGGGATATGGGAGTTCTTGTGTTACCTGGGAAAGTTTTCTGTAAGTTTGATTTTATTTCTAAATAAAGAAGTTACAATGAATAACAACAAAGTATCAAGCCAGTGTCATTTTTTTCCTCCTGAAATGATAATGAAAACATCAATGTGAAGACTTCTAAAAAAGTATGCCTGAGAATTTCCATACAGTTGATAGTCCTTTGAGAAAGCCTTTGAAAATTGTATCTTATCTCATTAACATGTCAATCAAGAAGAGAAGCAAGAAGCAGGAATATAGAAATTATGTTATCAACACCACAGAAATGTCTATTTGCACAGCAATGCTGCTGAAATACAGATTTCCTTTCCTAAGTAGAGCTCAAACTTTAGGATGTATAAGAATAACTTGAGGATTTTATTAAGATGAATGTTGCTAGTTCCGGGCTTCTCAATCTGTTTTTTATTATCACCCCCTCACCCTCTGTGAAATTGTAATAATACACACAGGCTGGGATATCTGATTACGGAATGTGACCGGATGGAGGGTCACAAAACCATTGCTTTAGCTGAGTTTTTGTCCTCCAAAATCCCATTTTTGCACCTTTGGGAGCTATTTCTGCCCCCATTAGAATCAGGCCCTAGTCCCATCTCTTCAATCCTTTGATTTAGGAGCTTTGTTGTGGGATCTAAAATTGTGTGTTTAAAAAAACACATGCACACACACTGCAGGAGATTCTGGTGCAGATGGTCCCTTTAAGACATTCTGAGAAAAACTGCTAAGATTTTACAATCTCAGGAAATTACCTCTGAACGCCTCATTTGGAAGAGACAGAATTAGTAAGTGGCAAAGACTTGATAGAAGATCCTTTCCCATTAATTTGCCATTGAGACTTTGGCCCCTAGTACCACATGTCCCACAGGATCCCTCAGGACACACAGTATTCTCAATACATGCATATTAAGCTAGACCTCCCTTACATGGATCCGGAATAATCAGGGTGAGCTCACAGGAGGTGCTCATGCTGCAGTGGATGGGGAGGCCTGCAATCAAAGACTGAGTCTGGGCAATGACCCTCGACCCTCACTATGCTTAAGATCCTTACCCAAACTTCGTAAAGATACAAATTGTTCTGTCACCAGGTTATTAAATTCAGGCAGTCAAAGATGTGTCCATTGATCCCTATGTTCCTTGACGTCATTGATTGATCCCTATGTCATTGATCCCTATGTTCCATTGATCCCTATATTCCATTGATCCCTATGTTCCTATAATACTGAGAAGCATAGACAGCCATGGGAATCAGCATCCAAGGACTGTTTAGCTTGTTTCCGTCCAGCCTGGAAACAACAGGGTCATGATAAGAGGGTCTAGCCAGGTTGTTGGAGCTTTGGTGTGCTCTGCCTGAAGTCTTTATTCAAGTGAGCTGCTCAATCACACCTTATGTGATTGCTTCTGATTTGATTCAGATCCACATGCACTCACAGGATGCTCAAGACTGTTACCAGCCACCCTCCTGGACAAGGAGACCCATGAGGGCTGGGCATGAAGTCAAGGCTGCATTAGGTTCCAGCCTTGGCAAGGGAATTTGGGCCAATTAGCTTGAAGCACCCCGGAATCAAGCACTAGCCGAGACCCACCTTAGCCCCAGAGACCTCACAGTCTTCAACCAGTTAAAATTCATTTCATGTCACTTTGGCCATGGCTTTCAGACTTCTTTTTTCCCACTCAACTTGATCAAAACTGGACCTGACTAAATCCTGAAGACTGTAAGCCAAGTCCAAGGTCTTCGTGGCCAGGTTGACCCAGATTCTCCAATCCCAATCCAGTGTGCAGTTATGACAAATGAAACAAATTTTTAGTGAGCATCCTTTATGTACTAATAGTTAGCACTATCCCAAGAGGTGCAGATGTACAGAGAAGAAATAGAAAACAATCTTACCTTCATAGAGTGTATAATCTAGTTGGCACTGGTACTGGAGAAGACGGAGGACAAAAGGGATCACAATTACATATTAGAAGGATTTGCAGTGCTTCTTGAATCACTGGCTAAATATCTTGAATTTGTTCTGAAAACCGAATTACCATTTTTCCCTTCAAATGTTACTTGTAACCCATTTCATTCCTTCTCCTCCTCAAGGATCACACTGAGATATATGTTCAGCATTATCATCATGTTCCTTATATCTCTTAGGCCTTTCTTTGCTTTCTCTCAATATATTACCCTGGATATTTTCTACTGCCCTGCCACAATATGAAATCCTTTTCAGCCACGTACAATCAACTGTTCAGCCCATCAATTCAATTTTAATTTGTCACATTATTTTTTAGTCCTACACTTTCCATTTGATACTTTCATATAGATTTTAATTACCTGGTAGAAGGTTTTATCATTATTTCTTGTACATGTTGGTTGGAGTTATTACGAAATCAAATCTGATAACTATATCATGTGCATCAGCTATGAGTCAGTTTCAATTTACTATGGTTTCTCTTGATCTTATATTTCAGTATGCCTGTAGTTACTGATATTATTATTATTTGATTGGTCATATAGAGTGTGTTAGGCTGTATTCCTTCCTGTTCATATTTTTAAAAGCATTTATGAAAACTAGTATTAATTCTTCTTTAAGCATTTGGAAGAAATCCTCCATGAAGCCATGTGTGCCTGGGTTTTCCTTTGTGGAAAGATTTTATTAATTAAATCTATTCGATATAAGCCTATCATGATTTGTGTCTTTCTAGGAATTTTTTCGTTTCATGTGGTTTATCTAACTTTTTGGCATATAATTTTACTAGTATTACCTTTTAACCCATTTTAAGTTTGATTCTAATATACAGTATACTTCCCTTTTCTCTGGGGGATACAGTCCAAGATCTCCAGTGTATGCTTGAAACTGCAGATAGAACAAAATTGTATATATGCTATGATTTTCCTATACACACACACTTATAAAATTTAATTCATAAATTAGGCACAGCAAAAGATTAATGACAATAATACAATAGAACAATTATAACAATATACTGTAATAAAAGTTATATGAATGTGGTCTCCTTCTCTCTTCAAAATATCTTACTGTATTTTGCTCACTCTTATTCTTCTTGTGATGATGAGAGATAATAAAATGCCTGTGTGACAAGATGACATAGACACCGCGATGTTGCATTAGGCTACAACTGACCTTCTGATGATAGGTCAGAAAAGGCTCCTGTGTTCCAGGTGATCCCGGATCACTGAGCCATGATGATGTCAATGGTTAGATAACAAGAGCAGACGATGTTGATGATTAACATGTAGGTAGTGTACACAGTGTATATGCTGGACAAAGAGTTGATTCATGTCCCAGATGGAATGGAGTGAGATGGCACAGGGTTTCACTATGCTATTCAGAATGTTGTGCAATTTAAACTTTCTGGAATTATTTATTTCTGGAATTTTCTATTTTTTATTTTTGGATCAGGATTGATCATAGGTACCTAAAACCATGGAAATCAAAATCATGGGTAAGGGGGCACTATTGTATCTTCTTTCATTCCTGATTTTAGTAATTTTTGTTTTGGTTTGGTTTGGTCAGGTTTTTTTTTGTTTTTTTTTTTGTCAGTTTAGCTAAGGTTTTTCATTGTGTTGATATTTTCAAAGAGCCAAGTTTTGGTTTTATTGATTTCTCTATTGTTTTCCTCTATATTTCTTTTATTTCTACTCAAACCTTTATTGTAACATTCCTTTTATTGGCATTGGATATTGTTCACTACTTTTTTTCATTTTTGAATATAAAAAGTTAGGTTAATTTAAGATACTTTTATGTATTTAAATATAGGCATTTATTACTATGGACTTTGGGTGATTAGGTTGTGTCAATGTAGGTTTATCAATTGTAAAACGTGTACCATTCAGGTGGGGGAGATTAATAACAGGGGAGGCTACCCATGTGTCAGAGCAGGGGCTATATGGAAAATCTCTGTATCTTCCCCTTAATTTTGCTGTGAATCTAAAGATTTTCTTAAAAATGAAATTCTTTTTTAAAATATATTTTTATTATATTTTAAGTTCTTGGGTACATGTGCACAACATGCAGGTTTGTTACATAGGTATACATGTGCCATGTTGGTGTGCTGCACCCATTAACTCATCATGGAAACCATCATTCCCAGCAAAAACGAAATTCTTAAAGAAAGATGAGTGTTTATAGCTATAAAATTCTCTTTAAGAACTGCTTTAGTTATACCTTACATCTTTTAGTATGTAGTATTTTCATTTCATTTATCTAGCATTATTTTATAATATCTATTGTGATTCATTTTTTGATACATTGGTTATTTAGGAGTATTCTGGTTAATGTAGTAGTTTGCTAGGGCTATCATAACAAGA
The DNA here is from genome assembly GCF_000001405.40 of Homo sapiens. NCBI lineage: Eukaryota > Metazoa > Chordata > Mammalia > Primates > Hominidae > Homo > Homo sapiens. The sequence continues at coordinate 108,704,166 of NC_000013.11, read as the reverse complement.
TACCTCGGATGGCTAGTTTACACAATGGAAATTTATTTTCTCATAGTTCTGGAAACTAGAAGTCCAAGATCAAGGTGTTGGCAGTTTGATTTCCTCTGAGGCCTCTCTTCTTGGCTTGTGGATGGCTGCCTTCTCACTGTGTCATCACTGTGTCCTCACATGTGACTCTCTGATGGCACACACTGTGCGTGTCCAAACTTGTTCTTCTTAAAACACCAGTCATATTAGATTTGAGCCCACCTTAATGACCTCTTTTTAACTTATTGGCCTCCTTAAATGCCCTGTTCCCAAATACAGTCACATTCTGATTTACTGGGGGCTAAGGGTATAACATATGAATTGAGGGGAGGGGACAGGGAAGGACAAAATTTAGCCCATAATAGATAATTTTTGTGTATTTGTGAATTTTATAACATTCCATCTAGTAAGTATTTTTATTTTCATTCCATTATGGTGAGAGAACATACTTTGTAATATTTTAATTCTTTTAAAATTTATTGGCACTTGTTTTATGGCTTTGCATGTGGTCTGTCCTGGAGAATGTTTCATGCACCCTTCAGAAGAAGGAGTGTTCTGCTGTTGTGGAAGAGTATGTTTGATAAATTTCTGCTGTATATGGTTGTTCAAGTCTTCTTTTTCCTGTTGAACTTTTGTCTAGCTCCATCCATTGCTGTGAAAGGTACTGAAATATTCAAATATCTATGAATGCTCTATTTTTCCTTTTAATTCTCTCAGTTTTGCTTCATGTATTTTGGAACCCTGTTGTTAGGCACATATATATTTACAATTTGTATGACTTCATGATGGAATAATTCCTTTATCACTATATAATGTCCTTATTTTTTCTTTAATAACAATTTTTACATTAAAGTTGAGTTACCTGATATTTACATATGTATTCTAGCTCTTTTTGGGTTACTTTTTGAATGGTATATGATTTCCCACGTTTGACTTTCAACAAATTTGTGTCTTTGAATCCAATAGATGTCTCTTACAGGCAAAATATAGCTGGATGACTTTTTAATCATTCTGCTAATCTCTGCCTTTTGAGTATTAAATCCATTTATATTAATGCAATTACTGATAAAGTAGGATTTATGCCTACCATTTTGCTTTTGTTTGTTATGTGTATTATACCTGTTTCATTCTTCTATGCCCCCATTGCTGCCTTCTTTTGTGTAAACAGGTACTAATTTACATGTCATTTTGATTCTCAAGCATTTATTTTCATATATTATTTATTTTCTCATAATTTCCCTAGGGATTACAATTAATATATTAATTTATAATAATTTAGTTCAAATTAATGTCAACTAAATTTCAAGAGTGTACAAAAACTTTGCTGTTATATAGTCAGCTGTCCCCTCTACCACTACTACCCTTCTAACTTTGGGTCATTATGTTTAAACAAATTACATCTTTATGCATTGTGTGCTCATTTATAACAGACTTATATTCATTTATTTCTGTAATTATGTTTTAAATATAATTAAAAATTAGAGTAACAAAAATAGGCAATACTGTTTTTTTATATTTACTTATGTGTTTAACTTCCAAGTGCTGTTTATCTTTTATGCAAATTCAAGTCTAATGTCTTTCATTTCAGCCTGAAAGTTTCCCTTTGCTATTTCATGAAGGGCAGACCTGTTAGTAAAAAATTCTCTTAGTTTTTGTTTGCAATGAATGTCCTAATATTCCTCCATTTTTGAAAAGTCATTTTCATGGATATAGAATTCTTGGCTGGCAGTCTTCCTTTTTAGCACTTTGAATTTGTCATTTTCTGCATTTTGGCTTCCATGGTTTCTGATTAGAAGTCAGCTGTTAATCTTCTGGAGGAACCCTTGTACATGAAGCATAACTTCTGTATTTATGCTTTCAAGATAATTTTTGCCTTTGGCTTTTCACAGTTTATGTTGTGTCTAGGTATGGATCTGTTTCAGTTTATCTGACCTGGAATTTGAGAAGCTTCTTAGATGTGTAGATTAATATTTTCCACCAAATTCAGCAAGTTTTCACCAATTAGTACCTCCAATATTCTTTCTGCCTTGTCTTTCTCCTCTCATCTGTGACTCCATTATGTACATTGGTACACTTGGTGGTGCTCTACAGGCCCCTTAGGCTGTGCTCATTTTTCTTCATTTTTTTTTTCTTCTCTACCTCAGACTGGATCATCTTAATTGATCTATCTTTAAATTCACTGCTTGTTTTGCCAGCTTAAATACACTTTATTTCTGCTAATGTATATTTAATTTTAGTTACTGTGCTTTTCAACTTCAGAATTTCTATTTGTTTGTTTTTATAATTGTTCTTCTCTATGTGGGGAGATACCACTTTCATACTTTCCTTTAGCGATTTAGACATAATTTTCTTTAGTTATTTGAACATTTTTATGATCGTTTATTCAAAATCCCTCTCTAGTAAATCTAATATCTGGGCTCTCTCAGACACAGATTCTGTTGACTACTTTTTTCTCTCTCTGTGGAACACACTTTCTTGTTTATTTGAATATCTCATAATTTTTTGTTGACAACTATGTTTTTTAGTTTGGTTTGTGCTGCTATAACAGAATGCACAGACTGGTTAATTTATTTTTAAAAATGGTAGTTTATTTTCTAACTGTTCTATATCCTGAGAAGTCCAAAATCAAGGGGCCAGCATATTGTGAGAACTTTCTTGCTGGGTCATCCAATGGTGTAAGGTAGGAAGAAGGGGAGGGCAAAAGGGACCAAACTTATCCTTTTAAAAGGGGGCCACTCCCACGATAACAAACCTACTCCAGTGATAACAGCATTAAACCACTCATGAGGGCAGAGTCCTCATGGCCTAATCACCTCTTATTACTATTACAATGGCAATTAAATTTTAACATGAGTTTGCAGGGGGGTGACAAACATTCCAAACATAGCACTAAACATGATGAATAATAAAATGTGGAGACTTTGAAAATCCGATTCCCTCTCCGCTCCTGGGTAGATTGCTGTTTCTGCTTGTAATTGTTGTTTGGTTGTTTGTTTCATTATTTTTCGTAACTAAATCTGCAATGTCTATATTACGTATCATGTGTAGCCACTGAAATCTCTGCTCATTTATCGTAGTAGTCAATGAGTAAACATATTTCCTTAAATGGCTTGAAACAATAAACCTCTCAGCCTTCGCTTAGGATCTGGGCTTCTATGCTGGGGCATTCCTGTGGTGCTCTTGGAGACAGTTTACATCTTTTCCTTAGTCTGCACTTCCTATTTGTGCAAAGCCTTAAGGTCAGTCCTAGGAGAGAAATTGGGGTCTTCCCAGGTATCTTATGAGCATACCCACAGCTCTGAACATGTGCATAGCCTTCTAGTTCCTGAGGAACACATTGCAGTTTTTCGAAGTACTCTATGGACCTCTCATTTTCCAGGTTTTCCTTCTAAGTGTTTTTGGCCAGCTTCCTGTTTGTACCAATTGTTGCAATACTAAAGGGTTCCTGCTGGTTGTTTTCTACAAATGCCCCAGGGAAAAGGTTTGTAGTGAGCTTTTTCTGAGTCACTTTATATAAAAACAAATCTTGTGAGTGGAAGTTGCCAGATATGTCAAATGATAATTCTCCTAAGAATGGTGTTTTTGGAGGAGATCCAAACCCAGTCTGCAGCCACCAGTGGCTCCGAGGCTGCTGGTTTTCGTGGCTGCCAAGATTGCAAGGCTGCTGGGTTTTAGGGCTATTATAGAGCCGGGGAAGAGAGGATGTGGCTACAATCGTCAAAGGACCACAAAACACTGCTCTTGCCGAAGTTCAACCATTTGTTCCTGAATAAATCCTTCTTCTTCTTCTTCTTCTTCTTTTTTTTTTTTTTTTTTGAGACAGAGTTTCGCTGTTGTTGCCCAAGCTGCAGTGCAATGGCTCAATCTCAGCTCACTGCAACCTCTGCCTCCCAGGTTCAAGAGATTCTCCTGCCTCAGCCTCTGAGTAGCTGGGATTACAGGAGTCTGCCACCACACCCGGCTAATTTTTGTATTTTTAGTAGAGAAAGGGTTTCACCCTGTTGGCCAGGCTGGTCTCAAACTCCTGGCCTCAAGTGATCCACCCACCTCAGCCTCCCAAAGTGCTGGGATTATAGGCATGAACCACCATGCCCAGCCTATAAATGCTTCTTAGATTGTTGGAAGCCTTTGATTAATCTCCAAAGTCCTGAAAAAGTTGATAGTGCCAGTGTTCTCAGTGCTTTATGAAGGACAAATTTTTCAGTGGTCGTCTCTCTGTAACTCCAGGAGCAGTCTCCCCCATTATCTTAAAAACTGACAGAAGAGTCCCTAAAAATATGTATCTCTCATTGAGAAGAAGAAATTAGCTAACATTAGATTGATAGTAATAATTATTATTTTTTGCTGAAGATGAAATTTCCAAGTTTCTGTAAGATGGAAAAAATATTCAAAAGGCTATTGTCAAACTTACATGTTCTACAGAACTTTTAACATATCCAATTGTGGTACAAATTGTCTGGCGGGAATCAGGAATGGTCTGCTTACCGAAACCAGTCATATAAATCATTGACTCTATATATTCCAGGACAGATGTAAAGTGACAGTATTATAACATCATAAACTTGATGGCATATTTCCTTAGCTCTTGATGTAGAAGTAGTAAATCCAGGATGCATGCAATATAAATACATGCTTCCCTTCTTATTTTCTCTCTATATAATGCTCTGACAATTTATGTTATGTAAGTTTAAAATGCTCTTTTTTATGCCAAATTTTAGAAATAAACAGTTTCAAAAAATGACTCACTTTTACAAATAAACAAAAAGAACTGACATAACTACTAATCTGGAATTTTGTTTGTATCTTGAGATAATAAAAACAAAAATAAAGAACACCATGCCAATATCTGTGGAAGTTATTAAAATGTGAGTAAAATGTTATTTGTAATGGCTATATATACATACGTAATAACTATATATACATAAATACATATATGTGTATATATGTAATAACTATATATACATGTGTGTATATAGTATATATGGTATACATATGCATATATGTAATAACTATATATATGTGTATATACACACACACATATATATATATATAGAGAGAGAGAGAGAGAGAGACAGAGAGAGACAGTCTTTTAAAAGTAAGTCAAGTGGGAGAGAAATATCTCAGTATGTCACTGCCCACTCCTTAAGGCTAACCTGGGAATCAAAAGGACTGTATCACAGTGCTGTTTGTGGCACTTACTATGCTCTTTGAGTTTTTGGGTGGGCCTCAGTTCCCTCATTTGTAAAACTGTGATGAAAGTATGATATTATTGTGAGAAATAAGGTACCATATAAATATTATGGATGATTATTGCTTAGTCAATTTTGGGGACAGGACGAAAGCTTAAAGGAGGCAGTAGAGACTCTTTGAGAAAGCTTTTCAAAAAGGCGAGAATTATTGAGCATGTGGCTTTAGAAGCAAAGCTTCTGTGGTAGAAATCTCAAATAGAACTTGCAGGTTAAACTGGTTGTTTCTCACTCTCCTTTCCATTCAAACATGTCTTTTAGTCCTATCTGAAAAATGTCATTATGGAACTGAGGTCACACCCCACCCTGCAGTTTCATCATGCATTTCCTTTTATCTTAGATAATTCTATGACATCCTTATCTTGTCAGGTTTTAATTAATCAGGGAGTCTTAGTGCTCATATAGCCTTTGTGTGTTTGTCTGATGTGAGATTTGAGAAAAATCCACAGGATCACAAGATTTCCCAAACCCTCAGGAATAAGATACAATCACCATGTGAAATATCAAAGGATACATTTCAAATTGGGAACGGAAATCACATCTCAAGTTTTATTTATCTCATTTATTCTCTAATAACCACTGTACATATCTGTCCACACTCCTTTTCTGAACATTACCTCCTTTAGCTGTTCAGAAAGGGGTCCTCCTGCATATCTAGCATCTTTATTCTCTGAATACCACTGAGTGGACCTGGACATCTGACCCCAGTTGGGCGTGATGGATTCTCCAGCTGGAAATTTGGAATTGGGACACAGAGACTAGTTACTTAATTATCGGTGCTGGACATGGAAGGTGACCTAAGTGCCATAATAGCTTACATGCAAATAAGAGCACAATCTGCAGAGGAGGAATGAAGGCAGAGGGAGAAAGAAGAGAGCGAGGTCGGGCACGGTGGCTCACACCTGTAATCCCAGCACTTTGGGAGGCCAAGGCGGGTGGATCACTTGAGGCCAGGAGTTCAAGACCAGCCTTGGCAACATAGCAAAACCCTGTTTGTACTAAAAATACAAAAATTAGCCAGGTGTGGTGGTGCACGCCTGTAGCCCCAGCTACTGGGGAGGCTGAGGCAGGAGAATTGCTTGAACCCTGGAGGCAGAGGTTGCAGTTAGCTGGGATCACACCACTGCACTCCAGCCTGGGTGACAAAGTGAGGTTCTGTCTCAAAAAAAAGAAAAAAGAAAAAGAAAGAAAAAGAGTAATACACATCCCTTTGTAAATAAAGTTCAATATAACTGATCATAAATCAGACACTAAAAGTAAAATCATACAAATTGATACTTAAAAATACTCTTATTTTTCTTTTTATTTCATCAGCAGCAGTGATAGGCATAAATTTAAATCAGAACTTCTATGCAGTTTTCATGTGAGCTAATGCCTTTGTTCTACATTAGATCCTTGTGTCACAATCAATGACACAATTGAACTTCAATTCAAGATGCAACTGGAATTCCTGGAAAAGAAATGTCCTCCCGTGCTGAGTAATCTCTAGACCTCTTTTGGGTGGAATTCTGCAGATAGCTGGGGATAGGACTTTAGCCAACTTCGTGATCACAGTGGAAGGTAAACAGAAGCACTGTCGAGGGGAGTGGGTGGTCCCGGAAGTAAAGAAAGGGCATCTAGCAGCAAGAGAGAATGAAGGGAGGAGAGCCACATGGATAGTGTACTGAACATTCATGGATTTATTGTTGTTGGAGTACTTCTTGTCTGGTTTACTTTTCTTTTATTGTTGTCCTCAAGTCTTTCTCACCAGGTAAATGGACAGACACAACACTGAGTATAGGATACATCACAGATATTCACTCATTTAAATTCATTTTAAAACTGAAATTTCACAGGAGCAAAGTTTGCCCTGCCAGACTACATGCTTTGTGTCAACTGATTCATGGAAGATGAGTAGAAGGGCAGGGTATTTTTTTTTTTTTTTTAATGCTTGAATTCATCCGTGAGTTAAAAATAGAGCAAAGTATTACATGGCCAGAAATCAGATTTATTAGAAAGCTACAGCAATTGAAACCTTTGAGCACTGATCCAAGAACAGACAACTAGAAGAAAGAAACAATAAGGTCCAGAATGAGGCCCACACAGGTAGGGTCTTCTGACTTCCTGCAACTATGCAGTTCCATGTAGTCGAAAAGTAGTCTTTTGTTTTTCAATTGGGGTACAGTGTAATTTATACTTAGTAAAATGTACGAATCTTAATATGCATCTAATTAATGTTTACCTGTATATACACCTGTGTAACTATCATTCAGCTCAAGATAAAAGGAAATCTCCATCATCCCAGGAAGTTCCCTCCTGGTCCTTCCCCGCAGGTATCCCCAGGGACAACCCGTTATTCTGAAGAAATCCACCATCAATGATAATAGTTTTGCCTACACTGGAATTTCATTTAAAGAGAAAAATGCAGCATGTCCTCTTTGGGGTGTCTGGCCTCTTTCAGTCTTGTGTTTGTGAAATCTATCCATATTGTTCTGTGTAGCAATGGTTTGTCTTCCTCTTTTGGCTGTGTAGGATTCCATTATATAAGTATACCATACTTTGTGCATCCAATTCCCCATTGGTAGACATTTGTGTTGTTTCTATTTTTTGTCTATTCTAAATAAAGCTGCTATTAACATTCTTGCACAAGTCTTTTTGTAAAATCATGCAATCATTTGTATAGACACATTCTTAGAGGTGGAATTGCTGGAACATAGGCATAAATTAAAATGTATTAGAAACTGCCAAACAGCTTTCCAAAGTGGCCATATTGTCTTATACTCCCACCAGCAATACAAGAGAATTTCAGCTGCTACACGTTCACAGCAATGCTATCGTCCATGGATTATTGATTATTTAATGAAACCATACTTATTTTTTAAATTCAAACAATTGAAAAAACCACTCTGTGTCTTTAACATGCAGTTAAATATTTTGTGATACATTTTAGCAGTGGTTTCTCTTCTGATTTTTAGAAGTTCTGCATCAGTTGCATATGGTTGTTCCTCCTTTATGTGGTTAACATAGAAAATCACATTAGTTTTCAACTGTTAAATCAACCTTTCATTCCAAGGATCCTGGCAGTGTTCTACTTTGTTTCCTCAGTGGTGGTTATATGATGTTCACTTTCTGGTAAATCATAGTTACACATTTTTGGTGAATTTTTGATGTGTTTTATTTATACCAAGTGAATATAAAATTTTTTGCTATATTACTGTTAAAATAATGAGTACTAACATTTTAGTAAGTAACTGCTTACTAAGTAATATCATTTTTTGGTAAATTGACCTACAATAACTAATATATTTTGCTTACCATGAAAAAAGCCATGATCCACCCTATCGAAATCCCCAAAACTTTTTTTTTTTGCAGAAATTAAAAAGCTGACCCTAAAATTCATATGAGATTGCAAGGGAAGCTGAATAACCAAAACAATCTTGAAAAAGACAAACAGAGTTAAGGACTTACTTGTCATGATTTCAAAACTTATTGTAAAGCTACATTAATGAAAACAGTGTGGTACTGAAATAGAATAAACCTATAGACCAATGAAATGGAATCAGGAATTCAGAACTGATACACCCATACATCAATGTTCAACAGATTTTCAACAAGGGTTCCAAGATCATTCAATGAGGAAGGAAGTGTGTCTTCAACAAGTGGTGCTGGGACAACTGGATATCCACATGCAAAATAATGAAGGTGGTATGTTACCTCACAACATATATAAAACTAATAACTCAAAGAGGATGAAGGACATAAATATAACACCTTAAACTCTAATACTCTGTTTTTAGTTTGTTTGTTTTTTGAAACGGAGTTTCACTCTTGTTGCCCAGGCTGGAGTGCAATGGTGCGATCTCAGCTCACTGCAACCTCTGCCTCCCGGGTTCAAGAGATTCTCCTGCCTCAGCCTCCTGAGTAGCTGGGACTACAGAAATGTGCCACCACACCCGGCTAATTTTGTATTTTTAGTAGAGACGGGGTTTCTCCATGTTGGTCAGGCTGGTCTCGAACTCCCGACCTCAGGTGATCCACCCGCCTCAGCCTCCCAAAGTGCTGGGATTATAGGTGTAAGCCATGGCACCTGGCCAACTCTAATACTCTTAGAAGGAAATCCTCATGGCCTTGAGTTTGGTAATTGTTTCTCAGATATGATACCAACAACACAAGCACAAAAGAACAAAAATGTATAAATTGGACTTCATCAAAACTTTTTAAAAAATGTGCATTAAAGGACATTATCAAAAGAATGTTAAAAACCCACAGAATGAGATAAAATATTTGCAAAGCATATATTTGATAGAGGTCTAGTATATAAAATGTGTATACCAAGAACTCTTAGAACTGCAGAACAAAAAGTCAAACAAAAATAGACAAAATACTTTTCTCTAAAGAAGAGATAAAAACGACCAACAAGACATGAAAGATGCTTGGGAAATGGGATGATTATAATAAATAAATTTTTTAAAGGAACATTAAGTGTTGGTGAGGATGTGAAGAAATTGGAACCTTCTTATATTGCAGGAGAGAATGTAAAATGGTTTCGCCACTGTAGAAAACAGTTTAGTAGTTATTAAAAACATTAAACATGCAATTACATATGAATAAGAAATCCCACTTTTGGCTATAAACTGAAAATAATTAAAAACTGGCAGTCAACAATGAGATGCCATCTCACACCACTCAGTATGGCTATTATTAAAAAGTCAAAAAATATCAGGTGCTAGTGAGGTTGGGGAGAAAAAGGAACATTTTCATTGCAGCACTATTCACAATAGCAAAGATATAGATTCAACCTAAATGCTCATCAATGGTAGAATAGTTTGAGAAAATATGGTACATGTACACCATGAAATACTATGTGGCCATAAAAATGGATGAGATTGTATCCTTTGCAGGGACATGGATGGAGCTGAAGGCCATTATTCTTAGCAAACTAACACAGGAACAGAAAACCAAATACCACATATTCTCACTTATAACTGGGAGCTAAATGATGAGAACACATGGACACATAGTGGGGAAAAACAGACACTGGGGCCAACTGGAGGGTGAAAGGTGGCAAGAGGGACAGAATCAAAAAAACAGCTACTAGGTACTAGGCTTTATACCTGGATGGTGAAATAATCTGTATAACAAACTCCCATGACATGAGTTCACCTATATAACAAACCTGAACATGGACCACTGAACTTAAAAGTTAAGAAAACCAGGTAGTCCAACAAAGACTTACATTTATAGAAGCCCTATCAACAGCAGCCCAAAGTGGAAACAAACCAAATTCTCATGAACTGATCAATGCATCAACCAAGTTTTTTATATCTATGCAATGGAATGTTATTATAAGAAAACAATGAAGTACCAATGCAGGCTCCAACATGAATGAACCTTAAAAATATGCTGAGTGAAATAAGCCAGATACAAAGGTTATATATGGTGTAATTTCTCTTACATAAAATATCAAAAGTAGGGAAATTCACAGAGACAGGAAGCAGATCAGTGGTTGTCAAAAGCTAGAGGAAGTGGGGAGATGAAAAATGACTAATTAATGGGCACAATATTTCTACTTGGGGCTATGAAAATGTCCTGGGGCCAGATAGTGGTGATGGACGCACAACATTCTCCATGTAGTAATGCCACTGAATTATACACTTCAAAATGGTCAAAATGATGAGTTTTATGTTAGGTGTCTTTTACCACCATAAAGAGCCACAATTCCCTGACAATGGTGTTCTTAAACTTTATAAACTTCTTAAGTCATATATTATTTATTATCATTGTAATTTATAAGACTATCTGTATAGAAAATCTAGTGTTAAATAATTTTATTTGCATAAATCCTGTTCAGGTTTTTCAGTAATTCTGAGGTATAAAGACAGCAACTTTGGGGATAATTAAGCCTTCTTATCTGTATAATATTCATCTGGAATTTTTTTCTGACATGCAAGATATATGTACATGTAGTCGTGAGAGTGGCTTTAAGTTCATTGTTATGGTTTCTGATCACCTTAGAATGACTCCATGGAGACGGAGCTAGTTCAAGTCCCATCCACAGTGTGGACATCAGCTTTTAACGGTCTCTACTCAGAGTCAGATAAGTCACATGCTCAGAAGTTGACAATTTACCCAGTTATTTCCCAGGTTCCTAGTTCAATCACTACCCTTCTTTTTGTACTTCATTAATAAGCACATTTTTCTTTTAACCCTCAGACATATGCCCCATTAAGCATTCATAACTGTTGTCCCCAGAGAAGCTCATGTAGAAAGATATGCGCCGTGTGACACATTAAGGAAGAGAGATAAATGCTGGCCCTTAGGACATTATCAATTCCAATCGCAACGTTTGCCAGAGGCTTCAGGATTTGACAAAACTGCCAAAGCCTACTCCTTCCCAGGCTGCTCAAGACCACGGAAGCTGCAGGAGCAATCTATCTGTCAGAGTTAGGCCTTCACAGGAGAGAACTGCCCCACAAAGGCAAAATCAACAGTATTTGATGTCCTCGCATGAAGAGCATTTTATTTTAATTTACTCACTTTCAGTTTTTACCTGAAACATTTCTTAAAATCCCATTTTGTGTGAACCAGCTAGGTTATACTGATGAATACCAAATACCTCAGTCAGTTTCAAAAGTGCTGAGGACATTTCTGTTTCATGAAAAATCAAGGAAATAGAAAGCTCACATGATGAAGATCATTCTTTAAGGAGCAAGTGCTGGCTCAAGAGCAGTATTTTCCTGGTGCCCAAGTCTGATTAGCTTAAATATACTGAAGATTTTCATTTGATTCATGATGTCTTTTTCTAAAGTTCATTATTAAATGTAAACAGTAAGTCAAAAACTTTAGAGGGAATGAGTCAGACTTTAGGAAGATTTCAAAATATTGTTATTGGAAGTGATGTCTTTCAGTCAACTTAGGGACAGTAAAAATGCATCTGCTTTGTTGGGAAAGGGGGCGCTTCCTGTGTTGTCACTGAGTTGTGACCTCTAAACCAAGGACTTGCCCCATATAGAGAATTGTTTCCTAAAGATTCAGAAATATGACCATTTTAATAGTCCCAGCTATTTTCCCGGCTTACCTCTGTTCATCAAATATATCATCAACTTAGTTTGGACTGCAAAAGTCACCTTGCTTTAAACCCAAAAGAATTGGTTGAGCTAGAAATCAGAGTGACTAAGAAAGTGACAAGTATTACTGAATAAGTACATCCTGTATCCCCTTGAATTCAGACGAAGTGAATCCTTATTTTACAAATCAACATGAGAGGCTGAGGCGGGAGGCTCGCTTGAGCCCAGGAGTTCAAGGTGGCAGTAAGCTATGATCCGTAACTGTACTCCAGGCTGGGCAGGACGGTGAGACCCTGTCTCTAAAGAAAACAACAAAACAAAACATAAAAGCAAGTAAACAGTACATTTGTGCTAGGAAATAATTGTTTCTAGTACAAATATCTCACTCTTTCTCTCTCTCTTTCTCCTCTTAATATTTCTCTCTCTCTATCTCTCTCTCTCACAAACACACACACAGACACACACCCCTACACCTCTAATTTATCTACAGGACTCAGATGACCCTGGTTTTCTGGGTTTCCTTCCGTTATTTAAAATACAATCTAATAGGCAAAAACCTGGCAGATTGCTCACAAATAAATCCTTTGTGTAAAGAATAAGTGAAGTAAATGAAGTGGCACCGAGACACTTTCATGAGCCTCATACTTACTTAGGCTACATAAGCATATATTCCATTCAATAAAAAAACAGACCTTTGGGCAATGCCTTGCAACTGTACATGCTGTGAAGATTTGAGGCTGATTCTAACTGGGACACATGAAAGAGCAAATTGAAAAGCCCATATCAATAATAATTTGTTAATCTCTTGCTGTGTTAAAATTAATCAAAACCTACATCTACCATAAGAATCATAATTTTTAAAACAGGAGAGAATGGTGACTCAGAACATGAAGAAGCTTAGTTACATCACAGTTAGGTATGATCCTTAGCAATCTGAGGAATTAATATACTTGAACTGAAACTCTTCCCCTACCCGCCACCTCCACAAATTTCATACCTTTTGGAATGTGTCTTGTGGGGCTATGATACTATTTTTAAAATAGTATTTTATTTTAGAAACAAAATAATTACAAGAAAATTCTTATACTTTTTTCAGTAACATTGTCTATTATCAATATTTGTCATTGACACACAAGTGGAATGAGGTGACATTTGGCCACACTGATGTTTATTACCCAAAAAAGTGCTGGAGACAAATGGTTGCATAAATATTAGATTCACTGCCAACTTTAAAACAGAAATTTAAGTAAAATAAATAAATGGCATTTATTCAATTTTATTTAGGAAGATTTTGCCCTTCTGGAAGTCAGTTAGACATCTATATTTAAAAGTCCTTTTCATGTTAAACTTATGAATACAGCTGCAACTTAATTAAGGCCATAGCATGACAGAAAATGTTGTTCCCAATGTTTCTGCTCCAAAGCACCCCCATAGCTCGTGGTGGCAGCACGACGTTGAGTACCGCAAGACCAAGGAGACTTCCCATTCTTAAGTAGGAAATGAGTTGGGCAGTTAAGATGAAAAAATGGAAATAACGTGCAAAAGAAAATAGCAGGAATTTTAATTTTGTGCAAAGGAAAATAAAGAAAAGAAAGAAAAGGTGAGAAAAGAATAAAGGATGGCTGTTCAGTTGTTGATGGTTGCAGCTCCCAAACCCTCCCACTGAAGTCCAAAGGATTCACAAATCTTGTACAAGTGCATTTTTGTTTTGTTTTGCATGGTATCCACCTTCTGAATCACTGAGTTCGACCTTCATGGTAAACAGAATTTGAGAGTATCTGGTGGAAGGCATTGGGCTTACTTATGTGAGAAATGAGGAATTTTATACAATAAGTGGGAAAAGTAGTGGGACATCAGATGAGAGCTGGTTCATATATACATTTGGCAAAATAACTTAGGTACATATACAACTCATTATATTATACAAAAAGCAAGTGACATGCTACAGTTCCCACTACAAATTGTTAGATGTAGAATCTTGTTTTGAATACTATTTTTATAACATATCATTCCTTGATTAATCGATTATTTTCTGCTGGAAATGAAACAACTAGAAAAATGTAGGCTGTGGTGGAGTTTAAAAGTCTGGTTTGGTATTGTTTGAGCTTTTCGGCTTTAACTTCTTTGCTGCTATTTTTTTTTTTATCTTTTATATTTCAGAGACTCTGTATTTGTACATTCATTACCTTTCTACAAAATGGCAGTTAATAAAATTAGGCAAGGAAATAGATTATTTGTCTGAGTTCAGCATAGCTAAGTTTTGACAATGAAAGTTAATTGAATTCTTACTAAATATGATAATTGCAAAGATAATAAAAATCTCTATTATTCACTTAGAAATCCTTATGGGTCACTCAAGTAAAATGATTTAACTATTATAATACAATATCATAATAAAGTGGGTTCCTTTACAATTATTAGTTTAATTAGCAAGTATGATTAAAAATGTCTGTATATGTATTTAAAGGCAAACATGGACATAGATAACTAAATGTACAGTTATTTAATGTAGCTAAATAATTATACTATTTAATGTATTTTAATGTCCACAATGCATTTTTGAAGGTTCTTTGTGATAAAAATAATGGCATATTAAAAAATTGGAAAATTCAAAATACAAACTATTTCTTAGGATTAGCAGATTTGAAATGCATTTGAACTACGAAAATAAAATTCAATTTGAAAAGCAAATTGTTGTCATATCAACAATGTATGTTATTAAAGATTATCAACTAAAGTTTTAAAATTGTCACAGTATTTTACAGCAATAGTTTAATCATCTCTTCTTCCTTGTAATAATTATAATTTGTATTAAATATAAAGACAATACATACTTACAGTGATCCCTTGACAGTTTATTCATAAGAAAGCTACCATTTAACAATTATTTAGCTGTTGTCAAATCTTTATAACAAGCTCATGAGCCAGTACTAACTCCACTTGGTTAGTAAGGAAACCGAGGCTCAAAGACATTAACTTGACTTGCATCATGCCATTAGGGTACATAAAAACACTGTGTGACTTTTGTAACTCACACATCACTGCTTCCAAAATTGACGGTCTTTCTAAAATATATTTTCATGAAGCACTTTAATAAATTTATACAACTGTGTATTCTTTAACCCATGGCCCTTCAAATGCCCACCTGCATAAAAAGTTCAGGAGAAAAGAAGGAAGAATTCACAGGAAGTCTGTTTTCTGCCTAAATTAACGCCTACTTTGGCACTGAAAATAACATCTATTTATGAAGAAACCTATGGGAAGTCTGTTCCTGACAGACTCAGGAATTGTGGAGCAGCTCTAGCTCAACCTGCAGTTCCAGTGCAAGCATGTAATCATTTGAGTATAAAGAACCTGGAGAATAGGGTGGCGATAATAGCGGGTGAAATTTTAAAGATGAACTAATTCAGTTATGTACAAAATAATAAAATAATAATGAGAATTGTAACTTCTAGTTTTAAAGCCTCAAATTCGTATTCATATGATCTACCACATCGGTACTATTCCTACCGATGAGAAAGTTTAGAAAGTTTAGTTAACGTTTCCGACTTGTTCATGACCTCCTAGGGCATCCTGTTTTCTATGTGTAAATCTGTTTCCTTGCATGGAGCTACATTCTGTTTCTCTTGTAATTTTTTACATGGGGAAAAAAATTACAAGGCTCTTGTAATTAAGGCCCTTGTAATTAGGGTCTTGTAATTTCCTATTTTTTTACAAGAGAAAGAATTACAAAGGCCTTCTTTTACCCAGCTCCAATACTGAACAAACTAAGTCACAATAAGAAGAATAAGCTCTAAGAGTAAACTCTACATGGCAAATGCTTCAGATACTCAAAGTTATTTTGCTTTGAGCTTTTCTCTTCTTTGAGTGAAAAACCTATAGTCACTCTGCCTCTTCCTCATGTAATATGGTTTTAGGCTCCTCATCGTTCTCACAGTCCAAATATCCTTTGTCCCAGAATCTCCTTTCTATAGCTAGATGCACCAAGGCTCTCAAATTATATTTTATTATCCCAGTCCTTCTGCCTCCCTCGTTTTAGATAATGTACTTCTACCAATGCAAACTTTGGATTTATTTATTGGGAAAGGGTAGCACTAATATTACACTGTTCCCAAAAAATCACACTTTATAAATTATTTAACTAATCAGTATTTTGGAATTTACATTCGCCCTTGTTCATTTTTCTATTGTGGGTTAAGTGCGTTGTTCAAATACATCAAGTTCTTTTTAGATTCTCCTTCTACATTCAATGTGTTTTCCACTTCTTCCAGCTACAGACTTAGAAAATGTATATAGCCCAGAAATGAGTGGTTTAAAATGAATGCAGAGCAGAACCCAGGAAGCTACAGGAATTTTGAATCTTAAAGTAAAATTTGTGCAACTATGAGAGGCTGTGATTTTTCTGCAGTTGGTAGATCAGCTCTGGAGGGAGAAGTGACAAGCCTGGTCTGGTTTAAGGTGAAGAAAACATCAGCCTGGAACACACAGGAGGGACTGTGTGATTATAATTATGTAGGATACTGAAAATCACAAGGCCAGAACCAGGGGCTTATCCATACCACTTCTGCCAATGTTATTTATCAAACCCCTGGCGAGAAGACACTGCACTGCAATTAGTCTACTAATCTACAGAGAAGTGAGATTTATATTCTAATTATACTTTGCTATGCATATATTTATGCTTAACATAAATCCATATTTAATAACTGCATAATCTTCTTCCATTGTGTGGAATCAGTCATTATATGTGAATCCTTGTTATCTGAAAACAATGCAAAGTTATATAGCTCCCTTTTAAATTTTAGAATAGGCAGCCAAACCAAAGCAGAACCATTTGAACTTGATAATTATTCTTGACCATGGTGGAATCGTAGGGGACTGATGGGGTAAGCAGCCGTTGTTCCAGGACCCTGTCAAGCCTGGGCTGCTGCTGTTGGCTGTACCACCCATGACCCATGCCTTCCCCTGCCTTCACAGCAAATAAACTACTTTCCAGGAAGCATTTCACTCCCCAGTTACACACCACCCCTCTTCCCACTGCTGCGGCATTGTCCTCAGGCCGCTGAACATCCAGATCGACCAGGAAAATTGTTGTCTTTTCTCTTCGTCATGATTTCCAGCACCAATTTTGTAACATTTCAGGAAGTTAGAACTTCCTATGAGTAAAAATAAAAAATTTAGGGAATTATTTTGGTTCAGACATTCGCTCCTCTGGTTTAAGCCCTCAACTAGTTTTAGGAACGATCATTGCCTGTCTCTTTTTGTGACTCTGAATCAGAGTATTCAGAGCTGACGTGTGATCACCTCCATATCCCCTGGCTGGGACCCTGACCCTGTTCTGGCCTGGTGTCATCACAGCTTCCTTCGCTGGATGTGCCGATTGCAGTTCCTGCCCTTATATTCCTACCTGGATCTCAGTTCTCAGTGTAAATATTACAGGCCTTTGTCTTTAAAATACTTAGATATTTTAATACGTGTGATATCTTTAAAGTATTTTTAAAATATGACAAAAAGGATTGCACTGCACATGGAAAGGCCTACTTAAATCTCCTGTAGCAAAAAGTCTGAGTGGCCCAGGCCCCAGCTGCTGTGCGAATCACACATTGACCACACATCACCAGCTGCTCCCAGCCCACTCGACTGAGTATGACAGGGATGCTCATCAAGGCGGCTCCACTCCTGCCAGGTGTGGGATCCTCCCATAGCCAACTCTGCCTGGATGAGGACTACCCCTCAGCCTACTGGAGAATTCTTAGAGCTCTGCTACGTCCTGAAACATTTCCTACCAGGTCTGCTGCTTTCTTCTCTCCTGCTCTGGGTCTATGGGCTGACCTGTGTCTCCCAAAATTCCTGCACTGAAGCAACTTCAGAAAGTGACCGTTTATTCAAAGAGAAGGTCTTTAAGGAGGTTCATGAAAATTCACTGAGGTCATTAGGGTGGGCTCTAATCCAATCAATATACCTGGTGCCCTCACAAATAAGGAGGTTAGGACCCAGACACACAAGGACAGAGGATGAACATGTGAAGACAGAGTGAGAAGACCACTGCCTGTAAGCCAAGGACACAGGTCTCAGAAGAAACCAAACTTCCTGACATGGCACCTAGATCTTGGACTTCTTGCCTTCAGAACTGTTAGAAAATAAATGCCTGCTGTATAAGCTGCCCAGGCTGTGGTATTTTGTGATAGCAGTCTGGGCAGCCATATAGACCGTCAGCAGGATCACACCAGAACGGGATATTTGAAGGCCCTCCCAGCCTCATCTGGGACCTTCCTTGTATAACAAGAACAAACAACTGGTTTTCCTTCTACTACACCTGAAACACTCAACACAAACACTTCTGTGATCACATGCGTAGGTGTTGTGTCCACACCAAGCAATCAGCCAGTGGACACCAGCAATTCCATTCAATTTAACACAGGTAAATACACAGGTAAGGGCTCAGTCCCACAAGACTCCTCCCATTTCAGATGCCAGTTCTGAGCCCCAGGTTGTAGCCAGTACTTCTGACCAACCAGCTACAAATTGGGGTTCTCGGCTGGGTGCAGTGGCTCACACCTGTAATCCCAGCACTTTGGGAGGCCGAGGCAGGTGGATCATGAGGTCAAGAGATCGAAACCATCCTGGCCTGCATGGTGAAACCCCATCTCTACTAAAAATACAAAAATTAGCTGGGCATGGTGGCATGCGCCTGTAGTCCCAGCTACTCAGGAGGCTGAGGCAGGAGAATGGCTTGAACCCGGAAGGTGGAGGTTGCAGTGAGCCGAGATCGTGTCACTGCACTCCAGCCTGGCAACAGACCGAGACTCTATCTCAAAAAAAAAAAAAAAATTGGGGTGGTTCCCATGACCCTCTTCTTGGGTTCAATAATTTGTTAGGACAACTCCCAGAACTCAGGGAAACACTTGACTTACGTTTACCATTTACTATAAAGGGTACTAAAACACAGAGTGATGAACAGCTGGCAAAGAGGCACATAAGGCGGGTCTGGGGCCAGGCATGGAGCTTCCAGGCTCACCAGGCGGCCCTCACAGCTCCCCAGTGTGTTCAGTAATCCGGGAACTCTCTAAACCCCATAGTTCAGAGGTTTTTATGGAGTCTTCGTTACATAGGCATGTTCGCTTATTAACTCAACATCCAACTTCTCTTCCTCCTCCAAAGTTTAGGGGTTGGGGCTGAGAATTCCAAGCTCATAATCATGGCTGGGTGACCAACCCCCAGCCAGAAGCCACCAGGGGCTCCCTTATTAGAACAAAACATGTCCCTATCACCCAGGAAATTCCAAGGGATTAGGAGCTCTGCCTCAGATAGGAACTCTGTGTCAGAAACTAAGGTCAGAGATCAAATATATATACAGATCCACAGATCCACAAATAGACACAGATACAGATATATACACACACAATAAGAGATATATATCTTGTTCTATCACAATAGCACATACCCCCTTTCCTCTTGCTGGTGTTGCCCTCACAGATCTCTTGTATATCTAACCTCCTCTTTGTGTTCACTTCTCAGTGGATCCAAACTAACCCAGGCTTGCTAAAAGGAGACACAAGCCAAAACACACCTTTCATGCTTGAAACAATCTCATAAGATGAAAAGAGAATGCCCTAGGGGTTGCCCCTGCTTGGAATCCAGCCTGCACACCCCTCCTGTGGCATCTAAGAAGGCAACACATCTGACTAGGCGCGGTGGCTCACGCCTGTAATCCCAGCACTTCGGGAGGCCGAGGCGGGCGGATCACGAGGTCAGGAGATCGAGGCCATCTTGGCCAACATGGTGAAACCCCGTCTCTACTAAAAATACAAAAATTATCTGGGTGTGGTGGCACATGTCTGTAATCCCAGCTACTCAGGAGGCTGAGGTAGGATAATCACTTAAACCCGGGAGGCGGAGGTTGCTGTGAGCCGAGATCGCGCCACTGCACTCCAGCCTGGCGACAGAGCGAGACTGTTTCTAAAAACGAAAAGAAGGCAACACATCTTACTCCTTCAGAATCGCCAGAGGCATAAAGCATGTTTCTTCCTATCATCTGTCCCACTCAAAAAAGAAGTTCAGGGGACACACACCAGGGCCCCAGATTCTCAGGCTTAATGCTAAACCTTATCTTTCTACAATTCAAATGGGATGTAAAATTGTGTTTGTGATCTTTATTTTTATTAGAACAAGAAGGTAATTCTTTTTCTTTATAGAATAATTTTCAATTGAGAAGGAAACAGAGGCAGTTGTCAAATCTATGTTGTCCCAGGGTATTCAAAAATGGCTTCCACAATCACGCGGCAGTGCTTAGCCCAGTTAGAGCTTCTCAGATAACACACCAATTCTGCATAAAGCAGCTCATTTATCAGACACAGATTTCCCGCTTGTAAATGCTTCCCATGAGAGTTAGGTCATGGACTATAAGGTTTGGGTATTTTTCTTTCTTTCTTTCTTTTTTTTGGCAAATTGCTAAATTAATCAGTAATTCTTACTGTCTGTCGTCAAAGGCTACTATAGAACAGGAGGAAGGAAGGAAAGGGAAGCTTCTCCTGTGAGCCTGTCACAAGCCAGCAACTCTGCTTGGGATTGTAAATGATTGAGGACATAATCTCACATCTGAGTTGCTTAAAGTGGGAAGGATAAGGCACTTATATCGAGAATTGAATCATAATTGTATAAATAAGTGAATTATAGATCCACAGATAAAATGCCTGTAGGCGTACAGAAGAGAAATACAACTCCTTCAGCTGAGGAAACCAGGGGAGATTTCTGAAGGAGATACTATTTAATTCAGGCATTAAGATGAATAGAATTTAGATATTTTGAGATGGGGGTAAGGATGAGAAACAGAAAGAGGAAACACACAGAGGCCATTTATACAGCACCCTTGACATTAGTGGCTCCATCTTAGAAAAAGACTCTATCTTACATTTCATAAGGCACGTTGCCAGCAGGGATCAGATATTTTGCCTGATCAATAAAGATGCATCCAGCCAGATAAAGACATGACCAAGCACATTCTTCCACTATCAGTCCTAACCAGGGGACTCTTGCCCATAAAAAGAGCAAGACTTCAGCAGCTCGAAACGGCCTCTTAACAGACACTATCTTACTGTCCCTTGTGATAAGCACCCAGAATCTACCACCGAAGGCTCTGCCCACATCACTGACCCTTCCATGCACGACTCATGGTCTGCCCAGGCCAGACCAGGATATTCTTTTTGTCTACATCTCTCTCCCTGGACTGGTTCCTTAACCCTTTTTCTTTCCCCTTGATGTTAAATGTCACTTTGTTTGTTGTGGAATATTTAATCTATAGCATTTATCTATTGATTACATATACTAGTATATATGGTTTGCAATCTTGATTGATGTGTGGAGTGGCTTGAGCCTGTGTGCCCGCGGCTCTGACTACAAGTGAATGGGAAGCACCACCGAGAATTGTCTCCCTGGGAATTCCATGCAGCCCGTGATTGAAGTAACGTCAGTAAAAGCCTGACATTGTGGGAAGACACAAACCTGGGCCTCTTGTTATCTCTGACATTGCACTGCTCACAATAGGCAGAAAATGAACCACTGTATTCAAGGAACGGCAAGGTCCCTATTAGATCATATTCATCATGTTTCTCAACAGAGATGATTGAGGCATTTGGAATGGGACAGGCATTTTTCTGTTTAGCACTGTGCCATAGACTGCACAATGTTTAGCATGTCTATCCCCTGAACGGATAATATCAGTGGTATCCAAGAGTAATTTAGCAAATATGTGAAGTTGAAAACCACTAGAATCTAACTCAAATTGGAGCGTGGTGGGGGTTACTGAAACAGATTCCTGGCCCCACCCTCCAGTTTCTGATTTAGCAGGTCTGTGATGGGGCCTGATCATTTACATTTCTAACAAGTTCTCAGATGAGGAGGATGCCGCTGTCCTGGGAACGGTCTTGGGGCACCATTGTTTATGGAGTATAACATAGAGAAATGGAAAGTCATATTGGAATAATGAGATTGTGGAGGACCATGAATAGCAATGTAGTTATACGGATAAAGAGTCTCTGAAGTCAAATGCCTAACTACATTTCTACATTCCATTCAAGACTTAGAGAGAAACATAAAAGAGAAACATGGATGGCTTTAGAAATCTCTTAGGAGAGAAACAAAACTCTGGCTCTCTCTCTCTTTATTTACCACCCCCACCCCCATAGCTGTGGAACAGCACTACTAGCAGAGTAATAACAAGGAGCACATGTTCACCTTCTTGATGGAAAAAAAAAGAAAGATGAGGAAGATGAGAAAAACAAGACCAATGGGACGGGTATTTATTCTGGACCATAAGCTCCACGAATCAAGAACCTCACCTGCCTTGGCTCAGTACAACCTCCCACACAGAACACAATTCTGGGCACATATATGCCACAGAAAACATATTTGGCAAACAAATGAATGAATGAGAGCTGAAACAACATTGGAAATGAATAGTAGGCAATGGAGAAGGATGATGTAAAAGTTACAAGCATCACTTTAGGCACCGAGTCACATGCAGGGTGAAGAGCAAAGCCTTTTACTGAAACTCCTTAGTGGAGTCTGGAAGGGAGACGTGAAAGACCCATGGTCAGTTTATACAGAGAATATCAAATATAACTATTAGATTTCAGACTGAAGTTTCTAGAAAAAAATAGCCATATTATTGACACACACACACATGTGGGAAAGAGAAGCATATTTTTGTGAGGAAGCAAGAGTGGGTGTGTGGAAAAACACATTCACGTTAGACATAAATGGTTTTACATGCTTGCATGGTTTTTGATTAAAAATGCAAGAGGAAATTTTAGAGCAGTGACCAGACTTTGGAAAAATAAAATTTGGATATGATCCCATGAAAGAGACCAAGACCATGAGAAGGACATTTGACATGTTTGACTCAAAAATCATATTGGCAAGAATTTGTTAATGGCCATTGAGATTTTAATAAAGTCACTATATATGTATAAGAAGTCACTACACAAATGCAAAATATAAGCTACAACACCATTGTTCATGCATGAAATCTGGGACCCTAATAAAGCCCTGAACCTCTCCCATACACTCCCTCATCTCCCCATCTGTAGGCTGGATCCACTGGGGGTCCACAATGGTGAGAGGAGATATGCAATGAAGAAATTTGGGTTCTTACCAACCTTATGCCTCCTTGTCCTATGGCATAGTAGTAAGACCAATTTCTCCATGTGTATAATAACTAGAAACATAAGCTATGGATTAAAAAGTGCCTCAAGGTGTTTTAAAAAGTGGCATTCTTGATTGTGCTCATAGAGCTAATTTTGCTTCTCTCTCTATGTGGATGATTTTTAAAACATGCCAAACTCTATGCAAAGCCTGCATTATAGAGTTTTGGAGAGGTTAATCCAGACACCATGTATTAACCTTGGATATGTGGGCAAATAATAGACTAGACAGCTGGCAATCTGACATTCAATAAGATGAATGGAAAAAACTCATTTATTTTGCATTGTAGAAACAGTTGCTAGCTATCTAGAAATTGACATCTTATGTTAATTTGCAAAACAAATATGCAAAAAATAACATGGACAGTAATTGAAACATCTGTAATATGTGAGAAACTACACTCTGCCAGGCACTGGGATCCAGCCACTTGGATGAGAGCCAGAGCCTGCTCTCATGGAGCCCGCTGTGAGTTCTGGATCCAATGAAGCAAATATTCAATGCCCTGATACACTCTGTGACATCTGCTGGGATTGGAGCAGCTCCAGGCACTGTGGGACCAAACTGGGAGGCAGCAAAGCCTTCTCTGAAGAAGTGCTCTAGGTTCAGAGCTCAGACAGAAACTGGGATCTAAGTGATGAATGGGGATGATCTACACAGAAAGAGCTGCAAGTATTGGGACTAGAACATACAAAGTTCTAGATAGGGGATGGCAGAAGAGGCTTGAGGAGCTGAATGAGCCTAGGTACAGTGGGAAGTGCTGGTGTGAGAGGTGGGCTGGGTGTGAAATGGGAAGGGTGAAGTCTGGTTATGTCAACAATCATTCTGGAAAGATTAAAGATCAACAAGGACTACTCTCTTGAAAAGAAGTTTGGAAACTAAGCATTATTACAAGATTTTTTATTTATTTTTATTTATTATTATTATTATTATTATTTTTTTTTTTGCAGAACCAAGAACAGTACATTTAGGATTATCTTCATTAGAGAGAGAAGAATGGATCTAAGGGAGGACAAGACTGAAGATAATGTGATCAGTTTAGGGGCAGTTGCAATAAACCAGATGCAAAATTATGATGGCCACAACCAGGTCATGACAGTGGGGACTGAGGGTCCCCGTATAATAAAGATGCTTAGGAAGAGGCTCCCTTTACTTATTTGCTCACTGAGCAAATATTATTGATCACCTACTTTGTGCAAGTCGTTGTTCTAGAAGCCAGGGAACAGTATAAACTAAGCAAAGAAAGCTCTTACTCATGTAAACCTACAGTCTCCTGGGAGAGGATAGACAATAAAAAATCAAGGAAATAAAGAATTTGCTTCAAGGTTATAAGTGCAATGAAAAAGAAGGAAGCGGGTGAGTGGAGACAGTGAGAGGGTTGGGTTGATGTAGGTCAGTAGTACAAGCCTCACTGATTAGGCAACATTTGAGTGGAGAGCTGACAGATGCAAATGGTGATCCATGCAGAATCTGGGTCAGCAAGTACAAAGACCCCAAGGCAGGAGCAGGCTAGAGGTATTTAAAGAAAATATTCTTATGTTGAAGCCCAATTCCCAATGTGATGGTACTAGGAGGTGGGGTCTCTGGGAGGTGATTACCTGGGGTTTTCTGTGGGTAGATTGCTCATCAATGGGATTCATGCTTTTATAAAAGAGACCACAGAATGCTCCTTGCCCTTTCCACCCTGTGAGTACCTAGTAAGAAGCTGCCATTGATGAACTGGAAAGCAGACCCTCACCAGACATCAAACTTGCCAGACCCCCGACCTTGGACTTCCCAGCCTGCAGCCCTTTGAGAGCATGAATTGCTATTGTTTAAGCCACTGGGCCTGTGGTATTTTGTTACGTCAGCCCTAGCAAACCAATACAGGTACCATCTCTAGAATTTGCAGAGGGGAAGAGTAACCTGCATGGGAGACTGAGAAGGAAGGATCAGTGAAGCAGATGAAAAACCAAGGAGAGAAAGTCAACTGAAGAAAACAGAGTGAAAGAAGTCAGTGGAAAAGGAAGAAATAATGGAGTCAATGATGCTTGTAGATGAATATGACAAGGTCTAAAAATGTACCCTCTGAGCCTGGCAACAAAGAGATCATTGCTACAGGCAGGTTTGGTGGAATCACTGGGAAAAAGCCTGGTAGGGGTGTTTTCAAGAGACAATGGAAGAGAGAAGTTCGAACTCATGAGTACAGACACCTTCCGAGACGTGTTGGTTATGAGGGAAACTGAAATGAAGGGGAGGTGGTTTGGTTTTCTTTTCTTTCTACTTTGGGAAACATTAAAATTCTTTTCCCCTTCTGTGAATATGATTCTGTTCTGTGGATCATGAAAGGCTGAAAGAGTAATGATCTTGAGAAGGTCAGAGGCACTGGCTCCAGTGGGGCAGTTTTAACACTGTTTGCAAATGCTGCTTTATGAAGCAGTGTTTATGCATGTCCAGTTTTAGAAATTCTCTGTGTATTGAAAAGGCTCAGAGAAAAACCCAGAAAATATATTCTGTTCTGTCCATTCTTGCACTCAGTAAGTGATTTCTCTGATCTTATAAATGGCACGTCTACATCTTCCCTGTAGAACATTTTACTTCTGTGTGTACTATGGTGGCACTGTCAGAGGCAGTGATCATCTACAGATTGTTTTCCAGCTGCACTTGTACACTAAGCAGCAGTCTGGGCTGCTGACAGATTGTGCCTTTTTCCTATGAAAATCACCAGCCAGTTCTTCTTCTTTCTCATAGACTGTTGTGAGCACAATAAATCAGAAAACTCTAGGTTTATACCAGCTATGGCAATACTGTCTAAAACTCGATGGATCGGAGACCTGAGCTGTAGCATTCATTCAGCTAACTAAAATGTTTGCTTTTTTTCAGTTTCAATTTAATCAAAACTTGATGGTGAAGAGACAGAAATGACAGATTTCATGTTTTGCCATTAATCCTTATTAGACATCTGGCTTATGAGAAGGGAGCAGCTCTAAGAAATAACATTGTATGGCGCGAGAAATTGACACAGAGGAAGTGACACTACAAAATCAGGAGACAATTTTTTAATTATAAAGAGCAGAACCCATTATTCATTCCTTCCTTCCCCCTTCCCTAAAATATACAAAAATACTGGGTTAAAATAAATATATATGTGCATGTATAAATACACACAGGTATATGTAAGTATATATACATATATATCATATATACATAGGTACATATATGTACATGTGTATCTGTACCTATATATACACACATATACCTGAATATATATGTATACACTGTATATATACCTGTATATATATATGCATATATATATATATATGCATATATATATATATATATACACACACACACACACACACACATGCATGTGCACCTTATGGGTTCTAGTTCTCTGGAGAACTCTGACTCATACACAGTCTCTGTGCTAGGAATAGAGATAGAAATATCATGAAGTTCATTAGGGCAGGAAAGAAAAATTCTTTCTCACTGTTCCTTTGCTCAAGCTTTTCTTGCTTCCCTGAATCCCCTCCTCCTTCTGCACATCCCCAGCACTTAGAACAGTACATGGAAGATGACAAGGATTCAATAAACATTTGCTACATGAATGAATGAATGAATAATTAAGGAATCCTGATCCTCTTCTTTGCATAACACACATTTTAGTGAAAGATATGGGCTCGCAAACAGAGATTACACTTCAAGGAATTCGTGTTGGCAATGCTGCAGGGGAAGGGCTTCGTGTGTTTCACCTGAGGATGTCGGGGAGGGCTCCGCAGGGGAGAGGAGAGGTACATCTGCAAGGAATGGAGGAAGGGTGTTCCTGGCGGGTTGGGGAATCCCTGGAGCAAAGACACAGTAGACACAGCAGAAAGCAAGTACATTTCCCATTCTGGGAACTGCTGACCCTGGGACTACCAGAGTAACAAACCACGCCTCTCCTCTGGCTTCTGGGGCTGCTGAGGTTTGTCCCGTAACTTGCAGCAGTGTCACTCACTCCACATGGGCTTTGGTCCATATTCTCATGCTGCCCTCCCTCTGTGTGTGCCCACACTCTCCCCTTCTTTTCAATGGACGCAAGTCCTTGGATGGGGACCCACCCTGATCCTGATGACTTATCTGAACTTGATTACATCTGCAAACACTCCATTTCCAAGTCACATCATAGAAGTTCTCAGTAGACATAAATTTTTAACCCAGTACAGTACCTCATAGGATTCTTTTCAGATTAAATGAGACAATATGTATAAAGTGTTTAGAGAGATGGCTGGCACACACACACACACACACACACACACACACACACGCGTACATATAATCACACATTAGCAGAAAACAATGAATAAAAATATTGCTCAGCGCTCCTTAATAATGTAAATTTTTCCCTTTTAATACATTTCCAAAGGTGCTATCAAATTCCTGTTTCTCATTATCTTGTTTACATCAGTGCCCTTAGCTTATGTGTCTATCTTCAGCCTTTTTCCATTTTATCATAATTTAAAATATGATTGCCTAAAACGTTCCTAAAGCTATGCTGTTATTCCTATAATTTACACTCACGGTGACGATCACTGATTATATAACAATGTCATTATTTAGCAACTTTACGACTCTGATAATATCTCTTAATTCAAATCATAATAGTAGCTAACATTTATTATGCATGTGGCAATACATGGCAGATTTCCTTTGCAGGTATTTGCATGTATTATCTAACCAACTAACCTTCACGAGCACTTACCTCGTAACCTTATCTGCAGAAATATGAGGTGCAGAAAGTGCCCTGGCCGGGGACAGACAGCTCTTAAGTATCAGAGTACAGATCAACCCCCAGACTGAACTCCAGAGTTAGATCCTTGATGCTAAACCTAAGTAATGCTGCTTCTATCATGATGTTCTCATATCAGAAATCTGCTTTCTTCCGGCTCCATCGCTGCTCTCACGCTATTGATTACAGCCAAAAAGTCCCTTTCTCTCTTCCTACCAAACTCATAAAATGTTGAAGAGAGCACGGTTTCAGATTCGTGTCATCCTACCTCACCCCAGTGAATGCCCACAGCAACTCCCTTTTAATGAATGGTGCATCTTTCCATCTAGGTATATTTTTTTCCTCTTTTTTCAATTATTCTCACAACACCTATGAAAGTTGTGACTATATAGCAGACAATTAAAATAATATTTCTTAGAAATATGAATTTGTGTTCATGAAATATTAAGCCATACATTCACTTCATACAGGATCCTTCAGAATTTAAATGCAATTAATTTGCAAGCTTTTGTAATTTTATATCTGATTTGGAAATGGGCATCTTTAATTACCTAGCAGCTGTTCCCTATTAATTGAAGGCATCATAATGCACTGAATGTATCTATGTGAAATTCTAACCTGCCCCGGAGGGCTAGAGTCAGCATGTGCCTGCGCTCTACATATTTAACCATACAAATCTCTGATGTAGGTATGTATGTGGAGTTGGAAAACTCACCCTTTTTGTCTAAAATCCAGAAGTCATTCTTTTGTACCTTGTAGCTGCCCCAGCAAACATCTTATCTGAGCTACTTCTTCCTGCATCCTTCCCCTCCTGTGCTAAGTTAAGAGGAAAGGATGAATCCACAGCTTCACATTCAGAGGGCGGTATGTTCCCATCCTATTGAGCAGTTAATGAAATGGGAGTGACGCTGATGAAGCTGCCACTTCCCTCTCTCTGCTAGGCTTGGTGCCACTCTGGAACAGGGAAGATGCAGACAGCACCATGTTGTCAATGTGTTTTTGCTGGGAATGTTGCCTCCCCATTTCTTCCTTAGGACAGGCTGATATTTTATATTTGCTCTACAATCCGAAGTATCTAATATAGGAGACATTCGTAGTGGTTAAATCTGACTCTTTTGGGGAGAGTCTACATACATTCCATGTCAAATACACTCCTAATTTTGAGTTGGAGAAATAGTCATCCTTGCAGAGTACTTAACATACATCACATCCAGTAATGTTCATTTAAAAATGCGTATATGGATCCAGGCTTGGTCATGTTCCTAGTAGATTTGACGGATTCTAAAGGTGGCAGGGTTCTGATTTCAATTTCCGAGGTGTCAGCTTAAATCCGCTTATAGAGCATCGCATTTTCAAACTGCCAATTTATGTAGCTGGTTGTGGGAGGTCAGGGAGAGAGGATAAAGCTGCATCCAATAAAACGCCATCACCACCCCTGTGGAAACAGTGCCAGCCCAGATGGGTCACACTCATAAAAACAGCACTCACTAAATGCTAGTTGTGAAAATTATAACAGGCTCCTTCTATCTTTATACCCTAGATACTAGGAGATAATTTTTTTTTAAATAAGCTTACTTGATAACCAACTACTGTGGAATTTTAACTTCTGAGACAATCTAGTAAATACAAGGAAACAGCTGGACTAAATAATCACAATTAAATGGGCAGTCTTATTTCACTTTTTTATGTGTAAAACACTTAAGGCATATATGAAATTTGTTCTTTGACCTCAGCCTACACTTTTGGGAATGGGGTACATAGGGGAGAGAAAGCTTGGTCCTAATGATTTACCTATGAACTTCTAAATGAAGAGATGTCCAGCCTATCAATGAATACATCATTCAATGTATATTGATCATCGACATATTTTAGGCATCTATTTAGAGGGCTCTGAATGACACGCAGACAGTTGATATGTCCTGTAGATTATTCAGAAGAGGTAAAGCCATCAATACTTTACAAAATTGCACCAAAAATCAAAGTGACTTCAAGGTTTCTGTCCTGGAAGACCAGGGGAGTGATGGCACATCAATGGAGAATCACAGAGGAAGTTTTGGTTTGGGAAGAAGATGAGGGTGGTTATATTCAGCTTTGAACACGACAATTAATAAAGGCAACATCATCAGAAAAGTTAAGACTGGAACTCAGGAAAAAAGTCTCGATACAGATTTAAGATAATTAGAGTGGGTGAGGTCGATGCAGTGGGGGAAAATGAGATCTTCCAGGGAAGATAGGTAGAAACAGAGTTAGAATCAGAGTCTGAGATCAATAGAAGAGGTAACCAACTAAGGAAGCTGGTACAAGGATCTGAGGAGTAGGAGAAGAAAACAGAGGTATCCCAGTGTTACATTTTGATATTTTTCAATTTTCCTAATAGATTACTTAGAATTTTGTGATAAAATGGAGATATAAATAAAGTATGATATTATAGTTCTGTAAATATGCTTACAAGTTCTTTGTGTGACTGGACTGAAACAGGCCCTTAGTAAACATTTGGCATATTAAGTAGTAAATAAATAACATTGCTTTTGAAAAAAAAAAAAAAGGAAGAAGAACGGGGAGGGATTGATCAGGGAAAGAAGATGAAAAACCCCAAAGCATAAAGAATACTTCTCCTGGCCTTTGGACATTCCCTTGACAGCAGGCAGAGAGCTCCACTAGAAAGCAGGAATAAAGAATTTCAAATGGCAAGGAAGGTAAATCAACCTGTGAAGATAAGTTTCTCTAACTATACCACATAAATCACTTTTGCAGTATGACGTTGTCTATAAAAACATGGTCTCTCAACTCAGGAAGCCCTGAGGTAGCAGTTTCTTCTTCAAAGGCTGCATTGCTTCACCCACCAAGTGGGGTGCATGACCTACCTACTTTCAATAACATATGTACCTACTACATATGTTATTGAAAGGAGTAAGTCAAGGCATGTAGAGCTCAGAGAGTGCAGAACATACCTGCAAGGCACCAGATAATAACATCAGCAGTTACTTTTAATGGAAACACATTGTGGACTAATTAGTACGAAGCAATATTTGGGAGTGGCAATTCCAATAGGGGAATTCACATTCCTTCTTAAATTTTCCCTATGTACTTCCTCTCTGATTTTTAAGTCACCCACTCACTCTATTTCTCTATCTCTCTCTCCCTCAGACTTCCCTTTTCTTTCATGTGGCGTAACTCAAATAGAGTTGAATTTACAGCCTTAAAAGAAAATTTAGGACAGTTTTCCTTTTAGAGGGAAAAAGAGTTGTTGAACACATTTTAGATTGATGCAGCATATTAAAATGACAAATTACACACTGAAATATCACCAACTCCCAGAACAATAAAAACATCAAAGACACTAAATTTACACTGACAAAAAAATACATTTATAAAGCAAAAAAAATCCTGAATTACTTTTAAATGACATACTATAAACCTTAACATGAAAAAAACCACAGACATATTGTCCTTTGAAAAAGTATATTTGATTCTTTATACTCAGCCAGCCAATAAAAGTACTTGGAAATAAGAGATAAAATTTCATACAAATATACAATCTGCAAGTTTAAACAATAATTTAAATGGAAACTTTTTTCTTATGGCAATTTTTTTTTACTTTCTCAATTGCATAAACAAGTGCATTTGACTATTTCAATAGCTTAAAGATAAATAAAAATATCACCACTATGAAGTGAAAACTTTTTCTTATGTGCATTTTTGGGAGAAGTAATACATATGCTAGAGACGTTATACTGTTTCTAAAGAGATTACTTTCATTTGCAATCCAAATTTCTTAAATTGTAAGAAATTCATATTTTTCCCCTAGCACAGTGAGGTATATGAGTACTCACGAGGGTATTTCCAAGGTAGATGAGAAACTCAAGGGAAGTAATATATGTATATCCATTATTTTATACTTGGGTCAGCTCCAAGTACCAAATAAATATGCCCTATTACAGATTAAATGTTCCTTTCCCTCAAAAATCATATGTAGAAGCCCTAACCCTCATGTGATGGTATTAGGAGTTGTAGCCTTTGGGAGGGAATTAGGTTCGATGAGTTTATGAGATGAAGTCCCATGATAAGATTAGTGCTCTTAAAAGAAGAGAAATCAGAGCTTCCTCTTCACCATGTGAGGACACAGCAAGAAGGTGGCTGTCAGCAAGCCAGGTACCTTGATCTTGGACTTCCCTGTCTTCAGAACTGTGAGAAATAAATGTCTGCTGTGTAAGCCGTTTAGTCTGTGATATTTTGATATAGCAGACTGAGCTGAACAGACACCCTCTAGAGCCAAATATTTTAATTTTTACATTGCAATAATGCATTTGAAATTATAATAATTGTTACAAATTCAGACTCTTTCATTGAGTTCTAGGAGTCAACTATTTCTTCATCATTTGATGCTGAAGATGACCTTCACTATAGTCCATCACTTCTGCTTCCATTAGTAATGGAAACTATTCACTAAAAGAGATGAAATTATATAGGTTGCCTTGCTGAGGATATTTCCCTCCGATATCTTCAGAAATTTTTGTGTTATTTCTCTCACAAGGCATTAACAATATAGCATATAGGAAGGGTGTATACAGTTTGCTGTGTACACAGAGAAAGCATGCAAAACACATTGTGTGTGTGCACATGTGTATGTTTGTGTGTGGGTGATTGTTTTTGTCTGCTTCCTGTTGTTCCTATCACTTTGAGCACCTTAACATAATCATTACACCATGCAAAATGTGAGACTTTTCTATCCAGTCCTTTCTCTTCTTTGCCATTCAAAAAAGAAACACACAAAAGAGCAATTTCTTAAATAAAATAAAACACAACTAAAAGTTAATCATGTATTAATTCAAATAAAAATTTACTCTCTGCTTCTTTTGAATTGAAAAATCAGATCTGACTGCTTGCTTAGATTTTAGTGTCTTTATACCAATATTCATAATATAAACAAACTGCTATACATAATACACTTATCCATTTATTACACTTAAAAATACATGTTAAGAAAGCCTTGCCAGGCGTCTGTGGTTATCAACAGATTTTAATTATGTAACAAATATTGACTGCCTATTGATAAGATTATATTATATTCCACCAAAATGGCATCCATATATACATGTGAAATAATTTCTGGGAAGACAAATTAAGGACAGATGTATTCTAAAAACTATAGAAAGTTTCAGGATGGGAAACTCTTCATGTCCTAAGAATAAGGACAAAGGAGCAGTGAGTCCATGCCGAACCATTACTGAAATTCTTGAATCACATTTGATCCTTCTTTGTAGTTCTTATTTTTTATATCTTTTTTTCTATAGGTCCCATTTAAAAATATACAGTATTTGCCTTGGTCCATTTGTTCTCCCATACTTGCATGTTCCCTTCTTTGCTTTACTTTCAGTTCATTTTCCACACCCTCACTGTTAGCCAAGGGCCATGGTTCTTTCATTGATTAGTATCAAAACCAGGAGGAGAATAACCACAGGTTCATACCACATCTGCCATTCTCTAGATCAGAAGTTCTCAGTTCTCTCTGTACTCCATAGTCTCCTAGGCACCATTAAAAACCATCCTGGCCCCATATAAGACTCATTACATCAGCATCTTTATGGGCAGTTCTTAGACATGGAAATTAAAAAATAAAATCTTCCCAGGTGATTCTGTTATACAGCCAGGATTGAGAATGACTGCTAGAGGTGATCCCAGCTGAAGCCAAGCCCATCCAGTGGGCAGCTGAACTCATCACAGTATGCATGTGCACAGGCTTGCTCCATCAATTGCCTTCTCTTACTCTAGTGTCACCAGATTTTCCCTCTCACATGAATTATTTTTATTTTATTTTTAATTTTACTTCAAGTTCTGGGATACATGTGCAGAAAGTGCACGTTTGTTACATAGGTATACATATGCCATGGTGGTTTGCTGCACCTATCAACCCATCATCTAGGTTTTAAGCCCCATGTACATTAGGTGTTTGTCCTAATGCTCTCCCTCCCGTTACCACCCATCCCCCGACAGGCCCCAGTGTGTGATGTTCCCCTCCCTGTGTCCGTGTGTTCTCATTGTTCAACTCCCACTTATGAGTGACAACATGTGGTGTTTGGTTTTCTGTTCCTGTGTTAGTTTGCTGAGAATGATGGTTTCCAGCTTTATCCATGTCCCTGCAAAGGACATGAACTCATTCTATTTTCTGGCTGCATAGTATTCCATGGTGTATATGTACCACATTTAATATCCAGAATCTACAAGGAACTTAAACAAATTTACAATAAAAAAACAACCCCATCAACAAATGGGTGAGGGATATGAACAGACACTTCTCAATAGAAGACATTTATGTGGCCTACAAAGCTCATCATCACTGGTCATTAGAGAAATGCAAATGAATTATTTTTATCAGCACATACACTTGCTGTTAATTCTCCCATCATTAAAAAAAGCTCTTAACGTCTGTTCCCTCTTCAGTAATCTTTCCATTTCTCTCCTCTTTACAGAAACCTCCTTTAAAGAGCTCTTTATACTTTCTGTGTCCATTCCTGTTTTCCTACTCTGTACAGAACCTAATCCATTAAAATTCTTGCTCCCAACAAGTCAAGAAAACTAATCACCTCCATACTCCTAAATGCAATGGTCAGTTCTCAGGCTTCCTCCTGCTTGATCAATAAAAATTTCTCCTCCTTGAAAACTCATCTTGGCTCCCAAGAAAGCACCCTCCCTCATTTTCATCCTTTCTTCCTGGTCATTCCTTGTGATTGGACCTCATTTCACTGAATTATTAATATTGGAATTCCTTGGGACTCAGTTCTTAGACTTCGTATCGTTTTACCTAAACTCTTTCTCTACGTCACTTCAACCACTTTTGGGGTTTTCGGTATCATCTATATGCTCATGAGTTTTCAATTTACGTCTCCAGCCAGGATGCCACCCCATCTCATTCACAACTCCTAGAGGCACTCCTACTGTGGCTAATGGCATTTCATTCTTCTAGTTGTCAAGGCCCCAAAAGCTTGATGTTATCCTGGAATTCTCACTCCCTGTAGTAGGGAGCATTTTGGCTGTCCCGATTTCACCCTCTGGAGTTACATCTGCGGCTATGCAAGATGATCTGGAGAAAGGGATGCATGGTTACTAGTGAGCTGCCTCTGGAACAGGAGATGAACCTGCATAGCCCAGGAGAGCCCAGTGTCATCACATAGGCCCCTAAAGGTGCAAGAGGGAGGCAGAAGATTCAGTCAGATACAAGGATGGACAAAGAAACAGGCAAACTGAAGCGTGAGAAGGAGCACTGTCCCTGCCCCGTATCCATCACTGTTGATGTTGGAGACGGAGGAGGGGGCTCTGATCCAAGGAAGGCAGGTGGCCTCCGGAAGCTGGAATTGTTGAACCAGTGCTGATGACACCTTGTTTTCATCTCACCGAAGCCCATACCTCACCTCAGACCTACAGAACTGTAAGGTAATACTTACGCTGTTTGTCACTATTAAATTCGTGATAATTTGTTTTGGTAGCAATAGAAAATCAATACACTCCCTATAGCCAGGTAATCAGCATTTCCTGTCAGCTCTATCCTAAAAATAAATCCTAAAATTGACTATTTCTCACCACACCCTAGCTCCGCTTGGGTCCAAGCCACCATCATCTCTTGCCTAGCTTGCCACCAGAAACTAGGTTGCATAGTTTCACACCTACAACATCTGCTTAGAAAGCATTAATTCAGATTGTATGACATGAATGTTTGGGGAAACGTAACTTATATAATAACTGCTTCTTGGCTTTTTAGTTAGTAATTTACTACTATGAGTTTTCTTTTAACCCTAACCTAAACACAATGGTGCACTGTAGATATTTGGTACAAGAAATTTTAAAACATTTCCAATACATTAAAAGAAGTGTTTTTGAGACAGGGTCTTGCTCTGTTGCACAGATTGGAGTGCAGGTCACCATCATGGCTCATTATATCCTTAATCCCCAGGCTCAAACAATCCTCTCACCTCAACTCCTTGAGTAGCTGGGCATGCACCACCAGGTCCAGCTAATTTTAAAAAATATTTTGTAGAGATGGGGTCTTGCTATGTTGCCCAGGCTTGTCTCAAACTCCTGGCCTCAGGAGAGTCTTCCACCTATGCCTCCCAAAGTGTTGGGATTATAGGTATGAGCCACCATACCTGGCACCAATTATTTTTTGTGTTTTGTTACTTTTAAATCAAAATAGGGCTTAAATTTTAAGATCTGCTTTCTTATTTAAGTTTGTTGTAACAACTACTGTGTGTTGAACAAGAACCAATCACTTTACTCTCTTTTGCTCAATGCTGCTGGAAGGTATGAGATGGGCAGGAGGGAGCAATGACCCTAATGGGCATTCTCCCTACCTTCGATGTGCTCACAGACTCACAGAGGAGATGGCCATTCAATGAACAGCCATAGGTGAGAAGAGAATAATAAAATGAAAGATCAGAGTGCTCCAGACAGCTTTCCAGAAAATATGATACAATGGCTGAATTTCAGTTCCTTCATGGGTAAAGTAAGTGGATCACACCAAATGTTTTTAGGTACTTTCCAGCTCAAAGATTCACTGTTACTGTCATTGCAGTTTAAGACAAAAAAAAAAAAAAAACAAAACAGAAATTCTCAGAATATTACAGTTTAACTAGAAAAAGCCCATACAAAACCATGAAAAAAATGACTTGAGTCTTCTTACCATGTATAACTATTATTGTATATAATGTGCTATAGGTTTTCTTAGCTATAGATCCACAATCCCCATTTGAAAGCCTTCAAAGCACATATGTTATTGAATTTATTATTTTTCCAAACTGAACAGGTTATAAACCATAAGTAGGTCAGTGAAAGTTTTGCCACTAAATGAGCTATCAAAATAACGGCTTCGGAGCTTTTTGGATTCCAAATTGTGAGTAATGAATTGTGAAGATGCTCATTTTAGATTCATCCAAATACTGATTTGAGAGCCAGTCAAGGTAAATTGATTTATATCTGTTTCTTTGAAGCCTTGTACAATTACAACAATTACATCCAGAGCTGGAACATTTATCTCACATTTGAACTTGGGAAAGTGGGTTCTATATAGGAAAACAGAAAAATTCACATACAAGAGTATATAAAAAGTGAAAAAATTTAACAGTCTTGTGAAGACAATTGAGATTTGCATTGGGTAATCTTAGAAAAACATGATACCACAAGCCAAACAACTTTAAGGGAGAAAAGAAATTGACTCCTGAGAGTCGGGGAAAGTGACATTACTGCTGCATCTATCAAAGCATGAGCTAAGGATGAACAAATTCCATAGCCCCAAATCATCATCAGGAAAAACAATTCTCTGTAATTCCTGCACTCTGGGAGGCTGAGACTGGAGGACTGCTCGAGCTCTGGAGTTCGAGACCAGCCTGGTCAACATAGTGGGACCCTGTCTCTATAAAAATTTTCTAAATAGAAAAAAAAATTCATTGATAAAAAGTTTCCCTAACAATTAGAATTAAACAATTGGAAAGGAACTCACTTGCTTTACTGATAGCTAATTCTTTAAAAAAAAAAATACAATCTCACCACAATTTTTACATTTTTTTATCTTACTAGGTGGTAGGACTTTTAATGATGTTCTTTGCAAAGAGCATTTTTTTCTTGAATAATACAAACAGTTAAAAGATAGTAGCCTCCAATATTTAAAAGGACTTTTCTGCCCCATCTCTCCATCAAAAAAACAACAAACCAACAAAAATCAATCATGAAAAATCACATCAGAAAACGGGTCCTTCTTTCTTATCATGTACCTTCTTTGTCATTGTGGTGGATAATCGCGTCCTGTAGCATGTCCGTGAGGTTGAAGTGAACTTTCGGATTCTTCGCATGCTTCAGCCTTTTCAGGAACCCTTCCTGCTTCTGAAAAGCCTTCTCGCGCTCATAGTAGGCTTTGATTTGCTCACAGCGCATGCGCTTCACTAGACGCTGCCGTTGGCCAAGGGGAAGGGACTCTAGCAAGCACTGGTCGATTTCCATCTCATGGGATCGAAAAACGTTACATAGCTGAAAGCAACCTGGAAGAAATGCAAGGGGAGCGTCACCAGACCTATTATTATAACCACTATAAGTGTGCACCACAGCACACTTGATTTTATATTGTCCATTGCACAGGTCATAAATGCAACAATTCTCCTTGCACTTGATATTGCAAATCCAAAGCCCTTTTTATAGATTGGGGAAAAATAGTTCGTGTGTTTCTCAAGATTCTGTGGTAATAAAACAAATGATGGAATTAGACATGCATATGTAGTTAAGCTCAACACAATTACTAACCATCCATCTCTTCCTGTTTCTTTCAATCCATCCCAAAAGCCTCCAGATTTCATCACTGTGTCAAGTTCCTTCTAATTGAGTAATACTAATTTTGCATGTTAAATGTTGGCATAAAATCATTCCAAACTTTTTCAGAACAACCTAATAGATTTGCTTTTGCGTATCATGATGACTAATCATGACGCTGTTAATTTAAGGTAATAGAATATATATGCTGCCAAGT
Source organism: Homo sapiens (assembly GCF_000001405.40). NCBI lineage: Eukaryota > Metazoa > Chordata > Mammalia > Primates > Hominidae > Homo > Homo sapiens. Next base: position 108,665,403 of record NC_000013.11, on the reverse strand, counting down.
ATAATGGCTGAAGCCTGTAATCCCAGTGATTTGAGAGGCTGAGACAGGAGGATCACTTGAAGCCAGGAGTTTAAGACTTGCCTGGGCAACAATAGGAAGACCCCCATCTCTCCAAAAATAAATAAATAAATAAATAATAAATAAACTTTTAAGATAGCTAGGCATGGTGGCATGTGGCTATAGTCCCGACTGCTTGGAGGCTGAGGTGGGGGATCGCATAAGCCCAGGAGTTTAAGGTTGCAGTGAGCTAGGATTGCACCACTGCACTCCAGTCTGGGCAACAGAGTGGGGAAAACAGGAGAATATATGTGCTATCAACTCCTTATATGATACAGTGGACATTTTTCATTAATTTATTGCTAAACTCTTTTTCTCATCATCAGTGACATTCATTTCCAAGAAACCTGTGGTTAAGTATAAAGACTGAGGGTTGGCACAGAGATATTTCTCAAAATTGTGGAGAGAATTTTGGCTGCTACGGTTCTTGTTTTATTTATATAGTGATTAACAAAGTGAATTCCCATTTCTGAAACTTAAAATATCCCCCTTGTTTCAAAAGGCTACTTCCTATAAACACCAGTCAAAGCACCTGTAATGGAATTGTATAAACACTTATATTTACCACTAGGTTAAAATTTTACTATTGGCAGAAAATCAATGTTAAAGCATTAAAAATTCTAGAAGCTGGCTTGCAAACACAGATTCAGATGTGTTTATATATTCTTAAGCTATTTATGATATCAGGTCTCAAGGAGGTTAAAGTAACTATGCATGCACAAAATGTGGTTGATCATATGCCATATCCAAGAAGATTATATACTAAGGGTATAGTTCATCTTTGGAAAGATGCCCTGGTCCTTTGAAGGAACAACAAGTCATGACAACACTATTTCCACTTCTGTTTCTTGTGACACTTTCCAAGTCTTTATTCTCACAGCCGCCAGGTGCACCAGCATAAACATCCCTGTTTAGCATATAAAGAAAACCAAGTTGAGAGAGGTTGTGACTTGTCTAAGGTTAAAGAGGCAATTAGACAAACAGAATAAAAAATGCTCCATAGAGAAGAAACAAACCAAAGCACCATGATTCTCTAATGCCAGGTATTGAATATATAAGTACTTTTACATAGGATGTAGGAAGAAAAAGAAGCCATGTTGGGGGATTTTGTGTTCATTTATTTGCATTTGACAGAAGCTATACGTTTTAGTATCATATGTTTTCATAAGACTCTTCATAAGTATTCATAAAAGTGATGTGAGAAATATCAACTAACTATACATAAAATATTCCCTGTCCAGTAACCTAAACGCAAATAGACAACAGTGGTTCTGAAACGATGACAAATTGCTCTGGAGTACACTTATTTGATAAAAGCTATGATCACTGCCAGAAACAGATTGTATGAGAAAGCTCATTAATAAAGAACCATAACTGTCTTCTGCTTTCACATCTGTGTAGAAAACTGCACAGGGCTTGATTGATTGACTTTGATACTTGTGACACTTTGACTTCTGTGACTTTTCTGGCTTGTCATTAGGTGCCCAGGGGATCAACAGGGCCACAAAAAAAAGCCTAAAGAATTAAAACAAATAACATCACAGAGTGCCATGTGTTGATTAGCCAGCAGTTGATGGCTGAGGATAATTGAATAAACATAGCAGTCCTCTAGTTTGTAACTCTTAAGAAGCGTCTCTTGGTGAAATTTTCAATTAACTTTTAAAAAATCCACAGTGACAGATCATGATTCATTGAGTTTTCCCTCACAGGCTGTCAAGAGGGAATGTAGAGGGTGGCTCTTAAATCAATTTTCTTATTTTCCTTTATGATTTGGAAAACTCAAAGACCATAATTGTTAAATTTTAAGTCCATTCATGTCTCAAATCTTGATTTTTAATGTATTTTTGCTAAATAATTCCCCATGTTTTGATCTAAAACATTAGTTTATAAATTGATTCTTTTGTAATCTGAAAATTTATTGCGCATTTTGACTTTCTTTTAATCTAAGTCCAAGTGGGTCAGCTGTGTCATGTACGTATATGTCTATGAATCGATAAGATATATAATATGACCAGTTGATCTCAAAAAAAAAATAAAGAAAGAATCTATAAGATAACACAGGGATTCAGGGGATCATGGTGGACAGGAGGCAGGACTGGATTGCAGCTGCGGACAGAGCAGCATGTAGAGGCTTGCATTGTGAATTTTAGCTCCAGATTGACTTCAAGAAGAAACCAGCAATCCCGAGAGGACCCACAGATCCTCTGAAAGAAGAGGACTGCTCCTGCAGGACCTGGGAGAAACCTCAAATACTATGAGTGCCCCAACTGCAGAAGAGGGAAAGAGAGACCCTCCTTTCCCAGACACACACCCCCACTGGAGAAGGTGAAGGTCTGTCTGTGGGAGAAGTTTCCAACTTTACCTGGGGCTGAGTCAAGTTAGAGGGCTGAGCAAAATACATGGGTAGAGGAAGCAGCAGAAAGGTCCTGGGAGCTCACTGTGTCCCCAAGCAGCCCATTCCTGCCTGGCACCACAGGGATTCATTGGGAGGGTGGCCAGAGGGAGAAGGAATTCTCTAGCTGAACTTTGTAACATTTTTTAACAGGATGAGAAGCATCCTGGCCAGAACTCGGGGGAGGGTGTGAATCAGGCATGCAGACTTCACAGGCAGGGAAAGAACTAAAGCCCTTTTCTCTTGCAGCTGGAAGTTGGATAGCCTCGGGCAAGTTTTCAAACCCATCTTGCCCTCCACCTGGGAACAGACTCAGGGCTGTTGGTTTGTGGGGCACGGTGGGAGTGAGATCAGCCCTTAGGTTTGCCTGGCCCGTGACTGCCGGCTTTCCCCCAGTTCCCTGACAACCTGCATGACTCAACAGAGGCAGCCATAATCCTCCTAGGTACACAACTCCAGTGACCTGGGAATCTCACCACCATCCCCCAAAGCAGCCACAGCAAGACCCAACCAAGGAGAGTCTAAGCTCAGTCACACCTAGCCTTGTTCCCACTTAATGGTCCTTCCCTATCCACCCTGGTAGTGGCAAACAAAGGGCATTAATCTTGGAAGTTCTAGGGTTCCGTCCACTGCCAGTCCCTCTCCACACTACTACAGCTGATGCTTTCTGGAAAATGCCACCTCCTGGCAGGAGGCCAACCAGCACAAAAATAGAATATTAAACCACCAAAGCCAAGGACACTTATGCAGTCCACTGCAGCCTTCACCACCTCCACCAGAACAGGTACTGTTATCCACGGCTGAGAGACACATAGACAATTTATGTAACAGGACTCTGTGCAGACAACCCCCAGTACCAGCCTGGAGCTGGGTAGACTCACTGGGTGGCTAGACCCAGAAGAGAGACAACAATCACTGCAGTTTGGCTCACAGGAAGTCACATCCATAGGAAAATGGGGAGAGTACTACATCAAAGGAACACCCCATAGGACAGAAGAATCTGAACAACAGCCTTCAGCCCTAGACCTTTCCTCTGACAGAGGAACCCAAATGAGAAGGAACCAGAAAACCAACCCTGGTAATATGACAAAACAAGGCTCTTCAACATCCCAAAAAAATCACGTTAGTTCATCAGCAATGGATCCAAACCAAGATGAAGTCTCTGATTTACCTGAAAAAGAAATCAGAAGGATAGTTATTAAGCTAATCAGGGAGAGACCAGAGAAAGTGAAAGCCCAATGCAAGGAAATCCAAAAACTGATATGAGAAATGAAAGGGGAAATATTCATGAAAATGGATAGCTTAAAGAAAAAACAATCAAACATTTGGGAAACTTTGGACATGCTTTTAGAAATGCAAAATGCTCAGGAAAGTCTCGGCAATAGAAGTGAACAAGTAGAAGAAAGAAATTTAGAGCTTGAAGACAAAGTCTTCAAATTAACCCAATCCAACAAAGACAAAGAAAACAGAATAAGAAAATATGAACAAAGCCTCCAAGAAGTCTGGGATTATGTTAAATGACCAAACCTAAGAATAATCAGTGTACTTGAGGAAGAAGAAAATTCTGAAAAACTGGAAAACATATATGGAGGAATAATTGATGAAAATTTCCCCAGCCTTGAGAGAGACCTAGACATCTAAATAGAAGAAGCACAAAGAGCACCTGGGAAATTCATCACAAAAAAGATCACCTAGGCACATTGTCATCAGGTTATCTAAAGTTAAGATGAAGTAAAGAATCTTAAGAGCTCTGAGACAGAAGCACCAGGTAACCTAAGAAAGAAAACCTATCAGATTAACAGCAGATTTCTCAGCAGAAACCCTACAAGCTACAAGGGCTTGGGGACCTATCTTCAGCCTCCTCAAGCAAAACAATTATCAGCCAAGAATTTTGTATCCAGAGAAACCAAGCATCATACATGAAGGAAGGATACAGTTGTTTTCAGACAAACAAATGCTAACAGAATTTGCCATAACCAAACCACCACTGTAAGAACTGCTAAAAGGAGATTTAAATCATGGAAACACATCAAAACAGGACCTCTTTAAAGCATAAAGCACACAGGATCCATAAAACAAAAATACAAGTTAAAAAGCAAAAACAAAAAACAAAACCAAAGTACACAGGCAACAACAAGCATGATGTAAGCAATGATACCTCACATTTCAAAATTAACATTGAATGTAAATGGCCTAATTGCTCCACTTAAAAGACACAGAACTACAGAATGTAGAATAACTCACCAACCAGCTATCTGCTGCCTTCAAGAGACTCACCTAACACATAAGGACTCACATAAACTTAAAGTAAAGGGGTGGAAAAAGGCATTTCATGCAAATGGACACCAAAAGGAAGCAGGGGTGGCTATTCTTATATCCGAAAAAAACAAACTTTAAAGCAACAGTAGTTAAAAGAGACAAAGAGAGACATTATATAATGGTAAAAGGCCTTGCCCAACAGGAAAATATCACAATCCTAAATATATATGTACCTAACACTGGAGTTTCCAAATTTATAAAATAATTACTAATAGACCTAAGAAATTAGACAGCAACACAATGATAGTGGGGGACTCCAATACTCCATTGACAGCACTAGACAGGTCATCAAGACAGAAAGTCAACAAAGAAACAATGGATTTAAACTATACGTTGGAACAAGTGGACTTCTGACAGCTAAAGACTGGTCAACAGATACCCTTCCTCATGGGGGTCACTCAAAATTCCCTTTTAACAAGGCAAATGTCCCCTGAAAAACACTTCAATTCCTATTGCTTGCTTTATTTTTCTCCTTAGTATTTATCACTCTTATACTTCTACAATAGCTACCTATCTAATTATTTATTTATTTTAGAGATGGGGTCTTGCTCTGTTGCCCAGGCTAGAGTGCAGTGGCATAATCATAGCTCACTGCAGCTTCAAACTCCTGGCCTCAAGTGATTCTCCCACTTCAGCCTCCCAAGTAGCTGGGACTGCAGGCATTTACCACCACACACGGCTCTCCTACAATATCAATTACTATCCTTCAACCGTACATTATACTAATATCTATACTAATCGATTTCCTAAAATACAATTCTATATATTTTCTTATTGCTTTAGTAAGCCCCATAAAGGCAGGAACTTGGGCTGTTTCTTCCCCTGCTTACTTTCAGCCTCTGGAACAGGAGGTAGTCAATAGTTTTGCTGTTGTTGTTGAATGAAATTGCAGAACGGACAATTATGTTGATGGAAGAAATATCACACTCTTTATTAGGACCTAATCCAGCACTTAACATGTGGCAGATAAATGCTTAGTCCTGCTCTTACAGAAATGCAAGATGACACCGTGTTCCCATCTAACTGCTTTTCCTTACAAAATTATCTGGCCTGAGGCAGTGTCATGAAGCTCATCTTTGTAATGGATTTCTTATCTCCAGTGTTACACTTTTTTAGGGGGGCAAGGGAGGTGGCAGGGATTCTACATATATGGTTATCCTGCAATTCCAGATAAAAGTTTATGGCCAGAAGCCCCTGCTCAGCGAGTGCGTACCTCTGTAGGACTAAACTTGAAAGCCAGGAAATATCTGACATCTAGTTATATATCTATACCTAGACATCTAAATAGATGTGTTTGTGTATGTGTGTGTATATATGTGTATTATATATGTATATAATATGATATATATGTATACTATCATATATATGATATATATATATCATATATATCATATATAGCATATATATATCATATATATATACACACACACACACACATATATATACACACATGGTTTCCATGCACCTTGGTTTGGAGGACCCTATGCACTGTGTCATGATGTCGAGACATTATGTTATAACTAACTAGAAATATAAAGAGTAAAGTGAAGAGGAAAATGAACTAAAAAAAAAAAGAATATGTAAATTTATTCTGCTGTACAACTACCGGAAATGCCCCATGTCATCTAGAATAAAAATCTTCCTGTGGCCATGGTACTCTCAGTGTTCAAGATTTTTAAGCAAATCTCTCTGTGATTGCTAAAGAGGCAAAACATTACTAAGAGCACAGAAAATTTGATCTAAGTACATTTATAGAAACTTGCAGACAATTTGCAGGAAACATTCTTTTCCAAGAATTCATAGATGATTTATGATATTAACTGTCTCTTAGGCCATAAAGCAAAGCAAATCTCAATAAATTCTGAGGAACCAAAATTACACAGGCGTTTTCTTAACATAATTGAAAATGGAATATCAACTAAAGAAATGAAACCATACCTCCCCATATGTTCAGAAACTTACAAAGCCAATTCTACATAAAGCATGGTTCAGAGAAGAAAACATCACAGAAATAATACATTTTTAGAATTAACCATTGATGAAAGGAGATCCATCACAATTTTGTGGATAAAACTAAAGCAATTCATAGAAATAAATTATTAACTTTAAATACATTTTAGAAAAGAATATAGTTTTAAAGTCAATAAGCGAAGTATCTGGCACATGAATTTAGAAAACACACACACACACACACACACACACACACACAAAGTTGAAACAAAAAAAAGAAGGAAGAAAATAAAATGATGCTATTAATTAATAGACATGAAACAAGAAAAGAGGAAAGGTGAAGAAAGACGTGAGAAATTGACAATTTCTAGAACAATATAACTTACAAAAAGTGACTCAAGAAGAAGTGGAAAATGAACCAATTTATGCAATCATTGTATAAATTAAATCAGTTTTTAAAAATCTATAGACCAGAAATAAAAACAAACAAACAAAATGACCCAAATGATTTAACCTGTCTTTAAGGCAGAGATAACCTGCATTTTCATCCAGTTCTTTCGTACAATAGAAAAAGAAGAAAATTACCTCAGTTCATTTTCTGAGACAAGCATAAGCTCGATACCAAAATGAGGCCATCCCAAAAAGGAGATTACAGGTCAATCTCTTGTATAAACACATGCAAATAGCCTACGTGCATACATATTAGCAAAATGAACCCATGAATGTATAGTTTGTCAGCAGAATGAAAGGGTGGCTTATTTTAAAACATTAAATTGTGTTTAAAATTTAGAAAAAGAAGGCCCTTTATTGCTGCTTTTATTCTACCTCAAAATGAAGGTCTTAGCATAGAAAAAAATAGAAAAATATATAAGGAGCATAAAATGTGGGTAGGAAGAGGAAAAAAGTCAGTTATTATTGTAAATACTGTTAGCTACATAGAGAAACCAACACACCCTATGAGTCAGCTATTAGGAGTGATAGTCCGGAACTTTGCTGAATGCAAGTCAAAATACACACAGAAGAAGAGAGCTACATTTTCAAACCTAACAAAAGATGTTCCACCTTATTAACATATAGGAAAATGTAAGAAGATAAAAAAACATTGATTAAGTTTACAAATGTCATTACAATTAAAAAGCAAACTGGAAATATTTAATAAAATGTAGAATCATCTTTCCTACAACCAAGATATATATTTCTTCCACCTCTCGAAATATGCTGCAGATAAAATTAAACAAACACAAAATAGTATAGCATTCATTAAAAAAATTACAGGTAATAAAAATAAACCTTTCATAACTTCTCCTCTATTTTTGGAGGATATAAATCTATTAGGTCACCTTCTCTCTTCGACATTTCCTAACTGTGGCTTTGGTAGAGGAATAGACACTTAGACCAGTGGAACAGAACACAGAACAAAGCAAAAGCTCTACACAAACACAGCCACCTGATTGGTGACAGAGGTCCAAAGAGCTAGACAATGGAGGGAGCATATTCAGATTATGATTACAATTAAAATATTACAGCTATTGAGAAAAATATTTTGGCAATTTCTGTAGCTACAGTATGTAGTAACATTTCTAGATGAAATTATGTGGTTCATTAAGACCGTTCAAGATGATATTCAACATAGGAGGCCTGGAAGCTTCAGCTGCAGCAGGCGTATGTGCCTTCTTAGGTGAGCCTCTTAGAGGGATGTGTGGTGGACACTGGCAGCCTGCTGTCTGGTGCTGAGTCAGCTGTCTCCATAGAGCACCAAGGAAACGGGACAATTAGGATGGAGTACCTGTTTTCACTGATTGCTTTTTCTTTAACTTTTGTACTGGATTTATTGGTTATTATTCACCCTTTATGAGTAGAACTCAAAAAGCTGAGAATGAAGCGGATTCTGGTGAAAGGTTCAGTATGAATCTATTATGGGCATGAATGGAAATAAACTGCTTATTGCCCTACTTTTTTTCCAAAAGGAAAATGAATCAACAGAAGGAAATAAAATAATTGTTGGAATATTTTCTGTAAAGGAAAACAAAATTGACTTTATCATTTATGAGTAAGAATGTATATTTATTTATCTGATGTGGATGAATTATGTTTCAATCACTTCTCCTTATATTTTCAATTTAGGAGATGCTTTATATCGAAGATCTCAGACATTTGGAATATGGAAGTGGGCACTATTGATGTCCTGCCCAATGCCCTTTACCCATCCCCCGCTGACCTGGTATATTAGTCCATTTTCATGTTGCTGATAAAGACATACACAAGACTGAGAAGAAAAAGAGGTTTAATTGGACTTACAGTTCCCTATGGTTGGAGAGGCCTCAGAATCATGGCAGGAGGCAAAAGGCACTTCTTAACATGGCAGTGGCGAGAGAAAATGAGGAAGATGCAAAAATGGAAACCCCTGATAAAACCATCAGATCTCCTGAGATTAATCCCTACCACGAGAGTAGTATGGGGGAAACTGCTCCCATGATTCAAATTATCTCCAACTGGGTGCCTCCCACAACATGTGGGAGTTATGGGAGAATAATTCAAGATGAGATTTGGGTGGGGACACAGCCAAACCATATCATTCTGCCCCTAGCCCCTCCAAATCTCATGTCCTCACATTTCAAAACAAATCATGCCTTCCCAACAATCCCCCAAAGTCTTAATTCATTTCAGCATTAACCCAAAGGTCCACAGTCCAAAGTCTCATCTGAAACAAGGCAAGTCCCTTATGCCTATGAGCCTGTAAAATCGAAAGCAAGCTAGTTACTTCCTAGATACAATGCTAGTACAGGTATTGGGTAAATACAGCCATTCCAAATGAGAGAAACTGGCCAAAACAAAGGGGTTACAGAACCCATGCAAGTCTAAAATACAGTGGGGCAGTCACATTTTAAAGCTCCAAAATGATCTCCTTTGACTCCAGGTCTCACATCCAGGTCACATTGATGCAAGAGGTAGGTTCCCATAGTCTTGGGCAGCTCCACCCCTGTGGCTTTGCAGGGTATAGCCCCGGCTCCTGGCTGCTTTCATGGGCTGGCATTGAGTGCCTGCGACTTTTCCAGGTGTGTGGTGCAAGCTGTCGATGGATCTACCATTCTGGGGTCTGGAAGATGGTGGCTCTCTTCCCAAAGCTCCACTAGGCAGTGCCCCAGTGGAGGCTCTGACCCCACATTTCCCTTCCACACTGCCCTAGCTGAGGTCCTCCATGAGGGCCACGCCGCTGCCGCAGACTTTTGCCTGGGCATCCAGGCATTTCCATACATCTTCTCAAATATAGGTGGAGGTTCCCAAACTCCAATTTTTGACTTCTGTGTACCTGCAGGCTCAACATCATGTGGAAGCTGCCAAGGTTTGTGGCTTGCACTCCCTGACACCATGGGCCCAGCTGGACCTTGGCCCCTTTTAGCAATAGCTGGAGAGGCTGGGACGCAGGACACTAAGTCCCTAGGCTGCACACAACATAGGGACCCTGGGCCTGGCCCATGAAACCTTTGTTTTTTCCTATGCTTCTGGGTCTGTGAGGAGAGCGGCTATCATAAAGACCTATGACATGCCTTGGAGACATTTTCTCCATTGTCTTGGGGATTAACATTCGGCTGCTTGTTACTTATGCAAATTTCTGCAGTCAGCTTGAATTTCTTCTCAGAAAATGGGTTTTTCTTTTCTACGCATCATCAGGCTGCACATTTTCTGAACTCTTATGCTCTGTTTCCCTTTTAAAATGGAATGCTTTTAACAGCACCCAGGTCACCTCTTAAATACTTTGCTGCTTAGAAATTTCTTCCACCAGATGGGCTAAATCATCTCTATCAAGTTCAAAGTTCCACAATTCTCTAGTGTAGGGGCAAAATGCCACCATTCTCTTTGCTAAAACGTAGCAAGAGTCACCTTTGCTCCAGTTCCCAACAAGTTTCTCATCTCCATCTGAGACCACCTCAGCCTGGACCTTATTGTTCATATCACTATCAGCATTTTTGTCAAAGCCATTCAACAAATCTCTAGGAAGTTCCAAACTTTCCTACATTTTCCTGTTTTCTTCTGAGCCCTCCAAACTGTTCAAACCTCTGCCTGTTATGCAGTTCCAAAGTTACTTCCACATTTTCGGGTATGTTTTCAGCAACACCCCACTCTACTGATACCAGTTTACTGTATTAGTCAATTTTCGTGCTGCTGATAAAGACATATCCAAGACTGGGAAGGAAAAGAGGTTTAATTGGACATACAATTCCACATGGCTGGGGACGCCTCAGAATCATGGCGGAAGGCAAAAGGCACTTCTTACATGGCAGCAGCAAGAGAAAATGAGGAAGATGCAGAAATGCAAACCCCTGATAAAACCATCAGATCTCGTGAGACTTCCTAGCACGAGAACAGTATGGGGGAAACCGCCCCCGTGATTCAAATTATCTCCCACTGGGTTCCTCCCACAACATGTGGGAATTATGGGAATGCAATTCAAGATGAGAACTGGGTGGGAACACAGAGCCAAAGCGTGTCACCTTGGTACTGGCTGGAAGGATTCACAGCTGTCCCCTCCTCTAGACAATTGCCCTGTCAGCCTCAGCCTCCTAGGGAATGGAATACCCTAACCCCATCCCATAAGCCATAGTCACTGAGAGACCTACACAAGGATACAAAAACATGTCCCCTTGACTCAAGCAGAGACACTCCATGCTGTGACTTGTACCCTAAAGCAAAGTGGATTGGAATGATAATAGACTCTGCCAAAGACTACATAGTTTTTCTGCTCTTTTCTGTTCTATGCCCTGCTTCCTTCACTCCCTTATGGGTTTTCTCTGTTGAGCTGTCTCAATACATAGGAATGTGCACCTGACTCTTCATTCTCTGCTTCTAGGGGACACAGTCTATATAAGAATATATATATATATACACACATATATATATATGTATATATATGCATGTGTGTGTGTGCATATAAGCATATATATCCTCTTCCATTTTCTAACAACATTCATGTTTTACACCGGGGGAAGAATATATTTTAATACAAACAAATGTTATCAAAGATTGAACATACTAAATGATACCAGTTTTCAAAACTGAAAAATAATAATAAAAGAACAAAAATAACATACATGCAAAAAAATAAAATTGGACTTATTTTACATTATATACAAAATTAATTCAAAATGGATTGAAGACCTAAAATTGTAAAACTCTTAGAAAAAAACACAGGGAAAAAATCTTTATGACATTTATGACATTGGACTTGGCAATGAATTCTAGCTATGACACCAAAAGCACAGACAGAAAAAGCAAAAATAGACGAATGAGACTACATCAAACTTAAAAACTTCTGTGCATAAAAGTACATAAGCATCACAGTGAAAAGGCAGCTTACAGAATGGGAGAAAATATTTACCCTTATACACCTAATAGGAGATTAATATCTAGAACACATAAAGAACTCTTAGAACTCAGCAACAAAAAATCAAATAATCTGATTAAAAATGGGAAAAGGACTTGAATAGATATTTTTCCAAAGATGATATACAAATTCCCAACAAGCATATAAAGATATGCTCAACATCATTGATCATCAGAGAAATGCAAGTCAAAACCACAACAGGTTATGACCTCATATCTGAGAGAATAGCTACTATCAAAGAAACAGAAAATACAAAGCATTGGTGAGGATGTAGAGAAATTGTAACACTTGTTCACTGTTGGGATTGTAAAGTGGTGCAGCCATTGTGAAAAACAGTTTGGAGTATTCTCAAAAAATGAAAACTTCAACTATCATATGATCTGACAATGCTACTTCTGGGTATACATCAAAATAATTGAAAGCAGGGTGTTGGAGAGATATTTGTATACCCACGTTTACAAAAGCTCTATTCAAAATTGCCAAGAAGTGGAAGCAGATGTCCATAGATGAATGGATAAACAAAACATGGTATACATGTATAATGGAATATTATTCAGCCTACAGTGGAAGAGGTTCTTGTACATGCCACAACATGGATGGATATTGAAGACACTTTTTAAGTGAAATAAACTGATCACTAAAAGATAAATACTGTAGGATTCCACTTATATGAGGCTTCTAAAGAGGTCAAACTCAGAAGCAGAAAGTAGAATGATGGTTGCCAGGGACTGAGGCAAGATGAGAGTTGACGTTGAATGGGTACAGAGCTTCAGAATGACAAAATGAAATGTTCAGGAAATCTGTTTCATAACAATGAGAATATACTTAACATTCCTGAACTGTACACTTAAAAATGGTTGCAATGGTACATTTTATGTTATGTGTTCTTACCACTATAGGAACATGAAAGAAAGTGATAAGACACAAGCAGCTAGATTATGGGGCTTTAAAAACATATATACATAGCTGAAGTATTTCACAAATAATGTAGTCACAAACTTATTGTTTACCCTATTTTACAAAAGTATTTGCTAGGAATTCTGAGAGGCCAAAAGATAGTTGTTCAGGAATTAGCATGCTTACATGCAGGTGCTGTAGACACACAGACACATTCACACACACACACGCGCACACATGCGCGCGCGCGCACACACACACACATTGGTATCTGTGCTCCTAACAACTCCTCTAGCAGAAGTTTTATTCTCAGAATCCATTGTTATAACACTCTTCCAAAGACTTTTTTTTTACTGCATATACAATGACGATGAAACAAAGGAACAATGTGGATTCTCAAAGACAAGAGTATAATCAATTTCAACCTACTCCCCCAGAGCCTAAAAAAAATAACCCCTCCTTAAGCACTGAAGTCTTTAAAATGTGTTGGATTTTACCATCCTTGTAATCAAGCTGCAGGTCTATATCCCTCTTTATAGAGCAATAAATAGTTGAAAGAAATTACATGTGTGCAACATATAGACGCTATGCCCTAAAATATTTGAGGATTTAGTTCTACACATAATCCTGCACCTAAACACTTCTCTGAAAGACAGAGAAATAAACCTAAATAATTTAAATTCTTCTCAAGAAAGTCAACAATATTTTTCATTTCACTAGTTTACAGCTATCTCTTAATTCTTTAAATTATGTATCAATAGGCCATTTCTTGTGTTTCCATCCAATTATTTGGGCATGTTTATCTGGTAAGAGAATGTAGTAAGTATTTTCTCTTTAAAATGGAAATAACACCAATACACATGACATAAAAATTACTGTATAATGTAAGGTATATTTACTTTTTGCACATCCATCTATGCTTTCTGACACTTACTATTTCCCTTACCATATTTCGTAAACAACAAGTGATTTGGTCATGATCAAAAGCTTTCAGTGGATATAGATTTACAGTCATAATTCTTTCTAGGGTTCGTTTCAGGGTAATAATAAAACTGAAGTTTCTCCTCATGATGTGATGTTTCTGCTTCATTATCCCAGTAGACCCAGCTGTCCAGTCAAACCTATGGCTGACAGAGTGTACTATGCCCTGCAGGTTGTGCCACAGACAGCTCCAAAGTCATATCCAAGTGCTAAGGCCCCAGCGCACAGAGTGCTGCAGGGCACCCACCGGCCAGGTTCCCTGCAGAGACCAGCCAGCTACATCCAGGCTCTGGAGAGCCTGCTGATTTGAAGCCCTGCCCTGGGAACCAACTGCACAGTGCCAAATCTTCACTCAACCGTTTATTGCTTGTGTGACTTTGGGCAGATTCCTTTTCCTCTCTGTGTCTCGTGTCTACCTCACAGGGATGATCCAATGATAAAATGCATGTGAAGCATCAGCCAAGGGTCTGGCACATCCCATCGTAGCTACTGACTTATCAGATGACAATTTCTCTAAAAAATCTGGCCCTTTAAGATCAGAACTGCCTCCTATGGCTGTTTCCAGATGCCTTCAGATGAAGCGTCATATGCTGCACACCAGAACCTGTCTTTTCCTAAATGCCCCTGCCATTCTAAACACCATGCCTCCACTACTGAGCGTCTTCAAGATGTAAGAGCTCAAATTGTTGCTCTATTTCTTCCAAGAGAGGATGATGCTTTGGAATTAAGACAGTCTCAGACAAGCTTGGATTCCTGGCCCAAACAGGCTATATCCCAAAAGAGAAGTTCTCTTTGGTTTTATACTCAGTAAAATAAATTTAGATGCTCTACCCTAAATATACATTTTTGAACCCTCAAATGTTGAACGATCTTTCTGCTCTGAATCCATATCTACATATTTCATCTTTGATCAACATCTTCAATTCCGGTTGGAAGAGACTCAGCTCACTGTTCCTGCCAGAAAGGTATTTAATAGGCAAATTCTCTGGTGCTCAGACAGTCTCAGACAGGATTCCCTCCTATAGAAACAGAAGCCCTTGCTGGCTCCATTCAGGCAGCTTCCTGGATGCCTTTAGTCTGAGTCTGAAGCAACATTGCAAAATGAACATTACACATTTTAGATACAAGACTAACGAGCATATACTTTATATTAATGATTTCTCTTAAATTTCTTTGTTTTTAATTTAAAAGTATGTATGTATGTGTGTAACTTAAATTTCATGATTGCAAGTAAAACTGAAAAAAATGCATGATTTTCATGTGTCTTGACAATAATTTTATTTAAAATATTATTTTGATATAAAATATTTGCTATTTAATTTTTTGATATAAAACATTTTCAGTACTAAAAGGCCTGAGACAAAACTAAAGTTCACATTTAATATTAAATTTTGGCTTTACAATGCCTGTTTTATTTTTCTTTTCACTGTAAATACATTTGGGAAAAATAAGATGCTAAAATCTCTATTGTCATTTTTAGGTTTTACATATATTTTATAGTTTTTCATGATTTTCATTCCGCTTTTTATTAATTTCTAAGACACATTCAGATGAAAGAAATTCTGCAAGGTCAATTTAAAGATCAATGCAAGAACACAGAAACCAATTCACAGATAAGTTTCTCTGTGTCCAACATAAGAACCCTCCTCATTGCAAGTCTTAATTATTGCATTAAACACCCTTGGCTTTATTCTCTCACCACTTCACTCTACTATGTAGACTTTAAAAACAAGTTTGTTATTATACCAATTCAGAATAATGGTATACAAATAATGGTATAGAAATGGTATAGAAATAGTCAATGGTTCTACCTTGCTTATTGAAGGTTAATACTAATTTGTATTCAAAATAAAGTCAGCTTTTTCCATATATCTTCCATCCTTATTCCTATTTTCCTGCTACTCCATTATACAGATTCTGCCATTTTCATTAACCATCTAGAGTGTTCCATTATTTTTTCTGGGAGCATCCTTCCCCTGGAGAAGCACCTCATATCTGTCACTCCATGTGGTCCTGAAAGTTAGTAGAAACATTGTCCAAGTCAACTGCCCACGGGACTGGAAATCTGAACTGGGCTGAGCCCACCATAATGGCTCTGACACTGACAATCAATGACTGATTCCAGTGTAGGACCTGGCCCTAGTGGGACAATTCAGGATCTTTCCTTTAAGTTTGATAAATGGACACTGGAATTTTTTTTATTATACTTTAAGTTTTAGGGGACATGTGCACAACGTGCAGGTTAGTTACATACGTATCCATGCGCCATATTGGTGTGCTGCACCCATTAACTCATCATTTAACATTAGGTATAGCTCCTAATGCTATCCCTCCCCCCTCCCCCCATCCCACAACAGGCCCTGGTGTGTGATGTTCCCCTTCCTGGGACACTGGAATATTTTTTTAATGCCCTCTCTGTTGTTTAAATATCAGCCCATGAGGATATCATGGCTGTCAATGTCAATCTCTTCTGAGACAGAAAAAGAGAGAGAAAGAGATGCAGAGAGAGAGAGAGAGAGAGAATTAGAATGGAAAATATCAGTCAAATCCCCTGACCCCTGATCCAGCAATACATGAAGCCACTGGCATTCAGATTTTCTGAGTATAAGGGCCATTTTCCAAATATAAAAGCCAATACATTCCCTTTTGTATTTAAACCATTATGAGTTGATTTCTGCCAGTGGCAACCAAGTGACTCGTGTAATATAAAAATCCATAAAGATCGATTTCTTTGTGCCAAAGGACATATGTCTTTGGCATAACTAGTTCTGCCCTCTTTTGAATGTATAGCTTATTTCAACAAGTAGGACAAGAGTTTATATTTTGTATTATATAGAATATTTATTATATATTATTTATTTTTAAATAATACATTTTCTGATATCAGAAAGCTTCATATTTTGTGTTCAGTATGTGCTGTGCTTATAATGAGAACAACAATTCCCTTCAGTCAGTCAATTCTTCATAAACAAGGAATTCATTGAATGTCCTCTCTGCACTTGGCTGTGAACTAAGACATAAAAAGGTAGAAGATAAAATCCCTGGTCATGAAGACATAGCCATGGGGTTGAGTGTGCACACATGTAAGAAAGAGTTGAGAGGCAGTGAAAATCAGTATTCAGTGCTTCTCCTCCTGGGATATGGAGACACCACTGACCATGCCCAGGGAATATTAAAGCCAGAGAAGGACCAGGGAGCATATTACTGGATCATGTAAGTTAAGTTTGACCATCTTTGTCCCATTATGGCCCATTGAGCCCAATTCTTGCACTGTACTCTTTTTAATATCTGAATGTATCTGAAAAGTTGATGTAAAGCAGTTGGCTCACCACATAATTATGCTCTTATGATGAAAGGGAGACTTTAATCAGTATTCTTCCTTTCCCTCTGCCCTATAGACCATAAACTTCATGAATACAGGGGCCATCTCTGTTTTGGTTACAGTTGCATTTACAGAGCATATCAAGGGTCCTGTCATGTTAAAGGAACTCATTCATTCATTCATCTGCTAATGTATCCAATCATTCATTCATCTGCTAATGTATTCAATCATTCAAATCTATTATTTGGAATTTGCTATATGCAAAGCTTTGTATTTAGACATTTGATGGTTACAAGTTTAATAAGTTACTTTGCATTGATACTGTTTACCAAGTAGGATAAAGAAGATAGTCACTGAAATATACCTATATCTAAAAAAGAGGAATGGACAAAGTGCTAAGTTAACTCATACATAAAGAGAATTTAGTACTTAGAGATTCTGTGCCTTTTGATCTGAAATTTAATCACAGCTAAAAATTTTAAATTCAAAGATGAGAAAAAATTTCTCAATTTTAAGTTGAGAAAAAAATGGAAAAAAGGCAGAAGTTATAGGATAATTTCAAGCACTTATCAGTTTGGCAGAAGCAAAGATACATAAGGGTGAAAAGTTGAAAATAAAGCTAAAACAAGAATTGGAATCTCCACATTTCTGAGAGAGTAAAAATAGTTTCATCATTTTCAGTTCTGCCACAGGAACCATTAAAGATTTGCAAACAGCATTACAAAAAAATAGTGGAGTCCATCAAAAATCTGGAGGCTTCTAGAGCAGCTCATAGAGAGACATGGTAGGGAGCATCTTCCCGAAGCATATGCACTAATTCTGGGTGAAAGTTAGGAGAGTCTGAGTTCGAACAAAAAAAATGCAATGCCGGGGTAAATGATAGGGATTATGAAGAGAAAGAACCTTTGAGAGATGGTGAATTGCCCTACTGGGTGACAAGGGAGAAAGTGGAGTCAGAAGGTAGAGAAAGAAAAGTCTCTGAACTTTCAAACTGCAGTGACAAGAATAAAGGTAAAACCATCAATCACAAGGGAAAATGCCATGGATTTAGAAGAGGGGCAAATATATGCATGCATATGACTGTGATACAAATGTATCAATTATCAATTCATATGTATCAGAGTACATATATATAGTGTTCGCTGACAATGCTTCAAGTAGGAAATGTCCATCAAGCAACTGGAATAGTTTACAGATATTAGCTGCATACAGTTTCTTTAAACTAGCTGTAAGTTTATATACACAAGCAGAAGTTTCATCCTATTATATATTTTAAAGCTGTAAAAATGAGAAAATATTGCAATATGTGATTTTCAAAGGGGTGCATTTAATTATTTCTAAATAATGTCAAAATTACCAATATTGTCTCTTTTTGACAGATTAGTCACAGAATACTTTCATAGCACAATGGCCTAAATATACCTATATCTAAAGGAGAGGACTAGATATAGTGCTCAGTTCACTCAGATGGAAGGAGAATTTAGTGCTTGGAGAAGGTCAAGTTAGATTTCATGCCTTTTGATCTGAAATTTGATAAAGGCTAAAATTTTGAAATTCAAAGATGAAGGCTTAATGCCAATTTACAAATTCTACAGAATGACATAAATTGCTTAATCATGAGTTGAAGAGAGACACGAGGAATTCCCTTAATGCATAACAGATTTTTTTCCATAACTTTGATTACTACCCTTTAATACAACAATTTCATAGCTGAGTTTGAATTGAGTCAACTAAAATATTTTTCTGAATATATTAATAAAATGGGGTTATGTGGTTCATCTGTGTGCCTCTAAAATCTTTGGTCATGTGTTAAAAATTAATTGAAGAACACAGAAAGAAAAGCATGCTAAAAACTACATCATGGATGATATAATCCAGATACATTAAGAAAATTTTAACAAGGGAAAAAAAGAAAATCAAACTAACAAACAAGAAAAGCCCTCCTTTTTCTTACTTTCCTTTCATGGGAGCTACCACTTTCTCCTCATGCAGACATGTGATCACAAACTAAGGAACCAGGAAAAATGTAGTGCCCCAGAGGACAGGGGTCACCTACAGTCAGCCTGAAACTTGGGCAGGGCTGAGGCAGGGCTGGGAGTAAGTGCATACCTTGTAAGCACTTCTAAGAGGGTTTCCCACCTGGCTCTTGAGTCCCCACCTTCCTGCACCCTGGGGCAGGACTACTTATGCTCTGTTCAGTCTGAGCTGGGAAACTTGGAGGTACTGATTCCGCTTCCTCTGTGGATCCAGCGTCAAGTCTTTGGCATAGGGAAAGGTGGAGAATGTACAAGGTAGATGTGGAAGATAAAACAGGTGGGATAGGCAGTGTTGGGTGGTAATGCCACCTGAGGCCATTATGCATTCCTTTCAGACACTCATAGCCTCCTCCTGATCTATCACCCTCCATGTAATTCCAGTCAACATTGATCCATCATCTTCTGCAACTCAGTATGTTTCCTCAGCAAAGTCACAGCTGGTAAGGGGAAAACCACTGGCGATCTTTTCCCCAGAATCCTTGTAGATGAACGAGACCATACTCCTTATTTTGTGGGAGGTGGAAGGAGGTTGGTGGAAGGAGGTTGGTGGAAGGAGATCGGGGCACAGAGTAGGCAAGTTTGAGTTCTCTGAATGTTAGGAATCACATTGAGAGCCTTTTTAAAGCTACAGGAGACAGCGTACATACCAAACTTACAAGGTGTAGAGGTCATTTTCGACACTGCAAACTATCGTAGACACTGGGGAATCAAGAAAAGAACTGCTGAAACATGACTTCATTAAAGAACATTTATGACCGTCTTTTATGTGTACTGATTACTATTGATGACTCAATCTCTTTTACCAAATACTATTGTAAGTAGCATGAAAATGTGTCAGATCTTATCAATGTAAGTTTGGTTTTAACTCCAAACCAGCTTTATTATATGATCAGTCTTGGCCTGATGTTCCAGACCTAGCTTAGATCTGGTCCAAAGTAAGCCCTCATCATGAGTAAGGAAGACTCAGGAGACCTGTCATGGCCACTGCCTCTTGTCTTGTCCCCACCCCTGATGTCTCTGCTACTGTTTCCTGGGGGTGCAGGGATAAGGCACAGAACTGCTAGAAACCAGCCCAAAACAACACTCTGCAACTTCTAAATTTTCATAAAACCAGTAAAGAATGCTGCTGGTATTATCCTACTTATACTCTTGGAATAAAATTGCCACTATTAACTTCATCAAACACTCTTAACCAAACATCCTAAAAATATTTTCAGACTATACTCCAGACTATATTTTTAAACCAGTGTCTTCTGGCCTGTTCATGGGTGTGAGGGTTGAACACAGATTTGTCTTTCTATGGCCTTCATTGACACTACCGAAAGCTAATTATTTAAATATACTTTTGAAATGTCATTTATGCTTGAATCAATGATGAAGATAAGGGAATGTTAGATAAGAAAATGAGAAAAAAAAAGATGTTAAATGCTATGCATTTTAGAGACTGTTAATTAAAATTTGGAGCTTGAGTTCATTAAGAATTTCTTCTTTACAAAGCAGTTTGAAATGTAAACAGACTATGGGTCTTCCATTAAAAAACACCATTGCTACTAATTATTTAAAGAGCAAATCTTTCCCATTGTGTTAACAGAGTTAAAGAGGATTAAGGTTTATTATTTCAGCTCATGGGTTGCAGTAATTTAAACAGATGATAGATAGATAGATAGATAGATAGATAGATAGATAGATAGATAGATAGATAGACAGACAGACAGATAGATGGTAGAATAAATGCTCCAACCATTTTAGACCAGGTACCTGGAAAGGGAGTGGAGTGGTGGGAGTGTAAGAACCCTGGAAATCAGAAACTGGAAGACATCAAAAGTGACACTGTGGGAGCATCCCTGGGCTGACACTGCTAGACCACATAGCCATGGAAACCAGAAGCCTATTATGTAAGCAGAATGAGCTCAGGAATTTCTCCCCGTCTCAGAGCTGAGGATCCGAAACTCAAGAGCCAGGTAAAGAAAGAGGAACCCCAGGCTGGACCCAGGAAACTGGGCCCAGGACATAATGGACACAGTGGAAGGAGAAAGCCCAGAAATATTCTGTGTTGAACTTGCCCAGTTGAGATTTTTTGAAAGTAGAATGGTTTACCTAATATTTCCCATCCCATGGCTTAATAATTAAATCACAATGGTTTGAGTACAGCACTTTTATGATTTCTGCTAGTGAAATCCTCCATGGCAGGCCAAGAATTTCAGTGTCTCAAGATACAAGGGAAATCCCAGTCCTAAGTATTTAAGTGTTTACCTGAGGCAAATAAAACCACGCGCCCATGCAAAACAAACAAACTTGTCTTTGAATATTTATAAAGGCTCTACTCATAATAGCCCCAAACTGGAAACAAATAAATGCCCACAAACTAGTGAATGGGGTGCACACACTGTGATATATCCATCAAAGAGAATCCTACTCAACAATAAAAATGAATAAACCTGTGATATATGCATCAACATGGATGATTGCCAGATGCATCATGCTGAAGAATGAAAGCCAATCTTTTTAAACAACTAAACACACTTGCCATACCCAGCAATTGCACTCTTGAACATTTACTAAAGGAAATGAAAACTTACATCCACACAAGAACCAGTACAGGATTCTTCATAGTAACTTTACTTGTAATAGACAAAAGCTACAATCAACCGGAATGTCTTTCAATAGGTGAATAGTTCAACAAACCATGGCGCATCCACACCACCGAACACCACTCAGTAATTAAAAGGAAGAAGCATTGGTAGACAACAACTTGGCTGGATCTCAAGGGCATGATGTTGAATTTTAAAAGCCAATCTCAGAAGATCACATATTGTACAACTTCATTTACATGACATTCTGGAAAAGGCAAAGCTATAAAAACAGAAATCAGATCTGTGATTGACAGAGGCTAGTGATTATGGAAGGAGATTGACTATAAAGGACACAAGGGAACTCTTTGGAGTGAGAAAAATATTCTATATGTTCATTGTGGGTCCCTTACATGGTGGGTCCCTCATTTGTCAAATTTTTTTTTAACTATACACCTAAAAATAAGTTCTGTATGTAAATTATACCTCCATAAACCTGACTTAACAAAATAGACCAAAACAATAATGGAAGAGTTACATCTAGAACCAGACTTTCAGAAAGTTAAGAGGCAAAGTGTTGAAATAAATCTACAAAATACTGAGGGGATTCAGTTATGTGCTGTCATAATGAACATTTTTAATAAGACAAAATTTGGGGGGGTAGGATTAGTAAATAAAACTAATTATTTTTTAAATGATAGAAAAGAAGTCTTGTGAACAGATGCCAGCCTCTGTCACTTACTATAAATCAGAGGGGTCAGATAAAAGAAACACCCAAAGGCCGGGCACGGTGGCTCACACCTGTAATCCCAGCACTTTGGGAGGCCTAGGCGAGCAGATCACCTGAGGTCAGGAGTTTGAGACCAGCCTGGCCAACATGGTGAAACCCTGTCTCTACTAAAAATACAAAAATTAGCTGGGCGTGGTGGTGCATGCCTGTAGTCTCAGCTACTCGGGAGGCTGAGGCATGACAATCGCTTGAACCAAGGTCACGCCACTCCACTCCAGTCTGGGTGACAGAGCGAGACTTCATCTCCAAAAACAAACAAACAAAAACACCCAAAGTTACCAACGTGTCTGATTAAAGTGGGGAAGAGCATAGTAACTCCATTCCTGCCCTAGTCTCTCAATCTGCATGGTGCATCACACATTTCCAAGAGCTTTCACATGTTGTTACTAGACTGCAGACTGGGGTTCAGTCAAAAAATACGTCCTTTCACGTCCACAGTCTCATGCCACGGGCAGTGCCTGTACCTGCACTGTCTCCTGCAGTGGCTCAGTAAGAGCTGATTGTATAGTTGGGTGACTGCAAAATGGATAAAGGAAAGAATAACGGTAAGGAGAAGTTATTAATAAATTGATTGACTTTCACAGCTACCTAGGAAATGAATTGGGATGGTATCATTGGCCTCATTTTTCAAATGAGGAAATTAAGTACCAAGCCCTAGAAGAGTTAAGTGATGATAAAAATTGCAAAGTAGCTAAGAGACCCTAGGATTGACCCTGTGGTCCCATAAGTAGCAGTGGAGTCTCCCCTAATGATCATGGAGGGATGTGCTGCCTCCCTGTCCAACCTACATGACTGTGTTTGTTATCACAGCTCACACTGGCCAAGTATGCCAGGCCATGATTTACTGAATTTCACTTGAACTGATTTTGTGGGTACATCACAGGTGATGTGCTTTAGGTATCACTGTGAGATGAAAGGGAAATTAAGACTTGTTTAGGATTCCCTAAGAATGGAAAAGGTGAAGCAAAATGTTGCCCTGCATAAATTCAGCTCATGAGTGCTGTGTGGAAGGGGTTCAATCTCAACTCGGTTCTCCAAAGATAAACCTAATAAGTAAAGTTGTTCAGAGTAGAGAATAATGAACTAGACATGTAGGAAATAATTTAACCTTTGAATGGCATTTTTCCCCCAATAATACTTTGCAGCAATGACTTTAATATAGTTAAAATAGGAGGCAGCAGGAGGAATGTCTTTCCTTAATCTTATATTTGTTGCTGGCCCACTTCAACGACTCTCTTCCTCTTTTTCTACTAACAACTTGAATGAAGGAGAATGGCCAATTGATTTCCACAAAAGCATTCGTTAATTTGTGCCTGCCTTTCCTGTCACTTCTCATTTCTAGATAATCAATAACTCAAGTCTCTTTCATCTTTCCTTATTCAGAAGACCCTGAAGCTATTTGCCTTTAGTTATCCTTCTCTCAACCCCTTTCTATTAGCAAAAGACTGTGTTAAGCTGAACTAACCAAAATGGTAGAGTAGTTAGAATGCAGCATTGATTCACACAAGGTTGTCTCAAATTTCCGTTTGCATTCTTATCTTGTTTTAAAGTATCGAGAAGCGTCCAATAAGCTTTTGCAACCACAAATATATGTGGAGATGACATATTGACTGAAATTTCAACAGTGACCTCTTGAGCATTTTCTGAATGCACAAGTCAATTTGAAACTCCAGTTTAAGAATTATTTCAATGGACTCCACAGTATGAAGCTTTCTCCTTAGAAAGCAAAGCATCACTGAACTGTGGTTTGGAACAGGTTTTCATAGTACTGCCAAGAAGGCTCATTTTGACAGAACAGTCACTCTTAAACCATGATGTTGTGTGTTCTATTCTAGCATTAATTTATGAAAATTAGTGAAAAACAAAGTTTCCTTTATGTCAAACCTCAACCAAACCTGTCTTGTTGCTCTTATGGTTGTCGTTACCGTTATCCCAGTTTCTCAAACCATTGTAGGATGCCAAAAGTTTTAAAAACAAAACCCAGGCCCAACACATGGCCTTTGATGATTTTTGGTTCACTCTGTAAATACAGGACAAATTGTTGAGGGCTTTGGACCACCGGCAGAGGGTGAATGTGAAAGGATAGATGGGTTTCACTTTCCAAAGATGAGGAAGAAGATGCACATATCAGCACATGTGACCTACTTTTGCTGCAGTAAATTTAACACTGCTCATGTGTTTCCTCTCCAAAAAAATGAAGCATTTTGGAGTGGCACAACCTCCTCCACCAACTGCCCTGTGTGTATTTTTCCTTTTAGTAGCCAAAGCTCATATGTGTTCTGTACTCTTCATTCCCTTCCAATTGCAGCTCAAGTCATTGCAAGAACTCCTCCCTCCTCTCCCCTGGCCCTGCTCTACGTCTACATCACTAATGGCCTCCTCATCGATTACTCCAGAGGATGCTGGTCCTGCCTGCACTGTGATCTTCTCACTTCATGCCAGCCTGCTTAGCAGACACTGCCTCTTGAAACAGTGTTACCCGAGCTGTTGATTGAAGACATCTTAACTCCTTTGCAAACCACTCATCCTTTATCTGCCCTTCTAAAATTTCTGACCTGAGCCATCTGTTTCCTTGTCACCTATTTCCTTTCCTCCTGTGGCTTAAATGAAACCAGTATGCTAACAACTCCCATGCCTATTTCAAATAGGCATCTCTCACCTGAGCTGCAGCTGTGTGTCTATGGCTACATACTGGACAGCTCTTCTTGCATACCGTGGGACTTGGCATGCCCAAGCCTGCTCTTCCCATCTGAAACTTAGTAACACCATACACATAGCTGTTCACACACAAACCTAAGTGCCTTGAATATTCCATTTATCGTATACTCCACAATGCCGAAGTCGTCCCAAGGCCTTAAGGTCCTGGTACTGAAGTCTTTTTCAAATTCATCCAGTTTTCTCCATGCTCAGGTCAATCACCAACACAAACTCTTCACCCATGTGGGTCATCCTAAGAGCCACCTACCTGGCCTCCCAGACTGTGCCACTGCTCCCTCCCATTTGTTCTCTATAGTCAATCTTTCTAACACAAATCTTTACTTTCCACTTTTAGGAATTCCTAAGAATTCCATCTTAGTGGATTCCAGTTGCTTTCAGAAAAAGTCCTTAGAAAATTCTAAACCTGACCTATGGCTCCTATGTCATTCAGGGTTGAGACATTCAGGTTTAGGAAGGAAGAGCATAGATTCAGTCTGGACAGTGCAGGTTTGAAGTGCTGATAAGATACAGGGTCTGCTTGGGTTTGAATAGCGCAAATCAGGAGATCCCAATGAAGGGCACAGCCTGGTAGATTTTCCTGGAACCCAGCCACAGAGATGTTGGAGATGAAATAATTACCCTACGTAGGATATGCATGTTTTTAAAAGAGCAAAGCAACACAGAATTTTTCACTAATCAGACAATAAATTCTGTTAATTCCACCTTATAAATACCTCTCTAGTCAGACCACGCCTCCCCTTCCCTGTCCCCACCCTCCTGATTTAAGCTGTCACCTGGGCTATTTCAAGGCTTCTCCCATTTTCAGTCTCTCCTTTAATCCACACTCTACAGTACCATCAGAATGACAGATCTAAAATGCAAAGCTGATCACATCACTCGCTCTTGAAAATCATTCAAGGAACTCCCTCCCTTGCATAATGAGTAACACAGAAACACATCAGACTTGTCCAACTACTGCACATTGTTCTTCTTTCTCCATCTCTTTGCTTTGAACGCACTACGCAGTCACAACATGGTGCTTTGTGCAGGCCTTCTTCCCTCCCTGGGCTCCTCATCCATTGATCTTCAGTAAATGCCTCCTCATCCTGAAATGCCTTCTGCCTACTCTGATGAGCTTGCCCCAGCTCCGCACACACCTTCCTCATGGAACAACTGGGTGCCTTTCCCTGTCTTGTCTCATAATACTGACTTACAGATGGAAATTGAAAATTCGTTATTCATTTTCAATTTTTCCTCGATTGTGAATTTCTTGTAGAAAAAAATTCTATTTATACATATAAACTGAGTGCATAGCAGAATGTCTGGCGTGAGTGAATGATTAAAAAACTTAAAATATGGGCATAGGTGGGAAAAGTGAGAGGGGCAGAAACAAGTCAGTGTTACAAGGACAATTATTTTCAGAAAAGCAAGCAGCGAGAGGTTAAGAAGTTAGAGGTGGTCACTGAGTGAAAATGTGCAAATAATTTGAGATAAACTGGAACCAAAAAGAGAGTTTGATGTTTCAGTACAGTAACAGTGTGGGAGATGAAATGCTATATTTGAGTGGAAAGGTATTTGAGGAGCATGAAGCAATGAATTTTTTAAAAAGTTTGGAAGTAAAGGTAAGTGGAGCCCAGGGCTATTAGCTTGAGTAAGTAACTCCGAAATAAAAAGTAGTATTGACCTATTAGTTTGGGAGGAATTAACAAAAAGTGAAACAAAAAACCTAACTTTTGACAGCCTAGATTCTCTGGCTTAACAATGTGGAACATGCTCATTCCTGCCTCAGGGTCTTCGAACTTGCTGTTCCCTCTGTGTGGCACACTGTTCCCACAGGTCTTCACGTTGCTGACTCACTCACTCCTTTCAGTAACTTAGAGACCACTTCTTGAGAGTGATTTTCCCTTAACAACCTATTTAAAATTACCCCTCAAGTCCACTCTGCTTCCAGGTCACTCAGTAGTTCGTTAAACACCTTTATTTTTCTCACATTAGTTGATGCCATCAAAAGTTCTTATAACATCTCTTTACTTACTTACTCTGTCTCACACACTGGTATGGTGATTTCAAGAGAGTAGGAATGTTAGCTTGCTTGTTCGTCTTTGTATCTTTATTTTTAATTAATTAATTAATTAATTAATCTATTTATTTGTGTTGCCCAGGCTCGAGTGCAATGGTGTGATCTCAGCTCACTGCCACATTTACCTCCTGGGTTCAAGCGATTCTCCTGCCTCAGCCTCCCAAGTGGCTGGGATTACAGGCATGTGCCACAACCTCCAGCTAATTTATATATTTTTGGTAGAGATGGGGTTTTGCCATGTTGGTCAGGCTGGTCTCAAACTCCTGGCCTCAAGTGATCTGCCCGCCTTGGCCTCCCAAAGTGCTGGGATTACAAGCGTGAGCCACTGTGCCCAGCCATCTTTATATCTTTAGCCCTTAGATTACTCCTTGAAAAGGACCAGGAGTTAAATAATATTTCTTGAAGTCATGAATAATAAATACATGAATTAAATACTGAATAAATGAATAAAATAAAAGGAAACTAAAATTGACTTAATCTATCCAGGTCTATCAGTTAAGTTACTGTGGCATGTTTATATCTTTAATGTGATACTGAGTCTGGGCCAACCATTGAAAGCATAAGGAATCCTTTCCCATCCACCAAACAACCTAAAAGGAAGGGTACCCAAGTAGAACAACAGATGCCAAGTAAGGATGTTAGTGTGAAACCCTCCAGATATAATGGCAAGCCTTAAATAATGCAACGTCAACACGGAGCAAAACACAAAGATATATCATTAGGTCATCAGTACACCAGCAGCCCATGATGTTCTTGGAAGTCTGTATAAAAGTCAAATGTATAAAGGCTGAACAAGAGACATATACTATAAGTTTACGATTTTATATATCATATGTGTGTATATATGCATACATATATAGAGAGGGAGGCATAGAACAGATCTGGATATGGACACAGATATGGATATCTGAGGTTAAAGATTTCCCTTAGCAGCATATTTGATGATTTCTATCTTTCTCTTAATTGCATTATGTTTACACATCCTAGACTTCACACTAGTATGAGGACATCATTTATTTGAACACTATTATAAAATAGTGTGGGTAAAAGTAATATAAGATTCCTATAATTAGAGATACAGTGTCATAAAGATTAGTCTCAGTTTGAAGTCATCACACTATGTATTGAAACTAATTTATTTAGTAGAATATAGGTACTATAAAGCTCTAGATCTTATTATAATACATTTTTAAATTTGAAACGCTGGGTGCATTTGTAAAAACAAAACAAAACAAAAATAAAAACAACTTGGGGCCAGGCACAGTGGCTCACGCCTGTAATCCCAGCACTTTGGGAGGCCAAGGCGGGCAGATCAAGAGGTCAAGAGATCGAGACCATCCTGGCCAATATGGTGAAACCCTGTCTCTACTAAAAATACAAAAATTAGCTCGGTGTTGTGGTATGCACTTGTAGTCCCAGCTACTTGGGAGGCTGAGGCAGGAGAATTGCTCGAACCTGGGCGGTGGAGGTTGCAGTGAGCTGAGATTGTGCCACTGCATTCCAGCCTGGCGACAGAGCAAGACACACACACACACACACACACACACACACACACACACAAAAAAAAAAAAAAAAAAAAAAAAGGGAAATATTTTTTCATTTAAGACTAGTTGAAATTATTTTAATATTGAAGAGAAAAGTAAATATTTGAGAATATCTAAGACTGTCATGAACACTAATCAGGAGAGATTTACCTTATCATATCTCAAAAGTTATCAAAAGCTAAGATAATGAATACAGTGTAACCTTAAACTAAATCAATGGATCAATGTAACAAAAACATAAACCAGAAATGGATGCAAATATATTTAGAAATTTAGAATGCGACAAAAGCAAATTTCAATTCAGTAGGTATTGTGCATGCAGAAATGAAACAGGGAAAGAAGTAACTCTTACCTTAAATCACACACACACACCTTAATTCCACATGAATTAAAATTTCAAATACAAAAATGAAAGTTTAGATTAAGATGTAGAAAACTAATTTAGCTTTAGAATAAATAGGCTACCCAAAGCAATAAATGAAACCAAAAATCCATAGAACAGAGACATATTTTTCTACACAATTAGTAAAAAATCAGATGCCATCCAACACCCAAAACAAAGGCAAAAGTCAAAAACAGGAAAACTGGCTGGGCACGGTGGCTCATACCTGTAATCCCAGCACTTTGGGAGGCTGAGGCGGGTGGATCCCCTGAGGTCAGAAGTTCGAGACCAGCCTGACCAACATGGTGAAAACCCATCTCTACTAAAAATAAAAAATTAGCCGAGTGTGGTGGCACGCACCCGTAGTCCCAGCTACTTGGGAGGCTGAGGCAGGAGAATCACTTGAACCAGGGAGGCAGAGGTTGCAGTGAGCCAAGATCATGCCACTGCACTCCAGCCTGGGTGACAGAGTGAGACTCCCTCAAAAAAAAAAAAATAAATAGGTAAACCATCTACACCACATTCATATCAAGAGAAACATTAATATTTCCTTACATAAAGGTTTACATGAAATTGATAAGTAAAAGGATTAAAAACCCAGTGTAAATAATGAAAACACATATGAAGAAATTTGACTAGTTAAAAGTGGTGGAACACCCTTAACTATTTATTATATAAAATGGAGAGCCCCACAGGAAACCATATTTCGACGATGGAGTTGACATCCTTTTGGGAGGAAGGCACGTTTCCGGGTTGGCTGAGGTGCAGTGATGCGAGTCCTTTGATTGCTGGTTGTGGTAATCTGAAGTGCTACTCCTCACTGAAAGAAATCTAGCAGTTTCTACAAAACCTTAAACTACACATACCATTTGATTCAATGTTACTGCTCTTGTGAATCAATATTCCTATAAGCCAAAATACTTAAACAGAATGTCTTAATGCCTGTCAAAAAAGAAGAGTTTAATAAATAGATGGTTTAATAAATGCTATAGACTATTACACTACTTAGCTATCAAGAAACAATGCCTAGATATATAATTTGCCAGAAAAGATGTCCATGTTGTTAAGAGACAGAAGGGAGGGCTGCCTAAGGGGACATCTGGGCTAAAGGTTCATATGTGGGAAAATATAGATGATGCTTAAAGCCATGAGAATGGATGAGGTTGTCAAAAGAAAGTTAGGGCCACGCCCGAAGAAGAAGAGAAAGCCAGCAACTGGGGTGGAGGAAAAGCTGCTAGTGAATTAGGAGAAAACCCCCAAGAGCTGCAGAAGAAGACGTGGTAATCACATCAGAAATTAAGGAACATGAGGCAGGTCTAGTGTCCATTGGATTTTGCCACATAAAGGTGGTTTAAGTAAAGTGGATTCCACTGAGTGGTAAAGGAAAGCAGCGGGATGCAGTCATGGAAGAGGAGACAAGGAGGTGAGGGTCGAAGGCCACGGGCATGGGCAATCGTTTCAAGGTATGACCTGCAAACAAGGAAATGGGGTGGTGGCCCGAGGGAAGAGAGAACAAGGGGGGACTTTTGCTTAATTGGAAGATGGATGGATTGGCCACATATTCACTCTGTTGGAAGCTGATGCAGGAGAGAAAGGGGAGAGCTGAAGGGAAATGCAAGCTTGCAGGAGGCAGAAGGAGACAGAATTGCAAGCGCACTGGCCTTGGACACACAGGAGGAAATTCAGGACTGCAGGTGAGAAGTGGGCAAAGAGGAATACATGCGCAGACACTCTGCAGATTTAATGGTGGGAGGGTAGGTTTGTAACTCCTCAGCCTGGGAGATTGGAGTTAGAAGAAGGGGTCTCTAGGCATGAGCAGTCGTGCCTACCGTAGAAACAAGACGAGGGTACAGGAGAGTGCTGCCTGCCTGGGTGAGATGTTTGATCATGATGTTAAATGAAATCAGTCTGCTTTTGCTCTGATGTCCTCCTTCAAGGGTCATCCAGCTCCTCTGGGGCAAGGACAGACATGCTGGAAAGGGGGGTTCCACCTTGGGTAGGTATTCGTCACTCGAGTGGAACAGAGGGAGGTGAGGGCAAGGAGTGAAGTGGCTTCAGCAATGGACTATGGGCGCTGGACCAGGCGGAGAGCAGGATATGGGAGAGTGAGGACATGGAGGGAGCAGCTTCTGGGTGTGTTAGTGCATTGCAGAAACACTGCAGTGAAAGTTCTTGAATGAGCGAACAGTGTGTGCGATAGCTAGAAAAGTGAGGAAAGCATTTTACTGGAGGTGGTGTTCATCAGCATGAGTGGCTTGAGGAAAAAAATGGGTTTTAACCTTGGTATCATAAAACATGTTTAATATGTGTGATCATTAATACTCAGTGTCAACTTGGTTGGATTGAAGGATGCAAAGTATTGTTCCTGGGTGTGTCTGCAAGGGTGATGTCAAAGGAGATTAACATTCAAGTCAGTGGACTGGGAGAGGCAGACCCACCCTCGATCTGGATGGACACCATCTGATCAGCTGCCAGTGCAGCTAGGATAAAAGCAGGCAGAGGAACATGGAAGAACCAGGCTGGCTGAGTCTTCCAGCCTACATCTTTCTCTCATGCTGGATGCTTCCTGCCCTTGAACATCAGACTCCAAGTTCTTCCGCTTTTGGACTCTTGGACCTTTGACCACAGACTAAAGGCTGCACTGTCAGCTTTCCTACTTTTGATATTTTGGGACTCTGACTGGCTTCCTTGCTCCTTAGCTTGCAGATGGCCTATTGTGGGACCTCACCTTGTGATTGTGTGAGTTAATTCTCCTTAATAAACTCCCCTTTATATATACATCTATCTTATTAGTTCTGCCCCTCAAGAAAGCCCTGACTAATACAACATATAAAGTAACAGATTTTCTGATACAATTCGTTCTTAGGTGTTGTAAATGAATTCTCAGCTCTGGAGAATATTCATTTTAAATAACTTTAACCTTCCTCCTGCTGCAAACAATGCTGCCCCAAACCCGTATGCTTAGAGAAGAGCTGAACCAGGAGAGAAATAGGTCAGGTGTAGTTATTGCAATGCTTCACCCCCAGAGGCACGTGAAGGGAACTCCACAGGTAGACCTCAAGCCTCCGCTTCAGTTCATTAAAACAAAAGTAGTTTCAAGTCTCACATGGCCTTAAAGTTCTGTGAGCCCATGACTCCCTTGAGTTCCATTTCTCATTTCTGCTTGCGCCTCAGCTGGGGCCTGGTCATGTTCATGTGTTACCTCTCAACAGGCATGGGGCTCTGAGACTGGCTCTCACTGCAGATCTGTCTAAAGCTACTTCTCAGCTACCAAGATACATGAAATGGCCACACTTTTTGCTGTGGTGTTCCTACACTTTCCTGCTATATCCTGCTTCCACAGTAAATTTTTACACTCTAGTTTTTAACCCTTCTCTAAAATAAAGTAAAAATGTTTTACAAAGTAACAGATATTATCATAAACTGGAGATAACAACTGTTAGATTAAGTTTCGACCTTGAAGCGTATAATTTTTTCACCTTAGATGATGAGTATTTTCCCAGGTGACTAACAGTTCCTTGCGAGCATTAGCTATTGGTCACCCAGCATCCCACCTGAAGGCTTCCTGTGATTCACTAGGAGCACATGGGATGCTAATGTTGCACATTTCAGAAGGTCCTGCTCCTGCCCTGGAATTCATCCACTTCCTGCATTGCTGTCTGGCTTGAAAGTGAACGTGCTATGGTGATAAATCTGGCTCAGAATGAAAGACAGATATGTGGTAGAAATGCAGGACAGGCGAAGAAGGAATGGAGTGTGACGAAGGCCGATGAACCTCGCCAGCAGATCAGCCCAATATGGGAGACAACAATTTGGGAAAATCTTACGCATCAGGAACAACCATTAAACCATGAATTATGATCCTTATCAATAAACCCTTAGGATACCATGAGGGCATTCACTCTTTTTTTTTTTTTTTTTTTTTGAGTTGGGGTTTTGCTCTTGTCACCCAGGCTGGAGTGCAATGGCGCGATCTCAGCTCACCGCAAGCTCCGCCTCCCGGGTTCAAGCAATTCTCCTGCCTCAACCTCCCAAGTAGCTGGGATTACAGGCTCCCACCACCACACCCAGCAAAATTTTGTATTTTTAGTAGAGACAGGGTTTCACTATGTTGGCCAGACTGGTCTTAAACTCCTGACCTCAGGTGATCCGCCTGCTTTGGCCTCCCAATGTTCTGGGATTACAAGCGTGAGCCATCACGCCCGGCCTTCTTCTATATTTTGTTCATCCTTCCAAGATATAGCTCAAGATGCATTTTTTTCATAAAACACCCTTCACTAGTTCAGCACAGAATGCAGTATAATTTCTGAACTCCTTAACACATCGCACCATTTCTCCAGTAAAGTTAGCATTTCATAATATTCATGCTTCCTTTCCATTTTATAGACTGTCACACTCAAAGCTTAGAAAGCAGTCAGATCTTTAGTAAGTAGTTGCTAATTACTTTCAGAAATGCATCAGGAATGTTTAAATTCATTAATTTTAGATTTCATCTCTTATACTAGCATGCTAAAAGAAATATCTCACAGGCTCCAATTGACATCACCAATTTTCTGAAATGTCTACAATTTTCCGAAATTCTACAATCAAATAATTCAACTAAAACAGAACAAAAGGCAGGAAAGGGCAGACTCATATTGTGTTTGGTGACCAACTGCTCCCTGAATCTCTCACGTCCATGTCACTGTCCCTTTGTGCTTCCACCCATGCTCCATGGCTGCCCTCCACCAGGTGTGTTCAATGTGTCTAATGAGCATCCAGGTTCCTTGTAGGAAAGATGCAGAGTTTTTCCTCTGCAGAGGCACAGCAAGGAAAATAATGACATTCTGCTAGTGCAGTAAAACACGAGAGGCAATACAAAAACCAGTCAGAGTATTGCCCTGTGTCTATTTCTCCAAGAAAATAACCCCAAGAGTTAACAGATTAAAGCAGAAGACTATTCTCAAAATTCTTAAATACGCTGCATGCCTCTAATTCTTATTAGTTAAAGAGCTAATCTGCAAACTTACGAGATGACCAGTGAATCCTTTTGGGAATTGAAATTGTTCTGCAACATGAAAGCATGACATTCTTGGCAATGCTTAAGAGTAAGGCATTTTTATTTCCATTAATCATAGTTTTAATTCCTGTATACATTCTCTACCAAAAATAAGAGAAAGGTAAATATTTTCACCTTCTCAATCATCATTATTTTTTTAGTCTCCTTTAGTGCAAAGCTCAAGATTCATTCAACACATGTGTTCCCTTAATATGCTGCTTCAATTTAACATTGTGATGTCCTTTGGCAGCAAAACCTTAAGCTTAAAAGAAAACCATTTTCTGCAAATGTCATCTGTCACTTTAAGATCATGATATATATGTACAGAAGTTTTCAGAAGTGCTGCAGGGGACAAAAATGTATATCCAGCAAGCCATTTTTGGATAAATATGTCTTCCTCTTCATTATTACCATCCAGAATTGGTTTAGATGGAAGTATTCTCTAGCTCAGAAAATTCTGCCAAAATTTCAGACGCTAAAGAAACCCTTGATAAGCCCAAAAGAGAACCTGGTGACAAACTAAATTTCACCATATGAACATCAGTGGAGAGCATTTGGTACAGAGTCCCTGGAGTCCCTAAGCACCGCAAGGTGAATGATACAAGGACAAAAGTTTACAGTCAAGGATAACCCTAAAGATCACACTTACAAAAAGCATTGAATAGAGGCTTAAGCAGTAAAACTTGAGACTAAAATACTAGCTAAATGACCTCAGCCATATATTAATAAACTTAGTTTTTATGTACTTTATTAACATGTGCCAATGAGCAAAAATATGCTTTTGTAATTTCTTTCCATGTGTTTCTGGTGTTTTTTTTTTTTTCTGGTTGCTGTGTCTATGAATCATTTTTTTTAAAAAGCTGAAGTTTTAAAGATCTCTGTGCTATTAGCATTTGGATCACACTGGAATTATTTCACAATCTAAAATTAAAAGGAAATATATCCAGCCTGTAAAATATTCTTCTAAGTCACCAGTCTATGTCACTCATCTGAATGTGGTATACCAGGAGAACTGCCTTAATTTTGGCATCTGCACAAAATAATACTTCAACAAGACAAATAACCACATGAGCAAGATATCAAGCTTACTTACAGCACTTGATAAAATGATAGTGAGACATCTTTCCATCTCAGACAGGAATCTTGCTACGGGTTCCAGCATTCTCTTCTGTCACAACTGTCGTTCCCAGGAAATGCATTACTTAAAGCCCTTACTCAGGTAACAGTTTACCTCAGGATGCACTATTGCATGGAGGCTCTGTTCCATGATCCTGCAAAAAGCTTCAAACTCATTCTCATTCGGCAGCTGGAGTTAAGATAAGCCTCTCCCCGGTGGGTCTTGAGGCACCACTGGTGCACGTGCTATTGTAGCACCCTTGATTGACACAGCCCCGAGTACCACAATCCCGGGAATAGTCAGCTCTAATTGGTGTTCACATGCAGCCACATTCTGCTGCACGGAGGTGTGCTGCAGTGCGGCTCTCCCGGTCCTGCCTGTTAATGGCTTTTCAATAGCTTTCAAATGGCAGCAAACTAAGCTGATGAGTGGGCTGGAGAGAAGCCACGGATAGAAGGATCCTAAATCTTCTTCGTGCACACTGTCCATCAGCCACATATGACCAGATTCTTAGCTGGTAGTAAAGCGGATTATTTTTAGTTGCCACCAGTTGCTGTGTGTGAATAGGAAATTGATAGCAGGAGCTTAAAATAGCCACCTCTTAGAATCAGAGATCTTTGATCTGTCCTTAGTAATGAAAAACTTGCATTATATTTCAAAACACATCTTTCTGCTTTTCTGAGCAGAATGTAAAACTTAAATTATCCACAAAAAGCTTTTGGTTTGCATAGCTTTAAAATTTAGGATTCTCCTACCTCTGCAGACTGCAATGAATTTAACTGTACAACCCAACTGGATGAAGTAAATCTGACTGAATTGGAATCAGAAAGAAATATATGGTCTGCTAGGGTTTATTGTTATAAAAGTGAATATCATACTCATAATGAAATAGCCATGGTAGCAAACCAAAAGGTTATATTTTAAGTTGTTTACAAATTCAAAGTGATACATTTTTTTTGCAAATTGATACATTTTTATGATGATCTTCTCCAAAGACAAGTTGACATAGTCTAGAATTTATGTTTCAGGTTTGAGGTTATAGGAAAGGTAAACATGAACAATATGTTAAGTGCACCCATCCTTCTGTGGCAGTAACATAATTTTGTATTCCTTACTGAACAAAACTCAAAGAGCAGTGCTTTTATTAAACTAGAAGATTATGAAATTCAAATCTATACAACAAGGGGTCATGACTATTACATTTTCACTGAATAATATTCTAACACATTTTAGTAGCGTGATGTAAAATAATAAGTTGAAGATTTCGCACAGAACAGCCTGATGTCAAATCCAGCTTCTACCACTTACCAGAGTATCAATGTAAACACATTATTTAACCTGCTAAAGCCTCAGTTTCCTCATCTATGCATGTGAAATATAATTCCTAATCTTTATTCTGAAGGTTAGAAATAATGCACATAAAATTTCTGGTTTCTGTTGTTGGTGTTCATTGAAAAGTTGTCATTAACATTAACAAGGAAAAAAACTTATGTATGTACCAAATGATGATTATGGACGCTTTAACTTGGCTTTTCCAAAAATTAGAATGAGGATTTGCAGCCTTCATCAGGAATGCTGATTCCTCATTTATTCGTTGATTCCACAATTAATTATTGAGAGTCACTGTCACAAAAGTCACCATTTTGGGTGCTTTTCAGGAATAAAATATGTCTAAAACAGAGCCTTTATATACCAGGAATCTATAATGTATTTTTAAAGGGTTTCTTGGATGTTTTGTAATGTTTCAATAAAACTGTAAGACACAACTATATCTGTTTCCAACACGGGAAGTAAAGCTCTCTCCTCTTTAAATCAATACAAATCTTTACATGTGCATAAAATAACTGTGAATTTATGTGAATGTTATCTAATGTATCTTCGGGTAAGGTTGTATCCATGTAGATGTCCCTACCCCCTTCTCTTAATACAATGCCGGATAAATAGTATGTTGCCTATATACCTTCCTTAAATGTCTGAATGTCTTAATTTTCTGCAAATTGCATGCCTCTGCATGTATACAAACTCAGCAAACATCTTAAGACAATTGAGTTTAATGATACCATTCACTCTTTAAACTGAAAAAAAGCATAACACTCAGAGGGGCATGTTGTGCACTTGACAAAGAAAATATGTTATTAAAAATATAATTGATTTGAGCCCTACTTTTTTCAATAACTTAAGGCATTTCTTATAAGAACTTTAACCAAGGTACCCCGTGAGAATTAACATCTCATCTCCAGGGGCTCATTATCAAATGTGTTTATTTTTCATCGACTCATGTATTCCATAAACATTTGGCAACTCTTTGTGCTATAAGAGAAACTTGACTCCCTGACCTCAAAGTGCTTATCGTCAGATGAAATAGAGACAATCAAGATAGCACAGTGTTGTGTGCTAGAAACTGTAAGACTACAAATGTAGACCTCTAAAACAACAAGAGCCAACATCTAATCCACTTTGAGGAGTTGAAGGAGGATACACTGAGAAATGTATTCACAGATTTCTTAAACTACTTAGAATGTGCTTTCTATGTATAAACTGTATCTACATATAATTTCCCCAGATTAAGAAGCCCTTTTATCTTTTTGTCTTTGAAACCACATACTCATGCTCTAAACATTGGTAGAACTATGTTTAAACCTATTTACATATTTCATCACTACAAAACAAAAATTAATTTCTAATGCAGGCATTAATACTGAGGAAAATAATTTTGGTTCCATTAACTTTACTTCCTTCATAAAATTTTTTAAAAATGGTAACTTGAAGTTGATTAAAATTTCCTCCTCTATATCCATCCCTGAGAAACTCAACTCACTGTTGGGTGGTCAGAACAATAATTTCAGGACTCCTTCAATCATATATATATATAATATATAATATATATATTATATACAATATATATTTTTATATATATTATATATAGCTATATATAATATATATAATATACATATATACATAAAATATACATATATACATGTATAATATACATATATATATATACACACACATATATATTTTTCTTTTCTTTTATTTTCTCTTTTGAGATGGAGTTTCTCTCTGTCACCCAGGCTGCAGTGCAATGGCGCGATCTTGGCTCACTGCAACCCTCTGCCTCCCGGTTTCAAGCAATTCTCCTGTTTCAGCCTCCCAAGTAGCTGGAATTACAGGCACCCACTACCATGCCCAGCTAATTTTTGTAGTTTTAGTAGACATGAGATTTCACCATGTTAGTCAGGCTGGTCAGGCTTGACCTCAGGTGAGCCACCTGCCTTGGCTTCCCAAAGTGCTGGGATTACAGGCATGAGCCACCATGCCCGGCTAAATCTTATATTTTAAATATGGTATCAGAGTTGATGACAGTAGCAAGAAATGACCAAGGCTAAATTAAATATATGGTTAGCAATTTATCTATTTTGCAGAATATGGTCATTAAGTACAAAATTAAATCCATGCGTTCGAAAGAGGGTATTGTTTTGCATTTCCAGAAAATTTTCAAACGCATAAAGCACAATTATTTTATTATTTTTCAGTATTATTACAATGAACTATTGTTCTTTCCAAATACGAATGCATAATATTTCAAACTCATTTTTGAATAATCAAGAAACCCCTTTTTCTCTTTTATACACCATACAGCTGCTCATTATTCACACTATTTCTGATATGAACACATGATTTTTTTTCTCTTAAATGTTAGCATTATTATACACCAGATTTTTTCAAATAAGGCTAAATTATTTCCCAGCCAAAAACAAAAAAAGAAACTGCAATGATTCTAATGAGAGATAAGCATTCAAAAGTTAGAAATTGCTTAGTAAATATCTTTTAAAATGGGATACATGAGACACAGCTCCAAAAAGGCCCCAGGTGAGATACTACTTAATGTTTTCATTTAAAACCTATTTGGACAATGTAAAACATGTAGTTTCATAATGCCAGTCTGCTGACAGATAATTCCTAATCTAATAGTGCCTGCATTGACATGCTTTATTAAATGAAGAAATTAAAACTAAAGTTTGCAAACATCACCAATTTGGGAAAGGTACGTATTAACAGTAGGTCATGACAAAAATTCTAAATGAAGATATAAATCACACACAACAGTTTTTTGTTATGCAAATTTAAGCTCTGTGATGGGGCATCATTGCCTCTGCCCTGTGAATAGGTTGGGGCTTATAAATATTAGCCTTTGATGAAGTAAATTACACACATTTAGAGACCTTGAGCCACAGGTGTCTCACACACAATGGCTGACAGCTAAATTTATAATTTCCTCTATCACAAATATTGACTGCTTCTGGGTGAATGGAGTCAAGACCTCTCCTGGGAACATAACTCCGGTCTAATAACTTAGGGTCCTTTGAGGCTGAAGCCTACAGAGGAGAAAATATCTGAGTTGTCAAAAAATAAGGCATAAATACACTCAGCTCTTGCTATAGAATCAGCCTCTGGTCAACCCCTGGTGCCTCAGGACCAGGATCAAGCCTACCTTGAATGACTGAACATCCTTGACTCTCTCATAAAGTCCCTGATCTCAGTCTAGTGACTGTGGAGGTTGTTCCTGATTTTGGCCTGCCTGTGAAACCACTAGCTCTCGGATTCAGGACTCCACAGGGCTGTGTGTTCACTTCAGCTTCACGTAGTCTCACATTTCTCCAACCAGAACAAACGGACATTCAAGTTAGATGTGGGCAATTGTGAAGTAAATGAGAAGAAATTTACAATACAGACTTGCACAGTTGGAAAGAAGTAGGGGTTAATAGGAACTGCCCTCTCCATGTCAGAGGGCAGTGAGGGCTAACCCAGCTGAGCCCTGCTTTAGTGACTAAAAGTGAATTTGTCATATAACGGCTAGAAAATATCCCTGGTTATTCAAATACTTTCATAGAGTACTGATGTAGAAAAGAAATGCAATTTTAAAAACTGCTTCAAAAAGACTGAAAATTACTCTCTGTAATACAATATAGATTAATATAATAGCAAATACATGCATGTGCATTGATATGGATATATGAAGATACACACACACACACACACACACACACACACACACACACACACTCAGGCTATATGGGATGTTCTAATTGCTCCTTAAGGGCATTTGGCCACCCACTTCCTTTGGTGATTTTTTTCCCTAATCAAAATGAAATGTTTTAAATTCTAGTGAGGACCAGTTAAACTGGGTATCTAAAGCAGGACATTTGTAAAGCATTTGTAAGGTTTTTCACTTGAATCCGAACAACCACTTTGAAATCTTTCCAGCATATGCGTTACAACTATCTAGGA
This sequence comes from Homo sapiens, assembly GCF_000001405.40. Lineage (NCBI taxonomy): Eukaryota > Metazoa > Chordata > Mammalia > Primates > Hominidae > Homo > Homo sapiens. The sequence goes on along the minus strand of NC_000013.11, from coordinate 108,624,559 downwards.
AGACTTTTCCATTTCAGGTGTTTGACCTTGGACAAAAGTTTGCATATCTTAATGGTGAATAAGAAACAGACCGTTTTGTTTTATGTCTGTATGACTCTACCTAGGTTTATGTGCACATGTGTGATATGGATGAATATGAGCACATGAATAATTAAGTATTCTTTGCCTTGTTCTTCAATCAGTTTGAGGGAATAAATAGTATACTGCAACCAGTTACCAGGAATAGGCAGATAAAAAAAAATTTATTGATGACGAAGCAAGTTTAGCGATTACTGTTGGCCTAAATAAGACAGCTGGGACACCAGGCTGAAATGTTTGAACAGATCTCTATACATTTGTCATTTAGAAGACAATATCTGAAAGTTTTTTGATGATCTAAAAGATATTCTTAATTTTCCCAAAAAGGATGAAAGGAATTGTGAGGCAATTAAATAAGAAGCCTCTCCTTCATACTTTTCCCATTGATATACATGGATTTTTTAAACAAAATATGCCTCTTTAGTTGAATCATGCTCTTATTTACAATTTAATCACACTAAGTTACCTATTCAAATTCCATGCATTCTTCAAATTTACTTCAAGCCCATTTAATCTACAAACTGTTCTTGATTTTTTTATTGCTTAAATTATTCCTGACCTTCTCTAAAGCTTATATTCATTTTTTTCATGTACCAGTCAATCCAGCATTTATAATGCAATGCTTTGCATTTTTCTTAACTAGTTATCATAGGGAAGGCTCTTCCTAGGTAGGTAACTCGTTATTTGAGTCTCAGACCTTCTACTTTTCCTATTTCCTATGAAGTCCAAAACATTAGTGAACATTCAGAGATCAACAAAGGGAGAGCCAGAGAATTAGAATTGCTCTAAAGCATTTTCTGGTGCATGACATATAATGTCTTGAGGAATATTTTATTAAAGGCAGGATTATTGAACACTTAAGTAAACATAACTTACCATACATGACAGGAGAAGAAGAAAGAAATGAAGTGGAGTATAGCCCCTTCTTCATTCAAGCATGTAGGTACAAGTAGACTGAGTGTATATTGTTTTTCAATATCCCCCATGAAGGCGCCATTAAAACGGATCATAGGGAGATCTGGCTGCAAGTTTGACTTTCTTCTTCTAAATGAATTCCCTTGTTGCTAATTTTCTTTGAGTGACAATGGATACAATATAGTCACTAGAGAGGTTCCCAAAATTTAACAATATTTTAAGGTGTTCTAGAAAAAGAATGTACACTGAAATATCCAAATTCACAAATGACATTAAATTATTTCTCCAAACTGAAGTCTCAGGCCTTTTGGATAAGTTTAAGTAGCCCTCATTGTTACGATATTGTTCTCCATAAATATTTTCTCCTATCTGCACAGTTTGGGCTGTCAGAGGAAAGAGCATTGGCAGCCTTGGTTAAATGGTGATTACATAAAAGCATACCTTGGAAGCTGGACGTCGTGTGTGTAGCTCTGAAGCAATTTGGAGAATTACCTCCCAGGCCCATGGGCTTATATTTCAGGGTGATAAGCCTGGAGACTTTCTCTTTTCTTCTCCAAGAGAAAATTTGTTTCCTTTTCTCTCTCTCACTCTTTCTCTCAAATGGGCATATGTGCAGCTTATAAAAGCTTAGAGTCCTTGAACTCTTTGGTTCCTCTCCTGTGTTACAATTCCACTGCCCTTGCAGGATGATATCAGGCTTTCCGTCCATTGCTTTTTGAATAGTGGGGCTTTGGAAACCAGTGCCAGGATGCTCTGTGAGTGTGGTCCGTGCTCTGATCCATGTCTCTGATTCATGATCCACGACTTCATGTTTCCCATCAGAATCTCTCTTAGCCTATTTTGGCCTCTCCTCTTACCTCCTCTTCCTCTCGTCCATCCCCCACCATCCCTCTCTTTTCCATCCCCCACCAACATCTGCCTTCCCCCCTCCTCCTTTTCTCTTCCTCCTCTCCCTGTCTCTCTCTCCATACTTCACACTCCCATAAATAACTGGAAGGACTTCTCAGAGTAAAGCAACAGACACAGATAAATTCTGGCCACAGTGCATGAGGCTAATGAAACCGTAGAAGACTGGGACATCCTTTCCCTGACCAAGGCTCCTCTAGTGGGTTGTCCCTCCTTACTTCTATTTCAGTAAACTTCCTTGGATATGAATCCTGTATCTGTCACTCCCTAAAGGTCAGGTCACCTGGTTGAGGTTCAAATTCCTGTGATAAGAAATGGCAGCTGTAATGCCAAGCGCCCAGGGTTCTTCTGTACAAGCTAGGTGCTCAACAAGTACAATTCCAACCATCACGATGTGACTATTTCACACACCCCTGATGTTGTATTGATCTAATGCTATCTTTATATTCATGAAAATATTTATTATGTGATTTGCCTTGAAGACATCACTGCCTTTCCTAGAGTCTTGCAGGTATCAATGACTAGTAGAAACCCCTTCACAGTAATTATGCCATGTTTACCCATGAACCAGGTACTAAACAAGTAAACTTTATACAGTATCCTCCCAATCTGTGGGGGACACTTTCCAAGATCCCCAGTGGATGCCTGAAACCACAGATAATATGGAGCCCTATATACACTGTTTTTTTTTCTATACATTTCTATACTATTCCTATGATAAAGTTTAGTTTATAAATTAGGCACAGTCTAATTTAGAGATTAAGAGCAACAATGATAAAACAGGACAATTATAGCAAAATACTATAATAAAAGTTAGGTGAATGTGCTGTCTCTCATTGTCTCTCTCTCACAATATCTTACTGTACTGTACTCACTCTTCTTCTTGTGATGATGTGAGATGATAAAATGCCTACTGATGCCTGATGTGAGGGGAATGACGTAGGCATTGGTATGGAGCAGGCTACTATTGACCTAACACCGCAGCCAAGAGAGGATCATCTGCTTCAGATGGCCCAGGATCACTGAGCCACGACAATGTCGATGACTGGATGTCAGGAGTAGACGACGTGGATGATTAACGAGCAGGAAGCATGTAGTGCTTATACAATGGACAAAAGGATGATTCATGTCCAGAAAGAAATGAAGCTGGATGGCATGAGACTTCATCATGTTACTCCATGCATGGAACAGCATGCAATTTAAAATTAATGAATTTCTAGAAATAGAATACAAATATTAAATGGAAATTTCTAGATATTTCCATTTAATATTTCAGACTGCAGTTGGCGGTGGTTAACTGAAACTGCAGAGAGCAAAACGGCAAATAAGTGGGGGGACTACCATAGAATTCTATCAGCCCTGGAAGTCTTTGTTGAGCACTCAACATGCAACAGTCATGAATCAGACCTAGACCCTACCCTGTGGAGCTTACAAAGATTATACACTGGGAAACAGAATTACAGAGACTACACTAGAAAATGCATGGCATTATGGAGCAGGCACCCGAAGCTTGAGGGTTTGCAGTGTGTTTCTGAAGATGTGGTGCCTAGCACACACCAGAGGATGAGTAGGAAGAGATTAGGCAAAGCAGGTGGGCAGAAGAGAGGTGTGTGGTATCTTCATGACATGTTCAAGAAATAAACAGAAATGTTTGGCAAGGCTAAAGGATAGTACCTGGCACAGCCAGCTGAGGGGTGAGTTAGAGAGGTAAGTAGAGGCCAGGCTGCGGGGTGGGGATGGGAGGCTCTGTTCCTTCTCATGAGTCATATAGAGACAAGGAAGCTTTTAATGCAGAGGAGTGGGATGTTTAGATCTGAAATGCATAAATATCATAGGAAATTATTGGAGCAGGAGAAATAAAGAGGATAGTGTGTTTGGGAAGTGGAGGCCACTCAAGGCCCCCAAGGGCGAGGAACTGGGGACAGAGCAGAGGCAGTGACAAGTGGGAAGTGGACAGCACATCCCATCATCGACCAAAAGGTGAGTCCTCCTCTTCCTGTCTTGAAATCTCCATCCCTATCTCTGCTTCCTTCTTTCCACAGTTTCCTCATAAAGGCGGACTTGATCTGACCCAATGAAATATTTCCTTAATTTATCTAATGTTGCCAATACTGGAAACCTCTCATCCCTAGAAGCCCAAAATCCAGAAGTTCCACCCACAGACTTTGCATCAAGAGAATGAGTCTGGGATGCCTGAAAACAGTAACATGAATGCATGCTCTTAGTACGGTTCATCCCTGCTTCCTCTCTTCTTCAGTGTGGCTTCAACATCAAACATCAGAGCAGCCCTAAAACTCAGGTAGTCAAAAAATAAATACGTTAGTGTTATTCCCTTTAGCATTTCCAGAATAAATATTCAGATTTATTATTCAAAAAGTAAGAAAGTTATAAATAAGCTTCTAAGTGAATATTTCTAGGAAATGACCTCCATTTTTTAAGGCTTCAACTTATATAGCAAACAATTAAAAAGTGCTTATTATGTGGTAAGCATTATTCTAATATCTTCATAGGCATCGATTCATTTAAGAATCAGAACAATGTAGTGGGTACTAATACTTTTTTAACAGATGAGGAAATTGAGGCACAAAGACTAAGCAAGATGTCCAAGATCATTCAGCCATAAAGGAGCATGACTCTGTTGACCAAGTCATTCAGGCTACAGAGTCCACCATACCTTTCATCATGGGGCAATACCCCTCCTGCTAGGTGGTTTAGGCTTAGGTTTCCAGTATGCCATTTGCCTTCAACTCCTAGCACAGGCCTTTCTTCTGTCTGTCACATTTTTTCTACCTTCCTCACCGCGCATCGTCCCTTGCCTGATGAACTTCAACCCTACATGTTGGTGTTGTGTATATAGGGAGAGAGAGGGAGAGGGGAGGACACACATAGGAGAGACATCTGGAGAGGAGAAGGTGGAGAAGGGAAGGGGTTGTGTAAAATGAGTAGAAAATAAGTGTTCAAGGGTCACAGCGGGCAAACTGCCTCCCGATCAGTCCCTTCCCCTTTCTTCTTGGCCAGGTTAGCTGCACTGATGTATCGCTGTGATACCTCCTGATGCTACATCCTATTACTGCTAATTTACATCCTGCGTGGGCTTTCTCTCAAAATGCTGACATGATGCTGCTACATTGATGTTTACTTTTACACCCTCGAGTATCTATCAAGGCAGACATTTCAACATACAGACCCAGTCAACCAAAAGTGTCAAGAGAAGGAAAGTGTCAAGAAAAGATACAGATCGGAAGTAAGATTTTATCAAGGGAAGAGGTATATATGTTTATATTTGAAATTTAAGAGTATAGCAGGGAACCGAATTTTAGAGTCTCGTGAAGTAGCTAAGCTGTAGCAAATTTAGTAGACATTTAATAATTTTTTAACATATCATGAATACTGGCAATTACATCTAAGGTGCTAATATGATAAGAATTATCTCCAGACCACAGAAGATATTGATATACATCTCTAAAGCCAAATATGTAAGTGTTAGTTGAGTGGATTAAGGTAAGTTGTAGTGCGATGGTTGTGGAGAAGTATCACCAAAATAAAAGTCTTACATGAATCTGATGGGGGATATTTTGAGAGTGTCAAATTTATGACTCTGTTTATTTACATAAAATCCAAAAACAGGAAAAAATTATGATAATAGAAATCAGGCAAATGGGCTATTGATAGGAAAAGGGCTCTAGGGAACTTTCTAGAACAAATGGAAATGTTTCATATTTTGATCTCGTGGTGGTTGCACACGTATAAATATAGAGAGATACATTAAGATTGGTTGAATTGTACATGTAGTATATATGTGTTTTACTGCATGCAAATTATAATCTATTGTTTAAGTGTTGTAAATAGTGACAGAGTTCCTAACATAGCAGCAACAGACACAGTGAGAAAAGGATTTCTAAGGGTGTAAAACTAAGGTAACTCAGAAGCATTGGTTCATTCTACATTCACTCATTCAACAACTATTGACTGACAGGCTACTGTACTTTTGCATATGGATACAAATAAGGGGCAGTCACTGCCCTTAAAGTGATTTCCCAGCACAGCAAATCAGCCACTATAACACAGTGTGGAAAATGCAAACGTAAGCTTAGACAAAGCAAGATGGAGGCATGGAAGAGGTGGTGGCTGGCCCAGGCAATGGCTCCTTCATACCATATACAATGTCCTCTGTGAGGTGCTCCTGTCTGTCTCTACAGGCTCAACTCTAGCAGCTTCTCATCTGCAATGCAAATGTTCTAGGACAGCCACTGCCACCACAGTCTTAATGCACAATGCCTTGCAGGAGGTGTCTCCTGCTGGGAAGTCTTTTCTCCTCTTTTTTGCAGGTGCTCTTCTGTCCTGAATTACATGCATCTCTTCCATAGAATCTTGGGAGAGAGTCTGTAGTTACTCAAAGGGATCCCTGACCTGAAAAATGAAGACCACTCTTGCAGCAGATGGGGAGTGGATAGCAGATTTTTAACAGAGGAGTTAAATCGTGATGCTCTGTGAAGAACAGATTTGAGGGAGACAAGATGGACAGCAAGGAAACTTATTTAAAAAGCTCCTATAATAGTCCAGGGGAGAGAGCATGAGGGCTTGAAATTGAGTCATGGTAGTGAAGACAGAGCAGACTGGGTAAATTCTCAGGAAGCAATAGCTTGAAGACTGGCAGGATTGGGAAGTGAGAGAGAAGACCAGCTTTCTAGGTGCTTGGGTGTTTGGTGAGGCCATCTGCCTATCTGGTGAGGGAAAGGAGAGTGGAGGAAGAAGAAGCAGAGTGGAAAAGGAAGGGGATGGTGTAAGGGAAAGACAATCGATTATCTGGGTATGATATATCTAGGAAACATCAATAGAATAAATAAGTACATCTATTGGGTACTCAGTAAGTCTTGTCCTTGGCTCCCTGTAAAACCATCCCTTGTTATGTGTGCAGGGCTTCTGCTATGCACAGCGTTTGCTGGTATTAGAGAAAACACAAGATGGACTGAACATGGATCCTAGTCTCTATTTATTTCTTCTTTATTTTCCTTTAGTAATTTTGTTTATGGAGACTGTACTATCAGGCAGGCACTAGGCCCTGAGAGACAACCATGGCACAGATGAAAGCCCGTACCTGTGAAGAGCTTACCATTTCAATGACATTATTTAGGCATTTACAACAACAGGTTGTTCAGTGCTATAGTGAGGAGGAGTAAAACTACTCAGGTATACACAGAAAAGCCTCTGCCCAACTGCTAGGGATCAAATAAGATTGGCTGAAATGAGCTATCATAGCTGAAATCTGCAGAATGCATAGAAGGAATGAGGGAATGAGGGCGTATGAAAGAGTGATGCAGTCCTGTGGTTTTAACCGTGGCCCCTGGACCAGCAGCAGCATCCCCAGAGAACTTGTTTGAAATGCAGATTCTGTGCTCCCATCAAACAGGGCTGCATCCAAATCTCTGGGGTGGGTCCAGCGCTCTTGGGGATCTCACAGGCCCTCCAGATGGCTCTCTGCTAAACACTAAGTCTGAGAATCACTGCTCTAGGAAAACAAAAACCTGAAGAAAATGGCACACTCGGTGGCAAGAAAGAATGGAAAACAGCTTCCTTTTGTGTAAATGAAGATGTTCAGGGATGGCTGGAGTCTGGAGTTAAGGATGAGCAAACAGATGAGAGAGGACACTGAGATGGAATCAGAGATCAGGTCACAAAATGGTTTGGAGCAATTTGAACTTTATCTTGGGGATACTGGGGAAGGAGCCATTCGCAGGTTTCAAGCCCCAGAATGAAAGGAAATTTCAAGCAGATCACTTTTGTTACAGTGTGGACAATGTACACAATACTTTATCTTTCCTCTGACCTTTTCCTCTTTTCATATTCAATTAAGACGTAGGGAGATAAATGAATAGGTCCTAACAATTCCTTTCTTTCTACACTTTTGTACTGCTTTGACTTACTGATGGATTCTAACAACCTTCTTAAAACAATAAGTAGTTTCTAAAATACTGCAACATTTAATGCACTTAGAGCAGTAAGGAAGGAATTCAAATTCCAGACCAAGAATGCCTTAATTCCCTAGGAGCACATTTCAAGGGCACAGAGAGAAATCTTCAGCTTAATTCACCGGCAGCGTGGTTTATACACGAACAAGGGAAAAAGGATTACTGCCCATGGTTCAGTTCCCAAGTCATCATCATATGACCCATCACTAAACGGCCGAGGAAGAGCTAAAAGAGAATATGGAGTTGATACCATCCACAGTTCTCTCGATGATTTCAAGCATAGACTACGATGGTGAAGGAATTCGAATCCCCAGGAAAACCGGGGATTGCGCTTACTCAGAACATTGCATTTCGCTCTGAAAGAGTCTTAACTTGTTTTGTACTTAGGCACAAAATACAAAGAAAGTGAACATGTTTTCTCCTTAATGTCTACTGTATATACATTTTTACTTGAAAATGCTACTCTTCAAATATTCAATTTAAAAACTAGTTATAGAAAGACTAGTGTGTACAAAATGTTTTCATAAAAGTTGACTTGGATAAGATAATGAAGAAAAATGCATGTGTCCCACTCTCAAGTAACTTATAGTTTCCTGGAGGAAGGAGGGCACTTGTGAAAATCATCAGCCACATGTAAACATAAGTGTTTATGCCAAATCAAAGTGTTTATGCAGTGCCATGGGAGCAGTGAAGACAGAGTGATGTGTTCTACTTCAGGATATAAGGGACTGCATTTGTGCAGAGAAAGGAAGGTGGGTAAGAAAATTCACAATACAGAATGGTATAAACAGGTCAGGAAAGAAAAATATGCGTATTTCACTTTTATACTAATGGATTGTTTAGTATGGAGGTAGACAGTTGTAGATGAGCTAGTTTGGAAACAAAACCCAGAACAATCTGAAGGCCTCTGGAAATCATTAATCTGCTTTCTGTTTCTGGGATTTACCAATTCTGGACATTTCGTACAAATGAGGTTATACCATATGTGGCCTTTTGTGTCTAACTTTTTTCACTTAGCATATTTTCATGGTTTATATATCTGACAGCATGGATCAATATGTCCTTCCTTTTTATATTGAATAATACTCAATTGCAATGGGTATACCACATTTTGTTTGTTTCTTTCAGTAGATGGACACTTAGGTTGTTTCTAGCTCTTTTGCTATTGTGAAGAATGCTATGAATATTCATTCATGTTCAGGTTTTTGTGTGGACATATGTTTTCAGTTCTCCTGGGTCTATACATAGGAGTAGAATTCTGGATCACGTGATAACACTACATTAAAAATTTCGCAGAACTGCCAAATTTTTCCAAAGAGGGCATACTATTTTACAATTCTACTACCAGTGTATTAGGGTTTCAATTTCTTCATATCCTTGTCAGCACTTGTTATTGTCTGATTGACGTTTTATTTTAGCCAGTTATGGGTATGAAGTTTATCTCATTGTAGGTTTGATTTGCATTTTCTTAATTACTAATGATTTGGATCATCTTTTTCTCTCCTTATTGATCAATTGTTTATGTTGTTTGGAAACATATGATTCACGTCCTTTACCCTTTATTATTGGGTTGTCTTTTTATTGTTATATTGCAAGAGTCACTTTAAATATTTTAGAAAAAAGTCCTATATCAGATATAAAATTTTTGAATGTTTTCTCCCATTCTATGTGTTGTGTTTTCACTGCTCTGATGATGACCTATAAAACATAATAATTATCAATTTTAATGTAGCTCAAATTACCATTTTTGTCACTGTGATTTTGGCATGATATCTAAGAAACCATTGCCTAATCCAAGGTCACAAAAATTTACTCCTGTGTTTTAAGAATTTAAAAACTGTAGCCACTGCATTTAGTTCCATGGTCTATTTTTTTGTTAATTTGTGTATATGGTATGAAGTATGGGTCCAAGTTCATTCTTTTGCATATGGATATTCCGTTGTTTCAGCAACATTTGTTGAATAGACTCTTCCCATAGAATAGTCTTGGCACTGTTGTCAAAATTGATTGATCATAAATATAAGTGTTTATTTCTGGACTCTTAATTATATCTCATTGATTTATATATCCAGCCTTATGCCAGTATCACATTGTTTTGATTATTTTGTAGCTTTGTAGTAATTTTGTAATTGGGATATGTCAGTCTTATAATTTTGTTTTCATTTTAAAGATAGTTTTTAGTTATCTGGATATCTTGCATTTATGTGTTAATTCTAAGGTCAGATTGTCAATTTCTGCAAAAAGTCCAGCTATAGTTTTAATAGGGATTGCATTTTATCTGTAGGCCACTTTGGGGGAGCATTGCCATCTTTCCAATATAATGTCTTTCAATCCATGGAAAAGAATGCCTTTCCCTTTGAGGGCTTCTTTAATTTCTCTCAACAATAGTTCATAGTTTTAAATGTACAAATCATGCACTTGTTCTGTTAATTTATCCCTAAGCACTTTGTTCTTTTTGATGCTATTTGTATTTAGAATTGTTTTTGTAAGTTCATTTTTAAGTTGTTCATTGCTGGTTTGTAGAAACACAATGGATTTTTGTTTGTGGATATTGTATCCTGTAAACATTCAGAACTCATTTATTGGTTCTACATTTTATATGGATTTCTTACAATTTTCTATATGCAAGATCATGTTGTCTAAGAATAGATAATTTTGCTTCTCATTTTTTAATCTGAATTACTTTTATTTCATTTTGTTATGTAAGTGCCCTGGCTAGAACATTCAGTACATTATGGAATTGAAGTGTTGAGAGCAGAGAGTATTGTCTTGTTCCTCATCTTAGGAATAAACTTCTATTAGGTTCAGGAAGCATCTTTCTGTTTCTCATTTACTGAGTGTTTTTATCATAAAAGGGAGTTATATTTTGTCAAGTGATTTTTCTGAGTCTACTGTGACGATCATTTGGCTTTTGTGTTACTTTACCTATTAATTTGTCTTTTGTAATACTTTGCCTGTTAATATGATATATTATATTCAGTGATTTTCATGTCTTGGACCAACCTGATACTCCTGGGATAAGTCCAACTTGGTCATAGTGAATAAATCTTTCTATATGTTTCTGCATAGGGTTTGCTAGCATTTTGTTGAATACTTTGCTTTTTATATTCATAAGGGACTTTTGTCTGGAGTTTCTATGGAATGTCTTTGGTTTGGGGATAAGGGCATTCTGGCTGCATAGAGTGATTGGGAAGTGTTCCTTCTTCATCTATTATGACACTAAGTTTTGAAGGTGGCTTCTTACACATAAAAGGATAACTTCCATGAACATAACCAGGAGGGCATGTTACCTAACTAGATATCAAGAAATAAAAAGAGGAGACAAGTAAAGATAAATTTTAGAATGTCTTCAGCATATCCAGAATTGAGGACACATTTAGACACAATCAGTCATTTACATATTTCCAATGTTTTTACAGGCAGACAGAATGTCAAATCCAGAAAGATTATGTAGATTTCCCAGACACACAAATGAGCCCTACCATATTCAGAAAATGCTGAAATCAATTCTTTTTTATATTTTAATCAAATTTAATTAAACTTTAGCCCTCTTAAGACAACGTGCCCAATTTGTTTTCTTGACCTTAAAGTGTTGCCATAATCAATCCCATCTTTCCAAGCCATAAACTTTATTTTACAAGTACACTTAGCTTTACTTTTTGTCTCTCTCATCTCAGCTCCACTCCCTAAACACTATATCGTCTTCAAACATGAAGTGCTATTTCTTGTTTCAGAGTCTTTGTGTTGGAATAACCCCTTCTTCTTAACCTGGCTACATCTCCCCGAGTTGCATACTGGTTTAATTTCAAGACCTAGTTCTTGAAATAATTTTCTTGGTTTATTTTCTCATTTAGCAGGGAAGGCAGGCTCTATTAACAGGGTAGCAAGAATGTAAACTAGGTATCACTCTTGAAGAGTTACCTTTCTCACGGTCTGAAAGGAGGTAATGGGAATGGGTTGTCAAAAGTCAGAGCCTACCCCTCCCAACCCCACCCTGATAGATGGTGCCCCTTCCTCTGAGCCTCCCTTTGTGTAGTGCAGGGACTATCTCAGCACCTGTCACTTTATAGTCCATTTATTTATTTCCTCGAGTGTTTCCTGTGAACTCCATTTGGGCAAGGACCATGTCTTGTTTGACATTTTAACCCAGTCAGAGTACTTGGCACATGTTAAATGTTAAATCAATAAACAGTTAGTGATTTAGTATTTTTAAACCTGAAGGCATTTCTGTCAAGACTGTGCAGACAGTAGCTGGATTTGTCTTATTAGTGTCTACCACCTAAGCATCCTGTCTCCTGTAGAATCTTATATTTTCTTAAAATGATTAGCTTTGGTAAAACTTTGATTCAATGATATTATTACTTTTTTTCTAGTATTAGCATCTTGTCTCTCTTTTTCCTTTTTCCTTGTTAAGGATTCCTTTCCTTAAGCATTCACTAACTCATTAAGCAGGCAACATGCAAGACACAGGACTGTAAAGGCACATATGTTACAGTGTATGTCCAGAGGAGCTGCAGAAGAGTCAACTAAATGGGCAAATAAAATGTTCATATCTTATCCATAAAGTAAAGCCAACAAGCGATTCAAGTCTCTACAAATATGCACATGCATGCATATATATGTGAAGAAAGTAAAGAGTCTACTTTATCAGAATATTACCTGCCTTCCAGCCTGGGCGACAGAGCGAGACTCCGTCTCAAAAAAAAAAAAAAAAAAAAAGAAAAAAAAAAAAAGAATATTACCTGCCTTCTATCTAGCTCATCTCAATACACAACTGGAACACAAGCATTTTGCAGAAATAAGTTGTTTCTGTTTCATGCTCCTTGCCTATTTTTAAAAATAAGTATTATGCCTAAATCCAACAGTTTAGAGCCATAGCTTCAATTCCATTTTTTTTTTCAATTTACAAGTTGGAGGAGCACAGTACCCTAGCTTATCTTCTCTGAGTCTCAACTTGCTTACCTACCCTGGGTCAGAAGACCATTAAACTGGACTACTGTGGGACTGTGTAGAGGGCAGAAGTTCAAATGGAATATCTGAGCCCATGATATGACAGATGTGACTTATCTTTTTAGTAATCACTAATTACTAACTCTATTTATGGACAAGAACCAACATTATTTATTCTGGTTTTATATTCATCAAATGGTCTTTAAAAAGCTTTCCTCATATGTGAATCTCTAAAGACTGTAGTGTTCAAATTTTATAAGGCTCTTGGTGAGGCAGATGGTAAAACATAAAAGTTGTTCTGATTTGAAATTGAATTGAATCCAATACTGGCTACATGTTATTTTTCTAGTAGTTCCAAATTAATTCCTTTTTCATTTGTTTCAGTGTGACTTCCAATTTAGAACTTTTTAAAATGATTAATTTGATTCATTTTTTAAGGTCCTTTTTTTCTCTTTTTATTGTGATGTAACACAACTGAAAACAATAGAGCAGATCCACCACCCAGGTCTTTAAAACTAAAAGGCTGTAAGATCTTACTATGCCATTGTCTCTTTATATTTTATGTTGATTTACTCTTATTTATGGAAAGCTAAATTACGTGGACTCAAATCTTTGAAGTGATACCTCACCTCTTTCAAATTTAGGCAGAATACACATCATTTTCAAAATGATATATGTGATACCTAATGGATATCTTTAATTTTTAAAGTTCATATAAGAATTCATCATTCAAATCATGATGGCTTTTGCACCCACTGAAGACTTTCCTGTCATCTCTTTTATTACTATGAGTCAACTTAATTTTTTACTGAAGCATCTGGAAATGAACTTCCGGTAGACTTATCTATCCAGAGGAAAAAGAGCACTAACACAGACAAGCTGAAAGTAAAGGCAAAAGCTCCTTTTTTTTCTTTTCAACCATTCTGCAATTCTATCTACTTGTTTCTCTCAGCTCTCCTCCTCTCTTCTGCCTCAAGGTCACCTCTTCCTTGTCAAGATAGCTCTTGGCCATTTGCTTATCAGAGTCTCTGCCAGATCCAGCAATACTGCAGCCAAGAATAAAGCAAATATAAGAAGGAGGATTTACTATAAATGGCAGCGTGAATGTGGCTGAACTTAAAATGCTTGTATAACTTCGACATCGCACGCTTCCATCAGCACCTATGCATGCAATTTGAAATGATTTTAGAGTAGCACTGTGCTCTATGCTTCTTCATAAACAAGGGCAGGGGCCTTGTCTTTCTATTTCTCCAGATGAACCAACACACAGGAGGATTTCAACAATAAGAGAAGAGTACTTTTGCCCACAAAGCGCTCCAGGTCCCAAATATTTTGAAGTACAGTACAAGAAAAAATGTCTAGTGCAGCGTAATCATTAAAAAAGAGCCCAAGAGAGGAAATGGCTGAGGCAGGCAAATATTAGTAAACTTAATCAATTTCATGGAAAGGCATCGACGGAGCACACACAGTACATTCTGACTATGTGTGTGCTGGTCCAGTCCCTGTGTTAGTCCTTATGTGCACTCTCTCCTTTAATCCTTGCCACCTCCTCATCCTACAAACTCTGTACTACTGTTAGTCCATTTTACAGATGGACAAACAATGTCTAGAGAGGGGATTGTCAAGGTTGAAGAAAGAGTAAGCCTGGATACCCGTTTCAGGTGTAACACTCAGTCAGTCCCAGAGCTTCACATGAACTTTATTCTGTTTGTTCCTAAATAATTTCCTGTTTCTCTTATATACTTTATGAAATTGTCAGGACGGTCTGACAATTTCCTTTTGGGCCCAGTGTTTTCCTCCCCAGCACTCTTTCAAGTGTCCATGATTCATCCTTTCAGATGACTGTAGTGGTGTTCCTTCTAGCCAATCTCTTTATGCAGGGCCATTCCATGAGGCTTTTACTCAAATAACTATCGTTTTAGAATGTCTATCTACAGTCTTAACATTATTCTACAAATGGTAGGGCCATCATGACCTATATTAAAAACAGAAAGGATTAGTGTCGGATTCAGTTCAGATAAATAAATAAATAAATCTCTGTATAAAATTCACTTTTATTTTATTTTTAAAATTTTTTAAATTGAAGACAAAGAAGCAGAAATGAAATTTCCACGCTATCAAATGCGGCTGAATCTTGGCTTCTGCTGTGCTCATGTTGCTGAAGTCCTTCTCTGATCTCCCTCTAGTGTCTTTTGTTCAGTACTACATTTACTCATCAGCTTAATGACTTCAAAATTGTTCCTTCATTCATTCACTTGGCTGATAGCATTGAGCACCTGTTTGGGGCCAGGCACCTCGCTGGTGTATGTGCCGTGAGCAGAACAGACCTGGGCCCTGCCCTCATGGGATTCACAGTCTAGAGAAAGGCTAAGCGTTAAGGAACCGTGGTGGCCCAGAGCACTCCCACTGTCTTCCCTTTTTCCGAAGCCCCCTTTGTCTTTGCACCCATTTCTAGCCCTTTCTCCCCAGTGCAAAGCCTGCAGCCCCAGCTGTGTGTGATACAGAATAAGAAGAAGGGCTGGGCAGATCAAGGAGAAAGCACAGGAGAAGGCCATGAGAAGAATGAGGAGGAAACTTCCAGGGACTCCATCGTTTCCTGGGCTGGCCTGCAGACAGGCTTGAGTTGTCGGCCAGTGAGAGGAGCTGAACCTGCCTATGGAAAATAAGGCAGTGAGGAAGAGAGATTGTGAAGAGTGTTGCTGGGGTCACCATTGAGTACCTTTCAATGTCCTTCAAAAAATAAAGATTAAAAAATTTTTTTACATTGATTTTGGTTACAAGGATTTACTTTCAAAAATCTCATCGTGGGGTAGCTCACACCTATAATCCCTGCACTTTGGGAGGCTGAGGCAGGTGGATCCCCTGAGGTCGGGTGTTTGGGACCAACCTGGCCAACATGGTGAAACCCTGTCTTTACTAAAAACACAAAAAATTAGCTGGGCATGGTGGTGCATGCCTGTAATTCTAGCTATTCGGGAGGCCAAGGCAGGAGAATCACTTTAACCCTGGAGGCGGAGGTTGCAGTGAGCTGAGATCGTGCCACCACACTCTAGCCTGGGTGACAGAGCAGGACTGTCTCAAAAAAAAAATCATTTGTGGGTAAGTGGGTTCAGATATTTGTTTCTGCACTGATATATATGTATTTATGTATGTGTATATGTATGCGTGTGTGTATTTATTATGTTTAACATACATATAGCAATTGTGAAAAATACCATGAAAGTCAGGAATAGGTTAAGATGAAAGAGAAGAACAGGAATGGTGTAATTTAGCTGTGGGGTGCAAGGAAGGGTTCTGGCTAGGTCCGATGAGAAAGCTTTAAGACAAGGTGTGCATGATGAATCAGCATTAGTTGGGGAAGGCTCCTAGGCAGAGCGTGCAGCATGGGTCACTCGTATATAATGGCAAATTATTAGCAGAGGAACCAAGAAAACACCCACATAGCTACAGGGGAGCAGGGCAAAGGCAGAAGCCATGCCACCAGGAGCTACAAAGGCTGGATAACAGGCCCTGATGCATGCAGTAAAGGTCACATTTAGATGCCGCCCTAGGCCTATGTGCACGACTAAAATGATCATGTGAAGCTTCCAAAACAGTGACGGAAACTAAAATCAGAGTTTCCAGAAATCTGCAAAACTGAAAGTGATAATTATCGATCGTTAGAATTACAAAGTGCTGTAGGAAAGAGATCCCAACTAGCTGAGAAAATCAAGGGAAGCTTGATGATGTTTACACTGCCTATTTTTAAAATGGGCAGTTTTTAGACATGCTGAGATTGAGCTGAGAGAGAGCACTGTAGGATCAGAGAACAGGAACAAGAGAGAAGAGAGGGGTGAAACCCTAAGAGAACAACCAGTAGTTAAGGTTTAGCAGAAGCATGGCAGCTGGAAGGACTGTAGAGGGTGACAGGGCACGTAGCTCCCTTGTGTTATTGGCTGGCTTTGGAGAAAGTGTGAGCACATTGAGTTCAGTCCCAAAAAGCTCCACAAGAGGCAGTGGAGGTGTCGGGGTTCCATTCTTTCTATACCAACACTACCCCTCTAAGAGTCTGGGAGCAAGTACATGTATTAGTTTGTTATTTACTGTATTAGTTTATTTTCCTGCTGCTATGAAGACATACCCAAGACTGGGTAATTTATAAAGGAAAGAGGTTTAATTGACACAGAGTTGTGCATGGCTAGGGAGGCCTCAGGAAATGTACAATGATGGCAGAAGGGGAAGGAAACATGTCCTTCTTCATATGGCACAGGAGAAGTGCTAAAAGAAGCAGGAAAAGCCCCTTATAAAATCATCAGATCTCATAATTCACTCACTGTCATGAGAACTGCATAGGGGAACCACCCCCATGATCTAATCACCTCCCACATGGTCCCTCCCCCAACACGTAGGGATTACAATCCAGGTTAAAATTCAAGATGAGATTTGGGTGGGGACACATAGCCAGACCATATGATTCCACTCCTGGCTCCTCCCAAATCTCATATTTCTCACGTTTCAAAACACAGTTATGCTTTCCCAACAGTTCCCCAAAGTTTAAACTGTTTCCAGCATTAACCCAAAGTCCAAGTCCACAGTCTTATCCAAGACAAGGCAAGTCCCTTCCTCCTATGAGCCTGTAAAACCAAAAGCAAGTTAATTACTTCCTAGATACCATGGGGATACAGGCATTGGGTAAGTACACCAGTTCCAATGGAAGAAGTTGGCCAAAACAAAGGGGTTACAGACCCCATGAAAGTCCAAAGTCCAACAGGGTAATCATTAAACTTTAAAGTTACAAAACGATCTCCTTTGACTCCATGTCTCACATGCAGGTCATGCTTATGCAAGAGATAGGCTTCCATGGCCTTGGGCTGCTCCACCCCTGTAGCTTTGCAGGGTACAGCTCCCTTCACCCCTTCCACTCCCTGCTTTCATGGGCTGGCACTGAGTGTCTGTTGCTTTTTCAGGTGCACAGTGCAAGCTGTAGGTGGATCTACCATTCTGGGGTCTGGAGTATGGTGGCCCTCTTCTCATAGCTCCACTAGACAGTGCCCCAATGGGGACTCTGTGTGGGGACTCCAACCCCATATTTCCCTTCCGCACTGCCCTAGCAGAGGTTCTCTGAGGGCTCCACCCCTGCAGCAGACTTCTACCTGGATATCCAGGCATTTCCATACATCCTCTGAAAGCAAGGTGGAGGTTCCCAAACCTCAATTCTTGACTTCCGTGTACCCAGAGGACAAATATCATGCAGAAGCTGTCAAGGCTTGGGACTTCCACCCTCTAAAACAAAGGCCCAAGCTGTACCTTGGTCTTTACCCATGGCTGGAGCTGAAGCAGCTGGGACACCTAGTGCCATGTCCTGAGACTGCACAGAGAAAGGGGGCCCTGAGGCTGACACACAAAACCATTTTTCCCTCCTAGGCCTCTGGGCCTATAATGAGAACGGCTGAGAAGGTCTCTGACATGCCTTGGAGACAAATTCCCCATTGTCTTGGTGATTAACATTTGATTCCTCATTACCTATGCAACTTTATGCAGAAGACTTGAATTTCTCTCCAGAAAATTGATTTTTCTTTTCTATCACAACATTAGGCTGCAAATTTTCCAAACTTTTATGCTCTGCTTCCCTTTTAAACATAAGTGCCAATTTCAGACAATCTCTCTCAAGTTCAAGTTCCACAGATCTCTAGGGCAGGGGAAAAATGCCATCAGTCTCCTTGCTAAAGCATAGCAAGAGTGACCTTTGCTCCAGTTCCCAAGAAGTTCCTCATCTGCATCTAAGACTACCTCAGCCTGGACTTCATTGTCCATATCACTATCAGAATTTTGGTCAGAACAATTCAGCTAGTCTCTAGGAAGTTCCAAACTTTTCCACATCTTCCAGTATTTTTCTGAGCCCTCACAACTGTTTCAACCTTTGTCTATTACCCAGTTCCAAAGTCACTTCCACATTTTCAGGTAACTTTATAGCAGCGCCCCACTACCCTGGTACCAATTTACTGTATTAGTTCATTTTCATGATACAATGAAGAAATACCCCAAACTGGGAAATTTATAAAGGAAAGAGGTTTAATTAACTCACAGTTCTGCATGGCTGGGGAGGCCTCAGGAAACTTACCATCATGGCAGAAGGGGAAGCAAACAAGTCCTTCTTCACATGATGGCATGTGAGAAAAGTGTAAAGTGAAGGAGAAATAGCCCCTTATAAAACCATCAGTCTCATGAGAACTCACCCACTATCATGAGAACAGCATGGGGGAACCGCCCTCATGATCCAATCACTTCCCACGTGGACCCTCACCCAACATGTGGGGATTATAATTTGGATTCCAATGCAAGATGAGATTTGGGTGGGGACACAGAGCCAGACCATATCAGTACCCTGCAACATTGCAGGATACTTGGACATTGGAAGGGATTTTTTTTCACATGGAGCAAATCAGATGATGAGTATTCCTGTAAGATAAACAAAGATAGATTACTAAGATGGGCTCCTTAAAAGCAGTGCTAATTACATTTTTGGCACTCATGGCTATATTTAGCTTTCAAATATAGTTCTTTCACAGGAGTCCACATTATGTCTAAGAGTCAGTCCTTTAAGAAATGATCATATAAAACTGAACAAGCATATAACTGTGATACAGGACTATGATAAAGGATACAAGGGCTTTGCTTATTATCAGAACCCATTGCCACTACCGATATGGTTTGTTTCCCACAGAACACTCCACTGATAATTCCTGAAAAAGTAGAAATGTTTACACATGGATAGAATATTTCAAAAGTGGATCATCCTGCTGGGACATTCCAAATCCATTAATCCAGCTAGACAACCACCAATCCATCCATCCAACTATGCATCCAGCCATTTACTCAATAATATGGTACCCATTACCATGAACTGTGCAGAGGTATACAAGTGGAAAAACAGACATTGTACCTGCTCTCTAAGGCTGACAACGTAGTGAGGAAAACAGAAACACAGTTGCAATTAAGTTGGTAAGTGCTTATTTAAAACCCTTCCGTAAAATAAATATCAGCTAAAGGAATATTCATCAAAATAAAAAAAGTCAAGGATTACACTAACATTTATGATAGAAAAGTTCAGAATCCAGGACCTGAATTTATATATTAAAGATGACTTCAACAATTCAAAACTTTAAATCAACTTCAATGTTAATATTTGAGCTAGTGTTGTCAAGAATTTCTCCACTAGCATTTCAACTTTGGTTTGGTCATTCTGCTAGTTCTTTTGTGCTATCACCATTGCAATAAATGGCCCCATTCACTCACTATGATTTTCATCTATACTTCTCTAAATGTTACTTCATTTCCTTGGTGTTACTACTGCATTCTTTTTTCAAATACTACATTCAGTATTTTAGTCCTTGCCTGGCCTTCCCAAAAGGAAGTTTCAGATTTAGTTACTTGGTGCAGGGATGTCTTTTTCACCAAAATATCCTAGTATGCCTCATTAGGTTATACACAATATAGGCACTGATACAGTCTGGCTCTGTATCCCTACCCAAATCTCATCTTAAATTGCAATCCAAATTGTTCCCCACTCTTGGGGGAGGGACCTCATGGGGGGTGATTAATCATGGGGGTAGTTTCCCCATGCTGTTCTTGTGAGAGTGAGTGAGTTCTTACAAGATCTGATGGTTTTAGAAGGGGCTTTTCCTCCTTAGCTTTGCATTTCTCTCACCTGCCGCCTTGTGAAGAAGGACATATTTGCTTCCCCTTATGCCATGATTATAAATTTCCTGAGGCCTCCCTAGCCAAGCAGAACTGTGAGTCAATTAAATCTTTCTTTATATATTACCTGGTCTCAGCTATTTATTTGTAGCAGTGTAATAGCAGACTAATACAGGCACTCAATATATTTATTGAATGTATTTGTTATTGATCAAGGATAATTAGTGTTTAAGAAAAAAAGATTTGGAAAAGAGTAATCTATTAAAGCTTGACTGAGAGACAGGCAAATAGCATAAGCATATGTGTCAGCTGTAACAGGATGATTTATTGAACTGCCTTTGTTCATTTAACCTGGTACAATCATAGCCACCAAACTGCTAAATATAGCAAAATATAGATAGTGCTATAAGTGACAAAATAAGCCATTCAAATGAACTCAGAGTAGGAGAAAATTAACAAGTTCATCCGAAGAAGTTAATCACATGAATTGAAAGAAAAAAAAGTAGCTTAAATTTAAAATGTAAAGACAATGAACTATCCAAACATCAAACGTTATCATTAGATAATATAAATATTATTTCAAAGATTCAACATCTAAAATCATAAAAAACCAAAGTTGTATATGAAATTGATGAATAACATATTTCATATTAAGTCCATGAATTTTTCCCAACTTTGGTTCAATTTAGAAATAAACTATAACTAATTTTAGAGCCAATTAACAATTCAGAACACATGCACTATCTCTATTAGGAAAAGTAGTCAATTTAATGCCTCCAAGATTGATCAAAACATTGTAAGATGATGTAAACATGTCCAGGATTTTCCTAATTAGCAAAACTGACCATTCCCTCTGTCTCTTCATCTCCAACACAATCATGACACACATCAAATCTAATTCTCAGTTGGTTTTTAGGCGAGATGTGTGTTTCATGATATCTCAAAATATTCCTTTGGAATATATTTTTTAAAACAAAGAGCAAATCCCTCATAATTCATTTTAGATTTTGAGTCTAAATACTCATTTATTACATACTTTTCAATAGGCTCATTATTTCACTTCCAAACCACATACTGCTTAACCAGGGCTTAAATGGAAACTGGACATTTTTCCAGGTTCTTTCTCCAGGAATGTTCCCTCAATTCAGGATATGCTTTTCCATACCTGTTCCACTACTTCATAGCAAGTGTTATATTTTCTCTAGTTTTGCCTCAAATTCATTAGAAACTTTTTAGTCAATAAGAGAAAGCTGCAGGAGTAGAGATGGAAAATGGATTCCATTGGTGGTAGTTTAAAAATGAAGATTCTTCTACAAATATGGAACTATTTTCTGGAGTGAAAATATTCCTCAGTATTGTCCAGAATATTGCAGGACCAAACCACCCACTTCCAACATAGCCTTTATTTAATATTTCAAAGTCAAGACAGATTGATTTCTCAAAAGCAAGACTCTAGGCCACAGTTGCAACATACCATGTGATTTTTTTCCCCATATTTGGTTACATTTTAATGTTTTCATTTATTAGTGACATATTCTATGACTATGTTGATTTTCAAAAAATTCCCTTGGAAGAAGAAATTAAATTACTGTCAAAACATCTTCAAAACTCCTACCAATATCTTAAAAATCTACACATGTTCAAGATCGCAATTACGTAGAAAATGACTAGCAAAGAGTGCATCAGAGAGGCAAGAGTTAAGGAAAGGAAAAACAGCCTACAAAGAACCAAAGGTGCAAGAGGTCTACATCTTATAAAAACTGATGAAATGCTGTATGCTTGTGTGGGTGGTGCCTCAGTCCATTCAGGGTCCTAAAAGAGAATGCCTGAGGCCACATGGCTTAAATCACAGACATGTACTTCTCAGAGTTGTGAGGCTGGGAAGTCCCGGATCAAGGCACTGGCAGACCTGGTGTCCAGTGATGGAATTCTTCCTGGGCTGTTTTTTTTTTTTTTTTTTTTTCATCATATCCTCACATAACAATGAGAGAGAGAGAAAACTCTAGTGTGTCTTCTTATAAGGGCACTAATCTCATCATGAGGGCCCCACCATTATGACTTCCTCACCACCCCGTGGCCCAGCCTCCTAATATGACCACACTGGGGATTTCGGTTCAACATATGAATTTGGTTGCGTCACAAACATTCAGTCCACAGCAGGTTGAAAGAATTGAGAGCACCAATTTCAAAGTCACACTCTCCCAAATTGAGAGGCCTGAGGAAATGTAGGCTCCTGAACGTCTTGGTGAACTGCCTCAGGATAACATAAAGGTCACATAACCAAACACTCAGCAGTGTTCACCCACTGCCTACCTTGCCTTATTCTAAATACAAGGACTAGAAATATGAAGGACTAGGCTCAGGGCAGGGTTGGAAGTTGGGACAAAGGTCTGGGATGCAGGTGAATGTGCATAGCCTCTGGGTCCCTAGGATTATCTTATAACTTCTCTGGACACAGCCTCCTCATATACCCTGCATGGAAGAATTTAGAATCATCTTGACACTTGAAAAAAATTACTATATTGTCATATTTAAAAAGAAATAAACTGTCTAGTCCCCAATCGGATTTTAGATGACCATATAATTCATAGTTCTTTAAGTAGAGAAGAACTAATTTGGTTTTCCCCTTTGTTTCGTCTGCATATAATTTATATATATGTGATTTAAAATTATGTTCCTTCTCATTTTTTAAAAATATCTATTGGGATGGAACCTACTGAAAGTTCAAATAATTACTCTGCTGGTGGTGTACAGCTAAAATAAATAACAGGAAATTCTCTAACAGGTTTCAGGGAGCTCTCTAATTTTCCACTTTCTCACAACACAGTCCAAATTCATCAAATACTAGATGTTACTTTTGAAAGCTTAAAATTCAGTTGCGGTGCTCCATGGGACACACATCTGCAAAGGGAAACGATGCACTGAATGAAGCACACATCCACAGTGATCTCTGTCTACCTCGCAAAAAAAGTGGTCCCTTTGTAAGGCTTTTATATGGGTCAAAACACCCTACCTGCTGAGTTCAAAGCCACACAAGAAGCCCTCAAGTAAAAAGGACCTGGGATTACTTTTTTCTCTCTCTCTTCATATTTCTTTCTGTAAAATTAAAAAAAAATCTTCATGAGGATAAGTGGCATAAAAATAAGCCCATTTTCAATAAGACCTGCTGGAAAATATAAAGTTGGAAAAGCTTATTTACTTTTAAAAAACCGTAGTAAAATAAATACAGGTTGGCATTTAAGGCAAGACCGTTATCACTAACAGGTCTGTTAGGGGCTGCATTTACTACATTTTGCAAAAGCAACCATAAAATGAAAGAAAAAATAGTGTTCTTGTTCATACCATGGTTGCTAAGTTTCAAAGTATTTTCACTTCAAAGTCCTAGAATTTCTAACAGAAAGTAAAATAGTTCAGCCATGACACTAGCTCTAGGGTATGGTTTTCCCCACCATTTACCTTTTGTTTTTTAGTTTTGCTTCTCTCCTAGGGAACTATTTTTAAATGTAGTAAATTCTATAGTAGTAAAAATTTCTAAAGATGATTGATGGAACTTAAAGTCTTCTGAATGTATAACGGTCAACAGTAGCAGCGTTAATAATACAATGTTAACAAAGGAAAGTTATTGGCTTCTCACAAGGTACTGGACACTATGCTAAGCACCTTTGATGCATTGTGTTATTTCAATGCTCACAGCTCTATGTAGTAGGTAAAATGTTATAATTACCCACATTTCATACAAAAAGACTGCAGCTTAGAGAGAAGTTCAGCAAATTAAGCAATGCCAATGATCAGCAAATATCAGAGCCAAAGTACAAAAGCAGTTTTGTCTGACATAATCAGAAACTCTTGAACAACCTTTGTTCATCAATTTCCCCCTACCCTTACACTCTCTCAGGGCAGTGTTGGCAAAAGTTTTGCATCAGAATCAGAGTCCAAGAAAATGTAATCTTAAAAAGTCAAGGATTAGGTAAATAGGAGTAATTAGAGAAGTACTGCTGACTTTTTTTCAGCTGAATAATTTTGTTTGTACAAATAAGTCCTGGGGGTGTGTCTAAAAATACAATGGATGACTGTGCAAATAGATGGCCAAATTACTGGACGTGGAATTGAAGAAAATTTTCCCAAACTTTACATAAAATCTGCTATGCTCACAAATGGCCTTTGTGAATGGATTTTCTGTTGTTTACTTTTCTTTCCATGCCTGTACAAGGCTACAAAGAAAGGACCTCATTTCATGTCCGAACTCTCTCAACCCAAAACTGGGAAAGCATGTGAGTTTTGTGAGACAGACAGAAAATTATAGTAATTGGTGGAGGAGTAATTTAGAGCCAAAAGGAATCATAAAAATTTTCAGCTCCCTGGGAATTCACAGAAACCTCACAGCGGGCATTTGATATTTTTTTTAATGCATTTGAGATAGCTCTACTTCTTCACTGATTCCAAACATACGGATGGAGGGCTATGATCTAGATGCTCTTCTATATGGTACGTATCCTTCTTAGCTATAAGCTGACTGTGACCTATGACTGATACTTGAATTACAAAGTAACAGCCTAGAGTGAACACAACCCTTGTTTTCCCAAGGTATTTATGAAAAAGAATACCACAAGTGGGACGGTAAACTAGTTCAACCATTGTGGAAGTCAGTGTGGCGATTCCTCAGGGATCTAGAACTAGAAACACCATTCGACCCAGCCATCCCATTACTGGGTATATACCCAAAGGACTATAAATCATGCTGCTATAAAGACACATGCACATGTATGTTTATTGCGGCACTATTCACAATAGCAAAGACTTGGAACCAACCCAAATGTCCAACAATGATAGACTGGATTAAGAAAATGTGGCACATATACACCATGGAATACTATGCAGCCATAAAAAATGATGAGTTCATATCCTTTGTAGGGACATGGATGAAATTGGAAATCATCATTCTCAGTAAACTATCGCAAGGACAAAAAACCAAACAACACATGTTCTCACTCATAGATTGGAATTGAACAATGAGAACACACGGACACAGGAAGGGGAACTTCACACTCTGGGGATGGGGTGGGGGGAGGGGGGAGGGATAGCATTAGGAGATATACCTAATGCTAAATGACGAGTTAATGGGTGCAGCACACCAGCATGGCACATGTATACATATGTAACTAACTGGCACATTGTGCACATGTACCCTAAAACTTAAAGTATAATAAAAAAAAAAGAAAAAAAGAAAAAGAATACCTACACAAGGAGAAATAAACCACAGGTAATTTTGTTCAGCACTCCAGTTGTTCATACACATGGATTTCTTGCACTTGATATCAATTGAAGCAGTTTTATGTTCCAATGAATAAAAATGGTGCGAGAGGAGATCATACTCATCCTTACAAATCACATAAGAATTCAACACGTACTTATTCATTCCTGCCTATTTCACCATTGAAACAATTTTTTCTATGAAGTAGCAAGTCCAGGAACAGAAAGTGGACACTTTCAACTCATATTTGTCAGTAGCAGCTAAAATACAAACAAAACAAAAAGTGTCAACCTATCACTTGAATAACAACCTTTAAAAATATTGTTCTACCATGGAAAGACAATTTGCTTTTGGTTTGTTATATGCATTTGAATTTAATTCTTAAAAATATGGAAATAAAAAATCTTCCAGATCACTTAACACAAATAAGAATTTTATTATTTCTGTATTAGAGGTGAGAAGTTTAGTGTTGTCTCTCTGTCTGTCTGTCTGTCTCTCTCTCTCTCTATCACTACAATGTTTATTTATGGAAAGCCACACACAAATTACTACCACTAGAGTGTCAGCGACTTGAAGGCCGGAATCAGATTCACTGTGTGATTCATTCTGTGCCCTGTTGCACAATCTCTGGCTCATGGCAGTGCTCAATAAATATTTGTGGAATAAACAAATGAAAGTAACGCTGATATTGATCTCTGCCCCCTTTCCCACATGTCTCACTAAAGCGGCTATCTCCAAGGTGCTGGTGATTCACCTTTTCAGTACTAATGGTATTTTCAGCAGTGGAGCAGCCGTGGATAGGGAATGGTGGACTACTCAAAAGCAGAATTATTCTAAGGCAACTTCTCACTTGCAATAAGGGCTGGTAAAGTAGGAAAAGTTATCTTTTTCTATTATGTATCCCTGTTTCTAAACATACATATAGAGTTACAAGATTATAAATAATATGAATTGGTTTTCCATCTTGAAACCATCCCACAGATATAGAAGACCTTACAATGGTTATGAAACACAACCTAATGTTCTTTACCTTGACCATGACCGCATGAAACCACCGGTAATCACACACAGGCAATTTTGTATGTTTCAAGCTGATCAAAAGCAAACCATGGCTGACTGAAATTAGAAAGTGGAGGGGAACGGCAGGGCAGGAGAGGGCAGGAGAACTACCAATTGCATTTTATAAAATGAGTTGAGAAATACTGTCTATAGTTGATAGAACAACAAATATAGGCTTAAGGGTTTTTGAAGTTACCAAGGTGACTGACAGGAGAAAAACTAAAAGTTACATGTATATATTAAACACAATGGGGTGATAGGAGATGGAGAGTGGTGTAGGATGAGCTGAATCCCTATCCATAATAGCAGGATATCAATAAGACAACATCTAAAAAAAATTTCAGACTTGACATATTATTTAGGAATCTGGAGATAAATCCTCCCAAAGCTAACATAAATAGTTAAATGTTTTGCTCTGGGGTGCAAAACTAGGTAAGAATAGCTACAGGGAGATTGTAGGTTTTCCTTATGAACCTTCAGTATCATTTGGTTTATTTTCACCATGTGTATTTATCACTTTGCTATAAATATATATCTTAAGAGAGTAACAAAAATGTCTAACTCATGAGTTTGTTGTAAGCATGTAGTGAAATAACGCATATGAAGAACTAACATCTGAGTAAAGGAAGCATTCATAAATGATGGCTGTTATTTTTTAACTTAAACAATTTGTATTGATGCATAATAGATGTATATAGTTTCAGGGTACATGTGATAATTTAGTACATTCATCTAACTTTTACAAACCAAATCAGCGTACTTAGGATCCATCACTTTAAGAATTTGTCTTTTCTGTATGCTAGAAACATTTAATTATGCTCTTCTGTTTTGAAATGTACAGATTGTTGTAACCTTAGTCACCCTGCTGATCTAGCTAACACTAGGTTTTATTTCTTCTATCAAATGGTAGTGATTGTTTCGTAGAAATAAAGTGTCAAGGCTGAAAAATTCAGACAACCTAGATACACTGTTTTTACCAAAAGTACATTATGTTTTGTGAAAATATGACATATGCAAAACACATCACATATTGTAAAAAAAAGGTGTCAGTTTTAATTGTATGACACATACCATACAGGCATTTAAAATGAATGTGTATGTGCTCTTGAATAAGAAAAAATACTATTTTCTATTATGAGCTTCAATCTTAAATTGTACACAAGACTTTGCTAAAGCATTTATACCTGAAAAAAATCACTTTTTTTGTCTGTCTTTCAAAACTTTTCAATATTTCCTCTTCACTCACGAAGACTTTCAGAATTTGGACTTTTTTTTTTAGCTTTAATTAGAGTTAAAATTTTAAAGAGAATGATTGAATTAGGCTGAGCTGAATCTAGCTATCAGAAAGCAGAAACAAAAACCAAAGCAAAGAAAAATGTTTTGATACTGACATATGCACATTTTAAAGTTAAAACAAGGGAACTGAAATTCACTTGTGGAAAATGCAGAGTTAATCCTGCATGGATTTCTCCTGTTCTTCTAAAAGGAAGAGTGAACCAGAGCTGACCCACTTACCACAATGTGGATGAGAGGCTCCAACCAGAAGGAAAATACAACCTTTGGAAATCTCTCCTCTGCTTTCACTGAAAGTCTCCGAGCGCAGTTCTGGTCCACGCTCAGAGTCTGACACATCCCTCCCCCGTCCCCACCTCTCAACACACACAGCTGATGAGGCCGATTCCTGTAGATCGACTTCAAAAAAGAAAAAGTCATTCCAGAAAACACATCAGCTCAGGCTGACTCAAAGGCAGCCCCAAATTCAGCCCACAGCGGTTGGCTGCTGTCCTTTTATGACTGGAGAGCTGGAGTGCAGCTCTTTAATTAAAAGGGAAGCCTTAGCCTGCTCAAGGTAAAAAAAAAAAAAAAAAAAAAAGGACTTAATTTCTGAATTTGCATTGAACTCTGACACGTGCACTCCTTTTTTTCTGTAAAACCACTCAAAGTAGCCACCACAATGAACATTAAAATCCATACAATAAAAAAAGTTAAAGGTTTACACAGAAGGACTGGAGTTGAAGCTGGGCAGACAGAAGAGGAGGCGTGAAGATCAGCAGCGTTATTTATTGGAAGGATCAGAGGCTGCTTAGGGCCAAGTCCTTGCTTTCTGTCAAAACACTCCCAGCAGGTGGAGAGGGGGCTGACTGTCTAGTGATTAGAGAGCCAAGAGGGACTTGAGCATCTGCAGGGGAGCGACTGCCTGGGGTATTAGAGACCTGATTAACCTTCCACTAAAAGAACGGAACTACCTTCACTGCGCTAGTTAATCAATCACTTAGGGATGTAACCTTATATAATATGCAAAATTGTTTTTGAACTTTTTTTTTAACTCAAGAGCAAGCTGTAAGTCAGGCTCTTTATAAAACATATCAGAGTCAGACCCTTCCAGCCATGTGGGGTGGGGAGATTTGACCTGATTCCATTAATCCATTCAATTTTGTGGAATGAATTAAACAAGCCTACTAGTACTAAGACAACTGGAGCAAAACTAATAAAGCCAATATGAACTGTGAATTTCCAATCTGGATATTCCAGGCTTCTGTGACTGGTCCCTGAAAGAAATCCATATGTATCTATAAAACAATTAGAGCTAATTTAAGAAGAGAGATGCCATGTACTCACCACAGAAGTCAAGATTTTGACATTTTCACTTTAGAGTTCAGAGAGTCAAAATACCCATGCAGTATGTAGACTGAATGTATTTAAGAATTTAAAGTCAGGAAAGGAATAAATTCGCTTTTGATCTGTGTGAGCCAGAATTCACTGTGTCTTAACCCTTCAGCAAAAGTTATCCATAACTGATGATAAAGAGGCAAAAAATTATTCCTCTCCCTCAGCCTCTGTGAATCATATCATCAGAGAAACTTCTGTTTAGAAGAGTGCTGCTGAAGACTGGTTCACACTCATTTCCCAATGCAGAGATCCAACAAATGTATGACTGAATATTTCTAAGAATGTCACATATCAAGCAGGCAATGGTACAAGACCTGTCATTCGCTCAGCAACACTGGGCTGGTGGGGGCTACAAGAACAGACTCAGCTCCAGGAATTGCAACAAAGGATGCAAAGAAGTGTCCCTGCATAGTGCTTCCAGGATGTCTGAAATTATCCAGCACCGAAGTGCCGCATCAGGGGAATTGAGGAATTCCAGTGCAGGTCAGTTGAGGCCAATCCTCCAGTATATGGTTTCCAAAATATTTGTTAAAAGATGGCCATGTAATAATCACCTGGCTAGGGAGGAGAGCAGCTGGCAAGAGCTAGAATAACCAGCTGGGATTCAAGAAAGACTTATTAGGGAAAGAATGAGGGAAGCAGGCATTGTGAAGGAGGGAAAGAGTGCCAGTGCTCTCCACCACGACCTGCGACCTGCAGGGACACCTGAGGCTAAACCAATTAGGGTTACCATGGCTGCAATGAGGGAGAATGCAGGCAGTGAGGCATCGTGGGGCATCTCAGCAAGAGGGACTTACAGGATGTAGACTTGTGTTAGGTAATTTTAGAGGGTGTTCAAGGAAGTGGGATATTCTGTGGGTTGGATGCTGTCAGGACATGGATTAGTTCTATGATTGGCCTCATGGTAAATCTTATCTCTAAGGAGTGAGGACAAGAGCCAGGCTAAGGCTGTAATTGGTCAAGAAGCAGCATCACTCAGATTAGCCAGCAAGGGTGTCTTGGGTAGCCCGTGTTTGAGTGGCCTGAATAATAATCACGTTTGTCTGTGTTCATATGTTACAGAGGGGTCTTGTTCCATCATGAGCACAGAGACACCTGGTCTGAGACTTGAGGTTTGGAAAAATTGTTTATGTTCAGTGGAACACCATGGGCCAGCTGTGTCTGCCAGCTGCACCCTCCTGGGTGTCAGAGGCTGTTCTGTGCTTCTCAGAGGAGGACAGCAGGTGAGGTATTATTGCTGGGACAGAGGGCGTGACATGCTAACAGGGCTTGGGAGCGACATAGGAGCCCGACAGACTCTAAGTGCGACTTCATCACGGGTATCTGAGCTGGAGTGTTGACCTCGGCTTTGGAGAAAGGTGTGTTTAGTGGATTCATGGGTGAAGCTCTGAAAAAGGCAGAGCCTGGGGCTAAATGTATCCATATCCTCAGTAGCTAGTCACACCTGTTCATGTCTAGTTTTACAGGTAACAACTTCCTAATGTCATGGGTTAAGATACACCACTATGTAAACCATAGTCTTTATTTCCCACTTTCAAAATTCACAGGAAAACAATTCGTCCGTGGGGCTTCATACTCTGAAGCACAGACTGCACCGTCCTGCCGTGGGTGGTGTCTCAGGTGCGTCCAGGTGAAGGAAACACTGCGGTCTTGAGAGCAGCTCCTGCCCCTGCCGGCAGCTCCCTCCGGGAACTGATTCCCAGAATCCGTTGCCAGAAACCTCTGTTCTGTTGGATTGACCCAACTCCAGCCTGCCTTGTGCACCTTTTATACAGCTTAACTCACAGGAACATGGAAGCTTACGTTTCCATCTTAAACTCCTCTTCGAAGACCCACTTGAGCATTTTCGTTTATTTTAATGCTGCTATGTGTTCACACTAAATTACTGCTAATAAATTTTCCATTTCTGAAGCATGATATTCACCCCCGCTTCACTACTCTTCATTTACTCATCGCTTTCAAGAGAGAAAAGAGGCCCCTCACAGATGACATTGAAATGACAGTGCAAGCGTTCATTTCCTGGTGACCCCAGGCCAGCGAGGTGCTTCCACCTGCGCTCACAGGGACGAACACTAGGGAGGCGTTCACCAAACTGTGTGGTGGCAGAGGGAATTTTATTTGGAAGGAAGCGTGATTGCAATTTTCTCTGGAGAAGAGTACAATGTCGTACAAATTTTAACAAACAATTACATCAAAAATTTATTTCAGGAGTTGCATACAATGTTTTTTTAATTAGAAAGCAATAATTGTCATCATGTACTGTTGAGAATGGCCCTGTGCTCGTATCAAAGCTTCTAAGAGAGAATGAATGCCAGGTCCCTAACCATACACATACACACACACACACACACACACAGCCACCCTCACACACACCACACGTACCCCACAAACCCCACACAGCCTCCCACAGCCCCACCCCACTCCACACTCCCTCTTACACAGCTCCACACACAACACACACAGCCCCTCCACACCCCTACATACCACACCTTACCCACTCCACTCCACAGCCTCCACCTCACTCCATACCCCACACCCCCACATTTCCCCCACCCACCATCCCCTATACAACCCCCACACCCCACAGCCCCCACACACCCACCCCTAAAGCCCCATACACCGCACCCCCACACCCTCATACCCCCAACATACCCCCCTCCACACACACACCACACACATCCTCATAACCCCACACACCACACACAGCCGCCTACACCCCCTACAACCCCACACACACATCCCACACACAGTCCCCAACATGCCCCACACCCCCTACAACTCCCGGACACACTCCACACACAGCCCCCCACACACCCACACGTACCTCACACAACCCACACTCCCACACACACAGCTCCCCCCACCCCAACACTCCCCCATAACCCCCCACACCCCTCCATACCCCACACACCCCTCCATACCCCAAACACACTCCACACACAGCCCTCCAAACTCACTCCCATACATACCCCAAATCCTCCCCACAGCCCCCTGCACCTCCACCCCCACCCCCCACACATCCCACACACAATATAATTAAATTTTTTTAATCTTATGTCTTTAAAAGGAGATAAACATCCTCTATTTTGTATCTTTTTATCCAAATGCTTCTATTCATAGAGTGCAAATATTGGCAAGTTAGTTGCTTAGTCTCCACGCTAGAAAAGTTCTCCTGAGCATACCAGGAAAAAGAGACAAGTCAGGGTAAGCTCTTTCTTTTCTTCTCTACACTCAGCCATGTTATACTCAAAGTCAGGACCTTTTCCAAATTTGCTAGAAAAAGAATCAAGAGCCAAATAAAAGCCTATTTAACTTCTTTTTATTTGAAACTTCAAAGTAGGTCATTTTCACAGTGAAAAGGACAAGGAAGAAAAGAGAGAAAACAGTTAACATAAAAATGAAGGCTCAACAACATTAAAACCCCATTTCAAATACTTTTTTTTTCTAAAGCACATTGTCCAATATTGTTAGGAAAAATAAGTCATGAAATTGATTTTTGTTATGTTTCCTTCCAATCATTATGAAAAGCCATTGACTGTAAGCTAAAAATGGAAAAGAAAGAAGAAAAGAACCAAAGCCTGGCACTCAAAATGAAAGGATGGAGACATTAACCATTTATGAGCCTGACTTTTTTTTTTTATTTTAAAGAGCAAGTGAATTAATATTTTGTGTTGAACTCAATTTTCAACTAGATTTTCAAAGAAGCACTGAATGCTCCTCTTTTATGTTTAGGAAAAACTTGTGTTTTTAACAACTAACTCCATTTCTGGGAGACTGAAGCTCTTACACATTTTACAAATTATTTTCTTGGCTACAGCAAACAAGCTCACCCCTGGAGCACCTCCTGATGCCCCAGAGACAGGGCTTCTCAGACTGCAGGACAGACTCCTGGGACTCTCCTGGTGATCTTTTTCGAATGCAGGTAAGAGTCAGGAGATGAGGTGAGGGACCTGGGACTTCTTCTAAGGATGCAAGGCTGGGGACCACAAGGGCCTACAGAGCTGCAGGAAATTTCAGCAGCCCATCCATGACCTACTCCCAGAAACTCAGTTAAGTCTGTGTGTCACAAGGACTGAACTTCTTTGTCTTTTGTATATTCAACAAAGGATGATAATGCACTGTATTAATTTCCTAGGACTGCCATGACCAAGTAGCACAAACATGGTGGCTTACAACAGCAGAAATATATTCTCTCATAGTACTGGAGGCTGCATCTCTGAAATCAAGGGGGTGAGGTTGTGCTCCTTCTGAAGGCTGTAAGGAAAAATTCTTCCTCTCCTCTTCCAGTTTCTGGATTGCCAGTGGTGGCTGGCAATCTTTGGTGGTCTACGACTTGTGGATGCATCACTCCGATCTCCACCTCTGTCTTCACAAGGCCTTCTCTCTTTTATGTCTTCTGTACCCTTGTGTCTTCGCATGGTGTTTTCTGTGCGTGTCTGTGTCCAAACTCCCCTCCTCTCATAAGAACATCAGTCATTGGCTCAGGGCCCACCCTACTCCAGTATGACTTGATCTTAACTAGATTACATCTGCAAAGCCCTGTTTCCAAATAAGGTCACATTTGCAGGTCTCATTGATTACAGGTTCAACATATCCTTCTGGGGGACACAGTTCAACACAAAATGTGCACAGCAAAGTCTGGGGTCCACTGAGACAGTAGTTCTTCATACTGACTATTCTTTAGAATCACCAGAGGAAGTCAAAATTATATCAATACTCGGCTACAATCAATGAAACCCGATTCTAGGGTTAAACTCAGGCATTACTACTCTTTAAAACTTCCCAAACAATTATAGTGCATACCAAGGTTTGAGAACCACTGCATAAGACTCAGATTTTACAGACCTTTGTGAATATGTGTAGTACTTCCAAATGGAATGTCTGCTTTCTTAGTATACAAATATACTGGCAATTTAATCTGTGCTGGAAATATGCTGTTTAGAAAACAGGATTTTGATAATGGTTTTCAAGAAAACAAAAGTTTCTTCTCATTGAGGTGATTATTAAAAATTTGATTTTTTAAAAAAGCAGTATAATATGGATTATGAAATATTTATTCCTATATATATCACTGCACACATTTAGAAATAAAGGCAAAGGGTTAAAGAGGAAAGTACATATGAAAGAATTAAACTGAGGAAATTTGAGCCAGGAAAGTTAATCAGAATAAATTAATGACATCTTAACACCTTTCTTAAGACTTGCCCATGGTGATATATGTGTAATTTTGCTCCGAAGGAACTAGAAAATCGAACTGTTTTTGAACTATTCTTGCTGATTGCCACCAATTTTCCAGACACACAATTCCAGGAAACATTTGCTAATGGTCTCTAAATTTTCAAATAGATTGATGCCACTACTTGCTTGAGAGAGAGAGAGACAGACAGACAGCGAGAGGGAGAGAGAGAAGACAATAATGTTCAATATATATATGGTCATACCCGGAGCCCTAAACAAGACTTTCGAAAAGGTAAAATAAGTAATATTGGGGCATCAGATGTCATTTTCTTTTTTGGATTGAAGACAGTTCTGCACTGGTATTTGCTTTTTTGTGACAGTGATTACTGACTAAACAGTAATAACAATTTCATGAAACAATAAATTTCACTGTGTTTATTACCAGGTAGTGTAAAGTAGGGAGCGAAATAAATACTGGTATTTTATAATCCAGGGGAAAGGAAAACACATTAATGAAAACATCAAGGGCTATACTGGGAAATGTAGCACAATAAAATATGAGAAGTTAAATTGTAATATGAAAATATACCAAAACACAGCAATCAGGTTAACAATGATAATTAGATCATAAAATCTGTTCGGTAGGAAAAGGTAAGGATAAAGAAGTCAACATGTGGTTTATGTAAAACTAAGACATAATTTATCATCCAAACCAGGGCCCTTGAGAAAAAATAAGTTGGTATTAAAAATTATTCCAGCACAACAAGTGTAAGCAGAGACTGTTCCCAGCCACTGTGAATTTAGTCCGCCTCACCACTGCTCTCAGCTCACCTTTGCCTGTGCCATTGCTTTAGTCCTTGAAATACCATTCTAATGTCTATTCCACGATCACATAGAAAGGAGTACTCATTTATTCAACACCGATTCCAATGTGTTGTACACACAGTCCACAAATACTCAATTATTATCAAGAGTAAAAACAGGCTAAACTATACAGCAGTAAAAATCAGCCCCCAAATCTCGGTGGCTGAAAAGAAAGTATATTTATCTCTCAGGTTACCTGCCCATCGTGGTTAGGCAGGGGTCTCTGTTCAGCCTAGCCTTGAACTTTGGCAATCATGCAACCTGAGGAAAATGAAAGGATGTCCAAGGCCTCTCACTAACAGTGTATGTCACGCCTTGGCAATGACACATAACACATTCTTTCATATCCAATTCACCATAACTAATCACACAGTACTACTCAACCATGAATGACTCCCAAATGCAATCCCACCTAAGTTCTGAAAGGGGTAAGTGGAAATATTTGCAAGTATAATGAATGTTTACCATAAAAATAACTTCATAACTCAATGTCTTCTGGAACCTGGCTCTTAATAAATACCTTCCTTGGTATTTTTCCTTTTCTATTTTCAGGAGGGGAAGTATATTAAAAACTGTTTCTAAATCTGCTCTTGGTTTCAAAGATGCTGCAGAGGAAACGATGTTTTATGTATGCCCCACTTTCCATACTACCCTCTCTACCTAGCGCTGAGCCAGTAATGATGCAGGTCCTTGGCACAGTCTCTGTGACCAGTACAGCCTAGGAAATAGCCACATTTGTCAAAGTACAAATAAGGGAAACTTCCCTTTCCCACATAGGCAGCGTTGATTGTGACATACAGATATAGTTTCTTTCAAGACACAGGAATACCAGTAGATTGCATTTAATACTCTGACAAGTAGAGGGCACACACAAAATTCAATATATTGGATGATCTCTACAACATTAACTGAATATGTGTTTATAATAATAAAAAGCTCGGAAAAAATATTTTAAAGGGTGTTATTCCTAAGAAATGGTATTAATAAAATACCATTAATAAAAACATATTTCCTTATTTAGATATTTTATTTGTTTTCCAGATACTCTGCAGTAAACTTGCATTACATTTGCAAACAGAAAAAAATATTATTTTGGAGAAAAGGATCTAAGTGCTTCATGTAATGGCTATATTCAGATATATTTGTCTTTTCTGAGAAGGTAACTTATGACCCAGATGATAGCTTCTGCTCACGGATGTATTATAACTTTAGGTTGCTCTTAGAATGCCACCTGATTGTATGGCTATAATAAGCTGGTGTTTAAAAGTAGAGTTTGATGGCTTGGGCGGTCATTCCCCTTCTTGAGGAGAATCTTCATGTGAAAAATGTTGGTTATATATGTATAATGTTGTGTGGTGGAAAAATATTACATATGAATTTTTATTCTCAGTGGTGCCAAAAATGAGCAGATGCTAACTTCATCCTATACTCTTTCATAAAATATACCTTGTCAATCTCAATTAAAATCATATTCCTAATTTATAGAATATCAAAATTTGTTGCTAAAACTTGCTGTTGAATTTAAAACGTGAATAACATTTCTGACATAACATTGTTTGGTAGTTTAAAGTGGTGAAATATCATATGGCCCCTGATGATGAAACTAGCTCAATTGTCTAATAGAACTGATGTTTATGGTTCATTTGAAATAAACATAGAAATTGACACTCCTAGCCTTAAAACTTGAAAAAATTACAGTTGTCTTATCTGAATTCTTTTCTCAGAAAGCCAGCAGTCCACTCAGATAATATCAAGAAGCTGAAACCCACCAAATCACTGCATCTGGACAATGAGATGCCAGACTCCTCACAGTCATGGTCATAATTGCTTAACTGACCACTTGCTTCCTGTTGACCAACTCCTCTTCCTTACCGCTCCCTAATTCCTGTTTTCCCACACAAGGTTACATTTCTTCCCTGCTACATAAACCCCTAATTTCAGTCAGTCAGGAAGATGGATTTGAGGCTGATCTCCCATCTCCTCAGCTGCAGCACCCAATAAAGCCTTTGTCCTTAGCAACACTTGCTGTCTCAGTGATTGGCTTTCTGTGCAGCAAGCTGCAGAATCTAGAGTGAACCGCTGGTGTTTTTGGTAACAAAGAAAACTCCTGCCTTCAAATTCCCTGGGGATCTCATTGGAAAGATAGGAAAATAGGCGCTTTTCAGAATATTGTGGAACAATAATGCAATCACAGGGTATAAAGGGTCCTTATAGAAATTGAAAGTAACTCCAGACTGAGGGGTTAAGGACAGACAAGCTGGAGAAGAAGCTGTTGTCTGCTCTGAGATTCAGCATAAGAATCCCACCACTTGTTATATCATAATAACCAGTATCTCTTACCTGAATTTGGCAGTTGCTTTACTCCACCATTTTCTAAACTACCTGACCCATTTTTCACCTACATGACATTTGATGCTTAAAAGGATTACCTTGAATGGACAAATACAGCCCCTTAAGAGTGACCACTTTGCATCTGCCCTGCAGTGACCTGCCTTCATCTCCAGGGAAGGAGTTGAGATTCAGTTAGCAGCAATAAAAATCTCTAGATGCTCTTTTTCTTTGGATACACTACTTAGCATATCTGAACCTCAGCCTACCAAATGGACCTTCAGTAGTACCCAGCCCATTATAAATATTTTTTTTGAATTTAATATAGTATAAAGATGAGGGAAGGTTCTGAAAAAATATATTTTTTAAAAAAATAGTCAAATAAGGATATTTCATACATAAAGGTGATTTCTCCATATTCAGTGTAAAATTATCATTTATAAACTTTATTTGTTAATATTAATTCAGCTAAAATCTGTGTATTTTTCTTGTATTCATTTATTTTAAGTTAGTATGTTTTTCTAATGATCTCTTCTTTTTTTATCTGGGATACATGTGTGTATGTGTGTGTGTTATGTGTAAATTACATGAATGTATACAACATATGCATCTCATAAATATAATATCATTTAAAATTATTAATGCTAATTGAATGCCTACTCTGTGTCAAGATCTATTCTAAAAACATTTATATGGTAACTTATTGAAACTTCTAGTAATTCATCCATCTTAGTTTACAGATCAAGTCTTAAAATATTTTGCTAAAGATTGAACATTGTAATAAATAGCAAACGAGTTATTTCTCCATCCTTCAATTTCTTATAACTTTGGAAAACCATTATTTATATTTTTATCTACATATAAATTGAGGACTAAGCTCGGATTTTTTATCTTGCCCAAATTCCTACCTAAGGGGTCTAGGGAGTCATGTCATATAAACCACAAATTCTCATCAGATGGGTTTCATTTGACCCTATATATTGTGACTTACTTTTCAATCTGACTCTGGCATGACATTATGAAACAAGGAAAAAAATACTTAACCCCAAAATATATTCCCTTGCCATATCTTGAAATTGCCCTGCAAAGTCTCTTGTGGGAAAAATCCACATTCTATAGAGAATCCCCTTCTCCCTTTGTTTTCCTTCCTTTCTTTCCAGATCCAGGAGATAATCAACTAAGAGCCAGGCACCCGTTTAAGTCTGATAAGAAACAATTTACAACCTGCTCTCTCTGAGGTCTGCTGAGAGCTCCCTCTGCACAATAAAACTTGGTTTCCACAATCCTTTATCTTCACCCTGAGCATTCCTTTCTATGGATCCCAGATCTTTAGACAAACCCAATCAATGTCAACCAGAAAATGTTTAAATTTACCTATAGCCTAGAAGCTGCCTCTTTGAGTTGTCTCGCCTTTCTGAACCAAACTAATGTATTTCTTAAATGTATTTGATTGATGTCTCATGCCTTGCTAAAATACATAAGAACAAGCTGTACCCCAGCCACCTTGGGTGCATGTTCTCAGGACCTCCTGAGGGCTGTGTCACGGGCCATGGTCACTCGTATTTGGCTCAGAATAAATCTCTGAAAATATTTTACAGAGTTTGACTCTTTCGTCAACAAAATCTAAGAGTTAATAAATATAATGAATGATAGTACTTAGAATATCTTCCCAATGATTCACTATTACTCTCAGTTAACTGCAAAAGAAAATAAGATCTTGCTCATAACTAAATTACACTTTTGTTATGGGCCTAAAAAGAGGAAAGCCATTAAATTTCTAACTTTGTCTTAATCATATTGATAAATTATACCTCTATTGGGCCAACTCTAAGATCAGATTTCAATTTATAATTATTCTGTAAAAATACAATTTTAAAAGTATTAAATCTAATTATGTGTAATGGTAATCATTGTTGCACATCAAAATATTTGGTCCAAAGTTGCTCTAACAGACATGTACCTGATTTTATAAACCAGGCACAGAAAAACAGATATCTCATGTTCTCACTCATATGTGGGAGCTAAAAAAGGGTAACTCATGGAGGTAGAGAGTAGAATGTTGGATCCTGGAAGCTGACAGGGGTGCAAGGGAAGGGGATAAACAGAGGCTGGTTACTCTGCACAAACACACAGCAAGATGGAGGGAATGAGTTCTGGTGTTCTATAGCACAGTAGGGTAACTATAATTAATAAAAAAATTGTATATTTCAAAATAATTATAAGAAAGATTTGGAAGTTTCCCAACACAAAGAAAGATAAATGTTTGAGGTAATGGATATTCCATTTACTCTGATTACACATTGCATGCATGTATCAAAACATCACATGTACTCCATAGATATGTGCAATTTTTATGTACCAATAAAAAATACTTGATTTCAATAGCATTTGACCAGAAATCATAGACAATGCAAATAACTTTATCCAATTACATATATTAAAATTGGTTCAAAGACTACTTTAGGCTGGGTGCGGTGCCTCATGCCTGTAATCCAGCATTTTGGGAGGCTGAGGCAGGTGGATCATGAGGTCAGGAGATTGAGACCATCCTGGCTAACCCGGTGAAAACTCGTCTCTACTAAAAATACAAAAAATTAGCTGGGCGTGGTGGTGGGCACCTGTAGTCCCAGATACTTGGGAGGCTGAGGCTGGAGAATGGCATGAACCTGGGAGGCAGAGCTTGCAGTGAGCCAAGATCGTGCCACTGCACTCCAGCCTGGGTGACAGAGCGAGACTCCGTATCAAAAACAAAAAACAAAAAACTACTTTAACGGGTAAATCTCAAAGATACACTCCTTGCTTTGGATTCTTTATTTTTAATCTTTTGATAATGTCTTTTCAAAACAGTTTTAAAAGACTGCATGGGTAGGCACTGGAAAGTTAGGAGTTACTGTTTTCTTCCCGATGATATTGAAGGTGGATTTAATTCCTTCGTTTTGCTTATCTTGCTTTCCAAATATTCTACCTTGTGCCACAATCAGCTTTGTAACTTAGAAAAATCACTGAGTAATACAAAATTCAAAAATGAGCAAATTATTATCATTCGTCATTCCAGCACTTCGTCAATGGATGCATTGAAATCCCCTTCCAGAATTACCCATATAAATGCAATAATACATGCTATGATTTCATTTTAAATAATTCTAAAATTATTAAAAAATAGTATATCACTGGATTATAATATTCCAAGTCCTCTATGCATACTTGTGGTATTCCTACTATTGAAATATGAGGTTTAGCAATGTACTAAAATACTCCATGTTAGCAACCCAAAAGCATATTAGAATCACGTATGAGGGAAGCTTTTCTGCCTAAGTAAAGTCTCTTCTAGCACCCTTTGCATCCAAATGCAGGAATTCTGCGTGGATAATGCCATCAACTCTGTCAACTTGATGCATGAGTCTTTATTCCATCTCCAGCATGATTTACGGATATGTTCCAAAAAGTAGTTTTTATATCACAACCTGAGTGCCTTCGTTAATCAAAAATATAAAGAAAATAAATGTGTGCAAAAGAATTCTACATAGCTGATTTTTTTAAGTAGAAATGAAAACAAGCTAATCATTCTTGCTCCTATGATTTTATATAAACTGTAACAGCCAAAATGCACACGATGTAATTTTATAAATCTACAAATATTATTTCTCTTTGATAGAATCTATTTTTAAATATTCTAATATTTATTCATAAACTTTATCTGTTGCATTCTCTGAATCTAAAATATCAATGCTAAAGTTGAATATTATAATAATATTACAATTTTGTGACTTTAAATTGATTTTCCATTCATAACTCCAATTTGGGGTGAATGACCTTATAATCCTAAGAGGTCAGCAAAGAAGATAATACTTTTATCATTCTCCACCTTCCAGGAGTACTCGGAAACTTTTAAATAATAACCCAGCCCGTGTGCCTTAACACTTCCTAACTGTAATAGTTTGCCTTCGTTTTGTGAGAGAGGGTCTTCATCTTCATCCTAAACCCCACCCCATCTCCAAAACACACACCCACAGCCTCTATCTGTCCAATCCCTACTCATATATCCAGTCTTCTCAAGATTCAACTCAATCTTCACCTAACATGGAAGCCATTTCCAAAACAGACACAAGACCATTTGGTAATTGTCCTGTTTTCTCTTCCTGCAGCACTGCTTCCGGGAACTTACACTATGAATTCGAATACTCTGCTTAGATATCTTTCTGGTTCCCCTGGCTGGGTTTGGGTGAGCTGGGTGCTCAGTTGGGTTGTGCCACCTGCCACTCTTGGTCAGAATATCCTCTCTTTAAAGATCTCAGGTTTAGAAGTGTGTGTATTTTTACTTTGTATTTCCATTACCTGAGAGAGTGTCATATGGAACGGACTGAACTCATACATGTGGAACTGGGTAGACTTGTACCAAATCAAGATGCAAAGTCAAGAGGAAAAACTAAATGACTCGGTGGTGTTTCAACATCCAGCTCAATATACTTTCACAGAACTCTCATTACCTCTGCAAACCTGAAACAGTCACAAACGGTCAAGAGAAGGTCCCAAAAATCAAACAAACATGATGAAAAGTACTGGGGAATCTGAACTAATTTACATAAAAATATTTTCAAATTAGGAAAATCTTTTCTTCATATTTCTGCAAAATGGCTTTCATGATACATAGAAAATACATTATTGAATGTACCTAAATAATACACAGTCTCTCAAATGAAGCAATGAATATACATTAGCTCAATAAACACACTGGGAATGCTGTAAAAATCCAAATTGTTTCACTGGTTTCTAACAGTGCTGACAAACTTCCCCTACTTTTTCTTTTTCTTTTTTTTTTTTCTTTTTTTTTTTTCGAGACAGCGTTTCGCTTCTGTTGCCCAGGCTGGAGTGCAACGGCATGATCTCAGCTCACTGCAACCTCCTGGGTTCAAGTGATTCTCCTGCCTCAGTCTCCCGAGTAGCTGGAATACAGGTGCCCACCACCATGCCTGGCTAATTTTTGTATTTTTAGTAGAGGTGGGGTTTCACCATGTTGCCCAGGCTGGTCTCAAACTTTTGACCTCAGGTGATCCACCTGCCTCCACCTCCCAAAGTGCTGGGATTACAGGCATGAACCATTGCACCTGTCCACTTCCCCTACTTTGTAACATTGCCTAGGGCTATCCAATGAGAGAGAGTAGGAATAGAGTAAACCCTAATGGAACCACAATGAAGAGAAATACAGGCAAGATACAAACAAAAAAAAAGGCAAGAAGAAGGGCGAGAGATATAAGTAGAAAAAAAGATACCTCAATTATTGGCGAACATCCTTGAAAAAGAATTAGACAGTAATAGAGTTTGGATGTTCAATGTAGCTTGCATATTATATGTCTATATCATCTGGGTATGATTTAAGATTCTGACAGTCAAAAACGATTTCCACCTGGAATCTCTAATCATATTCACATTACCAGGATATGGTTCTACATTTAGAAATTCTGTATTAGGTAACATACTTTGTTCTTTTTGCTATATGACTTTAGTGAATGATAAATCATCTTAATAAGTTCTTATATCGCTTTTCACTTTTCTAAAATGGGTACTCAAAAATAATATCCTAAAATGTTTATATGTACTGTATTCATCATATGCACACAGGTGGCAGCGTGTATTCATTCAATGTATTTGAAGTTAATGTAATTAAATCACCATTCACATCTTCTTCCATACAGAAGAAAAAAACTTAATTTTACATTTCATTATAGAAAGAAACATGCTTGCTGAAGGCTTATAAAACAATTAATGCACTTTCATTTTTCTCAGTATTCTTAGACTGTCTATTCAGTCTAAGTGTTACATGTATTTATATATGTTATTTTCTGAATTGCTAAATTATGCAAAACAAGCAGCTACTCTGGAAGTTTTCAACTGACTTCTATTTACTGACTATCCTCCAGTCCCACTGTAAAGTACTCTGAACTGTGTGAGTGACATCCCCAGCACAGACAGCCACTGGGATCATCTCCAGGCAAATGGGGCATTCCACTTCCACCTGTAGAGATGTGAGCTTACCAAGAGTGCACTCTCCTGTAGTCCCAAACATGGATATGCCAGTTTTACTTGTTATAGTTTAAATTTAACTAAATAAACAGATAAACTGAGTGCACAAAGACAGAGTTGTTACTAGGAACAAACGTGTATATGTCAGTTTTACTTGTTATAGTTTAAATTTAACCAAATAAACAGATAAATTGAGCGCAAAAAGAGAGAGTTGTTACTAGGAACACTAAAATTAATGCTTTGTAAACACTAAGTGGCTTAAAAGAACTGTCCAGCTAGTAGGAGGATAAACAACTTTAGATGTTTGAGGTTGGTAAATCGAGAAAAACCTAGCATGATTCTGCCCTCAAATTGTCGCACATGTATCTTTTGGTTCTAGGTTAACCTGAAGAATTTTAAGCATAGAAATCTCAAGGTCTGCATTATGGGTATGATTTAGTAAAGAGAGACACTGGACCTCTAATCTGTAGATGCTGTATAGGAAAATGTTTATCCAGGGATGCAGTATAGCAAAATGTTCCTGTTTAAGTGTTTCAGTATGTGCAAACCATGACATTAATTAGAACTCTTTTATTGACTTTATTTTTTAAATTTATTTTTATCATCTATATTTTTAAGTATCAAACATTGATTTATTACGTATTTGAATTATATTATTTGCCACTCAGGAAAATGCAGTCAATTAGTCAATGTCATTGGAATCCCTGGATCTATAAATTATCATGAATTTCAAAACACCTGATCACAAATCACCTAAACTCCAAATGGTTTCTTACTTAACAAATAGCAGTCATTGTAATAGCAGTTTGAAATATTATTTAGGAAGTGGCCAGCTATATGCATTAATTAAAATGCCCAAACAATAGGCATGGCTCTTTATTTTTCTACAGAATTATCTTAATTTGGAGATATCAAAAACAAAACAAAACAAAAAACAAAAAAAGAAAGCTTGCCTTGGCCATCCATGGTGGCTCACACCTGTATCGCAGCACTTTGGGAGGCCGAGGCAGGTGGATCACGAGGTCAGGAGTTTGAGACCAGCCTGGCCAACATGGTGAAACACCGTTTC
Source organism: Homo sapiens (assembly GCF_000001405.40). NCBI lineage: Eukaryota > Metazoa > Chordata > Mammalia > Primates > Hominidae > Homo > Homo sapiens. The sequence continues at coordinate 108,579,624 of NC_000013.11, read as the reverse complement.
TACTGAAAATACAAAAATTAGCCGGATGTGATGGAGGGCGCCTGTAATCCCAGCTACTTAGGAGGCTGAGGCAGGAGAATTGCTTGAACCCGGAAGGCAGAGGTTGCAGTGAGCAGAGATCGCGCCACTGCACTCTAATCTGGGTGACAGAGTGAGACTCCATCTCAAAAAAAAAAAAAAAAATTCTTGCCTTTAGCATTTATAGAAATTCAATGATCAGCATTAATCCTTCAGACCTAAATGCATTCAAACGGATTTCTCTTCCAGGCTCTAACTCAGTCATCTTTGAGATGATCCTTCTAGATACTAAATTTCTAACAGCTTTTCATTTAGTTACTGAGGTTATTGCAAGGCAATGGTGACTCATGGGAAAACTGCAAGAGACTCAGTCAAAAGACACAAGTTACTTCCACATTGGTAAGGACACACAACCGTAACTGCAAATAACTACACAGGGCATGGGCCACCACTCTGTCCAAGTTTCCACAAGAGGCCAAGCAGCCTTTGAAGATGCCATTGGTCTTTCTACCCTAACATCCCCTACAAAGGAAAAAATCATATTATTAACCCCTTTCAAATTTTCCATGGTCCTAAATATAATAAGACTTTAAAGATATAATTTCACAGCCATTATATTTACAGTGTTCTGACGCTCGCATATAACTGTATATGTAAAATAAATATGTATTTATTATATAATAAATATATGTAATAATACATAAATACATAATACATATAATTATAATGTATAATAAATATATATGTGAGCTGAAAATGTATTCCCAATAATTGTTGTGATCCACATGCAGTCCATAGTTATGAACACACCACAAGACCAATTAGAAAGTAAAGGACCTGGGGATGTGAAAATGTCGCAATGCTCTTAGTGATGTGTATCTCGACGAATAGTACCCATATTCTGAAGTTGAACACGAGAAATGTATGGGCACCAGGATGCCAGGTTGTTTTTCCAGCCAGACATCCCAGTGGGGAAGATGAGGCAAGGAGGGAAGAGTGGGACCCCTGGCAAGGACACTGGCAGCTTTCTTCAAAAGGAGAGTCTTTATAAGTACACAGCACCCACCAAACAAAAAGGGATATGGAATCCTGGGCCAGATGCTTGTTTATAACATGCCTTTTCTAAGTGGTCATTTCCAGTCTTAAAGTCCTCAAATGGACATCTGGCACTGCCATTACCTCGATATTTAATTTTGCATAATTGCTCCCATTTGGGTTTAAAATAGGAACTGTGAAATGGATTGCAATGAGATATTTTGTTATATAAACACGTTTCTCATTATCTGGTTTTCACTCTTCAAATGGCAGTTTACATAACATTTTTAGTATTTTAATTATTGAATTAAACATGGGAAAACCCTACACAGATTTCCCAGCTTTACTAGGTCATTTCAGACAAATGCACAAATCCTGGCAACTGACGGCAGCTTTTTATGTGTCGAATAAATATGAAGTCAAATACTTACCTTAAAGCCAAGCTTGATATTGGTAACTGCTTCTCAAGCCAGGTAAAAAACAAAGAAATAGAAGTAATTTAATCCTGAAAACTTCATTTTCCAGATCTTCTTAAAAACTAATTTTTTGATCAAAACATAAAGAGGAGCACACAATATATACTTGCGTAGTAAAGGGATAAAAGATCCCTGATGGGGCTATTTTGTCTCTTATATTAAGCTACTCAAATACAACTCCTCAAGTGGAATGAAAATAGAATTAGATGATCAGGAGGAGATATCGGGGTGGGGTAAAAGGGGCAAGTTTAGGGATTTTTATAAATATATGGATACATAGTTTTCTTGTTAATTAGTCATTTAAAATACCTTGTCAATAAAAGACTTCTCGATCACCTTTCCTAGCATCAAAATGATTACAATGTAAATGGGACTATAAGTATGTCTTGTAGTCAGTGCAAAGTGTCTGACAACTTTAATACCAAGTGATGGAGAGAAAACACTATTTCAGGAATAGATATTAAAAGTGATCATATAACACACAGTGGATTGGAAGCATTCCAGGAAGAATGGGACATGAGTGAGGCCTTGAAGGGTAGAGCAGAATTGATGCTGGCAGGAAGAGTTGGATGTGGTGTTCCAGATGGAGGAGAGAGACAGAAATTAAAGCCATGAAGTCAGGAAGATAATAAACTAGACCACGCTGTGCTGGTGCCCGGTGCTGGAGCACAGAGAGAGCTTCTATTATGTGTATTATATGCACACAACAACATGGTAAGGAGATCTCTCATTATCCTCATCCTATATATGAGACATTGAGGCTCTCTAATAGCCAGATTTGGCTATCTGCCTCGAGAATCCAGCCTTTAGCCATTCCCTCCTCTAAGTCACTACTCTCCTGAAGGCACACTCCAAGGACAGGTTAATTACATCAATGTGGCATTTCTCATTCATTTTTGTATAGCTCTTAAAAGTTAGTGAAATGTCATATTGCATTAAACAAAAAATGACCAAACACCTCATGAAAAGGACAACTCAAGAAAACTGTATGGTGGGGAATTTTAGAAAAATTGAATCAAATGGAAAGGTACTGCAAGCTGGGCACAGTGGCTGTCGCCTGTAATCCCAACACCTTGGGAGGCTGAGGCAGGAGGAGCGCTTGAGGTCAGGAGTGCAAGACCAGCCTAGGCAACATAGCAAGGCCCTGTCTCTATATAAAATTTTAAAATTAGCCAGATGTGGTGGCGTATGCCTGTAGTCCCAGCTACTCAGGAGGCTGAGGTGGAAGGATCACTTGAGTCCAGGAGTTGGGGCTGCAGTGAACCGTGATTGCACCACTGCACTCCAGCCTGGGCAACACAGCGAGATCCTGTCTCAAAAAAAAAGAAAAGAAAGAAAGAAAAGAAAAACACTGCAAAGTTCACTGGGAATTCAACTTAAAGCTGAAATGCCCCTAAAATTATTAAAAATATGTTACAGTCAATTTTGCCAAAAGGACAATAACTTTTATATTCATAATTCAATGGATTATTTGAATAAAATCACTCATAACTAAGAGCAGTTACTTTCAAAATGAAAAAGAATTAGTTAAAGATGTTATTTTTCAGATAGCATAGATTCTTACATTTTGTGTGTCGAATAAATAACAATGCTTTATATAATTACTATTGTTTTCCATCCCACATTTTACTCTTCCATTTCACTCCTTCAGTTCATAGCAGAAGACAATATTACCAGCTGGTTGTTCCTCAGTATGACAGTGGCCAATGCACTAACTCTCAGGCTTCAGTACTTCCCAAAAGAACTTTACAACGTGGAAGTCCCAAGGTCATCCCTCCAGGGATGTACAGAGCCTGTGTTTAAAAGACTGCGGTGGCTAAGTGAGGATTCCTCCTTCTAGGAGCCAGGATTCATTCTAGGTCCAATATGCAGAATTTCCACATCTGACCTGTCTCTAGTGCTACATCTGCCACCTGTTTCATTATCTTGCACTCTCATATGTGTAAGTCCTTTCTGTAGTTTTGGAACTTCAGCTTACCAGCTTCTCTGAGCATGACTTACGTGTTCAAATCTGGTCTCCAGATTTGCCTTTTTCTTTAGTCTTAGGGTGCTAGCCCTGAGCGCTTGACAATCAGCTTTTTGGCCTGGCCTTTCTCTATCCCTTCCAGCCCCAGCTAGATTTGGTATTAAACATTATCTCATAGGCCCTCAGTTGCCGAGACTTGAAAGGGTCTACCTAGAAGGATTTAAACTCTATGGCATATCCATTCACCTGCTGGAAATTAGGTTGGAATCTTTCTGCAACACCTGCACTTCCTAAGGTATTATTAGCCTTGCCAGGTACAGGGCTGGGAAAGACAGAATTAACCAGAGCGTAGGCACCACACCATGGCCAGAAACACGGAACAGAGAGAAGAAATGTATACGCGGGCGGGCAGGGGACCATTGCATACATTTGTAACCAAAGTGAAAGCAGAATACCAATAACTGGTAAAACTCACATCAAAAGGACATAGGGCGGTATTGGCAGGGGAGGGAAAATTTCAGTAGAGAGTTTATTAGGGGAAATCCGCTAGTGTGCTATGGGTCTGTGCCTCTCTCCCCCAAGGGAGAAAGGTTCAAAGGGCTTTTGTGGGACTGAGAGCTTGTTGTATTTCACACAGTTAATGGGTGCTGGGGCTCAGGCTTGGCTTTTCCTTCAGCCATCTAGAGTGCAAAAAAGGACTAGCTGTCCCTTTGGCAGCAGAGCAAGGGCCTGAGGTCTGCAACACTGAGACCTATCAGCCTCCCTAGAGGTGTGCAGGCAAAGGATGTATGATGTCGTCCTAGGACCCATACAGGTCAAGAAGGAAACATAGCTGGCGGGTTGGTCATCTTGAATCTCATTCTCTGTGCAATCTGGAGAGATGTACAAGCTCTAAGCAGATGAAAAGCTAGGACTGGAATCACCAGATTCTTGGGGCTGCAGAAGTGAACCCAGGAATAGAGACTGTTCAATATGTCTAAGGATTCAAAGGTCATCATAGGATAGAGGGCATCTGATAAACCCATGAACACTTGAGGTGTGACAGGGTTAGCTCTACACACTGGAATGTGTGAGTACACCTTATACTAGAACTAGTCACACTGGAGTGTGTGAGTACACCTTATACTAGAACTAGTCACACTGGAGTATGTGAGTACACCTTATACTAGAATTAGTCACACTGGAGTGTGTCAGTACACCTTATACTAGAACTAGTCACACTGGAGTGTGTCAGTACACCTTATAATAGAACTAGTCAAGTGAGAACTTCCCCATCTAGTTTTCCTTTTTTTCCTAACCAAACTTTGACCCTGTTGTGATTAACAACTGTGTTTAACAAACTGAGGGAGAGGAAATGCTTGGTAGGATAAAAAAGAATCTCTTATTCTGTCACTCATACATATACAAATACACACAAGCGCACACACACACACACACACACACACACACACACACACACAAATTGTTATTGGTAGGCCCCCTGCTGTGGAAAGGGAGAAGATTTTAACTTTAAATCGTATTAGAAAGATTGAGGATTTTCAGACACTGAACATTTTAAGTTACTGAGTTGAAGCTTTATTGAGAATTAAAGAGATAAGAGTTCTTCCTGTTACATAAAAGTTAGTGCTGCCTTCACTGAGCATGTTTAATGGGTTCTATGAGAGATAAAGTTTATTTTAAAATTTATTTCATGATTTTCTATCAAGAAACCCATATACCAATAGACTCTTGATACCACAGTTATGCTTGTCTCTTGCAACTAGAAAAAGCTCACTGAAAGGAAAGGTAATAGATCTTCATCCCATTTCCTTGCTTCATATAACCATGGAGCTTTTAGACAGTTTCCTGACTTTCCCCTAGAACTACAGAAAGCTGGATGCCAACAAGAGACATAAGTCATGAAGGACGTCATTAGCAAGCCCAGCCAGCTGTTGATGTATTCAGGACAAATCCAAGCAAGAGAAGCTTGACCAATTAGGCTGGGCGCAGTGGCTCATGCCTGTAATCGCAGCACTTTAGGAGGCTGAGGCAGGAGGATGGCTTGAACCCAGAAGTTTGAGACCAGCCTGGGTAACATAGGGAGACCCCATCTTTACAAAAATAATAGAAAAATTAGCCAGGTGTGCTGACATGTGCCTGTGGTCCCAGCTACTTGGGAGGCTGAGGTGGGAGGATCGCTTGAGCCCAGGAGGTCCAGGCTACAGTGAGTCATGATTGTGCCACTGGACTCCAGCCTGGGCAATGGAGTGAGACCCTGCCTTAAACATAAATAAATAAACAAGAAATCCAACCATCAGGGCTCATGAAATATACTGAACCTGACCTTCTAAGACTGTAAATGACTGTATTTATTAGTTTGACTTTTAAAAAGGAAAACAGTGCATCTGGATGAGGAGCAGAATATGAAAGTCTGAGAGGCTGCTACACTATCTCTGAGCCCGTGAAGTCTGGTGAGGAGATCAAACTGCTCAGTGTTATCTCTGACCTGCTTCTACTCCCAGACTACAATGGAGAAAACTGACCTCCTTATCCTACTTTCTTTCTTGTTCAGAATCTATCACCAGTCTATCCCTGGTCTCTCTGATTCCCATTTCCTACCATGATAATTTTGCTATGCAGTGAATAATTCAGTTAATAAGCTAGAAGTATCAAAACAGTATAAATGTTGCATATGCAAATTATACACAATTAATTTTTAAATATACAGACATTTGAGCTTAAGTAGCATTTTTAAAAGTCCTACATTTTTAAAATTTTATTTTTTAAAAAATGACATTATATTCCAACTTCTAAAGTAACCTATATTTACCACAAAAATGTTAATAAAACTGAAAAGGTGAGAAAAGAAAAATCGCCTATAATCCGCATCTAAGATAACCACTGCACTGGGTGAAAGCAAACAACCATCCCTCCCACTTGTTGCTGGTTTCTGCATCTGTATCTTCTCTCCTGGACCTCTGCTTCAACAAGTACAGGCGTTTTACACTTGGCCGTGTCATTTGCTTTGACTCATGGAATGTGGGTGGGACAAAAAGCATGCCAGTTACAGCCAGAGAAGCGAGGAGGCATTGAGAGATTCTGCATGTTCGCTTAGACTTGTGTCTCATCCTGGGAAGAGTGGCTCCAGATATTACCTCCTCCTTCTGCCTGAGTCACAGAATGAAAGACCCATGAGGCTGAACCAGTTTATCTGCAGCGGACACCCACAGTCCTCATGCAAGGTCATCAAGCAATTAGCACTTGTTGTGGTTGGACAGAAGATTCTTGTGTTGCCTGTTGCTACAGCAAAAACTTGTTAACAAAACCACTATTAACATGCTCCCCTCCCCATTTAATTTAACGGTATTTTCAAATATACCGATAGATCTAGTGTTTAAAGCATACCATTAAGTGGAGGTCACCAAGTTGAAATCATGAGGAATATAATCAGAAGAGTAACATTTTCAGTAACCTATGTCACAAAAAAACGATAAAGGAACTTGACATTTTTAAAATGGAGAGGGAAGGACCTAAAGCAAGGCAACAGTTATGGCTGCAAAAATATAGAACGCACTGTCTTCCTAGACTGTGATCTACCGAAATAAGATGCATTCACCTGGGGACTAGATGACCACTTTTTATTACAAGCATTCACTCATTGTTGGGAAGGCTGGAGCAGATAATCTTGATGGTCCTCCACATCCCAGGTTTCCATGCTTTACTTATTATAATAACTGAACATTAGAAATTGTATTTTTTTCCAAATAAAACAAGAACCACTTGTATTTTAAGTTATTTAAATGATAAAGATTATACCCAAAGGTTAGTGGGAGAGGGCTATAGACAATAGGCCTTAGTAAAACTTCAGTGTTTGTAAAGCTCAATGCCAGCATTAAGAAAAAAGGTAGTAAAATAAATGGAGGGGGCCAGATGTGATGGCTCACACCTGTAATCCCAGCAGTTTGGGAGGCCAAGGCAGGAGAGTCACTTGAGGGCAGGAGTTTGAGATCAGCCTGGGCAACATAGCCAGACCCCAACTCTACAATATATATATTTTTTAATAATCAGCTGGGCATGGTGGCATGCACCTGTAGTCCCAGCTACTCAGGAGGCTGAGGCAGGAAGATTGCTTGAGCCTGGGAGGTCAAGGCTGCAGTGAGGGTGACTGCACCTCTGAACTCCAGCCTGGGCAATAGAGTAAGACCCTGTTTAAAAAAAAAAAAAGAAAAAACAGCACAAAAAACAACAACGAAACTTGATGTGGGGGTTGTGTCAGTGATTGCTTTCATGGAAACTTTTCTCCAGTCAATTCCAGGAAGAGTTACATACAAGACACACATGGGAACTCACAGTCAGCCAACTTTTTTTTTTTTTTCAAATATAGAAAAGCCCTTGACCCATTACTTGGTTTTGTTTTGAACTATTCAGACACACACACACATATATGCAAGGTCATGCACACACAGGGGCAATGCTAGCATCCTGCAACACCATTTGCAGCCAGAGAACCCACAAGACCTGCAGACCTCCTGCTCACATGGCTTCTTTCACTCAAAGAGAGTGGCTCCAGGTAGCAGCGACTGCACTCTCATTTCGTTTTCCACATTTGCCACATTTGACATTTTAAAAAATACATTTTAATATTGGTATACAACTAATGAAAAGCTTACATTAGAATTCTCTGCAATACTCATGATTAGCCTCTTAAGATTTTAGAAATTTCTAAAATCAGTTATCAACATCATGACATAAACACCTGTAGTCCTTGCCAAATTCAGCACCACTTGTATTATTTTTTCTATTCTCAAAGGTTCACAAATCTTGACAATTTTGTCTTTTTTTTTTTTTTCATCCCAGGGCTAATCCTCAGTCCTGAGCCATCCTCTGATCCCTGCTTTTATCTTCACTGTATCCTCTTATCCTTAACCAGTGAACCAATTCCTAGGTTTCCACAGTTCACAGAGATTCAGTCATCAAAAAGGTATTTTCTTAAGAGTCCAAAGAAAAAAATAATAATGGCAACTGCAGAACAAACTGCTTGACTTCTGCTATCTTTTTTTTCTTTTTCTTCTGTAATATCAAAACCTACTAATCTGATCTATATTTACTCAAACTTACCTATACCAAAAACCCAAAATTATAATAACCTGTGAGTCTTACTTTACACTTTCTTAAGATGTTTTTGATAATTACTTGTCCTTAAAGCTAATTTTCAGTAAGTGCCTAATAGACCCAAGAGATGTTTTAATTCAAAATAATGGCCATCCCAAAGGCAAGCATTAATCTCTCTACAGAACCACTAAACAGCATAGCATGGCCAGCAAAGAGGCAAGGCTTTTGGCTACCACCATGGCATTCATAATCATGAACTGATTTGCTCAATCTCAATGTAGTCTTTTAAATTTGTATAAAGTTCTGAATAAAAAGACTTCCTGAATTACTATCTTAGAAATATGCATGGATTTAGTAGAAAGTACAAGGTATTTCAGACACTTGTACCCAAAGTAAGCAAACAGGTAAGAAACGCTACTTTTAAATGTTTGCTTCTCAGGCCCAGATGGCTGGCTTCATTGGTGTGTTATCACAAACATTTAAGAAATAGACTGGACATGATGGCTTACATCTATAATTTCAGCACTTTGAGAGGCAAAGGTGGGAGGAATGCTTGAGGTCAGGAGTTTTAGATCAGGCTGGGCAAAATAGTAGGAACCCCATCTCTATGAAAAATTTAAAAATTAGCCAGCTATGGTGGTGCACACTTGTAGTCTCAGCTACAAGGGAGGCTGAGGCAGGAGGATCACTTGAGCCCAGGGGTTTGAGTCTGCAGTGAGCTATGATTGTACCACTGCACTCCAGCCTGGGTGATAGAACAAGATTTAAGAAAAGGATAAAGAAAGAAAGAAAAAAGGAAAAGGAAGAACAGAAGGAAAGAAGGAAAGCAAAAACCAAGCAAGCAAGACCAGCCCTTCACAAACACTTCCAAAGTGTAGAATAAAATAAAACACACCCTAAGTAATTATTTGAGGCAAGTATTTCCAAAATCAGGCAGAGATCATAATAATACTATGTATAGATAATTTCCATGACTAGAAAAGCAAAAATCTTCAATAAAATACAAGGATATGAAATCCGGGAACATTTGAGAAGTATTATACACCATGGCCAATTAGGATTTATTCTAGGAATGTGAAATTTGTTTAATATATGAAAATCAATCAACAATTAATTTATGAAAATCAAACATACCATATTTATAGTATTAAGGACAGAATACACACAATTATTTCAGTAGACAATAATAGCGCATGTTAAAAACACCCAATAAACTGGAAAGAGAATTTTCTCAACCCAATAAAGGACATCTACACAAAACCCAGAGCTAATATACTACTTAATAGTGAAAGCCTAAAAATATTATCGTTAAAATCAGAACAAGATAAGGACATCTGCTTTTACCACATCTATTCAACATTTGAAGGGCGTTTCCAGCCAGGACGATTAGATAATATAAAGAATAAAGGGTATCTGGAGGAAAGGGAGAAGTAAAATTATCTCTATTCAAAGAAGACATACTCTTGTACATAGAAAATCCTAGAAATTTATACACCATAAATCTATCAGAACTAATAATTAAGCAAGTTTGTAAATTACCAGCTCAATATTAAAAAATCAATTGTATTTTTATATGCTAACAATAAAAAGTAAAATTAAAAAAGCAATTCCATTGGCAACAGCATCAGAACTAATGAAACATTTAAGAATAAATTTAACAAAAGAAGTAGAAAATTTGTATCCTAAAACCAAAAAAACATTGTTAAAAGAAATTCAATATCAAAGTAAATAAAAGGCATTACACATTCATGGACTGGAAGCCTCAAAAGTGTGAAGAAGGCAGTACTCTTCAGATTGATTTACAAACGTAATACAAACCCTATCAAAATTCCAGCTGACTTTTGTGATAAATTTGGCAAGCTGATCATAAAATTTATATGAAAATGCAAGGAATCAAAACTAGCCAAAATAATCTTGAAAGTAACAACAATGTTGGAGCACAGCTCACATTTTAATTTCAAAACTTACTGCATGCTACAATAATCAAAACAGTGAGATGCTGGCATAAAATCAGACATATAGATCAAAAGAATAGAATTTAAATTCCAAAAATAAACACATTTATGGTCAATTAAACTTGAAAAAAAATATAACTAGGAAAATAATAGGTTTTCAGGAATTAGTGCTGGAACAACTGGGTACCCATATGTACAAGGAGAAAGTTGGACAGAAAAATTATGTCAAAATAGATCCCAGACCCAATTCTAAAGGACAAAACCGCAAAACTCTTTGAAGAAAATGTAGGAGTAAATCTCTGTGGCCTTGGATTAGGAAACGGTTTTTTAGATATGACATCAAAAGAACAAGTAGCAAAAAATAATAATAATAATAAAGTAGATAAACTGAACTATATCCAAATTTAAAACTTTTGTCATGGAGTTGATAAAACCAATAAAGTGGGAAGACAACCCACACCATGGAAGAAAATATTTTCAAAGCATTTCTTATAAGGGTCTGCTATCCAGGACATATAAAGAACTTTCACAACTCAACAATCAGACAACCCAAGTAAATAATGGTCAAGGAATTTGGGTAGATCATTCTCCAAAGAAGATATACAAACAGCCAATAAGCACATAAAAAATGCTGAATATATAGTTATTAGGAAAATGTGAAGTACAACCACAATGAGATACTTTACACTCACTAGGAGGGCTATAATCAAAACTCAGACAATTATAAGTGTTAATGAAGATAAGAAGAAATTAGAACACTTATGCATTGCTGGTGGAATTTAAAATATCACTGTCACTTGGAAAAGTTTGATAGCTTCTCAAAATGTTAAAATTGGAGTTATCATGTGACCCAGCAATTGCACTCATAGATGCAAAATAAATGAAAACCTACATTTATAAAAAACTTATACATGAATGCTCACAACATTATTCATTATAACCAAAAAGTAGAAATAACACAAATGTCCATCAACTGATAAATGGAAAATAAAATATGGTTTATCTCTACAATGGAATACTGAATACAGTGTTAAAAACAAATGAAGTACTGATCCATTCCACAACATGGATGAACCTTGAAAACATTATACTAAGTGAACAAAGCCAGACACAAAAGGACACACATGTATAATTCTATTTACATTAAATGTTCAGTATAGGTGAGGAAATCTAAAGAGACCGAAAAATGTATTCATGGTTGCCAGAAGCTGGTGGAGCAGGTGAGTTGAAATAGGAAGTAACTGTTAATGAGTACAGAGAGTTTTTTCAGGGGGGTGGGTAGTGGGGTGATGATTGTGGTGATTGTTGCACAACTCTGAATGTACTAAAAATTATTGAATTGTATGCTTTAATAAGGGGAATTTTATAGTTTGTGAACTGTATCTCAATAAAGATGTTAAAACAGAAGCTGACTTTGCCATGCTCATTCACATTTTAATGTGCTGCATGACATTGTTTCAAAAACATCATTATATCACCAAGTTCTCTTCATTTCATTACACAAAGCAAAGAGATGCCATGAGTATCCTCTTTGTGGTTCTGTTAGTAATTTTCAGGTAATCGCAATGTATCTTTGAATTCTTTCTCCACTCCCACATTTCCTCATGTTTTCAACTGTCTGTTGGCCATTTTTATTTGCTGTATCTCAATTCGGGTATAATTAAATCTTATCACCCGGGCTAACAAAGTCATTCTCCCTTATCAACTTCGATTATCAGTCAAGAAATCCTCTTTTCTCCAAGGGTCTGTGCTCCAAGCTCTAAAGTTAGTATCTATATTTCTCTCTCCCTTCATAACCAGTCATCAAGTTTTGTTCATTCTTTTGACACTTCCCTTAACTGCTCTTCCCTTCCTATTTCTACTTCCATCATCCTGATTATTTACTTCGTTATCTCCGAGGCTAAACTACTTCAATATCCTCCAAACCTTTTATCCTGCCTACAGTTCTTCCTCTCTCCAACTTATATGGCAAACAAATTCCTACAGTTTGTTGTTTTCTGTGGAATGTTTCAGCTCAAAGATATTCAATACATCTTCACCTCCTACAAGATTATATTCAATCTTTTGACATTTAAAAATCTCCATCTACTGGCCACATTCCCACATTTGTCCATGTTACTTTCAAGTACTCCACATTCATTATGCTTCTATCCTAGTCAAATTGTTCTAATTGTCAACCCAAAACACAGCCGATAGCCTGTAGAAAACATTTTGCTTCCACTTGGAAGTTTATTTTTCCTTGTTATCACCTACTTACTTATCAAAAGTTAAACACCCACTCAATTAAGTACCTCTTTCCTTCCTTCCTTCCTTCCTTCCTTCCTTCCTTCCTTCCTTCCTTCCTTCCTCCCTTCCTTCCTTCCTTCCTCCTTTCCTTTCTCTCTCTCTCTCTCTTTCCCTTCCTTCCTTCCTTCCTTCTTTCCTTCTTTCTTTTCTTTTCTTTTCTTTCTTTCTTACACAGTCTCACTCTATTACCCAGGCTGGAGTGCAACGGCATGATCTCTGCTCACTGCAACCTCTGCCTCCTGGGCTTTAGCAATTCTCCTGCCTCAGTCTCCTGAGTAGCTGGGATTATAGGCACCCACCACCATGCCTGGCTAAAAAAAAAAAGTTGGCTATTTGAAAAGATAAATAAAATTGATAAACCATTAGCCAAACTAAGAAAAAAAGAGAAAAAACTCAAATAAAGAAAATCAGAGATTAAAACAGAGACATTAAAACTGATACTGCAGAAATTCAAAGGAACATTAGTGGCTACTATCAGAAACTATATACCAATAGATTAGAACATTTAGAATAAACAAATAAATTTCTAAATACATACAATCTACCAATATTCAACCATGAAGAAATCTGTTATCTGAACAGACCAATGACAAGCAATGAGATTGAAGCCATAATAAAAACTCTCCAAGTAAAGAAAAGCCCAGGACCTGATGGCTTCACTGCTGAATTCTAGCAAATATTTAAAGAACTAATACTAATCATACTCAAACTTTCTCAAAAGATAGAGGAGGGAATACTTTCAAACTCATTCTATGAAGCCAGTATTACTCTGATAACAAAACTAGTCAAAGACACATTAAAAAAAAAAAGCTACAGGCCAATATCTCTGACAAATATTGATGCAAAAATCCTCAACAAAGCATTAGCAAACCAAATTCAACAATACATTTGATAAAGTTCCACGTCCCTTCATGATAAAAACCATCAGAAAACTGGGTATAGAAGGAACATAACCTCAACGTAATAAAAGCTGTACATGACAGACCCACAGCTAATATTATACCGAATGGGGGAAAACTAAAAGCCTTTTCTCTTCAATCTGAAATATAACAGGATGCCAACTGTCACCACTGTTATTCAATTTAATACTGGAAGGTCTAGCTAGAGCAATCAGACACGAGAAAAGATATAAAGCGTATCAAAATTGAAAAGGAAAAATTCAGGTTATCCCTGTTTGCAGATAATATGATCTGACATTTGAAAACACCTAAAGAACTCCATCAAAAAAACCTACCAGAACTGATAAACAAATTCAGTAAAGATGCAGGATTCAAAATCAACATACAAAAATCAGTTACATTTCTATATGCCAAGAGTCAGAAATTTGAAAAAGAAATAAAAAAGTAATCCCATTTGCAATAACCACAAATATAATTAAATATCCAGGAATAAACTTAACCAATGAATGAAATATCTCTGCAATGAAAACTATAAAACACTGATGAAAAAACTGAAGAGGACAAAAAAATTAAAAGATATTCCATGTTCATGGATTGCAATAATTAATATTGTTAAAATGTCCCTACTACTGAAAGTAACCAATAGATTCAATGTAATATTTGTCAAAATACCAATGACATTCTTCAAAGAAAAAGAAGAATCTAAATAGAAGATCCTTGGAAGAATTAGAAGATTCTAAAACTTATATGGAGTTACAAAATATAGAGAATAGGTAAGAAAATCCTGAGGAAAAAGAATAAAGCTGGAGTAATCATATTACGTGACTTCAAATTATACTACAATGGCATCATAACCAAAACAGCATGGTAGTGGCATAAAAACAGACACATAGACCAATGGAAGAGCATAGAGAATGCAGAAACAAATCTAGACACCTAGAGTGAACTCATTTTCAACAAAGGTGCAAAGAACATACATTGGGGAAAAGACAGTCTCTTCAAAAGTGGTGCTGGGAAAACTGGATATCCATACGAATGAAGAATGAAACTTGACCCCCATCTTTGCCTTATACAAAAATCAAAACAAAACAGATTAAAGACTTAAATATAAGACCTCAGACTATGAAACTACCAAAATAAAACACTGGGGAAACTCTCTAGGACATTGTTCTGGGCAAAAATTTCTTGAGTAATATTCTACAAGCGTAAGCAACCAAAGCAAAAATGGGCAAATAGGATCACATCAAGCTAAAAAGCCTTTTGCACAGCAAGGAAAACAATCAGCAAAGTGGAGAGACAACCCATAGAATGAGAAAAAATATTTTCAAACTACCCATCTGACAAGAGATAAATAACCAGAATACATAAAGAGCTCAAACAACTCTATAGAAAAACAAATCTAATCATCTGATTTTAAAATGGGCAATAGGGACCGGGTGCAGTGGCTCACACCTGTAATCCCAGAACTTCAGGAGGCCGAGATGGGCAGATCATGAGGTCAGGAGTTGGAAACCAGACTGACCAGCATGGCGAAACCGCGTCTCTACTAAAAATACAAAAATTAGCCAGGTATGGTGGCGGACGCCTTTAATCCCAGCTACTTGGGATGCTGAAGCAGGAGAATCACTTGAACCTGGGACATGGAGGTTGTGGTGAGCCAAGATGGTGCCACTGCATTCCAGCCTGGGCAAGAGAGCGAGACCCTCTCAAAAAAAAAAAAAAAAAAGAAGGCAATAGATTTGAATAAACATTTCTGAAAAGAAGACAGACAAATGAAACGGGCATATGAAAGATTGCTCAACATTATTGATCATTAGAGATGTAAATGAAAACTACATTGAGATATCATCTCACCCCAGTTAAAATGGCTTTCATCCAAAAGACAGGTAATAACAAATGCTGGCAAGAATGTGGAGAAAAGAGAACCCTAGTACACTGTTGGTGGGAATGTAAGTTAGTACAAATACTATGGAGAGCAGTTTGGAGCTTCTTCAGAAAACTAAAAGTAGAACTACCATATGATTCAGCAATCCCACTGCTGGGTATATACCCCAAAAGAAAGGAAATCAGTATATTGAAAAGATATCTGCACTCCCATGTTTGTTATAGCACTGCTCATAATAGCCAGAATTTGGAAGCAACCTAAGTGTCCATCAACAGATGAATGGGTAAAGAAAATGTGGTACTTATAAACAATGGAGTACTCTTCAAGCCATAAATAAGAATGAAATCCTGTCATTTGCAACAACATGGATGGAAGTGGAGATCATTATGTTAAGTGAAATAAGCCAGATACAGACAGACAAGCATCAAATGTTCTAACTGATTTGTGGAATCTAAAAATCAAAACAATTGAACTTATGGACATAGAAATTAGAAGAATGGTTATCAGAGGCTGGGAAGGGTGGTGGGAGAGTGTGTTGGGGGGAGGTTGTGATAGTTAGTGGGTACAAAAAATTAGTTAGAAAGAATGAATAAGACATAGTATTTAATCACCTAATAGGGGGACTACAGTCAATAATAATTTCATCATACATTTTAAAATAACTAAAATAGTATAATTGGATTGTTTGAAACACAAAGGATAAGTGCTTGAGGGGATGGAGACCTAACTTTCCATGACATGATTATATGCATTGCATGCCTGTATCAAAACCCCATAAATAGACACACCTACTATGTACCCACAAAATTAAAAATAAACAATTTTTAAAATACTTATATTGTTATAAAATATTTCACATTAAAAAATTAAGATTTTTTAAAACTCCAATAACAAAACGCAGAAAGCATTTCCCTTATCTGGTCCATGCCAATGAAATGAGTTTCCTAGTAAGGCAATTGGATGTCACAGCAATGTCAGATTGGTCTAAATACTTCTGGATACATCCTGTCAATGCCTGTACTCTTTAGAGATTAATAACAAAATTTCACAGACCAACACTGGTTCATATACATATTTATACATATGTATACATATGGATATCACAAACACAGTCCGTTAACAATGAGGATACATTCTGAAAACGTGTCATTAAACACTTACACAAACCTAAATGTGACAGCCTCCTACACACCCAAGCCATATGGTATAGCCTATTGCTCCTAGGCTACAAACCTGTGCAACATGCACTATACTAAATACTTTAGGCAACTGTAACACAATGAAAAGTGTTTGTATTTCTAAACATATAAAAGGTACAGTAAAAATATGGTATTATAATCTCATGGGACCACCATTGTTGACCAGAACATCATTATGTGGCATGTGACTGTATCTATGCCAAAATCATATCACAATTGTGATATGAAGCCATTTTAAATGGAAATACCCTAAGCAGTTTGCATAGTAAGTTTCCCAGAAGTGGGACGCTGTTATATAAATATGCCATCCTTAAAACCTGCATCCAATGGTGGACCAGTGTGCATGTCACAGTGATTCTAAAATGAATCATCCCTTTTTCTACTCTTCCTACATTTTCTTATATTCTCTGACAGCTGGGATTCTGCAAAGGACTAAATATTCGTACCCCCTAAAAAATTCATATGTTGAAATACTAACCCCAATGTGATGGTATTTGGAGGTGGAGCCTTGGGGAAGTGATTAAGTCATGAAGGTAGAACCCTCATGAATGGGATTAGGGCCCTTCTAAAAAGAGACTCCAGAATGCTTTATTTGTCATGTGAGATGACATTGAGGAGGTGGTTGGCTGCAGCCCTGAAGAGGACCCTCACCAGAAATGGACTATGCTGGCATCTGATCTCAGATTCCAATCTCCAGAACCATGAGAAATGAATTTTTATTTTGTATTGACTATAAAGTCCATAAACAAAATCTACAATACATTGTTGAGCAGCCCAAGATAAGACAGATACCTTCTGTGAAAAAGCTTACTTGGGAAAGTAAAATTCGAAGGTTTAATTGATTCCAGAGTGCAGGCTCACAAATGCCTACATGTATTGATGGAATGATGTCCTTATAAACATTCTCCTTGTCTCCTGAGATTCCATTTTGAATAGGCTTACTAATGTCATACAATAGACCATTACTTCTAGAAAGACTTTGTAGCAAGAGAATTTATTTGATTTACTCACTTGAGAAGCTCATCTCATTTATGGTTTTGAATATGCATTTTTTCCCTTAAGAATGGTTTACAAATAAGAAATAATGGGCTTACAAATAAGAATACATAATAGCATCTGCTACAAGTAGATATCTGCGTGATTGAATAGAAAGTCTGATTTAATCTATAGCATCAGTTTAATGTGCTAGTGCCTTAAAATAAACATTAATGTAAAACCACAGTTTTAGGTTAAGGCACAGAATGGAACACACTTTATAATACCTAACCTCAGTTTCAGTTAAAAACATTTGTACCTTTTATAAGAAAAAAACCAAGGTTTTCACATGTAACTATTAGAAAGTTATAAAAATATTCAAGCAGCATTGCTTCAGTTTAGAGAGTTCCATTTAATTACCCAAGAAGAAATGCATTGTCAGCAAGGGTTTTGCCAGGATCTGGCAAACGTTGCCCTTGGAAGTCTATGCCAAGAGAATAAAAGAGAGTAAATATTGGTTTCTGTTACGTAAACAAGTCATGCTCTTCTGTTCTACAAGTTGAACTAATGGGAAAGAGACAGTCCATAGTATGTAAGGGTCTCCTGAGATTAGTCATCTCCTAATTTCAAACTGATTATACCTGATCAATGTATTTTGTTAATATAAACTGCATTTAATATCTGAGAGAGGCATTTCAGTAATTGACACATCACAGACAGACCCGTCCCTGTTCAGTGTTTTCAGCAACCTTATGGGACAGACAAAGCCTTGTATATGCATCATGAGTAAGAAAAGACAGGAAGCAAATAACATCTATTGTATCAAGTAGCTCAAAATAAAAATGTATCATAAAAGATTATGGTGACCAAGTTCAAGACTTACTTAATATCTAATAACTCTATAACAATGGAGTGCTAAAAATAAGTTCTGAAAACAATAAAATATCATGTGAATACATTATTTTTGTAAAGCCTAACCATAGGCTCCTAAAGTCCTAAAATGTTAAAACTTGGTTATTTTTATCTGATTTGAACTACTTATAATATTTATACTATTCAATGCAAAATGTAATTTATAAATGTCATCTAAAAATAAATGATATGCATAACTTTTGTTTGTATTTCCTAAAAAGTCATTTCCCTAAGCACATTAATATAAAATAAGCAAATAACACCAGTTTAACTTCAAAGACACATAACTGAAAATATTAATGTAAAGTGTAAAATTCTTCTTTAGATATCCAAATTTAAATGAGTGGAAAAATCAGTGTTATCTGAAATAAGTGCAAAGTAGACAGTACATTGAAAAGCATAAAATTAGCATAGTACACTTAATTTTCAAGTACCCTTTTACTGGAATATCCAAAGCAAATATTTAATATCATATTTATAATGTCTATTTTAAAATGCAGTTTCCTACCAGAAATTTTATCTTGACAAATTTGGCTTGAGCGTATCCCTGTGTACAACTGAATCAATTTCACACTTGCTCACCACCCTGTCTCTGGGAGGTGGCCCATTCATTGGTTTGATATTGCCATGGCAACTCTGCAACATGGTAACACGCCAGCGAAGCTCTGCTGCTCAAGTCCCAGTGTATGGTGAACTGCATCATATGAATAGACAGCAGTGTGCCTTCATAGATAGGAGTTCTTTCATCTTAGCTTACTCTTAGCCTGAAATATTAATTGCAAGCAATGATAATTCAACATTAGAAAAGAAAATCTCTGGTTAATTCTTGTTGTTGAAGAGAACACTGCAGGTGCATATCTAACATTTTCTAAAAGCCCTAAAGAAAAGAACATGAGCCCACTTGCAGGACCATTAGGAAGGGTGTTAGAGGGGCTTTAGTCTACCATAACAATTTTTAAGTAACTAATTTCCAGGTTGAATATCTGGTCATAGTGCTGTAATTTTAAATACAGGGAAGTTGTCTAAAATTAAAGCTTTTGATTTCTAGGTATGGAAAATTTAGTGTTCCTGCACCTTGTTTTTCTTATAGAATCTTTACTGGCACAGTGATTGTGCACTTGCATGAGTTTTTAGGGCTGCCACAGAAAAGCACCTCAAGGCCGGGCGCTGTGGCTCACACCTGTAATCCCAGCACTTTGGGAGGCTGAGGTGGGCGGATCACGAGGTCAGGAGATCGAGACCATCCGGGCTGACGTGAAACCCCGTCTCTACTAAAAATACAAAAAATTAGCCGGGCGTGGTGGCGGGTGCCTGTAGTCCCAGCTACTCGGGAGGCTGTGGCAGGAGAATGACATGAACCCAGAAGGTGGAGCTTGCAGTGAGCCCAGATCACGCCACTGCACTCCAGCCTGGCGACAGAGCAAGACTCCGTCTCAAAAAAAAAAAAAAAAAAAAAAGAAAAGAAAAAGAAAAAAAGAAAAGCACCACAAACTGGGTCGCTTAAAACGCAGAAATGTAATCTTCCACAGTCCTGGGGGCCGGAAATGCAAGTCAAGGTGTTGGCAGGGCATGCCCTCTCTGCAGATTCTAGGGGAAAACCTGCTCCATGCATTTGTTTCTGGGGCTCCCAGCAATCCTTGGCATATAGATATGTCACTCTAGTCTCTGCCTCTGTGGTCACGCAGAGTGCTCCCTATGTGTCTTCACACACTCTTCCCTCTCTGTGTACGTCTCTGTGTCTCTTCTGGTAGGGACAATGGTCATATGGGATTAGGACTCACCCTAATGAACTCAACTTGATTACATCTGTAAAGGTCTAATTTCAAATAAAGTCACATTCACAGGTACAGCGGTTAGGACTTCAACATTTTCCAGAGACACAATTCAACCCATTACAGTGCTATTGAGGAAATGTATCTACAAAACTTAAAAAAAAAAAAAAATCAACATCTCATCAGCTCACTGCTTCATTGATCTGTGTGAAGAGGCAACCACAAATATTGAGCTGTGCTCACCAATACATGAGCGAATGACAAAAATAGTGGGTTTTTGAAATGAATTTTGAAATGAAAATAATACAAAAGGTCAATGTCTCTCCACACAGATACCCAAGGATGGGATATTACACCTGCCTAGAGTTTGAACTGTTTTCTTGCAGATCCTTGAATCCCAAGGTCATAACCCTGGACTTTCTGTGGCAGGTGCTCACGTGTAAGTTACAGGAGGCAGCAGGAGCAAGGGCAGACAGCTCTGCCAGCTGGTGTTGGAAAAATTTCCAGGGTGTGCCTGGGTTTATAATCCATTCGTGGGAGCTGAGGTGAGTGGAGGAGGCTTCTGCTGCGAGACAGCAAAGGCCTCATCCTCTCCTCACTTCCCTCAGGGAGATTTTATCTTCAAGTACCTGATAGAACCCTACACTGTATGCTCATCGCCACAGTTGCAAATCTTTTGTGAAAAGACACAGTCGAGGTGCCCACACTCAGGACACTCAACTGTCAGTCATCAATGTCTTACCCTTTGATTCAAAGCAGACCTAAGGAAGCATGGCAAAGATGATGCCTCTTGATGTGCCAAGCCCTCCTGGAAACATGAGAGGCAAAAGGACAAGGAGACATTTCCCAAGGCAAAATTCAGTGGAAATGGGGAAGCCAGCAGGAATCACCAAAGCCAATTCGACTTCCATGTAAAGCAGGCCACACTTTGGCACAGTGAATACGTTGTATAAAAAGGGGAGAATCTGCATGTGTCTGAAGCTCTGGCACCTTTATCTTTGCTAGGAGAGAAATTCAAGCACTGTTTGTGGAAAATTGATATTTAATTTTGTTTTTCATTTTACTGTAAGGCTCCTAAAATTTTTAATCTTTCTTTAAGAAAATTGAAAATAAAATTTTCATAAAGGATTACCTTAATTATTCTCAGGGCTGCTTGATAATGGTTGCTTAATTCCAATTATTATGTAGCCTCACTATGTGATAACATATATGTGTATGTGTGTGTATCTATCACCTATCTATCTATATGTGTATAATGATATACACTTTGTATAACTATAGGACAATAAAATTTAATAAAAAAGGAAATGCATATGTAATGCTCATTTTTATTTGCATAACCCCTTTTTGCCTTTAAAAGATCTAGTGCTAAAATGAGTATTTCAATTCTTTCTTTTGAACTAAATATTGACCTCTTTTCATTCATTATATTTATATAATTAAAAGTTTTCTTTTCTTTTAAGGTTTTATAATACACATACCATTTCCTATGTTGAGGAACGAAATAAATGCCAATTGTCTTCAACTTCAAGTAAACCACAGCAATTCTGTTCAAACTGTGGTTCAAGGACCCAGTTCAGAGGATAACAACTAGCATTGTTTTTAGGCTTAAAAGTATCAAAGTCTATCTCATACAATAAGACAAATATTGTTTTGTGAAACTTTTGTTTCAGTTATATGTTATACTGTTTTTTCAGTTACAAGTATGTGTATGTTTACATGGTTTGTGCACACAAACAAAATGTTTGATGCCCTGTTAAATGTATTACTTAATGTGCATTATGATCTAAAAACCTAAAATTTAACCAAATAGATGAAAGACCTGTGCATTGAAAATGTAAAATTTTGATAAAAGAAATTGAAAAAGACACAAATAAATAAAAAGAATCCTATGTTTATGGATTGGAAAAATTAATATTGTTAAGTTGTTCATACTACTGAAAGTAATCTACATATTCAATGCAATCCCTATCAAAATTCCAATATTTTTCATAGAAATAGAAAACACAATCCTAAAATTTTTGTGAAACTGCAGAAGACCCCAAATTGCCAAAGCAATCCTGGTCAAATAAAACAAAGCTGGAGGCATCACACTACTTGACTTCACAAAATAATAGGCGGCTATGGTAATTAAAATACCACGGTACCAGCATAAAAACAGATGCATAGGCTAATGGAACAAAATAAAGAACCCAGAAATAAATCCACACAATAACAGTCAATTGATTATTGACAAAGGCGCCAACACACAATGGAGAAAGAAGAGTCCTGTCAGTAGGTGGTGTTGGGACAACTGAATATCCATATGCAGAAGAATGAAGCTATATCTTTACCAAACAACACATACAAAAAGAAAAAAACTCAAAATGGATGAAATAATTCAATTCAAGATCTGAAACTATAAAGCAACTAGAAGAAAATATAGAGGAAAGCACCATGACATTGATATGGGCAATGATTTTTAAATATGAACCCAAACTCAGAGGCCAGAAAGGCAAAACTAGACAAATGGGATTGTGTCAAATTAAAATACTTCTTCATAGAAAAGGAAACAATCAATAGAGTGAAGAGACAACCTATGGAATGGGAGAATATATTAGCAACCCATATATCTGATGAGAGATTATTATCCAAAATACATAAGGAACTCAAACAATTCAATAGCAAGAAAACAAATAACCTGGTTTAAAATGGGCAAAGGATCTGAAGAGACATTTCTCAAAAGAATTCATACAAATGGCCAACGGGTATACAAAAAAAAGGCTCAAACTCACTAATCATCAGGTTCAAATTAAAACCATAATGAGATATTACCTCATACCCATTAAAATGGCTATTAGCCAAAGAGTGACAAAGTGTTGCAAGGATGTGGAGAAAAGGGAAGTCTTGCACACTGTTGGTGGGAATACAAATTAGTACACCCATTATTGAAAACAGTGTGAAAGTTCCTGAAAATATTAAAAATAGAACCACCATATGATCCGGCAGTCTTACTACCAGATATATATCCAAAGGAAATAAAGTCAGTGTGTCAAAGAGAGATCTGCACTAACACATTCATTGCATCATTATTCATAATAGCCAAGATATATTATCACCTAAGTATCCATTAGCATTATTCACAATAGCCAGAATATAGATCAACCTAAGTGTCCATCCACAGATGAATGGATACAAGAAAATATGATATATCTACACGATGGGATACTATTCAACAACAAAGAAGGAAATTCTGTCATTTGCAACGACATGAATGAACTTGGACCACATTATGGTAAGTGAAATATACCAGGAACAAAATGACAAATACCACATGATCTCACTTATATGTGGAATCAAAAAAAGTTGAATTTACTGAAGTAGAGAGTAGAATAATGACCAGTGGAAGGTGTGGTAAGGGGAGGAGGAGGAGGGAGTTGGGAGGATGTCAGTCAAAACATGTGAAACTTCAGTTAGATAGAATATGTTCAACAGATCTATTACACAACATGGTAATTACAGTTAATGACAAATTCTTGTATTCTTGAAAATTGCTAAGACAGTAGACTTAGTGTTCTCAACACACACAAAAAAAGATAACTATGTGAGGCAATGCTTATGTTAATTAGCTCGATTTAGCCATTTCACAATGCATATTTTTCTTGTGCTTTTCTCATCAACGAAAAACAGAAATCCAAGGTCAGCACTGGCCTCTCAATCTTTTCTATAAATACCTGTTAAAGAGTGTTCATACATTCATTTCCCTTGAATTACTACCTTTATGATGTTGGCTCCAAATTCTATTTCAAAACATCATATTGTACACAATGAACACATTCAATTTTTATTTGTCAATTTAGAAAATAAATTTTAAAAAATGTTTTAAAAATCGGAAAGCCAGTGGCCTTCAGGGATCTATCACATCTCACATATACACTGGCAGATATCATCCGAGTTCAGCTTACCTGTGTGCCTGTGACGCTTTACTTTCTGTCCTTTGCCCAACTCACAATGAGCACCTAATAAAACCTTGTTAACTGATTAGATAAAATGATAAATAATTGCTTTAAAGAAGACACACAGCCCCAAATATTTAATAATTCTCTTTTGAGACTAGCCGATTAATGACTACTTATTAAATACCTGCTAGATTTCCAATGTTAGCAGGTAAAATAGAATAAATAAATAAATAAGGTTTCTGTATAATTTGAGAAGTTTGCATTGGTTAGATTATATCCAGATCTCTTCCAAGTTTATGGAAGACCACTACCAAAAGATAGGTAGAGACAGATGATTTTCTTTCTTTTTTTTTTTTTTTTTTTTTTTTTAGTCAGAGTCTCTCTCTGTCGCCCAGGCTGGAGTGCAGTGGCTCGATCTCAGCTCACTGCAAGCTCTGCTTCCCGGGTTCACGTCATTCTCCTGCCTCAGCCTCCCGAGTAGCTGGGACTACAGGCGCCCGCCACCACTCCTGGCTAATTTTTTTGTATTTTTAGCAGAGACGGGGTTTCACCGTGTTAGCCAGGATGGTCTTGATCTCCTGACATCGTGATCCGCCCGCCTCGGCCTCCCAAAGTGCTGGGATTACAGGCGTGAGCCACCACGCCCGGCTGAGACAGATGGTTTTCAAATAAAATATTATAAATGTGGATTTGAGAAATTCATGGAACCAGGCAAACATCAAAACTTCTGTGCATAAGTGGACAAGAATAAGAACATGGCCAGTGCTTGAATGAGATGGCAAAGCTAAGGGTTTAAGCATTTGGAGCCAACATCATAAAGGTAGTAATTCAAGGGAAATGAATGTATGAACACTCTCAAACAGGTATTTATAGAAAAGATTGGGAGGCCAGTGCTGACCTTGGATTTCTGTTTTTTGTTGATGATAAAAGCACAAGAAAAAGACCCAGGGAAGGAAGCCTTTTTTTTTTTCTTTTTTTAAGGCAGAGCAACACAGAATTCAGACTAGAAAAATTTCAGGAAGAAAAGCAATTCCACAGTGTACAATTTCTGTAATTTGTCGTCAAGTTAAGGCAGAATTAACTTGGTCCATGAAACAGAGTATAAAATAAAGACAGAGTATTTGCCCTAAATATCAGAGAACCCAAGGTGCTATGTATGGCACATCAAGGAACACACACGGTTTAGCAACATGGAGGCAGCGCATGGCTTTGGACCATCAGAGTGCATTGGTGAGGATGCGTCCTGCCTTCAGAAGGAGCACAGGGGGAGACAGGCTACAGAACAGGCACATGCTTCCAACACACTTTTCTCTTCTCGCTTGGGGCACTCGCATCGGCAGCAGAAGATGACATGAGGAGGTAAGGGAAGAGAAGAAGTTTGATGACTGACCCCAGGTGGGAGCTGAGAAGGCTGTGCTAAGAAGACACGTGAAACATCCACTTGAGATTTCTTAAAATATCGGGGGAAGACACAGTCTTGAAGTGACACCAGAATATTTGCAATCCAAAGTGAAGGCAAAACTGGAAATATACTATTTGTTGTCAACATCATAACCTCATATTCCAACCGTGGGAATAACTCAGCCTGGGATAACTAAGAGTAACAACACATAAAAGATTCTACTAAAATTTCCACTCAAAGCTGTTCCCAGTGTAATGTGAGAGAATGAAATGGTAAACATGAAGTTACAGTAAAGTATGATTAAATACCATGACAGATGTAGACAAAATAAACATTATCTCTGGGGCTTCTCATCCAGACTGGTAGGGTCAAGGAAGTTTCCCAGGGATGCGAGAATTGGGTCTTGAAGGGTAAATATAAAAGAGCCTGTCAAAGGGAAGGCTGATGATAGATGCTGCTTTGGTTTGAATGTTTGTCCCCTGTAAAACTCACGTTGAAGCTTAATTGTCATTGTAAGAGTATTAACGCCAGGCGCGGTGGCTCACACCTGTAATCCCAGCACTTTGGGAGGTTGAAGCAGGGGGATCATGAGGTCAGGAATTCTAGACCAGCCTTGAACTTAACCAAAAATTAGTTGGGCGTGGTGGCACACACCTGTAATCCCAGCTACTCAGGAGGCTGAGGCAGGAGAAGCAGTTGAACCTGGGAGGCAGAGGTTGCAATGAGTTGACATTGGGCCACTGCACTCCAGCCTGGGTGACAGAGCAAGACTCTGTCTCAAAAAAAAAAAAAAAAAAAAAAAAAAAAAAAGAGTATTAAAGAGTACTAAGAGTTGGGACCTTTCAGAGAGGATTAGACCGAGGGCTCCACCCTCATAAGTGGGATTTGTGCTGCTCTAAAAGGGGCAAGTTCAGTCCCCTGTAGCTCTCTCTCATCCTTTCTTATTCTACCATGTGATGGTACAGCAAGAAGGCCCTCCACAGATGCATCACCTTGACCTTGGGCTTCCTGGCCCCCAGAACTGTGATCCAGTAAATTTCTGGGACAGAGTACCCAGTCTCAGGTATTCTGTTACAGTTACACAGAACAGACTGAGACAGATATAACAGGAGGAAGGAGTGAAGTCATGGGGTATATCACAGCACATAACTGTAACACACGTATAAATTTGATGATACTCATCTGAGAATGTATTTGAGAATATTTAATTCTGCTTAAAGGCAAGATACACAAACAGGTTGGATGCACTCATAAAAAGGGTTGAACATAAGCTGTAGGTAAGCTGGTAGTTTGCAAGATATAGGGAAAATGTTCAGTATGGATGATGTGTAAACAGGAAGCTCCTGCACCTCAGGCAGAGCCGAGAAGAGAGTGAGTGAGCTGTAAGACATGCCAAGGAGAGACGGAATAAATAAAATAAAACACGTTTCAACAAAAAGAGAAATGTTTATAGACAGAAAGGACAGAAGCACCAAATCATGATCTTGCCACCTCCAAGTTGACAGCTCTGTCACCCAAATTTAGCCATCCACTGGTAACACTCAGCATATTCTCCATTTTGGTCCCACATATACACAATCCAAGAAAAGTACATGAAAACCATGGCTGTCCAGGAGGCTAAGGTGCAAGAGACGCCTGTAGCCAGATGACCTTGCTCTCCCATAGAGGAAGCATGTATCTTTGGCCCAAAACACCTTCTATCCATGGACCCCTCCCTCAAACCTCAGTCAGGGTCCTCATAACCATATCATCATCATCAGTGTCCCTAGACTCAGGGAGATATGGGCCCTCCGCCAGCCTGAAGCCTGCTCTGTAGAAGTTAACTTGCCCATTTCTTTCCCATTGCTTCTTCCTATGTGTTTAAGTTAGTGGATAGAGTGACTCATTCGTTTTAATTTGGTGTGTGATATTTTCTGTCTTTCAACATCTGGAACAGCCTGACTGGTAGTGTATTTGGAAGCTACCATTGCCTCAGGATTATTTCCCAGACAACAGTTACCATGAGAAAACCACAGGAACTTTAGTATGCCTAGAACATTAGATGTTAGTTGTGAAGTGATAAGAGACAAGTTGAGAGAAATAGCTATGGATTAAATCATGAAAGGCCTTTCCTACAAATCTTGGGGGTGAAAATTTATCCCCTGGGCAACGCAGAATCCTTGTAAGATTTTTGTGGAGCAAAAAAATATGATCATGTTTGGAATAATTCTGGAATTACTGCGATAATGAATTGGAGAGGAGGCATTCTAGAGATACATAGATAGGACAGTTAAGATAGGACTGCACAATTCAAGTAACAAATAGAAGAAGGCTAAACCAGAGGCTTCACTGTAGGACTGGTGAGATGGAAACAGGTTCAAGAAATGGCAAATGGACAAGTCAAGGTAATGTGAGAAATAAAGATGAGGCTTAGAGAGATAGCCAGGCAGGACCAGTCACTTGTGTGCAGACTGAAGAAGCAGCCTCAGTTTTGGGAGCCAGTTCAACTTTAGACTTAGGGAGCAAGCTACAGGAGGAGGGACTCTTCAGCTGTGTGGATACATCTGAAACTCGGGAGAAAGACCTGGGCTGAAGGTGTAAATAAGGAAGTTACTAGGTATACTTGAAAGATGTAGCCAACGGCACAAGAAGGAATTACTGAGGGAGATTGTATAGTATGAAAACAAATGGAGATAGAACAGATGGAGTTTTTTAGAACCCCCCTATTTAAGAAAAGTACAGATTAAAATGTGCATGTGAAGGAAAGCAAGGAGGACATGATATATTAGAGGCAACAATGTTGTTTCGGTATCATAAAAACAAAGGAAGAAGTTTCTATAAAAAGGCACAAGGGGTAATACCAAGTGCCGCAAAATATTGATTTCCTGACCTTAATATTTATCAAATGTGTAAAATGTTAGGTGCATTTTTAATCATGCATTATGCCTGTGGATATTTCTTTTTAAGACACACTGTCAAGGAGCAAGTTACCATTGCTGGCAAAGATGAAAAAATAAAATAATATAATGCTTTTCTCCCAAATGCAATAATTCAGTTCCAAAATATTAGCAGGGATTCAATACATGCTTTGTTTTGTTTTTTCCAAAAGAGAGGGATAGCTTTGGTAGGTCTAAGAAAATAAAAGACAAATGATAATCATTACTTTTCTTTTTCAATTTAGTTTATTTCTATTACAGATTCACAGACATTATAACTTAAATCAGTCTCAAAGTGCTACAAATCATTCCATATTATTTGCCTTAGTTAAAAATCACCAAGGAATACAAACCAGAATACAAACATCACCAGCTTGCTTCTCTATTTGTAATTTTGTTTGTACTCCTGCAGGTGAAAAAGAAACTACTTTCATACTTTCTTTAAGGAACAAAAGACTCTAGATTCAAGTCCAAGGTGTTAAATCTAAGTAAAGCATCAACACTACTTGGAGGCTCAGTTTCTGACATGACTTGAGCATGCTTGTCCTTTGTTTTACCCACAAGTGATATTCAAGTTAAAAGCTCAGGGGTACAGCATGGCTAGGACTACCAGACAATTGCAAAGGTTGTCGTTCTTTCCAAGACTCTGTGCTCAGCTGCCAAATGGCTGACGCCATGGCAGTAGCACCCCCAGCAGCTGTGTCGAAGAGCAGATGGGTGAGGAATCATGTCGCCAGTGGCTGAAGTGTCTCTGAGGCCCAGTGTCTCTCTGCATTGCTCAGATGCTTCACTTCTTGTCCATCTGCAATCCAGGCCACGGGTCCACAAAGGCAGTTGTGTGATCTGCCAGCCAGCTGGCCCTATCAACATTATGGAGATGAAATAGAGCTGGATTCAGTGCCAGCCACATGGCAGATCATGGAGGACAGAAATCCAAAGTATCTTGCCCATGCAGGGGCCAGAAAGTCTGCACCAAAGTTCAGTTCAGACAATTTGAATTCATTATGACTCCTTCTGCTTTGCATTATTATCAAAATTAGCTTCCATTTTAAGTGAAACATATTAGGGTCTTTTAAACTTTTAATCACTTTTTAATGTCTTCTAGTGCAGGAGGAGCTGGGTATTTATTTTTCTTTTTCTCATTATTTATATTATTACCATAATCTGAAAGTTGTTCATCTCAAATAGCTACCAGGACCACTCTCCCCACTCCCATTAACCCACCAAATATAACTGTCTTTCCATCCCCAAAGGATTGACTTTCACACATGCATTTAACATAAAATCTAATAAGCTTCATTCTATCTTTCATTTACTTACACATTAGGTATTTACTAACTCCTTACTCTATTTATGTTGCATTGGTTTTCCATTGTTACTGTAACAAATTATCACAAACAGTGCCTTAAGACAACACAGATTTATTATTTTACAGTTACAGTGGTCAGAAGTCCAAAATAGGCGTTACTGGAAAAAAAAAAAATACAGAAACGGTGTCAGCAGCACTGTGCTCCTTTGAGAAGATCCAGAGGAACCTCTGTTCTCCAGCCTTTTCCAGCTTCTGGATGTGCCTGCATTTGTTGGCTTGTAGCCCCTTTTTCCCCTTCAAAACCAGCTGTGTGGTATCTTATAATCTCTCTCTTGTAGGATCATATGGGATCACCCAGATGACCCAAAATAATCTCACCATCTCAAGATTCCTAACTTAATCTCATTTGCAAAGTCACCTTTGCAATGTGAAGTAATATACTCAAAGTTTCTGGGGATCAAGACATGGACATCTTCAAGAAGCATTATTCTGCCTACAACATATGGGAATCTAACAATCAGTAAGATTCTCTCCAAATCCCTGCCCTCGTGTATGTTCAGTGCAATCTGAACACAGTGCTGTGGGAATTCTCTCTTCTCTTTATCGATCTGTATATCTATAGATAGATCTATCCATTAGATATAGATATATCTATCCATCCTCCCCAAAATGGAGAAAAAGAACTCATTAATTGTGCACAAGGAGAAATGTCTGTGTTGGCATTCATTGAGTTTTCTCATTTTACTGATTCTTACTAGTAAGGCTAGTTACAATAATTAATGAATTCTTAGCAAACCCTATTTGCTAATCTTGAACCTAAAATACTGAAGTGAGCAGCTGAAGTGAGTGTATTTATTGATATATCTATAATCATCACCATTCATCATCATAATCATCATCATTACCACCATCAAGACTGCCTTCATCAAAACCACCACACCATCACACTAACATAATCACCCTATCATCATCATCCACACCATTATCTTCACTATCACCACCACCACCACCATCATTATTATCCTCCTCAACCCTATCCTATCACTGTCATCATCATCCTCACCACCATTATCATCCTCACCTTTATTACCAACACAACTACCACCAGCATCATCATCGTCTTCACCACCAAGACCACCACCACCATTCTCACCATCACAACCATCATCATCCTCCTCACCACCACTATCATCCTCACCATTATTGCCACCACCGACTGCTACCACCATCATCATCGTCAGCGTCATCATTCTCATCACCACCACCACAACAACAATCATCACCATTTTTATCATCCTAACCACCACCAGCATCATCATCCTAACTCTCATTCCCACCACCACTGCCACCACCACCACCACCACCACCACCACCATCATCATCATTATCATATGCAGCAGCAGTAATACACCATGGTACACTTGTAAACTAATTTTTACCTTTTGAATACATCATTTATCCTCAAAACAAACGAGCTAAGTAGATCAAAAGATTTTAAAAGATTATCTCATATATTTCATATAAGAAGAAAACATGGACTCAGATATGTTAGGGCATTTAGGAGACTTTCCCAACACCTTGTATTAGAAGGTAACACATTGGCTCTTAAACCTAGAACTTTTTGATGAATCACTGCTTTTTCCAACAAACCACACTGTCTTTTGGAAAGTATACATAATGTTGTATCTTAACTAGAGGGAAGGGAGACAAATTCAAAAGAATGATCCATATTAGAATAAGAGAATAGGGACTGCCTTCATTAATCAGTATGCACACTGAAGATTTTCTTTATTTACATACTATTAGGCAAAGCCCTACTCATCCAGTCTTAAGTGATCTTACCCACTTGGCATTTCTATGGCGATTGTTATTCAACCAATGCCTAACAGCATCTCATCCACCATTTTTATTTGTAAGCTCTTAGATAAATGGCCTATAGCCTATTTCTTTATAACTGCCATAGTACATTATGTTGCACTTAGAAATAGCCTAATAATGATCCAATAAATTTTAACTAAATATCCAAGAAGATGTGCTTAATAGTATACAGAGTGGTGTGCGCTGGCTGTCAAAACCCAATGGTACACATCTCTCCCAACTCTGTTCAGTGACATCATGTTGGTAGCTTGAAATCAGCCATGATGGGCATGTTCACACTCGAGACACCAGGAAATGTCACAATCAGGGGCCCCCCACCCAACCTCACGAAAGCCAATGTTAAACATTATTTGTGCACACTGCTTGTGGGTACCAGTGAATTGACAGTGGGCTCAGTGCTCAACAGTCCGGAGTTTTATCCTTCTTTTTTTTTTTTTTTTTTGAGACAGAGTCTTGCTCTGTTGGCCAGGCTGGAGTGCAGTGGCACGATCTCAGCTCACTGTAAGCTCCATCTCCCAGGTTCATGCCATGCTCCTGCCTCAGCCTCCCGAGTAGCTGGGACTACAGGTGCCCGCCATGATGCCCAGCTAATTTTTTGTATTTTTAGTAGAGATGGGGTTTCACTGTGTTAGCCAGGATGATCTCGATCTCCTGACCTCGTGATCCACCCACGTCGGCCTCCCAAAGTGCTGGGATTACAGGGGTGAGCCACCGTACCCGGCCCTGAGTTTTATTCTTAGAGCTGATACAAGTTGATTCTGAGACAACTTTGATTCTGTTCTATGCCTTTCTCCTGGAGGAAGGATAATGGTTACCATTCACCACTTATCAACCTCATATGATTTTCTCTGCAGTGATTTGAAGATCTGTTCTGAAATATGTTGTGCAAATACAAAATGTTATTATTTTGACTACACTGACAAACAAGAATGAAGCGAGAAGAGGAAACACAAGGTTTCCATGCCCCACTTTGGGGTTCTGTGTTGCATCCATGCTGTGATGGGAAGAGTGAGGACCATGGCATTCTGTATAATGACGCACTCTGGAACTCAGGTATCCGTGAAATGCTATTGTAGTGAGTATTTTCTCTGCAAAAAAAATTCAGAAAGTGAATGAGGACAATAAACATTCAGAGAGCAACTGTGGAAATTTAACATAAAGTGCCAGACAAGCTTTGTCATAAGCTATATGTATATAATATATTGTGGAGGGTGTGTGTCATGGGGAGAGAGAAATAGATTCTCTAAAGATAAATCTCTTCTCCAGAGATATTGCATTGCCACATTACACACTTTAAACTGCCAACATGCACCTTCAGGGTCCTCTTGATCTTGTTTCAACACCCTTAAAACCAACTGCCCTAGAAGAGCCTATTTTCAGAAAAGCTCCCTAGTTTCAGTTCACTTATAACAAAATGGATGGCAGCCTTCTGGAAATGATGCGCTCAGAACGCAACCCTAAGGGCCTCTGGCAGAAGCAGCTATTGACGTCTCTGGAAACCCCAGTCATCCAAGGCCACTTCTAGGCTGTGCTACGTAGCCCCTGACCTCACTTTTGTCTGTCTCTCCTGTATCATAGACTGTCAAAACACACTGAGAACTGGGGGCCTTATACCCATGAGGGTCTGCACTCACGCAGAACAGTGCCGCACAGGCCAGCTATAACGGAAGCTGGACCACATGGCCAAAGGTCACTGACCCAACATGATGGCAAATGTACCAGCAAGTCACTAGAATAGACTGAGAGATTGCGATGTGGCAGACCCTAACCACAATCTTCAAATGTGGTCCTCACAGAAACTATGAGTTAGGTATCTCCATTTCACTAAAGACAGGAGAGGTTGTCCAAGCACACAGTAAGTATTAAAAGCAGAAACTAAGCCTTGTTCTGACTCCAACATGCCAAGGTCTTCATTGCTACCAAATACTCCCTAAAGGTGTAAGTCAAACTCCATCCCTCTTCCCTGCTCCTTTGATTTAACATCAAGGCTACAGTGATGTGCCATCTCACACCAGCCGGAATGGTTATTATTAAAAAGTAAAAAAAAATAACAGATGCTGGTGAGGTTGTGAAGAGAAGAAAATGCATGTACACTGCTGGTGGGAATGCAAATTAGTTCAGCCATTGTGGAAAGCAGTTTGGCAATGTGTGAACTTCAAATAGAAGTACCATTTAAGTCAGCAATCCAATTACTGGGTGTATGCCCAAAGAAATAGAAATCATTCTACCATAAAGGCACATGTACTCGTATGTTCATCACAGCACTATTCACAATAGCAAAGACATGGAATCAACCTAAATCCCCACCAATGGTAGACTGGATAAATAAAATACAGTACATATACACCATGGAATACTATGCCGCCATAAAAAAGCAAGATTATGTCCTATGCAGCAACGTGGATGGAACTGAAGGCGATTATTGTAGGCAAACTAACAAAGGAACGAAAAACAAAATACTTTCCATTTTCACTTATAAATGGAAGCTAAACATCCAGTACATATGGACACAAAGAAGGGAACAACAGACACGGGGCCTCCCTGAGGGTAGAGGATGGGAGGCAGGTGAGCGTTGAAAAAACATGAATCAGGTAGTAGGCATATTACCTGGGGGACAAAATAATCTGCACACCAAACCCTTGTGACACATAATTTACCTGTATCAGAAACCTGTACATGTACCCCTGAACCTAAAATAAAAAGTAAAATTAAAAAAAAAAGAAAAGAAAATGTGGTACTTATACACAATGGAGTACTATTCAGCCATTAAAAACGAGTGAGATTCTATCATTTGCAGCAGCATTGATGGAACTGGAGGTCATTATGTTAAGTGGAATAAGCCAGGTACAGAAAGACGAACATTGCATGGCATGTTCTCTCTTAACTGTGAAATCTAAAAATCATAACAACTGAACCCATGGAGATAGAGAGCAGAAAGATGGCTCCCAGAGTCTAGGAAGAATGCTGGTGGGGTAGGTGGGAGTTAGCAATGGTTAATGGGTATCAAAAATTTTAAAGAATAAATAAGTCCTAGTAACTGATAGTATAATGGGGATCTAAAATCAATCATAATTTAATTGTATATTTAAGCTCTTTATATAGGTATAGAAAGTTAGATAGGTATAACTATATAACCTTTTATAACTATGTAACTCTTTTAATAACTGAAAGAGTATAATTGGATTGTTTGTGACACAAAGGACAAATGCTTGAAGGGATGAATACCCCACTTCCACGGTGTGATTATTAATGCACTGCATGCCTGAACAAAATCTCTCATATAGCCCATAAATATATACCCCTCACATGTGCTCACGAAAATTAAAAATTTAAAAAGTTAAACAAATTAGTGAATACAAAAGTAAAATATGGCTCAGTGAATTCTTTCACTTCTCATCTCATATCTAAGGTTTTACGTGATTGGACAACATCTGGTGATTGTTCCTGATTAAAGGAAGATCAATTGAGAGTGAGAACTGATGGCTACATTCCACCTAGAATAAATTAGGTCACAACTTGGAATATTAATTTAAACATATTAATACATGAGAGCTTAAAAACAGTAAATATCTAACATCGTATAGTATGGGATATAAATAAAAAACAAAATAAATTATCATGCTCTTTTTTTTTTTTTTTTTTTTTTTGGAGACGGAGTTTCCCTCTTGTTGCCCAGACTGGAGTGCAATGGTGCGATCTCGGCTCACTGCAACCTCCGCCTCCCAAGTTCAAGCGATTCTTCTGCCTCAGCCTCCCGTATAGCTGGGATTACAAGCATGCACCACCACACCCAGCTAATTTTGTATTTTTAGTAGAGAGGGGGTTTCTCCATGTTGGCCGGGCTGGTCTCGAACTCCTGACCTCAGGTGATCCACCCACCCCGGCCTCCCAAAGTGCTGGGATTACAAGTGTGAGCCACCATGCCCAGCCTTATCATGCTCTTTAAGTGTGTGATTAAAAAAAAAAAAAAAAAGAAAAAAAGGAAGGGAAAGTAATTGATTTGCCTAGTACCTTAACTTTGGTCAAATAAAATATTCTGGGATTTTTTTCTTTTTTTTTTTTTTTTTTTCTTGAGAGGGAGGCTCGCTCTGTCGCCCAGGCTGGAGTGCAGTGGCACAATCTCGGTTCACTGCAAGCTCCGCCTCCTGGGTTCACGCCATTCTCCTTCCTCAGCCTCCGGAGTAGCTGGGACTACAGGCGCCCGCCACCACGCCCGGCTAAGTTTTTATTTTTTGTAGAGACGGGGTTTCACCGTGTTAGCCAGGATGGTCTCGATCTCCCAACCTCGTGATCCATCCGCCTCGGCCTTCCAAAGTGCTGGGATTACAGGCGTGAGCCACTGAGCCCGGCCTGGGATTCTTTTTTACCAAAATAAAATCTTGTTTCATGAAGGTATATTATCCTTAAAATATGTGAAATTACCTATTGGATATTACTGTGCATTTTACAATCATAGTAAACATAAATTATTGCAATTAAACTTTAATACTTGGAAATATCTCTTTTTCAAACAAACCATCAAAGAATTATTCTTTATTTTACTCACTTAAAAATTACATTCCTTATCCCTCCCAAATATTTATTTGATACTTTCTTTAGCGAAAGACTTGTTATATTTGATATTGAAAATGTGTTTTATTAAAATAAATACACAGAATATTTTGAGATGAAATCAAATACCTAATTTCTGTGGAATACAAAACTATGTTTTCTCCGTTTGTATTCAGCTTCAGGTTGATGTTGACATATTCATTTAAAAAACCATAACTGTGTAGCATAATAATAAAATCATATTATTATAAATAATCACATTATTATAAAATAAATTACTATAAATAAATATAAACTATAAATGAACATGGTTTATTTAAAATTAATAATAGAATAAAATGCAGATGGGCTTTCTCACATTTTCCCTGATTCATGGCTTTATTCCAGTTACAGAAAACTCTGTTTCTCAAGAACACTCTTCAAAACTATAGGGAAAATCAATTTTCTTCTGTTATTATGGAAAATCCTCCAGTACCTAGTCCATACATCAATAGCCACATTTATATAAATGCCAGTGAATTTATTACTTCCTGAGAATTTGTATGTAAGATTTCAAAATAAAGGCTAATCTCAAGGATAAATTTGCATGTTTAACTCATTTCAATAAATACCATAGGATTTGAGACACCAAAGAAAGTCACAAAACCAAAAACCCCAGTAACTATTTATTTTTAAAAAATATTTTAACTTTTATTTTAGGTTCAGGGGTACAGATGCAGGTTTGTTACAAAGGTAAACTTGTGACGGGGGTTGGGGGTTGGTTTACAGATTATTTCATCACGCAGATACTAAGCATATTACCTGACAGTTTTTTTTTCTAAACTTCTCTCTCCTCCCAAATTCTTCCCTTAAGTAAGCCCCAGTTTTTTCTGTTCCCCTTTCTGTCCCTGTGTTCTCATTATTTAGTTCTCACTTGTGAGACCATGAGATTTTTTGTTTGTTTGTTTCTGTGTTAGTTTGTTAAGGATGATGGCCTCCAGTTCCATCCACATTCCTGCAAATGGCATGATCTCATTCTTTCTTATGGCTATATAGTATTCCATGGTCCATGATGTATATGTACCACATTTTCTTTATCCAGTCTAGTGTTGATGAGAATTTAGGTTGATTCCATGTCTTTGCTATTGTCAATAGTGCTGCAATGAACATAAGCATGCATGTGTGTTTATAATAAGATGATTTGTATTCCTTTGAGTAAATACCCAGCAGTGGGATTGCCGAGTCAAATGGTAGCTCTGTTTTTTGTCCTTTGAGGAATCACCAAACTGCTTTCCACAATGGCTGAACTAATTTACATTCCTACCAGCAATGTATAAGAGTTCTCATTTCTCCACAAGCTCGCCAGCATCTGTTATTTTTTGACTTTTTAATAACAGCCATTTGACTGTTGAGAGATGGTATCTTATTGTGGTTTTGACTTGCATGTCTCTAATGATTAGTGATATTGAGCATTTTTATATGCTTGTTTTGGCCACATGTAGGTCTTCTTTTGAATAAATATTGTTGAATCTAGAGTATCTGAAGGTTTATCCTGCTATTATATTAAATTTTCAGTATAATGAAAACTTTTTATGGTAAAATGTTTAAAAGAAAGATGAAAAGAAATGCTGGACCCATAATCTTTAAAGCACAAAAACTAAAGAGTGAAATATAATAGCCTGTAAGGTAAAATCAATTATCTATTCAATATTATAGTGTATCAAAAAGTGTATTTCTTATAGAATATTGTGAATACATGTTTTATTTTAATATTTATAAAATACAAAAATTAATGTATATATAAAACAAATATATAAATTAATAGATGCATAATTATACATATATCTATGAATTAATACATGTATCTATATAATATAGATGTTATATAGACACATTTATACATAATTTAGATGTATAATGTAATATATAAGTTATATGTCTGTAAAGTCACTTACAGAAAATATGTAAATTTTTACTTCAATTTCCCCATATTGATTTGAAAAAATATTGTCACAAATAGTCAATATTAAGGGGTCATCCAGGGCTACTGAGGCATATTGAGTAATAAGCATTCAGTAACAGCCAACTGCCCTATGAAACTGTTGTGGTCTTCCTGCAAGGAAAGTCTCAGGTCATGTCAAATGAAAACAACGTTCATTCCGTCCCAATATTTATGTCACCTAAGAGTATTTCCTAATCTTTAAATCAACACTTCGCATGTGCATTCTGATCAATATAATAAAGTTTTATAATTTTCAACATCTTAGAAATTAAAATTTTGCTATATATTTGTGAATAAGACAGGACTTTCTCTTTCTTGGCTGACATTGAGGTTACTGTCTCAAAATAGTTCTGCCTGTAGAAAAACATGAAGCTTTGCACTTCTGATCCAACTAAGCTCTTCAAACTGTGCCTTGTGAGAGTGGCTCTTCAGAAATGGGCTCTTTGCAGCACTCATGTTATGGTGAATATGGAAGCAGTTGAAGAAATTGGTGTGCTGTATTCCTACCTAAGGAACTTATACTCCAGCAAAAATTATTCATATTATTTGTTTATTTTCTGGGAGTGGCAAAGAGATCTCTAATGTTCCAGGCTTTAACAGACTGAACCTATGAAATTTGTTATGTATAATCACACAAGTTCTAAATAGTTTCTTCCTTGTGAAAAGGCAATATCAGTTACACCATACAATCACTCAGTGTGTTCCTCAGTCATACCAGATTCACTTCTTTTGGATGGCATCTTAAAGTGTCACTGTGAGTAAAACAAAGGCTTGATCCACATGGGCCAAAAAAAGTTTTTCCAATATTCTCATTTGACACAAGAGCCACTGTTCTTTTACAGTTCTACAAAATACAACCTTTGTGACAAAGTAAAACCTATAACAATAAGTCATTTAAAATTCATATGGCATAGCCTTTGACATTTCTACCATTTACATTGCTCATGGCATGAATATGCATATATGACTATAATAACAAATATTTTCCTACCAGTGTCCTTCATTACAGTGTAGTTTGTTCAGGCTCTCATTCAATAGTTGCACAAGAAAAGTGAGAAGCTAGTCATGTAATTACAGAAATCAAGCTGATCATCCCTAAAAATCTTGAATCATTCATTTGCTGATAATATACTTCTCCCATTACATTATTACTTTTAATTTTAGTGACAAACATTGGTTGCATAACCTTGGCATGTAACTGTCATTTGCAATGACACTAATAATTTAATACTCTTTTTCCAACTCACATTTCTGAGCTCCTTGAAAATTGTGCCAGTGTAGAGCCAAGGAAAAAGTAAGGAAAAGAGAAGTGCATTTCCTCCCATTAGATAACCAGTAACAAAGACAAAATGAAATATTGATCTACTCTTTTGGCTGAGCTTTCTCAGGTTTGCAACCATCTTCTCCTCAGCTGTGGACAGAGCAAAATCAGAAATTGATTATCTCTCACTTGTAGACCTAAGCTCCATGGATCTTCAATGGTTGACTAGTTAATTAAATACAGTAACAGAATCCCAGATTAGCGCTTTCTCCATAAGCATGCCATTAATCAACCCATTTTTCAATGCGAGAAATATCTGCACACAACTACTGTAATATTACTTCTTAGCCATAGCCTTCTATCTACTATTTAGCAGATCGTAAGTTATTTGTCCCACAGGGAGGTTCATCATCAATTCACACCTTCTTCTCCTGGTTTCCTAGACAAACTATGAAGTTTAATAGATGTTTTAGATCTTTCATCATTCATTTGCTCAAAGAATGAAATGCCAGCTCCCTAAGAACTGAAAACTGAATGGAGAGGGTGTCCATGCAGATTGATATTTGACCAATACCAGTGAAATGTGGGCCCTGTCCTGCCTTGCAATGTACAGTGG
The DNA here is from genome assembly GCF_000001405.40 of Homo sapiens. Taxonomy (NCBI): domain Eukaryota; kingdom Metazoa; phylum Chordata; class Mammalia; order Primates; family Hominidae; genus Homo; species Homo sapiens. The sequence continues at coordinate 108,539,304 of NC_000013.11, read as the reverse complement.
TGAGGAGTTCTTGAGTTTATAAAAGCAGCTTACTCTTCTGCAAAGCAGATATTGAATATTATGTGTCTGAGCATTAAATTATTAACGTTAAAAAGGACATTTTCTTCAAAAGAATTTTTGGCAAATACTGATAAAAACCATCCCTCTTAACTCAGGTACAGGACATGAAACACTGGAAAGCAATTTTTTCCGATAAATAACAACTCAGGCAGTCTATTTTTTAAATCTGGTGCTGTAGCTAGTAAGCTGCAGGTGATGCATCTCACAGGGAAAAGCACCAGGTAAAGGCAGAGGTGAACAGGATGGAGAAAAATGCAATAGATTAGACTGAGTGGTACACACTATTCAGTTGGGAGAACTCAAAAAGGGAAGATTTAAAACTTCCATTGCTTCTTTTCAAACCTAAGTTGAATATTCTTACAGACACCAGTGGCCAGATCCAAGTTTGCAACTGGTGACTGGCATGGTACAAAAACTAACTTTATGTTAGAGTGCCATGTGAGAATTTTTTGTTCATTCCACAAAAAGATTTTGAGTTTTCTAGCCATAGTGCTAAACACTAGGGACACAGAAATAAATAAAAAGAGCATCTGTTGTCTAATATTTCAGAGTGAAGTTGGAGGGAGGCAAGGATACTGTATCAGTAGGGATCAATCTTAGCAGCTACCTCTCCAGAATGATAAGCCTCCCTGAAAAAATCACCCATAGGTTCCTCTACCTCTTGACTTTCATTCCATTCAGAGCTAAGCTTTGGTGAGGAATAATCAGTATTTGCTGTCTTCACTTTGTCACCCCAACATTCACTCTCAGACCCACTGTGTTCTGGATTTGATCCCTCTGTCCCATACCCACACAACCACTAGTGGAATTTCTCTTGATGAAGTCACTAATAATCCATTAATTTCTAAAGTGAAAAATCTTGCTCACTTACCTTGTTTAACATTGGTTTTCCTTCTCACGATATTATACTTCCTCAGTGATCTTTCTAGTCTCTGATTACTTCTCCTATCTGCACAGTTTTTCTACTCTCTGTATCCTTTAAATATTCTTATTTGTTCTGATCCCACCTTGAACCTTTCTTTCTGTGACATTCTCTTTATTAGTCTATCTACTTTCATGGATTAAATTATCTCCCATACATAAATATATTTTGTGCTAATAGAAAAAGAAAGTGCTCATTCTAGAAGGAAACCTAGAAAAAACTCTTCTGGACATTGGCCTCAGCAAAGAACTTACTACTAAGATCTCCAAAGCAAAGGCAACAAGAACAAAAATAGACAAATGGGCTTAAACTAAAGTGCTTCTGCACAGCAAAAGAAACAAGCAACAGAATGAACAGACAGACTACAGAATGGGAGAAAATATTTTCAAACTATGCATCTGACAAAGGATTAATACCCACAGTCTACTAAGAATTTAAACAACTCAACAAGAAAAATAAATAAATAAATAATCCCATTAAAAAGTGGGCAAAGGACATGAACAGACATTTCTCAAAAAAAGACATACAAGTGGAAAACACAGGAAAAAAATTATCAGCATCACTAATCATCAAAGAAATACAAATTAAAATCACAATGAGATACTATCTCACACCAGTCACAATGGCTATTATTAAACATCAAAAACAAAAAACAAAAAAACAAATGTTGGTGAGGATTCAGAGAAAAGGAAATGCTTACCCACTGTTAGTGTTAATGTAAATTAGTACAACCTCTATGGAAAACAGTATGGAGATTTCTCAAGAAACTAAACATAAAACTACTTCTCAACCCAGTAATCCTTCTATTGGATGTCTACCCAAAGAAAAGGATTGTTATATCAAAAAGACACCTATAGTCATATGTTTATCACAGCGTTATCCACAATAGCAAAGTCATGGAATCAACCTAAGTGTCCATCAACTGATGATTGAATAAAGAAACTGTGGAAAATATACATCATGGAATACTATGCAGCCATAAAAAGGAAATAAAATCATGTCATTTGCAGCATCATGAATGGAGCTGGAGGCCATTATCGTAAGTGAAATAACTCAGAAACAAAAAATCAAATACCACTTGTTTTCACTTATAAGTGGGAACTAAATGATGGGTACACACGGAAATAAAAATGGGAATAACAGATACTGGGAACTCCAAAATGCAGAGGTGGGTGAGGGTTGAAAAATAACCTATTCTGTTCATTATTAGGTACATTGTTCATTATTCATCTGGTACACTATTCATTATTCAGTTCATGGGTACACTGGAAGCCCAAACTTCACCATTTTCCAATGTATCCATGTAAGAAAACTGCACATGTGCACTCCTTCATCTATAAAAATAAAGAAAGAGCATAATACTTGACATCAGAAACCCCAAACATTAGTTCCAGGAATCTCAACAACACTATTTGTGATGATGGACTTAAGGTTGGATTTATTTGGTATCCTGTTCCGTCTCCTTAGTAAAATGACAGGTTTAGATTTTAAATATTTCTTACTTCCTCCATTTTTATAATAATATATTAAGACATTCAACTGTTGAATGTCTTATTGTATAGACATATCTTATTTCTCACACAGAAAAGGTGAGAAATAAGAAAAGTCTTCAAATCTGGTTTATACTAAAAGTTTCAGGTATTCCTTCATTAACATTTCCAAAGTTATTGTCAAGTCATTAAATTGACTGATTCACTTCTGAGAGTTTCATTATTAAGTGATGAGTGAACAATACATTCATTTTCCCTATATGTGGATGAGAAAACTAAGATATAGACAGGTTATGTAACTTGTCCAAGGTTACAGAGCTTGTTACTGTTATTGTTAAAATTCAACCCCCACCCCCACCCTGACTCCTGAATACATGAAATACAGCTCCAAGAAACAAGGATTCCATGTATTTCATAACTTAAACTGTTTGCTCTCTCTTGCAACATTATTTTCAACTTGTCCCCTCCCCAGCTTTAATAATCTAATAAACTTATTCCACTGTGAATGTCCAGGGTAGTCACTGCAAAACTAAATCCCTGAGAAGGAGTCAGTTGTAAATCTGTAGCTCTCTGACTACTGGTCCTAAAGAGATTACATCAAAACTGAAATTGTTTCTCTCTTCTCCAAGTGACTCAGTTAAGGCTGAGCTGAAGCAGATCACTAGGGAATTAATAAATACTCTCACTTAGCCTACACTATATATTCCAATGGCATTGATTTTTAAAAATTACCGCATCTAGCAATGTTCCTGTATCCAACCAAAGTAAGCACACTCACACACGTGCACACACACATGCACACACACATGCACACACACGTATGCGCATATACACACAGACATAAAACACAGAAAGGCTAAACATGTGGAGTTCCACAAAAGTGAAGTTTTCTTTTATCAGCTGGACATCTCCTAAAATATCCCCACTCCAAATTTTCAGAAGAAAGGGTATTAAGACAAATAAAATGATCAACATTAAGTAAAATATTGAAAAGTACTTAGTATTTTGGAAGCAGCTGGGTCTATAGTTAAAGCACAAGGCATGGTTCTAGCCTATTGACACTACAGTGAAGTAATACCACTCTTGAATTCTGGTTTGACCTGAGGACACCTAAGAAAAAAGACTACATATTCCATTACTTTTTGTAGCTAAGTAAAGCCATAGAGTAAATTCCATTCTACGGGGCTCAAGGGAAAGTGATGAATGAAATTTTCCACAGATTCCCTAACAGGGAATTATTATATTAAACACTATTCTCTGAAAGGGAAATGGCATATTTTGTTATTTTTCAAATAATATTTTTCAAATAATAGTGTTTAATAGTGTTAATAGTGTTAACCTTGAAAGTTAAAATGTGAGAATGTTCATTGGAGCTGCAGCTACCATATTGAACTATGGGAAGCCACCAGATAGAAGGATTCTGGTCCGGAATGATCATGGGACCACCATGCCAGCCCCAGGCTGTGCATGTCAGTCAACAGATAGGAAAGAAAAATAAGCATCTATATTATTGAGACAATTGGTATTTTAGATGTTGTTTTTTTGTTTGTTTGTTTGTCACATTATCCAAGCCTGTACTTAAGTAATACAAGTGAATAGAACTGAGAGCTGTTGATGTTTGGCAGATTATTTCCCCATTCAAAGAGTTTCCTCTTTGCTAAAAAAATTTTTAAAAAGAGAAGAGCAAGAAAGAACAAGAGGAAGAGGAGGAAGAAAAAGGAGGAGGAGAAGGAGGGAAGGAAGAGGAAGAGGGGAAGAAGAAGAGGAAGAAGAACAAGAGGAGGAAGAAGAAGAGGAAGGAGGAGAAGGAGAGGAGGAAGAGGAAAGAAGAGGAAGGAAGGAAGGAGAGAAGAAAGAGGAGAAGAAAGAAGAAAAAAGGAGGAAGAAGAAAGAAGAGAGGAAGAAGGAAGAGAGGAAGGAGAAGAAGAAGGAGAAGAAGAAAGAGGAGAAGAAGAAGAAGGAGAAGAAGGAGGAGGAAGAGGATGAGGAGGAGAAGAAGAAGAGGAAGAAGAGGAGGAGGAGGAAGGAAGGAAGAAGAAGAAGAAAGAAGGAGGAAGAAGAAGGAAGAAGAGGAGGAGGAGGAGGAGTTGTAGTAGCAGTAGTAAGGAACTGTCAGGTATTACTTTTCACCTATAGAGATTAGTTGGCTACAGAGTCAACAAAATGAGCCAATGAAGAGCAGAGATTCCTCTTTGAGGGTTTTTTTTTAATGTAGAAGCAGAGTGAGTAGAGACTCCGTGTTTCCCACTTTCACCCTTCCTGGGTAGAATTGGAAAAAAAAAACTGCAATTTTTTCGTAAAAGGTTTAGTATCTTATGTGTGGACATTCAGGAAAAATGCCAGGAGTCAGCTACTTTGACAGCAGCATGACCCATTTTTCTTGCTGTGTCTACCAAACCTAAGAACAATCAAGTAAATTTGGGATTCTCTGAGCACTGGGTTTCTTCTGGGGCTAATGAATATTATGTCAAAACTAAAGACAGCTTTCCCTAGAAGCTTTAGGATAGTGAAGATGAAACTTCCCACTTTCAATAACAATATGTAGAAATGGTGGTCCAAGGGAGGGAAATGGTTTCTAAGAATGATCCTAAAAGATGACTAAAATAATATTCTTGTTTGAAGGCTTTCTTCTGAATTTCCCATTAATATAGCTGATGCAATAAAAACAATTTTTAGACACAAGTACAATTAAAGGATAAACAAAATGTTAAACCAGAACTTGAAAGCAAGAAAATAACCTCTTAGAACCAGAACAAGCACCGTTTCAATTCTTGCGTAATGATTATAGTAATTAGCTTGAGTTGTAACACTTCCAGTAATATCCAGCCTATCTGAGCAAACATAAAAAAAATCTGCTTTCACAACTATGCAAAACTAAGGGGGCAGAGGAAGGTGATATAAAATTTCCAGTAAGGAAAAATGTTCCAGTATTAAAATCAGAGAACCATTTGCAGGGTGCTATATATGTTCAATTGAATATATGCAGATGAAATCACTAAAAAAGAACATCTGCATTTTTTCCTTCAAGGCCATTTTAATTCATTTAATAATAGTTTATTTATATGGAAAATAGAATGTCATCCCGAATGGAAATCTTTATTTTTTCCTGACTAAATACATATTTGCTGTGCTTATTTCAAGGAAAGCATACAAATTAGAACCAGAAAAAGTGATAAATACATATGACAGAGTCTGGGAGAATTCCAGTGCAGAGCTTCTATTGTCCTCAAAGACACTGCACTCCCAGCATCAATGTGTGGCATACACACAAAGAGCACTGCCAATCCAGAAAGTTCACCCAAGCTTCAGTGTCCAAAATTTCTACTGAGGCTTCACTAAAAAAGCATGATTGATGATGCATTGCCCACATGGCTGAACTCAGTCTTTAGGTCAAATTATATCATGTAACCTAATCATATGATGGTCATTCTGGCATGGACAACTCCCACCCCTAGATTATGTGGTTGGGCCAGCCCCACCCTGAGTCATCTCATTAGCCTTAAACTATCAGGTGTGGTCCCAGAGGCATACCATGCACAACAAAGACACTTCTATCACCTCAAAAAGTCCAACACTTAAATAGTTACCTCTCGGGAGGTAACTTCTCTTTGGATGAGGCCAAATCCTTGACTACACAGGTTGCTACTAGCTATGTAAACCCCCTTACCCTGACATGAATGGTCCTCTCTATGACACAATGTGGTCTCCCCTCACCACCATTCCAAATCAGTTTCACCAGTAACCATGCTTCATAATTTGAAAGGAAAACAGAAGTCATCAGATGGGAATCCACCCATCTTTCCATCAACAAACCATACCTTTTCTTCCTTCCATCTAAATGAAGCAGGTATCTCTTCTCACAGTGGAGGCCAGCTGGCTTTTGCTCTTCTGGGTGCCATTCTCTTCCATTTTGTTAGGGACCTCACTTTCTAAGGTAGGGGCCTCTTTCTCTTGCATTGTCATGCAATCCTTCACACTAGATGTGTCCTCTCATATACAAACCTTCTCTAAAACATTGTATTTTGTAATATTTATTTATTTTGATACAGGGCCTTGCTCTATCATCCAGTCTGGAGTGCAGTGATGCAATCATAGTTCACTGCAGTCTCGACCTCCCAGGTTTAAGTGATGCTCCTGCCCCAGCCTCCTAAGTAGCTGGAACCACAGACACGTGCCACCATGCCCAGATAATTTTTAATTGTGTAGAGATGGGGGTCTCACTATGTTGCCCAAGCTGGTTTTCAATTCCTGGGTTCAAGCAATCCTCCCACCTCAGCATCCCAAGTCCTGGGATTACAGGCATGAGCCATGACACCCAGCCTCTTTTGTTTTAAAAACATTCATTTCTCCCATCTCTTTCAGTTACCACACTCTCTCTTCTCAAAAACAAGCAGAAGATGGTTATTTTCTCACTCCTCATCCCTCTTTTTCTCCTGATATCACTACTCTGTTCAAACAGCTCCTTTGAAGATAACCAATAAATTCCATGTTGTTAATACTGTTACCCATTTGACTTAAACACATAGTGGGATCTTACACAGCTAATTACCCCTCTTCTTGAAGTAGTTGCTTCTTCTGCTCTTATTTTTCATTTATTTATTTTTATTTTATTTATTTATTTATTTTTGAGACAGAGTCTCACTCTGTCACCCAGGCTAGAGTGCACTGGCACAATCTCGGCTCACGGCAACCTCTGTCTCCTGGGTTCAAGCGATTCTCCTGCCTCAGCCTCCCAAGTAGCTGGGATTACAGGTGTGCACCACTACGCCTGGCTAATTTTTGTATTTTCAGTAAGACAGGGTTTCACCATGTTGACCAGGCTGGTCTCGAACCCCTAACCTCAAGTGATCTGCCCTTCTTGGCCTCCCAAAGTGCTAGGATTACAGGCGTGAGCCACCAGGCCGGGCCTTCTGCTTTTGATGACCTCATACTCTTTTACATATCCCTTGACTCTTCTGGCCTAATTGTGCTGTTAGTTTGATCTTTAAATGTAGGGGTTCTTCAATGTCTAGAACCAGTCTTTCTCTTCTCATTCTTCTATATCCCTAAGTGAGCCCATCCATATTTATATTCATTAATTGTTAGCCAGTGACTTCTAATATTTTATTTACAGGCCCTGTGCCTTGTGTGAGCTTTGTAAAGCATATGTCAACTGTCTGACTCACATTTCATTTGAGTATCTCATAGTTTTCTCAAAAAAAAAAAAATTAGAAAGCATGTTCTAGGCTTAGCTGTATCTTCTTTCATGTTTCCTGTCTCAGTAACGAGTACGTCCACCCATCAGCTGCTCATATCAGAAACAGGGTCATCCTCCTTCCTATCTTCCTCTTCTCCCGAAGCCCACTTTAAACCTATCTCAAGTCCAAATCTACCTCTAAAATAGATCTCTGAAATGCATCCACTTCTCTCCACTTCTGCCACCTAGTCAGCAAAGCACTCACTTCCGTAGAAACTGCTAAGACCATCTTCATTGCACACTGTCCTTGTTCTGCTTCCTCCCGATGTTCTTCCTCCTCCTCCAGAGTGGTCTTTACATTGCTCTTATTGTCTTATGTGTAAAACCCTTCAAGGGCTACACATTTCTCTAAGAACAAAGACACTAATCCTTAATACAGCTTCAAAGCCCTGCATACTCTGACCTCGGACTAACTTTGCCAACCTCACCTTAAACTATCTTCTCCACTGTGAATTTCAGTCTCACTGACTTTCTTTTACTTCCTGGAAACCACCTCACCAGGCCAACTCCACGTTTGCACAAATGCTATTCTCTCTACCAGCAAGGCTGATCTTTGTATGACTGAATACTTTCTAAACCTAAATGCAGTGAAAAAAAGTCATGAAAGAAAAGATCCATAACTATGAAGGTAACAAAATTAAATTGTCTCCATTTGAAAAAAAACCATAAACAAACGCAAGAAAAACTTAGAAAACATTGACAAGATTTCTCACGATAGAGTTGATAGCATCATGTGAATCAATAAAAAAATTTTAAGACCCAACTATATAAATGGGTAAAGATAATTATCCCAAATAGGAAATATAGTGATAATACTCATTAACAATATCAAACCTCAATAGTAATTAAAAGTATAACATAACATTATATTGTATATATGATACATTTTGTTATATTTTGAACATAAACACAAGTAAAACTTAAGTTTTTACCATAAGCTAGGCACTTAGCTAAATGTGAATATGGCAGTGATCAAAACAGACATATTCTGTCTCCACAGAGCCTGTATTTTAGCAAAGCAATATCCATTAACCAAATAATCACATGGAATTAATATGTTAGTAACATAATGAAACTAAAGAGCTGGCTTTTTAATTGCAGTGCCATTATTAAAGGAAGTAACCTAGGTGAACGTTTGATCTATTCAAATCTATCTTCTCTGAAAGAAATAATTCTAGAAGTCAACAACTGGTGTTATCCTGTCACACCAAACATTGAAATATCATCATCCCATTCTTCTTTGCAGCTTTTAGTCCTGTTTATCCTTTTAGTCTCTCATTTTTTCAGCATCCTTAATGCTACATCTCCTCTTTTGCTTTTGGTTCCCAGTAATTCGTCCTTCGACTGACTCTGATACATGGCTGTTGGTAGAGTGGACTCTCACCCTCCCAGTTCTTCTCTCTCTAGATTTCCCCCATATAACTTAGAAGTGACTTGGAAGTAGCAGAAATGGAAGGATCCACAGAAGTGTCTAGAAAGTCTGAGCAGCAGGAAATGCAGAGAGACATCAGCACTGAGCTCACTTGGGAGCAGAAGGAATTGGGAATGCACACGGACCCACCTGTCCAGGTGGGAGGCTTACTGTGGGGATGGCAGGAAATTGTTGGGAACTACTTGGGGTTCTAGAAAACCTTAGTGAGAGAGAAATCAAATAAATATTCTTCAATCAAATCCCCCACTCTGCCCCTGTGCTGTAACAGAGTGGATCAAAGGCAATCGCAGTGGCACCCAAGTGGGTTACCAGATCAACTTAGCTGAAGTCACAATAAAATTGGTTCTGTTGCACCAGGGATGATCATAAGAGGTGTTCAGTATTCCCAAGGATTTGTAAATGAGAACCCTTGTGGTTAATCAAATCAGCATGAATTAAAGAAACACTCTTCAAGATGAGGCTGTAATTTTGGGAAAGATCATTGTAACTTACCCTGCCATCCAGTTATGCACTTCACAATTAACTGTCAGGTTCAAGGTGAATTGATCCTGAAGATAACCCAGACTCAGGTCCCCAGTCTGCCTCTGATTATGTTTTTCATTTTATGTTACCCAACATTTTTAGTTCATGTGCACGGCGAACATCAGTAGCTCTAGTGAAGCTTGCCCTGGTGGGGTTTTAATAGAGAAAACACAAATCCAAAACACTGGAAGACCTGTGTGCTTTCAAAAGAGACCACTTTAGTAAGATTAAAAAAAAATGGCTTTAAAGTATGAATACATGGTATCCAGATTGGCAGTTCAGCAAATGAAGAAGTGTGCAAGGAAGAGTATACTCTCCTCAAGGCTCATGCTAGTTTCTGGAGTGAGAAAAGGGTGCACGTAACTCTACCTGCTCTGAATGCCCTAGTGATCCTCATGCTCCAGCAGAGAGATGAGAATCAAAGATCAGAAAAAAATACGTAAGAAAATATTTATGCTAACAATAAAAAATATAAGGAAATATATAGTTAAACCATAAGGACAATTGGTGGTTAGTACTGGTGTTTGGAAGGCAGGAGATTATTCCAAGTTGGGGTGAATTAGTAAGAAAGTCTTTCTGGAGGAAATGATATTTAGGTTATGTTCTGAAAGATTTGGAAATGTAAAGAGAGAGATGAAAGGGAATGTTAAAAGGAGTATGCAGTTTTCTGGGACCTGAAATGTTGCCATCGAGTCGTCACTTCCAACCTGGGGAAAGTTAAACCCTACACTGGTCTAAACCTTTACCTTGTTTCCTTCCCACCCCTTCATTTGCTTAAGTTATTGTCAGTTTCTCTTCCTCTCACATCGTCAAAAGCTGAAAACTTCATTTTTAGAAAAAAGAGAGAGAAGAGAGAAGAGGGAGGAGACAGGAGGGGAGAGGGGAGGCAAAGGGGAGGTGAGGGGAGGTGAAGGGAAGGGAGGTGACGTGACGGGAGAGGAGGGGAAAGGAGAGGAGACGAGAGGAGAGGAGAGGGGAGGGAAGAGGAGGGAAGGGAAGGGGAGAGGAGGGGAGGGGGAGAGGGGAGGGGAGGAGAGGAGAGGGGAGAGGAGGGGAAAGGGGAGGGGAGGGGAGAGGAGAGGAGAGGAGAGGAGAGACAAAATAAAATGAAGCTACTCTCATGTTTCAAGTACAATTTGGGGAACTAATATTTTCTAGTTAATACATGAACTAGCATTTTAAATCATGCTATATTAACTTAGAACAGATAGCTCCATGTCTCCTCACTGTATTAGTTTCCTGTCCTATTCTTGGCATCAGACCTAACGTTTGTCATCCCAAATTCTATCCTCACAGCCAGATAAATAGCCCTAAGTTATGCCATCTGGCCAAAAGGTAAACTGTTAATGGGGTCTGCCCCTTTTTGAGATTTTGTCCTTCAGCTAATTCACAATGCTTTGGTTTAAAATGCCATATAAACAAAAGGCTGTCGGATATGGTAAATACAAGTGCTAATCTGTTTTCATGAAGCATTCATCCCACTTAATTGCTTAAAGCTTCACCTCTGTAGATGCCTGTCACTATTTTCTGTATTTATCTTATTTTCCATAATCTTACTTCCTCATGTTTCAGTAAATGCCTGGAGATCCTGTAGTTACCAATTTTCCAGTGTCAAAATGAATGGAATCAGGTTTCAGAGAGTGAACTGTCACTGAAGTGACATGTTTACACCAGAGATACACAGATACCAGATCATAAAGCAAGGGGCACATTTGGAAAGTCCTTGTTAAACAGAAAACTAACACCCTCACTTTCAAAGAATCCTTTCATTGGCATACTGCTAACTTAGAAATGTTAGAAAGGCCAATTGGAAAAAAAATGCACTTTCAAAAATAAGGTAGGCAAAACAAACAGAGTTATTACTGAACTGAAATTCCTACATTAATAATCCTTACAAATTAAATAAATAAGTTATGAAACTAACCTGTTATTTTCAAAGAATCCTTTTATTGGCATATACCATTACCACAGAGATTTTAGAAAGGCAGCTGTATACAAAATGATCACTCATATTATTCAAATTACCAAACAATTTTGAGCAGCTACAGGAATCCTTGCAAAATGATTTCTTTAATGAGTATGCATAGAAAGAGAAAATTATAAGCCTCATATTCTTTGACTCAGCCATTACAATAAACTATAACTGAAGCCAGAGGTTACAAACCTTAATTAACAGTTTAATAAGGAGTCATGCAAATAATTTGGAGGCTGTTGATATGGGGAATTTGTTAAATCAAGGTATGCACTTAACCATTACATCTTATTAAAAAACAAGAAAAATTTTGGCAATATTTACTTAGTAGATATGATCAAACTTGACTACAGTTAATCTGCAGCTTGTCATCATGAACTTGGGTTTCTAAATGAAATCCCTTTGCTAAGAGAAAAAAAAACCCTTCCTATAAATATTGAAAAATCTGTTTTAATAATGTATAAGTTCCAGGGACTGTGTTTATGATTGTTCATTGCAAAAAGCTACATTTGTTAGAAATTTGTCTTAGAAAGCCGTGCTTGTTCACTTGGAGTTATGAACCATTTTGTCATAGAAAGTTGATTTTATCCACCAACCTCATGATAATTAACTCACCATCTGTGATCACACAGTATTTTGTAACTTCATCCAAATTTAATGACTTGACCTTATTTGTTAGTGAAAGAAAAAGATAGCAGACTCTATTGCCTTTCCACAAGATCAGCCTATTGCAGAACTAAGATTCAAACCTAGGCAGTTTGTCTAAAAGTCTGTGCTTGTTATAACCCTGACAGTACTCTGCTTCTGCATAAAAAGTAAGTAATAGACTAGAGAGAAATATTAGCAGTAGAATCAGCAGATGTAGTGACCAACAGAAAAAGGCAGAAATAACAGAATATTCACAGGAAGATACAATGTATTTATTAATGACATACTTTGACAAAAGTTCAAATTTGGTAGGTTGAGGAATAAATGGAAAGTGAGAAATTGGATAAAATATGTAAATTGTATTTTTGAGATTATTAAAATTCTTCTTTTTAACTATAATTTAAATTAAAATGATTTCGTTTGTAAAGATTCTAGCACTATTCGTTCAGTAATAATCTTGTTTGTTTTGCCCAAGCATTTCCTGAAAGGCTCTATTTCAACGCGCTTAAACCATTAACAAATCAGCATTTGGGGAAAAAAGATGCCCCCACAAAACTGCTGCCATGGAAACAACAAATCTTAAAGATCACTTAAATATTGTTGAGGTCATTATTTTTCAAATACAATATAAAAAATCATTTTTTACCTCTCTGAAAGTTTTCTTCTCTTAAGGCATATATGGTGACTTCTAAGGTAGCCTTTTTATGAAATGTATTTATTCATTTTTGTCTCACAAACATTCAAGTTCTACCAAAAAGTTAGTAAATTAATAAGTTTTATAATTGATTTTGGAAGCAAATGCATGCGTAGTCTAAATTTTTCATCAGATATAGTATCTGTAACAAACCTTCTACTCTTCCAAATTCCCCAAAATTGCAACATATGCTTCCAAGAAAAAGAATAGAGTATCTGTCCAGTTACTAGTAATCTTAAAAGGGCAGGAACAGCTGCCAAAGTCACTAGAGGTTGGTCATCCATGTATGTGTTTTTTGAGGGAAACAATCTGTAATTAATTCTGCATTCACCAGCTGGTGTCTTTCTCATCTCTCCTCCCTATCCCCTCCCCAGAAAAAAAAAAAAATCAGACCTAGGAAGATGAAGAGCAGCATCTGTTGCCACACTTAAAACAAGAAAAAAAAGGATCATTTGCTCAAGCACACACAATGTGTAAAATGAGTAAAAGTTAATGAATTCTTGATCATTGGAGTTAAGTGCAATACATTCATTAAAGAAATCCAAAATGTGTGGGTTTTATTTTTAGGATTCTCGTGAAACCCTCTTCAAGCTCATACACCTACCTGGCATGCTAGGCCACCAGAGAGTGGTCCACTGAGGAAGTGTCCACAAAGAGTTCAGTCACTTGGTTAAACGAAAAGTAGATTATGGAGTTGGTGCTATCAAGATCAGCGGTTTTTAACTTCAGGTGATTTTGCCCCCTAAACATTGTAACGATGTCTGAAGACATTTTTAGTCATCAAAACTGGGGGGTAGTGTGTGCTTCTATCATCTAGGGTAAAGGCCAGATGCACAGGGTCATCCCCACAGCAAATAAATGCACATTCAAGTGAAATAATAAAACACAGCAACCTCCCCACATGGCTCGAGGACTGTGAGCAGAGCACAGCACTCACAATGCTTAGGGAATGGTATCCGTCATTTCATTAATTCAATTATTTTCATTAGGTGCCTAACACCTGACGTGCACTTCAAACTGGGGAGAGCTAAATAATTTAGCTATGGATTTTATTGCATCCTAGTCTATACATAAAACAAAATTATTTTTGAGGCAATAATGCACTACTATAAAATGTATTTTTTGAGGTAAGTGAGTTTGGTTTCCCCTGTAAGCACTCATCACACGTTATCTCGTGGTGTCCTAGGTGATTTTGAATGGTCGTTCTCGCTGGGAACCAGAGGTAAAGTCTGTGTGTTGAGTGGACTCTAGTCCTCACACTCCCAGACACTTCACTCTCTTATTTCAGTTCTGAATATGAACTATTATTTTACAAGTTTGATTTTTTTAAAAAAGTTTTAAAAATATAAATTATAGGGCAATCATTTTAACTTGAAATCAGAAACAATATTAAACAAGCAAATGATTTTAAAAGCCCATCTTTATATTTTCAAAAATAAATTTTATGTAAAATATCCAACCCTTCAAAACAAACCTGCATATCCAAATTCCATTTGTTTTTTTCTCTTATTTCTATTATCGTCTCACTCTTAATCATTTATCTCATATATGTCATTACCCCTGTCATCACACACAATCCCAATCCATGCTCCAGAGGTTATAATCATTTTTCATAGTGGAGAATGATGGGGGTAAAATCCACTGGTGAGGTAAGGCAAAGGTGAAGGTGTTTCAAAGAGGATCATGGCACAAAGAAAGACACAGAAATGAGAAAGCACACGCACACACTTGTATTAAGCTGTTCTTACAGTTCTTACATTGCTATAAAGAAATATCTGAGACTGGATAATTTATTTTTAAAAAGAAGATGTTTAACTGGCTCACAGTTATACAGGGTTTACAAGAAGCAAGGTGCTGGCATCTGCTCAGCTTCTGGTGAAGCTTCAAGGAGCTTTCAATCATGGTGCAAGGTGAAGGGGAAGCAGGTAATTCACATGGCGAAAACAGAAGAGAGAGGGAGAGAGTCAGGGGAAGTGCCACACACTTTATTTTTTATTATTTATTTATTTATTTATTTTTTTTTGGAGACGGAGTCTTGCCCTGTTGCCGAGGCTGGAGTGGAGTGCAGTGGCGCAATCTCGGCTCACTGCAACCTCTGCTTCCCAGGTTCAAGCTATTCTCCTGCCTCAGCCTCCTGAGTAGCTGGGACTACAGGCGCACACTGCCACCCCAGGCTAATTTTTTTTGTATTTTTAGTAGAGATGGGGTTTCACTGTGTTGCCCAGGCTGGTTTCCAGCTGAGCTCAGACAATCCACCCACCTCGGCCTCCCAAAGTGCTAGGATTACAGGCGTGAGCCTCCGCACCCGGCCAGTGCCACACACTTATAAATGACCAGATCTTGCAAGAACTCATTCGCTATCATGAGGACAGCACCAAAAGGATGGTGCTAAACCATTCATGAGAAATCCACGCCTAGGATCCAATCTACCTCCCAACAGGCCTCACCTCTAATACTGGAAATTACAATTCAATGTGAGATTTGGGTGGGGACAGATATCTACACTATATCAACACTTGAAATGTCATGCACACAGGTCAGTGGGGTAACGAGGTAAAGTTCCTGGAACAGGAGGCAGAAATAAGACACGCACACTTGGCTGGGATGTTGTAGGGTTCATGCATGTGGTGCAGGGTTAAACCAGATGACCTCTAAAGTCTTCCAGAGCTGAGACCCTTTAACTTTACTGAATGCTGACATGAGAAAGGGAGGCTCAGGCCAGGTTTTGAAAAGATTTGACTGCTGGGGTCAAGAGCTTGAATAAGATTGAATAAGATGGGAAGGTGGTGGGAAGACATTGAAGGTTTGTGGTCTGCAGAATAATGAACAAACTGGTGCTAAGGAGATGAATCAGGTAGTGATGTGCAGGAAGCATGATAAAGGGAAGATGCTACTGCCAGAAACGTCATGGGAGACTGCCGGCCAGGGCACTGGCATCTGAAAGTAAGGCCCGAAGCTGGGCAGCGGCAATGGAAACAGATACGATGGAGGAGGGCAGACTCAGTTTCCATTGGCTCCAGGAAATTCAGGAAAAGTGCAAGTTTATTCAGAAATCTGAGTTTCCTCTTAGATATGTTGGAGTTGAGCTTCTTGCTCACTGGACCAAGGTCCACATGCTCTTCAACTCTCAAGATGTCTCCTCCCTGGTAGGTCCCTGGGAACCCTGATTTGCATCAAGCAGATGCGTCTGTTTCACTGTCACTGGGGCCACTGCACATGAGACCTCATCCACCCCAGCATTCATTTCACTAAGTCCCTGTAATGTCTATTTCCATATTTAATGTTATCCTCTGTCTAAATTGCTCTATGTAGAAAGGATTGAGGCTTTTCTATGGCATTTTTTGTTATGGATTGAAGTGTGTGCCCCTGCCCCAAGTTCATATATTGAAGACCTAACTCCAAGTACCTCAGAATATGACCCTATTTGGAATTATTTCCAAGTAGGGTCATTGCAGATATACCTCATTAAGATGAGGTTATGAGAGTAGGCTTTTGTCCTTATGAAATGCAGAAATTTAGACATTGAGACAGACAGACACACAGACACACACACACACACACAAACACACACACCCCACATGGTAAGGATCCTGTGAAGACAAAGCAGAGATCTACAAGCCGAGGAACACCAAAGATTGCCAGGCAGTCACCAGAAGGTAGGAAAGAGGCATGGGGTAGATTCTACCTCACCACCCTCAGGAGGACTCAACCCTGCTCACATCTTGATCTTGGACTTCTAGACACCAAGATTTATGGGAGTCAATAAATCTCCAAATTTATTGGAGTCAATTTATTATGAGACAGTAAATTTATGTTGTTAAAGCCACCCAGTTTGGGGGATTTTGTCATGCTAGCCCTAGGAAGATTATACACTCATGAAAAGTGAGATATTGCTATGTTCTTAGAAATTACAGGATTCAAGAACTGGACTCTTCGCTGAAATACAATTGTAAATCCATGTGGGAAAAAAAGGAACATGTTAAATGTAATTTAGTTATATAGCTATTTGTTCATTATTCAGTAAACAAATAGCAATAGACTTGCCAGATTTTCTTTTTAGCATATTAGTTGAATCTTATAATTCATAGAAGTCATTGCTTTCTGAACAGGGAAGAATTTGGGGGTCTCCAAGATTCTGGCCCAGTTCTGGGCTACATCAAAGCAGGGTAAGAAGATTCCTTTCCAAGACATGAACAATAGCTGTGCAAAACAGTCTTTGTACTTAAATTTGTTTTCCTCTTCCCTTCCTGACCTTCAATTTGTTTTCACATTTGGAAGATAATTAATAACTATTTATTGGGAAACCTGTGTACACAATACTAGAAATATTCTATTGAGAAGAAAGACTGGGGGAAATGCAAAGTCAACAAATTCAGTCTGCCTCCAACCAATGTTTAGATAAATTCAAGTCATATTTATATCATTGCAGATTAATAATGATGAAACTGTACTTAATGTACATCTAGAGAAAGTATAAAACGTATACAAAATAGGAACTTTTTCTGAAATCTCTAATGCTCCATTTCTTCTGTTATTTTTTTTCCACATTCAGATTTTGTTGACTAGTCACAGGAAAGAAAAGCCATTCTATTTACAAAACAGATCATTATATATAATTACATTTACAAGCAAAGCTACTTAAGGTCCCAAATGTCAGGTTCAGAGGTAGATTATCAGACATAAAGAGCACACTTATCAGTTTGAATAGTGCCATTTACCAGGTAGCTGCACAAAAGGTGACCGCAGTAAGTAGTATGCAGGCACCTAATACATTTATATTACAGGCAATTATGTTTGAGATCAAAAGAATTAAAAAACAAGACTCTTCCCCTCTAACAGATAGCTGTTTTGGAAATAGACTTTGTAGATAATTAAAATAAGTTGGAATTCATTTTTAAAGTTTCCATTGTTTGCTCTCCTTGCTAGTCAGTGCTGACTTGCAAAATAATATTTAATAAACCATAAAATCTTATATAGTCTGTATTGATTACTTATATCACTTAATTGTATCTGTCTTTCAGGCACCCTTTAAGAAGTACAACACCCTCGTGAAGTCTCCTTATCTATTCTAGTCTCACTAATCTGCTTCTTCCTAAATTTCTCTAACACTTTCTGTTGTCTCCCCCTCCTGAGATAGGCTGTCACACATGTTTATTTCCAGCCTCCCCAGTTTGACTGTAGAAGGTTGGAGAATATAGCTTGTGCTGCTTTCATCTCATACCTAGCAAAATAGACCTATATACATTTTGGATAAAAGGAAGAAGAAAGGAAAGAAAGGAAATGGAGGAAGTGACAGAAGAAGAGCAAAGGAGGGAAAGAGGGAGAAAGGAAGGAAGGAAAGAAGGAAAAAGAGAGATGGGGACGTGGGAGGAAAGAACACGTGGAAGATGGGAATCACCCATTGCACAGACTCATTTGAGGCCCCTTAGCCCAAATTGTAATTAATTCCAATCCTCTACTGACTCAGAAGAGAAGCATCAGCAACATCCACTGCGAGTTATCATTGGAAGAGAAAGCTTACTGTCTATACATAGGGAATTTAGTTCAATGTGATCACTGCACACTTTGATTCTATTATAATCTCATTTGTCTTCTATGCTTTTAAATTGTATGCATCCATACTACAGGGTGTGTTAAAAGTTTATTGGCTTGAATGTATCTGAGACTGATGAACATTTCAATGTATTAATAAATTGTAAAAATGTATCGGATTGTCAATAGATTTTTACTAACCGATTTTCTCCTTGACAAATAGCAATTTTGTTTAATGTGCCATATTTTATTAATGCAATGAATCAAGATTAATAATTCCCCAAATGAGTAGTTATTTGCAAATTGCTAAACTGAGAGATTAAAATTCACAACAAAGAGATAAAATATTCTCTAATATCTAAAAACCAGATATGGTCTGATTATATCTTTAATCACACATAAATTGGATTTTTTTCAAATAAAATGATATGGGGTTTCATTGCCATTTCAGTTGCATATTTTACCTTCAGAGATACATAATTGTGTATGCATCTATTACAATGTGCATATTATCGTTTTGTAAATAATTTCACATGCATAATTTGATTCTCACTAAAACTGAAGCATACCAGACAGATCTTACGACATATAATTTATAAATTAGAACACCATGATGGTGATATTAAATGACTTGCCCAGGTCACATAGAAGGAGAGAGAAAAAGGAGAGGAGAGAGGGAAGGAGACAAGAAAGCATAACTACGGAAAATGAATGTTAAATGTTTTATCTTCACATTTATTATTTTCTCAGCGAAAATGCACTCAAAAATAATTCTAGTAAGTTGCTATCTTGTAAACTGATGGCCCCAGGGTTATAGTCTCAGGGTCAAAAAATACGCTTCCTCTAGATATGGTATATTAAAACAATTTTTTATTTAAAACACGAACAGTATTCAAGTGTACAAGTACTCATCTTCTCAAAACTTATGTTTTCAGTTTTTTTATATAATGTCACTAATTTCAATTCCTTTTCCTAAGGCAAACAAGACATAAAGGATTCATTCCCGGGTACATTTACTTTGACTCCTACAAATGGTCTTCCTAGCATTATTTTTGCATAATGCTTAGATAGCCTTTGTAAACTCTTAAAAATGTCTGGACTTAGTGTAAAAGTTTGATTTTTTTCTGGTGGGGTGTGTGTGTGTGTGGGTGTGTGTGTGTGTGTGTGTGTATTTTGCATATTGTTTATTTTGGCCAAGCAAATCTTGTGTTTGTTTCCATTATTTCCAGTGTTCAAATTTATGTATGATATCTATACAAGTTTCCAATTGGCTTATACATGCAGTACTTTTACAGAATCAAGAGAACAGAACCACTAAATGCAGTCAAATCCGCAGATTAGAAGGCAGAAATAGAAAAAAGGAAGAAACAAACAGAGAAAGAAATAGAAAAAACAGAGGGGTGGGAGTACAAAGAAAGAGAGAAAAGGGAACTTTGAGTTCCACCATGCAGAAAAAGTCACCAGCCTGTTTTACTTTATAAAGCAGGCTGCACTCTGTGGAGAGAGCTGGCTTTCCTACACCATCATTGGCATGTTACAAATCATTATTGGCCACTGACCTGGAGCCATCTGCGATGCAAGATTAAACTATTCAGTGCTCACCTGTGTGAAATTTGGACTTCTTGCCTCTGGTAAGATGACCAAGATGCAGACTCAAGAAATGTGTTTATGCTACTGATCTTTTAAAATTATGGAAATATCCACATAATACAATTTCTTTTTTTTTCTATTTTCAACACTTTTAAAGCAGCATCTATTCCAAGATGCTTAAAGTTGGTGTCTCTATTCTTTTGAAAAAGTGTGTTAATCTGAGATCACATTACTAAATTTATGTGCATCCTTTGGCATGATAGAGATGTATAATTCCATTAAGTTATCTTAGAAAATTAAAATAATCATGAATTTCTAAAGCATTTTTATTTCTGATATTCTTTTTTTCTCAGTAAGTACCCCTCCACACTGTATTTCTTTCTACTCGTTAAAATTGTCCTAATGAGGTAATCTAGAACTATACAGCAGACCACACTAAGAGTTATTCACTATGGCATGTGATTTTGCCCAACATTTTTTTTAAATATCTGTCCTTAGAGGTTACTTTTTCCGTTGTTTTGACTTTATCACTTCTTCAAGTAGTAATTATTTGTATGGAAAACTGGTGTAATTGTCTAAGTCACATTACGCATGGTGAATGGAAGCTCTAATTTAGGACTAAGAAACACCTCTCTGTTCAAAAAGTTTAAAAATGCTTCCAGTGGGATATTTTAAAGGTTACCCAGGATTTTGCTATTTGAGGCTGTAAATTCTTCCTGCCTTCCTGGAAAAGGAGACATATTTAGAAGACCCTAAAAAATCATCAACTAAACTCAGGACATCTTAGACATCTCAGGCAGATGCTATTCCTGTTTCTGTTGGAACATCTTCTTGATGTATCAAAATGTGTTGTAAGATCTCATTTTCCTTTTCTTGGAATTATTAGAATCCAATTTATGTTAAATTATGAGTCGTATTAAGGATGCCTTAATGCAACCATCTCCAACACCACCCATTGGTCAGAGGTCAACTGTATAGACAACAAATTATGCATAATCATTTTTCTATGTGAAAGCTACTATATTTTTCTACCCTTTTACCCGGTAAACCTTCCCAGGATAAACTTTTCACATTATTCTTTCTGGGCATTAGCCATTCTAGTTTATTTCCTCTGTATAGACTTGTTACAGTCTGAATGTTGGTGTCCCCCCAGAATTCATATGCTGGCTTATAATACCCAACAGGATAACATTAGGAGGTGAGGCCTTTGGGAAGTGATTAAGTCATGAGGGTTCCACCCTCATGAAGAGGTTTAGTGCCTCATAACAGAGGCTGGAGCGAGTTCCCTTGCCCCTTGTACCAGTGACACAGTAACAAGGCACAACGTATGAAGCAGAGAGCCCCCACCAGACACCAAATCTGCTGGTGCCTTTTCTTGGGCTTCCCAGCCTCCAGAGCTAAAGTTATGTTGTCTATAAATTAGCAAGTCTAAGGTATTCTGGTTACAGCAGCCAGCAAACAATAATAACAAACAAAATACTGAGCAGCAAACAAAACACTGAGGCAGTATTCCAGTTTATAAAATTCTTAACTACAGGTGGCTCCCTGACATGAATATATTATTCTAAAAGTAAAATCATGAACTTGGGATATTAGACATTGTATTTCAATTTCAATAGTATATCTACATTAATTGTGGTGAGGCTGCTCTTGTTATGGTGAATATTAGTTAACTAATACCCACATATTTTTCCAAGTGTCTGTTGTAAAGACAGGTCCTTGACATTCTGAACATGCACCATTGATATTTTGAATTCACCAGCAGGGCGTACAACTCTCCCTAATAAATTTCCTCTTGTTATTCTTGGCCTGAAATGTTAACCTGTCAGGATTTTTAGAACCAAGATTTACATTCTAGGATATTCATTTATATGATTTCACCCTCCCTTTCTAGGCACACTCCTTACAGACACATGTACACATACGTATCCAGGGGGCATTCCAGGATACCACATAACAGCCTTATTCACAACACGCAGCCAGGCGCAGTGGCTCATGTGTGTAATCCCAGCACTTTGGAAGGCCAAGATGAGAGAATCACTTGAAGCCAGAAGTTTAAGACCAGTCTGAGAAATATAGTGAAATCTCATCTTTCCAAAAATATTTTTAAATAACTGGACATAGTGGTGCATGCCTACAGTCCCAGCTGCTCAGAAGGTAAGGTGGGAGGACCGCTTGAACCCACGAATTTGAAGCTACAATAAGCTACAATTACACCGCTGCACTACAGCCTGGGAAACAGAGTGAGACCCTGTCTCTAAAAACAAAACAAAACAAAACAAAACATAATTACTCAAATGGCAGAAAAAAAAGAAAACAAAATCCCAGTAACAGAATGATTAAATACATTCTGGTATACTCACAAGAATAAATGTACCCAGCAGCAAAACTGAATAACCTGCAGACTATACAGCAAAAATGAATAATTCTATTCACATAAAGTTCACAATCACACAAAACAAAATGATAGCATTTAGACATGTGTACTTAGGTGACAAAACAACAGAGAAAAGCAAAATAAATAAATAAATGCTATGAAAGTAAGGGTGCTGGATGGTGGAATGGTTTATAATAGTCTATTTCTTGATACATGTTTACCTTATACTAATTTGTTACGTGTGCCTGTATATCACCTGCATTTTTCTCTGTGTGTGTTATAGTTCTCAATCAAAAGACTAAGATCAATTTTCAAAAATTAACTATCACTTCCCGAGCCAAGATGGCCGAATAGGAACAGCTCCGGTCTACAGCTCCCAGCGTGAGCGACGCAGAAGACGGGTGATTTCTGCATTTCCATCTGAGGTACTGGGTTCATCTCACTAGGGAGTGCCAGACAGTGGGCGCAGGCCAGTGTGTGCGCGCACCGTGCGCGAGCCGAAGCAGGGCGAGGCATTGCCTCACCTGGGAAGCGCAAGGGGTCAGGAAGTTCCCTTTCCGAGTCAAAGAAAGGGGTGACGGACGCGCCTGGAAAATCGGGTCACTCCCACCCGAATATTGCGCTTTTCAGACCGGCTTAAAAAATGGCGCACCACGAGACTATATCCCACACCTGGCTCAGAGGGTCCTACGCCCACGGAATCGCGCTGATTGCTAGCACAGCAGTCTGAGATCAAACTGCAAGGCGGCAACGAGGCTGGGGGAGGGGCGCCCGCCATTGCCCAGGCTTGCTTAGGTAAACAAAGCAGCTGGGAAGCTCGAACTGGGTGGAGCCCACCATAGCTCAAGGAGGCCTGCCTGCCTCTGTAGGCTCCACCTCTGGGGGCAGGGCACAGACAAACAAAAAGACAGCAGTAACCTCTGCAGACTTAAGTGTCCCTGTCTGACAGCTTTGAAGAGAGCAGTGGTTCTCCCAGCACGCAGCTGGAGATCTGAGAACGGGCAGACTGCCTCCTCAAGTGGGTCCCTGACCCCTGACCCCCGAGCAGCCTAACTGGGAGGCACCCCCCAGCAGGGGCACACTGACACCTCACACGGCAGGGTATTCCAACAGACCTGCAGCTGAGAGTCCTGTCTGTTAGAAGGAAAACTAACAACCAGAAAGGACATCTACACCGAAAACCCATCTGTACATCACCATCATCAAAGACCAAAAGTAGATAAAACCACAAAGATGGGGAAAAAACAGAACAGAAAAACTGGAAACTCTAAAACGCAGAGCGCCTCTCCTCCTCCAAAGGAACGCAGTTCCTCACCAGCAACGGAACAAAGCTGGATGGAGAATGATTTTGACGAGCTGAGAGAAGAAGGCTTCAGACGATCAAATTACTCTGAGCTACGGGAGGACATTCAAACCAAAGGCAAAGAAGTTGAAAACTTTGAAAAAAATTTAGAAGAATGTATAACTAGAATAACCAATACAGAGAAGTGCTTAAAGGAGCTGATGGAGCTGAAAACCAAGGCTCGAGAACTACGTGAAGAATGCAGAAGCCTCAGGAGCCGATGCGATCAACTGGAAGAAAGGGTATCAGCAATGGAAGATGAAATGAATGAAATGAAGCGAGAAGGGAAGTTTAGAGAAAAAAGAATAAAAAGAAATGAGCAAAGCCTCCAAGAAATATGGGACTATGTGAAAAGACCAAATCTACGTCTGATTGGTGTACCTGAAAGTGATGTGGAGAATGGAACCAAGTTGGAAAACACTCTGCAGGATATTATCCAGGAGAACTTCCCCAATCTAGCAAGGCAGGCCAACGTTCAGATTCAGGAAATACAGAGAACGCCACAAAGATACTCCTCGAGAAGAGCAACTCCAAGACACATAATTGTCAGATTCACCAAAGTTGAAATGAAGGAAAAAATGTTAAGGGCAGCCAGAGAGAAAGGTCGG
Organism: Homo sapiens; assembly: GCF_000001405.40. Classification (NCBI taxonomy): domain Eukaryota; kingdom Metazoa; phylum Chordata; class Mammalia; order Primates; family Hominidae; genus Homo; species Homo sapiens. The sequence continues at coordinate 108,514,879 of NC_000013.11, read as the reverse complement.
GTTACCCTCAAAGGAAAGCCCATCAGACTAACAGCGGATCTCTCGGCAGAAACCCTACAAGCCAGAAGAGAGTGGGGGCCAATATTCAACATTCTTAAAGAAAAGAATTTTCAACCCAGAATTTCATATCCAGCCAAACTAAGCTTCATAAGTGAAGGAGAAATAAAATACTTTATAGACAAGCAAATGCTGAGAGATTTTGTCACCACCAGGCCTGCCCTAAAAGAGCTCCTGAAGGAAGCGCTAAACATGGAAAGGAACAACCGGTACCAGCTGCTGCAAAATCATGCCAAAATGTAAAGACCATCGAGACTAGGAAGAAACTGCATCAACTAATGAGCAAAATCACCAGCTAACATCATAATGACAGGATCAAATTCACACATAACAATATTAACTTTAAATATAAATGGACTAAATTCTGCAATTAAAAGACACAGACTGGCAAGTTGGATAAAGAATCAAGACCCATCAGTGTGCTGTATTCAGGAAACCCATCTCACGTGCAGAGACACACATAGGCTCAAAATAAAAGGATGGAGGAAGATCTACCAAGCCAATGGAAAACAAAAAAAGGCAGGGGTTGCAATCCTAGTCTCTGATAAAACAGACTTTAAACCAACAAAGATCAAAAGAGACAAAGAAGGCCATTACATAATGGTAAAGGGATCAATTCAACAAGAGGAGCTAACTATCCTAAATATTTATGCACCCAATACAGGAGCACCCAGATTCATAAAGCAAGTCCTGAGTGACCTACAAAGAGACTTAGACTCCCACACATTAATAATGGGAGACTTTAACACCCCACTGTCAACATTAGACAGATCAACGAGACAGAAAGTCAACAAGGATACCCAGGAATTGAACTCAGCTCTGCACCAAGCGGACCTAATAGACATCTACAGAACTCTCCACCCCAAATCAACAGAATATACATTTTTTTCAGCACCACACCACACCTATTCCAAAATTGACCACATAGTTGGAAGTAAAGCTCTCCTCAGCAAATGTAAAAGAACAGAAATTATAACAAACTATCTCTCAGACCACAGTGCAATCAAACTAGAACTCAGGATTAAGAATCTCACTCAAAGCCGCTCAACTACATGGAAACTGAACAACCTGCTCCTGAATGACTACTGGGTACATAACGAAATGAAGGCAGAAATAAAGATGTTCTTTGAAACCAACGAGAACAAAGACACCACATACCAGAATCTCTGGGACGCATTCAAAGCAGTGTGTAGAGGGAAATTTATAGCACTAAATGCCTACAAGAGAAAGCAGGAAAGATCCAAAATTGACACCCTAACATCACAATTAAAAGAACTAGAAAAGCAAGAGCAAACACATTCAAAAGCTAGCAGAAGGCAAGAAATAACTAAAATCAGAGCAGAACTGAAGGAAATAGAGACACAAAAAACCCTTCAAAAAATCAATGAATCCAGGAGCTGGTTTTTTGAAAGGATCAACAAAATTGATAGACCGCTAGCAAGACTAATAAAGAAAAAAAGAGAGAAGAATCAAATAGACACAATAAAAAATGATAAAGGGGATATCACCACCGATCCCACAGAAATACAAACTACCATCAGAGAATACTACAAACACCTCTATGCAAATAAACTAGAAAATCTAGAAGAAATGGATACATTCCTCGACACATACACTCTCCCAAGACTAAACCAGGAAGAAGTTGAATCTCTGAATAGACCAATAACAGGAGCTGAAATTGGGCAATAATCAATAGTTTACCAACCAAAAAGAGTCCAGGACCAGATGGATTCACAGCCGAATTCTACCAGAGGTACAAGGAGGAACTGGTACCATTCCTTCTGAAACTATTCCAATCAATAGAAAAAGAGGGAATCCTCCCTAACTCATTTTATGAGGCCAGCATCATTCTGATACCAAAGCCAGGCAGAGACACAACCAAAAAAGAGAATTTTAGACCAATATCCTTGATGAACATTGATGCAAAAATCCTCAATAAAATACTGGCAAACCGAATCCAGCAGCACATCAAAAAGCTTATCCACCATGATCAAGTGGGCTTCATCCCTGGGATGCAAGGCTGGTTCAATATACGCAAATCAATAAATGTAATCCAGCATATAAACAGAGCCAAAGACAAAAACCACATGATTATCTCAATAGATGCAGAAAAAGCCTTTGACAAAATTCAACAACCCTTCATGCTAAAAACTCTCAATAAATTAGGTATTGATGGGACGTATTTCAAAATAATAAGAGCTATCTATGACAAACCCACAGCCAATATCATACTGAATGGGCAAAAACTGGAAGCATTCCCTTTGAAAACTGGCACAAGACAGGGATGCCCTCTCTCACCGCTCCTATTCAACATAGTGTTGGAAGTTCTGGCCAGGGCAATCAGGCAGGAGAAGGAAATAAAGGGTATTCAATTAGGAAAAGAGGAAGTCAAATTGTCCCTGTTTGCAGACGACATGATTGTTTATCTAGAAAACCCCATCGTCTCAGCCCAAAATCTCCTTAAGCTGATAAGCAACTTCAGCAAAGTCTCAGGATACAAAATCAATGTACAAAAATCACAAGCATTCTTATACACCAACAACAGACAAACAGAGAGCCAAATCATGAGTGAACTCCCATTCACAATTGCTTCAAAGAGAATAAAATACCTAGGAATCCAACTTACAAGGGATGTGAAGGACCTCTTCAAGGAGAACTACAAACCACTGCTCAAGGAAATAAAAGAGGACACAAACAAATGGAAGAACATTCCATGCTCATGGGTAGGAAGAATCAATATCGTGAAAATGGCCATACTGCCCAAGGTAATTTACAGATTCAATGCCATCCCCATCAAGCTACCAATGACTTTCTTCACAGAATTGGAAAAAACTACTTTAAAGTTCATATGGAACCAAAAAAGAGCCCGCATCGCCAAGTCAATCCTAAGCCAAAAGAACAAAGCTGGAGGCATCACACTACCTGACTTCAAACTATACTACAAGGCTACAGTAACCAAAACAGCATGGTACTGGTACCAAAACAGAGATATAGATCAATGGAACAGAACAGAGCCCTCAGAAATAATGCCGCATATCTACAACTATCTGATCTTTGACAAACCTGAGAAAAACAAGCAATGGGGAAAGGATTCCCTATTTAATAAATGGTGCTGGGAAAACTGGCTAGCCATATGTAGAAAGCTGAAACTGGATCCCTTCCTTACACCTTATACAAAAATCAATTCAAGATGGATTAAAGATTTAAACGTTAGACCTAAAACCATAAAAACCCTAGAAGAAAACCTAGGCATTACCATTCAGGACATAGGCGTGGGCAAGGACTTCATGTCCAAAACACCAAAAGCAATGGCAACAAAAGCCAAAATTGACAAATGGGATCTAATTAAACTAAAGAGCTTCTGCACAGCAAAAGAAACTACCATCAGAGTGAACAGGCAACCTACAACATGGGAGAAAATTTTCGCAACCTACTCATCTGACAAAGGGCTAATATCCAGAATCTACAATGAACTCAAACAAATTTACAAGAAAAAAACAAACAACCCCATCAAAAAGTGGGCGAAGGACATGAACAGACACTTCTCAAAAGAAGACATTTATGCAGCCAAAAAACACACGAAGAAAGCTCATCATCACTGGCCATCAGAGAAATGCAAATCAAAACCACTATGAGATATCATCTCACACCAGTTAGAATGGCAATCATTAAAAAGTCAGGAAACAACAGGTGCTGGAGAGGATGTGGAGAAATAGGAACACTTTTACACTGTTGGTGGGACTGTAAACTAGTTCAACCATTGTGGAAGTCAGTGTGGCGATTCCTCAGGAATCTAGAACTAGAAATACCATTTGACCCAGCCATCCCATTACTGGGTATATACCCAAATGACTATAAATCATGCTGCTATAAAGACACATGCACACGTATGTTTATTGCGGCATTATTCACAATAGCAAAGACTTGGAACCAACCCAAATGTCCAACAATGATAGACTGGATTAAGAAAATGTGGCACATATACACCATGGAATACTATGCAGCCATAAAAAATGATGAGTTCATGTCCTTTGTAGGGACATGGATGAAATTGGAAACCATCATTCTCAGTAAACTATCACAAGAACAAAAAACCAAACACCGCATATTCTCACTCATAGGTGGGAATTGAACAATGAGATCACATGGACACAGGAAGGGGAATATCACACTCTGGGGACTGTGGTGGGGTCGGGGGAGGGGGGAGGGATAGCATTGGGAGATATACCTAATGCTAGATGACACGTTAGTGGGTGCAGTGCACCAGCATGGCACATGTATACATATGTAACTAACCTGCACAATGTGCACATGTACCCTAAAACTTAAAGTACAATAAAAAAAAAAAAAAAAAAAAAAAACAGCTATCAATGTTAAATATAAAAAAAAAAAAAAAATTAACTATCTACCGGGCATGGTGGCTCACGCCTGTAATCCCAGCACTTTGGGACGCCAAGGAGGATGGATCACAAGGTCAGGAGATCGAGACCATCCTGCCTAACACGGTGAAACCCCATCTCTACTAAAAACACAAAAAAATTAGCCGGGCGTGATGGCGGGCACCTGTAGTCCCAGCTACTCGGGAGGCTGAGGCTGGAGAATGGCGTGAACCCGGGAGGCAGAGCTTGCAGTGAGCCGAGATAGCGCCATTGCACTCCAGCCTGGGCGACAGGGCGAGACTCTGTCTCGAAAAACAAAAAACGAAAACAAACAAACAAAAAATAAAAATTAACTATCATGACTATCCTTCTGCAATCCACAAGCATTCTAGGGCAGAACTAATATTGGGGATTATTTCAGGTGTTACTTGACCATGGCTTTAGCCCCTTGCTCTTCTCACTCAACGTACTCAACTTCTGCTGTATCTTGTAGCAAAGTTAGTAATAAAAGGGCTTCTGGGATGACAGCACCATGACTGTAGCAAAACAATGTTGGGGTTGGGCGGGGGAAGAAAAAGAGAGAGTCCATGATGCAAGAAAAGTCCTGGGCCACACTCAGTTGGGTCATATTCCTTTTTTTATTATTATTATACTTTAAGTTTTAGGGTACATGTGCATAATGTGCAGGTTTTTTACATATGTATACATGTGCCATATTGGTATGCTGCACCCATTAACTCGTCATTTAACATTAGGTATATCTTCTAATGCTATTCTTAAACTTGAAAAGTGACCAAAGGTAAAATAAAGTCATCAGAGCAAGCAAGATTATGCTGATCAACTGAAGCCAATCATAGCCCACTTTTAGAGCTTGAGTTGGACCAATCTCATTCAAACCATGTGGTTACTACATTATGAGGAAAGAGTGGAATTAATGCTAACTTGTATATTCTCATATGTACACATACATGTATACACAATCCGACAGTCAACCTTAGGGAAAGATGTACAGCAAAGTGTAAAGTGTAGCTTTCCATAGAGTAGTAGGATTATGAATTCTTTCATTTTTTTCTTTTGAATTATTTGTACTTTGTAATGTTTCTATTAACAACCAAAAACCCTTTCTCTAGTTTCTGTAGGAGAGAAATCGTCACTTAAAAATACTCTTCAGGTTGTGCAAGTATCATACTGTGCAAGTTGATATTTATCTGGGATTCCAATTCCGTTTCTGTTGGTCTTTCATTATTTGACCTTGATCAGTCCTCTACTTATATTACTCCCTGAAGGTTTCAGATCTCTCTACCTGTTCTTTTAACTATCTTTTACTAAAATTTATCTTTGATGGTCTAAGGCTAACACTGGTTTATTAAACATTTTACTTTAAAGCAACCTGGTTTAGCTCAGCGTTTCTCACCTTACTCAGTTTCTCCTGTCCACAAATAGGAATGACAGCTAATGAGAGCAATGGTGTCCTCTGGAAAATCCAGGAAAGTTTGCAGAACATCTGGTTAAAATTAAACTAAACTCCAGTCTATGGGATGGTAACAGGATAACTGAATAGTAAGTCCCATCCCTCACTCTCCCAAAAAGACACTGTCTAAAAAGCAACATATGAACCAAACACCTTTACGAGAACTTCAGAAACCAATGAAGAAGCTGCAGTACCCTCAGGGAATGCAACTTCAAGAATATCTGCACTGAAATGGATAAGAAAAGCCTTTACATTCTACCGTCCCTCCCTCTACCCCAAGCTGGCAGAGCTCAGCACAGCTGGGAGAAAACTCTCAACTCATAGCTTCTCTCTCAGGAGGGAAAGAGAAGGAGGAAAAAATGCATCCAATGTTAGGGCTTTCAGGAGATAGCAAGACACTGATTTCTCTTCAACCTGATTTAGAATACTGACAAAACTTGCATACTTTAGATCCCTGGGAGCCACTGAGAACAAAAGAGAACGGTTGGCTTGCTGAAGCAGCAACAAAGATAAACACCAGAGGGAGCAGGAGATTACAAACTCCAAGAAAAGAAACAAGCAAACCTCTCTGGAAAATTACACATACTAGCCAGAGAAAGTGCATCCCCAAAAAAGCTTTGAGAGGCCTCCAGAACCTCTAGCTGGGCTGACTAGTGAAAGTCTTCCTCAGTATAAAGCTAGTCCATAAAGACTAAGAAAGATAGCTTTTTTTTTTTTTTCAAATGCCCAAGTTTCAGCAAAAAACTACAAGGCATACAGAGAAAGAGGGAAACTTGGCCCAATCAAAAGAACAAAATAAATATCCAGAATTCAACCTGAAAGAAGTCGAGATCTATGAATTATGTAACAAATAATTTGAAATAGCTATCTTATAGCAGCTTAATGAGTTTAAATAAGACACAGATAGACAAATAAGAAAAAAATCCAGAAACCTATGTGTGAACAAAAAGAGAATATTAACAAAGAGATAGGAATTACACATTAAAAAAAAATTTCTGGACTTTAAGTATATAATAACTGAGCTGAAAAATTCACTATAAATGTTCAACAGACTTGGCCAAGCAAAAGAAAAAAAAATGCTGAATTTGAGGATAAGTCATTTGAAGTCATCTAATCAGAAGGTAGATAATAATATAAGTGATATTATTTTCTATAATACCAATCAGATAGAAATGAAGAAATCATAAGATACTTATGAGACATCACTGACTGGGCCAACATATGCATTATGAGAGACCCAGAAGAAAAGAAAAAGAGAAAGAGGCAGAGAACTTATCTGAATAAATAATGGCTGGAAACTTCTCTAATCTGAGGATGAAAATAGACATCCAAATTTAAGAAGTTAAACATACTACAACTCTGATAAATCCAAAATGACACAAAGACACATTATCATCAAACTGGCAAAAGTCAAAGACAGAAAGAATCTTGAAAGCAGAAAGAAAATGTGACTTGGTACATCAAAGGGAGCTCCCATAAGATTATCAGTGGTTTTCTCAGCAGAAATCTTACAGGCCAGAAGAGAGTGGAATGACATATTCAAAGTTTTTCTTTAAAAAAAACCTAGCAAGCAAGAATATTATATGTGGCAAAACTGCCCTTCAAAAATGAGGAAGAAATAAAAACTTTCTATAACAGAAAGCTAAAGGAGTTCATCACCACCAGACCGCCTTAAGAGAAACATTAAAGGGAGCCCCTTTAAGTTGAAATGCAAAGGTGTTAGATAGCAATACGAAAGCCTGTAAAAATATAAAGATCTCTGGCAAAGTTAAATACACAGATGCTCCTTGGTTTATGACAGTCCCATAAACCCATTGTAAGTTGAAAATATTTTAAGTCAAGGATACATGGCTAAGAACTGTGGCTCACTGCTGCTGCCCAACATGACAAGAGAAGAATGGTTAGGGTTAGGATTAGGTCATACACCATGACCAAGTGGGATTAATTCCTGTAATGTAAGGATGGTTCAACATACAAACATAAATCAGTGTAAAACATCACATTATCAGAATGACATATAAAAAATTACACGATCTCAATTGATAAAGAAAAAGCATTTGGCAAAATTCAACATATTTTCATGGTAAAAAAAATTCAACAAACTAGAAAGGAAATTACCTCAACATAATAAAGGTCATATATGAAAAGGCTTCAGCTAACATCATACTCCATGGAGAAAACAGTGAAAAACTGAATGTGTTTTCTTTGAGATCAGGAACAAGGCAAGATGCCCACTCTTGCCACTTCTATTCAACATAGTTCTAGAAGTCCTAACCAGAGAAACTAGACAAGAAAAAGAAACTAAAGACATTCAAATTGTGAAGGAAGAAGTAAACTTATCTCCGTTAACATGTAATTCTGTATGTAGAAAATTCTGGACTATGCACACACACACACACATACACACATACATGTGCAAACTGTTAGAACTAATAAATGAAATCACTAAAGTTGCAGGATCCAGAATTGACATGCAAAAAGAAGTTGCTTTTTATATATTAACAATGAAGAATCCAAAAATGAAATTTAAAAAATGATGCCACTTACAATAGCATCAAAAAAGAATAAAATGCTTAGGAATAAACTAAACCAGAGAGGTAAAAGACCTATACACTAAAATCTACAAAACATTGCTGAAAGAAATTTATGAAGACAGAAATAAATGGAAAGATATCCTGTATTCATGGATTGGAAGACTTAATATTGTTAAAATACAAGTAATATCCAAAGTAAGACACAAATTCAACATAATCCTATTAGAATTCCAAAGGCATTTTTTGGCAAAAATTGAAAAGAAATTCTGAAATTTATATGGGATCTCAAAGGACCCCAAAGATTCCAAACAATACTGAGAAAAAAAGAATAAAGCTGGAGGCCTTATACCTTCTGTTTTTAAAACATGTTAAAAGCTGCAGTAGTCAAGACAGTATGGCACTGGCATAAAAACAGACATAAAGACCAATGGAAGAGAATAGAGAGCCCAGAATAAATTCTTGTGTATAAAGTTAAATGATCCTCAACAAAAGTGCCAAGACTACACAATGGGGAAAGAATAGTATCTTCAACAAATGGTGTTGGAAAACTAGATATCCACTTGCAAGACAATGACATTTGATCTTTACCTTATGCAGCAAAAGAAACAACTCAAAATGGATTAAAGACAAAATGTAGGATCTGAAACCATATACATCTAGAAAAAAACATATGATGAAAACCTTGTGACTTTGATTTGGCAATGATTTCTTGATGACACCAAAAGCACAGGCAACAAAAGCAAAAATTGACAAATAGGACTACATCAAACCAAAAATCTGTGCAGCAAAGGAGATGATCAAAAGACTAAAAAAAGCATATAGAATGGGAGAAAGTATTTTCAAACCATATATCTGACAAAAATTTAATATCCAGTATATGTAAAGAGCTCTCACAACTCAGTAACAAAAAAATAAAATGACCTGATTAAAAAACGAACAAAGGATTTGCATAACCTTTCTCTAAAGAAGATATACAAACGAACAAAAAGTTTATGAAAAGATGCTTGACATCATTAATCATCAGGAAAATGCAAATTAAAACCACAATGACATATGACCTTACACTTGTTAGGATGGCCACTATCAAACAAACAAGCAAACAAAAAAACAGAAAATAACAAGTGCTGGTGAGGATATGGAGAAACTTGAACTCTTGTGCACTTTTAGTGGGGAGGTAAAATGGTGCAGCCACTATGGAAAACAGTTTAGGGGTTCCTCAAAACATTAAAAGTAGAATTACCATATGATCCAGGAATCCTACTTCTTTGGGTTTTAATCCAAAAGAATTGAAAACAGGATCTTGAAGAGATACTTGCACACCCATGTCCATCACAGGATTATTCACAAAAGCCAAGATGAAAGCAACTTAAATTTCTATCAACAAACAAGTGGATGAAGAAAATGTGGCCTACCCATAACAATGGAGTATTATTCAGCCTTAAAAGTAAAGGAAATCTAGTCATAGACTAGAACATAGATGAATCTTGAGAACATTATGCTAAATGAAAAAAATAGTTACAAAATATCAAATACTGCATTATTCCACTTACATGAAGTACCTAGAAGAGTCAACTCATAGAAACAGCAAATAGAATGTGGTTATTGGCAGGGCGTGGTGGCTCATGCCTGTAATCCCAGCACTTTGGGAGGCCGAGGTGGGTGGATCACAAGGTCAAGAGATCGAGACCATCCTGGCCAACATGGTGAAACCCCCGTCTCTACTAAAAATACAAAAATTAGCTGGGCATGGTGGTGTGTGCCGGTAGTCCCAGCTACTTGGGAGGCTGAGGCAGGAGAATTGCTTGAACCCAGGAGGCAGAGGTTGCAGTGAGCCAAGATCATGCCACTGCACTCCAGCCCTGGCAACAGAGAGAGACTCCATCTCAAAGTAAAAAAAGGAAAGAGAGAGAGAGAATGTGGTTACCAGGGGCTGAGTTATAAGGGAAATACAGAGTTGTTGTTCAATGGGTGTAGAGTTTCGGCTTTGCAAGATTAACACTCCTAGAGATCTGGGCTGGGCGTGGTGGCTCACGCCTATAATCCCAGCACTTTGGGAGGCTGAGGTGGGTGGATCACCTGAGGTCAGGGGTTCAAGACCAGCCTGGCCAACTTGGCAAAACCCCATCTCTAGTCTACTAAAAATACAAAAATTAGCTGGGCATGGTAGCATGTGCCTGTAGTCCCAGCTACTCGTGAGGCTGAGGCAGGAGAATCACTTAAACCCCGGAGGCGAAGGTTGCAGTGAGCTGAGATCGTGCCACTGCACTCCAGTCTGGGTGATAGAGCAAGGCTCCATCACAAAAAACAAAACAAAACAAAACAAAACAAAAATCTAGAGATCTGTAGCTCAACAATGCCCACATAGTTAACATTACTGTACTGTGCACTTAGAAATGATTAAAATGATACATTTTGTTGTGTTTTTTACCACAATTTAAAAAAACTGACACCAAGTAAAGGCAAAAAAAATAATAATAAAACCTATGATAAATTCTTAGAACACAGGAACCCTGGAAATTAATTAGTCCACATCCCTAATGTTATAGATAAGCAAACTCTCATATTAATTTTATCTGGCTTTTTTTAAATACTAGGTCATCAGGTTACTTTGCAATGATTTACTATTGTGATATATTCTAGCTCCTCATGTTTTAAAGGTTTAAAAAGTATTTGTGATGTGTGCATATATATTACATATATAATTTATTTTTGATGTAATCCTATGTAACACCTCATATCATTGAGGATGCTTCTTTATGCAGCTCATCTGACCTACCCCGTTTTCTGGCATTTCTATAATTCTCCATCATGTCCCAAAGATTACAAGTAGCACCTGCAAAGGCACATTTGCAATTCTTTCAGTCTCCTGGCATGGGATTAACTTGAGCCTCACTTGAATGATCTTCAAAGAGCTAAATGAATTTTTGTTTTAATTTCCTCACCTGTCTTTGGCTTTAATCCAAGATTCTGACCTTTTATTTAAAAAAAAAAAACTTTTTTGAGCTTCTTCTCCTTGATGAAGAAAATTGGGGCCAAAATTATGAAGAACAGGTCTGCTTTGAAATCATCTCTATGGTCTATATATCGTCGGCTCCCGGCAGAGGCTGGCCCCTGCCTTGCAGCTCTTGTTGCCTGCGCTGTGCCTGTACCATTTCACAGGTGAGGCCTAGGGGGGTTTTCCACATATTCACCATCTCAGAGAATTGACATGCAGAACAGGAATCTTCTCCACCTCAAGTTTACTTTCTTATTGACCATATTATACTATATTGTAATTTCCTGCCTCAATGTCTGTTTTATATTATATATTAGGGAAACCCCATATATCATCCTGATCTGAATGCTTATATATCTATAGCTTTAGCAAACTCCCTTCCTTAGAAATAACATATCTTAGCTTCACTCCAGAAAACTTGTTTCTACACGCTATAAAATGAAAATAGCAAGCTACACTCAATATAAAAATATATTCTCAGTATTCTGTTCTACTAAGTTTCTTTATTTCTTAGGCCGAATTTCATTTGTCTTGCTCTTGCATATAGATTTAAATCTCTGAAATGAATGTAAAGTTAATGATTCTCTGTTCCAAATAATAAAGATAAAAGGTATATTAATAGACTTTTCAAAAGAAGATTTGAGAGCTCATGAAATGATTTCAACCCAGGGACTCCAACCACATATTACTCAGCTGCTTATAACCAATAATCTAAATTAGAAAAACATTAGTAAGCTTGAATAAGACTTTATCATTCTTAAAGAAATTATTTAATATTTCAAATGTGTTCGTTAAAGGCACACAGTACCACATGCTACAGTTTTTAGCCTCCTGGGTTTATTTTTAAAATATCAACTAATTTCAGTAATAAAAAAGACATTAAAATGTTTTCAACATTTTGGTTATAGAGAAAGAGGATATTCAAATATCAATTTTTATGTATAATTCAATTCAGCTTATGATAATTTGAACATCAAACTCACTGTTTTCTACATCTTCAAGCATTTTTAACCAAAAATACCCAGAATGACTTCATGAGGAATTAACTTTACTTACATTACTTAAAATTATGTCGATCATGCTAAATAGTTGTAGATAAATAATAAGCATCAAAAATAAGAAACAAATATGACATCAAGTATTTAAATATACTGTGGGTTTTCCCTTCATTTTTTTCTTAAAATTCAATAAATCTACAATTTATTTTATTTTTTATTGCTTTTTGTTTTTTGAGATGGAGTCTCATTCTGTCACCCAGGCTGGAATGTAGTGGCTTAATCTCGGCTCACTGCAACCTCCACCTCCTGGGTTCAAGCAATTCTCCTGTCTTAGCCTCCTGAGTAGCTGGGACTACAGACACGTGCCACCACACCCAGCTAATTTTTTGTATTTTTAGTAGAGACGGGGTTTCACCGGGTTAGCCAGGATGGTCTCGATCTCCTGACCTCGTGATCCGCCCGCCTCGGCCTCCCAAAGTGCTGGGATTACAACTTATTTTTATATGTCCAGTCTTTTCTGGCATCACAATTATTTGCCAAAGTCAACTACCTCATAAATTATACTAAACATCATGTTCAGATCTCATTATTCCAATGATCAGGGTTCAGCAAACATTTTCTGTAAAAGGCCAAAGAGTAAATACGTTAGGCTGTATGCGCTGCAGAGTCTCAGTCGGTCACACATTCTTTATTCGTTTTGGGTTTTCTCCATACTTTAAACGTGCAAAGGACATGTTTAGCTTACAGGCTGTACACAGCAGGCCAAGGTTGGAACTGGCCCACTGGTGGTGGTGGCTTCTTGTTTCCAGCTATAGATGGTTTTCTATATGGCGCTTGTTTAAAAAGCCAGTTTTCTTCTTTTAAAAGGTGCTAAGAGCACAGGGAAAATAATCAGACCTTTTTGCAAGTCTGGATCTCCGCTAAGCTAGCAGTGTAACTCTGAATAAATGATTCAGTCTCTCTGAGTTTTCTTTTCCTCATCTGTAGAAGGAGCAGATGTCTTTTATGGAAGGGAGAAGCAGATGAGAGAGAGTCAGAGGATGAATAAGGTGGGACCCGGGGTTACCGGCAGAGGAGAGATACGATAACAGGTGAGATAGAGGGTCCCTAAGCAGAGCTCAGGGAGCTGTTGAAGCTAGAATCTCCCCCAGGCACTCTTGCCTCTAGGGAAGCTCGCTTTTATCTTCTGCTGTGCTCATATCCACTCGTGTAACACCAACCCAATCCAGACACACAGAGATGAGTAAGAAGCAGTAACCACAGTGCCAGGGAAAGTCCGGCGTTTCAATAAGCGCGATACACTAAGGGTTAACAGCGAAGATGGGCAGGCAGCAGAAGAGGGACCTCTATGAAGTGGGGTATTTGGGGGAAGATGATCTGGATTTGATTCCAGCTGAACAAAGCTAGAAGCAGCTCATGCCCAGTGTACAGGGGGATGAATAAAGTCAGTGTATTCAGAAACGCTAAGTTCCACGTAGAGAACAAGCACCTCGGTGTTGTAAAATGCAGGGATGTGAGTCGGGAGAGGTGTCAGAGGAGGCTGGAGCTGGGCAGGGAGCGGGTCAAGAAGGTGTCTGTCATGGGGAGGAGCAGGCACTTTATGCTGCAGATGATAGAAAATCATTCAAGTCTTTTAAGCCACAGGTTTCATGGCTAAATTTGCATTTAAGATAAATCACTCTGGCAACTGTAAGACTGGAGCACGAAGATGAATTAGGGCCTGGTCCCTTAGCCCTGGCAGGGCATGATGAAGATTGGATCCGGGGCAGTCCTAAAAGGTCAGAATAAAGAAGACTCATCTCAGTCATATTTATAAGACACATTGTAAAGACTTGATAACTAATGGAAAATGGGATGTGGGGGAGGGAAAGGAAGAAGGAGAAAAACAGCAGGAAATAAACCAACGAACAGTAATCAAGTCCGGGCGTGGTGGCTCATGCTTGTAATCCCAGCACTTTGGGAGGCCGAGGCGAGTGGATCACGATGTCAGGAGTTCAAGACCAGCCTGGCCCACACAGTGAAACCCCATCTCTACTAAAAATACAAAAATTAGCCGGGCGTGGTGGCAGGCGCCTGTAATCGCAGCTACTCGGGAGGCTGAGGCAGGAGAATCGCTTGAACCCGGGAGGCAGAGGTTGCAGTGAGATGAGATTGTGCCACTGCACTCCAGCCAGGGTGACAGACTCCGTCTCAAAAAAAAAAAACAAAAAAAACAAAAAAAAAACAAAAAAAAAAAAAACAGGAATCAACGGGAATAACAGAGGCCAGCCTAGAGAGAACAATCAAGATTAGGATTCCAGTGTGGATGTGAGGAGTCAGGTGTGGTATGGAACCTCCAGGTCAGGACTGGAGATGCAGACGTGGAGGCCAGGCACATGCACCCACCAAGAGGTGCAGGAGAGACTTGAGACCACAGGAAAGAAAGGAAGAGAGGGGCCAAAGCGAGGGCACAGAGGGCCCGCCGGAGCAGAGGGAGAGAGGGGCCGTGCCAGGGAGGGGGTCAGAGAAGCCAGGCTGAGGAGAGCTCAGGAATGGACTTCCATGAAGTGGAGGGAGGGAACGGAGACGCTTCTGCCCAGGCTTTTTCTCTGGCCACAGAAATAAGCACATCACAGAAATTACAAAGAACAAGTCACTTAACATAATTATTTTTAGAAACATAATTATATACAAAGAATTGTAATCCTGTGTGGGATATATAAGAAATGAGTTGATTTGATCCTACCACTTAAAGTTTACCAATATTTCATCCATGTTTACTTTTAGTCACAGTTGAGAGTGTAAACCTAAACTTCCTTGGAATTAATGGCCTGGTTTATTGTCATGTCTTCCTAGTTATTATAATAACATAAAACTAACCAAGTAAGAAAATCTTTGCAGATTCCTATATAAGTGGGAAAGAGAAGTGGCTCTAGCTAGATGGGGGGTTGGGGGTGCGCCCAGTGTACATTTTTGAAAGACCATCCACTGTGTTCTCAAACGCAGTGTGCTCCTGTAAATGACTCAGCAGAAGGTTGTGGTCCCAGCCCCAGATTCTGATTCCGCAGGCCTGGAACAGGCCAGGGAATCTACTTCTTATTGGGCACCTCCAGAAAATCTAGAGTTAGCATCCCAAGGAGCACACCTCGCCAGTCCTTAGAAATTTACAATCTTCAAAGTCAAGGTCCTGCATACTTGAATGACTACTCATTTTCAGGAAATGTCACTATAGAATTGTTAATAAATTTTTATAATTTTGCGTTGTCTGAAAATTATTTAGCACATTCTCTTGAAAAAAAGTCCATGCTTAAAACAGGCAAGTTGAGTATAAATGTTTGATCTCAATTAACTCATGAGTCAACCATGTTCTGAAAGCACTGACTGAATCCTTACTGAATAGCACATCCAGGGCAGGCTATTAGGATACAAAGATGAAAATAGACTTAAATTAAGACAATAGATGTTACAGGGTGCTAATCACCCACATGTATCCTTGCCCCAGAGGAACCCCTAATTTTGCCTGGGGACATCTGTGAGAAGGAGAAGGACCAGAATTCAGTCATAGGAAATTGGCAATGTGGAATGGGTGTGCCTCCCTACATCTAGACAGGGCACTTGTGAGGATCAAATGAGATACTAAATGGAAAAGCAACTTTGGGACAGATAAGGTGTTGTTACTGTGAGCTTTTCAGTTTCTGAGAGTGATGATGACATTTCTCCCTCTAGGACTGTGTCCTTCCTTGCCTCAGTGGAATTCAGGTGAAAATCATCTGCTTTTACGGCCTGGCTTTTTAAATTTTTAAAGTCCACCTGGTTAAATTGTATGCATTTTAATCTCAGTAAGTTTTTTCTTGATCTCTTCACATGCTCACTCTTTGCTCTCTGGAAATCTCAAAGAACAATGAGTTATTTCTAGTACAGAGCAGAATGTAGAAGAAAGGTTGGTGGGCAGAGAATCACACAGGAAGGGAGTAAGGAGAGGAGAGAGAGGCATTACGTCTGTGGTAGGTTTCACTGGCCAGCCCTTTTCTCAGGAGAAAGTAATCAAATCACTCTCTCTCCCTCCACATCTACCACTCCATTCTGGTGGAGACAGCAAGACCCAACATCCTTGCCAATATCTAGCTGTGTGATCTTGAAAAAAAAATTACCTAAGTCTTCTGGACCTCTTCGCCTTCACTTGGGGTAGAGCAAGCTTGAACAGAACATTTTGAAAGTACCGTTCTACCCCAGCATTTTCTCGTTCTATGAACATGTGTTTTTATTGGCCTGGATTTGCCCTGGTGATGAGATCCGGAAAGGGCAAACACATTTTTGAGGTGCTCAACTGAGCACAGGCTTAAAGTATCATTTTCAAATATCACAGTTCCAATGCCGTATCTCTTCTCACTTATGCAAATGTTTTAACACATTTAAGATCTGCAAGTTATGTACACACATAGAGATACACACATATACATATATATTTGGATCATATATGATTCTATGTATGATTGTGGCTTCACCCAACAGATTTTATTTTCTGATTTCTCAAGGAGAAGGCAATATTTCTATTTTTATTCAGTCTCCTTCAAGAACACTGGGGTTCTGCAGCCAACTTGTATTCAGTATACACTCTCCTTTATCCACAGGCAACTAACTTACTCACAGATTACATTCATGACCCAGCACAGCAGCAGGTGGGGCTTGTATCTTCAAGCATTCTCAGGCCAGGGGGGTGGAGGAGAGGGGCAGAAACCTTCATAGTATTAATTACACGTGCAAAATATTTGAGCTATTTTAATGTATACAAAACAAATCATTTTACTTTATTAAATTTCCCCTCCCAATTCTCATAGTACACAGATAAACCCAACCATAGCATTCTGCCCTCTAGATGAAATTGTATTGGTTAAATACATTTTTCCTTCAGTAAATAAATATCACACTCTGGGTGATGTCTATAGCAAGTAGTATAGTCCCTGGAACATATGCTGTCTATAATGCATTGCTGTATATACTGTTTTCAAAACATCCATCAAATGTAAACCTCATATGCTTACAAAAGTTAATCACATGTCATAGTGTTAAGTAAATGTCACATATGCTTGTTTAATATTAACAAACTAAAATAACTTCAAAAAGACCAATAGACAGGTTTTAGAGCACCCTTAATCCACAGATGACAAATTACCTTCGAGGCTTCTACAAATTAAAAATACTAAGAGGAAAATGTAATTTAATCTGGTAGCTATGCAATAATCCCAAAAGAAAGAAGCTGGTTGTCCCAGTGGATCTGTGGTTGGCCCCTCCTCAATCATGTGGCTTTGATCTCAGGATCTCATTGACGACTTTGGGATCCCTTGTTCTTCCTCTAGATTCTAAGTGAAAAGCACTGGGAGATGCATGGATAGACCGCAGGAGCGTCAGAAATAGTCCCAAGAACACATGACAAACGCGTGTTGTAAATGCTTTAACCTTCATCCCAACACAGACTCCAGAGACCGCATGAGATTCGCAGAGAAAGCCACTAACTCAGAAGAGGCTCCGGGCTTCCCCTGTGCTTCTGCCTTTGGAAGACGCAGGTCAGCCCTCTGCTCATTTACTCCTCTGGCCAATTCAGAGCAGCCAAGTTTCACTTAACCCCGCTTAGCAAGAGAAACCGCTCCTCCTCCAATGGCTAATAATTCTTCTGAGTGGCAAACGGTTAACACCCAATTTTAATGCCCTGGCTCACAACCCCCACACAGACATCTGAGCCACATGTGAGTAGCTACTGCTTTTCTGTAAATGACAGAAATACTAAGAGAACTTGACGGAAATCGTCTCCATTTCCTTTCGGGGGCGTACTAGGGACCAATTAAACGGAGCACTTCCACCGGCCTAGTGGTTTTCTGCAGCCAGGGAAGACGGGGCGATGCGCTGAGGCTCGACGCCCCCCGGGTGAGACTGGTCCCTCACTTGGCCGCCGGCCTCTGAGACAATGGAGCTGACACTGCCCAGCTGGGGTCGCGCAGAGGGGTCAGCAGAATCCGCGCAAGAGGCAACAGCTGGGGAGCCCTCCTTCACTCTACATCTTTGTTCTGCTCTCTTTTCCATCCCCAAAGAAACAGAGGAGGAGGAAGCAGAGCCCCCATCGCGCCTGGGAGCGGTTGTGTAGGTGACCACGCCGCTTCCCCCATCTCCCCTAGCAACGGGGCTTCCGCGTCCCTCGAAATGGCCAGTTTCGCCCCCTCCTTCTGGGGTAGGTCCAGAGTTCAGAAGGCTTCTACTCCCAGCCTCGGCTTACGCGTCCTAGCGGTTGGGAAGTCCCCGCGATTCCTTTCCCAGGAAGGGACCGACAAGCCTCCTCTCCACGCCCCCCAGACGCGTCCAACCCTCACCGTGCGGGAACTCTGGGTGGGGACCCAGCGCCGCAAGTCCGACCCGGGGCACCCTCCCGGCGTCCCCAGCCCGGCGGTGCAGAACAGCCTCTGCGCCCCGCGTACCTCCAGACTCGGAGAGGCTGCCCCGCCGCGTTCCCCGCGCTTGGACCGCGCGCAGCGCCCCGCCGACGCCCCTACCTGCCGGAGAAGGGTCCGCCGGAGCCGGGCGCCAGGCGACGCGGCGATGGCCGGGACTCGGCTCGGAAACCAGCCCCGCGCGGCGGGTGAGAGGGGTCGGCAGTTGCCCCTGTGCCCGGGGCCGGCGCGGTTGCGCGCAGCCAGGCCGGCTGGAGGCTGGGGACTGCTCCGCCACCCGCTCGGCGGCGGCTCTCTCTGCCCGCCTCTGCGACCCGCAGCCGCGGCGTCGGCGGCGACACAGTCCCCGCCGGCCCCGCCTCTCCCCTCCCCGCGCGCCCCCCGCGTGGTGCCCGCCGCAGCGCGGGTCGTGGGGCTGAGCTCCAGCTCCCGGGGCGCCGCGCCTCGCTCTGCGGGTCACTTTCCTGCGGCGCCCAGGACGCTGAACCCGCCTCGCTTCTAATCCCCGCCGGGGCAGCCCTCCGGGTCTCCCGCGCCCTCCTTTCCACGTTCCCCCGCGCGTTCCAGGAGACCGCGCCTCTCTCCACTCCTGCCCTCCGATCCTCTGCTCTCTCCCTCCTCTCTCTCTGCTACAATTCTAAGAACGCAGCTCACTCCTGAAACTTTTCCTTCCGTCTCCACTTTAGCAAGATCCTGGGAGCAGGAGGAGAAGGGAGTGCCCAGAGCTGTGACCTGGAGCCGAGGTCCCCCTGGGGAGTCCTAACAGAACAAAGGCCATCGCGGGGACTGTGGCAGTGGTTACCAGATGAAATGAGTGACCCCTTTTAAAGCTACAGAGGCCGTAACAGTCCTTCGCCCTCTCTGGTCATTCAAGAGCCTTCTGAATAGGGCTCCAAAAATCAACTTCAGCCTTGGACCAGAGAACATGTGCCAGAACAAGCCTGTCTCCAGGGGACTGCTCCGTCACAGCTGTCAGACGATTCCAGTGCATTCAGTGTGATAAAATGGAAGGCTTACCCCCGCCCCCAATTTTGTCCTTGGGTGGCTGTGTAAACGCGTTCCCTGTCCACATTTCGCCAGGAGGGCTATTTGCTGTATTAATAATGGGGTTAATGAAGACACGCCGTCATACGTTGCTTTACCAGAGGGGTGCGCTCTGAGAAATGAGGGGTACTCTCTGAGAAATGTGTCCTTAGGCGATTGTGTGGCTGTGCGAGCAACATAGGGTGCACGGACTTACACAGAGCTCAGTGGTGTAGCCTACTCCACACCTAGGACATGTGCTACAGGCGGGGCGCGGTGGCTCACATCTGTAATCCCAGCACTTTGGGTGGCCAAAGCGGGGGGATCTCCTGAGCTCAGGAGTTCGAGACCAGCCTGGGCAACGTGGCGAGACCCCGTCTCTACCAAAAATACAAAAAAATTAACTGGGTGTGGTGGCACGACCTGTGGTCCCAGCTACTCAGGAGGCTGAGGTGGGAGAATCACTTGAACCCTGGAGGCGGAGGTTGCAGTGAATCGAAATCCGAGATTGCGCCACCGCACTCCAGCCCCGGTGACAGGAGGCCCCTGCCACACACACACACACACACACACGACATATGGTACATAACCTATTGCTCTTAGGCTACAAACCTGTAAAGCATGTTCGTGTGACAAATGCCATAGGCAATTATCACACAATGGTAAGTATTTGTATATCTAAACTTATGTAGACGTAAAAAAGGTACAATAGAAACATGGTATTATAATCTTATGGGACCACCTTCCTACATGCGGTCAGTTGTTGACCCAAACATCCTTATGCAGTGAATGACTGTATAGATGATTATATATATACATATTGTACACATTAATATATATTATAATCTATGTAATGTATATATAAAATATAATATATAATGTGATTATATAATGTATGTATATACTGTAATTCTATATTATGTATAATATGTGATTATATATAATCACATAATATGTGCGTATGTATACATATACATATACATCATAGCAGAGGGTCTTGAACATAGTACACAGTAACTTTCTTCAAATGAGTTTACTACCATATTAATTATTGGATATGTCTGGATAAATTGTATGATACATGAATATATGAAAAACAGAGACTCTACAGTTAGTTTTCTGCATGAAATTCAAACTTCATACTTAGGTGACATTATAAGGCTGCATTTTCAAGTATGGATTAAATAATGACTTGAGATACCGCTTTTTAATTGCAATTTATATTTCTTTTTAATTGCCATTTATATTACATCTTAGGTGATTTGAAATGTATTCTGTGATTTTTAAGATGGGCTTAATTAAACTAATTAATTGAGCTTAAATATGAAACTATATGATGATGTTTTCCATATATAATGTAATGGAGTCTAAGTCAGAGTTAGTTTTTATTAAAATAATTTACAAAATCATAATAAAATAATGAAAGCTAACAAGATTGACTATGAATTAAAAGTAAAATAATCATTTCAGCACCTTACTGTCTTCCTGGCATTTTATGCATTTAATGCCAGACAAATATAAATGTGTATAAATGTGATATGAGGAATATTACCCTTTTTTTTTTTTTTTGAGACAGATTCTTGCTCTGTCGCCCAGAATGGAGTGCAGTGGCATGATCTTGGCTCACTGCAACCTCCGCCTCCTGGGTTCAAGCGATTCTCCTGCCTCAGCCTCCCGAGTAGCTGAGATTACAGGTGCCCACCACCATGCCTGGCTAATTTTGTATTTTTAGTAGAGATGGAGTTTTGCAGCGTTGGTCAGGCTGGTCTTCAACTCCTGACCTCAGGTGATCCACCCACCTCGGCTTCCCAAAGTGCTGGGATTACCGGCGTGAGCCACTGCGCCCAGCCATATTACCCATTTTTATGTTTATTGTGTTGCTTAATACTTGAAATCATTCTGTTTCTCTTTATATTGTAAGACTTGTATAGAAGAAGCAGCTTGCACATATTTAGCTCACCAGAAGTTAAGCTCTGGTAACCAATCTTTAAAGCTCTACAGACATCAAACGGTAGAGGTGCCTGATAAAATCCTAATGTGGTCAGCAGGAGAGTTCAGGCTTTGTATTGCTACAGTGCATGTTTCTCAAATATGGGTTATATATTGGATATATGTTCATATCATATATCTAAGTTTCTGTATTAGCAGGTGACAGTATAAGACGAAACATGTAAAGAAAATAGCAAAAGTCATAAGTAGAAAATCATGTTTGCATTCTAGCTTTTCCGTTACATTCTGCATCAGGTAGTGATTACAGTGGGCTGAAATACACAATTGTAATTGATAAGGTTTGAAAAAATCACATGCAACTTAAGCATATGGGTAATGTATTATTGAGAATGTCAATATTGGTTCAGTTCCCAAAGGTAATTTTTCTTTTTAAAGTGAGATATGAATGCTCGTTTGTCATTGGTAATTTCTCTGTTTACATGGAGACAACAAATTCTGTAATAGTAATTTTTTTACTAGGACAGAAGCATGTATTATCCAGCTTTGGCAGCCATATCAGGTATATTCTGGTAAAAGAGGATTACCTAAAATAGAAACCTCAAAGAAGATGGCTATAACAACATTCTGAATTAAAGTTTTTATCACTTTTAGAAACAAAGTATTAAGTTCATCTAATGGAAACGTGTAAAGTGAATTATTTCTATATATTTTATTACACTCATAATCTATTCTGCATATATATATCTATTCTGCATATACATATATAATCTATTCTGTATCTATATTATATATATACAGGTTTCTTCTACATTTTCAGGAATCTTTACAGAAGTGCCCCACTGTACCGATACCAATTTACTGTATTAGTTCCTTCTCACAGCTGCTATGAAGAAATACCCAAGACTGGATAAGTTATAAAGAAAAGAGACTTAAAAGAGGTTTAATTGGCTCACAGTTCCACATGGCTGGGGAGGCCTCAAGAAACTTATAGTTACGGCAGAAGGCACCTCTTCAAAGGGCGGCAGGAGAGAGAATGAGGGCGGAGGAAATGAGGAGGCCCCTTGTAAAACTATGAGATTTTGTGTGAACTCACTATCATGAGAAAGCCATGGCAGAAACCACCCCCATGATTCAATTATCTCCACCTTGTCCTTTGACACGCCGGGATTATTACAATTCAAGGTGAGATTTGGGTGGGGACACAAAGCCAAACCATATGACAAATGCACTTGAAGAAAATGCACATTCTGCTGTTTATAGCTGGAGTTACTATAAGTGTTAATTATGTTGATGGTTGATAGAGTTATTAAAGTCTTTTATATACCTATTGTCGATTTTATCAATTAGAAATGAAAATGGGGTGTTGAAATCTCCAGCTGTAATTGTGAATTTTTATATTCTTCCTTGTAATGCTATCAGTTTTTACTTTTGTATTGAAAATTTCCCTTTTCATTCCATAAATATTTTAAATTGTTACATACTTCCTTTGTAAATTTTAAATTTAATATTTAATTTTGTGGATACATAGGTGTATATATTTATGGGGTACATGAGTTACTTTGATACAGGCATGCAATGTGTAATAATCACATCATGAAAATAGGGTATTCATCCCTTCAAGCATTGATCATTTATGTTACAAACAATCCTATTATACTTTTTAAGTTATTTTAAAATGTACAATTAAATTATTACTGACTTTAGTCACCTTATTGTTCTATCAAATACTAGATCTTATTCATTCTTTCTAATTATTGTTTTGTACACATTAACCACCTCCTCACAACTTGCCTACTATCTTTCCCAGCCTCTTGTAATCACCCTTCTACTCTCTATCTGCATGAGTTCAGTTGTTTTGGTTTTTAGCTTCCCACTTTGATAAAAGGGAAGATCCAAAGTTTGTCTTTGCCTGATGTATTTCACTTAATATAATGAACTCCAGTTCCATTCGTGTTGCTGCAAATGACAGGATCACATTCTTTTTTATGGCTGAATAGTACTCCTTTGTGTATATGCACCATTTTCTTTATCCGTTCATCTGTTGAAGGCTCCTTAGGTTGCTTCCAAATCTTGGCTATTGTGAACAGTGATGCCACAAACATGAGAGTGCAGACATCTCTTTGATACACTCCTTTTCTTTCTTTCGGGTATATACCCAGCAGTGGGGTTGCTGGATCATATGGTAGCATTATTTTTAGTTTTTGGAGGAATCTCCAAACTGTTCTCCATGGTGGTTGTACTAATTTACATTCCCACCAACAGTGTATGAAAGTTCCCCTTTCTCCATCTCCTTGTAGCGTTTGCTACTGCCTGTCTTTGGGATGAAAGCCATTTTAACTGGGGTGAGATGACATCTCATGACATTTTTTTTTTTTTTTGAGACAGAGTCTTGTGCTCTTGCCCAGGCTGGAGTGTAGTGGTGTGATTGTTCTGATTTGTATTTCTTTGATGATCAATGATGCAAAGTCCTTTTTCATATGCCTGTTTGCCATTTGTGTGTCTTCTTTTGAGAAATGTCTATTCAAATCTTTTGCCCATTTTTAATTCAGACTATTATTCTTCTCCTATATAGTTGATTGAGCTCTTCATATATTCTGGTTATTAATTCCTTGTCAGGTAGTTTGCAAATATTTTATTTCATTCTGTTGGTAATCTCTTTATTTGTTGATTGTTTCCTTTGGTTTGCAGAAGCTTTTTAACATGATGTCATCCCATTTGTCCATTTTTTGCTTTGGTTGCCTGTGCTTGTGGGCATTACTCAAAAAATCTTTGCCCAGTCCAATGTCCTGGAGATTTTCCCCAATGTTTTCTTGTATTAGTTTCATAGTTTGAGGTCTTAGATTTAAGCCATTAACCCATTTTGATTTTTGTGTATGGTGAGAGATAGAGGTCTAGTTTCATTCTTCTGCATATGGATATCCAGTTTTTCCAGCACCATTTATTGAAGAGACTGTCCTTTCCCCAGTGCATGTTCTTGGCAACTTTCTCAAAAATGTGCTCACTGTAGATGTATGGATTTATTTCTGGGTTCTCTATTCTGTTCCATTGATCTATGTGTCTTTTTATGCCAGTACCATGCTGCTTTGGTTCTATAGCTCTGTAGTATAATTTGAAGTCCAGTAATGTGATTTCTCCAATTTTGTTCTTTTTGCTTAGGATAGCTTTTTTGGCTAATCCCAGTCTTTTGAAGTTATCTATAAATTTTAGGATGGTTTTTGTCTTTCTGTGAAGAATGTCATTGATATTTTGATAGGATTGCATTGAATCTATAGATTGTGTTCAGTAGTATTGACATTTTAACAATATTGATTCTTCCAATGCCTGAGTATGGAATATCTTTCCATTTTTGTGTCCTCTTCAATTTCTTTCATCAGTGTGTTATAGCTTTCATTGAAGAGATCTTCAGATTCTCCGATGAAGTTAATCCCTAGGTACTCAATTCTATATGTGGCTATTGTAAATAGGATGACTTTTGGATTTTTTTTCCAGAACTGTTCACTGTTGACATATAGAAATGCTACTGATTTTTGTATGTTGATTTTGTATCCTGAAACTTTACTGAATTTGTTTATTAGTTCTAATAGTTTTCTTGTGGAGTCTTTAAATTTCTCCAAATATAAGATTATAGAATCTGCAAACAGGGATAATTCAAATTTTTCCTTTCCAATTTAGAGGTCCTTTATATTTTTTCTCTTGTCTTATTGCCCTAGCTAAGACTTCCAGTACTATGTTGAATAACAGCGATGAAACTGAGTATCCTTGATGTGCTTCAGATCTTAAAGGAAAGGCTTTTAGATTTTCTCCATTCAGTGGATACTAGCTGTGTGTCTGTCACATACGACTTTTATTGTGTTGACGTATGTTCCTTCTATATCCAGGTTTTTTTTTTTAGAGGTTTTTTTTTTTTTATTGTGAAGGGATGTTGACCTTTATCAAATGCTTTTTCAGCACCTGAAATGATTGCCTGGTTTTGTCCTTCATTCTGTTGATACAATTGATCACATTGATTGGTTGTTTTTTGGTCTTCTCTTTCTTCTTTCCTGTCTTGCTTTTAGGGAAGGCGATTTTCTTTGGTGATATGGTTCAGTTTCTTGCTTTTTATTTTTTGTGTATCTGTTGTATGATTTTCAATTTGAGATTACCATGAGGCTTGCAAAGACTACCTTATAACCCATTATTTTAAACTTAACAACTTAACACTGATTGCATAAACAAACAAGGAAAATGAAAACTAACAAACACTATACACTTTAATTTTGTCCTCCTCTTTTTTTTTTTTTTTTTTGATGGAGTCTTGCTCTGTCACCTAGGCTGGAGTGCAGTAGCATGATCTCAGCTCACTGCAACCTCTGCCTCTCAGGTTCAAGTGATTCTCCTGCCTCAGCCTCCTGAGTAGCTGGGATTACAGGCACCTGCCACCACAACTGGCTAATTTTTGTGTTTTTAGTAGAGACGGGGTTTCACCATGTTGGTCAGGCTCAGGCTAGTCTCGGACTCCTGACCTCAAGTGATCCACCTGCCTCAGCCTCCCAAAGTGCTGGGATTACAGGTGTGAGCCACTGTGCCCAGTCGTCCCCCTGCTTTTTAAGCTCTTATTGTTTCTATTTATGTCTTATTATACTGTCTATGTCTTGAAAAGTTATTATTTTTTATTGGTTCATCATTTAGTCTTTTTACTTGAGTAGTTTACACACCACCGTTACAGAGCTGTAATATTTTATATTTTCTGTGTGCTATTACCAGTGAGTTTTGTACCTTAAGATGATTTCTTCTTGCTCATTACCATTCTTTTCTTTCAGATTGCAGAATTCCCTTCAGCATTTCTTGTAGGACAGGACTGGGGTTGATAAAAAATCCCTCAGCCTTGTTTCTTTCTTTTTTTTTTTTTTGTTTTTTGGTCTGGATATACTTTTCTAGGGTAAAAGGTTATCTACTTCAGCACTTTACTTATTTATTTATTTATTTTTATTTTTTGAGATGGAGTTTCACTCTTGTCACCCAGGCTGGAGTGCAATGGCATGATCTCAGCTCACTGCAACTTCCACCTCCTGGGTTCAAGCAATTCTCCTGCCTCAGCCTCCTGAGTAGCTGGCATTACAGGCGTGCACCACCAAGCCCAGCTAAATTTTGTATCATTAGTAGAGATGGGACTTCACCATGTTGACCAGGCTGGTCTCAAACTCCTGACCTCAGGTGATCCGCCCACCTCAGCCTCCCAAAGTGCTGGAATTACAGGTGTGAGGCACCATGCCTGGCCTCCTTCGGCACTTTAAATGTCATGCAACTTTCTCCTGGCCTGTAAGATTTCCACTGAAAGTCAGCTGCCAGATGAAGTGATGAAGTGACACTCCATTGTATGTTATTTGTTTCTTTTCTCTTGCTGCCTTTAGAATCCTTTATCTTTAGCCTCTGGTAATTTGATTATTAAAGGACATGAGGTTGTCTTCTTTGGGTTAAATCTGCTTGGTATTCTATAATTTTCTCATCTTGAATATTGACATATTTCTCCAGATTTGGAGTGTTCTCTGATTATTATTCCTTTGAATAAACTTTCTACCCCTATCTCTTTCTCTTCTTTCCTTTTAAGGCCAATAACTCTTAGATTTGCCCTTTTGAGGCTGTTTTCTAGATTGTGTAATGTGCTTTCTTCTTTTTTTCTTTATCTCCTCTGTGTATTTTCAGATAGATGGTCTTCCAGCTCACTAATTCTTTCTTCTGCATGATCAGTTCTTCTATTAAGAGACTCTGATGCCTTCTTCTGTAGGTCACTTGCATTTTTATTATTTTTATTTTTCCATAAGTTATTGGGGTACAGGAGGCATTTGGTTACATGAGTAGCTTTAGTGGTGATTTGTGAGATGCTGGTGCACCCATCACCTGAGCACCATCCATCTTGGGAAGGCTTTCCAGGTATTCAAAGGGGCTTGGGTCCCACACCCAATAACACTATGCTTCTTGGAGACTCATAGAGGTACTGTCTTGGTGGTCTTGGATAAGATCCAGAAGAATTTTCTGGATTACCAGGCATTGACTCTTATTCTTTTCCCTTACTTTCTCCCAGACTAATGGAGTCTCTTTTTCCGTGCTGAGCCACCTAGAACTTGGGGTGAGGGGGGACATAAACAGCCCTGTGGCCACCACCATGGGGACTGCACTGGTTTAGATCTAAAGCCAGCACAGCACTTGGTCTTGCCCTTGGCCCATTGTAACCACTAGCTGTCTACCACCTATGTTTCCACACTCAAACCACAAGACAAAGTCATTACTGCTTTTCCCTCCCCTTTCTGCAAGCAGAAGAGCCTCCCATTTTGGCCACTACCATCACCACCCCATAGGGTATTCTGCCAGGACACTACCAATGTTCACTTAAAGTCCAAGGGCTATTCAGTCAGTTTGTGGTGAATGCTGCCAGGCTTAGGACTCACCCTTCAGGTCAATGGAACTCCCCCTGTCCAAAGGCAGGTCCAGATTTGCTGTTCAAGAACCTAGTCACGGAATCAGGGACCCCAGGAGCCTGCTTGTTGCTCTACCCAGCTGTGGTCAAGCTGGTATCTAGGGTGCAAGGCAAAATCCCCTTTACATTTCCCTCTGCTTTTCTCAAGCAGAAGGAGTCTTTTAGCATAGTCACCATAGCTGTGAATGTGCTTGGTCACTCTTGAAGCCAGCATGTCTCAGAGCCCAAGGCCCATGATCACCTTGGGCTGAATAATCACCTTGGTATCACTGGTGATTATTCAGGGCCCAAGGGCTCTTTAGTCAGCAGGTGATGAATCCTGCCAGGATTAGGCTCTTCACTAAAAGGCAGCAGATTCTCTTTTGGCTGCCTTGAACAAAGGCAACCATAAAATGTTGTAATGAGCTAAGAATATCATCCATGAGCTAAGGCCTAGAACAGAGATCTCATGACTCTACCCATTGCCCTATCCTACTGTGGCTGAACTAGTATTCAAGATACAAGACAAAGTCCTCTTCACTTTGCTTTTCTCTCCTCAAGCAGAAGGAAGGAGTCACTTTTGTCACTGTGAGCTGCACTGCCTGGGATTGGGGAGGGGTTGGCTCAAGCACTCCCTTAGTTGCCCCAGCTGGTGTCTTAGTATGTCACTTGCCATCCTAGTCCACTGGCTCTAACTCTAGCCTAACACTAGAAGTTGCCTAGGAATTTCAGACCTTGTGTCCTAGACTACCTTTTAAGTTTACCTAGGATCCCAGGGCTCCTTGGCCTGTGGTGGCAAAGCCTGCCAAGAAACTCAAGTTCCGACCTCTTGGATGGGTGATTCTCCTCCGGCAAGAGTTGTTCAAATGTCCCCTTTGTGTATGGACACTGGCCCAGCCCAGCATGGCTCTGCTCTCTTCTTTGACACAGCAGTACTGAGTTCAATGCAAAGTTCCCCAGTTTCTGTACTCCCTCTCCCCTAAGTGCACAGATTCCCCATATCACATGTCTGCTGCTGGGGAATGGGGGAGGGGTGGCATTGGCAATTCAAGACTGTCTTTCCTACCCTCCCCCGTGGCTCTTTTAGTGATATGAAGTTAAAACCAGGTACTGTGATCACTCACCTTATTTTTGGTTCTTGTGATGGCGCATTTTTGTGTGTAGCTCATTGTTAAAATTTGGTGTTCTTGCAGGGGGCACATAGGATGGTGTTGGCTTCTATTTCACCATCTTGCTCTGACCCCCAGAAATGTCATGTACTTTTAATGAGTTAATCACTTTATCACTAAGTGATCCTCTTATTCCTAATAATATTCCTTGGTAAAACAATCTACTTTTGTTTCTCACATTTATCTAGCCACTCAGCTTTTTTTTAAATTAGTGTTAGCATATGTCTTAGCCAGTTTGGGCTACTATAACACAATACCATAGACCAGGTGGCTTAAACAACAAATATTTTTCACAGTGCTGGAAGCTGGAAAGTCCAGGAACAAGGCACTCACAGATTTGGGTCTGGTGGGAACATTCTTCTCGGTTTGTAGATAACCATCTATTTGTAACCTCACATCGCAGAGAAAAACAAACATCCTGTCTATTTTTTTATAAGGATAATAATCCTATCATTAGAAGTCTATCTTCATGATTTAATGTACCTTAATTACCTCCCAAAGACCCCCACCTCCATATACCATCACACTGGGGATTAGGGTTTAAATGTATGATTTTTGTGGGGGGAGGGGGCAGTGAGCATAAACATTTAGTTCATAATAGCATGATACCTTATATCTTCTTATTCTTACTTTTAAATGATTTAGGTCTGTATATTTAAAGTGCACTTATTGTAAAAAATATATTATTGGGTCTTGCTTTTTTAGTCATTTTTACAATCTCTGCCTTCTAATAGAAATGTTTAGACCATTTACATTTATCTCATGTATATGTAAAGTTTAGGAATATTACAACAGCAGACTTTCATATTCTATACCTTGGCTAAAGTCACAGAGCACACGATGACATAAAGGTTTGCTACATCTGATTTGCTCATCCAATTTGGAAGAAGAAAGTAATTTAACTCAATATAATTCTTCTTATGGGAAATTCTATCTGTATCATATGCCTCTTTGTTACAAAAAAGGATCTTTATTAGAAAAATATGTAAATCAGGAGAAGCTAATTGATCTTCTCTATTTGCGCCAGACCATCTGTTTAACAATGGCAAAGCCACAAAGATGTCTCAATAATATCTTTAAGTCACTAGTCATTTCTGCAAGAAATAAGTGTGATTGGTGGTTAACACACAAAAGCCAGAAAATGAACAAGAGTTGGCTAATTCTCAAACTGAAAATATTTGTTTATTTAGTTTAGCAGGTTCCTTGCTATAGAAATGCCAACCTTCTGCCTGAAAAGTTGAGCCATTGGTTAGTCAGTTTCATGTTCACCTCCTGCTCTGCAACTGCAGGGGAATTTAAACTATGTAAATCAACCACTTGAAAGTATGAAACGAGTACAAATGTGTGCATTCCTACACATATTCTATACTTTGCTTAAAGTCAAATAATGTCTTCTTGTTAAGAGAAATGCTTCAAGAAGAAAATTGCTAAGAATGTTGAGAATAAGCTATTACATATTCAGTCTTTCTCCAGTAAAAATAGGTGGCAAAATCATTGTTCTTCAAACATATACTTACTACAACTTTACATTCATATTTTTAATCTAAATTCACCTATGCACCTGACAAGGGTTAGCATGTAGTATGTACAAACTTGATTGCCATTTATTTTAAATTTAACTTTGGTGAAGTGTTTGTTTAGTATATGTCAGTGTATTTACATAGACACATTTGATTAAGTGTGTTGGCATATGTCTTAGTTATTAGTTTATTAGTTTGATTAAATGTGTCTACGTAAATGATTTTAAAACATAATAATGAAGTAAGTTAAAATTTTATCAGTTAGAAAAACAGTCATAAGCCGAAGGCAAAACATATGAGTTCAACAAATGCAGAATGCAGGACTCACTCAGAGATGCTGCTGGAGCAAGCCAACAATACTCTTTGTCAACGCTGCATGTAAAGTGCACATTCAAAGCTCTAGGATTGATATAACCACAGAAAGGTGTTCTAATCATACCGTGGCAGTGCACTTGGAGTTCGGAAAACATTCATTATGCACCTAAGCATTTGCATGTTTTCTTCAAAAGAATTAATAAAACATATTAATGACAAATACTGTGGTATAAAAATATAATTTCTTTACAAAAACTATATATGAGCCATACTATATATCTTAAATTAGTAACTACAACACCTGTACATATCAACCCTGCACAAACAAATTCACCTTTGTTTCACTTTTGTACATGAATTATGGGAACACAGCTACTCAGTTAAACTAAATTGGCAAAAGGGTATGTGTGTAAAAAATAGAGACCTGAGCCTATGAAACTACTGCAGCTCTTAGTTCTAAATGTCTATTCTGCAATTATTGTTCTGCACATTCAGTCCAGATTTGAATAGGCAGAAAAATTACAGCATTTCTAATAGATTTAAAAGTAATCTGTAGTGCATGCTGATGTCTCTCTACATCTTCAAGGTTGTAATGGAGCTTCAGTAAGTTGTACAGTATTTATATTTTGGAAGTAAGCTTATATAATTTTGAAGTAAATTCTGTGAAAATGAAACATTTAAAACATTTACAAAGTCTTACAAGTAATTAAAGCACTATTTTAAAACTTGTATCCTGTTAAAATGCTTCTTTTTGCAATAGTATAACATATGCTTTAATTTTGAATTTTAACTTATGAAGAATTCAATTTAATAGCTCATGAAAATTTTCATATTTCACAAAAATACAGAGTTATAATTCTGAAAATGTATAAATGTAAGGTATTTTATTAATGAAGAGACTGAGGGCCACATAAATCACATGAATTGACTATAAATTTATTCAAATATATTGGTCTGGCAAGAATCAATAAGATTTATTACTAATTTGTATTTTGCTATGATTCTTAGAAAATCATAGCAACTCAAAAGCAAAACTTCTGAACTTTCTTCTTTTAAAATATTTCTTAAGCTCTGTACTAACTAGAAATAATTTTAAAAGGAATAAAATCAGGTGGCCAATAAAACTAGTATAACATATATTATCCAATAAAAATTGGCTGCAGAGACCACTGTTTATATGAAACAAGGTTAGAGAAAGTACTTAAACATTGAACTTTTATTTTTTATTTTTATTTTATTTATTTATTTATTTATTTTTTGGGACGGAGTCTCACTCTGTCGCCCAGGCTGGAGTGCAGTGGCGCGATCTCGGCTCACTGCAAGCTCCACCTCCGGGTTCACGCCATTCTCCTGCCTCAGCCTCCCGAGTAGCTGGGAGTACAGGCGCCCGCCACGAGGCCCGGCTAATTTTATTTTCTTTTTTTTTTCTTTTCTTTTTTTTTTTTTTGGATTTTTAGTAGAAACAGGGTTTCACTGTGGTCTCGATCTCCTGACTTCGTGATCCGCCCGCCTCGATCTCCTGACCTCGTGATCCACCCGCCTCGGCCTCCCAAAGTGCTGGGATTACAGGCGTGAGCCACTGCGCCCGGCCAACATTGAACTTTTAAAATATGGAGAATATATACTGTAGCTTGGAGCAAAAATAATTGCAGTTTTGCCATTACATTCAATGGCAAAAATTCTAAATTTAATTATATTGAAAGTAATGGCAAAACCGCAGTTACTTCTTCACAATTACTTTTGCCCCAACCCAGTACGTGAGAGACAACAGTGAACCACAACCAGTTACTAGAATCATGATCTACTGGATTTCCATCATTTGTTTGCTCAAAACAGTGCTGGGTACAGAAGTTTCTTAAGCTCAGGCAACTATTTAGTTCATCTACTTTTGTTGAAGTAGAGTGAATTTCAATTTCCCTTAGCGTATTCATCTTATAACTGCCATGATTAAAAGCATTAGTCACCAAATAAAAATGAAATGGTTTCTGCCCATATATGGAGATCTAATTTGTTGTCTACTGAATTTCCCCTCACAGCTATATGTCCAGTTTTTTTCACGGTTTACTATATTATTGGAATTTTAAATTATTTAAACAGAGAAACTTGAATCCTTTGGGGTATAATGTTATTACCGCCTGGCTGTGAGCATGCATTCTGAATCTTTTCCTAAATGGTGATGCTGGAGAATCTAATGATGCAATTTAGTACAGCATATACATATCTAACTGCGAAAGCTACGGACACTTTATGCCACTTGACGTAAGTGTTGGTAGTAGCTTTAATCTGTAGAATTTGTGATGGTGCTAGTGGTTTCTTAGTAGCAAAGTAACAAAGATCTTTGCTGCATATGTGACTACTCCCAATTTTTTTGTAGCTATCACTTCCACCCCAAAAAGACAATTGAGCACCTGTACCACCTGCAATAGCACATGGTGAGCTGTTGTTCTTATATCTTGATTACTTATTTAATGGTTCCAAGAATCTGATACTAGCGTGGCCTACCTTATTGTATCCAGATTCAGGTAAGAAAATGAACTGTTATATTGCCATTCATAATCATAAAGCAAGTATTTATTATTTTTCCCTTTATGTGGATCCCATCCACCAAAAATATGCATCTTCTTTTCTCTAAAAAGGCTATGTAAAACTTCATTGCAGTGGCACTGTTCCTTTCATTTGTGGTTTTAAGTATCATATAGACTTAATATCAAATTGCCATAGATCATCCAGCTAAGCATCACATATTTCATCAGTAATATATATTTCAGTACTTCTGGAATCTTTCTTGCCACAGAATTTTTCTTGCTACAATCTAGAATGGCCACATGTCTCAGAGAAGGCACAATCCATTGAGCCATTGGACTGTTACAATCAAAAGCTCCAGAAGCATCCTGTGGCTCCAATTCATACAAGTTATTTAAATATCTGGGAATATTATTTTTGACTCTTCACCTTTATTTTCTGACCACAAGATGAATAGCCATTGTTACCATTAGAGAAAATTTATATTAATTTAAATACAAACAGATACATAAAAAGATAGGGGATGGGATTTTCCTTTTTTTCCCATAATAAACAACTTGCTTATAACTCACAGAACTTGTATCTTGCATCTTCAACTCTTCCTCCAAATACAAATACTCTGGTACTATCACAAATGAATCCATGGATGGTAAGCCCTGGATGGATATCTTCTCTAACATTCAGTAGAATCCACTGACACATAACAGTGTTGTAGAGATTTGCAGCTCTTCCACAATGCCTCTTTGTCCTTTCTAAAAGTGATCATCAGCTCCCAGAGGACCAGAGTCTGGTGTCCACACCAAGCATGGAGGATGGGCCCCTTATAACTACTGGTGTATACTTGTCTACAAACTCTATCATCTTGGTTGGATTCAATTGATTGATTGTCTTCTGATTATGGGCATCTTTTTTGTTTCTTTGCATGCTTGGTTGTTTTTGATTGAATGCTAGATATTGTGATTTTCCTTTATGATTGCTGGATGTTCCTATAAATATTCTTAAGCTTTGTTTTATGACACACTTAGGTTTCTTAAAAATAGATTAATCTTTTGGGGTCTTGCTTTTGAGATGTGAGTTTGAAAAAGAAAAATGTTTAGTCTCGGTCTAACTTATCCACATTTGAACTAAAACTCCTGGGATTACTCTACTTAGTACCCCAATAATTAAAAGATTTCCCACTCTGGCTTGTGGAAACAGACATTATTCCTAGCTCTGTGTGAATTTCACTGAGTTTTCACTATAATTTGTGTAGTTATTTTCCCAGCCTCAGACATTTTCCTCATATGCATAGGTTGATTGGATTTCATGTGAGGGCTTGAGGAAGATCATCTGCAGATATCCGAAGTTGTCTCTCTGTGCAGCTGTCTCATCTCTGGCACTCAGCCTGTGAACTCCAGCTGAGTTGGCATTCTCAGATTCTTAGCCAATCTCTTCATTTCCGTAGTCGACCCACATCCACCTGAGTTCCCCTTCCCTGTACTGCTGCATCTGGAAATTTTCCCTGGGCAGTAATCCTAGCAACATGGTTTAGCTGTGTCCCCACCCAAATCTCATCTTGAACTGTAGTTCCCATAATTCCTACAAGTTGTGGGAGGGGCCCGGTGGGAAGTGATTGAATCATGGGGTTAGTTACCTCCATGCTCTGTTCTCATGATAGTGAGTAAGTTCTCATGAGACCTGATGGTTTTATAAGGGGCATTTCCCCCACTTCGCTCTGCACTTCTCCTTGCAGCCACCATGTGAAGAAGGAGGTGTTTGCTTGCCCTTGTGCCATGATTGTAAGTTTTCTGAGGCCTACCCAGCCCTGCAAAACTGTAAGTCAATTAAACCTTTTTCATAAATTACCCAATCTCAGGTATGTCTTTATCAGCAGTGTGAGAACAAAGTATACACTGGTTAATCTGGGTAATTGTAGGACTGACCTTGTTTGTTCCTCACCTCTCAGGGATCACTGCATTTCACTGCTGATGTTCACCATCTTGAAAACAGCCGATATATACATTTTGTCTGGCTTTTTAGTACTTTAGGCAATGAGTAAATTTGCTCTGTATAACTCTTTCTTGACCAGAAGTGAAAATCTTTGCTTACGTATTCTTTAATACTATCATCAAATTACTTGTAAGAATTTATTTAAAAAATCACTAACCACCCATGGCTATTTCAAAGATATTAAGGGAAATAAGGGAAATTGATTCAAATGTGAAAACTTTGTATAAAGCAAAATGAGCGAAGAAATTCATATATATATATACATATATGTAATTTAAAAAGAATTACTTCAAGTGTATCTCATAGGAAAATACCCAGAGTAAATTATAAGATTTTCAACAATCATCTTATAAATAATCAGTTAAGAGGCATTCTAAATTTCAGTTCAAACTAATCTGAAATTAATATTTTCCTTCATAGTAGACAATCACCCAAAGTTTAGACAATTTTGAATTTTTTTAATAAGTCATTTCAAAGACTGTGCCATATATGAGTAGGAGATAAAAAGATGCTTTCAAATTCTCTGAACCCCAAGGTTCAACATTTGTAAAGTTTCCATTTTCTCCTAAATTATAAAAATTTATCTTCGCTTCTTCACAAAAGTACTGGGTACTACTTTACAGGCTTTATAGTAAGATACATGTTTTTTCACCTTTTCAGTTTCACTCTGATTTTAAGCTATTCACCTCTTTAATTTGTCTGGTTACCATGGATACACTAATGTCATTTGTATATGCCAAGCTTATGGACAAGTAAGATGTGGTTTAGAAAACTTTAAATATTGTGCAGCAGTTATTGAGTCCACATATGTAGTGTGAAATCTATTTATAAATCTATGAGTTTTTCATGTTTACAATTTTAAAAGCATAAGAATGATCTGGAACATTTTCAGTTTTAAAATATTCTTACTTTCTAGAGCATAATTGCTTCACTTTGAATATGTTTTATCTTTAATGTAATTACCAATTATCATTGTTCACTCACTCATATCAGTTTCTAATATCAGTATAAAGCAATGACTAATGGTCTTGAAAACCCCTGAAGGAAAGAAGATTATGAATGTGCCATGCACTCCAGCCTTGGAGACAGGGAAAGACTGTCTCTGAAAAAAAAGAAAGAATGGAATGGAACAGAACAGAACGGAAAGGAAAGGAAAAAGAAAAGGAAAGAAAAGAAAAGAAAAAAGGGAAACATATTTCTGCTAAATTCTATTGTCGGAAGAATGTAATTTAGCAGTGCTACAAAATGTGGAATACTTTTACATAAAAATAAAAACTACTTCAGCTGTATCAAAGGATTAATGACTGAGCAGCTCGTCACTTTATCAAACAAATGTCAGGTTACTTTCCTAGTGTGAGCATCAAACTTTTACAGCCATGATATCCCCACGGTACTTTTATTACAGGAGCTCTGAAGTTAGGATGCGTTTCACACAAGCAGCACTGGCTGCTTTTCCTCCCTGGATCCTTGTTGTGTTCCACGTAGGAGTCTCCTGGGTCTTATTACTTTAGGCTTAGTCCCACGTAGGCTTTATGGCTATGTGGACTTTGATTCCAGTTTAATTACTCTCCCAGTTATCAGTAACTTTTCATAAAAGTAGAATTTTTACACCCTGATTTAAAATGAAATTCATTTCCCAAGCCTAAGTCTCTGAGCCCTGTC
Source organism: Homo sapiens (assembly GCF_000001405.40). Lineage (NCBI taxonomy): Eukaryota > Metazoa > Chordata > Mammalia > Primates > Hominidae > Homo > Homo sapiens. The sequence continues at coordinate 108,477,442 of NC_000013.11, read as the reverse complement.
TTCATTTGTAGTAAAACTTCCTCCCTAGATCAATCCATCATATTGAAACTGATTCTGTCTCCAACATTATTCTTTCTGCTTAAGTTCTAACTCTCTGTGTCATTTCTGCTCTGACACTAGCACCTTGACTGTTATTCTATTGCCAGCCTACACTAGACAGCAAGATGCTTTTCCATTTCTCATTAGTGCTAGCTACATATTTTTACAGGTATGGTTAGAAAACTAGGATAAGTGAGCACGCAGCTCTATTACAATTTCACAATTCTTGAGGATTGATATATGGTATATTGACTTTGTTATTGCAATGAACACCTTCAGCCAGCTGAATCTGATGTATCTAATGATTTATGTAATTAGTATTATGCTTTGTACTAATTAGATCAGAAAGGTAAGTCATTGTTTTACATTGTTGTCATTAACAGTGTTTTCTAACAACCAAAGCAGTTTTAATTTTTCTGTTTTAAAAAAAATCTTATATTTATAAACGAGTTAAATAGGATATATTTTTTATAATAGCTACAGTCTTGTATTTAAAATTATCACCACTAGACATTAAAAAAAAGGTTTTAGATATTCTTTTTTTTTTTTTTTTTGAGATGAAGTTTCACTCTCATTGCTCAGGCTGGAGTGCAATGGTATGATATTGGCTCACTGCAACCTCCACCTCCTGGGTTCAAGTGATTCTCCTGCCTCAGCCTCCTGAGCAGCTGGAATTACAGGCACCTGCCATAACACCCGGCTAATTTTTTGTACTTTTTTTTAGTAGAGACGGGGTTTCACCATTTTAGCCAGGTTGGTCTCAAACTCCTGACCTCAGCTGATCCACCCACCTCGGCCTCCCAATGTGCTGGGATTACAGGCGTGAGCCACTGTGCCCAGCCAAAAGACAGATTAATAGGAGGAAAGGCATATAAATTAGATTTTATGTTATTTATTGATTGATTGATTGAGACAGAGTCTTGCTCTGTCACCCAGGCTGTAGTGCAGTGGCACGATCTTGGCCCACTTCAACCTCTGCCTCCCGGGTTCAAGCGATTCTCCTGCCTCAGCCTCCACAGTAGCTGGGACTACAGGCACCTGCCACCACACCCGGCTGATATTTATTCTTTTTTTTTTTTTGAGACGGAGTCTTGCTCTGTTGCCCAGGCTGGAGCGCAGTGGCACGATCTCAGCTCACTGCAACCTCCGCCTCCCAGGTTCAAGCGATTCTCCTGCCTCAGCCGCCCAAGTTGCTGAACTACGAGTGCACGCCACCACGCCTGGCTAATTTTTATACTTTTAGTAGAGCCAGGGTTTCACCATGTTGGCCAGACTGGTCTTGATCTCTTGACCTTGTAATCCGCCTGCCTTGTCCCCGCAAAGTGCTGGGATTACAGGTGTGAACCACACCGGCCCTATTTATTCTTCAATATCATGTCTTCTCCTGTCCCAAACCTACCTCTATCTTGATCTTAGAGTCTTAGATGATCATAGATACTGATCTGCAAGCGTCTACACAATCTTCTCTCAAGACCCCCCAAACAGTGATAGATACTTAAGCTATTGTTCCTGGTCTCTGTGGCCATGTCATGTATCTCAGAAACTGTGGGCACCAAGAGGGCAGAAATAGCATGCTGGGAAATGACAGCATAATTGCCACATGGCACAGATGGGATGCTAAGGCTCCAGATAAAGGAAAGGCCACTCTGAGAACTGATTCTGAAACTAAGTATTTGAGGAGGGTCTGGGAGAACTGAAGTGAGTGGATCATTTCAAGGCAGAAGAAGGAGAAGTAAAGCCCCAGGCCTGTTGTGGCCAGTTGCACACCGTTTTGATTCTGCTTTCCCCTTATGGAGCCATGAAAATAAAGAAGCAGGTTCAATGTCGGGCCAGGGCTTAAGTATATCTTAAGTAAGAATATCATCCTCTTTCTATTAGGAAAAAAATCTAACTTTTATATTATCTGAAATTTTTAGCAACAAATTCTTTCTTTATAGACATGGAAATATTTAAAAATAAAAATATCTGAGAGAGGTGGAGCTGACCTAGGACAGAGAATGCGTTTTTAGTCTGTTGAAATGATGATACAGCATATTTTCCATTTGCTAGAAAGTCATGAGATACACTTATGGGTTATGGAAGAGACAAGATACAATGCCAGGATGGAAGGAAGCCAAATAAAGAATGGAGATTCCCCACACCAGCCTTTCTGATTTTGTAATTTACTAGTTTATTCTCAGTCAAGAGAATAGGGTAAATAGATGCTCCTCATGGAAGCACTTCCACCCCTATGAATCTTGGAGAGCCACCTTCTGCCTGAAGACCGAGGCACTAGAAGGTGAATTACCAATGAAGATCAGATCCCTCTTCAGTCAGTCTACATCTTAAATGCGAATGCCAGTTTGCCACTTTGACTCCATTTATCTCAAGTTGAAATCTCTGCAATTAATCTTTTTGCCTTGTTTCAAATCAGCTTCCTAAATGCATCACCTCTGGGCATTTTAGAAATTTCTTTGTACCAGAATATATTTGCCTAAAAAAATGAGTTGCCATTTCAAATAAACCTCTAGAGGCCAAAGTGGTTTATGTTAGCCATTAAATTTTCAGGTGGTTGTTCTTATTCCTGTATTTTAAAAAATTACTAAGAGTAAAAACAAAAATATCATTGGTCTCTGAAAACACAATGTTCAAAACTGCAATTTTTAAAAATGACATCTTGTCTTTCTAACAATACCGAGTACAATTGTTATATGTGATTGTTACTTAACATTCTTAAATTTGGTTCCACCATAAAATGCATTTTTAAATCTTAAAATATAAATTATACATATACATATATATCATGTATATACAGGTATATAATGTACATTTCAAACAGAATTTGCTTCTGAACAGCATTCCACAGTATCTATTTTTAATTCTTTTCTTTCTGAAAGAATATAAGACAGCTTACGAGGAGAAATATAAAGTGCAGTTGTCCTTTGTTATACACAGAATTGGTTCCAGGATCCCTGAGTACACCAAGATCTGTCCATACGCAAGTCCCCACGTCAGCCATGTGAAACCTGTGTATCTGAAGAGTCTGCCCTTGGTATAGGCAGGTTTTGTATCCCATGAATACTGTATTTTCAAGCTTCATTTGATTGCAAACAATCTGTATATAAGTTGACCTACACAGTTCAAAACTTTTGTTGTTCAAAGAGCAGCTGTAGAAAGAGGTGCATAGGTATGGAAATGAAAGCAAAAGACAAATAGAGGAGGCAGAACATTAAGATGAGAGAATTAATTGATACATAGCATATGTATTGCAGTCTTACAAAATGGCATCTATAATAAATGACTGATTTAAAATATAATAAGCATAGATGGCCACTAAATTTGGACCTCACAGTTGTTTTAGAAATGATCAACAGTAAAAGTGAATGTAAGCATATATCTCAACATTTGCATCTTTCACAAGATAAATGTGTGCTACTTGCTGTGGCAATGGCACACTTTCTTTTCTTGTTATTTTGGTCTGTGAAAAATATTTTCCAATGAAGCATTTTATTTATAGGCACACATAACCAGGTTGTCAAAGTGGCAGTGTTTACAGAAGGATTGTAGCTAATTTTACCTGTCATGATACTCTGGTGTAGAAGATGTTAAACCTTTTAAGAAACAATTAAACAGAAATAATTAACATTTGTAAATTGCTATATAGCTTAAAATAACTTCTATATAAAATAGTTCTTGTAATCTTAAAGTTCTTGGAAACCATTAATTTCATTACTTCAATTTAATGTTTGAGATTACTGAACATAGCTCTTTCCCAAATCCGGTGAGGAAAACATTTAGGACTCAAATTCAGATTTCATGATTGCATATAATGTTTTCATTTAACTCTCCTGAATTTGGGATGTTATATTTTTATCCTGAGCATGTCATTTATGTTTTTAGTTTACATTGAAAAAATTTTCTTCTGAATTTTGATCAGAGGTAAGTAGGTCTTAGTGCATTGAGACAAATAACTAGTATATTTGTCCATTTTCACACTGCTATAAAGAACTTCCCTGAGACTGGGTAATTTATAAAGGAAAGAGGTTTAATCAGCTCACAGCTCCACATGGCTTGGGAGTGCCCAGGAAACTTACAATCCTGGCAGAAGGGGAAGCAGCCACCTTCTTCACAAGGCAACGAGAGAGAGAGAGAAGAGCAAAGAAGAACTTCCAAACACTTATAAAACCATCAGATCTCATGAAAACTCACTAGAACAGCATGGGGGAAACTGCCCCCATGATCCAATCACCTCCATCCCTCTACATGTGGGGATTACAGGTCCCCTCTCGACATGTGAGGATTAGAATTCGAGATGAGGTTTGGGTGACAACACAGAACCAAACCATGTCATTCTGCCCTGAACCCTCCCAAATCTCATGTCTTTTCACATTTGAAAACCAATCATCCCTTCTTAACAGTCTCCTCAAAGTCTTAACTCATTTCAGCATTAACTCAAAAGTCCATAGTCTAAAGTCTCATCAGAGACAAGGCAAGTCCCTTCCACCTATGAGCGTGTAAAATCAAAAGCAAGTTAGTTACTTCCTAGATGCAATGGGGGTGCAGGCATTGGTTAAATGCTCCCATCCCAAATGGGAGAAATTTGCCAAAACAAAGAGGCTACAGGCCCCATGTAGGAGCAAAATCCAGTGACAGTCATTAAATCTTAAAGCTCCAAAATAATCTCCTTTGACTCCATGTCTCACATCCCAGGCATGCCGATGCAAGGAGCGGATGCCCATGGCCTTGGGCAGCTCCTTCACAGGCTGGCATTGAGTGCTTGTGGCTTTTCCAGGCAGTGCACGCTATTGGTGGATCTACCATTCTGGGTTCTGGAGGATGGTGGCCCTCTTCTCATAGCTCCGCTAAGCAGTGGCCCAGTAGGGACTCTGTGTGGGGGCCCCAGCCTCACATTTCCCTTCCACACTTCCCTAGCAGAGGTTCTGCATAAGGGCTCTACCCCTGCAACAGACTTCTGCCTAGACATCTAGGTGTTTCCATACATCCTATGAAATCTAGATGGAGGTTCCCAAACCTCAGTTCTTGACTTCTGTGCACCTGCAGGCTCAACACCATGTGGAAGCTGCCAAGTCTTGTGGCTTGCAGCTTCTGAAGCAATGGCTTGAGCTGTACATTGTCCCCTTTTAGCCATGGCTGGAGTTGGAGTGACTGGGATGCAGGGCACCAAGTCCCAAGGCTGCACACAGCAGCAGGGCCCTGGGCCTGGCCCATGAAACCATTTTTTCCTCCTAGGCCTCAGGCCTATGATGGGAGGGGCTGCTACCAAGATCTCTGACATGCCCTGGAGACATTTTCTCCATTGTCTTGGCTAGTAACATTCGGCTCCTCGTTACTTATGCAAATTTCTGCAGCCTCCTTGAATTTCTCCCCAGAAATTTTTTTTCTATCGTTATCATTAGGCTGCAAATTTTCCAAATGTTTATGCTCTGCTTCCCTTTTAAACATAAGTTGCCATTTCAGATCAGCTTTCTTGAGTTCAAAGTTCTGTAGATCTCTAGGACAGGGGCAAAATGTCATCAGTCTCTTTGCTCAAGCGAAGCAAGAGTAATCTTTGCTCCAGTTCCCAAGACGCTCCTTATCTCCATCTGAGACCATCTCAGCCTGAATTTTTTTGTTTACATCATTATCATCATTTTGGTCAAAGCCATTCAACAAGTCTCTAGGAAGTTCCAAGCTTTCCCACGTCTGTCTGTCTTCTTCTGAGCCCTCCAAGTTGTTCCAACCTCTGCCTGTTACCCAGTTCCAAAGTTGCTCCCACATTTTCAGGTTATCTTTATAGCAGTGCCCCACTCCTGGTACAAATTTATTGTATTAGTCCATTTTCACACTGCTATAAAGAATTTTCCTGAGACTAGTAATTTACAAAGGAAAGAGGTTTAATTGAGTCACAGTTCCACATGGCTGGGGAGGTCTCAGGAAACTTAAAATCATGGTGGAACAGAAAGGAGCCACCTTCATCACAAGGCATCAGGAGAGAGAAGAGCAAAGGAGGAACTTCCAAATACTTATAAAAACATCAGATCTTGTAAGAAGATCTTGTAAGGAAAAACAGCATGGGGGAAACTGCTCCTATGATCCAATCACCTCCCTCCTTCAACATGTGGGGATTACTGGTCCCTTCCTCGACACGTGGAATTACAATTTGAGATGAGGTTTGGGTGAGGACACAGAGCCAAACCATTTCAACTAGTACATAAACTTTACTTAAGGAGTTCCCTTGAGTATGAAAAGTAAGTTGAGTTTCTTGCATTCACCAACGTGACTTAAAAGATCATTTCTTATCCTTTCATGTGCATATGAATCACCCGGGGATTTTGTTAGATACAGATTCTGATTTGGCAGCTGGGGGGTGGTGCCAGGCACCAGCATCTCTCATTGCATTTTCCACAATGCCAAGTTGATCTCTGGAGCTTCCCTCTCCATAGGCTTGCGTAGTTCCCAACTTCTTTTCAATTTACAGATTTCAGTATCAAATGTTACCTTGGAGAATTTCACAGCAACCTTGTTTAGTGTGTGAGCTATGAATTGCTATTATTGATCTCATTTTACCGATAAAACCAAGTCTTTCAAAGAGGTCAGTGAGTACTCAGAACAATTCAGCTGCTAGAAAGGCAATTACAAATTCACATTAATGGCTGTTTTTCTGATTTGAAAGCTCTTTCCACCATCTCACCACTGCCTTAGAAAAAGTGCTATGATACTTCGTCTTGCACTATTATACCAGGACACTGTGCATCAGCAAATGCAGGAGTTGGCAAAGTGGTGCAGTTGTAACCCAAAAAGGTTCAGAAGCATCTGCTAACTCCTGCTACACAAGCTCCAGTTCATTTCCCTGCAAGACAAACCTGCAATGGCACCACCTGGCTGGGTGCTGCTTTCTGGTTATGTTCTCCCTTGGCAGCCCAAGAGTAAGTTAGATTTGTGCTAGGTCTTGGCTCATTGCTCTGAGCCCACGTCCCAATTGATGGCTGGAGGAGCAGCTGCTCTTCACTCATTGCATGCATTTCTCTCCTGTCACTCTTCATTTAGACTTCATTCAACTTCATCTGTTTCCTGGCTGCCATTTAACTACAATCTCAGTCCTTCCTTATCTTTTAATCTAACTTTGATTTCACCTCCTTTTTCCTGTATTAAAGTTATATAAGAGGAGAATTTTCTATATGGTTAGAAGAGTGGTAGAAAATATATAATTATGTGTAGTTTCTTTTCTTTTTGAGAGAAATGCAATTTGTCAGGGTTTTAAAAAATGTGTTTGTTCTTTAATCTCCTGTTTTAAATTTTACCACAGCGGTCATTTTTGTTTTTAGAAAATTGCCTTCATCATGGTAGGAAGAATATTTTATATTTGGCTGATTGACTCTTCAGCCAAAAACTGTCCTTCAAGGTGCCATCTTCACATTGCGTATCCATAAATGTTGAAAGATGGTAATGACGGTGAAAGTATTATTTCATGATAAGCTGAAAAGGTGTGACTGGCAACTGTCAGCAGAAGAATCACTGTAAATCTTAGTGAGAAAAACTGCAATGGTATTCAATGATAGCAAGGTGGTATTTCAGTGCAGAGCAGTAAGCTCTTCTCATACACCCACACTGTAAATCTGGTGAGTATCACTTGATGTCCATAAGTAATGTAATTAAAGAAACACAGCTTACAAACAAGGTCTGTCCTCATCAAAGAAGATTTATACAGAAATATCATGTGCTACAAAAACTGTCTTTTATTTCCTCAGCTATTTGTTCATCTGATCAGAAAGTATAATGGGCGTTGAAGGTACAAAAAAAATAACAAAATTCCCTGTCCAAAATATAATTTTATTAAAATTACAAGCAACTATATAGTTTATAAATATATATACACATACACACATATTGACTTGGTTTGGATATTTGTCCCCTCCAAATCTCAGGTTGAAATATCATCCTCACTGTTGGAAGTGGGGCTGGGTGGGATGTGTTTGGGTCACAGGTGCAGATCATTCATGAATGGTTTGGCGTCCTCACCACAGTAATGAGTTCACATAACAGCTAGTTGTTTAAAGAGCCTGATATCTCTCTTGCTCCCTCTTTTTTCATGGGATGTGCCTGCTCTCTCTTCACATTCCACCATGACTGGAAGCTTCCCAAGGTCCTCAGCAGAAGCCAATGCTGGCACCATGTTTCTTGTACAGCCTGAAGAATTGTGAGCCAAATAAACCTCATTTCTTTAAAAATTTGTCTTAGTTGTTCCTGGATAGCAATGCAAATGAACTAACACAGAACATTGCTACCAAAAAGTGAGGTATTGCTCTGAAGATACCTGAAGATGTGGACATGGTTTGGAACTGGGTAACATGAAGAGTTTGGAAGAGTTTTCAGGTCTCAGAAGAAAACAGGAAGATGAAGGAAAGTTTGTAATTTCTTAGAGACTAGTTAAATGGTTGTGATCAAAATACTTTCCTTTAGCCACTTTCTCCCTTTTGGAATGTAAATTTTTACTCAACGCCTGTACCATCATTGTATCTCCTGAGAAAGGCAGTCTTTCCAGGTCAGCAGAGCCCCAAGATGCCAAAGAATTAAAAATATAGAAAATAAGAAGGCATGAATAATACAGTATAGATAAATGAAAGCATTTATGTGAAAGGTTCTTTTATTGTATATAACCACAATAACGTGTTTCAAAATTATAATTACAAAGCATTTTCACAAATAACTTTTCTCTTGATCAATGCAAATTCCTACAAGGAAGATAGAGATGTGTAATCCTCATTTTACAAAATAAAGAAAAAACATCTTTTTTTTAATGTAATTCGCCTCATGTTTACTATATTAATCCATTTTCATGCTGCTGATAAAGACATACCTGAGACTGGACAATTTATGCAAGAAAGAGGTTTATTGGACTTATAGTTCCACGTGGCTGGGGAGGCCTCACAATAATGGCGGAAGATGAAAGGCACGTCTGACGTGGCAGCAGACAAGAGAAGAGCTTGTGCAGGGAAATTCCCATTTTTAAAACCATCAGATCTCATGAGACTTATTCACTATCATGAAAACAGCACAGGAAAGACCCAACCCCATGATTCAATTACCTGCCAACAGGTTCCTCCCACAACACATGGGAATTCAAGATGAGATTTAGGTGGGGACTCAGCCAAACCATATCACAATAGTACATGGCAAATGGGTTAAACATTCAACTGATAAAATTAAACAATAACATAACTAGGATAACATAGAGGGTAACTTTCTACATAATACTTGGTTGAAAGGCTTAGGATAACCACTGTTTCAGTTATCTATTGATGTATAACAAATTGCTTCCAAATTTAGCAGCATAAAATAATAAATATGTATTATCTGTTTCTATAGGTCAGGACCTGGGAAGGGCTTAGCTTGGTGGTTCTTACTGGTGTTCCTCAGGGTCCTCTTGAAAGCTTCCTACCACACCTCAAAGGCAGAAGCATAAAGGAAATGTGAACTTCTCAAAGTGCTACTTAGAACACTTATGCATCTGCAGGTTTTAAAACTGTAGGATACTTAGCAGACGAAAAAAATAAAATAGTTGATGAGGAACTGGTTAGTACTCTAAATATGCAAAGAGCCCTTAAAATCAATTTAAGAAAAATAATTAAATTTTTAAAAAGAGCTTCCAGGAGACTAAGGGCCAATTGAGAAAAAAAGAAATTCACATTTCTTCCAATCACACAGAAAAAATATTCAACTATACTAGCAGTTGAAGAAATGCAAATTAGAAAGTGAGAATATATGTTCAAATATCATGTAGATAAAAATTAAAAAGAATTATAGGCACCAGAGAAGACAAAGGTGTCCACGTACACTGCTAATAGGAATAAAAATTGGTATAGCTTTTCTAGAAACAAGTTGCCAATAAGTATGACACGCTTTAGAAAATGTCCAGACTTCAGAAATTGTCATTCTAGACATCTAGAACAAGACATCAAATATAGATGTAAATTTAGCCACAAAGATATTTATCACAGAATTATTAAATAAATTATTGTATTATTAAATTGTTTTATTTATCATAGATTTATATCAGCAAAAATGGAAACATTGAAAATATCAAACATTAGAGGAATTATAGGATATCCCTCTGTAAATGGAAAAATGTCAGTCTCTCCACCTCTTACCCCATGGTAACTAAGAGGAGAAAATGGAAAATTTCTCTTCTAAGAGAATCAAAGAGCCAGAACTCAGCTGAAGGACAGACACTACTGAAAGCCACACTGTTTTCTAAAAGTAAAAGAACAATGAGAACACATGGACACAGGAAGGGGAACATCACACACCAGGGCCTGTTGTGGGGTGGGGGGAGGGGGGAGGGATAGCATTAGGAGATATACCTAATGTTAAATGAAGAGTTAATGGGTGCAGCACACCAACATGGCACATGCATACACACGTAACAAACCTGCACATTGTGCACATGTACCCTAAAACTTAAAGTATAATAAATAAAAATAATAATTCAGTTTAGCTCTGGAGAAAAAAGGGGCAGAAAAGTGAACAAACATGCAGGAAAGGAAGAGCAGGGGAAAGAGGGAGACACGTGCTGAGAACAAAGTATAAAATAGAAGCCTCTAAAAAATTCCTCAACCAAAAAATGGATTGAGTGATGTCTAATGCTAGTTTTCAGATTATTTGCATTGCAGCAAAGTAAACCCCTTCTTCTCGCCAAACCTTCAGTCACACACACAAATGTCTTCTGTGATGTTTATTAAGGAAAATACCCAAAATTCATATCTAGGTCAGTCTGGTACAGACAAGGAAATTTTATGTGAGATAGTAAGAAGATTCTAAGAGAAAACTAATTTAATGGAAGCCTGAACAGAGAGCCAGGATTGACGGTGAGAAAAAGAACATCTCCAGTAATTTATAGAAATCCTAGTGAGGGCATTGAACTTTCTACAGTCTATTATATGTGCGATTTTGAGCCAATCTTATCTACAGCTTAGGAAGTAGGGTGACCCCGGTTGCTATTTCAATTGTCCAAATCATAGAATTCTACGCAGCCCTTATCAATTAAGTTTGCAAAGAATGTGTAATGGCAGGGAAGGTTGGAAAAGCTTATACTGTTTAGTGAAAAAGCAAATGTAGAATTGTATAGCTAGTATTGAAATTTAATCATATGCATATTTTTATACATTTAAAAGATTTATAGTGCATACAACAATGCTAATAGTAGCTATCTGTGGTGGTGAGTGCAAAAGTGAATTTTTATCATCTTTATTTCATACAAGAAAAATCAGTGCTTTATTTCCCCATTTCTTGTTTTTGTCAGGTTTGTCAAAGATCAGATAGTTGTAGATATGTGACATTATTTCTGAGGGCTCTGTTCTGTTCCATTGGTCTATATCTCTGTTTTGGTACCAGTACCATGCTGTTTTGGTTACTGTAGCCTTGTAGTATAGTTTGAAGCGAGGTAGCATGATGCCTCCAGCTTTGTTCTTTTGGCTTAGGATTGACTTGGCAATGCGGGCTCTTTTTTGGTTCCATATGAACAATAACCACATGATTGTCTCAATAGATGCAGAAAAGGCCTTTGACAAAATTCAACAACGCTTCATGCTAAAAACTCTCAATAAATTAGGTACTGATGGGATGTGTCTCAAAATAATAAGAGCTATCTATGACAAACCCACAGCCAATATCATACTGAATGGACAAAAACTAGAACATTCCCTTTGAAAACTGGCACAAGACATGGATGCCCTCTCTCACCACTCCTATTCAACATAGTGTTGGAAGTTCTGGCCAGGGCAATCAGGCAGGAGAAGGAAATAAAGGGTATTCAATTAGGAAAAGAGGAAGTCAAATTGTCCCTGTTTGCAGATGACATGATTGTGTATCTAGAAAACCCCATTGTCTCAGCCCAAAATCTCCTTAAGCTGATAAGCAACTTCAGCAAAGTCTCAGGATACAAAATCAATGTGCAAAAATCACAAGCATTCTCATACACCAATAACAGACAAACAGCCAAATCATTAGTGAACTACCATTCACAATTGCTTCAAAGAGAATAAAATACATAGGAACACAATTTACAAGGGATGTGAAGGATCTCTTCAAGGAGAACCACAAACCACTGCTCAATGAAATAAAAAAGGACACAAAGAAATGGAAGAACATTCCATGCTCATGGGTAGGAAGAATCAATATCGTGAAAATGGCCATACTGCCCAAGGTAATTTATAGATTCAATGCCATCCCCATCAAGCTACCAATGACTTTCTTCACAGAATTGGAAAAAACCTCCACAACTTGATGTGAGTTCTGGTGGCTAAATATGGCAGATGCCTCTTGAGAATGCTCCTACCCTTTTTTCAAATTTAATTTTATTTTGGATTCAGGGGGTAATTGTGCATATTCATGACATGGGTATATTGCATACTGATGGGGACTGGGCTTCTATTGTACACATTATTCAAATAGTAAACATTTTACCTGATAGGTTATTTATCAACTCTCACCCCCCACATCTTACCCTCCCTGTTTCTAGAGGCCCTAGTGTCTATTATTTTCATCTTTATGTCCATGTGTACACACTGTTTAGCTCCCACTTATAAGAGAAAAAAATGTGGTATTTAGTTTTCGTTTCTGACTTATTTTACTTAAGATAATGTCCTCCACCTGCATCCATCTGCTGAAAAAGACATGATTTTATTGTTCTTGTGGCTGCATTGTATTTGTGGTGTATAGACATCACGTTTTCTTCCTCCAGTCAACCATTGATAGACGTGTAGGCTTGTTCTATGATTTTGCTATTATGTATAGTGCTGTGATGAACACACAGGTGCAGGTGTCTTTTTTCATATAGTGATTTATTTTCCTTTGGCTGGATACCCAGTAATGGAATTGCTGGCTTAAATGGTAGTTCTGATTTCAGTTCTTTGAGAACTCTGCATATTGCCTTTACATCCTGTGCCTTTCTGAGACTGTTACCTCATTCTTTACTGGAGAATCTGTTCCATCCTGCCTTCACTGTGACCTTGCTCCATGAAGGCCTCTGTCTCTTCTACTTCTTTTCTATGTGCTATTTTCTGTCTGCCTATAAATATGCTCCAATATGTCCCATGAAATTGTGTTCCAGTCTCTGGCCACCACTCCTAAGTTATCATTGTATGCCATTTTTACTCATTGGAAATTAAACTCTGTATATCTCTTACCTCATTTTCTGTGCATTCCTCAAGCAATTGAAATATGGTTTCATGTCTACTACATTATTAAAATGTCACTTTCCAAGGTCACCAATAATCTCTAAATTGCCAAATCCAATAAATGCTTTTTCTGCTTATTTTACGTGATGTTCAACAGACCAGTGAGCCCTTCCTCCTCTGAAGATTTCTTTCTACTTGTTCTTGATAACAGCTCCATTTCCTGGTTCCCATGTTAGGGCACAGTGAGAAGGTAGCTGTTTGCAAACCAGGGAAGAGAGCCCCACCGGGAACCAAGTTTTCCAGAACCTTAATCTTAGACTTTTCACTTCCAGAACTGAACTGTGATAAAATAAGTTTCTGTTACTTAAGCCACATAGTCTGTGATATTTTGTTATGGCAGCCCTAGCAGATGAATACAATGAGGCAAAAATACTGAGCAAAGTAAGCTATGATTTAACAGTGACTCTTGCTAAATAACCATCTTGAGTACAGAAAGCATTCTAAGCTGTTCTCGGTAATGCTCTCAGTGGACATCTGGGGACTCCATGGGGTGAAAGGGTTAAGTAATGTTTAACCGGTATGTATACTTAGTTCTTTTTATCATTGAGACTTATTAGCACACTGAGTATCAATCCACTAAGAATGAATAATACCTAGAATGACATCAGCTTCCGCCAACATGTAAGAGGTTACTATGGTAATGGAGAAAGTTTTTCAGAGCACAAAACAAGTACCATGCTTGATATATTAGTCAGCCAGGGAAAGCAGTCACATATAAGCTACAGCATTCATTCAATGAATAGTCATTTATACAGCATGCATGTTAGCAATTCCACTGTGTTTTTCTGAAAATCAAAACTTTGGCAGTTGTATTGAGATTCTTGGCAGTTTTACAAAAGTGTTAGCACTCATTTTCAGAGCTTAGCTTTTTTGTCTTTTTATTCTTTATTTCTTGGAACCCATATTTTCAACAGGTTCACAGGATTTCTTAGCCTAAACACCAAAGTGAAAGTTCCCTACTAGGGTTCAATTCCACTTCATGTTCATTTTCACTGAAAAATCAGCACATTTTCTTTTCTGATAATTTATAAATTTGTTAGTTATTAATTATATTTGGCTGAAAAGCACAATGTTTTATTGCCCAGCCACTTTCTCTACATATTTTTTAAAGATTTTAAATGTACACAATTAAAATGATTTGGCTCCCACAAATTATTAAGTTGTTTATCACCACTCCTTTTCAAAAGCTACTGTGAAACAAAATAACAAAAGACTATTAAAAATAAAATGACCAATCTGGTCTTATATGGTGAGATGTAGACTTTATCTCAGTATGGAGAAGAAGATCAATTACTTCCCTCTGAGCAAATTATTTGAAAATGGAAATAACTGCTGGGAACCGGAATTAAAATAGGTTCTCTAAAATCAAAGTAACCCAAACTGGGATAGTTCCTCTCTTCATAATGGGATAAGGATAGTGTAGACCTAGTTTCTCCAAAATCAAGGTAACCCAAACTGGGATAGGTCCTCTCTTCATAATGGGATAAGGAGAGTGTAGACCTAGGTTCTCTAAAATCAAGGTAACCCAAACTGGGATAGTTCCTCTCTTCATAAAGTGATAAGTATAGTGTAGACCTAGGTTCTCCAAAATCAAGGTAACCCAAACGGAGATAAATCCTCTCTTCATAATGTGATAAGGATAGTGTAGACATAGGTTCTCTAAAATCAAGGTAACCCAAACTCGGGTTAGTTCCTTTCTTTATAATGTGATAAGGATAGTGTTGACCAAACCATATAACGTGTCTCCATTTTTTCAAGGTATTTTTTCAGCAAACTTTTAAGTCTCTCATAAGAGTTTTATGAATGAAACTCCCAAGTCCTAGTCTAGGTAGGAATTTCTGTCTCTGTGATGCTTGCAGCAAGTTAAGCCCACGTTTTTCAGGAAGCCCGCCACACATTCGGTCTCTAGTAAGCAGAACAGAGTGTTGATAATGCCAACAATATTGGCAGTAATACCTGTTGATACCTGATGGGTGGCAACAGACAAGCAGATCTGCAGAACCCAAGTAGGACCTACTCAAAGTTTTCTGATTCCCCTAGAAGGCCCCGATGTCTGGAAGGTGTCACTCTATTCCCATTCCATATCATTGCTCTGGACTTGGCAATGACTCAAAACTTGAGAGAATGTAGAATCTTCTATTTTTCCACCACACTCTGGCTAATGGTTCAGTGAAGGAAAGTGAAGTAGAAAACCACAAATCAATGCTTCTGAGTGGTTTCAGAAGTATCTCTATTAATATGGATATTACTGGATTAGAAGAGAGGATCACACATCATACTGTCTTTAGAAATTTATTCAGGTTGCAGCCTGGCATGGCGGCTCATGCCTGTAATCCCAGCACTTTTGGGAGGCCGAGGCGGGTGGATCACCTGAGATCAGGAGTTTGAGACCAGTCTGGCCAATATGGTGAGACCCCATCTCTACTAAAAATACAAAAATTAGCTAGGCATGGTGATGCACACCTAATCCCAGCTACTCAGGGGGCTGAGACAGGAGAATTGCTTGAACCCCGGAGGTGGAGTTTGCAGCGAGCCGAGATCACACCACTTCATTCGAGCCTGGGCAACAGAGAAAGTCTCCTTCTCAAAAAAAAAAATTGTTCAGTTTACAATTAACCAATTGAAACATTTTTGTGAGGAATGAGGAAAAGCCCTAATCTTTACACTTTAGTCACATACACACACACACCTCTACACCCCCCCACACACACATAGAGTATATTTAATGTAAGAACTCATACAACTCCATATTTGGAGTTATCCATTTTAAAAAAAATCAAAATGTAATGCCTCTTCTAACCTTAAGATCAACTTGCTGGACTAGTCAGGCGCCATCTTCTCTCCAGATAATATGGTACAATTCAATGCAGTTTTACACTTAATGATCATTTAATTTTAATGTGGAACAATTTAAAAGGGCTTCAGTGACCCAGTTACAATGATTCTAGTTTCACAATGATAGAGCTTCATTATTTGACATTTGTACACAACCATCATTTGGGGGAGTGTGCGATTTGTTTTACTTGATGAAAACAAATTCGTTTCAGTAATATTTTAAGGAGATAATCAATAATGTGTGATAAAGACCTGCCATATATATTTTTTACCTTTCAAAACACTTAACTATATTCAGCTTAGAGTGAAAATAAGTAGTAATGCCTTTGAACAAAGCCAAACCACAAAGCCAAGTTTCAGCTCAAGGACCGATGGGAAAACTCAAACTTGGCTAGTGTCACTTCCACTTAGTATCATAATCAAATGTGTTAATTCACAGTGCAAAGGACCCCGGGAGATCTCGAATATATGGTGCCATGTGTGGGCTTCCCCGTGGCTCCCTCCTTCCTGACAAATGCCTTCCTGATGCATTGAGGAATCCCCCAGTCCTGAGTGAGGTGGGTACTGCAGGTGCCACTGCTTTTTAGCCAGGGGCATTTAGGACAGATGGCAGTTAGTCTAGCACCCACTGCCTTCCTGCTCGCCACATTGGCACAACCTGGTTACTTCAGAGTTTCCTTCCTTACTGTGTCTTCAGTCCTTTTTTCATTGTCAGAGAAAAGAGTCTGGGTGCGGCCTGTGATAGGCATAACGCTCAAAAGAAATACTTCAAACCACTATTAATTTAAAACCGAGAAATAAGCTAAACTACTAGTCATGAAGCTGTCAGAATACATCTAAAAGGCAGACACTGCACAAAATAAATTGAGAGACAGAGGAAAAGCATTGCATGAGATTTCCAACTTTCTTTGGGAAGAAGAGTAAGGTAGCACAAGTGTTCGGTAAATGTCATAATGCTCCTGAGATAGTTTAAGCAGATAAATATCCCAAATTAGCACATTTTAAAGTTTTTGTAAGTACGTGCCTTTGGCTGCAATGTACTGGTTACGGACATGCTCTGTGGCTCCGCAGTTATGGTACCAAAGGTCAGTGTACTCTGCTGAAGTGGCTTAAATCACCTGTGCCTCAGTTTGCTTATCTGTAAAATGGGCAAAATAATAGCAACTTAATATTTTGTAAATTTGTTAAGAGAGTCAAATGAATTAATGAATGTAAAGCCCTCAGAGCATGCCTGTGAAGGTTAAATATGGAAACTGGTATTATGTTATGATTATTGCAGGATTCTTAGACATTACAAAATGATCCTTTAACCTCCATAAATTCATGCTAAATTCTACTGCTGTTTATCCATTACAGAAAACATTGTGATTGTCAATGAGATAGTTTCACTCTTGTTAGCTCTTTCTTTTTGAAATACACATTAAGTGAAAACAACTCACTTAGTCTCCTCACAGTGAGTCTTGGCTGCTGTAATGTCTAGCGGGAGAAGAGGTAACATGACTGAGTAGTTACAGGTTTGGGAACGTTCTGATGCAAGAGAATGGAAAGCAGCAATGAGTTGGGAAATCCTAAAAGCAAGTGCTAAGAACAGGTCCTAAGGATAGCTCAGCTCATGTGCTCTTTGACCATCTAGTCAGCTCTCAAGGTCAATGGTGGCTTCCTAGACCATTAAATAATGTTAATGGTAATAATAACTGTAGCAGGAGCAGTGTTGCCATGTAACTGGCATAGTTCTAACTATACCAACAAATGTACTCCACACTTAATCAAAATATTAGGTTGGTGCAATAGTATTGGCAGTTTTTGCCATTGAAAGTAATAGTAGCAGGCACTATTGCTAATTCTCATATTATAGTTGAAACTTACATAGAAATTGCTCAAGGTCACACAGCTTCCAGCTGGAGGAATGTGACATGAAGTTCACCTTAAACGATACCACAAACTCACTCTCAGTAAGTACTTGGAATTGAGAGACACAGCAGGAATTTTAATCAAAATCCTAGAGTCACTGATGGAGAAACAAATCTCATGACACAGTGCTTCTGTGCACACAGTGCTTAGCCTTCTAACGAAAGTAAAATTTGAAGGTATGTTTAAGTCATATTCAGAAGCAACAATTTCACTGTCATGCCTTGGTACTTGTTTCATAAAAAGAAAAGAATCAGAGTTTAGAATAGACTATGTTTCAAAGTAAAAAATAATGTAATTGCACACATCTACTTCCTTCGTCATTATCACTTCTAAAATATATCATAGGAAGTAATATTACATTCAGTAGTATAAGAGAAGCTGTCCATTTTGGATCATAAACAATCCCCCAGCACTTAATTTTAAACCCCACTTAAAGAAAAATGCAATGTCTTTTGTCTGAGATTGTCATGAAAAAAATGAAATAAGTTTATTACTGTCCAATCGCATACTTCAAAACCAGTTTTTTCTTGTTATTGAAAATAATCCAGTTATACATGTAATTATCTGAACAGACTTTAAATATTGCTCACTGCATAACCCAATTATTCATTCATGTCTTCATTCATTGAACAGATACATAATCAGTACCTATGAGGTAGAGAAGCTGCTTTTATGAAGGAACATCTTGGGAGGGGGAGAGAGAGCAAGCAAGTGAGCAGGAGAGTGTAAGAGAGCAAGAGGAAGGATGGAAGGAAGGGAGGGAGGGAGGGAGGAAGGAAGGGAGGGAAAGAAAGAGCGAGGGAGGGAGCATGGGTGTGAGAGGGCGCGAGAGTGGGAAGGGGGAAAGAGAGGGAAGGGGTGAGAGAGGGAGGGGAGAGAGGGAAGGGGGAGAGAGGGAAGCGGGGAGAGAGGGAGGGAGGGAGGAAGAAAGAAAGCAATGAAAGGAAAGAAGGAAGGGAGAAAGAGAGCAATAAAGGAAGGAAGGGAGAGAGAAAGAGTGAGAAAGAGAAAGAGTAGGGTGATGAAAGAAAGAAACTGAACATTATCAACACAGACCTGCTTTGGATAGGTTGGTTGGGGAAGGCCAGCTCTATTTGCAATTGGATTATGAAATATATCTTACATTTCTAATGAGAAGGATAAATTTCATTTCTATGGTCTAGTTTTGATTTACAGAAATAGTTTTCAAACATCAGTAATTCCCAGATAGTCTCCAAAACAGGATCAAAACACGCTTTAAAATAGGTCTTTGTTTTGCCTTTTTCTGCCCAGAATCCTTCATTAAAAGATATCTAAAAGAAACCCCATCCACCCACTTAAATCCTAAAGAAGCACTGACTTACTCTGTGTTGGTGATGTGTTGTGCATAGTATTCATGAGAACAGCTTTGATTCAACATTAAGTACTTTTCTGGTTTCTTGTATTTAAATAAAAGATTTAACAACCCTAACCTGGGCCCGTAGTTATAACCTTACCTGTCAATAATTTGGGTCCCTGCATTAGTTGGTTTGCAATGCTATAAATCCCAGAGGATGGGTAATTTGTAAAGAGAAGAGGTTTATTGGGCTTACACTTCTGCAAACTGTACAAGAGACATGGTGCTTGCATCTGCTTCTGGTGAGGGCCTCAGGAAGCTTCCAATCATGGTGAAAGGTGAAGGGAGGTGATATGGTTTGGCTGTGCCTCCACCCAAATCTCATCTTGAGTTCCCACTTGTTGTGGGAGGAACCCAGTGGGAGGTAATTGAATCATGGGGGCAGGTCTTTCCTGTGCTGTTCTCATGAGAGTAAGTCTCATGAGATCTGATGGTTATTATAAGGGGGAGTTTTCCTGCACAAGCTCTCTTTCCTGCTGCCATCCATGTAAGACATGACTTGCTCCTATTTGCCTTCCACCATGATTGTGAGGCTTCCCCAGCCACGTGGAACTGTAAGTTCAATTAAACCTCTTTTCTTTGCAAATTGCCCAGTCTTGGGTATCTTTTTATCAGCAGTATGAAAATGGACTAATACAGAGGGCATAGCCCATAGTGAGAAGGAGCAAGAGAGAAGGAAGGAGGCGTCAGTCTCTTTTAAACCACCAGATCTCTCTTGAACTAACAGAGTGAGAACTCACTCATTATTGCAAGAACAGCAACAAGTCACCCCCATGATCCACCCCCATGATCTAAACACCTCCCATTAAGACCCCACCTTCAATACTGGGGATCACAATTCAACATGAGATTTGAAGGGGACAAATATCCAAGCCATATGAATGTCTGAATACTTTCTATGGACATATTAGAGAAGCTTGTCCAGCTAATGATAAAGGAGGATAGCAGCTGCATTTCTCCTGCTTCTAAGGAAGTACATCTGCTTTCTTATAAACATGAGTCCAGAAATGTTCTATTTATTTGGCATACTTTCTGTTAACAATTAAATGTGTGTGTGAGGAATAATTTTGGAAGTTAAAATATTTGATCACTGCTTGAGATCCAGAAAATTTTAAAAATTTATATTCTGGAACAAAAGTAGCACCAGGCTGCTTTTCAGATACTTTTATATGGTGAGATGTATGCCCAGGCTACTTCCTAAATTGGGATTCTTTATCTCCCATGTAGTATATAAATGTTTATCATTTCTTTCTCTATTATTATAAAGGCAATGCATGCATAATATGGAGAATTTGAAGGAAAAAAGATTAAAAATATAAGTTATCTGTATCTCTACCACCCAGAAATCATCATTATAAACATTTTGGCATGTATTTTGCAAATGATTCTCTCACAAAATTAAAGACATATTGCTCCTACTAGATATGTTTTTTTATACTACAAAATATAATCATAAGAATTTTCCTGTGTCTTTAAATATTCTCCAAGAAAATCACTTTTAATGGTTTAATATTTTTAGAGTAAAAAAATGGATGTAGAATATTCCATCACATAAATGTACCAAAACTCACATTTAACCACTGCTCTATTATTTAACATTGTTGCTGTTTTCAAGTTTTGTAAATAGAACTGGGATTGACGTCATTGCACATAAAGCCTTTTGTGTATCACTAATGATCTCCTTAGGATAAACTAGAAGTTTGATTATTGAGTTAAAACACATGAAAATTTTAAACGCATTTTATATGTCTAGCCAACATTTTTTATAAACAAAGTTTTTCTCAAGTCACGCTCCCACTGGCATAGACTAAAAATATTTACCATTATGTCTTTCATACGAACTGGTTTTACTGTGATGACATTTGGAAGCTGTATAGTCTTTATAGTAGGAGAGGAAAATACATATATTTGGCTATATGGCAGTAATTTAAGATGTGGGTAAGACAGTACTCAGGTCAAATACATGAAACTAAATATTTATGTCACTAAAAAAAGAATGAATTAAATTAAACAAACGTATATCCTGGGAATTTAGTGAAAGCATGTCAAAATAAAAAAAAGGAGAAGAAAAGAAGTAATGATATAAAGCCAAAATAAATAAGTCAAAATTCGAAGTTAAAATGGGGCATAAGGCATATCAGAGAAGTAAAGTTAAAAATTGATTCTCTGACAACCCTGATAGATTGCCTCCTGTCTACCCCAGTGGTGTCACCATCATGTTCTAAAGCCTTGTTTCCTGGTGGGCACGGTGGCTGGTGCCTGTAATTCCTGAACTTTGGGAGGCCAAGGCAGGGGGATCACTTGAAGTCAGGAGTTCAAGACCAGCCTGGCCAACATAGTGAAACCCCCATCTCTATTAAAAATACAAGAATTAGATGGGTGTTGTGGCAGGTGCCCATAATCCCAGCTACTCCCATGGCGGAAGCATGACAATCGCTTGAACCCAGGAGGCAGAGGCTGTAGTGGGCTGAGACCATGCCATTGCACCCCCAGTCTGGGGGACAGAGTGAGACTCCATTTCATAAATAAATAAATAAATAAATAAATAAATAAATAAATAAATAATTCTTGTCTCCACTGCAGAAAGAATATGAAAGCTACATTTTCCAAGATACTCTCCTAAATATGATTTCAGATTTTAGAGCCTACCAGTAAGAGGGTCTCACTCTAGATTTGAAAGGAAGGAGAGAGGTTGGGAGCATGTAGGAGATGGACAGGGTATGGAGGGGGGCAATTTTTTTCTATTGTAAATTGGCAGCCATACCAGAGCAAAGTAAGGTCTGAATAAGCCTCAAGATAGCATAAAAAAGGAAACACATCAAATTTTGATTCTTTTGCAAAACAAAATAGAACCCAACACACATTAAAAAAATAACAGCCTACACAAAAACAGATTCATTACAGGAATGCAATTATAGTTAAAGATTAGGTAAACTATAAATTTAAATAAAACAAAAATATTATCATTTCATTTCATGAAGAAATAACATTTGAAAAATCTCAATACACTTCCTGAAAACAGAAAAAAAAACAGTTGTATAAAATAGGAACAGTTAAATATTTTACTTGATTAAAAAAATGGTAAAATCAAGCCACGTATCATACTTGGAGGAGAAATGCTCAGAGTGGTTCTGTGTAGCCCAGATCAAGGTAGGAAGGCTCACTGCTAGCATCAGCACTTAGAAGTCTTTTCAGAAGGACTTGCCAGAGCAAGCAGACAAGAAAAAAAGAAAGAAAGAAAGAAATTGTAAAATGGGAAATGACATGGAAAAATTATCATTTGTAGGTGAAATAATTCTGTACCTAAATCCAACAAAATCAAATAAAAAATACAAATACACCAAATACAATAAAAACCATTAAATACAAATCAGAAAGGGATTGGTTCTACTAATACAGCCACATAGAAGCAATTCTTACTCTTTTTATCTTTAATTAAAAGAAAATACCTGATGTATAATATCCCCAAAAAGGGAAGTTACAATATCTTGATAGTATGTCAAAGAGATATCTGTACCCCCATGTTTATTGCAGTGCTATTCACAATAACCAAGATGTGGAATCCACGTTCAGTGTTCATTGTAAGAATAGATAATGAATATGTGGTATATATCTACAGTAGAATACTAGTCAACCATAGAAAAGGAGATCCTGTCATTTATTGCCAACATGGATGAACACGAACTTGGAGGATGTTATGTTAAGTGAAATAAGTGCTACCAGAGGGTGGTATGGTTTGAAGAAGAAGTAGTTGGGGTTGATGTTGGTCAAAGAATATGTAAGTACAGTTAGAGAAGAAGGATAAGTTCAAGAGATCTATTGTACAACATGGTGAGTAGTTTATGACAATAGATTGTATCCATGAAAAATGCTGGGAGTAGGTATTAAGTGTTCTTGTTACAAAAAATAACTATGTGAGGTAATGCATTTGTTAGACATAACCATTTGAAGTATACATACCTCAAAACATTATGCTGTACATGATAAATATGTATATTTTTACTTTATTATTGATACCTAATAGTTTACATATATTTGGTTACATGTGATACCTTGATACATGTGTACAATGTGTAATGAGCAAATCAGGTTAATTGGGATATTCTTCATCTCAAACTTTTATCTTTATGTTAGAAGCATTCAAACTTTTTTCTCCTAGCTATTTTGAAACATGCCATAAATTATTGTTAACTATAGCAGTAGTTATAGTTAGATAACTATTCATCCAACTGAACTACCTAACACTAAATCTTAACCCTTCTAACAGTATTATTTTACTCATTAACCAACCTCTCTTCACCCCCTGCCCCACTTTCCTCTTTCCTCACCTCTGGTAACCACTAAACTACTCTCTACCACCATGAGATCCACCTTTTCAGCTCCCATATTTGAGTGAGAAGGTGCCATACTTGTCTTTCTGTGCCTGGCTTATTTCACTTAACATAATGACCATCAGTTCTATCCACACTGCTGCAAATGACAGGATTTCCTTCTTTTTTATGGCTGAATAATTTTCCATTGTGTATATACACCACTTTTGTTTATCCTTTCATCTGTTGATAAACACATACAACTTTACACATCTATTTAATAAATAAATATGGAAAAAATTGATAAATTTAACTATACTTACATAGAGTAAAAGATGAAAAGGACAAAAACAAATACTTGCAGCTAATATGAGAGAAAATGGCCTTTTTTTTTTTTCAAGATGAGATCTCACTCTCACTGAGGCTGGAGTGCAGTGGTGTGATCTCAGATCACTGCAACCTCTGCCTCCCAGGCTCAAGCGATCCTCTTATCTCAGCCTCCCAAGTAGCTGGGACTACAGGCACACACCACCACATCCAGCTAATTTTTTTTTTTTTTCGTAGAGACAGAGTTTCACCATGTTGCCCAGGTTGTTCTTGAACTCCTGGGCTCGAGAAATCCACCTGCCTTGGCCTTCCAAAGTGCAGGATTACAGGGGTGAGCCCTGGGCCAGGCCTGGGACTCTTCTTAAAATAAAATTTAAAAAAAAGTATTTACAAATTGACTGTGTGCATGTATGCATTTTTATATATACACAACACAATATAAACTAGCAAAGTATATGAACATATAACACATAGAAAATTAAAATTCTGGTTAATATGTAGAAAAAAATGCCTCTGATATGAACGACCCCTCCTTTCTTACTTTCATCTAATTCTTAGTCATCCCGCACAATCGGGCCCTCACTTCACCTCTTCCAGAAACTCTGCCACTCTCCTCCTCACTCCCCCTCCCACAGTGTGAGCTGTATCACCCTCCTAGGAGCTCTCGGGGCTCCAGGGCAGCCGCTGCTTCATGCCACTATAACAGCCCGTTAAGTCAACTTTCCCCCTCCATCTACTCACACTTCCTGAGAACTCAGTGTGAATCTTACTTGCTTTGCGTTCTAAGTCCTACTTGCAGCTCCTGGCAAATAGTAAGCACAATATAAATGTTAACTAAATGAATGAAGAAATGGTGTTTGGATTCATTTACTATGGTCAATATTCAGTATTAATGAAGACATTATGCAATCATAATGTTTACCCTTAAATAACCATAATCTTGTAAGGTCTTGTATTTAATATAGTTGTGTAATTATATGTGAATTACATAATGTGAATTATAATAATGTCATATAATACATTTCTCTGACATTTCAGTAGGTTATTGAACTATAAATGCACCTTGATTTTTCCAGCTTCCTTAAATCTGCTTAGTATTCTTCTGCCTGGAATCCTTTCACTATTCAAAATCCCCCTTTTCCCTGCAAGAAACCTCAAAGCCCCACCTCCTCTCAGATGACCACCCTCATTTCTGTCTAGTTCCATAGGTTTTTGTTTCCTTACATTATTTCGTTATATGCTTTTCCACATAGGTGACAGCAACCTCTATTGGTTTATAAGTTCCTTTAAAAGCAAAGTGTATATGGCTTTCATTTTTATATCCCTCCAGAATCTGGTAGAATTTTTTGCATGGAGGAGATACTTAATCTTTTCAAAATTAAAGATTGGGACTTCCAACCTCAGAACTAACAAGTTAATAGAAGATTCTTAATTACAACGGTGATTTTCAGTGCAATGTTTTGGGAATTATGCTAAGCTTTTTACATGCATTAACTTATTTAATTCTCAAAATAACCATCTGCATGAGTATAATTAATATCACCATGTTTTAGACTGCCATATGAGAATCAGAAAGAAAAGTAACTTGTCAAAATATATACAACTGATAGTGTCATCTTAACTACTATGCTATCTACTTATGGAAGTTATATATTGGCAATAGATTTGTCCCTAATTTCATTAATCTGCTTTCTTTTTTAAAAATGAGAAAGAAAAAATTCCATACTTTCCTTTAGGTAATTCAGTTCAGTCAGTTCAGTTTATTTACCCAATTATTAAAAGATATTTATAAGAATCATGGGTTAATTTGATTGAATTTACATACAGAGAGAGAAAAAATGAATCTCTGAATAAACTAAATTTTTTTAAGCAGTAGAAAATATGCAATGTGGCTGTGATGGATAATTACACTACTGAATAGTTGCAACTGAGGTGCTTATTCTCCTTCAAGGGTGGATGTGGTTTTGATTCTAGGAGAGGGCAGGCACTACCTTTGCTCTCCCTTCACAGATAATTAGTCAGCTTAGCCTCTTTCCAGATGACAAAAGACCCATCTGCGATTCCACGGCCCTGTCACTCTCTATCTCATGTGAGCTAATTGTGGTATCTGCAGACCGACAATAAAGGGCTCCCTCCTTTCCAGGAGACCCATTTAGTGTGGTGTTGTCATGGCAGTGGTCTTTTCTTGGTTGCAGAGAAGCGGCTGCACTGATTCTCCTAGGGTGGCAAGGATCTGTTTCTTACCAGTGCCCTGCATGATTCAAAGATAATGTGGGATAAGTCAATGATGGGGACCCTCGGAAGCTGTGGCAGGGTCCTTTCTGTCCACTGCTCCATCCCACTTGCCCAGTAAAAGCCCTTGCTCCGCCGCTTGTGATATGCAGCTGAGTTCAATCATGTGGCAAAGGGTTAAGTCCGCACAAAACAGTAGATTATCAGAACTTCCAGGAAGACACTTCAGCTTAAACGATACATCCTAGGCTTTGCCGAATAAAGAATGAACACTTTAGACCCTGTATCAGTCCGTTCTCGCATTGCTATAAACAACTACTTGAGACTGGGTAATTTATAAAGAAAAGAGGTTTAATTGACTCACAGTTCTGCAGGCTGTACAGGAAGCATGGCTGGGAGGCCTCAGGAACTTAGAATCATGGCAGAAGGTAAAAGGGAAGCAAACACGTCTTACCACGGTGGAGCAGGAGAGAGAGAGTGCGCAAAAGGGGAATTGCCACACACTTTTAAACAATCAGATCTCGTGAGAACTCTATCACAAGAATAACAAGGGGGAAACCCACCCCCATGATCCAATCACCTCCCACCAGGTCCCTCCCCCAACACTGAGGATTACAATTCAGCATGAGATTTGGGTGGGGACACAGAGCCAAACCATTTCGGGTTTTAGACCTGTATCTGTTTTGTTGGGAAATTTTGAAGTCTTATTCGTTGATAGTGTAAACGAAAATGCCTCTTCATTCTGGGAGCTGATGAGAGAAACAAGACAGTGGCCTGCTGTCTCCCAGGATGGTGGGGTACCCTGATTGCTTCAATGGCCCAATTTAATACCCTTTGCCATATAACTTTGTAGGGTCCTCCCACTCTCACTCTTGGCTTGGCCACATGTCCTGGCTGATGGTGTTTAGCAAAGTGGTGCAAACAGAGGCTTGAAAAGCTCAGTGTGTGGAATCTTTCTCACTTCTGCCATCGCCATGGCAGACTACACACCTAGGCTAGGTCACTGGAGAATAAGAGACACATGGAGTCAATCCAAATAAGGCCACCGTGTATCAGCCATAGATGTGAGCGAGACAAGCTGAGATCAGAAGTACCACCAGCTGAAACCAGTCTAAACCACCAATCTACAGGCTCATGAGCTAAATGCATACTAATTAAAGTCAGTAAGTTTCAGAGTCAATTATCACTCAGCAATTATTATAGCATAGATAACTGATATAACTAAGAACGCCTTTAGGGCAAACATTTTCTCTTATCAATCTATCTCAAGTTCAGTATAATTTCTCAATACATTATTTTGCATGGAAATTGTGAATCTCCTTGTACATCTCACTAGACTGGAAACTCTTTAAAGACACAGACTTCATCCAAGTCACCACTGTAGCCTAAGTGGCTGGCATTTATTATCTGTTTAACAGATTTTTGGTAAACAAATGAATTTATGAGTGAATGAGAAAAGGGATATTTTTTACAAACTGGAAATAGGAAGAAAAATGTCTGCTCTCAAGGTGCAGACATAAGTTTTAGTTCTCCTTAAGTTGTAGGTCAAGAAGCAGGAAATTGCCTGTCCCTTTCTTAGCCTTTGAAACACAGGGAACCCTTCCCTATTGTGCTCCAAATGTCCCAGAGCTACTTAGAAGTCAGTGCCGGAGGCTGTCAACAATCCAACCTCAAGTCCCAGGCTACTCTTCTATTTAACAGTAACCCACTCCCCCAACTGCCCAGTCCCATGACTCTCTATTCCAACTGTCTCTATTGGTTTCTGCTTCTCTATATCCCCAGATCTGTTTTTCTCCAAATGTGCCTTTTTATTTTCACAATTGATTTGGACATTGTCTCTGATGGATTGACTTTTGTTCTGCTTTCCTTTTACCCTGCTTTTACTAGTCCTGTCATCAATATAAGAAACAACCCCATCAGTATTAGTGATGTTTCTAAACCTTCTGCTGAAGCCTGAACAGTCTAAAAGATTATTATCAAATGGAAGCTGATAGGAGAGGGAATGTACAGCAGAAACAAGAACACATCCAGGACAGGTACATGGCTATAGGAAGGAAGAGTACACTAAGACTCAAGTCCAAAGGCAGAGGGCAGGCAGAGACAGGAACATGACCAGGTGGACAAGCCTTGGCACATGATATCAGCCACAGGTGAGGGTGTGCCTGTCAGAGGATTCTGAATGTCAGCCTCTGAGGAGATCCAGGGGCAATGGAGGCAGAGGCTTCACAATGATCTATCAGTAAAGTATGGTTTTCCTTTGACAAGGGGATAGTGAATTAAGATCCTAAAAATTTGGATTGACTTTTCCTAGATCAATTTTTATTCATATAGCTAATGAGAAACTTTAAAGGGAGTGTTCCGTAAATGGATTACACATGTGCCTTAAAATAGTGATACCTTTAGCCCTCTGGGTAGCCTGATGGAGGTGTTTAGCAGAAGTCAACAAGTGAATTACATCTAGGTTGAAAAAACTTGGCATGGGCCCCTCTCTTTGGTGAAACAGAATACCAAGAACTGAGTGCAGCTAGGGAGGAACTCTTACCTCCACATTCCACTCCATCTATTTCAGCAGTGGATCCTAGAAAACACTGCTGCCTTTCGCAGATAAACAACAGTGGGACTGCCAGACATGTTTGTATTCCTGGCTTTCAAGATGTGAAACAGGCAGCCCAATGAGTTTTGAAGACAAGAGGGAGATGAGGAGGGGGCTTTGGTCTTTAAATCAGACACTGCTGCTGATTTACAGGTAATGAGCCCATTTAGTAGTATCCAAGCTAGGTTGTGCTTTCTATAAACAAATTCTTCATTATTTCAAAGTACTTTATTTGAAAGTTTTCTTGAATTTTAAATACATTTCCATTTCTACAATGTAATTTTAACACTTGGACATTTTTAAATGGCTATAATACATTATTTTGAAAAGTCTGCCATTGACTTGCACGAACAAAGTTTCTTGTTGAAAGTGACAAGAATGTCAGGTGATCAAAATTAAACTGCTTTCACCAGAAATTGAAACGTGGACATTTTCAGCAAAAATCTTGATATAAAATTTAAGTGCACAGGACCAAGTTTATCATCAAAAGTTTTGAAAGGTTATTTGAAAGGTTAACATAAATTCATTACTTATCATTTCTAATATTTGCATCTTAATATTTGTCATAAGCACTGTCAAGAACTGTAAAGACTCTGAGATTTTATTACATTTGCAAGCAAACAAGTTAGCCTGCCCATTTTATGGATAGTGGCAGAAGGCATGAGATTCATGGGTCAAAGACAAAAGAAAGTTTTTTACTCACAGCAGTAGCAGTATCCAGAGTAATGTTATTATTTTTGTATCATTTCCCAAGTCCCACAGGGTGGCATAAACAGAGCCAGCAACATCCATACATGCACTGGGTTGTACTGTGGAAGAGCAACCCTGAGCTTAGAGAATTCATATATTTTACACTGGACAGTAAGCACGTTGGCCTTTTGCTACAGGGGATGACAGTATCTTCCACAAATATCAATATTTATGTTTATAAGACATGCAATATTGTGGAAGACTCATGGATAATTTTATTTCAACAATTATACAATGTAAAGAAAATACAATGATTTATTTTCACAATGCTCCATATGACCACACTGGCAAAATTTCTCAAATTTTCCCCAGAGTGCAGCAAAGTGCTCACCTAGTGTGCTGAGCATCTTTACTCACTGGCAGCCGTATGCTTTTCCTAGGGTTGCCATAACAAAATACCATAAACCAGGTGGCTTGAAACAACAAAAATTTATTCTCTCACAGTTCTAGGCCAGAAGTCTGAAATCAGGATGTTTTTAGGTTCATGCATTCTTTGAAGGCTCCGGGGGAGGACCCATCCTTGCCTCCTCCTGGCTTCTGTGGATTAATGGCAATCTTTGGCTTTCCTGGTGGGTAGATATACCACTCCAATCTCTACCTCTCCCTTTGTGTCTCTGGGTTTCTGCATCTTGATCTTCCCGAATCCAGCACGACATCATCTTAAATTGGTTACATCTGCAAAGATCCTATTTCTAAATAAGGTCACATGCACATGTGCTTGGTCTTAGGACTTAAATATATATTCTTGGAGGACACAATTCAACCCACAAAAGACACGTAGATTTAAACCCCAGGTTAAAAATTGTATGTAACTTGGCAAGGCAAGAAGGTAGAGTCAAAGCCCTTTCCTTTCAACAATCTTAATATCTAGAGACCTTTTGAAAAGATAATTAGTGCACTACACACTATATCTCTTACTTTACCTACAGGAATTGGTCATAAAACCAGCCAGAAACTGGAAAGCAATTTTTGTTTGAAAAGTTAAACCAAGAAAAACATCACCAATAACCACTCATTTGTTTTCTTTGTCTCTGTCTCAGAAAAAAAAAAAAAAATCTCCTAAATGTATACCTGTGTTTACAGTTGCAGGATTACTTAAATTTCTGAGTTAACATCAAAGGAGGTATCATATCAATAGTTGAAAATCTGGCATATTAGGAATCCAATCACTCCAGAAGACTGACAATAGGACTCTTGTGTTAAAACACCTCTTCCCTCAGGGGCCATTCTCAACAGCATTCAACCTGGTGGGGAGTCCTGCTCTCCTTTGCCATAGCTATCAGTATTGGTTAAGCACCTGCCAATCTTGCTCCATTTTTCATTCCAAACAGTTGCCCTTCCCCAATATCCACCTTTGTTATCCTCCCCACCTCTAGCCAACTTTACATTTTGAAGCTGAATCTGTTCCCTTAATCTGAAGTGTTGGATTTTGTCATCTACAGATGGATTTCTCACCAATTCATCACAGCTAAGTGGTTTGCTCCCTGCTGTGTCTTACCTGTATGAACGACCATCCAAGGGTAAAGTCAGAGATGGCGGTCCTTGCCCAGGTATTGCTGCCTGGGTTCCACTGTGTCCTCTATCCAGAGCCCTATTCTTTGTCCATAACAGTTGCCCCAGCTTGTAACTACTTTTGCTGTGTGGTTTGTATTTTTCTTTAGCCCTGTCCTCTTTCCAGCCAACTCAACACACTTAAGTTTTCACTAAGAGCTTAATTCTCTGAGAAGGATACTAGTTTCCTCAAGAGACATGCTTTATTATTGGAGAAAATGCTCATAATATAGTCTAGCTAGTAGATAAATCCTTCTCAGGCCCCAAGTTCCCCTCCTTGCCTCAGCAACAAAGTAGGACTTGTATCATTTCTATGAATTTGTGTCCACCAGGAAATTTGTACTGAACTTGTCAAATATCGAAGTCAGCAACTGCATAGACAACTTTTGGAGAGTTTATTTATTTATTTGAGCAGGGTCTTACTCTGTCACCCAGGCTGGAGTGCAGTGGTACAATCTCAGCTCACTGCAATCTCTACTTCCTGGATTCAAGCAATTCTCCCACCTCAGCCTCCCAAGCAGCTGGGACTATGGGCATGCACCACCATACCCGGCTAATTTTTGTATTTTTTGGTAGACATGGGGTTTTACCATGTTGGCCAGGTTGGTCTCAAACTCCTGACTTCAAGTGATCCACCTGTCTTAGCCTCCCAAAGTGCTGGGATTACAGACAGGAGCCACCACACCCAGCCCAATTTTTTGGAGAGTTTTAAAAATTATTTTCTGCTTAGAAAAAAAACACTCTTATTTAAAAAATACACAACAACAAAATAAATTCCACATATTCATCATCCAATTTGAGCATTAATTCATCCACTTCCCCACATTGAAGCAAATGCCAGACACCATGTCATTTAATTTCTCATAACCTCGCCATCTTCTTAATGTTCCAAATACAATTACTTCTTATAAATCCATGTGAGAATGATGAGTAGTGTTAAGGAGCAAAATGGAAGATGTGAGGTAAATCATGTTACATGTGCATTTTGTTTTTTCTGACACGGAGTCTTGCTCTACTGCTCAGGCTGGAGTGCAGCGGCACGATCTCGGCTCACCGCAACCTCCGCCTCCTGGGTTCAAGCGATTCTCCTGTCTCAGCCTCCTGAGTAGCTGGGATTACAGGCTCGTGTCACCACGCCAGCTAATTTTTGTATTTTTAGTAAAGATGGGGTTTCACCATGTTGGTCAGGCTGGTCTCGAATTCCTGACTTTGTGATCCGCCCACCTCGGCCTCCCAAAGTGCTGGGATCACAGACAATGAGCCACCACGACTGGCCTGTGTACATTTTCTAGGTGAAAAAAGTGCACACAGGTGATACGTCTTTACCTTTACTGTCCTTAGAGATAACTGAAGTACTGCAGCATGTGTTTATCTTAAATCTTATTCATTCATTATAATGAACAAAGCAGTTAATGAGGTTGTATGCTTGGCCCTACCTGACTTGATTAACTATTTTGAAAGATTTACAAGGTGAAACTGTTTAACATAAAGTCAAGACCATAAAATAAAGGAAAACACACTCAAAAACCTTTATTTGTGAAAAGCAACGTGCTGAGTTTGCTGGAGACCTACACAATGGGTCAGAGTCCCAGACTCCCGTCCCAGCCCTGCTCATCAACAATGAGGCCCTCGACCCCATGACTTCATCTCTATGGCAATATAGATTAGGTCGCTAGGGCTGCTACAGCAAAGTACCACAAACCACGGGGCTTCAACAACAGAAATTTCTTGTCTCACAGTTCTGGAGGCTGGAATCTGAGATGCAGATGCCGGCAGGGTGTGTTTCTCTGAGGCCTCTTCCTTTGGCTTGTGGATGGCCACTTTCTTGGTGGGTCCTCACCTGGTCTTTCTCTGAGTACATTTGTGTCCTAATCTCCTCTTATTAAAAGGAAAGCAGTCATATTGGATTAGAACCCACTATATGACCTCATTTAAACTTCATTATCTTTCTAAAGATGCTATGTATATCCTATTTCCAAATACAGTACAGTCACATTCTGTGGTACTGGGGATTAGGGTTTTAATATATGAATTGGGGGAGCCCAATTTAGCTCATAACAATGTCCTAGACACATTAATTTATTTGAGAGTTAAATTAGATAGTGTTTGTGAAAGCTGTTGATAAATTATTATGCACTATATGGTATAACTTTTTTGTTAATAATAATGTCTCTATCAATTCATCAGAATTTTATTATGTCAATAAAATAAATTCAGTGCTGAGCTAGCTGGTCTTGGAATCCTTGTATTTTAGAAATCCATCATCTTAAAAAGGAAGCAAAATATATATTAAATAAATGGCATATAAACTAGCCAGATTTGAAACAAGTACAATATTTAGTAATTCAGTCAAAAGAAGGGAGCCCCAACTAAGGTGGGCAAGATGACATCAGAACAGTGCATTAAAGGAGAATTCAAATTTTATACCAGGGGAACAAAGAAGTGAGAACATTATATCACAAACAGTAGTCCCCCTTATCTGTGGCTTCCCTTGCTGGGGTGTCAGTAACCCATGGCTCAGTACAATAAGATATTTAGAAAGAGAGAGAGAGAGAGACCACAGTCAAGTAACTTTTGCCACTGTATACTGTTAGAGTTGTTCTACTTTATTATTAGCTGTTGTCATTCATCTCTTCCTGTCCCTAATTTATAAATTAAACATAATTTTAAGCATGTATGCATAGGAAAAATAGAGTATACATAGGATTCAGTCCTATCTGAAGTTTCAGGCATCTGCTGGCAGTCCTGAAACACATCCCCTGTGGAGAAGGGGGATGACCGCATTGTCTTCCTGGTATAGAATGAAGCCAGGCTAGACCCTAGATTCTGCTAAAAAGTGGTAGAAAATAAGGTTAAACAGGTAAGACAGGACCAGATTTGAAAAGACCTTAAAATCCTAGCAGATGAGTTTTGCTGTAATGAAGAAAATGATATCTAAGCCATATATGTAATTATCTCTACATCAATTTGTTTATTCTTGATTTATATATTTTCTAATAATAAAAATTAACCATCCTAAATAAGGAACATGAAATAAAATTATTGGTTGTGGTATTTATATCTAGCTATGATGTTATTCTCTTTAGTTTCTATGTATAATCATATTGGGCCAGTGTATTAGTGAGCTATTGATATGTAACAAATTAGCCCTGACACTGAGCAGTTTAAAACAACAAACATTTATTATCTCACATAGTATCTGAGAGTTGGGAATCGCTCAGGAGGCTGCAGTCATCTCATGGCTCATTCATCTCATGGGCTGGAGGATCTGCTTGTAAACTCCTAACATGGTGTGAGGAGGCCCTTGTCCCTCTCCTGCTTTGGCTGGAGATCTCTGTTCTTGCCATGGGAGCCTCACCATAGTCTGCCAGCGTGTGCAGCAAGATAGCCACTGGCTTCCACCACAGGAAGTGAGGTGGGAGAGAGAGAGAGTACACTCTGCCATGTACCACCTAGTCTGTGGGTCACACTCACCTGTATTTTATTCTAATATTAGGAAGAAGTCAATAAATTCAGCCCATACTCAACAGGAGGATATGGACAACAGAAGAGTGTTCTGCAGACCAACTGGAGCCCATCTTGGAAGCTGACTGACACAGTGCTGTAGTTTGAATGTTTGTTTCTCCTAAAACTCATGCTGAAATTGTACTGCCATGTGGTGGTGTTAAGAGGTGAGACCTTTTGGAGGAAATTCAGCCATGAGGGCTTCATCCTTACAAGTAGGAATAATGCCATTATAAGAGGGCAAGTTCAGTCATTTCACCTTCTGTTATGTGAGGATGCAGCAAGAAGGTCCTCACCAGATGCCATCACCTTGATCTTCCCAGCCTCTAGAACTGTGAGAAATAAATTTCTGTTTTTTATAAATTAACCTGTCTCAAGTATTCTATTATAGCAGCAACAAGGGACTAAGACATATAGCCAACCATAAAGATATGTTTCTTCTTTAAAAATGTTAGCTTTTGTCAATATTAAACTGAAATTTGTCCTTTATATTATCAAGGTGAACATAATTCATCTGTCTCTTTTCAGTATAAAAATAGCTCAAGGTTAAATTAACTTGGGAGTTTTGTATGTTGTTTAAATAGCTTCTTTTGTGGAATTAATTTTGAGTTGAGTGTTTGAAATATCTTGAAGTTTGTCAAGTAAAATGAGCTACTTTTTTAATTCTCTAAGTGAAATTTTAGGACCAGAATAAATATGAGGAGTAGTTCATATAAGTATGAAAATTAAAAGTATCCGCAGGCAAGAACCCAGTTTTAGCATTCTACTATAGTAGGGGAAAGTGAAGGAAAGATTGGAAAAATACTATTCATTTTTTCACTTTGACAGAATAAGGTATAAAACATTGTTTAAAGCCTATTTGACATATAAATTCTCTAAGCAAATCCAAGCGTAAACACACCCTTAGAAGGCAGGTGAAATTTCTTATTTGTAGTACTGAAGACAGGAGCAATTAAGCTGGGTGATAAATGCTTAGGGTTATACTTCCTAGAATCTGAGTTTAAGGGGACAGATGGAGAATTCATGATTCAATGAAATGACATGGAAAGTGAAGAGTCTGGTTCAATTTTCACTTTTAACTTTCTGGATGTGAGGTCTGAATTAGATGTCAGGCACAAACAGTACCTTTCAATATAAATAGACATTTTTCATGAGAAACATTATAAATTGCATTTATCAAAATATACAACTATCAGTTCCCTGTCACTAATGTTCCTGAAAAGGATGAACTGTTGAAAGCTCTGGAACAAAGGATTTGTGGGCTTAATTCTTTGGGGACTTACCAGCACTGGTGATTTTTTACTGTCATACTCCTTGGGAAGGTGCATGTCTTCATACTTAGGGAAAGAAGCCGCAGATTCATTTTGATAATGACAATCTACACTGAGAAAAGTGATTATGTTTGTGAGTGTGCACACAGAGAAAGGATCAACCAAGGTAATTTCAAGGTTGCATAGGGATTAAGGATATAACTTACCTGTGAAGCCAAATTTTATCTAAATGAATAAAACTAGTTGAAGTATCTGTTGATTCAGGAAATGCAGACCCTCTTTTCTCCTGAGTTAATGACAGTTATGGGGTCAGGTAAGAAAGTGCTCACCACCACAAAATCACTGAATGTAAGAGGGTCTTACCCTCTGTCAACATCTTCATCTTCTAGCTGAAGAAACTGAAGCGTATGGGCAGAGCTGGCTTCATGGGGGAGAGAGCTACTCTGTTGTACAGGGCACACTTAGAAGGACTCCATGCTTAACTTAATGCTTTGCTATCACTGCCGCAAAATTCTTGGTAAGTTTTGAACAGGGGCCCTTCATTTCATTTTGCACTGGGCCCTGCAAATTTTGCAGCCAATTCTGCGTAGAGGGCTCCCACAAAATGTAATGATCAATAAAGAGGGGCCTGGGTGAATGTTCTTTCTGTGGTTGTTTTAGCAGAGGGGTTAAGAGCTCCACTGGCTGTACCACCTTCTGCCTGTGTGGTTTGCGTATGTTTCTTAGCTTCTCTGGGCCTCTGCCTCATCATCTCTAAAATGGGGTGGTGATAGAGCCTGCTTCACTGGATTTCGATACACTGAAGTGTGCAGAGTGCTGATCCCAGAGCCGGCACACGATAACCACGGCATAAGTGTTAGCTACTGTTATTGTTGTTGTTGCTGTTATTGTTGAACTGTTAGGGAAAATTAATCCAGTCTAAGCTGCCAACAACCCTGTCACCAACACTCCTCACTCACCAAGCTGCACATGTGAAAGTGACAAAATTAATCAAAGACTGGAGGTTACCTTTTACATTTTCAATGAAATGACTGATTTGACCAGTTGGTTGAATACTTCCTAGATAAATCACATACACACATATTAATATTTAAGGCAGTGAAAACTTGAAATTTATGATATCAGTGGAATGTAGATAGATGTTCATTTTGCCATTAATCCAACAACAGACTCTCCTGAAAGCAGAAAGGAATCAACTCTGGGGTCTTTGGAGTAAGGGTGAGGCAGGTGACAGGGGAATGGGAAAGTACACTTGACAAAAGCAGACAGTGCCGTGGAGACTGCGCTGCTCTCTCTAACTTTCAATAGTAACGTTTTTGTTCAATGAATCCATGGACCTGCAATCCTATTAAATATCCCCATGTGAGTAATCTACGTAGTCCTCATTTCCTTTGTCTCTCAAATGCAAGAAGATACATGAGAAGGAGTAAATATGTTAAGAAGAAACTACTTTTTGCTTATGTTTGATGCGTAACACACATTTAAATTTCATCTTCTCCAAACACATTAATTTTCAAGGTGCAGTTCAGTTAAAATTAATAGAGCAATTAGGTACACTGTAAACCAATGTGAAGGAAATTGTGAGTCCAATTATTATACGAGACTTAAAAAATATATTAACCAATGTGAATCACAACATTAGCCGATTTTCACACCCCTAATGTGATTCTTCCCTGGTAGAAAATAACAACCAACCAACCTAATGGAAACGTTGCATATAATGAAATTCGAGGAGGGTCATGAGTCCCTTGGGTGACAGGTGTTATTAAAATCTGAAAGGACGTTATTGTTAGAGTTGGGCAGGGAATTTCGAATATTGGCATTGCAGGCCATTAGGGCCATCTGTCTTGCACTCTGCTCCTCTTGATATTAAAGGGGAATGGGAACAAGCTGCTATATATTTGAAATGATGCAGGATGCTAAAA
Organism: Homo sapiens; assembly: GCF_000001405.40. Taxonomy (NCBI): domain Eukaryota; kingdom Metazoa; phylum Chordata; class Mammalia; order Primates; family Hominidae; genus Homo; species Homo sapiens. Next base: position 108,439,605 of record NC_000013.11, on the reverse strand, counting down.
CCATGTATCCCAAAACATACAATCTCAATATGTCGCCATTTCTGAATTTCAAACTGATTCTGCCTGTATGTCTTTGAATCAACCCTTTTTCCTCCTTCCTGTTGACATCGTTCCAATATTTCCAAGTAGAAGCCTCACATCTAGAGACAGGAATTGAAATTGCTTGTGCTCTGAGTCTGTCTCTATTATTTGCATGCAATTACATGATTCACGTAATATGCATTTGTATAAACATACCCCCCAAAAATCACTATTTTCACTATTTTTTAATCACACATAAAGCATGAGGCTAGAATATTCATACAGATTCCTATTAGTTTAAAATATTTTCGGAAAAAATTATTTTTTCCTCTAATACTTTCTTGTATCCTCTCAAATTTTATCATGTCTTCATGTCATTGAGGTGCACTGAATGTCACAGAGTTCATTCTTTGCACTTAGAATTTTCCAGCTTCGTTGGTATGACAGATGGAAAGATTATACCTCAGGGTATGATGATTCCTTGGTTATAGCTGAAGTCACTCTGGATTTGCCTATCTCCTATTGCAAACTGTATCTGTTTTGTAATCTAAAAGGTTCTTTTTGAGCACTAACATTGATGGCTTTCTCCCGGTTGACTGGCTGTGCTCAGGATTGCTAGTCTCTAGATCTATTACCTCAAATTATCCAGGCTAAACATTACTTTGTTATTTCCCATGTGCATTTTAAGCTTGGTGATGTTTACAACAATTTCTAAATTGGAAATGGTTCAGAAATAATGAAGGAATTGCCGTTTGTCCTCATTTTCCAAGCCAAAAATAAATATGCATAATAAATTCAGTTTAGTGTTTCCCTGTGGGTCTTCAATAGTAAGCTATCCTGAAATCAGAACACCACAACTCCATTGAATTTTTCAGGTTTTGGCTCTTCAATACTAAGTAATTGTGAACCAATTTCACTTATTTAATCTATCTTCTTACATAAAATGTACCTAACATTGATGAAATATTTGGAAAATAAGAATTTTGTTTTTACCTTGAATTATACTTTGTACCACGTTTCCATGAGATAGTAAAATAATGAGTTCAAAGTGAACTTTCTCTGTAAGTTAGCAAAGAGTTTATGAGAAAACTTCCATGCCAAAAAGCACTAGCTTTATTGGGCTTTGTGTTTATTTTTAGTGTTTTGCCAAGAAAATAGGTGCTGCGAAGGTATGTAGTTAAGAAAAATCCTGAATGCTGCATTGAAGGAGTGTCAGCATAATTATTGCTCAGGGAGTTGTGATCTAAACCACTCATATTACATGTGAAGTCTGCCGTGTATCCAAAGGCAGGGAGACCAGCTGCTGAAGGAACTGAAAGGGGGTCTTTACTAGGAAGAGCTGAAGGAAGCAGGGAATTCTGAACTTGAAGTGGGAATTGAGAGAAACAATCGCCTCACATATGATGGCGGAGCATGTTGTGGACAAGGGATCATGTTTAATTACGGGTCATTTCAGGGTCCAGAAGTAGAAACCTATGAGTTTCCACAAAAAGTGTTGGGGGGGGGGCATCTAATAATTAAAGACAACCAAACTGGAATGGACTTCCTTGTCAGGCTGTTAACTGTTGTCCACGGATAACCAAACAGAGGCATATGGAGGTCCCTGAGCTCCTGTTCACATTGGGTGGTTAAGGTGTGGGGGTCATGCTATCTCTGGAATGATTCATTATTGCTTTGTCTCTGATTTGAAGTTTAGAAAATTATAAAAAGACCTGGAGTTCATGTACATAGAAACACTGATAGTAACAAGCACTGGAAAAGGACAGAAGGAAAAGGAGTTGGTATGTCCTAGATTTGCAATTTTCCATGAATTGCTGTGTCATGCTCTTGGCATCCACACTTCAAGTGTGGAGAACCCTGAAGCAACTTTGTAGGGGCTAGTGTGTCATAAACCAAACATATGCCCATCTCTGCTCAGCTCCTTCCCCTGACAACTAGTCCACGGTTTTAGATGAGTTGGGAAATGAAGCAAAGACTAGCTGAATGCATTGGTGGAGCCAACACTGGATCATGATTATCAGCAACTATACAAATTGCAAACCACTGTGCAGACCTGTGGTGGTGACGAATGCATCTGCAACTCTGAGAAAAGATTCGTGAGTCAGAAGTAACTACTTCTTGAAACAAAGATGCAAACATGAATTTTGATCTTACGTACTATTCATCTGGCCATAACAAAATGATTTGGTTATAAGAAAAAAAAATTGCTTAAAGACAGTTTCTGAAGATAGTGGCCACCATTGTCTCCTCCCCAGCCAACAGTTCTATCTCAGGGATGTGTGGGTCACCAGGGTGGCAGCACCTAATAACATTTTTCGAGTTTCAGAACACAAAGGGACACCTATAGTTAATTAACCATTGCCTGAAATGGTCCTGAAGCTCAGCTCATCATAGAGACAGGAACGATGATGATCAGATGTCTTTTGGCAAAGCTTGGATGGGGACAACCTCAGAAGGTTTATTCTGTTTCTAGACTGGTTCAGTTGCTTGGTTGGAACCCTCTAACTTTGTAGCCCGAACGCCACCACAGATATGTAAACAAGTGAGCATGGCTGCATACTAATAAAGCTTTAGTTATGAACATTGAAACTTGAATTTCACATAATTTTTATGTATCATAAACTGCTGTTCTTCTTTTGATTTTCTTCTGACCATTTTAACATGTAAAAAGCATTCAGAGCTCATATACAAAATAAGGCTATATGAAATAGGCATTGAGATTTGGCTTATGGGTTACAGTTTGCTGACTCCCAATCTAGTATGTTAAGAAACTGCTGCCTTAATTAAAAATAGTTTTTGGATATTACATGACTGTTCTCAATATTCAAAGCTAATAAATAATTTTCAGTGATTAGAATATCCAATGCACATGCTGCTGAAAAGGGGAGCTGGAAACCATCATTCTAGCAAACTATTGCAGGGACAGGAAGCCAAGCACCGCATGTTCTCACTCACGGGTGGGAGTTGAACGATGAGAACCCATGGACACAGGAGAGGGAACATCACACACCGGGGACTGTTGTGGGGTGGGGGAGAAGGAAGGGATAGCATTGGGAGATATATCTAATGCTAAATGAAGGGTTAATGGGTGCAGCACACCAACATGGCACATGTATACATATGTAACAAACCTGCACGTTGTGCACATGTACCCTAAAACTTAAAGTATAATAATAATAAAAGAAAAAAAAGACACATCCCCAGAGCTGATTGAGGATGGCCATGATTTTCATTAACTGCTCTGACTTAACATAGGCTTCAGCCTCTTGTTCACAGCCTACATGTCTATCATGCCACTGCCTTGGCTCCTAGAGCTGCTGGGTTGAGTGTTAGCATCTGTGCTGTGCAGTTAGGAAAATCATAATTTCATTAGAGTGAACGAAAATTTTAAATTTTCCAACTTCAGATTAATTAGAAGAGTGGATTCCAACCTATCTGACAACAAAGAAGACTGGTTATTTTTGGTCCCACAGAAAATCCGAGAATAGCTTATCAATCTTGTTTAAATAGAATCTGTTAACTGCTGAAGGCAATGTGATAATGGCACAATTTGGTATAGATACTGTGTTTATTTCTCTGACATTGACATAATCCAGGAAGGACAATGGGAGCTTTCACTTATTCATAACTGTTTAGAATTAGGTAATGAGAAGCGACAAGGTTATCTCAGTACAAATTCAATGTGGGCTTAATCTCATTCCCTTGTAATAGAAATTTCAGCCAGGAGCTGATCTACTCCGAAAGACACCTTCTTCTAGGGCTGTGGCTTCCACTCCCATCTATAATTCAGATATAAGATAGACAGAAACTAATAAGTAGCTAGATCCACAATAATATACAATTATGTTTACAAAACAAATGTGCTAGTTTTTTTTTTTTTTTAAAAAAGGCAGAAACTTGGCAAAAATAGAGAGTTGCTAGCATTGCCAAGCAATACAGAAAATCTTGCAATATACTTGAAAGACAAACAGAACAAGTAGGTCATGTGCTGACAAATCAGTTTTGTTCATCAAAGCCTCGGGATGAGGATGAGAACTGAATCCACTCATTGACAATTTATTCCACAGAAACTTAGGGCTGAGCCAATGTCATTCTATCTCAAACTGTTCCAGTCTTCTCTATCAATGGCAGAAGTTCAAGCTGGGTGATGTCCCACTCCCAATCACGCAGCATCATGGTTGAGATAGATTCTTATTAGTTTTGCTCCAGGATGCTTACATTCTTGGCTTTTCTAAATTCTTCCCAGTATCTATTGGTACCGTTACGTACTAACAGCATTCCTTTTATTAAATTCTTATATTTCATGCATCTGTCCTATTTTCAATTAAAGCAAAATAGAAACATATGAGTTCTACTGATATGGAAAATATAAATATTTCTTCGTTATGGGAAGGTACCCAATTTGAGAGTCAGGGAGGGGATGGTTGAATAAGACAGAAAGGGGAATATGATTCTAGCGGCAGTTCTCTATCGTCTGATGACAGTCATTGAGAGATGCTGATATAAATAGAGTATTCGGATTGAAATCACATGCCCTGCTTTTTTTGGTAAGAAAAATAGTTGTTCACCTTCGACTGAGTCCAGTTTTAAGTTTGAATAATGGCAAAAATCCTAACGTACATTTCTATCTTAGGCCGTTGACTTAGTTTGTTGTGAGCATCAGGTGGTGTGATTGGTTTACACATGGACCACATTTCCCATTTTTTTGGAGTTCTATTGGTTAAAAAGTCTGTTTTATATTCTAATATAGATAATTTTTGTATTTTGTCACTGTATTCGTCTGTTTCCAGGTTGCTATGAAGAAATATCTGAGACTGGGTAATTTATAAAGGAAAGAGGTCTAATTGACTCCAGTTTAGCATGACTGGGAAGGCCTCTAGAAACTTACAATCATGGTGGAAGGGGAAGCAAACATGTCTTTCTTCACATAGTAGTAGCAAGGATAAGAGTGAGAGCTGAGCGAAGGGGAAAGCCCATTACAAAACTATCAAATCTCATGAGAACTTATGATCACAAGACTAGCATAGGGGAAACCACCCCCATGATTCAATTTCCTCCCACTGGGTCCCTCTCATGACACATGAGGATTATGGGAACTACAATTTAAGATGAGATTTGGGCAGGGCACAGCCAAACCATATTAGTCACTCATAAAATTAATCAAATTTTGAAACTTATATAACAACATTTTAAGAAACAGGACCATAGTTTTTGGCTTAGAAGGCATCCATTTTATTCACGAGTGTGGAAAACTATGGTGTGACATTTTCTCCAAGGTTCTTCCAAGGTATGGGATGTTTTTCTAGTCTAGGCTGTAAACAGTTGCATTATGGAACATCTCTAGATCATGAGGGTTGTTTTCATAGTAGTGAAACACCCTTCATCCCCGCCTCTCAAGATTCCATCAAGAGGTGGAAATCATGTAGCAACATGTCAAATGCTGCATTGTTAGAATTCACATGCATCCCAGCTTATTAAATGCCTTTGGTTTCCCCAAGAGACAACTCTTGCAGAAGTTTAGGTTTTCCGTGTTTTCTCTCTTGTCACCTGGTGTCCCCAGGGTCTCCTTAGACAATGTTGTAACTTGCTAAAGCTTCATAGCCAATAAAGCCAGAAGGGTGTCTGGAACTTGCCTACATGTTTCCATTTCTAGAATTTTGTCTTTTAATCTCAGAAGCTGTGTATTTTCGACTTCTCGTTCCCAACAAAAATCAGTGTCGTAGTGCTAAAAAATATGGGGTGGAGGAGAGGTATGGATAGTGAGCAGATTACTAGCATTCATCATTGTAATATATAATATTTGAAATAAGGAGATGTTACATTATACATAGGAATAGTTGCTACCTGTAAAACCCAAAGAATCTAATTAAACATGCATAAAGTAATGCCTGAGTTCAGTAAGGAGACTAGTGAAAAATGTATATACATATAATCAGTAGTTTTACTTATACCAACAATACACATATTCAGCACAAGAGGCTCAGTTAGAATAGAAAAAAATATATGAATTTAAATATATATATACACACTATATATAAATTAACCATAAACAATATTAACATAAAAATGTCTGACTAATACTGTGTGACTGATTACATTTTTGTATGAGAATTTATTAGGCATAAAAGAATATTAAAAATAAAGGATACCTCTATAAACCTTAATAAAACATATACATTTCCCATAATTCCAATAAAAATACCAGTGTCATTTTTTTTAGAAATGATTCTAAAGATTTTCTAAAACAACACACATGAGAAAAGATAAAAATAAATAAATAAGATGAATAACCTATAAGACAACAAAATATATTATGGTATGCTATAATTAAAACCTGGACTAGATAACACACTGGATTACTGGAACAGAGATGATATTCAAAAGTGGCTTTGAGCAAGTTGAAAAATTTAGTATATAATAAAAGTGTCACTTCAAATCCATAGGGAAAAGATGGATTGTAAACAGAGTTGTCAAAACCAGCTGGCAATTTGGAGGGAAATTGGCTATATATATCATCATCTTTATACCAAAATTACTACAAAATTGTTTGAAAAAAATAGGTTGATATTTATATACTATTTTGGAAAGAAAAAAGGCCATTTAAACACTGCACAAGGTTGACAGACTTTAACACTTAAACATTTAAACTCCTTTTTCTTTGTCTCTCATTGCAAAGAAAACCAATAATAAGCAAATAAAAACATATTTACATCATATGTAAGAAAAAGTTAATTAATAATAAAGTTAAAGCTCTTTCAATTCATTAAAAGATAGAAAATGAACAAAAATCATCTATATCCAATTAGCTAAATAAAGTATTCAAATAACCAGAAAAGAATATAGATATAGTGCTATATTTGAAAGCACCATTTCTTCAGTAAATTTTGGGGGGAGTCTACTCTGTGTTAGGCATGCTTCTAGATATCCTGAGTAAACCTATGTATGTGATATGTAGAGGTACAGATATATAGGTATATGATTCTTCTCTTTGTGTTATAAGATGGTTCTTGTATTTCTTTGCTTTACTATATATATTACATATGGTAAAAAGCTAGTTTACTTTTAGGACAGTTTTGTGTGTGTGTGCGTATGTATGTATCTGCATGTATATGTGTAGCTTTAAAATTATTCAGTGTTTCAACCAGCAATTTATTTCAATTCTAGAAATGGATCCTAAGGAAACTATCATATACTTTTTACAGGAATGTTCATCGAAGCATTACTCATCAAGGAAAAATTGGAAATAACGTAAGTAACTAATGCTTTGAACCTCTTCAAAATCCACATCCCTTTAAGAGAAACCCAAGTAGTGTTTTGCTGTACCTGATCCTAGCCCCTCAGCCCATTAGGAAGCAAGAGGCCATTTCATGCTCCACTAGCTGAAGTCAGCTGTAGCCCTTCAGCTTCTACAACCAAAGAGATGCCAAGGAGTTTTTTGTTTGTTTGTTTGTTTGTTTGTTTGTTTTTTGAGACGGAGTCTCGCTCTGTCGCCCAGGCTGGAGTGCAGTGGCGGGATCTCGGCTCACTGCAAGCTCCGCCTCCCGGGTTCACACCATTCTCCTGCCTCAGCCTCCCGAGTAGCTGGGACTACAGGCGCCCGCCACTACGCCCGGCTAATTTTTTGTATTTTTAGTAGAGACGGGGTTTCACCGTTTTTAGCCGGGATGGTCTCGATCTCCTGACCTCGTGATCCGCCCGCCTCGGCCTCCCAAAGTGCTGGGATTACAGGCGTGAGCCACCGCGCCCGGCCACCAAGGAGTTTTTTGAGGAGCAATCAAATTGGAACTGAAAGCTCCATATTTCTTAATTTGTCCTGCTACTTAAAACTGCTCAATAGGTCTTGCTTCTCCTCTTTCTCTTCCTCCTCCCTATCCTTCCTGTGCTGAATAACTCAAGCCTAATTCTACCCCACTGTGAGCTACAGCAAGGCAGGCGCCTGTTCTGACAGCGGAGAACGGGCAGCTGTGGGAGCCCGAGGTTGGGGGAAGCTCACCCGGGAGGGCCTTGCTGTCACAGTGTCAGAGAGAGCCCCAGCAGTGGGAAGAAATTATCCTCCGAGGGGTGGCCTGCCCAGAGGTTGAAGCCGCAGCAGTTTGGTGTAGGGAAGCAGGTGGCCGTGGAGTTGAGAAGTTGATTATATACAGAGGGAATAATAAAAAAAGGTAAATATCTTAAGGATGATTCAAAGTAGGTTTTTTTAATGTCACAGAAAAGTAATAGAAAAAAATGGGAAAGGAGAAGATGAGAATAAACTTCATGTGATGTTGGATTGGAGTTGGATGTACTGGTGCGAACTGGTGGTTTTCAGAGTATGTGGATAGATACAGACATAAATATAAGTGTAAATGTGTGTGTACATATGCATTCCACTAGCTCTGTCTACTGAGAGAGACTGAGGGTATGACATCCTCAAAGAAATAAGCAGACTTAGCAGCTATTTTCTACTAAAGAACCAATGCTCCTTGGAAAAAGCTTCAAGACTGGGGTTGGGGTGCAGGGGGTGTGAGTCTGAAACATCTTGTTTTGCCAGAAGACAAAGTGCTCCAAGTATGATGGAAATGTCAAAAGAACTCATAAGTCAGTTTGAACAAGAGCACTGGTTAACTCAAAGACAACTGGAGCATCAAAGTAAATAATAAGAGTAATAGATTATGACCCATTGACTAGAAAATGAAATCCTGAGTTCATACAGATGAAAATAAATTAATAATTTGAAGGCATGATGAGAAACAGGATATTTACATAGTTTCAGAATATAGCTCCACAAAATATGTATTAATTATAAAGCAGAAAATATAGCCTTGCCATGTAAAATCCTGGAAGACAACACCTTCATCCATGATCATCAGTGTGGACAAACCAACAACACATACCACCCGAAGATGGATGAGAAAAAAACAGTGCAACTTCTGTGACACTTCTGCCAAAGATGCATAATCTTAACCACATCATGTAAGCAGCATAAAAGTCCAAACTGAGAAATACCCTACTTCCTACTCAAAGGCATCAAGATCATGACATACAAGGGAGGGGGACACCGAGGGATTCTTCGAGACTGAAAAAGGCTGAAGAGACCAACTGCAATGCTTACCTCTGACCCTTTGATATAAAAGATATCATAGATACAAGTGGCAAAGTTGTATGGGGTCTGAGGACTATAAGGTAGTCATCTATCCATATTAATTCCTGATTTTGACAGCTGTGTTTTGCCTTGTATTTTCCTTATTAGAACACTAAAGTATTCGGTGTTCATGGGTAATGGACTGGCTACTGATACTCAAGTAGTTCTGAAAAAAAATTAATTTTGTGCTTCAATTCCAACTCTTTTGTAAAGTTGCAATTGTTAGAAAAGTAAGAAAAGAAATACTGTTTGATACCTGTCAAAGTTTTCTAACTTCTCTTAACTTTGGATTCTCTTTTTGTATAGGGTAAAGTAAGACACAAATAGGATAATACATAGGAAACAATTTGCAAACTGCAAAGCATTATTGAACATAAGCTTTTGGTTTAAATAATAATAATATACTGCATTAAGAAAGCCATTCACCCATTATTTTTCTATCTATCCAACAAACAATATGTAAACACATAATTGGCATCAGATATTGTGCTGAAATGTAATTTCAAGCAAAACATACAAGAGTGTGAAGTACAGTAAGGAAGAGAAAATAAGTAAGTCAGCTCTCCTGGCCAAGTATGATAAGGGCTTTGATACAGTAAACTGCAGATTATGAGGGGAGGACTAAGGCAGATCACATAAATTAGAACGTGGTGCCAGGAGAAGAGCTTATGAAATAGTGATGCTTAACCTGAGTTTTGTAGGACAAAATATAATTTGGAGAAGGAGATACCATTTTAGATAATGCCAGCAGAAGATATGATGCCTCAGAGTGATGAAAAACGGTATCCTTGGGGGATCCCTTCGTAGTTCAGCATGGCTGTACAATGCCTATCACAGAGTGTAGATGCCTATGGTTCAAGCAGGAGGAGAGTTTACATGAGACAGCTGTGTAGAAATTTGGCATGAAGGGTACCATGTCCTGGGCTGAAACGCAGGTGATACATTAAAAAGAATGTGTATGAACTCATTTCTTTTAGCAGGACAATGGCCTTGCAGTGGTATGCAAGATAACTCTGGTGAGTTTCATGAGGCTGGAGGTGGAAACACCAGTAGGTGCAATGGAGCAACCCCTGCTGGCTTGGGATATGGTCCCGTTTGCCGAGACAGGGATTTCAAAAGGAGGATAAGATTAGATAATGAAGAGCTCAGTCCTGGGAATCCTGATGTTGAATTTTCTGTGGAACTCTTGAAATGAAGATTTGAAGTGTTAAACCACTTTATGGAACATGCTGGATCCCAAAGGCTGGAAGCAGAAAGCCGCTCTACTCTCTCACCCCTCCCCGTTAATTCACCCAGCAGAACCATTCTCCCGGGCTACCAGGAAAAATTTCAGGAAGGCTTTCTAGCTTTTCCAGTTTCTTTTGGTCACAAGTGCAGCCTCATTTCAGCTTTTAAAGAGCTCTCCCTAGTATACAATCAGAATCCCAAGTTCTGGTCCAATGTAAACTGCTCCCTGCCCCAGTTCTGTCCTGCTTCAGGAAGTCTGTAGAGGAGGAAGGCGGGATGGCCCCCTTCTTTCTTCACAGTTTTCTCTTTCCTGGTCTTCTGATTTCCACTTTTGACTGCCCCAGGATGAGGCCCAGATGGGGAACAGCTTGAGGGGCATGGCACCATCTTATGCAGTCAGGAGTTGTGACCTTGCTCAGCAAGCACTAGGGATGTTTCCGCAGCTCACCCTCTCTTTCTTTGGCTGCCCTTCACTGGCTGTGCTACCTTTAGCTGGGATCCTCCCACTGCAGTTAGTTTGGCACAAGCTTCTATTACTGATTGCTTCCGACTCACCTTTTAGCCTCTGGGCAGTCCATCCTTCTGTGGGGGTCTCTTTGTTCCACCTATCGTGAGTGGAATCCCTTTTAAGCAAACTTCAAGCCAGCCTCCATCAGAAGGGTCATACTTGGTTCCCCCAAAACTCAAACATTTCCTCTCACTGTGAAGTGTAGCTGGTCCCCACATAGCCACTTTGCTTTGCTTTTCAAGCATTCAGGTGGCAGCTCTGGTCTTAGCTGCTTGCCTTTAGACTTTTAACTGTGGGTCAAATATCGGTCTCCATGTCTCTCAGTCTAGGGACATGTGCCAAGCCCTCTGAAGACACTCTTAGAGCCCCTTCTCATTTGCTTGCTGGGAGGAAACCCCCCCTCCCCCTTTCACACGAGTAAAGGCAGAAACACCATAACAGTCTCACAATTTTATTGCTTTCTTGTACCTTCCAGTTCAATTTCTTATCTACAAAGTGGGTGATGGGCTGGCGGAACAATTTTTCATCTCTAGCATTGCTATTAGGATATGCATGTTTTTACCACCATTGTTCTTACATTATGCTTGGAGTTTAGAGCCCCTGCCAAAACCCAGAAACCACCTGCTGCAAATACAGTGACCTGCTGCAAATACACTGGGGTAACACACAAAGTTGGGGGTTAAGAATTTAAAAGAAAAATCTTTGATTCTGAGAAATCACTATGACCTATCATTACCAGCTAAAGAGTTGTCTTTTGTCCAGGAGGCCTAGAAAAGCTGTTTAAGCTCTTTTCCTTACACTGTCTTCATCTCTGGTTAGCTACTATCAGGCAACAACTGGTTGTTAACCAGATTAAGGTGACATCTAACCAAATTGCCTATACAGTTAGCAAGAGCACACCAGAAAGATATAGGAAGAGCATTACCCAGATACACTCACTCACACATGTTTTGCATAGTAGGGATCTACACTATTTTATTTAGCTTCACTTTATCTAAAAACTAAAGACTTTTTGATCAATTTCACCAATCATGCAAGAACTAAATAAAGGCTGTGTCTGTCTCTGCTGGTACATAAAGCATAAAGAAGCCTTGGATCCCCTGCAGCAGTTGCCAGCTTCCCGCCTCTCTCCTGTGCATGGGCAGATGTGTCATGTTGGTGACACTCACACATTGACTCAGCAAACTGTGAACTCAGCTCCCTCGGTGAGGATTCTGTGACTTGCTTTTCATACCATGGAAAAAGAGGATAAGGCAATTTTTCCAATTTTTTATTTTGGTTTTATTTTGAAATCGTTTTATACTTTTAGGAAAATTAGAAAACAGTGTAAAGAACCTCCAAATCATCTTTAGCCGGATCCACCATTTTTTTAAACATTTGCCACAATTTGTTTTTGCTTCTTCAGAACTCCTTGAGGGTAGGTTGGATATATCATTCTCCTTGATCCTTTAATACATCAATGTGTATTTCATAAGAGTGAGACATTCCCATTATTTTATGTGACCACAGTACAGTTATCAAAATCAGAAGGTTTACCCTTGGTATGATACTTTAACATCCGCATTCCAAATGTGTCAGATATCTCAACAATGTTCTTTGCAGAACCTTTTTATTTTGTTTGGTTTGCCCTTCAGTCAAGAGTGCAGTCCTAAATTTGTCCAGTGGGAGCCCCTTCAGGCTGCCTGCTGAGTCCTTTTGACATGCCCCAGTTTTCTGTTTGTTTGTTTTGAGTACTTTCTTGCTTTGTGGTTACAGTATTCTAAATACCCTGGCTCTTTAAACTTCTTTGGGAGTACTTATCCTTAAGCATGCTTACTGTCCTTTTGACTTTTCTTTGAGAGTCTCAAAATAGCCTATGGATGTTCCCTGATTAACATTCCACACATCTGGATTGCCAATACCATAAACAAGGTGACAACACAGACCACCGTCGTCAAGTTATTGCAATGTACAACTTAGGTGAACATGCATAGTGTTTCATCATTTAATTGAGAGAATGAACAAATACATCAAAGAAAGCAAAACTATCATCAGAAATATATTGATTCAATAGTTAGCCCATAATATCACATGAACCAGCAAAAGTTCACAATTAGAGTTTTGTGTAATACCTAAGATTATTTATTCTCTTTAAAATCTTGCCACGATTTACTGTGTTAAAGATAAAATAATATAAAAATCAGACTACTAGTTATCAGTTAGTGAACACACTAGTCTGGAAAACATCATGTAATTGGAATCAAAGAGGAACAGGATGATCAGTCAATCCACAAGGCAGAAAAATACATTTCTTAACTGAAAATATCAATTAAATTCCTGATTGAATGTGGCACCTAGAATGTAGATTAGATATCATAATAGCACTTACATTAGAAGACAACTTTTCTTAGGTTAATGTGACTACTAATATGGAGGCCTAATCTTGCTAGGTCATGTTAGAACCCTTATTCTCTGTCCCTGCTGTTCTTACTGTGAACAGGAGTACTGTGTGGTTCAAGGGGAAGGAACCACTGATTGTTTATCTTGAAGGCCCGTTGCAGTAGGTTTGTACCTGGTGTACACTCACTGTATAACTGAGGAATTAATGAATATTTTTGCTACCGCAAAGCCCTGAGGGGTGAAAAGGTGCTATGGTCTGCATGTTTGTGTCCCCCCACCAAATTCCTATGTTGAAATCCTAACTCCCAAGATGATGGTATTAGGAGTATGAGGACTTTGGGAGGTGATTGGGTCATGAGGGTGGATCTCTCATGGCTGAGATTAGTGCTCTTATAAGAAAGACCCCCCAGCTAGGCATGGTGGCTCACACCTGTAATCCTAGTACTTTGGGAGGCTGAGGCTGGTGGATCACCTGAGATCAGGAATTCAAGACCAGCCTGGTCAACAAAGTGAAACCCCATCTCTACTAAAAATACAAAAATTAGCTGGGCGTGGTGGCACGTGCCTGTAATCCCAGATACTCAGGACACTGAGGCAGGAGAATCACTTGAACCTGGGAGGCAGAGGTTGCAGTGAGCCAAGATCACGCCACTGTACTCCAACCTAGGCAAGAGCAAGACTCTCTCTCAAAAATAATAATAATAATAATAATAGAGATCCCAAAGAACTCCCTTGCTCCTTACACTATGTGAGGGAATGCCTAGAAAGTGCCCCCTATGAACCAGAAAGTGGGCCCTCCTCACCAGAAACTAAACCTCCTGGCACCATGATCTTGGACTTCCCAGCTTCCAGAACTGTGATAAATAAATTCCTTTAGATTACTAGCTACCCAGTCTATGGTATTTTGTTATATTAGCCTGAATGGACAAAGAAAAAGGTAGGTAACTTTTGAGGAAATGTGGGGCTTGGTATTTAATGTGACTGTTTGTTTCAGCTCTTCATTATTTCACCGTTAGTTATGTCTCTGGAATGAGAGCTTGGCTCTTGACAGGCAGTGACATATGACACATCACACAGCAAGGAGGAAATCTAAAGGGAGACCGCACTTCAAGGTCTCTGGAGTGATGGCCCCCGATAACTAGCAATCAAGCGTCAGGCATCAAGTGTGAGTTCCTGGTATCAAAATGCATGGAATGCAGACAGAATTCAGAGGGCAATATACAGCTTCTAAAACATTTATCAGGAAATAAACTCATCCTGAACTCAGAAGCAAGAAAAATGTCAACAGATTAAACATAAAGAAACAAACCAAGAAAGAAAATACTAAAGAGAAGACAAAAATGAAATACAATAGAAATAAAGTAAATTTAATTACCAAACTGGAAAAAAAAGTTTCTTTTAGAAGACTAATGATATAGGAAAAAATATTCTACATACTGATTTTTAAATTTTATGCAAATAAGCAGGAAACAGATTTTATAGGGTAAAATTATCAAAATGACTCAAAAATTTAAAGATTCAAAATATAGTCTAAAATTTCTGTACAATGATACCCCCAATGAATTTGAAAACCTAAATTACATGGTTAAATTTTTCAAAAACATTATAAAATATAAAACAGCATAATGAGAAATAATGTGGCATGGTCAATAATAATTTATAATTTTATAATGCTATTCGAAATATTTTATTTTTATTTTTATTTTATTTGTGTGTGTGTGTGTGTGTGTGTGTGTGTGTGTGTGTGTGTGTGAGAGAGAGAGAGATTTTTATTTATTTATTTATTTATTTTAGATGGAGTTTCGCTTTTGTTGCCCAGGCTGGAGTGCAATGGCACCGTCTCGGCTCATGCAATCTCTGCCCCCTGGGTTCAAGTGATTCTCCTGCCTCAGCCTCCCGAGTACCTGGGATTACAGCCACCCACCACCACGCCCAGCTAATTTTTGTATTTTTAGTAGAGACAGGGTTTCATTATTTTGGCCAGGCTGGTCTCGAACTCCTGACCTCTGGTCATCCCCCAGCCTGGGCCTTCCAAAGTGCTGGGACTACAGGCGTGAGCCACTGTGCCCCGCCAATCTTTTCCTTTTAAAAGCCTGCACACATCAACATGCATGCATCTCTCTCTCTCTCTCACATACACGCTCACGTGTGTGCATGACAGTTACAGGCATATGTGTTTTTACAAATGAATTCTGCCAAAGTTTTAAGAAATTCCTATATTATACAAGTGGCTACAGAATATGGCAAAGAAGATAAAATGGTCCAGAGAATAGAAAATGAGGGAAAAGACTTAGAATGCCAACATCAAAAATAAACAAGGGTGGTAAAAAGTAAAGGAAATCCTAGTTGATGTTGATATATTTGTATAGGTGAAACAATTTTACATAAAATATTAGCTACCAAAAATATATTTGATACCCAAAAGCAAATGTATACTCTAGCAAAAATGATATTATAATCAAATAGGGTGTTTGCTGGAAATGAAAGATGGTTTCACATTGTACGTATATCAATAATGAATTGAAACAGAAAAAAATTACCATCTTGATATTGTCAAAAAGGAATTTGATAATCTTCACTTCATGATTAAAGTGGGAAACAAAGTGTTTTTAGGGTGTCAAATATAGAACTCCCTCTAAACTTGTTATAGGATATATAAACATTTCAAAACATAAAGCAAACATCACATTGAATGAAAACACTGGATAAATATTAAATCCTCCCCCTAAGCCTGAAGGAAAGTAAACACTCCTCTTACAGGTGAATAATGTGCAACACATTATAAGAAAATGAAGGAAGAGACTGACGCCCTTAAAGGAAAGAGATTAAACTCCCGTCATATATGCAGATGGTATCATGTAAATATTTACCTTGAAAACCCAGAAGCATTAATGAACAAACCTCTGGAACTATTATCAAACTTGAGCAAGATTGCCAGAGGCATGAACAACATTCGAAACAAGCTGTGGTTCACTAAAGCAGCCATAATCAATTAGAAAATAAAATAGGAACTCAGAGGACATTTGGAGTAGCTTCAGAAACTTGAAAATGTCTAGGAATGAATCTACCGAACCCTGAAGAAATCCTTTATGAAGATAACCCTAAAATTAGACTAAAGGACAAAAAATAAAACCTGAACAGATGAAGGGGTTTTCCACTTCGTAGGAGGAAGTGTGGTAAAGATGTGAATTCTTCCGTAATTAAGGCCTCAGTGCAATGCAAATCCTAACAAATTTTTCAAAGGCAATGGACAAACTGTTTCTAAAATTTTACTTCCAGCAATATGGAGGCCTGGATATTCTAAAATTCAATCCCACTGTCTAACTGGAAATGTGGGATACATTGAAGTAAATCTTTAAATACATACCTACGGCTCCTAAGAAAGTGGACAAAATTGCCAGAGGTGAAAAAGAAAAAAAAAGTAACGAAGTTAGGATATCAAGTTTGTCCCTGATTCCAAAGCTACAGACATCCTTTGGGCATTTTTAACAGGTAGGGATGTAGACACGTGTAGTCACTCCAGAGAACAATCTGACACCTATAATGAAATTGAGTTGCGGTACTCCATGAACCAGGAACCTCACTCCTGGGGAGATGTGAGAGAGGAACCCTGCTCCTTTTGTGATCATAAATGTTGAGGCAACTTGATGTTCACTACTGTAATAGATAAGCAAAATTTAAGAGATGGATAGAAGGGGTTACTATAAGTAAAACATTCATGAGTACTTAGATGGAAACACGGAGAGCAATCAGATATAGTATAAATGAAAAGAAAAAACCATGAGATTTATAGTCAATACTATTTATGTAAATTATAAATGTAAACACATAATATAACACTATATATAATTTCCTTTTTTTTTTTTTTTGAGACGGAGTCCCATTCTGTCACCCAGGCTGGAGTGCAGTGGCATGATCTCAGCTCACTGCAAGTTCCGCCTCCTAGGTTCACGCCATTCTCCTGCCTCAGCCTCCCGAGTAGCTGGGACTACAGACGCCTGCCACCACGCCCGGCTAATTTTTTGTATTTTTAGTAGAGACAGGGTTTCACCCTGTTAGCCAGGATGGTCCTGACCTCGTGATCCGCCTGCCTTGGCCTCCCAAAGTGCTGGGATTACAGGCGTGAGCCACCGCGCCCAGCCACTATATATAATTTTCTAAATCATACACTACATATAATTTTCTAAATCAACTGTTTCTCATGTGGCATGAGAGACAGTTGGACTGACACTGGGAGGAGAAAGCATAAATACATATGTGAGTTAGAAAACTATATAGTATTATGTGTTTATATTTATAATTTACATAATGTCTAATGTAACTAGTCTAATCTTAATGTCTAATCTAACTAGACATTAGGATTATCAAAGCATAAAACAATGTACTCAGGACCAACATACTAAGAGACAGCTCTAAGTCATCCAGGAGTGGACACAGGCATTGATATTTTTCTTAAGGTCTCTAGGTGACCTAATCGATAGCCAAGGTCGAGAATCACCAGTCTAAATAGATGTTGTGCCATATATTCAAGTGTATGTAAAGACGATTAAAGATTATTAAGAGCAGTCAATTCTGCTGTAACATTTGTTGAGAAAAACTCAAGTTTGTTCCTATATTGACTGATGTATTTCAAAACAGTTTGTGCTTAATGTGAATTTTGTTTTGTTTATGCCTGACTTTGTCTGCAAGAAATATTAGATGTATGTGAAAAACTGCACCCAGATACAGAGCCCTATAGAAATACACAAAATGCACACACTTCATAAATCTACCAGCAACCTCCGTTTGTCTTATGTGATGAGCCGCACCTATCTCATCTGTTGTTACAACTTTCTTCCAGTTTCAAATAACCCCATACTGCAATGACTTCACAATATCTCACAAGCTGAGGTGGTTTCTACACCCCTTCCACAAGCAACCTGGGGTCTTTTCCAATTTAATGTGTCATACTTGTTGTGTTAGTCCTGACCATTTAACATGTGAAAATTGTGCTTTCATTCTTGTTAGGCTCTTATATTTTTTTTCTTTACTGTGTCACTGACAAAGTTTTTGAGTGTTGTATCCCTAACCTAATTTTTCCCCCTAGCCCTGTGGTTTTTACCATGCAATTTTGCATACTGTGGTTCTCTTAAGGATTACATATGTCATGTTGTGGCATGAGAGACAGTTGGATTGATACCGGGAGAAGAAAGCATAAAATAAAACATCAGGCTTATTTTTCTAGGGGCAAACGACATCATTGAGTTCCAGCATCTGCAAGTAACTGAAGAGTGGGATAGACCCCAGAGCAGGCAAGGGAAACTAGCACGCTGAAGTTCCAAGGAAAGAATTCCTCTTGAAGCAAGGAGGAATCCTTCCTCATCTACTCCCAGAGGAATGGAAATCTCCGTTGCTTCTGGTGAGCCTTTTGTCAATCAGAGCTTTATGATCTTGGTCACATTTACCAGATGGTATGTTTAAAAGTATTCTGGGGTTTAAGGCTGGTCGCAGTGGCTCACGTTTGTAATCCCAGCGCTTAGGGAGGCTGAGGCAGGCAGATCACCTGAGGTCAGGAGTTCAAGACTAGCCTGGCCAACATGGTGAAACCCTGTCTCTACTGAAAATACAAAAATTAGCCAGGCATGGTGGCGTGTGCCTGTAGTCCCAGCTACTTGGGAGGCTGAGGCACGAGAGTCACTTGAACCCAGGAAGCAGAGGTTGCAGAGGTTGCAGGGAGCCGAGATGGCACCACTGCACTCCAGCTGGTAACAGAGTGAGATTCCTTCTCAAAAAAAAAAAAAAAAAGTATTCTGGGGATCAAGAGACGGCAGATAAGGAGGAATGTAGACATACTGTTGTTTAGACATATTGTTGGTCACGTGCTAGTAAAGGTTTAACAACCAACTCTCAGGGAGAGGGGAGAAAGCAGTGATTTATGTTTCCACTGTGGTTGATTTCTGTCAGTTTGACACCAGTGAACACCAAGTTGGGATGAACACTGATAATCGCTTCTAGTGAGCCACCCAAGCCAGCTCCAATAACCATCGTCTACCACTGTGAGAAGGCCCCTTGACATTAACTTGAGCAGGAGAATCCCAGACGGCAGCCAGGAAAAGTGTCACGATAGTGTGTTTATAGGTGATAACCACTGTCAGAGGAACTCAGGCACACATGCTGGGAGATGTCCAGTTGTTCTTGGCGAGGCTGCAGGAAGGACATCAGCTGCAGGCGTTAACTGAACACTTCAGCAGGGAGGGGACCAGCCTTAGGTCAGGCTGATGGCAGTGGTGGGCTCTGCCGGCTACATGGGAAACCCAGCCCCATCACCATGGCCTCAGGCTCCTCATGACTGGGCTGCCCATTGTTTCTCTGGCCCATCTGCTCACCACTTCCTCGCTCACTTCACTCTAGCTCTTGCCCGACTTCCTGTTCCTAAAACACATCAGCCTCATCGTCACCCCATGGCCTTCACTCTTGCAGTTTCTTCTGCCTGGAATGCTTTTCCCCCAGATACCTGCAGGGATCCATCCCTCCCTTTCTTCGATTTCTGCTCAAATGACACTTTGTCAGAGAGTCTTTTCCTGGACACTCATATGAAATAGCATCCCCATCTCCATCACTCCACCTTCCTCCTCCCTACCTTATGGTGTTTCTCCCTTTCTGACACATCACCTATTTATTTCTTGTCTGGCTCTGCACAACTGAAGGCAGTTCCCTGGCAGGAGGGACTGTTCTATGTCTTTCACTGCCACACAGACAGCCTCTCAACTGTTTTCAACTGAATAACTGAATCAATCTCAATCTTTTGCTCTGTTCAAATGAATTTGTTTATCAATGCACTCATGTGTCAATTTAACAAGTCTATCAATTGTCTACAACGATCCAGGGACTAAAGATCCAGCAAAGCATAAGATGCATGACCCATAGCTTCTACCTTCATCCCTCCCAGAGTTCCATAAGACTGCGTTGTCTTCTTCACTATGATGTCACCATTGTATCAGTGTGATGGCTAGCACAGACATTCAAATATTTCTAAATGAATGAATAGCCATAGTCACAAATATGAGTGTATTAACCATATTTAGAAAACTGATTTGAGCATGTCATTCCACTTGGAAAAGACTAAGGCTTGGGAAATGGAGAACGATATTGGAGATTGGATGTGGGCAAGAATGGCTTGGTACACAAAGCAAGAAGTTCAGATTCAAACTTGGAGCAGCATTCTCTTATGTTTAGCATTCTCTCATCCTTGTTGCTATGAAATTCAGCCATGGCACATGTCACAATCACGATTTCCTTTTCCTTTTATTGCTGAAGAGCCTTCCGTTGCATCACATCCCACAAGTTTTTATCCATTCTCCCAATGATGCACACTGGGCTAGTTTCCATTTTGGGGCTATTAGAAATAAGGATGCTTTGAACATTTGTATGCAATCTTTTAATAGACACATGAACTAATTTCTCTCAGCAAAGTCATATTGACAGCAGAGTTTGTCTCTGGGATGGGAGAGAATAGAGATCTTTGCAATGTAAGCAGCCCTAGAGTTGCAAATTGCTCTTGTCTAAAGGCGTGGGGCAGACAGGAGTTGTTAAAATTACTTACAGTCCAACCTTGAGTGAGAAGGAAAAGTGTTTCTTCCTGCTCTTCTCTCTTTCATGTTGCATTTGGAAGTAATTCTTCTAAACTGTTATGTTTCTAAATGGATGGTGTTTGTTTATTTGCAACCTATCAATTTCATATGTTAATTTTTCAACCAGTCAGCTTATTAAGCTTCCTTATCTTTTCATTTCATTAAATGAATTCAGTTCATTCTCTTGGATTTTTCCTCATTATTTTCAAATGATCTTGTGTGCTCCTGCTTTAAAAATTATTGCACTTTTTTCCAGCCTCTGCGATACTTTAGCTAGTTGTCTCAAACCATGATAAAGAACAATTGGTGCTCTTGATTATTGTCTGACTTTAATAAAAATGGCTCTTGTCTTTTACCATTAATCATTATGCTAGGTTTTGATTCAATGTAAGTACTCGTAAATTCCTAATTTGTTAATAACTTTTTTCATGAATGAAGTAGAATTTTAACAATTAGATTTTCAGCTTCTATCAAGATATTGCTTTTTCTCCTTTGAAATATTAATAGTTACAATGTATTTGTTTACTTCTGAAAGAAAGCTATTTGTGGTACATATACACCATGGAATACTACACAGCCATAAGAAAGAAGAAAATCATGTCCTTTGCAGGAACACAGATGGAGCTGGAGGCCATTTTCCTAAACAAACTAATGCAGAACAAAAAAGCAAATACTATATGCTCTCACTCCCAAATGGGAGCTGAACATTGAGCACATGTGGACACAAAGAAAGGTACAACAGACACTGGGACCTACTTGAGGGTGGAGGGTGGGTGGAGCATAAGCAACAAGAAGCTACCTATCAGGTACTATGCTTATTGCCTTCACTCAATGCCGAAGTATGCCAGGTGATTAAATCGTCTGTACAGCAAACCTGTGTGACACAGAACTGCATAGCAAACCTGCATAGCAAACCTGCACAGGTAGCCCTGAACCTAAAATAAAAGTTCAAAACATTTTTGGTAGTTTCTTTTTTAGATTTTTAATATTTTATTTCTTCTTATTATTTTTAGTTCTGGGTACATGTGCAGGATGTGCAGGTTTGTTAAATAGGTAAATGTGTGCCACAGTGGTTTACTGCACTATCAATCCATCACCTAAGTATTAAGCCCCACATGCATTAGGCATCCTTTCTAATACTCTCACTCCCCCACCACCCCCCCGACAGGCCCCAGTGTGTGTTGTTCCCCTCCCCGTGTCTATGTAATCCTATCGTTCAGCTCCCACTTATATGTGAGAACATGCAGTGTTTGCTTTTCTATTCCTGTGTTAGTTTGCTGAGGATAATGGCTTCCAGCTTCATCCATGTCCCTGCAAAGGACATAATCTAATTCCTTTTTTATGGCTACATAATGTTCTGTGGTGTCTAAGCAAAAAGAACAAAGCTGAAGGAATCACCCTACTGGACTTCAAACTACACTATAAGGCTATAATAACCAAAAGAGCATGGTACTTGTACAAAAACAGACACATAGACCAATGGAACAGAATAAAGAACTCAGAAATATGATTGCACATCCACAACCATCTGAACTTCAACAAACCTGACAAAAACAAGCAATGGGGAAAGGATTTCCTATTCAACAAATGGTACTGGGATAACTGGCTATACATTTGCAGAAAATTGAAACTGGACCCCTTCATCACACTTTATACAAAAATTTACTCAAGATGGATTAAAGACTTAAATGTAAAACACAAAACAATAAAAACCCTAGAAGAAAATCTAGGCAATACCATTCAGGACATAGGAACAGGCAAAAATTTCATGATGAAATCTCCAACAGCAATTGTGACAAAAGCAGAAATTGACAAATGGGATCTAATTAAACTAAAGAGCTTCTGCACAGGAAAAGAAACTATCATCAGAGTGAACAGAAAACATAGAGAGTGGGAGAAAATCTTTGCAATCCATTCATTGGACAAAAGTCTAATATCCAGAATCTACAAGGAACTCAAATTTACAAGAAAAAAGCAAATAACCCCATTAAAAACTGGGCAAAGGACATAAACAGACATTTCTCATAAGAAGACACTCATGCAGCCAGCAAACATATGAAAAAAAGCTCAACATCACTGACACAGATTGGTTGTGTCTCCACCCAAATATCATCTTGAATTGTACTCCTGTAATTCCCACATGTTATGGAAGGGACCAGGTGGAAGATCATTGAATCATGGGGGTGGTTTTTACATACTGTGCTTGTGGTAGTGAATAAGTCTCACAAGATCTGATGGTTTTAAAAAGAGGAGTTCCCCTGCACAAACTCTCTTTGCCTGCTGCCATCTATGTAAGATGTGATTTGCTCCTCCTTGCCTTCTGCCATGATTGTGAGGCTTCCCCAGCTAAATGGAACTGTAAGTCCAATTAAATATCTTTTCTTTGTAAATTGCCCAGTCTTGGGTATGTCTTTATCGGCGTGAAAATTGACTAATACAATCACTTATCATTAGAGAAATGCAAATCGAAGCCACAATGAGCTATCATCTTATGGCAGTCAGAATGGCCATTATTAAAAAGTCAAGAAACAACAGATGCTGGCAAGATTGAGGAGAAATGGGAATGCTTTTACACTGTTGGTGGGAATGAAAATTAGCTCAACCATTGTGGAAGATGGTGTGACGATTCCTCAAAGAGCGAGAACCAGAAATACCATTTGACTCAGCAATCCCATTACTGGGTATATACCCAAAGGAATATAAATCATTCTCTTACAAAGATACATGCACATGTATGTTCATTGCAGCACTATTCACAATAGCAGGAACATGGCATCAACCCAAAGGCCCATCAATGATAGACTGTATAGATTTTAAATATTTTCAAGATCAATTTTAGACATTTAATCTTCCCTAATAAGTATCATTTAATCTGATTTTCAAATTATTAGCTTAGTGTTTAGCAATGTAATCACATATAACTATTTTCATTTATTTTTGTATTTATTTGCCATTGTTTTTATTTTATGTATTTTTCTCATCTATTGTGTTTAAGCTAATTACTTAATTGTAGCTACACAAATGACCAATTATTAAATTGTATGTTACAGAGTTTGGTAATTAATTGAAGCTTTTATATTTGCCTCTTTGTCTTGAATTCTGTGGAGTTACTTAATTGTTTGAATAAGGGGCTCATTCTACAGTTGGGATTTCTGCTGCTTTCACTCAAATTGTATTTTATTCCTTGCATGTTTCCTGATATTTTTCCTCAAGCTCATATTCAACTTTTTCTGTGAAAATCCTTTTAGGCCTGTTTTAGAGTTGTATTCCTTGAAGAGGAATGGTATTTGTTTTGCCAGGCTCCAAGGATTACTACTTCCTTGAGACTACTTTAAGTTAAATTGTTTGCATAGGTTTTTCACAGACATGCAGATAATGTGAATTTGTGTTGAAAAAGTGGCTTAAGAACTGTACTGTGGTTATGAATTCTCAGACTATTTCTGTTCCTATCCCAGACTTTGTTGTAGTGCAATTATAAGAAGTGTGTCTTTCCCTTCAAAAATGTCCCAGTTTGGAGGATAAATTATGTGGTCACTCAATGCTGAAGTTATGACAAGTGAGTTTCCTTCCTGCACCCTTTGCAGCAGGTTTATTTATTGCTTTCCTGTACAAAGAGTAGTGCTAACTCTTTGGGACCAGCTCTGTTCAAGGAGTTCTCATGAGACTTCCAACCTAGGATGGCCCTAGGTTAAGTCTCCTGTCTTCTGTCTCTCTCACTGTACGCAGTACCCAAAATAAAATCTCACATGTATCAGAGCCCACAGCACAACACTTGAAAGAGACGTTTTCTTGGAATTCAGTGTACAACATGTACAATATTGGTGGCACTGGATTCATGATGGTTGTAAATCTTTATCTTATATTGAACATTCATCAACATAAAGTATCTCTTTATGTCTTTTAGTATTTTTGCCTTGTATTTAACCATGCATGACTTAATCTTACAATACCTGAATTCATTTTGTATACGTTTATCTGTTAATTCTTTTTCTTTCCTTTTATCCTCAGTATTTATTTATAAGTATGTTCTAGAATTCATTGTTTTGTGTGCAAATGTTTGGCTTCTGTATTTGATAAAGTCAGAAAAGTTTTCCTTTAATTTTTTTGTTTTATCTCATCTACATTTATGGATATGACAAGTGACTTTGATCTCAGCTTTGTCTTCTTTGCTGTATATTTTTTACATTTCCTATTTTTGTTTCTTTCTTTTTTTTTCTTAGACAGAGTCTTGCTCTGTCATCCAGGATAGAATGCAGTGGCACCATCACATCTCACCGCAGCCTCAAACTCCTGGGCTCAAGTGATCCTCCTGCCTCAGTCTCCCAAGTAGTTGGCACTGCAGGTAGGGCTACCACACCTCCCTAATTTCTTTCTTAATTTTTTGTAGAGACAGGGTCTTGCTATGTTGCCCAGGTTGCTCTTGAACTCCTGGCCTCAAGTGATCCTCTGCCCTCAGGCTCCCAAAGCCATTTCCTTTTTATTAATTATTCAAATTTTTCTCTTTTTCTCCATTTTTCTCTATGTTTTTAATTTGGGGCTTGTGTGTGTGCCTTGCTTCTATGTGTTTAGAAGGAATATAGTCTAGGTTTATTTTGTCTTAAAAATTTCTTTTTAAATGTTAATAATATGTGTGCAATACTTTTAAAAAATCCAGAATCTATAAGGAACTTAAACAAATTTACAAGAAAAAAAATTAATAACCCCATCAAAAAGTGGGTGAAGGATATGAACAGACACTTCTCAAAAGAAGACATTTATGTGGCCAACAAATATATGAAAAAAAGCTCATCATCACTGGTCATTACAGAAATGCAAAACAAAACCATAATGAGATATCATCTCACACCAGTTAGAATGGCGATTATTTAAAAGTCAGGAAACAACAGATGCTGGCGAGGCTGTGGAGAAATAGAAACGCTTTTACATTGTTAGTGGGAGTGTAAATTAGTTCAACCATTGTGGAAGACAGTGTGGCGATTCTTCCAGGGTCTAGAACCAGAAATACCATTTGATCCAGCAATCCCATTACTGAGAATATATCCAAAGGATTATAAATCATTCTATACAGACACTGCACACCTATGTTTATTGCCGCACTATTTACAATAGCAAAGACTTAGAAACAACCCAAATGCCCATCAGTGACAGACTGCATGAAGAAAATGCGGCACATATACACCATGGAATATTATGCAGCCATAAAAAAGAATGAGTTCATGTTCTTTGTGGGGACATAGATGAAGCTGAAAGCCATCATTCTCAGCAAACTAACACAGGAACAGGAAACTAAACACTGCTCTCACTCATAAGTGCGAGTTGAACAATGAGAACACATGGACACAGGGAGGGGAACATCACACACAGGGGCCTGTTGGGAGGTGGGGGGCAAGGGGAGGAAGAGCGTTAGGACAAATACCTAAGGCATATGAGGCTTAAAACCTACATGACGGGTTGATAGGTGCAGCAAACCACCATGGTACATGTATACCTATGTAACAAACCTGCACATTCTGCACAAGTATCCCAGAACTTAAAGTAAAAAAACAACAACAACAAAAAAAAAAAACAGCGGTGGACACTGGTGAACAATAGTAAGAACTAAAGATATATTCACCTCTGCTTTTCTTTAAGTTCCAGATGAAGTTATTAAAAAATCATAAATTATTCTTTTTTCCTTTCATCTTCCCTATATCAGTAATATATTTGATTATGTTATTACAATTTGTTTTTTAATTTATTTATGCTCTTAAACTTCAATTAAGTTATTATCTTTAGGTGATTCTTTTGACTCCTCACAATTAGAGATACAAATATTTACACTTCTCTCTTCCACTCCTCTTCTCTTTCCTACTGCCGCCTGAGTTGATTTGGTGTTATGTTATTTACACCATTTATTTCCTGCTCCATACCTTTCTTTAATACTGGATTCAACATGTACCATTAATCCCGTAAGCCGAGCATCTTCATTCATCTCTTAAATAGCTGATTTTATTATCAAGTGCTCTTTTTTCAATAAGACTGTGTGGTCCCTAAAAGCATGAGTTCTTGAAAGTATTCTTTATTTTGATTCTTGAATGACACTTAAGTGGATAAAGCAGGCACTACATATTGCCTGGTCAAGGCATTTCAGAGCTCCTGCCCTCTGTCTTCCTCCTTTGCAGCTAGATGTGGCCTTATGAGACCTTTATGAGTAATGAAGTATAGGCAGGACACTGCTGGGAAATGGGATGTGGTATCAGGGAAAGACAAATGACAGTTGGGACTTCACTGGGCCTTGCACTTTCATCTTGCCTTGGACACAGAGGTGATGCCTGGAGTTGGAGGCAATTGTCTCTCAATCAGTTAATGATGAATGTGTTTGATGACTGGATTGGCTCTTTGAAACTCCATTCCAAACTTCTTTTTAGAAAGGTAAGAAGGCTAAAATCACATTTTCCAGAATCCCTTGAAAGTGTGTCCTGCATGCAAATTTGCCTCCACCAACTACACTAGTACTTAATACAGTGCACTAATGCTGAATTAAGAAATGTTAAACGTCTAGTACTCAGTAGGGTGCACTAAGCCTGAATTATGAAATATTAAAAGTTTAGTACTTAGTAGAGTACACTAAGGCTGAATTAGGAAATATTAAAAGTCAGCATAATCAGAACCAATGAACCATAAATATCCCCAAGTCAAATGGCCATTTGAATGCAACTAGTATTAAATGGTATTTAACTGCATACATCTTTAATATGCTTCTGCAACCAGAATTATCTTTAAAAGGGTTAACCATCCATTTATTTTTAAATAAATAGAAAAAATCACTTTATTCAATAGTTCCAAAAGGTGAATAGATACCACAGCAGAAACGTGGTTTTGACTTCCTGTTGATTTCCCATAAACACAAATAAAACCACATACTGGAGTGGCAAAAAGAGTTGTTTTTGTAAAAAAAAGATTAGGTTAAAAACACCTCAAAACAACATGGTTTTAGTAGTATTAGCCCCCAAATTGGAAAACTATGGGTAATCATTAGGCAACTGCTTTTTCCTGTGTCTTAGCAATCATAAAACCACTCAAAGAACCATTACATAAACAAGAAAAAGAGAGCTCACAGAGAAAAGAAGAGCTTTGTCCCACATTTCTAGCATAGGGAATTTTGATGTCTGTTCTCTATCAAATGATTCCATTATGTATTTAAATAATAGTACACCAAAGATTTTCTTAATCTTTTCAAAAATATAATTTGCCCAAAGATATTATTAATTCCATGAATATTTACTGAGCACCTGACATGTTCCAAACACTATTCTAGGCACTGAGGATGCAGGAGTTAATGAGACACGATCTTTCCTCAAAACTCTCCCATTCTCTTGGAGGGGTGTCTTAGCCTCTGCTGCTGCTCCCCCATGGCCCCATTGCTGTCCAAGCCCGCTGCAAAGTGCATCTGATTCACTCTTGAGCTCCACAGTTCCTGGCAGAGTTGATCTCTGAATCCTTTGCTCCTAAGAAGCAACTATTTTATGTCTCTTGGAACACCCATTAGGACAGGGATCCCCAACACCCAGGCCATGAACTGGTACAGTTCCATGGCCTACTAGGAACCAGGCCACACAGCAGGAGGTGAGTGGCAGGCCAGCGAGCCAAGGGTCATCTGTATTTACAGCCGCTCCCCATTGCTCACATAACCACCTGAGCTCCACCACCTGTGAGATCCGCCCTGGCATTAGATTCTCACAGGAGCTGAAATTCTGATGTCAGCTGCACATGTGAGGGATCTAGGTTGCATGCCCCTTGTGAGAATCTAATGCCTGATGATCTGTCACTGTCTCCTCTCATCCTGAGATAAGACCATCCAGTTGCAGGAAAACAAACTCAGGGCTTCTACATTCTAGAACTGTATAGAATCTTTCATTGGTTCTACATTCTGGTGAGTTGTATAATTGTTTCACTATATATTACAATGTAATAGTAATAGAAATAAAGTGCACAATAAATGCAATGCAATTAAATCATTGTGAAACCATCCCCACAACTCCCAGTCTGTGGAAAAATTGTCCTCCCCCAAACTGGCCCCTGGTCCCAAAAAGGTTGGGGACTGCTGTGCTAGGAGACACATGCCCTGCCGGTGCTGTGTTTCTGAGAACAAATAAGTGCCTTTGTTCAACTAGGATGGATTGATTAATGCTTGGCCTTAATAAATAAATAAATAGCAGGGAAATAGACAGTGCATCTCTGTAGAATATTTCTAAAATTTTAATTCAGAGACAACCATAAGCAGAACAAAGGAGTAAAACCATTTAAAAATGAAAAGAGTATGCAAGTATTGATTACCATCAGTTGGTATTAATAGTCAAATAAGTCTAACAAATTCTGGATTAGAGAAAGAAGTTGTATATTTTAGGATTTTTTCTAATTTAAGAAGCTTTGCTGGTGCCTTTTCTCTCTTAAGAATTCAGCTAAAATTAGTTTCCTCTCCACGCAGAGTCTGAATATATTATAAAAATAAAAGAATAATTGTCTTTCACACAATAAATCTAATTTACATTTCTTTTCATTTCCTTATCTCTTTTAAACATTTTTCATCAGATGACAAAATATATGCTAAGTCCTGGATTCAGGTTTACAAAAAAAACTAATAGCTATGGCCAGCACAGATTATGATAAAATACCCATTTTTTCCTGCAGCTTATAAAGAATGCTGAACTAAAATATAATTCACCTAAGACAGCAGGTACAGACAATCTAGCAAAAGACTTATCAGTTTCTACATAAAAAGGAGCTGATTTCATTATAGTAGCAAGAACTTCTCCTGTGCATGTTTTATATTTAAAGTCTCCTTTTAAATTCAAGTCAACAGGAAACCAAAAAGATCTTATCTAGTAGTAGGAACATACTAATGTTTAAAGTGTCTCTTTTTTTATCATATTCTTTTAAAAAATATTTTGTAATTAATATTTCAATTGCCTGGCTTGTTCATGTACTTAGGTATAAGAATTTTACAATTTTTGTACAACACATTTTTAAAAATTTATAATCAAGGTATTTATTAGTAACAGTCAAAACAGGCTCATTGAATCTTTTATGTTGCCTTTTGAGGAGAGAAAAATCTGAATATGTCGTTTGTTCTTGGTCTTGTTCATCTGTGTACAACAGCACAAACCTGCTGGACTTGCCAGCCACTAATCAGGGGCTACTGGGCCACTCACCACATCTTTTCATAAACTGATTGCAAATACAGGTTGTAAGTATAGACAAGCCCTTGTTAAATAATCTTTTAAAGAAAATGTCTAAGTGATCATTAAATAGAAGTTTATCGATTCGAGAAAGGCTAAAAATAAGTGAGTTGTGCAATTAATCTGGGCTCAAAAGTCTTTTCACTTTTTAAAAATAATCATTTTACCAGGATATCTGCACTATAAGACTTGATTTATAGCAGAATCAGCTGTTCGCATGACGTTGGTGGTGAATCATGTGAAAGCAGCATAGTAAAAATGCCCATGGAGGGTTTCTTGGTTTGTATGTTTCTTTGCGTAATGTTTATTTATTATTGTTTAATTTTTTAAATTGTTTTAAGTTTTTGTAGAGATGGGGTCTAGGGTGGTCTTGAACTCCTGGCTTCCAAATGATCCTCCTTCCTCAGTCTTATTTATTACTGTTAAGACTGAGGAAAGTCATTCAATAAGTGACTGGGAGACTGGATGGAGTTCCTTCTGTAGTTGTAGACACTACATGAGCAGTAAGTAGAACATCAGGGATACACTATTACTTTAAGTAGGCATGCATTAATGGGCTATGTTTCTCTCAGAGGAGGAGGAGGGTCTGAGCTTCTGATGTTGTCTCTCAGTGCCTCGCAGACCCTACTGCTCTGCTCTGAGACCAGCCAGAGCTGCCCGTGCAGCTGCAGGGAGGGGCAGGAAGCTGAGCCAGGATGTGCAGCCAGTCAGGGGAAATCTTAGCAAATTTATTCAGGGACAGATATCCCTATTAAAAACTAAAAATTAAAGTGTTAGCCAATAAAGAACTCCTAAATCTGATACTCTATAAATTAAAGATATCTCATCAACTAGAAAATGTCAATGTTTCTGTTCTTGAAACAATGGGCATAGTCAGAAAAAAAAATACTGTGCTTTCAATACAGAGGTACATTGAAATTGAAATACAATATAGATAACACCATCTCTATATATTATTGTTTATGGAGATATCATTCACACACCATAAAATTCACCCTTTTAACATATAGAATTCAGTAGTTTCGGTACATTCAGAGGTTTGCGACCATCACCACAATCCAATTCCAGAACATTCTCATTATCCCAAAGAAACACCCCACCCATTAGCAGTGATTCCCTATTTTCTTCTTCCCTAAGCTCCACACGAACACTAATCTACTTTCTGTCTCTGTAGATTTATCCATTCTGGACATTTCATATAAATGAAATCATAAAATATGTGGCCATAAATTTTATTCTTTCAAATGGATTTAATCCTGAATAAAGGTATCATTTTGCTTTAGTTCATTGTCATAGAATTATTTTCTTTTAAAACATTGTAATTTATTCATGAATAAGAGATCTGTGGATCAATTGGGTAAAGTGAATCAATTCACATAAGTGAAAAGATATCTGGTTATTGATTGACATTCTTATTTCATTCCTTTCTTTTAAAACCAAATGATCTAAAGCATTCCACTGTGATGCTAGTGACTCAAAGACAGTTAGGTTGACTAATATTTCTCATTAAATTGATTCAATTGCCTAGTTGTTTAAGGATATGCATAGGTAACCAAAATCGGTAAAACAAATTACTACAAAATGTTAGGCTGCAAAGTATTCTGTTTAAAGACAGTGTTTATTCTCTCTCCACCAAGACTAATTACTGGAAGAAAGCAATTTATTCTGCCTGGTACAGTGGAGAAGTGATATATGAGAAGCATGAAAGTTTCACAGTGCAAAAGGAGGAAGTAGGTAACGATTATAGTGGAATAATCATTACAAAATGGTAGACTTACTCTACTTATACTGAGAAAGAAAAGTGTGGTCATAACAAGTGTGATTGGGGTGAGTATGTTATTAGTAAATGAAACCCCGTGCAGCAATAATCCCTACACACCAAGAAAGGAAGAAACACCTCCTTGTATGCAACTGACTTCTCATCAGAAGTGTCACTCACATTACCTGGGGAAGTTCAAACTCTTCAACCTAGAACCTACTGATGTAAACAGAGAAAAGGTCAAAGCAGTGCCTCCAGCATGTATACCTATGTAACAAACCTGCACATTGTACACATGTACCCAGAACTAAAAGTATAATAATAAAAAAAGAACTAAAAAAAGGCAGTGCCTCCAGAAGAAAAAAGAAAGAAAGAAAAATAAACAACAGAGACAAATGAGTCCTCACCTCTGCTCCAAATCTATTCCTTTCTCTCTATATTTTTTTTACTCTTTCTATCACCCAGGTAAACTTTCCCTATGGGCAGGACCGGCCAGGCAGATATGAGTCAATAGCTTAAGTAACTTATGAGATTCTATCAGCCACAAAAATATCATTCCCAGTAGTGTGCTACAATATTGCAATTTCAATAATTAGGTTTTATTGTTATTATTACATTAATGTAGTATCTCTGAGACAAATAAATTTTCCAAGACAGACATATATGGGATGTTTTGCTGCTAACTACCGGATGACAGCACTGAATACCTAGAAAACAAATAGCTCCAAGAGTGAAGATATTGAGATGAAGACTAATTTGCTTTGTTTTGCACATATATTTCAAGCTCCAGGGATTGTGCTATGCTCCGGGTATACATGTATGACTCAGACAAAATTATCACCTCTGAAGAACTCAATCTAGTGAATGGTGACAATTATCCTCAAAGATAGCATAAAATCTAAACTGGAGGTATATACAAAATATTATGAGGCAGAATGTAGTTCATAGAAATGCTGGCATCAGGCCTGAATCTTAAAGAATAAGGTAGCATTTAGCAAAGAGATAAGAAAGTGAAAGACTTTTTATATAGAAGAAATAATTTACAATGTAATGGAGAGAAAATGTCAAAGTAAAAAAAATACAAATTGCTTCGTATGATAGACGCATAATAAACTGTATAAAGTTAGGAATAGAGAGGGAGGCAACGGCTATTTCATTAAGGTCTTTTCTGTG
Organism: Homo sapiens; assembly: GCF_000001405.40. Lineage (NCBI taxonomy): Eukaryota > Metazoa > Chordata > Mammalia > Primates > Hominidae > Homo > Homo sapiens. The sequence continues at coordinate 108,406,589 of NC_000013.11, read as the reverse complement.
CTAATAATAGGACTTTGTAGATTATCTAATAAGTGAAAGAGAGCCATTGAATTCAATTATAGAGAAAGGCATTAAAAATCATTAATTCTTACAGAAGTTATTTTAACAACAGTGAGGGATGCATGGAACCATTCCTACCCAAGTGTTGTCTCTGAATCCTCTTCCAGTCTGCAGGTCATTTGTTCTGGCCTCAGACACGTTAAGAACCTTGCTCTAGAATGTCAATCAACGACTTCATGAAGTGCACTTCATTTAGCTCAGCTGATTTCTAAAAAATACACTTTGTTGAAGAAGATAGTAATGCATTAATTTACAACCTGACTCAAGCTCCTCATCTCTTTTAGACCAGCATCTTGGGTAGCACTGCTTAGAGGTGAGACTATAGTTCCCTGATGAGCAATAAGCATCTTTGGATGGTAGAGAAGTGAGCTCCATAAAGGTGTCATCAGATGTGTCTTGTACTCCATAGCTACTCTCAGCTCTGACCGCATCACATGGTATATGCTCAAGAAATACTGGGCTGACTATTGACTGGGAACAAGCCGAGAATATTGTGACCCATTATGGTGCTGTTGAAATAGTCCAGTAAAGAATGACTTTCCACACCAAGATATTATCAGTAGAGATAGGGAGGAGGGAAAGATATGGAGACACTTACACCTTAAAATCAACTGACTCATGGCTAATCAGAATTTTTGGATGAGGCACATTAGAGAGAGGGAGTGATCTAGAGGGTTGCTTATGGAAATTTGGCCTGGGGGATAAACTGAGTGATGATGTCTAATTTCTAGTTAGGTTGTACGGGAGGTATATCATGGTTTAGGTATGTTCAGGTTGAATTGTTGAGTTCATTAAAAAATCACAAATATGTGTCTTTGGATTTTAAGAAATTGGAGTTAGAGATGCAAATCCAGAAGCCACTACCATGTGCAGAGAGAGCAGCCCTGAGGAATATTAGCATTAAGGGGAACGTGAGCTGAGAGGAGATTAGCTCACATACCAGAGTAGGAATAAATTTTTGCAGAATAAACAGTAAAATCAGAAAGAAATGATACAGATAAAAAAGGATGAAGAAATTTTCTAGAGGGAGAAAATGGTAAACTGTTACAAATGTTCCTTAACTCATACAATGCAGTAATGTTCTGATTCTGCCTAACAAATTATCACAAACTGAGAAGCTTAAAACAACATCTATTCATTCTCTCACAGTTTCCATGGGTCAGGAGTCTGGGTATCACCTATCTGGGCCTTCTGCCCAGGATCTCAGGATGCTGCAACCAAGGTGTTGGCTGGGCTGTGTTCTCATGTGGAGGCTTGACTAGGGAAGATTCACTTCCGAACTCATTCAGGTCATGGTATGCATTGGGTTGGTGCAAAAGGAATTGCGGTTTTTAAAAGTAACGGCAAAACCACAATTCCTTTTACACCAGCCTAATTGTTCCTTGTGTCTATATGACTGAATGGCCCCACTTTTTGGTAAGTGTTGGCTGGAGCCACTGTTAGTTAGGTCCTAGAGGAACCCCACAGTTTCTTGTTTCGTGGCCTTCCTCTCCATGTCTGCTTACTTTATCAAGCCAACAAAGAGAATCTCTCACTCCAGTCTGCCAAATGGAGTCTTACATATTCTAACATAACTGTGGGAGAGACATCCCATCACCATTGCCATATTCTGTTGGTTATAAGCAAGTCACAGTTTCTGCAGTTAAGGGAGTGGGTTACAGAAGAATGTGAATGTTGGGAGGTGGAAATCATTGAGGTTTCCCATAGAGTGTGCACACAACATTCAATATGGCATGAAAATGACTCAGGGATTGATTTGTCATTGAGATCACTGGACCCTAGAAGAATCTCAGTGAATTCCTGAGGCAGGAAACAAATTGCAATAAGCAGAAGATAGAATGAGAAGTGAGAAAATGGAGACAGAAATTATAAACAACTATCCTTGGATTCCTCTCTATGAAGGGAGAAAGAGAGGACATGCCTTGTAGCTGGTTAGTGCTCCCAAGGAACAGAATCTCCTTGTATTTGTCTCTGATTCCTAGCATCAGCTCAGGATCTGGCAAACAGCAGCTGTTTAGTAAGAATTTGTTGAATGACAGTAGCCAAAGTGGAGAAAATTTGGAGAATTGTTGTTATTGTTTAAGATTGGGCAAACTTAAAAAATGCCATTAAATGGAAGAGAAGAAGTCAATGGAGAGAAAGAGGTTAAAGATGTAGGAGAAAGGAGTTTTTCAGAAGTAACTCACACAAAACGAGAAGCAATGGCATCTATGGAAGTGCTGGGAGGCATCTGATGCTCTTGCTTGCCATTCACAAAGAGAAATTAGAAGACTTCTTGGACCCCATGATGTCCTCCGTCAATGTCCAGCAACAGTGTTCACCTTCTGCATCCTCCGGTTCCTACATGAACCAACGTGATCCTGGCTAAGGCCAACTACTCCAGGAACCCACTGGGAATTACTCCCTCTCCTCTCCTCAAAGATGGGACTAGAAATTCTTGCCTCCCTCTTTTGCTTCATCATTTCCTCTTCTATGGTATCATGCCCGTTCGCTTACACATCAACTCCCCCAAAGGGGCAAAAATAAAACAAACAAAAAACCACAAATCTGTACTTGTAGTTTTTCCATCTCCAACAACCAACCCAGTTTTCTGTTTCTTCTCACAACAAAACTCTAAGAGATATTTTCATTCATTATCTCCCAGTAATGCATTTATACATTTTGTTGGTTTGTTTACTAGCAAATGTTAATCAGGATGGTGAAATGTGAAAGAAAATCATCTTATATATTCCAGTTAACATTTTACAATGTAGGGAAAATGCAAGGATAAACACGATTGCTCTTCTTGAAAATGAACTTGATTTAGAAGACGATAGCCACTACCACCTGCTCTCTATTTAGCCAGGATTCTGAAGGGAACGATGTCTATTTGCAGTGGCATCTTGGTGAATTTGATCTGTTTGAGCAAGTGATCTCACTGTGAGAGCCAGGACATCTCTAGCTGCTGCAAGGACAGCTTCCCCGAGGGCTGAATAAGCAGACTGGAGAACTCCTGTGCTCCTTTCTTGGGTGTTGTGTCTTCTGTGTCAGACCCTTCAGAACAGAGATCGTGGACCAGGCACCTTTGTATTCAGAGAAGCAACACTGCTAAGCTGCAGGTTTTAAACTGTCTGTGTTCGTTTGCTTTCATAGCTTCCAAAGACCTGTTTGCCTTTCTCTTTGAATTTGATGTCACAACTTTATTTAAAATTTGATTTTAAACTAGACAACAAGTCTCTGTTTTCTCTGATGCTTTCTTGCCGTAAGCATTTTCATTACGGTTTAATTTGGACATGCTTAAATCCTCTTTCTTTATGTGGCCAAGATACGTTACTGAAATAGTACATTGTTTCTGTACTTCCCGGAATTTTCTCCTTCTCATTTCAAGCAAGTAGCCAGGATTTGTAATTCTTTTAGAAATCCCTCCTCCACCCCCAACTCCTCTGGGGTTTTTGGCTGGGATGAAAGCAGTCTGTCTCTCCCTGTCTTTTGTAAAAGCCTACACCCCCTGTAGAGATTACCCTGGGTTTTCTGGAGGGTCTGTGCAGGAGAAAAGTCCTGGGAGCCAGGAAAGGGATGGGGGTAAATCCTAGGACACCAAGAAGGGGAGGTGGGGGATTAGAGCAGGGCCCTGAGAGCAGGGTCTCTTGGCTGAGGGGCTCTGCTGCTTCTAGACCTCCTTGAATGAGCTATGGGACTTGAGGTGATTCTGGGAGCTCCTTCAGGCAGCAAGACTCCCATTGGAAATTCCAACTGTGCACCTGCAGAGGCAAGAATGCAGGTCCCCAGTGTCACCCAGCAGGCTAGCATGGCACGGGCACACGTGGGCCTGAAAGAAGTGTGGTCGCCGTGGTTTGGGCGGTCCAAGGAGAATGGCTTCCCACTGCCTGATATTCAGTACGGCCCTGGATGTTCATACCTTTCAGGGCCTGAAAATAAGCAAAGTTGAATTTTCTATTTTCTGCTCAGAGTCAAAACTTTTGGATACCCAAGTTTTATAAATATATATACCTTGCTGATCTGAGTTTGTGGATTGAGATTTATATCAGCTACATTTATAAAAACTATTGAATTTTGTTGATTTCTGCCCTCAACATTCTACTTATTTGTACTGTTTTATTCCTCACTTCCACTTTTTTAGGCTACAGGCATGTTTTCTCCAGAATTATCTTCCTAAATGGAGTGTAATTTTCAGTGCATCTTTCTCAGATAACAGAAATCGGAATGGGGGACAAGGAACACAGTGACTTCCATCATTTATCTTGATCTATTCAAAGATGTTAAAAATTGTTCAATGATAGCTGCAGTCATATTTTATTTTGATTATTTTAGTTGTTTTTTATTAGTGGCTTATTATTTATTACTGTTTAAAATAATTGTCATATACCCTTATTGGTGGGCATATAGTTGTTTCTTTTCTTTGTTTTTCACTTTTAAAAACATCATTGAAGACATTGTCTTGTGTGTGCACCTATGTGAATAGATAAATCTAGAAGTGGAATTCCTGGCTCAAAGATACATTTTTCATTTTAATTGCTTTTGCCAAATCAACCTCCGTAAAATGAGCTCAATGTATGCTCCTCAGGAAAACGAATTTAAAAGCACACAGGTGGTGTGGATCCAGGCCCTACTGCAACGGGAGGAGCAACCTGTACTTGCAGATGCAGTCAGGGGGAAATGTCTGGGATGAGTTTTTCCCAGGGCAAGTCAGGACCCTTCGTGAGTAGGTGCTCAGTTGTGGACATCTCCACACCCACCCTTCCTGAGCAACTGGCCCTCTGGGGTCCTGCTCCCTGTAGAGTCCTTCATTCATCTGCCCTCCTGCCAACATCAGAGGCTCTGCCCCTCCTCCCTCCTGGCTCCTGGGCAGCTGGCAGGATCGATGCTGGCTTATACTTCTGGATTTCTGTTCTTGCCGAATTTTGATAATTAAGAACTTTCCTTATTTACTTATCTTTTCAGTCATGCATTTAAGAAGATGTTTGAAATTATTATCCAGCACATTTTCAGCATTTTTTAGTGGAAAGGTTGTTTACCTTTTCTGATTGGCCATATGTTAGATATAGAAATCTCACCTGTCTGTTTACTTTGTCTCATGTACTTTCTATAGACAGGTTGTAAATTTTTATAGAGTCAAACTTGATCTCTCATTATATAGCAGAGGTTACAAACTGGTGGCATTTCTGTTGGACAATGTGATATTTTGTAAGATTCTAGGATGAGGCAGGTGTTATGGGGCCTTGTTTTTATAGTGTTGGTGTGTTTGTCACTGCTGAATTTACCTAAAATTATAGAATAATATGCATAGTGTGACCTCACAAAGCTCCTAAACATGAAAACACGTGTGTGTGTGTGTGTGTGTGTGTGTGTGTGTGTGTGTAACTCTAGTTGGAAGAGAAACAGAAGAAATTCTAAAAAATTACTTTACTAAAATTGCATCAGTATATTCTTGGCCAGATCTTCTTTCTGACTCTAATGCATGTCACTTTATATTTACAATATTTTTTTACAAGTATAAACAAATGACTACCAATTAGGCAAATTTCATCCCAGATTTTCTGATTACTGAAAACTCAACTCCTTAGCCATTTGAATGTGTATTTAATATCTTTGAATTATTATAATTCTTCTTCTTTGATGCTGTACACACAAATGTGGTATGCATGCATCCTAAACATAAAGCTCAACTGATCTAAACTTTTCTATGACTAAGAAAACGTGACATTAATGTAAAATTTAGATATGAGAAATCAGTAATACAATGAGGTTACTGCTCATCACAGTGCTAAGCAATTTAACAACAGGATATTTTTAAAGTCAGTTCTACCATTGTTCTATTGAACTGACCAAATTGGTAGTAACCAACATTTTAAACCATGACCTTTTATTATATGACTGAAGCTGTATGAATACCTTTCAACTAGAAGTTGGGTTTTCACATTGTTAAATTGGCTAGCTGGTCTCCTGAGAAGAGGCAGTGAAAAAAATCTGGTGATGTCATAAAAATCAAAAATGTTATGGACAAAATTTCTCATTATCTGGAAAGATGAGAAATATAAAACTAAAGAAAAACAAGGTCTCTTAAAGAAAGGACAATTCACTTTCTATATGATAACCTTTTCCTTCAAAAATACCTTACTGCTGACAATCTACAATTCAATACTTAGCTCAGTAAATTGAATGGCATTACAAAGTTGGAAATTATGTCTCTGCAGAAAAAAATCCCAAGTTGTAGAATTGCAGATCTGAATATTATTTAAGAAATCTATTTTTCTGTCTGTCTATCTATCATGTATCTATCATCTATTTATCTATCATCTATCTATTATCTATCTGTCGTCTATCATGTTTGTCTATTTATCTATTTATCAATGATCAGTTTGTCTACCTATCACCCGTTTGTCTGCTTGTCTATTTATCTGTCATCTGTTTGTCTATTTTATCTATGTATCTATGTATCTATCTATCTATCTATTCACCTATCTATCTACATCTATCATCTGTTTGTATGTATCATCTGTTTGTCTATCTTTCATCTGTCTATCTATGTATCATCATCTATCTATGAAGAGAGTTTTCATCTTTAGTTACTGTGTATACAATTGTTTGTTTCTCCAAAACAATCTTTATTTCTATAACTATGATATCTTCCAAGCTTGGTTACTTTTTCTCCCTGGTATCATCTGCCTTTACTGTTTATTAGATATTCCAAATACAGTGTCAAAAATCTCACCTCACATTGCCCTTTTTCACTCTAACTTTCTGCTGGAGTGTTCTGTGCTCCCGCTACTTTCTAAAGTATCTGTGTCTACTCCCCATCTGTTTTTGTTTTATGTTCCTACATTATTACTCTAAGATGTTTTACTCGTGCTTGAATTCAATTATCGATTCCATTTTTTGGAACTATCATTTATTTTCATAGAGAACACCATAACAAAAAGATAAGTAGAAATAAATTTTCTGATTCCTTGTAATCCAAATTTTTTATTTATTTTTACTTCACCGAAAGTCTTGCTGCAACAAAATTCTAAGTTAAAAATTGTATGACTTAAAATTCTATAGACATAAATCCTCTGACTTGCAGTTCTTCTTGTGATTTCTGGAGGGTCTGATGCCTTTCTGATTCTTATCCTTTTGTGGTGATTATTATTCTGGAAATTTTAGGAACTTCTCTTTATATTTGTTGTTCTCAATTATTACAATGGCATACTTACCACGCATCTGTTCTCAATCATTTCGCTGGAGATTTGTTAAGCTTATTTCATCTATAGACCCCTGGCCATTGACTCTAGGAAAATAATTTTGTTAGATTTTTTGACCATTTCCCCATCCACTTTCTCCATTCTTTCTTTCAATAATTTTTATTAGTTAGAAATAGTTGAATTTCAATTTCTTGGAATAATCTTGCATATCTCTTGTTTCCACTCATATTTTTCATTCCCATTGATTCTTGTTCCACTTTCTAGGCTATTTCTTTGATTTTTAAATTCCTACCAGTGATTAAATATTCTAAAATTTCTTAAATCATGGTTTTAATTGTCTGAGTGTATTTTTTGCTTTCATTTTTTTAAGTATCTTGTTCCTATTTTATGGATGAACTGTTTTCTTGAATATCTCAGTAGACACCGTTTTACCCTTTGAGTTTCATCTATCTTTGGATGCTTCTGTGATCAGTTGTTCTAGTTGTTAATCTTTGTATCTTTTACATCACAAGGATGTCACTAAATATAAGGAGGTCTCAATGGTTCAGTTATGTTTGAGATGGAAAAAATAAAAGCTGCCTGTAAGCTCTGTTTGTATGGTCAAGTCTTGTCAACTAGCAGCCTTATTTTAGGGTAATGATTCAGGAAGTAGGAAAGTAACTTGGAGGGCTGTCATGTGAGCATCTTGGTCCAGATCAAAGTTCTAGAGGAAAGACCCATGCAATTTTTTGCCTGGTGGGTGGGCACTTTGGTGCCGGGAGATATGGGAGGATTGTGTTAGCTCATCTAAAAACAACTTCCCAACATTCACTCCTCCCGTCTTCTGCTTCAAGCCTCTCTCCAGCACTCTTTTGTAAATGCTGGTTTTCAGGCCCAGTGTTCTCTTGGGGTTCTGCGGCTGTCTCCCTCGTCTGCCATGACCACCTCCTACATACTCTACACCTGCATTGGTCCATGTGTGTTCTGCAGGTCAAGCATCTGCCTCATGGAGGAGGCTGATAGAAATCCACATTCTCTGACCCTATCCTGGACCTAACTGAATTCTGATCTCTGGGGGTGGTGCCTCCAAGTGAGATTTTAAAAGGTGATTTTCGTGTGTTTGTTTCTAAAGAATGAACAATTCTGAGAGCTGCTGCTCTGGACTGCAGCTTCCTCATCTCCACTTCACTAGGTACATCTCCTCTAACCACATCCAGACTTCCAGAAATTGCTGCTTACTCTTGTCAGACATGCTTCTCACTCATTCTAGGATTGTGCTTTCATGCCAGAAGTCATAAACATATGTGACAAAGCAAGTAAAGCTAATGAGTGACATGGACTGGGTGACCAGCCTAGGAATTGAAAGGGACTGAAGTGCGCTAGAGAGCACAGGCTTCCACCTGAAGGCGTGGCTGCCACACAGCCCACTAAGCCCCAGCCACAGCATCCACGTGAGAATGTGGGCCACTACTGCCAGGACCTCCAGGGTTTGCAATGTGGGGGAGTGCGTGACATTAGGAGATGATCTTCTCATTTAAAAAATCATGTCTATCATCAGTACGGTTTGTGGGCCACACCTGTAACACCTTATCTGTGTTATTTTCCTTCTTCTATCATTTTAGTGGGGGCTTGGTAAGAGAAGAAAATGAAAACCTATTGTGAGTCTGTACCATTTCAGAAGAATCTTTCTGTTCCTAATTTTTTTTTGTAATTTGTTTTTGAGATATGATTTACATACACAAAATGCATCGTTTTAAAGTGTACAGTTCTGTTGGCTTTAGTACATTCATAGTTGTGCAAAAATTACCACGATCTAAGTTTAGAACATTGCCATCACACCAAAAAGGAACTCTATCCCCTTAACAGTCACTCCCCATTCGTCTCCCCTCTAGCCCCCAGGAATCACCAATCCCATTCTTATCTCTATGAATTTACCTATTCTGAATATTTTATATCCAGATTCATGTAAATGGAATCGTGCAATAAGTAACTGATTTTTTGTATGGCTTCTTTCGCTTAGTATAATTTTTTTCAAAGTTCATCCATGTTATAGCAGGTATCAGCACTTCTGTTTCTTTTTATGGTTGAAAAATATTGCCTTGTATGTATATACCATATTTTATTTATTCATTCATTTATTGATGAACATTTGGGTTTATGAATACTGCTATTATGAATATTGCTGCTATGAACATTTGTGTATACGTTTTGGGTAAACAAAGTTTTTCGATTTTCTTGGGTATATACCTAGAAGTAGAATTTCTGGGTCATATAGTAACTTATTGTTTAACTTTTCGAGAAACTACCAAACTGTTTACCAAAGTGGCTGAATTCTACATTCCCACCAGCAATATATGAGGGTTTCCATTTTTGCCCTTTCTTCTAACACTTTTTGTTGGCTGCCTTTTTAATTTCATCCATCCTAGTGGGTATGAAGTGGTATCTCATTATGGTTTGGATTGCATTTATTTGACGACTAATTTAAGTCATCAAATACTTATTCACCACTTGTATATCTCCTTTGGAGAAATGCCTACTCAAATTATTTGGCCACGTTTTTATTGGGTTATTTTTCATTATGTCGTTGAGTTGTAAGATTCCATGTACATTCTGGGTTTTTATCTGATATATCACTTGCAAATATTTTCTTGCATTCCATGGATTTTCTTTTCATTCTTATGATAGTATCCTTAAAAGCATCATTCCTACTTAATATTCAAAAAAAAAGAATGAATATGGAATTTTACTACCTGCTTTTTTTGCTGTCAAAAAGTTTATTTTATATCACTTATGATGTCCTGGTGATGAGCTAAACTTGCATTTCCAAAATAAACTTGATCGTGCCCTAATTTCTTAAATGTATAGTTCTGTTACTTTTTTGTTTACTTATTTGTATTTTGCCTCCTTCCGGCTTACACCTGGAAGATTTCATATAACCTGACCACTTTGAGCCAACTCTAGCTCCGACTTTATTAAAACTGTATTACCGGATCTGACAAAGTGCCAGTGTAAAATATTACATTTATGGTAATTAAACCTTTGTGTTTCTAACATTTGCAGACTTCACTATTTAATGCGTTCTCATTCAGTGCACCAAGGAGGTAACATATTGGCTCTCCTGGGGCACATAGGGCCCACAGACATGTTTGGTTTGGCACACACAATGCTACAAATATTGGGATGGTACCCATAAAAATTTAGAGATTCAGCGTTACTTAAAAAATTTGACTGACTGGTACTGGGATCATTTTCCCACCCAGCAACAAGCAGTGGGGCTGGTTTCCAGTTTCACTTTAAAACAGAGTAGGTGGACTCCAGGTTGCCATCATTTCCTGCAGTGCCAATTATCATTCAGTCCTTGACAATATCCTTTGACTCGTGTATAAAAGTTTGTAATCTCTGGAGCAAAAGTCAGAACATTTGTATATTCATCATAAATTTACTCTTCTATGTTGTCTGCACTTACACTGTAGTACTTCTTTCTAGATCCCATTTGCTGTGTGTGTGTATGTGCGTGCAGGAGATTTCAGAACTCAGCCTTGAACAAGGCATAATGTTTGACATATGTTAGGATAAAAAATTAGTTTTTGGCCCTGATGTTCTGCCTAATCATGGTTGAGTCTTCTCATATCTGCTGCTGAAAAGCAGATTGGTGTGCAAAGCCCTCAGTCTGATTCCCAGGTCCAACATGCAACAGGCTATGATTTTCTCTCACAGTGTCTTCTTGCCTCACAACCCACACAGCCCTCCACACCCACTGGCACGGGGAATAGATAGGAGAACAAGCAAACAGAGATTCACAGCCATCACTGTTACCAAGATTTTGCCTGTCTGTGCCTTGCAGATGTTATTTGGGGGTCCTACATCCCTCAGAGTGCACCGTAACACTGCCAGTTGGGCTCTAAATTTTCTGCATTATTTTTAAAGATTTACATTATCTCTGACTTTATTGCTGGGCCTGAAAAAAACACTTAATTATCTCCTTGTCAGGTGTCTGAGTCACAAATAAATGTTGCAAATAACAGAAAATATCTTCCTACCTTTTCTCAGATATTGTCTGATTCCTGAAGAGAAGCCAACATGTCTTCTTAGTTTTTCTCCAGCCCCCACCACAGACCCTATAATTAAAATTAATTCTTCCCAGATTCTGTCTCTGAGTTGACAGCTCAGTTCTCCATGGTGATAAAGGGTGTTTACTTTTCTGTGTCTTTCATAGGTATCTATTGGTAGGTTAATGGTGGTTACAGACCAGACAACGGTGAAGATGAGGCGGGCGATGATGATGCTGGTGATATTCGTGAAATGAATTTAACACTTTCTCTGGGCCAAGCACTACCTTGCGGACTGACACATCCATAAACTCCCATGGAGTCTGAAGCTCTGCTTCTCCTCCTTCTCACATTTTTGCATTTCACTTTTTTATGCCCATAATGCCTCTGAGTCTGGCTTGGAGAATTTTGCATAGCCTGAAATCTTGTGAATCTGAGATTTGGTTATTTTGCACCATTTGGAAACTAAAATAGAAACACTAAATTTACGGAGCACTAAATTGTGTCAAGCATCATTTGATACATTTGCGTCAAGGATTTCACTTAATATACGTAATTTTCCTAAGGAACCAATACTTATTATTCAGAAAGAGACTGGATGATATCAAAAATATGTTTAGTCTCCTTGTTTAATGCAATAAATACACTTTCCTTGAAAACACTTAAATTCAGTGTGTGCCTATGTGTGTGTGGGGGGGGAGGGGTTTGGTGTGTGTGTGTGTGTGTGTATGTGTGTGTGTTGAGTGGGCATAATATTAATAATATTAAGTGTAATAATAGAAATCCAAAAGATACAGAACATGGGATGGAGAGATTTTCTCTGCCAAGTGGGGAGAGTCCCTGAAAGTGAGGCCTGTCTCTGGTGTTGAAGTTTGATTATCCCATTTTAAAGATGAGGAAACTGACTCAGATGCATTAAAGAGTTTGAAAAAAGCTACAGATATATGAAAGGGTCAATATTATGCCTATTTTACAATTATCCAATAGTCATTTTTCATCTTTTGCAATATTGAATAGCAATTTTAACTTTTTCAGTATTTTAATAAATCCTTAATCTATCTCAGAATATCAAGCTCCCAAAACACTTTCCAGATTATTTTACGAGACATTTTGACTAGTTTTTCTTTTAACTAGCATGCAAATAAAAACATGTAGCTCAGCTGACGACAATCTGTTTTAATTTTTCAGATCACCAGCTATTCTAATTATCCAACACTCAGCACCATCCACCCACCATGCTTCATTGAACTGATGGCGCAGGGATGTGTGTGTGTGTGTGTGTTGTGTGTGTGTGTGTGTATTATACATATAGTATGTACATTAATAAATAATTTCTTCCATCAAACATAATTTCATGAAGTTTTGTCAATCAGGCATCTTTTAAAGATATATGTATGCCACTGTCCTCAGAAGAAGTTAATTCATTCTTGCAAATAACATCCACCAATAATTTTAATAGTTTATAAGAAATTACTCTTATATAAATAGGGAATACATCAAATTGTTTATCACTCAGATATATCCTGTAAGGAATTAGTTATAATGTTTAAAAAGAATGTGTTACATTTATATTCGTTTTAATGACTTATTGTAATAACCTGACAAAATTAGGCTATTATGTTTGGCTTTAAGTTATATTAAAAACATATATAAGGGTTTCATTAGTTTAAATAAAGCCATTATTGTATATAAACTAATTTGAATTAAATTATGTGTTCTAAAAGCCAAAGTATTCAGTTGTAAAATATCAATTTAATGCATGATATAATTCATTCTAAATGTCCAAGTTAAGAAGAAAAAGAAGAAAACAACTGTAATCATATATCCTGGTATGTGGACAATATGGTAATGAGTAAAAGTGATGGGAAAAATTTGATTTAATTTAAGCTGCTCAATTTCACTTTCATTATTTTAGTTGCTCAGTAGAAACCTCACATTAGTTATCTGCTCATCAGAATTGTGAAAAGTTTTGTGATAAGAAATCAAGCTTTTTTGAACACTCAGAAAGTGTGATGTAAGGGTGGTGTTAAGCTGGTGTAATCATCTAATTCCAGGTGTGGTTTTCATTTTTGTAGGCTCATTAATGTTATTATTATTGCACCGAGAAGTCGTCATGGTCCAGCATACAAACAATGTTGAAATTCAAACTTTCATGAAAATACGCCTACTAAGTGGATGAGATGCCTGGGCTCCCCAGTTGTCAGCCTTTCGTCATAGATGAGGTCTCACGGAAGCCATTACAACAAGGGGAGTTGGGTGATGGGTGGGCTTCAAGGCTTTGGTCCACATGCCATGCCCATCTCCTGGAGTCACTAACTGAATATCCACATTCAGAGGCCACGTCCTTTTTCATCCACGGTGAAAATCTTATATTCTTACATTCCTTAATACTGCTAAATGCCTTAAATATGCTTTAAGGTAATTTGCATAGCCACTTTTTTTTTTTTTTTTTTTTTTTTTTTTGAGACAGAGTCTCGCTCTGTGGCCCAGGCTGGAGTGCAGTGGCAAGATCTCGGTTCACTGCAAGCTCCGCCTCCTGGGTTCACGCCATTCTCCTGCCTCAGCCTCCCTAGCAGCTGGGACTACAGGCGCCCCCCACCAAGCCTGGCTAATTTTTTGTATTTTTAGTAGAGACGGGATTTCACCGTGTTAGCCAGGATGGTCTCTATCTCCTGACCTCGTGATCCGCCCACCTCGGCCTCCCAAAGTGCTGGGATTACAGGTGTGAGCCACCGCGCCTGTCTGCCACTCTTTGTATTTAATTCTCAATACCTTGATCACTAACTCTTGTACAACTTACAAATAAATTGGTTTACTTTTCATTATTCCATATGAAAATTTTTCAGCTAAGTGAAAGATGGAAACTCTAAAAAGCATATGGTTTTCATCTTTTTCAATAAAATATTCATGAAAATGGTTTAATTACTTATTTATTTGACTTAGGTGTTTAGAATGAAAGATGCAGTCTGATTGTATAATATTTTTTCAACCTTTTAATCTTCAATAAGTTTTCATCTTAAGCACAAAAGATTGTTTCTTTTTCCCAAACTTTCACATAATTCTCAGAGTGGACAAGAAGCATCAGAAATATTATAATAAATATTTCAGTGACATTTGGGGACATTAATACATTTTAAATTGCGTCTGTCAGTCAAAGCAAGAGAAAGGATTCATGCATTTATGTAACAAATACTTATTGAGATCCATTTTATCTCAGCAACTAGAAATACAGAGATAAATAGACTCCTAAAATTTTCAGCTTTAAAACTGTATAGCAACGAGTATACACCTCTGTTTGGGGCAAATGCTTATTATATACTAAATGGTTTTTTAATATCTCCCTACTTTCTAGACTGTAGGCCGCATGGGAACCCCTTTTGAACCAGGGGCCTACAGTCTAGTAAGTAGGGAGATATGCAAAAACCCGTTAGTGTATAATAAGCATTTGCCCAAGCAGGGTATATACCAATTGCTATGCACTTTTAAATGTGAAACATTGTGGTTAGCTTGGGGCCATCTAGAAAGGCCTCATGAAAGCAGCAACTAAGAAGAGATTTGTGGAATAAAAAGGAGCTTTTCACTTAACAGGTTGCAGAGGACACCCAGACCAAAGGGAACATCATCTACAAAGACAATAGTGTGAGAGAAAGTGGAAGATTCTGGTATCTATAAGTAGTTCCATATGGCTAAATAAAAAGTATGATGACAACATGTACCAGGAAGTGAGGCTGGACAAAAGGCAAGAGACCAGTTTAGAAAAGGATGTGCAAACTCAGGAAAATATTTTATAATCTGACAAGAAAAGGGGGGTTGCTGGGGTTTTTTCAGTTAAACTTTTTAATTTTTAGATAATTGTTGATTCACATTTAATTTTGAGAATTCACGTCCTTTGCAGGGACATGGATGAAGCTGGAAACCATCATTCTCAGCAAACTAACACAGGAACAGAAAACCAAACACCTCATGTTCTCACTCATAAGTGGGAGTTGAACAATGAAAACACATGGACACAGGGAGGGCAACATCACACACCAGGGTCTGTAGTGGGGAGGCTAGGGGAGGGAGAGCAATGGGGCAAATACCTAATGTAGATGATGGATTGATGGGTGCAGCAAACCGCCATGGCACGTGTATAGTTATGTAACAAACCTGCACGTTCTGCACACGTATCCCAGAACTTAAAGTATAATTAAAATAAAAAAAGAAATAATATGAAGAGATCCCATGTGCCTTTTACCCCCTCCCCAAGTTTCCCTTTAGGCTACATCTTGTAAAACTGTTCTTACATTAGGAGAATTGGTCTGTGGATAATGTGAGACACATCAATGAGAGAGTGGGACATGGAGCCATTTAGGAGGCTGATGGATGGCTCAGGATAGAGAAAAGGCAGGCGTAGTTTAAGCTGGTGCTAGTGAAGATGAAAAGGGGAGGATAGGATATTATGTGTCACGTAATTTTAATAAGAAGTCATCAGCGTTGGGTAATTGATCGGATGCTGGTACTATAGAAAGAAAGGGATGTAGAAGGTTTTCAAATTCCTATATTTGAAGATGTGGGTGAGTCCCCAAAATATAGAGAAGGGGTAGCAGTTAGTCAACAGTAGGTGAAGTAAAATGACTGATAATCATGATGAAGTGAATCAAATAAAAGTCACTGGTGTCCTTAGAGGGAACATTTGAAAGAGGCTAATTGCTCTTGCTCCCAGCTGGGCTTCTGGGGAGAAGAGACTAAACTCACTGTGGCCAATTCCTTAACTCATTTCCCCTTCAGTTTACTGTTCAGTTGACACTGCAATCTAGTTTCTTATTAAATGGTGACTATAGTGTTTGAAATGTATTGAACAGTAATAAATGTATGCTCCTAGAAGTGTGAGAATTTCTTTCTAAGGATCAGGTCTTCCTCCTGCATGGTTCCCAAAAATGATATACATGAAGAAAAATGGAAAATAGAAAAGTTTCTCTTTAACATTCATTACTGAAGTGCCTGATACTTGGTTCCAATAGAAATGGAGGATATAATTTAGTTTTAAGGCCTAAACATAGTCTCTCCTTTCTGCTAAGCTGAATTTAAATTGTGTAACCAGTCCATCACCAGTGTACCAAAGAGCTCAGACCACCACCAATGACAGCTCTCCATGGAAAAAGAAGAGAAGCAGAGGAGGGTGGCTAAGTCTCCTGTCAGGGCTCGAGTCCTAGACTGGACCTATTACTACTGTGCACCAACAGGAACTAAAAAAGAGCCCAAAGATCAAACCACTCACAGAAAGTTGACCTTTTTGCCTACCTGAAAATATATGTCAATCTCTTTGAAAGCTTTTTGCCAGCTTTAAAACTCGGAAATGTCTTTCTCAAAGACCTAGGAGCCATCCCTTTGAAATGTAATAATCAAGGAAGAGGGGGCCCGATCTCACAGTCTCTGTGGGACAGTACAGGCCTATCTTACAATTAAACATGGATGGCCTAATCACATTGACCATGAGGTTCCCAACAGCTGTCTACTGGCTCACTCTAGTGCTTAGAAACTCTCCATCTTAGGTTGCAGTGAGCCGAGATCACACCATTGCACTCCAGCCTGGGGGACAAAGCAAGACTCCGACTCAAAAAATTTAACAAAAGAAACTCTCCATCTTTTGTTTCAGCAGAGTTCAGTTCAATCTCTCTCTTCCCTCTTATAATAGTCTTTTTTTTTTTTAAGAGAAGGAGTCTTGCTCTGCTGCCCAGGCTGGAGTGCAGCAGTGTTATCACAGCTCACTGCAGCCTTGAACTCCTGGGCTCAAGGGATCCTCCTGGCTCAGCTTCCCTAGCAGCTGGGATTACAGGTGTGCATGCATCACCACACCTGGTTAAATATTTTTCTTGTTAATTTTGTTAGAGACAGAGTCTCACTACATTGCTCAAGCTGGTCTCAAAGTTCTGACCTCAAAGGATCCTCCTGCCTCAGCCTCCTGCGTAGATGATATTGTAAGCTGAAGCCACTGTACTAGGTCAATTGTAGCAGTCTTGAATAAAGTCTTCTTTACCTATTTAACCCTGTCCGGTGCAATTTCTCTTTAGGGTTGTACTGAATAAACCAGAATTTTAAGTGAATTTATTTTCCTGTTAGGTAAAAGAAACATTTATTTTAGAGCCTCAAATTAGGGAACCTATCAATATCATTACTTGGCACAGGAAAAATAAAAACTATGTGATACATTTCCCTAAAAGTATATATTGTAGCCAAAAGTCAGAACTCATTAAGTATTGTCCAGCATAAATTATTGAGTGAGGTAGTAATTAATCACGATTTAAAATGTAGAAAGAGACAGCTCTGAGGCTTGAAATGAAGCCCTTGGTTGAAGTCTAAGGTAAAAAATATTTCTTTGTGTTTTCAAAGTTTCTTTTTGAACCTGTTGTTTTCTAAATGCAATCTTACTAATCATACCTGTTTATAAGGATGTAAAGTACAAAGACGTAGCACAGTTTAGTTGTAGTGGTTCTTACTTAGCCTTGGGAGGAGCATTTTGAAATCTATGCCATACTTCACTCCAGGCCCATCAAAGCTGATGGGAAAGCCAGAAATTTGTTTTTAACACTGCGGAATGATTGAATGTGAGGGCAGGCCAAGAACTATTAAATTACAGTGTAATTTCTAAACCACAGTTTCTCAAACCTTAATATGCCTACAAATCATCAGAGGAGCCTATGAAAATGTGGATTCTGATTCAGTATCGTGGGATGGGCCTGAGAGTCTGCAGGTCTAACAAGCTCCCAGGTGACAGGGGCCTGGGATCACACCTGGGGGAGCAGAAGTGGTCTTCAGCCATGACTGCTCTTCAGATAAACCTGAGAAGTTAAAATAATCCTGATGTGCTGGTTCAATGCCAGATATTCTAATTTTCATTGGTCTGGTGTGTAGCCTGAGTATTGGGGTGGCCAAGGTTTGGGTCCCCACTTATAAGCCAAGATCTCCACTTTCACCTGACAACGCAGAACTCAGGAGAAGGCCCTGGACCTGAAGACAATCGCAGCAGTGAAGGACTTGTCCCAGAGACCAGGCATCATTAGAGTGGTCCTGAATGGTGCCTGGCGATGGTGCCATGAACTCAGTGGTACTTTGGAGGAGGTGCCAAGCCCTGTCATGGACAGATGAGACAGGCCCATTTTGCACACTCCTGACTGGTGAGTGAGGAAGCGAAGACCTCACCTGAGAGAGCCCAGAAACACAAAAGCAGGTCTCCAAAAGCCGGCATCTCCTTGGCTCCCAGTCCTCAGCACTGTGGGAGGCTCTGGGGCTGAGAGCCTAAAATCCTCAAGGGGAACGGAAGGTTGATGGGCTTCATCATCACTGACCTGCTTCAGGATGTCCAAATCCCTGACAGCACAGTCTTGTTTTCTGACCCCAAGGCCACTGTTGAACCAGCTTGTGACCTCATCATATCTGACAGGCAACAACTCTGAACGCTGTAGCTGCTTCCTGAGCATTTGTTCACAGCAGGGACACCTGACAACCTGGAACACTTTTCTTTGTTAAGGATCATGGTTTACATGTAGTGGACCAATACTAGTTAACAGACAGCATCCCCAGCATTGTGCATATAGTAGCCAAGTTAGCCACACAAGCACATGGTGCCCTAGGGCAACCCCTTCTTCACACATGCAGAAGCAAGGTATAAAGATGTCCTATAACCTCCCGAGGTCACACAAGGTCACACAAGTGCCTTCACCAAGACAGCTGTCTCCAGAGGCTATAGCTGTTAAGTACTGTGATCTCATGCCTCATAAGTACAGTTCTGCCCCTTCCTCCAAAAATCTAGCCATTTCCAAAGAGAATGTTTATTACATAATCAAATTGCTAGCAATGGTAGTTCTTTTAATACTGTATCACTGGAAGCTGACTGAAACCCTCAGTTTGGTGTTTTAGTGACTACACCTGGGACTTGGGAGAACATCAGAGATTTCTTCAGCTCGTTTTTCTGTAACAGCCGCAGCTCCATATGTTAAGTGAATTTGGGTCGAATTGTTCTCATGTGAATACTGAGTGCTAAAAATGGTTTAATTGGAACCTATAGTTAATTACAAAGACATGAAACTTTTTAGAAAAAATGCTGGAAAAAAGGTGTTCTTTAAGAAAAAAGACATTTTATTGTACTGTTACTTGACTTTAACTTACAGAATTCTTGATCACCACTGAAAAATAATTTCTGGGTAATAATCTAGGTTTCTTTTGTAAATAGAATTGTTATAAATGTTTCTCAATAACTATAATAAAGTAACCTGCTAACATATAAGTCATAATAAGCAAGTGAAGTGTTCAAATTCTTGCAGGCAACCTAATATCATATGTTTTTCATGATAGAATAATAAATTGGAAAAAGTATCAGATTTTATATATTCCACCTTCCTTCTTTCAGTCAGGCTAATTATGGTAGAATTGAAAAATAAGTCCCTTTTTATTTTACAGATGAAAAAGTCAAGATCAATAGGTGCAGTTAGCCAAAGATGACACCACTTCACAGTGACAAAGAGAGAATCAGAATAAGGATGGTATAAAGCTTTCAACCATAGTCCTAACTTAATAAATTAGCAGTGGCTTCCTATGGGCTATTTGATGAAGGACTCAGTCCAAGCACTCACTGAGAATAGTGTGTTAGTTGGTAATGTCTGCCACGTGTGAGGGAGGACTCAGTCCGAGCACTCACTGGGAATAGTGTGTTAATTGGTAATGTCTGCCATGTGTGAGGGAGGACTAAGTCCGAGCACTCACTGGGACTGTTGTGCCAATGGATTGGTAATGACTGCCACGTGCAGGGATGGGGCAGGGAGCACTGTCCCATGGACTGATCCATGTTCACTGCCCCTTGATGAGATGAAGGGCTTGGAGCCTCTTCACAGGGCTCAGTGGGCGAGCAAATATCATTGCTCACCTGATACAGAACAGTATCTGCAAGCGTTCAGCTGAGTAACTCATGAGGCCAGCCTGGAGTTGATGCTGTGGGCTGGGAGCTCAGGGGCATGAGGCTGGGAATGACCGTGTCTCCTGGGGCGTTCATGAATTTTGTCATGGGCGTCAATGACAGAACATTTAGAAGGCAGGAAACAGTTCCACTGAAACTGCTGAGCGCTGAAAGGCAAGTAACAGAATGGTGTATTTAGGGTGCCTTATGGGTGCTTTAAGAGCTTACATAAGGTAAGTGAGTGTGCTGTCATCCCTGGGCACCGGGTTAGTTTTGCTCGTGTCTGCTAATCCCTTCGGGTATTACATGAAAACTAGTAGTATTTTAAAGTGTGCTGAAAATAAACAGAAAACTTTGAAAATTCCTGGTTACCCCTACTCCCAAAACTGGCCAGCAGTGCTTCCCCAGAAACCATCCCACTCCAATCTCTTATGGTTTGATGCCTCCCTGGGTCATGGGCTTCAAAGTTAGCCACCTCACCACTGTGTCTCATGACTCCTGGTCCTAGAACAGACTTCTCTGTTGAGCTTTATACGCATACAGAAAGAATGAAGTTACTACTACTCTTTCAAGCTAAAGAGGAATTAAAAATCATGTTATTTTCTTGGGTGTGTACTTTGTTTAGTTTTGCACTCCAGACTGGGCAACAAGAGTGAAACTCTATCTCTAAATACATACATACATACATACATACATACATACATGTAATCCCTTGCAGTACCTAGCTAGTCTGTGTCTAAATACAGTGGTGAAAGTCACCTTCGCAAAGATGGGAGAAAGATGGATTACATTTCTAGTTGCAAAGGCTATTTTAGACTGTCATTATGTTATTTACAATTGTGTAAACAATGCTTTCCAAAGGAAGAAGTGACCATTTTCAGCTGGATTTTCAGTATAATAAATGTTTTATTTTAATACCAGATCTCCTTAACATTTTAATAAGTGGTTATTAAAAAGAACAAACTAAAATGTTTATATTTTACATATAATTATGTTACAATAACAAATACTTTTTGAAATTGTGGAAACATTCCTTACTACTTCTGAATTACCTGAGGTTTATTTATCTGGGAGTATAAATATTAAATTATGTGATGTAAATGTTATTGTTTAAAATGTTTTACTTCCTAATAAAAAATTACCCTGTAACAAATCATGCTACTTCCTTTCATTCATATCCTTGAGTCTTAAATAGTCCTCATATGAATGAAAAAAATTTAGAGTTACTGTCTCAAGAGAATAATTCTATCCTCCATTTTAAATCTAAGAAAAATCAGTCTGACTTCACATACCACACAATAGAGAGAAGAGGAGGTAGCATTAGATGACTAGTTACTAGCCTTCTGTAGAGAGACAAGCAAAGTCAAACAGAAAAATAGTACATTACAGCTATTAAAGACCTCCTGCTGAGGTACTTAGAAGGACGAAAATGAGTTTTAAAAAACAGGAAAAACATATTCATTTCATAAGTGAATTGCATAAAATTGCAGCACTAAATACGAAGATGTGTGATTCTAAAATAAAATGCCATGAATATTTTCACACGATTCCACAAATAGCTGCTCTATTATAATCCATTGAGTTCAGCATAAAATACAAATATCCAACAGCCAGAAGAATAAACTTGTCTATAAAGGAAAAGTAAATATTTTATGGCAAAATTAAATCACAAAAGTAAGTGAATTTGACACATATGTGCAACTTATGATTTTATGTCATCCGTGCTTGAAAAGAGATATTGGGGACTTGGGAAATTTGTAACATCGGACTATTTTAATACATCCATTTAATATAAATGCCAATGCATTTTATAGCTCACCTTCACTGTGAAGGCTTTAACACAAGTTTTCCAAAATGTAATTTTTTTTGGTCTTTAAATTAAGACTTTATTTCCAAACTTGAAGTCACAAACACTGCAAACACATTGCTACTTACTGCTACCGTTTTCTAACTCAGTAGTTCTCGGCTAGGGACGGTTTAGCTTTCCGACTCCCCAGCGTCAGGTAACAGTGTCTGGAGATATTTGTGATTGTTCTGACTGGAGATAGAGGGAAAGAGTTGCAGACGTCTGGTGGGTAGAGGCCAGGGATGCTGTTAAACATCCTACAACATATAGGATAGCCCCCTGCCCCCAACCAACGCAAAGAACTATCCACCCAAAATGTCAGTACTCCCACAGCTGAGAAAACCTGATTTAACTGAACTACAAACCTAAATGAAACTGTGTAAAGTCTTTCAAATTCTTAAAATATAAACTCTTCTATTGTCAGTTAATAGGCTATGACTTAGTTAAAATACCCATGATATACACTTAGCAAATTAGACAATAAAGATTCCAAGACAGAAAATTTTAGAGGAGCATGTGGTCCTTGGGGACATAAAATGGTGTGCATTTTACATCCAATTTTCTGACTCATATCATCTAGCCCCTGTAGTTCACTGGAAGTGAAATTGTCCTCCCTTTAAAGTAATTGCAGCGGAAACAATCCAGTTCAGCAGTATAAAAAGACACTTTTGTTCATAGCCTTAGCAACTCAGCCCAGGAGGCACAAGTCCCGGAGCCCCAACAAGAGGAGCTTCAGATGAAATCTAGAGATAAATGATTCCTATGTTGGCCTTGCATCTTTTCAAGCAAACATGACTGTGTATCCAAGCATGAAAAAGAGGACAACCAGATACTCCATGGGGATTTTCTAGTAAGTGGCGCTTCTCAGAAATACCTGGTCCTAGATCGTACTAAAATAGAGCCTTTAGCACACTAATATGGTTACTTGAAAATGAAGGTAAAATTGTTCCCAATCCAACTTTAGGATGTGTGAATATGGGCCAGGTGCGGTGTCTCACGCCTGTAATCCCAGCACTTTGGGAGGCCGAGGCGGGTGGATCATGAGGTCAGGAGATCGAGACCATCCTGGCTAACATGGTGAAACCCCATCTCTACTAAAAAAAAAAAATACAAAAAATTAGCCGGGCATGGTGGTGGGAGCCTGTAGTCCCAGCTACTCGGGAGGCTGAGGCAAGAGAATGGCATGAACCCGGGAGGCGGAGATTGCAGTGAGCCAAGATTGTGCCACTGCACTCCAGCCTGGGCGACACAGAGAGACTCCGTTCTCAAAAAAAAAAAAAAAAAAAAAAAAAAAGAGTGTGTGAATAGAATATGATGTATTTACAAAATTTGGTTATCACATTTTTTTTTTTCCTTAATATGTATGTGATTGATGTGTAGAACAGGAGGTGGGGGGATGCTTAACTCATCAACAAGTAATCATAATGAGCTAATCCCCATAGAAGCATAAACAAAAAATAAATAAAACTGAACTTGAAAAACACAGATATCATATTTTATTGGTTTAAATAAAGTTGAACTGGTTGTTGACATACTATCTCCTACATCCACAAGCTTGGAATTCCTGGTCAAAATATCCATTTGCTATATTTCAAGTGTGACTATAAGAACTACTTAAAAAGAACAACAAAAACAAAAATCCTCAACACTGATTCCTCAGACTTAATAACGTCATTAGTTAAACAATTATTCTTTAAAAATTACTAAAATAGGCTGGGTGCGGTGGCTCAAGCCTGTAATCCCAGCACTTTGGGAGGCTGAGTTTGGTGGATCACCTGAGGTCAGGAATTTGACACGAGACCAGTCTGGTCAACATGGCGAAACCCCGTCTCTACTGAAAATACAAAAGACTAGCCAAGTGTGGTGGCTCATGCCTGTAGTCCCAGCTACTTGGGAGGCTGAGACGGGAGAATCGCTTGAACCCCGGAGGCAGAGGTTGCAGTGAGCTGACATTGTGTCACTGCACTCTAGCCTGGTTGACAGAGTGAGACTCTGTCTCAAAAAAAAAAACAACAAAAAACAAAAACCAAAAAAAATTTACTAAAATAGACGTTGATACCCAGATAACTAAAATTCATAGTAAATTTAAGACGTGATTTATATTAATAGTTTCAACTATTGTTTGTGTCATCTCTGATTTCTTTAAGCAGTGTTTTGTAATTCCTACTGTAGACATCCTTCAACTTCCTACTTAGCTGTATTCTTAGGTATTTTATTCTTTTTGTGGCAGTTGTGAATGGGATTGCGTTTCTGATTTGGCTCTAGGCTTGGCTGTTCTTGGTGTATAGAAATGCTAGTGATTTTTGTATATTGATTTTGTATCCTGAAACTTTGCTGAAGTTGTTTATTAGCTGAAGGAGCTTTTGGGATAAGACAATGAGGTTTTCTAGATATAGAATCATGTCATCAGCAAACAGCAATCATTTGACTTCTTCTGTTCCTAATTAGATGTCTTTATTTCTTTTTCTTGCTGATTGGCCTGGCCAGAACTTCCAATAGTACGTTGAATATGAGTGTTGACAGAGGACACCCTTGTCTTGTACTGGGTTTCAAGGGAAATGCTTCCAGATTTTGCTCATTCAGTATGATGTTGTCTGTGGGTTTGTCATAGATGGCGCTTATTATTTTGAGGTATGTTCCTTGAATACCTAGTTTATTGAGAGTTCTTAACATGAAGGAATTTTGAATTTTATTGAAAGCCTTTTCTATGTCTATTGAGATAATCATGTAGTTTTGTCTTTAGTTCTCTTTGTGTGATGCATCACATTTATTGATTTGCATATGTTGAACCAATCTTGTTTCCCAAGGATAAAGCCTACTTGATCATGGTGGATTAGATTGTTGATGTGCTGGCTGGATTCAGTTTGCAAGTATTTTGTTGAGGAATTTTTTTATTAATGTTCTTCACAAATATTGGCCTGAAGTTTTCTTTTTATTTGTTCTGTCTCTGCCAGGTTTTGGTATCAGGATGATGCTGGCCTCATAGAAAGAGTTGGGAAAGAAGAATCTTTTCTCAATTTTTTGGGAGCAGTTTCAGTAGAAACGGTACTAGCTCTTCTTTGTATATCTGGTAGAATCTGGCTGTGAATCTGCCTGGTTCTTGGCTTTTTTTTTTTTGGCTGGTAGGCTATTTACTACTGATTTAATTTCAGGGTGCATCATTGGTCTTTTCAGGGAATCAATTTCTTCTTGGTTCAGTCTTCAGAGGTTGTATGTGTTGAGGAATTTATTCATCTCTTCTAGGTTCTGTAGTTTGTGTGCATAGAGGTGTTCATAGTAGTGTCTGATGGTTATTTGTATTTCTGTGGGGTCAGTGGTAACATCCCCTTTGTCATTTTTAAGAATTAATAGCATTAAAATCCCACACTGCCCAAAGTAATTTATAGATTCAATGCAATTACTATCAAATTACCAATGACATTCTTCACAGAACTAGAAAAAACTATTTTAAAATTCATATAGAACCAAAACAGAGCGCAAATAGCCAAGGCAATCCTAAGTAAACGTAATAAAGCTGGAGACATTATGTTACCCAACTTTAAACTCCACTACAGGACTACAGTAAGAAGAACAGCATGGTTCTAGGACAAAAACAGACACATAGACCAATGGAACAGAATAGACAGCCCAGATATAAGGTCACAGACCTACAACCATCTGATCTTGAAAGCTGATAATAACAAAAAATGGGTAAAGGACTCCCTATTCAATAAATGGTGCTGGAATAACTGACTAGTCATATACAGAAGATTGAAACTGGACCTCTTTTTTCACCGTATTCAAAAAGCAAATCAAGATGGATTAAAGACTTAAATATAAAACCTAAAACTATTAAAACTCTGAAAGAAAACCTAGGAAATACTAGTCTGGACATAGGGCCTAGCAAAGATTTCATGACAAACACTCCAAAAGCAATTGCGATGAAAACAAAAATTGGCAAGTAGAACCTAATTGAACTATACATCTCCTGCAGAACAAAAGACACCATCAACAGAGTAAACAGACAACCTACAGAATGGGATAAAATATTTGCAAACTATGCATCTGACAAAGATCTGGTATCCAGTATCTACAAGAAGCTTAAGGAAATTTACAAGAAAAAAAAACCCCATTAAAATTAGGCAAAGGACATGAACAGACACTTTTCAAAAGAAGACGTGCATGCATCCAACAAGCATATAAAAAAGCACAATATCACAGATTGTTTAAGAAATGCAAATCAAAACTACAATTAGATATCATCTCACGCCAGTCAAAATGGCTATTGTTAAAAAGTCAAAAAAATAACAGATGCTGGCAAGGTTGCAGAAAAAGGGAATGGTTATACAGTGTTGGTGGTAGTGTAAATTAGTTCAACCATTTACAGTTGGCAATTCCTCAAAGAGCTAAAAGCAGGACTACTATTTGACCCAGCAATCCCATTATTGGGTATATACCCAATGGAATATAAATCATTCTACCATGAAGACACATGCATGTGTATGTTCATTTCAGCACTATTCACAATACCAAAGACACAGAATCAACCTAAATATCCATCAACGGCAGATTGGGTGAAAAAAACTGTGGTACATACACACCATGGAACACTATGCAGCCATAAAAAAGAATAAGATCATGTCCTTTGCAGGAACATGGATAGAGCTGGAGGCCATTATCCTTAGCAAACTAATTACTGTATGTTCTTGCTTATAAGTGGGAGCTAAACGATGAGGACACGTGGACACATAGAGGGGAACAACACACCCTGGGCCTATTGAAGGGTGAAGGGTGTAATGAGGGAGAGGATCAGAAAAAATAACTATTGGGTACTAGTCTTAGTACCTGGCTGACAAAATAATCTGTACAAAAATCCCACATGACACAAGTTTACCTATATAACAAACCTGCATATGTACCCCTGAACATAAAAGTTAAAAAAAAAAAAAGTTTCAACTACTCTTCTCTCTAAACCTTTTAGGAAACAGGCAAAGCTAAGGTTGAAAAGCCACACTCAGACACCTGAGTGCCAAATACTGAGTCACTTTGGGAGAAGGCCTGCCCTCTCAGGTAGAACTTACTAAATGTTAGTCATTAGGATATTTCTAGATAAATATTAGATATTTCTCAATACAAGATATTGGCAGCCCAAAGAAAGGCTGTGATTTAAGCTGGAGTCTCCATTTGGAAATTTGGGATAATAAGATAGTTGTTATTGAGAAAAGGTCATTGCAGATCAAAGCACAAATGAAGATCTGAGCTCTTGAGTTGTTTTGTAGGTATGGACAAATTGATTCTAAAATTTTACAAAAAAATAAAAAGCAACTGTGATAGCCAAAACAATTTGAGCAAAAAAAGAAGAAAATGGAAGACTCACACTACTCAGTTACAACTATCATTGTAAGCTACAATAAGTAAGACTATGGTATTGGTGAAGGAACAGGCACATAGATCAATGAAACAAAATAGAGATCCAGGAGATTCAATGGAGGAAGGATAATCTTTTCAACAAATGGCAATGGAAAAACTGGACATCTATGTGCAAACAAACAAAATGAACCTCAATATAAACCTCACACCTTACACAAAATATTAACTCAAAATATATAATAGAAATAATTAAAAAGGTAAAATTGATTTTTTAAAAGAATAAATAGAGAAAAACTTCATGACTTTGTGTTAGGCAAAGAATTCCTAAATATAACACCAAAACTGTAATAGATAAAAGAAAAAATAAAACTTCATTGAAACTGAAAATATTTGCTTTCTGAAAGATGTGGTTAAATGAATGGAAATACAAACTATAGATAAGGAGAAAATATTTACAAAATGCAAATGTAGCAAATGACTTTATTTAGAGTGTTGAAAAAACTTGCTAACGTCAGGAGTAAGAAAACAGACAATCCAGTAAAAATGAGAAAAGATCTGAACAGGCACTTTTCCAATGAATACATAAACATGTGCAAAAAGTCTCAATAGTTCTAGCCATTAGGTAAGTGATAGTTCAAATTGTAAGAAGAGGTGGAGCAAGATAGCTGAATAAGACCCTCCAGCGACTGTCCCTCTCACAGGAACCCCAAATTGAGTAACTATGCATGCAAGAAAGCATGTTCAGAGGAATCAAACATCAGATGAGCAATCATAGTGCCTTGTTTTAACATCACTGCAAAGCAAGAGGCACTGAAGAGGGTAGGAAAGAAAAGATGATCTTGGATTATCAACACCTCTCCTCTCCCATCCCCTGGTAGCAGCCACGTGGCATGGAGAGAGAATCTATGTAGTCGGGGAAGGGATAGCACAGTGACTGTGGGACTTTGCATCTGAACTCAGTGATGCCTGTCACAGTGGAAAGCACGTCAGGACGGAATTCCGCCAGTGCCAACAGAAGGAGTATTTAGACCAGCCCTAGTCATTGGGGATTCATCTGTCCCAGCAGTCTGAACCTGAGTTCCAGATAGCACCACCACCACAGGCTAAAGTACTCTGAGGTACTAAATAAACAAACGGCAGTTTAGGCTACAAAAACTGCAATTCCTGGGCAAGTCCTAGTGCTGTGCTGGGCTCAGAGCCAGTGGACTTAGGGTGTTTGCAACCTAGTGAGATGCCAGCCAGGGCAGCCAAGCATTTTGCAAGACAAAGTCTCCTTTATTGTTCCCTCCCCTTTCTTCAAGCAGAAGGAGTCTCTCTCAATAGCCGCCAAAACTAGGCATGCGCTGGGTTACACTTGAAGCCAACACATCACTGGGTCTTACCAAAGGCTTGTGGCAAGTACTATCTGGCTTGCATCATCCATCCCCCAACCCCAGACAGCACAGCTTGCAGCTCCAGGAGAGACGCCTTCCCCCAGCTTCAGGGGAGGTCAGGGGAGAATAAAGGGGCCTTTGCCTTACAACTTGGATACCAGCTCAGCCACAGTAGAATAGGGCACCAGGCAGAGTCCTGTGGTCCCCATTTCAGGTCCTAGCCCCTGGATGACATTTCTAGACACACCCTGGTCCAAAAGTGAACCTGCTGCCTTGAAGGGAAGGATCCAGTACCGGTAGGCTCTATCACCTACTGACTAAAGAACCCTTGGGCCTTCAATAAACATAAACAGTAGCCAGATAGTACTTGCCAGAGGCCTTAGGTGAGACCCATTGTTGTGCTGACTTCAGGTGTAAGCCAGCACATGTCCAGTTATTTTTATTTTATTTTATTTTATTTTATTTTATTTTATGAGATGGAGTCTCACTCTGTCATCCAGACTGGAGTGCAGTGGCACAATCTCGGCTCACTTCAGCCTCCACCTCCTGGATTCAAGCAATTCTCCTGCCTCAGCCTCCTGAGTAGCTGGAATTACAGGTACCTGCCATCAAGTCCAGCTAAATTTTTGTATTTTTAGTAGAGACGGGGTTTCACCATGTTGACCAGGCTGGTCTCAAACTCCTGACCTCAGGTGATCCATCTGCCTCGACCTCCCAAAGTGCTGAGATTACAGGCATGAGCCACTGCACCCAGCCACATGCCCAGTTCTGGTGGCTATCAAGAGAGATTCCGTCTGCTTGAAGAAAAGGAGAGGGAATAATAAAGGGGTCTTTGTCTTGCAGCTTGGGTACCACCTTGGGCACAGTAGGGTAAAGCAACAAGTAGGCTCCTGCGGTCGCTGATTCTAAGACTTGACTCCTGGATGGCATTTCTGGACCTGCCCTGGGCCAGAGGGGAGCCCACTGACCTGGAGAGAGAGGCCTAGGCCTGACAGCATCCACCACAAGCTGACTGAAGAGACTTTGGGCCTTGAATGAATATTGGTGGTAGCCAGGTAGTATTTGCCAAAGGCCTGGGGTGGTGGCAGCCATGCGGAGGGACTCCATCTGCTTGAGGAAAGGATAGGGAAGAGTGGGAAGGACAGTCTTGTGCCCTGGGTGCAAACTCAACCATAGGAGAATAAAACAGCAAGGAGATTCCTAAAGTTCCTGACTCCAGACCCTGTCTGCAACACAGCATTCCTGGAACTGCCCTGGGCCCGTGGGAAGCTTGCTGTCCTGAAGGAAAGGACAGGCATGGCTGGATTTTCCACCTGCTGACGGAATAACCCTTGGGCCTTGAGTGAATATTGACAGTAGCCAGGCTGTGTTTGCCATGGGCCTTGGGCAAGACCCAGTGCTGTACTTTCTTCATGTATGACCCAGCAGAGTCACAGTGGGGGCAACAGGAATGCTTGTGATATCCCTCTCCCAGCTCCAGGCAGCTCAGCAAGGAGAAAGAGATTCCCTTTGTTTGGGGGAAAATAAGGGGAAAAAAACAAGAGTCTCTGCCTGATAATCCAGGTAATTATTTCAGATCTTGCCCTAGTCCACCAAGGCATTACCTCTATGAGGCAGCAAGAGCCACAGGGTTACTGGGCTTCAGGTACCCCCAAATGCAGATATAGCTGCAGCGACCAAAGATTTAGATCACAACACTCAATTTTCTTTGAATACTTGAAATGCCTTCCCAAGACAGACAGTTACAAACAAGCCAAGAGTATGAAGACTAAATAAATACCTAACTCCTTAATGCTGAGACATCAACAAACATCCACAAGTATCAAGACCACCCAGGAAAACATGACCTCACCAGACAAACTAAATAAGGCACCAGCGAACAATCCCAGAGTGACAGAGATAATGACTTTCAGACAGAAAATTCAAGATAGCTCTTTTGAGAAAGCTTGTGAAATTCAAGATAACACAGAGAATGAATTGAGAATACTATCAGATAAATTTAACAAAAAGATTGAAATTTTTTTTAAATCAAGCACAAATTCTGGAGCTGACAAATTCGATTGACATACAGACGAATACCTGAGAGTCTCTCTCAACAGCAGAAGTGATCAAGCAGAAGAAAGAATTAGTGAGCTTGAAGACAGGCTATTTGAAAATACACAGCCAGAGGAGTCACACACAGTCAAAAGAAAAAATACTTTAAAAGAATGAAACACGCTTACAAGATCTAGAAAATAGTCTCAACACGGCAAATCTGAAGGTTATTGGCCTTAAAGAGGAGGTACAAAGAGAGATGGGGTAGAAAGTTTATTCAAAAGGATAATAACAGAAAACTTTTCAAATCTAAAGAAAAATAAATATTGAAGTATAGGGTTATAGAAAACCAAGAGATTTAATCCAAATAAACTATCTCAAGACAATAATAAAATTCCCAAAGATCAAGGATAAATAAAGCATTCTAAAAGCAGCATGAGAAAAGAAACGAATCACATATGATGGAGCTCCAATATGTCCATCAGCAGACTTCTCAGTGGAAATCTTACAGACCAGGAGAGAGTGATACAACATTTAAAGTGCTGACGAAAGTAATTTTGCTTCCTAAAATGTATATCTGGCAAAAATATCCTTCAAATGTGAAGGACAAATAATGACTTTTCCAGACCAAAAAAAGCTGAGAGATTTCATCAACACCAAACCTGTCCTATAAGAAATGCTAAAGAGAGTTCTTCAATCTGCAAGAAAGGACATTAACAAGCAATAGGAAATTATTTGAAGGTACAAAACTCACTGGTTATAGGAAGTATACAGACAAACACAGAATATTTTAACATTGTAATTATGGTATGTAAACTACCCATATATTGAGAGGAAAGACTAAAAGATAAACCTATCAAAAATAATAACTACAACAACTTTTCAAGACATTTAGTAAGATATAAATAGAAACAACAAAATAGAGAGTGGATGAAGTGAGGCCAGGCATGGTGTCTCATGCCTGTAATCCCAGCACTTTGAGAAGCTGAGGCAGGTGGATCACGAAGTTAGGAGTTCAAGACCAGCCTGGCCAATATGGTGAAACTCCATCTCTACTAAAAATACAAAAATTACCTGGGAGTGGTGGTGCATGCCTGCAGTCTCAGCTACTCGGGAGGCTGAGGCAGAAGAATCGCTTGAACCCGGGAGGTGGAGGTTGTAGTAAGCCGAGATTGCGCCACTGTGCTCCAGCCTGGATGACAGAGCAAGACTCTGTCTTAAAAAAAAAAAAAAAAAAAAAAAAAAAAACAAACAAAAATGGATGAAGTGAAGGATAGAGTTTTTATTAGTTTTCTCTTTGCTTGTTTGTTTTTGCAGTCAGCGTTAAGATGTCATCAGTTTAATATAATGAGTTATAAGATGTTATATGTAAGCTTCATGGTAACTTTAAATAAAAAAATAGACACAACAGATACACAAAAAAATAAAAAGCAAGAAATTAAAACATACCACTAGAGAAAATCACCTTCACAAAAAGGAAGACAAGAAGGAAGGAAGAGAAGATCACAAAACAACCAAAAACAAATACTAAAATTGCAATAGTTCATTCTTACTTAACAATATCATTGGCTGTAAATGGACCAAAAAGACATTAAATGGGTTGAATGGATCGAAAAAAAAGACCCAACAATCTGTTTCCTAAGAGAAACTGACTTCACCTATAAAGACACATAGAGACTGAAAATAAAGGGATAGAAAAAGATATTCCATGCCAATGTTAACCAAAAATCAGCAGCAATAACTATGCTTATATCAGATAAAATAGAGTTTAAGACAAAAACTATAAAAAGAGACAAAGAGGGTCATTATATAATGTTAAAAGGGTCAATTCGGCAAGAGGCTATAACAATTGTTAATATATATGCACCCAAACACTGGAACACTGGAACACCCAGATATATAATGCAAGTACTATTATAGCTAAAGAAAGATATACACCCTAATACAGTAAGAGCTTGAGGCATAAACACCCCACTTTCAGCACTCTCCATATCATCCAGAGAGAAAATCAACAACAACAAAAATCAGACTTAATCTGCAGTATAGAACAAATGGACCTAATAGATACTTACAGAACATTCTATCTAACTGTTGCAGGATGCACATTCTTCTCTTAAGTGCATGGATCATTCTCAAAGATATACCATATGTTAGGTCATGAAAAATATTTTAAAAATCTAAAAATTGAAATCTTATCAAATATTATCTCTGACCACAGGTAATAAAAAACTAGAAATCAATAACAAGAGAAACTCTGGAAATTATGCAAACACATGAAAATTATATAATATGCACCTGAATAATGAGTGGATAACTGAAGAAATTAAGAAGGATATTAAAGTATTTCTTGAAAAAGTGAAAATGGAATCACAACATACCAAAATCTACAGAATACAGTGAAAGCAGTACTAAGAGGAAATTTAATAGCAATAAGTGGCTTCATTTAAAAAAACTAGAAATCTTTCAAATAAACAACTTAATGATGCAACTTAAAGAATTAGAAAAGCAAGAGGAAGCCGAAGCCAAAATTAATAGAATAAAAGAAATACTAATGATCAAAGCAGAAATAAATAAAAGTGAAATAAGGAAAACAATACAAAAGATCAATAAAATGAGTTTGTTTTTTGAAAAGATAAACAAAACTGACAAATATTTATCCAGACAGAAAAAAAGAGAGAAGACCCAAATAAATTAAATCAGCTATGCAGAAGGAGACATTACAATTGATACAGTAGAAATTCAAAAGACTACTATGGGCATTAGAGAATATTATGTGCAACTACACACGAATAAATTGGAAGGCCTGTAAGAAACGGATAAATTCCTAGATACATACAACCTACCAAGATCAAACAATGAAGAAATTCAAAATCTAAATAGACCAATTGCAAGTAATGAGATAAAAGTTATAATGAACAGTCTCCCAGCAAAACAGACAGGGACCCAATGGTTTCACTGGTGAATTTTACCAAAAGATGTAATACTAATCCTACTCAAACTATTCCAAAAAATAGAATAGGAGGGATTACTTCCAAACTCATTCTACCAGGCTAATATCACCCTGATAACAAAACCAGATATAGACATATTAAAAA
This sequence comes from Homo sapiens, assembly GCF_000001405.40. Taxonomy (NCBI): domain Eukaryota; kingdom Metazoa; phylum Chordata; class Mammalia; order Primates; family Hominidae; genus Homo; species Homo sapiens. The sequence continues at coordinate 108,372,691 of NC_000013.11, read as the reverse complement.
AATAAAACTATAGGGCAACATCCCTGATGAACATTGATGCAAAAATCCCCAACAAAATACTATCAAATTTAATTTACCAACACATTAGAAATATCATTCATCATGATGCAGTGGGATTTATTTACCCCAAGGAGGCAAGAACTGTTCAACATATGTAATCAATCAATATGATACATCATATCAACAGAATGAAGGACAAAAACCATATGATCATTTTAATTAATACTAAAAAAGCACTTGATAAAATTCAACATCCCTTTATGATGAAAACACTCAAAAAACTGGGTATAATAGGGATATACCTCAGCAGAATAAAAGCCACATATGACAGATCCACAACTAGTATCATACTGAACTGGGAAAAACTGAAAGCGTTTCCTCTAAGATCTGAAATACAGCAACAGTGTACACTATAACCACTGTTATTAAACATAGTACTGGAAGTCCTAGCTAGAGCAATCAGACAAGAGAAAGAAATAAAGAGCATCCAAATTGGAAAGGAAAAAGTCGAATTATCTTTTGGTGAAGTCTTTAGGGTTTTCCAATCATGATATGATCTTATATTCAAAAAAACCTAAAGAAACCACCAAGAAACTCTTAGAACTGATAAATTTAATAAAGTCTCAGGATACAAAATCAACATACATAAATCAGTGGCATTTCTATGTGCCAACAGTGAACAATCTAAAAAAAGACATCTCGAAAGTAATTCCATTCACAATAACTACAAATAAAATAAGATAGCTAGGAATAAACTTAACCAAAAAAGTGAAAGCTCTATACAAGAAAACTACTAAACATTGATGCAAGAAATTAAAGAGAACACAAAAAAATGGAAAGATATTCCATGTTCAAGAATTGGATAAATCAATATCATTAAAATGTTCATACTACCCAAAGCAATCTACAAAATTAAATGCAATTCCTATTAAAATTCTAATGACCTTCTTCATCAAAATAGAAAAAAATCATAAAATTTATATGGAATCACAAAAGACCCAGAATAGCCAAAGCCATTCTGAGCAAAAAGAACAAAACTGGAGGAATCACATTTCCTGACTTCAGATTATACTGCAGAGCTATAGTAACAAAAACAACATGGCGCTGTCATTAAAAACATATAAAGTTATGGAACGGAATATAGCAACCATCAGAAATCCATAAAATCCATACATTTATAGTGAATTCATTTTTGACAAAGCTTCCAAGAACACACAATGGGGAAAGAAGTCTCTTCAATAAACTGTGCTGGGAAAGCTGCCTATTCATACACAGAAGAATGAAACTAGACTCCTATCTCTCACCATATACAAATATCAAATCAAAATAGAATAAAGACTTAAATCTAAAACCTGAAACTCAGAAATTACTAAAATTAAAGATTGGGGAAACTCTCCAGGACATTGGTCTGGGCAAACATTTCTTGAATAGTACTTCAACACCACAGGCAACCAAAGCAAAAATGAACAAATGGAATCACAGGTTGAAAAGGGTCTGCACAGCAAAGGAAACAATCCACAAAATAAAGAGATAAACCACAGAATGGGAGAAAACATTTGTAAGCTATCCATCTGACATGGGATTAATGATCACAATACATAAGAAGCTCAAACAACTCTACAGGAAAAAAATCTAATAACCTGATTTTAAAGTGGCTAAAAGATCTGAATAGATATTTCTCAAAGGAAGACATTCAAATGGCAAACAAGCATATGAAAACTTGCTCAAGATCATTGATCATCAGAGAAATGCAAATCAAAAGTACAATGAGCTATCATCTCCCTCCAGTTAAAATGGCTTATATCCAAAAGAGAAGCAATAACAAATGCTGGCAATGACATGGAGAAAAGAGATCCCTCGTACATTATTGGTGGGAATGTAAATTAGTAGAACCACTGTGGAGAAGAGTAGGGAGGTTCATCAAAAAACTAAAAATAGAACTACCATATGATCATCAATTCCACTGTTAATAATTAAATCAGTATGTCAAAGAGATATCTCCACTCCCATGTTTATTGCAGCACTGTTCACAATAGCTAATATTTGGAAGCAACCTACATGTTCAGCAACAGATGAGTGGATAAAGAAAATGTGATACATATTTTATAACACAGAATGAGATCCTGTCATTTGCAACAACATGGATTGAACTGGAGGACATTATGTTAGGAGAAATAAGACAAGGACAGAAAGACAACGTTTGCATGTTCTCACTCATTTGTGGGAGCTAAAATTTAAAACAATTAAACTCATGGAGATAGAGAGTAGAACGATGGTTATCAGAAGCTGTGAAGGGTATTGGGAGAGGCAGAAGTGGGGATGATTAATAGGTAAAAAAAATAGTTAATTGGATAAGAATAAGATCTAGTATTTGATAAGCACAACAGGGTGATTACAGTCAACAATAATTTAAAAATAACGGAGCATAACTTACATGTTTGTAACACAAAGAAATGATAAATGCTTGAGGTGATGGATACTCTATTTATGCTGATGTGATTATTACGCATTGTATGCCTGCATCAAAATATCTCCTGTACCCCATAAATATACACACCTACATTTTAACAAAAAATAAATTAAAGTAATAATAACAACTAAATAAATAATAAAATTATAAGAAGATAACACTACAAATCTATTGGAATGGCTAAAATGTTAAGGGAATGAAGAAATAATCAATGACAAACCCAAATGCTGGTGATGCAGAGCAGCTGGAATCCTCATACCACCCCCCCTTTTTTTTCTTTATTCAGCTCTTGGAATTTTTATTGCTTAAAGACACGTCTACTATACATGAAACACTTGTTTAACATTGGTGGTCTTTTAGGACGATTTTTAGTTAAAACTTGAAACTTTACACACTTTAGTTCTACAGGGTAAAAACAAAAACTTGACTTTAGGTTTCCTGAGCTATAAGTCAGTGGCTTTTTGCCTCATTCATGCCTATAGATGTATGTGTACACCCACACACACACACAGCCCTATGTCCTTTGTTAGTTTAGATCAACAAAGGTACAATGCCAAATGGCTTTCATCTGTCTTCACTGGAAGAGTCACCTTAATCTCTGAATCTCTGCATGTGGAATATCATCATTAGTGTCAGATTCTCTCCTGACATGCATAGCTACAATTCCCTCCTGGGAATAAAAAAAATGACAGAGCCACTCTCTGAAAAACTGTTTGCAAGTTTCTTTAAAAAGTTAATATACACTGACTTTATGACCAGAATACTACTGTTAGGGATTTATTCTAAAGAAATTAAAAATTATATTCACACAAAAACTTGTGATGAGTGTATTAGTCTGTTCTCACACTGCTATAAAGAAATGTCCAAGACTGGGTAATTTATAAAGAAAAGAGGTTTAATTGACTCACAGTTCTGCATGGCTGGGGAGGCCTCAGGAAACTTACAATCATCGTGGAAGGCACCTCTTCACAGGACTGCAGGAGAGAGGATGAATGCCATCAAGAGAAATGCCAGGTGCTTATAAAACCATCAGATCTCATGAGACTCACTCATTATCACAAGAACAGCTTGGGGGAAACTGCCCCCATGATCCAATTACCTCCACCTGTTGCTACTCTTGACATGTGGGGATCATTACAATTCAAGGTGAGATTTGGGGAGGGACACAGAGCCAAATTATATCTATGTTAATAACCTTTCTATTCATACTGGACCAAAACACACACACACACACACACACACACACACACACACACACAAACAACCAAATGTTCTCCAGTCCTCAAATTACTGAATGGATAGACAGACAGTAGTACATCCATAGGATGGAATACTATTCAGCAATAAAAATGAATTAACTACAGAGACATTCAACAATGTAGATGAATCTCAAAGACATACATCCAATGAAATAATTCAGTCTCAAAATGTTACATACTGTAGGGTTTTATTTATATGACACTCTGGAAAACGAAAAACTAAAGGGAAAAGGAACAGGCTCGTCATTGCCAGGCATTTGAGTAAGGGGAAGTTTGTCTGCAAAGGAGCAGCATCAGTAAGTTTTAGGGGGTGATGGAACTGTTCTTTATCCTTATTGTGGTTTTCACACAAATCTAATATGTGTTAAAACTCATAGAACCACATAAAACAGTCAATATTACTTTTCTGATATTAGGAAAGAACTTGATAACCTAACCAGCTTGCTAGAGTATCTTTGTTTTAAATAAAATACTTTACCAAACTTTATTGTCTCCTAGACAACATAGCCATCTTACGCAAATAGCATGTGGGTTCTTGCTTCTTCCTTTTATTACACCAGTTCTCTTTTTTTTTACACTTCTACTCACTTCCTTTTTTATTTATTAAGAATTTCTAAATTTTATTTTTTCTACTTTTATTTTATGTTCAGGGGTACATATGCAGGTTTGTTACATGGGTAAATTGAATGTTGCTGAGGCTTAGTGTACAAATGATTCCATCACCAAGATAGTGAGCATAGTACCTTATAGGTAGCCTCTAACCCATTCCTCCCTCCCACCTTCTCCTATCAAGCAGTCCCCAGTATCTATTGTTCTCATATTTGCAACCTTGTGTATTCAATATTTTGCTCCCACTTATAACTGAGAACATAATGGTACTTGTTTTTCTGTTCTTGCATTAATTTGCTTAGGATAATGGCCTCCAGCACATCCATGTTGCTGTAAAGGACATGATTTGTGGTATATATGTACCACATCTTTACCCAGTTCACTGTTGATGGGAATCTTAGTTGATAAAAATCCTCAACCAAAAGGCTAGCAAACTGAATCCAGCACCACATCAAAAAATTTAATGAACTATGATCAAGTAGGCTTTATTTCTGGGATGCAAGGTTGGTTTAACATTTGCAAATCAATAAATGTGATTCATTCACCACATAAGTAGAATTAGCAACAAAAATCACACAATCATCTTGATAGATGCAGAAAAGGCCTTTGATAAAGTTCAATATCCCTTCCTGTTAAAAACCCTCAGGAATTTAGGCATTGGAGAAACATACTCAAAATAATAAGATTGATCTATGACAAACCCACAGCCAACATCATACTGAACAGGCAAAAGTTGGAAGCATTTCCCTTGAGAACTAGAACAAGACAAGGACGCCCACTCTTGCCACTCCTATTCAGTGTAGTACTGGAAGTGCTAGCCAGAGCAATCCGGCAAGAGAAAGAAATAAATCACATCCAATAGGAAGAGAGAAAGCCAAACTATCTCTCTTTGCAGACAATATGAATCTATACATAGAAAATCCCATAGACTTTGCCCAAGGGCTTCTAGAACTGATAAACAACTTCAGTAATGTTTCACGATACAAAACCAATGCACAAAAATTAGTAGCATTTCTGTACACCAATAACGTCCAAGCTCAGAGCCAAATCAAGAACACAATCCCATTCACAATAGCCACACACACAAAATAAAGTATCTGGGAATAAAGCTAACCAGGGAGGTGAAAGAGCTCTACAACAAGAATTAGAGCATCTTAATTAAACTGGCCGAAGGTTTAGTAACAAAACTTTCATTGATTTAGGAGCTGTGTCACTGAGTGGAGTTTCCCAAAGTGTAAGTGTCGAAGACAGGTTATACCCCAACTGATGTAGGTGATAGCCACATAGGACGTTCAGTATCACTTTATTGCAAAGTGAAGTTTTTCCCACTTCAGTTCTCTTTAAAATCATGAAATAATGGTGAGGATTAAGTCTAAATTGGATGTTAAAACAGTCATGGGAATCAGACTGACCAGGATAGAAAATCTGAGATTCTAATGCCTGACAGAATCCTCATAGGCCCCGGGACATTTTGTGAGGGCCAGCAAGTTGGTGTACCTTCATTTGTGAATATGCTGAGTTGTCTTTTGTTTGGTTTAACATTTAATAAAATTTCTAATCTTTGGCTAATAAAATTTCACTCCTTTAATCATGTCTGTCAGGGTCTTTCTGTCACACTTCAGACTATACACTGCACACTCACACTTACACCACACTACTACTCTGGTACAACACAGAAAACAACGAGGGTTTTCCTTTTGTGTTTGAAATATAAGGGTTTTTTGAAAAAAATGAATTTAAGTGAAATAGAAAAGCAAATGCATTAAAAGGCCAATATTACATAAACAATAGAATTGGCAGGACATAAATACGGCCAAAGACCATGAAGACACAGCTTGGTGCGGTGTGGACATGGCAGAAATCATAATGACGGTATGAAATGACCAAAGTGGAAGAACATGTGCATTAACTGTGGAGTGTTTCGCTGTTAAGACTTTGATTCAGAATTCCTGTTTTTCAATCTTGCTTTTGATATTGGTTAGCCACGAGACATTAGATAAACAACTTAAACTCTTCAGTACTCAATTTTACCATCTTTACAATGGAGTTAATACTATTTTTATTTTATAAGACTATTGAGAGGATTAAACAAGATAATTCATGTAAAACCCTTAATCAACTGTCTAGCATCCAATAAGCACTAGCTAGAAGAGCTAACACCAAAATATATTTTCTCGCATAGAATACATAAAACAAAATTTCATATCTTGTTAAGTAAATACTCCCTATCTATTTGTTATTTGATAGCAATTTATATTAAACCATCAATTAAAATTTGGGTCACCTTTTAATCATTAAAATTTTGGAGAATTCCATATAATCAATGTATCAAGAAGAAATGTCTTGTGATGCTTTGAGAAGGGGAGAGGGGAAGAGAGAGTGGGAAAGAAAAACAAATCTATAAAAACAAAATGACAATGACACTTTTGATACAAAACTAATACTGAGCTCTGTGAGAGAAAAATAAAGCAGATTCCTGGCTCTTCCATCAATTAGATCTTGCAATGAGTCTGAAAATCCCCAGAATATAGCAGGGAACTCCTGTCCGACACACTTACCTTAAATAGTCCAGTGAAATCAATATGCTGCCAAATGCTTTGCAACTCCATTTCACCATTCAATTGGCCTCCAGAAAAAGAAATACCCTCTCTTGGATCAATTTAAGTGTAACAACCAGGAACTCCTGTTCAAATGATAGATTAAGAATATTCTCTCCTTTCCCAAATCTGATATATGTAATTGAAAATAAAGAAAAAAGTCTACAAGCATATAAAAAGTAAAAGATATGTACGAGCCATCAGATGGTGATTGGAAATAAGTACAGTTGACCCTTGAACTCGGGGGTTAGGGCTGATGACTGCTACGTAGTTGAAAAACCACGTGTGAGTTTTGGCTTCCCCAAAACTTAACTACTAATAGCCTAGTGCTGACTGGAAACATTACTGATAACATAAATGGTAGGTTAACACATAGTTTGTATGTTATATGTATTACATGCTGTATTTTTACAATTAAGTAACCTAGAGAAAATAAAGTTATTAAGAAAATAAGGAAGAGAAAATACACTCACTATTCATTAAGTGGAAGTGGATCATCATAAAAGTCTCCATTCTCATCATCTTCGCATTGAGAAGACTGAGAAGGAAGAAGAGGAGGAGTTAGTCTTGACATCTCAGGGATAGCAGAAGCAGAAGAAAATCTGAGCATAAATGGATATGTGAAGTTCAAACTTCTGTTGTTCAAGGGTCAACTGTACTTGGAAGACAGAAAGTAGACAGAGTTCTCTATCGACAAATTAGGCTGAAAATTAGTCTTAGAGAGTAGAGGCAGGAGCCCACCTGCTGGGCAGAGCCCAGGAGAGATTTTAAGTATGAAAAGAGACAGGATGGGAGAACGTGGTCCATATCCTCTCTCTAAAACCACCTCTCAAGCATCATGTGTGCCCAGGTAACACCTAAAACATAAGCAAAACAAAACAACTATAAATAACTCCTGGGGGTATTCTCTGAAGATGTGTTCAGGGGGACACAAGGAAATTGGAGATGGCTTTGAAATCTTAGCATAAAGCTGACTTATTTTCACATTCAAGGGTGCTCCAGCTCACTGGCTGGCTCATTTCCAATCATCACAGAGTGCACTCTGCCAGGTCACAGGCTAACCAACACATACAGAATTCCTATTCAGCTTCTCTGTCATTGTTTCTTAAACGTGAGCAATCAAGAAACCTAAGTCATTTAAGAACTTCTGTAATAGGAAAAGGAAAGTCCAAAGAAAAACAAATTGGCCCAGGAAAACAAGTCAAAGAACAGGAAGCAACAACAAAACTCACAAAACTTTAATTGGAAGGTGCATATGAATTGAACAATAAAAGAGAAAAAAAGAAAAATGACATGAAAAGATAAGCAATGTAGATTATCTATATAGGAGGTATAGTGTACAATTTATAATGATTCCCCTGAAAATGAGGAAAATACATTATTAAAGATGATACATGATAATTTCCAATGTTGGAGATCAGAAGAATTTAACTAAGATGGCACCAAAGGAAATTGAAAAGGACTTTGCAGAGGAGAAGGGCTGGGATGGATATCACCCATGCTATGCTTTTTTTCCTGGGATATTCCACCAGACCATGTTTGTGTTTCAGAGCCACACTGTTCTTCTCCCCTCAAGTCTATCTTCCTTTGTTGCCTGAATGCAGATGATCCATTCAGATACTGAGAAGTTTGGAATGGTTAAGGCATTTGAAGAAAATTTGGGTTCATGAATGACTGATGTGTGAATAGCAGTAGCTACCCACTATGAAGTCAGTAGGGGACATGCGCAAGAAATAAACTGTGGTTATGTTAAGCTGAGATTCTGGGTAATTTTTTTTTGGCAGATCATACACTCTGACTGAAATAGAAATTGGTACCTTGACTTGAGCTACTGCTGTAACAAAAACCTAAAATATGTGGTCTTGGCGTTGAAATGGGGTGTAGTAGCCAGCAAACAATTTTGCAGGGTAGACTGCAGGAAGTACATGTGACGCAACGAGAAAGCATTTCTAAGAGTAGAGCCTCTGTTGCCGTGAATCTAGAGGAAAGGTTGGAAAACAGCATTTGTACCTCTTAAGATCTATGAAAATAAAAAAATTTAAAGTGTATGCTGGTCCAGTAGACTGCATTTAACTACACTGTATAAGAAAAAAAAAAATGACCTCGAGAAAGAATTGGAGACACCACATGCAACAATGTTAGGAATAGAGAGATTCCATACAAAGTAGGGTTCTGAAGGGTTAGAAAAGCCTGGTTTCTTGAGCCAAATTGCAGAAAAAGAAAAAAAAAAAGAAAATAATCCAAATGACCAGTAGAATGAGTAAATAAATAAATGGTGGTATTCTCAAACCATGGGAAATTAAAGAGTACTAAGAAGACTCCCACTACTGCTAGGTACAGGCACAAAGTAGTCATCAGGGTAGGAATATTCTGGATGAAAATTAATAGAATAGAAGCTACATGTGATGAAATGGTTAGCGGTAGCCACATTTTTAAAATGTAAAAGGATACAGATCATACTTTCATTATATTTTATTTAACCTAACATGGAATAAATACAGAATTTATTGAGTTATTTTACATTCCTGGTACTAAGTCTTTCCAATCAGTTACGTATTTTACATTTACAATTCATCTGAATTCAGATGTTAATTTTTCAACAGAAGTTCTTGATCTGTACTTAGATTTTATAAATTTTATAGATAAAAAGTAAATTCACATGCTAAAGTTGTTTCAAGTATGCTTAAAAGTTATACAATAAATAAAAATAGCCAGTTTTGGTAACTGCATGGTAAATGCTAAACAACCACATGCATTGGACATCACATCTCTGCAGCTTGATGCAGGCAGTGGCTACATAAAAGGGCTCACTTTACAGAAATGCACCCTGTACACCTATAAGTTGTGCGTTTTCATGTACATACATGTTTTTCTTCAATTACATAAAGAACTTGCTGCTTTGGGCAGTAAACCAAGTGGAAAATGATGGAACAGGACCTCATGTTTTTTTAAATTGCTTCTGCTCTATTTGTTTCTTAAGACATACATACAAATTGACAGTCTCTTGATTATATTTAAAAAATTACTTCAAGCTTTTCAATTTTTTTGCTGTATTCCTGGTAACTAGATGAATTCAATTCATTAATTGAAGTTTGCTCTGAGAATCATACCTCTGCCTCCAAGCTAATTCACTCAACACAGCCAGTCAGGATGCAAAAAACCTTAACAAATTCAGTGGTTTCACCAGGATGTATATTTAGACTACTTGTGTAAAAGACTTTTGAGAAAATAATAGCTGCTATTTTTTAGTGTTTTAGTGTTTTTATCAAGAATAAATGTATTTAATCCTCCCAACAGTGGAATCAAGTAGTGACTAGAACAATCCCCATGGTCCATAGGAGGAAACTGAGGCAGAGAAAGGTGAAGGAATTGTCAGACATCTGGAAAGCGGTGTGCCGGGATTCAAACCCAAACACTGACCTGAATGAGCTTTTAAGTGATGTTGAGGCAGTTCATTAAACATTTCCTGGATCCCTTTATGGAACTGTAGCATTGTATTAGCACATAGGCTAAAATATTCATTGGTGCATAAACACATATCCATTTTCTGCAAATATTTCAGTACAGTGGATACAGAAGTTAAGTAAATAAAAATAAAATAATTCTGATTCCTTTCTGTGCTCTACCTTTGACTCTGGAAACAATACCAAAGAGACCTGATGGCGGTCAAACAACAGACACTCATTCGTCCCACCCTTGTCCTGAGCCATCCTGCACCTGTTTCCTCTCTCAGCCTGGATCTTTTCCCCACGTCATGCTAAGCAACTGGTGCTGTCACCCTGCACTGAGCTTGGCAGCTGCAAGATTTGCTAACACATGGCCAACGCCTTGACCTGGTCACTCCAGCACGTCTGGAAGCTCACATGTGCCTCCGCCGATGCTCCCACCTGTCTACTTCCCCACATCGTTGCTGGCTTTGATCCTGCTTGAAGTCAGCTTCATTCTGTTTCAGATTTTCTTGACCTTGCCTTCTTCCCGAGAAGGTGGCTAACCATTTTGTTGTTGAGCAGAAATTAATTGCATTAACTCTTTACATTTTCAGACTAATTCCTGGAAAAAATATCTTCCTCCTGTTCGTGCTCCCACAGGATGTATAAAAGCTAGATGTTCCAATTCATTCATTTTCCTAAGCTTCCCTGGGAATTATATTATCAGTGCTGTGAAAGGATCAGTTTACTCATCGTAATAACAATAATTAGACAACAAAAACAACAACTCAGGACTCAGAAACAGAGCCTTCTTCAATCGTTGGAATCTGGATTATCTAAATAATTTCCAACTAAGTTGTCATCTGATTGTTTCAGAGCAAAGAGGAATTGTCAGGCGTGTGGCTGACAAGCAGGTATAAGATATATGATGGGCTTATCATAGCTCATAAGCCTGCTTGCTTTTTCTTAAATGGGACATGTATAAACAATGTCTCAAGCACTCAGCAGTCACCACTATAATTGCCGTGTGGTCCAATCTTCTCCAAAATAAGATTCAAAGATTAATGATAGACCTCTGCTCAATTGATATCTTAAAATTGACAACCTTCTTTCCTGGAGTTTATGCTACATACACACGTTCCATGAATACTGTTGCTGGAATTGATAAGCCATGACAGGGAAAAAGCCAAGTTGGAGTGAAGATTGCTTTTTGGAGAGATTCAGATTGCCTGTGAAATGGTATTGTTAAAATTCTGTGAGGTATGATGGGGCCGCTGACGGTTAATTGTTCCATTGAGGAGTAAGAAACTGTTGGCTGACTCTGAAAAAATAAATTGGTCTTTATCAAGCACATTTCTTAAAAGATTCTTGGATCATGTGGACCTTCAAGGATTAGGTGAATAAACACTTCAAAAAAATACAGGAAATAAAAATTTGAAGCATCTAATCCAATGAAGATAGCTTGCCATATCCATCCAGAGAATAATTTCCTCACCTTAGAATGAGCATAATTATAATCAGCAAGTTCACATCTGTTTCTAAATTCTACATTTGAATTTATCACAAATATCTCCACTCTAATTTGGGAATATCATTTAAAAACACTTCTCCTATTTAAAAACAATTCAACTTGAGATGTTCCTGTATAATTGAATAAATGACTATTTCTACCATGGTTTGGAAATATTTCATTATTTAGATAATTTGTATTTAGCTACTCTGTATCTTGGGGGGAAATGTGTTCTGTATTGGTGTTTGTCCTCATAATATCATGCCATTAATTCTTTTTATCTCATTTCCTTAGGTCTCAAATTGTCATTTAGTCCATACTATTTTCTAATCTAACTGTAGGATTGTATTAGCACATAGCTAGTGAGCACACAGCTAGCAGCTATCACTCACAGTAGCCCATCTATAGGAGGGAGGTCTACAGCACTGGGTGTGAGTAATGAAGGCGCTAAACTGTGGCTTTCTGGGCTCAGCAGGCTTGCCATAGAGGCTGCGTGGGGAATTTCAGAATGAGGAAGACAGCAAGCACATTGTGCATTTAGCAGTATTCTTAACATCCCCATAATCCTGTGGGTCTCAACCTAGGCTACCAAAGAGAAGCCACTGAGCTTCTTTAAATAAACATTAATGCATTAATGCCTGGGTCTTATTCCCAAAGATTATGATTGAATTGTTCTTGAGTGTGGCCCTGGCATTGGCAATTTTACCTCCCCCGAGATGATTCCAGTGTGTAGCCAGGGAGGAAAGCCTTCCTATCACATCACCCCTCAGAGCTCACAGAGTTCTTTCTCACACCCTTACTCCTTCATTTGACCTTCACAGTGTCCTTGAGAAGTAGTCAGACAAATTATATTATCTTCCTTCTAACAGAGTAAGAAACTTCAGCAGAAAGGCTGGGTTGTGCAGTTAGTAGACATAAAGCGGGGACTGGGGTCAAGTCTCACGACTTAAGGTCATTATGTCTCACCAGGTCACTTTTGTCCTCATACGGGAGGGTGGACAGTGAGAGTGGCGACCTCTACCCAGACTTCATTATAGCTCAACCGTTGATTACCTATGAATGATGAGCTTTGTTTTTCACTGTAAGACCCATTTTTGTGATTTGTTTTTCTATTTCTTCATGTTTGTCATGTTTGTCATCATTATCCCAAAGTCCATTAAAGTTAGAGACAACACAAGAGAAGTCATGAGCTCTCAGTGAAAATTCTTGCCACTGTGCCATTCTATATTGCACCTTCACCTTAGCAGAATTCATTAACATCTCAGCAAAATAGCATTAGCAGGAATTAATTTAGGGAAAATATATGGGCACTCTGTAAAGAGTGTTATTGTTCTTAATTTTTTAAGTTGTTGAAATGCCTGCTAAGAATATACCTTCATAGTTATAAAAACAGTTTCTGAATAATGTGCTACAGAGGATGTCATTGTCACCTCCACTTAGAGGTTAAAAATAGTAATGCCAGTCCATTTGTGATTCTAAAATCACAGTCTTTTCATTTTAATGTGCTGCCATTCTGGAATGAAGGTGAGATTTCTGACCTACTGTTGGGAGGGTATGCCCTGGGAGTCTTTTGATAGTGTGGATGGATTTGTAGACCACCCCATGTACATTTCCTTCACCTCCATTGTCCTTTGTTAGTTTCCACTCCTTGTGAATTGATTTTCCAATTTTAACTTTTAATTTTATATTGTGAATCTACAAGAATCAATGGGTGATTTGGGGCAAGTACTTTGTCCTGGGTGAGCATTATTCCCTACACCTACAAAAGGTTAAAATGAGATTATGATGTGTGAGTGCCTAGCACAACTCCTGGACTCAGGACCCAGGCCAAATCGATAAGGCTGAATTTGAAGGATCATCACTTGTGTTGGCCATAAGTATTTTACTATTTAGTAAATGCAATTTATAAACCTAATGAAGATTTTCTCCTGTCTTGCAGATTTCGTATCTATCTCCAGCAGTTTATGGAATTAAGCTACATATATTTGGCTTTTTGCTGTCAATTCCTCTAGTGGTACTGTATTCAAACACATCATTTATATAATTCATTACGCTACGTTACCATACTCTGAGGATTTTTAGAAAGAAATTCCATGCTGCGTGAAAGGTCTAATGCTGTGGCCTTATTTCCATTTTTTAAAAAGAAAAAGAAAAGCTTTGCTATGGTAGTAATTAACAACTGGCATGCAGATGGCATTGATCAACGTTTACCCCCAGAACAGCTGTAGTTTCTGCAGTCTACAACCCAGTTGTCCCAGATGGTATTTTTAGCATCACGCTCTCTAAATACAGGAGGTGGTAGTCAAAATATAGTTAAAAGATGATACCATTATGGAGATTCTAATAATGGAATTGCTTTTCTTCTCTCTTCTTTAAAATTTTTTTTGTTTTTGGCAAATAACTAAATCCTAATGGAGTTGACAAATATATCTTTATGGTAAAGTCAATAAGTAGTCACTAAGATACACTTTTGAAAATTTAAATCACGAAAGTACTTTCAATAGTCTCATCTCTCTTTAAATTCTATAGTCTAAAATTAGGACCATGACTATTTCCAGCAAGAGAAGAAAGAAATGACTATAAAATTAGTATCACTTAACAAGAAAGTATTTTTTGAGTGCTTTCTAGGTCCTTTTTCCCTGTTAAAAAAAAAAAAAAAGCCACTTTTCCATCTAGTTGGTAATCTAGTCTGTAATGAATAAAACAATTAAGAACAAAATAAAATTATCAATTGTGGGGAAAATAAGGAAAATAAAAGTTAGAGAAAAAGAAGCACCTGCAGCCTGGATTCAGCAGTGAAAAATCTGAAGTGCTGAAAAACATTACATTATGTTTCAAAGACTGATTGCTAGAAACATGGACACAGAGACAGAGAAACAATTTATGTAAATATATATGAATGAATTAATACATAGAGAAAAAGACACTCAAATAATATTTTATCCAGATTCTTAATGGCCGAGTCTTAAAATCATTATTCCACCAAAGACTAATGTCATCATAGCATTAACCTCTCAATATAGGAATAAATCTAATACATCAACTTTTTAAAGTATAAACATTTTACTCTTAACATTTTGAGTGGCTTCATTTTAAAGGTTTTACATGGAACCACAGGAATAATCCCTTCTGCACACTTAGCTATTGGATGTCTGCTACAATCAGTGTACTGCACCTTTGCGATATCCGAGTACCCTATTTCTCTCCAATACGCTTTCCATGATTTTTAATCTACGTATTTTTCATTGATAATCACTGATGTTATTTATGTGGTATTGGATATATTCTTTATTTTAAATTTTGAAGACACCAAGTGGATATTCTACTTTTACTTCACTTTTACAAGATGTCAAGAATGCCCAAATAGGATTTTTATTTAGAAAAATTAAAGGTCAAGTCAGCATTTAATTAAGAATTTTAAAAAATACAGCTTTTAAAATTTATGTTGTTTTATGTTATAAATACCATTTATATTTCTTCAAAGTTTGGATTTGTGATATTATCTAATCTTTATTATCCTGCCTTAAATATTATTTAAGTTTTAATTTAAATAATTTTTGATTTATATCCACTTATAAATTACACAACGATCATTCCAGCAATATCTACCTAATGCACTTGCAGTTACTTTTGCTATCACTTTTCAATCTCTATGTGTATTTGTTAGTTACATGAAAGTTCCTAATTATTTTATACATAAATTACCATCATCACAAATTATCGCATTTGACTTTTGCAATAATAAATACAGTGTATAATTATATTTCAACTACAAAATCTCAATATATGAAATACATAAGGAGATGCTCACGTCGAGTTACAGCCAAAATACCTTATTTGATATGAATATTGATAATGCATTTTAAGATGTTAATAATATTTTGAGATCTATAAGAAAAATGCTTAAGATATAAGATATTAACAATAATTCTAAGTAATATGCTACAATGGTAAATAATTTTAAGAATCAAATGTATGTCCTTACAATCATTGATTATTGATAATTTCAAGATGCCAGGTATAATACTGATGAATAGTCAATTTTAGTTTAATACATATATGTCTAAAAAATATATATACATACACAAAAAGTGTTCAAAAGGCTCATGAAAAATGTGTATGATGAAAAAAATATGCATGGATTTCAAAACTTTTTTGTACTAAAATAAAACTTGCACTACTTTGTTATATGTCTGAACAGGATCTAGTTTGAAGTACTAAGAAGAAAGCACTTTGAAAAGATCCTCTATCAGAGGAACATAACTTCTGCTCAAATTGAAGCAAGGACAAATGTCAAATTTATGAGGAAGCTTCTGGAAAAATGGTGCTATCACTGATGCTTTATGAAAAGTTTATGGGGACAATGTCCCAAAGAAATCAGCAGTTTATACATGGACAACTCATTTTAATAAGGGACAAGATGATATTGAAGACGAAGCCTGCATGGGCAGGCCATTCACATCAATTTGCAAAGAAAAAATGTTATTGTTTTACCCAAATTGAAGAGGACTGACGATTAGCAGCAGAAACACAAGCCAATGCCACCGACATCTCACCTGGTTCAGCTTTCACAATTCTTTCTGAAAAATTAAAGTTGAGAAAATTTTCCACCTAATGACCAAAATTTTTGCATCCAGATCAGCGGCAGACAAGAACAGAGCTTTCAATGGAAATTTTAAACAAGGGGGATCAAGATCCTGAAGAATTTCTTTGAAGAATTGTAACAGAAGATGAAACATGCTTTACCAGTATGATCCTGAAGGCAAAGCATAATCAAAGCAATGGCTACTGAGAGGTGAAAGTGGGCCAGTCAAAGCAAAAGCAGACAGGTCAAGAGCAAAGGTCACGTCAATAGCTTCTTGGGGATGCTCAAGGCATTTTCCTTGTTGACTTTCTTCAGGGCCAAAGAATGATAACTTCTGCTTATTCTGAGACTGTTTTGAGAAATTTAGCCAAAATTCTGTCAATGCCTATAATTTTAAAATTTTAAATATATATTCAATATTAATTTAATATTTTAATATACATAAATATATACTTAATTTTATAACAATATTTGTATCAGCAGAATTACTAATGACTAAACACCTCATTTTTGCCTACTTCAACCCTTCTCCTCTTTACACACTAAAGACTTGGATTTTATGGTTCTTTAATATTTAGACTCAAGTTTGAACTTTAACGAAGTCAGGTGATTCATTGTGAGCATTGAATGGAAGCTGCTCCCAAAAGTGGGACTGGAATTCCTCTGACATCTAGTAAACACCACAGACCTAATAGGAACCTCAAACGTTGACCAAGCCTCTGCTCCAGTCCTGCCCCTCTGCCTGTTCCCACGGGGCTTTAAAAAAAAAAATTATTACTAATTCTCTAGTCACTCAGTATCATATCTTTAATTATTACCTGTTTGTTGACAAGTTTCATATTTATATCTGAAGCTCAGATTTTTCCCCAAACTCCAGAAAATATATATCCACCTGTCCACTGATCCCCACATTTGGAATCATACTAGCACCAAAAACTTACGCCCTAAAGCAAATTTACATATCCCTACCCACATGATCTCATCTCACAATCTTCCCAAACTCAAGTAACAGCAACTCTATTTTCCTGAGTCTTCTCTTCCTCTCACCTCCTTATTCCTTACAGCAGCACATCATCCTGTGTTTTCTTATTATCTTCATGGTCAACTCCTTTATCAAAGCCACCATGAGCTCTCCCCTTAGGTATTGCTCTAACTTTCTGCCCGATTCTACCATGGCTTCTCTGTAGTATATTCTCAACACAGCAGTCAGGATGAACCTGTTAAAGCATACATCATACCTTATCCCTCCTATGTGAAAAACTCCACAAGAGACTCCCATGTCAGAGTAAAAGCCAGGCTCTACAAGGCTCCCTATTGCCTGACCTCTTTACTTTTCAGCCTCCTCCTCGTTTTCTGCACTCCAGGTGCACTGGCCTCTCTCTAGCTCTCCAGACATGCCGGCCACCCACACCCCAATGCTCTTCTACTTCCTGCTTCCTTTCTGCCCTCATTCCTTTTAGCTGCATGCATAGCTCCCTCGTTTCCTTCAGTTTTCACCCAAAAGTCACCCTCTGTGTGATGTTTTCTCTGGCCATGCTACCTCAATGTCAACACCCACTCCTCTCCCCAGCTCTGACGTTTCATATGCCTGCTCCATTTTAAACATTTCCTCCTAAGTGCTTGCCACTATTGCGTGTGCTGTGTGTTTTGTTTATTATCTATCCCTTCCATTGAAATGTAAGCTCCCTGAGCAGAGATTTTTGTATGTTTTGTTCCTTACTGCATCTCCCAAAACTAGAACAGGACCCAGAACATAATAGCCCACCAATTAAAATCTGCTTCACAATTCTGCACAGTGCTTCAAGGATGAGTCTTCAAAGATTGCGATCTGGGCAGCAAGGCATAAGATTATGGTTTTGCACATGCAACACTAAAAGAGCATATCAAGGAAGTAAATTCAATTAAATAAATGAACAAAGAAACAAAGTTGATTTTCATATTGAAATCAATGCATGGATCAGCTAACTTAGCCTATGGAGACATAAACTAAATGCCCCTTTGCATGTCTGAGTCATGATCTGTTTATATATCAAAAGCATATGCAGCAAAGTAGTGCATGGATCAATGTTCTTATAAATGAAGTTCCCTTAAATATCATTTGTTGGTCAGAAACAGAAATACCAGCTTCTCCGACATGGATATTGGACATGTGAATGTACGGTGACAGCTCTGATGGCTAACATAGCATTCTTATAAAATGAAAAAGCACAATACAGTTCCTCACTACTGAGAGCCCTAGGCTGCAACCATTCCTCAGATTGAAGAAAATGTTTGGTGATCTCGTGAGTACCACACTGCCTGTTGTTCAGAAGATGGGTTAAATACTAACAAGGGGTCATCGCCCTCCTTGGATGGCTATTACCATCTGCATGACCCCTTCTCTGGTTTCATCTGTAGAAAAGGTAAAAATAAAAATAAAAATAATGTAAATGTGTCGGGGAGCCAAACAGTACTGCAGGAATTACGCCCTAGTTGCTGGCCATGCACGGTAAAGAGGTAGATTAATATTTAACTAATATCTACCCAGTTTCCCCCTGCAGAGATGGACTCCAGCAACCTTGAAGACTGACAGTTTATTGAAAAGAGGCCCCACATCTTCCCCATCTTTGAATATTGTGAGTCTGACATTTGTCTTGCATGTACTCAAAAAAAATGATCATTGATGGAGTGAGATATGTAAAGCTTTTAGAACAAACTACTGTGTGTCAATTTTCTATTTAATATTTTAAATAGAAGCTGATGGGTCCCCAAAATAAACCCATTAGAACAAAGCAAGTGAACAGACCTCACCAGTATATCTGTCAGCCTTACTTACAATTTTTCATACAAGAGCTATACCGTTAGTTATTCTGTCAATATTATATTGATGAAGAGGAAAGCTAAATTCATCTTCCTGTCTTTCTTTCTGTGCAGGCTTCCACTCAGTGATTCTTCAATTACCTAGTTCAATGACAGGACATTTTTTACTACCCTATTTTCTGTACATCAAGTTTCAAAATATTTCAGGTACTTCCAACAATTTGTCTTCATTGACATTACATAGTTTTGACCATTTGTGTATATCACTTTGGACATAAGTGCCTTCCTCAGCTGAGAGACCTCTGAGAGTCTCCAGTGAGAAGTTAAAGGCTGTATTTTGACTTTAAATGTAATGGCCATCAGAGGATTAGCTCAGAAAAAGGAACTCTTGGCAAAGACTTTGAGTTATATTTCCAGTGTAACAAATTCCAGAAATGAATGACATTCTTTTTTCTATGGTGGTCATAGAATTCCAGATTCTTTGAAACAAAATAGAAGATAATTCGAGCTCTCAAATAAAGAATTATATTTCCCGCAGGCAAGGGGATGAATTGTGATAGTCGGGTAATACATTGTCTTCTGGCAAAGCCATACCAAACTCTCTAGAGAAAAAATTGCACAATTTCCCTCAGCAAACAGTCACAATCCACATCTGTTACTTTCAGGGAAAATAGAACTTGAACACCACATTCTCTGTGACTCTCTTCTTGTTCTGTCATCTTTAACAGTGAAAGCAGCCAGCTTCTGCTCTTTAGTATTGAAGGTCATTCTTTATTTTTGCTCCAACTTTAGCTTCTCCAGCTTAGATAATTCATAGTGATGCTTGGATTTATAGCAAACCAAATGGATTAAAAAAATATTATTAACATGATGAGAATAAAAATGGCAATGTTAAGTATTCCCAACATTCAAAGCTTTCTATCAAAATGGTTATTTAGTGATTTATTTTCCATTATTTTCTCATGAAGTTTGTATGTTTTCATTTCAAAATTTTTAATTGTCTGAACTTCTTTGTGTGCTGGTCTTGTTCTTTCCATTCCAAACACTTCTTCCCTTTTTTTTTCATGCCTAACTTTGCCCATGAATGCTAGCCAAAACTTATATTTTCAGAGCGCATTTTAAAGAAACAGCCATGAATTTACTGAGATTTGAGAGTATTCCAAGAAGATCCTAAAACACAAAATTATTTTTTTCTTTGTTTAACATAATAGTAAAATTACACTATGAGATATGTATCCTTTGGGTTAAACACTATCCTCACTACAGGAGTTTTATTTAAAATTTAAAGCGTAAACTTTTATGGGTCTAAAGCACTAGAGATGTGAGGGGGATAGTGTGATAGACAGGAAGGAGATATGGCTTATTTGCTGGTTATTATTCTCTAGATATGTTTACATCTATTTTTACTTAATATCTGGAACATGAGTACACTGAGCTTTAGAAAACTTATATAACTTGTCCTAAATAACATCTAGTGACTATCAGATTCTGAACCTGGTCAGTAAGAGTATAAGGAAACGATAAAAAACCAGCTTCATCCTCTTTAAATTCAGTGCTCACATTAAAATGATGGGTTGCATTATCCAATTAAATTAAGATTATAGGCACAGAGGCTGGGCACAGTGGCTCATACCTGTAATCCCAGTACTTTGGGAAGCTGTGGCAGGTGGATCACCTGAGGTCAGGAGTTTGAGACCAGCCTGCCCAACATGGTGAAACCCCATCCCTACTAAAAATACAAAAATCAGCTGGGCATGGTGGGGCATGCCTGTAATCCCAGCTACTCGGGAGGCTGAGGCAGGAGAATTGCTTGAACTCCGGAGGTAGAGGCTGCAGTGAGCCGAAATCGCGCCACTGCACTCCAGCCTGAGTGACGGAGCAAGACTCTGTCTCAGAAAAAAAAAAGAAAAAGAAAAGAAAAGAAAAGAAAAGAAAAGAAAGAAAAGATTATAGGCACAAAGACAAACTGTAGTAAAGGCAAAATACATTGCCAAAATATCCCAAAACATCCTTCACTTCTCTCTATTCAAATTAGTTGTTTGGCCCTATTCAGGAAGAAATACAGTGTGGGGAGGCTGCAGTTCCTCTGAATCATATACACTTGAGTTAAATTACATATTTTTCACTTCCTAGTTGTGTGACTTTGGGAAAATTATTTAATCTTGCTGAAATCGCAGAGCCCTAGTTGATAAAATAAGGATTGTTCTGAAAATAAAATGATTTTGAGAATGAAGAATAAAATGAGAATAAATATTCCTCTTGGAATACCTGGCACTAAATATTTACCACATAAACTAATGTAAGAATAATATACAATCATAACAATAGAAACCATAATAACAGACAGCCTCAGGAAAAAAAAAAAAAAAAGCAAGGCACTGCTTCCTGGACCTTCCAAGTCAATGGAGAGCTTGTAAAACGTAAAACAGAAATCCTCATGTAACGTGAAGACATTTATATTCACTCTTGCATTCAGGCTTATCTATGTTTTGTGTTTCAATAAAGACATGTTGCATTACACAGTTTCATTAGACTTTACAGCTAATCTAGCGTGTGTTTTTAAGAAGATTTACTCCCCAGTCATCCTTGTCGAACAGCGGTACGTCTGCTGTGGCCCAAGTGAGCTCCACCTGCTGCATTAGGCAAGCAGCAGCTGAGGGACACGGCACACCCGGAAACGCAGCCCCTCCCCTGGTGCCGCTCCCTGTTGACTACTCCATCAACTTGGGAACACTCTGGGTTGCATTTTGAGCTACAGATCTCCAGTTTCCCTTGAGTGAGTATTAAACTGCAGAGCTGATGACCGTGAACCAGATTACCATAAAGAGGATGGAAGGTCCACATGATGAACACTGGTGCCAGGAGCTGAGAAAGAGGAGGACGATGGTGTGAGAGAAAAACGACAGATAGCTAAACAAACAGCACATTTTGCCTACTATAACTGTACAGCAAGAGAGGAAAGAACATGAGGCCGGGAACGTATTAATATCTGCAACGCACATGGTGGGCATGAGTGGCTCTGGGCAGATGATCAAGCAGGCCATGCCTGACCTCAAGTTTTGCCTCCTCAAGAATCAGAGCTCTTCACAGGTTCTTAGAACCCTCTGTCTTTCCATGCCTTGCTTCCCCAAGCTCTCTCGTCCTAGCTACCTTCAGCACTTTTACTTTTCTCCCCTTCAACAAAGTCTTTGTATTTCTGCCAACTTTTTCCTAAAACATATAGACAATTGTCATCCTTCAGCCAAATAGAAAAAAAGTGGCTCCCCGTTTTCCCCATAAGGTTGAATTTACACTCCTTATGTGACATGCAAAGATGTTCACAGTCAAAAAGCCACCTCACTCACCAGCCTATCCCCTAGCACTCTGTTCTTGCCAACCACCCAGACACGTGGGACCACTGATGGGATGCTTCACTCCTGCCTGAGATTTTAAATATTCCCCTTTATGTAGAAAGTCATTGTGCCAGCACCACTTTTTAAATAAGCTACCCTTGCCGGGTGCGGTGGCTCATGCCTGTATTCCCAGCATTTTGGGAGGCCGAGGCAGGTGGATCACTTTAGGTCAGGAGTTCGAGACCAGCCTGGCCAACATGGTGAAACCCCGACTCTACTAAAAATACAAAAAAATTAGCCAGTCGTGGTGGCACATGCCTGTAATCCCATCTATTCGGGAGGCTGGGGCAGGAGAATTGCTTGAACCCAGGAGGTGGAGGTTGCAGTGAGCTGAGATCTCACCACTTCACTCCAGCCTAGGTGACAGAGACTCCGTCTAAAAAAAAAAAAATTAAGCTACCTTTTGCCACTGAACTAGAATACAGTTTTTTGTCTAATATTTTATCTCATGTATACTGGGCTTTGGTCCTTGCTTCTATTTGGTTAAAACTATTTGGTGTACTACTTGGTTAAACTAATCTATTTATCTATCCCAATGCCGTATTAAGTTGACTCCAGTGGCTTTGCAGTATTTGCTGACATCTGTTAAATATGTTTTAAAAAGCATTGTCATGGCTATTCCCAAAGTTTTGAATTTTCATATGCATTTTAAGATCATTTTATTCAGTTCTAAATTGGGTACACTCTGCTGGATTTTAATTGTAATTTCATTAAATTTTTATATGAATATTGAGGGAATTGACTGCTAAGGTATAAATAACACTCTGAATCTTGACTGGCTTTTTGAAAATGTCAGATACATTTTCATTTCTTTATTAAAAGCCTTATTAATACGTTTGCCAAAAGGACATGACAAATCATAGCCATTCTGGACATCCTAAGGGCGTTTGCCTTTTTATAGCTTTTTGAGAACAAGAAAAGAATGATAAATGTTAAAAAGAAATAGTGGTGGGGAATTTCTTGGTGGCTGACAATCACTTAACTATTATCACTTTACACATCCTCCAAAACACTGTATAGGTCACCAGCGAAAACAAATAAAACCACACTAATACTATGCCTTCAGAAAAATGACATAATAGAAAACACAGCAAGTTCAACAATAGTAATATGTCAGAGCTGAAACCAATCATATCCACCATATCCACATTTTCAACTCGGCTCACAAGGCAAGAGCCAACCACACGCTACACGCAAGAGACACACCCAAAACAAAGTGACTCAGAAAGACTAAAGGGTCTACAAAATGCACAAGGCAAATAGAATCAATGAGAAAATCGGGATGGTGGTCCTGACAGCACCCAGAAGAGAATTTGAGTAAAAACATTCAGTGGGACAAATTAAACACCATTTAATCATTTTAAATATTTCACATTAATATATAGAAGGTATTCATACTTATGCACCAAGTAACACATCAACTTGTTCATAAAGTGGAAACTATGAGAGATGAATGATAGACAGAAACATATTCTCGGTGTGAGAGATATCAGATGGACAAAAAATACGGAAGGGTATTAAAGAGCCCCAAGTACAAGCCTAGACAGTTTCCCCTTAACCACACACACACACACACACACACACACACAGAGAGAGAGAGAGAGAGAGAGAGAGAGAGACATATACACCCATATAAACTATGAGCAGAAAGTAACAAAGTGTTAAAAAAGAAAAGAAAAGAAAGTGTCAGGGTAATAGGACATGTCAGAAGAGTACAGGAGCCAGCTGAAAGTATCAACAAAGGCCAAAGCTGAAACACTTTGAGCATTAAGTAATGTCGGATTATAACCCAAATATAAACATCCACGGATTCAAAAGATATAAATGGTTGAATAAATTAATAAATATGAGAGAAGAGACAAATCTCTCATACAGTAAAATTTCCCATAATTTATGTAGATACCCGCCCCCAACCCCTGCAAAGAGGTGAAGCCTAACTTCGCATTCCTTGGTGTGGGCTGCACTTAGTGACTTCCTTCCTGGTGCTCAAGGCCAACATTAAGGGTTAAAAATCATGTTGATAATATCTCCACTGCATAGGATGTGATAACAATGCGACTTTTACTCTGTGGTCTTCCCCCCAGTAACTCCTCATCCCACTCTTCTCATGAGAAAAACATCAGACAAATCCCAATAGCAGGCATCCTGCAAAATCCCTGAGCAGTACTCCTCAAAACTATCAAAGTCATTGCACACAAGGAGCAAGGAACATCTGAGAAACTGGCACAGCCACAAGGAGCCTAAAGGGACAGACACCCAGATGCCATGTGGTATCCTGAATGGGATCCTGGAACAGAAAAAGGATAACAGGTAAAAACCAAGGAAACCCGAGTAAAAGATGAAATATGGTTCATAATCCATCATTCTGAGCAAACTATCACAAGGACAGAAAACCAAACACTGCATGTTCTCACTCATAGTTGGGAACTGAACAATGAGAACACTTGGACACAGGGCGGGGAACATCACACACCGGGGCCTGTCGGGGGATGGGGGACTGGGGGAGGGATAGCATTAGGAGAAATACCTAAAGTAAATGACGAGTTGATGGGTGCAGCACACCAACATGGCATGTGTACACCTATGTAACAAACCTGCACGTTGTGCACATGTACCCTAGAACTTAAAGTATAATAATAAAAAAAAGAAATATGGTTCATAATAATATATCAACATTGCTTTAGTATTTGTAACATATGGTACAGAGTATATAAAAACTATATTATTTTCTCTTTTTTTCTGTAAATGTAAAACTCTTCTGAAAAACAAATTGTACTATAAAGAAAAAAAAGAAAGCATGGTGACTTCGAGCTACTGAAGGGTTCAGATTCTAATGCAGTGTTTCCCAGTTCCTACTAAGATATTTTCCCGGATTTGTTGCTGGCAAAATATGCCCAGGTTTTTTGTTTGAAAAGGAGTTTTTGGTCTGTGAGAGATAAGACAGGAGGTCCATTTGCAAACAGTTCCTTAAAGCAGGTAACTGTTCACTTCCTTAGGAAGGCTGGCCTCACGTGAGGTCCTGTCCTAAATAAACATTTTGTTATTGTTGGTGTGTATGAATTCATTATTACTGACAGCCAGGGAGTCATTTGGTGATTAAAAAACAACAGGATGGAAGGTCATTTTTATTGGCATTATGTACTTAATCATGCAGTCAATGGCTTTTATAGTTAAGCAGTAAAATAAAGCGCCATCAATTGAACAGAATATACAGAATGCTCCAATTGACAAAATCGACACATTTTCATGCTACTGCTGCCTTTTCTCTCTTCTTCCTTTTGCAGGTAAACTTACTGAATGAAGTGAAATCTGCTCAACACCCCCACTATCTTATCTTCCGCATTTATTGATCTCCAGCAATCAGCCTTGTGCTCCTGCAGGATTGAAGCTGCCCCCACGAAGGTCAACCACACCGAGGCTGCTCTCTCCCTCTGAGTTACACGCCTCCCTTTCACACTTCTTTCTGAGTCACCGGGTCTGCCGCACCTGCACAAGGGCCATCCTTCCTGTCAGCTCTGCCTGCTCAGCATCTGCACAGCCCATTCGCTTCTCCCCTCTCTCTCCATGACTGCCAAAGTTCAAGCCCTCTTAACTAATTTTCTTTTCCTCTCTCACTCCGACAAACCATCTATGGCAGTGATTCCAATGTAATCTTAAAAGTAAATGTATACCTATGTAACAAACCTGCACGTTGTGCACATGTACCCTAAAACTTAAAGTATAATTTAAAAAAGTAAAAGTAATAATATCACTTTATCATTCACAATAAATCCCTTATTTAATTCCCATTGCCTCCCAGTAAGGTTGAACTCCTTAACATATCATATGAGGACATAATGAATAAACACCTTTTCCAGGCAGATTTAAGCCCTCTTATTACTTATGTCCCCGCTTCCCCATCCCAACACTTAATCTTTTGTAAAGTTTCACCACACTGTCTGTACATTTCTTTTTGTACAGGAATATAGAAATACCAGAATTGAGGTGATCAAGGATATGTTAGAAGTTTTAACCTCAAAATTGTTGAAAGAATGGTTGGTTGAATTAATTTAAAAACCTTGAAAACTTTTAGAATTACAGATATTAGATAAGAACCACCTCAGTGTCTTGAGAATAATACACTGCCTACCACTCACTGGGATAAAATATAAAACGTAAGACTCCCGACCTTAGGAGAGCTCAACAGTCTCAGCGGACAGGCTGATACATAAACAACTAAATTCACACCAAAGGCATGAAGTAAATCACAGCAATAACACAAAGATCCAACATTTATGGAGCACTTAGGATGGACCACACTGAAAATTATTCCACATATTTCATGTCATTCAGTCCTCACAATTATTGAAGATATATACTGTTAGTAGTCCCATTTTACAGATACGGTGGTACACCTAGCTTAAGTGAGTCTCCCAAGTCATGCAGCTGGTAAATTAAGGATCTGGGTTTGATCCCGTTTGGCTGATTACAAAGCCTGCCCATGGAACTGGAGGATATGAAGCATACTTTTGAAACCGACTTCACAGTTATACTTTGTAAATACTGCCAAAGGGTCACATAGTGAGAAAGGGAACACAGAGTTTTTCGTAGATGTAAAATGTTTACTAAGTTTCATTAGCTGTATTTATGAGTAACGGAGGCTGCGGTGGATTTCCTATTTCCATCACAGGAATACTTCTGCCCACTTCTATATTCTCCCTTGTATTTACAGGGGCTGAAACCCTGAAACCTACATTTTCCGGTTGCCAGCAGGATTTTAACTTAGACTGCACCACCAGGAGGCACCCACTCAGGCATCAGAATCAGGAAGAGGAGTGGCAGCCTCTATGCTTCCATCAGGAGCAGGCAGATGTGTGAGCTTCCACAGCCGGTGGATATGGAGTGCGGGAAGCTGCCGCTTCCAAGGAGGTTCCTGCAGATCACCTGCGTTGGTCCGCAGGTCGCTGAGATCATCAGCCAGCCATGTGTTCCTGCGATTCTTGACTTCCTGAAACCAGCAGCCATTTTCCTTTCTGTTTACTTTCCCAGGCATTCTGACAGTTTTCTAACCTCCATTTCATGTGTTAAATCTTCTCAACTTGAAGCACTTAGAATGATTCCTGAAAAATGCTTATTGATACTCAGGCCCTGTATTACTTTTCTAGGGCTGCCATAAGAAAGTATGGACTGGGCTGCTTAAACTACAGAGATGTATTATATCAGAGTTCTTGAGGCTAGAAATCCAAGATTGAGGTGTCAAGGTGGTTCCTTTTGAGGGCTGTGTGGGAAGGCTCTGTCTCAGGCCTTTCTTCTTGGCTTGTAGAGAGCTGTTTCCATGTTTACCTGGCATTCTCCCAGTGTGTGCACCTGTGTCCAAATTCTCCTTCTATAAAGAACCAGTCTTTTTGGATTGGGGCTTACACTAACGACCTCACATTAACTTGGTTACTTCAGTAAAGACCCCATCTCCAAAGAAGAGCACATCCTGAGGTAGTGGGGTAAGACCTTGACCAGATCATTTTCGGAGGGACAAAATGCAACTCATAAAATGCCTGAAATGGGCTGGGCACAGTGGCTCATGCCTGTAATCCCAGCACTTTGGGAGGCCGAGGTGGGCGAGTCACTTGAGGTCAGGAGTTCTAGTCCAGCCTGGCCAACATAGTGAAACCCTGTCTCTACTAAAAATACAAAAATTAACCAGGTGTAGTGGAGCATGCCTGTAATTCCAGCTACTCGGAAGGCTGAGGCAGGAGAATGGCTTGAACCCAGGTGGTGGAGGTTGCAGTGAGCCCAGAATGTGCCAGTGCACTCCAGCCTGGGAGACAAAGTGTTTCAAAAAACAAACAAACAAACAAACAACAACAAAGAAACAGTGATTTATACAAGATAGAAATTAATGAAATTAATTCAATTCATTCTTTCTCATGGAATTCAGGGAGGGTATATCCACAGCTGGTTTACTGTTCTACAATATCCTCAGAGAGCCAAGTTCTATTTTGTCTCAGTTGTGCATGGTTATCTTTTCCAAATTCATCTCATAAATCAAAACTATTACTCCAGCACCAGGTATGATGCTATTCCAGCTAACAGGAAATGGTAATGGGCAAAGAAGAAAACAGTAAAGAACAGGAGCTAGATAACTTTTAGGGAAGTTTCACCAAAACTGTTCACATTTTCCATTACCTTCTGTTGCCTATAAGTATATCAAATAGCCACATCCATCTTCAGGGTGGGACACTGAGCAATGTAACCTTCTGAGAAGTAATTAACCTGGCATAAACTTCTGTTACCAAAAAAGAAGAGAAAGCATATTGGAAGTTGCCTAGCAAAATGTGCCAGGCTGAAAATACTCCAGAATTATAGGCTGTGGTCTCTGCTTTTTGATTGGAAGTAACGATAAAAAGATTCTAAAAAGATGTTGCTTAAATAAATCAAAGGAAAAACTGTCTAACCTGAGGGTTACATCAAATCTGATTGTTATTTCTGAAAGCAAGATTTCTTCTTTATCAAACATCTTCGCATGCAGTGTATGTGTTGAAAATGTTGTCAAAGGAAGACTCAGAGACAGAGTCACTTAGAAAAGAAAAGGTTTTATTTGCAAGGAGTTCTAGGGGAGTCAGACTTCAGAAAACCTGGCTCAACAAATATAAAACATAAATATTTTTAACAGTTGCAAATCACAATGTTTAGTAAGTTTATAGTAGTCTACACTTTCAGGAAAAAGCAATTTCTCGTGCAGTTATGATATTCACAAAGTTCATAATATGTATTCAGATATCAATATGTAAAAAATCGGGAATAAAATTTTTTGTCATGAAGTCCATATTTATGCAAAATAGTCAAGGTTTTATTATTTTAGGTATCAGAACCAGTAAGAATGATCTGTTATCTCTTGGCTTATCTCAAGGTACACAGTATTTTTTTTTCAGACTGTTGCGGCCCAGGAAGTTCTTAGTCATAGCAAAAGCAAGGCAAAGTCAGTTTTTGTTTCTACATTGTCAGACAAAATCTCAGTTCCTTCCTCTATGCTTCCATTTTTCCTTTTCTCTCCTAGGTAACAAGGACAAGATATCGAAATTGATCTTCGTCTTAGAGAGTTTTGAAAGCTCAGGTCTCCCTTCTTTGGCCTTTAAGATAAAATATTAAGATACCAATATTACATGCCCTCCTATACTCCTTGGTTTCCAAAATCATCAGCACTTACATTATCTCTTGCTCTACTGAAATCAACCACCTCAAAGTCCTGGTGATTTCCTTCAGTTCCTTAGAAGAAACAAGTGTGTCAGGAAAGGGAAGGAACAGTGACCCCGCCCAGGGCTACCCAAAACACAAAACAGGTAGAACATGAGGCTAGGCTTAATCACAATTACATTACCATCTTCTCTTTTTAAAGAGACAATTAATATATTATATGAGTGTTTGAGATGACTGCAGTTCCTGAGAAAGAAGCTTTCTATTATGGGCTACTTAGGAGTCGGAAGAGTCACTGCTGGCTTGCCCCATCTAGTGGTAATCACTGAAGAGAAATAAAGCAGCCTTTTGTGTTCAAAATTAAGAATCAGGATGCGATTGAAGCCAAATGTTCTCCTGCCTTCAGTTGCTCTTTGTTAAAAATTAAGCCACATAAAAAAGTATATTAATTTTTTAAGCAATTGGAATTTGGGTGAGTGAAGTTCAAGACCAATGCTCAAGGATTTCTTCTAATATTAAAATTAGTTGAGAGATAATTGTCAAAGGTCATCAGAGCTCACAATTAGTTTAAACAAATAATTACTTCCCTTTTATTGTACCCCATCCCTCTTCTCAGAAAAAGTTATCTTTGCTACAATGTTGTAATACTGGAAGTTAGATTTCTGCTCAGTAACATTTTACTGTCACTGATGTTTGGCCTAAGGGCCCATTGTTTGTTCAGGCGCTGCTAAGGGCTTAAACTTCTTAAACAAGCAACAGAATATAGGGAATGTCCTGCAATCCGAAAATTGTTCTTAAATCCTAAATTTCTTTTCTTATAAATCCCAAGCAAATGATTAATTTATCCTAAAATACAACCTCTCTAGTGAAAAAGAACTCTTTATGATTACTCCAATAATGAAAATGAATTCTTTAAGATTACTCCAATTAATTGATGCTAGTTACAAGAAGCACTGGATTAAGAAATAGCATATGATTAGGCTGAAAGCAATTTAGTGAAAGCAATTTGGCTTATTGGAATTGAACTGATAGTAAGATGTTCAACATAAAACCTAATTGAAAATGAATATTCTTCAAATGGTGTTGTTTTTTTAAAGTACAGTGTTTGTAAAAATGATTTTTTAAAAATATGTAGGTGCTAGTAAGAATTTGGAGGGAGTGATTTCTATTTATTCCTTCTAAAAGTATTTTTTAATGTATATTCATTTATTGCTGCTTTGTTCTCTTTGCAATAACAAAAATGTGAAAAATACTCAGATGCCCAAACACTGGGAAGTCTGAATCTCTGGGCAGTTAGTGTTGTGGGTGTTTTTCTGAGAGGTGGATAATTTTATTTCTCTACTACAGTCTAGAAAAATAAAGTTAAATCCGTTTTTTAAATTTCTTTTTTGAAAAAGAAATTGAAGATACTGATAAAGATCTGAAATTTGAAGAAATTGTTTAAATACAGAGCTACAAACTCTAGTGACACACCAGAAGAGTCACTATTCAGAGAATATATGTGTATGTTATTATTTTGACTAAATTGTCTTGGGGCCCAGTTTACACTTGACTAAACACTATTGATCAAATCACCTATGGACACATTGGGATGAACTGAAAGGCCTTAAGGCTCAGCTAGAGAAAACCATTAGATTGATAGGAGATCTCAACAGTGACTGAAAGAGGCAACTGAGTTACAGTATTCCACCAGAGATGAGAGGGTTAATTTGCTCACCCACTCCACTAGAAAATAAATTGTATTTCTACAAACAAAGAAAAAATGTTCTAGGAACAAATCTTGTCATCTTCATGATGCAATAAAAATAACAAATAAATCACGTAGTTCCCCAAGCTTTAGCCTTTGTTGGGGAATATAAAAACCAGAATTGAATCCAACCGAGAAATCCTCTCCACAAAGTTAGTAGAGAAAAAAAAAATGGTTTTATCATTGAATGAGCATTAATTGAGAAAGTGATGCATGTGACAGGTGATCTGCTAAGAGATTGCAAGGACAGAAAGAAACCTCACCCTTTTGTATAGTCACGGATACACAACCTACATACTCTCCAGCATAACAACCATTAGTCTTCAAGTAAGAGGGCTCGGTGGTAGCATTTATTACACGTAATTCATTTAAATCACCTGGTATTTGGGGTGACCATCTATGTTACTTAATTAGCTCTATATAAAGGAAAAATAAACTCTCTTATCTTTATGACTGGAAGCAGTTTAACAACCTGGAACAAGGTGCCCACCTAAATGAAGTTCCTACCCTCCCACAGCAAATGAGAGACAGGGTCGTCATCTTCCTTGTTGTTTACATTTCCAAGCTATGGCTCCTAGGTCTTTGAGAAAGACACTTCCAGGTTGTGAAATTGGCCACGTTAGCTTTTAAAAATATTTACCTATCTTTAGAAAAGACAGAGAAAGAATATACAAGTTTTCTGGACAAAGTGCTCTGAGACAATGAGGGTGGGGTGGTCGGTAACGTTTTCTCTTATTTTTAACTGGGAAAGTGAAGGCTCCTACTTTTACTTTTTCTTTGCCCTTCCACCTCCTGCTTTTGCTTGTCAGAAGAGGAAGACCTTTGATCACATGTCAGCCATGGACAATAAACTATGGACTATTATCCATAGTCTATGGATAATAGGTGAGAGAAAGACCAAGCCAGGATTCCATCTAAAGGGCCATAGAAGCCCTTGTAATAACTCAATCTGTATGCGTACTAGAAATTATTAATTAACATAAGGGATGGTACAAATAGTATTTCATCGGAGAAATGAGTGGTGTACTTGATATATGATTGCTGAGGATAGTTATGTACCCCTCTTGGCTCATCTGATAAGTGTATAACGCCTGTTGAGTGAGCAGATTAATCTTCTAAAATGGTGCCAGAGGTCTAAACCTTTGGTTAATCCTTTGGCCTAAAAAACTTCAAACAATTTGGTATATTCTACCTTCAGAACTTTTTGAATTTGCACCCGAGTAAGTCTTTCATACATACTACTTACCAAAGTACACAAAAGGATGGAGAATTGGTTTTATGTCTGTATGCAGATTGCAATACTCGTCTTTGCAGTGCACCTCCTGGTAGACAGTTTGCTGGGGCAGGGGTGGGCTGCCTACCTCTAATTGTTAGTAACTACTGAAGTGCGTAAAAAATGATATGACACATGTGAGTTGCCAATTTCATTTAGGCCCATTTCCAGCAGATGTATATCTATCTCAGGAAAGGTTTAATTTATTAAGTGATGAAGTAAATGATTGGATATGCCAATACAAAATACTGAAGCGCTCTTCAAAATCTAAGAGAGTGAGCAAAGCTTAAATGTTTTTTACAATTATGCTAATCATAAATAAATCAAAAAATACATATACAGAGAGAAATAAAGATGGTTTCACAAATTTTAAATCTACCAACAACTAGCAATGAAAATCTAAAAAGACAAAATGATACGGCTTTTACAATTATACTTAAATTAGTATTATAACTTAAATGATCCTCATACCTTCATTATTTCTTTTTGTATACATGTAATAGTTACATACAAAAGCATCTACAGTTTTGGTATGTGGATTTATATATTTCAGTAATTATATAAAATTTTGTTAGCTGGTATGAACTGAAAACTCAGTTTCTTGGGCAGCAGTTCTGGTCTCAGTCCAGATATTTTGTCCTTAGCTGATATACTTTGAGTTTATTCTTCCTATGCATGTTTCGGGGGTCAGTCAGAGCTGTGGGTACGTTGATTTTGGACATCCATTCTTGGGTTGTTTCCTTTGAGAATTTCCTAGTTTCTTCAATAGCTCTTTTCTGGTTTCTTATTTATCTAGCAGAAAGATGCTAGATTTTTTTCACATGTGCCCCACAACCCCCAAAGAAAAATTACCTAGGGAGTTTCTTTTTCAAAAAAATTGTATAGATTTAGGAAATATGTCCAAGTTCAGTTTTGTTACACGGATATATTGAAGTCTGAGCTTGGAGAGTACTCATCACCCCAATAGTGAACATTGCACCCAACAGGTAATTTTCCAGCCTCAGCCCCCCTGCCACCCTCCCACATAACTTAAGGAGTTTCTACCTCCCCTTCTCTGAGCAAGCCTGCTCTCCCCTGGGGATTTGTCTGCTTCTCTTCACCCTCCAGGGCATCCTGGTTGCGGCTTTTGTTCATGTCCAGCTTTTGTAGTTATTATCACTTATTTTATTCTGAAGCTTTGTCTGGTAGAGATCTAGTCGATTTTAGTAGACACTTAATATTGACTTCTGTAAGCAGAAGTTCTCCAACTCTCATTCTGACAGGCAACTCTCATCCTTATCATACATCTCCAAAGGAAAAAATATATAAACTATAGATGGGGGAAAAAAAGCAAAGTGCATGTGCCCCAAGCTTCTTAATTAAAACATGTAGCCAATTACATTACTTCATTAATTAGTCATGTTCTATGATGTTTGAATCCAAGAACCGGCATGGGAGAAATAATTGTACTTATTAAATTCATACAGGCATGGTATTAGAAAATAAGTCTTACATTTTAAACAGAAGACACAATCTCTCACAATGACTACTCATGAGAAATGAAAAAATAGCACCTTTACATCAAACTTTTTGTTATCTGAATTGTAACTTATGTGGAGTATTTACTAAGCTTATTGACAAGCTCTTTTGAACCACTGTGTTGACACAATGAGAATTATGGATATAGGAAACAACATAGAATGCACAACAAATTCTTTGTGGCCATTTCAACTCTCTCTGTTTACTTGAGATGTGAAAATTATTTTACCCTCTAGATAAGACCTTAGCTAATGTGTAATGTAAGTGCCTTCATCTATTTACAAACTAGCATCACATATAGAAAGAAATTGGTGTAGGGCAAGAAAGTAGGAATTTCACACCTTTTTGGATTTTCTTGTTAGAGTTTATGATGGGCTTTATTTAATTTTCTCAATCAAGAAACATGAACTGATCTCTTCTGTAAGTAAAACACTGTGCTAAGGAATGAGGACAGAAAAGTGAACGAGACAGAAATAGCCTTTACCCTGATCAGCACCTGTCTAGTGACAGAGGCAGACGCATCGGCAAAATAATTGCCTGACCACTGTGGGCAGGAAGCGAACTCCGTGTTTTATCAGCTTGTCTCTCATTTGCACACCAACCCTCCTATAAATTAGCATCCCTGTTTCACAGATCAGGAAACTGAGACCCAGGAAATTTAAGCACTTGCTCAAGTATGCAGATCTAAAATGAGCGCAGTTGGAATTCAAACCAGTTTCCTTGGACTCTAGCTCCCACGCTGCTGTCAGGATAGAAAGCTGCTCTTCAAGCACATAAGATACACCGAATATGTAAAAGTAAAGCCCTGTGCCATTTCAGAGGAAGGGTTAAGGGACTCCAATTAGAGAGATGTGCAAAATCTTCATGGCCAAGAAAGTAATTTCCTATATAAGCAAAAATACTGGTGTCCAATTGAAATTAATCAAAATCAAATACAAATTATTCCACCCCAACTGCCATTTTAGATACATATACATGCTTCTCCGCAATTATAAATTCATAGCTGGTAAGTTCAAAGAAAAGTGTGTGGGTGAAGATTTACAGAAAGCTTTTTCTAGTTAAAGTGTAAAATGTGGATGGTCCTTAAAATATCAAATATTCCCTGATTCATCACATTGTTTTGGTCTGGTGCATTAATTTAAAAGAAAATGATGATTTGAGACTTTAAGATAAATAAAATAACACAATCATTAAAGTTATAATATTTCTAGATAATAGTAATCTAATCATTAAAATTCTACCATTTCCATGGTTTTTTATTAATACAATTCACAATACAGATGAATTCGTTTACTCCTGGTGATGCATGGCTACTCCAGTTCAAACAAAAGTAAGCGAAATTCAAAAAGGCTGCCTCTAGGGCTCAGGACCTATTAAACTTAATTCATTATTAAACTCAAAATCTAATTAGAAATGGAAAGAAAGAAAAAGAAATGTAGATGCATTTTCCACCCTGAGTTAAAGCAGTTGGTTTAGGAAACAATGTGAAGGCCATAATAATTTAAGCTTAACCGGAGCTTCTCATCCAAAAACTTCAATGAGATGAGGCTTGCAAGTATTCAATTTAAAGAAAATGCTTTTTCGCCATTCAAAGGGCAGAAAATGAGGCTCTGAAAATCTATCTCTCAAACTCTCGTACTGGCTCACAGACAGCAGAGTGAGGGTTTTCAGGTGATGGGACGGGGGTGTTGGAGAGAGGTAGGGAAGGACCAACCTACCATTTCATAATTTCTGCAGCTCATGTTCAATAGTACTGCAAACAGTTCACTAAATCATTAATTACCTGCAATCTCATTCATTGTGATCTTTATTAAACTGCTTAAAAAATAGAACTATCAAGGGCTTTACCAAAGAAGGCCATTGGGACTCTGTTGATTTCCACATTGATTTGATGGGAGAAGAGGATTGACCGATAAAGCAAAAGAATCCAAATCCTCCCTTTGCTCAGCACACATTAGCTCACATGACCGTCTTCACATTATACGGACCAAAAGAGGACTAATCACGTCCATTTTCTTGGCCAGTCTGTATCTGGCAACCAGACTGTTTCCTGAGGCACAACCAACATTCAGTGATGGATAAATGAGTGTGGGCTTCTCCACTGAGCCCTGGCCAGACTGCACATCACAGTGTAACTGACTGGTGTTTTCTGGAGGCTGTCAGCCACTCACTTGTGACAGGAGAGCTTGCAGACAGAGCGATGGATCAGGTAGGAGGACCTGCTCAGCCCCTGGGCTGCCTGTGTTGCTGGAAAAAGGGTGGAGAGAGAGAGGAGAAGGGACTCACTGCTGGCAACAGAAATCAAACTGCACATGGCACAAGTTATTCCTGGACAGCAACACAGAGATCTGAGGCAAATTTCCATGAGGAAGAAGGAGACGAAAGAGGATGAGAGCATTTAGCCCTGAATCCAGCACACTCTGTGCAGTCAGTAAACTTATCTAGCACACCTTACAAAGGAAATAGTCTCAGGCATCATTGTACTTTTCTTCACTACATTTGACCTCTGCACCATCTTGAGATTTTTCCAGCCTGCCTCAGCTAGAGCAGTCCTCACACTGCCTGTCCACACCCTTCCAGCCCTCCAGGACCCCACGTTGCCTCCCTCTTCTCCATCTTCAAACCCCTTCTCTGGCTCATGATTTCAGCCTGTTAATGTGCCAGAGATGCCCCTCCAGCTACCGCTCCCGCTTCCTTCATCATCAAATCAGTTGAAATATGTTACCTTTTGCCATCAAACCACTTGAAATCATGTGCCTTACCTCTGTTTTCTCCAGCTCTCACCCATGACTCAGCTCATCACAGGGAAAAATCTTCTAAATCCACATTCACAAATGTCTACTTCCCACAAACGTCCTCTTTCAACCTTTGTGTACTTGGTGGTGGCTGTCTTCCCCAGGCCTCTCTCCTCTCCTGGTTGCTGGGTGTTAATGTTGAGAAGGTAGATAGGGCTCTGCAGCATATTTAGTGAGGGAAATGCTGATGTCACCAGAATGCTCTGACTAATGGTAAGGTAGCCGGTTACACTTCATCTATACTTCCTAGAAAAACATCCCCCTTGTCCAAAAAAAAAAAAAAATGCCTCAACTGGAGCCTAGTAGATACAGAACAGAAAAAGCTAATGCTGCTTCTTAAAGACCGCACTTTGAATATTCAAGATAACTCCCATGCCTCCTCCACCAACCACCAAACCCATTTCCCAAGTCTTTTCTCTCTCTTTCCTTCTTTGTTGATGGTGATTCCTTAAATTAGTGAGCATCTAAGTCCAGCATCAAGATCTATACCCTCCAATGTTAAGCTTATCATCTTTGGAAGAAAACAACCTGTCAAACTATTTTTTTCTCTAAATAAAACATACTTTATTTTATTTTTTATTTCCATAGGTTTTTGGGAAACAGGTGGTGTTTGTTTACATGAGTAAGTTCTTCAGTGCTGATTTCTGAGATTTTGGTGCATGCATCACCCCAGCAGTATACACTGTACCCAATTTGTACTTTTATATCCCTCACTCTCCCTCCCACCTTTTCCCTCAAGTCCTCAAAGTTCATTGTATCATTCTATGCCTTTGCATCCTCATAGCTTAGCTCCCACTCATGAGTGAGAACATACAATATTTGGTTTTCCATGCCTGAGTTACTTCACTTAGAATAATGGTCTCCAATTCCATTCAGGTTTCCATGAATGTCATTATTTCATTTTCATGGCTAAGTAGTATTCCATGGTATATATATACCACAATTTCTTTATCCACTCATTGATTGATGTGCATTTGGGCTGGTTCTATATTTTTGCAGTTGTGAATTGTGCTGCTATAAACATGCCTGTGCCAGTATTTTTCTCATATAATGACTTCTTTTCCTCTGGATACTCATGGTGGGATGGCTGGATCAAACGGTAGTTCTACTTTTAGTTCTTTAAGGAATCTCCACATTGTTTTCCATAGTGGTTGTCCCACCAACGGTGTAAAAGTGTTCCCTTTTCTCCACATCTATGCCAACATCTATTTATTTTTATTTTTACTTTTGGATTATGGCTATTCTTGTAGGAATAAAGTGGCATCATATTGTGGTTTTGATTTGCATTTCCCTGATCATTAGTTATGTTGCACATTTTTTCAAATGTTTGTTGCCTATTTTTATATCTTCTTTTGAGAATTGTCTGTTCATGTCCTTAGCCCACTTTTTGATGGGATTGTTTGTTTTTTTCTTGCTTATGTTTTTTTCTTGCTTATTCCTTTTAATTCATTGTAGATTCTGGATATGATTCCTTTTTCAGATATATAGATTGCAAAGATTTTCTCCCCCTCTGTAGGTTTTCTGTTTACTCTGCTGATTGTTTCTTTTGTTGTGCAGAAGCCTTTTAGCTTAAGTCCCAGCTATTTATCTTTGTTTTTGTTGCATTTGCTTTTTGGATTCTTGGTCATGAAGTCTTTGCCTAAGCCAATGTCTATAAGGATTTTTCTGTTGTTATATTCTAAAATTTTTATGGTTTCAGGTCTTAGGTTTAAGACCTTCATCCATCTTGAGTTGATTTTTGCATAAGGTGAGCTATGAGGATCCAGTTTCATTCTTCTACATGTGGCTTGCCAATTATCCCAGTACCATTTGTTGAATAGGGTGTCTTTTCCCCACTTTATGTTTTTGTTTGCTTTGTCAAAGATCAGTTAGCTGTAAGTATTTGGCTCTATTTCTGGGTTCTCTATTGTGTTCCATTGGTCTCTGTGCCTATTTTTATACTAATACTATGCTGTTTTGGTGACCATGGCCTTACAGTATAGTTTGAAGTCAGGTAATGTGATGCCTCCAGATTTGTTCTTTTTGCTTAGTCTTGCTTTGGCTATGTGGGCTCCTTTTTGGTTCCATATGAATTTTAGGATTGTTTTTTCTAGTTCTGTGAAGAATGGTGGTGGTATTTTGATGGAAATTGCATTGAATTTGTAGATTGCTTTTGGCAGTAAGGTCTTTTTCACAATATTGATTCTATCCATCCATAAGCATGGGATGTATTTTCATTTGTTTGTGTCATCTACAATTTCTTTCAGCAGTGTTTTATAGTTTTCCTTGTAGAGGCATTTCACCTCCTTGGTTAGTTGTACTACTAAGTATTTTATTTTATTTTATTACTTTTTTTTGCAGCCATTGTAAAAGGAGTTGAGTTCTTGATTTGATTCTCAGCTTGGTCACTGTCGATGTATAGTAGAGCTATTGATCGGTGTACATTGATTTTGTTATATTGAAACTTTGCTGAATTCACTTATCAGTTCTAGGAGCTTTTTGGATGAGTCTTTAGGGTTTTCCAGGTACACAATCACATCATCAGCAAACAGCAACAGTTTGACTTCCTCTTTCTCTTGTCTGATTTTTCTGGCTAGGACTTCCAGTGCTGTGTTGAATAGAAGTGGTGACAGTGAGCATCCTCGTCTTGTTCCAGTTCTCAGGGGGAATGATTTCAACTTTTCCCCATTCAGTATGATGTTGGCTGGGGTTTGTCATAGACGGCTTTTATTACATTAAGGTATGTCGCTTCTATGCCAATTTTACTGAGGGTTTTAATTATAAAGTGATGCTGGATCTTGTCAAATGCTTTGTCTGCATCTACTGAGATAATCATGTGATTTGAGTTTTTAATTATGTTTATGTGGTGTATTACATTTATTGATTTCTGTATGTTAAACCATCCCTTCATCCCTCGTATGAAACCCATTTGATCATGGTGGATTATCTTTTTGATATACTGTTGGATTCAGTTAGCTAGTAATTTGTTAAGGATTTTTGCATCTATGTTCATCAGGGATGCTGGTCTGTAGTTTTCTTTTTTTATTATGTCCTCTCCTGGTTTTGGTATTGGGGTGATACTGGCTTTATAGAATGATTTAGGGAGGATTTCCTCTTTTTCTATCTTGGGAATAGTGTCAATAGAATTGGCACCAATTAATCTTTGAATGTCTGATAGAATTCAGCTGTGAATCTATCTGATCTTGGACTTTTTTTGTTGGCAATTTTTAAAATTACCATTTCAATCTCGCTGCTTGCTGTTGGTCTGTTCAGACTTTCTATTTCTTCCTGGTTTAATCTAGGAGGGTAGTATATGTCCAGGAATTTATTCATCTCCTCTAGGTTTCCTAGTTTATGCACACACAGCTGTTCATAATACCCCTGAATAATCTTTTGTATTTCTGTGGTATTGGTTGCAATATCTCCCATTTCATTTCTAATTGAGCATATTTGGATTTCCTCTCTTCTTTACTTGTTAATCTCACTAATGGTCTATCAATTTCATTCATAAAGAGAACCAGCCTTTTGTTTCATGTATCTTTGGTATTTTTTGTTTTGTTTGGTTTTAATTTCATTCAGTTCTGCTCTAATCTTTGTTATCTATTTTCTTCTGCTGGATTTGGGTTTGGTTTGTTCTTATTTCTCTAGTTCCTCGGGGTGTGACCTTATATTGTCTATTTGTGCTTTTTTTGATGTAGGCATTTAAGGCTATAAGCTTTACTCTTAACACCGCATTTGCTGTATCCCAGGGGTTTTACTAGGTTGTGTTACTATTACCATTTAGTTCAAAGAATTTTTTAATCTTTATCTTGATTTCATTGTTGACCCAATGATCATTCAGGAGCAGGTTAATTTCCATTTATTTGCATGGTTTTGAAGGTTACTTTGGGAGTTATTTCCAATTTTATTCCACTGTGTTCTGAGAGAGTACTTGATGTAGTTTTAATTTTCTTAAATGTATTGAGACTTGTTTTGTGGCCTATGATATGGTCTAGCTTGGAGAATGTTCCATGCGCTGATGAACAGAATGTATATTCTGCAGTTGTTGAGTAGAATGTTCTGTAAATATCTGTTAAGTCCATTTGTTCTTGGGTATAGTATAAATACATTGTTTCTTTGTTGACTTTCTGCCTTGATGGCCTGTGTAGTTCTGTCAGTGGAGTATTGGAGTCCCCCACTATTATTGCGTTGTTGTCTATCTCATTTCTTAGGTCTAGTAGTAATTGTTTTATAAATTTGGGAGCTCCAGTGTTAGGTGCATATATTTAGGATGGTGATATTTTCCTGTTGGACTAGTTCTTTTATCATTGTATTATCCTCCCTCTTTGTCTTTTTTAAATGCTGTTGCTTTAAAGTTTGTTTTTTTTTTTGTGTTACAAGAGTGGCTACTCCTGCTCGCTTTGGTGTCCATTTGCATGGAATATCATTTTTCACCCCTTTACCTTAAGTTTATGTGAGTCCTTATGTGTCAGGTGACAGCAGATACTGAAGACAGCGGATACTTGGTTGGTGAGTTCTTATCCATTCTGCTATTCTGTATCTTTTAAATGGAGCATTTTAGACCATTTACATTCAATGTTGGTATTGAGATGTGAGGTACTGTTCTATTCATCGTGCTATTTGTTGCCTGAACACCTTGGGAGTTTTTTATTATTTTTTATTGTGTTTTTTTTATAGGTCCTGTGAGATTAATGCTTTAAGGAGGTTCTATTTTCATGTATTTTGAGGATTTGTTTCAAGATTTAGGACTCCTTTTAGTAGTTCCTGTTGTGTTGGCTTGGTAGTGGTGAATTCTCTCAGCATTTTTTTGTCTGAAAAAGACTGTATCTTTCCTTCATTTATGAAGTTTAGTTTTCCTGGAAACAAAATTCTTGGCTGATAATTGTTTTGTTTGAGGAGGCTGAAGATAGGGCCCCAATCCCTTCTAACCTGTAAGGTTACTGCTGATAAATCCACTGTTAATCTGATAGATTTTCCTTTATAGGTTACCTGTTGCTTTTGTCTCACAGCTCTTAAGATTCTTTCCTTCATCTTGACTTTAGATAAGCTGACGACTATGTACCTAGGCAGTGATCTTTTTGCAATAAATTTACCAGGTATTCTTTGAGCTTATTGTATTTGGATGTCTAGATCTCTATCCCAGCTGACAAAGTTTTCCTTGATTATTCAAGGAAAATACGTTTTTCGAACTTTCACATTTCTCTTCTTCCTCAGGAACACCAATTATTCTTAGGTCTGGTTGTTTTACATAATCTCAAATTTCTTAGAGGCTTCGTTCATGTTTTAAAGTTCTTTTTTATTTTGTCTTTGTTGGATTGGGTTAATTTAAAAACCTGGTCTTCGAGCTCTGCAGTTCTTTATTCTGTTTGTTTGATTCTATTGCTGAGTGCTTCCAGTGCATTTTGCATTTCTCTAAGCATGCCCTTTATTTCCAGAAGTTGTGATTCCTTTTATTTATGCTCTCAATTTCACTGAAGATTTTTCCCTTCACATCTTGTATCCTTTCTTTGATTTCATTAAGTTGGACTTCACCTTTCTCTGGTGCCTTTTTGATTAGCTTAATACTCGATCTTCTGAATTCTTTTTCTGACAATTCAGCGATTTCTTCTTGGTTTGGATTCAATGCTGATGAGCTAGTGTGATCTTTTGGGGGTGGTAAAGAACTTGTTTCATCATATTCCCAGAATTGTTTTTCTGGTTTCGTCTCATTTGGGTAGGCTACGTCAGAGGGAAGATCTGGAGCTCAATAGCTACTGTTCAGATTTCTTTGTCCAACAGGGTGCTCCCTTTTTCTCTTTTTTTTTTTTTTTTTTTTTTTTTTTTGAGATAGAGTCTTGCTCCATCCCCCAGGCTGGAGTGCAGTGGCGCGATCTTGCTCACTGCAAGCTCCGCCTCCTGGGTTCATGCCATTCTCCTGCCTCAGCCTCCTGAGTAGCTGGGACTACAGTGCCCCCCACCACACCCGGCTAATTTTTTGTAATTTTTTTTTTTTTAGTAGAGATGGGGTTTCACCGTGTTAGCCAGGATGATCTTGATCTCCTGACCTCATGATCCGCCCACCTCGGCCTCCCAAAGTGCTGGGATTACAGCCATGAGCAATTGCGCCAGGCCACGGTGCTCCCTTGATGTAGTGCTCTCCCCCTTTCCTAGGGATGTGGCTTCCTGCGTGTTGAACTGTAGTAATTGATATGCCTCTTTTTGATCTAACCACCCAGAGGAGCTACCGGGCTCTAGGCTGGTACTAGGGGGTGTCTGCACAGAGTCCTGTAATGTGAACTGTCTTCATGTCTCTCAGCTGGGAATAGCAGTGCCTGCTCTGGTGGAGGTGGCAGGGGAATGAAATGGACACTGTGAGTTGTAGTTTTGTTTATTGCACTATTTTTGTGCTGGTTGACCTCTTGCCAGGAGG
The DNA here is from genome assembly GCF_000001405.40 of Homo sapiens. Lineage (NCBI taxonomy): Eukaryota > Metazoa > Chordata > Mammalia > Primates > Hominidae > Homo > Homo sapiens. The sequence goes on along the minus strand of NC_000013.11, from coordinate 108,329,151 downwards.
TGTTGCCTTCAAGAGAGCATCAGCTGTGATAGTATAGGGTGGATCAGGCAGTGGGTGGGGCCCTAGAGCTCCCAAGAGAATAAGTCTTTTGTCTTTGGTTACCAGGGCAGGTAGAGAAAGACCAACAGGTGGGAGCAGGGTTAGGCCTGCCTGAGCTCAGACTCTCCTTGACCGGGGCTTGCTGTGGCTGCTCTGGGGGATGGGGGCATGGTTCCTCAGGCCAATGGAGTTATGCTCCCAGGGGGATTCTGCCTGCCTCTTCTATGTCATGCAGGTTGTCAGGGAAGTGGGGAAAGTTGGCAATTACACCCCTCACCCAGCTCCCCATGCAACTCAAGGGCCAGTCTCATTCCTACTGTGCTCCCCTCAACAGCAGGGAGTTTGTTTCCAGACAGTGGGTGAGCAGGGCTGACAACTTGCCTCAGGCTACCAGCCTCCTGGCTGTGAAAGCAAGCAGGGCTTTCAGATCTTGTGCCTCCCCACCTACTGCAGCTTCTGTGCTTTGTCTGCACTCCTGATTCACCCCCTTCCCTGAGTTCTGTCCAGGAAACTTTGCGTTCCATTGAAATTGTTACAAAATTCAGCTGGAAGTTTCCTTCTCCCTGTGGTCTTTTCCCAGTTCTTCTTGCAGCCCTCCCCAAAGACCTCTGAGAGAAAAAGTCAGAAATGGCTTCCCTGGGTACCGAGAGAGCCCACAGGGTGCTTTCTGCTGATTCTTCTACCTTTGTATTTCACTCAGCTCTCTAAATTGTCTCAGCTTTAGGGAAGGCCAAATCCTTCTTCCGTGATCTGGACCGTCAGGATCCCCAGTGAGGGTGCATGTTTGGGGATGGACGGGCCCCCTTGTATACTTTCACACTTTGGGTACTCACAGTTTGGGGGCTGCCTCCTGGAGCCTGCAGGAGCAATCTGCTTCCTTCAAAGTGTCTGTGGATTCTCTTGGCTCTCTTGGTATTTTCCTGTGGTAGTTCTTGGAGCAAAAGTTCGCGATGTGAGTCTCCACATGCTGCTTTTTCCATCCAAGTGGGAGTTGCAATTTAGTCCTGCCTCCTAGCCACCATTTTCCTCTAGAAAAAAACAACATGTCAAACTTATTACCCAAGAGGAAACACTAGCTGACAGTATAAAGAGCTTCAAAGAATTTAAGAATTAATGGATAGTAGATCCATAATAGATCACTAAATAAAACCACAGTGGTGGCTGCAAACTCCTGATATTCAAGGTTGACATTGGGAGCCAGGAAATAAATCCCTGGAGGTTGTAAGCAGAAGCAGAACCCCCGGAGTGTATGCAGCAGAAACCCACACGGATGGATATATTGCTGTGGGCTGAATTGTGCCCCCATCCGTATTTGAAGCTGTAAACCTCAATATGATAATATTTGGTGCCACAACCTTTAAAGAGGTAATTTCGGTTAAAGGTGATAAGATTGGGCACTAGTCTAATAGGATTAATGTTGAGAAAGAGACAGCAGAGACGCAGCACAGAGAAAAAGCCTTTTGTGAACACAGCAGGAGGAGAGCAATCTGCAAGCCAAGGAGAGAGGTCTCAGAAAAAAACAAACCCTGGTGACTCCTTGCGTTCAGATATCTGGCTTCCGGAACCATGAGAAAATAAGTCTCTGGCTGAGCATGGTGGCTCACACCTGTAATCCCAGCACTTTGGGAGGCTGAGGCAGGTGGATCACTTGAGGCTAAGAGTTTGAGACCAGGCTGGCCAACATGGTGAAACCCTGTCTCTACTAAAAATACAAAATCAGCCAGGCGTGGTGGCAGGTGCCTATAATCCCAGCTACTCAGGAGGCTGTGGCATGAGAATTGCTTGAACCTGGGAGGTGGAGGTTGCATTGAACCAAGATCTTGCCACTGCACTCCAGCCTGGGAAACAGAGTGAGACTCTGTTTCAAGAAAAAGAAAAAAAAAGAAAAGAAAAAGAAAAAGATAATAGGTCTGTTTTAGTTAAGCCATCCAGTTTGTGGTATTTTGTCATGGCAGTCTTCGCAGATGAATACATATACCATACAACACAGTATAAACATAACACAATCTTATTAGCTGATTTTACAAGCAACTCACGACAATGAGGGCAATCAAGAAAACAAGGAGTGGCATTAAGGCAAGCATTTTTTCTTCCTATTTGAATTATTATGAATGCTATCATTGATGTAAAACATGGGAAATTCCCTATAATGGAGCTCACAAAGCCAATTCGCCAGCAAGCTGCCAATTAATGAATATTTCTGTAGTTAAAGGATCATCAGTTTCTGGCCTCAAATTTCTCCTAATTGGTGTGAATAATAATAGGAGGATAAAGACAGCAGGGTATGCTCTGCATTTCCAAAGAGGTGAGAAGAGAGGTGACGGACTTGAAGTGAGGGACTCAGTTCAAATTGCCTGGAAGTGGGGACCTTGTCCTCACCATCTTTGTATCCCCAACTCAAAAGCTTTACTGAACCCAGCTATTCTAAAATTAATTTGATGAGTGGCTAAGGAATTAGATTAACTGGTACTAAGCGTTAAGCTTCAGAGCACACTATGAAACTTGGCAGAGTGGTGAGGGCCCACCGCCGAGATCCAGTCAGGAGGCTCACCAAAGGGTGACACGCAGAGGCTGCCACTGCAGTGTCCTTGCTTTGTCTTCTTAGGTAAATAAGTCTTTGCTTCTCACCCTCCACCCCCTTGCTATAGCCCTATGTGGAAACTACTTCCTGTTTTAAACAACTCACAGCCACAGCAGAACAAAAACGATTCACAATCTCTGAGTGCCTAGAAGTGTTTCATATTGTATAATACGTGAAAATGAGAAATTTAAAAGCACTTTTAGAATTGGGAGATGTTTTCTTCATTGAATATGTTATATAATCATTATTTCATTTATTTAATTAATTTTTGAGAACAAATACAAGAATTTATGTTTGCTTAGCATTTGACAGTTTTAAAACACTATGCAGACATTGTTTTTGGATCTCTATGCAGTTCTGTAAGGAACAAAGATTGGAATTTCATTCAGATTTATGGATAAGAAAGCTCAGGGGGAAAAGAATAAGGGAAGAGCAGCCCAAGGCCACTTAGTGAGCTTTGCACCCAGAGCTTCAGCACAGACTCCTGGGCAAGACCAGGAAACTATTTAAGGAAAGCAAAGCTTATTTAGATGTCAATTTACATATTTGCTGTTTTTCTTCCTGTAAGAGAAATAATAGCTCTCAGGATGTAAATGTGCCACTTCAAGGCAAAATAGGGTAGCCATAAGTGATAAACTGTCTAATATATCAAATTCATGGTGATATGAAAGTGTCAACAATGATATTTGCTTACTGGAGTGTGTGTGTGTGTGTGTGTGTGTGTGTGTGTGTGTGTAAGTATGAATATTTTCCTCCCAGAACCACTGCTAGAAACACAAAAATATTTTGGTGGGAAAAAAAATGTAAGTAAATGTTGGCTGGTGAGACTCAGAGAGGGCAGGATACGGTGAAAAGCATATCCTGCAAAGCAAAAGACCAGTGATTGCCTTGATACCCTGGAGACTATGGAGGCAATGGGAAAAGAAGAGAGGTAAAGTGAGGAAAGAAGCCAGGGAGATGTGGGCCACAAGTCCGTAGAGGTGATTGTCATCTGGGAATGTCATGAACCCTCATGATCCTCTGAATTTTCAAAAAAAAAAAAAGAAAGAAATCACAAAATGCTTAAGAATGGTGGATTTGAAATATAACTTGATGAGTGAGATTAAGCCCTGCATCCAGGCTACAATAGGAGAAGGAAAGAGTGTTACGACAAGGAAAAATAGAAGCAAAAGGAAGCATGATGAGGTAGAGCGCTGGGATGTTAGGGACCATGGAATTAGATTCCGGAAAAGGTACGCAATTTCTGAAAGGCAGGGAGGCTCCAGATGGCATACAGATGGATGGATTGGTGGGCGGACAGATGGAAAGATGAGTTGATGAGAGGCAGACAGATCAATAGTTAAATGGTTATCACTATATTAGACTTAGATGCATTGGAAATTAATGTATACCTAAGAATAGTAAGAAGATTCTGAACATCATGAAAAGTTTCCGAATTTAAGCTAGGGAAGGCCTGAAAGAAGTCATTCAGTTTGATAGTTTGATATTAGAAGGTGTTGGTGATCTCAGCACATTTTGAGAAAGATTGGCTCCGTTGGTGAGGCACCCACGATGTCACCCATACACCTTTTCTTCTGTGGGTGTCCTTTGATTAAGCAAACTACGGAACACTATTTCTCTTTCCGTGGAACATATCTAGGCCAAAGTGATTAAAATGAGGATAGTTGCACACTAGATCTCACTCCTGAAGTTTCATTTTCCCTTCCACAAAAGAAAAGGCTAAAATTCTTTTCTATGTGAAAGTTACAGCAGATTTTAAAATGTGATTCTTTAAAAAACCATCTCATTAGTCACTGACAGTAAAAAATCACCTCCTGTTGGTCTCAATCAAACATTTTAAAGGCTATATCTGATTTTACAGTATTTAAAATCTGTTCTTAAACATTTACTATTGCTAGCCCATAGCTCTTCTTTTTTCTTGCATTTCTAAGTAAGCATTAGTGTCCAGAGTAACACAAATGAAAAACAGACCAATATCAGGGGCTCATGATCATAACTGGTCTCAGCTGAGTATGAGCGGCCTGTGATGCAAATGTAATGAGTGCTTAGGACAAGGGTGATGAAGCAGAAAGCTTAACAAACTGCACTCAGATTGCCTGGCTCTGCATTCTAGATACACTTCACACTAGTTTTTGAGACCTTGGGCAAGATATATAACTTCTCTATGGCACTATTTCCTCATCTGTAAAATACAGTTAATAACAGCATCTGCCCCATGAGTTGTTACAAAAATCAAATTAGATTTAAATAATAAAAAGTCATGGATGAGGAAAAAAGTCTGCAAAACTCATATCTGACAAAGAACTTGCCTCCAAAATATACAAAGAATTCTTAAAACTTAACACTAAGAAAACAACTCAATGAAAAAGTGGGTAAAAGATCTAAACTGGTATCTCACCAAAGAAGATATACAGATGGCAGAAAAGCATATGAAAGATGCTAACATCATATGTCACTAGAGAATTGCAAATTAAAACAACAATAAAACACTTCTCTTCACCTGTTAGAATGTCTTAAATCTGAAACAACAATATTAAAGGCCGGTGAACATGTGGAGCAATGGAAACTCTCATTCCTTGCTTGTGGGAATGCAAAATGATAACAGCTACTTTGGAAGGCAAGTTGGCAGTTTCTTGCAAAGCTAACTGTAGTCTGGCCATCTGATCCAGCAGTCGTGCTACACAGTATGAGGTTATTTGTCCAAATAAGTCAAAAACTTACATCCACACAAAATCCTACTTTTACAGCAGCTTTATTCATAATTGCTGAAAATTAGAAGCAACCAAGATGTCCTTCAACAGGTGAATGGATAAACAAATTGTGGATTATGCACACAATGGAATACTACTTGGCAATAAAAAGAAATGAGATATCGAACCATGAAAAGACATGGAGGAACATTAAGTGAAGATTGCTAAGTGAAAGAAGACAATCTGAAAAGGCTACATACAATTATTGCGACTGTATGACATCCTGAAAAAAGCAAAATGATGGAGGTGGTAACATATCAACGATTGCCATGGGTTTGAATGCGAGGAGAGAGGATGATGAGGTAGAGCTCAGGGGCTATCTAGGGCAGCGATAATATTCTGTATTACTGTAATGGTGGATGCAGAACTTCATGCACTTGTCAAATCTCACAGAACTGTACAACACAAAGTGATTCTTAATGCAAACTATGGACTTGAGTTAACACATCAACGTTTTTCAATAAGCATAAAAATGTTCATTAATTGTAGCAAATGTACCAAACTAATGCAAGATTTCATCAATGGGGAAACGGTGGGGTTAGGAAACAGGGAGTATGTGGAAACCCTGTGCTTTCTGCTCAATTTTTCTATAAACCACAAACTTCTCTAAAAAACTAAAGTTGACTAGTTTTAAGAAATTAATTTTTAAAAATTAAATTAGATAATAGATGAAATTGTGTTAGAGCAGTGACTGACACATAAATAGCCTAAAAACATAAACAGAAGGAGACAAGTATGTGCTATGTGTAGGTGTCAGGATACATCAATAAAAACAATAGTTAAAGGGCAGGTGTATCTCATTGTACATCAGTCAAGGATGTGCATATTTTGGGCTGAAGATAAAAAAGTGTTCATAATCTAGAAAAGGATTAGGAAGTCAAGACATTGAAGAACCAGAAAAAATTATGTCAGACGGAGGAAAAATCCCAGTAACCGTTTCCTGGGAAATCCAGGCTAATTTGAGGAGGAGCTGTTTAAAGTCAAAAATGGAAAGAAATTCTTATAAAGACTGAACCAATTTAGGGTAGACCTTGCCCTCTAACCTCCCTCTCTACAGCTGCTATCTGCCATCATCCCTTCTCTTTGCCCCCAAGGTCTGGAGATTGTAAGTGTGTCAAAGTCCTCAGGTACACAACTGATTTGGAACTGAACTGGAACCATGGGTTCCAACAAATAGGAAAAAGTAGAAGCTGCCATGTCGTAAACTTTCATTAGGCATGGCATATGGTTTTAAGAAACACTTAAAGTATCTGTTTGGTCTCTTAATATTCTTTCAGTTCATGGTTTTATAAATTTTGGTGTTTGTCTATCATCAATTTAATTGCGTTTAAGAATAACCCAGACTGTACACTTTAGTTGTTCAAGTGCTTCCCTCTAGTGGTGATACACATGTACATCACTGTAAAGGAAGGAATAGGCTACATTGTCTAACCTGAATATTTTGTGGGTTTGTTTCCAAATTAATGTGGCATGTACAGTTAAATAGTTTCATGACTAAAAAAAAAAATCTGAATTTCAAAGTAATCTCTTGGGAATTTGGCAAATACTATCTGGCCAGGTGATCATGTACCCTGACTTGATGAAATATGTAAGATATTATTTTCCAAAAGACATATAACCGCCTTCTAACCATAAGAAAAATATCAGATAAACCCAAACTGAGAGTCACTCTATAAAACACCCAATACTCCTTAAGGCTGTCAAGGTATGAAAAACAAGGAAAGACTAGAAACTGTCAGAGACCAGGGGATGTTAAGGAGACATGTCTGTTAATGCAATGAGGTACAGGTGACTAGACTCAGGACCAGAAAAAGAACATAAGTGGAAAGACTATTAAAATCCAAATAGAGTATGGCATTTAGTTAATAACAATGTATCATTGTTTCTTAGCTGTGACAAATATTTTGTGAGTAATGTATTAAAAATAGGAGAAACTGGGTGAGGAATTATAGGTACTATCAGCAAAATTTTGTAACTTTTTGTAAATCTAAATATATTCTAAGATTGAAAAGATATTAAAATTGACATGTTCTCTCAAAGAGCACATCAAAACTTTTCTCAACCTACTTTTCTTTTCTTTTCTTTCTTTCTCCCTCTCTCCCTCTCTCCTTCTCTCTTTCTCCCTTCCTTTCTTTCTTTTGCATATTCCTTTAAGTCCTCTCTTCCCAGGATTCTAATATCAAGTTCGTAATATTTTTAACTAAATTCTGTAACTTCTTGCACAACTTTGTAAACATATTAAAGTCATTTAATTTTACATTTAAAATAGGAAAATTTTACAGCATGTGTATTGTATCTCAAGAAAGTCTTAAAATCGGTACATTCTATCAATTGATTCTAATTTCATCTTCTCATGTTACTGCTCTTTAAATATTGAAACTATTCCCTTCCTTCTTTTTTCTCTTTTTTTGCATTCTTTATTTGAGAGGGGGATGTCCTTCCTTTTGAAGAGAAATTTTTAAGTCTTTACATTTCATTATTTGAACAGTTTCTGTAATTTCACTGTCAGGTCATTATCTCATAGACACGTCCCAGAGTCTGAAAACACTTCCACATTTGTGACCCATTCTGAATGCAATATATCAATTGATTCTAAAGTGAAAGTCTTATTTTCAGTTTCAAATGTTATTTCTAACATAAGAGAACAACATTTTCCCTTCTTAATAATACAGTGCTAGAAATTGACGGAGAAACATAATACAGTAGGTTGAGCATAACCTTTAGGCTCAAAGTCAAAACATTTACTTGCTATATTATTTCAGAAAAAGTAAGAGTCTTGATATGGTTTGGATCTGTGTCCTCACCAAATCTTGTGTCAAATTTGAACCTCTAATATTGGAAGTGGGGCATGGTAGGAGGTGACTGGATCAGGAGATGTTTCTCATAAATGTTTCAGCACCATCCCCTTGATGCTGTGCTCATGATAGTAAGTTTTCAGAAGAGATCTGGTTGTTTAAAAGTGTGTAGCACCACCGCCCCTTCCCAACACTTGCTTCTGCCATGGAAGATGCCTGCTCCTTATTTACCTTCTGCTTTGAATAAAAGTGCCCTGAGGCTCCCCCAGAAGCAGACGCCACCATGCTTCCTGTACAGCCTGCAGAACCATGAGCCAATTAAACCTCTTTTCTTTACAAATTACTCAGTATCATGTATTTCTTTTTTTTTTTTTAATGACAGAGTCTCGCTCTGTCACCCAGGCTGGCGTGCAGTGGTGCAATCTCAGCTCACTGCAAGCCCCGCTTTCCGGGTTCACACCATTCTCCTGCCTCAGCCTCCTGAGTAGCTGGGACTACAGGCCCCTGCCACCACGCCCAGCTAAGTTTTTGTATTTTTAGTAGAGATGGGGTTTCACTGTGTTAGCCAAGATGGTCTCCATCTCCTGACCTCGTGATCCACCCACCTTGGCCTCCCAAAGTGCTGGGATTACAGGCGTGAGCCACCGCGCCCGGCCTCATGTATTTCTCCATAGCAATGCAAGAATGGACTAATACAAGTTTAGGTCAAATTTACCTTTAAAAATTACTTAGAAAAAAAAAAAGCTGGATTCTAGGTTTTGAAATCATTTTTTTTTAATCAGGGTTTTATATACTACTCTCTACTATTGGTCATGTCTTCTATTCATCTACCTTAAATGATTATTTACCTTTTCAGATAAATAAATGCTACGGGAATTCGTTACCACCAGACCTGCCTTACAAGTGGTCCTTGCAGGAGTGCTAACCATGGAAATAAAGACTGATCAGAGCCATCATAAAAACACACTTAAGTACATCGACACTATAAAGTAACTACACAATCAATTCTACATACCAACCAGCTGACAACACAGTGACAGGATCAAATGCACACACATCAATATTCACTGTGAATGTAAACATGCTAAACACCTCATTTAAAAGGCACAGAGTGGCAATTGGATAAAGAAGCAAGACCTAACTGTATGCTGTCTTCAAGATGCCCATTCCACATGCAATGACACCCATAGGCTCAAAGTATGGGTTGGGGAAAGATCTATCAACCAAATGGAAAACAACAACAACAAAAAAGAGCAGGGGTTGCTATTCTTATTTCAAACCAAAAAGGCTTCAAACCAACAACTATCAGAAAGGACAAAGAGGGGCATCACATAATGATAAAGAGTTCAATTCAAGAAGAAGACTTAACTATCCTAAGTATGTATGCATCCAACACTGGAGCACCCAGATTCACAAAACAATTCATAGAGACCTATGAAGAAACTTAGATAACCACACAATAATAGTGGGAAACTTCAACAGCCCACTGATAATATTAGGTGGATGTTCAAGGCAGAAAATTAATAAAAATATTCAGGATCTAAACATTTGAGCAAATTGTCCTAGTAGACATCTACAGAGCACTACACCAAACAAAACAGAATATACATTCTTCTTATCTGCACATGGCACATACTCTAAAATTGACCTCATGCTCTACCATAAAGCAATCCTCAACAAATTAAAAACAAAAAATCAAATCATACCGGCCACACTTTCAAACCACAGTGCAACATAAATAGATACTTCTCAAAAGAAGACATACATGCGGCCAAAAGGCATATGAAAAAAAGTTGGACATCACTGATCAAGAAATACAAATCAAATCGACAATGGGATACCATCTCACACCAGTCAGAATGGCTAACATTAAAAAGTCAAGAAATAACAGATGCCCTTAAAAGAGACAGGAATTGCTCACTCGGGGAGCTCAGTTGTTGGAGACGTGAGTTTTGCCGAAGTTCCCGGCTGAATAAAGCCCTTCCTTCTTTAACTTGGTGTCTGAGGGGTTTTGTCTGAGGCTTGTCCTGCTGCAATACCATCTCATACCAGTCAGAAAGGCTATTACTAAAAAGTCAAAAAACAATAGATGCTGGTGAGATTGAGGAGAAAAGGGATGCTTATACACTGCTAGTAAGAATGTAAATTAATTCAGCTACTGTGTAAAGCAGTTTGGAGATTTCTCAAAGAACTTAACACAGAACTACCATTCCACCCAGCAATTCCATCACTAGATATACACCCAAAGGAATATAAATCATTCTACCATAAAGACACATGCATACATATGTTCATTACAGCACTATTCACAATAGCAAAGACATGAAATCAACCTAGATGACCATCCACAGTAGGTTAAATAAAGAAAATATGGGGGCCAGGCACGGTGGCTCATGCACGTAATGCCAGCACTCTGGGAGGCTGAGACGGGTGCATCACGAGGTCAGGAGCTTGAGACCAGCCTGGCCAACATGGTGAAACCCCATCTCTACTAAAAATAGAAAAAATTAGCTGGGCATGGTGGCGGGTACCTGTAATCCCACCTACTCAATAGGCTGAGGCAGGAGAATTGCTTGAACCCGGGAGGCAGAGGTTGCAGTGAGCCAAGATCGCGCCACTGCACTCCAGCCCTGGCAACAGTATGAGACTCCATTTCAAAACAACAAAAAAATAAGAAAAGAAAAGAAAAAAAAGGAAATATGGTACATACACACCATGGAATACTACACAGCCATAAAAAATGAAATCATGTCCTTTGCAGCAACATAGATGAAGCTGGAGGCCATTATCCTAAGCAAACTAATGCAAGAACAAAAAACTATATATTACATGTTCTCGCTTATTTGTGGGAGCTAAACATTGAGTACACGTGGACACAAAGAAGGGAACAATAGACATTAGGGCTTACTTGAGCGTGGATGTAGGGAAGAGGGTAAGGATTGAAAAAATACCTATTGGGTGCTATGCTCATTACCTGGGTGATGAAATAATCCATACCCCAAACCTGTGCGACATGAAATTTCCCCATGCAATAAACCTGCATATGCAGCCACTGAACCTAAAAGTTGGAAAGAAAAAAACAGATAACCATTATCTGCAATATATTCAACAGAAGTGTCATAAATAGTTTAAAAGTTGATGTAAAAAAAAAACTTCTGAAAAATAGATTATTCTGCCATTCATTAAATTATTTAAATATTGCAGAATTTGTCACTGATTTGATGAAAACTTATAATTTTTTTTTAAAAAAGACTATTTAACAGAAAGCCTGGGACCCTGATCTCAAACATGCAACCTCTTTTCCATCGATGTAATCAATAAACCACTCTGCTCATTGTCTTCTTATAAACTAAAATTTACTGCCTATCTATAAAGAATTATTTACTACATATTGCCTTAATTTGTAGTTATAATATGTGGACAAAATTACCATAAACTATCCATATGTAAAGTCCTTATGCCTGCATTGTTTTTCTAATTCTTTAATTTGTAAAAATAACAAGAAGAGTCTACTTTGGAAACACAAGTGGTGGCATTTGCTGAGGCATTTAGTAATGGGCATGAGATTATCTAAGATGGCTTGCAAACATGGCTTAACAAATGCGTGATGCAACTTTTTGAAGGCAAGAGCCTTCTTTTGTTTATCACTGCACCAACTGTGGTTATTGAAATAGAATGTGTTGGCAATGGAGCAGGTAATCAGCAGTGTTTGTTGGCCCCTCTTCCTGCAGAAAAGTCACCAAGTGTAATTCATCTTGAGAAATGTAGGGTCCCTTTCACCACACTTTTGCAGAGGTGAGCTATCAAGTACCGTCCTGGAGTTAACACTCAAGCAATCACTACAATTCCAATTAGTCAGTGTCATAAATGAAAATGACTACAGCCTCTCAAACTCATGAGTGGTTGGAACTTACCTCTTTGTCTTGTATCCACTCAGATAATGTAGGTTAAATGGAACTTACTTTGAACTAGCTTTCCTTTCCTAGAACGTGGTGAGATGGGGCTTTGAGTGTACAAACCACATCTTAGTTATGTACATGAGACACAGATTTTAAATACAATGATAAGTTGTCACCTCTGGCGATGTCCACTCTGAAACTGGGTGATGACATTCCAGAGGGGTAGAGGGGATTCCTCATTAGGCGGTTTGTTATTTTAGAAACATCTTATTCACTTTCGCTGTGATTTTTGGACTCTTATCTAGAAGCATTGTCAATTCTGGGGCTTATGCTTGAGAAAAAATTAAAACAATTTGTCTTAATTTCCAAGACAGTCAGATTGCCATGTATTATGCAATAGTCTTATCTGAAATGCAAATACAATCGTGGCTGTGTTTTTATTCTCACAAACTCTCTACACCATCCTTCCTTATGTGGTGCTTTCCATACAGTGTCTCCTGTTCCATGGGCAAGCGGGAGCCTCCACCATATACTCCCTCCCTTGGAAAAACCCCTGTGAGGGTTCACCAGCTTCTTATCATTGTAAAGGGAGGCTGTGGGGTGGGGGTGTGAGTGTCCTGAGGGGTGAAGACCAAACAGCCCTGTCTTCCCTACTCGTCCCCAGCTAACACCTCCAGGGTGGTCCCATATGGTCACGCCCAGGCCCCAGAAATGATCTTCCTCCTGCACATTTTCTTCCTCATCCATCTCCCTTTTATTCTGTTTTCTTGCTGCTGCCACCCGATTCCTGAATCCTGGCTCCCTTTCACTCCTGCAAGGTTAAATTTAGGGCAGCCTTCTGCTCTCATGCTGAAGTCTTTGCCCCAGTTGTCTACATCTTGGAAATATGTAGCCTCTGGGGTGGGATATAGTCAGAGCTGTTTTGTTTCTCATTCGCACTGCTGGGTGTCATTCTATGACCTGATGGATGGAGCAGAGCGGTGTTCTAAATTCCAGGGTGCTGCTCTGCCTTCTCTCTCTCTCTCTCTCATTTTTTTCCCTGTCTACCCAAGATATCTTAAAACAAAACAACAATACAAGATAACAAAACCAGATATTCCTCAGTTTCCGGCCAATTTAGCTTCCACATTGGTTTTCATTGCTAAAATGAAACCAGACAGTACACTTCTCTTTCCTTCTTTTGAATTCAAATTCAAATTCCTCCTGTTATGTCTGTGTATGTGGGTATAGGCATGTGTATCTTTTAAGCAAAAGTATTTAGCACATATAATATGCAAGGTACTATTCTGAGTGTTTTTACATGTGCATTTTTTTCACAAATTCAGTGTTACTAATGTTATAAAATTAGGAAGCAAATTAGGATTTGAATGCTAGACTTTTGGCACAAGACATGAGGCTCTTAACTTATCCTCTACTCCTTCTCTCTAATATCTTCTAATAGAACTGCTACCTAATTTTCAGGGCCCAGCACTAAATAAAAGTGTAGGTGCCCGTATTAGTCTGTTTTCACACTTCTGATGAAGACATACCCGAGACTGGGCAATTTACAAAAGAAAGAAGTTTAATACACTCACAGTTCCGCATGGCTGGGGAGGCCTCACAATCATGACAGAAGGTGAAAGGCATGTCTCACATGCGGCAGATAAGAGAATAGAGCTCATGCGGGGAAACTTCCCTTTTTAAAACCACCAGATCTCATGAGATTCATTCACTATCAGGAGAACAGCCCAGGAGAGACCTGCCACCATAATTCAATCACCTCCCCCTGGGTTCCTCCCACAAAATGTGGGAATTGTGGAAGTTACATTTCAAGATGAAATTTGGGTGGGGACACAGTCAAACCATATCAGCACCCTTGCTCAAAAATGATTAAGATTTCCAAGATGGCAACAGTGGAGCATTAAAGTAAGCACAGAGGCTTTCTGAGTGTGGGTCCTTGGGCACAGGTGGCATGCCAAGAAGCCAGCTGTTTCTTCAAACATTCCTTTCTAATTGTACATTTTGTTTGTATGTGTGTGGCTACAGTGGAAGTCAGGGAATTATTACACCTAAGACAGGATGAGTTTCTCTGTAATTTGGTTCATTCAGGCAGCAGGGCATGGGCAGATAAAGCTGTCCCTGAGGAGGAGGGGTATAGTCTGACCAGGAGAACACAGTGCCCAAGGGCACTGAGAACAAAGCTCAGATCAGCAGTATCTGATATGGAAGATAATGTCAAGGTTGTCAAAGAAGAGCATGGCAATGGGCTATCTAAGGGGAAATTAATACATGGGCTCTATGCCCTGGCTGCGTTTTTTTTTATGGGAGTCGTAGGAGGTTGAATGAGATGGCACGATAAAATTAATTCTGGAAAGTATCAGTCAAGATGGGCTCAATTACACTGCAGAAACAAACATGCCTATAATATCAGTGACTTTGGACAATAGAAATTTATTTGTTGTTCACATTGCCTTTCCATCATGAATCTCACAGAGCAAGTGGCCGGGTGAGGGAGTTCTCTGCTCAATATAGTTTCTGAGGGATCTAGGCTGATGGAACAACATACGCTGTTTTGAAATTTTTTGATCATGGATCAGAGAGAAAGAAGTATTCTATAGGGCTCAATTCACAACGGGTTAGTCAGAAATAGTCACATGGCCCCATTCAGTGACAAGGCTGTGCCATTCTACCATGTTCCCAGGAGTTATGAGAACTGGAATGAATTAAATATTCACACGAGGAGACAAGTACAAGAATGCGTATAGGAGTATTGATTGTAAAAGGAAAAAAGAAACAATCCCAGTATCCATGGCCAAATACTGTTTGCCCAACAGATGGCTAACAGGCATCTCCAAATTAAACCTGCTAGAACAATCTATGTTTTTTTCTTCTCCAATTCTTACCTTCCCCAACTCAGTGAATAATGCCTTTTCAGTTGATGAGTCCAAAAACTTGAGAGTGAATCTCACACCTCATGTTAGAAGATAGATTCTTTTACCTTCAAAATGCATACAGAACCTGACCACCTCTCACAACTTATCTCTGTGGCCCTAGTGTAAGGCAGGTCTCTAATGAGGTTGCACCCTCATCCTCAAGTGTATTAGTCTGTTCTCAAGCTGCCAATAAAGACGCACCCGAGACTGGGTAATTTATAAAGGAAAGAGGTTTAATGGATTCAGCATTCAGCATGGCTGAGAAGGCCTCAGGAAACTTATAATCATGGTGGAAGGGGAAGAAAATACGTCCTTCTTCACATGGCACCAGCAAGGAGAAGTGCCAAGCAAAAGAGGGAAGCCCCTTTAAAAACCAACAGATCTCGTGAGAACTCACTCACTATCACGAGAACAGCATGAGGATAACCAGCCCCATGATTCAAGTATCTCCCACCAAGTCTTTCCCAGGACACATGAGGATTGTGGGAACTACAGTTCAGGATGAGATTTGGGTGGGGACACAGCCAAATCATATAATCAAGTATTTGTATATAGGCCACTTTCCCATCTGGGTGTTTCCTGGCCTCATGCCAATTGCAGTCTGCTCCCTGACCATGCCCTCCCCGCCCTCTTTCGTGCAATTTAACAGCACTAACAGGCTGAATGAAACTTCCCTTATGATTTTTTCTTTTGACTTGGCTTCAGGCCTCCTGGTTTTTACTCTCTTAATTGTAATTTCTTTTTAGTCTTCCTTGCTTGTTCCTCCTCATCTCATGGACTCCTGAATGTTGACATTCAGAATCCATTCTTTCACTGTCTTCTCTGCTCTTTGGTCTTATACCCCTGGTGATCTCATACAGGGTTTCTAGTCCTAACTTCGTAGACAGCATCTCCGTTTCGGTGTTCACCTTTCAACTAGAATTTAATATGTTCAAAATTGAACTCCCTTCCTGCCCACTCTGAAGCTGCTTCTTCTAGTCTTCCTCATCCTGTTAGGGGATATTCATCATCATTCATGTTGCTCTGGCTAAAACTTGGGAGTGATCCTTCATGCCTCTCTTTTTATCTTCCCGCTCCCATGTTTAGAGAATAAACAAATATTGTGGGTTACACTTTTAAAGATATACAGAATATGACCTTTTTCAATATTCTCAGTGTCAACATCTGTGTTCGATTATTAGACCTGCCATAACAAAGTGTCACAAACTGGGTGGTTGAAAACAAGTACTTCTCACTGTTCTGGAAGGTAGAAGTCTGAGGCCAAGGTATCGGGAGGTCTTTGCTTACTCAGAAAGATCTAGGTGAGAATCTTTCCTTGCCTCTTTTAGCATTTGGTTGTTGCCAGCAATCCTTGGTGTTTCTTGGCTGGTAAAAGCACCTCTCTCATCTCTGCCTTAATACTCACATGGCCTTCTCCCTGTGTGCATGTCTCTGTTTCTTCTCCTCCTGTTATGAAAACAACAGACATTAGATTTAGGGGCCCACCCTACTCCAGTATGACTTCACTTAAGTTACATCTTAACTACATCTGCAAAGGCCTTATTTCCAAATAAGGTCACCTTTACAGGTACCAGGAGTTGGGACTTGAGCAAATATTTGGGGAAAATGTAGAAGTGGTAATAATCATCCAGTGATAATTATCTTTTCCTGGTTGCAAATTTTATTAGATTTAAAAAGTTTTATTCATTCCCGCTTTGTTGAAAGTGTTTACCGTAAGTAAATATTAAATTGTACTTTTTGCCTCCTGGATCTGCTGAAGTGATCATGTGATATTATCCTTGAATATTTCATTCAACACAGAACACACAATTCGGCCACTCTAGTCAAAGCTACCATGATTCCTTGCCTGGATTATGGCTACAGACCCCTGTTAGTCTCCTGCTTTCACCCATTCTCCCGTGTAGACTAAACAGTACAGAATCCAAAGTGGTTCTTTTACAAGTAAGTCAGATCACATCACTTCTCTGCTCAGAAATTTCTAGGGTTTCTTTTCTCACTCAGACTAAAAGCAATTCCCTCCCAATGCACAGCAAGTTCTTGCAGGCTCAGTGCCCTCCCCTCCTTAACTCTCTAGCTTCATCTTCTACTTTCTCCATGGATCACTGCTGTCCAGGCATCCTGGGACCACTGTGCTCCACAAACACACTGAAGGGATTTTGCTTTCCATTTCCTCTCTCTCAAATACTCTTCCCCATAAATCTTACTGTATTAGTCCGTTTTCATGCTGCTGATAAAGACATACGCAAGACTGGGCAATTTACAAAAGAAAGGGTTTTAATTAGACTTACAGTTCCACATGGCTGAGGAAGCCTCACAATCATGGCAGAAGGCAAAGAGGAGCAAGTTACGTCTTACATGGATGGCAGCAGGCAAAGAGAGAGAGAGTGTGTGCAGAGGAACTCCTCTTTTTAAAATAATCAGGTCTCGAGAGACTAATTCACTATCACAAGAACAGCATGGGAAAGACCCACCTCCATGATTCAATTGTCTCTCATTCAATTATCTACCACAACACATGGGAATTCAAGATGAGATTTGGGTGGGGACACAGCAAAACCATATCACTTACATTACCCTCTCCATGCCCTTCTTCAGTGAGGCCTTCCCTGACTGAAGGCTGTATGACATAGTGCTGAGGTTGAAGGACTTACAAATAAAGGACCTGAGTTCACATCTTGCCTTGCCATTTACAGCAAACAGCCAATTTATGTAGACTCTGAGTTTATGAAATAAGTCTATGAAATAAACTGAGTTTATGAAATAACTCTCATCTATGAAATAAGGAAATTAATAGTGGCTTGATATTTTGGAGTTGCTGGAAAATTGAAATAAATTAACACCTAGAAGAGTCTCTCACACAATATAAATACCTAATAAATATTCGTGATTGTTATTAAAGTATGCACCACATCTTCTTCCAGTAATGCCTTATGTCTGCTACTTGATTGGACTCCATAGTATTTGTTACCATCTAGCAAACCATATGTTCTGCTTTTTTTTTTTTTTTTTTTGCCCCCTTCCCACTAAATAATTACCAGGAATATTGCCTCGTAAATATTAGACATTCAATAAATATTATTTGAATAAATGTTAAAATGTCTAGACCCTTCAGTATAATATAGAAGTGGTAATAATAATCCAGGGATAATTATCTTGTTCTGGTTGCCAAGTTCACAAGATTTTTAAAGTTTTCTTTATTCTCACTTTGCTAAAAGTGTTTACCATAGATAAATATTGAATTGTTCTTTCTTTCTTGGATTTACTGAGGTGATCATATGATATTCTCCTTTAATATTTTGTTATAATCACTTACATCTGTTATTAATATAAATTTTCGCATATGGATCAAATCTAACATGGTTATTATGCATGCTCTTTTTAAATACACTGCTGAGTTCAATTCGCTAATGTTTTAAGACATATTTATGAGTAAGATTGGCTTGTAATTTTTACTTGTAATTCTGCCTTCAGAATGTTTTGGTATCAAGATTATAGAGGAAAATACAAGTTGAACTTGGGAGTATTCTCTTTTTCTTGTTCTCTAAAATAATTTACATAATATAGAAGTAGTCTACCCCTTGAATATTTGAGAAAATTTTCCCATCTTGGCCTGACCATTTTTGTATGTGTAAATTGTAAACTACTTCAACGTCTCTAACGGATTCATTTTTGTCTCTTTTATACTGATCAGTTTTGTCAATTTATATTTATCTAGGAATTTGTCTCTCATCTAATTTGCTGAAGTTTTTTGACAAAACGTTTTTTTTTTCATTTTTCTCTTTGGCATCTATACTTTTCTCCCCATATTCAATTCTAATATTGTTTATGCTGGCTTGCTGTATTTTTGTTTGAAAATATTGATAATGAAATATTTCACAAGAAACTTTGAGGTTTAAATATGATAAAATAAAAATACTTTATTTTTATGATAAAAGTATCATTACGTTTGTTTATGTCTATATTTATATTTATTTACCTCTATATAAATTTTTTGGTCTTATTGACCTTTTTAATTACCTGCCTTTTCCAGTTTCTGAATTTCTGCTCTTATCCTTAATTGCTTTCTTCTATTCCTTTGGCTTAGGTTTTTTTGTTTATTTTGTTTTTACCTTGCTTTTGTTTTGTCTTGCTTTTGTTTTTTTCTTGCTGTTGGTGCTTAGTTCATAACTTTCAGTCATTTTTCTTATATAATATAAGCATTTAAGTTTATAAACTCTATGTATGCACTGATTTTCCTACACCCCAGGGTTTCTTGTGAAGTATTTTGTCATCTAGTTGTAAACATTTTCTAATTTCCATATGCTTTCTGTTTAAGCCATAAATTATTTAGAAGTAATTTCTCTCCACTTTAATTTCCACGTGCATATTTTCCTTACTTTTTAATCACCAATTTCTTTTACTAATGATGCTGTAGAGGAACTGTAATTGTTATAAAGCCAACTATTTAAAATGTGCTGAATCTTGCTTTATAACTTAGCATGTGGTCAGTCTTCAAAGGGTCTGTGCATTAGTTGCTGTATTAATGTTAGTGTCTTGACTTTTACCCTTGTGCTGTAAGATGTTAACACTAGGAATATAAGTGAAGAATATAAGGGGTTTCATTACACTTTTCTTTCCCATATTTTTAAAAGTCTGAAATTACTTCAAAACAAAAAGTCAAAAAGTTTTAAAAACATGTAAAGTGATTAACTCAACGGTAAAGAATTTCCTCCCTTCTCTTATATCTATAATCCCACCTGTTGTCTTCATCACCATCATCAAACCTCAAATGGTGAGGATTATGAATTCTCCACTGCACCTTTGATGTGGTTTGGCTGTGTCCCCACCCAAATCCCATCTTGAATTGTAGCTCCCATAATTCCCATGTGTTGTGGGAGGGACCTGGTGGGAGATAATTGAATCATGGGGACCGTTTCCCCCATATTGTCCTGTGGTAGTGATAAGTCTCATGAGATCTGATGGTTTTATAAGGGGTTTCCTCCTCCACTTGGCTCTCATTCACTCTTTGCCTGCCACCATGTAAGATGTGCCTTTTGCCTTCTACTGTGATTATGAGGCCTCCCCAGCTATGTGGATCTGTGAGTCCATTAAACCTTTTTTCTCTATAAATTACCCAATCTTGAGTAAGCCTTTATCAGCAGTGTGAAAACAGACTAATACAACCTTCTAATTACAGCAGAGTGGGGGTCGGGCCCAAGATGTAATGAGGTTGCTGCCAACAAGATTGCCCTCAATGATGCCTTTCGTGATCCCTACAAGATGCTTGTCCTGGTGGAATTTCACCACCTCATAGTCAGCTCCTTAGGAGAAGAATGCTTGGCCTGCTATTAGCTTTTCTCAGTTATACATCTACTTAATATTATAAGTAATATATAAATACTTGATATTATACCAATAATATATACTTAATATTGTACTAAAAATCTCACAAAATATACTGTACTGTTGGATAAATTCAACTCTAAAGGTAATAACATAATTGATGTCGGTTCTAAAAAGTTTAAAATTAGGTAGTTAGACAGATACAGATGTGAACAGATTCTTTTTCAGATATGGAACATACTCACATTTCCAAACTATCATATCCTAACACAAATTAATTTATCATGTTTCACCTGATTTTAAAAATAACATTTAATTATACAGCGAGAATTCAAAAGGTGGGTGTTGCTAGACAAACTCAGTCAGACAATGAGGCAAAAGGCAATGAATGTTTTTATTTGTTAATCCACATTAGCAGCAACACCAGAAAAATCATTAACCACCCCACCTAGCATTGAAACTGACTCCACTTATCGCTTCTTCTTTTTAAATTATAATGTAAAAATGAATTGCAAAATATATTTTATTTGAACTTACTGAAGTCAAAATCATAGGAACCAGATATTTAAATAAAGTTTAAATCTAAAGTTTATATTTTAAACATAAAATTTAAATCGTTTGTTTTGAAAAGTATATCCTTGAAAAGTATTTTGATATAGATGGGAAGATTTTCATAGACTGGCATCTATTTTTCCACCTACTGTTTAATGAAGTAAACTGTTGAATGATGTAAACTGTTAAATGAAGTAAACAGTTAAAACTGATGACATAAAAGACAAGCAAAGCGAAGGAAACATGTTATAAAAGATAAGTATTACAGCATTCTTAAGTATGGTACTTTATAAAATGAAAACCGGGATGCTGTCTTCTGAGATATCAACATATTTATAAGGAGCACATGCTATGTGACATACTTCAGGATGCCAAGAATTTTAATTAAAACTCAACTTCTATAAAGTGAATATAAAGCTAATAAGAGGAATATTTTTAAAGGTTGGGATATGTAAACTACAATAGCAGCAGTTTGAAACAGAAGAGCAAGAAATAAAGGGAAATTACATTACATTAGTATGAATGTATTCAGTAACTTCTGTTGGAGATTATGTGTTATATATGCACAATTCTAGTTATTTTTCAATCAATGCTTTATAGGCATAAATTGAAATTACCTGATATTAAAAGTTTCTGAAATTCACTATAGAAAATACACATGAGCATAAACAAATGAGGATATTCTCTCTCTCCTGTGAAAAAAATGTGTGGGTAATATATTACATTACAGATAGAAATTGTATACTTGAAATAACCATAAAAGACTTAAATAGTATATGGATACTATTTTCAGCAAAATTGTTTCATATTTAAATTTAAACTTTTAGTTATTTTTTCATGTGTCTAATGCAAGATTTCTAAAATTTTCATTTTTTACTTTTTATAATGTTAACTGAAAAGGAGGGAGTGCATTTAACATAAAAACAGAAGATGAATCCTGAGATTTCTCATAAATGTCTTAATGTCCTAGAGATGTGGGCACTTGCTCCATAGTAAATTATGGATGCCACGTTTTACAAAATCCTTACTGCCCCTTTGAATTGTGTCCTTCCTCCAAGATAAGAAGCTATGACTCAATTGTTCAACATGGAATTATAATGAAAAGCCTTTCTAGTTCTATCTTTCCCTAAATGGGCTCTATTTCTTGTAATTCACATGACACTCTTTGGCTGTGGCTGTCTGTTAAATTTCCTGTTTTGGACTAGTTTCAGCAAACCAAAACAAATAGCTCACAGAAAAGGCAATGGTAACTACTTTTTTTTTTTTTTTTTTTTTTTTTTTTTTTGGTATTTTCAGTTAGATTCTTTCTTCTTAGAGGTACAGAGAAAGGGAGGAAAATAGCTACAGACATGGTGTAAGTAGGTCACAGCAGTTTCAATGCACCAAAAAATGTGACATCTCCATCCAGTGATATTTGTGCATTTTCTCTTGGTATTGCAAGTTGGAGTTCATCTCCTTCTTCCAGTTTTGCAATGCCTGGGAAAAAATGATTTACAAGAACTATAAGTGGTTATACAACAGAAAAGAAAAGAATCTTAAATAAAACTATTTTGTTCTGTAAAAAAAAAATGTTAACATAGGCATTCACACTTCAAAATACACCAACGGACTTCTAAACCATTGCAATTATCTTAGCCTAAAAAAAAATTTAGAAGAAATAAGCAAAAGGAGTTACAACAGATATGTATGCATTTATCACCTACTCATTAAAAAATGGACTTCCCCAAAAGAAGCCCAATATATAACTTTTTAAACAATTAGGTAAATCATGGAACATCCCTTGATAGAATATTAAATTATTAGTGATGAGTTTTGTTTAATTTTGTTGACAGGGAAAGTTTTTATAATAATGTTAAATAAAAATGTGAAAAATTACACACACATATATATACTAGATATTCCTAATTATAGTTTTAAACATACAAATGAAAAGCATAAATATTAAAAACTGAAGAAAACACCATTTCTTAACATACCACATTCATTAATATAGTTTTTCTTGAGAGTCCCGACTATGGATTTAAGCATTATCTGGATTACTTTTCACAACCTCTTATATTTTGTTTTCTTAGATGACCATGTTTGTCTTTATAATCAAAAACAACAGTGTAATTAACTCTTCAAAAATGACTAATAAATCTGTGTGCAACTAATTTACAAGGACAAATGCATCTGTGAATTAGTAATACAAAATACATTCAGGGACTACACTCAATGTATCAGGTAATTATTTACCCCACTTCAAAACAAAAATATGAAGAAGAAAGAGGAGGAAATGGGGGAAGAGAAGAAATAAAGAAACTAACAAACATTAAAACTGTCATCTGAATTGTCAATACTTGTGGCTATTTTTAGAATAGTTTCATTGTTTCATTAGCATAGTGAAAATGTACCTACATAAACACATGTATGTTCATGTCTATTCTAACCTAAAGCCCAAAGCATGCAAATTTGCTCAGGCAGCAGCCAGGGGGAGTTTATTTATTGAACATTTACTATGTACCAGCCACCCTTCTAGACAAACACACAGTAGTGATCAAGGATGACAGAATTTCCATCCCCACTGGGTATGCTTTTTTGTAATGGGCAAAGACAGAATACAAGCAAAAGAAAGTTTTTCAGGACTTATTAAAGGTTATGTGTACACTTTCTAGAATTGACAAAGCCTTTGAGGACTACCTTAAGTAGTAAGAATAAAAAGATTGAGATTTATTTGTTGAACAGACTTGTCATTTTCATAGAGATTGGAAATGACCTAACATTTTGACAAAGACCATAGCTCACAAAGCATTAAGTAATATTAACTCTAAGGATTAGGTGGGTGTGAACAACTATAGAGTCCATTTAACATTTTAACACTAAATTATCGGCTACTTCAATTCTTCCAGATTACAGCAATCAGGTATAATTTTTCTAATAAACATTTTATTAATACAATAAATAATAAGATTCAGCTTTAGGTATATAAGTGGTTCTTTGGTATTATGTTGGGTTTCTTAAGTTGGCCATTTACATCTTTTCAGGTTGCTATGGAAACATTTTATGTACTTATATATACTCTAATGTGTGGTTTTAAATGGCTTTAAATAAATTTGCCCTAAAACAGATTAAAATTGCAAACCTGAAACTTACTAGAGGATGGTACTCATATACAACAGTAAGCTACTAGTAATGAAAAATATTTTTAAAGTCCGGTGAATTATTCTTAAAAAGTAAGACACCTTAAGAAATCTAGCAGAGTCCTCTAACAGCAAGTAAGTGTTAGAGGAGCAGATGATTAGAAAAACGTTTTAAAGAGTTACTTGTAAAATTTTTAGTACTAATAAATATAAATAAATAACAGATTGGAGTAGTCTCACCATTTATAAATATTTTGCAACTCCAAACTACTAGTCAGCACTGGGTGAAGGGAAACATCTCTTTATGAAAGTTAGGGAATTCTAATTTTATAAACTTCCTCATCTCCCCACCAATGCTATCTGTGGCTGCAGATCCAGAATGACATCATTTCCATTATTAGAAACTATTTTCCTTAGTTTCTAACTGACTTATTGGGCATTTGTTTGTAAATGCCTTTGAAATACAGTTTTTCAAAATGCATAGCCAGCCTCCGTTCCTGTGTGTCACACGGTCATTCACGGTAACCATCTGGAACTGAAGCCATTCCTCAGGGTTCTGGATTTTTACAAAATCAACAGAGAAAATAAATGTGTTTAAGGTAAATATTTTTCTGCAAAACCAGCCTGGATTAATTTTAAATCACCCTTGAAAAATAAAATGAAGGAAATGTTGGCAATTACAGCTGAAACAGACCTAAAGTTTACAAGATCTGCCGTGCTCTCTGCCTCTCACTGCTCCTGGGTGCAAAGGTAGGTTTGCGCCTACACTTTCGCATTCCTAAGTCACCTGTCTGGTGTCCACTGACACAAGATGTCATCTGAATTGTCAATACTTGTGGCTATTTAGAAAGAAGCCATTGTACAACTTTCCCTTACCCTCAAACCTGGCCAGGGGCATTTCTCCTGTCTGGTGTCCACTGACACAAGATGTCACCTGTATTTAGAAAGAAGCCATTGTACAACTTTCCCTTACCCTCAAGCCTGGCCAGGGGCATTTCTTCCACAGCATGCAAGAAGAGTTTTGGTTGCTCCCGGTGCGGAGCCAGACTGGCTGGTTTAAACCAAGTCTAAAAATTAGCTGTGTAACCTGGGACAAGTTATGTTACTTCTCTGTGCCTAGATCCTAACTCCCTTAAATGCGAAGATTAAATAAGCAAGCATATATAACATGCAGAAAAGAGTGCCTGGCAAGTGGTAATCACTCTATCCTTGTCAGATATTATTATTGTTGTTATTAAGTGTTGAAGAAAATACATTAGAATTTTTTCTCAATGTAGAAGTTACTATGTAGAAGTACTATGTACCATGTATTATGTACAAGGTAGAAGTTGCTATGAAATTACTACCCTTTCTAAATGTATATAAAAATGGTAAAACTATTAGTAATAATTCCATCTTTCTCAATTAAAACAGACTAGCTTATTATTCAAGATTTAAAAAACACAATATATTGAGGAATGTCTTTCTGTCTATTTGTATTTTAGGGCACCATCCTTTCATTTTTGCATTTTGCAGCTCAGATTTTTCGTCAAAGTCTCTTCATTTCACAATTAGCAGGGTGTGAGAACTAATATTTACCAGCTGAATAGCAGGAATTATTGGGTAGTGTTTCAGGCATATTTTGAATACATCGAAACAAAGTCACCAGACTCAATTCATCCCCAAAGACATGGACCTTCTTCCTCTGAATTAGATGTCCCATGGCGTAGGTCTTATCAGTATATAAAACCTAAGAAACAAACCAAAAAACTGTGTCAGAAATGAACACAAAATGGGAGGCTTTGAACAGTAAAACCAGAATTAGGGTTTCAACCTACCTGACCATATATAAAAAAGTAACCAGTTTCTTTGACCAATATTTTATTCTCTTTTTCTTCTAGGGCACTTCCCCTTTTAAAGCTGAGAAGCCATGGAACAAATGTGTAAGATCCTGCAATGAAGAGAATCATTTATAAGGAAAGAAACCAAGAAAAGCAGTTTTCACCTCCATTTAGTTGTTAAGCTACCTCTGAAACTTAGAAGATAATTCCATCCTAAAAAAAAAAGAAAGAAAGAAAGAAAAAAAAGGAAAAAGGAATACAAGTCACATTACTGCACTGGATTCTTTGCCATCACTTATATGTTAACCTGGGTTAATATATCAGATACAAGAACCTGAGAGCTAACCCTTTATATGAATGTCTGGGTTTTCCCTTTATTGGTCTATATTTCGGCTATTTCATAATAAAGGCTGATCTGGATAAGAGAGTTTGAAGCAAAGAGTGGACAAAATTTCTCTGAATAACACACTAGTAGAGATTTTCCTTTGATTCCCAGAGAGGAAAGAGTATCTGAAGAGTTTGGCAAAATGTTTCCAGACGAAGAAATCTCTCCATTCCTTGGCCCAAATGTGGCAACAGAAGGGAGCCTACGGAAGAAAGAAGAAAGTGACTAAGACACAACCTTTACTAAGAACGGTCAAGGAACTTTGTAACAACCATCTATGATATTTGAGTTTCAATGGCTTCTGTTCAGTTCAGTGATAATTCTCCTCCATTACCCATCAAAAGTCACTTGGGTAGTGACAAGGAGACCACTGTGCTCAAGGGTGAGATGAAAGGGACAGAGAGAAGACAGTAGCCATCAGTGAGTAGGCACATGGGGGGACTACATTGCTGAGCCAGAATCTGTAGGTGCGTTCAGACATCAAAACCCATTAAGAGAGCAGAGACATTCCTTTCCTGTGAATTCATACTTTACATTCCCTGGATTTCTCATGGGTGTGTTGAATAAAGGGTGAGCCCTAAGGCTGGAGATTGGGAAATTTGGGGAGTATAAATTAAATGATGTAAAATGAATAAAAAGAAGATTGAGGGACTGTAATATAAGGATAAAATAGTAAAATAGAGCTATAGAAGTTAGTCTAAAATCATACTTTAAATGTCCCTATATAATTGGTAATGGTGAACCATACCTGTCTCCAAATTTCATCCTGATCATAGCAAAAATGAAAACAAAATTGATAATAAAATTCAGAATCCACAACAGACAATAGGCTAGAAGCCCAAGAAGATAACAATATTTCTAGAATTGAGATTAAAGAATATTTTTTCCTGTGGGTTTTCATGAGGGGCACAGGATGATGTGGTAGCTAACAGTGTGTTCACATTCTGTAAATACAACTGCCAAGTGTACATGCCTTCTTCACATAGTGTTTCCAAGGCAAACCAAACATATTTAAACTTTTTCCAAATAAAATTCTTTTTTGATCTTATGTTTTAATTGACAGATAAAATTGTACATATTTGTCATGTACAACATGATGTCTTGAAATATATAGGCATTGTGCAATGACTGAGTCAAGTAAATTAAAATATATGTTACCTCGTACAGTTGTCATTTTTGTGGTGAGAACACAATATCTACTCATTTAGCATTTTTCAAAAATACATTTTCATTAACTGTAGTCACCATGTTGTACACGAGATCTCTTGAACGTATTCCTCCAGTCTAACTGAAATTTCGTAATCTTTGACCAACGTCTTTTCACCTCCACCCCCGCCACCCCAGCCACTGGTCAACACCATTCTACTCTCTACTTCTTTGAATTTGACTTTTTTTAGATTCCACATATATGTCAGATCATGTAGTATTTGTCTTTCTGTGCTTATTTCACTTGTTATAATGTCCCCCAAGTTCATCCATGTTACTGCAAACAACAGGGTTTCCTTATTTTTATGC
This sequence comes from Homo sapiens, assembly GCF_000001405.40. Classification (NCBI taxonomy): domain Eukaryota; kingdom Metazoa; phylum Chordata; class Mammalia; order Primates; family Hominidae; genus Homo; species Homo sapiens. The sequence continues at coordinate 108,301,462 of NC_000013.11, read as the reverse complement.
TGAATAGTATTCCACTGTGTATATATTGCACATTTTCCTCATCCATTCATCTGCAGATGGACACTTAGGTTGATTTAATATCTTGGCTATTGTGAATAATTCTGCAATAAACATTGAAGTACAGTTATCTCTTCTATGGTCACACCACTCCGAATGCACCCTATCTTGTCTGACCTCAGGAGCTAAGCAGAGTTGGGCATGGTTAGTACCTGGATGAGAGATATCTCTTTGACACACTGATTTCATTTTCTTTGGATATATACTTGGTAGTGGGATTGCTGGATCATATGGTATTTTATTTTTAATTTTTAAAGAAACTTGTGTACTATTTTTCATAATGGCTACACTAATTTATATTCCCATTCCAAATAAGATTATGGAGGGAAGAATATAAAATAAGAACCACATATTTCTGATTGTTTCTAAGGAGTAAGAATCCTAGGTGATAACCAAGCAAATTACATTGTAAATTCAAGTTGAAATAAATAACATTTCCCTAGTCAGATCTTTGAGTTCCTATTACCATAGACAGAGGGAGGAAAGATGTCAGGGAGAGTGCAGAGGAAGGATGGAGGATCTATGGGTGGATCAAGAAACTTCCCAGGTCTTCTTCAGCACATGTTCTTGTCGGCCTGTGCTTCTTGCTCACTCCCAGGAGCCACCTCTGTCACTGTCTCTCACCAAGGGTGAATGTGCCTTGATATGGGCAGGTCTAATTGGCTTTTCCCAAAGAAGGGAATATTTTCCTTAAAAGAAAAGCCCTCTTGTATAGTAATAGTTAACACAAGATCACCTCAATGACAAATTACAAATGCAAAATCATCATCGCCTCTTTTACGATATAATTTCAGTGAAAAGATTATAATAAAATAGTTTTTAATTTTGTTTAAATGACATAATGTATGCAAAGCACTTTTTGGAGTGCTGAAAAATGAGGAAGAGTTAATACAGTTACTGTCATTATTGTAAAACACAAACTGATGACTTCACCAAGGCAGTTGCTTTCATAGTTTAATGATATTCATTTGATGCTTGGAGGGAAGAGAGCTTTTAAAAAAATAATATACTTGAGAGATACTAAATTTTCTGAGCTAAAGGGCCATTTATGTTTGGTTCCCTGTCATTTTCCCAGGGCTTAACATCATGACTGACCCACAGTAGACATGCAGCAAATATTTATTAAATTAATGAATTCAAATTTAAACATAATATAATTCAAAATAGCAATGTACTGTAAAAATTAATCACAGGTATTCAATTGTTTTTTTAAAAGCATTTTAATACCAAGTTACTGAAATTCTTGGTAATGAAATGCCCTCCATCATAGAGGTAGTATATTCTCTTAAATTTAAGTAAAATACAAATTTCTAAAACCACTTGTTTACATTCTGGCTAGAGATATTTGTTTACTAAAATTTTATAATAATTTAGATTGATTTGTTAGATTTTTTACATTAAATTTATATGTATAAAATTAAAGACCCACTTCTTAGTAAATGTCACTGGTGCATTGTCAGCCTAGAAAATAAAACAAATACTTAGTAGGTCTCTATTCTTACTGTCTCTTAACATTTTATTTAGGCATTTTATCATCTCTTTCTGGCAATAATCTTATTAAAGTGATAGAGAACATGTTTACTTATTTTTATATATTGTCTTTATTCCTCCAACATCCACACACACACATACGCACATCCACATACCTACCTGGGCTCTCTGCAAACAGGAGGTAAAGACTAAGTTTAACTGCAGACAGCCTAGTGAAAGTTTGAAGAAATACCCCAGTTCAGAGGCTGTTTGTAAATACCAGGAGAGATTTTTATTTTTATTTTTTGACTTTTAATGTTTAACGAAATCTCTGTCAGGATGAGGATTAGCGATAAAATCATCTCTACCAGGCCAACAAAAGAGATAATAGAAGAAGGACTCCTGTGTCCACACAGGACAAGGAATAGAGTCTAGGCAAACAAAAAAAAAAGTATTTTGGAAAAATTACTAAACAAGTGAACAACTGCAGTCCACATCCATTAACAGAAAACCCTGAGGATGGGAGTAATTTTGATTTCCAGATTTGCTACATTGTAACATCCTAACTGCCTAACTGTTCACTTTTCAAGAAGAAACTTCAAGGCATACAAAGAAAGAGAAAATTATGAACTACTCAGCGGACCAAAAGAATAAAGTCATTATTACAAGATTAATACTCAATAGCGAATCACTTTTCTACCAGTGATCTAACACTTTTCTACCAGTAATAAACAAGTGGAATTTGAAATTAAAAACATAATGGCATTGAGATTATTACCTCAAAAAATGAAATACTGAGGAATAATCCAACAAAATATGTAAAAGATTTAAAGAACTAAATAAATGGAGAGCTATTCCATGTTTATGAATAGGAAGACTCAATATTGTCAAGATGTCAGTTCTTCCTGTAGATTCAATGCAATGTTTTGTTTGTTTGTTTGTTTTTTGTTTGTTTGTTTGTTTGTTTTTCCCAAGTCTTGCTCTGTCGCCCAGGCTGGAGACAGGGGTGCCATCTTGGCTTACTGCAACCTCTGCCTCTGGGGTTCGAGTGATTCTCCTGCCTCAGCCTCCCGAGTAGCTGCGACTACAGGCAAGTGCCACTACGCCGGGCTAAGTTTTGTATTTTTAGTAGAGAGGGGTTTCACCATATTGGCCAGGCTGGTCTCAAACTCCCGACCTTGTGATCCTGCCTTGGCCTCCCAAAGTGCTGGGATTACAGGCATGAGCTACCGTGCCCAGGTGACTCAATGCAATCTTAATCAAAATCAAAGCAAGTTGAATATCAACAAACTGAGTCTAAAGAATATATAGAGAAGCAAAAGACACAGAAATGCCAACATAATATTAAAGGATAAGAACAAAATGGGAGAACTAACACTACTCTACTTCAAGACTTACTATAATTGATTTTAATAAGATTTGGAATCTTTTTGTCTTTACCCTCCTTGAAGTTTACTGAACTTTTTAGATATGTAAATTTATGACTTTCTTCAACATTGGAAAGAGTTTGGCCATTATTTCTCCAAATATTATTTATTCAGATTTTAACTCTCTTCTCCTTCTGTGACTCTCATAATGCATATGTTCATCAGTTTAATGTATCCTGGGGGGTCTCTTATAATCTGTTCACTTTTCGTTATTCTTTTTTAACTTCATTTTTAGAGCCATTTTAGATTCACAGAAAAACTGAGAGGAAGGTACAGTGATATCTCATAGACCTCATACTCCCTACAGATACTCTCCCATTATCAAAATCCCCCACCAGAGTGATACATTTATTACAATTGATAAACCTACACTGATATATCATGAAGGAAACTTAAATTGCTATTACTAAAAAAAAGAAGTGAAAATAAAAATGTTACATACTGTGCAATTCCAACAACATGGCACTCTGGAACAAAGTTAAAACTACAGAGACATTTAAAAAATGCCATTTCCAGGGGATAAGCAGTGGAAAGGGAAAGGTAGTTGGAGTGAAGCACAGAGAATTTTTAGGACAGTGAAAATACTCTAATACTACAATGGTGGATACATGCCATTATGCATTTGTGCTAACCTATAGAAAGTAAAACATTAAGGTGAACCCTAATGTAAACTGTGGACTCTGGATGATAATGATATATTAGTGTAGGTTTATCAGTTGTAACAAATGTATCACTCTGGTGGGGGATTTTGATAATGGGGGAGGATATGCATCCGTAGGGAATATGAGGTCTATGAGATATCTCTGTACCTTCCTTTCAATTTTTCTGTGAATCTAAAATGGCTCTAAAAATAAAGTTAAAATAAAAAAGAAAAAAGAAAAGTGAACAGATTATAAGAGACCCCCAGGATACATTAAGCAGATGAACATAGGCATTATGAGAGTTACAGAAGGAGAAGAGAGAGAAAATTTGAAAAAAGAATATTTGGAGAAATAATGGCCAAACTCTTTCCAACGCTGAAGAAAGTCATGAATGTACACATCTAAGAAAATTCAGTAAACTCCAAGAAGGGTAAACACAAAAGATTCCTACCAAGACTTCTTAAAATCAAGCTATTAAAAGATAATGACAAGGAGGAGATCTTGAAAGCAGAAAGAGAGGCAATTCATCAAATATAAAATATGCTGAATAAGATTAATAGCTGATTTGTCATCAAAAACCATGGAGGCCAGAAGCCAGGGGAATTACATATTTAAAGTACTGAATGAAAAACACTGTCTACCATGTATTCTATATGTGGGAAAATATCCTTAAAATGTGAAGAAAAATTAAGATGTTCTCAAATAAAGAAAAACTGAGAGAGTTCATTGGTAGCAGACTTACCCTGTGAGAAATGCTAAAGGAGATAGAAATAAAACAAAAAGCACTAAGTGAGAATTGAAAGACATATGAAGAAATAAAGAATACAAGTAAAGGTACATACATAGGCAAATATAAAAGCCATTGTAAGTGTATTTTTAGTTTTTAACTTCTCCTTTTGTTTCCTATACTATTTAAAAGGCAAATACATAAAATAATAATTATTAATTTATGTTAAGGGCTTACAATGTATAAGCGTATATTTTGTGACAATAACAACATAAGAGAGAAGCTAAGTTGTTATCAATTCAAACCACATTGTTATAAATTTAGGATGTTTATTGTGATCACCAGAATAACAACTATGATAATGACTTTTAAAAATGCACAAAAAGAAATTAAGAGAAAAACAAAATGATGTACTTATAAAAGTCTATTAAAAACAAAATAAAGAGGTAATAAAGGAATTGAGGAACAAAACTTATAAAAGAACAAACAGCAACATAAGTAATTCTTTCCTTATCAGTAATCACTTTAAATATAAATGAGCTAAATTTAAATTTGGCAATTAAAATACAGAGATTGGTAAAATAATTTTTTTAAAAGCCCAAACTCATGATCTAATTATATTCTGCCTACCAGAGACTCACTTCAGATTCAAAAACACAAACAGGTTTTTGTGTTTCAAGGTTTCAAGATTAAAGGATGACAAATATGCCTCCTTGCAAATAGCAGCCAAAGATAACAGGGATGGCTAATACTGATATCAGAATAAATACATGTTAAGCCAAAAATTTTTATGAAACAAAGAGAGTATTAAATATTGATAACAGAGTCAATGTATCAAGAATACCTAATAATTATAAACATCACTCAACAGAACCTCAAGATATAAGCAGATATTGGCTGAACCGAAAGGAGAAATAGACATTTCTATAGTAACAGCTGAAGATTTCAGTATCTCACCTGAAATAATAGCTAGACCATCTAGGTAAGAGATCAATAAGGCAATAGTGAACTTGAACAACACTGTAAACTAACTGAACCTAACAGACACATAGAAAACACTCCACCTAAAATCAGCAGAACACATATTTTCAAATGCACATGAACATCGACCAAGATAGACCATGTTATGCAACAAAATAATTCTCATTAAATTTTAAAATATTTGAATTCCACAAATATCTTGTATTTTAAAAAGATATGTTTTTCATCCTTTGACCTTGAAACCTGTTTATGTTTTTCAATCTGAAATGGCTCTCTATTAAGCATTCATTTTAGCTACCTTCAATAACATAAGGAAAATTGGAAAACTCACAAATAAGTGAAAATTGAACAAATTCTTAAACAACAAATTGATCTATAAATAAATCCTAGAAGAAAATAGAAAATACTTTGAGATGATTGAAAATAAAAACACAGCATAGCAATATTCATAGGAAGCAGTGAAAGTAGCACTCAGAAAGAAATGTACAACTGTAAATGCCTATGTTAAAAAAAGATCTCAACATAATATCCTAAGTTCAGCTTAAGGAAATAGAAATAGAAGAAGAAACTAAGCCCAAAATTGACAGAAGGAAGAAAATAATAAAGATCAGATAATATAATAAAGAAGGTAATAATAAAGAAGGTAGATGGAATAAAGAGTACAAAAAGGACTGGGTGCGGTGGCTCACATGCAATCCCAGCATTTTGAGAGGCCAAGGCGGGTGAATCATTTGAGGTAAGGAGTTGGAGACCAGTCTGACCAACATGGTGAAATCCAGTCTCTACTAAAAATACAAAAAATAAATAAATAAATAAAAATAGCTAGGCTTGGTGGCACATGCCTGTAGTCCCAGCTACTTGGGAGGCTGAGGCAGGAGAATCGCCTGAACCTGGGAGGCAAAGGTTGCAGTGAGCCGAGATCGCACCATTGCACTCCAGGCTGGGTGACGGAGACTCCATCTCAAAAAAAGAACAGAAAAAGACGAAACAATAACACTGAAAACTGGTTTTTTGAAAAATATGAACAAAAATGACAATCATTGAGCTACATTGACCAATAAAAGAGAAAATACTCCAATTAATAAAATCATTAAAGAAAATGGAGGTATTATTAATGGCCCATTGGAAATAAAATGTCTATACCTTTTTATTATTTATAATAATTGTACTCCAACAAATTAGATAATGTAGACAAATGGGACAAATTCCTAGAAACACACAAACTACCAAAACTGACTCAAAAATAAATAAAAAACCTAAACAGACCTATAACCAGTGTAGAGTTTTAATTAATCCAAGTCTTCCCTCAAAATTCATAACTAGATGGTTTTACTGGTGAATTTTACTAGACATTTAAAGAAAAATTAACATCAATCTTCTCAAACTCTTCCAAAAAACAGTAAAAGAGAAGGGAACCATTCCTAACTTGTTCTGTATGTCTAGAGTTACACTGATATCAATGCCACACAAAGACACCACAAAAAACTACAGGCCAGAATCAACCATGAATATAAAGGTAATAATCCTCAAGATTATCCTAACATCAGAAACAAGACTATGCCTGCATTTACCACTGCTATTCAACATATGCTGGAAATTAAAAAAAAAATCCAAATGCAAGGAGAGTAGTAAAACGATCTCTATTTGCAGATATCATAATTCTATATACAGAAAATTTCCAGCCAGGCATGGTGGCTCACGCCTGTAATACTAACACTTTGGGAGGCTGAGGCAGGAAGATCTCTTGAGGTCAGAAGTTCGAGATCAGTCTGGCCAACATGGTGAAACCCTGTTTCTACTGAAAATACAAAAATTAGCTGGGTGTGGTGGCAGGCGCCTGTAATCCCAGCTACTCGGGAGGCTGAGGTGCGAGAATCACTTGAACCCAGGAGGCAGATGTTGCTGTGAGTTAAGATCATGCCATTACACTCCAGCTTGGGCAACAGAGCAAAACTCCATCTCAAAAAAAAAAAAAATCCATGAATTTACAAAAAAATCTACTAAAACTAATCAATGAATTCAGTTAAGTTTCAGGGTACAAGATCAACACTCAAAAATCTGTTGTGTTTCAATATACCAGGAATGAATAATCTAAAAAGGAAATTTTAAAAAAGAATCCCATTTACAGTAGCATCCGTTATGGATTGAATATTTCTGTCACCCAAAATTGATATGTTGAAATTCTAACTTCCAATGTGATGGTATTAGGGGGTGGTGCCTTTGGGAAATAACTAGGCTGTGGTAGCACAGCCTTCAGGATGGGTTAATGTCCTTATAAGAAAAGACACAAGAACTTGCTTTTGTCTCTGTTCTCAGCCATGTGAAAACACAATGAAAAGACCACCATTCACAAACCAAATCTGTTGGCACCTTAATCTTGAATTTTCCAGCCTCCAGAAGTGTGAGAAATACATTTTTATTGTTTAATCCACTCAGTCTAGTGTAATATGTTATAGCAAACTGAACTGACTAAACAGCATTCAAAAGAACATAACACCTAGAAGTAAATTTACCCAAGGACATAAAACACTTTAACACTGAACACTACAAAAGATTGCTATAAGAAATGATAGGACATATAAATAAAAGAGAAGATATCTTGTGTTCATGGATTGATAGATTTAGTTTAAGATGGCAGTAATACTCAGTATTATGTACAGATTCAGTCTAATCCATATACAAATTTCAGTGACCTTTTGTTCTCCAAAATGAAAAAGCCAGCCTTACAATTCATTTGTTATTGCAAAAGAGTATCAAATAGCCAAAACAATCTTAAAAATAAATAACAAGATTGAAGGATTCACTATCCTAAATTTCAAAATTTACTATAACATAACAGTAATCCAAATAGTATAGTGGTCCAGCATAAGGCGAGGTGTATAAAGAAACAAAATAAATTTGAGAGTACAGAAATAAACCCATACATCTACGTACAACTGATTTTTAACAAGTGTGCCAAGACCGTTCAATGTGGAAGAAATCATCTTCTTCAACAAATGATGTTGGGACAACTAGATATCCTCATGCTAAAAGATGATTTTGGACCTCTGCTTCACACCATATACAAAAATGAATTAAAATAGATTAATTACCTAAATATAAGACATAAAACTACAAGACTCTTAGAAGAAAACATATGGGTGAATCATGATGTTGAATTTGGCAATGAGTTCTTCAATGATAACACTAAAATCACAAGAAACAAAAAAAAGATAAATTTTACTTCATTTATCTGATGTACAACACTCTTGTGCCTCAAATGACATTCTCAAGAAAGTAAAAAGATAATCCACAAAAGAGGAGAAAATACTTGCAAATCAGATATTTGATAAGGGTCTTGTATCCATAATATATAAGGAAGTTTTACAACTCAACAACAAAAAGACAAACAACCCAATTAAAACACATGGACAAGGTACTTGAATAGACATTTTTCCAAAGAAGACACCAAAAAGGACATGAAAAGATGCTCAACATCATCAGTCATAAGGAAAATGCAAATAAATAACAGAGATATGGCTTCACACCCAGTAGGAAGGCAATACTAATAAAAACATTGAAAATAAGATGTGTCAGTGAGGATGTGGAAAAATTAGAACACTAGTACATTGCTGGGGGGAAGGCAAAATGTTGCAGCACTGTAGAGAACAGGTTGACATTTTCTCAGCAATTCTACTCATCGATTCATCGATGTATACTCCAAATAATTGAAAAGAGGCACTCAGGAAGTACTTTATGCAAATGTTCACAGGATCACTACTCACAATAGCCAAAAGGTGGAAACAAACCAAATACCCTTAATGAAATTATGGCTTACTTATAATAGAATGATATACATTCATACAGAGGCATGAAGTATGAATACATGCTAGAATGTGGGTGAACCTCAAAACATCATGCTAAGTGAAAGAAGCCAGGCACTAAAAGTCACGTATTGTGTGACTGCCTTTATATAAACCATCTAAAATAGGTGAATCCACAGAGACATAAAGCAGATTGCTGGTACAGGGGCATGGGGAGACAGAGAAATGGTAACTGATTGCTTAATGGATACAGGATTTTCTCTGGGGCTGAAGAAAATATTTTGGAGCTAGAGAGAGTTGGTGGTTGTAAAATATTGTGAATACTACATTACAATGAATTGTGCATTTAATTTTATGTTATATGAATTTAATTTCAATAAAAAGATATAACTGAAAAGGTAGCTACCCCTAGTATTTAGCATTTAGAAGTCTACGCTAACAGAAAAAGCAAAGCAAATAGCCTACATAGTAAGCAACCTCTTTAAAACTATAAAATAGAAACTCTTTTGTTAACATGAAAAACAATACACAGTATAGCACATTATGATGAATAAAAGCCAAATACATTTCTGAAATAAGTAAATGTAAATTGATTTATATCACCCAATAAATGAAAATTATTTTAAGATGATATCAAAAAACAAAGAGCAACTCTGTTTTGCATACATGAGAAACACAGAAAAATTATTTCAGAGAAGTTAAAAGTAAAATTTTGGGCAAAGTCATGCTAGGGAAATGCAATCCAAAAATAAAAGAAAACATTTCAACTTTAATATTGAAAAGATATATCATGGAATTCAAGGCTTTTATACACAAAAAGAACAACCAGCTGGAAAATATAATGAAAGAAAATGTTTCTATTTATCATAGCATTTGAAAAGGTAAAACACTTTGTAATGATATTAATAAGAAATATGCAAGAACTTCTTGAAGAAAATTTCAATACATACTAAAAGAAAAAAAAGGAGACTAAAAAAATATAAATATATATCATGTTCTTGGATTTGATCTGTACATCTGTTATCATGAGGGTATTTTTCTTAATTTATAAATATGAGATTCAACAAAAATAGCACGTATTTTTCTTTTTCTTTTTAACTAAGTAAGCTGATTCTACAGTTCCTATATTTAATAGAAAAAAAAGAAAAATTCTAGAAGTAAAAAGAAAAAATGAGTGAATTAAATTTACCAGAAAATAATACAAAGCCCTAGTAACCAAAATGCCATTTTATTGGGGTGCATAAATAGACATTAAGTCAATATGGTATAACAGAAAAGTATTTAAAAAGTGAAAAAAACATAGACTAAACATGGAATTTAATAAAAGTTAAAGTTAATGTCTTCAAGCAGTCTGGAAAAGATGGGCGATTAAAAAAAGACTGTGATGCCCTCACAGGGGAAAATTAAGTTGGTTTCATACCTTACATCTTATACCAGGATAAATTGCAAATAGATAAAGTATTTAAAGGTAGAAAATAACTATAAAGGTTTCAGAAGGAACACGAGATCTTTCCTTAATACGTTTAAGTGTAAAAGGTCTTTCTAATCACAACCCAAATCCAGAATCCTTTAAAAAAATTGACAAATTTGACAGAAAAAAAAAGTATGCAAAATTAAGACAAATGACAGTATGGGAGGAAATGCTTGCAATTAGTAATATAAAGAATTAATCTGCTTGAGATATAAGGTGCTCACAGAAATCAGTTTAAAAATGACCAAGTCCAACGAAAAAATGGAAAAAAATATGAACAGATGGCTCACAGAAAAAAATAAAAATAGACATGAAAAATTGGAAGAATGTAAAGACAGAAATACAAATGGTTCTTAAAACATACAAAAGAATGGCTTGAAAGAAAGCAAATTAAGAGATGCTATTTTTCACCTGATGCTCTTTTGCTGCAAGTGATAGCATAACACTTTACAACCCCTATAGGACCACTTAGCAATAACTGTCAAAATTCAAAATCTGTCCCACACATAGGCTGACATATGAGAAGTTACGGATGCACACAATTATTTTTCGAAGCACCTGCATTGCAAAAGATGGACACCAAGAAGTCTATTGGTAGGAGACTGGTTAAATACATTCAATTCATACAATGGAATACTATGCTGCTTTTTTTTTCATATGAGGATCTCTGTACACAGGCATCAAAATGTCTGCAATATACATTGTTAAGTAAAGAATGCAGGTTATAATCTCATTTTCAAATCATATGTATTGAAAATATGGTTTTTAAGTGTTTACTATAAGAAAGGAGGGAAGCAGAGCTACATTTGCATTTGTTTGTGTTAACATAGAGGGAGTCTGAAGTCTATGTAGGAAACTGAAAGTGAGGTGAGTGTGGGCAGGAACAGATGGGAAAAGGAGCAATCCACACTCTTCATGCTTTTTTATTTTTTGCAACGTGTGAATGCATTACCTATTCAAAATCTAGATTAAAATTCAAAAAAACAAATGAACAGAAAAGACATGAGACTACACTCTGATAAACCCCTCTTGTCTTTTTCTCTTTTGTGAAGTTTACCTCTGCCCTCACTGTCTGGACAAAAGTATGGGGCAGAGCAAGCATAGGAACTCAAAATATCAGATGAACGTAGCCCCGCTCCTTTGAATCTCCATGTCTCTGGAATACATAACATGATTTCATCTCAAGACCTGATGTTATGTATAATACAATAAGATAATATATACAATATGCTAATAATATTTATATATATAAATTCTTTCCCCAGAAGATAATAATATATTATTATATATAATTATTATAATACATTATATATTATATAATATATAATTACATATAATATGCTAATAATATTAATAATATATTATTATCTTTTCCCAGAAGTCTTCTTATGGACCTGTGCAAGTAAAATGCTTTAGTGAGTACAGCCTTTTTTAACAAAATGCAACCTACCTGCTAAATGCAATCTGCCTGCTAAATGCCCATGCACACTCACATTTATATACTGGTCAAGGGTTTGCTGACATCACAAGGGCAACCTGTCCATCCTAAAGGTTGGAGCACTGCAAGCAAGCATCCCAGGTAATCACCCCAGTTCAGCACCCCTGGATCTGTGGCAAGCAGTCACCACTCCAGGAAGATCACAGCATACTCTCCAGTTCACACGCACATTGGAGTATAGCAGCTGCATAATTTGGTGCAATTTATAGCATTTTGGGGGGTGGGGGAGAGATGTGTAAAGTAAACCTTTTCAAAAGAATTTTTAAAAACTGTAACTTTGGCCCTTAAGATCTTCTGGCTTTCTTTTACTTCTTAGGAAACAGTGTGCTGCTTATTAAAAGTTGCAAACATGATTTAGGAAAATGTTGAACAATAAATAATAGATTTACAAGTAGTTTAGTACTTGTGTTGCATTTAGGACAATTAAAGTCACGCAGAAAAAAACACAGATGAAAAGAGCATGCCAGGGAATCATTACCAGTGCCAACTCACATTCATCATCTGTGCTAGTGTTGTTTTGCCCATTCCTCATCGCCTAGCCTAACCTCCAGATACTCCTGAACTCGTAGTTCGTTCACAACACAAAACTTTCTCCTGCCCCCGCCTGCTTTGCTGCCCTCCACAGCATTTCGTCTCATCTACATTTTACTTGTTCATTTGTGGGTTGTTGGGCCTTTCGTTTGTTTTCTCCTCATCAAGAGGTAAGCTCTTTCAAAGTAGAAAACCATGCATATGGACTTGCGATGGTTTGGCTTAGAATCTTCAACTTTACAAAGGTGTGAAAGCCACATACATTCAGGAGAAATCATACTTCATTCCAGTATTCAAAACACAACATGAGCTACTCAATACTTTACTATAAAATGGGCTTCATGTTAGATGATTTTGCCCAATTGTAGACTAATGTAAGTGTTCTGAGCACATTTATGGTAGGCTAGACTAAGCTATGATATTTGGTAAGTTAGATGTCCTAACTGCTTTTTTCAAGGCCCGTTATTTTCAGCTTAGGATGGGTTTATCAGGACATAACTCCATTGTAAGCCAAGGAGCATTTGTGCATATTTTAGTCACTGATACACCCAGTAAACATACAGTAATTAAAATATTGTATATTCTTAATTAATAAATGTAAACTAAATGAATCAATGAATGTGTGAGTGAACGAATGGTTCTTTTTTAGTACATTTTTGTTCACTAGTTATCTTATATAAACAAATGCTATTATAGAGCATCAATTCCCATTTGCTTTCAGAGAGAGGTCGATACATGATAAAGCAGCATAGTCACAAAAATTTGTGAAAAACTGGATGAAACAAAGTTAAACAAACATTTTTTAAAGTAGGACTACTTAGATTCAATAACTTGCTAATGTGCCTTGTGACTCAAAGAAAAATATGTAAGATGCTGTGTTTCCAAACTTATACGACACTGAAACTCTTATTTCAAGGACCATTTCTCTGGATTAACATTCTAGGTGACACATATTGGGAAATGACATTAAAAGTTGTTTCTTTGTAAACCTGGTTTCAGGCCATTATTATGGAAAACACTTAACTTGTCTAAAATTAAAACTAAAAAAGGCTTCAAATAACTGAAAAATGTAAAACATTCTACCTCTGTGAGAAAACGGTAAATTATCAAGCAATAATTTGATGTTGGAAATTTATTTTAAAAATACAGATTTTTAATAATCTGTTCAGTTTTATTTTCCTCTTTCTATGATTTTTACAATTGAATATAACAGGAGAATTCATATTTGTGAAGATGGTCTTGAGTCATTCTTAAAGATAAAATGCTGTCTAAATAATAAAAATGGAATTTGATTTATTATTGGTTTTTATTTTATTGTAGTTTAATTATTTAACATTTCTAAGTATTCGTGCCTCTAAGGTCATTCTCCTTATTAGATTATTACTTTGGTCTTAATTATTATTTATTCCCAAGTCATTTTGAATAAATGTAGGTTTATTATTTTTTACCTGATTATAAGAAGTTCTGAGATGGCTGATTGATTTTACATGCAATTCAAATACAGTCTTTAGACTTGAAACTTACAAATATTTGGAGTGGACTGAATTCTAAGTGGAAAAAGTACTGGGGATATTTTATTTGTTTTTATTATACTTTAAGTTTTAGGGTACATGTGCACAACATGCAGGTTAGTTTCATATGTATACATGTGCCATGTTGGTGTGCTGCACCCATTAACTCGTCATTTAACAGTAGGTATATCTCCTAATGCTATCCCTCCCCCCTCCCCCCACCCCACAACAGGCCCCGGTGTGTGATGTTCCCCTTCCTGTATCCATGTGTTCTCATTGTTCAGTTCCCACCTATGAGTGAGAACATGCGATAGCTTGCTGAGAATGATGGTTTCCAGCTTCATCCATGTCCCTACAAAGGACATGAACTCATCATTTTTTATGGCTGCATAGTATTCCATAGCGTATATGTGCCACATTTTCTTAATCCAGTCTATCATTGATGGACATTTGGCTTGGTTCCAAGTCTTTGCTATATTTTATTACCTTTTTGTATAGTTGGTGTTTCACTGTCTGCAATCAGTTGCAAGCAGTCTTGAGTGACTAAAAAGCAAAAATTTATCATTTTAGTTACTTGAGTAGAAATAATAAAGAAACTGAGAACACAAAGCTAGAAACCCACTCTTCCAGAAACACTAAATCAATTATACTTTTTACATTGATTGCATGACATTATTCTTAAAGTTACTTTATATTTGCCCATTGATTTATATATATGATATATATATATGAAATTCATGACATTTCAGAAAAGCTCTATGTGCTGTTAAAATATAATATCACCCTTACAGTTTAACCTAATTTGCTCTGAGAAATGGCTGAAGAGAAAGCAAGTTTAATCATTTGTTTTGCAAGTCTACCAAATACATGAAACAGTTAACCTTATAAGAACATTCTAAACAATCTTTGGTTTTAAAAAATCTAACATTAAATAATGACCTACTACTACAGAAAATACTATTTCTGACACTTATGAAAGTAAAAAAAAAAATGCTAATACGTATTGAACAGATTTAAGTGCAGACAGTGTACCAAGACAGTATATATCACTTCCTTTTACCCTCACAAGAATCCTAAAAATTAGATATTGGAAACTAAGGCTCGGAAAGTGCAAACAGCTTGTTCAGGAATCAGAGACAGAAAGTGATGGGACCAGAATTTCAACCCCACCTGTTTCACTCTGGATCCAAAGTCAAGCTTTTGGTAAAATATATTGGACCAAAGAGAGAAAGAGAGATAGAACATCTTTTACAAATAAAATGGAAGACTTCCATGCAAGTGCATATAGTTAGTAAAGCTTCCTGAAAACATCAATTCACATCACATATTACATGTAGAATATTCCAGTCAATATTTAAGAAACTAAATAACATTGTGTTAAATAAGGAGAAATGCCTTTAGGCAAAAGCAAATTAAGTACACCTGCTGGATCTGTAGGGAAGATACAATAAAGCAGTAAATGTCTGTGAAAAATATGAAACAGAAATCTAAGCTTGCATGTTTTAGATTAAGAAAATATTAGTGTAGTTTTTTATCTACCAAATATTTTACTAAGAGTTAAAGTAATACTTTATAAAGATGCTTCTCAATGTATACATTTTATGAACTTGACACAGTAGGGAACTTCTACTGTGACTAGTTGGTGATTGTATGGAGATTAGCTGAAAAATTTCTAATACAGTCATGCACTGCATAATATTTAGGTCAATGAGAAACTGCATATCTGATGGTGGTTCAATGGGATTATTTATAATACCAAGTTTTTACTATACCTTTTCTATGTTTAGATACACAAATACTTACCATTGCATTATTATACAATTGCCTACAATATTCAATACAGTAACATGCTGTACAAGTTGGTAGCCTAGGAGCAATGGTCTGTACTGCAGAGCCTAGTTGTGTAGAAGGCTACACCACCTAGGTTTGTGTAAGTATGCTCTGATGTTTGCACAATGATGAAATTGCCCAGGGATGCAGAATGTATCCCTGAGACTATATCCCTGTTATTAAGCAACACATGAATGTATTTAAAACTTGAAATAACATAGCAGTAGCTAAATAAGTTTGAGTTTGTATAAATACATACTATTAAAGGGTGTGGTCACATAAGAAAATCTGTTAAGAAATTCTTGGTATTTAAAGATGAAAATATATTGTTAAAAACTATAATTCCTTTATAACTATAAAGCTTTTCTAACACATTTTTATGTCAATTTTCAGATATTTTGATAGGAGCAGAGCATTTTGGTCCACTCTGAGGATTCTTTTATTAATCTTATACAAGAAAGGTATCCATGCCTGTGCCCCAGGAAAAACATGATTCGTTAGTCACTATGGCAGACTCTGTTCTGCTGGAAGTATGGAAAAGCATCCTAACAGGAAGAATGGTAGTGAATGAGGACAGCATGAAAGAAAGGAATAACAAAGCCTCCGGGGCAGCTAAAGCCCCAAGCGTACAGTCTCTATAGTAGTACAGTAGTAGCCACATTCAACCTATTTTAAAAGAGTTTTTATTTTTCCAACAAATCCTTCTTAAGTAATTATTATTCACAAGGCACCCTGACAGGTTTCTGAGTGGCACTAGGGTCAATCAGAGCATACAAAGCTCTCATCTTTCCTCCACATCAAAAACAAGGGAGGATGTTGATGAACGTCAAAGTCAGATTTTTAAACTTTGCATCTTTCCTTTGTTATACGTATATTGTAAAGAGTAAATGACACAATGCATGGGAAGCACTTTGCGCTATACTCAGTGCATAACACCTGCAAAATAAATAAATCTTGACTATTTGTATCAGTAGTGGTGTTAGCATTATTGTTCTTAATAATATCAAGGCAAATAACTTAGAAAACATCATGGAAGGACACCGTGGAAACATGCTGCCCAACTGCAGCTGATAAAGGCTAAAGAAATACAGAATGTATGACTTCCTATTTCTTTTGTCTTTTTTTATTGTTTGTTTGTTTGTTTGTTTGTTTATTTATTCATTTATTTATTTATTTATTTATTTTTTGAGACGGAGTCTCGCTCTGTCGCCCAGGCTGGAGTGCAGTGGCGCGATCTCAGCTCACTGCAAGCTCCGCCTCCCGCGCTCACGCCATTCTCCTGCCTCAGCCTCCCGAGTAGCTGGGACTACAGGTGCCCGCCACCATGCCTGGCTAATTCTTTGTATTTTTAATAGAGACGGGCTTTCATCGTGTTAGCCAGGATGGTCTCGATCTCCTGACCTCGTGAACCGCCCACCTCGCCTCCCAAAGTGCTGGGATTACAGACGTGAGCCACTGCGCCCGGCCATGACTTCCTATTTCAAGTCACCCTTTCTCTGTTTCCCAAAAACTTCAGTAGGAGACGGCTATGGTCTGAATGTCTGTGTTGCCCCCAAATTCCTATGTTGAAACCTAACTGCTGAGGTGATGCTATTAGGAAGACTTTGGGGAGGTGATTATGCCATGAGGGCAGAGCACTCATGAATGGAATTAGTATC
Organism: Homo sapiens; assembly: GCF_000001405.40. Lineage (NCBI taxonomy): Eukaryota > Metazoa > Chordata > Mammalia > Primates > Hominidae > Homo > Homo sapiens. The sequence continues at coordinate 108,283,857 of NC_000013.11, read as the reverse complement.
CTTATAAAAGAGATCCCAAAGGGCTAGCTTGCCCTATTTTCCCCACGTGAGAACCCAGTGAGGAGGCATCATCTACAAGCCAGGAAGCAAGTCCTCATCAGATACCGAAATCTTTAGGCATCTTGGTCTTGGACTTCCGGCCCCCTGAACTGGGAGAAATAAGTCTCTGTTGTTTACAAGCCACTCAGTCTATGGTATTTTGTTATAACAGCCTTGAATGAACTAAGGCAGATTTAGATGTTCTATGTAGTCAGAGAGAAGTTTACCTAATAAGTAATGACTTGACACCATGAATATGTCTCCTTTTTAGTCTCCACAGCCCAATTAAAACTTAGTCACAACCTACACATTGAAAAACAGTGGTCTATTCTCTCATGTAGTAGCAGAAATCTAACATTTAGCAGAAAATGTGCTTTAAAGAGAAAAGTTTCTTTCAAGAACTGTTCTTCAGAAGAGAAAATAAGATATAAAATTGATGTTTCAATAATGAGGTTTAAATTACAGCCACTGAAGTTGTGTAAGTATGCTCTGATGTTTGCACAATGGTGAAATTGCCTAGGGATGCAGAATGAATAATTGTCCTTGTTCCAGACAAAGTTACTCGACTTTTCCAAGGCAATTCGCTTTAGGAAATTTGATAGCTATTATCGAATTTCAACTATTTCAGCTATTTCAACTTATCTCCTATTCAGCCTTTTAAGACTTTCTTTCTCATTCAACATAGATCTGGTCTTAGGCTGGAGATTAGTGCTCAGCTAGAGATTTGCCTCACAAAGAGAGGAGCAAAAATGGCAATATTATTTTTAATATCTTCCAGTAACACAGATATCTAACCACAAGAGTTTTGAAAATGCGTAGTTTAATATAAGAAACACAATTTGATAGTAATTATCATATTAATTGATTATTGTTTGGTTCTCAAATGCCTTTCACACATCTCTCCCTCTACTACAATTGAAAGGAATTACACAAGAGGTTAAGAATAGTTTTTTTTATGTTTGTTATTGTTTTTTCTTTTAACTAAGCAAGGCAATAATATACATTAAAACCCTTCCGAGCCTATGGAGACACATTTCTGAATATACATTTCTGGGGATTATGATGTAATAATGTGTAAAATACATAATCTTATAAAATGCCGTTTTACAGCATAAGAGAATTTACTCATCATAATAAACTTCACATAAAACATTTCTAAAAACAAAATATTATAATGATCACAAAATGTTTACAAAATAAAATTACCAAAATAAGAATTTAAGGACAAAAATAATTTGCTATTGATCAATATTTAACACAATAAAATTCAATACTTCACAATTAGAGTGTAATTTAAATACTAACCATATGGGAAACATTTTTACAGTTTGAAAGGCCACCTTTTGAAGTATAATGTCTAAATACCATTTAATCAGAAAAAGTGATTTGAAAGTTTAGAGAATTGGTAATATCTGTTATACTATTTTCTGTACTGGAACTGAATCCATTAAAACTTGAAACTGGTTTATTATTCATTATTTCAACAAAGCTAAATCTAATATGAACTACCATAAATAACGCAATTACTGCAGATTATATGTGTCTCCCATGAAAAACATTACACACAGAGCATTCCCATTACGATTATCCCATCCATATCACCTGCACCCACAGATTCTTCATAGTGCTTCTCACTCATCTCATTCAAGAAGCCTCCTCCAGATGAGATGTAAGTCCTGCATCTTCCCTTATCTCTTTGTGTGGTTTTTTTCCTGTCATCTTATTTATTGCACCATATGTTTTTAAAGAAGGAGGATCTTGGACGGCAATGCCTCACTTTCATTTCTGCAAAACTTATCATTTGGTAAACGTAAGTTATGACAAATGTAGCTGTTTAATTTTTCTTGAACTAGCTTTGAATAAATAATCAGTGGCAGAAAAATGTTAACTAGAAAAAAAAAACACTTAAAGATCTCAATATTGACCTAATATTTGACAAAGACTTATGAAGAAAATGGGGAAAGCATGGTATTGAATTAACATTTTCACTGAAATTAAAACACATGAATTTAGAGGAGGGAAGCTAGTTTATAAGGTTGACCAACGATAAGCAGTTTGCTTTGGTTGCTTACTTAAAAAAGTAATAAAAGTCGAGAACTTTGAATTTTGAGAAAACTAGATCGAGAAGTACATATTGGCCTACTAGAAATTCTTATAAGTAGAGTTCTCAATCTTGGGAGGGGTCTGCCTGACAGACCTTGTACTTGAGGAAAATCATGTTCCTGTCTGTGTGTGAAGCGAGCTCCTGTAAAGGGAGGGTGGCAGCAAAGGTCTCAGTGATCTACTGGGAAAAGACATAGGGTGAGGATGGTTTGGTCTCAAATGCAGTTATGTAAATGCAGCATCTAAGATACATTGTGAAGAAAAATTGAAGTCGTGACCAATAGTTTTTAATTTTGGAGAATTCAGAAAGATAATAGCACTATAGTGTTCCTGAGAAAGTAAGAAAGGGGTGCTGGGTATTTTTTGGAAGCGGGTGTTGGAAAGGAGTTGATAGAATAGAAAAAACCACAGCTGATGGAATGATGACAAATACTTCAAATGATAATTTTCTTTTCTTTCTTTTTCTTTTTTTTTGAGACAGAGTTCTACTCTTATTGCCCAGGCTGGAGTGCAATGGCACAATCTTGGCTCATTGCAAACTCGGCCTCCCAGGTTCACATGATTCTCCCAGCCTTCTGAGTAGCTGGGATTACAGGCATGTGCCACCACACCTGGCTAATTTTGTATTTTTAGTAGAGACAGGGTTTCTCTGTGTTGGTCAGGCTGGTCTCGAACTCCTGACCTCAGGTGATCCACCTACCTCAGCCTCCTGAAGTGCTGGCATTAGAGGTGTGAGCTACCTCTAATTACCTCTAATACCTCTAATACCTCTAAATACCTCGGCATTAGAGGCCGAGGTACCACGCCCGGCCTCAAATGATAATTTTCTGTAACTTGCGTGTGTGTGTGTTTGTATAGACAGAATCTTAAGCACTAATTGATCATTGTCACATATCCACTCATATTTTAACTATGTTTTGTGCTTAAAGCAATATAGGAGATGTAAAATTGCAAGCCTTTTGTATTGCCTCATAGGCACTAAGAGTAAAAAAAAAAAAAGCATTATCATGACTTAATGTTGCTTCAGTTTACTATTCATCTAATATTTTAATTTTAAATTGATAATTTTATACTTGAATCATCATCTGTGTTTCTCCATGACTTCACTGAATTATGTTAGAATATTTCAATTTATTAATAATATATTCTTGGAACGCACTGAATATCAGGAGCTTGCCAGTGAAGAACAGTAGCTTCACAATATCACGTGTAAACCAACCTGATGTCAAGGAAGATAAAGCCAAAAATAGAAAAACAGTTGAATGTATGAAGTTACTAATGAATTCCCCAATCAGCAATTAAATCTTCACTTTCCCCTTGGACCTTTCCATTTGGATGCCTTAGTGATACTTCAGATTCAACATGTCTCAAATATAATGCTTTATCTTTCTCATGCATACTTATTTTCTCTCTGAGTGGATATATAACTATCCTCTGAGTTGCCCAAGCTACAAACTTTATAAACATTCCTGATTTCTGCCTTCTCAATCTTGGAGTTCAACTAATAATCAAGTTCGAATGGTTTAAATTTTTAACTTTTTTTCAATTTAGATTCCATCTCTCATTCATTTCATTTTAACAAATTTACTAAGGACTTAATCTACGTCAGGTGTTGTGCTAAGAACAGCAAAAAAAAAAAAAAAAAAGCAGACGCCATCCCTGCCCCCAGGGAGTTTACAATCCAGTGGAAGAAATGGGTATTACTCAACATCACACGGACAGAATTAAAGTTTCAACTTTAATTCTTGGTGCCCGGGCCGGGCATTTGATCCAATCAGGAAGGCTTCTCTGGGAGGTGACACTTCAACTAAAATCAGAAAAAAAGAGGAGCAATAGGAGCATCACGGACAAAATTAACAGCTCATGAATCTATGCAGAGGGTGATGTTGGGAGGGACACAGAGAGAGAGGAAGGAAGATGAGGAGCATAGCAGCCTAAATTCGAATCCCTACCTCACCATTCTTGACAATTCCATTAGCCTACCAAGTTGTGCCTCTTTTTCACAATTCCTAGCCCATCATTTGCATTTCCTCCTGAATTATCTTTCTAAGTGCAAATTTGTTCTTCTCATTCTAATGCTTACAATTCACTCACTGCATCTCCCTGGAATACAAAACAGTTCCTCCATGCCCCGGCCCAGCCAACATTCACAGTCTCATGCGTGTCACCCACCCAAACCCAGTTGTACTTAAACACATCTCAGAATGAGAGGTCATCTTCCATGCTTCCATGACTGTATGTCTGCTGTTCCCTCCTACTAAATATACTTTACCTTCTATCCAGTGGAACTCCATTCATCCTTCAGTACTGAAATCAAATACAAACTTTTTCTACAATACTTCTAGCAAAATATTTGATCCCACTATACTTTGCATATCATCTATTGAAATACATGTTACTATACACGCAATTGTTTCTGTAACTGTTTCTCTCCCTAGATTGTGAATCACTTGATATTAAGGACAACCATTCACAAATTTTCAGTGTCTGATTTACAGCAGACTTAAAAAAAAATCCGTGGAATAATATATGAAACAATTTACATAAAAAATAGCACTCAACTTTTCCAAACAATTCTTAAAAACCAGTCACTAAATCCAGCTTTATGAAATGTGTTAAATCAAGTCATTGCTTGAGGGAAAAGGGGTTCCATAAAACAAAACAATTTCCATGAATTGTGGACTCTCTCATAATAGGCTTTGAACCCTCAGTTATATAGGAAACATTTTCCTCAAGAGAAAACCTTAATAATACATTTTTGAATCTCTATCCACAGAAGTGTAGCACTCTATAATATTTTTAAAGTAAGTAGTTGTGCACCATTTTCCTAAAATGTCTTATTTTGTAATTTCCAGAGGCTCCAGTGGGGCAGATAGAAGAGAAAAAGGCCTGAAAGTGAGACTTCATAGCTGCTGTCAGGAGCTGTCACAGCGCAGTTATTCCCTTTTCTCTTACCCTTCCCTGTCTCAAATAACCTGATCAGAAGGAGGAGGAGGAGGAAGAGAAGGGGAGGAGGAGGAAGAGGAGGAGGAAAGGAGGAGAGGAGGAGAGGAGGAGGAGAAAGAGAAGTGGAGGAGGAGGAAAGGGAGGAGGAGGAAGAGAAGGGGAGGAGGAGGAAGAGAAGGGGAGGAGGAGGAGAGGAGGGGGTAGGAAGAAAGCTTGCATTTGCAAAAACACTTCAACAGATCAGCACTTGCAAAAATTTACAAATTTAGAAGAGGAAAGGGATAATATAAAGATGTTTGTATGGGATAAGCCTCTATGCCTACTAAAACAAGGCCTTTTCTTGAATTATTTCTGTTTCCTATTTCTACCTTGTCCTCATAACCTCAGTTATTCTGTCCTCTTACCCAAGTCTGCTCCATCTTCAAACCCACTTCAGCTCTCTTGACCACTGTCTAGATAATCTCGCAGTCTGTGATCTCTACCACTAACAACATTCTCTGATTCCTTAACTTGATGTCTCTCTCACTGGCATTAATCGTAATACCCTGGGCCTTGTCAGACCCAATATTTTTTCTCAAATCTGGTGGCACACTTGAAAATTAAGCATGTACAGCCATTATCATTGAAAAAAATCAGAATTTATAATCAATAGATAATGAATTCAAACCTTACCTCTCCTATCAATTAGTTGTCAAACCATGAGTTTGACACTTAATTTTGAAGCATTTTAAATCTGTATAATGATGTCAGAGGCAGGTGAACCAGAGAACCTCCATCTTGGATAGGAGCTGGGTAAAATAACTGAGACCTACTGGGCTGTATTCCCAGATGGTTAAGGCATTCTAAGTCACAGGATGGGATAGGAGATCAGCACAAAATACAGGTCACAAAGGCGTTGCTGACAAAACAGACTGCAGTAAAGAAGCCAGCCAAAACCCACCAAAACCAAGATGGCGAGGAGTGACCTCTGGTGGTTCTCACTGCTACACTCCCGCCAGCGTCATGATGCCATGGCAATGTCAGGAAGTTACACTATATGGTCTAAAAAGGGGAGGCATGAATAATCCACCCCTTGTTTAGCATATCATCAAGAAATAGCCATAAAAATGGGCAACTAGCAGCCCTGAGGGCTGCTCTGTCTATGGTTTCGGCATTCTTTTACTCCTTTACTTTCCTAATAAACTTGCTTTCACTTTACCCTGTGGATTCGCCCCGAATTTTTTCTGGCGTCAGATCCAAGAACCCTCTCCGGGGGTCTGGATCGGGACTCCTTTCCTGTAACATTTCTCTGGCGACCACAGAAGGGAATATAGTACAGAAACCCCCGACCCAAAGGTTAACTTTGGGTGAGTGTTGGGTCCTGTAACAATGGGAATAGCAATATCCATTTCATACTGCTGCGAAAATAGATTGAAGTCATCATTTAGATGTGTTTTATGAATTGTAAATAACTTGTCTATTTTATTGTTCTTTTAAATTTTGCATCAATTTGGCTTAACTTCTCCAACTATTAAATAATTAGCTTGCTGAGAGAGGCAATTGATTCTCTGGGTTGCAGCTTTCTCATCTAAAATGAAAACAATAATGCCCAACTAACAGAGTTGTTGAGAAAGTAAATGATATACATTCCCAGAGCCCAACACAGTGTTTGCACATGAAACACGCCTGATAATTGTTAGCTTCGCTGTCCTCTTCTCTGTATATTATGGAGTGCCTACCTCAGATATTTGCAGAAACAGTGGGTGATAAATCTATTTGAAGAGAAACCTTCTGTTTCTCTAACTCTTCAGAAATGGGAATGTCTTTTAAAAAAAAAATATCACCACAACAAAAATGCAGCTGCTCAATGCAGTTCTTTTAAGTAGGAGTTGATCTATAAAAAGAATAAGCATTAAAACTAACATTTTCCATTCATATGGAATTACTAATAAAAACAACACAGGTATAAACATTTTGAATTTATTTTAAAAATCACCTACCCATGTCTGCAATGTTAAAAAAAATAGTCAAAAGTATAAAGAATTATTGAGCTTTCAAGAAAAGATAAAAAGGCTTAATGAACCTGGCCTCTCCATTCAAAATGAAAACGCATTTCTTTCCCTTCCTCACCCTTCACATTCCTGATACTCATTCACCTGCCCTAACCTTTTCACTTTTTCAACATATTTACCATTTTTTTGTATTTTAATTTGCTAATTAACTATATGTACTATCATTTTTCTGTTTCTCTTCAACTCACGATAATGTAAGATTGTGTAAAAGAGACACAATATCACATTTGGCTGTGTTGACTGATTTGTTTCCTAGCTCTTCCGTTTCCCAAAATCTCAAGCTTAACAAGAACAGGTCAAAGATTTGGTTGGAAGGTCAACGTTTTCAATTTTAAATGCTTTTCCAGAAGTTGAACAGAAGCCAGTTCTTGCAACACTGAAGAAAAGTCTCACTATTGAAGCAGGGGGAAAGAAAAAATAACTCTCAGGGAAAGCTCTGGTCAAAGATCGCCTAAGCAGCAGCCAGCTGGTTCTGTTCCACGAAGGAACACACCCTTGCTGGGTAAGAGGCTCAAGTCAGCCTAATTTTGATAAGGGCTGGATGGTCAAGTTCTACATTGCACGCTTCCAACACTCATGTTACAGCCTGGAACTCACAGCTAAGCCAGAAATGCCAACCGGGCAAAGACTGGACATTACAGACTTGTCAAACATCTCATCTTTCCTTGCAAAGGAGTTGGACTTTGGATTTCAAAAAAGAAGACTCAAAAATAGTATTGATATCTTCACTTTTAGCAATTAGAAAGGTTTATCCGATAGAAAACTTAAGGTATAATATTTGGTGTTTATATATGCTACATTCAAAATTTTAATTTAAAAAATGTTAAATACAATGTGATATCCTGATGGATCCTAAAACATAAAATCATTAGTAGAAAAACTCGTGAAATTCAAATTAAGTCTAGAATTTAGCTAATAGTTAAGTCTTAATGTTGGTTTCCTTTTTGTAATGAAATACCATGTTCATATAAGATGTTAGTATTAGGGAAGCTGGATAGGGGTACATGCCAACACACTGTATTCTTTGCAAGCTGTGTGTAATTCTTAAACAATCCCAAGCTCACTTAAAAATGAAGAAAAATATACCTTAAAGTAGATTGACCAAAAATCTCATGATAATTATTTGGAAGGTGAAATACGGACAATTTTTTCTATTCTTGCTTTACATTACTTTGAATTGTCCATATTTTTACTATTATTTTATTATTAAAATTGAGACAATTATAATAAACATTATCAATAAAAATAATTTTGTCTTTCTGTATCCTAAAACACATAAATTTCTAATAGTTATTAATTAACAGGAAAGAAAATACAATGGTTACCTAATTTTAACAATGAACCTTTTTAGGTCAGTGATACCCATTTGAAAGAATTCACTTTCTTGATAGACTCTAAAGACATTCATCTTTAGGTTCTTAAAATTAATAAAATTATAGTTAAGTGATGTTCAAAATGTGGATCTTCATGATTCCATTTGTAAATAAATTTTATTACGTAATATTTTCAAAGCCATATTGTTTTAGTTAATTTTTAAATTGGGAATATCTCCAAACACAGTTACGGGCTTAAAAGTGAATTTTTGGCTAATATGAGCTATTTGGCAATTTTTTAATCCTGGATTTCCCCACATTTCTGTTTATTATACTACAATCAAAAATGATATTATGAAATACATTAAGCTTAATGAGATTTTGGTTTGAAACACAAAGTAATTAAGAAAAACAAAACTAAAGCCAAAGTACTAAATTCTAAAATTAAAACATTAAGTAAAACCACTGTTTACCCATGGGATGCCTGGAAGAGAGTATCATTGGGACATGTTGGCTGATGGTAATTCCCCTCCCTTCTTCTACAGTTTGTGTGAAGTTCCAATAAAAATACTTGGTTCTAAAACATGTAGACAATTAATAAATATGAACATAAATAAACACTTTAAAAGTAAAAAGGACAACTTAAGGTTTTGAGTCTTACTGAAAATAAATCAGAACTTGAATGAAAACAAAAATCAAAGAAAGCTGCATAGAATTTTCTCAATGCCAAAAAATTCCTACTAAAAAACGTCCTTGTGTTACAGACAACTTTTTTGGGAATATAAACATTAATTTTGGAGTATGCTAAATAAAATAAACTTTCCCTCCACCAAAGAATAGTATCTAGAACAACATTCAAATGAATTTCCTAATTTTATTAACAAGGAATAGTAGACATGATGTCATTAAGATTCTTATCTTCAAATCTTCCACCTTGGATTTGTGAAAGTTATGAGTGTGTATACTATGTCCTATTTGAATATATACACATAACACATATGCACACTATGTATGTATATATATGTATATATATATATATTTGTATGTGTATATATTTGTACATATATTTGTATAAATATATGTATTTGTTCATATATGTATTGTTCATATGTATTGTTCATATGTATATGAACAAATACAGTTGATCCTTGAACAACACAGGAATTAGGGTCACTGACCCCATGCAGTCAAAACTTTGTGCTTAACTTTTGACTCCCAAATCTTAATTACTAACAGCCCACTGTTGACCAGAAGCCTTTCTGATAACAAAAACTCAATCAATACGCATTTCATAAATTATATGTATTATGTAGTGTATTCTTACAATAAAATAAGCTAGAGAAAAGAAAATGTTATTTTAAAAAATCATAAGGAAGAGAAAATGCATTTACTATTCATTAAGTGGAAGTGGATCATTATAGAGTTCTTCATTCTTCACATTGAGTAAGCTAAGGGGGAGGAGGGAAAGGAGGCGTTGGTCTTGCTATCTCAAGGGTGGAAAGTGGAAGAAAATCCACATACAAGGGGACCCTCGCGGTTCAAACCTGTGTTGTTCAAGGGTCAACTATAATGTCATGACTCTTCTTTGCTTCCTGGGAGCATTTCCAGCATCACTATCGCATTTTCTATAGGTCTCATGGTGTTATTCAAGGTTTATGATATTGCATTACACAAGAAGAAAAATACACACAAATCATGAGAAATCATTTTTACTGCAATATCCAACTGATTGGAGATACAACTGGCTCATGCAGAGATGATTAGCATCACATGGTGTTTTAAGCAGATACTCACAGCACTTGAGCTCACTGCAGTAGCAACAGGAGGTGGCTATGAAATTATTACAGTAGTACAGTATGTACCACAGTTAATTTTATGCAGTGATGACTTAATACTGCATGTTTATGTTTGTTTCCATTTCTCTAGACTACAAAGGGCGCTATGTACAGTCTGTTTGTATGCATATGTTTTGAGAATTTTTAACTTTTGTGTATATTTTATGATAGTAATAAGAAAATAGACCAGTATCTACATATATTTTATACATTCATGACATGGCTAATTAATCTTAATATTTTCAACATTTCAAAGATACACAGTTCTTCCATGAGTTTTTTCAAATTATCACAAATCTACAGATAATTTTCCAATAGGTTTATTGAAAAAAAAAATCCACCTGTAAGTGTATCCATGCTGTTAAAACTTGTGTTGTTCAAGGCTCAACTGTGTGCAATATATACCTATATGCACACTGTATTAAGGTTTATTAAAAAGTCTAGGGCAAACCATGAAATAATAATAGTAGCTACTTCTGGGCTGTGGAAATCTGGGCAAATTTTTTTTCACTTTGTTAGAATCTACAAATTGCAAATTATTTGGTGAAAGATTCTCATCAGTATACTATTCCTGGATGCCATTAAAACACAAATACATAAAAGTATTAATAGGAGAATTTTGGGAAAATGTGACCCAAGAAGTTATTTCTTTCCTACTCTATTATTCTTTTCTTCTTAAATCTGCTGAAATGAGTCTACATCTTTTTTTTTAATTGTAAAGTTAAAGTTTATTTTTAAAACTAATATTTAGAAACGGGGATATTAGCAGTGAAGGTTAAGGAGATTGAAGGATCCTGACCCTACTAGTTATTGAAGCCTCTTATAATACAAATTACCTTAAAAATATTCTTTAAAGCATATAAATAGAATAATCAATTAAAAAAAAGAGTCTCAAATAGATTCAACTCTTATGAGGAACTTAATAAAACACAGTAAGCTTTTCAACACCAAGGAGTTAAAAAGAACTATTTAATACATTTGGTTGAGATACCAGTTAGAAAGGAAAAAAGAGAGAGGGGGAAGTTAAAGCCAATGTGAGATGATTCATCAAAATAAACAACAGAAGGACTAATGAGTTAAAACAAAACACTCAACTATGAAAAAGTCAAAGTGGCAGGGAGTCAACTACTTAAGAAAACATGAACAAATGTATTTTTAGCTTTAATATTAGGGAAAATTTTTTAAAGATTATCACTTTACTATAGAGAAATGCAAAATGTTCAAGTAAAAAAAGAAGCAAAACTGTTAAAATATTTACATCAAAATTTTGATCAATTATCAATATGTCTAATTAGGAAGAGCTTATCCAAAATTATAAAAACATGGGACAGACAAGTGGAGACAGTTATAAATAAAAATTAGCAAAAGATAAAATTATAAATAATCAAAATATGCAGAAAGTTTATTCATATTAGTAAACAAGCAACACATCAAAATAAATGTGAGATATTGTTTTACAACTACTAAACTAGTCAAAATACACTTTAAAAATAACATGCAAGCAAGAATGTGGAGAACCGGTACACCACATTTTTGATTGCATGTATAACTCATTTTGAAAACAATATGGCAGTCGGAAGCAAGGGTGATGAAGATGTTTCTTCTCCCTAGCTCAGATATTCCACTATATGAATTTTATATTGAATATATAATTTCACAGAAATAAAAGAGTTCTGTGCAAAACTTTTGCATGTTGTATTATAGCAAAGAGAATGGAAATAACCATTTAAAACAATTGTTAGATAAATTAATACAGATATATGAAAAATACTTAGAAATAGGAAAAATCCTTATTGTATAAGTCAAAACAAAAAATATTATAGTATATATTCCGTATTATTTTCAATTATGTAGGAAATATAGACTATAAAATGCAGACGATAAAAATAATTGATGTGTTAAAATAATAAAAATGTGCATGTTTCCTAATTTAAAAATGTTTAAGCCCAGTTATTCCTGATAACTAGTATAAAGATACAATAACCAGATACCAAAAATTATGGTTTTATAAAATAAGAAACAATTTTTTATGAATAAAGCATATAGTCAAAAAATAAGTTTATAGTCAGGGTACCTCATGCGTGTGTGTGTGTGTGTGTGTGTGTGTGTGTGTGTGTGTGTGTGTGATAGAAGGGTCCCTGGTCTATCTCTCACTACATTTCTTATGCAATTCTCTTCAGAAGTGAAAATATACATAAATTATTGCATGTATTCTGTGGACTTCATAGCGTCACTGTGAAGGTTAAACGAAATAGTATGTTTGAAAATGCCTATTCTGGTCTATAGCTGTACGATACGTTCCAGGTGCTCAAAAAATATTCTTTCAATATATTTAATAAAAGGACAATAATATTAAGAATTTGTTATATTATAACTTTAATAAATGTATACAAAGATTCTTTTTTTCACCTTCAAATGAAAGAACTAGAATCGATCATTTTGGTAGGCCCCACCAACTCTGTAAAGTTCCGTGGAATGAGCAGAACATGAAGAAAGTCAGAAATCAGTAAAGGACGATTATAAGAAGACGATAAATGCATGGATCCCCTGGAAAAGCGTACCTTAAAGAGAAGCTTTAAAATCTGTGTGTGTGTCTGTGCGTGTGTGTGTGTGTGTGTGTAAAATAACCTTTTTAACAAATAAACAAAATTAAAGTACAACATACAGGGCCTTTCATTACAACCTTCACCTGGTTTCACAACATGTAATGTACATTCAGAAAACAGATGTCTTTAACTTTCTATGACCCAGGTAGTAAGCAAAGTCTAATTCTAACATGTAATGCTTTTTTTTATTTTTCTGGAGTGATGAATAATGCTTCTCACATGGGAGGGCATTATCTACCTGAGGAAACACATATGGCCCTTTTATCTCCTCTATGCTTAATGCACAGATAAATACTTACACACGCACAGAGAAATGCTTCCAGTCACACGATCTGCTCATTGGAGGAAAAAGCACACCCATGCAGCCTGTTACATTTGCCAGCGCTGGGGCTTTGCTCTAAAGCAATGTCTGCTTTGGATGGCAAATTTCATAGTCTCTATTTAATAGGTTCATAGAGGGGATACTCACCTCCAGCTCCCCCAGACTGGATGTTATTCTCTAATCCCTGACTCCTAAAAGTGTCTGTGCCCAAAACATACCTGTTTCTTCTGGACCCTGAACGGCACGCTTATTTCTGCTGTTCTGACTGGAGTTGCCTTCTCCTGGAGCTGGTGGTTCAAAGATCTATGAACAGAAAAACTTCAAGTTATTAGAAAGACAGCTGAGGCGAGGGAGAGGCAGCAGTGTAGGCAGGATCTTGCCTGCGTCTTGCAGCTGCTGCAAACTCACTTTCAGTCCCGCGGTGACAGCTGGAGCTTCCTCCAGGCCGGCCTTGGGGGCTCCTGCTCCTGCTGGCAGCTTCTCCGCGTGGTGGCCCTGCAGCTCTGCCCGGAGGCTGGCCAGGTCCCCTTGCAGGGCGGCCACCTGGTAGAAAGACACCACCGTGAGGCAGCAAGACAGCAGTGCCAGCAGCAAGGTTGCAGCCAGCAGCTTTCCGTCTTTGGAGGATCGGACAGAGGGGCTTTCCTTCCGTGGGAGGATGGAAACACACTCCTTCAGTTTCATTTCTTCTCTTTTCTTAAGGCAAGAAGTAAGGCGTGACTGCTCCCTTTCTGTGGAGTCATCCATATCACTACTTGAACTTTGAAGGTTGGGGCCTTTAGAATAAGTGACCACAGGGAATGGATCATTTCCTGTTATCTGTGTTTGTTGATGTCCTGCGTGCACTACATGGCAGGGCTTGGCTCACCCCTCAGGAGAGTTATCCTGAATTTTCTCCTTTCTGCCTTTCTGCATCTCTACCCCTACTGTACAGTAGGTTTGCTGGCATTTACCCTCCGATTGGATTGCTCAATCTGTCTTCCTCATTTCACTTTCAGTTTTTGTAAGAATTTCAAAGTCTTCTCATAACACTCATGCTCAAGTAGATTTAAAACCCCTTAAATCTGCTGAGGAAACTTGGAGTTTGGATTGGCACAGTCAAGGGAAAGCTTTTAAGATATGCTCAGGTCTGAGAAGCCCACCCTTAAGTGTAGCAAGGGAACTCTGTCTGCTTGGGACCACATGGCTTCATAAGGAAGGGGGAAAAGCAGCTGAAAGTTCCTGCTGCTGTCATAAAAATAATTAATGTGAAGGTCAGATAAGCTAAGTGTTTTAGCATTGAATTGTTCTTAGCTAGAGAGTGATTTATTAACAGTCTTCAATTATGAAATAAAATGGAGAATCCTTGAAGGAAGTGTGGAAGTAAGTCCACTGGGAATTATTCATATTATTATACTAATAATGTCATAAAAAGAATGAGAGTAAATGTTACAGACGTATTTAGGTTAGATATCTGAAGGATTCTCTAAATATAAGTGAATATATTTTTAAGGAAAACATGCATAAACTTTTTCCTTCTGGGACTCATCACTGAAACTCAATCATGCATATGAACAGCCTGTCCCAAGGAGCCTGGTCTCAGCTTTTCTGCTCAGACTTCTGAGGCTTTAAGTCCCCGCTCAATATGATACTAGTTGAGGAGAATCAGCCTTGCCTCCAGCTCCAAATGCCTGACTGCTACCATTAACCACTCTCAAGTAGCTTGTCTACAACTCCCATGTTGACTGTGCCACAGCCTAACAGGTCGGTGTACAAGAGGTCCTTGATCACACAAGAGCCACCTTAGCTTTGGATTTTTCTGTTGTTGACTTGGTGGACCTGTGAGGACTGTTGCATTCATTCTAGTCCTGCCTTATCCTGATGGCTGGTTCCTGGACATTCCCCAGTTTTTCACTGCTTTGCCCCAGCATTGAAATATTGATTCATCTTTCAACAAACGTTACTGAGCACTTACCAAGCCCTGGGTAGTCACTACTCCCCTGTGGACTAAGAATAGTGAGCTTTAGTTCTGTCTCACTCTACATTTCCACACAGTCTTAAGTAAGAAGTTTACAGAAATGATATAGTGCAAAGTGGAGAACTCCAGACCCAGGCTTCTAGACTGCAAATCCTGCCTCACCCTCGCTCTCCTTATGCAAAGTACATAATCTCTCTGTGATTCCATTTCCTCACCTGTGAATTCGTATGACGATATTAACTGTCCCTGGGATACATAATGAGGCTTACAAGAATGTGGAAACAAATTACATTTTGGATGCTTCCATTTAAAAAAAAATTATTTCCACAGGTTTTTGGGGAATAGGTGGTATTTGATTACATGGTTAAGTTATTTAGTGGTGATTTGTGAGATTTTGGTGCACCCATCACCCGAGCAGTGTACACATTGAACCCATTTTTTAGTCTTTTATTCCTCACCCCCCTCCCACCCTTTCCCCTGAGTCCCTAAAGTCCATTAGATCATTCCTATGTCTTTGCATCTTTGTAATTTAGCTCCCACTGTGAGTTAGAACATACAATGTTTGGTTTTCCATTCCTGAGTTACTTCACTTAGAATAATTGTCTCCAATCCCATCCAGGCTGATGCGAACATCATTAATTCATTCCTTTTTATGGGTGAGTAGTATTCCATCATATATATGTATCATAGTTTCTTTATCCACTCATTGATTGACGGGCATTTGGGCTGGTTCTATATTTTTGCAGTTGTGAATTGTGCTGCCATAAACATGTGTGTGCAAGTATGTTTTTCGTATAACAACTTCTTTTCCTCTGGGTAGATACCCAGTAGTGGGATTGCTGGATCAAATGGTAGTTCTACTTTTAGTTCTTTAAGGAATCTCCACACTGTTTTCCATGGTGGTTGTACTAAATGATCAGGGAAATGTAAATCAAAAGCACGGTGCAATGCTTCCATTTTTTCATTCACTTTTATTCTTTACATTCAAAGTATGAATGAAACATTTTTCAGTTACAAACAGTGCTCTAATAGATATTTTCTACAACTGTGCTTGTAACGTCTGCAAGGGTTTCCCAGCAAATGCCTGCTGAGGGAGAAGCACATCTTCACTTTTACAGGCACCACCCAGTTACCCTCTGACGAGTTCCCATTTCCTCATTGTCTTACTACAAAATGACGCAGTCAGACTTACTTGTTTTTACCATTAGGATTGTTTTTTGTTTTTTGTTTTTTTCCCTTTGCATCTGCAAGTTTCCAAGACCTTTTAAAAATAACTTGTTATTATCCTGGCCCCCAAAATAAGCTGCTCTCTAATTTTTCTTACCTATAACTCCCACAATAAGGTGACCGTGCCCCAGTCTAACAGGTACGTAGACAAGAGGTCCTCCATCAACCTTCTCAGGTGGAAGTCTTCTTTTAGAAGGATGTTTGTAAACCCTTTTGCATCAGGAATGACAGTCCAATTCTTTTCTGTCAGTTCTTGTTCCAGAACAATTAGGGTGAGTCATACGGAGTAACCTTGCCATAAAAAATGGAATTCGTATGGGAATTGTATGAAGGCCTTCTTACTGAAAGTCATTGAGATCCTTTAGATGATGTGTTTGTGTATTCTTATGATTTAAATACATGCAGAAATGAAAGGATGCAACGCAGTGCTAGAAAGCAATTTCTCTCTGCGTTTCACTCAGGGTTTCCTGTAGCCACTGCTTCTCTCCATCCATGGACATTCTCCCTCTTCTGGTGAGTCGTTCCCCTCTATATCCCTCAGAGAAAATTCTGAAGACAGGGAATGATTTGACTGCTTTAGGGAATTCCCTCTGCCTTCGTCACTGTGTTGGGCAGAGACTTTCATGCCTGAACATCTCAAAAGAGAGTCACTGGCCAGCCTGCACGCAGCCATTTTTAAACCAGTGCCGATGTTTGTTGCGGCAGTGAGCCGTGCCATGCATAAAATGGGCAAGTTCTTCTTCCACAAAGGGCAGCCATCATGTCCCTCTGGCTAGAGGGACAGCAAGCAGGGATGGCAATGTGCACATCCTCCACAGGGATCTGACAGCTGCATTTTCTCTAAAGACAGGTAGAAAACGAAGTGACATTCATGACTCTTGAATCTCTTATTAGATGAACAAAAGGAAGTCATTACTCCATAAATCAAGAATCTGTTTCCGGAAGAGGAAATGGTTTGGCAATAATTTAACAGAAATTCTGTTAAACAAGAAGCATGTTCACGTTCATTGAATAATACACCACATCACAAGTTTATTCAGGGACAAAAGGCCACTGTATCTGAGCCACAGATTGTGCAGCGATCTTATTATACATTCAGTGTTTATTGACAGTATTTAGCTGCTTTTTACACACATCTTTTTCTCAATGTAAGTGTAAAGCATTCTTCTGTCATTCAATAAACAAACTGAGATACTAGGACTTTGTGACTGACGAAACTGTTCTATCCACTCAGAAATAGGCAGATAGGATTCAAAAGAATATAACTTGTGAGTTTGTCCGGGAGTCAGAAACAGCAGAAAATAAACATTCACTCTCTGACTATGTTCTTACATTGACAACCTCAAAAATATTTTTAAAAATGAATTATAAATTTCTGGCTAAATAGTGCTATAAAGAATTACAGGTTTGAGGAATCTCTCCTTTGCCCTTTTTCTTTGAGGAAAAGCGTGTTTTCCTCAAAATCCTTTGAGGAAAAGGATTTAGACCAGTCAAGCATGGCGACAACAGCTCTTCTAGATCTGTGAATGTACTCGATCTGTAAATGTACCTAAAATTACATCTAGATAAAATTGGTATCCTAAAGCACTCAGAATATGGAAGATTTATGATATAGGTTAAGTATTGCATTTCAGGAAAATATGCTGTTTTCCAGTAGAAATATTATATATATATAAAATATTTATATATTATATATTTTATATATATATTATATATAATGGAGAGAGAGAGAGTATGTGTGTTAAGTTATTATATAGTTAAATTTGATTTGAAAGGCTAAATGTTAATCACTGTATATAATTTTTAATTTAAAAAATTTTTAATTGACACATATATATTTATGAGATACAGTGTCATGTTTTGATATATGTATACAATGTGTAATGATCAAATTAGGAAAATTAGCATATCCATCACCTTAGACATTTATCATTTCTATCTGGTGAGAACTTTGAAAATCCTGTCTTCTAGCTCTATTGAAATATATAATATATTATTGTTAACTATAGCCGCCCTACTGTACAATGGAACACTGGAAATCGTTCTTCCTATCTAACCCTGACTTTGTACCAGGTGACAAACCTCCACCCCAATACCTCCGGTAACCACTCTCCTACTCTCTACTTCAATAAAATCAACTTTGTAAGATTGCATATATAAGTGAGATTACACAGTATTTGTCTCTCTGTGCCTAGCTTATTTCACTTAATATAATGTCGTCCAGGCTCATCCAGGTGGCTACAAATGACAGGATTTTACTTTTTATGGCTGAATAGTAGGCCACTGTATTATACCACATTTTTAAAATTCATTCATCTATTGATGGGCACTTAGGTTGAGTCCATATTTTGGCTATTGTGAATAGTGCTGAATCAACATGATTCATTGATTGGATGAATGAATCCATTTCTTGGATCCATTTCTTGGATACATTGATTGCTTTCTTTTGGATATAGACCTAGTGATAGAATTGCTTAAGTATGGTAGTTCTGTTTTCAGTTTTTTGAGGAACCTCCATACTGTTTTCCATAGTGGCTGTACTCATTGACATTCTCACTAACAGTGCACCAGCGTTCCCTTTCTCCACATTCTCACCAGCTAGAGGTCACTAATGCTAAATGAAATAAGCCAAGCATAAAAAGACAAATATCACATGTTCTCATTCATATGTGGGAGCTAAAAAGGTAGGTCTTATGAATATAGAGAGTAGATAGGTGGTTACCAGAGGCCAGGAAGAGTAGGAAGAAGGGTGGAGGGATGAAGAGAGGTTGATTTATGTTAGAAAAAATAAAACCTAATGCTTGATAGATTAGTAGGGCAACTAGAGTTAGCATTAATCTGTTCTACATTTCAAAATAGCTAGAAGAGAATCATTTTAATGTTCCCACAAAACAAAAGGATAAATATTGAAGGTGATTAACTTCCCAGTTACTCTGAATTGTTCTTTTCATATTATATGATGTATCAAATTATCACATATACTCTGAAAATATGTGCATCTGTTTTGTATCAATAAAACAAATAAATTAAAATTAAATGGACTGCAAATATTTTAATGATTTATTTGAAATTTCGCTTATTGAATGTTGAGAAGAGGATGGGTTTAGGAGTGTAGGCTCTGAAGCCAGAAGCATCTGTATGCCCAATTCTGCTTCGCCATCTTAACAGAATCTTTCTTGCCCCAAATCTAGACGCTGACTTTGTTTAGATATCTATCTCTGTGGGATGCCGACATAATCTCACACTTTAGGGAAGTCCTAATCATGAAATCTACTCACGATGACTCCATCTACATCACCACTGATTGCTAAGGAGGGACAAATGAGAGAGGCTTTTTACAGTTGGTTGTGAGGTGGTCTCCTGGGGGCACTGCTAAGAAAGAGTTCCTCATTCTTAAAGAGATTGACAAGAAAGAGATGCTCTTCTTCCACTAGACATTACAAGCCTGTCTGTGATCACCGAGAACTGCCATCCTGCAACTGCCGTCAGGCCCAGACTGAAACAGTGACGGCAAGAACAGGATTCTGGAGGGAACCTGGCTCTGTAAGGACATAATTGTCCTGCTGGATTACTCAACTCTTCATGCTTGTTATTTGGATCATACTATTTCCTAACTGTTTACGCCAATGTGAGACAAGATTAGGTGTTAATTCATCCAAAGACATCCTAAATCTGCTAGTTAGATTAGCAGTTGATTAGGATCCAAAGACATACTAATTCTGCTAGTTGTAAGAATTGTATTCTTACAACCAAAGAACTTTGTATAAGAGAGTTTTAAATGTTCTTTCAGAAATTTTCCAAATGTCCACTTTTTGAAACTACGGTGTAAAGAGAAAAGGTCAACACCCACAAGCTAGAAAAACTAATTCATTTGTTAAGAAGAGTCTTGACCGGGCGCGGTGGCTCATGCCTGTAATCCCAGCACTTTGGGAGACCGAGGCGGGTGGATCACGAGGTCAGGAGATCGAGACCACGGTGAACCCCGTCTCTACTAAAAATACAAAAAATTAGCCAGGCGCGGTGGCGGGCGCCTGTAGTCCCAGCTACTTGGGAGGCTGAGGCAGGAGAATGGCGTGAACCCGGGAGGTGGAGCTTGCAGTGAGCCGAGATTGTGCCACTGCACTGCAGCCTGGGCGACAGAGCAAGACTCCATCTCAAAAAAAAAAAAAAAAAGAGTCTTACATCCAGTTTTAATATAGCTATTTTTTAATAATTTAAGCTCTTTAATATGTTAGGAATCTTAAGAAAAATTATTATTATGTGAAGATGTGTTTAATGAATCTGTCTTTTCTATGTGGAACCAAAAAAACGTAGTCAACTCTTTCAGAAAAAAAAATGCAAAATTAGAATTTGTGCATCTCCGTGTAAGAAGGGAATAATTTCAAACTAAGAAAAAGTAAGAGAGATATAGTGTATTCTGAGAAAACTGCAACATGAATGCATCTTTCTTCTCCTTTACTAACAACTGTAAATTATCTTTCTTCTCTGAGCCAAATTGCAGTAGAACTTAGAGGTAATTGGGTGTTAGCGAGGGGCTTTTTGCTCTAATTGGCCCTAGATAGAGAAAAATAATGTTTGAGGTTTATTTCTCGAGAGTATTTGCAGTACTATATGTGAGACCCAAGTCTCAATGGGTCTTAGATAGAATGGTTGAGCAGAAATCTGTGGGCCCCAGGCAGTGGCTAACATCAGCCTCACAGGAATATGCCAAGTTTCCCGGGCCTCTGAGTACCCACAAAGGGAGTAAGTGCTTGGGGTTAGTCCTCCCTGCCCCTAAAGCTGAGAGACTATCAGGGGATCACAAGAAACAAAAGCCTCCCCCAAATGCCTCAGAGTAGACTAGAAGTTTCCCTGTTAGTCCAATCCTGGCTCATAGGGTTAGACAGGACTTGATTTCCCACCTCCTGAGGCTAGACTGCCCCAGCTGAGCCATCAAATCAAACACAGGAGGTGTTGAAGAGAGAAAGCTTGAAATTGGGATATCGGGAGAGATGCAAGAAGTGGCTGGACGTATAAATAGTGGCTAGACTGCAGTGTTTTTGCATGCACAGCTGTGGTTGTGTGAAATGTGAAAATGAAGCCATTTATATATATATTTTAAAAAGATTATGGCAGAGGGTAGGGTGGAAGTAGGGAAGATATGTACAGAAAGAAATGATAAACTAAGAGTGTTCAGCTCCATGAGTGCAGAAATGTGTGGTTTCTAGCCTATTGTATCTCTAGTGCCTGGAACACTTGTCCTTCATGGATTCTGCTATTCTCTGTTAAATGCTGACTAAATAAACGTCTTCCAATGAAAATTAAAAAAAAGAGAGAGAGAGGGAGAGATAAACCATCAAAGAAGGAGAGCACAGAACATCCCAGCATACACACAACACAAAGGGATGGAGACAACTTGAATTTTAAAAACTAATAGAGGACTTAAGATTCAACTGAAGAAACTTTTTAGGAACTAAAAAATATCTCTATAGTTTTCAATTAAATAATTTAATACATGCATTGAAGAAAAGGATGGTCACTTTTGAGCACTGAGTTACTGGCCTGCAGGCTCAAATAGAAGTAAAATCTCAAAACTCAAGAGTGTTTTGCAACTCACATGCAAGAAAAATGGGAACATAAAAGGAGGGAGAGGATATAGACTAAATAGAGGCAATGACATAAAAACTTACAGGAGAAAAGAATAATGCTTCTTAATCTATGAAAGAGCTGAAACTACAGTTTGAATTAGCTTATCAAGTCCTAGGTTAAAATGCTGAGAAAATCTGTATGGGTAGCTTTTTGGAAAAGAAAAATAAGCAAGTAGGTCGGGCGCGGTGGCTCACGCCTGTAATCCCAGCACTTTGGGAGGCCGAGTTGGGCGGATCACGAGGTCAGGAGATCGAGACCATCCTGGCTAACATGGTGAAACCCCGTCTCTATTTAAAAAAATACAAAAAATTAGCCGGGCGTGGTGGCGGGCGCCTGTAGTCCCAGCTACTCAGGAGGCTGAGGCAGGAGAATGGTGTGAACGCGGGAGGCGGAGCTTGCAGTGAACAGAGATCGCGCCGCTGCACTCCAGCCTGGGCTACAGAGGGAGACTCCGAGAAAGAAAAGAAAGAAAGGAAGGGAGGACGGGAGGAAGGAAGGAAAGGATGCTGAGAAAAATCGACCCAGGTAAGGTCTGATGGTATTACTGAATATAGAAAGAGTTGTTGGGATATGATGAAAATAAAGTATATAAAATCTTGTAAAATGCATTTAAAGCTATTTTTATGAGAAAAATCATATCTTTGATGGCATGTTTTAAAAAGAAGAATGGAAAGAAATAATCTGAGCATACAGGTCACAAAGCCCTAACAAGTTAAAAGGTGAAAACAAATTAAGCTTAAAGATTGGAGTAAAAAATATAAAAGAGATTAATGAAATAAATAATAACTTTACAATAAAGAGAATTAAAAATTGGTTATTTGACATAACAAATAAAATTAATAATTTGTAGTAAGACACAGTACAAAGGAGAAAGTATGAAATTTCAATAACAGAAATTTTAAAAGCGGGACATTTTAGAGCTATTACAGATCCTAAACAGGTAAGAGGATATTATGAATAAATTTGTGTGTAAAATTAAGGGGAAATTGGAGTATACATGCATTTCTCTTGAATACAAAAAAAAAATGAAATAACAAAGTAGCTAAACCAATTGCAAAGGAAGGATATTCACCATCCACTCTTTCAGTATTGTTCTAGGTACTAGGCATACAAAAATTAAAACAGAGAGAAAAAAAGTCAGAAAGAAAAAAGAAAACTCCTGTGTCATGGAGTTAAATTCTATTGTATAAGATCATTTTAAATGATTTCAATTTTTACTTGATAAATTTATACAAAACAGTTTCTCATCTGATTTTCCATTTCTTTTGTATCTGTGGTTAAGCATTTTTTTTAAAAATTGTCTGCATACAATTTCTCCTTTTATTCTTGAAAGAATAGCAAAAACTTGTCTGTTTTGTTAGTGTCAAATAAGTAATCAGCAGATAGTTCTGTTTATTATCATTATGAATTGTCTCATTCTACTTGTTTGTTTTGTTGTTTTCTTTAGTCTGACTTCTTCAGTTGAGTGTTCAAACATTCATTTCTTTTCTTATTTGTTGATAGGCTATTAAATTTCCCAAGAGCATTGCTTAGTAAAATTCAATGATATCAGGTATGTATTGTGTTTTATTATTATTGTGTTTTTTATATATTGTGCTTATTATTTTCTAGAAACGATTAATAATATAAATTAATCTAAAAATTTTGTTTGGCTTTCCAATTTGACTTAAAAGTTATTTAAGAGATATTTGTTAATTTGTTTTAATTTCCAGAAATTTTCTTCATTTTTCTCACTAACTTCTATTTTATCGTATTGCATTCAGATAATTTTCTCTCACAATTTCTACTTATAAAGCTTAATCAGAGTTTCTTTAGGGATTAATAGTATTGTCATTTGTGTGAATGTAACATAGCTACTTGAAAAGAAGGGATATCCTTAATAATTTTATTATTTTAGTCTACAATATCTGCATTTTTGTTTATATGATGTCATAGAATAATAGAGATGAGTAAAATTTCCCATATCTAATGTTTTTTCCTGTGTATTTCCAGGTGTTTTTCTTGTGGTTTCAGCTTTATGGTTATTGATGCTATATTATTTAACATTATAACACTTAGTGCAAAGATATTAAAAAATGAGAGGGAGATAATAAATTATGTCTATCAAAAAGATAACTTTTTCCCCAAATGCACAAGTGATACTTAAAATTTTAATCAAAATGGACAACTTTAAAAAGTAGTCTTTTACAGGCTACCATGACGGATAGTTTGCAAAGACTGGAAGAACTACTCTCTGGTGGCATGCCTGTTTGCAATGTGACTGATAATAAGGTTGGTCTGTCTCCTTATCCCCTAAATCTGAACTGACCTTGTGAATTGCTTGCTTTGACCAGTAGAACACACAGGACTGCCTCCCTGAGACCCGCATGCAAGAAAGTCAGTCTAGCTTACTGGAGGATGAGAAGATACATTGAAAACCACTAAAGTGCCTGAACCACCTGCCAGCACTTACTGCCAAATGTGTGGGTGAGGCTATCTTGAACCCCCAGCCAGCCTGGCTGTCAGAGGCATGCGGCCACACACATGAACTCAGGTGGAGCTGGCACAAGAGCCACCTGAAAAACTCACAGAATTACAAAAATAATAAAGGGGAGCTGTTACAGGGCACTAAAGTAGGGTGGTTTATTACTTAGTAATACCTAAGTGATATATCCCATTCATTGATTATAATCTCATAAAAATAGAAATCATTACAAAAAGGTGATCAAAGAGTTGCTTACTTGAAAATGTAAAAATACATTCATAGGTCAAGTTTGTGTCAAAGAAGTATGCGAAACTGAGGTTAGAAATTACCTAGAAAATCACAAAAGGGAAAACAACTTATACCAAACATATGAGCCAGAGCAGTACTCACTAAAAAATTATAGCATTGAAAACAAAGCTATAATATAAACACAATGATGTCCAAAAGAATTAATTCTCATCCAA
Source organism: Homo sapiens (assembly GCF_000001405.40). Lineage (NCBI taxonomy): Eukaryota > Metazoa > Chordata > Mammalia > Primates > Hominidae > Homo > Homo sapiens. The sequence continues at coordinate 108,258,902 of NC_000013.11, read as the reverse complement.
AAGAATTTAAAAAGGAATAAGCCAAAATAATCCAGGTAATGAAATTAAATAAAGATAGCTAACACTGATGATTAATTATATATTGTTAGTTAAAACGTGAGCAAAAGTCATTCTTTATATATACATATACATATACAAAAGTCATTCTTTATATATACATTCTTATATATACATTCTTTATATATACATTCTTTATATATACATATATATGTATATATACATATATACATATATACGTATACGTATACATATACATATACATATACATATACATATACATATATATGTATACATATATACATATATACATATACATATACATATACATATATACATATACATATATACATATACATATACAAAAGTCATTCTTTATATATACATATGTCTATATAAAGAATGACTTTTGCTCACGTTTTAACTAACAATATATAATTAATCATCAGTGTTAGCTATCTTTATTTAATTTCATTACCTGGATTGTTTTGGCTTATCCCTTTTTAAATTCTTTTGGATGAGAATTAATTCTTTTGGACATCATTGTGTTTATATTATAGCTTTGTCTTCAATGCTATAATTTTTTAGTGGTTTCAGCTTTATGGTATGTGTATATATACACATATATATGTGTATACGTATACACATATATATATGTGTATATATACACATTATATATAATGTGTATATATACACATATATATGTATATATATACACATATATGTGTATGTGTGTGTTTGTGTGTGTGTATATATATATATATATATATACACTTCAAGTTCTGGTTTATATGTGCAGAGCGTGCAGTTTTGTTACATAGGTATACACGTGCCATGGTGGTTTGTTTGAAAATGTAAAATAATAAGGTTGTTTTGGAAGCCAATCTAATGATACTAGAAATATTAAAAACATATCTACACTTCAACTCAACAGTCTCACTACTGAGAATTTATCCACGGTATCCATGGTGAAAAAAAAACAATAGAAAAAGTGTGTGTGTGTGTGTGTGTGTGTGTGTGTACACATGATGTTAAGTAAAATTAAATTCTATTTTGTTTAATGATCTATCAGGGATCAAAGATTTCCCTTGTGTTTTTCTGCTACTCAAATATAAAGACTCTTGTCCTCAAATTGTTTGATTACCATGACTGATTGCTAAAACAGAAATATAATTTTATATGAAAACTCATAAAATCTGTTTTAGATACTTTCAGACAGTCATAAAACATGTCTAGTAGTGGAGACAGTATGAGTTCATAATTGTACTTGTCGTTGGTTACTTCTAAATTTACTAAATTTAAAATGCACTTGCTAATTTTTTGTCTATTTTAAATATAAGCCTCTGGTTATTAAAAAGTAAACAAAAACTGGTGGGTGATTCCCAGAATTTTAACCAAAAGCATAATCTGTTATCTCATGGCAACAGCTGTTTACATACTTTAAATTGAATAATGAGCTTTCAACAATTTCAAAATTTAAACACAATCCAGACCAATGTTGATATTTCCACACTCAGGACAAGTGGCGCAGTGTAAAATTCATGTGAAAATCTTATCACTATCAACCACCAACACTAGCAACAATTAACCAAGGATAACAAGTCAAATCAAATAAGTATAAACTGTACTCTACTAGTGACTACTGAAAATTCAGCATTTCAGAATACTAATCTTCAATCCTTTATCAAAAGCATTTTTTTGACTTTAAAAAATGTGGTAAAATACACATATATTATACAATTTACCATCTTCATTATTTTAAAAGTCACTCTGCAATTTCTCTTTAATATCAATGACTTGTGAATTTATAATTCTCACTGTGTCCCAAACAAGGGAACCTATTACATTTTGTAAACTTCTGCAGGTCATGAATTTTGCACCTCAAAGAGGATCTGTGTGTTGTTGAAGGCTTAAGAGGACAGCAGTGTGTGACACAGAATCCCGGACTAGCACTCAGAAAAAAATGTGTTCTGGTTCAGTTGTTCAACTACATTTAGTCATTTGACTCTTTGGTTTTATCTCTGTATTCTTTGTGAAAAGATGTAATCTTTTCTTTTTTTTTAACTTTATTATTATTATACTTTAAGTTTTAGCATATATGTGCACAATGTGCAGCTTTGTTACATATGTATACATGTGCCATGTTGGTGTGCTGCACCCATTAACTCGTCATTTAGCATTACGTATATCTCCTAATGCTATCCCTCCCCCATCCCCCAACCCCACAACAGTCCCTGGAGCGTGATGTTGCCCTTCCTGTGTCCATGTGTTCTCATTGTTCAATTCCCACCTATGAGTGAGAATATGCGGTGTTTGGTTTTTTGTTCTTGCGATAGTTTACTGAGAATGACGATTTCCAATTTCATCCATGTCCCTACAAAGGACATGAACTCATCATTTTTTATAGCTGCATAGTATTCCATGGTGTATATGTGCCACATTTTCTTAATCCAGTCTATCATTGTTGGACATTTGGGTTGGTTCCAAGTCTTTGCTATTGTGAGTAGTGCCACAATAAACATATGTGTGCATGTGTCTTTATAGCAGCATGATTTATAATCCTTTGGGTATATACCCAGTAATGGGATGGCTGGGTCAAATGGTATTTCTAGTTCTAGATCCCTGAGGAATCGCCACACTGACTTCCACAATGGTTGAACTAGTTTACAGTCCCACCAACAGTGTAAAAGTGTTCCTATTTCTCCACATCCTCTCCAGCACCTGTTGTCTCCTGACTTTTTAATGATTGCCATTCTAACTGGTGTGAGATGGTATCTCATTGTGGTTTTGATTTGCATTTCTCTGATGGCCAGTGATGATGAGCATTTTTTCATGTGTTTTTAATTTCCTTAAGCTGATAAGCAACTTCAGCAAAGTCTCAGGATACAAAATCAATGTACAAAAATCACAAGCATTCTTATACACCAATAACAGACAAACAGAGAGCCAAATCATGAGTGAACTCCCATTCACAATTGCTTCAAAGAGAATAAAATACCTAGGAATCCAACTTAAAAGGGATGTGAAGGACCTCTTCAAGGAGAACTACAAACCACTGCTCAATGAAATAAAAGAGGATACAAAGAAATGGAAGAACATTCCATGCTCATGGGTAGGAAGAATCAATATCGTGAAAATGGCCATACTGCCCAAGATAATTTATAGATTCAATGCCATCCCCATCAAGCTACCAATGACTTTCTTCACAGAATTGGAAAAAAACTACTTTAAAGTTCATACGGAACCAAAAAAGAGCTCGCATCGCCAAGTCAATCCTAAGCCAAAACAACAAAGCCGGAGGCATCACGCTACTGACTTCAAACTATACTACAAGGCTACAGTAACCAAAACAGCATGGTACTGGTACCAAAACAGAGATATAGATCAATGGAACAGAACAAAGCCCTCAGAAATAACACCGCATATCTACAACCATCTGATCTTTGACAAACCTGACAAAAACAAGCAATGGGGAAAGGATTCCCTATTTAATAAATGGTGCTGGGAAAACTGGCTAGCCATATGTAGAAAGCTGAAACTGGATCCCTTCCTTACACCTTATACAAAAATTAATTCAAGATGGATTAAAGACTTACATTTTAGATCTAAAACCATAAAAACCCTAGAAGAAAACCTAGGCATTACCATTCAGGACACAGGCATGGGCAAGGACTTCACGTCTAAAACACAAAAGCAATGGCAACAAAAGCCAAAATGGACAAATGGGATCTAATTAAGCTAAAGAGCTTCTGCACAGCAAAAGAAACTACCATCAGAGTGAACAGGCAACCTACAAAATGGGAGAAAATTTTCACAACCTACTCATCTGACAAAGGGCTAACATCCAGAATCTACAATGAACTCAAACAAATTTACAAGAAAAAAACAAACAACCCCATCAAAAAGTGGGCAAAGGATATGAACAGACACTTCCCAAAAGAAGACATTTATGCAGCCAAAAAACACATGAAAAAATGCTCATCATCACTGGCCATCAGAGAAATGCAAATCAAAACCACAATGAGATACCATCTCACACCAGTTAGAATGGTGATCATTAAAAAGTCAGGAAACAACAGGTGCTGGAAAGGATGTGGAGAAATAGGAACACTTACACTGTTGGTGGGACTGTAAACTAGTTCAACCATTGTGGAAGTCAGTGTGGCGATTCCTCAGGGATCTAGAACTAGAAATATCATTTGACCCAGCCATCCCAGTACTGGGTATATACCCAAAGGACTATAAATCATGCTGCTATAAAGACACATGCACACATATGTTCATTGCGGCACTATTCACAATAGCAAAGACTTGGAACCAACCCAAATGTCCAACAATGATAGACTGGATTAAGAAAATGTGGCACATATACACCATGGAATACTATGCAGCCATAAAAAATGATGAGTTCATGTCCTTTGTAGGGACATGGATGAAGCTGGAAACCATCACTCTCAGCAAACTATCGCAAGGACAAAAAAACCAAACACCACATGTTCTCACTCATGGGTGGGAGTTGAACAATGAGAACACATGGACGCAGGAAGGGCAACATCACCCTCCAGGGACTGTTGTGGGGTTGGGGGATGGGGGAGGGATAGCATTAGGAGATATACGTAATGCTAAATGACGAGTTAATGGGTGCAGCACACCAACATGGCACATGTATACATATGTAACAAAGCTGCACATTGTGCACATGTACCCTAAAACTTAAAGTATAATAAAATAAAAAAATAAAAAAAAACAAAATCAGAGCTGAAGGAAATTAAGATGTGAAAAAAAAATACAAAAGACCAATTAATCCAGGAATTTGTTCTTTGAAAGAATTAATGAGAAAGACCATTAGCTAGACTAATAAAGAAAAAAGAGAGAAAAACCAAATAAACACAATCAGAAATGACAAAGCACATGTTACCACTGACCACAAAGAAATACAAAAACCCCTCGGGGTGTACTATGAACACCTCTATGCACACAAACTAGAAAACCTAGAAGAAATCAGTAAACTTCTGGAAATATACCACCTCCCATGATTGAACCAGGATAAATGAAACGCTGAGCGTACCAATAACAAGTTCTGAAATTGAATCAGTAATAAGTCTGCCAATCGGGAAAGCCCTGGACTAGGCAGATTTAGAGCCAAATACTATCAGATGTATAAAGAAGAGCTGGAACCATACCTACTGAAAGTATTCCAAAAATTTGAGGTGGAGAGACTCCTCTCTAACTCATTCTGTGAGGCCAGAATCATACTGTCACCAAATCTGGCAGAGATATGATGGAAAACAGAAAACTTCAGGCAATAGAAATTAAACAGAAAAGAGAAAACTTGATGACATAAATGCAAAAATCTTCAAGAAAATACTAGCAATCCATGTCCAGCAGCACATCAAAAAGCTAATTCATCACAATCAAGTAGGCTTTATTCCCTGGGATGCAATGTTGGTTCAGCCTATGCAAATCAGTAAATATGATTAATGTCATAAAAAGAACTAAAAACAAAAACCATATAATTATCTCAATAGGTGCAGAAAAGGTTTTTGATAAAATTCAACATCCTTTCGTGTTAAAAATTCTCAATAAACTAGGTACTGAAGGACTATACCTCAAATAATAAGGGCCATCTATGACGACCCCACAGCCAACATTATGCTGAATGAACAAAACCTAGAAGCATTCTCCTTAAAAATCGGAACAAGACAAAGATACTTTCTGTCACCACTCCTATTTGATACAGTGCTGAAAGTCCTGGCCAGAACAATCAGGCAAGAAAAAAAAAAGGCATCCAATAAGAAGAGAGGAAATCAAACTATCCCTGTTTTCAGACAATATGATTCTATACCTAGAAAAACCCACAGTCTCTGTGCAAAAGCTCTGAGATGGCATAAACCGCTTCCATGAAGTTTCAGGATACAAAATCAATGTAAAAAAATCAATTGCATTCCTATACACCAACAACATCTAAGCTGAGAGCTAAATCGAGAATGTAATCTGATTCACTTTACCCATAAAAAGAAATACCTAGGAATACAGCTAACCAGGGAGGAAAAAAAATCTCTACAATGAGAAATACAAAACACTGCACAAAAAATCAAAGATGACACAAACAAATAAAAAAAAATCCATGCTCATGGATAGGAAGAATCAATATTTTTTAAATGGCCATACTGCCCAAAGCAATTGCAGATTCAATGACATTCTTATCAAATTACCAATGAAATTGTTCACAGAATTAGAAAAAAATTATTTTAAAATTCATATGGAACCAAAAAAAAGCCTGAATAGCCAAGGCAATCCTAAGCAAAAAGAACAAAGCAGGAGGCATCACATTACCTGACTTCAAACTACAGTACAAGGTTACAGTAACAAAACAGCATGGTACTGGTGCAAAAACAGACACATAGACTAATGGAACACAATGGAGAGGCCAGAAATAATGCCCCACACTTAAAATCACCTGATTTTTGACAGTCAACAAAAACAATCAATGGGAAAAAGGTCTCTCTAGTCAATGAATGGTGCTGGGATAACTGACTAGACATATGCAGAATATTGAAACTGGACCGCTTCCTTACACTATAACCCAAAATTAATTCAAGATGGATTAAAAGCTTAAATGAACAACCTAAAATTATAAAAACCCTGGAAGAGAAAACAGATACATAGCCAACAAGCATATGAAAAAATGCTCCACATTAGTAATCATTAGCAAAATGCAAGTCAAAACCACAATGAGATACCGTCTCATGCTAGTTAGAATGGCTATCATTAAAAAGTCAAAAAATAGCAGATGCTAGTGAAGTTGTGGGAAAAAAGAGAACACTTATGCACTGCTGGTGGGAATTCAAATTAGCTCAGCAAATGTGGAAAACAGTTTGGCAATTTCTCAAAGAACTCAAAGCAGAATTACCATTCTACCCAGCAATTCCATTACTCAGTATATACCCAAAGAAATATAAATCATCCTACCATAAAGAGACATGTACCTGCATGTTATTCACAATAGCAAAAACATGGAATCAACCTAAATGCCCATCAACTGTAGACTGGATAAAGAAAATGTGGTACATATACACCATGAAATACTATGCAGTCATAAAAAAGCATGAGATGATATCCTTTGTAGCAACATGGATAGAGCTGAAGGCCATTATCCTAAGTCAACTAGAACAGGAAGAGAAAGCCAAATACCACATGTTCTTACTTATAAATGGGAGCTAAAAACTGAGTACATGTGGACACAAAGAAGGGAACAACAGGTGCTTGGGCCTATTTGAGGGTAAAGGGAGGGAGATGGATGAGGATCAAAAAACTACCTATTGGGTACTACACTTATTACCTGGGTAGCAAAATAATCTGTAAATCAAACCCCTGTGACATGCAATTTGCCTATATAACAAACCTGCACATTTACCCCTGAACCTGAAATGAAAGTTAATAAAAAATCTAGGTCACATATGGAACCTGGGCCTTATCTGTGAGAGGGGCATCCCATAGTGGGAGATGGGCTCTGACCCATTATGTGGAATAATTGCCAAAGCAGAGGACAAGAATTGACCATTTTAAATAATAAAAAAGTTCATTACCTTGTTTTATAGGCATTTCAAATTCATCATAAACCTGATTTCAACTTCTCATCTTTCTCACAAATCCTTGTGTTCTCCTAGGCAGAATTATAGAAGTATTAATTTTATACTTTCCTGCACCACTCCCAATCAGTTACATTCCAAGTATATCTTGAATCTTTCTACAACTCTCCAGATCCACTACAATCATTTGAATTCAACATTTTTTTTAACCTAGAATATCCCTAAATGGTCTCATTCATTATAACAGCTTTATTGAGATACAGTTTACATGTAATACTATTTAATCTTTCCAAGGTACAATTCAATATTTGGTATTTTCAGAGAGTTGTGCAACCATCACAACAGTTCATTTTAGAACATTCTCATCACCCCAAAAAGAAACCTTTGTCTATTAACAGTCATTCCTCATTTCTCCCGATGCCCCTAGTTCTAAGTAACCACTGATCTTCTTTCTGTCTCAGTAGAGTCACCTATTATGGACATTTTGAATCATTGGTATCACACAGTATGGGTCTTTTGGGACTGGCTTCCTTCACTTGGCATGTTTTGAATGGTCATGCATGTTGCAGCATCTATCATTACTCCATTTCCATTGCTAAATAACATTACATCATATGAATCTACCATATTTAATTTATCCTATTATCAGTTAATGGACATTTGGGTTGTTTCTACTTTTTGCTATTACAAATAATGCTGCTATGAATATTCAGGTATAAGGTTTGTGTGGTCATATGTTTCATTTCTCCTGGAGTATAAATCCTGGGTCATGCGCTAACTGCATTTTTAAGATTTTTATGAATTGCTAAACTGTTTTCCAAAGTGGCTGCTCCATTTTACACTTTTACCATCAGTGCATGATTGTTCAAATTTTGTCCACATCTTCACTGACAGTTGCTATTTGCTAATCTTTTTTTATTATGGCCATCCTAATAGGTATAAAAATAGCATCTCATTGTTTTGATTCACATTTCCTTATGACTGATGACACTGTACATCTTCTGTGTGTTTATTGGCCAACTGTAGATCTTGTTTGGATAATGTGCATTCAAATCCTTGGCCCATTTTTAAATTGGTTTGTTTGTCTTTATATTATTGAGTTGTAGGTGTCCTTTATATATTCTACAAACACGTCTCTTATCATATATATGATTTGCACAAATTTTCTCCTAAACTGTAGGTTGTCTTTTCACACTTTTGATAGTGTCCTTTGAAGCATAATTTTTAAATCAAGCCCAATTTCTGTTTTTCTTGTTTGTTTTGTTTTTGTCACTTACGTTTTTGTCATGATATCAAAGAAACCATTGTCTAACCCAAGGTCACAAAGTGATGCCTATGTTATCCTCAAAGAGTTTCATCATTTTAGCTCTTAAATTTAGGTCTTTGCTCCATTTTGATTCAATTTTTTGGATGGCATGATGTAGAAATCCAGATTCATTCTTTTGCATGAATATTAACATTACCACTATTTATTGCAAAGACTTTCCTTTCCCCATTGAAGTGTCCTGGAACTCTTGCCAAAACATCAATTGAATGTAAATATATGATTGTTTATAGAATTTCAACCCTAGTCCATTGATTTATGTCTATTCTTATGCCTGTATGTCTTGATTATTGTAGCTTTGCAGTAGGTTTTAAAATAAGCATAGATAAGATCTCTAATTTTGTTCTTCTTTTCTAAGATCATTCTGGCTATTCTGGGTCCCTTGCATTCATGTATAAATTTTAGGATCAGCTTGTCTATTTCTAGAAAAATAAACAAAGCACCAGCTTCGATTTTGATAGGGGAACATATTGGTCTATCTTTGGAGAGTATAGTAGTCTTCCCTTATCTGTATTAGGGCTGCCATAATAAATAACCAAAAACTTAGAGACTTAAAACCACAGAAATTTACTCTCTCACAGTCCTAAATGAGAGAAGTCTGAAATAAAGGTGTAAACAGGGCCATACTTTCACTGGTAGTTTCTAAATGATTCATGGGAATGTTTGGGGTTCCTGGGCTTGAAGCTGCACAACTCCAGTGTCTGCCTTGATTGTCACATGGCGATCGTGTGTGTGTGTGTGTGCGTGTCTATGTGACTTCATGTGGTGTTCTGCTCTTTATGTGTATATGTATCCATTTCTCTTCTACTCTTATTTATAAGGACACCAGTTATATTGAATTAAGGGCTCATCCTTCTTCAGCAGGATCTCAACTTACATTTTAATTATATTTTCAAAGACCCTAGTTCTATATACGGTCACATGCATAGGTTCTAGAAATTAGAATTTCAGTATATCATTTTTGGCATAAACAAATCAATCCTCAATACTTCCCATCATATTGGATTTTTTAACAATATATGGAAATAAAAGTAATATTCCATCTTGATCTTCAACCCTGCGTCCTTATTGAATACGTATAATAGTTCCAATGTTTTTTAGTGGATTTCTTTATGGTTTTCTATGTACAAGATCATATGATCTGCTAATATAGTTTTACTTCTTCCTTTCTTGTCTATATGCTTTGTTATTTTATTTTCTTTCCTAACTGTCCTGAATAGAACCTCTAGTAAAATGTGGAATTAGAAGTGACAAGAGTATATATTCTTGTCTTGTTCCTGATCTTAGGGGGAAGATTCCAGTCTTTCATCATTGGGTCTGATGTTGGCTGTATTTTCTAAATGCTTATTATGATATTGAGTTAGTTCCTGTCTATTCCTAGTTTTTTAACGGTTTTTTGTTTTGTTTTGTTTTGTTTTAAGGAGATAGAGCCTTTAAGGAGGTAATTAAGGTTAAATGAAGGCATAAGGGTGGGCTGTAAACCCATAGTACTGGTGTCCTTCAAAGAAGAAGAGACAAGAGAAATCTCTCTCTCTCTCTCTCTCTCTCCCTCACTCCCTCCCTCCCTCCCTCCCTCCCTCCACAGAGGAAAAGCCATGTGAGAATACAGTGAGAAGGTGATCAACTACAAGTCAGGAGGAGAACCCTCACCAGAAACTGAATTTGTTGGCACCTTGATCATGGACTTTTAGCTTTCAGAACTGTGAGAAAATGTCTATTTTTTAAGCTAATCAGTCATGTGAGCCCGAGTGGAGTAAAACATATGGTGTATTGCATTAGTTAATGCTTAGATTTTAAACCATCTTTGCATTCCTGTGATAAATGCCACTTGGTCATGGCAATTGATTCTTTTATATATTGCTGGATTCAGTTGGCTGGTATGTTATGAGGATTTTGTACCTATATTTATATGGGTAGCTTGATCCTTAGTTTTCTGTCTTGTAATTTCTTTGTCTGGCTTTGGTATCAGAGTAACACTAACCTCATAGAATAATTTGGAATATGTTCACTCATCTTTTATTTTTTGGAAGAGTTTGTGTAGGATTGCTGTTAATTCTTCTTTAAAGATTTGGAGCAATTCACTAATGAAGGATCTGGAATTAGAATTTTCTTTGTTGGATGGATTTTGATTATTTATTCAGTCTCTTTACTTGTTTCAGGTCTATTCCGATTTTTTATTTCTTCTTCAGTCAGTTTTGAGAGCTTGTATCTTTCTACAAATTTTGTCCCATTTGATCTAAATTATCTAATTTGTTGATTGTTGATGGTACAGCAGTCCTGCCCTTATTTGTCATTTCACTTTCCATAGTTCCAGTTACCTGCAGTAAATTGCAGTCCAAAAATATTAAATAGAAAACACCAGAAATAAACAATTCATAAATTTTAAATTGCACACCATTCTAAGTAGTGTGATAAAATCTCATGTCATCCTGCCTCACTTTTTTTTTTTTTTTAATAGAGACAGGGTCTCACTGGAGTGCAGTAGTGCAATCATAACTCACTGCAGCCTTGAACTATTGGACTCAAGTGATCCTCCAACCTTAGCCTCCCCAGTAGCTGGGACTACAAATGTGTGTCATCACACCTAGTCAATCCCGCTTCATCTTGCCCAGGACATAAATCATACCCTGTGCTGCATATTATACCCACACATTAGTCAATTAGTTGCTGTCTTGCTTATCAGATCATCCTGACATCCAACCATTGATATTGTCGTGGCTCAGTGATCTGAGATAACCCAAAGCACATGGTCCTTCTAACATTACCAGAGGATCTGTAGTAGCCTAACACTATGCCACAACACACAAGTCATTCACCTCATTTTCTCTCAGTGGGTAGGCAGCTCATCATCTTGCATTATCACAAGAAGAATAAAGGCAAGTACAGTACAATAAGATATTTTGAGAGAGAGAAACAGACTACATTTGCATATTTTTGTTATAGTATATTTCTATAATTATTCTGTTTTTATTAGTTATTGTTAATCTCATGCTGAGCGAAATTGATAAATCTATCACAGGTATGTATAATAAGGAAAAAATATAGTATATGAAGAGTTCAATATTATCTGTGGTTTCAAGCATCCACTTGGGATTTTGGAACATATCTCCCACAGATAAGTCGTTACTACTACATTTCTTTAAATCTTTTAATTTCAGCAGCAATGTCCCCTCCATTCCTGATGTTATTAACATAATTATTCTCTCTCTCTCTCTTTTGTTTCATCAGTCTAGTAAAAGGTTCTTCAACCTTATTGGTCTTTTTCAAAGAACCAACTTTTTGTTTCACTGATTTTTATCTATTGTTTTACTATTCTTTATTTCATTAATTTCAACACTAATATTTATTATTTTTAATCTGCTTGCTTTGTGTTCAATTTGCTCTTCTTTTAGTGTCTCAAGATGGAATATTGGTCCATCAATTTAAGAACTTTTAAAAAATACAGTATTTTACACTTATAAATTTCCCACTAAGCTGTATGCCTGTTTTTAGCTGCATATTAAGTTTTGGTGTGTTTTATATTTATTTTCATTTATCTTAAAGCATTTTCTAATTCTCTTTGTGATTTCTTCTTTTACCCACTGGTTATTTAGCAGTGTGTTCTTGAATTTCAATATATTTGCGAGTTTCTCAAATTTCTTTCTGTCATTGAATTCTAGTTTCAGCCCATTCTGCTTGGTGAATATGCTTTGTTATTTCTATCCTTTTAAATTTTCTAAGATTGGTTTTATAACTTAGCCTATGGAATCCTGAAAGATCTTCCATGTCTGCTTGAAAAGAATATGTATTCTGCTGCTTTTGTGTATTTTATCTGTGTATGTGAAGTCTATTCGGTTTATAGTTTGCATAAGTTTTATATTTTCTTGTTGGTCTTCTGCTGATTTGTTCTATCCATTATTGAATGTGTAGTACTAAAGTCTATGACATGTTGAATTGTCTATTTTTTTCTTTCACTTTTGTCAGTTTTTCTTTTGTGTATTATAGGGCTCTATGGTTAGGTGTATATATGTTTACAATTGTTATATCTTTCTGATGGATTGACCCTTTATCAATATAAAATAACCCTCCTTATCTTTGGTAATATTTTATTTTTACAATCTATCCTGCCTGTCTTAATTTTATATTGGTACTATAACAAATTTTTTAAGATTTTGTGGCTTAAAATGTCAATTCATTCTCTTACTTCTCTTACTTGTCTGCAGTCAGATATCAAAAATCAGTTTCATGAGCTAAATTCAAGATATTGGTAGGCTGGTTCCCCTGCAAACTCTGAGAGAATTAGTTCACTTGCCTTTTTTAAGCTTCTAGTAACTGCCTGCATTTCTCGGTTTGTAATTCCTTCCTCATATCTCTACAATCTCTTGCTTCTGTTGTTGTATCTCTAACTTATCACTTTGACATCCTGGTACCCCTCATAATGACTCTTGTTACTACATGAAGCTCACTTGATAATCCAGCATAATCTCCCCATCTCATCTGGGGAATATTCAGCCATCCTACCACTGTGTCTGATAGAAGTATAGCCACTTAAGTTTTCTTATAGTTACTGTTTGCATTTGTTATATCATTTACCATTATTCTACTTTAAACCTATTTGTATCTTTCAATATAAAGTATGTCCTCTAGAGAGTACATTGCTGAATCCGATTGCCCACCCTAATTGATTGTCAGCGATCTCTGACTTTAAATTGGACTATTTAATCCATTTGCATTTAATGTTATCATTTGGTATAGTTATATTTATGTCTGCCATTTTAGTTTTTGTTTTCTACATGTCTCATATCTTTTATTTTCTCTATTTCTCCTTTACTGCTTTACTTTGCATTAATGTTTTTGAGTGTAGCGTTATTTAATTCAATTCCTTTAATAATTTTTTCACGATGTATATATTTTTTCACTATATTTACTATATTAATATACATATATATTTCTTTTAAACCGGGTTGACCAAGCTGGAGAGCAATGGCACAATCATTGCTCACTGCAGCCTCAAATTCCTGAGCTCAAGCCATCCTCTTGCTTCAGCCTCCTGAGTAGCTTGGACTACAGGTGTACACCACCTCACCAAGCAAATTTTATTCATTTATTTATTTTTGTAGAAAATGGGGACTTGCTATTGCCCAGGTTTTTCTCAAACTCCTGGCCTCAATTCACCATCTTGCCTTAGCCTCTCAAAGGGCTAGAGGAGCTACCACAACTGGCCTCATAATATATTTTTAAGTGATTTCCTTATTGATTTCTCTAAGACTTACCATACTTATCATAGCTTATCAGAATCTACTTGAAATTTATACTAACTTAATTCCAGTGAGATACAGAAATGTAACTTCTACATAGCTCTCTTCCCTCTTTCCTCTTTTGATGATATTGTTATACATGTAAACATCTATGCATATTATAAAACCAAAACCAAAATAAATTCTTATAATTTTACTTATACAATTTTTATATTTACTAAGGAGACTTAGGGATAAAAGCAAAGCAAGTATATTTATAGAGTTTGTTATAATAGTCTTCTTACTTACCATTTTAGGTCCACTTTTTTTCCCCTGTGGATTCAAGTTACTATCTGATGTCATTTCATTATTCCATGGCAGCTTTCCTCCTACCCACTTCCTTTGTTTTTATCATCAAATTACATATTTATTTGTTGTAGACTGAATAATACAATTATGCATATATATTTTATGCAAGTTATTTACATAATTTAAGAAAAGGAGAATAAATATGCATGTATACTGTCTTCTCTAATTACATAATTATCTTTACCAGTGCTTTTTGTTTTTTTGTGTGTGGATTCAAATTACCATATATGATTACTTACTTTCAGTGTGAATGACTTCCTTTAGTATTTCTCGCAAGGTGGGTCCTGCTCACAAAAATTATGTTCTTGTTTCTAGGAATATTTTGTTTCATGTTCATTTCTGAAAGTTTTGTTGAATATAAGATGTTGTTTGACAGTTCTCTTTCAGTACTTTGAATATTTAATACCACTACTTTCTGTCTTCCTCTAATCAATTCTGAAGATTAGTCAGCTGTTAATCTTATTGGGGATTTCTTTATACATGATGAGTTGTTCTACTCTTGCTGCGTTCAATATTTTCTCTCTTGTTTTTCAGCATTTTTCCTTTGCTGTTTCTAGGTATGGATCACTTTGTGCTCATCCTACTTGGAGTTCCTTGATCTTGGGTGTATAGATTGATGTTTTTTATCAAATTTGGGGAATTTTTGGTCATTATTTCTTTGGATATTTTTTCTGCTCTTTTCTCTCCTCTCTTTCTGGCACTACCATTATGTGCATGTTGGTGCAGTTCTTTGAGGCTCTGCTCATTTTTCTTCACTCTTCTTTTGATCTCTGTGTTTCAGATTGCCTAGTCTTGATCAAGTTTATATAAACTTTATGAAGTCGATATTCAAGTTTGCTGATTACTTCTGCCAGTTTGATTCTGCTGTTAAGCCTGTTTAGTGAATTTTTCATTTCAGTGATTGTGCCTTTCAACATCAGAATTTCCAGTTAGTTCATTATTTAAAATAATTTCTATCTCTTTTGATACTTCTCTGATGAGACAAACAGAGACAGTTTGATGTAAAACCGTTTGATGTAAAAACTGTTTTTACAAAAAGGA
This sequence comes from Homo sapiens, assembly GCF_000001405.40. Classification (NCBI taxonomy): domain Eukaryota; kingdom Metazoa; phylum Chordata; class Mammalia; order Primates; family Hominidae; genus Homo; species Homo sapiens. Next base: position 108,243,363 of record NC_000013.11, on the reverse strand, counting down.
AATTATCCCATGCCATAGCCATCTTCCAAGTGTTTACTTTGCTCTAGAATATGACTGTAAAACTGGAGTATCTATAGCATTTAAATTGATCCAAGACACATACATTTAAACACTGCTGACAAACTGTCTTTTTTTCCTTATGACTGGATTAAAGAACCAGGTAAACAAAAGTTGAATGTGCATTTATCCATAATGTACTACAATGAGCATTCTTATTCAAAGTAAATTCATATATTTTAAAGAAGACATCCTATACTTTTGATCAACCTTATGGGAATCTAAAATGCTTTTGATTTCTATATACTCGGAATCATAGAAAGCCCTTGCTAGGCCGGGCACGGTGGCTCATGCCTGTAATCCCAACACTTTGGGAGGCCGAGGTAGGCGGATCATGAGGTCAGGAGATCGAGACCACCCTGGCTAACATGGTGAAACCCCGTCTCTACTGAAATACAAAAAATTAGCTGGGCAAGGTGGCAGGCGCCTGTAGTCCCAGCTACTAGGGAGGTTGAGGCAGGAGCATGGCATGAACCCAGGAGGCAGAGCTTGCAGTGAGCCGAGATTGCGCCACTGCGCTCCAGCCTGGGCGACAGGGCGAGGCTCCATCTCAAAAAAAAAAAAAGAAAAGAAAGCCCTTGCTGGATGCGGCCACTAGAACCAACTGAGCCAAACGCCCACTTTTCACAAGGCCCTGAAAGGTGAAATATCATCCCAAGGTCACACAACTTCTTAAATTACAGAAGAAAGAATCACTTTCAATAGCAGTTCAATCATATTTACAAGCTCATTAAATAAAATGAGACTTTTTATGAGAAAACTGTGACATTTGATAGAATTGTAAACCACATTTGTAGGCAAAAAATAAACGTTTTATATAGCTTGACTTTAAATTGTTAACCGCGTCACTATTTTGACAATCCAAAAACAAGGTGGAAAATATAAGGCTCCTTCACCACATACTATATTTAACTTTCTCATTTTATATGTGGAACAGTGAAGATTAGATTGCAGGCTCTTTAATTTCAGGGTTCCTCTGTGTAAAGTATACTTGTTGACATCTTACAAGGTAATTCTAATCTAATCTAATATTCAGCTTGTCTTCCTCTTATTGGACCTAAGAAGCACAGCACCTTTGGTGAAAGAGTCCAGTGATATTCAAAGGAACCATGTAATGTTACCGGATGGACTATAGGCCTCAGCTTTCTCCAAAATGCTGCTGATGATCGAGGCACTCCTACCATGCCCCTCACTTCTTTCTGAATCCATACCAGAAGCCCAGTTAATGTCCACATTGCTACCAACAGTCTCTTTAAGGCAATCTACATTTTTCGTAGTACATTTCTCAAAATTCTTCTAGCCCTGTTCACTAACTCCAAAGCTATTTCCCCATTTCCTCTACCAAAATCTGTATTATCTCCCTATGAAAGCCGTAATAAATTACCACAATCATGGAAGATTAAAACAATGGGGATTCATTCTCTGGTCATTCTGGAGGTCCCAAGTCTGAAATTAAGCACCAGCAGGACCACCCCCTCCAAAGGCTTCTGGGGAGGAGTCTTTCCTTGCTTCTAGTTTCTGTGGCTGCTGGTGTTCCTCGGCTTCCTTGTCTCGTGATCTCATCACTGCAGTCTCCACCTCCATCTTCACATATCCTTCTCCTCTCTGTGTGTGTCAAATCTCCCTCTGCCTCTCTCTTATGGCAGTTATGATTGGATTAAGAGCCTACCCAGATAGTCCAGGATAATCTTCCCAAGTCAAGAACCTTAATTTTGTCACATCTGCAAAATATTTTTCCTTACAAGGTAACATACAGATTCCAGGGATTAGAACCAGCTACCTTGGAGCCATTATCCAGCCAATACAGAAACTAAAGAGATTTCGTAACTAAATGCAACTTGTGGTTTGAAACTCAGTCCTTTTAATATAAAGGACATTATCAAGATAACTAGCAAGACTTGAAAGGGATCTTAGGGATCAAGAAATTATTTGTTAATTTCTTGATTGCAATGGTTGCATTATGAATGTATAGCATATTTTTAGTAAATACACATGGAAATATTCACAGGTGATGGTGCATTAGTTCAGGAACTTATTTTCAAAATGATTTAAAAATAATTCTTTTACTGTACTTCCAACTTTCTGTAAGTTTGTGATTATTAAAAACAGTAACAACAATAAAAAATGTGAATGGAGAAAAAAAGAAAGAAGAGGGACCGGATTGAGGGACTACTAATATCTCCAGAGGAAGAAGAGGTTCAAGCAGAAAGGGAAATTCAACAAAATGCTATAGTACTGTTTAATCCCAAGGCATATCAAAAAGTGTGCTCTTTTCTGAGCTGCATTGTAATCTAAGCCTATATTTTTCTCACATTCCAGTATTCCTACTCCTTTGCATTTTTTTCCATCTCTTAGTAGGAGATAGCACATTTTGCTAAAATGACCTTCTTCTGAAAAATTCTCCATGATTTGCCTTTTCTCTCTTCGGGTTTTACTCACATAAATAAGAATTAGAGGGCAATGAATTATTCATTAATATGTTTTCTTGAATTTGAGGCTCTAAGCATAAATAATGATTCTAATAAGGGAAATAAATTGCACTATTAGAACAAAAATGGTTTATGTTTTAGATTAGCTACTCCCCTTATAAAATGGAACACAAATCATTGTTATTAAACATATATATTCCAAATATAAGGTAAAATTTGCACATGGAAAAATCTGAATTCTCCTTCCCTTCAAAAAAGCCTTCTATTGTTTTTCTTTTAAGTGAAAAACAGCATAAAACATTATTTTGGCCACCTACCCCAACTACCTTGTATTCCAATAAACAAAATGGCACGTAAACCAACCTTTAATGATTGCATTTCAATTATTAACATGATTGTTTTAATTACATGTTTGTGTTTTAATGATAAGTGTAACCATCACCTTGTACTGCGTTATCACCTTTATGATTACCTTGAGTTTAATACCCAGATTAATCCAACGGCATACTGCAGCCTTTACAAGCTTGTGGGGTGCACAGTGATGCAAATGGAGACTACTGAAAGTTCTAGAGCTTTCCACTCCTGCAGAAAGTGACTTTGGAGTGCAAATGTATTTAAATATTAATATATTTCCATCAATATCATTATGTAGTGGAATATTTTCTGTATGCCAGGAATTTTTTCATTCACTAAATGTTTATTGAATGTCAGCTATGTGTCAAAGGCATTGGTCTTTCCATGGAGGAAAGAGTATTGTGCCCACCTTCACAAAATTTATAATCTATTGGGTGAAACTCTATACTTGGTGCCTGTGTGTCTATAACTCAAGGTGTTAATGACTAGTTAATGACTAATGGCAGGATATCCAAATATAGGTAATGGTGAAATACAGTAATAGACTGGGAGGGATGGCAGGCTTGAAAAACTATTAAATCATATAAACAGAACAAAAGACAAAACCACATGATTATCTCAATAGATGCAGAAAAGGCCTTTGACAAAATTCAACAACGCTTCATGCTAAAAACTCAATAAATTAGGTATTGATGGGACGTATCTCAAAATAATAAGAGCTATCTATGACAAACCCACAGCCAATATCATATGGAATGGGCAAAAACTGGAAGCATTCCCTTGGAAAACTGGCACAAGACAGGGATGCCCTCTCTTACCACTCCTATTCAACATAGTGTTGGAAGTTCTGGCCAGGGCAATCAGGCAGGAGAAGGAAATAAAGGGTATTCAATTAGGAAAAGAGGAAGTCAAATTATCCCTGTTTGCAGATGACATGATTGTATATCTAGAAAACCCCATTGTCTCAGCCCAAAATCTCCTTAAGCTGATAAGCAACTTCAGCAAAGTCTCAGGATACAAAATCAATGTACAAAAATCACAAGCATTCTTATACACCAATAACAGACAAACAGAGAGCCAAATCATGAGTGAACTCCCATTCACAATTGCTTCAAAGAGAATAAAATACCTAGGAATCCAACTTAAAAGGGATGTGAAGGACCTCTTCAAGGAGAACTACAAACCACTGCTCAATGAAATAAAAGAGGATACAAAGAAATGGAAGAACATTCCATGCTCATGGGTAGGAAGAATCAATATCGTGAAAATGGCCATACTGCCCAAGATAATTTATAGATTCAATGCCATCCCCATCAAGCTACCAATGACTTTCTTCACAGAATTGGAAAAAACTACTTTAAAGTTCATATGGAACCAAAAAAGAGCCCGCACCACCAAGTCAATCCTTAGCCAAAAGAACAAAGCTGGAGGCATCATGCTACCTCACTTCAAACTATACTACAAGGCTACAGTAACCAAAACAGCATGGTACTGGTACCAAAACAGAGATATAGATCAATGGAACAGAACAGAGCCCTCAGAAATAATGCTGCATATCTACAAATATCTGATCTTTGACAAACCTGACAAAAACAAGCAATGGGGAAAGGATTCCCTATTTAATAAATGGTGCTGGGAAAACTAGCTAGCCATATGTAGAAAGCTGAAACTGGATCCCTTCCTTACACCTTATACAAAAATTAATTCAAGATGGATTAAAGACTTACATGTTAGACCTAAAACTATAAAAACCCTAGAAGAAAACCTAGGCATTACCATTCAGGACATAGGCATGGGCAAGGACTTCATGTCTAAAACACCGAAAGCAATGGCAACAAAAGCCAAAATTGACAAATGGGATCTAATTAAACTAAAGAGCTTCTGCACAGCAAAAGAAACTACCATCAGAGTGAACAGGCAACCTACAAAATGGGAGAAAATTTTCGCAACCTACTCATCTGACAAACGGCTAATATCCAGAATCTACAATGAACTCAAACAAATATACAAGAAAAAAACAAACAACCCCATCAAAAAGTGGGCAAAGGACATGAACAGACACTTCTCAAAAGAAGACATTTATGCAGCCAAAAAACACATGAAAAAATGCTCACCATCACTGGCCGTCAGAGAAATGCAAATCAAAACCACAATGAGATACCATCTCACACCAGTTAGAATGGCAATCATTAAAAAGTCAGGAAACAACAGGTGCTGGAGAGGATGTGGAGAAATAGGAACACTTTTACACTGTTGGTGGGACTGTAAACTAGTTCAACCATTGTGGAAGTCAGTGTGGCGATTCCTCAGGGATCTAGAACTAGAAATACCATTTGACCCAGCCATCCCATTACTGGGTATATACCCAAAGGACTATAAATCATGCTGCTATAAAGACACATGCACACGTATGTTTATTGCGGCTCTATTCACAATAGCAAAGACTTGGAACCAACCCAAATGTCCAACAATGATAGACTGGATTAAGAAAATGTGGCACATATACACCATGGAATACTATGCAGCCATAAAAAATGATGAGTTCATGTCCTTTGTAGGGACATGGATGAAATTGGAAATCATCATTCTCAGTAAACTATCGCAAGGACAAAAAACCAAACACCGCATATTCTCACTCATAGGTGGGAATTGTACAATGAGAACACATGGACACAGGAAGGGGAACATCACACTCTGGGGACTGTTGTGGGCTGGGGGGAGGGGGGAGGGATAGCATTAGGAGATGTACCTAATGCCAAATGACGAGTTGATGGGTGCAGCACACCAGCATGGCACATGTATACGTATGTAACTAACCTGCACATTGTGCACATGTACCCTAAAACTTAAAGTATAATAATAATAATAATAAAAAGAAAAACTATTAAATCAGCTCTCATTCATCTCCAGGGCCACTTTTAAGAAAGAATTAGGATTGTTTATTGTCTTACTCACTTTGGGCTGCTGTAACAAGTATCAGAGACTAAATGGCTTAAACAGAAATTTATTTCTCACATTTCTGGAGGCTAGAAAGTCCAAGATCAAGGTGCTGGCAGACCCGATGTCTGGTAAGGGCTCTCTTACTGATTGGTAGACAGCTATCTCCTTGTATCCTCACATGGCAGAGAGAGGTAGGAGTAGCCCTCTTCCTTTCATGAGAGCCCTCATTCCTCCACACTCATAAGGTCACTGCCCCGCAAATCCCCACCTCCTAATACCACTGCTTTGGGGATTAGGATCTCACACATGAATTTTGGGAGAGCACAAATAGTCATTCCATAGCATTTACTGTCTCCAGAGATTTTGCCCTTCCCACACACTCCCTAATGCAGTCTGTCCTGTGTTTTGAGACATGCATGCTCTTTGCATAGAGGAGCCTGGAACTCACTCATACCTCAAGAAATAGGCTCTGGAACAAAAGGCTAAGAAAAATGCCAGTGTCACATTAATTCAACTGTCTGTGTCATTTCATTTGTTTAAAAAGTAATGATGATGATAAATTTTTAATAAGGGAACCATGGGTACAGGGTTAAAAGACGCCGGGCGCGGTGGCTCATGCCTGTAATCCCAGCACTTTGAGAGGCCGAGACAGGCGATCACGAGGTCAGGAGATCGAGACCATCCTGGCTAACATGGTGAAACCGCGTCTCTACTAAAAATACAAAAAATTAGCCGGCCTGGTGGCGGGCGCCTGTAATCCCAGCTACTCGGAAGGCTGAGGCAGAATGGTGTGAACCCGGGAGGCGGAGCTTGCAGTGAGCGGAGATCCCGCCACTGCACTCCAGCCTGGGCCACAGAGCAAGACTCCGTCTCAAAAAAAAAAAAAAAAAAAAAAAAAAAATTACGGAAAGAAATCAAAACTGGGGACAGTCACTATCTCCCAAACTGGATGTCCCACGACAAGGGCTTCTTTGCCCTTCCACTAATGTGCCCACCTGACTTTCTGGTTCTTCTTGTCCTATCCAACAGATCTACTTGATACTGCCACACTTGTTGATCTCCACTGATCTCTGTTTCACATCCACCATCTGTACTCTTTGCTCCTCTCCTCCCTGAGCTTACTGTTACTAGGCTCTTCTGCTCTGCTTAAGAAGGAGCCCTCAGGGAACATACGACCTGCACAATTATTGCCCCTCTTATTTTCTGCAGACCCGTGTAATTACGGGTAACTTCCAATGTTTCCACTTTAATTATTGCTTTGGGCTGTGTGTAACTTCCAGGTTTGTTGCTATTTTAGGTCTAAACTTTTAAGAAATGTAAAGTATTAAAGTAATGGCCTTCGTGCCTTTCTTCTTAAAGATGGAAGTTTGGACAAACTTTATAATCAGTGTGCACATTCTATACAGAAAATGTATCTAGTACCACAACATGCTCAGCACTGTGCCAGGTGCCATGTAAGACAGGAATCACATGACATTCCTGTCAGATCAAAAGACAATATATTATAAAGAAATGAATTGAATATAATCAGGTATCAAAATACAAAATGCTTTGAATGCAATGGGTGTTCAGAAAAAGAAAAAAAAAAGCTACTGGTAGAGCTACCATAAATTTGGTCAGGGACTCAGAGGCCTAGAGAGGTGGGAGGGAGGCACTGGATCTAGAGGTTAAAGCACCAGATATAAATAAATGCACAGAAGAGGAGTAAGTTTGATTCAAGAAAGAGAAAGAACGGATACCCTTTACAAGGTTTAGTTTGTAAAGGACCCCATAGAATGAGAACTCTGACTTTGATCTACTGAGAAATGCAGCCACTGAAAACCACTGGATAGGGAATGATAAGGAGTTTTTCTGGTAAGTTACAAAGAATGGGGCAATGATCCAGTTCATATTCAGTTATTAAGAATAAACGACAAAAAGGAGTCAGAACAATACTTTGAACACAAAAATCACCCAATAAAAATGTTGACTACTATGAAATAATGTCAGGGACTAGTATGGTAGTAGTGGAAATGTTGGGAAAATAAATCTTATTGGAAAAACAGCAAGATGTGTTTCAAAATATCAGGAACAAAAAGACAACTCCAAGATTTTTTGAGAGGATAACTCTTATCTAGATTTTCCTATAGAAACACACATTTAATGACTTTGAAAACATGTACTTTACTGTATAATACTTATTTCAATTCACAGCCAATTCTTTTGGATTCCTAAATAACTGACCAACTTGTAACCCATTTCAATATTTCTAATCTATTCCAACATGAACAAAATTTTCAAATTGTTTGGGTAAATTAGCAAATGAATAGCTGTCCTCGATTTAGAATTAGAGACCTGGATTGACATCTTGGTTCACTCTAGGTAACCTTGAGCATGTTACTGAACCACTCCGAGCCATTTCTTACAAAATGGGACTACAAATCACTCTAAGGTTTGTTGTGAGGATTCAATGACATTAACACATTCAACACCTGGGCCTTATATTTGAAAATACTCAAAAAATTTCTTTACCTTCCTCTCCCCTTAGTAAGATAGGAGTTATAGTCTCTAGCCAGATCTAATTGTTCATGCTTTTTAGTATGTAACAGAATGTAATGAAAGAGTTGGAGAGTGAAATGGGAATGTGAAAAAAACTTATCTTTCAAATTTAAGAAATAGTAATCTAAAAATGACTTCACCCTGGGATTCAAGTTGGCTATCTTTCAGGGTAGTACATGAGAGACCCTAGCTCCCACTAGATCTACCCATACAAAGATGGGCTCCAATACGTGAATTCTTCATCTTCCCTTTCAGGGGACCATTTAAGATTCATCTTACACTTCCTATGATCCAACTCCTTCTGACATATTCAAGCATGCACATTTCTTGTTAGGAAAAGCAAGGTATAGGCCCCTAAAGGCTGAGTTAGTATCAGGTCATTTTTTGATCATTAAAAACCATTAACTAAAATACAAACAAGAGGGGGGGAAAAGCAGAATTTTTAAAAAAAAGCATTTTATGAAATCTGAAGGCAACATAATTATGAAGTTAAAATGTATTCATTCCTAGATTCAATTAACTAAAGAAATGCATTAGGGATTAGTCATTCACCAGTGGTTTATGTATAGTTTTAATATTAGCCTAAATTAAATATATGTAAGAGGATAATACTCTCCGGGGAAGGAAATATAAATCTAACTTCTATTTTTTATCCACACCATTACTAGAATAAAATTCATTAATTTCAGTGCAAATTCAGGAATTTTACGTAACCATTGAAGAAATTTTAATGTCCTACCATAAAATTCTAGATTAACAATTTTTAAAAAAAGACTGAATACAAACTATCTGAAGACATTAATCAAATTTTTAATGTACCAATTTATTGCATATGTCAGTACAGAAAAATAGAAAGTATATTTTAAAAGAAATTTATTGTAAAAAACAAATGTAAATGTTTGCTTGCCATGGTTAGCACACAATGTACTATGACATTCAAATTTGAGTTATAAAATTTTATCACTTCAAATAAAATATGGCAAATAACAAAAATATGATTTACATTATGAAATGGGATTAACTTATTTTATACTGAACATACTTGAATATGTTAAAAACAACTTGAATTTTCCATATACGCTGTACTGACAGAAATAATTATAAATTATGTTAAACACACACTCACCTGTTACATATGTATATACGGCACTTTTTGTAAAAAAGTGTCTCATACATGGTCCTATTTTTAAACTACATTTTAAGATACAAAATATAAATGGAGGTATATTTGCGCCATTTGGCAAAAATGTATAGACTAGTATTAAGATGACTGCATTTATCTTGCCATACAAATGAATATATTATTTCCAATTTGCTAAAACTATGTGTGTATATATATATATAGTATTAAGAATAAACAGAAGTACATTTCATTTTCTACCCTATCAATTTAAAAAATAAATGTCTGTGCTCTGTCATTTCCATCTTTACCTGAGTAATATGAAAATACCTAAATTTAAGTGGATAACCCAAAAGGGTTATGACTAATTTTTCCTCTCACAGTTTTTAAAAATACATATAATTATCAAACATAATAGGAAAATGGGAAAGAAGAATGAGTGGAAGAGTTCAGTATCTCAATCATGACTTAATTAAAAAGTGACTTCTGTGACATCCTTTTTACAAGTTTACCTTACCTATCCCTATCCTCAAGGAGAAAAGGGTCTCCTTAATATAAACTGCTCTTAAGCTATCTGAGCTTGAAAGATAATTTATAAAAAATGAAATATGGCCTTCACTCTTTAATTTCTCCACACCTATTCCCACAAAGCCAAACTTACAAACATAAGAAATTAATATATAAGCATCAGATGGTATGAATTCTCAACAGGTATTACAGCGTAATTACTCCAGTGACATATTACCAAAGCTGTAATCTATGTAAATATCAAGTGTCTACAGGTAATCATAAATTTAAGCAGCCCTGTAGCAAAATTCAGAACACCATTTTTATGAAAATATCCATTTTAACAGTCAAAAACCTAATTGCAAAAACAGGGTTGTTGCAATGGCAAGTGCTCCAGTCACTTTTTGTTAGAAATGCTTTGCATTCAAATGTTTTGCATGATTTCCTTTCACCAATCTCATTAATTCATTATTTTCTACATCTAAATTTAAAAACTGTGTCACACTTTCCTTTCTAGTTGTTTCTATCCTACTAGTATTCTATTACCTGTCACAAATTATTTCTTCTCTTATTTTGCAGAATTCTTTTTAGGGTCCTTTTTATATTTCTTTTTCACCAGTTTTTCCCCCCAATCATTCCCTTTAAAATAATGGATGTGAGATTTTATTCTAAATGAGCTGTATCTTGCCATATTTAAGATCACTCTAGGATCCCCAAATTTATAGTAACTTAATAACTTAAAGTTCTTTTGTAAACTCCTATAGCTGCTCTTGTATAAATAAGTCAGAAGTTAATACACAAGATAGATACATATACTTCCATTCCCACTAAGCAATGGGTCCACAGTAAAGGAGTGACTCCTGAAGAAGTCTCATTTTACTAAAACCAATTGCTTTGGCTACAAAACTAGAAATATTTTCAAAAATGATGCCATGGGCTTCATGGACCCCTGATACTAAGTTTGTTTTCCACCTCTTACCCATCTAAGGAAACAGTCTCAAATACAGATGCTAGTGGTGGTATAGCCCTAGGCACAGCCTCTGCCCTTAGCTGCAGAAAGAAAGGCTCCTTAACCCTAAGAGAATGAAGGTAGGGAACGCCAAACAAGTACTCTACAATTTTTGAAGTCCTGGCTTAAAATTTTAAAAGATAGTTTATAAACCTGGAGTATCAAAAAGAAAAAGCAGCATAAAAGCAAAATACTGATGAAGAAATAGCTTTTATACCTCATGAGCATATTTAGAACTAAAGCTGATAAATTTCTCCCTAGTGTAATGACTGATTACATAAAAACATAAGGTTTTTTTTTGTAAACTTTAAAGAATGATACAAATATAAGGTATGCCATGTAAGCTCGTGTCTAAATATACATTTTGTTGTATTTTCTTTTTAATACATTAATATTTAGAATAGTCATTCTACATAGCAAGGACTGACAAGAATAATCTTTAATTGTGGTGAATTTATACATACAAAATATGCCTTCCATGATATGCATTACCAACTTGTTTTAAAAAGCAAGACTTTTTACAATTAGTAATTTATAGAAAAACATTCTTAGAAATCATACTTGCTATAATTTATTTTTTCTAAATACCGGCATAAAGTGAATAAGAATGCTATTTGGCAAAAGTATTTCTAGCCCTATCTCCATTGAAAGTTTTAAATTAAGGTCAAGATTATTGACCCATTACTTCTCTGTTCTAGTTGCTTGCAGAAAGCCACTAAATATAGCTAAAATATTCAAAATATTATATGTTAAAGCTGACATAATATTACACAAAGCTCAATTACATCTAATTTTTGAGGACTGCATGAAACAACTTGGCACAATTATGACTCATAGCGTGTATTTTTATTAAGTAAATCCTGCAAGTTTCAAGGGGCTTTTTTCTAAGTAAGATTTTCTTACTTTTCTATACATCTAAATCCTACTTCCCACCTATAGCCATTTAACTGCTAAATGTGGTAATAGGTTTTGTGTCAAAAAGCTCCAGAATTCCTTCATTCCCACACTCCTACATGTAAAACTTTTAAAATCAATAAATAAGACTTCCTAAAACTGTCTTTTGATTGTAGGAGTTCTATTTCACAGCAACTGGAACATTAAAACCAAGAACATTGTTTTGTTGTTGTTGTTGTTGGATTTTGTAACTTTTATTTTCAAGAAGTCCAATAAATGATATCTTGCCTTTGATAGGTTAGATATAACTAGGTACTGGGATTTAAAATCAAAGGTGAGAATTTTTATAAAGTAGTATGTACAATCCTGCAATGATAAAAGACTTCCTAATTTAATTCTAAGTAGTGCTAATCTTCACTATGACTGCTATTAGTGGTTCAGCTGAAGACTTACAAAATCGATAGAAGCTAAAATTCTCTTTGCCACCAAAGTTACAAATGTTAAAAAGTTCAAATATGCACATCAAAGCTGCAGTAAAATTCTAAATTTCTATTTCTACATGCCATGATCCAGACTGTACCTAACAAAAACACGGTACATTTGTATTGGAAAACAGGGTCCCATTTATTTGTAAGAAAAAGCTGGATCTCAGCATTCACCAGAGCAAAATTCAATGGCAACCTGCACATAAGTCTCAATTTCACTTCTTGCCAAAAACAAAATAGAGTTTACATAAAAATAGATATAACCCAGATAACCATATACATCAGTATATGACCAGTGCTATTTACATGTAAAATGTTGCATTGCATAATTCAAGGAATAAAATACCATCATGCATTTCATTTAACTTTTAAGGTGAAAAATGCAGTTACAGAACTAAGTTTGCTTACCATGATTGTCCCAATATTTACTTAAGAAACAATACCCAAAGGTTTCTTGTTTACATATCTCTTTCCACATCTAGCTATTCATCTGTGTAACAGATTACACCACTTTAGCAACAAGAAACTTTTGAACAATATCTATTATACTGACATATTAAACTGAAGATATGAATACATAATCACACTGAAAGTTTTGATGAAAATGTATGAAAGAATCCCAAGAATTAGTTTTTCCAATGTAAAAAACTATTTGGAATATCGTAAAGGAGCAGTGAAGTCCTTTCAAAGTTTAATGTCACTCTTCAGACAGGTACAGACATAACACACTTCTAAAAGGAACATTCTTTATCATTCTGCACAAATTAAAATACAATGCAATAATCAAAAAGGGAAACATTATATAATTGTTACATTAGATGAAGTTTTTGCCATTTCTTCAGGAGAATGGCTCTTTACGACTTCTTTGATGAACTGTTCAAGTGCAGTGAAATAGCCTTGGCACTGCCATGTGTCATTGTGAGTCCCATCTGGAAAAATGGCTAATCTCTTAGTCCGAGATGGGGAGAGTTCATAAAGTTGTTTCATCATTACTGGTGGAATTAATTGATCTGAGAGTCCAGAGATGAAAAGTGAAGGCATTCTACACTGAGAGATTTTTCTGTAGGACAAAAATTTATTTTTGTAGCACCATAAAGGAAGGTAACGCATCGGAAAGAATGAAAATAAAGTGCTGGCCATATGTGGTATGCTTAAAAATGTGTTCTCCACCATAATGGCTGAAATCCTATGTGAATTTTCAGAAGCCAAATGAATAGCCACTGCTCCACCCAAGGAACGGCCAAAAAGAAAAATTTTTGTTTTATCAAGGTCAGGTCTAGTCATCACGTAGTCTAACACAGCTTCAGAATCTAAGTAGAGTCCTTCTTCACTTGCTTCTCCTTCACTTTTTCCATATCCTCGATAATCAACCAGCAAAAGGTTAACTTTGAGGTTAACCAACATAAGTAATGCATTTGGCAACCTGTGACCTATGTTGCCTGCATTCCCATGAAAATAAATTATAGTTGGGGAATAGGGTGAATTGTCTCCAGTGTATCGTATCAAAATAAGATTCAGACGTATTCCATCTTTGGTTCTGATGAAAATGTTTTCATGTGGAATGCCAGTGGGCATGGGAACATAAAGACGTGAAGAGGATGGCTGTTCTGGAAAATAAAGCAATACATCCTGGAATTTATACAGAATACCTGCTATTGATATGAATATTAACAAAAGTAAGATAATGCCTCCATACAGATGAAAAGTCACTATTAAAGGTAAAAGAGAAATACGGCAGAGAGCCCAAGACCATGAAGCCAAGGCTATTAGCCATCTTTCAACAAAGTTCCACAGCATCCAGGACTTTTCCATTGTAGCTCTCTGTAAGTATCCTAGAGAGAGAGAGGGAGAATATCAATAATTCAACGTCTATCTATTCTTTTAAAAATCCACAATATAATAAACTATGGTACTAGGCCACATGTAATTGTTAAATATGGTAATAGGTACAGTCCATCCACAAAAGTAGCTGCTATAATTTCCCTTGTCCTTTCTGTTCTCAACAGTTTCCTTTCTACCATATCCCTCCACTGTCATATTTAGGAAACACTAATATTCTTCAAATTAACTCATTTTTAACAAGTGCTTATTCTTCATATACGTGTTCTCACGGATTTGACCCAAAAAAAGTTGATGCGATAGTGTCATTTTTTTTTTTTAATGAGAAAACAGAAGCTCAGGGGCATAAGTAGACTGGCTATCATCTGCTTCTCAATGTAGAAGAGCTGGGAGGCAAACAAGCATGATTCTAGAGATTGTGGTACATCTGCTGTTAGGTTACGTATGTCCAGGGCAAACTGTACTGAAAAGGCAGTTCAGAAATTCCAACATAGCAAGACCAATCTAATATACTTTGTCAATTTTTTTCACATACGGTAGCAAAAACTAAAGAAACTAGGGTAAGGAGTTGGGCAAAACAAAATAAAACAAAAAAAAACAACTAGGGAAAGAAAGAATAAAAGTATCCCCCCTCTACCTCGAAGTTTTAATACTAAACTTAAATAATTTGCTTAAACACTAGATTCTAATATTGTATTAGTTTTAAGAAAATTATTAATGATTTATCTTTCATATGTAATTAAAAATAAATATCATATTGCTAGTGTCATGAGATCGGCAGTATCTTTTATATACTCTTTAATGAAGTTTCACGTCCTGGGGTCAATAGATTGCTAAAATGTATTGATAAGGCAATAAATACTTGAGGGTTCAGTGTGAAACAAATACACAGAAATCCTCTGAGAAACAGAGATAAATAAAGTAAAATGACTCACTGGAGAACAATTCTTAAAAAGATTACTAAAATATGTTAACTGATATAAAGAAAGTAAAAACTATTAAAAGAGAATTTTTTGTTATCAAAAGGTTTATACATGTTGTCTTAAAAAGGCAAAAGAATTGAGATATGTTACAAATTTTCTTATGTACTATTCGTCTACTTATGCTTATTTACTGAACTTTTAAAAATACTACATTTCCTTCTTTCCCACTGACCAAACTGCTATAAAGAGGTTATAGATTGATTATACAAATAATGAGTTGGATGATTTAACAAATTTGATTTTTTTCTATTATTTCACTAAACATAGACTTTTACATTTGAATTATTATTCAAATGAACTGAACCTTTTTGAGCATAAACCAACATTTTTCTGATTTCCCAGAAATCAACACTGCCACCCAGTGGTAGCAAGTTTTATTACAGTATCACATCCTCCCTGAATAACTATTTATCACTTATTTCCAGTCTCAATTGCCTTTTCAGTAGAATGAGTTTTTAAAATGCTTACCTATGAGGCTGGTCATTAGTATCAAGTAAGATTAATAATGAGATCATTCATAAATGTTACAGACATGTTAACTTTATTTGCTTTTGTGACTGGTATTTCTGGCTCTACTACTTTCTTACTGTGTTCTGCTCAAATTAGTTCTTACTTAAAAAATTATATAAAACCAGATAAAATAGCTCCAAATACACGAATAAGGCATATTTTAAAATTTGAATCTTATATTTACATTTATATCAATTTACATAGTTAAATTTTCAACTAATGAACTTTGAAAAGTTATTTTCGTTTTAGTAGCCTCTAACATCTAATTTTAGCAAATACTGAATTAAAATTTATAAGACTAGGAATTGTATATCTCTTTTTCACTATTGCATCTCTAATATCTAGTACAGCACTTTATATATACTTACGACTAAAACATTTTTAAAATAATCTAATTACATATACGAATTATTCAATTTATTTTAAAAAAAGTATTCTGAGCAGTGGGCATATATGTTTAAAACAACATCAGAAAAATGGGCGTATTTGTTTGGGTCTATTACTGGCTAGGAATAATAAGGGATAAACTTACCGTTTTCCACAAAACATTCCTGAAAAGTCACATTAACTAAACTGTTTTGTGATAAACAATCATAATCTCACAATCAGTTGTTGCACTATGGAAGTCGGAATAAAAGTCCATTCATCTTGAGTAATATCAAATGGAAGTCATTTTTAAGAACAGGTTAATAAAAATTGCTCTGGGGTGGCGGAGTGCGTGGGTATGGGTGTGTTTTCTCCTTAACATATTCTTATATTGCTGGTTTAGAGTAAGAACTCCACTCACGGATTGCCTTATTTTTACCTAACCCCACTTGCTAATAATCTCTGTTCCCTAGTCTGTATGATATATATTTCCATCTCAAAGGTGATCTTAAAGGAACCAGGACAAGTGAACAATATCAGGAAGGATTTTTAATTTACTGAATTTGCTGAAAGTATCAGCAAAGCATAATTACCATGCACC
The DNA here is from genome assembly GCF_000001405.40 of Homo sapiens. Lineage (NCBI taxonomy): Eukaryota > Metazoa > Chordata > Mammalia > Primates > Hominidae > Homo > Homo sapiens. The sequence continues at coordinate 108,226,731 of NC_000013.11, read as the reverse complement.
ATCTGCTGAGATGTAAAAACAACTTCATACCCAGATGTTATGACAGTCAATAGAAACAAACACTGCCTCTAATAAAGTCGACTGCATGGATCCTACAGCCAGCATTATGTTTTCTATTGATTTTGTCAATAAATTAGTGTGAGTAAACGGTTAACAAAACCTTTCTCCCTCTTCAGATAAAAAATGACCTCTCCTTAACCTTCCTGCACTGTTTCCCTGGAAACCTGATAAAGGTGGGATATCAGCTGTGTTTCTAAGCAACAGTGTAGTAAAAATGGCTCCTACTGATGAGCTACATCTGGACTGAGAGGACAGTGAGCAGGGCTAAACATGCCCAGTGGGAAGTATAAACAGGGGCTTTTCTGAATTGAATACGACCTGTAATTGGCTTGTCATTTGCTTAGTCCTGGATGCTATACTCACATGCTGTCACAAAAAGACACTGTTTCCTGTGGAGCATGAAGCAGCTAAGCCAGGGTGGTGCTCACTCCCACCCTTGTGTCATTTTCCACTAGACCTGAGCTATCATCTGGAACAATATACCTAACACTGACATGTTGGGTTTTCAAAAAAGCAGAAAGGCTGATGCACAGTACGGTCCACTATGGTATACTGGGTCTTGTGAGTATCAATGTCCAATTGACCCCAAGACCACTGCTACTAGTCATGAAGAATGAGTGAAGCAATCAAGTATGTCCCATGTGGTAAAACACCTATAAAACGTGTCTTCAGAGGAGATGTATTATTTGTTGGGTTCTTCTGCATGTGAAATCCATTTGCTGATAACATCTTGGCATCATAAAAATCAGGAAAAAGGATGCATTTAATACACTCAAACTTATACCAACTAGAAGGGCTGCTGAGTAGGAGAGCCAATTAGACCTGTTCCATGTAGAATATAGAAATGTAGATAATCAATAACTTCTCATCTTCCAGTCTTCTTTTACATCATTATTGTATGTATTTTTAACCTTATGTCTACATCTTAAATGAATACCTGACAGTCCCATTTCTCAATTTTCTGTTTGCTATGTTATCAGATCTGGTATTACATGTCAGACATTTCTAAAACCCACCAATCTGTGGTTTTAACCACCGCCAGTAACTCCTTAACCATTTACTATCTGAGAACTTGCTGACTGACTTCTCATAATGATCTCTCATACAATGTAAACTTCACTTTAAAATAAATCTAGTGGATTTTTCTCAATCCACACTGCAACACCAGACCCCCAAAGTGTCATCTGCTATTGGCTTCTCCTCTACACTCAAATTGCTGTTTCTCTCTGCCCTATACCCCGAAAAGCAGGCATTTTCCAAGGTCTTCTCCACTCATTTAGGATACTATGTTCTTTCCCTCAGTGATTTCATTCCTTTTCATGGCTCCAATTATCACACCTGTGTATGAATTATTCCCAATCTACAAGTCTACTCTTCATCTACAATCTCAATTTACCTGTTCCTCACGTACCTGATGCTTCACTGATATTTCAAACTTATCCAAAACTAAACACATCCTGCTCCCTTCCCAACGTTTTGCAGACTTTATGCTAATTATACACAAAAAAAGCATGATGTGTAAACAAATACATTTTTTAAAAACCCAGGATATGTAGCTAAGATTTAAGTATTACAGTTTATTATAACCTGTACCAGTCTTGTATTTGAATGAAAAAAAAATCAACCTTAGAAACAACTTTTGTGCTTTCTAAATGAAGTGGTTTGAGGTGTCACATTGATATTAGTGAGTGTGTCTCAAAAAATAATCTACTGAAAGCATAACTAATCTTTATTATCATGTACTGTATAAATTAGATATGATTGTTTTCCTTTTACAAGAATGGTTTTGCAGTATTAGTGACATCCTGCTATACTACATAAGTAGTTTGATCATCTGATGCAATTTAATATATGGTGCTCATCTTGAGGATTTATGGTCCTAATTGGCTGGTTGTAGTCACCTCTAGTGCTCCCTACTTACTGTCTCTAAATTTAAGTCCATGACGGGTATACAATAAACAATTTGAGACTAAAAATAAGAGCCGTCTAGAACTGTAAAGCTCTCAGACCACCTTGCTGGCTAACAGTGTTAGCTGGATGGTAAGTCAGCTAAGGGCATGAGTGATGGCCATGCTTCTCTGATGTCTACTAATCATCTCCTGTGTTCATATAGGATCACGAATGGTTCCATTTTTAAGGAAAAATATTTCATTTAAATAACTATTTTATAAACTGATGCTTTAGAAAAAGAGATCAATATTGAAGTCATGCCCACTACGAATGGTATGAGTCCTCAGAATATCACTGCAGGCTCCCAGGGGAGCTGTGAAACCCAGCGTGGACCACTGAAGCAGGCCTACAGTTGATTTCCCAGCCTCTTCCGTAAGAGATGGTCATCAGATTCCAATGCATCCTAGTATACTATACAGTCCTTGCTCTCAAGTAGCTTGTGATCTACTCAGTAACGTTCAAGCAACTCTTGAGGTACTCGGGAGACAGATATGGATATAAATAACTACATACCTAACGTAAGTTCATTTAATTATAGAGCAGACAAAGAAAAATCAAAGAAAGATGACAATTGTCATTACATATAGCAAAGGAAAATCAAAACCTTAGCTGTATCTTTCCTTCACAACATAATTTTAGTAGTCTCTGGATTTCATCAAGGTTGATTACTTAGAGAAACCAAGTGGAAACTTATGCAATGTTTTAAAAGCAGGACAAAACATAACTCCAGGATTAAGAATCTCTATTACTTTCCATCAAACAGCTGTCTGTGACACTTATTTTTATTCATTTAGCACGATTATTCACAGAAACTGCAAGTATTCAGCATAATCTAAATAAATACTTGGCAAGGATAGCATAGAGGAATTTAGAGCTGTTAAACTGGATGAACTTTGAGGGCTCTATTAAATCTGAGATCTTTCTATGCCAGTGGTTCTCAAAAGGTGGTCAGAAACCTGAGGGTCCCCAAGACCCTCTAATGGGGTCCACAAGATCAGTATTATGCTCATAATAATACTAAAATATCATTTACTTTTTTCACTGTTTGACACTTGCACTAATGATGCATAAGCAATGATGGGTAAAATTGCTGGTGCCTTTGTAAGAATCAAGGTAGTGGCCTCACGTGTTGGAGTCACTGTATTCTTTATCACCATGAGCTCACGGTAAATGAGGGAATAATCCAGTTTTACTTAAGAATGTCAAAGAAGAAGCAGTAAAAATTATTTTATCTCAACTAACAAGTACACATCTTTTTAACACATTGTGTGACAAATGTGTGACAACACTGGAAGTGCACATAAAGCATTTTGTGCTATGTATTGAAATACATTTGAATTGTGAGCTGAACTAGCTGCTTTGTTCAGGTAACAACATTTTTATTTAAAAAGACAACTGACAAACTATGGTTGTTCAGACTTAGAGGTTTGGCAGATATTTACTAGAAAATGAATGAGGTTGCCAATAGCTCCTAGACACTTAAGGGACCTTTTTGATGGCACTGTGGTAATCTATTAATATTAAACATGTCACCATTTGGAAAAATCTGCATAACTCCATAAACCAATATATTCCAAATGACCAATGAATGGTGTCACAAAATCAAGCAAACGTGAGTAAAAAATTCACTACAAACCAACAGATTTTGATGTAACAAGAGACAACAATTTCTCTGATGTAGGTTTCAGATGGCACAATATAACTGACCTTTAAGGAAGTGCCTCCTGTTGGGTGATGGAGTCGTACCAACGAGTACCCACAATTCTCTACTACAATACTCTTCCCTTTACAACTACAAATTTGTGTGAGCCTGACTTTCTTCATGTTTCACTTTAAGAGCCTAATAATCTGCCTGTCTTCTATGAGGCAGACATTAAAGATAATTACAAAAATATAATCCCACACCTCTATTTTTTGTAATTACAATTGTTTTATATAAAATTTTATTTATGTGAGTATGTAATGAACTTACTACTGCTATTTTTAAATGAATTAAAACTTCCAGTTTTCCAATTTTAATTTATACACTTTATAAACTTCCAGTTTTCCAATTTTAATTTATACACTTTATAAACTTCCAGTTTTAATTTCTAACACAATAAATATCTATATAATCCACATACATACAAAAAAATCTTTGGGATCTTTACATTTCTAAAATGTAAACGGTCTGAGACCAAAAAGCTTGAGAACCACGGTTCCATACTATTTAACCATATAACTGTATTGCCTTATGCCCCAGAGACTTGCCTTCTTCAAATTAAGAAAGATATATTACATTTTTTTAAATCCTTTCTGCATTATAACATATATAAATATATTTAAGGTTTTTACCCAGTAATATTTTCTCCAAAAACTAAAAATAAATAAAAACTTATATATATCAAGAACTGAAACTCAAAAGTATAGGAGTAAATACATTGTAATTATTGCCGTAAGGTTAGTAGGAGAATAAATTAGACAAATCTATTGTATCATAGATAACATTTTACAATAAAAATTGTATTTTAATGAAGGTCAGAACTGCCCTACAAATTAAATTCTAGTTATTCTAATTATTTTTAATTAAAAAGTGTACATTGGGCCAGGCATGGTGGCTCATGCGTGTAATCCTAGCGCTTTAGGAAGCCAAGACAGGTGGATTGCCTGAGCTCAGGAGTTTGAGACTAGTCCGGGCAACATGGTAAAACACCGTCTCTACTAAAAATTACAAAAAATTAGCCGGGCATGGTGGCGCGTGCCTGTAATCCCAGCTACTAGGGAGACTGAGGCATGAGAATCACTTGAACCCAGGAGTCGAGGTTGCAGGGAGCTGAGATCGTGCCACTGCACTCCAACCTGGGTGACACAGTGAGACTATGTCTCAAAAAAAAAAAAAAGTGTACATTGTTTTGCATATTGTATATCGAGTTACGGATTCTGCCACCAGCAAATGGTCTTTTAAAAATACAAAAAAGTGCATTACCCATAGTGAATTACAATGAATTTCCGAAAAACAATTTGGCAAAAGGCTAAACAATTTCAAATACAATTAAAAAGTCCTAAGTCATAAAGGCACTATTATTTCTTTAAAGATCTTTAAGTCCATCCTAGATTGATAATTTTGGGAACAGCTTGTTTAAAAATAAAAACTGTTCATACATTTAAAAAAAATGTGCAGGTTCAAGTGAAGACTGTAAAAAGTGGAAAGGGAGTTCGTGTGTCAATGCCGACATCCACATCCCAGCAGAGAATGAGGACCCCACACCCCATGGGCTCATTAATTACTCTGGGTGAATCACAGCTTCCAATCACATGTGAAGTAATGTGGAACTCAGATTCAGTATTCTTATATCAATCTCTCTCCTCTTCTGTTAAGCATTGGGAAGTTAAGAAACCATGCCAGCTGCACAGCTGAAATGGAAACACAAATAGCTGCTATCAAGGTGTTGGAGACACCACAGAATGAATTATCTATTTCCCTAATGGTTACCCACATGCCATCAATAATGAAAAAGTGTGTATTAATAGTCCTATGGGACAAATGAACAGTAACTGCCTATGGAGATGCTGGATAATAACTGGATGGTTCAGACAGCATCTTTAACTAGGATTTAAATCTGTATGAGCAGATAGCTCAAAAATTATACCAGGCAGCTACTTAGTAGCTTTTTCATGCTTGAAAATCTTGGCAAATAGAGTCAACTCTGGCAGAAGTAAAATGAGAGATTATTGTTACTATGGAAGCCAACCACAATTTGTTCTGAGATTATAAATATCTGAAATGTTTAAAACAAATCCACTAGCCTAAAACTGTAGTGATGTTAGACTGATAATGAAATTCACAAAGTTTCCAATTTATAAATGGGCAATGTTCTAAAACTTTACCTATAAACTAGATGGATGAAACTTAGAATATTTGTTTTGTATAAAACCAGTGTTATATAACATTGAGTATGTGAAAGTAAGTACAACTAGAAGCCTTACTAGAAGTATCTAGATTCTCAGGCTAGCTCATAAATGCATGTAGTCCCTGTACTGGAAATACTACATCTTTGCAAGGGATTTCAGCAGAATATACTGTTGTAGGAGTTCACACCATGTGAAACAGAAACATAAAATATAATAATGTATTACAAAATCTGTCATTTGAGGAAAAATATCTTACTTAGAAGAACTAGAGCATCTTTTAAGTCCACACGAAAAAAGGCTATTTAAAGGTCTTAAGACTTTCCTGGGGCAACTAAACAAGGATTAGAAAGATTTCAGAATCTGGGTAATACATTAAACAGAGAAACAGAAATAGATTCCCCTGAGATAAGTTATGAGAAGAGATCATGGGAAAATGTTAGATCCAACAGTTTCCTGCACCTATCACTAAGTTATATTGTTAGCCCAGGGCAATTTGGTTAGTAAACCCTCTTATCCACATGCCAAGAGGTCTTTGATGTGCCCAAGAAGAGGGCAGTGTGCCAAGGGCTACCTGTAGGTACCTGGCTTGCTTTAATCATTCCAAGTTAACTGTCAGTGGGAGGCAGTGTGGTGCAATGGAAAGGAGACAGTGTTTTGAGTCATGGTCTGTTAAGAGATAGGTAGCTTTTGCCAACTCACTTAGCCTCTCTAAATATATATTTCCTCGTATGTAAAAGGAGGATGAAAGATTAAATTGAACTACTGTTGAGATAAAATGTAATAGTGTGTTAAGTGCAGCTACTTCTATGAGACAAAATTTAAATTACTTAATTATGTACTATAGCAGAGTATGTGAAAGTAAGGACAACTAGAAGCCCTATTAGTCCTAGATCAAATAATGGATATGATTCCCTAGAGGTACCGTATCTGAACACAGGAAGTAATCAGAGCAATGCACTCTTTCTCTGTTAAAACCAAACTCAGGTAGTAGATCCTCTAGAAAGCTTTCCTTGGACCCCTATTCCCTCCTGCCACCCATTCCACATTCTGTAGTTTGTGCAAACTTACGTGGCAGAAGTTACTATTACAGCGTAATTAACCTGCTTACACAGGCTGTGAGTTCCTCGATGACAGAGACCTCGTCCTATTCAACTCTACATTTTCTGTACGCAGCAGTGCCTGATGCATAGTGGGCCTCTATTAACGATTATTTAATTGAGCAGCTGATGTCTTAGGTAGGATATCATGACATTAACACTAAATCGGCAATCAAGAAATCTTACACAGTAAAATAAAATTTGATATTTTAGTCAAAGACGAGTGATTTCCCTAAGCATGCATACAAATAAGTATTGATCCACGAACCCCCTCCCGTCAAAAGAGATCAGTGAAAAATCCAATATCAACACACAAAGCCAATATACTCATCTCTTTCTATCCAGTTACTATCACATAGTAAACATAAATAAGAGTTGTTAAATGGGGACGGACTTTTTTTTGGTTTCGATACCTTGGGTAGTAATACTAGTAATTCATTTTACTTAAATGTTGACTAAAATCTACAGCAAAATTGACTTCGATTGTATGGGGTGCTTTTTTGATGTTTCCTGAATAACCCCAGAACTTCCTGTCATGATATTCACAGGTCTAAACCTGTTACTGTCGTGATTAGATCGGGGCTCTCCCTCTCTCCAACCTAGTAGCTGGAATTATTCTATTTTACTTTTCATGTCTGTGTGGGAGGGTGGGGGAGCGGAGGGTTGGATTTTAGGGATCTTAGGTTTGTACACATTACTGGAAATACAATTGACATAGAACACTAAGATACGTTTTAGGTTCCAATTACAAAACGACACCCGGCGAGCCTCTGGCAATGCGCGCACCTTAGTTTCCAAAACAGGTATTTGGCTTCAGTTTGCTTCCCCTGGTGAGTGGTGAGCGGAGTCGGGGCGGCCGGCAGGGCTGCACCCCGGGCTGGTCCTCCACAACCCCCGGCGCTCGGCCCCCGCACGACCCCCAGGGGAAGCCGCACTAGCCCCGGGGCTCCCCCCACAGCCTCCCGGGAGGGTTTCGCGCCCGCCTGGAGGAGCCGGCGGCTCCCCGCGACCCTCCTAGAAGGAGCGGACCGGCGCTCGGGCCCCGCGGGCTCGGGGTCCCCGAGCCGCACTTACTCAGACTCGCGGACAGGCTGCGCAGTCGGCCGCGGGCACGAAACCGGGCGCCGCGCAGCAGCGTACCCCCGCGTCGCTTCCGTCGCTCCTCATCATCCTCCTCCAGCCCAGGGGCCGCTGCCGGCGCCACGGTCTAGCCCGGAGCTCCTGCTGCGAGCTGTGGCCCCACTTCCGGCCCCCGCTCGGGTGTCGCCGGCAAATGCCCCCGCCGGCTCCCACATAACCTGTTCTCCGTCTCCGCTCCCGGAGTGGGAACCCTGCCCGCTCTTCCGAGCATGCGCAGAAGCCGCTGCCAGTGAGCCCCCGCGACGGTGGCCCGGACGGAAAAGATACCTCGGCGGCGTGGGCCCGGCTCCCTGCTCCAGGACCTAGGGATCTTGGCCTTCCACCCTCCTCCGAGCACCAGGACTCCCTCCAGTTCCGTACCCGAGGCCTCCGTGGTGAAGAGGTGCCGGACCCGATGAGCTCGGGAGTCCACCATCGCTCTGCAAGCCGCAGGTTTGCGGAGCAATTTGTTCTGCCTGATAGGGTTGTTAAGGGTGTCGCAATGAGGTCCACGATTTAAAGCGCTTCCATAACTATTTTTCTCCTTTTACCTCTACGAGAGTGGACTGTCAAGGGCGAATGCAGGTTTTGTGAGGCCTGAACCTTGTGCCATTTGGAGAGCCCTTTTAAAGAAAAATAATGTAAAATTGTCTTATTTTTGCAAATTTTACCGAGGTACACGACCATGGGAACACCTCGTTAGGGCCCCTCTCAAGGCCTTGGAAGTGTTCGCAAAAATGGGCCCTTAAAACTTGGGCTTCATTAGCTTCGCTGTCAACCCCCCTGTGCACTGAAGTGTACACACTTGTTTACAGATGTGTGCCTCCCCTCCCTTGGGCTTTCCTTATTCTATGTCCCCTATTTTATATATACAGAGGATATTTCATAAATCTGTGGGTTTTTTTTTTTTTCCTTTTGAGATGGAGCCTCGCTCTTGTCGCCCAGGCTGGAGTGCAATGGCGTGATCTCGGCTCACTGCAACCTCCGCCTCCCTGGTTCAAGCGATTCTCTCGCCTCAGCCTCTGACCTAGCTGGGATTACAGGTGCCCGCCACCACGCCCCGCTACTTTTTGTTTTTGTTTTGTTGCTGTTTTGAGACGGAGTTTCGCTCTTGTTTCCCAGGCTGGAGTGCAATGGCAAGATCTCGGCTCACCGCAACCTCCCGCCTCCCGGGTTCAAGCGATTCTCCTGCCTCAGCCTCCGGAGTAGCTGGGATTACAGGCATGCGCCACCACGCCCAGCTAATTTTGTATTTTTCTTCAGTAGAGACGGGATTTCACCATGTTGGCCAGGCTGCTCTCAAACTCCCCACCTCTGGTGATCCACCCACCTCGGCCTCCCAAAGTGCTGGGATTACAGGCGTGAGCCACCAGGCCCGGCCTAATTTTTGTATTTTTTAGTAGAGACGGGGGTTCACCATGTTGGCCAGGCTGGTGTCAAACTCCTGACCTCAAGTGATCCGCTCACCTCAGCCTCTTAAAGTGCTGGGATTACAGGCATTAGCCACTGGCCCGGCCTGTGGTGTTGTTGTTATTGAACATATGTGTCTTGCTACCAGATGGAGAGCTCCAGGTCAAAGCTGGGTTCTTGAATCATAGCTTCCTAATCTTGATCACGGAATAAGTGCCAAGCATATATAAAGTAGACCATTTACATAAATAAATTAATAATCATGGCAACTCTAGAAGATACTTAGTGAAAAAAACCCTTGATTGTCTTTGAACCAATCAACTAAAATAACATGATGAAATGGAGACTGGGCTTTGAATCAATTTGGAGTTTGCCTGGTTTCATAATTCATGGTTCTTCTCATGTAACTAATACAAAGTCCAGCTTCTGACATTGTAGGAGCTCAGTAGAGGTTGAACAAGCTACAAATGTACACGGATAGGTACCCTCTCCTAAGATGGGCAAGTGGAGGCTCCTCTACCTTAACACTATTCATTTTTCCTCCAAAATAAATTGATAACTAAATTGAAGAGCAGATACTCACAAAACAATATCATGAGACTTTACAACATCACAGATGATTTTAGATATTCAGGCATATTAGGTCAATTAGACATACGAAGTAAATAACTGAATGTTCTTGGGCTAGACGGAACCTCCGCTACAAACTAGCACTGAATGAAATGTGTCAGTTTTGAAAAAGGAGGTTTTTATACATTACACAACCTCTAAGGGCACTTAACAGCTCTAATATGTTTTATCAGGGCCCACTGCAGCAAAATTTATTTTATTGTAAAGCAATATTTTATGCTAAAATAAAATAGTTCTAAAAGTTGTTTCCACCCCTCTTTATGAATAACTTCTCACTTCTCCATGGCGAAAGAGGACTGACCACAGCAAAAATTCGGTGGAAACCAACAGCTCCTGGAACACAAAAACTGGGGTTGTTTATAATCTCTCCACCCTGAATATCTAGCACCATTACTATATAATAATAGGTGCTCAATAAAGGTTTGTTAAATAACTTTATTTTTAAACCTTAAACAGATACTAGAAGAGTCCATAGTTGATTTCTGGTCATGCAACGGTTTATTTCTATATTGTAAGTTATGTATTGTTATGTATTATTTCTGTATTAAGAGAACTGAGACCACAGTAGCAAACATCATTTAAAAAAAAAAACAGCTCTATATAGTTTGCAAAAGCCTATTTTTTAAAAGTTTAAATGAAACAACCAACGTTTTGAGTTGGGAGGATGTCCTGTTCTCTCTTGGGAGTTTTCACAACCAGCGAAATCAGTATAGTTACCACTGTTTTACGTACAGAGAACAAGAATTAGAGGCTATCACTAGCCAGAGCACAAAGTGATCTTAGGTCTCCCTCGAGACAAAATCCACTGGCGTGTGGATCAACTGCTTGCAGAGAGCATCTGCTGCCGAGGCCAATAGGAGCCGTGTGTACTCAAGACCCTAACCAGGATCCTGCAGGTCCCGCCTCCGCAGCCCCACGGGGCTGCCGGCCCCCCCACCTCCCATCGCGAGCCTGGCTGCGCCGGCGTGCTTGAGCCCGGTGACTGCAAGGCCCCGGGTCTCCCCTGCGCCTGCGCGGCGAGCAGCTGGCGGAACCGGCATCTTCTGGCGCCAGCTTCCGGCTTAGCGGCTGAGCTTCAGGCTTGACGTCAGGTGGGAAGGGTGTGGGGTGGCAGGTGGGGGCGGTTGGGAGGTTGGGGGGGGTTGGGGTGGGGGGGGTGGGGGGTGGCAGATTGACGGTGTGGGGGGAGTCAAGTGGAAGGTGTGGTCCAGCAGGCGGCGAGAAGTCTGTGGGGCAACAGACCGGGGGAAGGTCTGTGGGGCGTCAGGCGGGGTATCTGTGGGACGTCAGGTTGGGGTCTGTAGGGCGTCACGTTGGGGGTCTGTGGGGCGTCAGAGGGGGGAATCTGTGGGGCGGCAGGTGGGGGGTGTTCGGGGCGGGGTTTGGGGTGTGTGTGGCGGCAGGAGGCGGGGGAGGTCTGTGGGGCGTCAGGTTAGGGTCTGTGAGGTGTCAGGCGGGGTTTACGTGGGGTGGCAGGTGTGGGGTGTGTGGAGAGTCAAGTGGGGGGTGTGGGGCGTCAGATTGGGGGTCTGGGGGATCAGATGGGTGGTGTCTGGGACGTCAGGCGGGGGTCGGGGGGTCGTCAGGCGGGGGATGTGTGGGGAGTCAAGTAGGGGAAGTGGGGCGTCAGATTGGGGGTCTGGGGGATCCGGTCGTGGGGGTGTCTGGGACGTCAGGCGGGGGGCCTGAGGGGCGTCAGGTGGGGGGGTCTGGGAGGCGTCAGGCGGGGGTCGGTCTATGGGGGCAGCAAGCAGGGTGTTTGTGCAGCGGCAGGTGATGGGAGTTGCCGAGTCCACAGCGCTGTAGACTGCGCCGCATTAGAAGCCTGGCCTCCTGATGCTGTGCTCTTCATCTAGACCCAAGCCCCAGGTCGTGGGACGATTTCTCCCGTTTTTGACTCCCTGGAACTGTATTGCCTGCTTTACCTGCGTACATGTTGATTCTTTCTCATGGCAACCCCGCAGGAAACCATCAAGATCTCATTTTACAGCTGGGATTCTCTGGTTCACAGAGGTAACGGAGCTTGCCCGAGGCCAGGTATTCACTGGGAATCCGTGAAGGGTTGGGGGAGAGTAGGGGGAACGGGCAGAGGAATGATGTAGACTCCTTAGGGATTTTCCATTTTCCGAGAGGGTACAGGGGGCATTGGAGCGGGAGAGACTTTAGGCTTGGAGGGAATTACTTTATTTCTCTTCTTACACTTGGTCTTTCATTAACTTTTGGGATCCCAAAGCCCTTCTAGCGTCTTTGTCTGCTCATTTCTTTTTGCTGAGATTGTCCCAAATTGTCACTAAGTGCTGTGGAAGATAGGCAGCTGTAAACCCTTTGTTTCCTAGGGAAACACAGCTTGTCAAGGGTTGCATGAAGGATACTTCAGTTGCATTCGTCACTTACTCCTTTTTTTCCTCTCTCTTTTTTAAGTGCAATAGCATAGCACTTAATCACCTTCCATAGTCACTGAATAAAACCTGCCGGTTTATTTTCATGTGTCACTTCAGGACAATTTAGTCAGAACTGAATGAATGATGAATCGTTATTGTGTACTAATTGCTTGCATTCATTCTCCTGAAAGCTTTGCTTATTGTTAAAGAGTGAAGCTTCTTCCCACCTTTTTATCTCGTTAATATTTTGCAATATTTATATTTTAAATGTTGCTTGGATCAGCAAGCATTATAGTATTAAAATTATCAAGACTTACTACTTTTTAAAGCACATTTTGTAGATTATCTGATTTTTATCTTCATTCTAATTTCTACATAGTTTTTAACCCCATTTTATACTTTAGGAAACTGAAGCTTAGAGAAATTAAGTAATTGCCCAGTATCACACAGCTGTTAAATGTTACCATCCACATTTGAACTCAGATTTATTAGAGTCTAAAACCTGAGCCCTAACCAGGAACCTCCTCATTTGTCTTACTGCAAATGGAATGAATCAGCTAAAATCCTCAGAATCCAAAAAATAAAATTAGCATGTAAAAATGAATGGAAGTCCTAATCTTTGACTTTTTATGCCGTTGTAATGAGCAAAAATACTTACGACTAGTTTATGGCAATTTTGGAATCCTTGTTATAGGCGTAGCCATTTTAGGATACATGTGTATCCACACCATTACCTACATTTTGTCATTATAAAGTAATTTAAGTCCTTGCCTGGGATTTGTTGAGCGAAACTTTAACTTTGAGACCATGTAGAATCTATAGATATATCTGTAGAAACTATATACCAATATTTGAATATTAAAGAAATATTAGTTAACCTACTTTATTTTACATAGTTTATATAGAAATTGTAGATATAGCATTGTGTACCCTGTTTACTCCCTTGAGGGAGCAAATTTTGGGAGATAGGGCAGTGAACATACATAACCAGGTGTTACAGTCAGTTATGCAAACCAGATTCAGAGAGAGGAAACAACAGTATATTCAAAGATAAAAGTTTCAGGAAAGTGGTCTGTCATGCGTTTATCCCTCGATCTAACCCACTCAGTAGAAGCTGGGTTTCCTTTGTCAGAAATTAGACTGAGAAGTGCACCTTTTTTCTCTATAGGCCACCAAATGGCTGTTGTAAACCATTGCCAGGGCAGTCAGAGCTACTGAATATTTTTAACCAAACTGAATCTCACCCACTGTGTGTCTGCGTGCGTGTGTGAGTGTGTGGTATGTAACCAGACCATAGCTTTCCCTAGTGTGCTTATCCAGGAGTCAACTCTAGGTGTTCAGTAATTCATTCAGCAAACCTCCTACATGTCTGCCACTAGAGCACAAATTACAGCACAATTCCTGGCCTCTAGATACTGACAGTATAGTAAATGTAGTATTGTAATTAGCCATTTGATTTATTTTACTGGATACTAGATAATGTAGCCTTGTGCATGTGTGTGTTGCTCATTTGTTTGCGAATTGGAAGATGGGGAGTCACATATTTTCTGCACTGTAATAGATCTCCCCACTCCCAGCAAAACTTCTCCAACTCCACTGCCTGGGATACATGGTGGTGTGCCAGGAGGGGTCTGAAACCACAGGATAAAACATAGTTTCTATTCATGGACCATACATTTTACTTGAAATCTTTTTTTGGAAAAGTTATTTAACATTACATAGTTTAAACCATATTAAAATTACTCTAATATATTTATCTTCCAGTAGAACTTGTATGAATATTTAAAACTAAAGAAATTTACACTTGTGAAATTTTAGGAAATATTCTTGCCCTAGCTTAGCAAGGTACCCATTATTTCTTCTCTGACTTTAGCAGATACTTTAGGGAAAAGCTCTCCCCTCAGGACATTTTACGTTTGTTTTATTTTGTTAAAGCACTTGGCATTTTATTATACTCAGTTTCCACTACACTCCCCCCCTTTTTTTCTTTTCTTTTTTTTCTTTTTTTTTTTTTACAGAATATATTTTCTTTTAAAGCAGAAACATGCAGTATTTTCCCCTAGCACAGTGTATGTAGCACATCTCATATGTAGTCATTAAATACTCAGGGAATAACTGGCATGGAAATATGAAAAAAGCAGCATACTAATAAATTTATACTTATAAGACAGTAAGTAACTATGGTAAAATAGATAAAGTGAGGATTTTATGGGTAGGGCATTTTGAGTTGGAATCGAATGCTGGTGTGATTTGGCATAGCTAGCAGTGAAGAAGTGAAAGGAAACATAGACGTAGGCTTTGTTTGGCTGGAAGAAGAGGGTACCTGTTTTTTCCTTTGTTTTGTTTTTTGGTCAAGGGCCCTGCCTATGATTAGGATTTCTAGGAAGTCAAATTTCAGTTCAGCAAATGAGTGATTTGTTAAAAATATCTGTTCGAAGATCAAGTTCATTTCTGGTGCTATGTGGTAGTCTGACAGGGAAAGAAGAGACATACATGAAAGGCCTTCCCTCAGAAGCTCAGAAGTGAAGTGAATTAAGCCTGATGAGTTTTTTTGTCACCATTATTAGCAATATTTGTTTGTATTATGTGCTAAATAATTAATACATAGAATAACTGGAATTTAAAGAGAAAATTAAAATGATTTCTGTATTATAAATACAGGAAATACAGCTATATAGCTGATGATACTTTTCATAATAACTTCAAATTAGGGTTGGAGCAAAACAGTTATTAAATGTAGAGGTTGAAAAGATACATCATTTAGAGCATTGATCTTTTTTTTAGTAAACATTAATAAACATTTATTATGATCTCAGTGATCTTTGTAAGATCTTTACATTAAATATTTAGTTGAATCTTATCTTTTACTTAAAGTTATTCTCTTTTTGCTTTACTAGTTAAACGAGAAGATTCATCACCGCTTTGATGGCTGCCTCACAAACTTCACAAACTGTTGCATCTCACGTTCCTTTTGCAGATTTGTGTTCAACTTTAGAACGAATACAGAAAAGTAAAGGACGTGCAGAAAAAATCAGACACTTCAGGGAATTTTTAGATTCTTGGAGAAAATTTCATGATGCTCTTCATAAGAACCACAAAGATGTCACAGACTCTTTTTATCCAGCAATGAGACTAATTCTTCCTCAGCTAGAAAGAGAGAGAATGGCCTATGGAATTAAAGAAACTATGCTTGCTAAGCTTTATATTGAGTTGCTTAATTTACCTAGAGATGGAAAAGATGCCCTCAAACTTTTAAACTACAGAACACCCACTGGAACTCATGGAGATGCTGGAGACTTTGCAATGATTGCATATTTTGTGTTGAAGCCAAGATGTTTACAGAAAGGAAGTTTAACCATACAGCAAGTAAACGACCTTTTAGACTCAATTGCCAGCAATAATTCTGCTAAAAGAAAAGACCTAATAAAAAAGAGCCTTCTTCAACTTATAACTCAGAGTTCAGCACTTGAGCAAAAGTGGCTTATACGGATGATCATAAAGGATTTAAAGCTTGGTGTTAGTCAGCAAACTATCTTTTCTGTTTTTCATAATGATGCTGCTGAGTTGCATAATGTCACTACAGATCTGGAAAAAGTCTGTAGGCAACTGCATGATCCTTCTGTAGGACTCAGTGATATTTCTATCACTTTATTTTCTGCATTTAAACCAATGCTAGCTGCTATTGCAGATATTGAGCACATTGAGAAGGATATGAAACATCAGAGTTTCTACATAGAAACCAAGCTAGATGGTGAACGTATGCAAATGCACAAAGATGGAGATGTATATAAATACTTCTCTCGAAATGGATATAACTACACTGATCAGTTTGGTGCTTCTCCTACTGAAGGTTCTCTTACCCCATTCATTCATAATGCATTCAAAGCAGATATACAAATCTGTATTCTTGATGGTGAGATGATGGCCTATAATCCTAATACACAAACTTTCATGCAAAAGGGAACTAAGTTTGATATTAAAAGAATGGTAGAGGATTCTGATCTGCAAACTTGTTATTGTGTTTTTGATGTATTGATGGTTAATAATAAAAAGCTAGGGCATGAGACTCTGAGAAAGAGGTATGAGATTCTTAGTAGTATTTTTACACCAATTCCAGGTAGAATAGAAATAGTGCAGAAAACACAAGCTCATACTAAGAATGAAGTAATTGATGCATTGAATGAAGCAATAGATAAAAGAGAAGAGGGAATTATGGTAAAACAACCTCTATCCATCTACAAGCCAGACAAAAGAGGTGAAGGGTGGTTAAAAATTAAACCAGAGTATGTCAGTGGACTAATGGATGAATTGGACATTTTAATTGTTGGAGGATATTGGGGTAAAGGATCACGGGGTGGAATGATGTCTCATTTTCTGTGTGCAGTAGCAGAGAAGCCCCCTCCTGGTGAGAAGCCATCTGTGTTTCATACTCTCTCTCGTGTTGGGTCTGGCTGCACCATGAAAGAACTGTATGATCTGGGTTTGAAATTGGCCAAGTATTGGAAGCCTTTTCATAGAAAAGCTCCACCAAGCAGCATTTTATGTGGAACAGAGAAGCCAGAAGTATACATTGAACCTTGTAATTCTGTCATTGTTCAGATTAAAGCAGCAGAGATCGTACCCAGTGATATGTATAAAACTGGCTGCACCTTGCGTTTTCCACGAATTGAAAAGATAAGAGATGACAAGGAGTGGCATGAGTGCATGACCCTGGACGACCTAGAACAACTTAGGGGGAAGGCATCTGGTAAGCTCGCATCTAAACACCTTTATATAGGTGGTGATGATGAACCACAAGAAAAAAAGCGGAAAGCTGCCCCAAAGATGAAGAAAGTTATTGGAATTATTGAGCACTTAAAAGCACCTAACCTTACTAACGTTAACAAAATTTCTAATATATTTGAAGATGTAGAGTTTTGTGTTATGAGTGGAACAGATAGCCAGCCAAAGCCTGACCTGGAGAACAGAATTGCAGAATTTGGTGGTTATATAGTACAAAATCCAGGCCCAGACACGTACTGTGTAATTGCAGGGTCTGAGAACATCAGAGTGAAAAACATAATTTTGTCAAATAAACATGATGTTGTCAAGCCTGCATGGCTTTTAGAATGTTTTAAGACCAAAAGCTTTGTACCATGGCAGCCTCGCTTTATGATTCATATGTGCCCATCAACCAAAGAACATTTTGCCCGTGAATATGATTGCTATGGTGATAGTTATTTCATTGATACAGACTTGAACCAACTGAAGGAAGTATTCTCAGGAATTAAAAATTCTAACGAGCAGACTCCTGAAGAAATGGCTTCTCTGATTGCTGATTTAGAATATCGGTATTCCTGGGATTGCTCTCCTCTCAGTATGTTTCGACGCCACACCGTTTATTTGGACTCGTATGCTGTTATTAATGACCTGAGTACCAAAAATGAGGGGACAAGGTTAGCTATTAAAGCCTTGGAGCTTCGGTTTCATGGAGCAAAAGTAGTTTCTTGTTTAGCTGAGGGAGTGTCTCATGTAATAATTGGGGAAGATCATAGTCGTGTTGCAGATTTTAAAGCTTTTAGAAGAACTTTTAAGAGAAAGTTTAAAATCCTAAAAGAAAGTTGGGTAACTGATTCAATAGACAAGTGTGAATTACAAGAAGAAAACCAGTATTTGATTTAAAGCTAGGTTTCCTAGTGAGGAAAGCCTCTGATCTGGCAGACTCATTGCAGCAGGTGGTAATGATAAAATACTAAACTACATTTTATTTTTGTATCTTAAAAATCTATGCCTAAAAAGTATCATTACATATAGGAAAACAATAATTTTAACTTTTAAGGTTGAAAAGACAATAGCCCAAAGCCAAGAAAGAAAAATTATCTTGAATGTAGTATTCAATGATTTTTTATGATCAAGGTGAAATAAACAGTCTAAAGAAGAGGTGTTTTTATAATATCCATATAGAAATCTAGAATTTTTACTTAGATACTAATAAAATACATTTAGAAACTTTTAAAGTCATGAAAAAGCATTAACCTTCTAAACAGTATATTCTAAAAAGTCAAAACGTTAACAATAGTTTTTATCTAATAAAAGCACTGCAAGAAAATAGGGTAGAATTGTTACAGCTGGACTTGTAAAAATATGTCTTTTTACTCAGGGTTTAAAATGTCCCATTTAAATATGAAATGTAAACAAATTTGTTTTTTAAGGTTAAGGCCAAATGTAACAATAAAACCCTGTCGATGGTTTTAGCTAAATTAGAGGAAGTTGTATGAGACTTAATGATCTAAAAACTTAAAATTGAATTGGTTTGATTAAAAATAAAGCTTGCAATTTTAAAAGTAGCTCACATTTAATTTCTTGTGTGAAATAGAACATGCTTTAAAGGAAGTATTTTTATGTGAATTTGCATTCCAGTATAAATAGTATTCACAAAAAAGATTTTCCTAGATTTTATCTATTGAATAGGTGTCAATATGGCATGCATATTGTAACTTTCATTAGAAATAAGTTGCTTTGACTTTTAAAAATGACATAGTTAGATTATTTAAAGTCAATGTATATAGTATATATTATGTATGGATTTATATACCAAATTTTGGAATACAGCCTATCTCATGACCATATTGAAATGTACGGAATTTGATCCATGCGATACTATGTGTGCATTATTTGAAAGTTATTGGAAATTTTATTCAAACCGTGGAACAAATGTATGTGATTTTGTTATACTTCTTAATTTAAATAAAATATTTAATGCACTATTAAAATAATTTCTTATGTTCTATTCTTTTTAAAACAATTCATAATAGTTGTATCACATAGATTTTTTTGGTGTCAGTAAAATTTTTTTTTTTTTTTTTGAGACAGAGCCTCCCTCTGTTGCCCAGGCTGGAGTGCAGTGGCACAATCTCAGCTCACTGCAACTTCCGCCTCCCGGGTTCACACCACTCTCCTGGCTCAGCCTCCCGAATAGCTGGGACTACAGGTGCCCGCCACCATGTCCGGCTAATTTTTTTTTTTTTTTTTTTTTTTTGAGACGGAGTCTCGCTCTGTCGCCCAGGCTGGAGTGCAGTGGCGCGATCTCGGCTCACTGCAAGCTCCGCCTCCCGGGTTCACGCCATTCTCCTGCCTCAGCCTCCGGAGTAGCTGGGACTACAGGCGCCCGCCACCGTGCCCGGCTAATTTTTTTTTTTTGTATTTTTAGTAGAGACGGGGTTTCACCGTGGTCTCGATCTGCTGACCGTGATCCACCCGCCTCGGCCTCCCAAAGTGCTGGGATTACAGGCGTGAGCCACCACGCCCAGCCATGTCCGGCTAATTTTTTGTATTTTTTAGTACAGACGGGGTTTCACTATATTAGCCAGGATGGTCTCGATCTCCTGATCTCGTGTTCTGCCCACCTCGGCCTCCCAAGGTACTGGGATTACAGGCGTGAGCCACCGTGCCCGGCCAGGTGTCAGTAAAATTTTTGACTGGTGCCAATCTACTTCCTCTTTAAGAGTCTTTGTATTTCACATTACCCATGAGCTGTATTTAAAATTTTAAACTTAAGAAAAGTACAAAATAAATATTTAGTGTAACACATATGTATAAAGCAAAGTATGTGTTTCATTTAATCAGCTTTTCTCAATGAATTTTGAAAATATTTACAATTCTCTAAAATATAGCTCCATCATTTTAAATTGTTGTGCAATATTTCATTGAATGCCCTGTTATGTAGCCCATTATTGTTCAAATTTTAGACTATTTCACCATGCCACCCCCACCTTTTTTTTCCTTTTTCTTTTTTTTTTTCTGACAGAGTCTGACTCTGTCGCCCAGGCAGGAGTGCAGTGGTGTGATCTCAGCTCACTGCAACCTCCACCTCCTGAGTTCAAGCTATTCTCCCACCTCAGCCTCCCTAATAGCTGGGATCACAGGCTCCACTAGAATAAAATACATGAATAAAGGCACTAGGTCAACTATTTACAGGATAAATATTCTGAAGCCAACTGAAAAACACACTTGGTTCTTAATTCTCCAAGGCTATGGTTTCTTGCCGGAAAACAGGACAGCAGATTTACCAAGAGCTGCTCCACCCTATTCCATATATCTGATGATTTAGAAGTGTCCTCAAGGAGTTCATTTCAGGCTGACGGCAACTTCTTTGAAAGTCAGGTGGCTAGAGTAGCTGCATTATACTCGTGTGCTTGACCTGGGATCTATGTGAACAGGGCTCCTTTGGCCCCTTGGAATTCTCACTTTTGGGAAAATACATTGTGTTTAAAATGTCTAACATGGAATTATTTGAGCCCTAGAATTTATCCTGTAAACAACACTACAATTCACTTTCATTCAGTAGAATAAGTTCTTACTCTCATTAGTAGCCCTTTGGGTAAAAAGGGGGATAAAGCAATCCCTGCCCTCAAAGAACTCACAGTGTATTGACAGATAAAGATAATTGGAATACAAAAGGTAAGTGTATTCCCAGTTAAAGGAATGATGGATTGTCCTGGAAAGTCATATGGTGTAGGGGAAAGAGCACAAACTTTAGAATCAAGTCATTCTGGGCTCAATTACAGTTCAGCCACCAATTATCTGTTATTTTGAGCAATCACAACTTCTTTGAAACTTAGTTTCTCAAGTTTCAAATGCAAATGACACCTGTCTTATCAGAATGTTTGAGGACAGAACCATAGCTCCCCCGCACATACTAAGGACTCTAGATTTTACCTGCTATTCTTACCCACACCCAGGTTAGTAAGTGAGTAACTGAGGGAAAATGGGTCGAATTTCATCAGGCATAGTGGTATGGAAGGTTTTTCCTGGCGGAGGAGAGATTATAAATAAAGCCATAGGGGATACAAAAGTGTGTGGAAATACTTGTAAAGCATTGAGATTTAGGGGTGAGGGAGAGAGATAGGTGAAAGTAGGCTAGGGTAGATTTTGAAAGGTCTGAAATGCCACACTACGGAATATGTAGTGTGCTCAAGATAAATGCATGAAGAATTGTAAGCAAGATATTTTAGCCTCTCGTGTAAGGCTTTTTTTTAATTTCATTTTTTTTTTGTTTATTAGACCACTTAAAGTATGATAAACATACAAAAAGCAGTACATATTTGAAGCATACAACTTGATGAGTTTGGAGGTAAGTATACACCTTTTGAGACCACCACATTCAGGTCATAAACTTATCCATCAGCTTCAAAAGTTATCTTCTTCCCCAGTATTTATTGACTGAGTCCCCACCTTGCGTTCTGTTATTTAATGATTCACAAACATGAGTGCCTCTTGAATTCTAGGCTTTGTCCTAGTTCTGGACAAACAGCAGTAATGAAAGTGGGCAGAAATTCCTGTCTTCGTTGAGTTTCCATTTTAGTGGATAAAGAGAGGAAAGAGAAAAATTCATGTTTCCTTCTCTGTCTGATTCTCCGTCTTTGGAGGCTATTTCCCTCAGCATTTCAAAACCATGTATTTTCTGGCTGATGTTTCTTTTCACATGCAAGCATTTCTAAGAATTGTCTAAACTTCTAGTTTCACTTTCTGGCTTTTCACTCTTAAAATTACACATATAATGTTCTAACAAAGTCTTTGACCTCTTCATTGATAACACCCCATAAATGTTAAAGAGCTTGTTGGGTGTTCCACTATAGGAACACAGGCACTTACATAGCGTTCACCGGGAAGAAACGATAACCATGTTCTGAAGTTATGTATTTGGAGTGAACATTGAAGGAAGAAGATAATCCACCCAACTAGTCAGCTAGATGAACCAAATAAGCATTAGTGATTCTGACTGATAGACATCATGGGGACGTTGCCTTTGATGGAACACATGCTTCCTTTGATATTTGAAAAATTTTGGAGCATAGAAAAAACATGGAAGCCTTCCAAAATCATTTCTTAGGGCTTAGTAATCTTGATATCACCCTCTATCAAAAATAGCATAGAATGTGGAGTGACCAGAACTTTCATATGTTGCTAGTGGGAACATGCAATGGTGCCACTTTGGAA
Source organism: Homo sapiens (assembly GCF_000001405.40). Taxonomy (NCBI): domain Eukaryota; kingdom Metazoa; phylum Chordata; class Mammalia; order Primates; family Hominidae; genus Homo; species Homo sapiens. The sequence continues at coordinate 108,204,215 of NC_000013.11, read as the reverse complement.
AACTGGTAATTTTTAAAGTGATATACCTACTCTGAGACTCTTAAACATGTGATGTGCTCATTTTACTCTGAGTAAATTGTACTTCAAAAAATTATTTAAATAAATATTTGAAACAACTATTGATTGTATAGTTACATAGATAAAACATCCCAATAATGCATTTAAATTAATATTGCAGTAAGAGGAGCAAGAAAATATTTTCAATATTTTAAGAAATGTGAGGATAATACAATATTATATATATATTATGGCATGTAGCTGTATTAATAGACTAAATGCAGCAATAAAAAAATTGGTATATGAAATTCAAAAGCATTCTTTTTTAAGCAATAAGAACAAAAATAATTTAAATAAAAATTGGAGACTTCTTAGAAGAGATAATGCTACAAAAAAAAAAAAGCCGGTAGCTTTTGGGATTTTAGGATGATGGTGGCAGTGGCATCACAGTTTTTGAATCCCTATAAATTCCCACACATGAATGAAACACAACTGCATAGCAATCAAAAACCCATGAACAACATTTACAATAGGACTAAGTGATGAATAGATGAAAACAGACAGGTGAGCCATAATACTTGCATGACATTCATATGTGTGTGAAGAAAACAGAGGGACCTGAGAAAAGCAGAAACTCCTTAGCAAGGATTTACTGGAAAGCACAGTGGGCAAGACTGAGAGCAGCACCTGAAACTAAGAGGGATTTTGTCCAGTGGAATAGCAGGTGAGGGAAAGGAGCCCTAGGTAAATCTGAAGGGCCTAGTAACTGTGAATTCTCAGAACTGAGCCACCATTGATGCTTTCCAGCTCAGGACCTCATAATGAAGAAACACTGGTGGGAATGGAATAAAAGGTGAGCAAAATAGGGGCAACAGAAAGACAAAGGAAATAGAAGGTCCACATGAAGGTGAAGAGGAAGCAGCCAACATTTTAGGAAGCAAACCATTATGGTTCTGAAAAGCAACAGAAGTAGGAATTCTGTGACATTAGAAAAATTACTATTAACTACATTTTCTTCTAGATGTTCAGTGAAGCTAAACTAACCTAACAACGAGGAACCAAATGATAATGGGGGCTAAATTTACACAAAGAAGAAGAAAATAGTGTGATTGAAAGAATCCATTTCCACAGAGAATGAACTCACATAAGAAAGAAAAGCCCCTAAAGCAGATCAAAATTGTAACCTGTAGCTTCAAAACATCTGAAAGATTTTTTTTTAAATACAAGATGTGAAAGAACAACATTTTATTTCAGAACTGGAAAAACTCAGAAATTAGCTGACAGAACTTAGGAACTAGATATAAAAGAAAAAAAATCTATGTGCTATTGGAAACTTAAACCCATAGAAGTAATTAATATGTGTAACATAAAACATATTAAACTACATGAAATGTTGAACCACATATAAAATATCATTAAGTCAGCATTGGTGGGGGTGGAGCAAGAAGAGGTCTGGGACATCTACCTTCTTCCGACATCACCCTTCCCTAAATCTAACCCATTAAAAGGCATGTAACCTCCTGGTCCTTGGTAGTTCAGTAGGACATAAATGTGAGGATCTCTGAGGTCCTTTCCAACTTTAACATTGTGGTACATCCAAGAACCATTTACTGGCAACCTTGAATTAATTTATGAATGCACCTTTTATATTTATTTATTTACCTGCCTACTTGAGATGGGGGTCTTGGTCTGTCCTCCAGGCTGGAGTGCAGTGGTGAAATCATGGCTCACTAAAGCCTCAACCTCCTGGGCACAAACGATCCTCCTACCTCAGCCTCCCGAGTAGCTGGAACTACAGGCACATGCCAGCATGCCCTTATAACTTTTCAAAAAAATGTTTTGTAGAGATGGGATCTAGCTATGTTGTCTAGGCTATCTCAACTTCCTGACCTTCAGCAATCCTTCTGCCTCAGCCGCCTGACCTTTTATTTTTATGGTGAGATCTTAAGCTAGTATCCGTGGTTGGTTTGGGAGATGGGACTGGGTGGCCAGCTGATAGAGTGATCCTGGGGAGGTGAGGGAATCTGTATACATGCATCTAGCAATGGCTTTTTCAAGTCATGGTTTTTCCAAGGAACGGCTCTTCATTTCCATCAACCTTTGGTTTGGATATATGAGATTCTTCTATCTTATGTAAATAAAATGTCTTTCATAGATTTGATACTTTCACTAATCTCTAACATCAGTATATGTATGAACAAACCACTTCCTAAACAAATGCACCTTCAAGACAAATAATCATGTCCTTTTCCCAACAATACAACTAGATGGAATTCTCTCCCTTTTGTAGATAGATTGTGTATAAAAATTCAGGAGCAGCATTGCCTAGTGATGAAAAGCCAAGCCTTACTTACGTAACTCTGGCAGAGGATTGTTGCTCAAATAATAGTAAGTGTTGTTTCTATATTAGTGTTAACATGCTTTCTGTTATGGGATAAGATAAATAAATGAAACGAAAATCATGAATTCTTGAGAATCTTGATGAGCTGGAATTTAATTACCCAGTTTGAAATAATGATGGTAAAATGGCCAAAGCTTTTGATGCTCTTAGTGAAGAGCACTAACATTTCTTAGATTTTTCTACTTGCTGATTAAGGAATAGATAGACATCTGGCAGCTACTGTTAGATTTAAGGTGTACCCTTGCAAGATCTAAAAGGAAATTGAATTCAGTGACTAACATGAGTCTTCAAATTCTTACAAAATATATATCTTAGTATTTAAGGACAAAAATATCATTCAGCACTATGAATTCCTGAAATTCGTACTTTATATTATTTAAGGGAATAAGGTACATTCTTTTCCTTATGACTCTAACAGTGGTTTCTACAATTATTGGAGCAAGACTTTTGGGGTTTCTGAAACTAAATTACTGAAAGAAGTGTACTGATTTTTTTTCCATTTCATTCTGTTAATTATTTCCTTTCTGCTGGAAAGTTGGTATTGGTAATAGCTGTAGAGCATTCTGTGAGTTATGTAATTTAGTCTTAAGTGACAACAAGCTATTTATAGTGTGTCTGGCTTTGGGGTAGAGCATCATTTTCCAACAGATAGTTTGGGAACCTCAAGGGTGTACAAAGAAGTTTCCATATAAAGTTAGTAATGGTTTTAATATCTTTGGCTTTTTACCTAAATTGATACATAACTAATGTTTCCTTTAAAATTGAGTAATTTGAAAGCCTCTGAGTAGAAATTCAGTAAGCACTTGTAATAGTTGAGGCTGACAAGTGGCGAATGACTCATTCACTGAATCATATCATCATTCAGCTGAACATCCCATGCTGACACAGAGGTTATGGCCATTATTCAGTTTTGAATTGTTTTTATTCCTAATCATAAACAACTTAATTTGTCTCATAATATACATTTAATAAAAGAAGGAAAAATAAGGTACATTAAGATAACACAAGTTAATGAAGAGCATGTGCATAATAATATTACAAATACATATCAAGATAATTGTCACCAGATTAATAAATTGTATTCACCTGATCAAAATTCCTATATATCATATCAAATTTTTCCTAGCACTTCCAAAAGCAATGTTAGACAAAGGAGAAACTATATTGGTAATCATATCCAGTTTACCTTTTACTTGTTAGTAATAGAACACCATTCATAACCTCAATGTATTTATTTGTAGAGTTGTGTTTACAAAGAACTCCAAACATTCTCTTTTTCTAGCCACTTAGAGAAAAACCATGATGTTTTTCAAAAATCTAGTCCACTTGACTTTTTGGAAGTCCAATTTGAGAAAATTAAAAATCAGAAAATTAAAGTATTTTAATATATTCTTGGTGCTGAAACATACAGTTAATTTTTAGCATATATTTAAATATGCAAGAGGATATAGTATGCTATTTTAAAATTTTTTCAACAAAGCATGGCTACTTTCATAATTTATTTAAAGAGAATTCCACTGAGTTTACTTATTAAAGAAACAAAAATTGGACTTATGAATATCGTTCCAGTTACTGTTATTACACAGCAAGTTGATCCAAAACTTAGTGGTATAAAAAGCCATTTTAATTATGGTCAGGTATTAAGTTTGTTCACAGCAGGAATGTCTTACATGGTTCTATTATGTCTGGGGACTTAGCTGGGTGTAACCTTCTTCTCACTTCTTGCTGGCTTTGAAGACGTGACAGAACATGGATCTCACGGCCTCCAAGAACTGAGTTCAGGCAACAATCATGAGAGTAGGGGAGTGATAGTTCCCTAGTTTAACCTTCAGAAGAGAAAGCAATAATAGAAAACTAACGTAGATTTTTAGTCCCAGAAGTAGGGTGCTACTTAACAAATACCTAAAAAGTGACTTAGGAAAAGAGTAAACGGTAGAGTCAGAAGGAATGTTGAGGTGTATAACACAAGAAGGGTAAGTTACCGAGCATACTATTATTAGAAGTCTGGATTTCAAGGTCACTGCCAGTGAAGTCTCAAAAGGAAACAAGGAACATATTATTGGAAAGTGGGGGAAGAGGGATCATTGTCATATAGTGGTAAAATCCTTAAGCAAATTGTCTCCTGTAATTATGTAAAAATCAGAACTTGTAGGTGACCAACTCAGTTATAGAGCCAAAGAGATTTTCAAGCAAAGTGCTGGTTTCTTGTTGCTTATAAAATACGGTAAGATTTAAACAAATCTGTTTTTGTCTTTTAAACAAAAAAGAACTGCAAGTTGATGATATTGAAAATTCCCAGCATCTCCAGAAAGCAAAAACTGCTGAAATTAAGAAATTGCTTCCAAAAATACAGTATGCAGAAAATTCCAAAGGTATGATCGTGCAAACTTTGCTCTAACCTCAGATATACCTAAAGATCAGATTATTCAATTTCACAGAGTCCTTTCAAGAGATCCTCTTAGATTTTCACAAGCAAGCTATGGGGCCTGTAGGAAAGTTAAGTATGTTGTCTTTAAGCCATCTGATATGGTTTTGTTGTGTCCCCACCCAAATTTCAACTTGAATTGTAGTTCCCATAATTCCCGTATGTCATGGGAGGGACCCGGTGGGAGGTAATTTAATCATAGGGGTGGTTACCCTCATGCTGTTTTCATGATAGTGAGTGAGTGAGTTCTCACAAGATCTGATGGTTTTATAAGGGGCTTTTTCCCCTTTTGCTTGGCACTCCTCCTTCCTGCTGCCATGTGAAGAAGGACGTGTTTTCTTCCCCTTCCTCCATGATTGTAAGTTTCCTGATGCCTCCCCAGCCCTGCAGAACTGTGAGTCAATTAAACCTCTTAAAAATAAATACCCAGTTTTGGGTATGTCTTTATTAGCAGTATGAGAACAGATTAATACACCATCTCAGCAGGAAGATGAAGTAGAGGAAGACTTATATTGCGCTGATCTATTGTGTAGCTTTTGTTTAGTGGAACAAGCTCAATTAAAATCTTCAGGAGTCAATATTGTTGAGAAAATTATTTTAGCATAAACACTACCAGCTTGGAGTACAAGGAACAGAGAGACTATGAAATAAAAGGAGTCTGAGGGACCATAAAAATTCTACTGGTGGGAAGCAGTCTCAGAAAACTACTCAGCTGCAAACATTTGCTTTCTTTCATGAAAAGAAAAGAACCAAAAATGGCATATGATCTGTGACTTTAGAGATGAATAGATTTTAGAAGTTTGAGGACTGCCATGGTATGTACTCAAAGAAGGCATTTTAATAGAGGAAACAGGATATAGTCGGATTTTGAAAGGGTAAAGCATAGCAAGTCAAGAAAGGACAAATGCATTTTTTCTCTAATGCACCTCCTTTTATTACTATATATCACATCACCTCTGCATCTATTATTTTTCCTTCTTGCATCATGTACAAAATTTAATTATACAGCACAGCATTCTAAACATCATCCTAATACACACACATGTGTGCACATTTAGTCCTAAAAACAACTCTATAAAATAGATACCATTATTAAACTACTTTATAGAAGAGGAAGCTAAGGCATGGGAAGTTGTATAACTTGCCCAAGTAGAGTAACCCTATTTCAAATCCAGTTTCGTTATTTCCAGGGTCTATACTCTTTATCACAGAGCTACACATGCATTTTCTTTCTCAAGCAGAGAGGTTTTCAGCAGTGGACATCATTTCACACACGTCAGTATTAATCTCTGAGAAACAACAGTGATACTATGGATAACAAAAGAAGAAAAGTTTCAAAAAGAAATGGGGTGAGACAAGACTGTGTAGGCATAGTCCAAATATATTTATGAAACATTCAGTAAACACAAGAGGCACTGAAGCATAAAAGATTCATTCACATAGAATTATTCATAGCCTCAAAGATCTAAACCCCTTCTTTCTTCCAGACAATGGTTCACAACTGGAGATGACCATCAAAAAGTATCCAGATGTTGCCACCTGCAGGGGTGTCAAGACTGGTGGTGCTACTAGCATCTAGTAAGCAGAGACCAGCAATGCTATTAAATATCTTACAATGAACAGAACAACCCCCACAAACAGGAATTATCCAGACTAAAATGTCAATAGTACTGAAGTGGAGAAAACTTATTCTAGAATCTTCTGCAATGCATGAGAAAAGACATTATATTACTTGTTAGTAATCCTTTTAAATCATGCATATTCACAGCTGTATTGCAAATCAGTGTTCCATTCATAAAACAAATGCTAATTCCTACTTATTTCCTTTTAAGGGGTTAGGATGTAGGTTAATTAGTGTTTGCAAACTCCTTTGACGATGTAAAGTCCTATGTAAATACTACTTATTATTAATTACCATTCTGGAAGAACTGCACTGTGACCCTACTTGTTCCCTAGTAGAGCCAAGCCTCAAAGACCTGAGCAATGCTGAATTATCTTTGATAAGTTAGAATATTGATAATGAGAAAGACAGACATCAGGGATCTAAGCCAATTTTAGATAGCTGGGATATGACTGTATATAAATTGGCTCATTAAGATCAAGAAAACTATAGGTTTTGATTTGGGATTTTTGCTATACTGGAGTACATTTCTTTCAATTTTACAATAGTATATGTCAGAGAGGGTGGTAGCAAGAATCTAAAATACAAATTTAAATAATTATAAACAAGCAAAAATAATTTATAGAAATACATTTATATTATTTATATTGCAAACTGATTTTCTCTGGCCAATGAGTCACTGTGTTATTTGGAGTGTGTCTGTCTGTTAAGACAATAAAATGATTTACAAAAACTTTAAAAGAAGATACAAGGTATGATAAAATTTCTTTCTATATGAAGTATAAATCAATCATGTCATGTAAATATAATATTATACTTTGTATAAATATCTTTACATTTTAAGATAGCTCCTGTTCTTCATGATTACGACATTTTCCTGTTAGGGCAGAGTCTAACCCTACAGATTTATACAGCAATTACATTGTGATCTGCTAAAATGCCTGTAGCCCTATTTTTAACTCAGTATCAATCTGGACAAAGGACTTGTTGGTGACAATGTAAACCAAAACTAACATTTTCAGTCCCCAGTTGACTGAATGGACCTCTCCTCTCAGCCAAGGGCATTCCAAAGTTAACCTGAAAAACTAGTTCAAGCCATGATGAGAAGTGGGGTTTGGACACGCCTCATTATACTCTTTGGAATTCAGGCAGAATTGACCAGCATTAACATTAAAACAGAGATCTTAAGACTGACAAAACATATTCTATATAGCAATAAGATACCAAATTGCAAATTGACACTAGTATAGCATTACATGACAGATAGCAAACCATGAAAGAAATTTTACCCAACATTATATTTCTTTGACGTATTTCGAAATGGCCCTGCAAAGCTCTCTCGTGGAGGAAATTTACATACTATAGTGAATCTCCTTCCCTTTCCAATCTTTTTCTTTCTCATCCTGAAGAGATTAGCTGAGAGTCTAGCACCTTTTAAAGGTCTGAATAGGAAACATTTGCCATCTATTCCCTCTAAGGACAGACACCTATGGGACTTCACCTGTGTAATAAGAACACTGGTCTCCACAACAGTTTATCTTAACCCAGACATTCCTTTCTATTGATTCTGTCACATGATCCTTTGGGAGTCACTTCGCCAGCCAGAAACCTCTGTGGCTGGTGGCACCTGTGCTTGGGTTTTGTCTGTGCCCACTGGGCTCATTCCACCCACTCGGCTTGGCAGGCTGGGCTCAGCTTGCACTAAAGGCCTGGATCCCACACCTGCCAAGGGCAAGCCAGGTGTTGAGTGGCAAGGGGTGTGTGGGTAAGTGAGCACAGGGTCTGGCCACTGTGCACAGCCAGGCCTTTCAGCTGCAGTGCGGCAGGCAGCTCTAGGCACTGGCACAAGCAACCTGGCTCCATGCGAGGCTGCAGCTGAACCAGTCATACCGCAAGTGCCTTCTGCTACAGGCACTTTTGAATAAAGTGGCGCCTGAAAGCTTGGAGATGTCAGGAACCTCATAGCCCCAAAGAGGGTGTTACAGTATGTTATAGCCCAGGCTCAGGGAGTCCTGACATTTGGGCCCCCAGAAAGGCTGCAGCTCTTCTCTCCTTCTTGCTGCCCACAGTGCAGCAATTGGTGGGGGCGTGTTTCAGTGGGGGTTCAACCTGTTTGTGTTGCACCTCTTTCATTCCCACTGCCCCACCCCAGCTCATAGCTCCTGGGCTGGCCCAGACCTGCCGCTGCTTCCCATCATGTGGGGTGGCCGCCTGGAGCCAGTGGAGTGTGGGAGGCCTGTAGTGCTACAGCAACTCTGGCTTGAGGAACTGTGAGGTTTGGGACCCCAGAAAGGTCACCACTCTTTACTCCTGCAGTCCAGTAGCATGTCACTATCTGCAGCTTGGTGAGCTGACCAGCCAGGAATTAGTTACAGTGCCTTTCACTCCCACCTTTTGGCAGGTTTCAAGTTCTTGTCCTGCATCCAGGAAGAATGAGGTAATATGGACGACTGGAGGGTGAGCAAGGAAGAGAGGAATTTTATTAAGCAAGAGAACAGCTCTCAAGAGACCCAAAATGGGTAGCTCCTTTCCACAGGCAGGTCATCCTGATGAGTTTCTAAGTTTGGCTGAGTCTGGGGTTTTTATGTGCTCAAAATGGAGGAAGTGTGTGATTGATCCATGGGCAACCACGGGTGGGCCTGGAAAAAGCACCATCTGATTGGCCAAAAGGCATCAGTGAAATTCTTACTCTGGGTCAGACTCAACCTGGAACTGGCAGCCTGGACCCCAGGTTTCAGGCCATCCCTGGCCTGAAGGTGAGGTTTCACAGGGACCTGCCCCTTCCTGCCTAGGAATCTGTCTGCCTCCTGCCACCATCAACATTCTGTCCACAGTGCCCAGTCTGTTTGCACTGAGTGGAACCCTCAAACCCGTGCTGAGCCTCCCTCTGCCCCATAGCTTCCTTTCCATGCTGATTGGTGTCCAAAGTCCAGAGGGAGCTGAGGCAGCAGGTGGATGGTGTGTCAGTGCCACCCCAAGTGTATGCACACCTAGCTGGGTCACGACAGTGCCTGGGCTTGGCCACAACTTGGCTCTGCACTGGAGTGGGCACAGACAGCAGGGAGAGGCCAGGCAGCAGGAGCAGGTACTTCTAGGCCTGTGGGGGCAGGGGTTTTCCCAGGTCCATGAGAGTGCAGGGATCCCTGGGTCCAGAGCCATGGCTAGGCAGCTGCAGTTGCACCCAGGAGCATGGGCTCCCACCCTGCCAACTTGGTAGGGCATGGGGCTCCCACTGGGATCTCCTGCTCCCGGCCCCTGCTGGCTCCACAGAGCGCCCAGCCACACTTCCCCCACTGCAGCTGGCATCCTCACAGTGGCCGCTTCAAATAGGCTGCAGCCACCATCGATTCCAGGTCTTTAGATAATTAACTCTTTCAACCAATTGCCAATCAGAAAATCTTTGAATCCACCTACGATCTGGAAACACTTGCTTCATGTTGTTCCACCTTTTCGGGCCAAATCAGTGTACACCTTACATGTAGTGATTGATGTCTGTCTTTAACTTCTGCCCCCTAAAATATATAAAATCAAACTTTAACCCAACCACCTTAGGCACATATTCTTAGGACCTCCTGAGGCTGTGTCACAGGTCAAAGCCCTCACATTTGGCTCTGAAAAAATCTCTTCAAATGTTGTACAGGGTTGGGTTTTTTTCATCAGCAACATACTGGGGTAAAACTGGATTAGGTGTCCTTGTTGAGGCATAAGTCAGAGCTGTAGAGTTTGGCTTTGTCAAATCCTGCTGGAACATATTTACCTGCATGAATCAGCTTCACATGCATGCTGATGGAATTCATTCCTGGGTAACTCATTTTGGGGGTGAAATCTGAAATACAGAACAGTGATAGGACAGTTACCAGGGAAGCCTTGAAGTTTGACCAGGAAAATTTTCAGTGTACATGGCAACTTTCTTTAAATTCTGAGGAACTGACATGAGCAGAGGGAATGTGTTCTCTCCTGATGACTTCCGGAGGAGAATAGGAATACTGAAATTTGAAAATGGCAGATTTTTCCACAATAGGAGAACAGAATATCAGACTAAGTATAGGACGAACTGCCTCCAGAGCTGAGTTATCTGTATATTGGAAGCCCACTCAAGGTGGCCAAGCCCGCTGAATTCTGCAGACAGAAACAACAAAGCATGGGAGATTGGGACACATGCATTTAAGGTCTCATATGTCCATGAGATTTTTGCCATTATAGTCTAGTTTTTATGTGCTTTTCTTTAGTCATTCTTAGCTCTCCCTAATTAGACTGGGTTCTCTTAAAATCCCAAGATAAGAGTCTTCTCGTAGAAGCTTTTGATCTTCTACATTCTATGGCCAGTCACTGAAAAGTTCTTTATCTATCAGCTTAGCTTATTTACACTGTTTCAGTGTTGTGATGTAATCCCATTTTCATTCACAGGTTAACTCAGAATAGGTTCATTATATACCTTCTATGTGCAAAAGCATGATGCTTGGCACAGTGTGGGTTCAGATATCAGAAAATTTTTATCCACTAAGAGTTTTTAATTTAGAAAAAGAAATATGATTGCAATATTTGATCATATATTAAACTAAGCAGAGTGATATTAAATGTGATGTGTCCATATTTGGAAGATTCTTTTTTCTGAGATGATCCAGGAAAGAAAGTGGCACTTGAGTTGGTACTTTAAGGATAGAGAGGAATTGATAAGGATGGGTCAGAAAGAGGCCTCCTGCTGCATTGTTGGATTTTAATATTTTAAGGTGGTTTGAGTCTTACAAAGAATGATTTATTTTGTTTTTGCATGTTTTAACTGCCTCTCAACAATTATTTTTGGCAATTTGAAATATTTGTTTTGTTTTCAATGAGTGAACTTTACAACTAAATATAATAATACCTTTAATGCTTTATTTTTCTCTTACATTTTTAAAATGTACTAGCTATTTAGTTCTCTATTAGGGCTATATTGGAATTAAATATGGCCCTGACTTTTTTTTTTGTCTCCTCTGGCTTGTATTTTGATAGAATATTCTTTACTTTCAGTTAGCACCTAAAATGAAATACCTTCTACTTTCCCTACATTCTTTCCCTTCTCTTCCCATTTTTATAATTGTATATATCTAGCATTATATGTATTGTCATTCTTATGTCCATGTTTTAAAATGTTTCAATGAATATTATTGTGTCAAAACTTCTTTGATTATTTGTTGGTGGATTGAGACTTGTTTTCTACAGATTCATCAGGTAATACTTATGGAAACAACTTCCCAAATTATTTCATTTTTATAATAGCTTTACCATGACTTTTATGTCTAAAGTTTAGTTAAGAGGAAATAAAATCAAAGGCTCACATTTTCTTCATTTAAATATCTTAACTCATTATTTCATTGTATCTAGCATAATGCATTGCTATCAAAAGTCTTGGTATCTTTTTCTTTTAAGGAAGGGATTTTCCCTAGATGCCAAAATAATTTATTTTTCAAATGTTTCAGTTATTTTCTTAGAATGTTTTTTGGTGTTGAGCATTCAGAATTAGTTCTTCCAGGTACACTGTATGCCTCTTTAAAATATAAGTTCAAGTCTTTTATTATCCAAAATAGATTCTTGGATTATACACTTAAGCACTTTTTCTAATACTGCTTTAGTTTTCTTCTTTGAGACTCCCATTATATGTATGTTGACTACTCTTTATTTTCCATTTCTCTCACTTTCTCTAGAATACCTTTTATCTCTTATGTCCTTGCTTTATGATTCATTTTCTTCAAATTTTTATTTCTATTTTGATTTCTCATACAATAATTTCTATGCTCTTATGTTCCTTTTAGTTTAGGCTTAATTTCTGAAATAACATTTTCTTTTATTTCAAAATATTTTCTGGGCATACTCAACTCTCTCTTAATGTTCTCCTATTGTTCAGATATCTCAGTACTGATGTTTTCTAATTTTGATGTATATTGCTTTTCCTGCATATATTTAATTATTTTCATAATTTACTATGGCATTCTTTGAGATGATAGATTATATGTTTTTTCTTTCTTTCTTGGTTGTATTCTTTAGCTGTGTCTTCATTTTCTATAGAATGTCACTGATATGGTTTGGCTATGCCCCAAATCTCATCGTGAATTGTAGCTCCCATAATTCCCATGTGTTGTGAGAGGTGCCTGGTAGGAGGTAACTGAATCATGAGGGTGGTTCCCCCATACTCTTCTTGTGGTAGTGAATAAGTCTCTCGAGATCTGATGGTTTTATATTCACTTCATTCTCATTATCACTTGTCTGCTGACATGTAAGACATCGTTTTCACCTTCTGCCGTGATTGTGAGGCCTCCCCAACCATGTGGAACTGTGAGTCCATTAAACCTCTTTTTGTTTATAAATTACTCAGTCTTGGTTATGCCTTTATCAGGAGCATTAAAACAGATTAAAATAGTTACTCATATTTTGACCTCATCTTTCTTACAACATCTTTGTATGGATTTGGGCTGCAGACCTTGTATGGTGCTATTATAGTAAAGTAAGATTGATTTTCCTGTACGTTTAGAAAGAAGCTTCTGTTGTTCAAGATTTGGACATGAGCCAGGGTGAACTTGCTAGCTTCATATTTACGGGGTTTCCTCTCTTGTTGTTTCTGCAACATACTAAAAATGCAGCCTTTTCATGTAACCACCTCTCCAATACTTTAAGCTATCCATCTCCTCTTGTCTCCTCCATCACTAAACTTCCTATTTTCTTTACTTCCAGCATTTCTGTTATGTTAAATGGGAGACATGTTCCTCCACAGATCCCCCTCAATATGAGGCTCTGTCCTTCTCTGAGAATTTCAGAAATCCCTAATGACGTAGGCTTCCATAGCCCAGCCCTAAATGCTCCACTGACATCCAAGCTTTCAAATGTCCCTTCAAATTCTAAGCACTGTTTTCAGATCCTTCACCTTCAGTGGGGACTCCTCTTTTTGAAAGTGAGTGTTGGTAATTTCTGAATTTCCAGTTTGTTAGAACCATCAGAAGTCCCCCTTGTCTTCCTTCTTCTTTGTCTAGTACAGCTGCTGTGTCCACACAGTTCTTGGTGTTGTAATTGGCATAACCCCATCCCCTTATATGCCACAGTTTGTAGGATACTTTCCTCCTAGTTTTGTTGAAAATGTTCATTTTGGAGTTTTTTTGGTAATTCTAGTTGTTCTGTCTGTTTTAATGAATAATGTAGATAAGACTTGAAAGCTCTATCTCTTTTGTTGTTGCTTCCATCTTGTGTTTCCAGGAGACACATTTAGAATTTTGCCTTTGAGAGCGCTGTTCTCTAACATTTCTACATTAAGGAAAGTTTTATCTTGAATTGGAAATTCACCCCTTTTTTTAGAAAAAAAGAAAACAAAAAACCTGGCTGTGTATTCCCAAAGGGATTTAAGAAATAAAGTATTTCTATTTCTGTTTTTTTTAAGATTTAAAAGCATTAAGTTTACATTGTTCTTAAAGCTTTACAATTACACTGTATGAGATCAATTTGTAAAATGGGGATATTTTATTCTAATTAGAGCAACACTGATGAGGTGCCATCTTGGTTTTTGTTTATGGCGTCTTGCTTTCAGGAGCACTGCAGTGCAGGAATGTCCACACACATCCAGAGCAATGACGCTGAGCATCAGGTGTGGGTCTGGGTGAACTCTAGAATCCACATTTTCTCCCTATTCCTGTCACTCATAGTGCCTCACACTCAGGAAGAGTAAATGATGGTTTGGCATCAAACACACCTAATTTTAGGCATTAATGACATATGGATTTTTCTCCTCGTTTGTTAATTGCTGTTGTGTTTTTCTGATACCACCAACATTGAACAGATTGGGAAGTTATGTTTATTTGTTCTTGAATACAAAAACAAATGTCCCCCAGAAACAATTGCAAATGCATTAAATCAATCACAATACTGCCAGTTTATAATGTCCAGCTATAGAGTAGGGAAAATACGACTCCCTTCTTCCCACGAGATTCTAATCTGATTTGGGGTTAAACACCGGGGAAATAGAAGTGCAAAGGAGGCCGGGCACGGTGGCTCACGCCTGTAATCCCAGCATTTTGGGAGGCTGAGGCTGGTGGATCACGAGGTCAGGAGATCGAGACCATCCTGGCTAACACGGTAAAATCCCATCTCTGCTGAAAATACAAAAAATTAGCCGGGCGTGGTGGCGGGCGCCTGTAGTCCCGGCTACTAAGAAGGCTGAGGCAGGAGAATGGCGTGAACCCGGGAGGCGGAGCTTACAGCGAGCCCAGATCGCGCCACTGCACTTCAGCTGGGCGACAGAGTGAGACTCCGTCTCAAAAAAAAAAAAAAAATTGCAAAGGAATGGGGGCTTCATTTTACCTCTAAATCTGAGAATCTCACTCATGTTATCTTTTCTGTATCTCCTCCTTTTCCATCCCATTTGGGAGTGACCATTTATACCAACCAACCAAGATAGTGTTGTTTACTTACATTTGCAACTACATTTTGTCCATAATATCTCAGTTTATTAATAACTTAAATGAATCTTATCTCATTTGTTCTGGGAGATAGGTGTAATTATGTTCCCCATTTGAAGGAGTAACCTAAGACTTATTCATCTAATAAAATACAGTGTTCTTAACTTGTCTACCTTCTTTCTGAATCATTTTTCATACTGCCATTACATTTTCCTTTTTAAAATACTATGTATTTTATGTATGTATATATTGTTATAAAATTTAGTCCAAAATCTGTAACATGACATACATGATGCTAATAAATAGCTATTCTTCAGTGAGTGTTTATAGTGTGTCAAGAATTATCCTAAATTCTTTACCTACACTATTAGTTCACTTAATCCTCACACCAAAGCACAAATAAGTACTATTCTAAACTTGATTTTATGGAAGAGGTTATAGGGGCACAGATAAGTTACATAACTTGCTCAAGTATAGAAAACTGGTAATGTATGTATTCAGGATTTTAACCCAGACATCTGCTTCACCATCTCTATAGTTCACCACTGCCTAAATGCACTCAATATTTCAAGTCCAGTTTATACCCTGATCCATACGTGGCATCAGCCGTTTTGCATGCAAAATGTTACATCCTCAGTTTCTCTAATACAACTATCCCTTGTATTTTTTAGTTAATTTTATCCCTTTTTCTTTTTTGCCACTTTTGTGAACTAAAAATTAAATATGTGTCTTTAACTTTGGCCATTGGCTAAACCCTACCACGGTGTTAATCACACTAAAACCCATTATGTAAAAATATTATGTCTGTGTACACCCATGGTAACATGGTAATGGGCATCAGAGTTAAAAAGAAACCTGTCCTATGAGTATTTGCCTGCAATGAAATGTGCACTATCATCAGAAATTAAAGGAAACGAAATCCATGCTAGACTAAAGCAGAAATTACTTCCTGGGCTACACACTAAGAGTTTCCTACAGGTCTTCAAAAAAGAAATGCTGGATGTTAATGATCACAATTCTGTTGTATAATATCCTTAGAATTTTTGTCTCTATTTTTAGTGTTTCAACATAGTAAAGTATGTACATAGACCTTATTCCAGATTGTGTTTTTATTGTCTTCCTAAAGATTCATGTTATAGATATCAAATGATTGTTACGTATTCCTATTTCTTCTTGGTTGGTCCTTACGTGACTGTCAAGGTCTAAATTATGTTGCCCTGGGTAAGTAAACCAGATAAGCGACACACTTTACTGCCCAGCTGCCCAAATGATGTTTAAGTTGTATCTGTGTTCATTTCATTAGATTGTAAATTCCTGGATGGCAGAGATTGTAGCTTTTATACCTCCCCAACCAAAACAAATAATATGTCAGAAAAAAGAGACTTATTATAAAAATAGTTTTAAATAGTTTTTAACCTAGAAAATAGGATTCAAAATATTACTTGAAAAAATATTATGAAAGAATATCAAGAAATATTGGAAAAGGAAGAGAAATGAAGAGGAATATTACACAGATTACAAAATTGATTTCCATTAGTGAAAACAGTGCAAGGTAGTGTAAAGTATAAAGCTGTAGTAAGGAAAACACTGTGGTTTTGTTACATGACTAAACAGATCAAGGACTTAGGAATTCCAGAAATAAACCTAATTGTATGTGAGCTTCAGTTTATAATGAAGGCAACATTTCATGTCATGGCGGAAAACACGTATTATTTAATACACAGTTTGAGGATAACTGTGTAGTCATCTAGAAAACAGACAGTAAATTTGGAACCCTCTCTCATTGCTTAGACCAAAGTACATTTTAGACAAAACAGATATTTAAAAGAAAACAAAGTCATACAAATAATATAAATTTAGGG
This sequence comes from Homo sapiens, assembly GCF_000001405.40. Lineage (NCBI taxonomy): Eukaryota > Metazoa > Chordata > Mammalia > Primates > Hominidae > Homo > Homo sapiens. The sequence continues at coordinate 108,187,489 of NC_000013.11, read as the reverse complement.
AAGACTATTTTAAGCATTAAATATATAAAACAAAACAAAAAACAGAACCCAGAGGAAAAAAGGTGACTGAATTTAATGTATAAAATTCATAAAAATGCTATGTGGTACACATCATAAATAAATCAAAAGAGTTGATGCAATAGGAAAAATTTTGTATTAAAATAGCAGAATAATGACATTTTTCTTTATTATAGGCAGAGCATCTGTAAGAAAGGCTATTTACTAAACAATAACAATGAAAATGATATATAAAAATATTCAAAACCATAAAATATAGATTAAAGAAAACAAATGACTATAATATTTATAAAAAGATATCCATACCATCCATAACAAAATAAGACAAACGAAAGTCATATTTTTCTTATTGTTATCAAATTTGGAAAGCAAAACTTTAATAATACTTTGTTTGGTAAGGGCGTGAGAAAAATAGATACTCTCATCCTTTTTTGACAGAAATATTTATGTTTATATTATGTGTTGATTCTGATTTACTATCGGGGGGCGCATGGCAGTTCCTATCATCAAAATTTAAAATGCATTTATGCTTGGACGAAGTAATTTAATTTCTAGAGATTTATCATATAAATATAGTTACACATGTACAAAAAGATATTTTCAAGGTTAGTTACTGTAGAATTATAATGCTGAAGAAGAGGAAGTAATTTAAATGTTAATTAACAGAATTTTGATTAAATACATGATGATATATCAGGCAATGATAATATGCAACCATAGTCATGTGTTGCATAGCAACACTTCAGGCAACAAAGAACTGCATGTACAACAGTGATCCCATGAGATTATAATACCGTAGTTTTACTGTCCCTTTCTATGTTTAGATACACAAATGCATACCTTTATGCTGGAATTACCTGCAGTATTCAGTAGAGTAGCATGCAGTACAGGTTTATAGCCTAAAAGCAATAGGCTGTAGCAAATGGCCTAGGTGTGTAGTAGGCTGTACCGTCCGGGTTTGTGTCATACACTTTATGGCATTCCTAAAAATGACAAAATTGCCTAACAACCCATTTCTCAGAATGTATCCCTGTCGTTAAGCAACACATGACTGTATTTAAAAAGAATAAGGCATTTTGATGTGTACTGCTATGAAAGGATCTTCAAGATACATTAAGTAGAAAAAAACAGAAGGTGTAAGACACTATGTGGAGGCTTTCACCATTTGCATTGTTTTATAAAAGAGGAATGAACGAGTGTGCTCACACATGGTATCAGCTCTCTTCAGAGGTGCACGGGAACTGTCAAAGTGTCCCCTCCAAAGAAGGAAACTGAGGATCTTGGGAGACAGAGGTGATAAACAGAAGTTTAGCCTTTCTCTTTACACATTCATTTGTACCCTCTAAATTTTGTTCCATGTTTGTGTATTATCTATTGAAAATAAAAAGGACCAACAAATGAAATACCTATTTACACCAATAATTATAATCGCTGCTGTCCTTCGAGCTTTCCAAAACACAGGCCCTGTTGTCTGCATAGAGGCGTAGGAAACATTATTGCCCTTGCCTGTGTGACTGTGCAGTCACCATCTTTCTAATATAAAAGTGTTATCTTTGTATGAATTGTAGTATTGAGAAGCTATATCAATTTGGTTATTTAATATGTAGAAATTAAAAATAAAAAACATGTTTATTAAAAATATTAAAAATAGCATGAAAAAGCGATTTTAATCACATGGAAGTTCTGTTGGGGTTTAAGGCGTGTCACCTAACTGAAACAGCCAGGATTAAGAAGACTTGACTATATTCTTGACACATTTTTATAATGATTACAATTAGCTGGCATTCATGTTTGACATCAGAACAAGCCAAATTCAAATGATGTTCTGTCTTATTTTTCAGGAATAAGTAATAATTCTAAGAACTTAGTCGAATCACAACAGAGATTCACTGCTTTCTGTTCTTGCTACTATTGCACTGACAATGAACACAATTGGGCATTAGTTCTTGTACTGTAAATGTAAATAAAAAGATAAGACCTGGCATGTCAAAAATGGATACGCCAGATTGGCTCTGAGATGGGAAATGAAAGAAGAACTTGCCAAATGGGTTCAGTTTCCTCTCAGCAGTGTTGTTTTTCTCTGATCAATGTCACAGAGGAGATGCTTGGGTAAGATAGTTTCCCTCTAGAGTGTCTCTCAAAATGGGAGTTCTCCAAATATACTGGTTTTCTTTAGCGTACACTTATTAATTGAAGGAGTTGTCCTTTTTTTTGTATGGGAATCCCCAGTGTAAAATGAATTTGAACTTTTTTCAATAGAGAAATCTAGTGATGTGTTTCTTATCATATTGCCCCCTAAGAATAAGTTCATGAGGATATCACCAGCAAAATGCTTTTTCAGACAAGCTGTGAACAGCCAGGCACAAATGCCTGCCTTGGTAGTAACAGCTGCCAGATTATGATTCACTGAACAGGACAATAAATTTCAGCCTTATTGGATTTTGTTAATTATGTAAATGAGGTCACTGTAGAGGCAGTTGCTAATTATCAGTTACTATTGAAAACCTGATGGGAGAGGTGGAGATGATATGCATAATTTTAATTATATTCATTTATTTGAACAGAGTAAGAGCGAATTACAGTTTTCATGATCTAGTTCTTGGTTAGCACCACTCTTTAAAATGAAATCCCACAGATATGGAAAGAAGTATATGCAAGGATGTTTATCACAGTATTATTCGCAATAGGAAAAAATCTAGGGTGATCTAAACAGATGAATGAAAATAGAACATTTCATATGATACATAACTGTGGAACTATTGAGGAAGATTTAGTCACATACGTGCAATACAGTTGATATAATATGTAAGTTAAAAAGTATATTTTAAATGCATAGAAAAATAGAACTGTAATCATATGTCAAAATGTGAGCACTATATATAAGTGATGTAATTATGGGTGCTTTGTTTTGTGTTTTTCTGAGTTTTTCTAATACTTTTGAGAGGCAAAAGTTCTAAATAAATGGAACTGGTATGAACTTCAAAGATGATGCTGGGTACTGAAACTAAAGACCAAAATCAGAAATCTTATTTTGCTCTCCAAGTAGAATTCTTAAGATACGTCCTTTTTTCCTCTTAGCTCATTTTAATTGTTCAGTAAGTTAATTTACTAAAAAGTTAAGTTTAATTTTAACGATTTAATTTTTTAACAATTCCTTTATGTATTTCATGTTTTTATTAACGGGAAAGTGGGAGTTATGTTTTCTCTAGTTGTATGTGGTCAGGCATAATCTAGTAATTTATTGATAGTATAGCTGACACCAAATAGAAATTGGAATATCACAGAGCTTCACTTATTCTTCTCTGCTGTAAAGTCTAAGGTAAAAATGATGACGTGGCCCAGTCTACAAAGAAGAATTCTAAGGGAATGAGCCCTAATACACGCATTTTTTCCCACCTTCTTTAAACAAAGAACTGATCTTGTAGCACCACATATCAGAATGAAGTAAGATTAAAAAGTGAAAATTCACCAGGTGTTCCTTGTGAAAATGGTAGAAACTATGAGTTATGAAGCTAGCAACATACATCATATGCATTGTAACCAAATCATGTGATACCTGTTTTCTGTCTTCTCTATGGAACCCTTAGGATGAGCCTGATAACTTGGTGCAGTTTAGCATTCCTAACCCCCATGTAGATCATAAATCTTGCTTGAAGACCATGCCTATTAAGAGCAACAAACAAAAATCAGAAGAGAGAGAGAGAGAGAACAATTTTAAAAAATGGCTTAGGGCTGAGAAACCAGAGAACCTCATTTCCTGGTAATGAAAGACACCTCATGTAATGATCCCCATTATCTATTCATCATTGCTTCCTCTTCAACACTCAAATTATGCTTCCATTTCTCAACATGATATCCTTGTTCTAATCATCAGGCTCTCTCTCCATTGGTCCAGCTCCCTCACCAGTCTACAATAAATCATTCCTGGAAAAATACAGGAAATATACATGTATTACCATTTTTATCATTGCCTATGTTCACAGAGATTCCGGAGCACCCCTGACCCACCCCTCTGCCTGCAAATCTCCATAATATTTTGCATGGCTCAGTCCTAGTCTCACCTACTCCATTCGCCCCTCTAAACCTCCCCCTCTTGGAACTGCCGTTGTGATTCTAGCATAACACATGTAATTTGGTACTTAATCACTCTCTGATTTATCTAGATAGTCTCAATAGTTCTTTGGGGGAAATTCAGTCTTTTATATACATTTTTAGGTTTCTCCCTTAATTGTAACTTACAGTATAATAGTATACATTAAATACCTGTTAACAAATTGCCTAGATATTATTGTTCTGTTAAACTTTTATGCTTGTATTTTTGTTTTAGTAGTGTTTCCATAAAAACAAGTTGGTAAGTAAATATTCTATAAGAGTGCTGATTTTTCATAAATATTTAGATAAAAAGAAGCTCCATGGTAGGTCAATAATGTCTAATTTCAAAGGAAAAAAATCCTGGGCCAGCAAGGATAAGTGGAGGAGGAAATAAAGTTAACTTTAGAAATATCCAAAAACGAACTGCGGAAACTAAATGATTTAACATGTTTGGGTGGGGCCTGGTATTGGCAATAGCTGGATGCACCTGCTACCAATTTTAAGTTGTTGCAGTGTTGTTTATGTGCTTGGACTCTGGAGCCAGAGTGCCTGAGTAATATTGCTGGCTGAGTGACATTGGGAAATTAGTTTACTAAGAAAAAGCTGTGTGATTCTGGGCTGTTAACTTAGTAACTCCAAGGTTAAGTGTACGAGTAGGTGAAATTGTGACAACACAGGATCTCCCTCAAGGGACTGTTGTCAAGATTAAATGTGTGAATACCTGTCAAGAACTTAAAATAACCGCTTGATACCACAGACAGTTAAACTTTTGTGAGGCCTGAAACTTATACAACTTCCCAGCCTTTCTATAACAAAATTTTCAAAAATTAAGAATGTAAAATTAGATGTGAGATCAGGTGATATCACTGAGAAAGGCTGAGTAAAGACCTCAAACATCCTCCCCTCCAAAAGCTATGTAAACACTGGTAACTTGTCAACATCAACCTTTTCAGCATGCTGTTAATTAACTAAAGGCTTCAGCAATCCAGGGAAGTTATTTAAGAACAGCTTGTAGAATTGCTCCCAAAACTTTTTGAGGTAGTTTTATCTTTATTTTACAAAAAGAAGAAACCGAGGTTTGGGGTGGTTAAAATCTTGCCTTACTGTATTGAAAGTGGGAAACAGGCCAGGCTCTGTGGCTCATGCCTGTAATCCCAGCACTTTGGGAGGCCAAGACGGGCGGATCACTTGAGGTCAGGAGTTTGAGAGCAGTCTGGCCAATGTAGTGAAACCCCGTCTCTACTAAAAATACAAAAATTAGCTGGGCGTGGTGGCGCACACCTATAGTCCCAGCTACTCGGGAGGCTGAGGTGGGAGAATTGCTTCAACCAGGGAGGTGGAGGTTGCAGTGAGCTGACATTGTGCCATTGCACTCCAGCCTGGGCAACAGAGGGAAACTCCATCTCAAAAATAAAAAAAAAAAAAAAATTAAAAAAAAGAAAGAAAGAAAAGGAAGTGGGAAACAACTAATGTTATGGTGGAGAAATTTGGCAGACTCTGTCTTAGGTGATGGTCAAGGTCAACATGGAAAGTGATGAACCGTATTGATAGCATGGACCCTTGATATGATATGTGAGAATAACACTCTACTGCTGTGATTTTCTCCCCCAAAATTCATAATCCAAGCATAATCTTGAAAAATCCATGAGACAAATCTAAATAGAGAGACATTCTACAAAATACCTGACCAATACTTCTCAAAACTGTCAAGGCCATCATAAAACAAAAAAGGTCTGAGAAACTGTCACAGCCAAGAGGAGTGTAAGGAGACATGAAGAATAATTGTAATGTGACATTCTGGATGGGATCCAGAACAGAAAATTTACCTTGATGAAAAACTAAGAACATTCAAATGAAGTATGAATTTTAGTTAATAGCAATGCATCCACCTTGGCTTGTTAATTGTGACAATACTATTTTAATAGTACCATATTAACATCAAACGTTAATAGTAGGGGATACTGGGAATGGGGCTATGGGAACTCTACTATCTTTGCACCTTTTCTGTAAGCATAAAACTATTCTAGGCCGGGTGCAGTGGCTCACACCTGTAATCCCAGCACTTTGGGAGGCCGAGGTGGGCAGATCACGAGGCCAGGAGAGTAGACCAGCTTGGTGAACATGGTGAAACCCCGTCTCTACTAAAATACAAAAACTTAGCCTGGCGTGGTGGCACGCACCTGTAGTCCCAGCTACTCGAGAGGCTGAGGCAGGAGAATCGCTTGAACCTGGGAGGCAGAGGTTGCAGTGAGCCGAGATCGCGCCACGGCACTCCAGCCTGGTGACAGAGCAAGACTCCGTCTCAAAAAAAAAAAAAAAAAAAAAAACTATTCTAAAATTTTAAAAGGTTTATTTTTAAAAATCTGCCCCCAGAGAACCTGGGGGCATAGTTAGTATGCGGGGGAATTGATATTCAGACTCAAAGTGTTTGCATTATACAAAGCTACTGCATTAGTGCCCGAACAAAATGCCAGACTGAGTGGCTTCACCACAGAAACTTTTCTCACGGTTCTGACGCTGGAGAGCAGCTGGAGACCCAGGTATCGGCTGGTTGGGTTTCTCCTGAAACCTCTCCTTGGCTTGCCGATGGCTGCCTTCTAGCCATGTCCTCACATGATCTTTCCTCTACACACGCATCCTGGTGTCTGTGTCCACATTTCCCTTCTTGTAAGGATACCAGTGCTAGTGGATTGGGCCCGACCTAGCTAACTCATATTAACTTCATCACTATCTCTTTAAAGACCCAATCTTCAAATGCATTCTGAGGTGCGGGGGCTGGGGGATGGGGCGGTCAAGTTCAACGTATGAATTTTGGAGACACACAACTCAGTCCATAAAAGGTACTTTCCAAATTTGGGAATAAAACTATGTTTATTTAAGAATGATTCCATGTTCCATTTTCAAAGGGATGGACGATACTTTGGCAGCTCTAATTGTGTGGGAATCCTAACTGAAGTTTCAGGCCCTGCTTTTCATTTCCTCTAAGGCGCCCGGGGCCTCTGCCTGGCATTGGCCGCTCAGCCCTCATCTTCAGACCCCTGTGTTTTCTCCTTTCCTTCTGCACACAGGCTTTTCTCTCTCAACTTGTTTTATTCTCATTGCAATTCTCAGCCCTTACCTGCAAGTGTCTAACAATGTTCTTTCCTTACCCCAGCCCTCTTCTTTTTGAGACTGTTACCATTTAGTTACTACTAGATTTTTGTTTTTTCTATCCCTTTTAAAAGTTAGTATGTACTAGCAGTTTTAAAAATACTCCTAGAAATGTTGATGACATTTTTATGATAATCTAAACTTTCCTTTTCCTTGCTAATCCTAGGTCTTGGGTGAATCCAAAGATTCAGGTGGGTGCTGTTTTCTGAGGTTCTAACTTCTTGGAAATTATAGCTGCAAGAGAATGTTATTAGGAAATACAAAAATGTCAAAGGATTTAAAATAATAATAATTTGAACTGGGAATGTTTTAGTTAAGCTTTAAAATTATGTTATATAAATAAACTACAGGGGTTTGCATAAGCTATAAGTTTTCTCTAAACATCTAAAGGATTTTGAAAGAGCAAGGATGTCTATAATTAAAGTGGTAAATCTTTAAATAAGTAGTAATTAAATTATGCAGAAGCTCTTGAAGAACTTGCTGGAAATAAAGATGAGGCAGGAAGTTAGGGTATAAATTGCTAATTACGTATGTGTATATATATGTATATACACGCACACATATTTGTATGTGTATATATACATATACACTCTTTGGTATGGTTTTGAGACATTAACTATATTAATATTAAAAATTAACTATAAATTTATTACTCAAGAGATAATAGAATAGATTAAACATGTTGGAATCATGGATTTTTTTTTTTTTTTTTGAGACGGAGTCTGGCTCTGTTGCCCAGGCCGGAGTGCAGTGGTACGATCTGGGCTCACTGTAACCTCCACCTCCCTGGTTCAAGCGATTCTCCTGCATCAGCTGGGACTACAGGCATGTGCCACCACTCCCGGCGAATTTTTTGTATTTTTAGTAGAGACGGAGTTTTACCATGTTAGCCAGGATGGTCTCGATCTCCTGACCTCGTGATCCACCCGCCTTGGCCTCCCAGAGTGCTGGGATTACAGGCATGAGCCACTTCGCCCAGGTGGAATCATGGAGTTTTAGGGAGGCTTAGCAATCATGTAAATTCTTACTTTTAATTTAATAAATAAAAAAATCTAGAGACCTAGGAAACCTGAGACCCTGAGAGGTTATGTGCATTTCTCAATAGTAACAAGCATATTTACAAACCCAAATGTGTTTCATAGTATTAGTACAATAGCTAAGTGAAAGGAAGAGACATTGAAATAAATTCAACTTGAAGATTTTTAAAGGAAAACAATCAATATGAATATTCCAGTCCTTGCTACTCCTCTTCTCAAGAGGTGTACAGATGTGCACAGGTTCTGGGAAGCTGATTTGCTGTCTTACAACCACTGTGGGTGATTCAGGACGACTGCACACCCTTGGCATTCTCGTCGAGAAAAGTCCAAGACCATCTCTCCTTCCCTGGACCTTGGCTGGACTATGAAGGCTTTGACTAAGAGAATATATTGTAAAGGACATGATTCCAGTTCTATGCTCACCTGTGTGAAGGCTAGCAGCTTGGTCTTAGTGTGTCCGGAATTTATTCCTTCTGGTGGGTTCTTGGTCTCACTGACTTCAAAAATGAAGCCACCAGCGCTCGTGGTGAGTGTTACAGCTCTTAAAGATGGTGTGTCCAGAGTTTGTTCCTTCAGATGTGTCCAGAGTTTCTTCATTCTGGTGGGTTCGTGGTCTTGCTGGCTTCAGGAGTGAAGCCACAGACCTTCGCAGTGAGTGTTACAGCTCTTAAAGGTGGTGCTTCCGGAGTTGTTTGCTCCTCCTGGTGGGTTTGTGGTCCCGCTGACTTCAGGAATGAAGCCTCAGACCCTCGCGGTGAGTGTTACAGATCACAAAGTTAGTGCGGACCCAAAGAAGAGCAGCAGCAAGATTTATTGTGAAGAGCAAAAGAACAAAGCTTCCACAGAGTGCAAGAACAAACCAACCACAGCGTGGAAGGGGACCCCAGCAGGTTACGGCTGCTTTCTCGGGTGGCCAGCTTTTATTCCCTTAGTTTGGCCCTGCCCACATTCTGGTGATTGGTCCATTTTACAGAGTGCTGATTGGTGCGTTTACAATCCTTTAGCTAAGCACAGAGTGCTGATTGGTGTGTTTTTACAGAGTGCTGATTGGTGCGTTTACAGTGCTTTAGGTAGACACAAAAGTTCTCCAAGTCCCCACCCAATCCAGAAACCCAGCTGGCTTCACCTCTCATTAGGATCTGAACCATTGTGTAAGATATCCAACTGCCCTGATGAAGAGGCCATCTAGTGAGTCCTCATAACTGTGGGATAAAGAGAGGCCCAGATGAGTGCAGCCTTCCAGTCACTACTCTTCAGACATATACATTGAGCCCTCTGGGACCTGTAGACCAGATGAGCTGCCAGCTGCATACCACTGGGTGACCTCAGCCAATGCCTGCCTGAATTTCTGGCCCACGGAACCATGAGATAGAATAAAAGCATTGTTGCTTGAAGCCACTAAGTTTTGGGAGCATTTGTTATGCAACAATAGAAAATCAGAATATTATACTTTGGATCAATTTAGGAAGAGAACTAACATTGATTTCAGGAAATGACTGCTTTTACAAAAATTAACCTACTAACTCAACTAAGTATATTAGGTCAAAGTATAATTTAGAATTACTTAAGATTCAACCAGGGGCCATCAGACACCTAGTAATTTATAGGCACAGATTATTCTTGTCCTTAACATTCTGGAAATAATTGTACTCTAGGTCCTTACTGCTGAAATTGTGGTGTGTGGTCCAGTGCCCTAATCCTCACCTGGGAGCTAGTTAGTAATGCAGGATCTCTGGCTCTGCCCCAGGCCCAGTGCATCAGAAGCTCCTTTTAACAAGACCTCTGGTGATTCCTACGCACTGAGAACCTTGAGAAGTCCTAGTCTAGGTAGTTTTATTAGAAGCACTGGGAGGCTGATAAACAAATGTGGGAGGAACAGTCTTCACATTCATTTTCCTCTTCCTTGTTTGGTAATAAAAGTTTCTACTTTTAGATAAATTTGTTTTCCTTTAATATTAAGTCGTTACAGGCAGAGTTTCTTCAAGCCCCAAACATTCAAGAATAATAAAGCATACTTTCAAACTGGGGCATGCATTACAAAGGTATTTACATTGGACTTAATTAGATCAGTAAAATATATAAACCCATTTCTTCAGTTCTTTGAAAATACAATTTTTTACAATTTAGGCTAGTGAGGAAATAGATACAAAAGAAATATTATTACTTATGGAATAATTAACCCAGTTTTAGGTTTCTGGTGCTGGAAAAAGGCATCTAGAGAAGAATAACTAAATTTATTAACACAAGACGGGAGGGCGGTTGGGGGGTGAGGGAAGAACAGAGGCCTTTTCTTTGACAGTTTCTCACTGTCGCCACCTCGTGGCTGAGGATGAATTTCCTTCTGGTATTGCTGTTTCAATATTCGTTTTCTTTTTCTTTTTTCTTTTTTTTTTTTTTTTTTTGGTTTGTTTTTGTTTGTTTTTATGTTTTTGAGATTGAGTCTCGTTCTGTAGCCCAGGCTGGAGTACAATGGCGTGATCTCAGCTCACTGCAACCTCCATCTCCTGGGTTCAAGTGATTCTGCTGCCTCAGCCTCCTGAGTAGCTGGGATTACAGGCGTGCACCACCACGCCCAGCTAATTTTTGTATTTTCAGTAGAGACGGGGTTTCGCCATGTTGACCCGGCTGGTCTTGAACTCCTGACCTCAGGCAATCCGCCTGCCTCGGCCTCCCAAAGTGCTGGGATTACAGGTGTGAGCCACTGCGACGGGCCTCAATATTGGTGTTACGAGTTTGTCTCTCAATAACTCAGCAAAGCTAAATCTCATGGACGGGACCAAGGATCAAAGCAATTCAGAGTCTCCCTGATGGGTTCCTGGGGGAGGAGAACTCACCCTGAATAAAAAAGTAGAGAGCGTGGCATGGACCCTGGGGTACAGGTTGGTCTTCAGCTACGGTGGGGAGATTATCTGGTGACCTCCTGGGAGGTGATCCAGCCCCAGGCCACTCAGTCTTTATAAGAAGGGACTATAGGGAAGAGAAGAATTCAGGCCACCTGATTGATTGGCATCAATGATGTATTTGTAACTGTTGGAAACAAGGTCCTCCCTACTCCAATGAGAACGGGTGTTCTCCACATCTCAGGGACTGTGAGAACGGGCACACCTTACTTCCCTCACACTGCATTTCCACAGCCTGGTGACTGGCACAGAGATTAGTAAATGTTTGGTCATTCACTGACTGACAGGAAGAGTGGAATTCACCAACTAATGAGAAAATCGAAAGCTGGAGTGAGATCACAGACTAGCAATAGGATCAAACTGGTGAGCAACAGCATCACCACTGGCAACACCGGGTGAGGAAGGCTCCCCAAGGCTAAGTGGAGTTGGGCTACCCCCAAGGAAAGGGATGCCCTAGCCATCTCGGCTTGTTTTCCGAGGGCTGGGAGGGTTGTGGGGCAGAAAAGAGGAGTATTTGCCCTGCTGTCTTTGGTTGTTCTCCCATATAGCCTGGGAAAGCCCAAGTTACAATTCAACTTATATTTTTGCCATATCAGTGGATATATTATTGTTTCTAGCAACATCTGTATTCACTATTCACCAAAATGTACCTTATATTTTATCCCTTTCTCTAAGCTGCACTGAAGTGCCCCTTTTCCTATGAAAACCCAATAATTTATAAGAAAAAGGTTTTACTTTTGTTATATTTCCATGTGCTAAGAACTCAAATATTGAGTTCTCATTTGTAAATGAAAAGTAACAAGGAGGAAAAATAATTATAATCTGTGAAAGTATGGCTTATATAAATTGCATAAATTGAGGTATAAAGCTATCAAGTAGCAAGGTTTGTAGGAAACACAAAGGCGGTGGTTTCAGTGTGAATCACAGAAGGGATTTTTAAAAACATCAAAGAGATTTTTCTTCACAAGAGTTCATTAAAAGTGAGCGATATATATATTTTTCAAAAATATTTATTTATTTATTTCACCTTTAAAAACCTTTATTTTAGGTTCAGGGGTACATATGCAAATTTCTTACATAGGTGAACTTGTGTCACGGAGGTTTGTTGCACAGATTATTTCATCATCCATTTATTAAGTCAGGTACCCAATAGTTGTCTTTTGCGCTCCTCTCCATTCTCCCACACTCCACCCTCAAGCAGACCCCAGTGTCAGTTGCTCCCTTCTTTGTGTTCATGAGTTCTCATCCTTTAGCTGCCACTTATAACTGGGAACATGCAATATTTGGTTTTCTGTTCCTGCCTTAGTTTGCTAAGGATAATAGCCTCCACCTCCATCCATGTTCCCCCACATGACATGATCTCATTCTTTTTTATGGCTGTGTAGTATGCCATGATGTATATGTACCTCATTTTCTTTATCCAATCTGTCATTGATGGGCATTTAGGTAGATTCCATGACTTTGCCATTGTGAATAGTGCTGAAATGGACATTCACATGCATGTGTCTTTATGGTAGAATAATTTATATTCTTCTGAGTGTATACCCAGTAATAGGATTGCTGGAACAAATGGTAGTTCTGCTTTTAGCTCTTTGTGGAATCATCATCCTCCTTTCCACAATTTCCACAAGTTGAATTAATTTACACTCCCATCAGCAGTGTATAAGAGTTCCCTTTTCTCCACAACCTCACCAGCATCTGTTGTTTCCTGACTTTTAAGTAATAGCCATTCTGACTGGAGTGAGATGGTATTTCATTGTGGTTTTGATTTGCATTTCTCTAATGATCAGTGATATTGAGCTTTTTTTTTCATATGCTTGTTGGTCGCATGTATGTTTTCTTTTGAAAAGTGTCTGTTCATGTCCTTTGCCCACTTTTTAATGGGGTTATTTGTTTTTCTCTTGTAAATTTGTTTAAGTTCCTTATAGATGCTGGATATTAGAACTTTGTCAGATGCATAGTTTGCAAATATTTTCTCCCATTCTGTAGGTTGTCTGTTTACTCTGTTGATAGTTTCTTTTGCTGTGCAGAAGCTCTTAAGTTTAATTATACCCTACTTGTTAAGTTTTTATTGTGTTGTGATTGTTTTTGGTGTCTTTGTCATGAAATCTTTGCCTGTTCCTATGTCCAGGATGGTATTGACTAGGTTGTCTTTCAGGGTTTTTATAGTTTTGGGCTTTACAGTTAAGTGTTTATTTCATCTTGAGTTGATTTTTGTAGATGATGTAAGGAAGGGGTCCAGATTCAATCTTCTGCTTATGGATAGCCAGTTATCCCAGCACCATTTATTGAATAGGGAGTCTTTTCCCCATTACTTGTTTTTGTCAGCCTTGTCAAAGATCAGATGGTTGTAGGTGTGTGGCCTTATTTCTGTGCTCTCTATTCTGTTTCACTGGTCTATGTGTCTGTTTTTGTACCAGAACCATGCTGTTTTGTTTACTGTAGCCCTGTAGTATAGTTTGAAGTCAGGTAATGTGATTCCTCCAGTTTTATTCTTTTTACTTAGGATTATCTTGGCTATTCAGGCTCTTTTTTGGGTCCATATAAATTTTAAAATTGTTTTCTCTAGTTCTGTGAAGAATGTTGTTGGTAGTTTGATAGGAAGAGAATTGAATCTGTAAATTGCTTTGGGCAATATGGCCATTTTAATGATATTGATTCTTCCTACCCATGAGCATGGGATATTTTTCCATTTGTTTGTGTTTTCTCTGATTTCTTTTTCTTTTTTTTTTTTTTTAAAGATGGAGTCTCACTCTGTCTCCCAGGCTGGAGTGCAGCAGCAAAATCTCAGTTCACTGCAATCTCCACTTCCTGGGTTCAAGCAATTCTCCTGCCTCAGCCTCCTAAGCAGCTGGGATTACAGGCATGTGCCACCACACCCAGCTAATTTTTTTTTTGTATTCTTAATAGAGGTGGGGTTTCACCATGTTGATCACGCTGGTCTCGAACTCCTGACCTCATGATCTGCCCACCTTGGCCTCCCAAAGTGCTGGGATCACAGGCGTGAGCCACCGTGTCCAACCCTTCTCTGATTTCTTTGAGCAGTGTTTTGTAGTTCTCATTGTAGAGATCTTTCATCTCCCTATAATTCCTAGGTAATTTATTCTTTTTGTGGCTATCATAAATGGGATTACCTTTCTGATTTGGCTCTTGGTTTGGCTGTTGTTGGTGTATAGAAATGCTAGTGATTTTTGTACATTGATTTTGTATCCTGAAACTCTGCTGAAGTTGTTTATCAGCTGAAGGAGGTTTTAGGACGAGACTATGGGGTTTTCTAGATACAGAATCATGTCATCTGCAAACAGGGATAATTTGACTTCCTCTCTTCCCTTCAGATGCCCTTTATTTCTTTCTCTTGCCTGATTGCTCTGGCTAAGACTTCTAATACTATGTTGAATAGGAGTGGTGAGAGAGAGGGCATCCTTGTCTTGTGCCGGTTTTCAAGGGGAATGCTTCCAGAATTTTCACATTTGGTATGATGTTGGCTGTGGGTTTGTCATAAATGGCTCTTATTATTTTGAGGTATGTTTCTTCAATACCTAGCTTGTTGAGAGTATTTTACATGAAGGGATGTTGAATTGTATCAAAGGCCTTTTCTACCTTTATTGAAATAATCATGTAGTTTTTGTCTTTAGTTTTGTTCATGTGATGAATCACATTTATTGATTTGCATATGTTGAACCAACTTTGCATCCCGGGGATGAAGCCTACTTGATCATGGCGGATTCGCTTTTTGATGTGCTGCTGGATTTGGTTTGCAAGTATTATTTTGAGGATTTTTGCATTGATGTTCCTCAAGAATATTGGCCTGAAGTTTTCTTTTTTTGTTGTGTTTCTGCCAGGTTTTGGTAACGGGATGATGCTGGCCTCATAGAATGCATTGGGGAGGAATCCCTTCTCCTCGTTTTTTTGGAATAGTTTCAGTAGGAATGGTACCAGCTCTTCCTTGTACATCTGGTGGAATTTAGCTGTAAATTCATCAGATCCTGGGTTTTTTTTCAGTTGGTAGGCTATGTATTACTGATTCGAGTTTGAAGCTCATTATTGGTCTGTTCAGGGAATCAATTTCTTTTTTGTTCACTCTTGGGAGGGTGTATGTTTCCAGGAGTTTACCCATTTCTTCTACGTTTTCTAGTTTGTGTGCATAGAAGTGTTTGTAGTAGTCTCTGATGGTTATTTTTAATTCTGTGAGTTCAGTGGTAACATCTCCTTCATCATTTCTGATTGTGTTTATTTGGATCTTCTCTCTTTTCTACTTTATGAGTATAACTAGCAGTCTAGTCTATCTATCTTATTAATTAAAAAAAACTCCTGGATTCATTGATCTTTCTAATGGTTTTTGTATGTCTTGATTTCCTTCAATTCAGCTCTGATTTTGGTTATTTCTTGTCTTCTGCTAGCTTTGGGGTTTATTTGCTTGTACTTCTCTAATTCCTTAAGTTGTAGTGTTAGCTTGTTAATTTGAGATCTTTTTACCTTTTTGATGTGGGCATTTAGTGCTATGAATTTCCCTCTTAACATTGTCTTAGCTGTATCCCAGAGATTCTGTTATGTTGTATCTTTGTTCTCATTCATTTCAAAAAAACATCTTGATTTCTTCCTTAGTTTCATTATTTACCCAAAAATCATGCAGGAGTATGTTGTTTAATTTCCATGTAATTGAATAGTTTTGAGCAATTTTCTTAGTCTTGACTTTCATTTTTATTGCACTGTGGTCTGAGAGTGTGTTTGGTGTGATTTGGGTTTTTTGCATTTGTTGAGGATTGTTTTAGGTCCAATTATGTGGTTGATTTTGGAGTATATCCCATGTGGTGATGAAAATAATGTATATTCTGTTGTTTTTGCATGGAGAGTTTTGCAGAGGTCTATCAAATTCATTTAGTCCAATGTTGAGTTCAGATTCTAAATATGTTTGTTTATTTTCTACCTCGATGATCTGTCTAATACTGTCAGTGGAGTGTTGAAGTCTCTCACTATTATTGTGTGTGAGTCTATATCTTTTTGTAGGTCTCTTAGGTCTTGCTTTATTTCTGGGTGCTCCTGTGTTGGGTGCACATATATTTAGAATAGTTAGGTCTTCTTGTTGCATTGAACCCTTTACCATTATGTAATGCTCTTCATTGTCTTTTCTTATTTTTATTAATTTAAAGTCTGTTTTGTCTGAAATTAGGATTTCAACCCCTGCTTTTTTCTTTATTCCATTTTCTTGGAAGATTTTCCTCCATCCCTTTATTTTGGGCCTGTGGATATCATTACATGTGAGATGAGTCTCTTGAAGACAGCATACTATTGGGTCTTGTTTTTTATCTAGCTTGCCACTCTGTGCCTTTTAGGTGAGGGCATTTAGCTCATGTATATTCAAGGTTAGTATTAATATGTGTGCATTTGTTCCTGTCATTGAGCTGTGACCTGGTTATTATGTTTGCTTGTTTGTGTGGTTGCTTTCTAGTGACACTGGTCTGTGTGTTTAAGTGCATTTTTGTAGTATCTGGTAGTAGTTTTTCCTTTCTATGTTTAGTGCTCCTTTCAAGATCTCTTGTAGGGCAGGTCTTGTGGTACCAAACTTCCTCAACATTTGCTTATCTGAAAAAAATCTTATTATTTCTCCTTCACTTAGGAAGCTTGGTTTGGCTGAATATAAAATTCTTGGTTGAAGATTTTTTGTTTTAAAATGTTGAACATGGGCCCCCAATTTCTTTTGGCTTATAGGGTTTCATTTGAGAGGTCCAGTGTTAGCCTCTCAAATGAAAGGTGTTCTCTTTGGAGGTTACCTTCCCTCTCTCTCTAGCTGCCTTTAACATTCTTTCATTTCAATTTTGTAATATCTGACAATATGTGTCTTGGGGATGATCTTGCGTAGAATCTTTCAGGAGTTCACTTTATTTCTGAACTTGAATGTTGGCCTCCTAGCAAAATTTAGGGAGTTTTCATGAATGATATCCTGAAATGTGTTTTCCAAGTTGTTTGCTTTCTCCCCTTCCCTTTCAGGGATACCAGTGATTCATAAATTTGGCCTCTTTACATAATCCCATACTTCTCAGAGGTTCTGTTCATTCTTTTATATTATTTTTTCCTTATTTTTGTCTGACTGTCTTATTTCAGAGAGCCAATCTTCAAGTTCTGATATTTTTTTCTCTTCTTGGTTTATTCTGCTGTTAATACCTGTGATTGCATTGTGAAATTCTTGTATTGTGTTATTCAGCTCTATCAAATCTGTTAGGTTCTTTATTATACCAGCTATTTCATCCTTCAGCTCCTTTATCATTTTATTGTGATTATTACTTTCCTTGGATTGGGTTTTGCCATCCTCTAATCTCAATGGGCTTCATCCCTATCCATATTCTGAATTCTATTTCTGTAATTCCAGCCCACTCAGCCTGGTTAAAAACTCTTGTTGGAGAACTGGTTTGGTTCTTAGGAGGACATATAACACTCTAGTCATTTGAGCTACTGGAGTTCTTGTGTTGGTTCTTTCTCATCTCTGCATGTTGTCATTCCTTTACCTACAGTGTAGATTGAGTGCACCCAATAGACTTCTTTTCTAGATGTTTTCACATGTTACAGCCATGGTCCCTCTCAATGTTCTCAAAGTGTGGGTTCTTCTCCCCATTGAGTGCTGGCTGTAGATTACGGCTTGGCATTCCTTGGCTGCCCGCACTGCTGCTCTGGGGTGATCTCAGTGTTCATGTTCCTTCCCCAACTTGGAGGCAGCAGAGGAAGGGACCTTAGTAGTGGTTGTGTCCAAAGGTCTTCTGCTTGTCTCCTGGGGGTCCACTCCAGAGAAATGGAGGTCAGAAATTGCTCAGTGCAATCATCCCAGGATGGAGGGTCTGTGCTGTGGGCCCAAGCTGGGGGTTCTCTGTCTAGTGATGAGCAGTGGGGGCACTGGCTGGAACCCAAGGAAGACAGACTGGCCTCCTCTCCTTGGATCAACTACAGCTTGTTGGAGGTGTGGCTAAGGCACGCAGGGTCTTTGCTCCTTTGTTAATCTGAGGGTAGCAAGGGCAGTTCCACAGCAGAGGCAGTGGCAGAGAGGCTTTGAGCCCTTGGGAACTCTGTCCAGGGAGTTGCAGAGCTCCTGCTGGCGCAGTAGTTCTGGCAGGGGTGGCTAGAGGCCTAGGTCTGGAGGACCTGCCCAGTGAGGACATATAAAAATGAGCACCCACGTAACAGTCTGGCCACTTTTCTGCAGTGCTGCTGTGGTATGCTGGGGCCCACTCCGGTTCCTAGTCACCTTGGATTTTCCAGTACCTGGAGGTATCAATAGTAAAGGCTATGAAACAGCAAGAAAGACAGCCTGCCTCTCTCTTTGGGAGCTCCTTCCCAGAGAGTTATGGGCTTATTGCCAGTCCAAATACACCTGTAGGAGATGGCTGGAGACCCTGGTTGGGAGGTCCCACCCAGTGAGGAGGAATGGGATCAGGAACACATTTAAGTAAGCAAACTGGCCATGTTTTGATAGAGCAGCTGTGCTGTGCTGGAAAACTGCTTTCACCCTCAGTCGGCTTGGACTGTCTAAAGCTCGAAGGCTGGATGGCTAAGGTCACCTAAACAGCAAAGATGGCAGCCCACCCCTCCCTCTAGGTGCTTCATCCCAGAGAGGTTGCAAATCTCTGTTGGCCAGAGAAAACCAACAGGGGTGACTGGAGATCCCGGTTGGGAGGTTCTGCCCAGCAAGGAGGAATGGGATCAGGGATCCATTTTAAAAAGCAGTCTGGCCATGTTTTCATAGAAAACTTGGTTGTCTTTCTGTTTTATCCAAATAGTTGAATATTTTTTCTGTTTTTTTTCTAGCTCTTCATTGGCCTTTAGTGAAAATAATCATATCTAACTGGGCTGTGCTAGGGGACCACTTCCACCCTTGGTTGGCTTGGACTCTCCAAAGCCTGAAGGCTGGATGGCTAAGTTGCCCAAACTACAAAGATGGTGGCCGCCACTCCCTCTGGGAGTTCTGTCTCAGGGTGGTGCAACACTGCTATCAGTGTCTGGCTGGAATTCCAAGCCAGTGGGCCTTATCCTGTGAGGTGCCATGGAAGCAGGGTCTGCAGACTGTTGCTGCTCAGTCTAGATTCAGCCTCTTTCTTAGGGGTATGTATGGGGGTCTAACCTCCCACTTTGCCTGAATTGCAAGTACTTTTGATGGGAAGCCCAGAAAGTCCGGGTCTCTAAGGCTCCTGGGTCTCCAAGTATGTGCCTGTGCGGCTGCTCTGCCGAGACTCCACTTAGCTCTGTGTGTCAGACTGAAGGCCCTGGTGGAGTGGGTTCACAGGGGAATCTCCTGACCTGAGGGTTGCAAAGATCCATGAAAGCAGTGTGGGTTCCTGGGATCACTCATTCACTCACTGCTTCCCCGGGTGAAGGAGGTTCCCCTGGCTCTGTGTCACTTCTGGGTGGGCCATTAATCTGCCTTGATTTTCACCATTTTCCGTGGGTCCAGTTATTTCCTTGATTAGTCTCAGTGAGTGTACCAGGGTATTTCAGTTGAAGGTGCTATACTTACCTGCCCCTTCTGTTCCTGTCTGTGAGAGATGTGTGCACTAGCTTCTTCTAGTTGGCCATCTGGGCCACCAACCCTAACAAATATTTATTAAGAACCAACTGTGTACCAGGCACGACATAGCTGCTGTGTAGTAAATAATGATTAAGACAGTAAAAATGTTTGCCTTCATTGTTCTTATGGACTTAGATGAAAACACTAGACATTTTCATATAAATTGCAATAAAGTGTGAAAATATTTGGATTCCAGAAACATAGAGCTTGAAAAACACTTCCTAGAGGAAGAATATTTAGATTGGGAATAGAGATTGGTGAGGAAGGGTGGAGAAAGAGGTTCCTAGACAAAAGGAAGAGCATCAACAGGCATTGTTGAAGATTTTTACTTTTATCCTAAAGGCAATAAGTCAAAGAGGGCTTTTTAAAGGGGAATGATGCATTCGGTTTGGCATGCTGGAAGATTCTATCTGGCTCCAGTGTGGCAAATACATTAGAGAAAAAGCAAGATGGAGACAGGGCTACTTGTTTGGTGGCTATTTGTTTTCTGTCCTTCAGGAATTAAAATGAGTACACCCTAGGAGAATAAAGCCTTGGTATATGGCATCACCTACCTACCTTTTAATTCGTATCTACTTGCTTTAGACATTTACACTTGGTTTTCTTTCTGTTTTATCCCGTTAGTTGAATATTTTTTCTGTTTTTTCTAGCTCTTCATTGGCCTTTAGTGATAATAATCACATCTAACATTTTTGGAGCTCCACTATGTGCAAGATACTGTGTGTTCTCCTGTGATGTTTACAAAAATCCTTTGAAGCAGATGCTGTCTCCATGTTTCAGGTGGGAAATCTGAGATCTGGAAAAGGCATGTAACTTGAACAAACTCACTCAGTCAATGCTGCTGCTGAAATATGCACCCAGCCTCATCATCCATGCTCTCATCCAATGATCTAAATGAGCCTCTTAGGACTACCTGGGAGCACGCGAATGGAGTGAGATGGTGCTGTGTTGGGTGGGGTAAAGTCAGTGCCGTGGGATGCAGGGTCAGAGTTTTCTCTTAATTTGACTGAACAGTGAGCATATGCTTCTCCCCTGGTCCACCCTGAGAATTCTTAAAGATTTGTTATATAGGAAAAAGAACCAGACTTAATGATGAAACATTTTGCTAAGGGAGCACTTACTGTTCTTCCTTCTACAAATATTTCTTTTTGGCAAAGGGTGATTTAGAGTGTGTGACTTCTTTGCTGGAGTCCTAACGCACTCAAAGACAGTCATTCCTGTTTGAAAACCATTATATTAACATCCACAGCCACCTAACTCACCCTATCTTTTAGGGAGCCTCCATCTTTGGCACTCTGGTTGTGATCCGTGGACCAGCTGCATGAGGTTACCTGGGAGCTTGTTAAAAATACAGAACCTCAGTTCCACTCCAGGCCTTCTGAATAGAATCAACTTTGCAGCAAGATCATTGATATCTGTATGCACAATAAAGTTTTAGAAGCACTGTTCTAAATCTCTCAAATTCCTTATCAGTAATTCACAAACATGTGGCCTGGTTACGTCAGAATTTCCTGATGTGTGAGTTAAATAAAATGCAAATTCTTAGGCCCTGCAAAAACAAAAACAAAACCAAAAACCCCTACTAAATGAGAAACTCTGGAGATAGGACTTAGAGTTACGTATTTTTAAATGTTCTCTGTACAATACTGTACAATTTTAACCCCTGATATAAGGAAAGAGAAAACTCCAGTTTTATATTATTATGTACCAGTAAAATGTTCTTTCTCACAGAATATTTAAAGTGAAAATGTCACATAGTTAGATCCTGTTTTATTGCTGAAAATATTTAAAGTGCCATTAAGATATGATGTTAAAGATATTTTGCAAGTAGTTTAAAACTTTTTAAAATGACTGAAGGAAAATACATTGTACAGGTTCTTTTGTGAAATAAATATTACAGTCTTGAGACTACTTGGACTTTAGAACTTGTAGTTATTCCAATAAAAATGAGACAAAGCTCTGATGCCCACTGAAATTCACAGTGTGCCTGACTTTTTAAGGTGCAGATTGTAAATTCACATTGTGGGGAATTCGTGTTTTAAAAAATTTCCATTTCTTTTAAATAATCACATTTGAGGTGAGGTTTTTCATGTCAACAAATGAAAATAAGAAAGACACAAAAGGAAATGAAATTTGTTCTCGTTTGTTATGAGCTTCAAAGCTGAGTATTTCAACATGAGATTATCATTGTGTTGCTTTTTGTATAATGTATGCCAAGATGTTTTGACTCCCTGAGCTGGGATGTTTGCACATGGCTCTGAGCAACAGCATTATCTGAAGGCCACCTTTGCTTCCCATTCGGGGCTCACAATAGCACTCTCCTCCCACTTTTATCACAGAAAATTACATGCTCATTAGAATTGGGCTATAACTGTGATGAAAGGGATGTTTTCTCTGGAACCTGAAATGTCTGTGTTAATATTCTAAGCTTTAGTATTACGTGATGAATAAGCTAGTTGTTCACGTAGGAAACGGAAGAAACTGTATCATATAGAATTACTAAATGTGAACTGCTGTAAGGTTTTATTAGCGTGTTCACACTTTTATTTCAAACTTAGAGTGTGACTATCGGTATGGAATTCTTCATACACAGTTTTGAGCTGCTAATATTTCATTATGATGATTTGATGCATGAACAGATGATGTGGCAGGAATGGCTGGCTGCACTGCCATCCATGACCCATCCATCCTTTAGTGTTGTGGCTGGGGGCAGCTGCCCCCATGGTCCACAATTCCCAGCCCCTCAGCCTGCAGGTTTGGCCATGTCACTAGCTCTCCAATAGAATGTTAACAGAAGGAGTGTGTAGCATTTCCAAACCAAGACTTTTAAGAAGCGGACTTCATTTTCGATTCCTTTTCCCTCCTGCTCCCTAGAGGAGACACAGATGCAAGGAAACTGGACCCTGAATTAACATCAGGGAAAGATGTCTGGTGCCTGGGAATATCAATTTTAGACCATTTTTTCAACTACTTTGTTGTGTGGCACCATTAACCTTTTGGGACTCTTCATTATCACAGCTGAGCCTCGCTTTATCAAAGTGGGGAGAATTAGTTGGAGTGGAATAAAAACACAACTTAGAGGGGACAGTGAGAGTGAAGCAACAGGGATGGCCTTCCCTAGTTCACATATATCCAAGGCTGGTCCTCACCTCCAGAAAGTGCTATAGGGTGGAGTTTGATGTCACGTGCATTTTGTGCATGTGTAAAAAGTGTAAGATGCATAAATTGATAGTTTTGTGATTGAGGGTATTGTTACTTAGCAATAAAAATAAAATAATAATTGCAACAAGTGGATAAAATTGGAATACTTAGCATTAAATACTTGAAAGTATTTTACAACTTGGAAATTAGAGAAGAGATGGTGCAGAAGAAGGTGGCAATTGATTGCGTATTGATTGACAATTCAACTTTAAATAGAACACTGAAGAAGGAATTTCTTTCCCACAAGGCCCACTGAAGGAAGACAGGTAAATAAATAGGAAGCACAGAAACAAAATTCTTTTTTTTTTTTTTTTTTGAGACGGAGTCTTGCTCTGTCGCCCAGGCTAGAGGGCAGTGGCGCAATCTCGGCTCACTGCAAGCTCTGCCTCTCAGGTTCACGCCATTCTCCTGCCTCAGTCTCCCAAGTAGCTTGGACTACAGGCACCCACCACCACTCCCAGGTAATTTTTTGTATTTTTAGTAGAGATGGGGTTTCACCTTGTTAGCCAGGATGGTCTCGATCTCCTGCCCTCGTGATCCGCCCGCCTCAGCCTCCCAAAGAGCTGGGATTACAAGTGTGAGTCACCGCACCTGCCCCGGAAAAAAATTCTTTACCTTTGGTGTGGTGGATTTTATTGGTGTGCTCATTCTATTATCTTTGTCGCTATCCTGTGTAAACATCCGTTTGTCCTTTTTCGTACTAGATTTTGAGGATCTAGCTAGATGTCATTGTGCATGGGTGGAAGTCAGCTGTCTAACCTGCATAATTTCCAAAACTTCGCTGACATTACATTAATAACTTAAGGATTTTTAGCTAATTTTACCTAAATATCTCTTCAATGAGATATTGAGTGATAAGCTAAAAAGAGACTGAACTTTCCCAAGAAAAATTCTGTGGTGCTCACCGCCAAATGATATGTATCCAATATTAGTAAGATGAAGGTAGCAATCAGTCAATATTTTATGAAAATATGAATTGTTAACTCAGTTTCTCCTACCCCTTTTTTTGCTTATCTAGATATACATGAGATTGCAAAACAGTAATTAATGCTTACCAAGAAGGAAGAAATGAGGGAAAAATACAGAGAAATATAAATTATTTACATATGCACAGATAAAAGCTTTATTGTATGTTATTGATTCTGAATTTAGAAGTTTCATCAAAATGTCAAGGCAAGACTGACACTATATGAGAAAACCTGACCTAGATATGATAAAATCAGGTAATAAAGGCCTGAAATTTTAAACTAAAGACATTATCAATTTAGTCCCCACGTAAGGGTCACCCCTCTGCAAACTCTGATTTGGAAACCGAGCTCTCATCTACAAAAACATGCAGCCTAGAGGGCAAGAAAGGGAGGTTCCATTGTGGAAATCTTATGCATGGAGTCAAAGAACATGTGAGGAAGGAAGGCTGACATCTCATGGCAGGGCAGTGACACAGGAGAGTGCCCCTTGTAAGGGGCAGGCATTTTGGAGAGGAAAGGGGGGTTTTCGTTAAGGCCCCTTGCTATGTTGCATTGGACACAGATTTTCACGCTGTTCCCTTTCATTTTCATGTGGCTCTGTGGGGCACACTGCATGACCCACACCAATTCTAGCCTATCTTCTCTGACTCTGAAGGCTGTGCTCTTTCTGCCATGTACACTGCAAGAAGGTGACTCCTGGAAGGCACAGAAGCAACGGTGCATACAATCCCCGCATCTTACAGGACTGGGGACATCCATGGCATTTTAGGGCTACAGGACAATTTTTAATCCAGTACTGTCAATTTACACTTAGTCATACATTAGAAAATCATGTAAATGACGAGCTAATGGGTGCAGCACACCAACATGGCACATGTATACATATGTAACAAACCTGCACGTTGTGCACGTGTACCCTAGAACTTCAAGTATAATAAAAATATATATATATATAAAGAAAATCATGTCAGCCATACCTT
The DNA here is from genome assembly GCF_000001405.40 of Homo sapiens. Classification (NCBI taxonomy): domain Eukaryota; kingdom Metazoa; phylum Chordata; class Mammalia; order Primates; family Hominidae; genus Homo; species Homo sapiens. Next base: position 108,162,592 of record NC_000013.11, on the reverse strand, counting down.
TGAAATCAAGTCCCCCTTACTTCCACTGAAGCACTGTTTTGAATGACCACCACCCACCTGTACTAGTGAAATTGCTTCTGGTTGCCTTTCCTCTCCCATTCTTGGCCCCTTATCATCTATTATTCAAACACCACTCGTGGCGATGTTAGTCAAATGTAAATCTCAGTGTTTTGCATTTCTCATCAAAATTGTCCAGTAATTTTTGTAGCATACACAGAGTAAAATGCAAAATAAAACACAAATGCTTACTGTGGCCTCTTAGGCCCTGTGTAGAAATCATTTGGACATCTCTCTGACCCCACTTCCAATGGCTACAGCACTTCAGCCTTTTTGCTGTTCCCCAGACATGCCTGACACACTCTTAACTCAGAGTCTGTGCACCTGTGAGAGAAAAGATCGGGCAACAATGATTCCAAGATTTTGATTCACAGCAGCTGAGTTAATGATGATGCCTTTATTCAGAAGGGGAGGGGGCTGTTTTTTTTTAATTAGGGAAAAATGTAAACATAAGCAAAATTAGAAAGAACAGTACAAAAACTTTCCACAAAATCATCACCCAGAAATAGTAAGCATCAAGTCCCTGAGATTCTTGTTTCGTCTGTACTTTAATTTGATTCTCCTTCCTCTCCCTTCCACACCAGCACCACCACCATGGGGCTATTTAAGCAAATCTCAGACTTTGAATGATTTACTTTTATCATTTATTTTATATTATAGGAAATATTTTTAAAACAAGCACAATACTGTCATCTCCAAGAAATGAACTATTATTTCCTAATATTATCGAATATTCATTGAATGTTCAGATTCAGAAAACTTGTTTTGATATATTAAGTTGTAGATGTTTATCGGAAACCTAAAGGGAGATGTCGACTAAGAAGGTGATCATAGAATTTGGAGTTTAGACAGAAATGTGAATTTTGAAGTCAGCAACACATAGACATAGATAGTATTCAACACTAGGATTTTGGATAAGATCCTGTAAGAAGTCAGTGTTCGGGGATTGAGCCTGGATGCATTTTGACAGGAGGGAGATGCAAAAAAGAAAAATTAAACGTTTGGATAACTTGCATTAAAAACTAGAACTTGAACTCAGGACATCCTATTCATGCCTCCAGTTTTGCAGTGCAAGTTAAGAGAACAATGCATTTCACTTTCAAATAGCTGCTTTACTGTAAAGAGAAGTTGTTTCCATATGTTCGTCTACTCCCATATTGTTATTAATTGTATTATTTCATACTTTTTTTTTGTTTATTTGAGACGGAGTCTTGCTCTGTCACCCATACTGGAGTGCAGTGGTACGATCACTGCCCACTGCAACCTCTGCCTCCCGGGTTCAAGCGATTCTCCTGCCTCAGCCTCCCAAGTAGCTGGGACTACAGGCACGTGACACTATGTCCGGTTATTATTTTTTTCCTGTACTTTTAGTAGAGACGGGATTTCACCATGTTGGCCAGGCTGGTCTCAAACTCCTGACCTCAAGTGATCCGCCTGCCTCAGCCTCCCGAAGTGCTAGGATTACAGGCATGAGCCACTGCGCCCAGTCCTTATTTCATACTTTGTCATGGACAAGAAAACTTCTTGAGTTACAGAAGCAACAACAACAAAAAAATGTGTCAAGAGTCTTTGCTTGTAAAGGGACTCGTTTCTTTTTCAGTTTGGAAGTGAGAAGAAATTGCGATGCCATCATTGTCAAGGAGTGTGTTCTCCAGAGAGGGAGTGATTCCCCAGTGATGTTAGAGAATGACTCAGTAAAGGAAGAGCACAAAGCTGGCTGAACCTAATGACTGATAATAGTAATCTCTCTGCAATGCCCCATAAGGTAGGGCCAATCTAGAACATTATCAGTTGTTCTGCTTCTTGTCTTCTTCTGTCTTGGAGAAGTGATGCTGTTCATGGTTACATAAAGATTCAAAGCAAGGTTTTGGTAACAAGTAGAAAATGATTATTTGTCATAAAAATGTTAAGGGCAAGAGGGCCTCAAAACAAAACGTCAACTCTGCTAGCGTGGAGAAATCTTGGATCTCACAGTGCACTTTTTAATTTGAATTTTAACATTGTGTCATTGCATGGATTTTATCTTTTGAGGCAGGAAAGATGGATGTATGAACATATGGTTCCATTTGGATTTGTATTCACGATGGCAAAAGACAGAAGGCTGGCCGGTAGGACCCTATATGGGCCTTTACTTCTTGGGGATGGGGGGCTAAGGGATATTGAGAGAAAGATCACAAAGAAATGGCAATCTTTATCATCAGAAACCTATTCCAGTGAAGTCATGGAAAGCATAAGCTATTCAGAAGTTTTATACCTGGAAATCAGTTATCATGTTGTTGTTGCTAAGAACATTGATTATTTGCATTAACAAGTCAGGAAAAAAGTCACTTGGTATTTTATCAGTTGTTCTCCCCATATAGATACTAAAAAATGGAAACTAAGTACAAGGACACAGTGTCAAACAGAAGAACAAATCAACTAGATTTATTGTAAGAAATCACCCTGTTTGATATTTACGTAACATCTTCTTTCTGACAAATTCAAATTAGTTGGCTACTATAATAATATTAGGTTCTCTTCTTCAGTGAAGTTAAAATATTAGTGAATTAAAAAAGGAGATGCTCGACCCTATCCTGCAGAGTTTCAGCTATTGTCTATGGGGATAGATATCATATAGGATCTATTGGTACCAGGCATACCTAGATTACTGGCCTGACTCAGCAGTTTGCAAATTATCTGACTTCCAATAGGGTATTAAAGTATCTGAGCTTGAGTTTGCTCAACTGTAATCCCTCCCTTGCAGAGCTGTTGTCAGAGTTAAAATTAATGTGTATAGAAAGACCTTTCCTTATACTGCTGAGAAGCCTTGGAACTACTCAGCCTCCCGAGTAGCTGGGACTACAGGCGCCCGCCACCGCGCCCGGCTAATTTTTTGTATTTTTAGTAGAGACGGGGTTTCATCGTGTTCGCCAGGATGGTCTCGATCTCCTGACCTTGTGATCCACCCGCCTCGGCCTCCCAGAGTGCTGGGAATACAGGCGTGGGCCACCGCGCCCGGCCTCATCTCCTCTTTTTTAAGTTTCCCTCATCTCACTTTCTTCTTCCCTTTTCAGTGGCAAGAGCCTTGGGTTGGAAGAATTCAGATGTGTGTTGTAATTCTGGGAACATTACTCGCTTCCTAAGGCAGATTCCTTCGCCTCGAAAGCTAAGCAGTGCGCTTCTTTGTGTACTGTTTACTTTCTGGACTCTCCCGCTAGCTCTAAGGTTCTGTCACTGTGCTCTTGCTCGGTTTCCATCTTTCCTTCCTCCTCTTTTCTCAGCTGGAAACCTGAATGTGCAGGTGTGGCTATAGGTAAGGTCATGTGCCTGAGCCCGGTTTCTCCAGCAGCTAAGGGCTAAGTGCTTTCTATTACTGTGACGCCTGATTCTTCCGACAGCCATCCGAGTCTTCTATGCCCGTTTTCATGGACACAAGGAGGTTGAAGCTTTCAGGTATTGTAAAGAGTTCAGACAAACGTGGGGACAAGAGTCAAACACCAAATCTGGACCATTATATGAGAATGGCTGTGAAGGAGAAGGCAAGCTTCTGGGTGGCCCAGCTCTGGGTCGCATGCTATTTAACCAGTCCTTCCTTAGGGAGATGACGAGGGAGCACGTGATAAGCCTCCCACAGAGACGCACGCTGTAAGGCAGTGTGCTGTGCTCCGAGGAAGCGGGACAAGGGGCATAGAAACTAAAGGAAGCGCCGTTACTCTGTAAAAGGTGGGACACCCACAATCGCCTTTATTTACTTTTCACATGCATTTTATTGTGATTTTCCATGTTCTGGGCATTCAAGCCTGCCTGTTTTTAAAGGCAGATTGTGGGAAAACTTGATCAACTTGATCTTTTGAAAGTGTCCTGTATTCCAGTGGGACCCCCATCCCTTGTTGTGGGGAATACATGCAGCTATTTTAAATTGTCATCCAGCTTCTCAATTGCCAAGACCGTGTGTATTCTCCCCTTCTGTTTCCTCCTCCTTGCTTCTTTCCTTCCCGCTGCCCCAGAAACCTCCTTCCCTGCTGTGGAGTCACCTCAAAGCCAGGTGATACGGCTTGGGTGTGTCTCCACCCAAATCTCATCTTGAATTGTAGTTCCCATAATCCCCACAGGTCATGGGAGGGATTTGGTGGGAGGTAATTTAATCATGAAGGCCGTTACCCCCATGCTGCTGTTCTCATGATAATGAGTGAGTTCTCACAAGAGCTGATGGTTTTATAAGGGGCTTTCCCCAGCCTTCACTCTGCACTTCTTCCTGCCATCATGTGAAGAGGGACGTGTTTGCTTCCCCTCCTGCCATGACTGTAAGTTTCCTGAGGCCTCCCGAGCCACGTGGAACTGTGAGTCAATTAAACCTCTTTCCTTTATAAATTACACAGTCTGGGCATTTCTTCATAGCAGCGTGAGAACTAATACACCAGGTATTTATTTATTTATTTAAAACTTTTATTTTAAGTTCACGGGTACATGTGCAGGTTTGTTACATACATAAACGTGTGTCATGGGGTTTTGTTGTACAGACTATTTCATCACCCGGGTATTAAACCTAGTATCCATTAGTTGTCTTGATCCTCTCCCTCTTCTCACCCTCCACCCTCCATTAGACCCCACTGTGTGTTGTTTCCCTCTATGTGTCCATGAGTTTGCATTATTTAACTCCCACTTATAAGTAAGAACATGTGGTATTCGGTTTTCCGTTCCTGCGTTAGTAAAGCCAGGGTTTTAAAAGTGCCTCACGGGCAGTTGGCAGTTTGCATATCACTACCAGATAAATCACCCTAAATATTTATTTTTCATGATATTTCTCTGCATTTTCCTAACACTTATAAAATAAATTCTATACTTCTCTGCTTAGATTTCAAGACTTGATAAATAGCCAAAATGATTGATTATTGGATTGATTTAGATTTCTACTTATATCCAAAAATGAATATTATATCATATACATAAATTTGACAATAGTTTAAAAAGCAAATGTTAAAATAATATTCTATAGTGATTATATTGCATGTAGAAAATACAAATAAATTCTCTTTTTTATGAGTAATGGCACTTTAGACTAGTCTTAGGTTAGAATATTCTGTAATATATAAGACAGAAATTTTAAAACTGTTTTTGAAGAATTCATTCCCTAGCTCAAAGAAGAATAAATTCAGATAGTTAACCGGAAGTCATATCTTGAGACTCTTAAGTGCATTAATAAGCATGTATTAACTATGACCTGGGTTCATTTTCTTAACATTTTTGAAATAATGTATAATTAATTGATTCCCAAATTCCTTCATGATTTTTTTTCTTAAGACTGAATTTACCACTTGAACTTCAGCATTTGAAAGTTCTGTAGATGTGATATGGTTCATGGATTGTTTACCTTAAAGGGGCCCAAGAAAGAGATTCAGGGCTCTGGTAATGGTGGGTGTGTGTGTGCATGTGTGTGAGTGTGTGAGAATGTGTGTGTGAGTATGTGTGAGTAGGTCTCTGTGTGTGAGTGTTAGTGTGTTTGTGTGAGTGTGCCTGTGTACGTAAATGTGTGCGTGTATGTGTATGTGTATGAGTCTGTAAGTGTGAGTGGGTCTGTGTGTGTATGTGACCGTGTCAGTGTGTATGTGTGTGTGTGTGGGGGGGGTCTGTGTGTGTATGTGTGTGTGTCTGTGTCTGAGACAGTGTGTTTCAGTGTGTGTGTGAGTGGGTCTGTGTGTGTATGTGACTGTGTGTGTGAGTGTGAGTGCATGTGTGTGTGTGCGTGTGTGTGATGGATATCAGGATTCTTCCGGAAAGAGCTTTGTAGCTTTCATATCACTCTCAGTGGGGTCCTTGACACTCAGTACATGAGCCTGATGCAGCGCAGTCCCTCAGTGGGGCTGAAGTGTGCTCAGACACACAACGCTTTAACACTACAACTAGAGGGAACTCCATATTTTCCCATCTGGTGTTCTTGGCCTAGTGTTCCTTCCAGACAGAGTCCAGCATTTAGTAATCTAGTGGTTATTAAGAGATTTGAGCTAATCACTGTCATAAATGACACTTATAAATGTGTCCTAACCCCCACCACTCGTGATTTTCCCCCTTCAGGGGACGGGCACTTCAACGTCTTTAAGTACTCATCTTATGAGAGATCTCGTATGTCCTAAGATCCTATTTGGAGTTAAGTACTCTTAAATCACGCAGAGTTACGTCTTCTATGCATCTTTTATAAAATTCGACCACATTATCTTCTGAGCTGTCATATGCATTTTTATCTCTGACTTTGGATCCAAGCTTAGAAATATTATCTAACAAAAACATGTCTCCCACTATAGAATCCCACACTCTGAAACATAAGTCTGATAACTAAGGCGAACTAATGAAAGATTTTTAAAATACATTTTATATTTTTCCTTAGTATTCTGAGATTATTAATTTTTAAAATCTCAGTGTCAGCTACTCTTTTATTCATTTTTAAAAATTTTATACTAAAGCCTTTCTAAATAAGAAATGGTTTACGATATCAATAATTTAAATTCCTTTTAATTTAAAAGAAAACCGATCTTTTAAATGCTGCGTTTATTTCACATTCTAGTTTCATTATGATGCCCCCTGAAGTGTGGATTTGTAACTAAGCGAGTGTCTATGGTCATTATCCTAAAAGCCGTGAAGCTCCTCATCACACTGGGGTCTTGCAGCCGACTATGTAGCTTTTCCAAGGGTCTTAAGATCACATGCAGTTATTAATAGTGCCACCTAGTGACAGAAATTGCTCAGATGGCTATTCTTTGAACGATTTGAATAATATATTTAGCTTTCTTTATTTTGCGTAAATATAAAATTATGTCAAACAACACAGCAATGTTAATCACATCCCGCGATGGGAACAATTCCTGATGGGTCCAGCAGGTGGCAGCATGTATCACGAAAGCACAGAATTGCCACTTAAAAAAAAAATCTGTGCCAAGGCTGCGCTCTCTTTTTTCATGTGACTGAGTTTTTCCACTCTTTAATGTAAAAGGAAATGTATATCTATGTTAAAGATAAAATAACTTTTCAGAATGGGGATAATATAGGGCACTAAGTCATAACGATAGGACTTTTACTGAGGACTAATTCCATACTTCCATTCTAAGTACCTAATACATATCATTGCGCACAGCACGCTTTGTGTTGATATTATGACTGTGCCCATTTTACAGACAAGAAAATTGAGGCAGGGACTTTGCCCGGGTTTTCACAGCTACTAGGTGAAGTAGGTGGGAGTTGAAACCAGACAGTCTGGTTCTAGTGTTGCTTAACTGTTGGAAATGTAAGGGATTAAAATTAAAAGTATTAGGAAAAATACTAGTTTTTAGAAAAGAGACCTGAATGTTAAACTTAATTCAAAACTATCTTTATTGTGTCCCTGAGTTCCACGGGCTCTATCTAACTTCAAGCTGATTGCCTCCTCTTAGCTGGATCTGCACTGTGACTAAATAACAGAACCCCACTACTGGGGAAGATGTTAGAGTTTACGGAATATTCATACTCATACTTTTTTCTTTGTGTGAACATTAGGAGGAGTAAAGACATTTAAAGATTGCCTTTTCTTCCATTTTTAAAATGTATTTACTGACAAATCTCCCAGTGTCCTCTCTCCCTGCAACTTTATTCTCACCCTGAAGTACTTGCTATTCTCTGAATACAGTTCTTACTTCAGTTCCTTCTTCGTATTTGTTTATCTTGTTTTCTAAACCTGGAGGCAGCTCATCTCTCCCTGTCCCCTTTCAATATTGGTCACTGGACTAATGTCAATATTGACCAAAGGAAAAGCAGCATGTGAGGGCAGGGACATAGGGGCAGGAGAGTGTCTGAGGGTCTTGTATAAATAACAGCATAGGTTTTAAAACCAGTGCAACAAAGCCTTCTCTTGCATTGTTAACTCTGTGGCGTAACATTTTTTTCCCAGCTAGATTATAAATTCCTTTGAGAGGTGAGGCCACATATGAGTTAACTTTCTGCACCTCCCAGCCTTATCTACTAATACTTCACATAGTACTTTCCTCCCAGCAGGAATTCAGTGACTGCTGTAGAGGGTGAAGTGGTGCAAAGTCCAGCTCAGTTGTGGTTTATCAAGCCTGAACTTAAGCACCACTCACCTTGTTTTTTAGCAGCTGTGGGCCAACAGGGAGGCTGGATAAGTGAAAATCAAGCAGAGATTCTTTTCCTAACTTTGGAGAGAGAGTAAACAGCTGCACGATATATGAAAAGAATAGCAAGGTGATAAAATTCACAGTTTACAAAATAAAGAATAAGCTCAGATATGCTCTGCAGGCCACTCTCAAGACCAAGAGGTAGTCCCCTTTCTTACCTATAGACTAGAAGAAAAATTAAAGCACACTCAAGCATAGGAGATCTGTCCATATGTAGCACAGGTAGGAAGATCAGTGAGCTCAGGAGAAACTATCTATTAAATGAGCTTCAGGAGGAAGGTAGGAACAGTAAATAATAGAGAGTAAGGCCCAAATCCTCTCACCCAGAACAGTTGGCTCTTAATCTTGGCAGACTCAATGCTCCCTGTTAATAATAAATATTTTATTTTATTTTATTTTTTGAGATAAAGTCTCACTCTGTCGCCAGGCTGGAGTGCAGTGGCGCGATCTCGGCTCACTGCAACTTCTGCCTCCTGGGTTCATGCGATTCTCCTGCCTCAGCCTCCCAAGTAGCTGGGATTACAGGGGCCTGCCACCACGCCTGGCTAATTTTTGTATTTTTAGTAAAGACAGGGCTTCACTATGTTGGCCTGGATGGTCTCGATCTCTTGACCTGGTGATCCACCCACTTTGGCCTCCCAAAGTGTTGAGATTACAGGCGTGAGCCACCACACCCAGCCAATAATAAAACGTGCTTTCTGTCATCTGTGGAATGAAATTTAAAGATAATATGAACTGCCTACATATATAACTTTTAAAAATCAGTATGAGTGCCTTAACTGTATATTGAAGGAAAAGTTGGAAAGTGATATATAATAAGGTACCATCCATTTTGACATGCTAGTCCTCAGAGCAGCTACACTTGAAGAGATACTAAAATGTCTTCTTGTTGTTGTAATTGTCTGCAGGTTCTTCCTGCACACTGCAAGGCAAAGCCAATTCACTGAGGCCATGGCATTGCAGTAAAGAAAAAGTTTAATTTGTGCAAGTCCAGCTAGGACTTGCAGGAGACAGAGTTATTACTCATATTACTCTCCCTGAAGGCTCAGAGGTTAAGGTTTTCCAAGGATAGTTTGGTGGGCAGGGGACTAGGGAATGAGTGCTGCTGATTGGTTGAGGATGCAATCATGAGGGTGTGGAAAATGGTCCTTGTGCCCTGAGTCCACCTCTGGGTAGAGTCCCAGGACCAGTTGAGTCATGAGCCATGAGTCCAGGTGGGGTTAGCTAGTTGTCAGGAATACCAGCATCTGAAAAGACACCTCAAAAAGCTAATCTTAGGTCTTACGTCAGTGGTGTTATCTGCAGACGTAAGTGGGGGTGTTACAAATCTTGCAACCTCTGGAACAATGGCTGGTTATCATTTAACTATGCCTACATACATTCTGCTACATAGTGGCAGAATTCAGGCCCCTCTGATAACCCTAACTTTTTGGACTTTTAATTATTATCCTCGCTTTAAGGTTAAACTATCAACTAAATTTCTCCCAAAGTTAGCTTGGCCTACCCCTAAGAATGACCAAGAACAGCTTTGGAGGTTAGAAGCAAGATGGAGTCAACTACCTCAGATTTATGTTACCATCATAATTTTGCAAAGGCAGGTTCATTGGCAGCCTTTGCTGTGTGTTGCAGGACTTCTAGAAGTCTTAATGCCTGTCCACAAAATGTCAGTAGCACCTCCATTTATTTTGACAAAACAATTCCACAAATTTGCAAAATACCCACTGAGAAATGAAAATGAAATTGTAAGCCCCCCAACTGACTGAATGTGTCTCTTTTTGTCCAAGGGTACCCCAGAGAAAGTTAAAAACTGACTTTTCTGCCATGACTTGATGGAACGTTGAACATACATTATGCCTGTATTAGTCCGTTCTTGCACTGCCATAAAGAACTACCTGAGACTGGGTAATTTATAAAGAAAAGAGGTTTAATGGATGCACAGTTCTGCAGGCTTAACAGGAAGCATGAATAGGAGCCCTCAGGAAACTTACAATCATGGTGGAAGGTGAAGGGGAAGCAAGCACCTTGTTCACATGGTGTCAGGGGAGAGAGAGAGTGAAGTGGGAAGTGCCACATGCTTTTAAACCATCAGATCTTGTGAGAACTCGCTGTCATGAGAACAGCAAGGGGAAAATTCACCCCCATGATCCAATTGTCTCCCACCAGTTCCCTCTTCCAATTCAACATGAGATTTGAGTAGAGACACAAATCCACACTGCATTAACGTCCAATCCCCTGTTAATTGCCATTAGGCTTTCTTCCCTAAGGTCTAAACAGCAAACAGCCCTTTCAAAAGATTCCACCGCTGATTTAAACCAACCACCTGATGGCACTCCTCTTTTTTTCAGTTTTTCACAGCAACTGACCAGCAGTCCTTTCTGATAAGAGATCACAGACCACAAAGTGGCTCTGGCCAATCTATGGAGGATGCATGGTGAGGGTTTTTGTGTCCTCTGCTTCACCTTTTGATGTCAGAGGATCGAAAACTTCATGCTCAGATCATGTTAAGATTGCCATTTTTTGTACATGCAGCTCATGGGGCATGAAGCTCAGTTGTGCCTATGTACGTTTCTCCTCTCATAAACATTCATGCCTCCTCCTATAGCTTATTAAATATGTATACTGAGACACCCTGCTCAGCATAAACTCCTGTTTCTTTTTCCCCTCCCTCAGAATACCTGTTTTTGGCTTCTGACCAGAGGCTATGCTTCCCAGCCTGTGAAAATGGCCACCCTGCAGGCTGCAACCTTTGTTTTTCATATCCAGACAGGGTCTCACTCTGCTGCCCAGGCTGGCGTGCAGCTGCACAATAAAAGCACATTGTAACATTGAACTGTTGAGCTAAAGGGATCGTACTACCTCAGCCTCCCAAAGCATGGAGATTACAGATATGAGCCACCACACCTGGCCCAGGCTGCAACCTCTTATGGGAAATAAAGCTCTCCTTTCCAAATCTATGAACCTTGTCATTCTTCAGTTGATGGCACCAAGGGTAGTACCACCCCTTCAAGAGCCACTGTTTAAATTTAATGTCAGGGTTAGAGTTCTTGTGGTGACTTCTATGTCATCTTGTTAAATGGTGCCATTCTTTTCTTTCTCTTTATGATAGTTCTTTGACAGCAAGCACCGTTTCTCTAACAGTAATTGAATATTATCAGATAAATTTATATTTCCTTTAAAACTCTCTGAATAAAAACGCAACTATAACTAAAAGTAAAATATAATAAGAACAAAAAGGCATCAGAAGCATTCAGTGATATCACCTGAGGACAGTCAGTTATTATATGCAAATCACAGTATGGATCATCTAGGATATGTCTTTGACAATGTCTTTTTTCACTAAAAAATATGTTGCAATGACCACACCTGGGCCTGCTGATCAATATAAAACATCTTAAAGAGAAGAATAATCAAAAATCACCTGAATACTCTGAATTATTCTTGTCGAAAGCTTGAATATAATCAAACTTCTATATCTAACTTCCAATTTCCTGGTTACGTGGGGAGTAGAGGAGCAAGTTAAATGGCAACCAAAGGACGCAATCAGCAAATTGAGGACATAGGAAATTCTATATGGAAAACAAACCATCCTTTATTATGACATTCTCTAAGCTACATGTAAAACAACATTCTCTAAGCTACCACCCTATCCATGGAAAGCACCCATGGTAGCCAAATCTTGGAGGGCAAAGATTGCTGAAAGTAAAATTATTGAGCTGAGTCTGGCGTCTCATACTCCTTCAAAATCCCTTGAAACACTTTAGTGATTTTTAAATGAAGCTGGACAAGAGGCTGAGAAACCAAGGCAAAATCTAAGCAGGAAGCCAGTGACTAAGCAGAGATTTTGGCTATCTCACAGCACCGGGAGACTAAAATTGAAATTCAGGCTATTAAAGCAGTGAGGATTTGAGAGGCCAATTCCAAAAGAGAAAGAAGTTTTAGAAAAGTCGAATTTGAAAATCAGAGTCACTTTTCCACTTGAGGGTTTCTTCACTGTCTAGACAGTGAGAGAAAGAAAATTCAGCTTAGAGGTTGAGGGGAAGCAGGGCTTTTGTAAGCTTCACAAGGCTAGGGAAATAAACTTGGATGCCCTACTCAACATCCTAGACACTCATTTGAGATGCCTGTATGCCCGAAGGACTACATCGTCAGAAATGTGGAAACCAGAAATCGACTATGACTTTTCAAGTTCAAAATCAGTTTCAGATCTGGAGTTATACTCTTGTACCCATAGACTAGAGAGAAAAGAAAATCATGCCCAGATGGAGAAGTGGATCCATGTTTCAGAACTCAGTTCTCTATTCTAACTGCTTGTCGAAAACAAAGTGCTCACCCAGATATTTTACAATTATTTATACTCACAATCCAATATTTAATCATTAATTTCCAGATATATCAAGACCCAGAGAAGCAAACAAACCATAGAAGTCAAACTACAGGTGATCCGGATATTAGACTTGTTAGGCTCAGTCTTTAAAATAACTGTGACTATTAGCTTCAAGAAAATTGGTGACAGCAAAGAGAATTTCACTGAAGAATTAGAATGTATTAAAACAAATTCAAAGAAAATCTTCTACTGAAAAAATATGGTAACTGGAATAAATTATTTTATTGCAGATTATATTTAATACCAAATGCTGGAAAGAATGTGGAACAAGAGAAACTCTCATTCATTGCTGGTAGGAATGCAAAATTGTACAGCCACTTTGGAAGACTGACAGTTTCTTACACCTAAACATAGTCTTACTATACAATCTAGCAATTACACTCATAGGTATTTACCTGAGTTGAAAACTTATGTCCACCTAAAACATTGTACAGAATTTATAATAGCTTTGTTCATAGTTGCCAGAACTGAAAGCAATCAAGATGTTCTTATTCAATATAGGAATGGATAAACAAACTGTGCTACATCCATACAATGGAATATTATCCCTTGATAAAAGGAAATGGGCTATCAGTCCACAGAAAGACATAGAGGAAACTTAAGTGCCTATTGCTAAGTGAAAAAAAAAGTCAGGAAAAGCTACATACTGCATAATTTCAATTATATGACATTCTAAAAGGGAAAACTGTAGAGATAGTAGAAAGATCAGTGGTTTCCATGGCTTCAGCAGGAGGCAAGGGGATTGAATAGGTGGAACCCAAGGCACTTTTAGGGTGATGAAATGATTCTGGATAATGATACTATAATGGAAGATACATAACATTATGTATTGTCAGAACCCATAGAAATTTATGGTATAAAAAGTAAACTTTACTGTATATAAATTTAGAAAGTCATTTAGGAAGTAAGGGGATCCTAGGAAAGACTATAGATTGCAACAAGAAAATCTAGGTGTATTACAAATAAATGAATATATAGCCAGCCTCATTAAAGGCGTAAGGTAGAAGAAAGATGGATGTGAGTAGAAACTGTAATTCTAAACGCATAAGAAACTGCACGTAAGTTTAGTATTCTAGTTGATAAAATTGTTTCCGATGGAGGTACAGGTTAACAATTCAGATACTGCTGTACATGTGTACACGAACAGTTAAGTATATGGATAGTGGGTGGTGGGAATCTTTCATGAATAGAGTGGGAATTTGCAGAGAAGCAGGGAGAGGAGGCTACAATGATCCATGTTGCAAGAGTTAGAGTTATCAGAAAAAACTCAGTTTGGTTTAATATAAATACAGGTGTTTACATTTAGAAGTATTTATAGATATATGTGTATGCATAACTAGTATATACACATATATTTCTTTGCTCTGTCAGCTGAGAGAGCCTAAAAGAAATGACACCCCCCATAGCGATGAACCTAGCTAGTCTCAGACGTTGGTTTCTAAAAAATTTCTTTAATCAAATAAAGCAGGGCCCCTTGGAGAAATGACTGATTCTAGGACTGGGGCAGGGACTACATAAGATGAGCCTGGGCATCTTGTAGTGCCAGAAAGTATGGAAGTGCTTGAAACAAACAAACAGTAAACAACCATTGAAACCCCACAGTGGTGAGCTAGCCAAAGCACACAAGAGGCACCCCAAAAAGCTCCCAATAATCAAAGCTGGTACAATTTGAGCAACAAAATCTATAAAGTAGTATTGCATTATAAAACAAGATAGAAAATAAATATCCATGAGTTAGGCTGATATAAATAAATGATTAAAGACATTAGTAAATAGGTAAAGATGTCATTTTTTGCTCTTGTTGTGGTTGCTTTTCACGTCTTTGACAAATAGGATCTAATTACACTTAAGAGCTTCTCAGTCACTGGTTCAGTAGCCCCAGTGCCAAGTGAGAAGCTCTTGATGACTGAATAGATGGAGGATGGGGGATGCACAATGACCCCAGTCCTGGATGACTGAATAGATGGAGGATGGAGGGTGGACAATGACCCCAATACTGGTTGGCTGAATAGATGGAGGTTGGGGGATGCACAATGACCCCATCCTTGATGGCTGAATAGATGGAGGATGGAGGGTGGACAGTGACTCCAATACTGGATGGCTGAATAGATGGAAGATGGGGGATGGATAATGACCCCAATCGTGGATGATTGAATAGATGGAGGATGGAGAGTGGACAATGACCCCATCCTGGATGGCTGAATAGATGGAGGATGGAGGGTGTACAGTGACTCCAATACTGGATGGCTGAATAGGTGGAAGATGGGGGATGGATAATGACCCCAATCCTGGATGACTGAATAGATGGAGGATGGAGAACGGACAGTGACCTCAATCCTGGATGGTTGAATAGATGGGAGCTTGAAGATGAAGAGTGACTCCAATCCTGGATGACTGAATAGATGGGGGCTGGAGAATGGACAGTGATTCCAATCCTGGGTGGTTGAATAGATGGGAGCTTGAAGATGAACAGTGATTCCAATCCTGGATGACTGAATAGATGGAGGATGGAGGATGAACAGTGATTCCAATTTTGGGTGGCTGAATAGATGGAAGATGGAGGGTGGACAGTGACTCCAATCATGGATGACTGAATAGATGGGGGCTGGAGGACGGACAGTGATTCCAATCCTGGATGGCTGAATAGATGGAGGATGGAGGGTGGACAGTGACTCCAATCATGGATGCTGAATACATGGAGCTGAGGGGTGGACAATGACTCCAGCCTTGGATTTCTGAATGGATGGTGAACTGTCAACTCAACTTGGAAAGAAAAATAAGAGCAAGAGAAGAAAATTCTGCCACACAGGAATGAGGAACATTCATTCCGATTTGTTGCATAGGGATTTGAATATACATATATTTGAACGTGGAAGGCAGGGATTTTAAGGAGAGCATTAGATAGTGTCAAATTCCAGAGAAAAGCCAGCTAATATAAAGACAAAACCTTAAGCAATTAATTTAGCAAGTGCATAGAACAATAAATTGGAATACACAAGTTTCTTGCCAATGTTAACAACATTGTAAAACATTTTTAACACCTCGTCATAGAAGTTCAATATATTTATCCAGAAGTGTATTATCTAGTGGATACTTTACTGGAAAGTCAGCAGACTTCTGTCTGTGCAGAAAGAGTAATTACAGGTCATAGACAGAGGTTGGTTATGTGATCTTAGACTTACTGGTACATGCCTCAAGCCAACATTTTAAGTGCTTGGATGTGGTTCAGCTTATCTTTTCCCACTACTACTTTTGGCTTTTAACTTCTTAGCTACTTCTCATTCCAAAATAGACATAGCTCATGTGTATTCAAAAGGTCATAGTTAATGTCCACGTGAAGTCTCTAATACAGGATAAAATTAATTTATTTCCCATCTAAGCTGCTTTCCCATCTTCCTTTTTAAAAAAGTAAAATATAATAAAATAAATGAAATAAATTAAATTTAAGAATTTTCCTCTGAAGCTTTCTCTTTTTTTAAAATTAAAATTCTAAATGAGTATCTTTGATGCTCCTCTGAAAACACTTTTTGACTGCCAGTTCCTTTCTGGCTCAATGTAAGTTAACAAACAGTGACCAGTGGGACCCCTTAGTAATTTAATGTCAAGGTGCCACACAATGTTAGCTGCTGGAGCACCTTGCAGCAATGCAATTATTTCCTCTGAGGATTTTATCATTCTCCAAACAGGATAGAGTCTATACAAGCAGACTGCCCTTTTCTTGTAAAAATTTGATTCTTCTTTGCTGTTAATATAACATTCTAGGTACTTATATTCAACTGGAAGAAAAAAATTCTGGTTTGCTTGATCTGAAAATGCTTTTGCTATAAATTACAAGCAGTTTGTGCAGAAAAATAATGGGCATCCATATTTACTTTATTCTGCTCTGAAAGATTTTTTTAGGGCCCATAAAAATAAAGTGCAGACAATTTTGGATTATTTTACATGTGCTCAGCTTTTGTTTTTCTTTGAGCATCTATGTTTCCCAAATATTTGGGAAAAGTTTTACACAATCCTCTACCCAAAATCTTGGGTAGTGTGTGGTCAAAATCAGTGATTATTTTCTGTAAAGCTCATTACAATATATAAATGTACGTCCACCTGGTCAATTGATCTTTAACACTAGCAGTATCATTTGCATTACAATTTCTGAATTCATTCACAAGTAAAGGTGTTGTTTCATTATCATGTAATGTGCAAGATCACAGGTCATCTAATCAAGATCATAGTCAGACCATCTAGTTTTGAATCCTGGCTGTGCTGCTTACTAGCTGACCAAACCGGGGCAAGTTACTTCACCTGCTCCCTCAGTATAAAAGCTTCCACTTCAGGACTACACTGGGATTGTTGAGAACAGTTTCTAGAAAATTTAAGTGCCTGATATGTTTGGTATTCTTTCTTTTCCCTTGTTCCTTTTTTTTCTTCGTCTTATTATTTTTATAAGTGTGATGTTTCAACATCTGCCTTTTTTTTTTTTTTTTTTGAGGCAGCATCTTGCACTGTTGCCCAGGCTGGAGTACAGCGGCGCGATCACTGCCCACTGCAGCCTTGACCTCCCTGGCTCAAGTGATCCTCCCACCTCAACCTCCCGAGTAGCTGGGACCACAGGTATGTGCCACCACGCCCAGCTAGTTTTTGTATTTTCTGTAGAGACAGGGTTTCACCATGTTGCCCAGACTGGTCTCAAACTCCTGAGCTCAAGTGATCCTCCTACCTTGGCCTCCCCAAATGCTGGGATTACAGGTGTGAGACACTGTGCCCAGCCCCAACATCTGTCTTATTAATACTTAAACTATACTTAGGAAAAGAGTTGCAGTTTTAACCTACCTGGAAATATCAAAGAGATATTTTCAGTTTATTTGAAAGAGAACTACACTTTTGGAGATTTAGAGATAACCTGTTGTTTTTTGCCACCACTTCTCTTGCACAGGGGAGTTTATTTCCTGGAAGAAAGCATAATGTTCACATTTTCTCACCATCTTGGCTGAGCAGCAATGCTAACATTTTGTTCCTGGTCTGCTTATGGGATTTTCCTTCTGACCTCCAGCTTATTTATTTCTTTATTTTTTGTTCTAATTTATTTGCTCATGCTCAGTTGAATGGGGAGCTAAATGCAATGTTGCTTGTTCTGGTTGACAGACACCAAGCATTTGTGGGGAGTACACTGAGTACACTAAGCACCTAACATTGGGTTAATCCCTAGAACCAAAATTTGAATAAAATAGTTCCTGCCTTCAAGAAGTCCCTAGTCCAAGCAAGGAACACATTTAACAACATGTTAATCCTTTGACGCAAGAATGCATAAATTATTGTGGATAAGAGAGAGAAAGTTGTTCCAAGTTGAAAAAACAAATGGGCCAAGCCAGGCATGAGCATAGCCACATGCTGCATTTGGGGATTGTCAAAACAAGAATTGCATCAGACAAGGGTGAACAGGCAAGGAAGACTTTATTCAAGGCTATTGTCTTAGGGGAAAGAGGCCAGATTCAGTCTGAATTTAACTCCACTGAAAGGAAGAACATAAGAATTTTTAAGAACTGGGTGAGAGAGAGTACAGGCTGTTTGGGCTGGCTAATTAGCTTCACCCAAAGGAAAAGCAAACTTTCTCATATCTTAGTGAAAGCAGGTAGTTTTACAACTTGGAAAAAGGCACCCCCTAAGTTGGGCTCCTACCCTACAGGAGGCACTGGGAGACAGGGCCATCATCTTCCTTGATGTTTATGTTTCTAAAAGGTGGCTCCCAGGTCCTTGAAAAAGACAGCTCTGGATGATAATAATTGGCAAGAGGCATTTTAAAAAGTTTACGTACATCACAGAGGAAAGGATAAATAATTTACAAATTTTCTAAAGTAATCCCTCCAAATAAAGGGTCAGGACTAAAGTTTGATCACGCTGAGGGGATCATTAAGGCTGTCTTAGGTGGGATCCACACCCTGGGGCACATGAGTCTGGTCGGAAGAGGTGGCCAAGTGACAAGTGAGAAGGCGTCCAGGCCAGATCATGGGTAATCGTGAAAGTCCTGATATGGGGATCAGACTTCATGCTTTAGGAACAAGGAATCATTGAAAGATTTTAAGCATGGGAATGAAACCATTAAATTTATAAATTTAAAAAGTAGAAATATTTGCATATTTTTATGAAAGAAGACTTGAAAGAGATAAAGTCAGTCAAAGGAAGAATAAAAAGTGTAAAGGGAATTATCCTGCTTGGTACTTAAAAATCTGTGAGGTGGGTGTTTATTATTCCCACTCTCATATGATAAATCAGAGACTCAGAGTATTTGAATATCTTTTCCAAATGTTATATACTTAGTAAATGTGGGCAGTTTCAAGCTCCGTCTGTCTCCCAATGAGCCCAAGAGCTTCTCACTTGGCAATGGGGCTACTGAACCAGTGACCATCGAACAAAACACGTTGTGGGTTTGCTTTGTAAGATAGGAGGCAACATGTGAATGGTGGGATACAGTTATTCAGGAAGTATGGCACTGGCACAATTATGGAAGGCTGCAAAGTAAATCAATATCAATGTCAGATGTATTAGATGGATGTCAACTCTTGCTACAAACACACTCCTGGGGTCCTGGCCAATGTGAGCTTCTTTTGCTTTCCTAGGTCGAATGAGATAATGCATACAAAACAGCTTTACAAACTGCAAAATCCTAAGAGATGAAGGCTATTGCTTTCACATTAGAAGAATATAAATCGTTTATAAGTCAGTTTCCATTTTAAGTGCACTAGGGTGGATTATATTCAGTGGAGTCCCGTCATGAATTATTTATAAAGTGAGGAATTTCTTCCTGTTGTATAACTGTGGGGTTTCATATTTTTTGGGCTGTCTGTGGATGACTACAAAACCCTCTTTGAAATCCAAAACATTGCCTTGAGAAAACATCTATTTAAATATGCATCATTTGAAATGTTTTGTGTTGGAAGTTATGGAAAACACATTTGTTTTAAACAACAAAGTTAATTTACTGTGTTTTGTAACTAAAAGTCTGACATTAGAAGAGCCTTTACGTCCCAACTCAGTGTATCCTGGCCCTTTATGTCCCAACTCAAACAGTGTATCTGGGGCCATGTTTCATTCTGACTCTTCCCTCTGCTATACTCTGTGGTGGTTTCATTCTAGCCCTGTGGGTGTGACACCAGCTCCTACCACTCTTCCTTCCAGCCCTTCCTGATGTCACAGAAAAATGGCTTTAACAGTCCCAGACCTCAATTCTTACATCACATAGTTCAAAAGAAGAGAGAAGTTCTCTCTCAGGATCTTCTTTGAAAAATGGAGGAAACTTCTTTTTCTTAGAAAACCTCAGCAAACATCTCATACCTCGTTGTTCTCCTTTGGTTACTGGATATTCCCTAAACCAATCAGTGTGACCAGAAAATGGGCTTCATTGACTGCTAGAAGGCAGTCAGCTCTCCTTTATTCAACCCCTGCAGCTCAGCTGGCTCAGCCCTGCCCCAACCACCTGCGTATAGCGATTTCTTGAAGGACAAGTAGCTAGCTATGCTAGGAAGCAAAGAGAGGACATTCCCGGCAACTCCCATTGTAAATTATCTTTGTGATTAGCTTGGTGGGTTCTATCAGAAATATCCAAACATAAATTCAGCAGTTTGTTATCAAATAGATCAATTTCATTTGGCATTTCTTTTTGAATTACTTTGAAGTTTATTGGATCCGTCTCCAAGAATTTTATTATGGACTCATTTATATTTTCTTCAAATTATTTTTGGTTTAATTAATAGCTTAGTGTTTTGCTTAGTTGTGTCTGGAATTTGTCTAGAATGTGTTTTGGTATAATGTGAAGTGAGGATCCAGGAAGACTTTATGTTTTCCCACTTTTTCTAAGTTCTCATCATTCTTCATTGAAAAACTGTTCTTCTTGTGCTATTTTCCTTAACATGTCTGTATGTCATTTCGGTATTTGTTTTGCTTTGCTTATTTATTGACTGTTCTTCTACTATAACTTTTGTTTGCCTGTTAATCAATTTTTAAAAAATTTAACTTGCTTGTATTTTGGCGTAAATTCAAAATATTTACATGGTGGTTTCTAAATCAAGGATAAACAAGATTAAAATCTCCTTTCTATGCCTGAAAACTCCAATGCTGTTTCCCAGAGATAATAATTTGTTATATTTCTTTCCAGAAATTTTCAATTCATTCATTCACACATACGCGTAAAAATACACAAGGAGGAATTTACCTTGCACACTGTTCTAAATCACAATCCTTACAGTAA
The DNA here is from genome assembly GCF_000001405.40 of Homo sapiens. NCBI lineage: Eukaryota > Metazoa > Chordata > Mammalia > Primates > Hominidae > Homo > Homo sapiens. The sequence goes on along the minus strand of NC_000013.11, from coordinate 108,141,777 downwards.
CAACATGTGGAAACTATTTCTATAGCAGCAGGTAAAAAATCTACTTTATTCTTTATAGTAGTTACAGAGTGTATGACTTTATGGATGTGCTATAGGTTATTTAACTGGCACTCTTTTAATGGACATTTAAAAATTATTGCTAATATATAATGCTGCAGTGAACATTCATGCTTTTAATATAGCTGTTCCCAACCTTTTTGGCACCAGGGACTGGTTTTGTGGAAGACCATTTTTCCACAGACCAGGGGTCCCCAGGCTCGGGGGGTAAGGGAGCTGGTTTAGGGATGAAACTGTTCCATCTCAGATCATCAGGTAGTAGATTCCCAGAAGGAGTGTGCCACCTAGATCCCTCGCATGTGCAGTTCTCAATAGGGTTCAAGTTTTTTTGAGAATCTAATGCTGCTGCTGATCCGACAGGAGGCGGAGCTCAGGCAGTAATGCTCACTCACCTCCTGCTGCCCAGTTCTTAACAGGCCACAGATCAGTACTCGTCCATGGCCCAGGGCGTGGGAACCCCTGTTTTAATATGTTTTCATTCATGTGCAAGTAAATTATTAGACATAGTGTTTATGGGTGGATAGCTGGATCAGAAGATACATATATGTTGAGTTTTGGAGAGCTCAATTGCCCTGCAAAGAGGCTACATGATCACATCTTCCCAGTGAGAAGATAGGGCAGTGCTGTGTCTTGGACTCTAAAACTGCATGTCCAACACTTCAGCTTTGCCAACAGAAAGGGAAAAACAAGGATCTTACCCTTTTAAATGTGTGTCTGTTTAGTGACATATTTATAACAACATTATTTTCATATGTTTCATTTGTTTATATTCCATTTGTCTTTCATTTGTGAGCTTTCTCCTTGCATGTCTGCCTTATTTTTTTGTATTGGTCTTTTCCTATAGGTTTATAAGAACAGTCTATCCATTTTGGGTATTAGCCCTTGGCCTGGTCTGGCTTGAAAACATATATTTCTCTAATTTGTGCTTCCCTTTTGACTTTATTTATGGTGGGGTTTGCCTTATGATAGTTGAGAACATTATTGCGTGTTCAAGTTTTTTGCTCTTTTCCTTCCTGCCTTCTGGTATTTGTTTCTGTTTTCTTGAGCTGCTCTAACAACATCACTGTCTTGATGATTGCTGCCCTAAAATAGGCATTAATATCTGGTCCCCTGTTAGTTTTCCAGGGTTTGTCTGGCTGTTTTGACAAGTTTCTTCTCCCATATGTCTTTGATATCAGAATACTGAGCTTCCCCAAAATCCAGTGGATATTTTTGTTGGGAATTTTCAAAAGCATAAACCATAGAGAGAGGGAGAGAACAGGAGAGGGGAAAACACCAACATCATTTTGGAAGCTGGATAGCAGATGTACAGCAGTAACTAATGTTGCATGAGCAAGAAACATTAATTCTAAACTAGAAATGGGCAAAGTCGTGAAGCAAACCACATGATTCAATGAATCCACCACAAGATAATCTCGAAGAGGGAGAGTGAAGGCTACAGCTGGGAGGGTCGGTGCTTGCACACAGCATCCTGGAATTAAACATCCACAAAGAGGGGCAAACAGAAGTTTGCTGGATGGGGAAATCTGAGCAAATTGAGTAATTAGAATGAGCTAAAGTATTTAAAATTTCCTACCACCTTGTTGTTTTAGAATCTTTTCAACAAAGACTTCCCCTAGCTCTATCATAGTGGATTCCTGGGGAGGATATGGGGCTTTAAAAAAATTGGAGGCCCCTCTTTAATAAATGAACATAAGATTATACATTTTCAAAGTCCCAGATTACCACGTGCACACATTGTGAGGGCCTCTGACAGGACCTGGAAGGGACCATGCCCATGAGAAGCCAGGAGCCCCCTCAGCACCCCCACCAGCTCCCTCCACTCACTCTTCATTCTGGGATCACTTGTTCATGTCGTTTTCTTCCTTGCTCTGGTTCCTTTAGGTTTGCTAAAGCCTTTCACTGTACTTGCTAATTTAAACTCAATCTATTTTAGGTTTTAGCTAAATAAGCCAGGCCCTATTTTCATCACTAAATTTTGTTATTTACACTCTTTTATTCCCTTACTGTTTGGAAAAACATCAAATAAAATTCTGATCAGCGACTTCTCTACACTACTTAAGATGGAATTTGTGATAGTTATTTATAATTTCTTAACGAACTCTAGGCATTGAAGAAAACAATCAGGTAAAGTGATATTTACATCTTCAGAATAAAATATATTTAGAAAACATATATGAGATAAGATTACTCTAAAAGAAAATGAACCATAATCCTTTTGAGGGTAGCAATCAATTCTTATAAAAAATATTAGCTCAGGATTACTAGTATAGTTTTCCCATAATAAACTTTGCTCTGCAAAAATTTGTTGAGATAAAATTAGGACTATTAAATAGTTCTTTCTGATTTATCTTAAAGAAGCTGAAAAACCTCTGGTTGGAATACCTATTGATATCTGTAGATAAGTTGATTCACTTCTGAAGTAAAAGAGAATTTATAAATCATTCACTTAATTAAAGAATTCATACACCTCTCATTTAATGAAAGATTTTCCCAGAAGAAGCTATTGTGTACACATATTATGGTGTGATCTAAAAGTTTGTGTCCCTCTAAAATCTGTATATGAAAACATTATCCCTAAAGGGGTGGTATTAATAGGTGTGGCCTTTGGGAGGTGATCAGGTCATGAGGGCTTCACTCTCATAAATGGAATTAGTGCCCTGATAAAAGAGGCCTAGGGAGCTTGTTCACCCCAGTCACCACACGAGGACACAGAGAAGGGACCATCTATGAGAACAATCCCTCACCAGACACCCTATCTCCTGGTGCTTTGATCTTGGATTTTTCAGCCTCCATAACGGTGAGCCATACATTTCTGCTGTGGATAAATTATCCAGCCTAAGATTATTTTGTTACAGCAGCCTGAACTAAGATATATTGTGTATATGTATTGTAAGCATACTCTTGGTATACACCTAGCATGCTATAATATGCATGCATAGAAGCCACATGATTTTTTGGTCACCAACCAACTCCTGATTATTTTTCATGACTTAAATTTCTTGCTTCATTACATCTCTTTTATTGAGCGTTCATTTAAAAATATTTTTCTCTGCTTATACCCTTCTTTTCTGTTTCAGGATTGTGTCTGGAAATATTAAGTTAGTAGAATCAGAAAGTTCATTATAGGTTCAGAGAAAGGGAAGCTCTAGTTCAGTGAGTGAGGAAGAAGGATGTAGTCTAGTTGGATAGAAGCGGTAGGTAAGGCTGGTAGGGTTGAGGAACAGAGTGGCCATCCCTTTAAAGAGAACAGCCAGGGAACACCATGGTTGGAGCAGAAGAGTCACTGTTCTTTTAATTTTGTTCGATTATAGACAACTGTAATCATTGTTTTCTTTTGTTTAAGAATTAGACTGAAATTCCCAGAACTTGTTCAAGGTACAAGATTTACAGTATATCACACCTGTAATCCCAGCACTTGGGAGGCCGAGGAGGGCAGATCACTTCAGGTCAGGAACTCGAGACCAGCCTGGCCAACATGGTGACGGGAGATGAAGGTTGCAGTGAGCGGAGATAGTGCCACTGCACTCTAGCCTGGGTGACAGAGCAAGACTTTGTTTTTTTTAAGTTACAGTACAATTGCCATTTATTTCAGCAGCTGAATTTTTTAAATGGTCTGTAAAATAATAACTCATGCTCTGAAGTATTTTACATGTATAATTTTACTTATGTTTTCAACAACCCTATAAACACCATTATTTGGCTCATTTTACAGCTGAGGAAAGAGAGGCTCAGAGGAATTGAATCTTTTCTAAGAGTCAAACTACAGTGGAGGTTGTACTCTCATCCAGGTCTTCTGATTCTAAAACATATTCTCTTAATTCCTCACCTCTATTGCAACCATTCTATTCAAACAGTAAGAACTTTGTAAATTACTAGAAAACTGAGACAAGGTTCATTTCAATTAGCATAACAGGTCAATCATAGACTATCTGAACAAAGACTGGAGTCATGCCTGTGAAAACTGGTCAACAAAACATCATGGGGTAGTTATTTTTAGCAAATGTACTTTATTGAAGTATTAGAGTGAAATTAAATTAGCAATAATGCATATGAAATATTTATATAGTTTAAATACTACTCCAAAATGTTAATTTTATTCATCATTGTATATAATATGCATTGGTTATTTATATGTTAAGATTTGAGTTAGTTTAGTGTTTATTCCCATGTAGTTCTCTCTGTAATTCTTCAATGAGTTGTTCTATCCTGGCCTGGCTAATTTGCTGATTCTCTTTAACCATACGGAAATCTGACTATGGGGCTGCTACAGAAGTCATATAAGAAATCTGTCTGAGATTGCACACACAGAGCACTTTGTTCAGGGCCACACACAGAGCAGTCTTTGAGAGAGAATGATAATGGCTTTTACTAAATTAGCAATTTATAGCCAGCATGCTGGGCACTACTCTTTTCTCTTGATTGTGGTAATATTTCAAACCAACCCACTGTAATATATGCAAGTGTCAAAATATGGACCTATGTTCAGATTTTTCCAAGCTTATGTGAGACCTTATTTGAAGTGTGCATTCAAGTATGGAGTTTACTGTCAGCTTTAAGAAATATGTGTTTTTGAAGTACAAGGTGAGCAGAAATTATAGAGAGGGAGATGTCCATAGTGAAAAAATTCCTGTGCCTGGTTAATAATCTAATTATCACTCTACTCTTGAAAAGTTATATTCTCATACTGGATTCTCTACACATGAATTTTCAGCCCTAGAAATTATATTTTATTCACTTACAAGAAAGCAGATAGTATTCTGTTCCGTGAAATACTAGACAACACAAGAATCACATATGCCTCTATGTAGGTCATCTGCTTTAGTGATTTTGTTTTCTAACATCTACTACTTTTAGGATGTCGGGTATTATTTTACTCATGATTATTATTATTTTAGATATCTCTTTTTAAGAGACTTTTTTCTCTATTTGACTATTTCTCATAAGTGAAATTTGTGTTTCATTCTTTATCTCAGGTTTTGTCCCTCAAGCACAATTTGTTCATTTTATGGGTGCTCACTAGTTTATCCTTGCTCTTTCTCTGCAAGTTGATGCTGTTTTAGAGAAGAAACCATTTCTTCCACTTTTGTGTACTCCAAAGCTCCAAATTTGTTTTTATTAATTTCCAATAGACATCAAACCAAGAAACATAAAATAAGTGAAAACTGGATTTCATAGAGCTAACACATTAAATCCTAAAGTGACACAGCATTAAAATTCGGAGGCATAATAGATAAGTGTTACTGGTCATACTTTTCCTGCAATATTAATAGGCCTTTAATCTTGTCATTATCAAGGGCTTTGTGCCCTTTCTAAGGTGAATTAAGCCTTTTTCTCTATCACAGGATTTGACTAAAAATTTAATTATTTATATAATACAACCCTATTATAACAAAACTCATTATTCAAGTCAAGTCTACTAATATATATAAAGTGCTCATTTTCCACTGGAACTATGCAAGGTGCTCTGAGGACACAAATTAAAAGTAAAAGACAAAAAAGTCACAATTTGGGGGATTTTTAAATGTATCTAGATATATGGTAGCCCAAAGATTCCCCCTTGACATATTATAATCACATATTGCAAAAGTCTGAAATGACATGTAAAGCTTGTAGTCTAATGGAGAAGATAAGATACACAAACAGATAATTTAATATTGAATGCTTTTTTCTCAGTTGGTGACCCGTTCATGTGACATCAATATCAGATGAATAGCACTTGGCTGATTTTAGGGTTCAGGAGCACATTGCTGGCAGTGTGAGGCCACATCTGAGGCTTGGGAGAGAGTCTGTGTAAAAAATGAAGTTTTAGAAGACTTTCTGAGAACAAGGTCATAGGAACAAAATGGATATAGATATGTGTGGATGCAGAACCCTAATTGTTTGATATAGGAGAAGGGTAAAATGGTTGTAGATGAAGATACAGAGCTGTGAATTACTTGTATTCATCGAATTTAGACTGTTAATGAGAAAGAAGATGAACTAGGCTTTGCTGGGGTAAAACTTCCCAATATCAGTTACTTAACCTAACACAAGTTGATTTCTTGATTAGGTAAAATCTGCTTGATATCAAGGCAAATCACCAGCATGATTACCTTCCATTAAATGACACCACTATCTAGGATGCTTTGGTATTGTGCTTGCGCCATCTCAACTCAACACCTTCTTGGTTGCCATAGTGATAGACGAAGGAAACTGGAGAATCAGACAATGCTGCATCTTTAATATATTTCTCTGACTATACAACCTTATCTAGGTTTCTTTATACTTAGTAATTTATGTAGACTATTAGAGAATTAGTTGAAAATAGCTAAACCCATACTTAATGACAAATAATATATTTAATACTATATATCTTTTTATGCTTAACATGAATAAAAAAAGAATCTTGATATCAAATGCTGGATTTTTCTCAGTAAGGAACATGTGGAATGTAAGAAAGGCAAGCAGCTAAATGACTTGATTAGGCATACTAATCTCTCTATTCAAAGTGTTTTTATTTCTAATCACAACGTTTGAAGTTTGCTTTTTGACACAAATAATGAGCTGTCTATATTTCATAAAGTAAAGTCCCAGGTTGGGGCACAAGCCATATCAAAAGCCTTGGGGTGGATAAAATTCTAGGATGATCTTGCTCCTTTCATGGGAGTGTGAGTTGCAGATAGGGTATTGAAGTCCAGAACAAGAGAAAGAGAGGACAGTAAAAGGGGAGAATATGGTAGACGTCTTAGTCAGCTAGGGCTACTGTAACAAAGTACCACAAACTGGGCGGCTTATACCACAGAAAGTTATTGTCTTACAGTTCTGGAGGCTGGGCATCTACAACCAAGGTATTGGCAAGGGCTGTGAGGAAGGGATCTTTCCTCAGCTTGTAGATGGCCATCTTCTCCCTCAATGTCTTTAGGTCACCTCCCTACTTGTGTGTCTGTGTCCAAATTTCTCCTTTTTATATAATATTGTACTAGGGCCCGTCCTGCTGACCTCATCTTAACTTGATCACCTCAGTAAATACCTTATTTCCAAATAAGGTCACATTTTGAAGTACTGAGGGTTAAGACTCCAACATATCATTTTTTTTAAGGTGACAACATTTCAGCTTAAAACAGTGGGTTTTGATGTAAAAACAGGCTATTCCTAGATTAAAAATACAATATATTCAAGGGAACAAATAATCCTTCAGGATGAATTAATTTTCACAAAGGTTTATTCTTCATTCGACAGAAAACCCAAAAGAATCTGGTTACATTATCTGGCATTTTCTTCCAGAGCGAGAAAGCAATATGGAATCCGGCTGAATGTCCAAGATCACCAGGCAGTGTGGGTGTATCTTTCAGGAGCCTCGAGTCTGGGGTCAGAACAACCGGTGTTGAGGCTTGCAAGGATGTGTATTTATTGAGTGACCTTAAAGAAAATAAGTTCCAGAAGGCTGTTTCTGAATCTGTGAGTAGGAATAAAATAAAACTTACCCTCAAGGTTGCCATAAGATTTAAATTCACTCCTCTTTTCCACAACATTTAAAAGGTTTCCTGGCACAACATAAATATAAACTATTTGTATTACTATTATTAGTATTTTTCTGTTGAACTATAGGTTTGAACTTACGGCTCAGCCTCAAATATGAACAAAGGAGAACCATACAGCACCAAAGAGTAATTTCAAAATAGTTTTCAAAAACTATGGATGGTTATATAGCTCAAGCAATATTTCTAAAAATCCTTCTTATTTTCTTACCTGTTTGTCTCTCCTTCTGCTACTTTTCTGCTGTTTCTCAATTCAAAATCTCTGGAGTTCTTTCCCAGACCCCTTTCCTCCTTCAATGCAAAACCCAAGTGGCAGAGTCTTGGCCAGGGAGTGTAAGGAAAGAAACGCACTTAGCCAGCAAGGCCAGGCAGGCCCTCGTTGGTGGACAAGTAAAGAGGACAATCGTGGAATATTCATATATTAACAATAATTGTGTTGCCACAATGGTTATTAGCAGCGACAAGCCCAGTGCACTGCATGTGTGTGACCTACACACTGCTAGGTGTAAGCTGCATTCTGACTCTGACTTACCCTAGAGTTACTGCTGTGACACAAAGAGTGGCAATGCTGTCCTGCAAATAGCTGGCCCATTTTTGGCTTCTCTGTGAACATGAGATGATTTTTCCTATCAAAAGGGCTTTAAAATGTCCCACTAGCTGTTCCAGACATTGCATAAAAGACCCCGACCCCTTGGGACCACACAGTCATCTAAGAGAACTTCGATGGTTTAGAATGAAAGGGCGTTGCTCAGGAACAGTAGACAGAGCCCTCGGCAGGACGCACAGGATGCAAAACATGACCCTGCCATTCCTGGTTTAGAATGCAAAAGCAGAGACCATTTGTGACCAGAATGGAGAACCCTGGGGAAGAAAATAGACTTTCTATCCCAGACTAGTCCACGTCGGAGAGCACCTGGCCAGGACATACAGACTGAACTCCCTGCGGAGCCAAAAGAGAGGCAGGTTCCCAAGCCAAATTCTAGCAACACGGGACAAAAATGTACAGATGAGAGAGCAAGAAAGAGGAGAGAGAGGTTGGGGGGGTGTGGAATACTGAAAGATGATTGACAACGGTCCATTTTATAATTTATTTTTCTTTGGTTTATTTGGTAAAAACAAAGTCACATCATTACATAATAATAAAAATATAATTCAGAAATTTAAAAAGTGTGTTAGTCTGGTATTTTTCCCCTAGAGGAGAGAAAGTTGGATTATTGAACTTTCTAGGTTAAAACCAGATCCCCAAGACCCTGTATCATTTCATTAATAGGAAAAAGGCCAGAATGTGATGCCAGAACCCTCTCCAGCTTCTCCGGCTTCATTGAACATTTTGTTAGTACCTCATTTACACCCAGGACAGTGGAACCCTCTTCATGGTCATACTTTTTACACGTGTAAAATGTACAGGTATTGACTTAAGTCAAAAACTGAAAAATATAACTTCCAATTTTCAAGAACAATTTTCAGAAATTGCTGATGGCAAGCCTGTAATAATGGTGTTAACACTAAAAAAGTCAAAAGCAGAATGTTTTAAGATACTGTATGGATTTATGTATTGCTTTAACTGATGGTAAAAACCACCATTCAATGATAAAAAACCACTTAAATGATGAAAAAAACTTGAAATAACTTCTGCAATAATAATAATTTATCATATGTATTCCTATTACAATAAGCATAAAACAAAATTTATAAGACAGTTACAAATCTAGCATTGCTTTAAGGGACTGAAAATTCAAATTGCTATTATTTCAACAGAATAAGCATTCTACCAATCAAAATTAAGAAAATATAAAAGAACTTAAGACTCAAGAAAAATTATCTATTTGGCATCATTGTCAATAAAATGCAAATTATGTGAAAATTTTCATCATAACCATGTAATTAGAGATTTCACAAAATGAGGGCACAAAAAGGAAATTTAATAGGATATACATGTATGTATATTTTATTTTGCATTGAAATATTATCAACATTTTATTAGAATATATTTACATTAATAATTAAATTCAGTCAGGAGGTTTTGAAGGGTAGGAGAATCCTGCTGTTTAAAAAGTCATTATTTTAGGGGACTGTGACTCTGCATGCAAATCCTTATCTATATAAGAGTGCGTATGTATGTGTTTGTAAATTGTATTACAATTTTCAAATAAAAACTGTAATTTCTCTAATATTCAAATGCTAGAAATTTACTTGTTCTAACTAAAAAAGCATAGCTTCAAAAAAGTAGCAAAAATCTCATTACAGTAAAATTCATGGAAATTTTAAATGATTTGTATTACAAGAATTTTCTTTCACTAAATTAATGTCTACTCAACTTTGCAGATCTCTGAGTTAAAGCCCCTAATAATGTGCAGGAGTAGACAGAGATAAAAAATTGTCATACATGTATCTCCGTTCCCCTCTTTTTTTTTTTTTTTTTTTTTTTTTTTACAACTTTTGACATGGTTTGATTTGCTTGTTTAGGGTTTGTTTTGCTGGACAGTTTGTCAGTTTAGCTTTCTTTGACAATTTTTGTTTGCTTGTTAGCTTTATTTTCAGTGGAATAAACAATGGGAATTGAAATGGAATAGCTACTTTGTGTCATAGTCAAACATTACAAAATACTTTATTTAGTTCTCCATATAATTCAAGTGATATTTGTCAATTCCTACTGAGATTGTGGATAGGACTTTTTAGGAATTGAGATGGGTTTGAAGTTAATCTAACTTGAGTTTTATTTTTTAATAATACAACATATCATCATTAACTATAGTCACCATGCTGTAGAATAGATCTCTTGAACTTATTCCTCCTGTCTAACTTTAATTATATACCATTTAACCGACATCTCCCCATACTGTGGATATTGTGTTCTCACTGCAAAAATAATAACAGTGTGAACAAATACATTTGTTAATTAGCTAGATTTAACTATTCCACAATGTATATATAGTTCAAGATATCTTGTACAACATAAATGCATGCAATTTTATCTGTCAATTAAAAAATAAATAAATACAAATAAATAACTTGAATTTTAAAAGACATCTGTTTATTATGAACACAATGCCAGACATAAAGGAGGGTCTTAATAAATGTTAGTTTCCCTGTCATCCCCTACACAACCATGGCTGGAGAAAATAACATTATGAACTGAAAAACTAAAATGACGGTGACTTCAAGAAACAAGCAAGCTGTGCATTTGATAATGTAGATTTTAGAGAAGAGTATAATAATTTAATGCATTTTCATGTCAGCCTCGAGTGACTTTTTTTCTTTTATAGAGAACTACAACAATTTTAATTAAGCAATGAGTCATATGTATAACATTGATGTTAACTGTTTTTACGTACTTCATGATTAAGTTTCATATTATCATATCTTGTTTCTAGCTTTGGTTGCAATTTCTTCAAGTCTAGGAGCCTAATTTTATATCTGTATCTGTGACAATGTAGAGATGCAGATAGTACTCCATAAATCTCTAGGGATGATGCTGATGATGTGTCCACGGGAAGCTTGTTTTGCCTTATTTATCATTCTAGGTGCTATAATTGTTTTTCTGTTCATCTTACTCTTAGTTTTCAATTATTTTAAACAAGAATTTGTCCTTGAAATTAAAAATATCTGGGGACACGTGTGAGCTTAGCTTCCATTCCAAGCTATAAGAGAGTGAGGCAGAGTTCAGCTATATTTTAATGACATTTCATGTTAAAAAGATGGTTAGGGAAAAAAGTCAGAAGGCAATTTTTAGCCTAATCATGAATGGTCCTTAGTCAGAACTCTACCTCCCACAGCATGTTAATATTAGGTAGATGGAACAGAAAACTCAAAGACAGACAGACCTGGACCTCATTAGAGAACAAAAGCAAGAGGAACTGATGTCAGTAGCAGACTGTGGGATGTGGGATGAGAGGATGAATGAAAATGAAACAGAAGGGAATGTTGGTGAAAAGGGTACCCAAGAGGCCCCACAGCAGAGCCAGCGCTAACAGAATGGAGAAGGCGCCTTGATTTCTGCTGCCTCCCAAGTGTGTTGATGGACTTAATATTCTCCGGGTTTCACGAAATAGAGGTCAATGTCAATTAAAGAACATTTAACTGGAGATAATGGAGGGGCTGGTAACAATATTAAATAGGTTGAGAATTTGTTTCTTTTTCTAGGTGCATGGACGGAATCATTTTTAACCGTCTCCTATCTTTAAGCTTTGGAATAAAATGAAAGTGTAATTTGTTAATGTTTGGGAAGGTTAGAATGATGAAGTGAATTACCCACTTTCCCCTCCAAACACAGGATAAAACTTCTTCTCTCTGCCTGCATAAGGTCGTTCCTCCTGCCTGCCATGTCTTTCTTCTGAGTCTCAGTTCAAATGCCATATCTAGCCTGGATGACCTTTTAGTCCACGCAGAGAATGGTGAGGAGCCCACTCTTCTTATTCGTATGATTGTACATGTCTCTGTTATGATCTTTATAAACTAGCACTAGAGTAGGAGTTATGTTTGTGTTTTCTTTCCATGTGAGGCCCAGTAGGGCGGGAATCACGTATTGCAGTTGTTCAAACTTCCCAGAGGTTAGTGTGAGTGCATAAATAAACTAAGAGTTTAAGAAATACGCCCAAAACAGAAGAGCGAGAAGGGCAAGGTCTCAAACACAAAAAGGCCTCATAAAACTCAGATCCACTAGAGGAACAGCTTCATTTTAGCGACTCTGTTGTCCACTGACTAGCCCGGTAAACCCTAAAGTTGTGATGTCCGCCCACCGCCCTCAGCCTCTTCTTTCCCAGAATTCCTAGGGTCTGAAAGGAAACTGAAGTTTGCAATCAGAAACTCTGGATTGATGATGGGGGCAGTGAATACAGATATTTTGGGTTGCCCTTTGCTGAGGAGGGGGATGGACTTAGGCACAGAGAAAATCCACCCTTTTCTCTGAATCTGTTCTCTTCTGAGTCCCTTTTCTCAACATAACCTTTTCTGGTTTCTCTGGCCTCCACCATAAGGACCCCCTTAATGGTTACACTCATAGCCCAAGGCAGAATGTCATAAAATTGATGTGGGTTCAATTATGAATAGACAACTCAAGCCACACATGAAACACATGATAGCAAATAAAACCAAATACTTGGTAAAACAAAGGTTTTTGAGGCACAAATGGAATAAATTTTAAATAACAATTGATTACATGTCAGTATGTGGGAGAATTGGGATGACCTTATAGGTATTTATATAATACAATGTTCCTGTGATTTCTCAAACAAGAGCAAAATGTTCTTTATTCTTCATTCACATCAACCACCTTTGGCTTCTTCTGCAATAAAGTGTATAACAAATGCTTGTATCATCTCAACAGTTAGATGAGGTTTTGCCAAAATCAACAGTGTTTTCTAGTCTCAGTCTTCCTCCATCTCATGAACTTCCAGAGCTACAGGAAAATGACTTTTTAAGGTTATGTTTTTTAGAAAACATTGAAAATGTACTCAAAAAATGATATAATCACTGGAGGAACTGCTTCTTGGTTGGCGGTACAGTAGTAAAGTTACCAATTCTGTTAAATAGGCCCCCAGGAATTGGCCCCTTTTGGGGTCCTAAATTTAATAAACATTCAAATATTATTAATTGTCTAGACAAAAAAGAGTATTCACTCTATGGTTCTATTTACATGTAGTTCTAGAAAAGGCAAAACTATGGAGATAGAAAGCAAAACAGTGGTCCCTAAAGGGCAAGGAGTAGGGGGAAGTGATCGACTGCAAAGTGACAAGAAGGGACTGTATTAGCCAGGGTTCTCTAAAGGGATGGAACTAAGAAGATAGATGAATACATGAAGGGAAGTTTATTAGAAGAATTGACTCATGGGATCACAAGGTGACTTCCCACAATACGCCGTCTGCAAGCTGAGGAGCCAGGAAGCCAGTCCGAGATTCAAAACCTCAAAAATAGGGAAGACGACAGTGCGGCCTTCAGTCTGTGGCAGAAGACCCAAGAGCCCCTGGCAAACCACTGGTGTAAGTCCAAGAGTCCAGAAGCTGAAGAACTTGGAGTCTGATGTTCGAGGGCAAGAAGCATCCAGCACGGGAGAAAGGTGGAGGCCACAAGACTCAGCAAGTCGGCTCTTTCCATGTCTGCTTTCATGCTAGCAGCTGATTGGTTGGTGCCCACCCAGATGGCGGGTAGGTCTGCCTCTCCCAGTCCACTCACTCAAATGTTAATCTCCTTTGGCGACACCCTTACAGACACACCTAGGAACAATACTTTGCATCCTTCAATCCAGTCGTGACACTCAATATGAACCATCACGAGGACTGTGGGGTGATGGAAAAGTTCAATGTCATGATTTCAGTGCTTATGAACCTCTGTAAAATTCATCAAATTGCACATTGAAATTGGGAGCTCTCATTGTTGGTCAATTATACCTCAGTGAAGCTGAGAAAATGCACTTACCAGGTAGTGTACATTATAAACTACTATTCTTCTAAATTATCATTGAAATTTTCTTATATTTCAGAGTTATGTTCTGAAGAAATGTAGAAAATTTAAATGTATCTCACTCTGTCATGGACAATATTATGGGCTACAACTTGGCTAAAATAAATCACATTTTATAGATTCAGTAACTGAGAGCAGTGGGATAAGAATTTATGGCATTATTAGTGAATTACCCTCTGGGGGTTACTGACTTTCAAAGCTTTGCTTATTGCATTGATTGATGCATTTTTTTTCAATCATACTGTGAGTTGGTGTGTATGTGTGTTTGTGTGTGTATGCACCTGCTTAAGCATTGTGGTGTAGTAGAAAAAACATCAAAACTAGAGTGCCAATTCCATCACTTACCTGCTATGTGACTTTGGACAAATCACTTAATATTCCTGAGCCTCTTCTGAAAATGAGTATAATAAAATTATTTTTTAAATCCTTATACCCAATATTTGTGGGAGGTTCAAGGAATATTGTTACTTTTAGTATCAAAAGTAGTCAGGAAGTGCACCAAGTCCTATGAGCATTTGCGACCTTGGTGCAGTGTAAGCTGTTGGAATCTTTGGATGCGTATTGACTCCCAGCACTCATTAGAATAAATGCGGGGTTACCCCACGGCGGTGACACTGGTGTTGTTCTCACAGGCAGTGACACATTTCAATAATGTGTATGATGATTTCTGGTGAATCTCCATGAAGTTATCGCTATATCAATCTTGTTCTTTTCTAAATAACAATCAGCATTGTGAAGGATTATTGAAAAATGTGCCGGTTCTGAATTCATTCACAGAATTACCAATGGAAAAATTTTTATTTCTCAGAGTTTAATATTTCAATGTGTGGAAGTAATACAAATGCAAGCATAACTTTGAATATACATATTTCTATTTCTCAACCTAAAACCACAATATCTTTGGTGTTTAGCCCTGTCTTCTTCCCATTTAAAATGTCCCATGGTTCAGATAACTTCTGAAAGTGCCATTTGTCATCCTTGCACTGCTTTTTCAGCCAGAATTCCCTTTCTCACGTGGATTTCTGGGGGATGAAAGCTGCTCAACATACAAGCCCCAACTCTCATGAACTTCCTTCACTAAACCTGCTCTGGTGTGGATAATCATAATGAATCTGTGTGTCTGTTTATTCTCAGATGCTTATTTATACCTTTACTTGCAGCACTTTTCTTGTTTACTCGTATCTTATGCTTAGAAACACCGCCCCCTCATCCATAGGCAAAATTTACCACAGTTTACCTTCTTGTTAAGCACTTTACAAGGATTCCCCATCGAATCTTCTGTGTGACCCCCGGAGAAAGACAGCACCACCACCTCTGTTTTGTACATAAGAGAACTGAAGCAATAGTTGCTAAGCATATTGTCAATGTCACTCAGATGGTAACTGAGGAAAGGAAGATGCAAAGGATTCATCCAGATAGTCCCTTTAACATATTGCTGTGTTTAAATATCTGTGCTTGCAGGTGGACTTTAATCCCTCAGCAGGTAAAAGGAATGCCTCTTCCTTAGGTCTTAAGTGCTTGGCACAAGACTTTGCACATAATAAACCCTTGATAAGTATTTGTTGAATAACTGAATGGAAATACATATTTGCAAACTATGACAGCCAAAATTTACTAATTTTAATCAGTGGAGAATATATATGTATAGCACATCGACAATAGACAGTTAATTTTATAGGAAAATGAAATTTCGAAATTTTTAAGGGAAGCATCATGAAACGTAAATGTGAAAAAATTCACTCTTGGCCAGGCGCGGTGGCCCCCTCCTGTAATTCTAGCACCTTGGGAGGCCGAGGCTGGCAGATCACCTGAGGTCAGGAGTTCAAGATCAGCCTGGCCAACATGGTGAAACCCCGTCTCTACTAAAAATACAAAAATTAGCTGGGCGTGGTGGTGTGTGCCTGTAATCTCAGCTACTCAGGAGTCTGAGGGCAGAGAATCGTTTGAACCCAGGAGGTGGAGGTTGCAGTGAGCTGAGATCACGCCATTGCACTCCAGCCTGGGCAACAAGAGTGAAACTCCATCTCAAAAAAAAAAAAAAAGAAAAGAAAAAAATTCACTCTCGTAATAAACTAAAAATGAAGGAAATCAGCAACTTAAAATTTTTACTCAAAAACCAGAAGTGAGACTACATTGGGAGAATATCTTCTCACAAATACATGGCTTTGTAAACCAAAGTAGTATACCTTAGTGTTTAAGAATATAGATTCTGAAGCCAAACTGACTGACTTTAAGTACCAGCTCTGCAACTTATATGAACCTGAGAAGGATACTTAACACCTCTAGGCCTCACTCTCCTTATCTGTAAAATGGGGTGATAAGAGGGCTTTCTTCGTAGGGTAATTGTGAAGACTGAATTGATATTTAGAATGCATTCATGTCATTGACTGGCACAGAACAGATTATATAAATGGTTGCAAAACAAGCAATTCTTGTGTTTTCAGAAAAGAACAGATGGAATCTGATGTTTGTTGATGGTCATGAAAGTTCTCAGTACACCACATATGTTTGAGCTATGCCATTTTCAGGGCTCTGAGGCAAAGTGCAAGCCCCTTTCTACAGATGATGAAACCACTGAGCAAGAAGCCAGTGATTTGTGCAGGACCAGTGTTCCGTGGGGAGTTAAAGTGATGCCCAGCTTCATACACTCACCTGACACACTAGTCTAATTAGCTGTAAGCTTCTTGATGTTAGAAACCTGACATTTTATTTTTTATTTCCACACTACACAAGACATAGTGCTCAAAAACTGTAATAACTATTAACAATTAAAAGAAATATATGGATTGAGTACTTAAAATAAACTTCTTTCAAATGTATTATGATAAGTATAATACTTCAGGATAAATCTAATGATAGAAATAAATTTGAGATAAATGCCAATGGAATGAGAATTAAGAAGCTTTTAGAAATTCAGAGATGATTTTTTGCATGCTTAATACTAGATAAGTTTCCTAACTAATAACTTTCTTCAGGATCTATTTTCTTCTTTCCATCTCTAAATTACTACAATTCATTACATAAAATTTCTTTTCTTATAGCTTTCCAGGATGGTTGTTACTGGTTTACAACATTTTCAATGTTTCTTCATAAAAATATAGATCAAAAAAAGTGTTAATAATATTGAAGTGGTTACATTGTCTGGGGTATATACCCTGGAGTTTGTTGTTTAGGAGATGGACACACGTGAGGAGTTTAGGAGTGGAAGTTTAATAGGCAGAAGAGAAACAGCTCTTTCTATATAGAGAGAGGGCCCTCAAAGAGGAAAAGACTGGCTGCAAGTGAATGGGCCGGATTTTATAGTCCGGTTTGAGGAGGCAGTGTCCGATTTAGGTAAGACTCACAGATTAATTGGATCAGGTATGATGTTTACACAGTGTGAGGGGAAGGCTGGTGGCCCCACTCTAATCTTATTTTGCAAATAGGCTTTCCAGTTGATTGGTGCCATCTTATCTGCTCCTTACTGTACAGATAGCTGACAAAGAGGAGGGAAGATGGAGCCACCATCTTGAACATGTCTAGTCCTCTGTTCCTGCTGGCATTCACCGTGCAAGCTCCCATCTTGCTTGACTATGTCTTCAGCTCAACTTTACAGGCTGCTCTTTGCTAGACAATGATTTGGGACTGCTTTTCATTAAAGAGAAAAGCCTTACTGAGGAATCCCATACCCTTACTCTCTGCCTAAGTGATTTCATCTTAACTCCTGTATCAATATGGCATTAAATATATCCATTTTATTTTTTACTTCTTCAAAAAGTATTCAGTGTTATTAGTCTCCAGCAGAATATTTGACACACCGTGGTGTGAAGAAAAAGAATAGCAACTCTCTTTTGTCTTCTAAGTGTTAGAAGATATATTCAACACTAAATAATATGTTATCAATAGCAGGGGACAATAGTGAGGCAAATGTGATTGCAGTGACTGAACTGTCAAAATTGATGTGGCTGTACTGGTGGAAAAGCTAAAACAAAAACAAACAGGGCAAGAACAGCGACAGCACCAATAGGTCATGTCTCCCTGAATATGAATAGAGAGAGTGCATTTATGATATCTGAACACCAGACTGGAAGGGGAACACACAACTGTGCAGCTTGCTCAGGGCTGTTTTCTGTCAGACACTCATCCTCAGATACTGAAGATAATGAAGAATGCATAGTTTATTCTTTGCACAACTATTCCAATGAATCACAAGCTTAGAACTTAACCTAAGGGACACTGTAGATCCTCATTTCTCAGAAAAGAAACCTGAGACCTAAAGAGATAAACTGATTTTCTCAAAGTCACACCATTAGGTGCTATCATATTTGGACCTGAGACAAAAAGCAGGTATCTTAATGGGTTAAAATTATCTTCTAGATTCTGCACTGGCCCTAGTAGACATGATAGGCACAGGTGGGAGTTTTTAAATATTTTTTGACTCCATTTATTGACATCTGTCTCGCTGGTCTGCTGCTTCCACCCTCACCCTCCTACCATCTCCTCCTTCCTCCATCTGCTCTCCCTCTTCTTGTGTTACCATTGGATTTTGCTCTCAATTGCCTGAAAATGGCAGGCTTCATCGAGGATTGACTGTCTGATGAGATAATACAGGAAATTTAGTGTGGGGTTTTAGAGATTAAAAACCCTCCTGCATCCAGGGAATGGCACCATGGTTTAAAATGACAAGATGGTGTGGGTTTGTTATTTTAGAGATACAGGGGGCAACACTGTCAAATGCAGGTATGTGGGAGGTATAAAATGTATCTAATTCACTGGGTTATGTAACTGAGGAGATTTTTGACCAGGGTGTTGCAAGCGTCACCTGGTTTCCCTGCTGCTTGTAACAAACGGTGAGAGGACAGGAGTAAGTAAAGGAACGACTGTTCAACAAAAATAAATCATGACTTGCTGGTTTGGAAGATTCTCAACTCTCCACATGCCGAACGATACCAAAATTAAAAAATGGCTTCTGAGCAAATATCTAATCCAAGCACCACCAAGAAAGCATGGCCTAAAGACGAGGATGAAGATGTTACTGTGAAATGTTTTGTTCAAACCTTAGAAAGACCAAATGTGGCACTCTAGAGATATCTGTCAGACAAAAGGCCTTTTAACGAGATGAAGGGTGTGCCTCACGTCCTCTATATCAAACACTGGACTTCCAGGAAATTTAAAGGAATTGGTCCATAGGCTGTTCAACAGAAGCCCACTGGCTTATTTTTTCATGGAATCCGGGTGAAGTTTTGCAAGATTCTCTGACTTGGTTCTTAGCAAAGGTGTTAGTCAAGTTGCTAAATTTTCCAGACTTCTCAGCGACACTGGAATTTATTTATTTCTCTTTTAGAGACTCTGAGCAGAGAGAAGATAGAGCCTCAAAGAAATGAGTCCCTTGGCTCTTTCTCATTCTGTAAATGGTTTCCCTAACTTTTTCTTTTCTTCCTTCCAGCAGACTCAGGAAACTCAGCCACTTTGCCCTCTCTCAAAAGCTGGCAACATATTTTTTGGTAAAGATTTTACTGCCAATGCCCATAGAGGAAGAGCCAAAGATAACAAAAAAATTAAATAACATTATATAGTTCATAAGAATATATAGTTCATAAGAGTTTCATAGAACATATACAAACTTTTGTGGACAAGTTCAGTGTTAAAGTTCAAAAAGTTTTTTTTTTAGTAGGACATCTTGGAGTTTTTGTAGGCGAATATAGTATATTTTTAAAAGTTAATAATAGCATGCACATATAGCCTGTTTTCAAAGTATACATATATATACTTTGAATATATATGTATATATATGTATGTGTGTATATATATGTGCACAAATACATATGCACATACAGAAAACAATTTCTTCTCAAGTGCACGTAAAGCATTTATAAAAATGTTGGCTGAGTCCTAAAGCAAGTATTAACAAATGTCAAATAAAGTAACTAGTAACATTCATTTTGACTGCAGTGCGATTTTATCAGGAAAAAATAAACAAAAACCAAAAAGGACCTCAAAGTTAATCAATTTAAATAGAGCCTTCAATTATGTGGACTTAATTTCACAAAGCTAAACTGCCTACCAACACTGTTGAGTGCCTGTTTTACCAAAACAGAGACCAATCTCATCCCCTGAAGTGACACCATTCTTTTGGAGAACACCAGCCCTCTGGTGGCAGGTGGATTCCATTGGCTCAAGTCCATTATGAGCCAGGGCTCTGATAACTTTTTGCTGAACCATATACTGACTTTGGATATGAATTTGACTTAAGTGCCTGCTCTATGTCTTTCAGGGTTACCACTGTAAAATTACTGAATGCCTTATTCCTTTCATGGTATTTCACATAGCGTTATTTCTGATCAAGTTCCTCTCTGTCTCTTTCTAATGACAAAAAAAAAAAATTAAGCAATAGACTGACACCATAACACATTCACACATCTTACCATGTACCAATTATAAGATGCAGCTGACTCACTGACAGTTCTGTTACAGCATCAACTGAGGGAAAATACCTTGAGAGTTTGGGGGGTTGTCCTATAGGATGTAGTGTATATACTGAAAGATCAGTGAAGAAAAAATTCTGTTTTTTCCATAACTAGAACTTTGGTTTGGGGAACCCAGGGGTGAAAGGAGGAGCAGCACCTGCCGCTCTAAGACCTGCGAGCCATATGCAAATGTTTGCTTCCTGACACCGTACATTTAGCCTCTGCTTGGTCAGAAGTCAGGGTACAAAGGAGAGATGATTCATCAGAGGCATAAAAACGTTTCCACTGAGACTATCAACTTGCCATTTCTGGCTCATTATGCCATTGATCCAATAATCCTCAAAATATTCTGTGCCCACTGCACTCGTAAATAAGCCCCAAAATACTCTGCATCCGCCGCACTTGTAAATCCTGAATAGCACAGAGAAAACAGTGATACAGCTACCATGAGTGGAGGAACAGCAGGGTTCTTGGTTCTCGCGCCAGTTCGGATAAAACTACATGGACACATGTGGAGTGGTTTTAAGAAGCAAAAAGTGTAATAGGCAAGAAAGAAGGAAGGAAGAAGAAAACAGCTCCCCCAAACAGAGACAGAAGGAGGGGGGGATTCAAACAAAGAGAAAACCCCGTGTGCAGTGGGTGGAAAAGTGGCTGCTTATATGAGGATGCGGGAAGAGGTGGTGTTTGATTTGCATAGGGCTCAGGGGATTGGTTTGACCAGGCATGTCACTCACGTAGCTGCTGAAAAAACTGGCCCTCCCACCCTAACTTTAATATGCAAATGCAGGGTGCCATGATGTTCTACACACGTAGGGCTATGTGGGGGCAGCCATGTTGCCAGGCACATGTGGGACAAATGCAAGAAGAAAGTGGCAGGAATCGTCATGTTTGGGTGGACCCAGTTTCTAATGACCAACATTTGCATATCAAAGGTTGCCAGCCTGGCTCTAAGAGTCAGAGCCAGGCTTTCCCTGCTAGACAAGAAACGTTTCTGGAGCTGCTTTAAAAGAAACGAAAACTTCCCAAGGACCCCTTTTCCCCTCGGTCTGCCTAAAGTAATTTCTCAGTAACTCCTGTAACAATAGGGCTGCTCTTGGCAAGGTAAGATAGGAGGAAAGAATTAGGAGCCCAGGAAATCATTTGGGGTTCATCATTCTAATGTCATATCCAGTGGTAAAAATTCATGGAAGACTTCTGCAATCTTATACATACAAGACCATTAGAAGCTCATACCCTGTGGAAATGAAGATTTGGGTCCTCCACCTACACTCCCAAATAAAGAACCAATCTTCCTGAAGTGCTGAATGAGGCAATGGAAACATGGAATGGTTAGAGGGATAAGACATTTTAGATGTCATTTAGATTTCTTGATAAATTACAGGAACAAAGACTTTAATAATTACTCATTTATTTATTCTTGCATTGTTAAGCATATACTTGTTAAAAATTAAACAATTTTCTTTTATTCTCTCTCATTTTTGTAAGATCAATAAAAGGACTGTTGATGGAGGCTAACTTTTTAACTAAATCCTTAGGTTTTAGGACAGAAAAGTGGATTGGGACTGACCCGGAGGAGGGAAAAGCATCATCCACAGATGTGCACGGTGATTGATAGTTCTATGGAGTTCCCTTTTCAGGGTGTGGGGAAATGTAATTTGGACCACACTTTTTGAAAGTGCAAATGCAAATGGAAGGGTAAGTATAGATGCGGAAGAGCGTACACTCTAGTGAGTCTTTGCAAAGACTTTAAAGTTAGTAGCTGCACTTCCCAGCATCTCTCACAGATAGGGTCCTGAAAGTGAATTAAGTTCTTCCAGTTAGATAAACTTACATGAGGCATAGGAAGTGGAGGTTGAGTGGAAGCTCTACTCCTGGCTGTTTTGGAAAGCTGGGTC
This sequence comes from Homo sapiens, assembly GCF_000001405.40. NCBI lineage: Eukaryota > Metazoa > Chordata > Mammalia > Primates > Hominidae > Homo > Homo sapiens. The sequence goes on along the minus strand of NC_000013.11, from coordinate 108,119,400 downwards.
AGGACATGTGGGTATTTCCCTGGATAAACAGTCAAGGTCCACTACTCCAGTGTTTTAAAACATTTTACCAGGACCTAATGCTCTACATTAACTATTTTTATGCTTAAGATAATCGGATAAGCTATTTTCTTTTTTTCTTATAACAGAACCCTTACTGGCACATCTTTTAATGAAGAAATGTTGGAAACATTCCTTTAAAATAAGAAATGAGACAAACATGCCTGATCATTTCTGTTCAGTATAAGAAAAATAAATAACATGTATAAGAATTGGAAAAAGAAAAATAAAACTATCAAAACTATCATTATTTTAAGATTATACCACTGTGTTTATAGAAACAACAAATAAATTATCTATCATTATTATTTTTAATTAACATGGGGTGCCATTATGTTGCCCAGGCTAGTCTTGAACTCCTGGTCTCAAGCGATTCTCTTGCCTTGGCCTCAAGATAATTGATAGACATCATTTTAGAATGTATAAGATAGTTGTCAGTGTTGCTGACTATTAGATCAATATGTGAAAATCAGTTTTATTTCCACTGACTAATAATAAGCTATCTGGATTTGTAATTTAAAAAGAGATAATGGTTATGGTAGCAAAAAGAAAAAGCAAGAAATTCTAATGTCTAGGGGTATATCTAGCAGAAAAAATTTTTTTTAATTAACTGGCGGGGTGCAGTGGCTCATGCCTGTAATCCCAGCACTTTGGGAGGCCAAGGCGGGTGGATCATGAGGTCAAGAGATCGAGACCATTCTGGCCAACATGGTGAAACCCCATCTCTACTAAAAGTACAAAAATTAGCTGGGCATGGTGGCGCACGCCTGTAGTCCCAGCTACTCCAGAGGCTGAGGCAGGAGAATCGCTTGAACCCTGCAGGCGGAGGTTGCAGTGAGCCGAGATCGCACCACTGTACTCCAGCCTGGCAACAGAGCCAAACTCCGTCTAAAAAAAATAAAAATAAATAAAAACCAAGGCAATTACAAAGAAAACTATAAAAGCTTATAGTTTTTTTTTGTTTTTGTTTTTGTTTTGTTTTGTTTGAGCCAGAGTCTCGCTCTGTCACCCAGGCTGGAGTACAATGGCGCGATTTCGGCTCACTGCAACCTCCACCTTCTGAGTTCAAGTGATTCTGCCTGCCTCAGCCTCCCAAGTAGCTGGGATTACAGGCACCTGCCGTCATGTCTGGCTGATTTTTGTATTTTAGTAGAGACGAGGTTTCACCATGTTGGCCAGGCTTGTCTTGAACTCCTGACCTCAGGTGATCCGCCCACCTTGGCCTCCCAAAGTGTTGGGATTACAGGTGTGAACCACCGCACCTGGCCTAGAAAAATATTAAGAAAAACTCAAATAAACAAAAGATCATGTGACATTCAAGGTAAGTAGAACCAATATGGCGAAGTTGTCAATTTTCCCCAAATTAATCTATACAATCAAGTCATGCCAATCTATAACTAACCTGGGTGTTTCATGAAATTTGGCAAGCTAATTTGAAAATTTATATGGGCTTGAAAAAGGCCAAGAGGAGTCAAGATAATTTTGAAGAAGGAAATGGCTGGGGGATTTGGTGTACTAGAACTTAAAATGTATTTTCAAGTTATTTTAAAGCTTAATAGTTAAGGCCACATAGTATTGTTTATGGGTAGGCCAAGACACAATTGAAACAAAATAGCACAGACCAAGGCCAGTGCCTCTGAGAAACCTAGCATACAACATAGCTGAGAAAGAAGATTGTTCCATAACTGGTGCTGAGTCAACTAGTTAACCATATGCAGACAAATAAACCTGAATCCTTTTTTACGCCATATAGAAAAAGCAATTTCAGTTGGGTTATGTTACTAAATATGACAAAACAGTATTAGCAGTGTGTTTTTATAACCACAAAGTAATGAAAGTTTTCTTAAAGAAGACGCAGAAAAAAAGAAAAATGCAAACAAGTTAGAAAAAATTAAAAATAACTAATTATTTTAAAAATATTTTGTTGTTAAAAGGTACCATAGAATTGCAAAAATAAGCCATGAACTAGGAGAAGATGTTTGATACATGCTTAACCAACAAAAGATTATTATGCAAAATATATTAATAACTTTGACTAATTAAAAAGAAAAGATGGACCACCCAATTGAAGATAAGTAGAGAAATGAGTAGGCATTCCATGAAAGAAAAAAATACAAATGACAATTAAATATATTAAAATGAGACCTTACTGGTTTGAAAATTAAAATCAAAATTATTATCTCACATTCAACAGGTAGTCAAATATTAAAATCCAACAATATCAAGTAATGCTGAGGATATGGAGCGGTGGAAATTCATATACTGCTGAGCAAATTAGAAATGCCTGCTATTGACCATAAGAACATTTTCTCTGAGTTATGTCCCCTGAGAAACTTTCACTCATGGAACCTAATGGTCATGACAACATTGTTTGCAATAACATGGAACTGATTCCTAAAAATCATAGATTTCTGTGAGTTAAGAATTATAATTTCTTTCTCATCTATTAATATATTAAACAAAGTATTTGACCAATGAGCATGATTTATATCAGTATATATTTTGCACAAGGCAAACCATTCTGTTTTTGTTTCTGCAGCTCTACCTCTGGAGAGGTCTTTAAATTTAGTATAAGCTTTCTGCAACTTCAAATTATTGATACTAATTCCTCCAACTTCACATATTCTAGGTTTAATTCGTTGCCTACATTTAAATTGTTCTATATCAATTCTGGCAAAAAGTAACCCTGTACTTACAGACAGAGTTTGATGTTATATTGAACTCTGGCTTTTGATTTCATTCAATATGTTCTAGTGTCCTTTTCTACCTTAAAATTCATGCTGAGAACATAACATGATATTCTAAGTATGCACCTAAGGCTGCAAAAGTAGGGAGTGTCAATCACATATTTTGCTCTAGATACATTTCTATAAACGTACCCTTACTAATGAATATTAGGTCTGAATAGCCTATAGTAGCTGTGTTACCTTGTCAGTGCTATAATCCATTTTTGTCTTAATAACCTCACCCTGCTACAAGACACAGCTGAAACAGCCAATGATATATTACAGTCACCACTGCCAACTGTGAGAGGAGAATTGATCTCACTTTGTAATCTTGGTATCTCTTGTCCCTAGTGGGTATTTTCCCCTCTGTTTACTCCTATGTACCTGCAAGTACCCAGTAACAACTTATCCTCAATTATTCCACTCTATAATTTCCTGGCCCAATAACTCACCTCTGTAGGCCCTGATTTGCACTCTTGTACCTTACAGGAAATGGGACTCCGACTAACTCCTTCAGCTGGGGCTCTAACATCCTGTCTATCCTTTGCTAATCTCTTTCTCCAAAAAATCTTGTTCCTGCCTCAATAATCCATCTCATCAGCTTAATCAGTCCCCTTGGATAGTGACAGTGTCACCACAGGACACATCTTCTGTGGCCTAGTGGATATTGCAAAGCTTTATGAGTAATTTAGTGCCCTAGAATGAATCACCTAACTCCTGAGTTCCCATCTTATCTCTGCTTCTGGTTATTTTTTCATTTTGTATACTTGCTCATTAATATCTTAACTCATTGGCCAACAGGCTGTACAACTACATAAGCCTCTTCAAATAGAGGCATTTTTTTTTCCTTAGTAAGGTTATATGTTAGGCTATCTTCAGAATTTCATTTTGAGAGCCTCCCATCATTCTCGAATCATTTTCCCTTTTAAAGTCTCCTGCTGTTGGAACATACCTACATTTGTTCTTTGAAGTTTAGAGAGACTCTAAATTTTGTCATTACATTTGATTCAAACAAAGTTTACTGTTGATACAAAAATGAACAATACATTGTCCTTTGAAAACTCATGACCCAGTTAGGTTAGAGAATGTTTTACAAGATAAATTGGTAAAGGCTCTAATAGATGGTCTTAGTGAATATTTAAGGGCGAGAGGAGAGACTAGAACAATCTGCAGAAGTTCTGAAATATGAGTAGGGATTTTTCCAGTACATGAAAATGATAGAGCATTTCTCACAAATGGTAGCAGCATATGTGCAGGCACTGTTGTGTGAAACAGCATATTTGTCCAGAGAACAGGAAAGACATCATTATGGCTGAATGATGGTGTATGACAGGGGAGTGATTAGAAAAAAACAGCAGGAGTAAGATTAGCAAGAGTAAGATTATGAAGAATATCGGTCAGGTTTCCTGCTAGAATATGAATCTCATCATGTACTAAGAAGTATCCACATAAGATGAGTCAACAAAGAAATACTAAAATTTATGTTCTTAAAAAATAACTCTAAAATATTATTATTAGTTTGGGTAATGCAAATTTTCACTTCCATATTAGTCTTTTCTACATTGCCACAAAGAACTGCAATTTATAAAGAAACTGTAATTTATAAAGAAAAGAGGTTTAATTGACTCATAGTTCTGCATGGCTGGGAAGGCTTCAGAAAATTTACAATCATGGTGGAAGGGGAAGCAGGCACACCTTACATGGCAGCAGGCAAGAGGGAGCCTCTGAAGGAGGAACTGTCAAACACTTACTTAGAAGACCATCAGATCTCATGAGAACTCACTCACTATCACGAGAACAGCATGGGGGAAACCTCCCTTATGATTCACTCACCTCTCACCTGGTCCCTCCCTCGACAGGTGGGGATTATGGGAATTACAATTTGAAATGAGATTTGGGTGGGGTCACAGAGCCAAACTATATCAACTTCTGTAGGATTGACCTAACTCTTTTAGGTAAGAACTTAAACTCATGAAAGTGGTGGTCAGGTTCACATATGTTCATGTATGTTGGGTATTACAGTTTACATAGTCAATGAGTTCTATGCACTTATGATTTCCTATCTCTTCTTGAATATTTCCCATTTCCATAGTTACATTCCAAGTTTAGCCTTGAGTAGCATTTTGATGGACAGTGACCGAAATTGCATTTTACAACTTATTTTGAAACCATGGGGAGAAATAAGGTTGAACATTTTCTCAATTTTCTAAGAGGTTCCTAGATTATCGCAGCATAATTTTCTGTGTTCCTTATATCTTACACAAGATATGTTGTCTGTAAGATTTGAACTCAGGGGCTCATTTGTTCATGACTGTATCACAAAGAGATTTCACAGGGCCTAGAATCTAGCAGACATTCAATAATATTTACTAAATGAATGGAACAAACAAACAACAACAACAAAAAGCAGTCTAATTGAACCATGCTACATCCTTGGCAGGGAGTTGGTGAGAGGTCAAATATGGAATTGTAAAACCAATATGAGATTCAAATAAGATTGTGTCAAGCTGGCATGTGGTGGAGGCCTGAGCCATACTCAGCACCTGATCTTGATACATGCAGCTCATCTTTCTTGCATGTATTGTCAGAGACAAAAGGAATCTGCATTTCAGGTAGAGAATTTCTCTAAGTATATAAACCAATTTAAAGATGAAACACATGTTTAAAGATTCAGAACTTTTTAAGAAAAAGCAACTTTCTACTTGTTTTTTTTATTTCCTTTATTCTTGGATACTTTTATTTGTGTACAAACATATATCTTCTCGGTCTCCCTGAATAATGGAATGCATAAACATCTACGGTGACTGAGACTATAAAAAGAAAATATAATGTGACTGTAAATGAATTGTACAGTTCATCTACATAGTTCGTGTACATGGGCATAGTACAGCACAGAAAGACAGACATATTTACCTGTCGCTGGATGTCTGCATTTTTTGTGAGTCATATCCATCTTTAAAACACTTAATGTCTCATCTCCTCCTCTTTTGTTCATATGCAGGACTCAACATGAATTTAGCAGCTCTTATTTGCCATAAGCTATGCCTGGGGTTGAATGAGGTTCATTTTCTTCTTATGCGTATGTTTTACTTCTTCAAATTTGGATCTCCCACAGGACCCATCAACTTAGCTCATCATAATTATTACACAGTATTTTTTACTGGCAGATCTTCTATAGAGCCATAGAAAACGTGTAGGGGGTGGAAAAATTAAGCTTGAGTTCATTCTTTCCATTGTGGTAACAGCATTGTGTCAACTCAAGTGCAGTCTCTCCTCTCACCTTGTATAAAAGGAGTGAGGCGGCTGCATGCCATTCACAGTTTAGGAACTCAGACAATGTATCACTAGAAAAGCACTGAAAAGGATATGTAGGCTTCTCTTATATTTTAATTATGAGAAACAGAGATTGAGAGAACTTATAATGACATACTGCAACCACAGATATCAAAGTTAGGATAAGAACACCGGTGTGGTCTTTCTGCAATTGTTTGTAGCGGTTAGTGTTAAATAAGCATTATAATATGCAGAACATATGTTTTCTGTGGCATCTACTATCAGAGTAGTAATTCATTACATGACTTCAAGCATTAATAATTCTAACAGCCATTCTTCAGGTATTTTTCATATGCAGGGTGCTTTATGTTCATATCTGGCCTAATCTTCATGGCACATTCATATGATAGATACTATCATCCATATTTTATAGATAAAGGCAATGGAAAGTTAGTACCTTTAACCCTGGCCATCCTACAATTCATCATAGAATTAAAACCCCAACCCAAATTTTATTGGATGAAAAATTCCATGCTCTAACGACTAAGGTATACTCTGCAGTCAGGCTTAGCTTTGAAATAAATTGATAAGACTAGTCCATGTCTAAGCTTCCTCCCAGCTACAATAATCAATGATTTGATTCTAAGTTTGTCTCTTAAAAGGAATCATGAACTAACTCTACGGTTAAGATACTGACAATCCAGTTTTCTTGAAAGTTTTACTTTTTTTCCCCTGAGAAAACTACAGTGAACTGGTCTCAAAGCTTTGCATGCCATTTTAGAAATCTCCTTGGGGCTGGCGCAGTGGCTCACGCAGTAGCACTTTGGGAGGCTGAAGCCGGCAGATCACCTGAGGTCAGGGGTTCAAGACCAGCATGGCCAGCATGGTGAAACCCCATCTCTAATAAAAATACAAAAACTAGCCGGGTGTAGTGGTGGGCGCCTGTAATCCCAGCTGCTCGGGAGGCTGAGGCAGGAGAATTGCTTGAACCCGGGAGGTGGAGGTTGCAGTGAGCCGAGATCACATCACTGCACTCCAGCCTGGGCGACAGAGTGAGATTCTGTCTGAAAAAAATAAATAAATAAATAAAATAAAAAAATAAAACCACCACCACCAACAACAAAAGCAAAGAAATCTCCTTGGTATTAAATATAACTTTTCAGTTGTCATATAGAGACCAGGGATGTGCTGCAGTGGGGGTGGCCTGCTGGTTGACCCTGATCGTTTGCCCATTAACATTTTTACCTGTTTTTAATTGAAAGGATTGTACACTTAACAATTTTCCTTTTATATTGTACAAGTATCATGCCGACAAACACTGACCTTTTCCAAAATGCCATAAATGTATAACTTTTAAAAATATTCTGCCTTATTATTTTAGTGGGATCATCAGCTCTCTGCAGGGGAACAGGGCAACCAGTTAGTTCATTTTCAGTGCCCTGGGGTTTCTGTATCTCCTTGTTCTCTTCTCATTGAACATGTTTTGCTCATTAGCATCATCATTGCACAATGAGGAAAGGCAGAATGGAGAGAGGGCATTTTTTCCTGCCCATTCCAAAGCAGCTGAGTGGGCAAATAAATCAAACAAGAATCTGAGAAAGTGTCTGATGTTCCTATATATTTACGCTGTTTCTCATCTACATCAATTTTGAAAATCCCCAGCTGAATATTTAGCTATATCTTCTGCAGGCTATATTTTCCATCGGAAAATCGGAGTGTAGCTAGCAATAGATAGTAGGATTATTTAGAATCTTGATGCTTCTTCCACTGGTTTTCTAATTTTAAGTTTCTCAACAGAAGAAATGTATTTCGAGTGCTCACTTAGAAAAAGACTTAATATTTTTATTGCCTATTATGCTCAGAATTCAGTATTTCTCAAACTGTGGTCTACAATCCCCTGCCAGCCCAGAAAACATTCTCAGAGGCCTTCAGGTTTTTCCATTAAGTGTTTTGACTTTGTCTTTAATTAAACATTCAATGTAAATATATTGTGGATCATCTACATTGCCGCCTGTTACTGAATCTTGTTTCTATTTCTGCTCCAATAATTACCTTTCCATTTAACTTCATTCCATGTAAAGACCAAATGTAAATATTTGTGGTACATTGTAGGAATGAAGGTTTTGCAATAATTCGAGAAAAGTGGTGGAGGAATTGAGCCGTAATGCGTCTCTCACTGGTAAGGGTAGGTAAGCCCAAAACAACCTCTGCCACAGCAGACATTGCCATGTTCATATTGACAGCAGGCATGTCACCTGGTTCCTTTGCTTATAGATATTAATTTGCAACTGTTCATTGCCAATAAAGACGTTTTCTGCTCCAGATAGTGGCAGTGATTGTACCATACACTCATGCAATGCAGAATTCAGTAAAGCAAACTTTATATGTAAGTAGACAAGACAACAGTACAGAATAAGTGACTTCTAATTTAAATTGGCATTAGAGAACTTCCTACGCCAGAGTTTCATTAATTAGCTCACTGAATCAAGTCTTAATATTATTAATATTTTATAACACATACCAATGCATATAGACATTTTTCTATAATTATAGTATATTTAATTCAACATAGGAGAAAACTTTAAAATAGAAATAGGTGCTGGGCTAAATGTTCCTTATGATCAAACACATATACTTTATTATTAAAGCCACCATTTGTAATTTAATTTCAACAAAACAATCTAGTTGAATAAATGTTATTGATTTGAAATTAACTTACTTTTCTAGTTTTTTCCACTTATTTTATATATTTTTTAAATTTCATAGGTGCATTGAACTGTTAAGAAATTTATACCAGGTTGTGTGGATTTAAGTCTCTATGAAATTAAAACACCAGAGAATTTTTATTTCCTGTAAAAGGAGACTATGTATCGTAAAACTTTGAGACTATATTGCTCCATGCTGTATAAATGGTAACAACTTGGTAGAAATTTTTCAATATACTGGGATCACAGAGCTGGAAGAGACTCTATATATCATCTGGCCTAATTCCCTTGTTTAGGTAAAATGTGGACTCAGGTAGTTAACCAAGATCATATAGCAAATTCGGTCACTCAAGCAATAAATATTTCTCTGCACATACTCCTATGTGCTAAGAATATAATGTACACGTACACATAGTTAACTGGCAGAGCCTTACCTAGAAACTTCTTTCTATAAGCAAGTCTAGGGTATTTTTATTTCACTATGGTGACTTTCTAAGCCTATGCACTGGCCAGGATGAAACTTGATCCCTTAAGCAGGAATTAAACAGATCATAGTAGCCGCTTCTATTTGGGGATCTAATTCCATTGATATCACAATTGATGTTGGAGCAAGTTGAGGAGACTGAGATTTTAGTCTTACTTATAGAGAAGGAGAAGCAAAGGAATAAGTCACAGTAATTTATACTGATCATGGGCTAGCATATAAAGTGAACTGTAGTTTTTTCTTAATCAAAGACCATGTTTTACTATTTTGATGGGGAAGGCAAAGCTTTAATTTCTTCCTTCTGCCTTTCCAACTATAATGACAAATGACAGAAATTAATGTGGAATATTTGTACATTATTGCGGATATCCACTACAGGCTCAGTCACAGGAAAAACAATTATAAGGTGAGCTTGGCATGCCACGGGGCTCTCAGCATAAATGTCATACTACATTTACCATCAGCTCTTTCTAAGCTCTGTTCTTATAGACAACCAGGCCTTGGGGAGGATGAGAACAAAACAGCTGAGATATGAGCAGCAAAACTACTGAACCTCTATCTTGGTTATTGGTTCTGAGCTGTGAATCAAACCTGGCTATACCACGAATCATCTACAGAACTTTTCAATAGCACTACTGCAGAAAATAAGGAAGACTTGAAGCATGAAATAAAGTATCAAGTGGATTAAATTAACAACAAATACAAGGAAAGTATTTTCAAGTCTAAATCTGGCACCTCATATCTAGAACGTGCCAAGAATTGCTGGAAATTAACACTAAATCAAAGGCAACACTTATATAAAAAAAAAGCGAGGCTATAAAGGAGCAATCTCTAACAAAAAAAGCTAAAATTAACAAACATAAAAACATCTTTGGAATAACTGATAAACATGGAGATGAAGACTTAAATGAAATTATCCCTTTTACAATTTTAGAATGACAATTAATTAACAAGTTGGGTATTACCAAGGGTTAGTGAGGATGTGAGCATTTATAAAACTTCATGCCTTGTTATTGGGTGTGTGAATTGGCATAGCCATGTGGAAGAGCAATCTGTCATTATTTAGCCAAATTATTCACATAGCACCATAATTCCTTTCTTAGCCATATACTCCAAAGACATTCTCACATATGTCCCTAAGGGAAAATGTTTAAGAATATTCATTGTGGCTCATGCCTGCAATCCCAGCACTTTGGGAGACCGAGGCAGAAGGATCACCTGAGGTCAGGAGTTCGAGACCAGCCTGGCCAACATGGCGAAACCCCGTTTCTACTACAAATACAAAAATTAACCAGGCGTGGTGGCACGCATCTGTAATCCCAGCTACTCAGGAGGCTGAGGCAGGAGAATCACTTGAACCTGGGAGGTGGAGGTTGCAGTGAGCCAAGATCCTGCCACAGCACTCCAGCCTGGGCAACAGAGTGAGACTGTCTCAAAACAAAACAAAAAAAGAATATTCATTGCAGAGATATTTGTGTTACAGTGAGTTGATTTCAAATTGACTGTCCATCCATGTGAGAAAGGACAGTCAAATTTGGAGGATATACACCAAGAAGTATTGTGCAGCAGTTAGAAACAATGGGTTGGATACGCATACATAGCAACACGCATAGATCTTAAAAGCATTTGCTTACTGAAGAAAGAAACAATGCAACATATTTAGCACAATCCCATTAAGAGGATTTAAAATGCATACACACAGGATTAAAAATATATACATTTTAAAGAAGAATATATTAAGCAGAATAGTTTCCGATGAAGTAGGGAAAGATAGAGTGTTTTTTATAATGTATGAAACACTTTGTGTGTGTGCGTGTGTGTATATGTATGTATGTATATATACATTAGAATATTCATTGCAGAATATTTTACATATATGATTTTAGTATTACTTATAAAGAAGAAGAAGCAAGGGAAAAAGTCATAGAAATGTATGCTGACCTCAGGCTAGCCATAGAAAATGAACTGTAGCTCTTTCTTAATCAAAGATCTTGTTTTACTGTTTTCATGGGGAGAGCAATATATACATACAAAAATAAAAACTAATGGTTGTGCTTCGTCCTGGGACAATTACGTCAGCATTCCAATGCTGAACTTGGTACGTTTTTTCTCCTCTCCCTTCCCTTTCTCTTCCTTTTCTTTCTCCTCTTCCTCCCCCTCCTCCTCCTTCCTTTCTTTCTCTCTCTCTCTTTCCACATTTTTTTCTTGGGGTGCTCTCCAAGTAATTACAAAATGCAGTAAGAACCACTACTCAACAAAATATAAAATTTTAAAAAAAGAATAGAAAGTTATGAGTCTTCATACAAGATTCCGATTCCCATGTGATGGAATCTAATTATCTTGGTGTGGGTGTTTTCTCTACCCCTGGGTTCCTGAGCTTAGAGCCCTGGCTGACTTGTGTAAGGAGAGAGGAGCTGTTTCTGAAAGGAAGGGATGCCGGATAGTCCAAAATCTCAGATAGGCACTACCGTTGCCAACACTAATTAGAGTAGATGTATGGAAGTTTCTGACTTAAATATTTGTTATATTTATTTTATTTGTTATATTTATTTGTTATATTTATTTCTGACATACATATTTGTTATATTTATTTTAATGGTTTCTTTGTTTAAATTTATGATGGACACATAATGATCGTACATATTTATGGGATATAATGATCATACATATTTATGGGATATAATGTGATTTTTTAATACATACATAAATTATATAATGATCAAATCAGGATAATTAGCATATCCAGCACTTTAAATATTTATCACTTCTTCGTGATGAGAACATTCGCAAACCTCTCTTGCAACTATTTTGAAACACACATTATTGTTAACTCTAGTCCTATATTATGTAATAGAGCACCAGCATTTATTCCTCTCATCTCACAGTAGCTTTGTACTCATTGACCAATCTCTCACTATCCTCCCGTCCCCGCCAACTCTCCTAATCCTCTGGTAACCACCATTCTACTCTTCTATGAGAACAACTCTTCAGATTCCACATATGAGTGAGATCATGTAGTATTTGTCTTTCTGTGCCTGGCTTATTTCACTTACCATAATGTCCTCCAGGTGCAGTCATGTTGCCACAAATGACAATATTTCATTCTTTTTTTAATGGCTGAATAGTATTCTGTTTTGTACATATAACACACTTTCTTTATGCATTCATCCACTGATGGACATTTAGATTGATTACATATTCTGGCTATTGTGAATAGTGCTGCAATAAACATAGGTACACATAGGAATGCTGACATCTCCTCAACCTACTGATTTCATTTCCTTTGGCTGTATACCCAGCAGTGGGATTGCTGGATCATATGGTAGTTCTTTTTTACATTTTTTATGAACTTCCGTATTGTCTCCCATAATTGCTACACACCAGCAGTGTGTAGGGGTTCCTTTTTCTTCCCATCCTTGCCAACACTTATATTTTGATGTTTTGATTGTAGCCATTCTGATTGGAGTGAGGTCGTATCTCAGTGTTGTTTTGATTTGCATTTTCCTGATGATTGGTGATGCTGAGCATTTATTCATATATTTGTCGGCCATTTACATGTCATCTTTTGAGAAATGTCTATTCAAGTCTTTTGCCCATTTTCAAATCAGGTTATTTGGGGTTTTTGTTGTTAAGTTGTCTGAGTTTCTTTAAAATGTTGGATATTAACCCCTTATCAGATATGTAGTTTGCAAATATATTCTCCCATTCTCTAAAATAGATGTTGTCACTCTGCTCTGCTGATTGTTTCCTTTGTTGTGCTTTTTAGTTCAACGCAATCCCATTAGTTTCTACAGTGTTTGTTTTTGTTGTCCATGCTTTTAAGGTTTTGTTCAAAAAATCTTTGCCTATGCCAATGTTATGGAGCTTTTCCCCTATGTTTTCTTCTAGTACTTTCTCCATTTCAGGTCTTATATTTAAGTCTTTAATCCATTTTAAGTTAACTTTCATATATGGTGTCCAAAGATATTTAAGATGAGATCTTTGATTTTGTAATAATAAAGATTAATTAGTACATTCACAATTAATCCTTGTAAATACATAATTCAATTTATTTCATTTAAAGAAATATTGTAATTGAGTAACATTGAGTGTTTAACTTGTACTACACTCAGTGCAGAGGACAAAAAAGAACGTATTTTTGATCTTGTGTAAGAAACTCCTGGTTAGATGAATCTTTCTTTGTCTGTATGCTACATATTGTCTAAAAATAAGATCTTTATTTGATTTTTTAAAATATTAGGAAAACAGATATTGTTTCCCAATGGGAATGATTTGGACAGGGATTTTAGGCAAATCCCCCAACATTTGCTCTAAGCTTTCCTGACTATGATCTTGAATTTCCAATATTGGAAGGGACTCAGTTCTACATGTCCTTCTCTGCCACCTACTCAAACAACAATTTATTGATCATGGCATTGTGAAAAACTCCATTTTAATTATTGTACATATGTTCTAGCAATAGAAAAATCTTTAGATTTGTGAATGATCCTGGATTCATAATATCCACAGTTTTTATTTTATACAAAAAACAAAAACTTAAGTATAGAGAATTGAAGTCACTGTAGCTAGAAAGTGTGAGAGCTACGATCTCATGACATGTCTTCTGGCTTTCAGTCTGGTGTTAGAACAATCTATGGGTTCTTTCCAGATTTGTCTTCCCTGGCAGATGATGTCTTTCTGTGCATTAATAGTAGATGATATACAGTGGTCCACAATCTTGATGACTGTGCAACAAATGGTATCCTGCTCTCACTGTATTTTTACAGTTTAGCTGCTTAAAATCTGATGTTCCAAATGATCCAGTGTTTTCAATCATAAATGATATGGTACTATTGAGTCATCAAATGCATTGGTTCTAATTTTTTATACATATATATTCACATCTATGTTTGTGTATGTATGTGTATATATGTTACATATACATGTATATGTTAAATATATGAAGATATATACACACATACATACATAAATGTATACATACATATATAACATACATCTATATACATAACCTTCAATATCCAAGGAACTTTTCTAAACGTAGGGAAGATGAAAGAAACAGATATAATTCATGCCCTCAAGGAGTTACAGTTCAGGGAAGAAAATTTTTATAAAAGACAAGCAAACAGACAAAGCAAATACCCATCAGGACTTGATGGCATTGAGCAGAAGTGTTTTGTGCTCACACTTTGTGTGTGTGTGTGTGTGTGTGTGTGTGTGTGTGATTGAAGGAAGAAACGGGAAGTGAGAAACAGAAAAAAAATTACATGTTTGTTCTGTAAAGGTCTCAGAAATTTGAAGGAAATTATATTTGTTTGAGTGTACTTACATGAATTTTTCACCTGAATACTTTTCAACCACTGAAAAGGATTGTGATGAGTATGAGGAGAGCTGCCTTTTTTCCATTCCAGTATTTCTCACTTTAACATAGAGCATGATTTACCAACTGACTTTACTAGCTTTGTATTTTATGAGTTTTTATCTTTTCAGTTTTTCATATGAAAATATTTTCTAATTTTTTCTAAATGTGTGTGTGAATGTTTTGTGGATGAGCACAGAAAGGTTTGGTAAAATGCAGCTTTCTGATTATAACATGTTCTTTAGTACACATTACACTTTGCACACAGGGAAACGGATTACTTAGGTGATTTTTCTCACTTGACTTCTCCCCAAGTTGTCCTGAAATCTGTGCTGCATTCTGCCTTGAACTATCACATCCCCATGACTCCAACCAGCCTTTTATGCAAATAATTCCCACTTCCACATCCTAAATCTTGAGCCATTTTCTGAGAATGAGTGTTATTGTCCAGAGGCAAGGAACATTGCTGCCCGGCTTTTGCACAGCAATATATTAGTTTTCTTGAAAGTTAACTGTCCTGTCTTTGTTTCTGTTGAAGGAGATAATGTACACAGTGGTCTATTTCCAAGACAAAGTGCCTTGAATCTCCTTAGGTCAGCAAACTACAGAAGAAACAGGATATACTAGACCCCTGCTTGGATAGCCGATGCCTGCTTGTTGGCCTCCCCCTTCCCCCACCTTCCCCCGCCTCTTAGGTGCTCTCACCCGAACTAAAAACGTTTAGTCTAAAATGAAAGTTTACTAGCCTGCAAAATAGCTCATTTCGTCTGTTCTTATCAGCCTGCCCAGCTACTTAGATCATAAGTCAAATGCTTGAAAAGCCCCTAAGCTAACTACAATTGCAATGCATTGTGGGCTGCAACAAAATGCAGCAAAATAACCACCGCATCCCACCCCCAAAAAATAAAAAATAAAAATAAAAACACCTACAGCCCCTATCCAACAATCTGTAGGCGATGTTCTGGAAGACTGTGACCCCATAGGACTCAGCCTATGAGGAACTGGGGGAGGGACCTGCGCACTAGGGGATAGTTTGCTTGTTAAAACTGCGCTGGGTGTACCTGCTCATCAAACACCCGATCTTGCAAGACCATTATTAAAAGTCTCGCTTTTGCTGTTCTTGGATCTCTGAGTCCATTCTTTGCATTTGGATGGGTAAGTCTGTTTCTCACAGTAGCAATGCTAGGACATTTCTTTAGCCATACAGGTCTGAGAACTTAAAATAATTTTAACTGATTAAGAAGCTTTAAAAGTAAAATCTTGCACTTTTTACTTCTTATATCCGTTCAGTCACCAAATACTTCTGATTCCTTCATTGCTATCCTTCTTCCTAATATGTAAAATAAATCAGGAAGTAAATTCATAGTGTTAACCTAAGAGGGGATTTGTAGGTTAAGAGAGCTATATGGGCATACCACTGAAAAGAATTTTGATTGTGATCACTTGTACACAAGAAAGTTTTGCATGTTTTGTTATGGTTACAGTCTTTTGGACTAGGCTGGAAAAGTAACCAGCTTTTCTGTGATCTGAAAAATATTTTTGAATTTCCAAATGTGTAAATGTGGTTTGGTGGATATTTTGCTATAAATTTGCTGTACTTGCAACAAATCTTTGGAAACCATTTGAACTTTATCTTAGTAGGCAGGGGTCAGCTTTTTTCTTCGATTGGCACTGATTAACCACCACCATTTCAGGCAAAGGTGCACACCTGAAAGAACTCTTCAGCTACCGGATATGAACATGAAGGACTGCTGGTACCCACACTCAGTCAATGACTCACAGGAGCCTTGTTACTTTGGCAAGAATTCTATGTTCATTTAATAAGTTTGCAGAGACGGACGGAAATCTGCTTTATTACTCTCATCCCTCAGCCCGGAAAGCCAAATCCTTTATCAGTACAGCTGCTGCTTCATTCCACATGTCTGAAGACACCGCTGTCTCCTCAATCAGCAGCTTTGGCAGAGAGTCAGGTTTGCAAAAAAATGCATTATAAAGTCTCTGTTACACTGCCTCCTCTTCCTCTTTTCCTCTAAGCAGCTATTTCCACAAGGGTTGGAGGGGTAAGGGAACAGGTGGTCTTACAAGAACCATGATGGAGTTGAACCACAGAAGAGATAGTGACAGCCAAGGGTGCAACCTGCTGCAGTAACAGGCAGGAAAAAAGCTTCTGATTTCTCCCTTCCTGCTACTTTCCATTCTCCTGCCAGGGCCTCCTTTTATTGGAATCTAGTGAGAAGCCAGCTAGAGAGGAAGGCTGGGAAACTTGGTTTGCAGAATATAGACCCTGGGGAAGGGCAGGGCATGGCTTTTGGGTCAACAGGCCAAGAACAGCGCATGCAGAATACTTTCTGAGCTTTGCAATTCCAAGAGTATCTTTATTTTGCACTAATACATGAATCTATATTGGTTTGGCCCAGAATTCTTGGTTCTATTCCTGGTCTCCCTAAAGTTTGTAACATTGCTCTGTTACCATCTAGCTACTGGGATTTTCCATAAATAATTGGATTTCATTTTTATTCTCTCATTTTATTTTTCCCATTGCAATGTGTGTGCTGTCTTTTCTTTATTCTTGGAATTCAGAAATTATACCCGATAGATTTCAAAATTATCCTGGGATGTTAGGATGCCTTTCAAATGACAGATTCAAGGTGTTCTTTTACTTCTGGCTAGTTTTCTGTATTATTTGGGGCTTTCTTCTGCTACAATTTTCATTAGTCATGCCTTATCTCTTGGCTGTCTGTCTTCCAAGCTGCTCTCTTCCAGTAATTTTCCTCACAGTTTCTTTTACTATGTTTTCCACTTGAAATTTTTCCACCTGTTTTCCAAAACAAGTAATAGAGTTTCTGAACTAAGATTATTTATGAGGTTATGGTTTCTTTATAGATTCAAACACAGTGCTTAACTAATAGCAGATGCTTAGTAAAGGTGTGTTGAATAAGAGTATATAAACTAGTCAATCATAACTATTTTCAGTTTACAGATTATTAAATATATGAACAATAGTATAGATGTACACAGATATGGGTATATATGTGAATGACTGTTTAAATATGAAAATAATGCTGCAAACATAAAGATGTGCATTTCTAAGAGTTACTACAGAATACATAAACTAGGAATTTTCTGCA
The DNA here is from genome assembly GCF_000001405.40 of Homo sapiens. Classification (NCBI taxonomy): domain Eukaryota; kingdom Metazoa; phylum Chordata; class Mammalia; order Primates; family Hominidae; genus Homo; species Homo sapiens. Next base: position 108,101,671 of record NC_000013.11, on the reverse strand, counting down.
TAAAGGAAATCATGGGATAATGTACAAGACAAATGCAGTTTTTCTATGCACTTTTTCTCTAATTTCCTTTTTAAAAATTCAAATCAGGAAGCGATGGTGTCCATACATTTCTTGAACATTGTGCTTATAGAAATATGTTTGTTGCATGCCTCAAGTAATAACAGAACACAACTCTTTGAGTTCTAGTCTATATTAAATGACTTAAATGTTACTCACTTCATTTTCTCAAAGAGGAATAAGTATAACAATACTGTTCCCAGAAACAGTTTTTAAAAATGATATAAATGAGACTGAAATTTTAGAAGAGGAGCTATGTAACACTTTTACCATATTACTATTAAAATCACTTTTAGAAAGCACCTAGCAACAGAGAACCTACTTAAAATGAAAACGAAAATAGATGCTATTACCTAATATTGCATACGAATTATTTGAATTATAAATTAATGCGTATATGCAGTACTTAATCTTTTATTTCTTAACTTGAATTTAGAAATAAAAGATATCAAGAGAAACCACTGTGCGTGTCTCTTCCTTCTGAATTTCTTCTATCCTTATGTTGATTGGTAGACTGTGATATAGCAGACTACTGAAAGACTAATTATAAATTGCATCTTAACTATTGAAGATAATTTAACTGAGTCATTGAGGTATTTAAATGAAGTGATTTATTTGGATTTACGTGGAATAAATAATAAAGTACATTCCAATCGATGAGTTTTGATCTGAGTAATCATCACACAAAATAAGATTTAGAACATTTCCATCATCCTCTGAAATTCACTTATAGAACCCCAAAATGCTCCACCCTATTTAGTATTAGGTACAGTAGTGCCCATCTGGATTTTGGTCCCACAAGCTTTCCTTTCTTTGGGAAACCATTCCTCTGTCCCCTAACATGGTCAGTGGAATTCTAATCTTAGCATGGAGATTAGACATTATTCATACTAACAACAAAAGCTTCTCTCACATAGGAATCGGAGCCTTGTGTGAAGACCTAGAAAAAAGTTAAGACTATGGGATATTTTCATCTAATGGCAATGCCAGAAAGTGGTTGTTCTCACCCCTGGCTTCTCATTAGACCCGCCAGGAGCTATCAAGAAAGACCAATGCCCCTTCCTTCATTCTCAGGCTGATAGACCTCAGGCTCTTTGCTATTTCATTTCTGAGCAAATTTCTCGAGGGAAAAAATACTCAGACTCTTGCTTACTAGAAGAGGAAAGGGAAGGGAAACAATACTAGCACAATAAATACCATTTATCAAAATTTTAAAAGTGTTCCTTGCACTGTGCCAAGCAATTTAAACACATTTTTCCCTTCACAAGTACCATCTAATGTAAATATTAACATTGTTATCTCTATTTAACATGTAAGAAAATTGAGCCTTAAGGGTGGTAGGTAACTTACTCAGACTCATCATTTACCCACTGGTGGGTGGAAACAGGCTTGAACTTAGTTCTGTTTGACTCCAAATACCATGCTCTAAATGACTTAGCTGTACTGTCACTCATATGTTACAACTGGTTTACATGACAACGTCAGGTTTATTCCAACCATTCTTACTTCATCTTGATGGGGAGAAAAACAAACTAAAATGACTGTTTTTCTCTTGTAAAAAGACTGAATTACACTTAATGATACACAGAATAAAAGTATTATTAAAAACCACATTTTGTTAACATAAGTGAAACCTTGGATTTTTTTTAAGGCTTTAGATTTCTAAATATAGCCCCATAAAAAAGGGCTGCTCCTAATAACAGAATGAGTCATGGCATAATACTTTATTTAATACAAATGTAGGCCACTACGTTTAATTTCCACATATAAATATCTCTAATTTGCCACATTAGTCTTAATGTCAGTTATAATATTCATGACAACAACAGCAGGAAAGAATTGATTTTGTGTCAGGCATTTTTCTGAGCAAGGTACATCTAAATCTCAATCTCTCTCTATTACTCACAACCCCTAGAAGAGATGTGTGTGTGTGTGTGTACATTGTGTGTTTTGTGAGTTAAAGTTTATGAAACTTAGAAAACTAAGTTTAGAATTATACCTGGCAAGTCAGTGTTAAGGAGAAGTAAGTGTCCCACACTGCTATCTCTAGGATTTCCTCCCCAGCCAGGATGGTGAACTACAAGGCATGAAACATCTCCATGGATGATGCAGCGTTGATTTGGTCCCTTGTGGAGGCCTTTCAGAGCCGACACACTGGCCCAGTGCACACACCCCTACCCACAGCCCAGGCCCCGAGCCATCCATCTCAACCCCAGGTTCCTGCACACATGGCTCCCGAAATCCAGTCTGTAATTCATCATGGTTGGGAATGGGAAATTGCCAAAATTACAGTCATTGTCTCTTTGTCATTTTTATTTGGTTTCCATATGTCTGAAAACTGCATTAACCAGATATGTTTTCTTAAAGGATTCAGTGATTTTTGTTATTCTACTGATTCATATTTCTCCAAAATAATTCTAATAAAATATTGCCCATTGTGCATTAACACACACACAATGTTTTTCTCTTACAAAATTTACAAGATTTTCCACAGATAAACCTATAATGTCTCTCTATTTTAATGCAATAATTGTTCCTCATGATCAGAATTTTCCATCAAAATCTACCCTTTATTCTAGGCCAATTCTATTCACATCAAATCTTACAAATAATGCTGTATTTTTTCTTAATAATTTGTATTTTGGTAACTAAATAATGATCCAATTTTCACTTTTTGTCCAGTCTATCAATCTCCATGCTCTTTCCTGGGAGTTCATACAAAAGAATGTTCCACATGTTAGCTAACTTAAATATTTTAGTACATAGGTGGCAATTTGATTTTAGCTTGAAGTCCACATAACTGATGACCTATGTGGGACAGAGAGAAACCAAAAGCTTCTAAGAACTCTCCAACCCATAATGAATAACTCATTAGCTCTAACCTACTCTAGAGCTCATTTCCTGAGTCACATTTCCCAGGTATGCATGCCCTAAATTAATTAATTAATTAATAAGAGCTATGAGTGGGTGATGTATTTGTTCAGGCTATAAAAACATAAAATAGCAGTGCTTTACATTAAAAAAAAAACATATTTTTCCCTGATAAAACTAGCCTAACATTAGCAGCATGAAAACCAGGCAGATACTTGAAGGATGTAATGACAACAGGAAAATGGCAATTAAAGGAGGGCACCGTGGGGACACAGAGGGAAAGCTTCCCCTTCTCCCTCTGAAGGCTTGCAGAAAATGAACCAACAAAAGGCAGATTCATAGGAGAAATGGCCGTACAGATTAGTGAACATGCATAGCACAGGGGAGTCTCAGACAGTGATTGTCCAACAATGCAAGGAGGTCCAGGTGCTTATACATCCTTTTTCATGAGGGAAGGGAAGATGAGGGAGAGTAGGAGTAGAACTTTAGGACTTTAGGAGAGATAAACAGAGCCAATGTTTAGATCATGGTTAATAAATAATTCTCTTTGGGAATTAAATGGGACCAGAGAACAGACAGTAGTTTGGGATGCAGTTCTTCTGGGCTCTAGGTGTGGTGTTCAATTTTCAATCTCTTCCTCTTTGATATGAGTTCTAATCTTCTCTGGATAACGAAATGTCAGGGAAGGGATTGAAGGCAATTGCGTTTCTCTCTGGGGGACCTGGTTTTAGGTGCATAAGGGAATTTCAGAGAACAGCCTCATCTTGTGGCTTGGGAGAGGAAGAGGATTGAGAGAGAAAATTGGGAGGATGTCAGAGAGACCTTGAAGCTGCTACTTTAGTTCAGCACATCAAAGCACCATATTTTTGGGGTTTATTTTTTGAGCCCCAACAGCCAAAATAACCCACTTTACACTTGACCTTTATCACACTTTTAAATCTTTATAAAGGTTAAAGTTTAAGCATGTCATGAAATAAACTATGAAAAAGAAACAAACATCACAATGAGAGTAATGAGAAATTTATTATATGCTCAAATTTCAAATGATTTGCTTATTGTAAGGAAGTAAATCAGATTGAACCCATCACTTTTGTATTAATGCTGTTTGTGAGACTAAAACACACAGTCTGACATAAGCCAGTAGAAATAAGACTCACTGGTGAAGTTTTCTCTAGAATTAAAATAAAACAATACGTTTAAACTCTGATTTTATGATAAATTCATTTTGTACAATTGTAATTGATTTAAAAGAATTGACTTGGGTTTATGTTTTCCTGTGTCATAATTGAATTTCTATGAATTTTGTGAGTAAAGAATATATTCATTTGTATCAGTGATCCCTGCACTTTTCTATCTGCAGGAAAATAGTGATGTATTAAACTTCCTCTGTTAGGTGAAGATCTTTGGCACTAAGAAAGCCAATCATGTCATGAGCTGGAATATTTTCATTTAAAAAGCACAGTCGGACATTAAAAATGTGATAATCTTTATATCTTTAAACACTTTTTTGTAGGTAACCTTGGTGTGTATAATGGCAATAGAAGAGAATGAGATAGCGCTGGTCTATACTGAAATTACTCAGGAACAAACTATTTTGAGGCTCCTAAATTGGTGACTATCTAATAGTAGTTACCACCGTGAAGGATCTCAGGGTTGCTTATTGAAAATATAAAAGGGCATAAATGTATATAAAACAGTAGACAATAGAAACTAAGAAAGCAAAAAAAAAAAAAAACTGTTCTCCAATTTTTCTCTCTAAATATCCAAGTCTCTATGACCAGTGAAAACTCTGGATCAGAGGATTTCAAATTCTTCATGATTAAGGGACTAAAAACGTGGTACTATCATAAGGGTAATAGAATAAGGTCACTCTGCAGAGAAGCTTCCAGCAAGGCATGACTTTTGTGCATTTCTGTTACATCCAGACACATCCTGACTTTTGTGCATTTCTGTTACATCCAGAACATTGCCACCAAGAAACGATTTGTGGATGAAAAGCTTGGCTGAAAGGAGAGCCAAGACTCGCAGCCAAGTAACAGAGCCAGAGCCTAAGAGCTGGAAGAGTTGCCCATTGGTAGAGGTGGCTAGATTCCACAAAGTGGAGTCAGGGACATGTTTTACAAAGACTCTCGAAGGGAAACCAAGCTTGGAGCAAGGTTCGGTTAAGAAGTGAAGAGATGGAGCAGGAAGCCACTGGGCTTAAGTCAACAGTGAGAGTCAACTTAACAAGGTCTCACTTTTTATGCACAGCCTGACTTTTCCTTCATTGGAAAGGGACTGTGTCTTAGTTTGAGCAACTGATTTTGCATAAGAGACAGAAAATTGTTTCAACATCAGTCACTCTGTAATTTGATTTGGATTGATAACACCTATAGGCTTTTATATAGAAGAAAACTATGTTTAATCACAAAAGTAAATATTAGCTATGAGAAGAAGTTGCAGCATGAATCCGATTATAACCAACCTTTCCCACCCCATGAAAACATTGTTTTCAGCCGGGCGTGGTGGCTCACTCCTGTAATCCCAGCACTTTGGAAGGCTGAGGCAGGAGGATTGCCTGAGGTCAGGAGTTCGAGACCATCCTGGCTAACATGGTGAAACCCCCCATCCACTAAAAATAAAAAATAAAAAACACCACACCTGTAGTCCCAACTACTGGGGAGGCTGAGGCAGGAGAATCTCTTTAACCCAGGAAGCAGAGGTTGCAGTGAGCCAAGATCGTGCCACTGCACTCCAGTCTGGGCAACTGAAGGAGACTGTCAAAAAAAAAAAAAAATCACCATTATCTTCAGTCAATTTCCTAAGCACGTAATCAAAACACTGTGTTAGCACACTGCGTTTGCTTTTAAATACAAATTAGTTTTTGGCCATATTTACTAACATGTTGCTCCCAAAGTGTGTCTCCAATTTTTGTACATAAATCCAGAGGGAATCTAATAGGATTGCTCAAATATTATATGGGAAAGTGATCGGAAACTTCTAAAGCAGGGTATCAATGTAAATAATTTTTTCTATAATTACAGTAAAGAAAACTCTTTTTCCAGGTTTCATTGTAATGTGCAGTTTTAAAGTAGTGTCATCCTCCTGTTAAACCTTCTTTTCTGTACCTTTTACTTTTTTTAATTCAAGAAACTCTCAATGCCAGCCTCCTCCCCAGGGTACTTCCTGGCTTCTCTAGGCCACACTGACTTCTTCCTTTCTGAAATCTTTTTCACGTGTGGTCCAAACAACAGAATTCTGCACATAATTTCTTTGTTATTGTTTTATATACATCCTCACTTAATCTAAATTTTTTGAGGACTGAGAGCAGATTGTAATAATTAGAAAATCTCTCAGAGGATGGCCATGGCAGATTCACTGTGAACATGGCACTTGACATTTTTATGTATGAATAAGTGACTCCGGGTGAAATATGGCTGCAGAGGTTAGATACTGCCTTTTCTGCTGAAAACAACACAAAAGCAAAAAGGAGAATGAGAAAAACAGACCTCTACTCCTGTCAAGACCACAGATCTCAAAACATTTTTAAGAGCTGCTAAAAGCAGCTAAGATTGGGCAGAAGCCACAGGAAGAGATTGAAAGCAGAACAAAGAAGAGTTCAGAAAGCCTAAGAAAAAGCACGTTTCCTGAAGATGAAGGACTCACCTGAAGTTCACATGCTATGCCTCTTCCTTATGCCAATGGAAATCAAACCTAAAATGAGCAGAGCTAGGAGAAAATGTTCTCCTAAGCCTTGTTTAGTTCAGTGGTACTGCGGAGATGGGCCGTACTAACTCACCGAGGTAAACTATAGTGGCTGGAGGCATCTATTTTGGCAGAGCTATTTCAGCACCATGACACCTGTTCTCTCACCGGATGCTTTTTCCCCAATAATCTTTAGGAGGGCCCAAGGAGAAAGTGGGGCTGAAATGTCTGTTAGGAAGTTATTACTACTTGAACAATGAATAGTGACTGTCATCCACAAATCAGATACCTCACTCAACTTCCTTGACAAGAGGCCTGGAAGGATTAGGGGAAAGATTTTTCTCTTGAAAACCAAAACAGTGGGAAATTATCAACACCTATAATAATTATCATTACTCTGATTTTACTATACTACTTTATTGCTTGAACAATAAACAGTGACTGTCATCCGCAAATCAGATACCTCACTCAGCCTCCTTGACAAGAGTCCTGGAAGGATTGGGGGAAAGATTTTTCTCTTGAAATCCAAAACAGTGGGAAATTATCAACCCCTATAATAATTATCATTACTCTTATTTTACTATACTACTTTATTGCTATTAAAATTATCCAAGTATATATTTTTCTTAAATCATGAGGAAAAGGGAACTATTATATATTGAAAGCCTACTATAGTCAAAATACTTTCATATGTCTCATTTAATTTTCATTCAACTTCATCTATATTATGATAAAAATGTATAAGCAAGTTTTACTTATAAAAATTCTAATCAAGTGCTAATGCAAGAATTGAACCTGTGGCTTCTGCTCCTGAAATGCTTTATTAATCATACTTTTTTGTTTCCTTCTAAACAGTGTGAATGAGTGGAGGTAAGGAAAGTCTTAATAACATAATATTTAATGAAAACTAAAATGATATTATTTAAAAATTACTCTATTATGTTATATACCACCAAGAAAGAAAAGGCACTGCCAATTAAACTGTGATATGGAGAGCTTGCATGTCCATGACAGAAAGCACCTGATTATCAGTGATATTAAATGCTACTATGCATCTATCACAGATGCTAAAATGTAAAAACAAGGATTAGAATTGATGAAAATTAGAAAATTAAAACTTGAAAAATAAATTCCACCGTTTTATAATTGTGACAAACAATTGGACTTGAGTTAAATTTGATTGTAAAAATGGTGTGACTCAGTCTAGCCTTTTGATAATAACCACTCAAAGGATAGTTTATTGCTGGTTGCTAATATCTAGTGTGACTCAGTTTTGGTTAACACTTCAAAGTGGTTGTGTCATTTTTGTTTGTGTATGATAAGAATGAAATAAAAGTTAAACATATAATTCTCTTTTATCAATTACACATTTCCAGATATGGAAGGGTGCTTAAAGCTAAATTCCCACTGCCAGCCAATGTATTTTGAAATTTTGTGGTTCTTGATTTTTGACTCAATCACCTACTATTAAGTTTCTTTTTGTTTACTAAGTTAACCTGACGCATTTTTACTTATAGCTTTCCAAAAATAATCAATAAAACACTTATGCTTGAGTCAAGAATAAGGATCTTTGTTAAAATAGCAACTACCAGAATATATATTTCGGGCATGGGAATGAATATACTTTATTCAAATTTTCATGATATAAGCAAGAGAAGAGATGTCTACGGAGGAAAATCAGGAGTTTCCATTTACATAATTTATTAAATTCTCTACGAATATCTCATAAAATAGGAAAATAATTAGTGAATTACTCTTGATTTTTTTGTTTGAACATTAAATATCTATGCCATTTTGCAATTGATATTGCCCAAAAAACCTACCTTTTTCTTTTAAAGAACATTTATGCTTATCCCATGGTTTGGAAAATGCAGCGTTTAAAGAAAACTGTGTAGTTTTCTTGATAATAGTCATAAATTAATTTCTGAGGAACAAGAATTTTTAATCACTTTCTTCTTCATCTGGTATCACCTCTCTAAAAAGAATCACAGAAGGAGAGTTTTAACTATCTCTGGGATTTAGAATTATATTTAAATAAACTTAATTTTAACATTATTTGCTGTTAAGGTGTATTAGGTTTAATAAATGCAGTCCCTAATACATAGAACATATAATCGTTATAAAATAGTCTTTCCTTTAAGATAACCTTGACTCCACGGATATTTTTAAAGGACACTAATATATTATAAAGCAGGCTGTGTAAAGAAACTAAGGGTTATTCCAGGTGGTAGCACTTTAAAATAACATACAACTCCTATCTGTTGTCTGTCTGTCTGTCTGTCTGTCTGTCTGTCTATCTACCTATCTATCCATCCAGCTATCTTCCTCCATCCATATGCCAACAGAACCTTGTTCTCAAAAGAGCTAGATTTTATCTAGCATAAATTGTGTAAAAGGGGGTTTGTCTCAATTACACTGCTAACTCTTTTAAAATTTTTTTTCTTTTTTTCCTACATTACTCTCATCAACTTGGTAACATTCTGCTTCCTCTACCTGTATGAGCAGAAGGGGGATGGAGGGCAGGCCACACACCCAACAGTGCCATCCAAGCTTCCATGTGTCTTGGGCTCTACCGCAGTGGCAGAAAGAGCAAGGAGATTCCTCAGAGAAAGTTAAAATAGCAGTGGAGAAAAAATTTTAATGTATGACCCATATAATAGCCTCTGTATTTTAAGAGAAGCAACTTAAAATCTTAATTCCTTCACTCAAGTTGTTTAAATATATTTGCACCTGCAGGCATTTTTATATGAGAGAGATGAATTCGATATTTAATGAGTAACTATTTTGCAAAGGGTAGTTTGTGAACAAGAAAATATGTCTTTGGTGGCTATTTTCATTCAAAAAGGTTAAGACAGCTTTTTTGAGTTTTATGGAAAACATGGAATACGTTTATAACAGACTCATTATATTTATTACAATATTAATTGTAAAAATTTATACAATAATGTTAGTATCTAGGCATCATTTGCTAGTGGAAACAAATAATTAGTTCTAAAAACTTGTCGTTCAGCAGGCCACCAGGAGAGGCAAGGTGAGCTACCCAACTCTCAGGCAGCAGGCATTCATCATTGACTTGCACAGCCCTTAAGCATCCTTCTAATGCCTGTATTGCTCAAAATGTTAAAGTAGGATCCAGAATCTTTTATTTCTTTTTCTATTTTCTGAAACGACTATATTTGATATTTTTGAAAGACATTTCTTAGATCTTTATATGTAAGTCTCTAATGACTTCCCACCATGGTGAACTGAGATCATTCTCCTCCAGAACTTTAGCCTCTCCATTTTCGTTTTTAAGCAAAGACCAGAGTCTGAACTGCAGAATAAATACTATTTCTTATTTTATATCAGGCAACTTTTCTTCCTTATGTGAACCCTCAGGTAATGAGCTCTCTATTCTGCTTTACACTCTGAAATGTCTGCGTAGAAGAGATGGTGACTCTTCATCCCCATGTACCTGGGAAGTGTTCTACTGGAACGAAAATTCTGCCTCAAAGCTGTGTTAACCTCGCAGTAACATGAGTGCAGAAGAAAATTCCTATTCCTATGTCTGTCAGGTTTTCTCCTTTCCAAATGCAAAGGGAACTATTGGAACACTCAATGATTCTCATACTTATGCATTAAAACCTGACTACCTTTGATACGAACACTTAGGGTATACATGTTTTCTCAGAATCTGTTAGGTATCCTAAATTTGAAACCTATTATTGGCAATAGACAATAGTGCTATCAGGGGAAAAGAAGGAAGACAGAGCATATAGAAGAAAAGGAAACAAAGACTTAAAGAAAGGAAGAAAATGGATGTAAAATATGAGTGTACCCAGAACATCAGTCAATCCAAGTCTGTTGTCCAAAGCCTTCCACAAGTTAATGTCACGCTCAAGTGAAAGATACCTCCTCTCTGGAGAAGTTTAATAAGTCCCCAGATATTCACATCCCAAAAAAATGTATCACTATTTATGGCCATTTTTGAAAATGTGCATTTAATCCACATTTATGAGAAAGGTAAACTTGGAGTAATTTTCATCTATTGCGATTACTGATGTATTGATTTATTTTCACATTTTTTCTTGTGATTTATTCTGTTTTTCCCCTTTTACCCCATTTCTTCTTTCAAATTAATTGAGGGTTTGTTGTTTATTTGTTTAGTTTTCACATTTCATTTTTCACCTATTAGTATGAAGGTTATACTCTCCTTGTTATTTTTTAACTAGTTACCATAGGTGGTATAACATGCCTATTTAATTAAAATTATGAAAATTAACCTCCGTAGAAATAACAGACAACATTAACTCCTTTCACCTTTTCTCACATTCTTGTTAATTTTGTCCGGTATCTTGGTTCTATATTGCCTATTTTTTAATCACAAATTAGAAATTACTATGATTGCTTTAGTGATTCCATAAATTCCCAGATTTACTCACCCATTTTCTAACATTTTTGCTTTCTATTCTTTTCTGTATCTCAGATTTGCTCTCTAGAGTAATTTCACTTCTCTCTGAATTTTACCTTCTATGATTTCTTTTAGGAAAGATTGGCAGTAGATTTCATCGTTATTTGTCTTTATTTTACCCTTGTCCTTGAAAGACATTTTCACACAGTTTAGAATTTAGTGATTTTTGTCCACACTTCAGATGTTCAGTTTTGCTTAGAATATTCTCATCACTGACTGCCCATCATGCATCTACAATCTCAGCCTCGTTCATTTCAGGAGACCCTTACAGAATGGCCTTTTAAAAACATCTTCCTAAGTTCTAGGTAAAATATTTGAAAAGAAATTGCAAGATTATGCACTTAGATAATTGTACTCAGTGAATCTTTTTTGTTATAATTTTTGACTCCTGCAAATACCAGACCCTGAGAGAAGTGATTTCATTTTTATATAGTTTTTCTGCTAAAAATGCATCAACTACTTAAAGATGTGTATTAGTTTCCTAGGGCTGTGGTAATAAATTACTACAAACAGGTTAGCTTCAAACAAGAGAAATGTATTATCTCTCTCAGTTCTGGAGGCTAGAAGTACAAAAGAAACCAAAGCATGAGCAGAACCTCAGTGCCCCTGAAGGCTCCAAGAAAGTGTCCTTCCTTGCCTCTCCTGGTTTCTTGTGGCTCCAAGTGTTCCTTCATTTGGGACTGCATGACTTCAGTTTCTACTTCACACTGTCTTCTTCTTATGTCTCAGCATCTCTTCCTTCCTGTCTCTTATAAAGGCCCATGCTAATCCAGGATGACCTCATCTTAAGATCCTTACCTTAATTACACCTATAAAGACTGTCATTCCAAATAGGGTCACATTCTGAGGTCCCGAGCAGATAGGCCTTTTGGTGGCCACACTTCAAGCCACCACAAGATGCCTCTGCATTTGAAGAAAACTTTGTAGAAAAACTGTGCTTGAGAATACATTCAATTTTGGAATTTTAGAGTAAAATTATAAAATGTGGCAGTAGAAAAACTAGACTTTTAACTAGGATTTAGGGTTTTCTAGCTTTTTAATAAATTTCTTAATTTTGTTAATGAAACGTTGAAATAAGTGATACATTGTACCAACTCATGGGGACTCAGCTGACAGACTTTGCTGTTCTCTCATCTACGTGGCTTCTGGAGTCAGCACTCAGGATGACATGAGCCCATTGTTACCTTTTGTGTGATAATTACATCTTTTAGGCATTGCCAGATTTGGCTGGTGTGCAGATCTCCATTCTAGATCTATAACTTGCAAGGATACTTGAAACCATTAAGAAATTGTTGTACTTTCTAGAGAAGTTATGTTAAATACAGTTCCAAAGATTCCGTTTCCTATAGAGAACACTATGGGAGAATAAGATGAAACAGAGTTTTGAAAGCTGCTGGAGTCAAACTTTTTCCAACTCTTGTGATCTCCTTCTATTATAAGGAATTTTGGTGAATGCAGTCTGGGAAGTATGTGTTGTCAACCTTCTCTCTTCTATCATTTCTCAGCAGAGTGGAGTCATCCTTAAACTGTCATCTCTCTTTTATAGAGTTGAAACAATTATGAAAGAACGTGTAGGTTTCACGTGATTTTGTCACAGTCAGCATGCCACTGGACATGTCCAGAGTTAAAACCATTAAAGTGAATTTAATGCTTGTGAAAGTTGCTGATGTAGGGAAGACCATGTTTTATTTTGTTTTGTTATTTTTAATTCACTTGTCTGTATAGAGAGCATCAGATTCTCTTTTTTTATTTTTGACAATTGATTTTACTTATAAAGGGGTTAACTGCTTGAGCTCCAAGAAAATTATCCTTTTTTTAATGCCAACAAAACCACTTATAGAATTCGTATACAGAACTCGAAAGGCTCTTAACTCATTCATTTGTATTACATGTACAGTAGGTCTAGGCTATCTTATGAACAGAATGTGTTAGGTTCAGAGAGTTGATTCAAAGGCTATATGGCTGCATTTTAAGCAAATAACTGAGTGGACTTTCCCCCCGTGTGTAGTTCCCTTCTGAAGACATTCTGGCATGTGGCCCCTCTATTTGATAGCCCCTCAAGGGACTTTCAAGTGTCTAGATTGTTTAAAAGTATGTGCCCATTTATAGAAGTGACTTAGGCCTTCCTTCAATCATTTCATATCTTACAAATAAATATACTAAAAAGTTGCCTTTGTGCCTAATTTGGGGGAAAATATACAGAATAGAATACAGAATAGATATATAATAGAATTTTATATCCAGAAAATATCCTAAAGATGATCTAGCTCTAGTTCAGACACTCTGCATGTTCACCCAAGGGCAGCGTTCACCATTCTGCTCATCATATATAATATGATGCTGGTCTTGAGCCAGACTGTTTATGCACTGAAGCAAAGACAAAGTTCCAAGATGCCATCCCACTGAGAAGGTCCCTTTCAAATGCTACCCTGGGAGGCATTAACAGTATTTCTTAATACCAATAGTAATCAGAAAAGCTATAAAACTTAAAACTAGCCACTGTTGGTTATCTCGTCCTCCCAGGAATAGCAGAAACGCTGTTAAGAGAATTCTTGAGAGTCCTCTGAGCTCATCTGATATCCCTGGCAAGCCTGTGGAAGTCAGCTATTTTCAGCCCATGTTTCAAACCCTTCTGCCAGAGTGCCAGCCCTGGCCCCAGAGTTAGGATACAGAAATATACAACTCTAAGAATGTTTTTCTCTTCAAATCAAGGGAGATATTAAACTCTGTAGGGCAGATTTAAAGCATTCAGCAGAAGGGCTTTTATATACAAACACTAACCCGTAGGAGTCTTGGATAGAATAATCCATTGGGGTTTTAAAAGTCAGATGAAAAATCTGAACCTTAAATGCTGAGTTAGACTTCATCTACCAGGGGAACTAATCTAAAATCTCTCTGATTTCTTCAGTTAGAATCTATCTTGTCTGTTTTTACAGGAAAGAACACTGAACCATTCAGTAGAATACAGAGGATCCTACAGGGAACTCAAGCTAACATAAAATATTGCACCTGTCTCTAAAATACTTAAATGACTATTTACAGATCAGAAAATTGAAAACAATAAACAAAGCAGGAAGTAGTCTCTCTCTATATATATACACAAGGGTCTTGGGTCATTTTTGCTGAGACCCTGGAACAGGGGTAAATTGCAATCAGATTGTGGACTGGCATCAGAATGGCAAGATTGGTAAAAAGAAACAGACACAGCCAATATAAATTGAGGATGGGAGCAGTGGAGACCAGGATCAAGTTGCTGAAGCAATGGGCTTGAACATAACGTATCTGCCTTCTCTTGATTGTCCCTATTCTTCAGGAGTCTGTGTCAAAGGCTGTGAGCTCCAGCAGCCTCCCCAGAGGTAATAACGATGTAGTGGTTGGTGGTGGCTACACTCAGGTAGACCACAGGTTGTGTCTTATGAAGACTCCATACCCCTTCTGGTAACAAACAAGCCTTTGTGTAGAACTGTTTTCCCATGGCTTAGAAAGTTCTGACTCTTTTCTCTCTCTTGCACCAGAGTGGGGAAAAACTGGGAAAAGCTCACAAAAGTTTGCCTGGGGTACAGTAAGTAGCCAGTGGATTAGCACTGACCCAAGCAGGGCCAATCAAAATGCTCCGAGGTCATTGCTGGAACCATCAAGAGGAATGTGATTTTGATTTCCTTGGGCTTGTCAGCCAGAAGAATGAAGAGAGCAGGAACTTCTTGTCTCCATCTTGGCCACCACTTGAGGGCAGCCTTCTGGAGAACAAGACTGGTTCAACTTCTGGGTCCCACGGAGCTCCTGGACTGCCAGCTACATGTCATGAAATTTGCTTTACTTTGTGAATATGTCATCTGAAACTAAAGGAGCCCTAACTCAGAAAATTAAAACAGCTTTATTCACAACAGCTACATAACCTTGATATTCACTTTACCTTCTATGTTTCATGCAACTTCCTCTTCTTTAACTAGTTTGCTACTAGTTTTGAGGAAAGATTTCTGCTTTGCTCCTATCGTCTGGCTATGATGTGACCATTGACCCTGTCCTATATTTAAATCTAAATCTGTATGCCAAGTGTCTTAAGTTTTCTTAATAAAAGGAAATGGACTAAAACTTTATGATGTGAATTAATTAACATAATAACATGGAGAAATCAGTCTGATCATTCCCACTCTTAAAAGTGGTCATTCATATATATCCTGATTGCATACCACCCACATAACATTTATACTTCTTAGCTCCCTTGTACAAGAATTTATAAGTGTCTCATTAATAACATAAACAACAAGGAAAATCAAGGGAACACCCAAACACTATTTCATAAAAGCACAATGAGTTGCAAGAATGCTATACAAACAGACTTGAAGAATGCAAGTTTATTTTTTACCTCTGGAGTGGTTAAGTGTTTTCTCATTTTAGAACCATTAAATACAAAATAATAACACAGACTTGTTGGAAATGTGATATCGTGTAAAGCAAAGCCACACAATATCAAAAATAACCTCTTGAAAGAACCAGCTGTCACAAAACTGAATAACAAAAGCCAATTGATAAAACCCAGTTGATTAGCTAAATGCAATGATTTCTTAGGGCTTATTTCACTGTTGGTTTGCAACAAATCATTTGTCAATCATAATGCCCTTTGCCATAATTATTCCTAGTCCCCATCCCTAGTTCCAAATCAGGACCACTGATGGACAGAATTTATAGCTCACTTCATTTTGTAAAATATTTATGGTGAGACCATGTGAGACCTTCAGGGCTTTGAAGGAAAAGTTGCATAATGCTTTTCTTTTCTTTCTTTTCTTTTTTTTTTTTTTTTGGATGTTTCTTTTGGTCTTTGCCAAACTCAAGTTTACAAACACAAATGGTCACTTTGCATAAGGCATTGCATTGGCTGCGTCAAACAAACCTGAACAAAAATAGCCTCTGCTCACAGGAAGTCTGTGATTTGATTGAGAAGAGATATACAGTATAATGCAAACTGTTATCCACACACATATATTCCACACACTGTTTAAGGAACACCCTGGACTGACATTTCAATACTGTGAGAGTTTCCATATAAATCTGGGTTTGCAACTTCTGTTGACTCCCATTGTAAGCGACCCTTAGTGTCAGTGGAGAAATTGACGCAAGATTTTTTTCTCCTTAGCTCAGCCAGGGCTGGGTTCTTGTTTCATTGCCAGGAAGAAATGGGCACATGGACATCAAAGAGTGACTGGAGTAGAATTTATTAAGCGAAAAGGAAAGTTCTCAGCAAAGACAGGGGTCCTGAAAGCAGGTTCCCGGTTGCCCCCTTTACAGTAGAATGCCAGGGCTTTTTTATATATAAGCTGATGGGGCTGGGTTCCCTATTTGTGTAAGGTGTGAATTCTTGGTAGCTCCACCCCATTCCCCCAGTGTACATGTGGGCCCTTAGTCCACTGTGGGCATATTTAGGCAAGCCCCCTTTGCAAGTTGCCTTATGTGAAGAAAACATCCGGTACAAGCACCTGAGAGGTGGGGCGGAGGCTCTCCAGGGGCCCTCCCTTTGCAGTGTGCCTGAAGCAAGCTGGCTAACTCCTTTCAAAATCCTGAATGTTCCAGATGCAAGGCCTCTCACTGGCAGTCTTGTAGTCCCCAGAGGGCATGCTCCAGGCTGCGTTGTGTTTCTATGACAAGACTGTAGAGCTTATGACAATCATTTAAGAGGTTCAAATGAGTTTCTCCAATTCAAGATCATGGGACAAAAGCATATAGAACCTCTTGTTATAAATAAAGTCTTGGTGCCACAAAAGAAATAGCACTTGAATATAAAATTTTCTTTTTAATTCTCAGCAAGGCAATGTACTTCTATAGAAGGGTGCACCCTTACAGATGGAGCAATTGTGAGCGCACACTTGGATGAGGGAGGGGAAGGCGTTCTTGTCCCTGACGCACATGGCCCCTGCTGCAGTGTAGTTCCCCTATTGGCTAGGGTTAGACTGTACAGGCTAAACTAATTCCAACTGGCTAATTTAAAGAGAGTGACGGGGTGAGTGGTTTGGCAGGAAAAATGGTTATGACAGAGCAGTTAATCGGAATGAGTCAGGGTGGAGCAGGTAATCGAAAATGGTTGCTTTATGAGGAAGTTAAGTTTAAAAGTAGAAGGCAAAGAATTGAACATACTGACATATTGATTCTTTGAAGAGAAATTTAGAACTCATATCTAACACTCTTACTGAGGCTTTGATTTATTTCAACTTGTTTTCACAGTATTAGGCACAAAGAACAAATGTAAAAATACAGGAGTTGAAGGTATCACCTGAGTTGTTAAGAGGGTAAGTTTATGTTATGTGGATGTGAGTTTGTTTTTTTTTTAACTACAATTTAAAAATATATGTGGTTATATATATCACCTTGGGCACAGCTAATTACACATGGCAAATTATATAAACATTTTTTATTTGACAAGTAAAAAATTGTATATATTTATGGCGTACAACATGATGTTTTGATGTATGTATAAGTTGTGGAACGGCTTAACCAAGCTATTTAACATATGTACAAATTATGACATCATAAATACAAAATGTTGGGGAGTGTGGAGTAAACAGCACAGAATTATTTTGTGTGATAAAAGTTAAGGTGTCATCAGCTTAAAATAGATTGCTATAACTTTAAGATATTTTATGTAAGCCTAATGGAATCTATAAACCAGAAAGCTATAGTAGTTATAAGTATTAGTTTTAAAGTACTCATGTGATCTTAATTGGTAGCCCTAGCACAGAAAGAAATGGCTAGGGTTAAAACAACAGGTTATTTTTGGCAGGCGACATTATTGCTCAAAATTAGAGAGTAGGAATATGGATAAGCACATACTTGCAACCTTATTTCTAAGTTCAATAAAATAATGAAATTAATTGGAGATACTAAACTGTCATAACCTCTTTAGTTCTCAATCATTTTGACAGCTTCCCATCACACAGGAACTTTGCCAAGAACCTTTGACTAATTCTTTTTTCCAAATTACTTTGACTTAGAATGCCTGTTTCTTCATGACGTCTGAACATCAGTCTTTTTTTTCTTTTGCATCTTAAGTACTTAGCTCTTATGGGACATTGCAAAAAGCATTTGCAAATGACCAAGTATTTTAAAGTTAAGTTTCAAGCTTAATTTTCTTTCATATTAAGTAAATTAGTGAACCAATGAAAAAGCCCCTTTTATCAGATATTCTTTTTATGCCTACCAACCAGCCCTGGGAAAATGGTCTATGGGTTGAAAAATGCTATATATGCCATGCTAGACGTGCAGCTCACATTCCTAGGATCTTTTGAAACTCAAGTAATGAGAGAACAAAAGTCCTGCCAAGCATAAATTGCCACTGTAAATGAAGAATGCTTCTATTCACATTAAAATGACTCATTATTGAGGTTCTGTTCTGCTATGATTTACCTACCTGTGTTTAAACCCGACTCTGGGAAAGAACAATGGCATTTTCCTCTTAAAATAAACAAGTTTCTCAGAGCTGACCAGCTGACCATCTTCCTCTTGCTTTTTACTTTGCATTACAGTATCTGGATTTCCTTTAAAATTTTCTAGGTGACTTAAGGATTCTATTAGAATGGTGACAATAAATTGAAATGTAGTAGAGAAAGCAGTCCATATTTTGAGGGCCTTTTGGGCCATATTGTTGATTGATGAGGTATATTGACATTAAAATAAAAAAAAGTTTTGGTAGCAATATAGAGAAAACAATAGTGCAAATAAATGGCTTTTTACTTTTTGTTTCGTATTTCCTTATTCTCGCTTGCTTGCTTGTTTGCTTGCATTTTTGCTTGCTTTCTTTCTTACCTTCCTTCTTTTTTTTTTTTTTTTTTTTTTTTTTGCGGGGTTGAGGGGGCAGTATTGGCAGGAAATAAACCCTATGCTTTAGGAGAAGTAAGTAGTTCCACCTCTGGAATGGAGAGTAACTACATATGCTCTTTGAAATTCCTCTGTAATGAAGTTTTGCCTCTGGTTACCCATTTACCTGTCTTAGTATAAACGCCTGTGGTTTGTTTTTTTTTTTTTTTTTAAGTACTTTTCTATATAAACTCATTTTACATTGTTTTTTTTTTTTGTTGCTTAAATTGTTTCAGCTTTGTCCATTGGGAGCTGTTTCAGATTGGCTCTTGTGTTCTTTTGACGCAGCCCTGTCTTTTTGTTTGTTTGGTTGGTTTTCAGCCTTTACTTTATGGGATTCCAAAATACTCTGGGGTCATCTTATACTTTCCCTGCCCCACCCCTCCATCAGCCATTTCTCCAAGGTGTCTTCGTTCCTTTTTCGTAGAGAATGATATTTAGAAACCAAGAACTGGTTGCTGAGTATATCCACTATACTGAGCATAGCTGCCTCTAGGGTCTCTCAGCAGACAGAGCTAGGAAATAGATGCATGCTTTCTAACCTATGCATACACACATATCCATAATTATTTCTGCATTTATCATATATACGTATAAAAGTAAACCTGAGTTCATATTGATGTCTCTGAATCTGATCTTGTGCCACACTGTTTAATACAGCCTTCTCCTCCTTGCTTTACTACAGCTTCTTTCTCCGACAGTAAAAAAAAAAAAAAAAAAAAAAAAAAGTCGAATCTCATTATTAGTATTTTTTTAACTAATAGAAACTTAATGGATCTCTGCAATAGTTTGAAAGAATAGAACTTATGTTTATGCAAATTCTGCCAATTATCCCAGAGACTGGCCTATGAGATCATAACCATCAAGTCATCTCATCTCAGGACTTAATGTGTCTAGTTCCTTTAAATGTAACTTATAGGGCATAGCATCCAATTCCTTTGCCAAACACATTGCAATAGTGCTACTATTTGGTGCTTAGAAATAGGGGGAAAATATAATTGTGCTTGATACTTGGTCCACTGTTTAATGCCTGTGACCTTGGGAAAGTTATTTAACTTCTCCAACATGCAATGTCTTCATCTATGAAATGGGCTTAGTATCAAACTTCTCTAAAAGTTCTGATAGAATTATCTGTAAAGCTATCTAAAATATACAGCACAAAGCTTGGCAGATATTTAACACATGTTGACTCTACTTACAATTTTTGAAATATTAATGCATAGTAAAGTAATATCTTTCTTATTACACACATTATTTTGAATTAAAATAAACATTGCAATAACCAAAAATACTTCTAATTTGGAAATCCTTACTAAACATATCTCCATTTCTTGCCTAATGTTTCTTACATTTCTATACAGTAATTATCAATACTATTCATATTTATACGAGAGGCAAGGTCCTACAAGATGTTGGTGACTTTGTTAATCATCAGAAAAAAAAATTATCATAGTTTATATAGACTTAATGAAAGTTATTTATTGCACAATATTTCCAAATGGTTTTTAAAAAAAAAATATTTAAAGACTTATGGGCAATATAGAAGAATGGTTCAAATAATTGCTGGATATCCTTTACAGAATCCTCAAATATTAATATTTTACTGCATTTAAAAATTTTTTCTCAATTATTTTAGAGGCAAGAATAATGTTTCTTTGTTTGTAAATACTCCAGTGAATATTTCCTAATAATGGACAATCTAGCATACTTTGTCCTGTTTCATTTATTTATTTTTTGTATGAGAAATAACATTAACTTCAGAGACAGAAAAACTGCTTAAGTGGATAACTAAAATGGCTGTGACTATTATCTTGGGAAAATTACATTACCTCTCATAGGTAAAATAAAGTAGATAAAGATGATTACTAACTCTTCTTTCAGAACTAAGACAGTAATGATAATGATGGTGATCATGATAGTGATGATAATAAAAAGGCAATATTACGAGATATTAATAGTTGGTCAGTAAGATCATTAAAAGAGCCATACAAATTACTATTAGGACAAAACAGTACTAGTTAATATCTGTAGTTAATAGTGAATCAATAACCTTTCTGTAAAGAAGAGCTTATTGTTTTTGATAATGCTGAAATAATGATAATGTTTGTTTTATATACAAATTAAATACCAAGTGTTTCTTTAAATGAACCTTACACACTTCGATTAGTATTTTTCCTGAACCACCATATTTTAAAATCCTGCTTCAATTCCTCCTTTCCATTTTAGTTAGAGTTTTAAAATTTTTGCTAGACATAATAAAAATCTTATGTAACTGTTGCTGATATAGTGGCACATTTTCTTTTTCAAACTAGGATACTAACATATGAATTTGGAGTGTGCTAGCAGCTCATGACTCTTTGTTTTCCAGAAGGCATTAGCATTCTTAAACAGGGTATGTATTAATCATGGCTTATACTTTTTTTTTTAATGTCAAAGAGAGAGCAGTGTCTCATTTACCAAACAGCAAGCTAAACGCACATCCCAGGCCTGACACTTGAGGAAGCTCAGCCTGTCCATTGGTTGAGAGTAGTTAGTGGTGGGTGGTTTGGCACTTTTGGCCCTGTCACTACCTCAGTTGGAATTTGGAGACATGGGTGCTGCTCTTCATTTTTTAAGAAATTTCCCAGATTTTGAAGATGGAAAATTTGCTCTATTCTTACACAGTGAGTCCAGGTGTAAAAATGTCACTTCTTGGCCGGGCATAGTGGCTCACACCTGTAATTCCCAACACTTTGGGAGGCCAAAGAGGGCAGACCACGAGGTCAAGAGTTGAGACCAGCCTGGCCAACATAGTGAAACCCCATCTC
This sequence comes from Homo sapiens, assembly GCF_000001405.40. Lineage (NCBI taxonomy): Eukaryota > Metazoa > Chordata > Mammalia > Primates > Hominidae > Homo > Homo sapiens. Next base: position 108,079,957 of record NC_000013.11, on the reverse strand, counting down.
TACTAAAAATACAAAAAAATTAGCCAGACGTGGTGGTAGGCACCTGTAATCACAGCTACTAGGGAGGCTGAGGCAGGAGAATCAGTTGAACCCAGGAGGTGGAGGTTGCAGTGAGCCAAGATCGTGCCACTGCACTCCAGCCAGGGCAACAGTGCGAGACTCCATTTTTTTTTTTTTTAAAGTCACTTCTTAATAATCATCACTTACATTTATAGAGTTTCTTTGCTCCTTAAGGCTGGAATCTCATCTTTTTGGATTCCAAGCCACTTTTGATTCAGGATTTAATTCTAGGCCTTAGGGTTGTCATTATAAGTCTCTCCATCATACACAGGAGCTGAAATGTTGTAGTATTTTTTATGGAACCTATTAGATAAAATTGAAAATCTCTAAGCAGTGGTGGAGCAGGGATTTCAAAGATATGCTTTAAGTATTTCTAGGAGATATTTGTACTTTATGGAATTGTTCAGATTTCTAGGCTTCTGAAAGGTTTCATCAATGTCATTAAGCAGTTCGTCAAGATTGAGACAGTCAATTCCAGAAACTTCTCAGAAGAAAAAAAGATAAAAATAGATTGGGACAGATCATACATATATAATTGATCACATCTGAATTGCTATAGGACTTTTGGGGAGATATACAAATATATATGATGTTCATTTGCCTAATGATATGATTCAGTCTTCATGCATCGTTTTATTTATTTGAAAGGGACTGTGCTTGTCTTTGGGGGCAGTGTTGTATAGTAGAGAAAGCATGAAATTTGAGAACAAGCAAATGAGGAAGCAGAATCAAGTTCATGTTCTGGCTCCATATTTCAAGGTTGAAGTAGTTTTATCACTGTAAACTGTGGAAGAGTAACACTAACTTGTGAAAATTAGCTTTAACAAATGCCAAGAATATAATGTATGATAGTGTGTTACTCTGGGTTCTCCAAGAAGTAGATGCCATGATGGGATTAGATATGGAAAAAGTTTATTAGGAGAAATGTCTGTGAAGGATAAAAGGGGAGGACTCAGTTGGGAACAGGCAGGAAAAGTCTTCAGATCATGATGCAGATGACTGTGAAAGGAGCGGGAGAGCAAATTAGAAAGAAGAGTGTGTGACCATGGTGGAGTCCTGAGGAAATTTCACAGGCAAATGAGGAGTTTCCAAGCAAAGGCTGCCTGTGGAAAGGATCCCATGTCAGTTAGATATGGGCAACACCAGTGCCACCACCATGGTCATTGCCTGGTAGTAACCCAGAGGGGCCGTGACATCAGTGGAAATGCAGCATGGACTCAAGTGTCAATGGTTGAAGCTGGTCAGTGATGCTCCCCACAGCGGGCTCTCTTGACGGAGATTTGAGCAGTGAACTTCTCTGGCCATCAGTGGTCAGGTCTCTGGCCATCGGTGGTCAGGAAACACAATAAAGAATAACTCATATTATAAGGTAATCTTAATCAGAAAGAAAATGTTGGATTTTTCAAGGAAAATTCTGATAGATTTAGTTAGTAGTTTCATAATGTATTAAGTCAGCATATTAAAGAAAGATATACTGGTCAACAAAGCAATGTAGAGAAACAGATTAGGAGTAATACATTGTAGAATATAGTTTAATTCAATGGACTTGGGGCTTACCTGTCAACTAAGCATGACTTTTCTCTTCATCACAATGGTTTTATTATGAGAAAGATAGTGTGCAAGTAATGCAATTGTAGCTAGAAAGGAGAAAAATATGTGACTAAACTGCTTCATCTGAAGAGGAGATTGCCCTGGAGTTTACAAAATACACTTTCAAATAATCTAAGTTCACCCGGAAATATTATACCTCATCAAGTGTAGTGTAAGGATCCTATATCGGTACAGACAGTCTCCAACTTACAATGGTTTGACTCATAATTTTTCAACTTTACAATGCTGCAAATGCAAAATGAATTTAGTAAGTTTCTTGACTTAAGTTGATGGAGTTACTTTTGTCCAGATATAACTTATGATGAGATTACATCTTGATAGAAGTGCCCCCATCGCAAGTCCAGCAGCATCCACATATTCCTCATTCCTCCCCACATTGCCTATGCCAATTTTGTCTTATATTTCACTTTTACTTATGCTACAATCACACAATACATTGTTAATATTATACCTTTAAAATATTATTTTTCTTTGAGAGCAATTATAACATGATAAAATATTTTATTTTCCTTCATTTGTTCCATTTCAAATACTCTTCATTGCTTCATGTAGATCTGGGTTTCTAATAACCTTTATCATCTTCTTTCAGCTTGAAGGACTTCTTTAACATTTCTTGTAGAAGTGTGCTGCCAATGAATCCCCTCAGTTTTTTTCTGCCTAAGAAAGTTTTTATTTCTCTTCATTTTGGGAAAATATTGTTACTAGATATGGAAATCTAGGTTGACAGATCTATTCTTTCAACTCTTTAAATATGTCATTCCATTGTCTTCCAGCTTGCATGGTTTCTGGTGAGAAGTATGTCATCATTCTTATCCGGGTTTCTCTGCAGGAAAAGTGTTGTTTTCTCTTAGCTACCTTCAAGATTCTCTCTTTATCTTTGGTTCAGGGATTTGAATATGATATGTTTAGAGGGGTGTGTGTGTATTGTTATTGTTATTGTTGTTGTTGTTTATCATGTTTGGTCATTTCTGAGTTTCTGAAATCTGTGGTTTGATTACTGTTAGTAATAATAAAAAATTCTAAAATTCTCAGCCACTGTTTCTTTGACTATTTCTTCCATCCTGTTTTCCCTGTCATCTCCTACTGGTATTCAAATTATATGTATGTTAGAAGGTCTGATATTGTGCCACAGCCCTTGAATGATGTGTTGTGTTCTTATCAATATACTTTTTTCTTTCGCATTTTAGTTTGGGTAACTTATGTTGACCTATTTTCAAGTGTACTTATTTCATCAGCTGTGTCATATCTACTAATGAGACTTGTACAGTTTCTGTTGCTGTGGGTTTTTTTTCATTTGTTTCTAATATTTTCATTTTACTATTTTTGTAGTAGCCTTCTGTGCTGCACATTGGCTTCTGTTCTTGCATGTTATCTACTTTTTCTATTAGAATCTTTAACATACTAATTATTATTATTTTGTATTCCCTGTCTGATATATCCAACATCTGTGTTAGGACTGATTTTGGTTATAATGATTACTTTGACTCTTCAAGACTGTATTTTTATTTATTTATTTATTTATTTATTTTTTTGCTGTCTGGTATGCCCTATACTTTTGTATTGAAAGGTGGATGTATTGTATGTGACAAGAGATGTCAAGGCAAGTATTTATTATATGCCTTCTGCTATGCATTTAGTATGGCATTTGTTTTAATTTTGTCAGGATTTGGGCTGACTTTGAAGTGTTCCATTGCTCTATTTACCAGAGTTGGAATTAGTTGTTGTTATGGGCACAGGAGACTTGCAGTTTCTCTAGTGATATTTTGGATTTTTTCTCTCTGGTTGGCTTTGCATCTTTAATTTGTGTTTCTCCCTGGAGAGAGTTTTCCTTTTGCAGTTCTCTAGATGTTTCCTCTGTTATTGTTTACTTGAAGCTTGTTAGCATGGTTATGAGGTGGGGTGGAAGGAGCGAGCGGGTTCACTATAATATTCTCATTAGGTTTTAGACTTAGGGAAGCCCTTGGGTGTGTGGCCTTCTCAAGATTTTCTGTGGCTCCAATAGGTGTAGCACCTCTTACTCCACCATTTGTCTTCAGCCAGCTGCAGTGTCCTCAAACAATGCTTCTATCATTCCTCTTCTGCAGATCAGCCTTTTCATGCTTAGGAGAAATAGAAGCAAATGAGTCTCGGTAGGGCCTCTTCCTCTGGCTTCTCTGTGATTTATCAGAGTAAGTGTCCCAGCAGAAAGGCCTGTAGAAGCATGAGACCTCTATGTCAGTGCCCGTCTCAGCTTCACACTCTGACGTTAGTTCATATTCAGCCTTTAGCAATTGGTTACAAGTTACTAGTTTAAATTTCCTTCCAGATTATATCTCATCCAGTGATGTCTGCCCCTAAGCAAATGCTTAGGTTTTCTTTCTTTCTGCAAGCTTATGTGTCTCTTCAGAATTCAGGAGAATTTAATGTCCTGTGTCTTCAATTCTCTGGTAGGTTCAATGAAAGTCACTAATTTTCAGTTTGTCTTGCCTTTTCCCTTGTTGTAGAATGTGACATTCTTTTTAGATCTCGACATTTCTAAGATATCTTTTAGTTATTGATGACATGGAGGGGTTTATTTTTAAATGTTTTATTGTCCTTTTGATTACATAGGCAAATAGGGCTGCCTCTAAGGCATCCATAGTTCTGTCTTAATCAAAAGTCCAAGTTTTTTCTGACAAACTTTTTGATTTTTCATTCCCAAATGGAATCCTAAACATAGAAAAATTTAATATAATTTTCAGGGTATATTTTAAATCTAAAAGTAGCTTTGGGTTTTCCTGGAGGGTTCTTAATCACCGAGACTTGCTAATTCATCTTATAAAAGGAGAAGTGCTGGGAATAATTACATTCATTTGATTTGATCTGTTACTATTATGGTTGCCTGGGAAGACTTGTCAAATCAGAAGAGATACTCAGCCTTATAGGAGAAAAATGTTATTACTATAAATATTTCAGAAATGGTATGTTTTATAGCAAGTTCCTGGATATTTATCAGTATTCTCACTGTCTGTTATACATTTCCACTTATTAAGAGTCCTGTTGGTACTTTGCCTGGTATTAAGGGACAACAGTAGTATCATTTCAGTCATAAATTTAGTTGTTATTTAAAATTCTTTTTGGCCACAGCCTTACTTATTTAATTTGAATCTAGCATCTAGGCCATATATTCTCAATTGCTGATGCACGCCAAACTTATCCATGGAGTTTTATAAAAATATAGGTGGTAGATTCTACTGTAGACTTGCTAAATCTCTTAACATGATATTCTTGGAACATTTTGTATATGAAATGTCGAAATTATTGTAACCTATATATCTAAACTTTTCCTCAATAAAAACTATGTTTAACTAGATTTATAAATCAGATGTAAAACTCACTACCTTTTCTCAAAATAGTCTTAACAATTGTACCTAGAGATTGTGATGATTGGTATTAGGTATCAACTTGATTGCATTGAAGAATGCTGATATGATTTGTCTGTGTCCCCACCCAAATCTCATCTTAAACGATAGTTCCCATAATCCCCACATGTTGTGGGAGGGACCCAGTAGGAGGTAATTGAATCATGGGGACGGTTACCCTCATGCTGTTCTTGGGATAATGAGTGAGTTCTCATGAGATCTAAAGATTTTATAAGGGGTTTTTTCCTCTTTTGCTCAACGCTTCCCCTTGTGGCCACCATGTGAAGAAGGATGTGTTCGCTTCCCCTTCCACCATGATTGTAAGTTTCCTGAGGCCTCCCCAGCCATGCTGAACTGTAAGTCAATCAAACCTCTTTCCTTTATAAATTACCCAGTCTTGGGTATGTCTATTAGGAGTGTGAGAATGGACTAATACAGATGCCGAGGTGGCTGGTGAAGCATTGTTTCTGGGAGTGTCTGTGAGGGTGTTGGCAGAAGAGATTGACATTTGAGTAGGTGGACTGGGAGAGGAAGACCCACCCTCTCTGTGGTGGGCATCATCCAATCAGCTGCCAGTGTGGCTGGAACAAAGCAGGAAGAAGAATGTGGGATAAGTTTGCTTGCTGAGTCTTCTGGCTCTCTTTCTTCTTCTCGTGCCTAATGTTTTCGTCCACTCATCTTACCCTTGGAGGTTAGATTCCAGGTTCTTTGGACTTTGGACTCTGGGACTTGCACCAGAAGCTTCCCAGGGGCTTTTGGGCCTCTGACTGTAGACTGAGGGCTGCTTGCTGGTTTTGAGGCTTTCAGACTTTACCGAGTCATGCTACTGACTTCTGTCTTTCCCCAGCTTGCAGACAACCTATCCTGGGATTTTGCTTTGTAATCGTGTGAGCTAATTCCTCCAAATAAACTCCCTTTCCAATATACACATATCCGATTGGTTCTGTCCCTCTGGAGAACCTTGACTAATGCAGAGACATTTTTGTCTTATTTTTTGAAATGACTTATTTTTGTCTGTCACATTGTTAGAAAACTCTTTCTTTCTGGAAACAAAAATCTGACTCCCTGTAACCCCCACTATTCGTTTACTCCTACCATGTGATACATCTTGTACCTATTTGAAAGTAAAGAACTTATTTTTCTTGTATTCTTTTTCTACCCTTTTCATCCTGTTAAATGAGATAATGAATAAAAAAAACACTTTGCCTACCCCCTGGCACTTACTCAGCAGTGTCTGTAAGAGCATGCGTCATCCACAATTGTCAAGAGCATTTCAAATGTGCTTATCCATTTTACTGCTTTTTAAATTTTCTCATTGAATTTTATTCCTCCTTTAGAAATCATTGTCAACTTTTTGTTTTCCCTAAGCACATCGACTACTTTGTTATTACATTTAAAGCATTGGTTTAAAATAATTCTTACAAATATCTCTTCTATACATACCCATAATACACAGACACAAACCTAGAGACACAGACATGTGTATGCACACACACACACACACACACGTGCTTTTCTAATGGAAACAAATGATATTGTAACTATAGTTACAAATGTTTGAAAATATTATTGAATTTGTAGTACAATGTTATCATTACATGTTTTCAACTAACAAGCATTAAAACATAACTTCTATCACTAAAGTCTGAAATTATTTTTGATAGCAATAAGAAATAATGTTCTTATAGTGACAAAGATAGAAATGAATCTAAAAGCTTATTGCTATGGTTAATGTTAAGTGTCAACTTGATTGAACTGACGGATGCAAAGTACTGTTCCTGAGTGTGTCTGTGAGGGTGTCGCCAAAGAATATTAACAATTGAGTCAGTGGACTGGGAGAGGCAGACCCACCCTCAATGTGGGTTGCCACCATCCGATCAACTGCCAGCATGGCTAGAATAAAGCAGGCAGAAGAAGGTGGGATAAGCCAACTTGCTGAGTTTTCCAGCTTCATCTTTCTCCCGTGCTGCTTGCTACCTGCCCTGGAACATCAGACTCCAAGTTCTTCAGCTTTTGGACTCTTAGACTTACTCCAGTGGCTCTCAGGCCTTCTGTCACAGACTGAAGCCTGCACTGTCGGCTTCCCTACTTTTGAGGTTTTGGGACTTGGACTGGGCCGCTACTGGCTTCCTTGCTCCTCAGCTTGCAGACGGCCTGTCGTGGGACTTCACCTTGTGACTGTGTGAGTCAATTCTCTTAATAAACTCCCTTTCATGCATATATATATCCTATTAGTTCTGTCCCTCTAGAGAATCCTGACTAATACACTTATTTTGAGCAATTTTTGGGTTTACTATCAGGATCTGCTCTTCTGTGTTGGGTTCAATTTCTCCACATCCTCGCCAACATTTATTGTATTGTTATATTACATTATATGATAATAGCCACCCTAGAAGGTATGAAGTGATGTCTTGTGGTTTTGATTTACACGTAACTAATGACTGATGATGTTTAGCATCTTTTCATGTGCCTATTGGCCATTTGTATTTTTTCTTTAGGAACTGCTTTAGTTTTGAATTAACAATTAAATGCAAAAATGCAAATTTATTTTGACCTCACAATTATCAATGTGTCAAATGTATAATAGGAGTTTATGGAGACTATTTAAGAAACATGAGTAATTAAATCTTCCAAAGTATTACAAAGTAGTATAAGGATTATTTTGTTGAATTTTTATAGCACATGAGTTCGGCTTATTTGTTTCTCTACTTAAAAAACAAATAAAAATCAAATGCATAATAAACACACAAATATAGAATGCTTGACCTTACATGAAACTGCTATGAGGAATTAGACCCAAATGACATTTATTGTATATAATTTTTAGCTTGATCTCACCACAACTAGTAGAAGTACCTAATAACTGTAGTTCAGGTCTACCAGGAGTGAATTTATAATCAAAGTCTATTTTATTCTTTTTATTTAGTCAAGGAGTATTCACACCATTTAAATGTTCACACCAACAAAATGTTAAATTCTCAATGTTTTAATTTTTAAAAGTTTGCATTTGAACAGAAATGTGAAAGACAATTCACTATCCACAGACAAATGGATCTATCCTGCTGGATTCTTGGATGGGTTACAAAAGTGGCAAGTAGTTAGAGAAGGAAGCAGTTGGTCACCAGGACCCATCATGGATCGGGAGGAGAGTCAGCTTCAGGCAGTCAGCCTTTCCTTGCTGTCCTAGCTCAGCCACCCATTCACATCTTTGTGCTGATACTTACCACATTATATTGGCACATGCTTTTACTACTGATGGATGGTGCTTTCCCAGGGTAGGCGCTGGTTCTTATGTGCCTCTGGATCCTCAGTGCCTAGAACAAATCAGATATTTCCATTCTGAGCTAGTTCAAAACAAAAGAGAATTGCTATAAGCATAGTATATACATTTTTCTTGCATTCTTTTTCTTATATGATTTTATATAAATCATATACAATTTTGACAAAGTTTCTCACTAGATCCCCATGGCATAATGAGAAAATATACTCTTTATAGCATGCACACCTGCCCCCCTCAACTTCCCACACAGTATTAAACCCTGCATAAAATCCCTCAACCACTCTCCAGAGCTTTCTGAAATAAGACAAATGACCTTTCTGCAAATTCTGTAGAATCAGAGCAGTGCCTGTTCCCTGGCCCCACAGGATGTCTGCGTTTGGGAGACTTCGCTGGCCTCTCCTGATGTTTGGCTTCCAAGCAGCCACTGTGAACTACTGGCATCCTGGCTGGAACCATTCACCACGGAGCCCTCCCTGCTTCTGCACATCCCATTTCCTCTGTCCCTCTCCCTGATTCATCTTGGTTCCCTCCCCTTCATTCTTTCTAATTCGGATTAAGCTTCACTTCTTCCTGATGACTTCCCCTCCTCTCCTGGCCTCTCTTCTTTGTCCTGCCATTGCACTTTCCACGTTGTCCTGTAAATCTTGATTTACTTTTCTCCCTTTTCCACTAGGTACAATTATCTTTGAAAGCAGAGGCTGTGTTTTGTTTGACTCTGTGTCACCAGCACTTATTTTAGTTTTCAGCAGCAATATTTGTAGAATTAATGAATTATTTATGAGTGAATAAAGGCAAGTAAGAAGTAAATTTGACTTAGAAATCTCTTGCTTCTGTGTCGGGGAGGATAATAATAAGATTAAGACAGGATACGTGGGTGGAGAAATGCTGAACTCAGTTCAGACTATGTTGAACATGAGTCACTGGAGGTGGGCAAGGTGGCGGTGGCGGGGGGGAGCATTTAAACAGATAATAAATAACATGAATAACATTTAACAAATATTTGTTTAGAGCCTGCTAATTGCCAGGCAGAACATTGTGCAGTAAAATGGCAGTCACCTTGCCCAGAAGATTATGCCCTTAAGGCCTCCCTGAGGCAAGCAGTTGGTCAATAGGTAAAAGACAGGGGTGCTGAAAGTCGGATGGCTTTAGAATGATCTCCAGAGAAAGCCAGGCCCCAGCGCTTGCCTGGGAACACAGGGAAGCCAGTTTACAGGGGAGACTGAATCCTGGCTTAGATTCCCCCTGACCTAAACTGCTTCCCTTGTTCCATGTCTCCTAAACAAGGACTCCTCTTCAAGGATCAACTTCTAAAGACTAGGCCTATGACAGTAGCCTTCAGTGTAGGACTTAATCGGGTGGTAACTGAATTCTCACTACATGGGTGATACTTTAACTAGAGTCTGCGCCCAGCCGAACTCTTTTCTTCTAATATCTGATTGTTATCTATCCCATGGAGGGAAGTGCTTCTGTCTTTTCTTTCCCTGTGGGTACTCACATCTCCTTATATTTTGGGCCAGTTGATTGCCTTGTGACCTTTGTGAGGTACAGTGAGTTTCTCTTCAAAGAGTCAGCTTGCTCAGCTTCCTTGTTCTTTGATCTCAGTTTTCAAAGTCTAACTTCCTCGTTCTTTGTGCCTCCTTGCCCCTAGTTAGGGTAAACAACCTTCCTGCCAGTCCTACTCTAAAACTCACATCTACTCCCTTGGTTACCCACTCTGTAACTGACCTTCCCCCTAGAACTATCCTTCCTGCCTTTACTGCACCCTAAAACTGTAACGGACAGCCTCTCCCATCCCACCTAGTTAACTCTATTCAATTTTAAACAGTAGCCAATTGGGTCAGCTTAGATTGTGCAGTCCAACTACAGCCAATGGAGAAAGGGACACAGCTACAGGAGCTGCTGTGTTTGGAATAAAACCTCTTCCCCACCCCACTTGATGTGCTCTTGCAACCACACCAGGCACAAGTGGCACTCTTCTGCAGAAGTAAATCGCCTTGTTGAGAAAGCTTTTTGCCAGAGTGCTGATTTTTCTTTGCAGCACCGAGCATTTGTTTCTAACACCTTAGGTCTCTGTTAGGTTAAAATTGAATTTCTTTTTTTAATTTTTCACAGTGGACATGAACTTCCTTCAGCTCTCCTCTATAATCCAAAGCTCAACGGAACTTGATTTGGGGTTTTTAAAATTTGCATATTTTCATTCATCAAAGGTATACACACATAACTATTTTAAGAAGCCACTGTAAAAAGTTTCCCTATCCTTTAGGAGTTTATATGCTAAACACACACACACACACACACACACACCATAAAATACATGTATAATAAAACTCACAAACAAGTTCGTTCAGAATAAGCTGAGCATTTACACAAATTTGGTTTAATTTTAAAAGACAAGGAGGGTTTTGAGGTGTGGACAAAAAGAGTAAAACTCTGTAAAATATTTGAGAAGATTTATTCTGAGCCAAATATGAGTGACCATGGCCCATGACACAGCCCTGAGGAGGTCCCAAGAAACATATGTCCAAGGTGTTTGGGGTACAGCTTGGTTTTATATATTTTAGGGAGGCATGAGACATCAGTCAAATACATTTAAGAAATACATTGGTTTGGTTCAGAAAGGCGGGACAACTCAAAGTGGGTGGGGAGGTGAGGGGGTTGGGGGGAGGGGCTTCCAGTCTATAGGTAAATTTAAACGTTTTCTGGTTGACAATTGGTTGAGTTTGTCTAAAGACCTGGGATCCATAGAAAGGAAATGTTCAGGTTAAGAGAAAAGACTGTGGAGGCCAAGGTTCTTTTGAAGTCTTATAGTGGCTGCCTTAGAGACAATAGATGACAAATGTTTCCTATTCAGATCTTTAAAAGGTGCTAGACTTTTAGTTAATCTCTTCAGAATTGGGAGGACCTGGAACAAAAAGATCTGTAGGACATCAGTCAGGGTGGTGGGAAAAGTTATAAGAAAAAATTTTAGGGAAAGACGCAAATCTCCTTGGAAGGCTGGGAGGTTTTGCAAAAGCTTTCAGCTAAATTCTGCCATCAGCTAAATTCTCTTAAGGGTAAAGGGTAGGTAACAAGGGAATGTAAAGGAACTTAGCTAGATAAATTGGTTTACTTATGTCCCTGGAAACCAGCCTTTGATCATTCGCACTCAGGAGCTCTCTAACTTGGGGGGTCCACAGTGTTAATTACCCACAAGTTGTGTTTGCTCCAGGCCTTTGTCATTAAATCTGTACTAAATAAATACAAATGGCTCCATCTTATCAGGGCTGCACTCTTGTCAATGGTGCTATGCTGTGCAGTCCCCTAGCCACGCTCTCAGGCAAAATACCTGTGTCTGTGCACTCCTTTCATCTGTCTCTCTGCCAGGGTTGGTGGGACAGACCTGGCAATGATCTATGTTAATAGAGATTCTTTACAGATGCAGATTTTCCTCCACAAAGAATGGCTTTGCAGGGCCATTTCAAGATATAGCAGAGAAACATGTTTTGGGGTAAAGTATTTTGATTTTGTTTTTTTGTTGTAGTTGTTGTTTGTTTGTTTTTTGTTTTTTGAGACCGTATCTCTTTCTGTTGCCCAGGCTGGAGTGCAGTGGTGCAATCTTGGCTCACTGCAACCTCCCTCTTCTGAGTTCAAGAAATTCTCCTGCTTCAGCCTCCCAAGTAGCTGGGACTACAGGCATGCACCACCACACCTGGCTAATTTTTTCTCTTTTAGTAGAGACAGGGTTTCACTGTGTTGCCCAGGCTGGGCTCAAACTCCTGAGCTCCAGCAATCCACCTGCCTTGGCCTCCCAAAGTGCTAGGATTATAGGCATGAACCACTATGCCCAGCCCAGTATTTTGAGTTTCTTCCTTGTCTCGTAATGTTATGGCAGAGTCAGATTGGAAAGTAAGTCACAATATATAGGATTAAATAAAACCCATCTGATGAGAATTTATGGTTTGTAGGGCATGACTCCCCAGGTCACTCAGATAGAAATCTGGACAAGAAAAAAAAATCAGAGATTAGTCCTCAGAGGTATTTGTGTGTATCTCAGTATTGTTATTTAAAGAAAGTAATTTAGAATTATGATAGCACTTCATTATATGTAATATGATTCATATTTTCACATTTCTTATTATCATCATTTGAATAAAAAATTCAAATGTGATTTATTTTTAAAAATTATTATTTGCTTTTCATTAGCTAAGGAAATAACAAATATTTGCTATTTGTTTATTGGGGCACATGAAGTGAATTATGAAACTGATTGCATTCTCTTATAATTGACTTCCACTCCTCTGACACCAGTCTTATCTCCCGTTTACTACAACACTGAATTTCCTACACAATTTATATATCTATTTTTTTTCTTTCCTTTACATATGACATGTACTATTACCCTGCTCTCTAGGAAGAGCCTTATTTTCAACCACCATAGAATACATGTAAGAATTATTTCCAAAGACAATATTTGTGATATTCTCTTATTTTCACATTCATTCACATGAGAAAGAAGGAATAACTCTTCTAGATATCTTTATCTACCCACTCTTTCATTGAGTTTATGAGCTAATTAGGTGGAAAGGAAATGCATTATTTTCAATATATCATATTCTTTCACATTTATCTTTTCAGTAAAACAATAAATAATAATTTTGAATTTTGAAAGTTGTATACTATCTCAACAATGAAACTTCCAATGTAGCTCAATATAGCAAAAAATTTGCTAGTCTTGAGATATGAAGACTTAGTTGTTTTTCTTTCATTATAACCTCAGACAAATAATTAACTCTATAGAGACCAATTGCATCATTTGTAAAATGCATGTAATATTATCTATATCGAAGGACTGGTGTGAGAATAAAATGAAATACATGTAACAGGGTCAAGCATCAGGGTATGCATCCAACAATATCTGCATTGGTTTCTTCCTAAGCATGCTGTGCATCCATTACTGCCTCTGGAAATAACCTTAATGGCTTGGCAAAACTACAAATATTAATATTATATAGGCACAACTGATTATTAAATATCAAAGATTTTATCACCATTACTCTAGATATTTAGTAGTAATTCTTTGGCTTTATATTTATGCTGTTTAATCATATAAATATTATGAATGAACATAGAATAAAGGATATAGTCCCAGTAAATGCTTAAAAATGTAATAAACTGATAGATCAATATTGTCTCCCTCTGTCCCTCTCTCCATCCCTCCCTTCTCTCTCTTTCTCTCTCTAGTGTATTGGGTTCTTTGAGTAGATGTTAGTAGATGCATGTACTACTAGAGAGATCAGTGGTGTTTAATTCTATTTTTTTTTTAAGCAAAGACTTAGATGGTTTATTTTAACTCTGCATTTGTTTAGCACATTTACAAAAATAAGTTCACATGGAAACATTAGGAATAAAATTCACGAGTTTACAGGAAGAAAAGGAAGATTTAAAAAAAAAATCTTTCTCCCTTTAAAGGTCTTGGTAATTAGATTGTTTTTCTCATTTTATCTAGTTCCATTGCTGGATAGTTTTAATTAAAGTTTTATTAAATACAGATGATTTGTGGTACCTATAATATGACTCTTGAATAAATTATCTTTTTAAACTAATAAATGTATTAATAACAGCTAGTTTTGTTTTGCTCTTATATATAATTTTTATTATGATTTTAATATGATTTTGATGAGACAAAGTTTTAAAAAGGGCACCTATAACCTAACCACCCTTACATAAGCTTCATTAATATGTTTTTAATTATAGGAACAAATATGCTCCTTTCACTGATTTGGTCTTAGGTGGACATTTTGCCTATTGTTTTAATATATCATATCTTCTTAACCATCTGAGCGTCTTAACTACCATTTCAAATGTTATCATAAGGTCCTACTGAATACAGATAATTTCTTTCTATGTTTTATATTATTGAACAATCATTTTGTTTCTGGTTTTAATTATGTTAAAAATGTTGAAAAACCATCTTTCTGAATGTATTTATTTTCCCTATTTAATAGTGCTTCTTTTGAATTAATGACAAGATATGAGATTACTAATCAAATAGCATGAACATTATGGTGACTCAATGCGTGTGGTCCTAGCATCTAAAATTATTTTTATGATTTTATAACATTATTTAGTAAAGTTTGAGACAACCAGGATCACCACAGATCCGCAAACATTAGGCATTTAAATTTTTATAAATGCCTTGCCAATATGTTGAAAGTTTACTTCAATTATAATTTACATTTGTCTTTTTTAAGTATTTGAGAATTTTCCCATAAGTTTACATATTATTTTTCCTTTTACATAAATTGTATCATCACAAACCTTATGAATTAATCTTTTGAAACTATATTAGCATTTCTTATCCGTTAAAAATATCTCCCTATGTACTTAACCTTCATTTATGTTTGTGACATTCATATTTTCTTCATAGTGTTTTCCTTTTTACTAGGGTTATATATACCTGTTTCATGTGTGAATATTTAAAAAAGTGATATATCAAGATTGTCTCCTTTCTCCCATAGAGGTCTCTTCTGTAGTATCTAAATTAAAAAAAACACATTTTTTACTTTTTATTTTTATAGGTACATACTAGGTGTATATATTTACGGGTTACATGAGATATTTTCATACAGACATACAATAAGTAACAATAACATCAGAGTAAATGGGATTTCCATCACCTCAAACATTCATTGTTTCTTTGTATTAAAAAAATCCAATATTTTTAGTTATTTTAAAATGTACAATAAACTATTATTGACTGTATTCATTCAGTTGTGCTATGAAACATTGAATGTTATTCATTCCAACTAACTTTATTTTTGTGTCCATTAAGTGTCCCCACACCCCCCACCTCACCACACTTCCCAGCCTCTGGTAACCATAATTCTGCTTTCTGTCTCTGTCAGTTCAATTTTTAGCTCTACAAATGAGTGAGAATATGTGATTTTTATCTCTTTGTGTCTGGCTTATTTCACTTAACGTAATGCCCTCCAGTTTCATCCATGTTGCAAATGACAGAATCTTATTCTTTTTTATGGCTGAATAGTACTCCATTGTGTATATGTACCACATTTTCTTTATCCATTCATCTGTTGATGGACACTTAGGTTGCTTCCAAATCTTGGCTGTCTTTAATAATGCTGCAGTAAACATGGGAGTGCAGATGTCTCTTCAATATACTGATTTTCTTTTTGGGAATATACCTAGCAGTGGTATATGCAGTGTATAACATAAGATCATATGGTAGTTCTATTTTTAGATTTTTGATGAACCTCCATACTATTCTCCATAGTGATTGTACTAATTTACATTCTCCCTAATGCTATATGAGAGTTCCCTTTTCTCCACATCCTTGCCTGCATTTGGATAAAAGCCATTTTAACTGGAGTGAAATGATATCTCATCGTAGCTTTGATTTGTATTTCTCTGATGATCAATGATGTTGACCACCTTTTCATATATCTGTTTGCCATTTACCACTGCCTTCTTTTGAGAAAGGTCTATTCAGATCTTTTGTTCATTTTATAAGTAGATTATTAGATTTTTTCCTGTAGAGCTGTTTGAGCTCCTCATATATTCTGATTATTAATCCTTTGTCAGATGGATAATTTGCAAATATTTTCTCCCATTCTGTGTGTGGTCACTTCACTTTGTTGATGGTTTCCCTTGTTGTGCAGAAGTTTTTTAACTTGATATGATCCCATTTGTCAATTTTTGCCTTGGTTGCTTGTGCTTGTGGGGTATTACTCAAAATCTTTTTGCCCAGTCCAGTGTCCTGGAGGGTTTCTCCAGTGTCTTCACAGTTTGAGATCTTAGATTTAATTATATGTTCCACTTGGATTTGATTTTTGTATGTGATGAGAGTCAGGGGTCTAGTTTCATTCTTCTACATATGGATATTTAGCTTTCCCAACACTATTTATTGAAGAGACTCTCCTTTCCCCAGCATATGTTCTTGGCATCTTTGTCAAAAATGAGTTCACTGTAAATGTATGGATATGTGTTTGGGTTCTCTTTGCTGTTCCATTGGTCTATGTGTGTTTCTTGTAGGCAACAGGTCATTAGCTTTTGTTTTGATTTGTTATCCATTTGGGCACTTTATGTGTTTTGATAGGATAGTTTAGTCCATTTAGTCAATGTTATTCTTGTCAAGTAAGTGCTTACTTCCACTGTTCTGTTATTTGCTTACTGGTTGTTTTGTGGTCTTTTCCTCCTTCATTCTTTCTTTCCTGTCTTCCTTTTTGTGAAGGACCCTTTTGTCTCTGGTCCTGAGATAGCCAGGTGGGAGGGGCTTCCCAGAAAAAACCCCAACTGGCCTGTGCACTGAGGTGGAGCCACAGAGGTTCCTGCCCTTTGCAGCAGGGAGGAACCTGGGCCCTCCTCTTCCTGTGTGGTATCTGGGATTTGAATGGCAGGTGGGAAGTGCTCTAGCAGGGACTCTGGCCTAGCAAGAGTCCCTGTTTCCCCCTTTTCTTCCTTTTCACCCAACAAAACTCTGTCTCACTTACCATTCAAACTGTCTGCAAGCCTGAATTTTCATGGGCATGGGACAAAGAACCTTGTTTTTAGCTGAACTAGGGAAAAGTTCTGCAACAGTACTATGTTTTAATTTTTTTGCATTTCATTTTTTGTGTATCTGTTGTATGTTTTTTGATTTTAAGTTACCATGAGGGTTGCAAATAACATATTATAACCCATATTTTAAACTGATGACAACTTAACACTGATTGCAAGAAGAAACACAAACTATCAAACAAGCAAAGAGAAAACTAATACAAATTCCACACTTTAACTTCATCTCTCCTGCTTTTTAAATTTTTGTGGTTCTATTTAGTCTTATTATGTTGTCTATATCTTGAAAAGTTTTTGTAATTATTTTTGATAGATTTATCTGTCTTTCTACTCAAGATATGCATAGTTTGCACACCACAATTACAGTGTTTTAATATTCAGTGCTTGTCTGTGTACTTAGTATTTACCAGTGAGTTTTATACCTTCACATGATTTCCTATTGTTCCTTAATGTCGTTTTCTTTTAGATTGATGAATTCCCTTTAGTCCTGACCTTTTGGAGTTTGATTATAAATGTCCTGAAGTAGCCTTACTTGAGGTAAATTTTCTTGGTGTTTTACTAATATAACTTCTTTGTCCTTGAATATCGATATCGTTCTCCAGATTTGGAAAGTTCTCCATTATTATCCATTTGAATAAACCTTCGACCACTCTGTCTCTCTCTACATCCTCTTTATGGCCAATAATTCTTAGATTTGCCCTTTTGAGGCTATTTTCTAGATCCTTAGGTATGCTTCATTTTTTAAAATTCTTTTTTCTTTTGTGTCCTCTGGCTGTGTATTTTCAAGCAGCCTATCTTCAAGCTCACTAATTCTTTCTTCTGCTTGATCAGTTCTGCTGTTGAGAGACTGTGATGTATTCTTCAGCATGTCAATTAAAGTTTTCAGTTCCAAAATTTCTGCTTGGTTTTTAAGAATTATTTCAATCTATTTGTTAAATTTATCTGATAGGATTCTGAATTCCTTCTCTGTGTTATCTTGGATTTCACTGAGCTTCCTCAAAACAGGTATTTTGAATTCTCTGTCTGAACTGTCACATACCTTTGTCATTTCAGGATTGGTCATGGGTGCTTTACTTTGTTTGGTGAGGTCATGTTTTCCATGGTCTTGATGCTTGCAAATGCTCATTGCTGTTTGGGCATTGAAGAGTTAGGCATTTATTGTAGTCTTTGCAGTCTGGGCTTGTTTGTACCTATCCTATTTAGGAAGGCTTTCCAAGTATTCAAAGTAAATTGAGTGTCGTCGTCTAATTATTTGGTCACTGTGGCCTTATCTGCTCCAAGTCCAGTAACACTGTGACTCTTGCAGACTTGTGAAGGTACTGCCTCAGTAGTTTTGGGTAAGACCTTAGAGAATTACCAGGATTTCCAGGCAGAGACTCTTGTTATCTCCCCTTACTTTACCCCCAAACAAACAGTTTCTCTCTTTCTCTCTCTCTGTGCTGAGCTCCCTGAACCTGGGGGATGAGTGACATAAGCATCTCTGTGGTCACCACCACTGGGACTGTACTGGGTTAAACCAGAAGCCAGCACAGCACTGAGTCCCACCCAAAGCCTAAAACCTGCAGCAACCCACTGCCTGGCCACCACTGAACATCAATCAAGGCACAAGTGCTCTTCAGTCAGCAGGTGGTGAGTCCAGCAGTCTTATGTCCTTCCCTTCAGAGTGATGAGCTCCTACTACAACCCAGGTTAGGTTCAGAAATGCCATCTGGGAGCCAGGACCTGGAGTTAGAGCCTTAGGAATCTATCTGGTATTCTATTCTACTGCAGCCGAGCTGGCACTGACTCACAAAATAAAGTCCTTTCCACTATTTCCTCTTTTCTTAAAGCAGAAAGAGTCTCTCCCCATGGCCACTGCCACCCCAGGCACATAGTGAATGCTGCCTTTCTACGACCAATGTTCACTCAAGGCCCAAGGGCTGTTCAATCAGCTTGTGGTAAATGCTACCAGGCCTGAATCTCTTCTTTCAGGGCAGGGACTCCCCTCTGGCCCAGGGTGGGTCCAAAAATGCATTCAAGGAGCCAAAGCCTGGAATTAAAGACCCGAGGAGCCTGGTTGCTGCTCTCCACTACTGTGCCCGAGCATGGACCTAAGCTGCAAAACAAAGTCCCTTTTACTCTTTCCTATCCTTTCCCCGAGTAGAAGGAGTCTCTTCTAGCCACCATAGCTGGGAAGGTGCTGGATTACACCTGAAGCCAGCACAGCACCAGCTCTCACCCAAGGTCGATGGTGTGTACTGTCTGGCTGCTATTGATGTTTATTCAAGGTCCAAGCACTCTCTAGTCAGCAGGTGATAAATCCTGCCACAGCTGGGCCCTTCCATTCAAGGTAATAGGTTTCCTTCTGTCCAGGGTGTGTCCAGAAGTATTGTCTGGGAGCTAAGGCCTGGAGGGAAAATACCCCATTTTCAGAGGCAAGGCTGGTATCCAAGTTGCAAGAAAATCTTCTTTACCCTCCTCTCTCCCTGAGCAGAAGGAAGGAGTCTGCAGGAGCTGCAAGCTCTGTTGCCTGGTGTTGGAGGAGGGGTGATGTGAACCCTTGCTTGGCTGCACCAGCTGATGTCTCATTGGGTCTCGTGCACCTCAAGTCCACTGGCTCCAAGTCCAGCAAAACACCAGGACATGCCTGGGAATCACAATCCTTGTGGCCTAGCCTAGACTGCCTTTTAAATTTATTTAGGACCCCAGGGCATTTTAGCTAATGTTGGTGAGCCTTCCCAGAACTCAGGTTCCCACTACTGGAATGGATGAATTCCCTGTGGCTAGGGCTGGTCGTCTAAATGCTTTTCATGTGCCGGGGGCTGGTCTAAATGCTCCCTCTGTGGGCGACGGCTGAATTCTGCCCTGTGTTGCTTCCATTGTGATAGGCAGCACTGAGTTCCAGTGTGAAGTCCTACAATCACTGCACTCTCGGTATGTAAATTTTTTAAGTGTTTCCTAGTGAATTGGTAGGAATGTAATCTGCATTTCTATTGTCAAACTTCTATTTAATATGCTTTCAGTTTTATTTTTTAAAATTTAAAAATGGTAACACTTTTATTTTGACTGATAAAAAATGTTTTAAATATGAATTCAAAAAAGTAAATATTTTAAATTAATTTAAGAATGTTTAGTCATTTTGTCTAAGTCATCATTATATTTTCTTTACCTAAAGGTACAACAGCAGTCTTTAATTAAAATCCATGAACATTTCGACAGATATATTTTAATTCTATTAGGGAATATTTTCAGGCTTTGACATGAGTAATTGAAAATTGAAACAAAAATGTTTCAAGAAAAAAAAGGTGCTCTATTAATATGTATGTAACTTATTAAAAATTATGTATTTCTTAATGTAAGTCCAATCATTCATTGGATTAATTCACTCTTTCTCACTGCAATATAGATTTTATGCAGCACATGTTTCCTTAATTTGATAGATTCTTTACTCAGATTTTGTTATTGCAGATTATGGAATATTAAAGTAAAAGTAAACAAAAAGAGAGAAGCTTAGAAAAATTCTGTGTCATGAGATCAGCCTTCCAAATATCAATTCAAATGACAAAAGAACTGGGAAGTATATAATGATATGCCCTAGTGATCGGAGATCTTTCCCAGGAAATATGGTGTAGTGAGTGTTATTAAAAATATTTTGACTTGAGAATGATGAAGGGTGAAAAAATATAAAGCCAGTAGAATCTCTATTCAAGTATAGTCAAATTTTAATATAAAAAACACAAATTTATTTTTGAAATGTGTTTTTGTTAAAATATTTAACCCAATTCGCTCCTAGAACTTCAATTTCACAGTAGGAATAGAGGTTAGTAAACTGAAGAATATTAGTGAGATTTATATATTTTATATTTTATGCATATATAATTTACATACAATAAAAGACAAAGCTTTTAACTGTATAGTTTGGTGAGTTTTGACCAAAATATACACCTATATGATTGTCATTCCAGTTAAGTTCCTTCACGCCCAGTCTTCAATTTGGTTGTTTGTCTTTTTATTATTGAGTTGTAAGACCTTAAAAAATATGATCTGGACACCTTGCTTTGTTAGACACACGTATTATAAATATTTTCTCTTTGTTTTGGCTTGCCTTTTTATTTCATTAATTGTCTTTCCTGAAGAATTTTCCATTTTGATGAAGTCCAATTTATTTATTTATTTTTTTCCTTCGCTTTATAGTGCTACTTGAATCCTGAGAAATCTTTGCCTATCACGGGGCCACAAAGATGTTCTCTCAGGACTGTTTTTAGATCTGTTTGTATGGATTATCTTTTATTTTTTATTGTCTAGTTTGAGCCTTGATTGACTTCATTCCTTCTTTGTTTCCTTCCCTCTTTCCTCCCTGCCTCCCTTTCTTTCTCCCTTCCTTCCATTTTCTTTTCTTCTCAACTTTTCTTATAGCACCATTTGTTGAAAAGACTATCCTTTCCTGCATTGAATTTAGAGCTTTTGTCAAAAAAAAAAAAAAAAAAGCAATATATTTTTAGCTATATTTCTAGACTTTCAACTCTTTTCCACTGGTGTCTGTCCTTAGGCTAATACTAAATATCTTACTGTTAAATCCAAGTTCTGGCATCAATAGTTGCACCATTTTTATTTTATTTATTTTATTTTATTTTATTTTATTTTATTTTATTTTGAGATGGAGTCTTGCTCTGTTGTCCAGGCTGGAGAGCAATGGCATGATCTCAGCTCAATGCAACCTCCACCTTCCGGGTTCAAGCAATTCTCCTGCCTCATCCTCCCTAGTAGCTGGGATTATAGGCGCCCTCCATCATGCAGGGCTAATTTTTGTATTTTTAGTAGAGACAGGGTTTCACCATGTTGATCAGGCTGGTCTTGAACTCCTGACCTCAGATGATCCACCCACCTTGGCCACCCAAAGTGCTGGGATTCCAGGCATCAGCCACAGCGCCTGGCCGGTTGCACCATTATATTGGTTTTCATTACTACATTTCTAGCTATGTCTCTGAAGATATTAGTTTTACATCATTTTAAATGTAATAGCTTAATGTAATGGCCTAGTCTAATACCCAGATATAAACTATTCCAAGAAATGTGCTTTTCTATTGCATTATGGCTGAAAACATTTTGAAAACTGGGAAGCACTGCAAATATAAAATCTTTCAGTGTAACACTTATTTTGGTATAGTAAGGCCAGAATTTATGGTTGTATATTTCCATTTCAAAAGAAGTAAGTACAAAAGATGAACTCAAGCTCTGGAAAGAGGGTTCATGTTTAGTTGCCTTAAGACACTATATAAAATCAATATGCTTTTCACCTAGCACCAGTTCCTAATCCTCCTCAGCTTTTAGAAAATGGAAAAATAAAGTAGAAAAAACTGGCTTGTTATTTTACTCAGCTAAAAACATAGGTTTTTCCCTAAACCTAAATTGGGAAAGACTCAGGAAGATCCACTTTTTTGACTACAATGCAGATAATATCCTTCATCCTCCTAATCAGACTCCATTAGAAATATGGCAGGTACAGTCGCTTCGTATGAAGGATCTACAGATTTTCAGGAGGATCCACTATTTGTTGTATGGAAAGGAGGGGAAAATAGCCCTTTTTGTTGCTACTCATATTTTATTAGCATGTTTTCATAAGGCAAGCCACTGAAACTGTAAACTCTAACATGCATTCACAAAGCTGGTCATTGATAACACTACATGGGTATAGACAAACATACAGCTGCACAAAAACATCTCCCTACTCATAATTAGCAAATTATTAACTCTATTATATTTCTCCTTCTCAAATTGTGATACTCTGGTGAGACAAAAGATGGGCCAAGAAAGCACCAAGAGATCTTTAAAAGCTCATTTCTGGTGAGAAAGTTCAGTGCACTATCATCTCATGTTTTCACTGGACACATTTGCTTTTAGTTATAGACAAGACACTGGGTCTCAGAATGGAGAACCATTCAGAGGAATATTCCAGTAGATGAGGTTAAACTCGTCATCTCTTTACATCTCTTTACTCTAAACTACATTATTAGAGAACCAGAAAGCCTAGGGAAAATATACCATTGCTCTGTGCCTGTATCTCCAAACACATACATATTTGTAAAGACATTGATGTTTGGTTGATTGCTTCCTAGGTATTGGGCACTATTTTTCAAACATTGTCTTCTCACAAAAGGTTTTTGGAGTAGATACTGTTATTATGCCTCATGGTAAACAATAAGGCAACTGAGGCAACAGAAGGGTTAATTGTCCAAGGATTTGAACTCACCCTGCGTATCCCAAAGCACACACTTCTAACCACAGTGCTATGCTGCTTTCCTATGTCACAGATGATTAGAATTTATGACATTATGACAGAGAAAAGCAAACTCCTCAAGTTTTGCTATTTTAGGATTGAAAATGTCAAATATTTTCACCAGGCTAGGGGAAAAGGGGGAAAAAAGCCAGAACTACTTTTTCTGAAACAGACAATGGTTGGACAGTTATTTGTTAGCTAAAATCCTACTGAAATTATTGTTTAATCAAACTTGTCCTGAACACATAAAACTGCCGGCATAAATTCAAGCCAAAGAACCATCTGTTTTCTTCCTTTTTAATGACATTGCCAGCATGCATTTTTCCAACATTTGTGCAGAATTCCCAAGAGTCTTGTAGAGACATGTTAAACACCCCCAGGGGTTGCATTTGGAGCACAAGGTAATATTTCATGTTCTGATTACTGTGAAGAAAGCAGGATGCTTTTAATTGTGTTACAAAGAAGAAAGATGAATATAAAAAACAGCACACGGTTTTGGAATCTCATGTAAAATGGAGTCTACTTGACATTACAGTGCTCTAAAATTGGGTGCAAACATGACATCTTGCAATCTTTGGTTTCAACAGAAAAACACAAGGCAAAGAAGACGTGGTATTTCTATAAAGTTTTTTGGGGAAAAATGTAATATTCTGCCAGGTGAGCTTGTTTCTGTGTTTCTATCTATTTTTGAGCTACTTCTTATAGCACTCACCAAACACTTCTTATTCTTAGAAATGTGCAGGGTTTTGAAAGGTTAACTATTATAAGGAAAGAGGTCTTTGCTATTTGGATTAAATCAATTAAATACTCATAGAACTTTATACCCAGAAAGATTTTTAAAAATTATACTTGCAGTCTTTACATTACTACCTTCGTATTTCTGTTTTTCCAGATCTACACTGTACTTTGAATCAAATAAATGTGAGCAGAGTCTGGCTTGTTATAAGAAAACACAGAACAACATAACGGGCAGTCGGCAACCTGGGTCTTACTGCTAGAGGAGCATGTCCAGGCCCCCAGCTAGGGCCACGTGCCTTTTTGTTGACCCTATCATTACTTGAGCAAGCCCAACCTTTTCACTGTGTTTGTAGAGATACATAAGTTTTGGCACACATAAACACACCTATAAATGTAAACACAGCCATTTCTATATACAAATGGGTGTGGCTATACTGTGGACATGGTTGGTTTGACTTCTTCAAATCTCCTGTTGAAATTGGATCCCCAGTGTTGGAGGTGGGTTCTAATGGGAGGTGTCTGGGTCATGAGGAAGGTTCCCTCATGAATAAATTAATCCCCCCTCTGGGAAGCACAAGTGAGCAAGTTCTCACTATGTTAATTCCCTCCAGAGCTGGTTATTGAGTTGAGTGTGGCAGCTTCCCCATCTCTTTAGCTCCTCTCTCATCATGTGATCTCTGTGCATGCCAGCCCCTCTTCTCCTTGCACCATAAACGGAAGCAGCCTGGGGCCTTCACCAGAGGCCTAATCTTCCAAACAGCAGAGTTGTGAGCCAAATAGATGTTTTGCTTTATAATTTACCCAGTCTCAGACATTCCTTCACAACAACACAGGTGGACGTGTGCAATCATTTATATGGTACTCTCTACAATACAATTGGCTAATATGGTTATGAGTAAATATATTCTACTGACACTGAAGAATAGTCTGTTAAATGACTAAAATAATCTCTAAGTCATTTAATATTTTAGAATGTAAATATGGTGCCACAGCATCAAGCTAATGGATTTTTAAAAGTCAGTTTGTATAGACTCAGGTGTAAATACCATATTATAGAGTTCCCTGTGAAACTACTCACAACCATAGTCGTAGCTTATAGGTTGTCATTACCAATAATATTCTCCTTTTTTAATTTGATAAAAGCTACTCTTGAAAGAAAGTGGTGATTGGGTTTATATCACACTTTATCCTCTTGTTCTTGGGGAGCTGAAAGCTAAGAGTGCAGGTTCTGGAGCTGAGCTACTTTCTGGAATCCAATCTAGGCTCTACTTCTTTTAGGGCAAGTTACTAATGTCTCTGTGCTTCAATCACTCCTTGTGCAAGCTGGGGTTAATAAGAGTCACCTACAGACTTCTGGTTTACTCCTTCTTACATAAAGATTCTAACACTTGACTCATGGTTATTGTATCCTGTATTATTTTTGGTGTTTTCTATACTCATGTATATTATCCCAGTAAAATCCCAGCCTCTTATTCTCTTGACTTCCTCTCAATTTAAATTACTCACTATCATAGTCATAGCTTACATACATACTGTCATTATCAATACTATTTGTCCCTTTTTAATTTCAATTTTAAGCATCTTACTCTCAAATCAACACTGCCAGCTAATTCTAATATCTCAAACACAACAACGTTTTGTCTCTGTGAGATCTATGATCCATTGTTCACTATTCCTTGTTCCAGCCCCTCATCTTCTTTATGATCTTCCTTCCCTCTTTATTGAGCTTGGATGTTCTATGCTTTCGCATGAGCATCTTTCATCACTTTGCTTATGAAAATCTAAAGGCTACTTAAATTTTGCATCTTTATCTGCTTCAAATGAGTATTCTCATACCTGAATGTGGATAGCAAAACACATACTTACATTTAGATTCTTTCAATTTGTGACAATCTTAGTTGGATTATTAGAACCATCTAGCAATCATATCTCATTTCCCAGGTCTATTTATTCTCCTACTCTTCTAGATGACTTTTTGATGACAGATCATTTTATTCAATGATGGCAGCAACAATATATCCCATCATATTTTCTTCTTGAAATGTGTACTTTATACCCTTCCAATAGAATTGGGGATGGAATTGAACCTTCCTTTTAACCTAGGTGAAACTTTATGACTGCCTTAATCAATAGATGGTGGACAAATTGATGTCATGCGACATCTCAGACTAAGCCATTAGAGGTGATGCAGGTTCTGCCTGCTCTTCTTGAGATGCTTGCTCTTAGCATCTAGCTGTTATGTCTCAGAGAAACCCAAGCAGCTATGGAGAGGCTCATGTACATAAGAGCTAAGGCCTGGGGCACACATCTTGGCTGGGCACCTGACTCACTGACAGCTCCGATACCCACTTATGCACCATGTGAGCAAGCCACCTTGACATTGGGTCCTCTAGTCTCTAATCTAGCATCCCCAGCTGATAGCATATGAAACAGAGACAATGAGCTTGTTAACTAAAGTGGAATTCATCATCTTTTTAAAGCCATTGGATTTTAAGGTGGTTTTTTAGGTGACAACAGATGACTGATGCACTACACACTATTTCATACTTATTCTAATTTTATTCAAATCTCTCATACATCCTTCCCAATCTTCATTCTCAGCTGCTACAGAAAATAGAAAATTTCAGAATAAATTCTCCACTCATTCTCACCACGATGTACACCAATATCTCTGCATGTAGGCAAATACACCGCACATTCCAAGGACTGACTGTCAGTGCCCCTCTAAGGACAACCTTTCGTTTGTACACCTTAGTAACTATAATTAACTCCTAGGTCCATCTACAGCTATAACTTTGTCTTTATGTTCCATCTCGTTAGTGATGTTTGTCAAAAGACTTGTCGATATTACATGTCTCCAGTTCCCTTCCAAGTATGCTTTCACTTCCATAGCTTCACCCAAAGAGTTGTTACAGATGTTATCAATAATCTCATTGTGCCAAAGCCAATGATCAGTTCTTGGTCTGGTTTTTTGTTTTGTTTTTGTTTGTTTGTTTTTAAATTTAAGCCATCGTCAGCATATGACCATTAATCACTTCTTGCAAACCTCTCCTCATTGGACTTTCAGATGATCAGTCTCCCTTGGATTTCTTTCTCATTATCTAACATCTTAAAGTTGTAGAGTCTAAGGGCTCAATTTTCAGACTTCTTTTCCCTCGCTAGACTCATATCCTGGCTCATCTCATCCAGTCTTCGAACTTCGAATTCCATCTATATTTTAATGATACCTAAATGTATATCTCTGGTCCAGAGCTTTCCTCTAAATTCCAAACATTGTATCCAACTGACCTCTCAACATTTCCCCTTGATATTAAATGGACATCTTGAACCTAAACAACTCAAAACTAAAATCCTGATTTTTCTTCCCAACCTGTCCTTCACATGGCCTTCCTCATCTCAGTAAATGATAACTATGTTCTTTCTGTTGCTCAAGAAAAGTTACTGGACTCATCACCAACAAATCTCTTTCTCTCACCTCTTCCATATAATGCTATCAGTAAACCACCTTCAATGTACATACAGAATCTGTCTATTTAATTCTACATTCACTGCTACCATCCTAGTCAAGCCATGATCATCTCTCAGTTCTATTATTGCAACAGCCTCTGAACTTTTCAGCAGCAAATTCCATTGCCTGACTTCAGAGCAGACCTGTTCACACCACGCCTCTCCTCAAAACCCTCCTGTGGTTTCAGTTATTAGAGTGAAACCAAAAGACCTTATGGAAAGAGCATAAAGAGGTTCAGAGCTAGAAACTGGGGGTTTTTAGGTGCCTTACCATAGATGCTTACATTTTCCTTGATGAGAAAAGTTATCAAATGCTTGTGAGTTGATTTCTAGGGTCACTTTGTTTTTTAATCTATAGCCAGCCATATTCAATGTAGGTTAAGGAAAATAGTAAAATGTTTGTCTTGAATAACATTTGTATATATAAATTATTGGAGAAAACCTTTTCTCAAAATCCCGTTTGTCTTAAGGTCAGCATACCTTCTCAGTAGGCAAGAAAACCATAACCACAGCTATATCCACATCCAAATGTTACACTTATTATGATGTAGGCACATAGTACATGTTCTATTTTAATTGAAGAAATTAATCTTTCTTGTTTTCAGGTCTCCTAATTTATTTCTGAAATTAAAACCTAATTTATTTTTGTCTTTCAAACATTTTGCCTATCTTTCAAACTAATAAATTCATTTCAATTATCTCAAAGAGATTTGCTCTACTCAAAGTTTTTTCAACTTTTCCAGTGCCTACAGTAATCCAGGCATCCTAACTATCCCAAGGACAAAACCGTTGCTGAGCCATCCTGGTCACATTAGAAACCTTATTGTAATATCAGGTAAAAAAATTGTTATGTCAAGCCATATAGATGTGAGAGGCACACCATTTGGTCTTGCATATTTGGGGACATAAGTGCATACTATATTTTGTTTGTAAAAATAGAATACCTGAGTCATTAGATATGGTGGAAAAGACTCACTCAACAAGATACTTTTAAATGTGAAAATGATGCAGTGATTGAAAGGAATGAATTTGTGATTTTGCAACCACAAGAGAAGGAAGAATTGAGGCACATTTCTGGAGGATTCATGTAGAGAAAAATGCCTGAACTAATGAGGAAATGGTCTGCAAGACAGATAAACAGAAATGTATTGAACTTGGAGATTTCTTAAGATTCTCTTGGGCACGGCTTTTGCTGGTCATTTTTTTTTTCTTGCTGCGTGGTCCCAGCAAAGAGATCATTGTAAAAAATAAAAAAAACTTATGCATCATCTTCGCTCCACTGTTCTCTCTATAGCATGCTGCTGTTGTCTGGAAAGATGCTGTGGGAGAAGGACAAGAGAGTAGTCAACCATCAAAATACGTGTCTTTTTGTATTGTTGAGTAAACAGAGAAAAATCTAATTGGCCCCAGAAAGAAATAAGAGCATATGCCAAGAACAGAGGAGAAATGCATATTTCTGAAATTGACTTTAATGTAGTTTCTTCATGTTCTCAGTAAGGAAAATTATCTGTGATAAAAGTGTAGGTCATTATAAAGACTGTAAAAGCAAAAAGCAAAATTGAGAATAGCTGGCATGAAAAATGTTGGCAATGGTAAAAAACCAAGCCAAAAAAAAAAAAAAAAGTGGAAAGCTTTAAAGAACAGGTCTGACATATCAAAAATTGAATTAGTTATCTAAAGAACATATTTGTGAACCAATCACAAAAAGGAGAGAAAAGAATAAGTAGATGAAAGTTGTAAGATAGGAGAAAAGATCTTGGATGTATAATTTATCCTTCTATGATATACAAGGAGAAAATGAAACAACTGAAGGAAAAGATGTAATCAATCAAGTATATGGAGGAACCAAAGGATTTTATGGTGAGAAAAACATTACCTTCTGAATTTTTAGAAGCAGGGGGCTTATCAAGGTTGAAGACAAAATAAAGAAATTATTTGCACCTGGTTGTAATTGGGTGATCATTTTACTGGCATTCATATTTAAAAAAATAGAACCAACAGAGTGGTACAAATTTAAAGTGGCTATAGATTTCTTCATAGTTATGTAACAGACCAGAAAGATAATGTGATATCCACAGTTGCGGAGTGGAAAATATTTGACCCCAAATGTCCATGCCCATCACAGATATTTAGGATTCATAAAACTTAGCTTCTAGGGGTAGTTCCTGAAAATAGTACTTGAAGTCTGAGCCATTTGAAAGGTGTCAAAATTACTAATATAATACAAGAAAACAGATCAGTCATGGCTGTGGAAATCATAAATATCAAAGATTTTCTCATCAATTAAAATGACAAAATAGAATGGCGAAAGGCAACAATCTTAACAAAATCATTCATGTTGTTATCACAATTGTATAGTTTACAATTCTAGACAAAATCGACAATGTCATTTTAGATGTAGGTTTAGAAAATGAAGGTAGAGTAAGATAAGCCATTCATTTTCTATGAAAGGAAAATATCCAGATTGACAGCATAAAATTTTTGATTCAGTAATTCTTCAGAATGCTGAAATGAAGACATTCAATTAGCAAACTAAACACATTATCTTTAAGAAGAAAATCAATGAGCTAAAGAGCAAAAAATATTAAACAGATGGATAAAACCAGAAAATATATGTAAGTTATTCTTTGTCTTTGATTGTATTAAAAATACGTCCTGATTTTTACTATTCTGTCTGTAATTCACTGGGCTTTTTGAACCTGTGGATTTGTTTATTTCAAAGATCTGGAAAACTCTCAATTCTATATATATGTATAAAGTTATATAATTAATTATGTATGATAATATATATTTATGTTAATTATATTTATATAATTAAAATAAAATTGAGAGTGAGAGAGAGACAGAGCGAGAGATAGAAAGAGGGAGCTGAGAGGATGACTTTATTATAGGAATTAGCTCATGCAATTATGGAGGCCAAATCTCATAATATGCTGTCTGGAAGCTGGAGACCTTGGAAAGCTGGTAATATAATTTAGTTCGAGTTTAAAAGCCTGAGAACCAGAGGACACAATATCCCAGGGCAGGAGAAGATGATGTCTCAGCTCAAGAAGAGAGAGAAAATTCACCTTTCTTCTCCCTTTTTGTTCTATCTGGGCCCTCAATGGACTGGACAGTCCCACCCACATTCGTGACGGTGTGTAAATCTCTTCCAGAAACACTCTCACAGACACACCCGGAAATCATGTTTTACCAGCAGTCAGACAGCCTTAGCCTAGTCAAGTTGAAACATAAGATTAAATCTCACAGCTGGAATGTGACTTTATTTATTTATTTATTTTGGTAATTTTTGCTTTTTGCAGGGATTCCCTCAATCCCTGTACACAATGAAGTCAGATAGGACAAAAGAATATTGTGTAAGTTTTGTCTTCTGAGATCAGTTAAAAATTATTGACCTTCCAATAATAAATAAAATAATTTAAAATGTAATTGAAAAAGGTATAAGATTTTCTATTTAAAAATAGAAACTTTTTTTTTTAGATAAAAAGTATCCAAAAATGATGTATTGAATTTCTGACCCTCAGTATCTCACAATGCAACCTTATTTGGAAATAGGGTCTTTCCAGAGGCCATCACATTAAAATGAGGTCATTAGGTTGGGCCCTAATCCACTATGACTGGCGTCCTAACAAAGAGGGAAAATTTAGACACAGAGGCAGACACACGCAGGGAAGGCAAAGTAAGACACAGAGGGAAGAGATGGCCATGTGACTAGAGAGCTGCATCTACAAGCCAAGGTTGATGGCCACCACTGGGAATTAGGGGAGGTGAGGAAGGATTCTCTTTTAGAGGCTTCAGAGAGAGCATGGCCCTGTTGACACTTTGAATTCAGACACCTGGTCTCCAGAACTATGAGAAAATATAGTTACTGTTTTAAGCCACCTGGTGTTTGATACCGTGCTACAGCAGCCCTGAGGAACTAATACATTGAGAGATTTAGATTCCCTCACCCCCAGCCCTGTTTGGAAATTCTCTATGTGGTGTTTCATTGGGTTGGTTTTATGTGTTATATCACCTTCAGTGAGGTGGGCAGAATTTTCTGTTCAAAGATGATGACCATGTTTAGACTACTGGAAAGGAAACCCAGAGTGACAGTATTTTATTTTGCTTATATCTTTTTAAATTTTTTTTTAATTTTTAACTTTTGTGGATAAAAACCTACCAATGAACAAACCAGACACAAAGATTGCCAAATGCTCTTTGAGGTTAATAGCATCACCAGTGGAGAATTACTGGGGTAAAATGTATTACAATTACCTTACATTGGGCAGCATCATTACCCAATGTAAGGGGTGGCTGTCATGTGTGTGTACCAGTCTGGGAGCTGAGGAACGGGTGATCTATTTTGGGGGAAAGGAAGTGCGTCAGGGAAGGAATACATGTTTGTGTGACACATGGTCAAAAGCAAACTATTTGTATTATAGAAAACATACATATACAATATAAAGCATTCTCATATCCCTTCCTCATTTCAAGCTTAGAGATTCAAATTCTGAATGGCATTTTGGATCTGGAACTATAGGTTGATGTGAAGGAACCAGGCAGGAGTCTACAGATAGAATCCAAGGAAAATAGACAGGCTAAAGGGAGGCTTAGAGAGTGATTATAAAATGTAGCAAAGCGTAGTGAGGTTTGAGGTGAGGGTGGCAGTAAGAGCACCTGAAGCAGCTGTCGCCTGTGGGAAGATGGTGAGCTGGGCTGCAAAAGAAGAGAAGATTTAAACACTTCCAGCAACAGACACATACCCCTCCCTCCTTGGTAGTCTTATATAGAGAAATTGAATAAAAGACCGAAATGCTTCTAATATCATTCTGATTGATGTGTGTGATTTGTTGTGTGTCAGGGAAAAGCTATACCAAGACTCAGCTTCAAGGATACTTCTTAAGTAAACGATTGCTATTAAGAACATGAATGCCATTTTCATCAAGATGACTTATATTTTTGAAGACACATCTCTGTACTAGAAAACCTCATATTAGGGACATGACATTTTTGTAGTTTCGCCTTTATTGGCTGTCCGTTCAAATGAAAACACACAAGGAAAAATTGTATTTGAGCATTTTCCATACAGGCAACACAATATATCTTGTAGGCAGGATAATTACTATTAAGTATTTGAAACCTATGAAAATTACTTTGAAGCTGACTTGACCATTTCAGAAAAATGATTATGTTAGATCCAAAATGAAAGCAGATACTAACATTTTATTGTATGCTTTATTTCTGTATATCACAAATAAATATTTTACTTATCTGATATAAAATTATACATTTAAAATTATGTCATAGTAAGTTAGAAGCAGGCATTCCATTAACATAAAATAGTCAGAAATATTGCTTGGCACATGCCTTCATATTTTTATGAATATTAAAATATTTATTTTCTGTTTTTGTGTATATTAAGGTTCTGGGCTCTTGTCTCTCACTGTGTGTACTGCTGTGATTGATTTAGTAATGTGCCTGGAAATAGCACTAATAATTCCCTTAGCATATTATAAGGTGGTTATAGAACGAAGATCAAAATATATTGTATTTACATGGCATTTAGAATGGAAATTTTTTAGCTCGGATCATATTGAAAATTGACCTTTAACTTGCAAACTGGTTGGTATTAAGAAGCCCTATCTCAATTTTGGTTATATTATTAAAACTTAATTCAAAATGTGTACACTCTAAAATTAAACTTTATTATCCTTTACCTAAATGCACTGACACTTGTTTTTTAGTAAAGCATGGATCATTTCCCAAACACTGGGGCTTAGATGTTATGTTAAAAAGTAAAATGACTTTTGTGTTTGCCTATAAACGTATAGTCATCACTCTGTAAGGTTCTAAAGAAGAAGGTGTTTGTCTTTTAATTTGTATAGGACTGCTGAGATCTCTCTAGGAGAAAATCACCAGCTTTTCAGAAAGCAGTAGCTTCCCCTTGTTAGGCTTGTTAGGTTTGCACTGTGTCAAAGCAGCTCTGTGAAATCACTGGGCAGGAGCAGGGTGCTTGTGGTCTCGCAACATTGAAATTCCATCTTTTCTCTAAATCTTTATGACAGGTTCTGGCAGGGGTGATGTAGAATGGAGAGAGGTATTTGCTTACAGCGGGTGAAAAATGTTTAAGAGAATAAAAGGAAAACTTTAAACAGTGTCAAGTCCAATAAAAGAGAGAGGACATCGGGGGCCATCCAGCTGCCCACAATCTGCTCACAGGTGGGCAACCAGGGGCAACCTGCGTGCAACGGGAGACACACGTTGGGCCACACAGTCCACGCAGCCAGGATCGAGGTAGCATGCAAGGAAGATGTGAACACAAATAAGCTGCCCCTGGGCCATCCCTAGTTGCCTACTAAAGCAGCAAACGCACTTAGGATGACCCAGAGCTTTACCCGAGACGAACTTATATTGTTATGGTAAGAGGGAAATGCTGAAAAAATTTGTCCTGGAAGAAGTAAAATAAATTAAATGGTCTGGAAATGTGAGAACAGTTTCAAATCTTGTAAATGTATATATTTTCAACTTGCTTTGATTTTCCCCTTACGTAGGTGAATGGCACCTAATTTTCTACCTTATTGATGTAACCTATCCTATATAATAAAAAGTACCTATCATATATCAAGACACTAATTCAAAACTATTCAAAATTGTATTTTGGGAAGTAAAGTTTATTATATGTTTTCTGAGGCCTAAACTGCATATGAATTAGCAGGCAAGAGAACATGGCTAGGATAGCTCAAGCTTTAGAACTTTTTTATAGTAAACATATAAGAATATTTTCCCAAGGATTATTTCCACAAAGGCTAAATCTGGTGTCCGATTCTTAAAGTAAATCACTCTAGGATACTAGAATATCTTAGAAAACCAAATTCCTATTGAATGATTTTTGTTATTGACAAGGTCATAAAATCCATTAGTATTTAATCCAACTACCACTATATTTCAGGTAAAGAAATGGAAATTTGTCATTAACAGAAGATAAAAACAGAGGGTGGAAGGAGGAAATTGAAGCACATTCTTGGACAAGAATAAAATCATTAAAATGTTAACAAAAGGTAAGAGAAAACATTGATTAATAGATTATATTGGAACAGCTGATCCAAGAAACCCTCTGATACAAGATTTAGGAATGAAATACCACAAAAATTCAGCATCAGAACCTAACCAGAGTTCTGATCCACTTCTATGTATATGCTAGAAATAATTAGATTGACAGAGTCTGGAAATGGGATTAGAGATGTTTCAGCCAGGGAGGAAAATAACTTCATGCAGTGTGAAAGGCAGGTAGTTTATTCCTCTAAGTGGAGTAGCTTGTCACCAAAAGCCTGTTTGTACCAATTATTCCAGTTCACATGAGCCAGTCTCTGCTGAGGATGCTACTTCACCACCAATTTACTGCACCTTGCAGTGGGTCTGAGAGGTGTCCCAGCTGCCGCCAGGCCCCTCCCTGGGCTGACAGCTGTTAACAGCTCAGAGCTGCAGTGATAAACAAAACATGAGGGAGCACTGTGACCTGCTGTTCTGTGTTCCCTTCTCCATATCCACAAGATGCAGTGCTGCTTCAGACAACTGCAAAATCCAAGCAGGAAGTGATATAAATGTTGAGAATGGATTCATTAAGTTGTTGCTTTTAGTTTTACACTGGCTGCAACCCTGTATGACTACATAAGTCTCAGAGAATGTAGAAAGTCTCACCTTAACGCTTGTTGTTGGTGATGGATGTATTGCAATCTTGTAAAATTCTTGTGGATTTCTCATAATTATTTTTGTAATTATAAATTGTTATATGAGTCATGGTTTTAAAGCCAAGCCCCTAACGATGTGATAGAAATCAGTTTTGGGGTGTTCAAGAAGACCAATGATCTGTTACTATAAACATTATAAAACTTGTTTCAGTTGGCAGAGAATGGAGATTACTTGGTTAAAATATTATGCATTGTTAGGTAAGACATCTTAAACTCCTCATTTTCTAATCATTTAAATACTAGAAACAAAATTCATCTTTCTTTATAAACTCACTTTATGAAATTTTCTCCATCATAAATGCTCCAAAATTAAGCAACATTAACTAACAAACTCATGTGTGTTAAAACTAAAAAAAGCAATAGTGGCAAATATGATTAATGAAAACAAATGCAAACTCAAACCCTGAAGTCTCATGTGGTTCTCAGAAACACATTTGAAATCCAGATTAACATTTTCAGTGCTCACTTAAGTAATAGTTAAAAAAAAAACCTAAACCACTGATGTTGAATCACTCCAGTTAGAGAAACACTTACCTCAAAGGTGTCACAAGGTTCTCACATCAGAGATTTATTTTTCAATGTTTATATTAGTATAATACATACAATTGAAGCATGTGATGAATGATGGGATTCAACTTTACTGGCTCTTATAACTCTGATAATCTAGAATAGAGAGAACTGATACATTTTTGAGGACTCCACACAAAAAATGAAACTTTAAAGACTGCACACATACAACGTAAAGACGTTCTCTGAGGCTAGGGAGGAGACATGAGCGGTATCTCTGTGTGTCCAGACAGAGCCATGGAGAGCCAGCCTTGATAGAAGTGCTCCAGTGGAAGGTCCATGGCCCTCTCCGGCTGCCTCATTAGAGACTTCTGTGGCCCAAGAGCACTGCAGGGAGCTTGAATGGGCCACACCACCAGGCACTACAGACCTCTTTGGTAATCTGTGGACCAACAGTTGAGCACATTTTCTGACTGTCATGTTTGGTGCTAGAGTTTGGATGTTTGTCCCCTGCAAACCTCATGTTGAAATTTGATCCTCGTTGTTGAAGGTGGTGCCTTATGGGAGGTGTTTGGGTCCTAGGGGTGGATCTTTCAGGAATACATTAATGCCCTCCCAAGGGTGAGGTGAGTTAGTTCTCACTCTGTGAGTTCTCAAGAGAGAGCTTCTTGTTATGAAAAGCCTGGCATCTCTGTTGTTCCTCCCCCACTTTTTCTCACTCGCTCTTTCTCTCTTTCTCTACACACACTAACTCCTTTTTGCTTTTTACCATGAGTGGAAGCAGCCTCAGGCCCTCATGAGATGGCCAGTCTTGAACTTCTCCAGACATCAGAATTGTGAGCCAAATAAACATTTTCTTTACAAGTTACCCAGCTTCAGGTCATCCTCTATAGCAACACAAAATGGACTAAGATGCTTGGCATTAACATAAGATATTTGGAATGTGTCACAATCCTATGGGGTAAGAATCAGGAACAACTGAAGGTGGAGTCAGAAATTAAGTTGAATGATAAAAAATAAAGCTCTGTGTGCTGTAGACATAATATTTATCAGAGGAACCCACCCCCAATATTTCAACGTGGGTTCTATTTTCCATAAGTGTCAGCCAGCTGAGAAATAAAGAGAAAGAGTACAAAGAGAGGAATTTTACAGCTGGGCCGCCGGGGGTGACATCACATATCAGTAGGACTGTGATACCCACCTGAGCCTCAAACCAGCAAGTTTTTTTATTAAGTGTTTCAAAAGGGGAGGGGGTGTAATAACAGAGAGTAGATACAAAGATCACAGGCTTCAAAGGGCAAAAACAGAACAAAGATCACATGCTTCTGAGGGAACAGGACAAACGGCAAAAGCAGAACTACTGATAAGGGTCTATGTTCAGCGGTGCACATAGACCTCCCCCCAGGAATGCATTCCTTTCCTAGGGTATTAATGTTAATATTCCTTGCTAGGAAAAGAATTTAGCGATATCTTTCCTACTTGCATGTCTGTTTAAGAAGACATGCTCTGTGCAAGAAGAAAAATATGGCTCTTTTTGCCCTACCCTGCAGGCAGTCAGACCTTATGGTTGTCTTCCTTTGTTCCCTAAAAATTGCTGTTATTCTGTTTTTTTTCAAGGTACACTGATTTCATATTGTTCAAACACACATGTTTTACAATTAATTTGTACAGCTAACACAATTATCACAGTGGTCCTCAGGTGACGTAAATCCTCATCTTACGAAGATAACAGGATTAAGAGATTAAAGTAAGACAGGTGTAAGAAATTATAAAAGTATTATTTGGGAACTGATAAATGTCCATATTAAAATAAAATCTTCACAATTTATGCTCCTCTGCCATGGCTCCAGCCGGTCCCTCCGTTCGGGGTCCCTGACTTCCCACAACAAATATTATCAATACAAAGCTGTCTAAATATTCTCCTCAGAATATAAAGAACTTGGAGGGATGGGACAACCAGTACAGTAATGTCAATGGAGAAAAATGATAAGACAAGTCTCAATCATTTTAGGAGATTTATTTGACAAAGTAAAGGATGCACCTGGGAGACAGGTCTATGCCTTTCTCCAAAGATGATTTTGAGGGCTCCAAATTTAAACAGGAAAGGACGGGATATTGAAAAGCACACAAGTTTTATGTGGGATGGGGGTAGAGAAAATAGTCATTCATGCCTTTGTCTGGCTCAGTGAATCTGCATTTTTACATAAGATAACATAGACAAAATGGGGCAGGGGAATAATCAGATATGCATTTGTGTCTGGTGGGCCAGGGTGACTGCACCTGTAAAGATGAGCTATCAATTTGCATTGCCATGGTAAAATTTTAACAGCTCAATAGGCATTTCCTTGTGGGCAAAATATGGGGGAGTCGTGTAGCTTTTCATTTTGTAGCCATCTTATTTAGGAACTAAAAGCAGGAGGCAGGTTTTCATGACCCAGTTTCCAGCTTGGCTTTTCCCTTTGGCTAAATGAGTTTGGGGTCCCAAAATTTAATTTCCTTTCACAGTAATATAGATTCGTTTCAATGAGTCACTAACTTAGAGCACACTCATTCATTTCCAGGAAACTCAACTTGGTCATCTCATGATCCTTTTCCTTTAGATCCCTGAGTTCAGCACTCCTAGCTTTCATTATTCTTTGAAGTAATGGTCTAATGAACAGACACTTCTCAAAAGAAGACATTCATGCAGCCAACAAACATGAAAAAAGGCTCAACATCACTGATCATTAGAGAACTGCAAATCAAAACCACAATGCTATAACATTTCATGCCAGCCAAAATGGTGGTTATTTAAAAGTCAAGAAACAACAGATGCTGGCAAGGTTGTGGAGAAAAAGGAACACTTCTACACTGTTGGTGGGAATGTAAATTAGTTAAACCATTGTGGAAGACAGTGTGACAATTCCTCAAAGACTTAGAAGCAGAAATACCATTTGACCCAACAACCCCATTACTGAATATATATCCCCCAAAATATAAATCATTCTATTATAAAGATACATGCACACATGTTCATTGCAGCTCTATCCATAATAGCAAAGACATGGAATCTACTCAAATAACCATCAATGATAGATAGAATAAAGAAAATGTGGTACATTTACAACATGGAATACGATGCAGCCATAAAAAGGAATGAGATTCATATCTTTTGCAGGGACATGGATGATGCTGGAAGCCATTATCTTCAGCAAACTAATGCAGGAACAGAAAACCAAACACTGCATGTTCTCACTTATAAGTGGGAGCTGAATGATAAGAACACATAGAAACATCGGGAGTGGGGGGAACAACACACTGGGGCCTGTCGGGGGTGCATGGGGAGACAGAGCCTCAGGAATAATAGCTAATGGAGGCTGGGCTTAACACCTAGGTGATGAGTTGATCTGTGCAGCAAATCACCATGGCACACATTTACCTATGTAACACATCTGCACATCCTGCACATAGACCCTGGAACTTAAAATAAAATTTGATGAAAAAAAGAAAAGTAAATTCGGATGGTACTGAATTGAGGTAACATCTCACTGTTTTTCCTTTTTAAAAACTCAATATAATATCAAACTTACATTATTGTTAGAAATCTATTTGGTTCTAAGAAAAAAAGTGAATCATCCATCTGATGTCCACAATCCAAGAACAAGTTCATCTGCTGACCCATAATTTCTACTAACGTAATTGCCCAAGGAATAGGGAATATCACAGGGCTCAGTTTAATTTCCAAAGAGAATACTGGAAAAAATTATGATGCATTTTAGTGTCAGTAAGGACAATTCAGTACAACTGAGCTGTGTTTCTGATTAAATATTGCTTTAACGAATGAGCTTTCATACTGGAGCTTGGAGTCAAAATCAAGTTTCTGTTTTCCACAGCAAGCAAAATAGGTGTTTTTTTTGGTTTTTGTTTTTTTTTTTTTTCAACCAGAGAGAATTTAATACAGGATATTGGTTAAACAGGTATGAGAGGACCAGAAGACTTAAAGGAACTGGTGAGGAGCCACAGAGACATTACTCCAAGAGCTGGGAAAAGAGGGGTGAGGTTGGGATTAGAACCTACAGCACTGGCTGAGGAGTCCTATGAACTGAGTCTGAGATGTCCTAGGTGAGATACTGTCTGGCTGGGGCTGGAACGTTTTGAGCTTGGAGAAGGCTTTGCTGAGCTGGGACCTAGACCTCTGAGGAGAAGTGCTTCTGAACAGCTTTTGGAGCCTCAGTCTCTCAGACAAGGGATCACAGAATTGGGACCCAGAATTCTGAGGAAAGAGCGGTGCCTCTAGGCTGGTGCTGATATTTCTGAAAATCACGTAGAAGCCAATTATGGCATTAAGGAAGATATCTGGAAATAGAACCAGTTGCTATTAAAATCCAAAAATCCTTCCAAAGGGAAGGGTCCTTACTGGGACAAACTTGGTAGGACAATAAGATCTAGGAAGCAACAAGCCCTTCTAAGCCTCCTGCCTTCCACTGTCTCCCTAGCACCCCCTGTCAGCATAAATTGACAGAAAGCTTGCTGGCAACCAAGTGTAGTTTGCAGTTCACCCCCAGCATCACAGAGCAGAGAATAGAGAGGTAGTTTGAGGAGGAGGATGTAATTACCCATCAGGTCCTTCCTGCCTGCTGCACAAAATCAATTCACTGAGACTATGGCATTGCAGTAAAGGAAGAGTTTAATTGATGCACGGCCTGCCACATTACCTGGAATGTGGAGTTAATACTCAAGTCAATCCCACTGAAAATTCAGAGGCTAAGGTTTTTCAAGGATAGTTTGATGGGCAGGAGACTAGGGAAGGAAGAATGCTGACTGGTTGGGGGTGCAATCGTAGGGGTGTGAAAACCAGTCCTTGTGTGCTGAGTGAGCTCCTAAGGAGGAACCACCAGAGGAGTTGCTGGTCCCAGCGGGGCCACCTGGTAGGCAGAAATGCAAAGGCCTGAAAAGACATCTCAAATGGCCAATCTTAGGTTCTACAATAGTGATGTTTTTGACAGGTGTAATTGGGGAAGTTGCAAATCTTGTGACCTCTGGAACAATGGCAGCAGTAGTTTCCCTCTCATCCTCCTAACCCGGTGGCCTCTCATTAGTTTTAAAAGGATGGTTTAGTTTTGGGGAAGGGCTGTTATTATTTAAACTACAGACTAAATTTCTTTCAAAGTTTACTTGGCCCACGCCTAGGAATGACCAAGGAAAGTGTGGAGGTTAGAAGCAAGATGAAGTCAATTATGTCAGGTTTCTCTTGTGATTTTGCTTAGGTGGTTTCAAGGATAATAGCATAATATCCCAATACTCAGTACAATCCACCATTTTGCACACTCAGCATCCATATTTAACTTTCCACATATATTTTCAATTCCATGCAACAATTAAAACAATTGCATTCTTTTGCCTAATAAGATGAAAATATCTTTTGTACAAATGACCATTTTCTTCCCTTCTCTCAAAAAAAAAAAAAAAAGTTGGGGGAGGAGGTAGAAAAAAAAAACAAAACAGGTTGCTGCTACACAATGTGGGCAAGAAGGAGGAATGTGTCTAAGATTCAGGGACTCTCTGGAACACCTCTCAAACTACCATGTCATGTAGGAAAAGTTCATGGAAAGCTACAGCAGGCAAAGCAAGGCAGAGCCTCTGAGGATCCAGACTCTCCAGTCATTGCACTGGGTATAGAAACCCACGATCTGAGGTGCCAGGAGGGGGCAGAGGACACATGGAATGGGTAGAGGAAGAAGGAAGTTATAAGTACTCAGTTACAGAGGCTAGGAGTGAAGCACCTACTATGAATCGTTTCTTGCTTGATGCAGGCGTATTTGTGTGTGTACCAATTTCTTACTTGTTTTCTCTTTATGTATGTGCCTGAGTATATGGGTGCATATCTATCGTTTATCTCTATGTCTATATCAATCTATCTATCTACCTATCATCTATCTATCTAATCTATCATCTATCTACTTGTCATCTATACACCAAGTTTTTCTACTTCTTTCCCCTTATCAATTTACATAAGGGTTACGGGTAACTTATTATTAGGTAACTTTATAATTTAGTTGTTAAGTTAAAGAGTAACTAAAATTAGCAAATGCTTCAACAGCTAGAGTTTGCAATAGGCTCTAGAGGTAGTTTCTAAGGAACATGATTCATCTAATGAATTTCAGGTGATTTTTTAAAATAATAAAGTGTATTAAATGGAAGTCGAAATAAATACTATTTTGTCCTTTGAAGCATCCCTAACATGTAACAGGTCTCTGATGCCTGGTGGCCCCCAATCAGTAGACGGTGAGTAAAGAAATGAACGTGGCACTACTTTAACTAAACACATTTTAGGCTGTATCTACGTGACGCTACATTTTCTCAAATGACAGCCAACTGAATTTTTCTGTTTTTATCAAGGCTCTTAAATTGATGTAAATACTGTTCAAGTGTGTTTCCCTGAAATTTTTGAATTCTGATAATACCAGTCTTCATAATCTATTTCTGTATGTAAATGTCTAAAATAAAATGAATTATAAATCTTCTACTTTACTAACTGTGTAAATTGACATATAACCACACCACACCTATGGATAAGGGGTCTGCATTTTTCCAAACCAAAAATCAGGAATTAAAATATTTGATCCCACATTTGAATGTTTTATGGAGGAAAGCAAACAAAATGTTTGAAATAAAGGCTTCTTCTGAAAACCAAGATTCTTATATGTCATCTTTTTTTTTTTTTTATTGAGACAGGATCTCACTCTGTTACTCAAGCTGGAATGCAGTGGTGCAATCATAGCTCACTGCAGCCTCAACCTCCTGGGCCCAAACAATCCTCCCACCTCAGCCAGCTGAGTAGCTGGGATCACAAGTGTGCACCACCGAGCCTGGCTAATCATTTTATTTTTTGTAGAGATGAGGTCTCCCTGTGTTGCCCAGGCTGGCCCTGAATATCTAGGCTCAAGTCATCCTCCTGTCTTGGCCTTCCAAAGTGCTAGTATTACAGGCATGGACCAGTGTGCCCAACCTATTTGTCATACACTTAAGTGACTTCTTTTTTGTGTTTGTGTTAATTATCCCTAATGTAAATTTAGTATTTTAGCTGAACTGTTAACACATTCAAGCTAAATAATACTGTATGTAACCTTCAGCTTAGACATCCTCAGCTGGCTGAGACAATTTAATACTTAGCAGTTGCAAAATGAGAATGACAAAACAAAGTCCAAAGAATTCATTTAAGTTATTTTGGGACTAAACATTTTTTTAAAAGGCAGTCAGGGAAAGGAACTGAAAGAGAGAGAGAGAGAGAAACAAAGAGATAGAGAGGGGAAATAATAAATATAGACAAGTTAAGTGTTTTGGAAGACTGAATTCACCAAATTCCCAGGAACCAAGAGTGCCCCCTCCCTCCCCAACTGTGGAGCTTGACTTCAGATTTTTTTAAAGTTTCTACTCAATAAGTGAATGTGATCTTACACTCTATATATTCAACTATGTATATCAGGTGACCTAATTGCTGGTTTTTTTTCTACCTCAATTATTTAACTCTGAACTTTAGAAATGAATTATTCATTTGATAGCCTGATGTTTAAACCATTATGCTCTCTTGTTCTTCTTAGTTGCTGCCTGTTTTCAAAATGCGCACTGTACAGTGTGTTATCCATTAACCACGTGTGGTGCTGAAGTAAATTAAAATGCAGTAACATTTAAAAATCAGTTTGGTGGCTACAGTACTAGGCAGCACAGATATAGAACGTTTTTGTCATTTCAGCAAATTCTACTGGACAAGACTTATTTAATTTCACCAAGAAATGACTTGGCTAAAGACAGAGTAATGAGAGGTCAGCAATGCAAAAACTGGGGAAAAGCTTTCCCTGCAGAAAGAACAGCCGATGTGAATTTTATTTAACAATCTCTATATGATAGGGATTATCATGTTCATATTGAAAAGAAGTTCATTGAAATTTAGAGAATTAAATAATTTGCCAAGGATTATAAGGCTATTTGGTAGTGAATCTAGGACTTGAGCTTATCTAATTCAGTGCTATCACTGTACTAGGACATGTTTTCCTGGAAGAGAGGAAACATTGATGCTGATAGGAAGATCTAGACTTTTGAGTGTGGGTGTGGAATGGGGAAAGGTATGGGAAGGAGCTGTGGTGATTCAGGAGTTCAGGCATCTTTTGATTGTGCTATTTACATATTTAGAAATTCCATTAGGGTTCCAAAGAAAGTAAATTTTCAATAGCTGCTGAGGTGGTGGTATGAGCGTGCATAAGTGTTGTCCAAAATGTTGAAATACAGCAAAAAAAAAAAAAAAAAAAAAAAAGTGTGTGGTACATTCGTTTAATGTCACATGAAGCTGAAGGCCAGGGGAATGTGCACAGTTCAATTCACTGTTTTTTATTGATTAAAGGTCTTGCACTAAGTTACATCTCATCTTGTAGAGTTTTCTCTGGTAGAGATAAAAACGATTTCTCTCTGGAGATAACCTTGAAGGTTATATATATGGCCTTTTGGGGGCATTAATCAGTTCTGTATCTGACCCAATAATTTTATCCTATCATTGCCTATTTATACCTAGTTTCTCAACTACTTTTTGAACTGGTCATAATATCTTACTAGTGCCCTTAATTAATGAGTTTAATAAATTTTTGACATATATTTATCTTTTTTTCTCACTCACATGATATTCTATTGGATCATCTTATTTTTATAAATGTCTTTTTTAAAGCATATTTTAAAATTACACATTAATAGTTTTAGAATTTCAACGAAGAAGCCCATGGGACTCATCTGATGGAACTAAGCAAACCGCATTTCTTAGGAAGTGCTTCTCATGGGCTGTTTAAGCTCAAGCACATTTTTTCTTATGCCCACTAAAAAGTGACTTTATCTTTGGGTCATATTACTAAACATGGTGTAAACCTGATATCCGTAGGTGTAGAGGGTTGCATAATCAGTGTCAGAAGTTTTGCTAGTCTGTAAAATGATAGCCTTGTT
Organism: Homo sapiens; assembly: GCF_000001405.40. Classification (NCBI taxonomy): domain Eukaryota; kingdom Metazoa; phylum Chordata; class Mammalia; order Primates; family Hominidae; genus Homo; species Homo sapiens. The sequence continues at coordinate 108,035,374 of NC_000013.11, read as the reverse complement.
GCCCGATGTCATGCCTATGTGACATAGTTGAATTTCTACCCTGCCTATCTTTAAGAAACAGGACACCTGTGATAAAAAGTTCCCTTTGTAACCAAACTAGCTGAGACACACTAGAATCAAGAGAGCTGACCAAACAACTTCAAGAAGACCTCAGAATTCATGATAATCTCATTTCCATGCTTAGTAGCACCCCCAGCGGTGTCATCACAGTTGACAATCGCCATGACAATGACGGGAAGAAGCCATAAAAGGGCAAAAAGGAAGGCAGCACTCTAGTTCTGAGAAGTTCACCACCCATTTCCAGAAAAGACATGAATATGCTTTCTCTTGCCTTTAACATCCAACTCCTTCATTAGAGAAACCCTACATTCTAACCCCCTTACCTCTCACTAGTCGAGATGCTGATTTGTGAGCCATGGCTCCCTTCTCATTTCCATGGCCATCAAATAAAGCCAACACTTCTTGACACTCACTTCTGGTTTTGTGTATTGGCTTTGTGACACCAAACAGGTGTCCCCCAACTTTTTGGGGACCAGCTTTGTTGGTAACAGTATATTACAGAAAGTGCTCAATTATGCAAGTACCAATTTTACATTGTAAACTATAAGTGACTTATTTTGGGTAAAAGTTATAATTATTATTGATGGTTGAGACTATATTAGAAGCTGTAGTGACAGAGACATATAGTTGTGTATGCAATCTATTAAGACGGGTTTTGTTCTTCAAAAGAGAAAAGTGTACTTTTGTCATAAGGTTTGGTGTTCCCAGAATAAAGCAGGGTGGTGACAAAGACCGAATGGATAAAGAAGTTGCAGAAGGTACACAGACAGGAAATGTTTATTTGCTTTCATTTATAATAACTTTAAATAATGAAACTGAAAAGAAGAAATGACATGAGTTAAATGTTGCCAAAGTTGACTCAGTTATTCATAAAAAGTAAAATGTTTGTGAAACTTTGTTACCAAATATGTTACTAATGCAAAACCAGAATTTAGTTTTTTTGTTTTGCCGTGTTAAAACTGTAAGCTGAGCTCAGAGTTCTTAACAATGAGTAATAAAGGTTATTAATTACCTTTTATGTAATCTTCCTAGGTAGCAGAGATTTCATATCTCACCAGAATATTTCATCTGTTTATCATTAACTGTATTGTGTCACCAGTTATTAAAAGGAAAAAAACTAATTAGCTTTCTCTTTTTTAAATGAACTAAAGTATCTTACAATCATACCCTCTGTTTCTTTGCTGCTTTCCATTGCTGAATGGTATTCTATTGTTTGGCTATGACCCAGTTGTTACCCATTCACCAGCTCAAGGACATTTGTTTCCAGTTGTTGGCAATTATGAATGAAACCACTATAGACATGCATGTATAGGCTATTTGTGAAAATCATGTTTCATCTTTCTTGGATAAATAAATATACAGGAGTAAGACTGCTGACTCATATGATGGATTAGTTTTCTGCTGTTGCCATAACACATGAACACAAACTTGGTAGTTTAAGTAACACCTATCTATTATCTTACAGTTCTCTAAGTTAGAAGTCCAACATGGATTTCACTGAGCTAAATCAAGGAGTCAGCAGGACTGTGTTTCTTTTTGTAGAATGTAGGGGAGAATCTGTTTCCTTGTTTATTGAATTGTGGGCAGAACTCAATTCCTTGCGATTATGTGACTGAGATCCCCAAGTCCTTTCTGGCTGACAGTTGAGGGTCATTCCCAGCTTCTAGAAGCATTTCTTGGCTTGTGAGGGAAATATTATGCCAGCCACAGTATTATAGCTTTTTTATGTTTTGATCTACGATGAATTTTAGTTAATTTTGTTCCTGGTCTGAAGTATTGATTGAAATTATTGTTTATGTGGATATTGAATTGTTCTGGCACCATTCATTGAAAAGACACCAAATAGATGAGCAACACCAAGTGTTGATGAGGGTGTGGAGAAATTGAAATTCTTGTGCATATATGATGGGAATGTAAAATGGTGTAGCCTCTATAGAAAACAATTTGGCAGCTCCTAAAAAATTTAAACGTAGAATTACCACATAATCCAGCAATTTCACTGTGGGGCATATACCCCCAAAAAACTGAAAGCAGGGACTCAAACAAATATTTGTACACTCATGTTCATAGCAGCATTGTGCACAACCAAAAGGTAGAAACAACCCAGGTTTCCACGAACAGATGAATAGATAACCCAAACGTGCTATGTACAAACACTGGAATGATATTCAATCTTAAAAAATGAATGACATTCTGATGCAAGTTACAGTATGTGTGAACCTTGAAGAAACTATGCCAAGTAAAATAAGCCAGACACAAAAGGATAAGTATTGTATGATTACACTTATCTGAGATGCCCATAATAGTCAAATTCGCAGATAGAAAGTAGAATAGGGGTTAACAGGGGGTAGGGAGATAAGAAGAATGAAGTATTCCTGTTTAACAGATACAGAGTTTTAGTTTGGGATGCTGAAAAAGTTATGGAGATAAACAGAGGTCATAGTTGCACAACGATGTGTAAATAATGCCACCCCACCGTATACTTAAAAAGGATTAAAATGGGAAAAATTGTTGTCTTTTCTCTCTGTGTTTCATTTTAGTTAATTTCTGTCACTAGCTATTAAGTTCTCTAATCGTTTTGTTTACAGTGTCTAATCTGTCCTTGGTATAATGCGATGCATTTTGTATCTTAGACATTGCAGTTTGTAGAAATATTGCTTTGGCTTTTTTCATATCTTTTCTGTCTGCACTTTTGTAACACATAGAATTCAGTTACAATAACTGTTTTAATGTCTGTTAATTTTCACATCTGTCAAGATTGAGAGATTTTCCCTCCTTTATGAGCCATATTTTTCTGTTTCTTTACGTTTGCTGATTTTTTACTGCATCCCAGAAGTTGTGAGTTTTACCTTATTCAGTGCTGGAGGATTTTAAACTCTTATTATTGACCTGTGTTCTGGGACATAAGTTGCTTATAAACAGTTTGATCCTTTCAGATATTGGTTTTAATACCTGTTAGGCAGGAGCAGGACAGTGCTGAGTCTAAAGCCAACTTTTTTCTATTAGTGAGGCAAGACCCTTCTGCAAACTCAATGCAGTGTCCCATGAACCATGGGATTTCCATTCTGGCTGGCGTGAACAGGCACTATTGACGGCTCTGTGGAAGTGCAGGGCTCTATTACCCCTCCTAATTCTCTTCCTAGTGGCTTATTTCTCTGGCCACAAGTCCTTTTCCCATATGCATTTGCTGAATAGATGAATACTCAACCGAATCCTCTGTAGCTCTCTGGAATTCTCCCCCTCTGGCTCTTTCTTCCTCTGCATTGTTTTCTGTAACACCTGGACACTGTGTCTCCTTGGTCTCTCAGTTCTCTCTCCTCAACTCAGTGTGTTTGCTGGGCTTCCGCTTCCTACACCACTGCCTGGAAGCTTTCGCAAAACACAAATATAAAGGACTCATAGGATTTCTTCAGTTTGTTTCTTGTCTGTCAGAGTTAATGTCCTTTTCACCTGCTGTCCGATGTGTTGAAAACAGTTACTGTATTCTGACCTGAAATGCAGGTCTCCATAAATTCTTTTAAAATTCTTGAATATGTAGCAGAAGAACTACCAAATCTCCAGCCACTGTTTCTTAAAGTGTACAGCTTGTTTCTTTTTATTTATTCATACTCCTTCTCTTCTCCCCACCTTTATTCCTTCTTTTCTTTCTTTAATTAGTATCAGTCAATGTTGGCCGAACCAACTATTTCTAAACAAGTCAAGATCCTGCTGTTACAAAAGTTTCACTGAAAATAACTGTCTGGAAAACACAAATGCTGTGAAACTACTAATAGAAAATTGCAATGTAAAGCTTTCTGTTTGCCATATCAATTCACCACTGGAGTAAGGTAGATTTTAACATTTCTGGTTAAAACGAAGTGAAATTTCTTAATTATTTTATTCATCAAAAATTAATGGATAATCAAACAACAATTTTCAGAACAGAAAAAAGCTACCAGAAACCAGAAAATTGATTCATTTTCATTAGTAAAACTAGAGGTTGTGGGCAACTATTTTATTTTATTTTCAGTTTCTCCTAAAGGACAAAACTCTGAAAAATACATTTAAAAATGTGTTGTTTTCTATTCATTTATTTAATTAGGGGAGGAAGAAAACTCCACAATCAAATGAAGTAAATTAGAGACTCCAAAACAAATGGCATTTTACCAAATGTATAATTCATTTCCCTCCCCAGAACTTGATCCTGTTAAAGTCCCAGAGATGAAGCATGGCAGAATTATTTAGCATAGTTTTTATCTTTTCTGAAAAGAAAAATCAGTCATGTTTAATTCACAGATTTAAAACTCTAGTGATTCTAGCTGACAGGAGAAATAAATGAATGCTTTCTGGGAAGGTATCACAGAAAAACCAGAAGAGACTTCAAGGGAGGAGTCCCCTGAGTCCAGGGTTGGCAGCAGGCATCTGATACTTGACACATCATTTGGGAGGCTCAGGGTTCACCTGAGGACTATTTCTCTCAACTACTGCTCGTATTTAAAAGCCCATATATTATAATGCATGGGAAAAAGAAAAAGGATCATATAGACTAATATAAACAAAATGGGACAATGGAATTTTTTCCTTTTATATGAGAGAAATGAAATAGAAAAAGATGCCTACTGATATGGTTTGGCTGTGTCCCCACACAAATCTCATCTTGAATTCCTATGTGTTGTGGGAGGGTAATTGAATCATGGGGGCAGGTCTTTCCTGTGCTGTCCTCGTGATAGTGAATAAGTCTCATGAGATCTGACGGTTTTAAAAAGAGGAGTTGCTCTGCACAAGGTCTTTTCTCTCTTTGCCTGCTACCATCCATTTAAGACGTGACTTGGTCCTCCTTGCCTTCCACCGTGATTGTGAGGCTTCCCCAGCCCTGTGAACCTGTAAGTCCATTAAACCTCTTTCTTTTGTAAATTTCCCTGTCTGGGGTATGTCTTTATCAGCAGTGTGAAAATGGACTAACACACCTACAAACTCTTCAGAGGGACCCCTTTTGACCATGTCAACAACCTTAATTTTGACTTGAAATCCAAACTGAAATCTGCATGAAAGCGTAACTCCTCTCTGGTGGTGGACTTATTTCTTATCATTGATTCAATTATGGAAAAGTGTTCATTTGGGTTCTGTCTGGTACACAATATGTAAACTTTGAATAATGATTCTCAGTTTATGCAAATTCACTTTTTCCTTGAAAATAAAAGTCAAAAAAACAAGGATTTTAAAAAAATTTTGGAATAATTTTAGATTTGCAGGAAAGCTGCAAAGATAGTACCATGAGTTTCCATATATTGCACACCCAGTTTCACCTGTTATTGACATCTTTCATTAGTCTGATGCATTTGCCACAACTAATAAACCAATATTGATACATTATAATAATTAATGATTATTAGTGATTAGTATTACTATTTTAATTGAGTATTGAGATAGTTATTTTGAAATACATTTTACATAATACATTAAATATTTATTTAACTCTCTTTAAAATATGGGGTCCTATTTTCCTTGTTTAACAAACCAAACTCAAGAAATACTAGTCATCTCTCTGTGTGACATTCTGAGGGCTAGGATTGCATTAGGTAACATGCTGAAGTCTGGGGGGTCATGCCAAATCTCTCTAATGTCACAATTCTCGGTATTTCTTTCCACTCCTGTTTCTTTCTACTTCAGGCCAAGGAGTAGAAAGGCCTGAAGTAGAAACGACTGAAAGTAGAAAGGTCTGAAGTAGAAAGAAGTAGAAGGGCCAAGGAGCAGAAAGGACAGAATGGCCTTTTCACCATTTAGTCAGCTAAAATACTACATTCCTTTTCTGGAGAAAAGTTCAAAATAGGAGAAAAGAAGAAAAGGGAGTCTTTTCATAGGTTTGAGATAATATGTGCACATTTTTTCACCACCCCACCCCCAACCCATTTAATGATTCTCTGGGCTGATGGAAGGGAGAGAATCAGCGACCAATGGGAATTGTGTAGAACTGGTGGAGTCCTGAAAAACAGCGCCCTGAAGTGGAGGTGGGGAGTAAGGAGAGCTGGAATGGACAAAAAGGTTTGTGAGATCTGAGAACGGAGGGTGTTTATGTGTGTAACGCCTTGGTTGGAGTCCTGGGGAGGTGAACAGTTTACAGAGGAATGGCATGGGCTTATATTCAGAAAGATGGACCAAAAGCAGACCTGAAATATTCTACCTTAACCCAGCAGTGTACAAGAGCAACAAAATAGTTTTCATAGCTTAAAGTAGAGTCCAATAAAGTAAGAGTCAGAAAGATGGACAGAATTTCCTGGTTGCAGTGTGGCATGAAATTATGAAATAACACTCTCTCCTCAGAGGCATAAGGAGTCACAGATCCTCAAGAGATCATAAGTCCACTCCGAATGATAAATGGCCAAATCCTAAAAGAAGCCAATGGCTGTCTCAGTAGATGCCAGCTGGGCCCTGTGACATCAAGGACAAGAAACCCTCCCACTTCTACCTCTGCATTGTCCTAGCATTGGGTTTGGCCCTGCTACCAGCCAAGATTCAATCCTCGAGGGGAAAAAATGGTATTCCCCATAGGACTGAGATTGCATTTAGAAGCCCAGTTGTAGAATTGAAGACTGAGTTTTATTTTACTTCATATGCCTAAGTTAGAACTGTACTGAGTATTTTATTTACAAATAAAAATTGAGGATTTTTTTTTGGTGTAGCTGTAATTATCTATATTCAGACCCAAAGTTCTTTTAATTGTTCATTTGTTTAAGTTATCTTTTATCACTTTCAAAGGCATGGGGTATTTAAAGAAGTGTTTAAATTTATCGTGGAACCATTTTTAGATGTTAAAATGTTCTGATTGCTAATGTGATTTCTTTCTGTGTTTAAACAACAGCTGTGCATGACTGTCCCATATTTTCCCTTTGTACTTTAATGATTTGAGCTACATCTTAAGAAAACGTTGGTACTATTCTTGCTGGCATATGTTATTGATATAAACAATGGTAACATGAAGTTCTGAAATTAAGTTAACTTGCGTTCGATATCTCTATACCTGTAAACATTGAAACTGGCAATTAAATGACCCATGTCACAGTCCCACAGAGAAGCGCCCAGGTTTGTGAAAATAAGTGGATAAAAATGACTCTCTAGATCAATGGTAGACTCATAGCCATTTTTCTAAGAGTCCTCATGAATGCATTCTGAAATGATATAAAGAATGTGGACAACTTTTAGTAATCCTGTCATTGTTTTCAATTTTCTATCAGTTGTACTGTGACATAGCACCTGGAAGATGGCTTTTCACTCACAGGAGCTTAAAAGAAGCCAGTTGTAAGAGTAGAAAACCATAATTGAGCACTTAATGTGTACCACTATGATAACATTGTCATGTATCAGAATATTTAATCATCACAACCAACTGTTAGGTTTTTAATATTCATCTTTATTGATTCTGTCCTAAATGCACCCACAAAGTTTTTGGACCAGAGACAGATTTTTTTATGATTTACAGCAAAAAACAAGCATGTGATTCCCCCGTGCTTTCGTTCTTATGCCAGGGCCATTGTGATGAAAGCCAGGTCAAATATCTTAAACACACCAAGTCTATATGGTAATCAAGGAATGGAAAAATATGAATTGTATCTGCTTATAGTGGGGAGTAAGGCAACTGTCTCTCTTCTCCCTTCTGAGAAAGTCTGTTTTGGAAACATGGTAAGTCCTATGTCTTCAGTTTCACAATTAAGAGATGCCTCCATGGTCCTGGGCCTCAGTATTGCACCCCCTGCCACCTCCCTCAAAATGTCCATGCATAACTCAGGAGGTGGGTGAGCCTCTCTGAAGTTCTCATTATCTTTAGAGTTGTAAATTAACTTCTAAGGCTGGTTTTTAATTCAGATCTCAAGTTTCAGTAAAATCTGTGTAGAAAGGCATAGATGTGTCAAAACATAGAAATACTTTCTCTATGACTTACACACACACACACACACACACACACAAAACACTATGTCATTTTACTGATATGGCAACTTAATTTAAAGGACTTATCCAGGGTCAAATTTTTAGTTATCAATAAAGCCAAGATTTTGGCCCCCATGTAACTTAAAAGCTCACATTCCTAAAGATTACAATGCCTTGGTTATTTATTGGTTAATAAATGACTGCATGAGTAAAGCAGCCATTCTAGCTGCCACAAATCAGCTTTTACTTCACATTCTTTTTCAGATTTCTCTCATGATTATGTAAAGCGGTAGTTGTAAACTATGGAGGAGTTTAATATAATTTTTTCATTCCAGAGAACGAACTCAGGGTTAGGAAGGAAATTTTTAAAAACTGAGTGAGGACATGTAAGAATCACTAAAACAAAAAATGAAAACTCAAGTAGACAGTTCGGGGAATCTACATAGGAGCAATAGAGCTAGAAAAATAGTATTTCCTGATCCCTTAAGTGGGGGATGTGATTTAATAGGTCAACTGACAAGCACAGTGTCTAGCATTTGTTTCACATAGCATAGATGTCCATAATTAACACATGAATGAGAAAATGAATACAAAAGTGGGACTTGCATACTAAATGCAAATGTTTTGCCTGTTTAATTTTCAAATGTCCTCAAGGACAATTTTAAGCAGAAAGCAACAAAGTAGATAAAGAACAAATAATATGTTTAAATGAATTATTGGTTTTATATAATAGAAGATCTCCTATAAAATTTATTTACCCATTTTATGATGCTTTATGCAGCTTATATCAGAGAAGACTAATATTTTCATAGTTTGCAGGATACTTTTGATTGACAGCATTGTTTTCTAAGGCTAAAAAGTAGGGAAAAAACAGATATTTAACTGATACCAGAGGTAGATCCTGGTTTTATGGGGCCTGCAGCTTAATTAATTTATACAACCAACTTTAAGAAAAAAAAATTAACAATAAAAACACAGGTAAAGGGACTTGAAAGGAACCTGAATAAATGTGTGGCCCAGAAGCTTGCACACATTAACATTTGACTCAGACAATTTAAAGATTATGTTTTATTCTAACAAAATCTTTTATTTCCAGGCAAATAGCACTTTAACCTACCTTTGTCTGCAATCCATACTGCTCTGAGACACCTAACACTCAGGTTTGAAGAACTGCAATCTCCAGTCTGCTGACATGGGTAGAATCTCGTTTGTCACCTGTATATGACAGCACCAATGAAATGGTGATTTGGCATTCTTGGCTTGTCAGTGTATGAAATACCATGTAGCAAAACAAAACTATGTTTCCAAAGGTATGAGTTACAAGACAATTTATTAAACATTTTTAAATAGTTTATGCTATGTAGTTTCTATAAATAAAAAAGTATCTGTATTTATTTGATGATAACAGTTGAGGCTTATTTCATTGTGTTTTTTTCCACATTTTTTACTTTCTAGCTTTTAATTTTTACTTTTTTTTAACATTTTCTAAATTTTCTACCATAAGCAAGCATTAATTTTATAAGTAGGAAGTTTATTTTGTTATTGAAACAACAGTGAAATGTGAGATAAATGTTAAAATCCATTAACTCAAAATAAATGAAGAACAATTATTTTGGTGAAATGATATAACTAGACTATGTGGTCAAATCAACAGTGAATTACAACCTTGAAAGAATGTGATATCGTGTCTTCTGCACAAATAAAATCTTGATAGCATATGTGAAAGAATTTATATATGTGAACCCATTTCCCATTCTTGATATGAAAAAAATTACAACTGCCCTATTTTTATTGCTTCTTCTTTGTAATAAACATATGACTTCTTTGCAATTGACTAAATCATGTAAATTCACTGCATGTTAGAAGAGATTAAATCAGAATCAGTTCTGCCTTCATTGCATAAACTTCCAGTTACATGATGCCACAGAAAAATTTCCAATCAGTTGCATAAATTTGAAAATATATTTTTTACACCATATAACCTCAACTTAGTACTAGCAATCTGTTACATGAGTTTCTAGTTTATATGGTGGCTTGATTTGTCAAGAAATACAATCACAGGTTTTTGTTTTTCATTTTTTGTTTTTTGTTTTGAGACAGAGTTTTGTTCTTGTCGTCCAGGCTGGAGGGCAATGGCGCGATCTCGGCTCACTGCAACCTCCTCCTTGTGTGTTCAAGCGATTCTCCTGCCTCCGCTTCCTGAGTAGCTGGGATTGCAGACGCCTGCCACCACGCCCAGCTAATGTTTGTATTTTTAGTAGAGACGGGGTTTCACCATGTTGACCAGGCTGGTCTCAAACTCCTGACCTCAGATGATCCACCTGCCTGGGCCTCCCAAAGTGCTAAGATTACAGGTGTGAGCCACTGTGCGGGGCCACAAGTTGTTTCTTATATCCTATATATCCTAATAAAGAATACAACTGCCAAGAAGACATTTGAGGGAGAAAATAAACATTGACTCTTTGTATCATAGTTATACTGCTTCATCTCAAATCCTAACAAGTTATTAATGTTTGTATTTTTAGTAAACGTAACTAGATGAAAACTACTAAAGTGGGCAAATAAGAAATGTTAGTTTAAAAAAAATAGAATGGAAGAAGATGTTTGAAAACTATAGCATTTATTAAATAGTAAATATTAAAATACAAAGTTTGAAAATATAGTCTATATGATTAAAGAAAAATAATAAAGCACTATCAAGATACTATCTCTTTTTTCACCCTGTTTGTTAAATGTATTATAAAAATGTGAAGTCATATCAAAGTTTATTAATAAAATTTAAAAATGGAATAATATGAAATTTGACAATATCACTTTAACCCCTTTCACAAGTTAAAATATAATAAATATTTTAAAACAAAATGTTAAAAAATGTAGTGATAATATGCCAGTTAGAATGGTGATCATTAAAGAGTCTAGAAACAACAGATGCTGGTGAGGGTGTGGAGAAATAGGAACGCTTTTACACTGTTGGTGGGAGTATAAATTAGTTCAACCATTGTGAAAGACAGTGTGGTGATTCCTTAAGGATCTAGAACCAGAAATACCATTGACTCAGTAATCCCATTACTGGGTATATACCCAAAGGATTATAAATCATGCTACTATAAAGACACATGCACATGTATGTTTATTGCAGCACTATTCACAATAGGAAAGACTTGGAACCATCAGTGCCCATCAGTGATAGACCGGGTAAAGAAAATGTGGCACATATATACCATGGAATACTATGCAGCCATAAAAAAGAATGAGTTCACATCCTTTGCAGGGACATGGATGAAGCTGGAAACCATCATTCTCAGCAAACTAACACAGGAACAGAAAACCAAACATGGCATGTTCTCACTCATAAGTGGGAGTTGAACAATGAGAACACATAGACACAGGGAGGGGAACATCACACACCAGGGCCTGTCGGTGGAGTGGGGGTAAGGGGAAGGGGAGCATTAGGACAAATACTTAATGCATGTGGGGCTGAAAACCTAGATGATGGATTGATAAGTGCAGCAAAGCACCATGGCACATGTTTACCTGTGTAACAAACCTGCATGTCTGCACTTGTGTCCCAGAACTTAAAGTAAAATTTTAAAAAGTAGTGATAATAAACTGTTAATTTCTGTAATATCAAAAGTATTCTTTGAGAATGAAAGGAAAAAATTAAAATCAGATTGAAATCTAAATCTGCACAGTCCACTATGGCAAGTGGTGGACAAAGTGTGGCCACTTAAAACATTAAAAAAAATTTCTACTTATTTTGAAAATTCTATGAAATATTCCTGCTCTATATTGCCAGTTTACAGAAGAGCAAATACAAATGCTCAATAAGTAAACAAAAAAAAAGTCCAGTTTCACTAGTAGTTTGAGAAACAGTGATTACAGTAACAAAGAGTATTACTTTACAATCACTGAATTGGCAAAACTTGAAAACAGTATTATTTCCTTTTCACACACATTTATTCACATATATGGATCAGATTACTGCATCCTCAGCCTTACCACAGAACTAGAAATCATCCTACTATTTTTAAATGCAAAAGAACAATCTTTATTTAATACCATTTTATAATGTGTGTGCATGTATGCATTAGATATAAATCTGTTCACAGTGATATCATTCCTGGAAACATCTCCCATAGGAATAAAAGTCCAATTACAAAATAACATGGATATGGGGATATTTATGAATGTCTTGGTTGTAATAGCAAAAAATAAAATAACGATGAAAGAAAAGAAAAAATGGACCCCCCAAAAAACCTCCAGAAACAATATAATTGCCTATCAATAGAGGGACACTTGAATATATTACCGTTACATTGTACTCACACCTTGGAATACTGGCAGCCATTAAAAACAATAAATTCAAGTATTTCAAGTTGACTTGGAATGATGTCAACAAGAAAGTATGAGTGGAAAGTGAAAGATTAAGAAAAGTATGCATGATAAAAACCCATTTCTTGCAAAGCAAAATGGCAAGTGTATATGCACATATATAAACAAATATATGCATACATTGTATGAAAATATATGCATATACATATATATAATTAGTTGAGCATGAAAAGATATGATGACTACATATTAGCTTGTCCATTTTGCTAACATGCTGTGAAGATGACGATAAAGATAGGCTGATGAAGATAGGAACATTGAAGCATAAAAGCACTTAAAAGATAAATAATTTGATTATTCATGCAATTATGTATAATTATATATACTTGTTTAAAGACAAATATGTATAATGGCATTAAAATAATTTAAAAGAAAATTAAATTTAAATCGTTCAGATTTAATTTTCTCTAATCAAAAATTTGTTATTTATTTTTAAAACAACAATTTTATTTAGTTCATGGTTCTGTGTGTTGGTTGAGGAGATCTTCTGTATGAACCAGGTTGACTGAGAGCCACTGTACTTGCTCAGGTGTCTATGGTCAACTGGAAGATTAGCTGGAGTGAAGCTAGGATGTCTTCACTTACAGTGATGGCAGCTAGCAGCCTGTTGGCTGGGGCTAAACTGACTGACTTTAGGTTGGGGTACCCGGGTTCTCTTCCCCATGGCCTCTCATCCTCCAACAGGCTAACTCAGGTGCAATTAGGGGGTGATGGAAGGTAAGACGAGAAAGAGAGAAAAAGTCCCAGTGCACAAATAACCTTTCAAATCTCATCATTCTGCAAATTGCTGTTGTTTGTTGATTAAAACCAATCACATGGCACTAAGCACCAGCACTGTTGGCATCATCTACCGCTTGTTAGAAATAAAGAATCTCAGGCCCCACTCAAGACATACTGTGTTGAATGAGAGTCTACATTTTTACAAGACCCCCAAGTGATTCATAAGCCCAATAAGGTTATAGAAGCACTGTACCTTTCTGTTATTTTTAACAAAAGATTTTTCCGCATCTATTGAGGTGACCACATGCACATGGTTTTTGTTTTTCATTCTGTTTATGTGGTGAATCACATTTATTGTTTTACCTATGTTGAAACAAGCTTGAATCCCAGGAATTAAGCCTACTTCATTGTGGCGAATTAGCTTTTCGATGTGCTGTTGAATTCAGTTTGCTAGTATTTTGTTGAGGATTTTTGTATCTTTGTTCATTACAAATATTGGCCTATAGTTTTCTGTTTTCATTGGGTCTCAGCAAGGTTTTGGTATCAAGATGCTGTTGGCTTCATAGAATGAATTAGGGAGGAGTTACTCCTCCTCATTTTTTTGATACAGTCTCAGTAGCAATGGTACCAGTTCCTCTTTGTACATCTAGTAGCATTTGGCTGTAAACCCGTCTGGTCCAAGGCTTGTTTTGATTGGTAGATTTTAATTACCAATTCAATTTTGAACTCAGTATTAGATGGCTCAGAGTTTCAATTTCCTCCTGACTGAATCTTGGGAAATTGTGTGTTAATCTATCCATTTCCTCTAGATTTTCTAATTTGTGTGTGTAGAGATATCATAACAGTCTCTGAAAATCTTTAGTATTTCTGTGGGATCTAATATAATGTTATTTTTGTCATTTCTGATTGTGTTTATTTGGATTTTATCTTTTTTCTTTATTAACTTAGCTAGTGGTCTATCAATCTTATTTAAGCTTTCAAAGAACAAGCTTTTGGTCTTATTTATTTTTATGTAAATTTTGGGGTCTAGATTTCATTCAGTTGTTCTCTAATTGTGTTGTTTCTTTTTTTCTGGTAGCTTTGGGGTTAGCTTGTTCTTATTTTTCCAGTTCTTCCATATGTGATGTTAGATTGTTAATTTGAGAACTTTCTAACTTTTTGAGGTAGGTGTTTAGCACTATAACCTTTCCTCTTAACTTTGCTTTTGCTGAATCCCAGAGATTATGGAATGTTGTATCCCTGTTTTCATTTCAAATAACTTTTTGATTTCTGCCTTAATTTTATATTTTCCCAAAAGTCATTCAGGAGGAAGTTGTTTAATTTCCATGTAATTGTGTGGTTTTGAGAGATCATGATATTGATTTCTATTTTTATTCCATCATGGTCCAAGAGTACGGTTGATATGATTTTGATTTTTAAAAAAGTTACTGATACTTGCTTTATGTGCAATCAGGTGGTCAATCTTGGAGTGTGTTCTATGTGCAGATGAGAAGAATGTATATTCTGTGGTTGATGGGTGGACTATTTGTACAAGTATATTAGGTCCAGTTGGTCAAGTGTCAAGTTTAAGTCCAGAATTTGTTAGTTTTATGCCTCAACGATCTGTCTAATACTGACAGTGGGATATTAACATTTTCCACTATAATTTTGTGGTTGTCTAAGTCTTCTGTAGTTCTAGAAGCACTTGTTTTATGAATCTGGGTTCTCCAATGTTGAGTGCATATATATATTTAAAATAGTTATGTCTTCTTACTGAATTGAACCGTTTGTCACTATGTAATGCCCTTCTTTGTCCTTTTTTTTTCTGTTGTTGGTTTGAAGTCTGTTTTATCTGATACAAGAATAGTGACCCTTGCTCTTTTCTGTTTTCTGTTCGTGAGATAGACCTTTCTACAACTCTTTACTTTGAGCCTATGGGTGCCATTATGTGTGAGATGGGTTTCTTGAAAACAATGGCTGGATGAGTCTTGGAGCAGAAAGGGCTCCCCTGCACCAAGATCCCTGCACAAGAGGTACGGGGAAACTCAGGCTGCTGAACCAGTCAAGCAAGTACTCTGACCGCCTGGAGATCAGCCTGGGTGTGGAGCAGAGCATGTCTCGTTGCCATGATTTATGTCCAGGAAGGGTGGGATGGCTCAGGCTGCTGAACCAGGTGAATGGGTCCTCCAAATCCTTTGAGAGCTGCCCAGATGTGGAGCAGAGATAGCCCTGCTGCACAGTGATCTATGTGGTGGCTCAGTGATCTAGGGTGGCTCAGGCTGCTGGTCCAGGAAAGCAGGTTCATATACCTGGATTTCTGCTTTTATCAGCCAGGCACCATCATGGGGGCTGTTTGCCAGTGTTCTCCTCCATAGCATCTGGGTGTACTTCATGATTCCTCTTTATTCCCATTTTTCTTCTTGAACTGAATCTCACAGAGTTGATCTTTATGCATTATCTTGCTATTTCCAAGTAGATAAAGCATGCTAAAAGCCTCTAATCTGCCATCTTGGGGAAAAAATCTAATCAAAAGTTTAATTCCATTTCTATTTTAAAACACCCAACTAAGATTATTCTTTCAGCATTTTGCTTAATTGCTTTATTTAAGTGTCAGTTATGCTTTTTCTTGTTTGCATAAAGGATTATCCAACACATCCCAGCAAAGGCATGATTTTATTTAGGTAACATGGTTAGAAGAATTAATATATTAGAACAGAACTATCTAGTAGAATAATAATGCAAATTGTAAAGGAGTGCCACATGTGTAATTTGAAATTTTTTGATAGATATATTTAAGATAGTAAAAGAAAAACATAAAAGTAATTTTAGTACCATACTTTATTTAGCCCCAAATATCTAAAACATTATTACGCCAACAAATAGACACCATAAATATTATTGAAATATTCCACATGACTTTTTGATACTAAGCCTTTAAAAACCAGTATATATTTCACATCTTCAGCACTTCTCAGTTTTACTGGCCACATAATAGTGTTCAATTGCTACTGTATTGGACAGAGTAGCACTAGAAAATTGAAAAAAGTTCAGCTGATTTTAAAAAGGTGCTGTAGTAAAGAGAATTGTTTGTGAAATACAGAGTAATAGAGAACTGTTAAATCTTGTTTTCTGTTCAGTGAGACACTGCATATATGTGTTAAACCTAAATAATTAACATAAAGGCTCTTAAAAAGAAAATAATGTTTATTCAGTATTGAACGTTACAATGAAATATGCGAATGTATTCAGGGAGGTAAAGCAAGAGGAAGGTTTTCAAGTGAAACAATTATCCTTGGCCACAAGGATCAATAATAAGGGAGATGTCAGTTCAAGGTTTGATAGACAGTTGCTGGGCAGACGTTTTTACAAAAGTTTTAGAGCTCTTGCTTCCATTTTTTGGTCTGAGAGCATAACAATGCCTAAGTTACACAGGAATTTCTGCTGCATTTTAGTGTTTATCTTATTCTACATTTTTTATTCCATTCTTATTTTCTGTTGTTGAGTATAAACTTTCTTACCAAAAACTGATCCACAACAGATTTGCAACACATGTAATTCAACAAAGAAAAAAAATTGAGAAGTATTAATGTGTCTTTGTGAAATGTCTTTACTAATGCATCACTTTAAGCTTAGTTGCCCCAGGCGGTTCATTTGCCTGCAGAGAAGATTAGTAATGTTATAGAAGGAATACAAATAAAAAGTTTCTTCTGTGCAAAATGGAATTTGCAGCAAAACAATTAGCTGTGCAAGCTCATGTATTGTGTGGATAAAGACTGCCATTTTTCTTTGCCTATTCATCAACTTTGTGAATCAACAACCATGCTGAATGATATATGCCCTTAGAATTCTCTCACATTGTAGAGAGACAGCATAGAAGTAGCGGGTATAACATGGATGGAATTTTTTTAAAAACTGAGAGGCCATGAAAGTGAATAAGGAAGGGAGGAGATGGAGGAAGTTCAATTTCCTGATGCACAGAGAGAGGGAAATACGTTGTACAATTGAGGTTTACATTTTAGACCTTGGGTTAGTGGTTTCTTCAATGGCAATCATATACCAACCTGGGGAACAATCTCTGCAAAGTACACGAGGCACTGTAACATGGACAAGGAGAGGGAGATTTGGGGTATGTCTTTCCATATTGCCCCTAGTTCCTATGTGGAATGTACAGGGGTTACACTTTACTGACTGCAGTAAGATGACTGTAGTTAGGGATGGGAACTGTGCTGCTTGGACAGGGACAGAATCGAAGTCACATCCAGAATCCAGAGGAAGGCACAACACCTGTGTGAAGTCAAGTGTGAGCCAGGGTATTGGGGGAACCCACCCCCGGAATTTCAACATAGGTTTTTTTCTATTTTCCGTAAGTGTCGGCCAGCTGAGGAATAAGGAGAGACAGTAAAAAGAGAGGAATGTTACAGCTGGGCCACCAGGGGTGACATCACATATCGGTAGGACCGTGATGCCCACCTGAGCCTCAAAACCAGCAAGTTTTTATTAAGGGTTTCAAAAGGGGAGGGGGTGTAAGAACAGAGAGTAGGTACAAAGATCACATGCTTCAAAGGGCAAAAGCAGAACTACTGATAAGAGTCCAACAAAGATTACAAGGCAAAGGGCAAAAGCAGAACTATTGATAAGGGTCTATGTTCAGCGGTGCACGTATTGTCTTGATAAACATCTTAAATAACAGAAAACAGGTTTCAAGAGCAGAGAACCGGTCTGACCACAGATTCACCAGGGTGGAGTTTTTCCCCATCCTAGTAAGCCTGAGGGTACTGCAGGAGACCAGGGTGTATCTCAGTCCTTATCTGAACCGCATAAGAGAGACATTCCCAGAGCGGCCATTTATAGACCTCCCCCCAGGAATGCATTCCTTTCCCAGGGTATTAATACTAATATTCCTTGCTAGGAAAAGAATTTAGCGATATGTTCCCTACTTGCACATCCATCTATAGGCTCTCTGCAAGAAGAAAAATATGGCTCTTTTTGCCCGACCCCACAGGCAGTCAGACCTTATGGTTGTCTTCCCTTGTTCCCTAAAAATCACTGTTATTCTGCTCTTTTTCAAGGTGCACGGATTTCATATTGTTCAAACACACATGTTTTACAATCAATTTGTACAGTTAACACAGTTATCACAGTGGTCCTGAGGTGAGGTACATCCTCAGCTCACAAAGATAACAGGATTAAGAGATTAAAGTAAAGACAGGCAAAATAAATTATAAAAGTATTTGTGAACTGATAAATGTCCATGAAATCTTCACAATTTATGTTCCTCTGCCACAGCTCTACCCGGTCCCTCCATTCGGGGTCCCTGACTTCCTGCAACACCAGGGAAGCCAAAGAGCACACCTGGAGCATTCTCCAAATTGAAAGGAGGCAGCTCACGAGTGGCACCAAACATAGATAACTGTCAAGAATGACTCCTGCACAAGCCACACCCAGGAGGCAGGAGGAGGATTATACTTAGTTAACAACATGTAGGAAAAGAATGCTACCTGGAAATGAGGAAGTGTCATAAAATCTGAACCCACCCGTCATATCAGCCACCCACCTCCTTTCTTGCAACCAGCTACCACCTACATGAAACAATCAGAGTGCAAGAATGCTCATCCACTGGAGACAAACTGCCTAACGATCAGATTAGAACATACTTTAAACCAGGTTTGACCTTTAATTATGTTTTGCCTGCTCAGAAGGAAAGCCAGGTTACTGAAATAAAAATCCAAGGTAGTTCTTCTCCCTATTCTTTTTGTAATGAGAGTTAATTTTGCACTCAAATAGTAAAAGATATGAATGATTTGATGAAACAATAATCATATAATGTGAAATGTGCTGAAGGAAAGGTATGAGCTGCAAAACAAATGTTTGGCTATTTTTTAAGTGTAAAATGCCCTATTCCACAAGTTTTAACAAACATACGGAAAAGCACTTATGCAGTATAATTAAATAGCAAGATATAAAGTAAAATATAATTATGGGAAATAAAGTGTGTTAATTCCTATAGGACACTGTTACTAGTCAATGTGTACCAAGGAAATAATGTAATACAGAACCAATTACTGAGGCTTCATTGAGATACACTTCATTCCTGAGCAGCTCAATCTATGTCCAGTAATACAAAGTGCCTACTTAGACGAGAACATAATCTACTCAACATTCAGTATATTTGGTAATCTACTCATTTTCAGTATATTTGGTAATCTACTCATTTTCTACTAAGTTTAAGGATAATTATTGCCATAGAAAAATTGATGTCTAGTCATTTTTATAAGTTGCATAAGTGATATTTTCACTAAAATCGTATATCTATTTGGTAATGACTTAATCTTGTAGTT
The DNA here is from genome assembly GCF_000001405.40 of Homo sapiens. Lineage (NCBI taxonomy): Eukaryota > Metazoa > Chordata > Mammalia > Primates > Hominidae > Homo > Homo sapiens. Next base: position 108,015,983 of record NC_000013.11, on the reverse strand, counting down.
CTTCAATAAAGTCTAAGATCAAAAGATTAAAAAGTTAAGGAACAGTCTGGCTCTACTTTTCAGGGCTTAATCTTGGATAATTACAATTTTTAATATGTTTTATATTCAAGCTCTTTTCAGATTTGTATATAAAAGTTCATATTTATCAAATGTTTTTAGCTGTTTAGAATGTTTATTTTCATCAATAATCACTAAGCACTCTGCCAGATACTATATTAGATGATGAATAGACTGAAGATGATTCATTCTATTTACTAAATTGAAAAGGAATTCCCTTCTGTATATTCCAAAGCATGGACTCATAGTAGGATTTCAGAAGTGTTATTTATTTGTAACCATTTATTATGGAAATTTTAAATTTATTTCATGAAGGAGAAAGAAAAATACAACGAATCCCCACGTACCCATCACCCACCTTCGACCATGACCCATTCACTCTGTCCACTCTGGTTTCATCCACATTTCATCCACTTTCTCCATACTCAAAAAATTTTGAGACAAATCTTAGAGGTTATATAATTTCATCCAATAAAAATTTTTGATGTAGGGGGAAAGAACTAAATGCAGAGGACTCAGCATCCACAATCACAATTGTTAAATTTTATGATTAGAAGAGAAAGACTTCAGAAACTACTTCAGAATGTTTCTCATTCTACTTTGGCTTGAAACACATAGACTTGGAGATATTTCTAGCATGTCAGTGGACTACATTCCATAAAATCTTCTTGTTTAGAATAATAAAACATCAGGGCAAAATATTGAAGAATGTCCTTTTGTAAGCATAGATGTGTCAAGAAAATAAAGAAATATTCTGGGGTCATAAACAACATGAAAGTGAGAATTTAGTAAGAAAAACAGACACTAAAACTGCTGTTTGCTTGTGGTGGCATCTCCCAACCTAATGACCCAGAACTTTTGTCTTCATAGGATTCCATGAAACACATGTAGTGTAGAACCTAGGGCCAGCACAAAGTGGGCAGCTTGATCAGACATTCTCACAGAAAGCTGAGACACATGAGAAAAGACACAGCCAACACTGTTAACAACAGCAACATAAAAACAACAAAACCACCACAACAAAAACATCCTCTTTGTAGACGGTGGAGATAGCTACCTTTCTCAATCATAGTTCTGAAGGAAAATGTCTTTCTGAAAGTTTCTAACTACAATCCAAGCCCACTTTTGTGAAGGTTTGAAATGTCAATCAAAAAAATCTTTGTGGATTCCCCTCTAGAAAAACCCAAACTAAAATATAAGCTAATGCTAGGTTGATTTGTACTCATAAATATTGAAAAGAAGCAAATATAATTCCTGTGAGGCATAACTAAATTCAAGCCTAGGTTTCAAAACATTGGCACAGATAAGGTTCCAAAAATCAGAGGCTTCAAGAAAATAACAAAATAGCAAAATGCTAGAATAAATGCAAAACCGTAAGTGGGACTGTTTTGAAACACAAACTGGATAACCAGATTTTCAGACTACAATGTCAGAATTAACATTGAATTAAATGAAAATTCATTTACTTAGTATGTTTGAAGAGCTAAAAAATAAAATTGTCAGTAGTATTTCAAAAAAAGAGACAGCGAGGAAAAGACTATGAAAATGACCATGTAGGCCAGCTGTGGTGGCTCATGCCTGTAATCCTAGCACTTTGGGAGGCCAAGGCAGCAGAATTGCTTATGCCTAGGGGTTTGAGACTACCCTAGGCAACATAGCGAAACTACTGTCTCTACAAAAAATACAGAAATTATCCAGGTATGGTGGCTCGTGCCTGTAGTCCCAGCTACTAAGGAAACTGAGGTGGGAGGCTTGCTTAAACCCAGAAGTTCAGGGCTGCAATGAGCTATGCTCCAGTCTGGACAACAGAGAAATTCATTCTCTCTCTGTCTCCACATCTATCTATCTATCTATCTATCTATCTATCTATCTATCTATCTATATGTATTTATTTACCTATGTAGATATGTATATCTAATCTATCTAGATATTTATCTATCTATCCACATACATACATATAGTGGATTCTATAGAGAAAAAAGAAAAAAGATTAGAACTCTAGAAAATGTAAACATACAAAAAATTGGGTGAATATTTTAAAGAGCACATTAGATACCTGTAAAGAGAACATCAGAATAAACTATACAGAACTCAGAGCAAAGATACAAAAACATTAAATAACAGATTTTAGCAAATTGTAGGACAAAGCTGAAGACATAACATTTATTAAACCAATTTCAAGAATAAAGCATGGAGAGAATCAGGTAGAAAAACTTTGCAGAGAAAATAGTTGAGACTTTCCAGAACTGATGAAGGATACTGTATTAACTTTCTTTGTTTCTGAATGACTATTCTCATTTCCAAATTACCACAAACTTAGAAACTTAACAGGCATTTATTATCTTAAAGTTCTGGAGGTTAGAAGCCAAAAAGGGGCTTCACGGGGTTTCACGGGGCTTCACGGGGCTTGACGGGATTTCACAGGGCTTCACGGGGCTTCAGGGGGGTTTTCTGGGGCTTCACAGGGTTTCACGGGATTTCACAGTATTTCAAGGGGCTTCACGGGATTTCACGGGATTTCACGTGGCTTCACGGGGCTTCACGAGGCTTCATGGGGCTGAAACTGAGCTGTCTGCAGGGCTGCGTTCTTTCTGGAGGCTCTAGGAAAGAATGTTTCCTTTCTTCTCCCAGCTTTCAGAGACTGCCCACGTACCTTGACTCACTGTTTCCTTTTCCATCTTCAACACAAGCAGCATAGCTCTTTTCGACCCTGACGCTGACTCTCCTGCCTTCATCTTTCAATTTCAAAGATCCTGGCCTTTACCTTGGGCCCCCGCAATTAACCCAGGATAACCTTCACATCTCAAGGATTAGCAACCTTAATTCCATCTGCAACTTCAGTTTTCTTTTGTCATGTCATATAAAACATTTACAGTTTCTGGAAATTAAGACAGGGGCATCTTTTGGGGACCATTATTCTGCCTACTTAAGATACCAAACTTGTCATTCAGATATCCTAACAAATCGTAAGGAGAGTAACAGGCTACAAGTAGACACAGGATTTTCAAAGCAATAACGGAAGCCAGTTCAAAACCAGTAAAATTATAACTCCAGTATCAAACAACTGTCATCCTAGAATTTCATACCAAGGAAACTCTATTTCCAGAATATGGAGAACACAGGGACATAATCAGAAAAATAAAACCTTAATTGCCATAAGTCTGTCGTTAAAGAAATACCAAAAAAATAGTTTCAAAAGGAGGAAAAGGTGCAAGAAGCAAGGTCTGACATGCAGGAAAGCATAACACAAACCAAGAAAGAAGCAAACTGTGATTAAGTCTAATAAAATTGGCTGTATAAAACAAAATAGAGGAATGATCAAATCCATCATTATATTGGTATATTTTAAATTCGTTTCTCACAGTAATTGAGACTATGGACAATATAAATCAGTTCACAAAAAATGAGTAAACTTTCTCTTCAGAACACTTATAAAATGAGAATTACAAAAAGAAACAAGTATAAAAAATGACCACATGCTATGGCATAAATTATGTCTTAAACATTTCAAATGAGCTACATATCATGTTGTATTAGTGCGTTTTCACGCTGCTGAGAAATACATACCTGAGACTGGGTAATTTATAAAGGAAAGAGGTTTAATGGAGTCACAGTTCCACTTGGCTGGGGAGGCCTCACAATCATGGTGGAAGGCAAAAGGCACATCTTACATGAGGGCAGGCAAAAAGAGAATGAGAACCAAGTAAAAGGGATTTCCCTTTATAAAATCATCAGATCTTATGAGACTTAATCACTACCACGAGAATAGTATGGAGGAAACCGCCCCCATGATTTAATTCTCTCGCACCGGCTCTCTCCCACAACACGTGGGAATTATGGGAGCTACAATTCAAGATGAGATTTGGGTGGGGATACAGCCAAAACATATCACATACATAATTTATTCACCCACCAAAATGAAATGAAGACAGAATTACTAATAAAAATATAACTGTATAATTCTCATTTAATTGAAAAATTTTTAAAATTCTAACAATGAAAAAGAGACCTACATAGATATGTTAAAATACATTGTGTAAAACAATCATAAAATCATAAAAATTTATGAAATATAAATACATCTTAATCTTAAGAAGATATTGTGTTTTTTAAGAAGAAAATTAATGAAGTATAATCAACATAAAATGTTAGAAAAAGAATCACAAAATAAAAGCAAAGAAAAGAAAGGTAGATAAAGAATAGGCCTGCAATCCCAGCACTTTGAGAGCCCAAGGTGGGTGGATCACCTGAGGTCAGGAGTTCAAGACCAGCCTGGCCAACGTGGTAAAACCTTGTCTCTACTAAAAATACAAAAAAAATAGCCAGGCATGGTGGTGGGTGTCTTTAATCCCAGCTACTTGTAAGGCTGAGGCAGGAGAATCGCTTGAACCCAGGAGGCGGAGGTTGCAGTGAGCCAAGATCTTGCCATTGCACTCTAGCCCGGGTGACAAGAGTGAAACGTCATCTCAAGTAATAATAATAATAAAGATTAATAAAATGGAAACCAAAACAAACAAAAACCAGAGAAACAATAAAACATAAACCAGTGTCTTTGAAAAGACTATTAAAATGAAATATGTTTTATGATTAATCAAGAAAAATGTGAAAGTGGCCAGGTGAGGTGGTTGATGTAAAATGTTAGAAAAGGAATCACAAAATAAAGACAAAGAAAAGAAAGGTAGATAAAGAATAGGCCGGGCACGGTGGCTCATGCCTGTAATCCCAGGACTTTGGGAGGCTGAGGCGGGAGGATCACTTGAGGTCAGGAGTTTGAGACCAGCCAGACCAACATGGTGAAATCCCGTCTCTACTAAAAATACAAAAATATTATCTGGGTATAGTGGCTTATGCCTGTAATCCCAGCTACTTGGGAGGTTTAGACAGGAGAATCACTTGAACCCAGGAGGCAGGAGGTTGCAGTGAGCCAAGATTGCATCACTGCACTCCAGCCTGAGCAACAGAGTGAGACTCTGTCAAAAACAGCAACAACAACAAACCCACCACCAACAAAAACAAAAGTGAAAGAAAAAGTAAAATAATTAATATTAGTAATATAAAAAGGAACAATATTATAGATCCTGAGTAACTTGAACAGATAATAAGAAAATATTAGAAGAAATACCTTTATGCCAATATATTTAGAAACAAGAAAAAAATGGAAAAAATTCTAGAAAAATATGTGTCAAAGCATTCAAGAACAAATAAAAATGGTACCTTTAACCTTTAGGAAAATTGCATCAGTAGTTTAAAATATTTCTATAAATGAAGAAGCAGTAATACAAAGGTTTTATAGCCAAGTTCTTTCCAAAATGTAAAAAAAAAAGATAGTTCTTATACAAAGACTTTCAAAATATATAAAAAGACCACTGAAACTCATTAACTTAGTATAATATTAACATAAAAGTCTGACAAAAATTTTACAAAAAGACAAAATATAGGCTAGCAAACATGCATATATAAATACTAAACAAAATAATGGCAAGCTGAATTCAGATATGGGTACAAATTATATCAGAATTGGATTAATTCCTGAAGTGAAAAATTAGTTCATCATTAAAATACATATAAATGTATTAACTGATGCATAATTCAACGATTATAGTAACAGCATTTGATAAAGCAACATATCAATTTATAATAATTATTCAGAGCTAAAATAATACTTGGGCTACTTTTTACCTCAAAAAAGATATCTACAAAAATGCCAATAGTTCATAATACACTAAATGGTAAAATTTAAAAATATTTCCTTTGATATCAGTAATGAGTCAAGACAACCAGCTCTCACCCTTTCTATTTAACATTGTGCTGTAAATACTAGCTAGCGAAATAAGACAAGAAAAATAGATGAAAATGAGAAGAATTGTAAGGTAAAAGGGAATTCATCATTATTCAAAGTTGCTATACTTGGTACATATGGAAATAAATACAAAGAAAGATGATAGGACTTTGGGTTTCAGCTTCAACATATAGAGTTTAAAGTCATCACTCTCATTCTAGCAAAGGAAAAAGCTAAGAAGACTGAAATTCAATGACTTTTCTTCAATCTTTCAGAATTCAGGTCACCACAAAGTCTACAGAGACAGATCAATAAGGGAATTACAGCTAAGATCAGCTTACCGAAAGCCGAAGTCGCTAGAGCCACAAACTAGTCAGAATATGTGTATGGTGCCTCTGAAGAATTCTTAGAGAAGAAGTGGGCTAGCCTGAAAGTGAGATACTCCTGGGGGCTAAAGTTTTATGGGGGCCCCCACGCTTCATGGGTTTTAGCTCCAGAATGTTCTCCCTCATCTCCCAACCAGGTATTCATTAAAATAAACCAAAAGAAGTTTGCACTAGGAACTATCACAGTTAAACTTCTAAAAACTAAAGACCAAAAGTCTTGACAGCAGCCTGAGATAAATACCATATTACCTAGATGTAACACTGATTTTAAAAACAGTGGATTTCTCATGTGAATCTGTGAAGACCAGAAGGAAGTAGCACAACATTTTTCAAACACTGAAAGCAGAGAACTACCAACCATGGATTGTATATCAGCTACAACAATCCAGCAAGAATGAAGTAGAAATAAAGACATTTTCAGACAAATAGAATGTAAAATAATTTGTCAATTGCAGATCTATCCTTAAAGAATGGTTACAGAAAATTCTTTAAAAGGAAAGGAAATGGTGAAAGAAGAAGTCTGGAAACATCAGGAAGAAAAAAAAAAACAGCAACAGAAGGAGCAGAACTGTGGGTAAATACATAGATTATCCTCATCATAGGTTTTCTAAATCATATGTAGTGATTAAAACAGAAATTATACCATGATCTAAAATGTATGTGATGATTGAAATAAAAATTTTAACGCAGTCTAAGAAATTATAATTTTCAAGACAAAGCAGGAAGGTAAAATAGCCTCAATAGAAGCAAGTCCTAAATACTTCACTCAAAGTCATAAAACTTGAATGTTTAGGCTGTGATAAGTTATATATTTATATTGTAATAATATTGTAATACTCAGAATAACCACCAAGAAACCTACACAAAGGGATAAACATTATTTACAAAGTCAAGATGAAATTTTAAAAATATGTTCCAGTAGCACAAAAGGATGAAAGAAAAGAAAACAGAGGAACAAGAAAAAGAGAAAGCAAGCAGAAAACAATTTTTAAAATCTTCAAACTTTTTCTGGAAGAAAATATTGCATTTACATATCCAAAAAGGGATTGGTATCTAGAATACATAAAGAACTCTCAAAACTCTACATTAAAAAATCCAATAGCCCATCCAGAAAATAGGCCAAAGTCCTGAAGAGACATTTCAATTAAGAGGATATACACATGTCAAAGGAGCACATGAAATGATGTTCAACATCATGAATGACAGAGAAATACAAATTAAAGCCAAGATGAAGTCCAGGAGCAGTGGTTCACGCCTGTAATCCCAGCACTTCGGGAGGCTGAGGTGGGTGGATCACCTGAGGTCAGAAGTTCAAGACCAGCTTGACCAACATGGTGAAACCCTGTCTCTACTAAAAACACAAAAATTAGCCAGGCCTGGTGGTGTGTGCCTGTAGTCCCAGCTTCTTGGGAGGCTAAGGCAGGAGAATTGCTTGAATCTAGGAGGCAGAGGTTGCAGTGAGCCGAGATCGTGCCATTGCACTCCAGCCTGGGCAACATAGTGAGACTCCTTCTGAAAAAAAAAAAAAAGATGAACTATCACTGTGTAACTGTCAGAATGGTTAAAATCTGAAAAAAAAGAAGAAGAAAACAAAAATCTGACAAGAAAGCAGAGAAACTAGATAAATAATATATTGCTAGTAGGAATGTAAAATATTATGGCCACAATGAAAACAGTTTGTCAGTTTCTTAATAAAAATTAAATAGACCAGATGCAGTGGCTCACGCCTGTTATCCCAGCACTTTGGGAGGCTGAGTCAGGTGGATCACCTGAGGTCAGGAGTTCAAGACCAGCCTGGCCAACATGGTGAAACCCTGTCTCTACTAAAAATACAAAAATTCGCCAGGTGTGGTGGTGCATGCCTGTAGTCCCAGCTACTCTGGAGGATAAGGTACAGAATCGCTTGAACCCACGAGGTAGAGGTTGCAGTGAGCTGAGGTCGTGCCACTGCACTCCAGCCTGAGTGATGAGCAAAACTCCGTCTCAAAAAAAAAAAAAAAAAATTAAATATGCTGCTATCATAAAACCCAGTTATCACATTCTTGGATATTTATCTTTTATCCCAGAGCAGTAAAAACACAGGTTCTCAGGTTCACACAAAAACCTGTACTCAAATGTTAATAGTAGCTTTATTTATATTAATAAAAACTAGAAAAAAAACCCAGAGGACCTTCAATGGATGAATGGTTAAACAAATAAGATAGATCCATTCGACAGAACACTACTCAATAATAAAACAGAAGGAGCTCCTAATACACACAAAAACTTAATGAGCCTACAGGTAATTATGCTGAGTGACAAAAGCCAATTCAGAAGGCTACATGCAGCTCTATCCTCTTTATATAACATTCCTGAAACGACAAAATTATAGGAATTGAGAAAAGACCGCTAGTTGCCAGGGATTAAAAAGGGGATGGGGCAAGTGGGAACTGGATGTGGTTACAAAAGAACATGAAGAATCCATGTGTTGATGGAAATGTTCTGTATCTTGACTGTATCAATGTCAATACCTTGGTTATGATATTGTAGTATATTTTTGCAAGATGTTACCATAAAGGGGAATTAGGGAAATGGTATGCAAGATCTCTCTGTATTATTTCCCTCAAGTGAAGGTCAATCCACACTGAGTTCAAATTAAAATTTAATTAAGAAAACAAGACAAAACACTACTCACGCCCGAGTAGAAGAGCCTGCTGCATATGGGACTGCAGAAAGTTTAATATCTATGATATAAAGAATTATAATAATCGGCCAGGTGCAGTGGCTCATGCCTCTAAGCCCAGCACTTTGGGAGGCAGAGGCCAGGATCACGAGGTCAGAAGATCGAGATCATCCTAGCTAACACAGTGAAACCCTGTCTCTACTAAAAATACAAAAAATTAGCCAGTGAGGTGGCATGCGCCTGTAGTCCCAGCCACTCGGGAGGCTGTGGCAGGAGAATTGCTTAAACCTGGGAGGCGGAGCTTTCAGTAAGCCGAGATCACGCCACTGCTGCACTCCAGCCTGGGTGACAGAGCAAGGTTCTGTCTCAAAAAAAAGAATTATGATAATCGTTGAGGAAAAAATTAACAACTCAATAGAAAAAATGGGTAAAAATGTAAATAAGCATTTGGCTATCCTCAAATGTAAAAGAAAAAAAGAAAATTATATGAAAAGATTTTTTAAAATATTTAATTCCAATAATATAAAAATGAAAAACAGTGACACATTTTTTCCACACCTACCAAATTAGTCAATTATAAAAAGTCTTTTAAAGCCAAGTGTTTGTGAGGATATGAAATAAATAAAACTATTTTTCTGTTTCTGAAATTGTATACTGCTTTTCCCAAATTTTCGGTTTTGCATTAATGTGTGGCTAAAGTTGGACATATTCTATGACCTTGCAATTCCAATAATCTGTATATTCACCAAAGCACTGTTACAGATGTGTACAAGGTGACATCTACTAGAATGTTCTCAGCAGCATGGTTTACAGTAAAAATGGAAAGAAAAAAGTAAACAATCCAAATGTTCAAGAATGCATAAATTGTATCTTCAGAAAATGGAGTACAATATGACGATGAAAATAGATAAAGCACTTATATCACTTAAAAACAGATCCAGGTGTAGAATATGCAGTTTAAGGATTAAACATTTGGTGAAATATAAAATAGGAAAAAATGACTAAAACAAAACTGAAGCTATTTGTTACATTGAGTGAAGAAAGAGTGAATGCAATTTCAATATTCAGGAGTCTTCAAAAACACAGATAATTTTTAATTTCTTAAACCGAGTGGTAGGTACAAATATATCAATTAATATTATTCTTTAAGTATGTGCATATACATGTTATGATATGTCATACAAATATAACACATGTATGACATTTTGTAAATACATATATAGTTTTATAACATCAAAAAATATTAACATAAAGATTACAGACTTCGAATTATTACAAATCTGAAATTGAATTTCAATTCTGTTACATTTCAAGCATGTGATCTTGGGCCCTTATTAACCATTGTGAGTTCCTTTTTCCAAATTTCTTAATGACAAGTATATTTAATTCAAAACATAAAGAATTACTGAAAAAAATCTATAGTCCCTGGAGAAATGTTAATTTTTTCCACTTTCATTCATTCTGCCAATAATTCCTGGGAGGAGGTTCAGTGAGTAGGAAATATTCAACTAAAACACTTTTCTTTTCTAATGTTCCTATTTTGTTAAAAACTTTAACATAAAGAAATCAGGCTTGGCAGTACACTGATAAAAAATCCCGAAGGGTTAACTTCCTTCCTAGCGCCTGGGTTTTATGAACAGTACTGAACAGCTGAGGCGGAGGTGGGTGCTGCATGGCAGTTATTGGCTCTAGACACCACTTCCAAAATAGTACTCCCAAAGACTTTGTAATCAAACTATTGTTCCCTTTGCAGTAATTTAAGCTTTGTTCTTGTTATTTTGAAAGGAATTTAATTTAGATGGAAATTTAGTCTTTTAAGCAATTTGCCTTACACTGGCCCCTAAATTAAGACCTTAGAAGAAGTCTTTTAAAGTACAAACCACATTTCTTAATATTTCTACCACACATCTATAGCAATCTGTTCTTTAAATGCTTGAAATAAAATTAAATAGACGCACAGGCTTTGCCAAAGCAAAATATAAAAATTAGATTCTGTTCACTTACAGAATGTAAAGATAATATTTCTTAATACATTGTCATATAAGGGGGCGAACACCTTAAACTTTCTGATTCACTAGATATTAAATAGTTATTCTTATACAATAAAATAATTTTTTTTCCTAATTTCTGTGACTTTTCACTTTTTTCTTTTTGTCTTCTACAGTACCTGACTTCAACTATTTCATGATGCAAATATTTGAACTTCTCAAAGCTCTATGTTTTTTGTAAACTAACAGCAGGTGATATTACTTTGCCTTGCCCTTCAGACTAAAAAGCCTACACTAGTGTTTAAATGTGTTCCTGCCCGTTGTGAATAATTACCCAATTTACAAATTTCAGTGCACTTAATAGGCTGTGTCCTCCTTATTTACCTTCAAAATTACAGGTTCTTCTATAATATTGTCCTTTTTACTCAAATGATATAGTAACATGTATTTGTATGTGTGCTGAGGCGCAGAAACCAGTGAGCAACGATCCTACCCTTCCATGATATATAAGCACACTTTAGATTATAGACACAGTTTTATTTATAAAATTCTATTTTGCAGTGACTCTGCTGTATGAAAGCCAACAATTGGGGAAAAAAACCTCTAAGACTAACAATAAATTAGTTGAATATATATCACTAGGAAAGCAGGAAAAAACTATTTAGCTTAGCACCAAAAATATAGTGGCAACAATATGAGATAATTTGAGTATACAGTCAATAACCTATGGTCATATGGTTGCTGATAAATCCTGGATTGGGAATTCCTAGCAGAGAGGGTGGAGCAAGATGGCTGAATAGAAGGCTCCACTGATCGTCCCGCCTGCAAGAACACCAGCTTTAACAACGATCTACACACAAAGAAGCACCTTCGTAAGAACCAAAAGTGAAGTGGGCACTCACCATACCTTGTTTTAACTTCATATCACAGAAAGAGGCACTGAAGGGGTAGGAAAGATAGTCTTTGGTTACTGATGCCACTCCTCCCTCAATCTACAGCAGCAGCTGCATGACACAAAGAGAGAATCTGTACACTTGGGAGAGGAAGAATGCAGTGATTGTGAGACTTTACATTGAACTCAGGGCTACCCTGTCACAGCGAAAAGCAAAACTAGGCTGAACTCCGCAGACACCTGTCCACAGAGGGAGCATGTAGAGCAGCCCTAACTAAAAGGAAATTGCACATCCCAGCAGTGGGAACTTGAGTTCTGGCAAGTCTTGCCACTGTGTGCTAAAGTGCCCTGGGGCCATGAATAAACCTGAAAGGCAATCTAGGACACAAGGACTGCAACTCCCAGACAAATCCTTGTGCTGAGCTGGGCTCAGAGCCAGTGAAGTTGGAGGGCACATGACCTACTGAGACACTAGCCTGCAGGCTAAGGGAGTGCTTGCACACCTGCTTCCACAGCTCCAGGCAGCGCAGCTCATGACTCCAAAAGAGACCCCTTGCTTCCACTTGAGGAGAAGAAAGGAAAGATTAAAGAAGACTTTGTCTTACATCTTGGATACTAGCTCATCCACAGTGAAATAAGACACCAGTCAAAGTTGTGAGGCCCCCATTCCAGGCTCCAGCTCCCAGATAAAATTTCTAGACATACCCTGGACCAGAAGGGAAGCTGCTGCCTTGAAGAGAAGGGTGAAACTCTGACATGCTGGCCTCAGGTGAGACCCAGACCATCGTGAGCTGCGTTGGCTACGGTGAGAGACTTCTGCTTGAGAAAAGTGAAGGGAAAAGTAAAGTGGACTTTGTCTTGCACTTCAGGCACCAGTTTGGCCACGTGGTTTAGAGCACCAAGTGGGCTTCTGGTGTCCCCAGTTCTAGGCTTTGGCTCTTAGATAGCATTCTGAATCTTCCCTGGGCCAAAAGGGAGCCCCACTGCACTGAAGGGTGAGTCCCAGACCAAGCAATAGTCTCCACAAGCTAACTGAAGAGAGCTTGGATCCTAAAGGAACATCAGTGGTGGCCTGGTAGTACTTCCTATGGGTCTGTGGTGGCAGTGGCCGTGGGGTGAGGATCCTCTGGCTGTGGAAAGGGGAGGAAAGAGTGGGAAGGACTTTGTCTCATGGTGTGAGTGCCTAGCTCAGCCTCAGTACAATGGAACAACAGGCAGATTGCTAAGGCTTGTGACTCTAGTATTTAGCTCCTGGCTGGTATCTCTGAACCAACCCTGCCTGGACCAACCTGTTACCTGAAGGGAAGGACACACGTATGGCTGGCTTTGCCATCTGCAGATTGTAGAGCCCTTTGAGCTTTCAGTGAACATAGGCAGTAGTCAGCCAATAGTCACTGCAGGCTGAGGATGAGAACCAGGACTCTTCTGGTTTTGGTTCTGACCCAGTAAAGTCCCACTGGTGGTGGCCACAGGGGTGCTTATGTCACTCTACCCCTAGCTCCAGGTAGTTTAGCACTGACAGATAGACTCTGGGGGAAAGTGGAGGAAGAGAATAAAAGTCTTTGTCTGGTAATCTAGAAAATTCTTTTGTTTCTTAACCAAGACCACTGTATTAGTCCATTTTCACACTGCTGATAAAGAACATACCTGAGACTGGGCAATTTACAAAAGAAAGAGGGTTAATGGACTCACAATTCCACCTGCCTGGGGAGGACTCAAAATTATGGCCAAAGGTGAAAGGCACATGTCACACGGTAGCAGACAAGAGAAGACAACATGTGCAGGAAAACTCCCTTTATAAAACCATCAGATCTTGTGGAACTTATTCACTATCACAAGAATAGCACAGGAAAGACCCATCCCCAAGATTCAATTACTTCTTACTAGGTCACTCCCACAACACATGGGAACTGTGGGAGCTACAATTCAAGATGATATTTGGGTGGGGACACAGCCAAACCATATCATTCCACCCCTGGCCCCTCCCAAATCTCATGTTCTCATATTTTAAAACCAACCATGTCTTCCCAACAGACCTCCAAAGTCTTAAGTCATTTCAGCATTAACTCAAAAGTCCACAATCCAAAGTCTCATCTGAGACAAGGCAAGTGCCTTCCGCCTATGAGCCTGTAAAATCAAAAGCAAGTTAGTTACTTCCTAGATACAACAGGGGTACAGGCATTAGATAAATACACCCATTCCAAATGGAAAAAATTGGCCACAATGAAGGGCCTAAAGGCCCCATGCAAGTCTGAAATCCAGTGGAGCAGTCAACTATGAAAGCTCCAAAATGATTTCCTTTGACTCCATTTCTCACCATCCAGGTCACACTGATGCAAGAGGTGGGTTCCCATGGTCTTGGGCAGCTCCACCCCTGTGGCTTTGCAGGGTATAGCCTCCCTCCTGGCTGCTTTCACAAGCTGGCCTTGAGTGTTTGTGGCTTTTCTGGGCACATGGTACAAACTGTCGATGGATCTACCATTCTGGGGTCTGCAGGATGGTGGTCCTTTTCTCACAGCTCCACTAGGCAGCAGCCCAGTGGGGACTGTATGTGGGGGTGCCCATCCCACATTTCCCTTCCTCACTTTCCTAGCAGAGGTTCCCCATGAATGCCCCGTCCCTGCAGCAAACTTCTGACTGGACACCCAGGCATTTCCATTCATCCTCTGAAATCTAGGCAGAGGTTCACAAACCTCAATTTTTTTTCTTTTAAATGAAGTCTCATTCTGTTGTCCAAGCTGGAGTGCAGTGGTGCGATCTCAGTTCACTGCAACCTCTACCCCCATGTTCAAGTGATTCTCCTGCCCTAGCCTCCCGAGTAGCTGGGATTACAGGGTACTGCAACCATGCCCAGCTGATTTTTGTATTTTTAGTAGAGAGGGGGTTTCACCATGTTGGTCAGGCTGGTCTAGAAATCCTGACTCAGTGATCTGCCTGCCTCAGCCTCCCAAACTACTGGGATTACAGGTGTGAGCCACCATGCCCAGCCCCAAACCTCAATTCTTGACTTGTGTGCACCCGCAGGCTCAACACCACGTGGAAGCTACCAAGTCTTGGGGCTTGTACTCTCTGAAGCCATGGCCAGAGCTGTACCTTGGCATCTTTTAGTAATGGCTAGTATGGCTGGGACACAGGGCACCAAGTCTCTAGACTGGATACAACAGAGGGACCCTGGGCCCGGCCCATGAAACCATTTTTTTTCCTGTGATGGAAGGGGCTGCCACAAAGATCTCTGACATGCCGTGGAGACATTTGCCCTATTTTCTTGGCGATTAACATTTGGCTCCTTGTTTACATATGCAAATTTCTGTAGCTGGCTTGAATTTCTCCTCAGAAAATGGTATTTTCTTTTCTATCACATTGCCGGACTGCAAATTTTCCAAACTTTTATGCTGTTTCTCTTTTAAAACAGAATGCCTTTAACAGCACCCAAATCACCTCTTGAATGCTTTGCTGCTTAGAAATTCCTTCTGCCAGATACCCTAAATCATCTCTCTCAAGTTTAAAGTTCCACAAATCTCTAGGGCAGAGGCAAAATGCTGCCAGTCCCTTTGTTAAAACATAACAAGTGTCATCTTTGCTCAAGTTTCCAACAAGTTCTTCATCTCCATCTGAGACCACCTCAGCCTGGACCTTACTGTTCATGTCACTATCAGCATTTTGGTCAACGCCATTCAACATGTCCCTAGGGAGTTCCAAACCTTCTCACATTATCTTGTTTTCTTCTGAGCCCTCCAAACTGTTCCAACTTCTGCATGTTACCCAGTTCCAAAGTAGCTTCCATATTTTTTAATATCTTTTTTTTTTTTTTTTTTTTGAGATGGACTCTCGCTCTGTCACCCAGGCTGGAGTGCAGTGGTACGATCTCGGCTCACTGCAAGCTCCACCTCCCGGGTTCATACCATTCTCCTGCCTCAGCCTCCCAAGGAGCTGGGACTACAGGCGCCCACCTCCACGCCTGGCTAATTTTTTTTTTTTCATTTTTAGTAGAGACAGGGTTTCACCATGTTAGCCAGGATGGTCTCGAAGTCCTGACCTTGTGATCCACCCGCCTCGGCCTCCCAAAGTGCTGGGTTTACAGGCATGAGCCACTGCGCCCGGCCATTTTTGGATATCTTTACAGCAGCACCCCACTCTACCAGTACCAATTTACTTTAGTAGTCCATTTTCACCCTGCTGATAAAGACACACCCAAGATTGGGGAATTTACAAAAGAAAGAGGTTTAATGACTCACAGTTCCACATGGCTGAGGAGGCTTCACAATCACGGTGGAAGAGCAAAGAAAGTCTTACAGGATGACAGACAAGAGAAGTTGTGTAGGGAAACTCCACTTTATAAAACCATCAGATTTCCTGATACTTATTCACTATCACAAGAATAGCACAGGAAAGACCAGTTCCCATGATTCAATTACCTCCCACCAGGTCCCTCCCACAACATGTGAGAATTGTGGGTGCTACAATTCAAGATGAGATTTGGGTGGGGATACAGCCAAACCATATCAACCACCAAGGTGGTATATCTATGGATCTGCAAGAACCACAGTGTTACTGGGCTTGGGATGTCCCCTGATGCAGATATTGCTTAGATCACAACACACAAGTTCTTTGAAATACCCTAGAAGCCATCTGAAGAATGATAGGTACAAATAAGTCCAGAATACAAAGACTAAAATAAGGTGTGGTGACTCATGCCTGTAATCCCAGCAGTTTGGGAGGCTGAAGTGGGCAGATTGCTTGAGCTCAAGAATTTGAGACCAGGCTGGACAAGATGGCAAACCCTGTCTTTACAAAAAATACAAAAGTTAGCTGGGCATGTTGGTGTATGCCTGCAGTGCCAGCTACTCAGGAGGCTGAGGTGAAAGGATTGCTAAAGCCCAGGAGGTCGAGGCTAGAGTGAGCCATGATCACACCATTGCATTCCAGCCTGGGTGACAAAGCAGAACTTGTCTAAAAATAAAATAAAATAGAATAAAACCCTAACTTCCAATGCCCAGGCACCAACAACATTCACAAGCATCAAGACCATCCAGAAAAGCATGACCTCACGAAGCAAACTAAATATATCACCAGGGGCCAATCCTTCAGAAACAGAAACGTGTAACCTTTCAGACAGTAAATTCAAAATAACTGTTTTGAGGAAACTCAAAGAATTTCAAGATATCACAGAGGAGAAATTCAGAATTCTATCAGACAAATTGAAGAAAGGAATTATTAAAAAGAGTCAAGCAAAAATTCTGGAGTTGAAACATACAATTGACATACTAAAGAAGGAATCCATCTCTTAATTGCAGAATCAATCAAGCAGAAGAAAGAATTAGTGAGCTTGAAGATAGCTATTTGAAAGTACACAGTCAGAGGAGACAAAAGAAAAAAGA
The DNA here is from genome assembly GCF_000001405.40 of Homo sapiens. Taxonomy (NCBI): domain Eukaryota; kingdom Metazoa; phylum Chordata; class Mammalia; order Primates; family Hominidae; genus Homo; species Homo sapiens. The sequence goes on along the minus strand of NC_000013.11, from coordinate 107,998,841 downwards.
ATAAAAAATAATGAAACACATCTACAAGATCTAGAAAATAGCCTCAAAAGGGCAAATCTAAGTTATTGGTCTTATAGAGGAGGTAGAGAAAGAGTGTGGGGTAGGAAATTTATTCAAAAAGATAATAACAGAGAACTCTCCATATTAGAGAAATATATCAAATTTCAAGTACAAGAAAGCTATAGAACCCCAAGCAGATTTAACCCAAATAAGACTATCTTAAGACATTTAATAATCCAACCCCAGAAGGTCAAAGATAAAAGATTCTAAAAGCAGCAAGAGAAGATAAACAAATAACAAACAAAGAAACTCCAATATGTCTGGCAGCACACTTCTTAGTGGAAACCTTGTAAGTCAGGAGAGAATGGAATGACATATTTAACATGTGGAAGGAAAGTAACTTTTACCTAGAATAGTATATTTAATAAAAATATATTTCAAACATGAGGAAATACTTTCCCAGACAAACAAAAGCTGAGTGATTTTGTCAACACTGTACCTGTCCTATAAGAAATGCTAAAGGGAGTATTTTAATAAGAAAGAAAAGAACGTTAATGAGCAATGAGAAATCATCTGAAGGTACAAAACTCACTGATAATAGTAAGTACGCAGAAAATCACAGATTGTTATAACTTATCTTACATAGAAAAATTAAAAGATGATCCAATCAAAAATAACAACTACAACAACTGTTCAAGACATATACAGTAAGGTATAAATAGAAACAACAAAAGGTTAACAACAAGGAGAAGAAGTCAAGGTGCATAGTTTTTTATTTCTTTTCTTTTTGCTTGTTTGTATCTTTATACAAACAGTGTTGTTATCAGCTTAAGATAATGGGTTATGAGACAGTATTTGCAAGTTTCATGGTAAGGTCAAACCCAGAAACACTTACACACAAAAAATACAGTTAGAAATTAAATCATACCACCAGAGAACAGCAGCTTCGCTTACCGGAAGGAAGACAGGAAGGAAGAAAAATGTAAGAGAAGACCACAAAACAACCAGAAAACAAATAACAAAATGACAGAAGTAAGTCCTTACTTAAAAATAACTTTGAAAGTAAATGAGCTAAATTCCTCAATCAAAAGATGCAGAGTAGCTGAATGATAAAGAGCAAGATCCAGTAATCTATTGCCTATAAGAAATACACTTCACCTATAAAGACAAACAGGTTGAAAACAAAGGGATGAAAAAAGATATTCTATTCCAGTGAAACCAAACAGGCCAGGAGTGGGTATACATATAGCAGACAGAGTAGATTTCAAGACAAAAAACCATAAGAGATGAATTAGGTCACTATATATTAATGGAATCAATTCAGCAAAATGAAATAACAATTATAAATATATGTGCACCCAACACTAAAGCTAAACAGATAGATAGACCTCAATACAATAATATCTTGTGAGTTTAACACCACACTTTTAGCATTGGATAGATCATCCAGACAGAAAATCAACAAAGAAACATCAGACTTAATCTGTACTATAGACCAAATGGATCTAGCAGATGTTTACAGAATATTTCATCCAACTACTGCAGAATACACATTATTTTCATCAGAACATAGTCATTCTCAAGGATAGACCATATTTTAGGTTGCAAAACAAGTTGTAAAACATTTGAAATAATATCAAGCATTTTCTATGACCACATGGGATAAAACTTGAAATCAATAAGAAGAGGAAATTTGGAAACTATACAAACACATGGAAATTAAACAATATGCTCTTGAATGGCCAGTGGATCAATGAAAAAATTAAGAAGAAAATTGAAAAATTTCTTGAAACAAATGAAAATGGAAACACAACATAACAAAACCTAAGGGAGGGAAACAGCAAAAAAGTACTAAAAGGGAAATTTATTATGGTAAGAGCCTACATCAGAAAAGAAGAAAAACTTCATATAAACAACGTAATGATGCATCTTAAAGAACTAGAAAAACAAGAAAAAACCAAATCTAAAGTTAGTAGAAGAAAAGAAATAATAAAGATCAGGGCAAAAATAAATAAAAGTGAAACAAATAAATAATACTAAAGATCAACAAAACAAAAAGTTTGTGTTTTGAAAAGTTAAACAATATTGACGGCTTCTAGCTAGAGAAACTATGAAGAAAAGAGATAAGGCCCAAATAAACAAAATCGGAGATGAAAAAGAGAGATCACAACTGATACCACAGAAATTCAAGGGATCATTAGTGGCTAATATGAGTAACTATATGCCAATAAGTTAGAAAATCTAGAATAAATGGATAAATTGCTAGATGCATACAACCTATCACAATGGAACCATGAAGAAATTTAAAACCTAAACAGACCAGTAATAACTAAGATGATCAAAACTGTAATAAAAAGGCTCCCAGTAAAGAAAATCCAAGAACCTGATGGTTTTACTGCTGAATTCTAGCACACATTTGAAGAAGTGCTAATACCAATCCTACTGCAACTCTTCTGAAAAATGTGAGGAGGGAGTGTTTCCAAACTCATTCTATGAGGCCAGTATTACCCTGATAACAAAACCAGACAAAGGCACATCAAAAACAAAAGAAAACTACATGCCAATATCTATAATAAATATTGACGCAAAAATTCTCAACAAAATAATAGCAAACTGAATTCAACAATACATTAGAAAGATCCTTCATCATGACCAAGTAGGATTTATCTCACTTATGCAAGTATGGTGTAAATCAATCGATGTGATACATTATATCAACAGAATGAAGGGCAAAAACTGAATGATCATTTCAATTGATGCTGAAAAAGCATTTGATAAAATTCAACATTCCTTCATGATAAAATATCCTAAAACAACTGGATATAGAAGAAACACACCTCAACATAATAAAAGCTGTATATGACAGACCCACAGTGAGTATCATACTGAATAGTTAAAATCTGAAAGCCTTTCTAGGATCTAAAACATGACAATGATGCCTGTAGTCACCACTGTTAGTCTACATAGTACTGAAAGTCCCTAGTAGAGCAATAAGACAAGATCTTAGAGCAATAAGACAAGATGCTGGAGCAATAAGACAAGATGCTTGATGCTATACCAGGGCAATTAATAAGGCCTTTTGTACATCCACTAGATGTTGGTCTTGGCATAAGCATTAAATATAGGGAAAGTTAACCCATCTCCACAATACAAGTTTATTCCAATGAGGACAAAATGCTACCTTCTAATTGCTGGAAAGTCCAATATAATCAACTTGCTAAAAAATGAGTGGCTAGCCCTTCTAGACATGAGGTTATACTGGGGACCAAAAAAATTTGTCTCTGCTGTGGGCCCATTAACTATTGAACAGAACAGTGGCGGTCTTCAGAGCAGCCTCAGTGAAGGTGAGTCAATGTATGGAGTCTATAAATAGTACCCATTTCTGCCATCATAGACATTTTGTACTTTGGCCCATTGGTTACATACTGGGTGGCTGGGGACAGAAGCTGGGTGAGAGCTCCTGGGCATTTTTTTTTTTTTTTTTACACCTGAGTAGACAAATGCCCTTTGATGAACAGTCTTCCCACTCTGTACTTCATCTGGCAGGTCCATTGACATACACCTTTCCCATATTTCCTCATGGCAGTCATGAAATTTCGTTCTTCCTAAATTCCTAACTATTCAGCCAATAGCCATTGACCACGAATCAATATGGAGTTATAACTCTTGCCACTTTTCAATCCACAGAAAATGAACAATTAACTATGCAGCTAGAAATTCTGCCCACTGGGAAGATTTGTCCTCACCATTACTTTTCAGGTACATTATTGAGAGGGCTATAATGTGCAGCACTCTACATCACATTGAGTGTTCACTGTTCTGCAAAGGCGCACATTTTTATTCCTCAGTCAGATGCTCACATGGAAATCCACAGAAGGCCACATGGCTAGATTGAAAGCGAGGAGAAACACATTCAAGCCAAAAGTTCATGCACACTAATTTGGACCTCCTAGATCTGCTCAAGCCTGGTCTCCTTAATATTATTTCCACATGATGATGGATTGCTGTTGAGTATACCCAGTCTCATGGTATCATCCTCTCATGATAGGCAACAGTTACTTAAAGTCCTATGGGACTTGCACTGAACCTCTAGTAGAACTCAGGAACATGGGTATATGCAAAAAAGGAGATGACTGTTTTGCCAAACATCTAGGGGTCTGTACTGGTATGATCCTATCCTATTGGAGTTTGCTGGAGGCTCTGAAGAGAATCCCATTTGCCATAAGTGCTTTGGTTACCATGGGATATTGTGGGTTTCAAGGCCCAGATATAAAAGAAGGTTTACCAACCTGGGCCTAATGCAGAGCCTTTTCTTGTTCTATGTCTCACTCAAAATTGCAGCCTAAGGAGATAAATGGCAAATTGATTGGGTGGGCTCCCAGAACATGTTATATGTTGTCTACAATTTTTTAAAAAATCTACCTATACTGTGCTATATTTTAGTAACAGGAGATACAACATGCAGTACCTTATCTTCCACTTTGGAGGGTGCTATTATCTGAATGTTTGTGTCCTCCACCCCCAAAATGCATATGTTGAAATCTTAACCCCCAGTGTGATGTACTGGGAGATGAGTCTTTGGGAATTGATTAGGTCATGAGGGCATAACCTTCATAAATGGAATTAGTGTCCTTATAAAAGAGGCCCAAGGGAGCATGCCATTGTCTTTTTTGCTATGTAAAAACACAGTAAGACAATGCCACCTATGAATCAGAAACCAAGCCCTAATCAGGTGCTGATGCTGCCAGTGTCTTTATCTTGGACTTCCCAGCCTCCAGAACTTGGAGAAATAAATTTCTATTGTTGGTAAGCTTCTCAGTTTACAGTATTTTGTTATAGCACCCCAAATGGACTAAGACAGAGGGGTAGATTAAATATACCTCAGATGCCTGGATACTCACATTTCTACAAGCTGCTGGGCTTTTGAATTTTCACAGGGTTTATCCCCACCTCGACATTGGCATTTATATTTTCTGCTAAGGCATTTTAAGCCTTCTTTACTTCCTGCTCACCAGGTTCAATTAACGTGACATCATTAATGAAGTAGAGCAGTGAAATACTCTGTAGTGAAAACTTTTACAGCCTAGCCTAGGGCTGTTTCTGTGGGTTCTTGTAAATTAGTCAGGGGGAAGATGAATATTTTCCAGATTAAATGCAAGGTTAAGGACCTATGCTGATTTTCTCCATTAAGATACCACATCTGAAACAACAACTAATATTGGAATAATCTCTGGTTACTTTAATTATATGTGCAGTTAGAATCTCTAAGATCATTATTTACTGCAAAGGAAAGCAGGAAAATTAAATAGAATTCTGAGATGAATCACCATTCTCTTGCATTTTTAACCCTTCACTGTGGTCACAGTCTCTGTGGTTTGTCCAGAGCCACAGTACTGCTCTCTGTGTACAATACTTAGAGCAGAGTCATTTCATGCCGTTGACTTTTCTCTCCCTACTGTGACAGTCTTCACTCCTTGGTTCAGAGAGTCAGTACAGGGGTTCTGTCAGTTACCAAGTACAGCTACTCAAATTATATTTAGGAACTGAGGAAATAACCACTGTGATCCAAACCTCTGCCAAAACTCCATTCATCACCTGACGACCTGGTGTGATTAGGCTTTGTGTGCCCACCCAAATCTTATCTTGAATTGTGATCCCCAAAATTCCCAGGTGTCAAGGGAGAGACCAGGTGGAGGTAATTGAATCATGGGAGTGGTTCCCCCATGCTGTTCTCATGATAGTGAGTGAGTGCTCATGAGATCTGATGGTTTATTAGAGGCTCTTCCCCCTTCGCTCGGCACTTCTCCCTGCCACCTTGTGAGGAAGGTGCCTTGCTTCCCCTTCATCTTCTGCCATGATTGTAAGTTTCCTGAGGCCTCCCCAGCAATGCTGAACTGTGAGGCAATGAAGCCTTTTTCCTTTATAAATTACCCAGTCTCAGACAGTTTTTACAGCAGTATGAAAATGGACTAATACACCACCTTTGTGCTCCACTGTGACTGTCATACCACAGGGGTGCCTTTGTTTACCTGGAGCCAGTGCACCTACAGCCAGTGTCTCGTGTCCCTGGAATGCCCAGATAGTTCCCTTCCCCACAGCACAGTAAGCTGACTAACTGAATCCACACCTCTTTTGAGCAATGCTTAAAAGAGTATTTATAAAGTGTACTTTGGCTGTGTCACATGATTCTTTCACAAGGGGATGTGGCCTACATTTCAATCAGGAGCTCTGTTCTGAGAATCAATCTGGTAACGATTAGAAGCTATGACTCTACAAAATTGTAACTTACATCAAGATCCAGGTTTTTGGTCTCCAGATTTAAACATTTTGCTGTTACATTTATCAACTTTATTTTAGTAGCATGTTGATTTATTTTTTTCTTGCTGGAGATACTGTAATCAATTAGCTAATTCTCTTAAATTGAAGCATTCTGATGAGGCTTCCACTTCTGGCAAAAATGGAGTAATGAAAACAAGATTTATCCTCCTAATTGACACAGCCAAAAAGTGGACAAAATATTTGCAATATATTATTTTCACAGCTGAAATCTAGACTGTTCTTGTGATTTTCTTTGGCCAAAATAACATTCACTATAAACTTAACTAAAAGAAAACCACAAACTCTTGTAAAATAGAAGTAGTACTGACATTATTCTCCGGTGTGAAAAAATAATAATAAAATCAGAAAATAATTCTGTGAGAAAATTTTAAAAAGAAAAAAATATTGTGGTATGAGAGTTGTTTAACTTAATAATAAAATTACCATTAATATGGAGACCTTTGTGAAATAGCACAAGTATTCTTTGAAAAGTTCGTATGAAAATGCCTATATATATTATATATACACACACAATTATAATATACATATATTTTACATAACATTTTATATAACAAAAATATACGTAACATTAACAAATTATATATTTGACTCAAAATTTTGGAGAATGAGCAATAAAATAAAGGAAAGGAGATGAGAATGCAAGAATAGATATTGATAAAATTTAGTGAGTTATCTAGTGAATTATCTCTATTTTCTAATGCAGAATAAATGGGAAGAATAAATAAATCTAAAAGCTGAATTTTTGAAAAATTCATTCACAAAACATAGCATTTCTACATAATTTAATTTTAAAAAATCAGGTTTAAACTATTAAGCGCTGAAGAAAGAAAAAAATAGGATAGCAGGAAATCCCTAGAATAAGTTTAAAAAATCATAGTAGAATAATTTTCTTAATATGTTACTAATATATGTTTATACTGGATGAAATAAATACATAATACATTATTGGAAAAATTTGAGTTTCTAAAATAATCCTAGTAATGATAGAAAATCTAACCAGCTTCATTTTATATGAGCAATTGTCAATGTTTTACCTTAATACAAAGCACCTGGCCAAAACAAGATTTCTATCAACATCTCTTTCAAAAGCAAGATGATTTCAATACAGGATATCAAAAAATAGAAATCAAATATACAAGCATTTGACCAATTTTCCAACAATTTTTCTTTAAAGAAAAACTCAATGAAATAAGAATCAATGACTACTTTCTTTCAATGTGACAAGATACATTAAATTAAATGTTTTGAAATTCATACAATGATTTATTATATAGCAGTAAAACAAACAAGAAAGTTCTTTAGACTCTAATGGGCAAGTTCCTGGGTTTTGATTACTAAAAACAATATAGTTTAAGTGAATATCATTTATAAAGAGTATTTCCAAATTTTGGGAAAAATACATCAAACTTCAAAAGCTTACTAATTTGAACATCAAAAAAAACCCTGGTATCTCACTATGGTTTCATTTTACATTTCTTATGTAACAAGGAAAATTGAAGTTTTCCTATGTTAAAGAATAATGTGTCTCCCTTTTTCAAAAACTCTCTCTAGATTTTCAGCCCTTATCCATGTTTCTATGGGGATGTTGGTATTTTTATTGATTTATCAGCACTTTTTACATGTTAGGAATATTTACCCTGTTGTATCTGTTCAAAACATTAAAATTTTTCTGGCTGGGTGTGGTGGCTCACGCCTGTAATCCCAGCACTTTGGGAGGCCCAGGTGGGTGGGCACGAGGTCAGGAGATCGAGACCATCCTGGCTAACATGGTGAAACCCCGTCTCTACTAAAAATACAAAAAATTAGCCAGACGTGATGGCGGGTGCCTGTAGTCCCAGCTACTTGGGAGGCTGAGACAGGAGAATGGCGTGAACCCGGGAGGTGGAGCTTGCAGTGAGCCAAGATCGCACCACTGCACTCCAGCCTGGGCTTCAAAGCAAGACTCCGTCTCAAAAAAATAAAATAAAATAGAAATAAAATTAAAAAATTAAAAAAACTTTCTTTATATTTTTAAGTTTTCTTCACTATTTTTAAGTTCATTCCTTGGTTTTGTTGTTGTTTGCTATTTTAAATAGGACCTTAACTTGACTTTTGTCTTCAAGAAGTTTTTTTGTGTTAATGAAGGCTATTAATTTCTGAATATTATTGTTTTCACTTAGCCCATTTACTGATTTCTACTTATCATAATTTGTTTTTCTGCTTTTCAGTAATGAAATTATGTTGTCTTATAATAATAATAATTCTACCTCTTTTTTATAACTGTATGCTTCTAATTTTTCCCCTCATCAGACTGCAGTGATAGTGACCAGAACAGTGTTAAATAGTACTCTGTACAAGGTTAAATAGTACATTTAGCCTTTTCCTGATGTATTTAATGTTTAATTTAAATTTGCAACTGTTGCTTTTAATCTTATTGTATATTATATTAAAAACATATCTACTTCTATTTTATCATCACACATTTTTACAAAGAATATTTTGAACTTTAGAATACTACTTCAGTATGAATGAAGATCATTTAATTTTTACTATAAGGCTATGAATAGGATGAATTATATTACTAGATTCCCTGATGTCTTTTGGCTCTGTGTCCCCACCCTAATCTCTCCTTGGATTATAATAATCCCCATGTGTCAAGGATGGGACTGGGTCAAGATAATTGCATCACGGGTCAGTTTCCCCCATGCTGTTCTTGTGATAGTGAGTTCTCTTAAGATCTGATGATTTTATAAAGGGCTTCTTCCTTGGCTCAGCAATCATTCTCTCTCTTGCTACCCTGTGAAAAGATGCCTTTTGCCATGATTATAAGTTTCCTGAGGCCTTCTCAGTCATGCAGAATTGTGAGTCTTTTGTTTATGAATTACCCAGTCTCAGGTATTTCCTCATAGTAGTGTGACAATGGACTAATATATTCCCTAGTTCCAAAAAATTCTTGCATTATTCAATTCACCTCAATTTTGTCATGTTTTATTAATGTTTAAAAGTATTGCTGGATTCTACCTGCTAACAGAATTTTGTTTACTATTTATAAAAAATTGGTCTGAAAGGTATTTTTGGATTAATTTTTTATTTTTATTTTCTTTTATTTTTCTTCATATAAGTTAGATTTCATTCTCTTATATAAACTAGAAAAGTGTAATTGCCATTAAAATGTTATTCTTTTTATAAGCAAATAATGAGGGAGTTCATTACCACCATACCTGCCTTACAAGAGATCTTGAAAGGAGCACTAAATAGAGAAAGGAAAGACCACTAGCAGCTAACACAAAAACTTAAATATATAGACCAGTGACACTAAAGCAACCAAACGAATAAGCCAGCATAATAACCAGCTAACAACACAATGGTGTAATCAAATCCACACATGTCAATACTAACCTTGGATGCAAATGGGCTAAATGTTCCACTTAAAAGGTACAGCATGGCAAGCTGGATAAAGAAGCAAGATGCAATGTTGTGCTGTCTTCAGGAGACCCAACTCACATGTAATGACACCCATAGGCTCAAAATAAAGGGATAGAGGAAAACCTACCAAGCAAATGGAAATAATAAAAAAGCAGGAATTCCAATCTTAATTTCAGACAAAACAGACTTTGTATCAACAAAGATCAAAAGAGACAAAGAAAGGCATTACACAATGGTGAAGGGCTCAATTCAACGAGAAGATCTAACTATCCTAAATATATATACACCCAACACAGGAGCACCAAGGTTCATAAAGCAAGTTCTTAGAGACATACAAAGAGATGTAGACTCCCACACAATAATATTGGGAAACTTCAACACTTCACTGACAGTATGAGACAGATCATCAAGGCAGAAAATTTACAAAGATATTTAGGACCTGAACTCAACATTGAACCAAATGAATCTGATAGACCTCTACAGAACTCTCCACCCCAAACCAATAGAATATACATTCTTCTCATTGCCACATGGCACATACTCTAAAATCAACCAACTGAAATCATAGCAAACACACACTTGGATCATAACACAATAAAAATAGAAGTCAAGATTAAGAAAATCAAACCATGCAATTACATAGAAATTAAGCAAATGTTTTGAATGACATTTGAGTAAATAATGAAATTATGGCAGAAATCAAGACGTTCTTTGAAACTAATGAGAAGAAAGATACAACATACCAGAATCTCTAGGACACAAGTAAGGCATTGTTAAGAGGAAAATGTATAGCACTAAATGCCAACATCAAAAAGTTAGAAAGATCTCTAATTAGCAACTTAACATCACAACTGAAAGAATTAGAGAAGTAAGAACAAATCAATCCCAAAGCTAGCAGAAGCCAAGAAATAAGCAAACTCAGAGCTGAACTGAAGGAAATTGAGACACACAAAAAAAATGACTTAAAGATCAATGAATCCAGGAGTTGTTTGTTTGAAAAAGTTAATAAGATAGATAGGTCACTAGCTAGACTAATAAAGAAGAAGAGAGAAAGGAGCCAAATAAACACAATTAGAAATTATGAAGGGGATGCTACCACCGACCCCATAGAAATAAAAATAACCATCAGAAACTACTACAAACACCTCTATGCACACAGACTAGAAAACCTAGAAGAGATGGATAAATTCCTGGACACAAACATTCTCCCAAAACTGAACAAAGAAAACTATTGATTTCCTGAACAGACCAATAATGAACACTGAAATTGAATAAGTAATAAATAGTCTACCAGTCAAAAAAAAGCCTAGGACCAGAAGGATTCACAGATGAATTCTACCAGATGTACAAAGAAGAGCTGGTACCATTCCTACTAAAATTATGCCAAACAATTGAGGAGGAGGAGAGGACGCTTCCCTAACTCATCCTATGAGGCCACTATCATTCTGATATCAAAACTTGCCAGAGACATAACAAAACAGAAAACTTCAGGCCAATATTCTTGGTGAACATTCATGGAAAAATCTTCAACAAAATACTGGCAAACTGAATCCAGCAGCATATCAAAAAGCTAATCCACCAAAATCCAGTGGGCTTCAGCCTCAGGATGCAAGGTTGTCTCAACATACACCAATCAATAAATGTGATTCCTCATATAAACAGAACTAGAGACAAAAACCACATGATTATCTCAATAGATGCAGAAAAGGCTTTCAATAAAATTCAACATCCATTCATGTTTAAAGCACTCAATAAACTAGGTACTGAAGGAAAAATACCTCAAAATAGTAACAGCCATATAAGACAAACCCACAGCCAACATCATACTGAATAGGAAAAAGCTGGAAGCATTCCCCTTGAAAACTGGCACAGGACAAGGATGCACTCTCTTGCCACTCCTATTCAACATAGTATTGGAAGTTCTTGCCAGGGCAATTAGGCAAGAGAAAGAAATAAAGTGCATTCAAATAGGAAAAGAGGAAGTCAAACTATCCCTTTTTTCAGATGACGTGATTCTATATATCTAGAAAACCCCATAGTCTCAGCCCAAAAGTTTCTGAAGCTGATAAACAACTTCAGCAAAGTCTCAGGTTACAAAATCAATGTGCAAAAATCACTGGCATTCCTATACATTAACAAGAGTCAAGCCAAGAGTCAAATCACAAATGAACTTCCATGCACAATTGTCACAAAAAGAATAAAATACCTAGGAATACAGCTAACCAGAGAGAGTAAAGATCCCTACAATGAGAATTACAAAACACTGCTCAAAGAAATCAGAGAAGACACAAACAAATGGAAAAATATCCTGTGCTCATGGATAGAAAGAATCAATATCATTAAAATTGCCATACTGCCCAAAACAATTTATAGATTAAATGCTATTCCTACCAAACTACCAACAACATTTTTCGCAGAACTAGAAAATACTATTTTAAAATTCTTATGGAACCAAAAAAGAGTCTGAGTAACTAAGGCAATCTGAAGCAAAAGGAACAAAGCTTGAGGCATCATACTACCTGACTTCAAACTATACTACAGGGCTTCAGTAATCAAAACAGCAGGATACTGGTACAAAAACAGACACATAGACCAATGGAAAAGAATAGAGAGCCCCAAAATAAGGCCACACACCTACAATCATCCAATCTTTGACAAAGCTGACAAAAACAGGCGATATGGAAAAGACTCACTATTCAATAAATGGTGCTGGGCTAACTAGCTAGCCATATGCAGAAGACCAAAACTGGATCCTTTCCTTACACCATATCTGTAAATCAACTCAAGATGAATTAAAGACTTAAATATAAAACCCAAGTCTATAAAATCCCTGGAAGACAATGTAGGCAATACCACCCTGGACATAGGAACAGACAAAGATTTCATGACAAAGATGCCAAAAGCATCACAACAAAAGCAAAAATTGACAAACGGGATCTATTAAACTAAAGAGTTACTTGCACAGTGAAAGAAATATCACAGAGTTAACAGACACTCTACAGAATGGAGGAAAAGTTTTGCAAACCATGCATGTGACAAAGTTCTAATATCCAGCATCTATAAGAAACTTAAATTTACAAGAGAAAAACAACCTCTTTAAAAAGTGGGCAAAGAACATGAACAGATACTTTTCAAAAGAAGACATACATGCGGCCACCAAGCATAAGAAAAAAAGCTTAATATAACTGATTATTAGAGAAATGCAAATCAAAACCACAATGAGATACCATCTCTTACCAGTCAGAATGGCTATTATTAAAAAGTCGAAAAATAACATGTTGGCGAGGTTGTGGAGAAAAGGGAATGCTTATACACTGTTGGTGGGAATGTAAATCTGTTCATCCATTGTGGAAAGCATTATGGAGATTCCTCAAAGAGCTAAAAGCAGAATTACCATTCAATCCAGCAATTCCATTACTGGGTATATACCAAAGGAATATAAAGCATTCTGCCATAAAGACACATGCATGTATGTATTCATCACAGCACCATTCACAATGGCAAAGACATGGAATCAACCTAAATGCCCATCAATGACAGATTGGATAAAGAAAATGTGGTACATATACAACATGGAATACTAGATAGCCATAAAAAAGTATGAGGAACATGGTTGGAGCTGGAGAGTATTATCCTTAGCTAACTAGCACAGGAATAGAAAACCAAATATCATATGTTCTCATTTATAAGTGGGAACTAAATGATAAGAATTCATAATGCAAAGAAGGGAACAACGTACACTGTGGACAATTGGAGGGTGGAGGCTGGAAGAAGGGATAGGAGCAGAAAAAATTACTACTGGGTACTAGGCTTAGTACCTGGGTGCTGAAATAATCTATACAACGAATTCCCATGACACAAGTTTACCTATATAACAAAGCTGCACATGTACCTCTGAACCTAAAATAAAAGTTCTAAAAATCAAAATAATAAATAAAATATTTTTTAAACAAATTTTATAGACATTACCTTAAAACAATCTAGATCTGATACTCTTGATAAAGATGCCATTAACAACTCTTCCTATGAAAATTGACCTATTTAAATTTCTAATGAGTCTAGAGTCAATTTTGTTTAATTATATTATCCTAGAAACATTTTATAATTTTTAAATACATTGTTTTTAAGTATGTTACATATTCTCAGGCAATGTAGGCTCTTATGAACCTCTTAGTAACACCTGACTAGGACTTTAATATGGTGCGAATAAAATGGTGATGGTGGACTTTACCTTGTTCCTGACTATGCACAGAGGGTGTTAAATATTTCACCATAAACAAGAGTGTTCATTTATAGGATTTTTACAGATAACTTACATTGAAGGCAAGGACCAAACCAAGGACCAAACCAAAGTCTATCTAGCTTCAAAGTATACTCCTTTTTTTCACACACGTTCATTCTTCCACTGTCTGAAACATACATGGGAATGTTCTAAAAAATAAGTCTATTTGGATACAGCTATTTCTAGAAACTTGCTATTCTGCTGTAAGACGCAGAATGTCTCATTGAAATCAATTAAAAACAGACCATAATTTTCATGTTACAAATATTAAAGGAAGTTCAATATTAAAGATCAAGTTTCATGAAGACCCTTTGATTGTAACTGGTTCACCCTCATCTAATCTTATATGCAAGAAAAGTTAGTTGCTTCTCCAAGTACACAGTCACAGAATTTGTTCTAAAACTTGCAACAAAAATACTATACCCAGGATTGGTTACAAAATTTGTAAGATCCAGTGCAAAATGAAAATATGTGTGTGGGGAGGAGGGTTGTTTGAAAATTATTAGAAATTTTGAAACAACAACACCAGAGCATTATACTAAGCATGGTGCCTTCTAAGTGCAGAGCCTTATGTGGTTTCTCAGGTTACACACCTGTGAAGCCATCACTGACCACCCTACACATCTCTTTTATAAAACTACAAGATGTTACAGCTCACAGGGGCCTCAGAGATTAATCTTGACTTCATCGAAGTTTGAAATAAATATCTTAGGTTATACTTTCAAAATGTCTTGTTTTGGTACATTAGGTGGGGTGGGAGATGGGGGGTGGGTGACCAGGGCAATTGACAGCAGTCCTAAACGTTCTAGATTCACATTATAATCTGGGGTCCGCTGTGTCTAATTTTGTTTTTGCCTCACTCTCAGTTTGCCACACATCCCTGATTGGCTTGCTTGTACATTTGGGGAAGACTGTTCAGCAGTCGCTCTGTTCTTCATGCTGCATGAACTCCGAAGATGCTTATGTTCTCTTCCCCACTTGAGTTGTTTATACAATCTCTACAATTAAGCTGTTTTCATACCATACGGATCTTAGTTTTGGCACCAGCTATCATTCAAAAAATTACCACATAGATGTTCTTACAAAGTAAGAACAAAGATTTCCAGGCACATTAATAGTTTAAAGCCAGTAAGTAGAAAAGGGCAGGTGGGTTTTAGGGGCAAGCTTAGTAACGGCACTTAACCCATGAGCTACAGAATGGAAGCTAGTAAAAAATGGTAAAATTATATCGTTTGTTTCAGCAAAAATGGCTGGCCTTAATAGGCATTTTACAAGGAGGGTAGTGGTTTACTACTGGTTAGCAAATTTTTGTCACCTAGCTTCTTATTTATTATGCAGAACCATTGCATAAATGTCCACCATGCAGTAGCTAAAGACTGTACATCAAGATTGGTGTCACTGAAAAACACTGACTTTAAATACTTTCATTTAGGCCTCTGAACCGATTAAGCCTCATTTTTACTTTGAGTGGTGGTAGGACACGTTGTCCTTGATGAATAATTGTCATTGGGATTCTAAAATCATTTTAAATCACCAAACATATGAAACTGCTCATGGAAATAACCAGCAATTACTCTTCTATTGAAAAAGACAGAGAAATCGTGGTATAAACCCATTAAACCCTTTCTCTACATTCAAAATCAAGTACCAGTGTTCTAACGTGCCACATAGGCCTCCTTTCTATCTGCAATAGAAATTATCTATGATATTTTAAAAATTTGCAACAGTTTAGTTTTCAGTTTACTTTTATAATTACATTGTCTAAACTTTTTGCATATATTAGGATCATACAATGATAAAATACTATGATAAAATTATCTTTATCCATGGTTCCACATTTCAACTCAGACTGAATAATGGAAATGCATCTATTCTTTTTCAAAACGAAGACATCATTTTCAGTTTAGGTTTGAATGAAATTAGTACAAGCACATATATTTCATATATCTGTCCATTGTTACACTGGTGGCTTGAAGGCTTGAAGTCTAAATAGAACTACCTCCTCTTTTTATGATTAGAGAAAGTGAAGCCCCCCAATTGAAGTAACCTACTCAAGGGCATGCAATTGGTACCTGGCAAAGTATTAGGATTTCTGACTTTAAGTAATTGCTATAATATAGTGCCATCTTGATATCATGCAAAATAACAATAATAATAATACATCAAAGTAACTTGTTCAATTTATTCACTGATTTATTGGAAGTTACAATAATGTGATTTAATCATCTGATTGCTTTAGCCAAAATATAGGTAGAGCCCCAATTATCTTAAAACACTAGGTTATAACTGAAAAGTTCAAAAACTATATAAAAGGAAGAGCATGTACAATATTTTTAAAATGGTGTTGAATTCTGGATAATAAAAATGCAGGTGCTTTTCTTTTCTTTTTGGTTCTTTTGTGGACTTTTACATACATTGCTATCATCTTTCAGAAAATCATGAGGGCTTGGGAAGGCCAGTGTGTTTGGCAGAGCTTCTACCCACAAGAGGGGTGTTGGGGGAGATGGGCTGCCTCTGTGCGTTGCTCACATTGGGAAATGTGGGCTCCCCAAGGCAAGGAGACAGCAAAACTGCAGATGTTTCTGTGATCTGTGAGTCAAGCTTTCCCTGAATCTTTCTGAATCTTCATGGAAGTTATTAAATTCATGAAAACATGAGTGTGATTGGGTTTTTAACATAGTAAAATAGTATCAGAGCCCAGATCTGCATAACAATCAGCACAAAGCTGAATTAAATCATTGTACACAGATGCAGAAGTGGAGACCAAGACCAAGCACTCAGAGAAAACATTGGGGGAAGATGCTGAAGTCACAAAAGCTGGGAAATTGAGCATTTACCTTTCACTCCAAGGAGTTAGGGCGCCCCAAATTGCATCTGGGTTATATCTGGAGGTCAGAGGAGAGGAAAACTGGAAGGCATATTGAGAAGACTAGAGATGGACTCAGAGGAGGTAGTATTGATCCTTGGAATACTGTTTCCAAATCAGAGGTAAGATGTGAAATATGAGGTTGGCGTCCCAGTTTTTGAGAGGATGTACTGTTCAAGAGCAGTTATTTTAGACAGAGGGCCTGATATGAACTCACTAGAGTGATGAAATTGAGTTGGAAAGGGAGTAAAGAAAAAGAAGAAAGGATGGAGTTAAGGAAAGAAAGAAGGAACCTGGAAAGAAGTGTAACATCACGTCCTTTACAAGTGAAGAAATGAGAGTAATTAGAGAGTAAGGAACCTACTCATGCTCTCACAAATAGTGTGTGGTGAACTAGGATTGGAATCTAGAACTCGTGCGCTTAACCACTAAGCTCTTTAGCCTGCCCAGAAAATATTTGTAGAAAAGATGGCAAAAAATAAAACTGTGGAATTGTTGAACATCACAGCCTTGGCTGACCTGCATATGTGTAGCGAGATGGAACCAGAGAACTACAGTGGATGCAGATATGACTCAACTGCCTGATGTGGTAGCTTCCAGTGACTCTTGTATTATAACTGTGTTTCCCACAGTGAATATTTGTTGCTCAAAAAAGTACAAAAGAGAAATACAGGGTTTAAAAGAAATTTCTGCTCCTGTTAAAATACAGTCATGTATTGCTTCTTGATGGGGATACATTCTGAGAAATGCATCATTAGGTGACATCGTCATTGTGCGAGTATCACAGAATGTACCTACACAAGCCTAGATGGTATTGCCTACTACACACATAGGCTACACACCTGGTATAGCATACTGCTCGTAGGACACAAACCTGTGCAGCATGCTACTGTATCAAATACTGTAGGCAATTGCAACACAATGATAAGTATTTGTGTATGTAAACCTATCTGCACATTGAAAAGGAACAATAAAAATACAGTATAAAAGATTTAAAAATGATACACCTGTATCAGGCACTTGCCGCAAATGGAGCTTGCAAGACTGGAAATTGCTCTAGTTGAGCCAGTGAGTGACTGATGAGTAAATGTGAAGGTGTATGACATCATAGTACATTCTTATATGACTGGCAGTGCAGTAGGTTTGTTTACACCAGCATCACCACAAACACAAGAGTAATGCATTGCACTAGGATGTTAGGATGGCCAAGACATCACTAGGAGATAGGAATTTTTCTGCTACATTGTAAACTTATGGGACCACTGTTGTATATGCAGTCTATCATTGATCAAAAAGTTATGCAGTGCACAACTGTACATTAAAAAAGTGATATATGCATACAAGCAATGAACAATCCAAAGAAGAAATTTAGAATAAAATTCCATTCATAATAGTATCAAAACAAATGCTAATAATTAAGTCTAACAGAAAGAAGTGAAGACTTCTACATTAAAAATCACAAAACTCTGTTGAGAGAAATCAAAGAAGATATAAATAAGTGAATATACATTCCATGCTCATGAATTGAAAGGTTCAATATTGTTAAGTGGCATTTCTTCCCAAATTAATCTGAAGTTTCAATTCAATCCCTTTCAAAATTCCAACAGGCTTCCCCCACCAGCTATACACAAACAAATCTAAAAATTTATATGGAGATGAAAAACATATAGAATCGCCAAAGTAATTTGGAAAATGAAAAAGTTGGAGGGCTTTATGTAACAATTTCACAACTTAATATAAATCTCCAATTATCAAGATGGTAAGGATAGACATATCAAAAATGGAAAAGAATTGAGAATCCAGAAATACATATTTATATTTATAGTCAATTTATTTTTGACCAAGTTGCCAAAAATATTTGCTGGAGAAAGGACAGTCTGTTCAACAGATGGTGCAGGGACAATTGGATATCCATATCCAAAAAGATGAACTTAGACCTACACCTCACAACACCCACAAATTAACTCCAAATGAATCATGAACTTAAATGAAGTAGCTAAAACAGTGAAACTTGTAGAAAAAAATAGGAAAAAAATGTTGAGAGCTTGGGTTAGGCAACAATTTCTTAGATATGACACTAAAAACATAGTTCATAAAAGAAAAAAATAACCTCACCAAACTTCAAAGTTCAAATTTTGCCTTTTAAAAATGACCATGAAGAAAATAAGAAGACGAGTAACAGATTGGGGGAAAATGTTTGCAAAACATTTATCCAATAAAGGATCTGCAGTGCGAATTTGCAAAGAACACTTACAAATCAAGAAGAAACATAAAGAAAAATAAAATGGGAAGAAAATGTGAACTGACATACAGAAGAAGGTATATGAATGTCTAATAAGTATATGAAATGAAGTTCAATATTATTACCCATTAGGAAAATGCAGATCAAAACCACAATGAGATACAATTTCATACCTACAAGAATGGATATCCTGACTTGATCAGTGTGCATTCTGTATACATAAATACCTTCTCATGTACCCCATAAATTTGCACAAATAAAAAAATAGAAATCAAAGAAAGAGTGGTTATAATAAGTGAGACAGACTAAAATAAATATTGGCAAGAATGTGGAGAAACAAATGTCCTCATATATATTTTTCTGGGAATGTAAAATGGTGTAGCCACTTTAGAAAACAGTTTAGCAATTTCTCAACAAGTTAAACATAAAGCTACCATATGGCCCAGCAATTCCACTGCTGGGTGTCTACCCTAGAGAAATGAAAATGTGTGTCCATATTAAGAACTTGCATGTGAGTATTCATATCACCGTTATTTTTAATACCCACAAACTGAAAATAACCGAAATGCTCATCATCTGGGAGTAGATAGACAGATGTGACACAAACACATAGTAGAATACTATTCAACAGTAAAAGAACAACAATCTACTCACATATGCTGTATCATAGATGAACCTCAAAAATGTTGGCCAAGTTAAAAAAAATAGACACAAGAGAACACAAAGTATATGATTCCATTTACATGAAATGTCCAGAATAGATAACTATAGAAACAGGAAATAGATGAGAGGTTTTCTGGGCTGAAGGTGGGAATGGAGAATTATTATAAATAGGAATGGGGGGTGTTATTAGGTAAACATCCTAAAACTGACTTTTGATGATAACTTCACCATTTGGTGAAGTTATTAAAGTTCATTTAATTGTACATACTTAAAATGTTTTGATATATAAAAACATATCTCAGTGAAATTATTAAGGAAAATGATATATGCATGGTAGATTAATTAATTTTGATATTAATTGCTGTCTTTTTCTCAATAAATAGAATCAGAACTTTTTATGCCACAAATGATCAGTGTTATTAAATCTGCAGAAGCCCAAATCTGCATATTAATGAACACAAAGCTGATATATTGAAACACATTTGGTTTGGAAAATTTTACTTCCTGTGCTCTTAAGATTTTTAATATTTTAATAACTGGGGAGATTATTTCTCTACTTAGCAATGCTGAGCTCAGAATGGTAAATCAATGAAAAAATGGTGTTTAATACAAGTAACTTTGGAATTATTGTGTAATATACTATTACTAAAGAGTTATCTAAAAATAGATATTAATTTTCAAGTAATTTTAAATAAAATTAAATTATTTATTTAATTTTTGGAGACAAGGTCTTGTGATGTCACCCAGGCTAAGTATACTGGCATGTTCTCAGCTCACTGCAACCTGGACCTCCTGGGCTCAAGCGATCCTCTGCCCTTAGCCTCTTTAGTAGCTGGAACTACAGGAGTCAGGAGTGTGCCACCACACCCAGATAATCAAGTAATTTATGATTTTTTTCTAACTCACAGAATTCTGAATTTTATGCCTAGAAAGAATTTGATGATCTGTCAATTGTAGATAAAATCAAAACTGTATAACATTTATTTTGTCACTTTCAAGTAAGACTGAAAAAATAGAAGAAAAGTTCTTCCATCATAAGATAAAAAAGAGAATAGATAACTGGTAAAGGAAAATGCTACATCTAAATATGATGAAATAAACACGTAACATGGCAGAATCAAACTGTGAAGGCAGTGCTGGCTTTGTGGGCACAGGACTTGTGCAGTCACAGAAGGCCCATACTCAAAAGGGCTCCTACTTGGTTTAATGCTCTGCTCTTGCCATCTTGATATTCTTAATAGCTTTTGAGCAGGAACCCCATATTTTCATGTTTGCACTGGGCCCCGCAAATTAGGTGGCCAGTACTACACGAAGACCGTAGGTACCTGAAGTAAGGTGGCTCTTTTCCAGGTTAGTTCTGCTTTAATTGTTCTGTATTGAAATGTTTGTCTCTCTGCTTAGAGTTAGATGACTATAGATAAAAATGTGTGCCTTTCTATGGCTGTACTTAAATGGCTGCAAGAATCTGTGCAGCCCTCTAGCTCAGAATTGCCATTATGTTCATTTTACTGAATATTTTGCAGATATTAGAGGATACTAATCAATTTCTTATTAAAACATTTATTATCATAGCAAATGTTTGACCATGGCATTCACCCAGCACTGCATCCGCTTTGCTGAGAGTAGCCAGGAGCGACATAACAGCAGGTGGCTTTGCTGAGTAGGAAAGGGAAGAACAGCCGTCCATAGTTCTCCTGGCTGGAGGCTACTCAGCTCACAGTCAACACTTTGTGACAGAGAAGAAGGAGGAAGAGGTGCCAGACAGGATAAGTGGTACTTATTTTGAAACTAAAATCCATAAATTATACTATATTAAACACACTTGTGAAAGCAAGCTGGCATCATCGGCTAATGATGGTTTAGCTGCTGTAGAATTGCATGAAGGCTATCAAAAGCTCCTTGTACATGAATAAACAGTATTTTGGAGAGTATTTTCTAAAAGGTAAAACATTTATTTTCCCCCAGCTTCATTTGAAACAATGCCTCTTTTCTTTCTCCATCTTTTCACATTCTTGAAACCTTTACCCAGTCCTTCTCTTTTGCCCTTCTGAAGGAATCTACAGTTGTAAGACATGCACATCCCCTTTTTACTGACATAAACATAACACACACACACACACACACACACACACTTACACACACACACAAATGCAGGCCACCCCTGATTAACTGCATCGGTACTGAGATGAGAACTTTTATTCACTTCTTAGCAGGAAAGCAAGTTGTGATTCATTAGTGATGTCTTCCCGTAGATGGAGCATGTTGAGATTGGTGGGATCTAGGGATATAGGGAGGGAGTTCAGGGGAGGTATTTCATGCATTTGCTGATCTTAAAGGAGGATCTGTTTCGCTGCTTCCAACCAGCCAAACGCCCTCATGTTCACAATTCTTTTTATTTCTTGCAGAAGCTTTCATTTGAGAAAACACTCATTCAAACAACATGTGGCTACACAAACTCTTTTGATGTTCCAAAGGTGAAACCTGGAAATAAGACTATAACCCACACTGAAACCCTGGGCAGTGCAGAGCATGATGAGCCAAAAGCCAATTGGAGGAATATTTAGGCCTCCATATGTTTTTCACGTGTTTTCTTCCTCTAGAATACTCTTGTTCGTGGAATGATTTCATTCATTCTTAAAGTTTATCTCAGAAATGATCTTAAGTAAGCTATCACTGCCTTTTCCAAATCAGGTCGTTGTACTCTTACCTTTGCTAAATTCACCTCCCATATGCTTTTATTTTTGCTCTTTTTACTGTCAATAATAATGTGCTTGTTTACTGTGGGGAAAATGTGTGATCTGCAATTTAAGATGAGAGGAACCAACTCTAACAATGGAAGCAGGTGTGATAGCTGATAACTTCCTTTACCTGGGTGCATCCTTTGTGCTAGCATATTCATTTCTAAGGAAACAAAATGAAGGACTGACTTCCATTCTCAATGTGAGGCTCACTGAGTAAGACCTATAACAGGGTTCAGGAAAATGCATTTATCAAAAAAAAAAACTGTTAAGAGAAGGGTCTAATTTGACCTCTCAACATGAATCTCAAAGACCTTTGATACTAAATTATCAATATAACTTTATTATAGATAACAGGGCATTAATAAGAAGTATTAAAACATTTAGTAGTATGTTGGTGAGATTCAGAAAGATACTTCAATATACCGATATTCTCTAGATTAATCTTCTTGAATATATCGCACAACGTTTCAATTTGGTAGATGTTTACTAATTATTTATGAATGACTTTGTATTAATTTCCTAGTATTATTATAACAAAGTACTACAAACTGCGTGGCTTAAAATAAC
The DNA here is from genome assembly GCF_000001405.40 of Homo sapiens. Classification (NCBI taxonomy): domain Eukaryota; kingdom Metazoa; phylum Chordata; class Mammalia; order Primates; family Hominidae; genus Homo; species Homo sapiens. The sequence goes on along the minus strand of NC_000013.11, from coordinate 107,975,736 downwards.
AGAAATGTATTATCTCACAGTTCTGTAGGTGGGAAGTGTGAAATTCAGGTATTGTCAAGGGCATGCTCCCTCTGAAACCTACAAGGGAATATACTTTCTTGTCTTTTCCACCTTCTGGTGGTTTGCTGGCACTCTTTAGTATTCCAAGGATGCATCCCTCCAATTCTCTCTCTTCACATAGTGATCTCCCTGTCTCCACATGGCCACTGTTTTATAAGGACAAGGTCACACTAAATTAGGGACCCATCCCACTCTAATAAGACCTCATCTTAATGTGATTCATATCTGCAAGACCCTATTTCTGGATAAGGTTACAATCTGAAATAGCAGGGTTTAGGTCTTCAATATATCTTTTTTGAGAAGATTATTTAATTCATAATTTTTTTTAGGAATTTTATTTATATTCATCTTTATATAATATTTCTAAAATAATTCCTACTTTCAGCAAAGAACATGCCTTAAATTCTAAATGGAGGACTTGTTAATATTAATCAAAACCTCTAACTTGATCATATGAGTTTATTAGAGAAAATTACCTTATTTTATTTTTTTCTGAGTTTAAAAACATAGCCGGACTTTACTAAAATTCAACACATCTATCATGCATGCTTATAAGTCAGAATAATTTAGTATACATTGTCAATGATTATGTATTGTTATAAAGTCTTTCTGAATGAAGTCCCTTTAAAAAATAAATCCAGGTTTGCTGATGTTACTACTAGTAACATTAAACATTTGGGCAAAATTCACGCATCATGTTATTAAGAAAACCATCAAATATTCCACAGGATATTAATAAAATAAAAATGAATATTTTGAATAGTTTAAAATATACTCATGAATATTATTTCGGATATTGGATATTGCATTGCTTTGCCTTTATTATTTAAGTAATTACCTTGGTTTCTATTTTATATTTTGCATATTTATTACATTTTCTTTAACAAAATTCTAGTAGAGAGCATTACTTTTTTATTTTTGAAGACTCTTGAGTATAAGAAATGCTAAAATTCAAAGAACAGTCATCAGCAAAATAGCTGTATCATATTACTTGAATGATTCTGTGGCTAATAGCCATGCTGGCAATCACTGAAGCCTGGATACTCAGACAAAAATCAACAGGAGGGCTGATGATAATGTGCCGTTCCTTCTGCGACCAAGACAAGAATGAAAAATATGACAGTCACTCTGCCCCATATGGTATAGCCACTATACCACTATGCTAGCTTAATATGGGGGAAATGTGTGATCTGTAATTTAAGATGAGAGGAACCAACCCTAACAATGGAAGCAGCTGTAACAGCTGATAACTTCCTTTACCTGGGTGCATCCTTTGTGCTAGCACATCCATATCTAAGGAAAAAAAATGAAAAGAGTAAACCAAGCTCCAAATTTAAGCATGGATTTGGAGGACCAAGCTCCAAATTGAAGTGTGAATCTATTTTATAAACAGTGAAAAAAGTTTGCAAAAAGGGTGTTTTAATTATTAGTATGTTAGCATGTCTTAGAGTTCTTAGAGATTTAAATTGAAAAAGCCTGTATATAGCAACCTCATCATCACATTGATCATTATGGTGACTATGATGACAGCTAATATTTTGTAGGTGTCAGTGTTAGTAACTTAACACCAGTGTCTGAAAGTTTCATCACTTCCCTTTCAAATGCCCTAGAACATGAGTAAACCTTCTTCCAAAATATTATTATGCTTTTTTTCCTGTGAGTCTGCCATCCTAGTCACAGGGTATTGGACAAAATGTAATCACCTACCCAATTGCAACAATTACAAGCTAATCAAGGCTCTGTAAGTTGCCCTAGAAAATGTGTGCACAATAAGGCACCCTACACTTGATGAAGACTGGCTGAAACAATCAAAGCCATCCCCAAAAGACAGTTTTAATTGGGAGGAAATGGAAACATTTGGTAGTGGTCAGAAGAAAAGAGCCAATAAAAACAAACACAGAGAGTAACAGACCCAACATTATGACAGGACACTAATGTGGGAAGCAGGAGACACCCTCTGTAGAGGCAAAAGACATCGTTACCCCACCATGGCCAGACATCCATTACATTTGGAGAAATCCCATTTTTACTGAAGCTTGTCTGTGTCACTATTGAGGTTGTTTCCTGTCCTTTATTTATTCTTCACATGGCTTTAAAATAGACCACATCAACTGAAGTCACTTTAGGTCATCTCTGATCTTTAAAATTGATACGTAATTATGTGATTTAGAGTTTCACCATCTCACATAGCTGCTAACATTAGAATGGTATAGCATATTCCTTTTGAGAACAGAGGAAGTGAATTTCAAGAAACCTGCACAAAAATATTTTCCTAATTTTCATATATCTTTGCCACTACAATATTTGTCTTTCAAAATTCTGATAGACGTGGCCATAAGAAGTCAAAGTTACTGAAAAACAAGTTAAATCCTGGAAAAAGCATGACCATTTCTAAATAAATATATTAAACTACAAATGCATAATTGAGTAATTACGAGTAAATTAACTTTAGATCTATTTAACAAAGTTTCACTTCCTTTTAAAAACTATACTTTATCAAAATTATATTCGTTTTTCAAAAACATACATTGTCTTCATATATTGAGAGTCTCTGGTGATATATTTTCTTTACAGAATTATCTCAAGTATGCCATCACTAGCATACAGATGGTTTTCTCATAAAGTTTATATTGTAAAAGTGACACTTTGATTTACCTAGTTTTTGAGCCCACACAATTAATGGGTCACTCAATGTTTAGGGCACTTTCTATAGTGGTTGAAGATGTATTGAATAGCTCATAAGATCTGGATTTCAATCTTTTTTCTACCAAAATTAGTTGTAGGCTTTTGGCTAAATTACTAAACTAAAAAGAACTTGAAGTTACAGAGATGTTAAAAGATTTTGATTGGATTATTTCTCTAATCCCTAATAGTATTTAAAGCCTCTGATTCTATTATGTAAACTGTTCTACTAAATATATAAAAATTAAAGTACTTTCACTTTTATTATTATATTGTTTGATTAGGATTGTCTGCTTCATTATGCAAGCAAAGCATTATTAATCAATCTATAAAAATGCAAGGCAATGGACTTTAAAATGTAACCACAGCATAAAAGATGGGAGCTCATTGTCATCCTTTGATCCCAGTATGAATTTTTTTGAACCTTGTAAGATTTTAGAGTCTTCTGCTATGATGTGTGACATTGATACCAAAGATATATTATGGTAGCCTTTTTCATGTCTACCCATTTAAAATACGATTATATATACAATTCAGTCTCGGCAGAATGTAAGGGCCTGATAGCAGGCATTGTTAAGGAATGTAGAAGCCCAGAACTTCTTGACATCATCCTAGCATTTAATCTATTTGAAGTGAAAATGGTGACTTGCCCAAATGCAATTCGCATCTAGAACTAATCAGTTACACTAACACCACAAGTAACAATATTCGTCTTCTTTATGTATAACTCACCATTATGGTAGGTAATTGCTCTCCTCCCAATGCTTGTACTCTTCCTCAAATGAAACATTTTACAAATGATTAATGTAATTACTGCTTATAAGTGATTTAGTGAGGTTACAAAGAAGTAAAAATTGTTTTATTTTTAAATAAATACAGTATTCTTTTTAAATAAACTCACTGAGAATTACAGCCCTTAGCATTCAAAATTGAGCAATACTATTTTGTTTTATAGTAATGGTTAATTGAAACTTCATCTTTGCCAACTATAATATCAAGTAAAATTCACCATTATTGTGTTAAAATACTGAAATCCCATTTAATATGATACAATCATCTATTGCCTTGTTTTCTGAACTCATTAACTGTTATTTAATCTCAAGCAAAGCCAACAACATATGGGTCTTACTCAATTTGAGGATTCACATTGGAGTTAGTTCTCTTCAGCAACCTCACTAAATCACTTATAAGCAGTAATTACATTAATTACACATTGTAGTTACAACATGAGAATTATCTATCTATATTTAGGCTGGATCATGCAGAACCTCTTATCTCACATAACAACAGTAAATAAATATACCTACAGAATGCCTTTTGCATCTTTAACAATATTATTAAATCATTTTTAAAACAAGTATTGTGACTAACTTCCTCAGGATTTAAGGATGTGGGAATAATTAGTACTTCCAAGAAAATGTGTTTCCTTATTCTAGAAGTTAGAGATACTCTGCAGTTTCCTAAGGAGGTTTGGGACATCAGAAGATGCTCTGGAGATAGAATAGTAAGGAGAGGAAAACATTTCTCATGGAACCAGGGGACGCGGGATGGAATCCTTTGACATGCTGGGAGCTTTATAAGACTCCTTCTTTCTTTCCTATAAAAGAAGAACAATGACATCTGCTTTGACAATTTCCTACAGCTACTGCTAAAATCTAATGAAATATTAGTTGTCAAATCAGTTTTGAAAATTTGGAAATGAAATGCATGTTTGAAGATCAAAGAAAGGCATACCAAAGAAAGATCCGATCCCAGTATTTCAGAGGTACTTTCAGAATAAAAATTACTTCATTAAGGATGAAATTAAATATTCCAAATTAAAGTAAAATGAATAATTAGAACATTGATTTATATTAATGTATTTGTATTATTAATATTGCTGGTTATTTTTGCCTATGGAGAGCTCAAAAGTAAGTCAATGATTTTTCAGGAGCTTGTATGAATCAAGACTTTACGGAATTCTTGTCATGAAGCCACACTGTGACATCATCATCATCTCAATGACTTACACAGGAGCAGATTCCATGTTGTTGGTGTTTCTCCTTCTTTATGTATCAGTTTTCAACTGTAACAACCCATGTGCATAAAGATTAAATATGAGGTTAGGACCAAGAAGGGAAATTTATTTAATCTTTTACTGTTGAATATTTATAATTTTCCCAATGATGGTAAGGAAATTACCTACACTAAGTCTATCTTTTGGAGAAAAATAAAGGAGTATTGCTGTCAGATCTTCAGTATGTATGACACTGCCTAGCATATATTTTGCATAGAGCGTAAGGCCCACCTGAGATCAGTTCATAAGTGCTGATCTCATCAGTGTAGATAAAAAGCATCAGTGTAGATAAAAAGCCTAATTGCATCAGTGTAGATAAAAAGCCTAATTGCAAAAAGCAGTGTATTATTTCATTTTCACGCTGCTGATAAAGACATACCCAAAACTGGGAACAAAAAAGGTTTAATTGGACTTACAGTTCCACATGGCTGAAGAGGCCTCAGAATCATGGCAGGAGGCAAAAGGCACTTCTTACGTGATGGTGGCAAGAGAAAAAGCGGAACCCCTGATAAACCCATTATATCTCATGACACTTATTCATTATCATGAGAATAGCAGGGGAAAGACCTGCCCCCATGATTCAATTACCTCCCACTGGGTCCCTCCCACAACATGTGGGAATTCTGGGAGATACAATTCAAGTTGATATTTGGTGGGGACACAGCCAAACCATATCATTCTGTTCCTGGCCCCTCCCTCCAAATCTCATGTCCTCACATTTCAAAACCAGTCATGAGATTTGGTCAGGAAACAGCCAAACCATATCAAGCAGCAAGGGGAATAGTCTGGATTCAGAACCATCAGTAACATTCCAAGTGTCAGGGCAGTGCTATGGTTATGGATTATGTAAATTTATCCAGATTGGGGCGGGAAAGTGAAAACAGCATCAACTCTTGGCAACCCTTGGATCCAGCCAAAGAGATTTTTTGGTTGGGATCTTATTAATATTTGGTCCACCTGTATTATGCCTAGACATCTTGACATTTTGTTGTCTTCTGACTTCAATTTTAATATAACTTATGCTTTATAACTGGGCCTTTTCAGAACTGTTTCCTAATAGACTGTACAAAATTCCAAAAAGTACACACCTCAGAGCTGTTAATTAAAAGGGCCTGCTGGTATAAATAAACACATATGCTGCTGATTAGCCACCCTTTAGGGGTCAACAGTGGGGAACTCCTGCTGGGCTTCTGTTAATTGTTGTCCAAAATTTTAACAGGAACTGTCTAATGATCTCATATGGCTTTGGCCATCTGGCCCTTTGAGTTAACTTGCCAGTAAACAGACAACCTTTAGAGAAAGAGAGAAATATCTCTTATAAGACGAATATCTTTTAAGATGTAACCTAGCTATCTGTGAGTTCTAAGAATTGATTTACCTTAATTTACAGTGCAAACTCTATATACCTAACTTGAATTATCCTTTAGATTTATTCTGTCAACTGCTTTAATATTAGCTACAAAATAGGTATTTTTTCTTCTCTTACATAAACAGTGTTAGATGCAATTAGAACTTGTTAGTAACACGTATTACATTTGGGGTCATAAACCATGAAGAATGCTTCTAATAATTAATGTCTATAAACCACATCTGAGAATGTTAAGTAGTAGTATGTCTTGTTCTTTCAGTGAGGTACTGTGGATCTGATGACCAGATGCAAAGCCTAGTTCTCACATATTTCAAAGTAGACAGGACTTTTGTTGTCATCAGTCCTCTAAATATTACAATGCTACACTTACCTTGCTTTTCACTACAACATCAACCCTCCCGTTTTTAGCTGAATGTTACACAATGGAAATAACATATTTAAAGGAGCTAAAGTAGGAGGAGTTGTCATTCAAAGTAGGATATTATTTTAGAAAAATCTTTGTTTTATTTGCCTCATTTTCTAATGAAGGTGAATGTTTGTATGTAGGGGAAGAGCTCCTTCATCTCAAGGTGCATATGTGAAGTTTATTTCATAGATAATCATGTGTTGAAGAGAAGAGTATAACCAGCCATATTTACTTTTATGTTTACCTGCCAATATACTCACTATGAGAAAAGCTCAAACGGCACCCTGAACACTTTACTTGCACCATGAAATGGAAGTTAAAAGGGTAGTGCTATTTCATCTTATTGCCTTCTATTGAATAGATACTTTTCTTTCTAAGTCTTCAAACTATTTATTTTCTTGGATGACGTATTTTTCCCATAGGGCTTTGACTAATCATTGAACAGTATTTTAAAGAATGTTAAGTACAGACAGAATGCTGTGCTTCTCATTGTTCATGTTGGCACTTGCCTGATTGTGGAATAATCACAAGTGGTTAAATACAGCCATACCTGGACTGTCAGCTGTGTAAGATGAAAATGCTTTTTAGTTAAATGACCTGGATGCTGGAAAAATAAAAGCTGCATTCTTTCAGAGGTTTTAGAGTCTTTTGTGCTAGTTTTATTCCACTTCTCTTTCTCCCATGGCACCTGCTACCAGATCTGAGGATTGAATGGGTATGAGAAATCCATGAAAAGAACCACCACATGCTTCTAGAACACTTTTCACTCCAAAAATCTCCGTCAGGACACCTTAAAATCACAAAATAAATCAAACAGTTGTTTTTAAATATGTTTAAAACTCAAACAAAGAGAAAAACAAAAGAACTCCTGTGTGATTGGAAGCCTCTGAATCCCTCCGAAACCCAGAACCTGCCCTGCCTACTGTGCTACTTGTTATGTGCTCCTGACATATTCTGGTTACATTATTGTCAATCGTGTTGGAAAATGAATCTTCTCATGTCGTTTTCCTTCCACACATTTCTGTGACCCATAGTGATTTTCCAGGGTCTCTCTTTAGCATCCCCTAAATATTCAAAATTCATCAATTAATCTAGATAACATAGAAAGAAAAAAATACCGTTTTCAGGGAGTAAAATTCTTGCCACATATTCTTTGAAAAAATGTCTGCTTAGTAGGTTTCTGTAATAAAAGGTCAACTAAACTCATTTTCAAAAAATATTTACTGTAGCTGTTACAGCTTAACAAATGTATTTGCAAAGCCTGAAAACTGAAGTAATTTGTCAATATTAAAGTGATACTTCAAGTAGGCAAAAAAGGACAAAGTAATTACACAGTTTAGTACTAATTTATGCTACATTTATGTAAATATGCAAAGGTAAGCTATTGTGGTAAGTGGATGGAAAAAAAGATGTAGATAATATAGGAAGTCACCTCAAATCAGTATTTAATTAGGTAAATAAGAAATCGTTAACATAATTTGTCAGCACTTCTGCCCTGCACTCCCATTGTCTTTTGAACTGTTTCTTTTTAATTGAGGTAAAACTTACATAACATAAAATTCACCACCGAAAACACTTTAAAGTGTACAGCTCGGTGGCTTTTAGTACCTGCACAATGTTGTGCAACTACCACCACTGCCTAATTTCATACCATTTTTGCCATTTCAAAGAGAAACCTTGTACTCCTTGAACAGAGGATCTCCATTCTTTGCCCCACCCTTAATCCCTGGCTACCATTAATCTGCTTTCTCATTTTATGGATTTTCCTATTCTGGGAGTTTCATATAAATGGAATAATAATCTATATGCCTAACCTTTTTGCTAGGCATATTGTCTTAAAGGTTTATTCATGTTGTAGTATGTACCAGTACTTTATGTGTTTTATGGCCAAATAATTTCCATTATATTGATGTATCACTTTTTGTATATCAGTTCATCACATGATAAATATTTGAGTTGATTCCACTTTTTAGTGATTATGAATAATTCTGCTAAGAACATTTGGTTACAAGTTTTTATACTTGCTTTCAATTCTGTTGGGTACGTATCTAAGAGTAAAATTGCTTATCCTGTGGTTATTCTGTTTAACAATTTCAGAAATCACAAAACGGTTTTCCAAAGTGAACTCACTGTTTTACATTCGTACCAGCAATGTATGGCAGGGCAGGAGGTGGTTCCAATGTCTTCACATCTTTGCCAGCACCAATTTACCTTTTATTTTTGTTTTAACCATCACCATCCTAGTGAATGTGAAGAGTATCTCATTGTGGTTTTGATTTGTTTTTCCATGGTAAGACTATTAACTGTGCATATTTGACATATGTATATCTTTGTTAGAAAAATCTCTGTGTTCAAATATATACGCATTTTTAAATTGCTTTTTTTGTCTTTTTGTTGTTGAGTTGCACAATTATTTATATAATCTGGGTACTTGGTACTTATCAGATATATTATTTGCAAATATGTTCTCTCATTCTGTGGATGGCTTTTTGACTTTTTAAATAGTGACCTTTAGAGCACAAACATTTTAGTTCTGATGAAGCCCAATGTATCTATTTTTCTTTTGTTACTTGTGCATTTGGTGTCATATTTAAGAAAGTGTTGCTTAATAAAAGGTCACAAAGATTTATATCTATATTTTCTTCTAAGTGTTTGATATTTTAGCTCTTACATTTAGATGTTTGATCCATTTTAAGGCAATTTTTATCTATGGTGTGAGGTAGGGGTCCAAATTTATTCTTTTTCAGTTGGCTATTAAGTTGTCCTAGCACTGTTTGTTCAAATGATTATTCTTTTCCCATTAAGTGGTCTTGGCATTTTAATTTTTATTTCTTTTTATTTTTGTACAGTTTATTAAAATGCCCAGCTTCATTTTGATTTTAATAATCAAGTCTTTTCTCTTCCTTCCCAGGTTAGTCTACTTGAAGGTTTGTCAATTTTGTTGATCTTTTAAAGAACCAGCTTTTGATAATGTCGATTTCTGATTATTGATTTTTTATTCTCTATTTTACTTATCTCCAGTCTAATTCTTATATTTTCATCCTACTACTTGCTTTGGGTTTAGTTTGCTTTACTTATCCTGTTCCTTATGGTAGAAGTTTAGGTAATTGATTTGTGATTTTTTTTTCCATCTGAATGTAGGTGTTTACAGCTCTAAATTCTTTTCTGAGCACTGCTTTTGATGCATCCCCAAATTTTTATTATATTTTCATTCTCATTTGTTTCACAGCCTTTTCTAATTCCTTTATGATTTATTATTTGACTCATTGGTGTTTTAAGGACAGATTGTTTAATCTCCAACTATTCTTAAATTTTCTATGTTTTCTTATGTTATTAATTTCTAATTTTATTCCACTGTGTTTGGTGAAGATACTTTTGGGGATTTCAATGTTTTTAAATAATTGAAACTTGTTCTGTGGCCAAAGATATGATCTATCCTGGAGAACATTTCATGTGTACCTAAGAAAAATGTGTATTCTGCTGTGTTGAGTGTTCCGTGTATCTCTTTTAAATTTAATTGATTTATAGTGTGATCAAGTCCTCTTGTACCTTGTTGATCTTTTGTCCAGTTGGTTATCCGTTAATAAAAATGGGACATTGATGTATCCAACTATTATTGTTGAACTATTTGTCCCTTTAATTCTATCAAGATTTGCTTCATATATTTTGGGACCCTCTCATTTGGTGCACATTTGTTTACAATTGTTATAACTTCCTGTGAAATTGACACTTGTATCAATATATAATATCCTTCTTTGTCTCTTGTAACAATTTTTGACTTTTTTTTCAAATATTAATATAGCCACATCCCTTCTTTTTTGGCTACAATTTGATTTGAATATCTTTTTTATTATTTTATTTTTAACCGACTTGTGTTTTGAAATGTGAAGTGAGTCTCTTCAGATAGCACATATTTGGATAAATTTATACATCCATTCTGCCTATTCCCACCTTTTAATTGAAAAGATAAATTCATTTATAGTGACTTATTTTCCCATTTTTTTATATTTCTCATTTTTTTCTCATTTCCTCCATTACTTTCTTCTTTTGTGCTTTATTGATTGTTTTCAATGTACCATTTTGATTTCTTTCTCATTTTCTTTATTTTTTTGTAAACTTCTCAGCATTTATCCTGAGGATTACAATTAACATTTTAACATCTTAAATTTATAACGAACTAGTTTGAATTAATACCAACTTAGCTACGATAATATACAAAACTCCTGCCCATTTACAGCTCCATCTTTCTCTTTATTGTGGTTATTGTCACAAATTAAATCTTCATACATTACATACTTGTTAATGTAATTTATAATTATTGTTGCCTGCATTTAAAAAATTCTCTCAGATGAGTTGTGTCTCCACCAAAGATATGTCGAAGTCCTAATCTCAAGTAGTTGTGAACATAGCTTTATTTGAAAATAGATTTTTTTGCAGATATAATCAAGTTACCACAAGGTCATTAAGGTTGGCCCTCATCCAATTTGACTGGCGTTCCTATAAGAGGGGGAAAATAGCTACGTAAAGACGTACACACAGGGAAACTATCATGTGATGTCAGAGACAGAGATTGAAGTGCTGGCAGCTGCAAGCCAAGGAACATCAGGGATTGCTGGCAAAGTACCAGAGGCTGGGAAGAGGCAACAAATGATTCCCTTCTATGGGCTTCAGAGGAAAGAGCTCTGCTGACACTTTATTTCCGACTTTAAGCCTCCAGAACTGTGAGGCAATAAATTTATTTATTCAGTTTATATATGTATCTTTACAGGCATTGTAAAGATTTGCATGACATTTCACAGTTCCTGCTCTCAACCTATGTAGCAATTGCTATAGCAAAAGGACATTTTTTCCTGGACCCAGATTATGCCTTGTGTGTAGGAGGAGATTAGTAGAAGGGTAAACTAAGTTTCTAATGGAGTCAGGGAAATTTTGTCTGTGGATAAACCATTTTAGTTGTGAGTAAAATGTTGAAAAGTGGTGAATTAGACAGAGAAACAATGGAAAAGAGTTGTAGATGGGGGTTCTTGTGCCAAGTCATGAAAGTCCAAAGCAACATAAGTTGTTTTGGAAAATATAAGAATTTGCATATTACAGGATATTATTATTTGAGATGAGAATGAAAGGATGTACTAATAATGACTCTATCAGTTACAATTGTGAAAACTTGCTTCAACTAGATTTAAGAAGAAACAGAGGAAGACTTGTACTCATATAACTTAAAATATTATGGTTTCTGGCATAGCAATATCCAGGGATTCAAATCACACCATCTGGACTCTCTTTTTGTCTCCACCCCTTGCCTCTTCTTTCTTGTGTGTTGGCGTCATTCTCAGTAGAGTTGACAAAGATGGTAGCCAAAGCTGGTGACTCACATCCATCAACTTAGTTACCCTAGAGGATGAGAATTTTTGTTGCTATTGTTATTGTCATTGTTTTTTCCTAACACCGTATGAAAAGTTCTGGATAGGTGATTGACTGGCTCATATTTGGTCATTTTATATTTCCTGGGGCGCTCTGAGTTGCTGAGTTTGATTTTACATGCTTACCTCTATGCATGGCAGGGGCAGTGCCAAACTCCTTCTCAGCAAATAAAATGAATTATTCAAATTCAGATTATTTTAAAATTACATAAGAATAACCTTCAAAATGGATTATGAGCAGTAAAAAGGACAGAAACAAAAGAAAATCAGAACCCAAACAATTATTTACACCTGAGGAAATAAAAACATGAGTATGATAAGTGGACAGAACCAGATCGTGATATGTAAGAAATGAAATCTGGTTTGTCCTGTAGAAAAGAGACATTGAGCACATTTGGTAAAAACAAACAATGACATAACTATGTTTGCATATTAGAAAGAGGACTCTGAGGATTGTGTGGAAGATATATCAGAGATGGGTGAGCCTAAGGCCACTGACAAATAATGTATCTCAAGTACAAAGCTTTTTCCTTATCTGGATGCATTTTTCTAATATTTTTCATATTCTTCAGAGACCTTGGGACATGACATGAAAATAGTGTGCTTTGTTTAAGCCAGTTATGCAAATATGATTCCATTGTAAAATATAAATTTTATATATATAGTATTATATAATACTGGCTTGTACTTTTCAAATACTACATTTTAGAAAAATGCTAACAACTTTCTTCTGAATTAAATATGTCTTTCTCTAGAATATTTTTATTTCCTGTACACATTCATGTGTTTATGCATACATAATGACAACTGTACTATTCTGGTATACATACTCTTTATATAAGTATTATAAATTCTAAAGAAGATATTTTGAATAGTCAAATAATGAAAAATATCATTTAGAAAAGGGTAAAATCGACCAGAATGACTGAATATTCATTACAATTCAACATATGCTAATATCACGGATCACTTATTAAATTTAAATTCTTGACGATTTCTCCTTCCTTTAGTGTGTATTAAACATTAGCCTGCAGTGCTGGCTAATGCTCTTTTCATAATAAAGTTTACCCATATTCATGTAGGTGCTCACGAATATTTATATTTATTTTAGATAAGTAATCTCATGTGTGCTTTGTGTAAAAACACACTGGAAAAAAAATACTTCCAAACCAGACATCTTGCAGCAGGGGGTAAACATGAAGATCAGAACTTTGAAATTCTTTTGTAAACAGAAGACTAGTATCACTGAAGCACAAAATATGTCAAGAGATTGTGCTTGCTTATTTACTTTCTTTTACATTGTATTGGCCCTTGTCCTAAGTTTGTATTTGCATAGTCTTAGGCATGCAGAGAAAAGAGTGTGTCTATTTGCATTTTTAACATTCAGTGTCTTTGGCATAAACGAAGGTAGGCAGTTTGCTCTCATATTCCCTCAATACATTTCTTATCATGAAAATATCTCCCTACTGATTTATTAACATGGTGTGCAGAATGAGTCAGAATATTATGGAGGCAAACTTCAAGTATCAGTGAAAAGTTTAGACTCTTGGTTAAATCTGCATCTCAGATGTGATTTTTAAAAATACTGTTATGAGATTTAGTCATGCACTCTTTCCTCAGACATCCCATCAGCCACCCCCAACCATTTTATGCATTTGTTGATACAGACTTTGCACTGACTCAAATATCTATTTCTAACACTCAGGAGTGACATCACTTGGAATCTTAGAGTAGGCTAATAATAGGTTGATTCATTTCAACTAATCTTCTAATGTGTAGGACAGTCTTAATGCAAACAGAAGAAACAAACAAACAAATAGCAATGGCATGTTCTGAAAACAGCAGTCAGGTCTAGGGATTCAGATACAATTCATTTGAAGAAAGCACATATATAAAAGTTTCAGAGAACAGAGGGCTCAAATCCCAGATTTAATGCCTATTCATTGGAGGAATATTGGTCAATTTCGAATGTATTCTTTTATTTTTTAATCACAAATCATTTTTTAAAATTAATACAACCTATAGTGTATCAGGAATCTCATCTGCCTCAATTTCATGAGATTATACCTATCCCATAGCTTTGTTTTCAACCTTGTATTTAAAATGACACGTGAAGGGCTTAGCATAATGCCTCACACATTGTAGAGGAAGGGTACTCAATACACATTAGTGGAATGAATACATGGATTGAATAACATCCACCAAACCTCATGAAGATCATTCCAAAATAAAAGAACATCTTTCTAAGTATTCAAGATGGTCTCTTTAGCTATGAACACATTAGATTGCACAGGGCTGTTTCAAATTTCAAAGAAGAACCAAACAAGTAATAATTATTATTTCTTTACCACTCACAATATTTTAATTAAGTCTACTTTGGTTTCCAAAGTATTCGTATGCCTCACCTTGCAAGTACTATGGTATTATCACAGTTTGGCAATCTTATACAATAATTTTTTTGTTCGTATATACAAAACATCAAAAAGGCATTGCACAAACTGGTCAAACCCATTATAAGTTACAAATGTACACAACGTCTCAGAATAAAATAACAATGCACCTCCATGAATGACATTTGCTATTATTAGCAATAATGAAAATGTTTCTTTAGCATGGAATTTCTTATTTATGAAAATTTATACTTGCTGACATGCATTAAGCAGAGAAAGTTCAGTAATTATATTTAGCATTAGAAGGGCAAAATGCATTAAAATGTGTTTGTAATACACATATAAAGTTAAAGAATAATAAAATGAACCTCATGAATCAACACTTTGCTAAAGAAAGAAGAAATTAGTACTTTGCAGAGCCTCATGGGACACTCCCTGATCTCATTTCCAACATTCCCTCACAACAAGTAACTTTTTTTCCTGTTTCTTTGTAGATTTATCACAGTAATCGATATCCCTAAATATTATGTACATATTTTAGTTTTGCTTTTTTTGTGAGCTTTATAATAATAGGCTGACATTGGGTTGATTCTTCTCTGACCTTCTCTTTATCCTTCAGCATTGATTTCAGATTTAGCAATGAGGATTTGTGTAGCCCTATTTCAATCATTTTCATTGCTCACAAGTGGTGACTCTCCAACCTTTTGATTTCAGCATCTTTTTATTGTTTTCTTAATGCATACTAAAATTATTTTCCCTTCAATCTGAGTTTATCATGCCCATGCCATCCCTCCATCCCCCAGCCCCCTGCAAAGATGAGTATGCTTCCCAGTTCTCACATTCAGGTTTCTTCCTCCACCCCCACACATTCCACTCCTCCTTAGCCAATGCAGGGTAACAACATCTAGAACTGCAGATCTAATTTCTTACAGATATGTGTCTGCTGCTTGCTTTGCTTGTTTTGTTATGCTCCTCGTTTGTGTGAGAACATTAAATTTACTAAGTTATATGAAACCCTTATTTCTCTTGACTCCTATTATGTGCTCTCTTCTTACTAAACTACTATCCCCAAGGGTGCTTATAAATTGGGTCTTGGTATGGCAAACCATCTCATGCCTTGACAGGCTGAAAACTTCTTTAACTACTTGATTCACAGATAATGGTGCTCCTTCCCTAGATCTAGCCCTCTTTCATTTTGATCTGTGCTTTCCCCACACTATAAACCCAATCATTTCATATATATGTGTGTGTATATATATATTCACTCATATATATATGAAGTATTAATATATATATTAGGAGACAGAAGCATATATATGTATATGCATATATATATACAGAAGCACACATATATATATGCATGCGTGTGTGTGTGTGTGTGTGTGTGTGTGTGTGTATATGCTTCTGTCTCCTAATATATATATTAATACTTCTTACAGGTCTTTTGTTAGTTGCCAAACACATCCATCTCACTCCAGCTGTTTGGCATGGGGGTGGGCCTCCCTTTTGTCTCAACAATATGAGAAATACTAAGCCCATTGCTTGATAAGCTTGAGATAAATGGACTTTTTATCTTTTTATGTTCCCTTTCTCGATGATCGATGAAGAGGGGAGTTACGTTGGTTAATACTTGCATGCTCTCTTTTTCAGTACCTATTTTTTAATCTTATGACAATAGTAATAAGATACCTACATGCCATTCATTCAGTGCGTTACACACTCAAACATTTGAGGTAGAAGATGATCCTATCTCAAGTGGCAAAGCAGCACTAGATAAAACCCTCCAGACACAGAGAAATCATTTGGGAACATTCCATAACACTGTGCCATCCAACTGGAGGTTTAAGAGAATGTGGTCAGAAATCCCAGCCATGGGCAAACTCTAGGCTTACTTTTGGTAAAGTAAGATTTTTATTTCCATAGATAATCAATAAATAATTACAATGGGAGAGTTAAAGGAAACTTTTGAAGAAGGGGAAGATAACATTAGCTCTTAAATAAATAGTTCAAAATTTGTTTTTTAGGGATTGTAAATGAGGTGTAAATATAAAATGTAATTAAGAGTGAGAATGGGAACTGATCGAAGAAGTCCTAGGAACTGAGGTAAAACTCTCAGGTGACTCAAAAAATGTTGAGTTTGGCTCAAAGTTTGGTTCAGTGGATGTTGCATTTGTTGTGAAACTGTCCCCCCCCCAAGTAGATTTGCATGTTTTGTTCAGAAGCCCAGCAATAAGGTCAGTACAGTGACCTTACTGGAAACTGGGGACTTCCAGGCTTGGCCTGATATAAACTCTGAGGTGTCTTTGATGAAAGGTCATGATTGGCATCCATGAAAACTACACTTCTCTCCAGTACAGAGGAGAAGGTTTGCAAGGTAGAAATGTTGATTACATAAATTAAAAGGTAGCATTACTCATTCTTTAAGTATGATAGATAAATTCAGACCAGGCATACACCTGCACACACACACATATGCACATGTACCTACACACAAAACACCATAAGAAAAACATATCAAAAATAAGAAAATGTGAAAAAATTCTCTAAGTGGGAGTGAATGAAATGATCATTTTCTTCATAGCTTCCTATATTTTCTACAATTAGGAGTTGTTATATTTGTTATTGGAAAAATATTTGTAACAGGAAGAATATAAATTGGTCCATAATAGTTCTTTCTGTTTTCCTAGAAGCTGCCAGAGAAAGCCTGCCATAATTTCGTCTGAAGTTAATATTCTTTCTTTTATTAAGGCTAATGTTCAAAATAACTTATAGTGATAATATGGATGTTAATTTACAGTAAAGAAGGGCAGAGGAGGGATATACCACAATGAAATGATCACATGGTAGGAAGAACACAACACCAGGCAATCTCTGGTACATGTTCAGCATAGCCCAGTTTTGGTCTATTCTTTTGCCAGTGCTCTAATGTGAAGAAACTGGATTTTGACATTCTCTGCATCCAATTTGTTTTCTTCTGCTGCAGACATGATTCTACATTTTAAGCACTCACCATTCCGGAAATAATCATCTAACAAAAGTGTCTTGGGGCAATGTACTGTCTAATTTTTTTAAACTGTAAGGAGACAACCACAAAAAAAGAACCCCAGATAATAAAGACTGGGTATACAGGCGTATCACTTATTCACACAATCCTATAAAAAATATTAATTTGGTAATTTATTCAATGGTTGTTAATAATTATTGATAATTTTAGGTGACAAACTTTTCCGGTTAATGGACAGTCAGACAGTGTCCCTGACTTTTCACAACCATCACCCTAGTGGTAGAGGAAGATAATAAGCAAGTGTGCAAATAGCGACACTCAATCATAATTGCATGAATGATGCCTTGAGACACGACTTCTATCACCTAACATCATAAGAAGCACAAGATAATCTCAATAGTCAGCAACCCCAGAATATTATGGAGACATGGAAATATTATCACTTTTATATAATCAAGCCTCATTTTTTTGTTTTATACTTTTTATTTATTTTAGATTATTTTTTATTTTGTGGGTACCTAGTAAGTCTATATTTTGATACAGGCATGTAATATGAAATAAGTACATCATGAGGAATGGGGTATTCATCCCTTCAAGCATGAGGCTTGAAAATAGCTTAGAGTGTAATCAACCTTCATTTTGATTTTTTTTTTTTCTGCCATGATGGGGCAGAAACCACTTAATCACCAGGCACACATACACACACACATACAGGAGCACACAATAGGGGACTGACATTCTTTTGATTCTGTTCTTCTCCTCCTTTCCACAGAGTTTGGTCCCAAGGGCATATCTTTTTTTTCCCAGCTTTTTTGAAGTATAATAGACAAATAGCATTGTATATATTTAAGGTGGATAAAGTGATGATTACATATATGTTTATATTATGAAATGATCACAATCAAGTGAGTTAACACGTCCATCATTTCACACAGTTTCCATTTGTGTGTGTGTGTGTGTGTGTGTGTGGTGAGCACATCTGAAATCTATTCTGTTACCAAATTTCAAGTATATAATACAATACTGTTAGATGTAGTCACCATACTGTACATTAGATTTCCAGAAATTATTCATCTCATGGGCACATTCTTCCCGCTAAAAAACCTAAGCTGCAACACACAGGGAATTAGGTCATGGATACAGATTATCCCTTTGTAATTATTTGACATTGAATCAAGATGACCAGGCCTTTGCAATCTTGTATCAATTTGTGTTTGCATCTGGGCACCCAAGAAGGGGCGTGGCCTCTGGCAAGATGAATGGCAGCTGTAGCCAATGGGGTGCTCCTTTCTGGGTCCAGCTCACAATCTCAGCCAATTTTGACCAGTGGCTCTTGTTTCTTTCCCCCTCTTTCTTCCTGGGAACTGGTGGGTGTAAGATTGAAACCTGGTGTGTGGGGTTGCTGCAGGAGGGAAATAGGCAAAATGAGTCGAAGGTTTGGTTAAAGAACAGTCCTGAGTGTCTCTGGAACCATGAAGAAACCCTCTGGGTTATGTACATGGAGGAGAGGAAGGAAGTACAAGGAAAGTGCTGCCCAGCCTCATAATGCCAGCCTGATCCAATCACAGAATGACTTGCAAACATGTTTATTAGTTGACTTTAGGGAAGAAGAGACTTGTCTTCATAACAGAATGATTATGTCCACCTCCATGTAATGAACATTTTCTTCTCTCATTATAAAATTAAAGATTGAAGTAAAATAATTAAAAATGGAATTTCACATATAAGTAAAAATAATTTAAGCACATATTGTAAATTTAAGTATCAAATTCTCCCCTATTTTGAAATGGGCAGGTCTTCTGAGGATGGCATTAATCACTAGAAGAAAAAAATGGAATTAAAAAAAGCACAAAATATTTAAAACATAATTAACTGTGTGTTCATCCTATCTTCATTTTATGGGAGTGCTTTTTTTTAAGTTGAAATGAAGTTAACAGGCATTTCCTGAATCCACACGTCTAATAAGATACTGTTTAAAAACACAAGGAGAAGAAGATAGGAAGGAGAGAGAATACTTCATGGCTTCAGAGCTGGATGTCTGTAGAATACATTATTATTTAATCTTTAATACTGTTATTTAAGGGTATCATTGAAGAAAACCATACATTTAAAATTTTTAATACAAGGTGGGGTATAAATTAACAACACAAAGAGTGCACAAATATTTATCATGTAATGTGGAGTTAAAGGTTCCATGAGTTTAGTGGGACATGAGAGGTGATCGGATAAGCTACACTGTTGGGACATGTGTGACAACGTTTAATGAATGAAATTATCTCGAGAACTGTGGAGAGCAGAATGGCTTACTTGTAAGTGTGAACACGTTCAAAAAATATAAGGCACCAGAGCACATGCAGCCTCATTCTATTAAAATATATGTGTATGTTCTTAAAGATTGATAAGTGAGTCTGCAAGTCTAGTTTGAAAGCAAAGGTATTCATGATGGCTTTGAGCCAGGGACTAGTATCTCAGAACTATGCTTTAGAAACATTAATCTAGAATCAAGATTTGGGGCGAATTTAAGTGATTCAAGAGACTCATTTAACTGTGAGGAAAGATAGAATTGATGCAGTGCAGATGAGCCCCAGAGTGGGCCTAGTGTGTGAGGGTTCTTGGCTTTGCCCAGGAAGGAATTCAAGGGTGAGCCAGTGGTAGGATAGAAGGAAACAGCTTTATTGAAGTGGCAGTGTTACAACTCCAGGGTGTCACAGCTCCATGACTGCTCCTGTAGGGCAGGGCTACCCCATAGACAGTATGCTGAGAGTAGCAGCTCAGGGCAGTTTGCAGTCATATTTACACCTACATTTAATTACATATAGATTAGGGGATAGTTTATGCAGAAATTTCTAGGGAAGATGTAGTATCTTCTGAGTCATTGGGTCATTGCCATGGTAAGGGGTGGTAATTCCCAGGTGTTGCCATGGCTTAGTGGTGGGCGTGTCTTATGGAAAGCTGCTTCCACCTCACCCCTATTTTAGTTAGTCCTCAATTTGGTCCAGTGTCTGAGCCCTACCTTTGGAGTCAGTTCCCACCTCCTAACCCAGAATGAGCATTGGAATGAGCATGAAACTGCAAGATGACTCCTAACTTGTAAATTATGTAACCCCGGTCGAATTTCTCAGCTAGCGCAAATCTTAGTTTTCTTATGTCTATAAAAGGGAGCACAATATCTACTATACAGAGTGTAGTAGATATTAAAGTTTGAAAAATATCTGAATGTACATTCCCAATAGTTCTATTTCTTCCTGTCTATGTATATGTCTATCAGCATCTAGGGTTCTATCAATTATTGTAGTCTAGGAGTAGAGCATTAGTTATGAGGATAAAAAGGAGAATAATAGAACACTTAAGTAGCCTATATCCATGATTTTACTCCCAACAGGAAATGATGAGTTAAAACAAATGGTCAATTATGACAAAACATTCTGAAACTTTTATTTTTCACTGAAAATGATTACTAAAATGGAGAAACCATGATAATTTTATAATTGGTGGATTAAAATCTTTGATGTGTTATGTATTTTAACTTATTTCCTAATCATGGAAAATTTGTGGTTAAACATTGCAGTATATGGAGTTGGATGATCTGAAGTAATGCCAAACTCAGGCCTCGAAATGAATTTTGAGAAGTATGGGGAAATTTGGTGACTCTGGCAACAAGAAACATTTTGAAAACATTTTGGCCCTGCATCAAATGGATCATTGCCGTGGTAAGGGGTGGTAATTCACCCCTTACCCTGGTAATTCATCACCAGGGAAATTTCGTTCTTTCTTTGAAAACAAAATTGGTCTTTGTTTATGAAATGTATCAAGTATAAAGAATTGCAAAAGAGGAGATCGTTTCTAAGTTGTCTTATTTCATTTGTCAGTGTTTTTCACATAATAAAAAACAAATTATCTCCTCTACTTCTTCCTTGAGCTGCTCCCAAAGGCTTACAAAAAGAGAGAGAAGAGAGCACTAGAAAGAGCAATGCCACTTAGAAACCACATGGCAGGATTATGTAAAAGAATAAAAATAATGTAAATATATATATATACATACATATATACACATACACAAACATATATGAGTGTGTATATGTACATCAAAAATGCTGTTTGAATCTGTACTTAAAACTGAGAATACATCAAAAAGATCCGTAGGATTAATGGAGCCAAAAGCATAGAATAATAATAAAAAACAACTTCCTAGAATTAGTAGTACTTGGTCCACAAAACTTTTTCTCTGAATTTAAGATTAATATTTTAATTAAATAAATTAAAATAAATATTTATTTATTTATTGAGTCAGAGTCTGGCTCTGTCGCCTACGCTGGAATGCAGTGGTGTGATCTTGGCTCACTGGAACTGCCACCTCCTGGGTTCAAGTGATTCTCCTACCTCAGTCACCCAAGTAGCTGGGTCCACAGGCACATGCCACCACACCTGGCTGATTTTTGTATTTTTTGTAGAGACAGAGATTCACCATGTTGGCCAGGCTAGTCTCGAACTCCTGACCTCAAGTGCTCTGCCTGCCTCGGCCTCCCATAGTGCTTGGATTACAGGTGTAAGCCATGGTGCCCAGCCAAATATGTGTTTATTTTTTAACTTTGAAAAAATAAATTGAACTAATAAAATCCCCAATGAACTATTACCAAAGATATTCACCATGCAATATTGTGGTGTATATCTATTTTCCTTGAGTACATATAAAGATTCATATGAAAATAGCATATGATATGTATATGCATATATATGCATGTATATACATACCCATATACTATACATAATTCTACCTTTATGATTTAACATTGAATCACCAGCATAACCATATATTCATATCTAGTTTATAAAAAATGTTTTATAGTAGCTTCAGGACATTTTGTTGATTGACTACATTAGGGATTTTCTAGTACTCAGATGTTAGGATTGCTTTCAAATTTTAACTGTTATAAATAATAACATATAATTACACCGATACAAAAAAAACCTTTAATGAATGTGTTAAACTACCAAAAATTCCCTTTTAAAATAATAGAAAAGGAGAAAGATTGTGTTCCTTTACGCTAGGACTTAGTTTGGAAAGGGAAACAGAGTGTGTGGTTGCTGCTTATTCTCTGAGCAGTCACTGCGTAAAGGAAACCTATTCATACGGAAGAATGTATTAGTTTAGATTATTGCAAAGTGACTTCTGCAACGACTTCTTAGATAACATTATTACTTTTTAAATTTTTAATTTAGTGGGCACATAATAGGTATATATGTGTATGGGGTACATATTTTGATACAAGCATGCAATATGAAATAAGCAACTTAAAGAATGGGGTATCCATCCCCTCAAGCATTGCTCCATTGAGTTACACACAATCCAATTGCACTCTTTAAGTTATTTTAAAATGTACAGTTAAGTTATTGACTATAGTCACCTGGTTGTGTTATCAAACAGTAAGTCTTATTCATTTTTTCTATTTTTTTGTACCCATTAACCATTATCACTTCACTCCCCACCCTCCACTACACTTCCCAGACTCTGGTTACCATCTTTCTATTCTCTATGTCCATATTTTTAGAACCCACAAATAAATGAGAACAAGCATGTTTGTTTTCCTGTGCCTGGCTTATTTCAGCTAACATAATGATCTCCAGTTCCATTCATGTTGGTGCAAATGACTGGAACTCATTCTGTTTATGGCTGAATAGTACTCCGTTGTGTGTACGTACATTTTCTTTATCCATTTGTCTGTTGACTAACACTTAGGTTGCTTCCAAATCTTAGCTGTTGCAAACAGTGCTACAACACACATAGTAGTGCAGATGGCTCTTCAATATACTGATTTCCTTTCTTTTAGGTATATATCCAGCAGTGGGATGGCTGGATGATACGGTAGCTCAATTTTTAGTTTTTTGAGGAACCTCCAAACTGTTTTCCATAGTGCTTGCACAAATTTACGTTCCCACCAACAGTGTACAAGGATTCCCTTTTCTCCACATCCTTGCCAGGATTTGTTATTGCCCGTCTTTTGGATATAAGCTATTTTCACTTCTGTGAAATGATAACTCATTGTAACTTTGATTTGCATTTCTCTGATGATCAGCGATGTGGAGCACTTTTTCATATGTCTGTTTGCCATTTTGTATGTCTTTTTTTGGGAAATGTCTGTTTAGACTTTTGCCCATCTTTTGATCAGATTATTAGAGTTTTTCCTATAGAGTTGTTTGAGCTCCTTGTATAGTGTGGTTATTAATCCCTTGTCAGATGGGTAGTTTGCCAATATTTTCTTCCATTATGTTGGTTGTTTCTTCTCTTTGTTGATTGTTTTCTTTGGTGTTCAGAAGCTTTTAAACTTGACGTGATCTCATTCGTCCATTTTTGCTTTGGTTGCCTGTGCTTGTGTGGTGTTACTGAAAAAAATCTTCGCCCAGTCCAATGTCCTGGATGTTTTCCCCAATGTTTTCTTGTAGTAGTCTCATAGTTTGAGGTCTTAGATTTAAGTCTTTAATCCATTTTGATTTGATATTTGTGAATGGTGAGAGATAGGGGTCTAGTTGTATTCTTCTGCATGTGGATATCCAGTATTCCCAGCACCACTTATTGAAGAGACTTTCCTTCCCACTGCATGTCCTTGGCGCCTTTGTCAAAAATGAGTTCACTGTAAATATATGAATATGTTTTTGGGTTCCCTTTGCTGTTCTGTTGGTCTATGTGTCTTTCTTGAACCACATTTTCTTTATCCATTCATCTGTTGATGGACACTATTGAGAGGTGAAGCTGGCTGGGCTTCTGGGTTGAGTGGGGACTTGGAGAACTTTTCTGTCTAGCCTAAGGATTGTAAACACACCAATCAGCACTCTGTGTCTAGCTAAAGGTTTGTAAATGTGCCAATCAGCACTCTGTAAAAATGCACCAATCAGCGCTTGTGTCTAGCTAAAGGTTTGTAAGTGCACTAGTCAGCACTCTGTAAAAAAGCACCAATCAGCACTCTGTAAAATGGACCAATCAGTGCTCTGTCAAATGGACCAATCAGCAGGACATGGGCAGGGCCAAATAAGGGTATAAAAGCTGGCCACCTGAGCCAGCAGTGACAACGCGGTTGGGTCCCCTTTCACAGTGTGGAAGTTTTGTTTTTTGCTCTTCATAATAAATCCTGTTGCTGCTCACTCTTTGGGTCTGTACTATCTTTATGAGCAGTAACACTAGGTCTGTGGCTTCACTCCTGAAGTCAGCAAGACCACGAACCCACTGGAAGGAAGAAACTCCAGACACATCTGAACATCTGAAGGAACAAACGCCGGACACACCATCTTTAAGAACTGTAACACTCACCGCGACGGTCCGTGGCTTCATTCTTGAAGTCAGTGAGACCAAGAACCTACCAGAAGGAACCAATTCTGGACACACTATGGTTGCTTCAAAATCTTGATTCTTGTGAATAGTGTTGCAATAAACATAGGAATGCAGATATCTCTTTGATACACTGATTTCCTTCTAGGTAAATACCTAGCTGTTGGGTAGCTAGATCATAAGGCAGTTTTATTTTTAGTTTTTATGAGGAACCTCCAAACTGTTCACCATAGGGATTGTGCTAATGTACTTTCCCACCGACAGTGTATGAGTGTTCCCTTTTCCCCACATCCTTGCCAGCATTTGTCACTGCTTGTCTTTTGGATAAAAGCCATTTTAACTGGGTGAAATGATATCTCACTGTACTTTTGATTTCCATTTCTCTGATAATCAATGACGTGGAGCACTTTTTCATATGCCTGTTTACCATTTGTATGTCTTCTTTTGAGAAATATCTATTCAGACTTTTTGCCCATTTTAAAATTGGATTATTAGCTTTTTATCCTATTCAGCTGTTTGAGCTCCATATATATTTTGATTTTGACTCTCTTGTCAGATGGGTAGTTTAAAAATATCTTCTCCCATTCTGTGGGTTGTCTCTTCACTTTGTTCATTGTTTCTATAGAAGCTTTTAAACTTGATGTGATCCCATTTGTCCATTTTTTCTTTGGTTGCTTGTGCTTTAGGGGTATTATTCAAGAAATCTTTGCCTAGTCCAATGTCCTAGAGAGTTTCTTCAATGTCTTATTTTAGTGGTTTTATAGTTTGGGGTCTTAGAGTTAAGTCTTTAATCTATTTTGATAAGGTTTTTGTATATGGTGAGAGACAGGGGTCTGGTTTCATTCTTCTGCATACGAACATCCAGTTTTCCCAGCACCACTTATTGAAGAGACTGTCCTCTCCTCAGTGCATGATCTTGTCCACTTTGCCAAAAATAAGTTCATTGTAAATGTATGAATTTGTTTATGGGTTCTCGATTCTGTTCCATTGGTCTGTATGTCTGTTTTCATGCCAGTACCATGCAGTCTTAGTTACTATAGCTGTGTAGTATAATCTGAAGTCAGGTAATGCAATTCCTCCAGTTTTGTTCTTTTTGCTCAGGGTAGCTTTGGCTATTCTGTGTCTTTTGTGGTTCCATATAAAGTTTAGGATTGTTTTTTCTACTTCTGTGAAGAATGCTATTGGTATTTTGATAGGGATTGCATGAAATCCATAGATTGCTTTGGATAGTATACACATTTTAACAATATTGATTCTTCTAATCCATGAACATCGAATATCTTTCCTTTTTTTGTGTTCTCTTCAACTTGTAGCATCAAATTTTATAGTTTTTATTTTAGAGATCTTTTACTTCTTGGTTAAGTTTATTTTTAGGTATTTTATTTTATTTGTAGCTATTGTAAATAGATATTATTTTCCTGATATCTTCTGTCAGAGTGTTCACTGTTGGTGTGTAGAAATGCTACTGATTTTTGTATATTGATTTTATGTCCTGCGACTTTACTGAACCTGTTTATTAATTCTAATAGTTTTTAGGTGGAGTCTTTAGTTTCTCCAAATATAAGATTATATCCTCTGCAAACAAAGATAATTTGATTTCTTCCTTTCCAATTGCATTCTCTTTATTTATTTATTTTTTCTGTTGTCTGATTACTGTAGCTCAGACTTCCAGGACTGTATTGAATAACAGCGGTGTATGTGGGCATTTTTGTCATGTTCCAGGTCTTAGAGGAAAGGCTTTCAGTTTTATCCCATTTTATCACAGATACTAGCTGTGAGTATGTCATATATGGCTTTTATTGTGTTGAGGTGTGTTCCTTTTATACCCAGTTGTTTGATGGTTTTTAAATCACAAAGGGATTTTGAACATTACCAATTAATTTTTCAGCATCAATTGAAATGATAATATGGTTTTTGTCCTTCATTCTGTTCATAGGGTATATCACAATGATTATTTTTGTGTATGTTGAAACTTCCTAAGTAAAATCCCACTTGGTCATAATCAATGATCTTTGTAATGTGTTTTTGAATTTAATTTGCTAGAGTTTTGTTGAGAATTTATGCATCAATATTCATTAAAAATATTGGCCTGTAGTTTTTTTTCTTTTTTCTTTCCTTTTTTTAAATGTCTTTGTCTGGTTTTGGCTTCAGGGTAATACTAGCCTCATAGAAAGAGTTTTCAATTATTCTCTCCTCTATTTTTTAGAGTAGTTCAAGTAGGATGGTATTTGTTCTTCTTTAAATGCTTGGTAAAATTCAGCAGTGAATCCATCAGGTCCCAGGCTTTTCATTGCTGGAAGACCTTATTATGGCTTTAATCTCATTACTTGTTACTGGTCTGCTCAGGTTTTGGATTTCATCACAGTTCAGTCTTGGTAGGTTGTATATGTCTAGGAATTTATTCATTTCTTTCTAGGTTTTCCATTTTATTGGCATATAGTTTCTCAAAGTAGCTTCAAATTATCATTTTAATTTATGTGGTATCAGTTGTAATGTCTTCTTTTTCATCAAAGATTTTATTTATTTGGGTCTCTTTATTCTTCGTACCCTAGCTAAAAGTTTGTCATTTGCTTTATCTTTTCAAAAAACTAATCTTTTCTTTCATTGATCTTTTGTAATTTTGTTTGTTTCAATCTCATTTATTTCTTATCTTTATTGTTTCTTTTATTCTACTAATTTTGGGTTTGGTTTGCTCTTGCTTTCTTAATTATTTAAGATGCGTGATTAGGTTGTTTATTTGAAGCTTTTCTACGTTTTTGATGTAGACACTTACAGCTTAAACTTTCCTCTTAGTACTGCTTTTCCTGTATCCCATAGGTTATGGTTTACTGTGTTTCCACAGTTTCATGTTTTTTGTGGTTTTAAGAAATTGTTTAATTTCCTACATAATTTCTTCATTGACCCACTGATCATTCAGGAGCGTATTGTTTAATTTCCATGTGTTTAGGTAGTTTCCAAAGCTCTTCTTGTTATTTATTTCTAGAGGTATAGCATTGTGGTCAGAAAATATACTTGATATAATTTCAACTTTTTTGAATGTTTTAAGACTTGTTTTTTGTGTAATATATATTGCCTATCCTTGAGAATGACCCATGTGCTGAGGAGAAGAGTGTGCATTCTGCAGCTGTTGGATGAAATGTTCCATAAATAGCTAATAAGTCCATTTGTGAGGATTAAGACTGATGTTTGCTCATTGACTTTCTCTCTGTGTTATCTGTCCAGTGGCAAAAATGGGGTCTGGAAGTCTCCAGCTCATATCATATCGGGGTCTATCTCTCTCTTTGGCTCTGTTAATAGTTGATCTGTATGTCTAGGTGCTCCAGTGTTGGGTGCATATGTATTTACAATTGTCATATTCTCTTGCTGAATTGACCCCATTATCTTTATATAATAAACTTCTTTATCTCTTTTTACAGTGCTTGCCTTGAAATTTATTTTGTCTGATATAAGCATAGCTACTCCTGTTCTTTTTTGCTTTCCATTTGCATGGAAAATCTTTTCCCATCCTTTTATTTTCAGTTTCTATGTATCTTTATAGGTGAAGTGAATTTCAAGATCCCTGGGTCTTGTTTTTTAATCCATTCAGCCATTCTATGTCTTTTGAATAGTTTAGGCCATTTACTTTCAATGTTATTACTGATAAGTAAGTACTTACTCCCTCCATATTATTATTTGTTTTCTGGTTGATTTGTGGTCTGGTCTTGTCTTCTTTCCTTCTTGCTTTCTTATTAGTGAAAGTGATTTACTCTGGTGGCATGTTTTAATTCTTGCTTTTATTTTCGTGTATCTGTTGTGTTTTTTATTTGCAGTAACCATGAGGCTTGCAAATAATATCTTAATCCATTATTTTAAACTGATTATAACTTAACAGTGATTGTGAAACCACACTAACAAACAAGCAAAGAGAAAACTAATAAAAACTACACTTTAACTTCATTCCCCCAATTTTTAACTTTTGGTTGTTTCTATTTATATATTATTACACTTTCTATGTCTTGAAAAGCTGTTGTAGTTATTATTTTTGGTAGGTTCATTTTTTAGTCTTTCTACTCAAAATATGAATACACACCACAATTACAGTGTTTTAATAGTCTGTGTTTATCTATGAACTTACTATTACCAGTGAGTTTTGTACCTTCAAATAATTTCTTATTGCTTAATAAAGTCCTTTCTTTTCAGATTAAAGAATTCCCTTTAGCATTTCTTGTAGGACATGTCTGGTATTGATGAAATCTCTCAACTTTTGTTTGTCTGGGAAAGTATTTAATTCTCCTTCATGTTTGACAGATATTTTCATTGAGTATACTATTTCAGGAAAAAAGAATTCTTCCTTTAGCACTTTAAATATGTCATGCCACTCTCTCCTGGCCTGTAAGGTTTCCACTGAGAAGTCTGCTGCCAGACATATTGGAGCTCCTTTGTATGTTACTTGTTTCTTTTCTCTTGTTGCTTTTAGAATCCAGCCATTATTCTTGACCTTTGGGATTTTGATTATTAAATGTGTTAATATTAAATAGGCTTATTTGGGTTGACTTTTTCTAATTTTTTGAAGAATTACATTGATAATTTGATAGGGATTGCTTTGAATCTACAAATTGCTTTGGGGCCAGGCGCGGCGGCTCACGCCTGTAATCCCAGCACTTTGGGAGGCCAAGGTGGGAGGATCACAAGGTCAAGAGTCTGAGACCAGCCTGCCCAACATGGTGAAACCCCTTCTCTACTAAAAAAAAAAAAAAAAAAAATACAAAAATTAGCTGGGCCTGGTGGCGCATGCCTGTAATCCCAGCTACTCAGGATGCTGAGGCAGAATTGCTTGAACCCGGGAGGCGGAGGTTTCATTGAGCCGAGATCATGCCACTGCATGCCAGCCTGGGCAACAAGCAAGACTCTGTCTCAAAATAAATAAATAAAATGAATATATATATATATATATATATATATTGCTTTGGACAGGGTAATCATTTTAATGATTTTGATTCTTCACATCAATATTATGAAATGAGCTTGGGATGTTTTCCTGTTTGTGTCACTGTCGAGTCATCTATGATTTCTTTTACCAGTGTTTTATAGTTCTTGTAAAGATATTTTATCCCCTTAGTTAAATGTATTCCTAGTTATTTCTTTTCAATGTTTGTGGCTATTTTAAATGGAATTGAATTCTTGATTTTGTTCTCAGCTTGAATGTTATCAGTGTATAAAAATGCTACTGATGTCCATACATTGATTTTGTACTCTGAAGCATTACTGAAGTTGTTTATCGAGTCTAGGAGTCTTTTGGAGATGTCTTTAGGGTTTTCTAGGCATAAGACTGTTTCATCAAGAGAGACAATTTGACTTCCCCTTTTCCAGTTTGTACGCTTCTTATTTATTTGTCTTGACTGATTTCTCCGGCTGGCATTTCCAATACTTTGTTGAACAGGAATGGTGAGAGAGGACATCCTTGTTTTATTCTTTCTTAGGGGGAATGCTTTCAACTTTTTTCCAGTCAGTATGATGCTGACTGTAGCTTTGTCAATATGACTCTTACACTGAGGTATGTTCCTTCAACACCTAGTTTGTTGCAGGTTTTTATCATAAAGCGTTGTTGTGTTTTATCAAATGCTTTTTCTACATCTATTGAAATGATCATATTGTTTTTGTTCTTAATTCTGTTTATTTGGTGAATCACATTTATTGATTTGTGCATGTTGAATCCTCTCTGCATCCTTAGAATAAAACCCACTTGATTGAGATGAATAATCATTTTGATACGCTGTTGGATTTGGTTTGCTAGTATTTCATTGAGGATTTTTGCTTTTCTGTTCGCAGGGATATTGCCCTGTAGTTTTTTGTTTTTGTTGTATCCTCACCTGATTTTGGTGTCAAGCTGATGCTAATTTTGTAGAATGAATTAGGGAGAAATACTTTCTCCTTAATTTTTTGAAATAGTTTCAGTAAGATTGGCACCAGCTCTTCTTTGTAAACTTGGTAAGATTCAGCTGTGAATCCATCCGATTTGGGGCTTTTTTGTTTTAATATTTTTATTATTGATTCAATTTCATTACTCGTTATTGGTCTGTTTTGAATTTCTCTTTCTTCCTATTTCAATCTTGGGATGTTGTATGTTTCTAGAAATTTATCCATTTCCTCTAGGTTTTCTAGTTTGTGCACATAGAGATGAATCTCAAATAATCTTTTGCCTTTTTGTGGTATCAGTTATGTCACATTTATTATTTCTGATTGTGCTTATTTGAATGTTCTCTCCCTTTTTCTTGGTTAACCTAGCTAATGGTTTATTGATTTTGTTTATCCTTTCAAAGAAAACATTTTTCATTTTGTTGATTTGTATTTTTTAGTCTCAGTCTTAATTTACTCAATCGTCTTTACATCGTTGTTATTTCTTTTATTTTTTGGCTTTCAATTTGGTTTGTTCTTGCTTCCTAGTTCTTTCCGTTGCAACATTGATTGGTTAATTTGAAAGTTTCATCTTTTTGATGTGGGCCTTTAATGCTATAAATTTCCTCTTACCATTGCTTTTGCTATATCCCACAGGTTTTAATATGTTTTGTGTCTATTTTCATTTATTTCAAACACTTTTTTAATTTTTGCTGTCATGTTGTTGTTTTCCCAAAAGCCATGCAGTAGAAACTTGTTTAGTTTATATGTCCTTGCATAGTTTTGAGAGTTTCTCTTAGTATTGATTTCTAGTTTTATTTCACTGTGGTCCAGAAAGATACTTGATGTGATTTCAGTTTACGTTTTAAATTCATTAAGACTTGCTTTATGACCAAGCACATGGTCAGTTTTGGAGAATGTTCCAGGTGTGGGTGAGAAAAATGTATATTCTGCAATTGTCAGGTGGAATGTTCTGTAAATGTCTATTTGGTCCATTTGGTCTAGAGTCCAGTTTAAGTCCAGAGTTTCTTTGCTGACTTTCTACCTTGATGACCTGTCTAATGTTGTCAGTGTGATTTTGAAGTTCTGCAGTCTTATTGTATTGCTTGCAATCTATTTCCTATGTCTAGTAGTATTTGCTTTTTAAATCTGGGTGCTCCAGTGTTGAGTACATGTATAATCAGGATAGTTAAATCTTCTTGTTGTATTGAAAACTTTATTATATAATGCTTTTTCTGTATTTCTTTTTTACTGTTGTGGTTTAAAGTCTGTTTTAGCTGATATAAGAATAGCTACTTCTGCTCACTATTATCTTACATTTGCATAATATGCCTTTTTCCACTCCTTTACTTTGAGTGTGGATATCTTTAACCACTGGATGAGTCTCTTGTAGGCAGCAAAGTGATAGTGTCTTAAAATCCAATTTGCCCTCTATATCTTTAATGTAGAGCATTTAGGCCTTTAAATTTCAAGGTTAAAATTGATATGTGAGGTTTTATTCATGTCATAATTTTATTAGCTAGTTGCCTTGGAGTCTCAATTGTGGAATTATGTGATCTGTGAATTATAGGAATTTATAGGATCTGTGAACTTTCTCCTTATGTGTGTTTTAATTATGGCAAGTATTGTCCTTTTGTTTCTATGTTTAGAACTCCTTTGTGCATTTCTTGCAGGGCCAGTCTAGTCTTGACAAATTCCTTTAGTATCTGTTTATCTGGCAAAGAATCTATTTCTCCATTTATGAAGCTTAGCTGGGCAGGGTATGCGTTTCTTGGATGACATTTATTTTTTCTTTAAGGGGGCAAAAAATAGGTCCCCATTCTCTTCCAGCTTGGAAGATTTATTTTGAGATGTCTGCTGTTACTTTGAAGTTATTTCCTGTATAGATAATTTTATGCTTCACTCTAGCTGACTTTAAGATTTGTTCTTTTACATTGAACTTGGATAGTCTGCTGGCTGTATGCATTGGTGGTGTTAGTCTTGTATAATATCTTACATGTATTCTCTGAATTTATTTTATTGTATTAGTTGTCTACATCTCTAGTAAGTCTGAAAAAATTTCCCCTAATTATTCCCTCAAATATACTTCTAATCTTTTTACTTTTTCTTTTTCTCCCTCAGGAATGCCGATAAGTCTTCAGTTTGGTTGGCTTTACATAATCCTGTATTTCTTCAAGGCTTTGTTCATTTTTAAAAAATCTTTTTTTTTTTTTTTTTTTTTTGGTCTGGGATAGTTCAAAACGCTAGTCTTTTAGCTCTGAAATTCCTTCTTCTGCTTAGTCTAGTCTGTTCTTGAAGCTTTCAACTCTGTTTTGAAGTTCATTCAGTGAATTCTTTCATTTCTCAAAATTCTGTTTTATATATGTATAATTGTCTTTCATCTTCTGGATTGTTTTCCTGGTTTCTTTTTGTTGGTTTTCAATTTTCTGTTGGCTCTCATTGAGCTTACTTACAATTCACATTTTGATTTTTTTAATCTGTCCTTTCAAAGTTTTTATTTTGGTTAAGATCCATTGTTAGAGAACAAGTGTGGTCCTTTGGGATTGTCACAACATTCTGTTTCTTCTTGGTGCTGGAGTCCTTTTGCTGGTTCCTTCTCATCTGTAGAAGATGTCACTTCTAATTTTTGCATTTACTTTCATTTGTTTGGGGTTTTTGTCTTCCTCCCTTAAGGGTGCAACTGTTGTGTATGTTGGGTGGGACCCTTCAGGCTTTGTGTCTTTGTGCCTTTAGGAGACCAAGGCTCTGTATGATTTTCTTGGACGTAGCCTCCTTGTAGCAGTTTTCTCAATTGCTAGTTGTTTGCAGGTTGTAACGTTGTTGTGCTGTGCATGTGGTCAGGCTCACTGTCTCCTATAGAGATAAGGAGGTGGAAGTCTCAGCGGGCTTATCTCATTACCCAGCATTGTGCACTTCTGTCAGCAGGAATTACATTGGGTTGTGCCCAGCCCATCACAACTGCTGACATCATTTTATAGTGCTCAACTGGTTCAGTGGGTGATACTTGTGAGCAAGAAGCTGAGCACTGTAGAAAGACGTCAGCAATTGTGATGGGCTGGAAAGTTTGACCTCCTGGCCAGTAGGTGGTCCTTGCAAGTGAGAGACAGTTGCAGTGCTAACAGTGGAATTCTTACTTGGCCTTTCTTGGTGGGAGAAGTATCTAGGTGTCCCTGGCAATGAGCAAGGTAAGGGGTTCTCAGGGTTTCTACCCCAGGCTGTGCTGTCAAGGTGGCTGGAGGGGATAAAACTGGTCATGGCTGGGCCTGGTGAGCAGCACCACCAGGCTCTCTGAGGCAGGTGCAAGCACTGAGCTTGTCAGGGTCTAGGGGTAGCTCTCAGCATGCTGGGCTACCCTGCAAGGAGGTGCCTCTTCTGTGCCATGGAGCCTGCTCAGGGGAAGAGGGGCAGCCCAGGTTCCCAGGTTTCCAGGTTTCCAGGCAAAAAGATGGCTGTGGGTCCCCCCAGCTTCCACACTCCAGACCCTGGAGGGGAGAGGGTTTCCCCTGGTATCCTCATGGCAACAAGCCTGACTGGTTAGGTTAGTTCCAAGCCTCCCACACCCAGATTGCTGTGCCATTCTAGACATTCCAGACCTGCTGCAGAAACCAGTCACACTCTTCTGTGTTTTAACAGTGGGGGCTCCTCCCCTGCTGGAGATCAGGCCACATATCTCATCCCCATATTCGTGGGTGGTGTGCTCAAGTCCTGGGGAACTGAGACCAGGCCAGCAGATTTGTCCCCTGCCTCCTCGGGGTCAAGTACCAGCAGTGATGGGGTGTTGAACTGCTCTCAGGCAGTGAACAAACCACTGAGTCGGGCAATGGAAGCCATGCTTTCTACCCACTCCCTCCATGGTGGGAAAGGCCAAGCAGGCAGTCTTGGGAAGGACCAGCGGGCAAGGGGGCATGTGATCAGATGCCCCTTGGTCCCATGACAATGTCAGTGAGGCCTGTCTTGGGTATGTGGGCATACCCTGGCCACACTCTCTCCCAACCTAACATACAGCAAGAGCTGCAGCTGTTCACGGCAGGAGACAGAGACTTGGGAGGTGGGGCCCAGATTCACGTTTTGCTCCATCTGCCCAGCACACTGATTGCTGCCTTTTAGGCTCCATGTAGGTTCAAGCAGTGCTCTGTGTGTTCCCCAGGAAACTTCCCATGCTAAATGTCTGGAGCGATCATGGGAACTCCTGTAGCTAGGATCTCAGAGGTCCACGATGGGAATGAGGTACACCAGGGTCCTTCACTCACCCCTTTTTTGGGTCTAGTCTGGGCTAGGGGCTGGTCCTGGAGCGGGGTGAGGTGAGCAGGAAGCCTTGCTCCCTGCTTCTATCATGGTGTCTCCCATTGCTTCTCTATTGAATTTCAGTGTTTTTTTTTTCTCAAAAGATAAGTTCAATGTGTGAAGGTTCACTTGACATTTGGGTTCTTCCCCAGGAAAAAGGTACATCCCAGCTACATCTAGCCAGCCATCCTTGGGAGGGTATTTTGTTGCATCCTTCAAATTTTATATTCTTACTTAAATTTAAATGCACAGAATTTTGCTCCCAGTCATGATGGAGTGATAGGACTGAACTTAACCCACTGTCATTAAAAATTAAAAGAATAGAGAAAATACATGAAACAACTGTTTCAGGTAAAAGATGACAGACAGCCTGGGACTGTGATTGTGGGGACTGTGGGGAAACACACAAATGAAGTGAGTCCTGTGATCATAATTCAGATGTTTGCCTGAGAGAGTTTTTGGATCATGAGCATAAGGAGGGAGAACACAGACTGAGCCCAGCATTCTCACTGGATTGACAAGATGGGGGAGGAAATTAAAGGGGTTGAGAGGGCTGGACGTTGTGGGACAGAGTTCTGGGAAAGGAGTCTTATGGTGAAAGAGCACTACAGATGAGTACAGAAATACCCTTGAGGCATTGCTGAATACTATCCCATCCTACATAGAGTAGGTAGATTTTTAAAAGGCTGGGCAAGGGATGGTTAAGTGGAACACTGCTCAGAGCTCACACAAGGTAAAAGGATGTCCAAATCACCACCAGACCCACTGGAGAATCCTTAATTCTCATTCACTGAGGCTTTTAGCAGAACCCCAGAATAGTCACACCTTGTAGAAGAGCACAACTTTCTCTGGAGTGAAAGCTGCTTCATGCCCACACTAGTGAAATGTGCAATTAGTCTGCAAAGGGGACACAGAAGATTTTCAGTAAAAATTTTTCACTGTAAGATTTTTTTTAATTTCTCATCCAGTTCTTTATACAATTTTGAGGAAAATAATTAAAATTACTTTCATTAATTAAACACTAGTGCACAAATTTTTGTATAATTTATATATACATATTTATATGCTAAATTTATGCTAAAACATCTTACAGGAAGGAGAGCTGAAAAAGTTTGTGAACCAATTGTTCATAAAGCAGTGGAGTAGGATTCAGTGTATAGGTCCAAAGATAGTGGGTCATTTGAGGAAATTAGATGTTTCTATTTAATAGATTAGTATTAAGCACTAAATTAGCCATTTAATGACATGGAAAATTATTGTATTTCATAGTAAGGGGGAAAAGCCTATACAATATATAAATGTGATGTAAATGCTTAATATAGGTTTATTTTTCACCTGAGTAAAAAATGGAGAGCTATATAGTACAATGAATACAACATTAATTCTGTCTACCTATCTAACCATCTATCTATCCACTATGCTGTATTTTTTTGTTTTCCTCTTCTATGTCATTTTTCTACATTTTCTGTAAGCATATGGATTCCTTTTGTTATTATAAATTCTATGTGTTCAAAAGGCTATGTCATATTTATATTGATGACATGTCCCTTAGAATATTGTTGGCATTCAATTTATACTTAAAGAATGAATAAATGAATAACAATTTAGTATTCTGAAAAATTATTTCTCAGATAAATACATTCTATTTCTTCTAATTAAGCAACATTATACTAAGTATTCTAAAGTAATAACTTTAAGAGCTTGGTAGTCATCTTTTGTTCTTTGCTTAGATATTTTAAAAATATGTATCATTTGTGCTTGCACTCAGCTCTTTCTCCTTGCATTTATATGCACAAAATTTTAAAAGCTTGTGAAACTCTTCTGGTGCTTCATAAGATTAAATGTCTCAGCAGTAATAATTGTTTGCTTACGAATCAGATTTTGATCCAGAGCATTTTCTGAGTATTTATAATGCTCTACTTCCTCTTCAGTTACTACAGTTTTCACTACATTCTCTTTATAAAATTGAGTTGGGGTGTGATGAATAGCATGACTTAATAAATTAGCAGAAAGTCAGGGCGTGGGGAGAGGCAAGAATGAAAGGGAAAACAAGCTACACAAACTCTAGAGTTGTCTTAGAGAATGTGAGGGAGATGAGAGTGGTGAGCTAGGAATGGAGGGGAAATGGTTGTAGGAGAAGGCTTCAGTCAGCAAAAGAAGCAAAGTCAAATTATGCCAACCATACTGTGACTTATTTTCATTCAGACCTACCATGTTTCTTGGCATCAAAATTCAATGAAGCCCCACTCATGACTTCCAGTTCCCTCAGTCTCCTGAGAATTGACTAAAGAAACATACACATGACCACACATTTATGTGGAATACCAGCAAAATTTGTAATGTAGAAAGAATTATCTTGTAGGAAGAAGTCTTTATAACTAAAATAACTTAATATCACTACATAACTACTATTCAGTATCATCATTTATTAATTCTGCATTTATTTTACAAGATATTTCTTGCATTTGTTTTTAACTTTACATAATTAATTGATTTGTTAGAGAAAAGTAAAATCAGAGGACATGTGTAACATAAAATTTTAGTTGTAAATTTGGCCAGAACAAAATTTCAAATCTTCCAAACAATCAGAAGAAACACACACACTAACACATGCAAACAACACAGGCATTAAGTTAAAAAATAATTTTAAACAATAATAAAACAGTAATATAATAACAAAATATGAATTTAAAACCAAGAGCCACCACATTTATTATATCAAGAACCACTGCATTTATTATACCAACACTCCCAGTTGGAATTACAGAATAAAATGCAACTGCATATTATTGTATGTAAGTCAGGAAAGCGAAGTGACTCATAATAGTCAGATGGACATAGCATGCCAGGCACAAATTGAGATCAAGAGTCACGATACCAGTCAGCATTAAATTTAGAGTTACTAAACACTACAGGACACAAAGAAGGGCAATTCATATTGATTAAGTATGCAATCTGCAACTAAAATCTAATAGTTGTGAATATCCATGCATGTAATAAAATATCATAAACATTTATAAAACAAAACCACAGACAATATAAAGAGAAATTGAAGTGATGTAGTAGGCAATTTGATTCATATCTTTCCTGCAGCACAGCATGTGAACAAAATAATGATGAATAAGACCTAGGTAATCTGATGAATAAAAATATCTACTCAGTACAGTGAATTCTGTACCCTGAAAACAGAGGATGTGCCTTTTTGTTAAGTAACCATATGCCCAACCACCTGTCCAAGGAGTACTGCAACTGGTCTAAGACATTTTAACCATGACTCTTAAACGCTGTTTGGAAAATTGCCCCCTGTCCTGGTTCTCAGACAATAAAATCAGGAATTGTCTCAGGCCAAATTGTATAACCCAAGTCTATGAGTGACAGATGAGGACTTCTTCATGTCTGAGGGTGCTATTTTCCTGCAGTGATAAATTGCACAGGATTATCTCAGAGATTGATGAACCACACCTGGCCCAGATGAGCTATTCTCTGGCATGGATTCAGATGTGACTACTAGCAGGATTTCTAAAGCGTCATCTGTACCAAACTGGAATCAGAGAAATTTTTATACTTTAAGGAGTTCTAGTGCAAACTTTGTTCATTTATATGTTGTCATCTGTAGCTTTGCTTTCTGTAGTGAGGAATTTTAGCGCCAAATGTCCACTATGTTTGTAAAAATATTACTGATCATTTTGCTACCTGCCAGTATTGAGTTGCTATATTTGTATCTTTTAGATAATTAAATGATGTTTGAATTATCCTTGTAGAATCTCTGTTATTTTCAACAGTTTTTACCCACTGTTGACTCTTGTCAATGAAATGACCATTCATCCTAAAATAGCTACAAGAATTAACAAAGAAAACTCCAAACCATTTATACAGGAAGAAAATACATTATGACAAAGACATTTTCTTATCAAAATATGATAACAATAAATGAAGAAAAACTAGAAACTAAAATATCCACTATTTAAACTTTGAACATTCTCTTTAAATGACTTTTGGCTAAGGCTGAGGAGGGAGAGTTAGTGGCAGAAAGGATTGTTGCTCAATATCTCCAAAGTAATTATAATAAAATATTACATTACATTAGATAGAGCCAC
Source organism: Homo sapiens (assembly GCF_000001405.40). NCBI lineage: Eukaryota > Metazoa > Chordata > Mammalia > Primates > Hominidae > Homo > Homo sapiens. Next base: position 107,936,773 of record NC_000013.11, on the reverse strand, counting down.
ACTCCAGAAATAAATACAGCAATAAATACAGCAATAAATAATTGCATTATCAATTGAGAAGAATTGAGAAATAAATACAGCAATAAATAATTGCATTATCAATTGAGAACACATAATTACCCAAAAATCCAACTAAAGGAGTTAGAAAAATAACAAAAAAAACCCTAAAAGACAAAAATTTGAGAGTAAAAGGTAAATTTTAGTAAAGATAAGGCAGACATTAATAAAATTGTCAAAAGAAATATATCTAAGAGCTTGATTTTTGAAGTAAAAAGATACAATAAAGTACAGAAATTGTTAGCTAACTTTTTCAAAGAAAACGAGTGGTGGGAAGCAAAACACAACTACTCAAAGCAAGACATGATCAGGACAATCTAACCACAGATACAGACGGGTTTTGATTCATGAGACTTCTGATTCAACGCTAAGCAAATAATTTTGTAAACAAACAGAGATATAGATCAATGGAACAGAACAGAGCCCTCAGAAATAATGCCACATATCTGCAACCATCTGATCTTTGACAAACCTGAGAAAAACAAGCAATGGGGAAAGGATTCCCTATTTAATAAATAGTGCTGGGAAAACTGGGTAGCCATATGGAGAAAGCTGAAACTGGATCCCTTCCTTACACCTTATACAAAAATTAATTCAAGATGGATTAAAGACTTAAACGTTAGACCTAAAACCATAAAAACCCTAGAAGAAAACCTAGGCATTACCATTCAGGACATAGGCATGGGCAAGGACTTCACGTCTAAAACACCAAAAGCAACGGCAACAAAAGCCAAAATTGACAAATGGGATCTAATTAAACTAAAGAGCTTCTGCACAGCAAAAGAAACTACCATCAGAGTGAACAGAAAACCTACAAAATGGGAGAAAATTTTCTTAACCTACTCATCTGACAAAGGGCTAATATCCAGAATCTACAATGAACTCAAACAAATTTACAAGAAAAAAACAAACAACCCCATCAAAAAGTGGGCAAAGGATATGAACAGACACTTCTCAAAAGAAGACGTTTATGCAGCCAAAAGACACATGAAAAAATGTTCATCATCACTGGCCATCAGAGAAATGCAAATCAAAATCACAATGAGATACCATCTCACACCAGTTAGAATGGCAATCATTAAAAAGTCAGGAAACAACAGGTGCTGGAGAGGATGTGGAGAAATAGGAACACTTTTACACTGTTGGTGGGACTGTAAACTAGTTCAACCATTGTGGAAGTCAGTGTGGCGATTCCTCAGGGATCTAGAACTAGAAATACCATTTGACCCAGCCATCCCATTACTGGGTATATACCCAAAGGACTATAAATCATGCTGCTATAAAGACACATGCACACATATGTTTATTGCAGCACTATTCACAATAGCAAAGACTTGGAACCAACCCAAATGTCCAACAATGATAGACTGGATTAAGAAAATGTGGCACATATACACCATGGAATACTATGCAGCCATAAAAAATGATGAGTTCATGTCCTTTGTAGGGACATGGATGAAATTGGAAATCATCATTCTCAGTAAACTATTGCAAGGACAAAAAACCAAACACCGCATGTTCTCACTCATAGATGGGAATTGTACAATGAGAACACATGGACACAGGAAGGGGAACATCACACTCTGGGGACTGTGGTGGGGTGGGGGGAGGGGGGAGGGATAGCATTAGGAGATATACCTAATGCTAAATGACGAGTTAATGGGTGCAGCACACCAGCATGGCACATGTATAAATATGTAACTAACCTGCACATTGTGCACATGTACCCTAAAACTTAAAGTACAATAATAATAATAATAAAAAGAAATCTAGCAATCCACCAAAACTAATCAAAGAAGATACAGGAATTCTAAACATACATTACTTTAGAAGAATTACTTTTGACGATTACTTTAGAAGAATTGGGAAAGTTTTCAGCCAGTAGTCACCTGAAAGATGTTTTAGTTCCAGATGCTTTCACCAGCAGGAAGCTACCAAATCAGCTCAGGTGAAATATCTAAGTTATTAATATTTTCCTTTGTAGAAATGAAAGGAACTTTGATGAACAAGCTTTTTTTTCCCCTCTAACATCTGATTCTGGTCCTTCTAAATCTTGCATTTAAAGTATTATAAAAAGCACCAATTAAATCAATGAAGAGCTGGAGAGGCAGAGAGCCTCCTGTGAATTTTGGCTGAAAATTCTCTAAAAGAACTGGGTTCCTAGGCTTTGAACAAATGGGTAGCAGCCCAGTAGCTGTTTTTAGTAAATGAGAGTAACACGCTTAAATGGAAATGACATTACAGTAGGCATTGGGAAACTTGAGCTATGTACTAGTTTCATTACCCAGTGACCATTTTTGTCCTTGAGCAATAATTTACTGTTTTTTTTGGGTGTGTTTGTGTGTGTGTGTGAATTTCATATTCTTCAATTGTTCAATGGGAAGATAACTGGGGAGAGGAAGATTTTCATATATTAATTGGTTTCCACCACTATTTGAAGAATGCTTAAATAAGTTGAAATAATGATAGGGAAAATGTAGTGTCTTGCACACCACAATGGGTGGAATAATATTGGTACTACCCACATATGAAAATTTGCCATGGATTGCTAAGAATATTTTATAGAAAGTCATGGATTTATCAATACCATACTCAAATGTGCAAAGGAGATTTCGCTTCTTTCTCTTTCTTTTTTCTTTCTTTCTTCTTTCTTTCTTTCTTTATCTTTTTCTTTTTATAAGTGATCCTTTTACTTTATAGCTTCCCTTCCCACTGGGAATTGGAAAAATACAATTTAAACCCAATGTATTCAATTCAGTCTCAGGGATAATTTAAACAGTCCTTTGAGGAATTGTTCAATGCTGTTAGGGGAAATTGTTCACCGTAATATTACCCTCATCCTCATTTCTCTATCCAAGATGGTGCCTTGTGTCTGTGAGGGGCTTGCTCTATCACTTGGCAGTACAAGAGTAGGGGTCTTCCACTCATCACCCTGTTCTGTGCTTTCCAACTGATCTCTGTAGAGTACTTGGTTAAAGTTGCTTTCTGGTCATTCTGCTGGAAATTCTGCTAAAGATTCTGGCTGGTAAGGCAGGTAGCCCATTTCCTTTTAGCTTGATGAAAGCCTGATCATCTTCCAAAGCTGATATTACACACCTGGGATCATGCTGGTTTCCCTAACCCTCTCTCAGTTACCTCTAGTCCCTCTTTTCATCTTCTGGTCAGGCCATCAGTGGCACAGCTTTGACTGTGAAGTCACCCTTTCCTTAGACCATTCAGAATTCACAAGAAGACCTGCACCCTACTATTTACCTTATAAGGATATCCAAGAATTTTTGGGCTCTGGCTTCACCATACAGAAAAATTGGATGACTTGGGAAAACTAAAATCTAGCGAGAGAAAAAAACAATTACATTGTGGAACCACATTTACTTTATTTTGAAAACCTTCTAAGTTGGTGTGGGGTGAAGAAAAGCACATCCTGAATGCTCTAAATCCTCATTTCCTCCTCCTTTTCTGGTGAGAATCTAGCTCAGCATGTTCCAGTTGATTCAATGGAAGAACATCTCCAGAAACTCTTATTTTTAAATAAAGTTATATCTATAGCAGGAAGCACCCATTGTTACCCAGTAGACTGCATGGTCTCTGCCCTCCTTTCTCTGTAATATGCAGAGTAATGTGAAGGGTTGGGTCTCTCTAGTGGTGTACTTCTTTGGTGTTGTAAGCTCCTGCCAACACAAGCTGCCTCCCTGCAGAATGGCAAAAAACAAACAAACACAAAAAACATGGGAACATCGTGCTCTGCTAGTTCTCTGCCTCCGTTTCCCCACTCACCCTTGTTTTACAGTTACAGTGCACAGCACACCTGTTGCTGTGTGTCTGTGCTAACATTGTACAATAAGGCAAAGACTGCATACCTCCTTACTCAGGCCAGGAGGTGCCATGTTAAATAACATCACATCATACCTCCGGCTCACTGTAATCTAAGGCAGAACTACAGAGACAGTATCCTGTGGTGTGCTGGAGCTGTCTCCTCTCCACAGGGGAGAGATGACTGTTAAAGTTTTTAAATGCAACCTTTATTAAAAACTACATTATATAAACTTACAATTAAATGAATTATATTAAAACAAAAAATACTCAAGACTCATGACTTCCTAATTATTTTGCTACTATCTGTGCTTTTGAGAGTATTTACATCTGCTGCATCTGTATGATGGACCTGTGACACCATATTGCACTACTGCACATTTCTTCCCAACTCTGCATTCAATGGCATTGTGTTTATATCCTGAATTTGGTCACGGTAGGAGTATTTACACCATGGCAACTGGCACATACTAAAAGCATGGGCTTTGTTTTTTTCTTTGTCTTGGAAAATTGATTATTAAGCACTTGATAATACATCACTGACATACCTCCCCCAAAATGGAGACTATTATTTATTGATGACTAGCAGCCAAGAACAGAGTAATATCAACATGGTCATTAGACTCTGAGAATGAAGTTCCTGGGAAAAACTTTCTCTTTCAAAGAAAGCATGGCAATCTGCCACTTATCCATTATTTAAGATATGTAATCAGATCTCAGTTATATACTAACAAGGACTTCTCATGATGAAAACGAACAGTCATTTAATATGACTTTGTAATTTTTTATCTATTTGGCAATGCATTTACCTATCTAAATATGCTTAGTTTAATTCAGTTAATCAGGTATTTATTAACTTCCTCCACAAATACCCTTTGACAGAAGGACTCTGCAACCAATCCTGGGAGAAAAAGGAAAATAGACTGGTTAATACATTTTGCCAGAAATAATAAATTCAAGAAAAATTCTACTCTGACCATTCCTTTCATGCCAAAAATTTTAATGTTGTTTGAAGTTAACTGTTTTTCAGTTTCTATGTTTTTTGATTATTTGATAAAAATCTTAATTTAGTTGTTTACCCAGCACACACTTAAAAAGAACAATAGGAGTTCAAAGATGTGTAAAGCATGGTCTTTGCTCTCAAGGAAATAACAATCCAATTGTAGGAAACAGCCAGATAAACAACAAAGTGAAGATATCCAACAACAAAGTGTGTGCAATGGTATGGATGAGGAATGATTTTGGGGAGCACGTGTGTGGATAAATGTGCCTTCAAGGATATAAACATGCTGTGGTCTGCCTCACTTTCCTTCCTTCCTTCCTCCCTCCCTCCTTTCTTTCTTACCTTCCTTCCTTCCTCCCTCCCTCCCTCCTCCCTTCCCTCCCCTTCCCTTCCCTCCCTCCTTCCTTCCTTCCTTCTTTCTTTTTGTACTTCCTCCCTTCCTTTTGTTCCTTCACTCTTTTCCTCTCTTTCTGATATACCCTCAATGCTCCTTCTGGGTGAATCCATCTTTTGAAATACACGGTGATATCCCTTGTCCCTCAGTTGCTTCATGTGTTACTGTGAAAACAAAACCAATTTTAGCATCAAAGGATATTTTCAAGTATTTTTCTTCACTAGGCAAGCTGTAAGAATCTTCAGCTGTTTTGTTGCCATGGTGAGTGGAGTTCAAGCGATATTTCTAGTCAGAGAGGAAAATCTATAAAATGAATGCTAATATGAAATAAACTTACAGCCGTCATCCTCTCATGCAGTAGTTTAAATGTTAGTGTCGTTGCCTTCTTCCACAATGCAGAGAAGTAGGTGATGGTGCCTAAAGGCTGGGGACAAGGATTGCCCATTTTCTCCTCTTTGCAAATTCAGTTTTGAAAACATCTGAAGTTATAAACTGTACTTTATTTCAAGAATGGGCTTAAACGTGATCACAGTGGAAAGATAATTTTTTTTCTGGGGACAGAGGAACTAGGTTTGAGTCAGCCCTTCAGAAATTACCACCTCCTATGTGATCCAGCATATTTCACGAATTTGCAGGAACTCATTTTTTTTTCACCTACTAAAAGGTAAAAAGAAAAGAAAAAAGAGAAAAGAAATAATCTTTGTCCATTTCAGAAAGCCCAAACTGTGCCTTTTTTTACACAGTTTGTGTGATGGAGTGGTTCTTTCATGGGTCTTTATAGCTATAGTTAAAATATGCGTCTACTAGTAAATGAGTTGGGATGGGCTGGTACTTCAGATAATGTTGCTGTTGTTCTAGTATGAGATCTAGCAAAAAAAATTTAATGAGCAAAGAAATATGATAAATAGAATGATGTTTAATCCAGAAAAGTGATGTAATAGGAGGACCATCATCTAGGACCCTCTAATGAGGAAGGAGCTAGAAGGGGCAGCTATCCGGGACAGAGTTGGATGTAGCTGTGGGATAAGGTGCAGACTTTTCAAGAGGATGCTCTCGGTAGGCTGGTAGGTAGAGAAAACTCACATTGCCTACTGGCTTCATGTCAGTAAGTAGAAGGACCCCAGAGAAGCAGGGGACAGAACATAGTGCACAGTGAATTATATAACATCCTTTATTAGAGTCCTGCTATTTCATGTTGTTAGGTGGTTCACATATTATAACCCTCAAACAACATTTACCATCTTCTAACTCAAGCCCACTGACGCCCTGTTTTCAACTGTTGGCTTTTCTTCTCATTTAACAGAGAAAATTGAGTCAAATAGAAGAGAAACTTCTATTCTCTCATTACTAAATCCCCACATTCACGCCACTATGCCCATGTGTTCTACCTTTCCTGCTGTGATCATAAATAGACCTACTAAGCTGAAAGCTAATTATAACCTCTCCATTTGTGGAATAAATCTCATCTACTCTTGCCCACAATGTTTTTGTTTTTCCAGTTGAATCGTATCCCTAATTTCCAGGCTATATATATGTCTTCTGAGGCTGAGTCATAAGAAGTCGTTTAGTTTCCTTCTTTGTCTTCTTGAATGCTAGATCAGGGAAATGCAGCTGGGATGCAAAAAGTCCAACTGTCCTGAGCCTGCCATGCTGCGAGGAAGCCCAATCTGGGTGTATAGAGAGCAGGAGCAGTGCCAGCCAGTGTAGTGCAGGAGACATGTTGGAAAACCCAACTCCAGCAGATGCCACAAGATTGAACCCAGACACAGAGCCAGTCAACCTCCCTAGCCATTGCTCACCATTTGAGCCATGCCAACTAGGTGGGACACATAGAGAGGTGTCAAATGGTCTCTGCTGTGTCCAAACCAAATTTCTGACTCCCAGGATCATAAGCATTAAAAAAGTTGTTTTCTGCCACTAATTTGGAGTGGTTTGTTAGGCAGCAATAGATAGCTGGAATATTAATTTAAATGTATCTCAACAAATCCACTAAACCTACTGTTGCCAAGATTACCAGCAACCTCCATGTGACGAAAATCTGTTTTTCTCGAATTTCCTCTCTTTGGCCATTTCCTGAAACTCCTTGTTTAATTTCTAAGACACTCTTCCGGTTTTCCTCATCACGTATTGGGTCTTCCCAGATCACTGTGCAGGCTATGTTCCCTGTCCCTCTCCCGTGCTCTCTGTTGGTGGGTGTGGCTATGTGTTAAATGCCTCAAGACTCAATATTTGTATTTCTTCTTAGCTCTACCTTCACTTATTTATAAGTGCTATCTGGATTTAGAGTGCTAAATACAGTCCATTCCCATTATTCATAGATTCTACATTTGAAAGTTCAACTAAAATTTATTTGTGACCACAGAATCAATATTCAAGCAGTGTCTTTGTGGTCATTGGCAGATATGCACAGAGCAACCAAGAATCTGAGTTGCCACACCACCCCCAGCTGAGACTGAACAAGGTGAGGCAACATTCTCCTCTCAGTTGTCATACTGAGACATCCAGGGGATGGAGCACGCAGAGGCAGTGCAGCGCAGCCTAGCCCAAGAAGCTCTGGCTGTGGGGTCAGATGTATCCAATGTGAATCCCAGCTCTAGCACCTGTGAGTGAGGAGGCTTCAGGCAAGTCACGTAACACTTGACTCATTTTCTCTTTTTATGAAATAAAGAAAATAGAGTCTACTAGGATGAGTTGTTTTTAGGATTGAATATTATTATCCATCATGATAGATATATGAACTACTGTCTATATTGAAAATACACAAGATCCTACCAAAAACTACTAGAATTAAAGTTAGATTAGCAAAATTAAATGATACAAAGTCAATATACAAAAATTGGTCATTTATGTATGCTAATAATAGAACTTTGGAAAATTACATTTTAAATTATTTTATTTCCAATAGCATAGTGCATTTAAAAACTTATGAATAAATCAAACGAATAATGTGCAAAACATTGTTGAGAGAAGTTAAATAAGACCTAAATAATAGAGAAATATAATATGTCCATGGACTAGGAGGCATAATAGTAGTAAGAGTCCACTATTCTCTAGTTAATCTTTGGATCATCAAAATCCCAATCAAAATTCCAATTATTATTTTTCTGGTAGGAATTGACATGTTGGTTCTAAAAAAAATACCAAAAGGCAAAAGAGTAGAATAGTCAAAAATACTTTGAAAAGAAGGATAAATCTGGACAATCTACCCTACCTGACTTCAAACTTACTATAAAGCTATAGTACACAAGACTGTGTGGTAACAGTATAAATGTATACACATAGATAGTTGGTACAAAACAAAGGGTCCAGAATTAGACTTAATAGTCAACTGATAGTCAACAATAGTATCAACATAATTCAATGAGAAAAAAACAGTCATTCAAACAAATAGACTTGCAATGACTAGATATTTGTGTGAGGGGATAATTACCTGTGACTTCTACCTTATATCGTACACAAAATTAATTAGATACATACCTCAGATGTAAAGTTTCTAGAAAAAGTAGCAGGAAATATATGCACCCTTGAAGTTGTCAAAGGTATCTTACAAACAAAATTCTACTAATATTGAATAGGGAAAACAATATGAATTGAACTTCATCAAAATTAAAAAATTTTGCTCTTCAAAAGAACTAGTAAGAAAATGAGGCTGGGTGCGGTTGCTCATGCCTGTAATTCTAGCAGTTCAGGAGGCCAAGGTGGGAGGTTTGTTTGAGTCCAGGAGTTCAAAGCTGTAGTAAGCTAAGAAGGTGCCCCAGAACACCCGCATGGGCAACAGAGTGAGAACTCGTCTCTAAAAAACGAAAAGGATTCTAGTCACAGACATCAGAAAAATATTTGTAATATATTCATTTGTTGAAGGACTTATATCCAGAATATATAGCCATCTCTTACAACTCTGCAAAAAGACACAGGAATAGCCAATAAGTCAAGAGCAACTGTTGAAATTCATTAGTGATTAGCAAATTGCAAAATGGAACCACAATGACATAGTACTATTTCATAACCACTAAAGTGAGTATAATTAAGAGTATTGGCCAGAATGTGAAGCAACTAAACTCAAATTTTGTTAATAGTAGTGTAAAATGGTACAACTTTGATGACTTTATTGTGGTTTATTTAAAGTTAAGCATACATTTACCATAGGACCCAGAAACTTTTTCCAGAAGTTTTTTTCAAAGGAAATAAAAATATACTTCCACAAAAGACTTATACACACTTGTACTGCTTTTTAAAAACTTATAATAAACTCAAATAAAAATAATCCAAATATCCTTCCAGAAGTGAATGTATAAACAAATTATATTTATAAAATAAAATATTCTTCAACAAAAAGTAATGAAATGCTGATTTATGAAACATCACTGAATCTCAAAAACATCATGTTACATGAAAGAAGCTAGACACAAAAGAGTACATACCTTATAATTCCATTTATGTGAATTTCCACAACAGGGAAAATAATATATAGTGACATAAATCAAATAAATTATTTAGGTGAGAGGTACTCTGGGACTGGATTCAAAGAGGTACAAATAACTTTCTGGAGTGATAAAAACACGCTGTATATTGAATGATGTGGTTTTATAGTTGCAAACATCTGACAAAATTTATCTGATTATATACTAATTTATCCATTTTATGTAAAACATAATCCATAAATTAACTTTAGCTAATGAAGTGAAATAAAAATATTTTCAGATAAATGAATACTAAGAAAATGTGCTGACAGCTGACTTCATTATAAGAAATGCAAGGAAATTCTGCAGGCTAAAAAGAAATTGGTTTAAAATACTCTAACAGGGGGAAGGAGCCAAGATGGCCGAATAGGAACAGCTCAGGTCTACAGCTCCCAGCGTGAGTGACGCAGAAGACGGGTGATTTCTGCGTTTCCATCTGAGGTACCGGGTTCATCTCACCAGGGAGTGCCAGACAGTGGGCGCAGGTCAGTGGGTGCGCACACCGTGTGCGAGCCGAAGCAGGGCGAGGCATTGCCTCACTTGGGAAGCGCAAGGGGTCAGGGAGTTCCCTTTCCCAGTCAAAGAAAGGGGTGATGGATGCACCTGGAAAATCGGGTCACTCCCACCCAAATACTGCGCTTTTCCGACGGGCTTAAAAAACGGCGCACCACGAGATTATATCCCACACCTGGCTGGGAGGGTCCTACGCCCACGGAGTCTCGATGATTGCTAGCACAGCAGTCTGAGATCAAACTGCAAGGCGGCAGTGAGGCTGGGGGAGGGGCGCCCGCCATTGCCCAGGCTTGCTTAGGTAAACAAAGCAGCCCGGAAGCTCGAACTGGGTGGAGCCCACCACAGCTCAAGGAGGCTTGCCTGCCTCTGTAGGCTCCACCTCTGGGGGCAGGGCACAGACAAACAAAAAGACAGCAGTAACCTCTGCAGACTTCAATGTCCCTGTCTGACAGCTTTGAAGAGAGCAGTGGTTCTCCCAGCACGCAGCTGGAGATCTGAGAACGGGCAGACTGCCTCCTCAAGTGGGTCCCTGACCCCTGACCCCCGAGCAGCCTAACTGGGAGGCACCCCCCAGCAGGGGCACACTGACACCTCACATGGCAGGGTATTCCAACAGACCTGCAGCTGAGGGTCCTGTCTGTTAGAAGGAAAACTAACAAACAGAAAGGACATCCACACCAAAAACCCATCTGTACATCACCATGATCAAAGACCAAAAGTAGATAAAACCACAAAGATGGGGAAAAAACAGAACAGAAAAACCGGAAACTCTAAAAAGCAGAGCGCCTCTCCTCCTCCAAAGGAACGCAGTTCCTCACCAGCAACGGAACAAAGCTGGATAGAGAATGACTTTGATGAGCTGAGAGAAGAAGGCTTCAGACGATCAAATTACTCTGAGCTATGGGAGGACATTCAAACCAAAGGCAAAGAAGTTGAAAACTTTGAAAAAAATTTAGAAGAATGTATAACTAGAATAACCAATATAGAGAAGTGCTTAAAGGAGCTGATGGAGCTGAAAACCAAGGCTCGAGAACTACGTGAAGAATGCAGAAGCCTCAGGAGCCGATGCGATCAGCTGGAAGAAAGGGTATCAGCAATGGAAGATGAAATGAATGAAATGAAGCGAGAAGGGAAGTTTAGAGAAAAAATAATAAAAAGAAATGAGCAAAGCCTCCAAGAAATATGGGACTATGTGAAAAGACCAAATCTACGTCTGATTGGTGTACCTGAAAGTGACGTGACAGGGAGAATGGAACCAAGTTGGAAAACACTCTGCAGGATATTATCCAGGAGAACTTCCCCAATCTAGCAAGGCAGGCCAATGTTCAGATTCAGGAAATACAGAGAACACCACAAAGATATTCCTCGAGAAGAGCAACTCCAAGACACATAATTATCAGATTCACCAAAGTTGAAATGAAGGAAAAAAGGTTAAGGGCAGCCAGAGAGAAAGGTCGGGTTACCCTCAAAGGGAAGCCCATCAGACTAACAGCGGATCTCTCGGCAGAAACCCTACAAGCCAGAAGAGAGTGGGGGCCAATATTCAACATTCTTAAAGAAAAGAATTTTCAACCCAGAATTTCATATCCAGCCGAACTAAGCTTCATAAGTGAAGGAGAAATAATATACTTTACAGACAAGCAAATGCTGAGAGATTTTGTCACCAGCAGGCCTGCCCTAAAAGAGCTCCTGAAGGAAGCGCTAAACATGGAAAGGAACAACCGGTACCAGCCGCTGCAAAATCATGCCAAAATGTAAAGACCATCGAGACTAGGAAGAAACTGCATCAACTAACAAGCAAAATAACCAGCTAACATCATAATGACAGGATCAAATTCACACATAACAATATTAACTTTAAACGTAAATGGACTAAATGCTCCAATTAAAAGACACAGACTGGCAAATTGGATAAAGAGTCAAGACCCATCAGTGTGCTGTATTCAGGAAACCCATCTCACGTGCAGAGACACACATAGGCTCAAAATAAAAGGATGGAGGAAGATCTACCAAGCAAATGGAAAACAAAAAAAGGCAGGGGTTGCAATCCTAGTCTCTGATAAAACAGACTTTAAACCAGCAAACATCAAAAGAGACAAAGAAGGCCATTACATAATGGTAAAGGGCTCAATTCAATAAGAAGAGCTAACTATCCTAAATATATATGCACCCAACACAGGAGCACCCAGATTCATAAAGGAAGTGCTTAGTGACCTACAAAGAGACTTAGACTCACACACATTAATAATGGGAGACTTTAACACCCCACTGTCAACATTAGACAGATCAACGAGACAGAACGTCAACAAGGATACCCAGCAATTGAACTCAGCTCTGCACCAAGTGGACCTAATAGACATCTACAGAACTCTCCACCCCAAATCAACAGAATATACATTTTTTTCAGCACCACACCACACCTATTCCAAAATTGACCACATACTGGGAAGTAAAGCTCTCCTCAGCAAATGTAAAAGAACAGAGATTATAACAAACTATCTCTCAGACCACAGTGCAATCAAACTAGAACTCAGGATTAAGAATCTCACTCAAAACTGCTCAACTACATGGAAACTGAACAACCTGCTCCTGAATGACTACTGGGTACGTAACGAAATGAAGGCAGAAATAAAGATGTTCTTTGAAACCAACAAGAACAAAGACACAACATACCAGAATCTCTGGTACGCATTCAAAGCAGTGTGTAGAGGGAAATTTATAGCACTAAATGCCCACAAGAGAAAGCAGGAAAGATCCAAAATTGACACCCTAACATCACAATGAAAAGAACTAGAAAAGCAAGAGCAAACACATTCAAAAGCTAGCAGAAGGCAAGAAATAACTAAAATCAGAGCAGAACTGAAGGAAACAGAGACACAAAAAACCCTTCAAAAAATTAATGAATCCAGGAGCTGGTTTTTTGAAAGGATCAACAAAATTGATAGACTGCTAGCAAGACTAATAAAGAAAAAAAGAGAGAAGAATCAAATAGACACAATAAAAAATGATAAAGGGGATATCACCACCGATCCCACAGAAATACAAACTACCATCAGAGAATACTACAAACACCTCTACGCAAATAAACTAGAAAATCTAGAAGAAATGGATAAATTCCTCGACACATACACTCTCCTAAGACTAAACCAGGGAGAAGTTGAATCTCTGAATAGACCAATAACAGGATCTGAAATTGTTGCAATAATCAATAGTTTACCAACCAAAAAGAGTCCAGGACCAGATGGATTCACAGCCGAATTCTACCAGAGGTACAAGGAGGAACTGGTACCATTCCTTCTGAAACTATTCCAATCAATAGAAAAAGAGGGAATCCTCCCTAACTCATTTTATGAGGCCAGCATCATCCTGATACCAAAGCCGGGCAGAGACACAATGAACAAAGGGAATTTTAGACCAATATCCTTGATGAACATTGATGCAAAAATCCTCAATAAAATACTGGCAAAACGAATTCAGCAGCACATCAAAAAGCTTATCCACCATAATCAAGTGGGCTTCATCCCTGGGATGCAAGGCTGGTTCAATATATGCAAATCAATAAATGTAATCCAGCATATAAACAGAGCCAAAGACAAAAACCACATGATTATCTCAATAGATGCAGAAAAAGCCTTTGACAAAATTCAACAACCCTTCATGCTAAAAACTCTCAATAAATTAGGTGTTGATGGGACGTATCTCAAAATAATAAGAGCTATCTATGACAAACCCACAGCCAATATCATACTGAATGGGCAAAAACTGGAAGCATTCCTTTGGAAAACTGGCACAAGACAGGGATGCCCTCTCTCACCACTCCTATTCAACATAGTGTTGGAAGTTCTGGCCAGGGCAATTAGGCAAGAGAAGGAAATAAAGGGTATTCAATTAGGAAAAGAGGAAGTCAAATTGTCCCTGTTTGCAGACGACATGATTGTATATCTAGAAAACCCCATTGTCTCAGCCCAAAATCTCCTTAAGCTGATAAGCAACTTCAGCAATGTCTTAGGATACAAAATCAATGTACAAAAATCACAAGCATTCTTATACACCAACAACAGACAAACAGAGAGCCAAATCATGAGTGAACTCCCATTCACAATTGCTTCAAAGAGAATAAAATACCTAGGAATCCAACTTACAAGGGATGTGAAGGACCTCTTCAAGGAGAACTACAAACCACTGCTCAAGGAAATAAAAGAGGATAGAAACAAATGGAAGAACATTCCATGCTCATGGGTAGGAAGAATCAATATTGTGAAAATGGCCATAGTGCCCAAGGTAATTTACAGATTCAATGCCATCCCCATCAAGCTACCAATGCCTTTCTTCACAGAATTGGAAAAAACTACTTTAAAGTTCATATGGAACCAAAAAAGAGCCCGCATCGCCAAGTCAATCCTAAGGCAAAAGAACAAAGCTGGAGGCATCACACTACCTGACTTCAAACTATACTACAAGGCTACAGTAACCAAAACAGCATGGTACTGGTACCAAAACAGAGATATAGATCAATGGAACAGAACAGAGCCCTCAGAAATAACGCCGCATATCTACAACCATCTGATCTTTGACAAACCTGAGAAAAACAAGCAATGGGGAAAGGATTCCCTATTTAATAAATGGTGCTGGGAAAACTGGCTAGCCATATGGAGAAAGCTGAAACTGGATCCCTTCCTTACACCTTATACAAAAATCAATTCAAGATGGATTAAAGACTTAAACGTTAGACCTAAAACCATAAAAACCCTAGAAGAAAACCTAGGCATTACCATTCAGGACATAGGCATGGGCAAGGACTTCATGTCTAAAACACCAAAAGCAATGGCAACAAAAGACAAAATTGACAAATGGGATCTAATTAAACTAAAGAGCTTCTGCACAGCAAAAGAAACTACCATCAGAGTGAACAGGCAACCTACAAAATGGGAGAAAATGTTCGCAACCTACTCATCTGACAAAGGGCTAATATCCAGAATCTACAATGAACTCAAACAAATTTACAAGAAAAAAACAAACAACCCCATCAAAAAGTGGGCAAAGGACATGAACAGACACTTCTCAAAAGAAGACGTTTATGCAGCCAAAAAACACATGAAAAAATGTTCATCATCACTGGCCATCAGAGAACTGCAAATCAAAACCACAATGAGATACCATCTCACACCAGTTAGAATGGCAATCATTAAAAAGTCAGGAAACAACAGGTGCTGGAGAGGATGTGGAGAAATAGGAACACTTTTACACTGTTGGTGGGACTGTAAACTAGTTCAACCATTGTGGAAGTCAGTGTGGCGATTCCTCAGGGATCTAGAACTAGAAATACCATTTGACCCAGCCATCCCATTACTGGGTATATACCCAATGGACTATAAATCATGCTGCTATAAAGACACATGCACACTTATGTTTATTGCGGCATTATTCACAATAGCAAAGACTTGGAACCAACCCAAATGTCCAACAATGATAGACTGGATTAAGAAAATGTGGCACATATACACCATGGAATACTATGCAGCCATAAAAAATGATGAGTTCATGTCCTTTGTAGGGACATGGATGAAATTGGAAATCATCATTCTCAGTAAACTATCGCAAGAACAAAAAACCAAACACCACATATTCTCACTCATAGGTGGGAATTGAACAATGAGATCACATGGACACAGGAAGGGGAATATCACACTCTGGGGACTGTGGTGGGGTTGGGGGAGGGGGGAGGGATAGCACTGGGAGATATACCTAATGCTAGATGACGAGTTAGTGGGTGCAGCGCACCAGCATGGCACATGTATACATATGTAACTAACATGCACAATGTGCACATGTACCCTAAAACTTAAAGTATAATAATAAATAAATAAATAAATAAATAAAAAAGAAGTTACTGAAAAAAAAAATAAAATAAAATACTCTAACAGTACATTGTGGGGTTTACAAGGAATGTAAAGATTTCATATGTGTATATATACATGTATATTCTATATGATTCATGCATATATGGATGACAAAAGTAGCGCAAAGAAATGAGGTAAATGAAACTGTACCATTATAGGATTCCTATATTTTTACATATAGTACAGTACTAATATTAAAACTAAGTTAAAAATATAATCTTTAGCAGAACCACTAAAACATCTGGAAAAGTATTAGCTAAAAGGATAAATGAGAAATTAAAATGAAATGCTATAATATATATTTATTAACTCAAAATAAAGAAGAACAAGCACAAAAGGGAAAAAACAGATGAGACAAATAAAAAGCAAATAGCGCAGTAATGTGTTAACATCCAGCCATATTAATTATTTTAAATATAAATGTTTTTAACACTTTATTTAAAAGCCACAGATTGCCAGTCTAGATAAAAAGTGAGAATTACATCTCTTACTGTCTACATGATATTTTGATTGTAAAAGGTTAAGAAAGCTATAACATGCAAGAAGTAAACCTAAGGATAGAGTAGATCTATTATATTATTTTTCAATTAATTAGCATTAATTTTAAGTATTTTCTCCAGACTATGGTTTGCTTTTCCATCTTCTTAATGATGTTATTGACAAAGTTTTTAATTTCTTCCCCTACTTGTTTCTCTTAACATTTTATCTTCTTATTTATTAGTGAGATTAAACACAAATTCCCCTTTAAAGGCCACGATATTTGCCCATACACTTTGCCATTGCCCCATTTTTAGATTTCCTATTGATGTGGAAGAACTCTTTGAACAATGTAAATATGTAAAAGTATATGCTATCAGCTATTTCTGTGTCTGTATTTCCTAACAGGAAGGAAGCTTCTTGACATAAACACAAAAGTATTAATCTTTTCAAATCCAGGAAAGTCACAGTGCCTTGCCTAAGGTAGATATTCACATGTTGACAAAATGCATAAAACAGACACAGTCATATGTTCCATAATTAATCCTCTAATAAACTGCATGTACTCCACATCCGCTGTTGTTTAAATACTCAACTTGGTAAAATAGGTTACAATCTATTCTGCCTACTGTTTCAGGACTTGTGGTCATAAGAGTGCTTTTTAATGAACCCACCACGCTTATTACCCTTCTTCAAGTCCTGCCTACCCAGTCATCTGGATCACCTGCAATGGCTGTAAAAGCATGACCTATCATTTGATAATGATTCATGTTTTTTTCCATCAATTGTTCTTTCCAACTTAGTAATTGATCTTACTTGTAATATGGACATGACATAAGTAGCCCTTCAAAACTAAGTTTAACCTAGATGATAGGTTGATAGGTTCAGCAAACCACCATGGCACATGTATACCTATGTAACAAACCTGCATGTTCTGCACATTTATCCCAGAACTTAAAGTAATGTAAAATAAAATAAAATAAAATAAAATAAAATAACCTAAGTTTGATCAAGCAACCTATTTAGTGCCTTGACCAAAAAAAAAAAAAAAAAAAGTTCAGTTTTATGGAATCTAATTTAAATAAGAAAAACCCTCTTAAACTAGTATGTGTGTATAGACGTTCACTATGAAACACTCTAATTGGAAAAGTCCACTAAGAATGGCAGAACAGCAGTTGAAGCAGATGTTTTAGTAACGGAGAATCTCAAGGCTCAAGTATTGACTGCTGTCATTTCCTTCTAGAACATCTCTTCCTAGCAGTGAGTCAGAACCCACTTGTGTGTCTTGATCAGTTCTTGGATGTGTGGAGAAGATAAAAATTTTAGTATATAATTTCAGCTGTGCCAAAGACATAACTTTCTTCTGTTATTCAACTTAATATTTAATTCAAAGCTTTTATTCTGCTCAGACACATTATCCTTAAAATTTCCCCTTCACACACTGGATATGGCAAAAGTCTTTTACACATTGTAAAAAACTGGGGTCCAGGAGAGGGTGGAGATGAGATACATTAGGTTTCTTATGTTTCTCAGTTGCTGGTCTACACATTTTATTGAAAATTCCCTTCCTTTAGTTAATGAGTGAAGAATTGCTTATCGTAAGAATGGACATGAAAGAAAAAGAATAAAACAGAGGAAAAGAGAAAATAAAATCAAAACATAATCACTGTCACGTATGTGATAAGAAATTCACAACTGAATATGTGGAATTGTTTGCCTTTCCATAATTACTAAATACAGAAACGCACAAGTATTTCATCATATCATAGCACTCTAATTTGCATGTGGAGATGCCTTTTTGAATGGGAGAGAAAGAAGTAGTTAACACAACATACAGAACTATATGCATAAAAATAACAAATACATAATCAGTTGATTTTGATGAATACAGTTGTTCCCTTAGCATTTATGGCAAAATAATTACAGGTTGAGTTCCCAACAAAATTTGTGGTTTTGGATATAGTAAACCTGGGTATATCAGGAAAGTATGTCATGCATAGAGTATCTTCATTTATGTCTGCAACAGGAAAACAAGTGTTGGAACTTCCATTTTGTAGAGCAAAATGTAACAGGCATGGCAGTCAACAGATACCAGTGTGCAATAGAACAAAAGATTTACCTAGACTTTTAATGAAAGGGTTAACTAGACTCAATTAGAAAGCTTTCAGGAAATAAGCAGACAGAAGTAGAACAGAAATGTGTTGGTTGCCTTTTAATTAAGTATATACAGTTGACCATCTACTCAATATATTCATTAAAATACGCATTTAATGCCTACCAAGAATTAGGTCTGTTGCTAGATGAAAGAAATACAAAGGATGTAAGTAGACTTCTTATAATAAGAAACTAATGCATACTCCAGGGAGAAAATATTTGCAAACTATGCTTCCGACAACTGTCTAATATCCAACATCTATAAGGAACTGAAACAAATTTACAAGCAAAAAACAACCCCATTTAAAAAGCGGACAAAGGACATAAACATTTTTTAAAAGAGGACACACGCAGCCAAAAAGCATATGAAAAAATGCTCAACATCACTAATCATTAGAGAAATTTTAATCAAAACCATAATGAGATACCATCTCACACAACTCAGAATGGATATTATTAAAAAGTCAAAAAATAACAGATGCTAGTGAGGTTATAGAGAAAAGGGAACACTTAGGCATTGCTGGTGGGAATGTATTAGTTCAGCCATGATGAAAGCAGTTTGGTTATTCCTGAAAGAATTTAAAACAGAATGACCCCTTTACCCAGCAATCCCATTATAGCGTATATATCCAAAGAAATATAAGTCATTCTAACAAAAAGACACATGCATGTGTATGTTCACAATAACAAAGACATGGAATCAGCATAAATGCCCATCAGCAGTAGACTGGATAAAGAAAATGTGGTACATATACAACATGGAATACTACACAGCCATAAAAAAGAATGAGATCATGTTGTGTCCAGAACCATGATGGAGATGGAGGCCATTATCCTAAGCAAAATAACATAGGAACAGAAAACCAAAAGCCACATGTTCTCACTTATAAGTGGAAGCTAAACATCAAGCACATATGGACACAAAGAAGGGAATAACAGACACTGGGCCTTACCTGAGGGTGGAGAGTAGGAGGAGGGTGAGGATCCAAAAACTACTTATTGCGTACTATGCTTATTACCTGGATGACAAAATAATCTGTACACCAAACCCCCATGACACACAATTTACCTATATAACAAACCTGCACTTGTACCCCTGAAGCTAAAATAAAAGTTAAATTGTTCATCAAATACATTTAGGAAAGGCTAGTTCAAATAAAGTTAAGCACATTTTTCCACAATAGGATATTTTGAAGTTTTGGCACACAAATGGACAATCTGCATTTCTAAGAATGTGGTTTCTTGGACCACAGGGCTTTTCCTCCACTCTCCTATTATTTCTTGAAGGAGCATTGCTTACAAAATACCAAATAGAAACTCTACATTAAGAAGCGAAAACATTTGGTCTATGTGACAATCAGAAACGTAAGCACTTCGAATGTTAAATTTTTTAAAACTTATTTGTAAAAAAGAACTTTTAGGCTGGGCACAGTGGCTCATGCCTGTAATCCCAGCACTCTGGGAGGCCAAGGCTGGCAGGTCACCTGAGGTCAAGAGTTCACAACCATCCTGGCCAACATGGTGAAATCCCATCTCTACTAAAAATACAAAAATAGCCAGGTGTGTTGGTAGGCACCTGTAATCCCAGCTACTAGGAGGCTGAGGCACAAGAATCGCTCGAATCCGGGAGGCGGAGGTTGCAGTGAGCCGAGATCGTGCCACTGCACTCCAGCCTGGGTGACAGAGTGAGACTCTGTCTCACAATAAATAAATAAATAAATGAATGAATAAATAAAAATAAACTTTTAATTATTTTTATCTGTTTCTCTTTTGCTTAAAAGAAGAAAAATCATCCTTAATAAAATAAGAAAGGGCAGATGTACTTTTTTAAGGAGTATGATCTGTCAGAGAGGTTTTTTTGTTTGTTTGTTTTGTTTTTAAAAGATTTTAAGTGATAGTGAATTTAGAGGAGGAAGACAGGAAATATGGACAGTGAGCGCTCAATATTTCAGAGATGTGCTCACAGGACACTCTTAGCAGGATTACTGCCCATGATAGGGTACCAGGGTCCACTAACAAAATCCTTTTCTCCTTTTTCTTTGCTGAAGCAAAGTAACAGGGAAAGTGATGGAACTACCAAAAACCAAAAAACCAAGCAAACAAACAAACCTATGTCATAATAAATCATCGCAACCAGATGGGGTCGGCTGTGTTTGAATTTGCTTTCATTTTGGGAAGAAGTTACTAGATTCTGGGAAAAGTTCATATAGAAGTAGATCGACTTAAAATATGCAGTTGATTATTAAAAACCAGCTATTATTCAACAGTTTTGTGAGGTCTGCAGGATGGAGATCATCTTTAGAAAACTGGTAAGGATCATCTGGGTAAGCACCAAACCTACTAGAGCACAAAGAAAATTTTTGTCTAAAGCCTGATGACAGAAGAATATGGGGAGGACCCAGGGATATCTGTCAAGCTCATGTCTAACGGAATACTTATTTTTTACAAGGAGCCATTATGAGATTGTGAGCCCAGAATGAGATTCAGAAGAAGCTAAGTTCACAAACTGCAGCCCGTGAAAACTACACAGATTTGGCTGTGACCAGATAATCTAGTTAGTCTCCTTCTGGATTAACATAAAGTATTGCAAGTTCTTCAGACATAATAACCTTATTGAGATGTTTTTTCCTTCTGTAAAATCCAATTTAGCCATCCCTGCTGGCATGTGACTTACCCAGACAAATGTCTACAAATTCAGGTGAAAAGAGAGGAGTAAAATATTTCTTTTAGAAAACCTATTTCTTCACTTTAGGATTAAACCAATTATCTCAGCAAATGTGAAGGGAAAAAAAAAGTTTCAGCAGATGTGAAGGAATACCCAATCTCCAGGGACCAGGCATGACCTTCCTCTCCATCTACTTCCATTTGAGAAGAAAGAAGGAGATATACCTAATGCTACATGACGAGTTAATGGGTGCAGCACACCAGCATGGCACATGTATACATATGTAACAAACCTGCACGTTGTGTACATGTACCCTAAAACTTAAAGTATAATAATAATAAAATAAAATAAAATAAAATAAAATAAAGAAGTGGGAAGGTGAATAGGTACTGTAGCTTCTGACTCTATTTACTTCTTCTAATAGGAGAACACTTGCTCCTCCCACCTCAACTCATACTTCCAAAGTGAGTAGCAACCTCTGGGGTTCTGATTTTCTGCGGTAGCCTGATGCAAATATCCAGGTTGCTGGAGCCCTGGACTTTATCTCAGATCAAATTTCACAGCCCACTCAAATCAAAGCTCTAAATAACCAAGGGTGAGACATCAACCCTAAATAACAGCCACACAGGATTGGTCACTGGATTAGTGCTTTCTTGTTGATGTTGTTACTACTATTATTATTATTTTGTCCCTGAGGTTTCATATTACTGTATTGCTGAGTTATGCATTCATAAATATTATTTTCTGCAATGACTGAGGTGATCAAATGTTTTTCTCTTTTATTCTTTTAATGCAAAGATTTGTGTTCATTTCAAATATTATACCAGCCTTGCATTCCTACAATAATGCAGTAATTCCTGAAGTCCTGCTAGGTCATGATTATATTTTTTATGTGTTTCATTAATTGTATTTTAAAAATATATATTTAGAAAGTTTTATATCTTCATATATGAGACATATAAACAAGTATTTTTTTCTTGTAATATTCTTTTTAGGTATTTGTATCAAGATCATGCCAGCTCCATAAAATGAGTTGGAATCCTTTCACTATTCTTTGGAAAATTTTATGTAAAATTTGGTGGTGTTTACTCCTAAAGGCTTGAAAGAACTCACAAATAAAGGCACCTGGATCTGGAATTTTCTTAATGGGAAGGATTTTAATTATAAATTCAACTTTAGTAAATGTTGACTTATGTAGACATTTTTATATCTGTTTGTTTTGAGACGGAGTTCTGCTCTTGTTGCCCAGGCTGGAGTACGATGGCGTGCTCTCAGCTCACTGCAACCTCTGCCTCCCGGGTTCAAGTGATTCTCCTGCCTCAGCCTCCGAAGTAGCTGGGATAACAGGCGCCCGCCACCACGCTCAGCTAATTTTTGTATTTTTAGTAGAGACAGCGTTTCACCATGTTGGGCAGGCTAGTCTCAAACTCCTGACCTCAGTTGATCTGCCCACCTCGGCCTTCCAAAGCGCAGGAATTACAGGCGTGATCCACCGCGCCTGGCCTTTTATTTTTTCTTCTACCAGGTTTGGCAGGTTTTACCTTTTTTTTTTTTTTTTTTTTTTTTTTTGAGACGGAGTCTCGCTCTTCCACCCAGGCCGGAGTGCGCTGTTGCTATCTCGGCTCACTGCAAGCTCCGCCTCCCGGGTTCACGCCATTTTCCTGCGTCAGCCTCCCGAGTGGCTGGGACTACAGGCGCCCGCCACCGCCCCCGGCTAATTTTTTGTGTTTTTAGTAGAAATGGGGTTTCACCGTGTTAACCAGGATGGTCTAAATCTCCTGACCTCGTGATCCGCCCGCCTCGGCCTCCCAAAGTGCTGGGATTACAGACGTGAGCCACCGCGCCCGGCTGGTAGGTTTTACTTTTAAGGAATTTATCCATTTTCCCAAATTTTCAAATTTACCTATATGAAACTTTGTATAACATCTTATTTTCTTGCTAACATCTGTTGTATTTATGATAATGTCTTCTTTTTAATTTCTGTATAGACGATTTCTTTTTCAGTACCAGTATTACTAATTTTTCCAAGTACCAAATTTAGTTTTATTAATTTATTATATTTTTTGTATTGCATTGATTTTTAAATTTATTTTTAATTACTTCATTTTTTTCTGTTTTTCATTCAACTTTTAAAAATCTAATTGCATTGGAAGTTTAAATGATTGATTACTACAAAACTTTCCTTTTTTCAAATATACGCTTTAAAGCTAAAAATTTCCCTTAAGGAGAATTCCATGAGTTGATATGATATTAGTCCATTCTCACACTGCTAATAAAGACATACCCAAGACTGGGTAATTTATAAAGGAAAAACGTTTTATTGACTCACAGTTCTGCATGGCTAGGGAGACCTCAGGAAACTTACAATCATGGTGGAAGACACCTCTTCACAGGGAAGCAGGAGAGGGAATGAGAGTCAGCAGGGGAAATGTGAGATGTATATACAACCATCAGATCTCCTGAGAACTCACTCACTATCATGGAAACAGCTTGGTGGAAACCACCCCCAGGATACAATTACCTCCACCTGGTCCTACCTTTGACACCTTGGGATTATTACAATTCAAGGTGAGACTTGGGTGAGGGCACAAAGCCAAACCACAACAGATTTTATATATATTTAATCACTCAGCTCAAAATATTTTCAAGTTTTTATTGTTTCCTTTTAAGCTATGGATTTTGTAGAAGTGTGCTATTGAATTTTCAAACTTTAGTAATTTTTTATCAGATTTGAAGAATTCCCCATGCCTCATTCTCTCTCTGCTCTCCTTCCGAGACTCCAGGTTCACATTTTGACCTTTGGGCCATGTTCTACATATTTTTATGCTTTGTTATATTTTTTCTTCTCTTCCTCTTTTCCTTAGTTTAGACTTTTTATATTACTTGGCCTTCAGGGTCACTCATCTTTTATTCTGCTGTTTTCAATATGCTGTTAAAACCATCCATGAGCTCTTAATTTTCATTTATTTCACTTACCCATCCTATGATATCCATCTTTTAATACATCCCATTCTCAGTTGAAATTATCCATCTTTTCATCTATTTTGGCTGTATGTTTTTATCTTTTTTAATATTTTTATCATTATTGTCAAATTTCTGCGTGCTAACTCCCATATCTTAATCATCACTGCATCTGCTTCTATTCATTATCTTCTCTATCAATTAATAATCTTTCTCTTTGCTTTTTTGTACAATTAATAATTTCTAATGGTATGTAACACTATGACACTCCAAATGACATTCTAGATGGTTTCCTTGTAGAATCTATCAATTGTGGTCTCTTCTCAAAAAGGTTTCCATTCATTCAATTATTTATCAGAATTTAATAGCAGTTTACCCTAATAATCTTGGGTCTTGGTTTTTAGCTTTATCGGGGGTGGGAGGGTCTATTTCAGTTTCATCTTATTCATAGGGTATGTATTACTCCCAGACTGTGATTTTTCTGAGCTCACACTTTCTAGGATTTCTGTGGTTTCCCCTGTCATTGTTTACCTGGATTTTGGATTGGATTGTGTCAAGGTACAAGCCTTTTTAATAAAAGATTTTTGTTACCCTGACATCCCCACCATGAGAAAACCTATATTGAGTTTGAGTGAAGGGCACCTGCACTCTCCACACCTTTCACGTATGCCCTGTGCCTTTTGCCTTTCTGAACTGGCATTTTCACCCAAGCTGAACTGGCATTCAAAAACTTGATTCTTTTATAATCTGCATTCTGTTGTGTCATCCCCAGGTGTAGTGCCTCACGCCTGTAATCCCAGCACAGTGGGAGGTGTAGGTGGGTAGATGGCCTGAGCTCAGGAGTTTGAGACCAGCCTGGGCAACATGGTGAAACCCCATCTCTATAAAAAGCAAAACAAACAAACAAAACAAAACATGATACCTGCTATGGTGCCATCCATCTCCTAAGGCCAACAGCATAGAACAGCCTAATTATTGCTTTAACTGGAAAGGGTCGTAAGACATTTCAGGCACAATTTTTGCTCTCAAGGGACTACAAAATTAGGCAAGAGTAAGGGCAATAAGAAGAGTGAAGGTCACAGACTCTGCAGCCAGCATTCTTGTTCTTAATCTTTGTATACCTGAGCAAGTCATACAACCTTTCTGAGATTGTTTTCTTACCTGCAAAATGGGATTGTAGCAGGACGAGCCGCAGACAAAACTCCTCAGACACCGAGTTAAAGAAGGAAGGGGTTTACTCGGCTGGGTGCATTGGCAAGACTCCTGTCTTAAGAGCCGAGCTCCACGAGTGAGTAATTCCTGTTCCTTTTAAGGGCTCACAGCTCTAAGGGTGTACGTGTGAGAGGGTCGTGATCGATTGAGCAAGCAGGGGGTACGTGACTAGGGGCTGCATGCTCTGGTAATTAGATCGGAACAAAACAGGATAGGGATTTTCACAGTGCTTTTCTCTACAATGTCTGTAATCTATAGATAACATAACCGATTAGGTCAGGGGTCCATCTTTAACTACCAGGACCAGGGTGTGGCGCCGGGCTGTCTGCTTGTGGATTTCATTTGTGCCTGTTAGTTTTAACTTTTTCTTTCTTTGGAGGCAGAAATTGGGCATAAGACAATATGAGGGGTGGTTTCCTCCCTTAGGATAATAATTGAACTTACTTATGGGGTTTTGTACAGAGTAAATAGGTTTATACCTATCAAATACCTGGAAGAGTTTCCAACCTTTGGTAAGGATTGTTTTCCTTGTTTTCTTGGAAACTAACTGCCCAGGCCTGGGAATCAAGGACTCTGTGAACATCAGGCAGCTGTAACTACAGTGAAGTGCAGGAAACAGTCAGATTCTGCACTAAATCATAATGAAATTGCTTTCCAAGCCATCCATTGTTAGTAGCTCAGTTTCAAAATCCCTTGAGAGAGCGCCCAACTGGTTAGGACTAAGTATTATCCTATATACCTCTTGATTATGCTATGTGTAGAAATGAGGACTAAGCATCTTTGGTTTCTGTAGAGGAAGGCAGTCACTATCTTCCCCAAAGTAACCAACATAATAACAAACAGAAATAAGACCGGATGCTGCTCATCCAAATTATGAAAAATGTCTATTACACAAGGCCACAAGAAATGTTAACACTTGACATCAATAAATTGATCAAAATTAATTCTACCACAGATGAATAAATTGCAATTTACTCAGCCATGCCCCCCCCCCTTTTTTTTTTTGCTATTTAGACCATGATTTTTCTTTACTTGCTACTATTATTTTAAAATTTTTTCTTCTTGGATTATTTCATTTACAGTATTTCATGGAAATCACCACTGTTGAATCATGTGTTGTGCTCACTTTACATTTTGACATATATGATCAAACTGGGCTCCAGGAAGCTTCTTTCAATTTATACTACCGGCTATTGTGTTTGAGAGAGATTGTACTCACCACTGAGGACACTGCAGTAAGAGAGGGTAATATTCGAAGGTAGTCTAGGAGCACTGAAAATTCCAGAGGAGAAGGTGATTTGTGGCTATGATTATTACCGCTTATTTTTGGGTTCTATGTAGAGTGCTATGTAGGTTCCTCTGCTAAAAAGGATTAGAAGAATAAATACAAAAATTGAATATATAGATCAGGTGCTGTGAGCATTGTGATTGGGAATAAACAGGGTGAATAAAATGGTTAAAATAGTAGAAAAGGCAAAATCAAATTTAAAAAACAAAGATCTGTAATAGAACAAACCAATTTGATTGTATCTCTTCCTCTGTGAACTGCAGACAACAACATAAAAATGAATTGCAGGCAGAGGAAGAGGGTGAGATCCCCATTTGATCACTGTGTTCTGAGCTTCTTGACCGAGCTGGGTGGGGAGTGGTGGAGAGAATTTAGAAATCTAGGATAATGGAGAAGGTGCCATTAAAATAACGGGTAAGAGCACTTAAGATTGTCAACAGTGCCATCAGCAATGTAACAATTGGACTGGGGAAATTAGGGGAACATGAAGAAATGAGCACATTTTCCTTACTAGAATAAAAAATTCCGAAGTGGGGTCAGGCACGGTGGCTCACACCTGTAATCCCAGGACTTTGGGAGGCCAAGGAAGGCAAATCACAAGGTCAGGAGTTTGAGACCAGCCTGGCCAACATGGTGAAACCCCATCTCTACTAAAAATACAAAAAGAATTAGCCGGGCATGGTGGCATGCACCTGTAATCCCAGCTACTCGGGAGGCTGAGGCAGGAGAATTGCTTGAACCCGGGAGGCGGAGGTTGTAGTGAGCCGAGATTGCACCACTGCACTCCAGCGTGGGCAACAGAGCAAGACTCTGTCTCAAAAAAATAAATAAATAACAACTACAACAACAAAATTCCTAAGTGCTCACTATGCAAAACTTGTTACAATTTGGTGCTCAACAACTGTCAGGGAACAATAGTTTCTTTAACAAAATTGTAGAAGGATGACCAACAAGGAGAGGCAGCCACTCGAAAGGGAGCAGGGAAGCAAGAGATTAGATCACACTCCCTTCCCGGGCTTTTGAACACAGAAAGAAGGCAGCTGGAGGCTTTGGAGACGGCGGTGCAGCAGGAGAGGGCCAGGGAGATTTTGGAAGGCTGTGCACTGCTCTATTGGACCTTCCTGCAAGCTTTCACCTCCTCAGGGATGTACAATATCCAAAGTATGGCTGGGGAAAGGGCACAATGATTGAGACCTGCTTAGGCAGAGCAGAAATGCAACCTGGGCACACACATAGAAGCAGAGTGCATACAAAAATAAGATTAAAGGGTTCAGAGAAACTCTGGGGGTAGCTTAATTTTCAAAGCTATGGAAGAGGCGCTTAATGCTAAATGTTTCCAAATCTTGAAGTAGCTGGGAATCTTAAGTGTTGTGTGTTTTTTTCACATAGGATTTTCATACTAAAATGCAATACCTAAATATGTGTTAGATTAAACCATGCTTTATAATTGAATTTAAGAATGGCCTCTCACCACACGTTAAATCTTGGGATGTGCCAGGCACGGTGGCTCACACCTGTAATCCCAGCACTTTGGGAGGCCAAGGAGGGCAAATCACCTGAGGTCAGGAGTTCCAGACCAGCCTGGCCAAAATGGCGAAACCGCATCTCTACTAAAAATACAATAATTAGCCAGACATGGTGGCAAGTGCCTGTAATCCCAGGTGTTTGGGAGGCTGAGGCAGGAGGATCGCTTGAACCCAGGAGGTGGAAGTTGCAGTGAGCCGATATCACACCACTGCACTCCAGGCTGGGCAACGAGAGCAAGATTCTGTCTCCGATGATAATAATAATAATAATAATAATAATAATAATAATAATATTTGGATGTGAGGTGACTAGAAGTTGAGACAGATCAGGCAGGATCTGTGAAAGTTCTCCACGCACTACCTCCAAGTCAGGGACATGTTGAAAACTTCTCTGAGATCTTAGTTGGAACTTTTGTGAACTGCATGTTTTAAGATGGATGTGAGAGGTACAGACCCAGGCCCTAAATCACTGTGTGAATTTACTAGGAAAAGGCTAAGAAACCATGGTATATTAAGCCTTTCTTGAATTGCTATAAAGAAATATCTGAGAGTGGGTAATTGATAAAAGAGGTTTAATTGGCTCATGGTTCTGCAGACTTTACAGGAAGAATGACGCTAGCATCTGCTCTGCTTCTGGGAAGGCCTCAGGAGCTTACACCCATGGCAGAAGGTGAAGGGGGAGCAGGGCAGGAGCAAGTGAGACTGGGGAGGGAGGGGCCCACACTTTTAAACGACCAGATCTCATGTGAACTCAGAGCGAGAACTCACTTATCAGCAAGGGAATGATCTGCCCCATGATCCAAATACCTCCCACCAGGCCCTTCCTCCGGCATTGGGGATTACATTTCAATGTGAGATTTGGGCAGAGAAAATATCTAAAATATCTAAATTCTATCACATTGGGTAAGTGGGAAAAGTGGAAAATGGGGTACAATCCATCTTTGTGAGTGAAAATTGTATCACGAAATTGGAGCTGTGCAGCCGTGGGAAAGGATGTCTGTGGCCGCCGCGAGTGGCATGCTGCAGCCCTTTTCTCTGACTCAGAGAACCTCTCGGCTGGGGAGCTGCAGGTGGGTCGTCTGTCACGCACAGTTCTGAACTCCTGGTGTAACCAGAGCCTAAAAACATATGCAGGAACTACGCTGCCAGAAACAGAAGTGGAGAATTTTGAGTTGGCGTTACAATATGCCTCTGAACTTTCAGAGAAATGACAGGCCTCAGACAGAAGTGACAGATATAAATGGAAAGTTTTCAGGGCCTGGCATTAGGAATTATATCTGGTCACATACCCTCAAATTCCCTTCATTTCTGAACTGCTGCACAGTGTACTTGAACTAGTATAATGTGATAGGAAGAGCTGACAGAAATTTGATGTCAATTTTCTTCCACATAGCAAAGAAAGCAAAAAATGCTTCAGCCCTCACACAAACTGCTGTAGTGAGGTGTTTGGAAAATCATCCCTGGCTAGAGAAAGCTGCTGTGAAACCAAACTCTGTATATTGAATAAAGTCTTACTCAAAAAAAAAAAAAAAAGTCTTCCATGAAAGACTCAAGAATATCCCTAAATTTTTGAAATTATTGAAACTAATTCAGAAGGAATAAGAGTGCAAGGTAGCACTGAATGGAAAAAAAGCAAGAGTTCACAGTGTGTCGGCATCAGAAGCAACAACCTGGATCTGGAAGCTGAGGTTGACACAAGCTTGACTCAGCCACAAGTAGAAATCCTGGAGATAATGGCACCCCCCGATTGCTGGTTCTCCTGCTCAGTACTCTGGCCTTAAACCAATGATTTTTTTCTGATATGGGGAGCTGGTCAAAAAAAGGCAGGCTTTGACCTCGTTGAAACTTACCATCCGATATGGTTTGGCTGATATGGGAGGTAATAGAATCATGGGGGCGGGTCTTTCCTGTGTTATTCTCGTGATTGTGAAAAAGTCTCATGAGAGCTGATGGTTTTATAAGTGGGAGTTCCCCTGCACAAGCCCTCTTGTCTGCCACCATGTAAGACATTCCTTTTCCTCTCTTTTGCCCTCTGCCGTGATTGTGGGGTCACTGCAGACATGTGGAACTGTGTGTCCATTAAACCTCTTTCCTTCACAAATTATCCAGTCTCAGGTACATCTTTATTAGCAGCATGAGAACAGACTAATACACCATCTATCTTTTCAGGCTGCTATAACAAAAATCTCATGGACTGGGTGACTGATAAACAACAGAAATTTATTTCTCACAGTTCTGGAGGCTGGAGATCTAAGATCAGAGTGCCAGCCTGGTCAGGTTCTGGTGAGGAACCTCCTCCTGGATGCAGACTGGTGAATTCCCTCTGTACTCTCACATAGTGGAAAGACAGCGAGAGAGCTCTCTGGGGTCCCTTGTCTATAAGCACTAACCCCATTGGTGAGGACTGCACCCTCATGACAGATCTCCTCCCAAAGGCCCTGCCTCCTAATAGTATCATATCCAATTAGGATTTCAACATTTGAATTTGAGTGGGACACAAACATGCAGGCCATAACACCACCTGGTTCCTACAAGACTTCAGTAACTGTAGGGTGAGTCCTAGAAATAAAAAAAGAACTCTGCAGATGGTCTTATGAAGCATGTATTTGTCCTACACCATCTCTAATTTTTATCTCTTAAATCCTGTGCAGCTACCTAAAGCTCTGCTCAACTGCTTAGCCTCTTAGGTGTTTTTGTATTTTTGACAAAACGAAGTCTCTTAGCTGCAGGTTCTAAATTATCTATATTCTGAAAGAAAAAATCATGCCAAATATCAATCTCACTTTCCTGGATTTTCCTTTGTAAAAATATTTTGAGATATATTTAATGTGAGGACTTTTCTAAAACAATCCACCAAATTTCGCAAGAAGTCAACTGCTGTGTCCCATTATTTTGCGGGTCTGTTTCCCTCTTACTACCCTTGAGTGTTTGTCTTACTAAATATTTTTTCCCATCTCACTCTTTTTATGTGGATTTTTAAGTATTGTAAAATTTGATGTTTGACATATAGTACATCTTTCTATCTTTATTCAAAATATAAAAATCATTTCCGCCATCCTAGGAAGTTTTATTTTCTCCTTCTTAGTAAACTTTACCCATCATAAGAAACCACTGTTCTTATTTCTATCACCATAGACTAGGCTTTTTTCATTGTTTTCCTGAACTTCAATGAAGTGGGATCATTCAGTATGTACTCTCTTGTGTATGGCTCAGTATGTTTCTCAGGTTTATCTATGTTCATGTATGTATCGATAGTTTCATCTTATTGCCAAGAAGTATTGTTTTGTGTGAATATACCACAATTTCCTTATTCATTCATTTCTTTAGCCATTCTCCATTCCGTTGTTTCAGTGCTACTTGTTGAAAGCATTTTCTTTTACACTTTGAATCCTCTGTTCCGTTCCATTCAATGGCTTTATCTTTTCCCTCATGTCATGTCATCCTTGATTATTCTAGTTCTACATGAAGTCTTAACATCCCTCAAATTTCTTTTATCATCTAGCTTTGGCTGCTTTAGATCCTTTTTACTTCCTTTTTTTATTTAGAATTAGTCAATTTCTTTTGTAAAGGCTATGGGGATTTTGATTAGGATTGCTTTGAATCTACTGGTACATTTGGAGGTATTTCACATATTAACAATGTTGAGTTTTCCAATCTATGAACATGTTACATAAATCAATTTGTTTAGTTCTTCTTTAATCTCTGTAAATTTTATTTTTTTTAGTGTAAAAAACGTGCAAGTTAAATTTATTTTTGCATATATTTGTATGTTATTATAAATAAAAATTTTAAATTTTATTTTAAAGTTATTTGTTTCTGTTACATATAAATACGGAATATTTATATATAATGTAAATACGGAATATTTATATATAATGTAAATACAGAATATTTATATATAACATAAGTATTTCTAATATTTATAAATATTGAAACTTACCACCTGATATGGTTTTGCTGATATGGGAGGTAATTGAATCATGGGGGCAGGTCTTCTGCCCACACAAATATGTATCTGTATTTATATATAACAGATAACAATAATTATCATATTGTTTGTGTTATATATTAACAAAAAAATATTCAGTATTTATATGTAACAGATAATGATTATCATAAAGAAAATATTCTGCATTTATCTATAACAGAAACAATATGATAATTCTATATTTCTCTGTATTCTGCAAAACTTGCTAAATTTCTTTTTTGGTTCTAGAAATGTTTGTATGTATTATGGAGTCTCCGCATAGATAATCATATTTTATGCAAATAAAAATAATTTAATTATTCCTTTCTCTGCCTTTATTTTTGTGCATTATTGCACTAGCTACAACCTTCAGCTAAAATGATGAGTAGCAGTGGGGATTTCAGATAACTTTGCATTATTCAATAATTCTTCATTAAGTATGATGTTAGCTATAGAATTTTCATAAATGATCAATATTAGTTTTCTATGGCTGCATTAATGTATTAACACAAACTGAGTGGCTTAAACAACAGAAATTTGTGATCTCACAATTGGGCTTCCAGAACTCTGACATGAAGGTACGGGCAGGGCCATGGTCCCTCTGGAGACTCCAGGAGGAAACTGTTTTTTGCCTCTTCCCTTTTCTGGTGGTTCCAGACTTGCAGCTGTATCATTCCAATTCCTGTCTCCATGATGACAATGCCTCCTCCTCTTCTGTGTGTCGTGTTTCTTTTGTGTGTATCTTAAGATGATGCTTCTCATTAGATTTTTGGGCCCAACCAGATATTCTAGAATGATCTCATATTAATTGAATTATATCTGCAAAAACCAATTTTCCAAATAAGATGATAATCACAGGTTTTCAGGATTAACAATTGGAAATATCTTTTATGGATCCGCCATTCAATCTACCACATACCCTTAGTCAGGTTGATGAAGTTTCCTTATGTCCTAATTTGCTGAGAGTCTTTATTACGAATGAGTATTGAATTTTGTCAAATACTTTTTTCTGAATGTATTGATAGATATCTGTGATTTTTTTATTTTTTTCCTATACTGAACTTCATTTATTAATTTTCAATTGTTAAATGAACTTTGTATTTCAAGGATAAATCTATTTGGTCATCATGGATTGTACAGTTAAATTGTTTGATTTGATTTCTTCAGTGTTTTGTTACATTCACGAGAGCTCTTGATCTGCAGCTTTCTTTTATTTTTATTTGCAATATCATTGGCAGGTTTTCATAATAGTTATAAAACCCTCAAAAAATGAGTGTAGGCTGGACTCGGTGGCTCCTGCCTGTAATCCCAGCGCTTTGGGAGGCTGAGGTGGGCGGATTACTTGAGGTCAGGAGTTCGAGACCAGCCTGGCCAGCGTGGTGAAACCCTGTCTCTACTAAAAATACAAAAATTAGCCGGGCATGGTGATGGGCACCTGTAATCCCAGTTACTCAAGAGGCTGAGGCAGGAGAATCACTTGAACCCAGGAAGCTGAAGTTGCAGTGAGCCCAGATCACACCACTGTGCTCCAGCCTGGGCGACAGAGCGAGACTCCATCCCAAAACAAAAACAGTGAATCCATATGGGACCGGAATTTTCTTTGGGGAAATGTTTCTGATTATGAGTTAAAGGTCATTGATAGACACTTTCTATTTCTTATTGTGTTAGTTTGGGTAAGTTTTGTTTTCCAAGGGATTTGTCATTTTTATTTAAGTTGTCAGGCTTATTGTCATAACATTATTTGTAAATTATCATGTTATTCTTTAATGAATGTAGAACCAGTAGTGATATCTAATCTTTTATTCTTGATACTAATAATAGTATTTAATATTAATAGCTTTTTTATGTGCCAGGCCCTTTCCAAAACATTATTCTTTAATAACAGCAAA
The DNA here is from genome assembly GCF_000001405.40 of Homo sapiens. Classification (NCBI taxonomy): domain Eukaryota; kingdom Metazoa; phylum Chordata; class Mammalia; order Primates; family Hominidae; genus Homo; species Homo sapiens. The sequence continues at coordinate 107,902,497 of NC_000013.11, read as the reverse complement.
TAATGACTATGCAATACTAAGTGTTAAGCACTGTTCTAAGTACTCTTATTATCTCACAGCAATACTGGGAGTTTGCTACTGTTATCATCCAATTTTACAGGTCAGAACCCTGAAGCACTAGCCTGCTCAAGGTCTCACTGGTAGTAGTGAAACAGCTAGGGTCTGAACACACACTGACTGACTTCAGAATTGGTACCATTAACCAGTTCAGTGTGAGCTTCTGCAAGTGTTTTATACAGTCCTTACAATAACTTTATGAACAAATACTACATTAACACCAGGTTCACTGATGAGGACACTGTGTATCAATCACCTCGAGTTCATGAACTTTGATTATTGAACTCGCAATGAGTCACAAACGTAGTGATCTGTGAAGACAGACTTTAACTATAACATAGCAAACTTTACCAAGTATGTGAGGCTTGTGTTAATTATGCTTCAAATTAGTAATGTAAGGGAAGGTAATTGTAGTGTGTGATGAGACTAGCATCTGTGGTGAATGTAACTAGTAATGATTGTCAAAGAGGTAGGTGAGACTTATAGGAAAACTTGAGTTCAAGACTCACTTTGCTTCCCTGCATTTCAAGTAGAAATGATTTGGGTCTTATTCGATTCAGTAATTTTGTACCACATACAAGTGTGAGAGGCAGTATCCTGGAGCTGTATATACTAGAAAATGAAATTGTGGGCTGTGACATTTTGATGACTTATGGAATATTAGATCTCTTGGCCTTAAGAGACAATCAAAGTTGTGATAAGAAGGTCAACTTACTGACTCAGAAAACACTCAGTGCCGGGGACAGGTTTTATTTTGTCTATTATGGATTCAAAACTTGAGAAGCTCTCGTGAGGACACGGTTCCATCTCTGCCATGTCTGAGCTTGCTGTACTTTTCAGGGGTCTGTTGTCAGAATGTCTCTCTTCTTATGACAACACGGCTAGCTCAGGGCTTACATACCATTCTCTCGTCCTAGAAGTTCTAAACATTCTAAGATTGAGCCTCACTAGTTCTTTTTGAACTACACAATCACTCCCACTAATCAGATGGGCTATTGACTGAGCAAGCCTGGTCATGTGTTCACCTCTGGATGATATGGAAGTTCATGTTGGACTGTGAAGGAGTGATGAGGTCCATTCCCTTTCTTCCCACTGGCAACAACTGCTCTCTAGATTTTTATATTTCCTTATAGTGTTACTGCTTCTATGAATCCTTAAACACTGTGGCATTGGCTGTTTGGGGATTTTATATAAATGGAATTGAATAACACACATTATGTTCTGACTGGCTTCTTCAGCTCAATATTATATTTGTGAGATTTATGCAAAGTATTGATTGTATTTGTGGTTTATTCATTGTTATTGATGAGGTATCAAATTCTCTCTTCTGAATAGACCATACTTATCCACTATAGTAAGGATAGACCATTTTTTTGTTTTGTTTTCACTCTGAGGTTAGTGCAAAAAAAATGTGGCAATCACATACGTATATCTTCCATGAAGAGCACACATTTCTCTAGGATGTATGCCTAGAACTGAGTTGCTGAGTCACAGGATGTGCATGTTTTTAAATTGGGAAGCTAAGGCCAAACCGTTATTCAAAGTATTTGTAATGAGGTACATTCCTAACAGAAATGTGTGAGAAGTCCTGTTGCTTTACATCTTTACTTCATATACTGTCAGATTTTAAAAATTATTTTGTCAACATGTTTACATATAATTGTTAAAAATGTCTTTTTTCTTGGTATTTCTTGTATTTCTCTGATTTGTAATTAAGTTAAATAGTTTATCTCATGTTTATTGACCATGTGAATATTCTCTTTTCTAAAATACTTCTTTTCTTTTTGCACATTTTTATTGGTTTGCACGTTTATTTTTATTGATTTTTATGTCTTTCTCATGTACATGCTTTCTCTCTTTTTTCACAGATTTAATAAGTTTTTATGTAATATAACACTAATCCATTGCTGCCTAAATAACATAAATTAGGGGTGTTGTTTTCACTGTGTCTTGCTTAACAATTACTGCCTATTTTGAAGTGAGGAAATTATTTTCCTATGTTCTTGGTTTTATAATTTTCACTTTTACAGTTGGTTTTAATCAACTTGAAATTGGTTTTTGGTAAGGTTAGACTCAAACATGAATTTTATCATATATTATTATAATTACCCCAAAACATTCACTTATTGAAATCAATTGTCAAAAGATTTATTGAAGATTTTCTACTGCTCTGCATGGCTGTGTCTTTCATAAGTCAAGTACCCATATAAGAGGGATCTCTTCCTGTTTCCAGACCTTTCATCCTGTGCTTGGGTCTTTATGAATCTCAATTATTGAATTCTACATTGTAATAATTATCATCAATTAATAATCAAGGTGACTATATAATTTATTTTCCAAACTAGGATTATTTTGAGAAGGTGCCCAATAAATCAAACTATCTGAGTTTTAGAAATATTCATTTATTCATGAGTAATTTGATTTTATGCTGTTGGTGAACCTGAAGAGAATTCTCCTCAAAACTGTTTTTAAAAATGAAACTATGTCCCAAAAAATGAAGTAACATAATACAATGTATACATTGTGTATAGCAAAGCAAATTTTTAATTTTTAAAAATGGACTCTCAGCCTCAAAGATGAGAAAGCAGAGTAATTCATTTTTGTAACATTCGCAAAATTATTTTTTACCTACATCTATTTGTATGAGTTTGTCACTGGAATTTCTCAGAAATAAGGGTTTTTTTTTTCTTGAATATGATCATGTATAATTTGTTATAAACTTCACTGTAATCTTCAAATTTTTAATTTATAATTAATAACTTCTTTATGTTTGTTGAAAACTTGATTCCATGTTCCCTGAATACACAAGTAGTTTTGAGAAGATACTCTTTTCAGAGTTTGAGTTACCCAATAGGCTCAGAGAAAATTCTGCTTCAGGGAGGATTTCCTTGTCATTTTAAACAATATGAAATGTATAAATATTTTGCCAAAATATGTTTTAGGTACTGCTTTTCAGCCTCTATTCAGATCATCTTTCTTTGAAAAGAATTTTTACATGGAAAATTGGTTGATTCTATTTATGATTCTTTTGGATGTTTTACATTTATATGCTGGAAAATCATAGACCTTCGTTTCATTCTGTTCCACTCAGAACATAACTTTATCCAATTAAAATAGGAAGTTCATCAGAAATTCTTCTCACAATCCAAGATATTCCAAATCACACTCATAGAACTTGAGAATTAAATTCTGTGCACCATCTGAGCTCTCATTCTGCAATTTGTTCAGTTCCTCCCTTGCTTTTGTCAGGGTAATTTTCAATGTCTTTTTGCTTGCAAGGTCTATTTCCAACAATTGCAGTTCACTCAGTTATTCAAAATCTGAAGTTTCTTAGCACTCTATTCACCAAATACTTGGATTAAAGATTTCCAACCAATTTTAAACAAAATGGAATCAATTTTTAGAGAACATGTTTATAAAATAACTCAGTAAGATTATTATCCGTATGATTTAGCCACATCATCTCTGAACTTTGTGGTTTTTGATTGGTTATTTTAGAGCTCTGATTGTTTTCTTAATTTTTCCAGATCATTATAAAATACTGGATTACAGTTCATTCACTTTGTGACCCTGGATTTCTGGTGTTTTTTCATTATCTGTTAACATGTGAGTAGGGTTACTTTAATTTTTCTCCTCAGAGTAGCTTTTTATGGATTACAGTATATTTCTTTTTTGTCATCCCATTGCATGAGGTGACAGGAAACAGAAGGGCTAGAGCAGCTTTCTTGGTTTTCTGGTTCATGGGTTCCCTCATCTGTTGTTTTCCTAAAGGATTCACAATATAACCTCACCCTCTCTGAGAAGCCACTTTGGTCTCTCTAAAGGAAGCTTTGACCAGTGTGGCAGTTAATTTTATACATCATATTGGCTGAGCTAAGGGATGTTCAGATAGCTGGTAAAAAAAACACGATTTCTGGGTGTGTCTGCAGGGGTGTTTCCAGAAGAGATTGGTGGTTAAATCAGTGACTGGGTAAAGCAGATCACCTCACCCTTCCCAGTGTGGGTGGGCACCATACAATCCTTTGAAGGCTCCAGTAGAACAAAAAGATGAAGGAAGTGTACCTTCTCGTTCTCTCCCTCTCTCCTTGAACTGGAAATCCTGCTTCTCTTGCCCTTTGACATAGAACTCCTGGTTCTAGGGGCTTTCTGACCCTGGGAGTCACACCATTGCTGCCCCAATTCTCAGGTCTTGGACTCAGACTGAGTTCCATCACCAGCTTTCCTGATTTGTCCGCTTGCAGATGACATACAGTGGGACTTCCAGGTCTCCAAGATTGTGTGAGCAAATTTTCATAAGAAATCTCCTCTTATTGATCTCTATGCAGCCTGTTGGTTCTGTTTCTGTGGAGAACCCCAACTGATATGCTCCAGATCATTATTTTCCTTCTGCCCCAGCCCAAGCCCCAGGCTCACGGGCATTGCAGTGTCTGTGGCCTCCCAGGCTCAAGCACCCTATTGCTTCCTCAGACTTCTTGGATCTGCTTCTCCTGGTCTGCAGGTTTGCAGCTTCAGGCACCTCATTTCTTCCCCACACTTCTTTGGATCTGCTTCTCTTTTTTGGGCCCCTTGAGCCTTCTCTCACTCTTGCTGTCAGTGTTTTTTCTCTGCTGACTTTGAACTCTGAGTCTCTAGTCTTCCCTTGGGATGAGGTTCTCTTCTGGAGGAGAGGGCCTGCTGGTATTTCTGAGACTCTCAAGGGCTTATTCCAGTCAGGTGTTATTGGAGGGCACCCCCTCCCAGATTTTTGTGCTTGCCAGCAACCTGTAGACTATGAGAATTTTCTGCTTTTGCCTGTGGTTCTTAGTCCTCCTGAGAGGTAAAGCCAGCTGGACTTCCTGGGTCGGGTAGGGACTTGGAGAACTTTTCTGTCTAGCTAAAAGATTGTAAGTGCACCAATCAGCGCTCTGTGTCTAGCTAAAGGTTTGTAAATGCACCAATCAGCACTCTGTAAAAACACTCCAATCAGCACTCTGTGTCTAGCTAAAGGTTTGCAAATGCACCAATCAGCACACTCTGTGTCTAGCTAAAGGTTTGTAAATGCACCAATCGGCACTCTGTAAAATGGACCAATCAGCACTCTGTAAAATGGACCAATCAGCAGGACATGGGCGGGGCCAAATAAGGGAATAAAAGCTGGCCACCTGAGCCAGCAATGGCAACCCACTCGGGTCCCCTTCCATGCTGTGGAAGCTTTGTTCTTTCGTTCTTCACAACAAATCTTGCTGCTGCTCACTCTTTGGGTCCACACTACCTTTAAGAGCTGTAACACTCACTGTGAAGGTCTGCAGCTTCACTGCTGAAGTCAGCCAGATCACGAACTCACCAGGAGGAACAAACAGCTCCGGACATACCATCTTTAAGAGCTGTAACATTCACTGCAAAAATCTGCAGCTTCACTCCTGATGTCAAGCGAGACCACGAACCCACCGGAAGGAAGAAACTCCGGACACATCTGAACATCTGAAGAAACAAATTCTGGAGACACCATCTTTAAGAACTGTAACACTCACCACAAGGGTCTGCGGCTTCATTCTTGAAGTCAGTGAGACCAAGAAGCCACTGGAAGGAAGGAACCAATTCTGGACACATTTTGGCGACCATGAAGGTACAATCACCAAATGGTGAGTACCATCGGACCTTTTTCACTTGCTATTCTGTCCTATTTTTCCTTAGAATTCGGGGGCTAAATACCGGGCAATTGTCGGCCAGTTAAAAGCTACTAGCGTGGAAGCCGGACTAAAGACATGGTTGTCAGGTTTTCTGGGAAAGGCCTTTCTAACAACTCCTAACTCTTTGGAGTTGGGAGCGTTCGTTTGCCTGGAACCAGCTTCCGCTTTTCTCGTACTTCTGGGTTGAGCCGAGGGTTGACAGATAGGAAAGCCATTCAACTCCGGGGTCCCGACAGCAAGTTGGTTGACCCTGCAGCCATGAGCAGAACTCTCAAAGTCATGTCGCCCAAGTGAGACTCGCCCATCTATCCTATCTATCCTGACCCTTGCCTCCTGGGTCCTAATGCCTGTCAGACAAACTTCCTTTTGCCTCTCTTCTCCGAGGCTAGTCCCGCTTCTAAAAACCACTCGCTGTCTCTGATGCTTTTCTAGTTTCTCCTATAAGAATGATTTCTAGTATAAACTCCAGGACTCTGTTACCTTCTTTAGGCACCCGGGCTCACCAATCAGAAAGACATAATTTTTGCCCAAAGCCCCATCGTAGGGGGGACTATCTGGAATTCTAGGATCCCTCCTCAGACAAGCAGGCCTAACAAAAGCTTATTCCTGAATCTAGGATATGGGGAGCCTCAGAAATTGTATCCTTCCTATTCATGTAAGTGAGGACAAAAGGCATCACCTTTCTAACTCTAGAGATCCCTTCCCTCCCTCAGGGTATGGCCCTCAACTTCATTTTTGGGGCATAACATCTTTATAGGACATGGGTAAAGGCCCAATACTAACAGGAGAATGCTTAGGACTCTTTAACAGGTTTTCAAGAATGCGTCAGTAAGGGCCACTAAATCTGATTTTTCTTGGTCCTCTTTGTGTTCTAGGAAGACAGGCAAGGGTGCAGGTTTTTGAGAATGCATTGGCAAGGGCCACTAAATCCAACATTCCTTGGTCCTCCTTGTGATCTAGGAGGAAAACTAGTGTTTCTGCTGCTGCATCGGTGAGCACAACTATTCCAATCAGAGGGTCCAGGGTTCTTGGGCAAGAGGTGTTTCTGCTGCTGCATCGGTGAGTGCAACTATTCTGATCAGCAGGGTCCAGGGACTGTTGTGGGTTTTGGGGCAGGGGGAGAAACAAACAAACCAAAACCATGGGCAGTTTTGTCTTTTAGATGGGAAACACTCAGTCATCAACAGGCTTACCCTTGAAATGCATCCTAAGCCTTTGATACCAATTTGACCTGCAAATCCTGTAAAAGAGGTGGCTCATTTTTTTCTGCACTACATCCTGGCCCCAATATTCTCTCTCTGATGGAGAAAAATGGCCACCTGAGGGAAGTATAAATTACAATACTATCCTGCAGCTTGACCTTTTCTGTAAGAGAGAAGGCAAATGGAGTGAAATACCTTATGTCCAAGCTTTCTTTTCGTTGAAGGAGAATACACAACTATGCAAAGCTTTGAATTTACATCCCACAGGAGGACCTTTCAGCTTACCCCCCTATCCTAGCCTCCCTATAGCTCCCCTTCCTATTAATGATAAGCCTCTTCTAATCTCCCCTGCCCAAAAGGAAACAAGCAAAGAAATCTCCAAAGGACCACAACAAACCCTGGGCTATCTGTTATGTCCCCTTCAAGCTGTAGGGGGAGGCAAATTTGGCCCAACCTGGGTACATGTCCCCTTCTCCCTCTCTTGATTTAAAGCCGATCAGTGAAGACCTGGGAAAGTTTTCAGACGATCCCGATAGGTACATAGATGTCCTACAGAGTCTAGGGCAAACCTTCGATCTCACTTGGAGAGATGTCATGCTATTGTTAGATCAAACCCTGGCTTTTAATGAAAAGAATATGGCTTTACCTACAGCCCAAGAGTTTGGAGATACCTGGTATCTTAGCCAAGTAAATGATAGAACGACTGCCAAAGAAAGGGACAAATTCCCTACCAGTCAGCAAGCAATCCCCAGTATGGATCCCCACTGGGACCTTGACTCAGATCATAGGGACTGGAGTAATAAACATCTGTTGACCTGTGTTGTAGAAGGACTAAGGAGAATTAGAAAAAAGCCCATGAATTATTCAGTGATGTCCACCATAACTCAGGGAAAGGAAGAAAATCCTTCTGTCTTCCTCAAGCAGCTACAGGAGGCCTTAAGAAAATATACTCCCCTGTCACCTGACGCACTCGAGGGTCAATTGATCCTAAAAGATAAGTTTATTATCCAATCAGCTGCAGATATCAGGAGAAAGCTCTAAAGGCGAGCCCTAGGCCCTGAACCAAATCTGGAGGCATTATTAAACCTGGCAACCTCGGTGATCTATAATAGGGACCAAGAGGAACAGGCCCAAAAGGAAAAGCGAGATCAGAGAAAAGCTGTAGCCTTAGTCATGTCCCTCAGACAAACAAACCTTGCTGGTTCAGAGAGGACAGAAAATGGCGCAGGCCAGTCACCCCGTAGGGCTTGTTATCAGTGTGGTTTATAAGGACACTTTAAAAAAGATTGTCCAACGAGAAACAAGCTGCCCCCTCATCCACGTCTGCTATGCGGAGGCAATCACTGGAAGGCACACTGCCCCAGAGGACGAAGGTTCCCTGGGCCAGAAGCCCCCAACCAGATGATCCAACAACAGGACTGAGGGTGCCCGGGGCAAGCGCCAGCTCATGTCATCACCCTCACTGAGCCCCAGGTATGTTTAACCATTGAGGGCCAGGAAATTGACTTCCTCCTGGACACTGGTGCAGCCTTCTCTGTGTTAATCTCCTGTCCCAGACGACTGTCTTCAAGGTCCGTTACCATCCAAGGAATCCTGGGACAGCCTGTAACCAGGTATTTCTCCTACCTCCTCAGTTGTAATTGGGAGACTTTGCTCTTTTCATGTGCCTTTCTTGTTATGCCTGAAAGTCCCACACTCTTTATTAGGGAGGGATATATTAGCCAAAGCTGGAGCTATTATCTACATGAATATGGGGAACAAGTTACCCATTTGTTGTCCCCTACTTGAGGAGGGAATCAACCCTGAAGTCTGGGCATTGGAAGGACAATTTGGAAAGGCAAAAAATGCCCGCCCGGTCTAAATCAGACTAAAAGATCCCACCACTTTTCCTTATCAAAAGCAATATGCCTTAAGGACTGAAGTTCATAAAGGATTACACGATATTTTTAAACATTTAAAAGCTCAAGCCTTAGTAAGGAAATGCAGCAGTCCCTGCAACACCCCAATTCTAGGAGTACAAAAACTGAATGGTCAGTGGAGACTAGTGCAAGATCTTAGACTCATCAATGAGGCAGTAATTCCTCTATATGCAGTTGTACCCAACCGCTATACCCTGCTCTCTCAAATACCAGAGGAAGCAGGATGGTTCATTGTTCTGGACCTCAAGGATGCCTTCTTCTGTATTCCCATACACTCTGACTCCCAGCTTCTCTTTGCCTTTGAGGATCCCACAGACCACATGTCCCAACTTGTGTGGACGGTCTTGCCCCAAGGGTTTAGGGATAGCCCTCACCTGTTTGGTCAGGCAGTGGCCCAAGATCTAGGCCACTTCTCAAGTCCAGGCACTCTGGTTCTTCAGTATGTGGATGATTTACTTTTGGCTACCAGTTTGGAAGCCTCATGCCAGCAGGCTACTCTAGATCTCTAGAACTTTCTAGCTAATCAAGGGTACAAGGCATCTAGATCGAAGGCCCAGCTTTGCCTAATTCAGGTCAAATATCTTGGCCTAATCTTAGCCAGAGGGACCAGGACCCTCAGCAAGGAATGAATACAGCCTATACTGGCTTATCCTCACCCTAAGACATTAAAACAGTTGCAAGAGTTCCTTGGAATCACTGGCTTTTGCCAACTATGGATCCCCAGATACAGCGAAATAGCCAGGCCCCTCTATACTCTAATCAAGGAGACCTAGAGGGCAAATACTCATCTAGTAGAATGGGAACTAGGGGCAGAAACAGCCTTCAAAACCTTAAAGCAGGCCCTAGTACAAGCTCCAGTTTTAAGCCTTCCCACAGGACAAAACTTGTCTTTATACATTACAGAGAGAGCAGGGATAGCTCTTGGAGTCCTTACTCAGACTCGTGGGACAACCCCACAACCAGTGGCATACCTAAGTAAGGAAATTGATGTAGTAGCAAAGGGCTGGCCTCACTGTTTAAGGGTAGTTGTGGTGGTGGCCGTTTTAGTGTCAGAGGCTATCAAAATAATACAAGGAAAGGATCTCACTGTCTGGACTACTAATGATGTAAATGGCATACTAGGTGCCAAAGGAAGTTTATGGCTATCAGACAACTGCCTACTTAGATACCAGGCGCTACTTCTTGAGGGACCAGTGCTTCAAATACGTATGTGCACGGCCCTCAACCCTGCCACTTTTCTCCCAGAGGATGGGGAACCAATCAAGCATGACTGCCAACAAATTATAGTCCAGACTTATGCAGCCCAAGATGATCTCTTAGAAGTTCCCTTAGCGAATCCTGACATTAACCTATATACCGATGGAAATTCATATGTGGAGAATGGGATACGAAGGGCAGGTTATGCCATAGTTAGTGATGTAACCGTACTTGAAAGTAAGCCTCTTCCTCCAGGGACCAGGGCCCAGTTAGCAGAACTAGTGGCACTTACCTGAGCCTTAGAACTGGGAAAGGGAAAAAGAATAAATGTATATACAGATAGCAAGTATGCTTATGTAATCCTACATGCCCATGCTGCAATATGGAAAGAAAGGGAATTCCCAACCTCTGGGAACCCCCATTAAATACCACAAGAGCCCCTTGTGTCTCTTTCCTGCCTTCCTTTCACCTCACAGTCTGATGCCTTTCTTTTCTTTTCTTTTTTTTTAGTCTTAAATATGTCCAATTTTTATTTGACAATTAAGCTATTTTTCTTTTTTTTTTTAACTGATTTCACATTTCTTTTTTTTTTTATACTTTAAGTTTTAGGGTACATGTGCACATTGTGCAGGTTAGTTACATATGTATACATGTGCCATGCTGGTGCGCTGCACCCACTAACTCGTCATCTAGCATTAGGTATATCTCCCAGTGCTATCCCTCCCCCCTCCCCCCCACCCCACCACAGTCCCCAGAGTGTGATATTCCCCTTCCTGTGTCCATGTGATCTCATTGTTCAATTTCCACCTATGAGTGAGAATATGCGGTGTTTGGTTTTTTGTTCTTGCGATAGTTTAAACTTTCAAATAAAGACTTGTCTTATTGTTGTAAACGTGTTTTCTCATTATTCATTCACAGACAGCATAAGTTACTGTTACATATAACTTTTTTTAAAGCAATTACAAAAAGTCATACGTGACACACCCTAAGTGATTAAAAACTCAGGAAAAAAGATAAACAGATAAAGAACAGAAAAGAGGCTGGATGCAGTGGCTCACTTCCATAATCCCAGCACTTTGGGAGGCCGAGGCAGAAGGATCACTTGAGCCCAGGAGTTTGAGACCAGACTGGGCAACATGGCAAAACCTCATCTCTACAAAAAATAATAACTAAAATATTGCCAGGCATAGCATAGTCCCAGTTACTCAGAAGGCTGAGGTGGGAGGATTGCTTGAGCCCAGGAGGTGAAGGTTGCAGTAAGCCAAGATTGTGCTATCGCACTCCAGCCTGGGTGACAGAGATCCTGTCTCAAAAAAAAAAAAAAAAAAAAAAAAAAAAAGCAGAAGAAATATAATCCCTATGATTCCTTATATGACATCTCTGGAGTTCTAGGGATGGATGATTATGATGGTTGCATGGCAATGGCAGTATGTTTAATACCACTGAAGTGTAACTTTAAAGATAGTTAGGATGGTAAATTTTGTGTTATGTGTATTTTAGCACAATGAAAAACAGGTATTTACTTCATCACATTATTTTTCCCCTCTACTGCCTCATCTCCGTAATCCTACTCACTCACCTGTACAGAGCCATGTCCTGGGAATAGTTTGGTGAGTTTCCTCTCTAAACTTTCCAATATACATAGAAGAGATGCACATACAGGGTTTTAAAATTTTAATTTGGATCAATTTATGTTGACAGTTATTGGTTTTTACCCCTTTAAGAATACGTGTTCACAATCTTTCTATGTCAGTTTCCATGGCTCTCATTAACTTAATAGCCACACTTCATAGAAAATATCATTAACTATTATTTAATTGTTTTCTGTTAATGGAAAATTAGAGTTTTCCTCACTTTTTATATCAATTAAATACGCTGTTATCTTACACATCTTTATACATATCTTTTGGCTCACATGGAAAAGTCTTGCTAAAAGGTATAGTTCTAGAATATGCTGAGATTTACTCCAAACTGTGGAGATGGTGGAATTGGAATTTTTGGAGTTGCAAAAATTAATGCCAAATTAAAATACCACCGAATACAGGACAGCCCCTACTACTCCCTTTCTTCACCATTCTGACCTTTCTCTGACCTCCAGATTTTTCTGTCTGTTGCATGTTTTCACTTGTGTGTGCTACGCAGCTTCTGTTACTTTGAGATTCTGTTCTTCCTTTTGCTACTTGTGAGCTGCATTCCATCACAGCCTTTCCCACGGAGGACCGCCATACTGAGTGTCTTGATAATGCTGCCTTCCACACACAGCACACTCTTTATTTGGTATATAGAGCATCCTTTGGGATGTCCCATGGGTTATGCTCAGCCGGGGTTCTGGCCTCAAGTGTTGTATTCACTAGCATGCCCACTCCTCAGGGCCTGTAAGCTTTCCTCCATCATCTCCCATGGGGGTCTGCATTTTTCTTTCATTGAGACCCAACCACCATTTCTTACAAGCTTCCAAGAGCCACACTAGTAGCAGCTTAGCACCTTTTCCAGGAGATCATGCCAAGGTGTTACCCTTGTACCCCAAGAGAGTTTTCCCATCTTAATAAATTATCCCTTACACAACTTTATTTTCTGCCCCTCTTGATTCAGTTCCTGGATCCTGAGAGTTTCGCAGAGGTAATACAGCTTTTCTAGTTATTCTCCCCTTGGAGGCCAGGCAATTTCTCAATTAGAATATGCTTAGATTTACTCCAAATTCTGGGGCTGGTGGTCAGCAAAAGAGGCAGGTATATATAGGTAGACTCTAAGGAAACATTTATAGTCTGCAAAGCAGAGGCTTCTGTGCCATTATAAAGCAAGGGGAGCACTAGCCTTTAAAGGAGAAACAGGGACACATTCTTCAGTGCAGAGGGTTTGGAAGAATCTACGGAGTCCAGAATTTCTGGTGCATTGACCCAGATGTTCTTATCCGAAGTGTCAGAGTCCATCAGACCTCCAACTTGTGTAGCAGATCTGCTGGAGCTGAAATTTTAATCTTCTCTGGAGATTCTCTAACTTTGTAATTAACACTTGGGCATGGATATGGTTTGAATTTGTGTCTCCATCCAAATTTCATATCAAATTCTAATCCTCAGTGTTGATGGAGAGGCCTGGTGGGAGGTGATTGGATCATGGAGGTGGATTTCTCCCTTACTGTTCCCATGATAGTGAGTGAGTTATTATGAGATTTGGTTGTTTACAAGTATGTAGCACCTCCCTCTTCTCTCTCTTCCTCCTTTTCTGGCCATGTAAGATGTATCTGCTTTCCCCTTCACCATCTGACACAATTGTAAGTTTCCTGAGGCCTCCCAGCCATGCTTCCTGCAGAGCCTGCAGAACTGTGAGTTGATTAAACCTCTTTTTAGAAATTATCCAGTCTCAGGTAGTTCTTTATAGCAATTCAAGAATAGACTAATACACAAAATTGGCATCAGGAATGGGGTACTGCTGTAAAGATACATGAAAATGAGGAAGTGATTTTGGAACTTGGTAATGGGCAGAGGTTGGAACAGTTTGAAAGACTCAGAGGAAGACAGGAAGATGAGGGAGCCTGGAACTTCCTAGAGACTTATTCAATTGTTGTGACCAAAATGCTGATAGTGATATGAACAATAAAGTCCAGGAGAAATGAGGAACTTATTGGGAAGTGGAGAAATGCCACTTTTGTTATGCATTAGAAAAGAGGGTGGAGGCATTGTGCCCCTGCCCTAGAGATCTGTGGAACTTTAAACTTGAGAGTAATGATTTAGGGTATCTGGTAGAAGAAATTTCTAAGCAGCAAAACATTCAAGATGTGGCCTGGCTGCTTCTAGCACCCTATACTTATATTCATCAGCAAAGAAATGACCTGAAACTGGAACTTATATTCAAAAAGGGAAGCAGAGTGTAAAGGTTTGAAAAATGGGTCTGAATAACCCATTTTCCAGGGAGAAATTCAAGCTGGCTGCAAAAATTTGCATAGCAAAGAGGAGCTGAATGCTAATAGCCAAGACAAAGGGGAAAAATGACTTGAAGGCATTTCAGAGAACTTTGTGGCAGTTCTGGAAGCCCAGGAGAAAAGAATGGTTTCATGGGCTGGGCCCATGGCCCCGCTGCCCTGTGCAATCTCAGGACACTGCTTTTTGTGTCCCAGCCACTCCATCTCCAGCTGTGGCAAAAGGGCCCCAGATACTCCTCAGGTCACTGCTCCAGAAGGTGCAAGCCATAAGCCTGGTGGCTTCCATGTGGTGTTAAGCCTGTGAGTGTGCAGAGAGCAAGAGTTAGGCTTGGGAGCCTCTGCCTAGATTTCAGAGGATGTATGGAAACACCTGGATGTCTAGGCAGAAGTCTTCTTCAGGGGCATAGCCCTCATGCAGAACTTCTTCTAGGGCAGTGCAGATGGGAAATGTGGGGTTGGAGCCTCCACACAAAGTCCCCTCTGGGGCACTGCTAGTGGAGCTGTGAGAAGCTCCAGCCCCAACAGTGGTAGATCCTCCAGACCCCACAATAGTAGATCCACTGAGAGCTTGCACCATGTATTTGGAAAAGCCACAGGAACTCAATGCCAGCCCATGAAAGCAGCTGTACCATGTGGAGGCATGGGGACAGAGAGGCCTAAGGCCTTGGGAGTCCACTCCTCGCATCAGTGTGGATGTGAGACATGGAGTCAAAGGAGATTATTTTGGAGCTTTCAGATTTAATGACTGCCCTGCTGTGTTTCAGACTTGCATAGGCCTGTAGCCCCTTTGTTTTGCCTGATTTTTCCCTCTTCAAATAGGTGTATTTACCCAGTTCCTGTACCTCCATTGTATCTTGGAAGTAACTAAATTGCTTTTGACTTTACAGGTTTATAGGTGGAAGGGACTTGCCTTGTTTCAGATGAGACTTTGGACTATGGACTTTTGAGTTAATACTAAAATGAGTTAAGACTTGGGGGACTGTTGAGAAGGAAGCATTATATTTTGCAATGTGAGAAGGACATGAGATTTGGGAGGAGCAGAATGATATGGTTTGGATTTGTGTCCCAAACCTCAAGTTGAATTGTAAACCCCAGTGTTGGAGGAGGGGCCTGGTGAGAGGTGATTGGATCATGGGAGCAGAGCACCTCCCACCTCTCTGTCTTCTTTCTCCAGCCATGTAAGATATGCCTGCTTAATCTTTGCCTTCCACCATGATTATAAGTTTCCTAAGGCCTCCCGAGTCATGCTTCCTATACAGCCTATGGAACTGTAAGTCAATTAAGCCTTTTTCTTTATAAATTACCCAGTCGTCAGGGCGCAGTGGCTCATGCCTGTAATCCCAGCACTTTGGGAGGCCGAGGCAGGCAGATCATGAGGTCAGGAGATCGAGACCATCCTGGCTAACACAGTGAAAACCCATCTCTACTAAAAGTACAAAAAATTAGCCAGGTGTGGTGGCAGGTGCCTGTAGTCCCAGCTACTCAGGAGGCTGAGGCAGGAGAATGGCGTGAACCCAGGAGGTGGAGCTTACAGTGAGCTGACATTGTGCCACTGCACTCCAGCCTGGGCAACAGTGCAAGACTCCATCTCAAAAAAAAAAAAAAAATTACCCAATCTCAGGTAGTTCTTTATAGCAATGCAAGAATGGACTAATAGAGGTGTCATCAGCAGGTCTTTTCACCTTTTGGTTGCAGGGGATAAAGTTTCTTTATGGCTGCCTTGGAGAGCCTCTGACTTCCACACTGTTTCAGAATACCCTTGGTTTTGGCTCCATTGGCCGTCCGATTTCATGGTCTTTATAGCTAGTGCTTCACTCATACTTCTCAAATGCCTTGGCTATTTCATCAGTTAGTGAATTTATTTCCACAGCTTCAGACTTTGCATCAGTAAATATTTTTAAAATTGCACCGCCGCAGAGTTTAACACTTACCACCAATGGGGTCCTCATTGCCAGCCATCTTGTCAGAAATCCTAATCCCATTTTGTGTTATTTTCCTTGGACTACTTTTGTTGCCACTTATCTTACGTAGAGTCCCTGGAGATAGACTCAAAGGGAGAAGTTTGTATGAAGAAGTTTTATTGAGGAATGCACCCTGAAACAAAACCTCCAGGAAATGAGAGAAGCAGGGTTGGGCAGAGGAAGGAGCTGGATTGTGCTGTAGTTAGAAGCCTCAGACAATCCAATGAGGAGCTCTTGACTTGGGCAAGTCCATCAGAATTGCCCTAATTGAGGAAATGGGGCTAATCCTTCATTCCTTTACACTGACTGGTTATTTAATGGGGTATAACCTTGGGCAAGGAAGTTCGCCTTGAGTTATGGCAATTCCTAAGTAGGAGTTCAGCTGAATACTGAAAGTATCCAATGCTCCCTGCAGCCTGAAGAATTAGTGCCTCAGTCATGAAAAGAGTATATTTTAATAACACACTGAAAGCTAAATTCTGAAATGACATTTCTGTGTGCATAATTCTGAGAGTTTGTGGAGCAGATTTCTAGAATGTGCTCCTACAAATACCCCTGACTGTGATGTTATCAAACTAGCCTCTCTCACACTGCCACTAAGATCAAATGTCTAAAATGCAAAATCCGATTGTTATTTCAGAATTTTTCCAATTACTTTAGTGACATTCTCTTGTGTGCAGAGTAAAGTCTAAATATGGTGAAATAGGCATAGGCTTGTTTGTACAATCTAGCCTCCATTCTCCATTTCTTTGTAGAGAACCACACAACTTTAATTTGTCAGAGCCATGCTCGTTCATTTCTTATGCTTTAGCTATAGCACAATGATTATCACTTGTTGACAGCCCTGGTAAATGAGAAAATTTTACTCTTTCTCCAAATTTTACTCCATTAGAGAAATGGTTTAGAAATGGGCACTTCATCATATCAGAGTCAAGGAAATACAGTGGAACTTTGGCTGAGGCTGAAGTTGAGAGAGTATGAGGCTCAAGCACCTGTGATCAGGAGTCAGTCTGAGAACAGAGCCAGTGGAATAGAATGCAGAGCCAAGTGATAAGAATAAAAAGTGGCCTGAATCCCACAAATCTGAAGCCAGTAACTTTAGTTACATGAGTGAAAGAATCCCAATTGATACTGAATTTTAAATTGAGAATAGGGTTTTGAAGTAAGAGTAGTGATGATGTAAAATATGAGAGTGACTGCCTAAATCATGAAATTAGTTGGGGTATCTCTCGAGGTAGGCAATATCCGAAGACGGAAAGTTGGGAATTCTTGTGATTTGGAGGTACAGTAGACACTTGAGCACAACCTTGTGAATATTGAGTCCCAGAAATATACATCTAGGAGGGTATACACCTGGGAGGGTAAGCATTAAAAACATAGTAGAAAAAAGTCAGGATCTTACAGTCAACAGGAAGAAACATGTGCCAAGCTGATGTTGAAACTAGCCCATCTGACAACAGTGATGCCTCTGCTTTCAGCCTGTGATGGAAAAGAATCAGACCTCTAATAGTTGGGATATTTGCATGGTTAGAAAAAGCAAATCCCCAGTCCTAAGCTAAATGTAGAGAAAATACAGGCTAGAAGGAAAGGCAGAAGAAAAAGGCTAGAAGAAAAGCCAGCCATTGAAAGTAATGGTGAAAACCAGAATTACTTTTGCACCAACCTAATATTTTAGAACCTGAGAGAATCCTGTTTCTCAAGGCCAATCCTTAGCACCTCCTGTTATCCATCTCTACCAGATGGGGAATCAGTTGCCTTCATTGTTGGGATGCTGCTGGCATGGAGCCTGGGGGTCAGAGGAAGACCCATACCTCTTTACTTCATGCCATTGATTCATATTGCCCTGTTGTATGGGCTCAATTAAATGCCTCCAGTTCATGGGCCTGAGCATAGATACTTATGAGCAAAGAAATGGACATTCACCAGCCAGATTTCAAATTCAGAGATTACAACTGAGCAAGAGTTTTGGCTTTGGTCAATATCTTATGAAAATGACCAGAAAAAATACTAGCTTGGTAATACATTTATTTACTATTGTTTTGTATTTTCTCTAGATATTTATACATGCATCTATTACTTTTACTTTTGTCATTTTAGTTCTAGAATTTATGGTTGATTCAATTTTAGGGTTTCTCTGATACAACTTTTCATCATATTGAACACGCCAATTAAAAAGCATCTGAAATCTTATGCCCAATTTCTGGATCTTCTGTAGATTTGTTTTTATTGTTTGATTTTTCTCCAAAAATTCTGTTATGCTGTCTTTTGATAGACTTGATCATTTGCTTATTACATTCCAAATGATGATGTGAAACACTATAGAGATAATTTTAAAATCTAAGTGATGTTATATTTCTCATGGGAGGTTTTCGTTTGTACCAGGTAGCCAGTTAGGGTAGACACAGAGCACCACAATCTAATCAGGGATCAATCTGCTTCAAATTTAGGCTTCAGACCTTATAAAGGCCAGCCATTTTTCTAGTTCTCTTTCCATCTTCTACTCTGTAAATGTTTGAGGCTCCTGACTACACGCCTGAGATATTTACTGTGGTCTCTCCCTTTTGGTGGACCTGAGTCACTTCCCTTCCCCTCACTCCCACAGTTGCTTCTTTCAGTTTAGCTAGAAAGCCTCTTCACTGTTGCTCTGAATTGACAGGATCCTGAAGAGCAGTTTGGAATGTGGGACTTACCGTGGTGTGTCACAGCTGCCACAGAGATATATTTTATATTTTATTTGGCTTTCCAAGCTGGAAGAAGCCTGTCTTTCAACAATGGAAGTGGAAGTTTCTCCGCTTTTGATAAATGGCCGTTCGTGTTCCACAGTGCTGTGCTGGGTATGTTTGGGAGTAGTCAGGCTTGTTACTTATCTACAGTTGCCAGACCGTGAGAAGTCGCATCTGTACCCAATGTTATGGCATATCATTCAGAGATCCTGGACATGGAGGCAGACGTTGGGACTCCAAGATGAAAAAGTAGGTTATATTATTTTAATAAATACTCTTTTTTTCTTCTCACTATCCCCTTTCTCCTTGTGATTATAGTACCCCGTCTTTTTATTCCGGGTCTCCTCAACCCATGTAGTTTCTGCAAAGCTAACTTCACTGCTGGATTTCTGAATAAAACACATTCTCCAGACTAACCTCTTCAACATGTTCCATCCTCTTGGTCATGCTGATTGGTTCAAGGATGGACTCTAGGACCAAGCCGGATTCAGTAGGAGTAAGATACCTCAATTACAGGGACCTTATGTTCAACCTTGTATCTCCAGAAGCCACAACATGGACCTTAAAAACGAAGCCAGCACAGTGCTGAGGGAATTAGAGAGACTGAGTTAAATATAAATACACACAAAGCCAGCTCGGCTCCGTTCCTGGACGTTTTGGTAATAGAACACAAAATAATCATTTTTCTTTTCTGAAATTAGTTTTAAGCAACTTTTCTGTTATTTGCCAATAAATAGACCTACTTTACAGAGATTGTCTGTATTTGTAGAGGGGAGAGGGCAGCTTATGTAAACCTGTGTCTTTCGAAGGGGTTTAGATGACAAGGAGGATACATGGATGCTTGCCATTCATTGAGAGCTCTGCATCCATTCCCCCAATGCTGGTGATGGCCTCAGATTTTCACATGCAGGTCAACCACTCTTGCATTCAGCACACTCAGCCAGGGTGTGGATCAATCTCAGCTCCGGGTGTGGATCACATGAAGCAGCCTAAGCCACAGTGATTGGTTCAAGAGTAAGCACTTGGCTTAAGCCTTCCAACCACAGTGAAACTCGGGACTTTTGTGGGAGCTCCTGGAAGAGAATCTGTCATTTCTAATGGTCTTAAATTT
Source organism: Homo sapiens (assembly GCF_000001405.40). Lineage (NCBI taxonomy): Eukaryota > Metazoa > Chordata > Mammalia > Primates > Hominidae > Homo > Homo sapiens. The sequence goes on along the minus strand of NC_000013.11, from coordinate 107,882,739 downwards.
TGAAGCATGTGGGATGGTGGCGGCTGACACAACCCTGCCATGTGAATGAAGCACCCACATGTAAGCAGAGCCAACACATCAGGAGACAGAACAGAGAGTTGGAAAATAACACTGGCAAAAAAAAAAAAAAAAAGACATTGTTTAATCCTGCATATCCAGCTATGTCTGAAAGAAAGCTTACCATGGGACTCTTCAGTTACATGAGTCAATACATTGATCTTTACTTAAGTCTATTTAGGACTTTTTTTCTATTGCTTTCAACAGAAGAATCCTAACTGATGCTCTACGTGGTTAGTTGTTCCTAGGGGAGATTGAATTATGTAGGCATAAGCAACTTTCATGCAGCAGGTTTTAGAATAAAAGCCATGTGAGATCCTATTGAATTCTGTCTTTACACATATCCACTTTCATTCAATAAATATTGATATGTGCTGTCACTCTGTTAGCCACTGTAAATACAAAAAGGCCCACTGCCCAAGAGGAGCCTACAAGAAGATAAAAAAGAACAAAAAGGGAAGATGTATGAACAAATGCAGGCAATAATTATGGGTACCTGCCAAGATGGAAGGTTCCATTGCATGTATGGTTGACCTGATGTAGATGATCCATGATGGAATTTCAGGAAGTCCATGAACCCTGTAAAATTTTGTGCAAAATACTGAGTGTATGAGCCTGTAAACCGATTTCAGAGAGAGTGTGCAGAGCTGTCATCAGAAAAGCAAAGAGATACTTTAAGAAATGGTTAAGAATTACTGAATATATTATTGTAGAAACACCAAATTTTAAAAAGTCAATAGTAAAATTGTAACTACATTGAGAACATGTTAAGGAAATGGTCATATTTCTGTTCCTAGAAAGATACATAGTTGCTATTCAATATCTATTGGTGAAATGAATTAATGAAAGACTAACTAGCTGGATCTGGAATACTCAAGGAAGACATCAGGGAAAAATCAATGTGTAAGTTGAAATTCAATGAATGAATCAGAATTTACAAGGCAAACTGGATTGGGAACGTATTTGTTCTTTCGTGATGATAAGTTTACATAATCTAAAATTTAATTTTTAAGCCCTTGAAAGTAAACTATAAAAATATCCGCCCATATTTCTGGACTGTCAGTACCATGTGGTTAAAGTACATATTTACATTGTTCACCCTTGAGTCAAGGAGAACAAGACATCTATTTCATACTTAGTGGTTGTAGAATAAGTAATGTTTCATAATGAACTGATGAATGAATACACATTACACAATATTTTGGAATTCTAATCCTTTATGTTTGTAAGTTTGGGGAGGATATGTGTATCAGTATCAGGAAATTAATCTGCCATACTTATAAAATACTTGAACAGGTAAGAGTTTATTTTCCTTTCAGTTTAGCTATATATTTTTTTCTTTTTCAACTTTTATTTTAGGTTCATGGGGTACATGTGCAAAGTTGTTATATGGGTAAATTGTGTGTCACTGGAGTTTGATGCACGAATGATTTCATCACCCAGGTAGTGAGCATAGTACCTGATAGGTAGTTTTTTTAATCTTTCCTGTCCCCCTACTCTACCCTCATGTAGGCTCTGGTGTCTATTTTTCCTCTCTTTGTGTCCACATGTACTGAATGTTTAGCTCCAACTTGTAAGTGAAAACATGCACGTTTTGGGTTTCTGATCCTGTGTTGATTTGCTTAGGATAATGGCCTCCAGCTGCATCCATGTTGTTGCAAAGGACATGATTTTGTTCTTTTTAAATGGCTATGTAGTATTCCATGGTATATATGTACCACATTGTCTTTATCTGGTCCACTATTAATGAGCATCTAGGTTAATTCCGTGTCTTTGCTATTGTGAACAGTGCTGTGATGTGCATACGAGTGCATATGTCTTTTTGGTAAAATGGTTTATATTCTTTTGGGTATATACTCAGTAATGAGATTACTGTGTGGAATGGTGGTTCTAAGTTCTTTTGGAAATCTCCAAACTTCACTCTTCAGTAGCTGAACTAATTTACATCCCCACCAGAAGTGTATAAGCATTCCTTTTTCTCCACGACCTCATCAACCTGTTACTTTCTGACTTTTTAATAACAGTCACTCTGACTGGTGTGAGATGGTATCTCATTGTAGTTTTGAATTGCATTTCTCTAATGATTCGTGATGTTGAGCATTTTGTATATGCTTGTTGGCTGCATGCATGTATTCTTTTCAGAAGTGTTTGTTCATGTCCTTTGCCCATTTTTAATGTTGTCTGCTTTTTGATTGTTGATTTAAGTTTTTTTATAGATTATTTGTCAGATGCGTAGCTGTCTGCTTTCTCTGTTGATAGTTTCTTTGCTGTGCAGAAGCTCTTTGGTTTAATTAGACTCACTTGTCTATTTTTGCAATTGCTTTTGGAGACTTTATCATGAAACCTTTGCCAGGGCCTATGTCCAGAATGGTATGTACTCGGTTTTCTTCTAAGGTTTTTTTTTTTTCAGTTTTAGGTCTTACATTTAAGTCTTTAATCCATCCTGAGTTGATTTTCATATATGGTAAAAGGAAGGGGTCCAGTTTCAATCTTCTGCATATGACTAGCCAGTTATCCATGTACCATTTATTGAATAGGGAACCCTTTTCTTATTGTTTGTTATTGTCAGCTTTGTTGAAGATCAGATGGCTGTAGGTGTGAGGCTTTATTCCTGGGTTCTCTAATCAGTTCCTTTCATCTAGGTGTCTATTTTTGTACCAGTACCATGCTGTTTTGGTTACTGTAGCCTTGTATATGGTTTGAAGTTGAGTAGTGTGATGCCTCAGGTGGTATTCTTTTTGTTTAGGATTGCTTTGGCTATTTGGGCTTTTTTGGTTCCACATAAATTTTACAATAGTTTTCTCTAATTCTGTGAAAAAAATGACATTGGTAATTGGATAGGAATAACACTGAATCTATACATTGCTAATTGCCATTGTAAATAAGCAGTATGACCATTTTAACAACATTGATTCTTCCTCTCTCTGAGTATGGAATGATTTTTCTTTTGTTTCGCCTCTGATTTCTTTCAGCAGTGTTTTGTAACTCTTGCTGTACAGATCTTTTACTTCCCTGGTTAGTTGTATTCCTAGGAATTTTATTATTTTGTGGCTATTGTGAATGAGATTGTGTTCTTGATTTGGCTGTCAGCTTGGATGTTTTTTGGTGTATGGAAATGCTACTTATTTTTGTACATTGATTTTGTATCCTGAAACTTTACCGAAGTTGATTATCAGTTCTAGGAGCCCTTGGGCAGAAATTATGGAGTTTTCTAAGTCTAGAATCATATTGCCTGCAAACAGAGATAGTTTGACTTTCTCTCTTCCTATTTGGAAGCCATTTTTTTTTTCTTTCTCTTGCCTGATTGCTCTAGCTAGGACTTTTAGTACTATGTTAAATACATGTGGTGAGAGTGGGAATCCTTGTCTTGTTCTGGTTCTCAGGAGGAGTGCTTCCAACTTTTGTCCATTCAGTATGATGTTGACTATGCGTTTGTCATAGACTGCTTTTCTTATTTTGAGGTATGTTCCTTCAACACCTAGTTTGTTGAGGGTTTTTAACATGAAGAGATGAAGAATTTTATTGAAAGCATTGTCTATGTCTGTTGAGATGAGCATGTGGTTTTAGTTTTTAGTCTTGTTAATGTGATGAATCATATTTACTGATTTGCATATATTGAACCAACCTTGCGTCCCAGGAATAAAGCTTACTTGATTGTGGTTAATGAGCTTCATGATGTGCTGCTGGATTTCATTTGCTAGTATTTTGTTAAGTACTGTTGCATCTATGTTCACCAGGGATGTTAGCCTGAAGCTTGCTTTTTTGTTGTCTCTTTATCAGCTTTTGGCATCTGAATGATGGTAGCCTCATAGAATGAGTTGGGGAGGAGTCCCCCCTCCTTCAGTTTTAGGAATATTTTCAGTAGGGCTGGTACTAGCTCTTCTTTACACATCTGGTAGAATTTAACTGTAAATTTATCTGGTCCAGGGCCTTTTCTGGTTGGTAGTTTCTTTCTTTTCTTTTCTTTTTTTTTTCATAACTGATTCAATTTTGGAACTGTTATTGATCTGTTCACGATTTCACTTTTTTCGTGGTTCAATCTTAGGTTGTATGTTTATAGGAATTTATCCATCTCTTGTAGGTGTTCTAGTTTGTGTGCAGAGGTGTTTGAATGGTCTCTGACTATTTTTGCTTTTCTGTGGGGTCAGTGGTAATGTCACCTTTGCATTTCTGATTGTGTTTATTTGGATCTCTCTCTTTTTAAAAATCTATCTAGCTAGCTATCAAATCTGATTTATTCTTTCAAATAACAAACTTTTGGTTTTGTATTCTTTGATAGGCATGCTCACATCTCAATTTCCTTCAGTTCAGCTCTGCTTTTGCTTAACTTATTTTCTGCTAGCTTTAGAGTTGGTTTGCTCTTATTTTTCTAGTTCCTCTAGGTGTGATGTTAGGTTGTTAATTTGAGATCATTCTAACTTCTTGATTTAGGCATTTAGTGCTATAAACTTTCTTCTTAATGCTGTATTATCTAGTATGTTGTATCTTTATTTTCATTAGTTTCAAGTAAGTTTTTGATTTCTGCCCCAATTTTATTCTTTACCCAAAGTCACTCAGGAGCATGTTGTTTAATTTTCATGTAATTGTATGGTTTTGAGAGATCTTCTTGGTATTGATTTCAATTTTTATAGTGTTGTGGTCTGAGAGTGGGGTTGATATGATTTTGAGGTTTTTAAATTTGTTGAGAATTGCTTTATGGCCAAGCATGTGGTCGTTCTTAGAGTATGTGCCATGTGCAGATGAGAAGAATGTATATTCTGTTGTTGTTGAGTGGAATATTCTGTAGATGTCTGGTAGGCCCATTTGTTCAAATGTCGAGTTTATGTCCTGAATATCTTTGTTACTTTTCTGCCTCCGTGATCTGTCTGACACTGTCCGTGGAGTGTTGAAGTCTCCCACTATTATTCTGTGGTTATCCAAGATTCTTCATATGTTTCTAAGAGCTTGTTTTATGACTCTGGGTGCTCCAGTGTCGGCTGCATGTATATTTAGAAGAGTTAAGTCTTTTGGTTAAATTGAACATTTTATCACTATGTAATGCCTTTGTCTTTTTTTTTTTTTTTAAATCATGGTTAGTTTAAAGCCTGTTTTGTCTGAAATGAGAATAGCAACTCCTGCTCTTTTTTGTTTTACATTTGCTTGATATATCTTTCTCCCTCCCTTTGCTTTGAGCCTATGGCTGTCATTGCAAGTGAGATGATTCTCTTGATGGCAACATATTGTTCAGTCTTGCTTCTTTGTCCAACTTGCCACTCTGTGTCTTTTTTTTTTTCTTTTGAGATGAGGTCTCTGCCATCCAGGCAGGAGTGCAGTGGCACAATCTTGGCTCACTGCAGCCTTGACCTCCCAAGCTCAAATGATCCTCCCACCTCAGCCTCCCAAGTAGCTGGGACTACAAGCATGTGCCACCATGCCCAGCTAATTTTAATTTTTTTTTTTGGTAGAGATGGGGTATTGCTATGTTGCCTAGGCTGGGCTCAGCAATCTTCCTGCCTTGCCCTCCCAAATTGCTGAGATTACAGGTGTAAACCACCATGCCCAGCCACCATCTGTGTCTTTTAAATGAGGCATTTCGCCCATTTACATTCAAGGTTAATATAGATATGTGAGGATTTGATCCTGTCATCGTATTGTCAGCTAGTTGTTATGTAGTCTTGATTGTACAGTTGCTTGATAGTATCAGTAGGCTATGTACTTAAATGTGTTTTTGTGGTGGAAGGTACTGATATTTCCCTTCCATGTTTAGCACTCCCTTGAGGACCTCTTGTAAGGCAGATATGTTGGTTATGAATTCCCTTAGCGTTTGCTTGTCTGAAGAGGATTTTATTTTTCCTTTGCTTATGAGGCTTAATTTGACTGGATATAAAATTCTTGGATGGAATTTCTTTTATTTAAGGATGCTGAATATAGGGCTCTGATCTCTTCTGGCTTGTGAAGTTTCCGCTGAAAGGTGTGCTGTTAGCCTAGTGGAGTTCCCTTTGTATCTGACCAGCACCTTCTCTCTAGCTGCCTTTAATATCTTACAGGGGTTCTGTGAATTTCCTGAATTTTCATGTCAACCTCTCTAGCAAGGTTGGGGAAATTTTTGTGGACAATATCCTCAAATATGTTTTCCAAGTTGCTTGCTCTCTCTCCATCTCTTTCAGGAATGCCAATGAATGGTAGGTTTGGTCTCTTTACATAATCTCATATTTCTTGGAGGTTTCATTCATTTAAAACATTATTTCATCTTTATTTTTATCTGCCTCTATTGATTGAAAGGAGTGGTTTTAGGCTCTGAGATTCTTTCCTCAGCTTGGCCTTTTCTGTTATTAATGATTCCAATTGTATTCTGAAATTCCTGTAGTGAATTTTTTATTTCCAGAAGTTCAGTTTGGGTCTTTCTTAAAATGTCTATGACATCTTTCAATTTTTGGATCATTTTATTCTATTCCTTGGATTGGGTTTCAACCTTCTGTATGTAGATGAGCTTCCTTGTCATCCAGATTCTGAATTAGCTGTCATTTCAGCCATTTCTGTTTGTTTAAAAACCACTGCTGGTAGCTAGTGCGGTCATTTGGAGGTAAGAAGACACTCTGACCTTTAGAGCTGCCAGAATTCTTGCACGTGTTCTTTCTCATCTATGTGGGCTGATGTTCCTTTAGTCTTTGCAGTTGTTATCTTTTGGGTGAGGCTTTTTGCATTCACACTATTTGATGCCCTCCAGGATATGACCATCGTATAAGTTGGATTTAGTGGATTGGCTTCATTTCTGGATGATTTCAGAGGGTCAAGCCTCAGCTCAGCACTCGTAGGCTACATGTTCTAACTCTGGGGGGCTGGGACTAGGCCTGTGGCTTTGTTCTCTGGCCCCTCAAGGTTAAGCACTTGCTGTGCTAGACTGGCTGAGGTGTGCCCTGTCTGCTGGCAACAACACTGTGACAGGGGCTGCTGGCAAAAGCACTCCAGTAAGGTGGCTGTGGGTACCCACACACATGCATACTAGTAGGACAGTGGGGGTCCTTGCACATGTGTGTGCTGGCCAGGGGTCCGCACACACATGTGTGCCGGTGGGGCAGCAGGGGGAGGCCATGGGTGTGTGCATGTCCCCTGAGGGGAACGCTGTGGGTGGATGCACACTGTTGGCAGTCTGTCTGCAAAAGTGCGCTGACAGTTAGGTGGGGTCTGCCTGCAAAAGATCTATGGCAGTGGCTACTGGCAAGCTGAGGCTGTGCTGCAAGCAGGTGTGGTGGCCAGGCAGGGACCCTGGGAGAGGCCAGCAGAGAGGGGGTCACTCAGATCAGACTGGCCCTGTCCCATGGGCAAGAAAGTTCTACTCTGTCCAAGTCTGGCAGCCAACAATGGGTAGAAACACCTACAGAACTATGGCGAGCCTTGGGGGATGGGCGCCTATGGCCTTGCTCCACTGCAGCCATTCCCATGCGACTCTGGGCTCCACACAGGCTGGAGTTCTGTCTCTATCAACTCTCTGGACAGTTCTCCCTGCCAGCTCAGATGTCGCTGGGGATTGTGGGGTCTCCCACAGCTGGGATCCTGGAGGTCCACAGCAAGAGTAGGCCACTCCATGCCTAGGTCACTCACCCACCCCTAGGAGCTGCTCAAGGCCAGGAACGAGACCAGCTACTTGGCAACCCTGTGAAGAGTTCCCAGTTTCCTTCTGTTTCAGCCCAGGGTCTGCATCCTCCCTCTGTCCACTCCCAATGCTTTATTTCCAAAGATCCGTTTGGAGTGTGCCAGTCTACTTGGTCTGGTCTCTCTCTATGGGAGAAGCTCTTCCTGGCTGCATCTAGTCAGCCATATTGGCTGTCCCCCAGAGTATAAATTTTTAACAAACAAAAGTTGTATGGATTTATAAATTTTAATTTTATAAATTTATTATGTGCTTTTTCCATTTAAAAAAGTCTTATCTATTTTTCCAGTTGATTATTTTAATATTTAATTATTTAACATGTCTAGAAACTATTCAGAAAGTAAATATCTAAGTGAACGTATATCGCACTGTGTAAACTATTGTCCCAGAAACATATATTACGTAATACTTTTGTTTATCCTTTATCATATACTAAATTCTTACATGTACTAGGCCTTTTTTCTGTCATTTCTAGTTTTTACTGCTATTTACCTACTTAAACATTTATTTAATTATTATATCATTAACATATGTTTTAGCACCTGGTAGGGTTATCACCTCATTACTTTTATTTATTCACTTTAAAATCTACCTGCATTGAAATGCTCCCCAAATGGGTGGCCTGTCCTCTTGGATGTAGATATCTTAGGTGTGTTTTCCCTCCTCTCTGTTGGCAATTAATTTTCTTCTGACCTCTGCTGTTACCATCCCTGTGGGTTTTGAAGTCTGAGAAGTAGGGAGAGAAATATATCAGAGTCCACTCTTTTATGGATGCATCTGATCTCAAATTATGATCAAATTCGTAGCTAGTGTCACAAAGCTATTCTCTGTGCTGTATTGTGGGAACCAGTGCCAACTATATAGTAACGTCCAGGAAATGTCTCTGAGATCTGCCTGCTGGCCTCATCCATGCTCTGGCTGGAGATTCTCTTAGAGCTGGAGGGCAGAGGCTGGATCCTGCATCAAATATTAATGGAATGAGGGAGTCACCATTTATCTACCCTGTCCACTCTGCTTTCCCTGTGAGCATACTGAAATTAGTGCCAGAGCACCAGGAAGGCTGTCTGAAGAGGGAGCCTGATGTTTCCCACGACAGCTGCAAGCTGCTGTAGGACCGTGGTTACGGAGGCTCCATTCTAGTTTCCATTTATAATTTCAGATAAACTTTATAATTTGTCAGGTTCTATAAAAAATCTTTTAATTGAAGTTGTACTGAACAAATCATATTTATGCACACATATAAGGCAAGCCCAAATATAATAGGTCTAAAGCCCATCATACTTTTTGATGCATCAGAAGCTAACTCCGAAAAGGTCTCTATCAGTTTTTTTTTTTTTTTTCTTTCAGAAAGGGTCTCACTCTGTCACCCAGGCTGGAGTGCAGTGATGCCATCTCTGCTCACTTCAACCTCTGCCTCCCAGGTTCAAGTGATTTCCCTGCTTCAGCCTCCCAAGTAGCTGGGATTACAGGTGCGCCCCACCATACCCGGCTAATTTTTGTATTTTTAATAGAGACAGGGTTTCACTATGTTGGCGAGGCTAGTCTTGAACTCCTTGCCTCATGTGATCCACCCACCCGCCTTGGCTTCCCAAAGTGCTGGGATGACAGGCTTGAGCCACCACGCCCTGTTGGTTTGTACTTCCCAAATTTAAGGATGAAATGAAATTAAATAGCCTAATGTTTACTCATAACATTTTATGTGTTTATTTAGATACACACTTATTTAAAATAGTACAGAAAGTAATGCATTAATTTAAAAATGCATTTTTTACACTCTCAAACATTATGAAACTATATTCAAACTTTTCACTTGTGTGTTTGCCACTGGAACCTTTACTATCACTAGAGTCCCTTGTGAGGCCATCTAACCATCATCATCAACTTCACTCCTATCTCTGCTGACAGGCAACACTTGGATCATTCCACAATGACATCACTGGGAAATTTTGTACCAAATCAGAGAAACTATGCATATAATAATGAGACTGTTCTTTCCCCTTTTTATATTAAAAAACCCTGAAGATGTGTATTCTTAACAACTGCCACATGAACACTTTTTATATTGTTTTCTACCATGATTTAAAAAAATCCACATTTAAAGTAATGTCTAGTGATAATACTTGCTATTGTAAAATCTTTACCCCAGAAATAGTTACCAAATTTTCCTTTGTTAAAAAATTTATTTTGCTATGTTAACAGCTCCATGAGGTAAGCTTTATAAGCATCTAAAACAAACATTGGTGGCTCTCATTTCAAGAGCCTTTGTGTCTTCCCAAAATGAAGTTTGAAATAAAATAGAGAGAGGCCCCCACGTTATGAGAGATTTTGTAAGAAGTCAAATATAAAATGGCTCCCTCTGTTTTGGAGGATAGTTTCTTTCAGGAAAAATAATCACGTTTTGTTTTCAGGAATATGTAACTTGATTTAGGGAGAATTTTCATCTTTATAATAGCCAACTTTCTGTGTAGACACAGGCAGATTTTTCTTACTGTTCAAATCTTTTATTTTATTTGTCAGTAACTTCTGTCCATTTCTCCATATGGGCCTCGTTCTGTGTATCTTGAGTGAAGCGTTTTCCCTCTGTCACTTTTGTTGCTTGCAAATGGTGTGTATGTACACACGTTCTTAAAAGAGTTTGTCAAATAGTAATTTTGATGATGACAATGATGACATAGATTTTTAATGTCATGTGGGGTATACATTGTTTGCATTCTATGAAAAGTGTTCATGACTTAATTCTATACACGCTAATGCTTAATCACAAATAACATTATTTAACACTATATTCTCCACAGATGAATCTTGATACTGGTTTAGAATTTAGAGCATGCACCCTCATTTGACTCACACCGGCCACTCTATCCAGCAGTGCCAATACTGTAGGTAGAAGCGTTCTTAGGTTAGAAAAAGTTACTAAGGGGTTCTTGTTAAAAATAGTTTCCTTGGACCCCAGCCTAGTTCTACTGAGGCAGGTCTCTGGAGAGGGGCCCAAGTTGACTAAGTCTCTACTTGATTCTCTGCCCACCAACATTAGAAAATCACTGAGCTGGAGCATGGTGGAAGTACACAGATAGAGAGAAAATGCTAGTTTGCCAAATCAACCCTATCAAATCAAGGTGGAAATGCAATTACAGAAAGCCCCAGGCACATTTCCCATCTTGGTAACTAACTAGAGCCCTCAGGTACCTCATGATGCTAGAATCTGCTTTTATCTTAAAGAGAGGTTTACATTCACAAATTATAGTGGAATTAAAAGCTTATAGATCAGTCTTATATTTTTCCACAAATAAACTTTGACTATTCTTTATGAGCTCTTTATGTTTAATTTGTTTTAAAAAATGTAGACATTTGCCAGTGTGGTGGCTCATGCCTGTAATCCCAGCACTTTGAGAGACTGAGTCAGGAGGATCAGTTGAGGCCAGGAGTTCTAGGCCAGACTGGGCAATACAGGGAGACCACATCTCTACAAAAAATAAAAGTAAAAATAAAAATTAGCTGGACATGGTGACATGCACCTGCGGTTCTAGCTGCTCGGTAGGCTGAGGTGGGACAATCTCTTGAGCCCAGGATTTTGAGACTGAAGTGAGCTATGATCGCACCATTGCACTCCAGCCCAGGGGACAGAGCTAGACTCCATCTCAAAACTACAACCACAAAAATAAGTAGAAAATGTAGACATGCTCATCAAGAATTTGCACATTGCCTGTGAATTCTAAAAGCACAAAAGTCTTTTTTGAGATTAATGTGTATATAAGAGCATAATCCATTTTCACTTATATGTGTCACATAAACAGTATATGAGAACAACAAAGGGTGTACCTAATTTCGTGTTTTCAGGATGCATTCAGTGTGAAAAAAGAAAATATCTTGGGGTTGTTATTTACTTGATTTATGGAGTGGACATATTTAAGCAATGGCCTTCACTAGATAAGAAGATATTCTGGATTTGCCTGTTTTTCTTTGGTAAAATTATTTGGCAGATGTTAATTTTAAGGGATAAGGATAAATACTTGAGAAGACAACAAATATATCATTTTGTTGTTTTTATAACGTAAAGGCAGAATAAGAAACCCATCTCCCAATGCATAACAACTTTAGCCATTTAAATAGGAATAAAAGCACTGATTCCCATGAAAATAAGCATGATCAAATAACGTAAGAGCTTTGAATTTTTGAAGGTTATAAACATAAATGACCCCCTGAACAGTAATCCTGGAGCTATGATATACATGTAGATTGTTTCTGCAATGTTTTCTTGTTCAGAGTACATCCTGTTAGCAGATCCCTCAATATAATGTATTTGCAACTGTCTACTATTCAGCAGCCTTCTGAAATGTGCTGGTGCTATTAAACTTCTCTATTCCATTAGTCACACTCCTAGGTAAAACCTACGTAGGAGTTTCTAGACTCCACAGCCTGATTTTCCTGATATAAATGAAACCTACATTCCAGCCAAGCTATTTGCTCTTCCTTGCCACTATGCAATATTTTAGCTGATAAGCTAATAAGAATCAACATTTACTAATCTAGTTAACGCCTTCTCCAAACATATTTCTCGTTTTGATTTTAGTGAACAGTGATGTTCATGAAAACGAACATTGAAGTCACAATCTAAATTTCCTTAATGAATCCATCTCTTTCAGGAGAAAAGCCAATTTCCTTTGAGTATTATACAGTATCATTCATAACAGAGCCCCAGCCTTTCTCTCCAGCCTCTTCCCTTACCCCCTCCCAATATACAGGTCACACACAACACAGCCCACTTATCTGTCAGTAGTCCTACCAGTGCCCTGGGCTCCTTCAAGGTCCCAAGTCCTTGAAATTTGCTGTCCTTCTGAATTGTCCTTTTCTCCTCCCTAGAAGACTTCTTTCTGCTCCCGTTAAATGTCCCCAATTCCTATCTATCCCTAGTCCCTCTTAAAATCCAACTGGAGTTTACTGCTCTACTCTGAAGTCTCAAAACATGCTAATCTTCACAGATTACCTTGTATTGTAATTGTTGGCCTAGTTAGTATTATCTGCCCCTTGACTAAGCTTCAAGAGGCCAGACTTGGTCTTTTATCTGTCTTCCAACAGTTCATTCTAGAACCAACACACAACAAACAAAAGTCAAATTGGTTCTCAACAGTTTACTTTCAGTGGGCTTGCGTCCTTAAAATTGTCTTTTATAAAAATATCCTAATTCATGAGAAACATTAGAGGAAGGCAAGGCCCAGCTTACTTAAAAATAATTAACTATAGTCTGTTACATAAAGTAAAAATAGATTAAACACTATTATTTTAATGCAGTATATAAGACTTTTACTAAGTATCACTGAACTACCTTCTGAGACATGATTTTTACTAGATCTGAATAGTAATAAGATAAGTCACAGAGTCTTCTTTTGCTTCGGTTCCTTGTTTGATAATTATGAACCTTTAAATTTATATTGTTTATTTTATTTCCCCTAGTTTTCGTTCTCTTTCTGATTTAATCACACATGCAGAGTAAGACATTGGATGCTAATAATCTCAGCCACCATTAAAATGTTTGTGTCTGATTAAAATTAATGCATTATTGAAGGGAAATATATTATTATCTAATAAGTGTGGATGTGTATTCTATCATACTTCAATCCTTCGAAAATGCTGGACTAGTGAATATCACAAAACAGGAAATTAGTAATACAAAATAAAAATGTTAGGAAGATGCTGTAAAATGAAAATACTGATTATATCTGGGTGTTGATATCACCATGACTTTTTAAATTGCTCTTCTGATTTTTACACCTTTTTTACAATGCACAAACTGTACTTGTATAATAATAGTTATGTCAGCGAGAATGTATGCACTCGTATTTAGTTAAGAAATATTGTGGCATGTACAGTACAGTCCTGATTAATAAACAATCTGGTTAATAAATAATAATTTTGTCTGTATTATGAGGAAAAACTGACATTACTCAGAAATTCAACACACTGAAATCGAAAGTACTAGAATGATCTACTTACACAAATCGTCTTTTAAAACACTACATGACACTTGAGTAAACCAGCCATCAAACAGGACGCGGCTTTTGGATGATCATTACCTATAGTTGGTAAGAACTGAAAATTTTTAGGGGTAAAATTTAGTGTATACAGTACCTTATTATGCAGCAGAAGAGGCTAGTAGGTCGAATCCTGCCCAAGAGGTTTTGCAATTTTCTCTTTAAAAAACACCTACTTCTCCCGCATCCCCAACACCCACAGCGCTCCTTAAAGGAAAATGGATACGGATGCCCCATCCCTTTGGTTTCTCAATGCATTTTACTTAGAAAGAGGTCACCTAGTAAGACCCATGTGGTGAATGTGCACCCGGGCGGGGCATGAGGGTCCTTGGAAAGCACCGCAGAGAGGGCGACACCGCAAACCGCTGTCCCACGCGACCCCCGGGGCGAGCCGGGGCAGCGCTGCACTCGGTGCGCACCGGCAGCGTCTGGCACCCACGCCACCTGCTGCTCCCGCGGGTCTGGCAGGGGCAAGGGGCGGAGTGGGCAGGATCTTCAGATCAAAGGAGACCGATGCTTGCCCACGGCATCCAGCGTAGGAGCCGGAATCGAGGTGACCCCAGATTTTCCCAGAGTGTCTGTCTCCTTTCCCTTCTCAGAACTCCGAGAGCCAACGCTAAGGGGCACCAGAGGCTCAGACTGCGGCGGCGACTCGCAGGCACCCAGCTCGCCCGCGGCTGCGGAGGTCCTCGGAGGAGCCCACCCGGGAGGGGGTCTGGACGCAGGCAGCGGGGGCAGAGGGAGGGTCGAAGCCGCTCCAGAGGGTCCAGGTCCGAGGAGGAGCCCTCGGAGACGCGGACGGTGCGCGCGGAGGGCAGGGCTAGGCAGTGACCCCGGGTGGCACAGGGCTTACTGTTTCTTCCTAAGACTCTATGAGGCCACTTCTAATCGTTTACTTTAGAATAGGAAAGAAAACATAGACAAATGGGTGGCTGTCACCCAGGCAGCTACACGGTCGATGCAGGTGCACAGGCGTGCGCGCCATTCTCCCGTGTCACACAGCAGGACGGAATAACTGCACGCACTGGGAGCGATGGATCTCGCGGTCCGGGATCCGAGACGCATTCAGAGACCAAATGTCACCTCATCCCTCCTCTAGCCAATTCGAGCTTCCTCCGCGGACCCCCACCTTCCATCCGAAGTGGCTCGGTCCTTAGTTGAGAGGACTCTGCCCAGACCCTCGCACCAGTAGAGACCTCTGCCCGGGCGCCTGCAACTCGGACGCTTCCCGGAGCCAGAGCGTGCGGGCGGCGCGGCCGCGAGGAGCCTCACCGGCCATGCCGTCCGCAGTCTGACTTTTATTTTTCTCTTCAGTGATTAAAACAAAATATCGTGGACAGGGGGACAGAAAGGAAAGAGCAGGCGCCTGAGCCCGGGGAGCCGGGCGGGGGCCCCCGGGCCCCGCGGCCCCGCCGCCGCCCGCCCCCGCGCGCCTTCTCCCTCCTCCCGGGCCGAGCCGGCGCCACTGCGCCAGGATGGAGCGAGCTCGGCGCGGGAGGAGATGACGCAAAAGCCAGCGCTCCCCCCAAAAAAGTGTTTCTCCAGGACGAAGATGGCGGCAACTTAGCCCGCGGACTGAAGATGACTGTGGCTCTCGGGAGGCCCAGCCCAGGCGATTCGGCCCGGAGCTCCGCGGGAGGCGGCGTCAGCAGTCGGAGCCCCGGCGGCGGCGCCCGCGGGCGGCCCTGCGGCAGCGGCGGCGGCGGCGGCGGCGGCGGCAGCACTTAGAGCGCGGGGTGGGGGGTGGGGGGGAGGGAGCGCCCCGCCGGAGGCAGCCCAGGCTCCGGACTCTGGGAGAGCCAGCGCGGAGCAGGAGCGGGAGGCGGAGGAGAAGAAGAAGGAGAAGGAAAGGAAGGAGGAGGAAGAGGAGGAGAAGAAGAGGAGGAGGAGGAGGAGGAGGGGAGGCGCTCCGGGCGCCGTCAGTGGGCAGCGGAGGCGCGGCATGCCCCTGGCAGGGGAGAGCGGGCTGGGCTCCGCGGGGCCATGGGGACCCGCGCGCTGACAATGCCTGGGTGACCGGAGCCGCGCCAGCCACCCTGTCACCTCCACCATCGCCCCCTGCACCCAGCCTCGCCGCCGGCCACCAGCACCAGCCTCCTCCGTCTCTCTCTCTCTCTCTCTCTCCATTATTGTTTCCCACTCTACAGAGGATGGGGTCGGCTGATGATTAGGAAGCAAGTCAGACCTTCCTTCAAAGCCTGGTAATATTTATGTAGGCAAAAGAGACAGAGAGAGATAAAAGAGAGGGAGAGGGAGAGAGAGAGAGAGGAGAGAGGGAGAGGGGAAGAGAGAGAAAGAGAGAGAGGAGAGAGAAGAAACGGGAGGAGGGGATAAGGAAATTAAACCCTTTAAGTCAATGCATATTGTGGTGACACCGGCACAGGCGCCCTCACGGTGGAGTCGGCCAGGGCTGTGCGTTCCCAAAATATGACCAGGGGTGCTTGGATGTGTCGGCAGTATGACGACGGCTTAAAAATCTGGTTGGCAGCACCCCGAGAGAACGAGAAACCGTTCATCGATTCCGAGAGGGCTCAGAAATGGCGACTGTCTCTGGCATCTCTCTTGTTTTTCACAGTCCTGCTCTCTGATCACTTGTGGTTCTGCGCCGAGGCCAAGCTGACCCGGGCCCGGGACAAGGAGCACCAGCAGCAGCAGCGGCAGCAGCAGCAGCAGCAGCAGCAGCAGAGGCAGCGGCAGCAGCAGCAGCAGCAGCGGCGGCAGCAGGAGCCCTCCTGGCCCGCGCTCCTGGCGAGCATGGGGGAGTCCTCGCCCGCCGCCCAGGCACACAGACTCCTCTCCGCCTCCTCGTCCCCCACCCTGCCCCCCTCCCCGGGAGACGGCGGCGGCGGCGGCGGCAAGGGCAACCGAGGCAAAGACGACCGGGGCAAGGCTCTTTTTCTAGGAAACTCTGCCAAGCCCGTGTGGCGCCTGGAGACTTGTTACCCCCAGGGCGCGTCCTCGGGCCAGTGCTTCACGGTGGAGAATGCGGACGCGGTGTGCGCCAGGAACTGGAGTCGGGGGGCGGCCGGGGGGGACGGGCAGGAGGTGAGGAGCAAGCATCCCACTCCGCTCTGGAACTTGTCGGATTTTTACCTTTCGTTTTGTAATTCCTACACACTTTGGGAGTTGTTCTCGGGGTTGTCCAGTCCCAACACTTTGAACTGCAGTCTGGATGTGGTGCTCAAGGAAGGCGGCGAGATGACCACTTGCAGGCAGTGCGTCGAGGCTTACCAGGACTATGACCACCATGCTCAGGAGAAATACGAAGAGTTTGAAAGCGTGCTCCACAAATATTTACAGTCGGAGGAGTACTCGGTGAAATCCTGTCCTGAAGACTGTAAGGTAGGAACCCTCGGGGGTTTCCCCCTTTCCTGCACTTTCCTATCTCTGCTTGGTTGGGGTGTCTTCTCAAGTTTATTATTATTATTTTTTGGCTATGGTTTTGTTACTTTGTGTTTTCTGCGGTTATTAAGAGCTTGGCTTGCTGTTTGAGATGAGAATACCTGGTGGATTGCTGGTGGACTGACTGATGCCTTCTTCTGGGAGTCCTTGGAAGATCAGGGAAGTCCCCGGTTATCTGAGATAATCAAGCTGGCACTTTAACTGTTTCTTACATTCATGCAGTTGGCTCAAACTCTGTTACATCTTTTAAGAAAAGGAAGTTGAAAAAGTCTTGTCAGGAAAATAGCAATGAGACTGCACACTGATGCTCACAGGTAAAGTCAGAAGAGTTCGAGACAGGCATGTGTGGTTTGCAATATAGATCTGCACACAGGAACGCTCTCATAGTGACATCATTAAGTTGGTTGAGCAAGAGAAAGTGGTTGTAGTTGTTTCGGTAGTTAAAAAGAATTACCTGTTTTTACAGGGGTAGTTCTGGTTGTTCAGAAAGTCTGGGGGCCTACCTGAGGATATTTACTTTTTTTAAGTTTTCTGTTTCCTCTTGGACATTTGTATAATTATTGATCTGGGACTCACTATGAATGAACAGTTGTAATTAGGTGTCTAGTGATTGACTAGCAATAGGCTATTTATCAGACACACTATGTAATTAGCTTGATTTTCAGTATGCTTTCCAGAAGTATTAAATAGCAAAACGTTGATGATGTAGTTAAAATTTACTGAAATATTTAATAGTCTGTATTATATTTAAGCTCTCCCTGTTCAGTGTAATAAAGAATATAACCCTTGCTGATGGGCAAATGGGAAGCCTGCGCAAGTTTCTTAAGAATTGGTCGATGCAAATGCAACAATAGGCGCAGGTTTTAATAGAAGCGTCTCTGTCCGTGGTGCTGAAATGAGATTTACCCAAGAGCTGTACTGAAGATGAAGATACTGCAGTGACCTTTAGTAGGGAAGATGTAATGACAGTATCTCTATAAGCCTTAATGTTTTGTTCCAAGGGTAATTTCTTACACAACACAATAAACGGGTACTGCTTTTCAAGGGAAATAATACACCACATTCTCTCTCTTTCTCTCCTACTTTCCCAATCCCATATACAAGCAGAACAACTGTTCCTCTGTCTCACTTGCGTTCTGCTGGGAAAATAAAGTCAAGGGTGGTATAGATCAAATAATTTTGTGATTTTTTTGATAAAAGAACTGGACTAAGGGATGCCTATTTTAAATGAACACAGTCGAAAGGCCATATTTTACTTTGGGCGGATTAGTTGTGCTTTTGACAGTTAAATTAAACTCAAACTGACCTTGCCTTATTCTCATTCTTCAAGACCAGAAACACAGCTCTCTGAAAATAGTAAGTCTGAATTTACAACATTAATTTAGAGTGATACTTCACTAGACAAGTGTATCTTAAACTTTTTTATCTATTTTTTTAACCATATCACTTTAACTTATGCCTGGGAATAAAACTTTAATGGTAGAAATTAATAATGAATAACTACTGCAATAATTGCAGTTATTTATTTTGACAAGATATGTTGCATTGAAATTGTAAAGAAAAGGAAACTCTACGTCTTCTAATTCTACTAGTAATAAAAGGATTGCAGAGGGTTCAGTTTAGTTGTGTTTAAGAGTGGTACCCTGTAATAATTATATTTGCCTCCTTCCCTGCATGTAAACCCTAATTTCTGATAATTTCCATTTGTATAACTCAGTATTTAAAAGACAGTCTGTATTGACAATAGACTGCAGCGTATTTTCAAATGAGCATGCCAAATACATCTTAATTTAAATGTTCAAGTAAATATATTAAAAAGTTTTCTTTCCCCTTAACCTAAATTACCTCTCAACTGTATATTTACATCATTTACATAATCATAGCGATAAAGTATAGTGTAAGTTAACTCATTTATAACGTTATTGCCTACTTCTGGATTATGTTTTTGTGTAAAGTAGAAGTTAATTGTAGGCACAAAAAAGCACATTATGAAAACCTTAATTTCTTTAAAAACTTAGTCTTCGCCTTGATAAGTAAATGCAGACACTTGATTTCTTATCACCGCAATGGAGAATTAATTGCATGTTATGTCGTGCAGACGTTTATTGGTTGTGGGGTGTTTTTTTGTTGTGGTTTCTTGTAAACTTGAAATATTTATTCCATAATAGCTGTTGTCAAAAATTACAGTTGCAAATTTGAAGTGTGGTGTTCTTGGTTTAAGACTCACAAATCAATTGGTTATATGTAGAAAGGGAGTAGAAGCATAGTTTCTTAGTTTAACATATATTTTCTCTTTGATTCTGAAAAAGCCACAAACACATTCACATATAAACTATGCCACATTACTTAAAATGTTTTTTGTCTTTGAAAGATATGCCTGAGTTTCTTTCTGAACACTTTTACTTATTTCAGATGGACTTATGCCTATGAAATGACTATCATTAGGAGCCTTGTTCAAGATAGAAGTTCTATGCAAAATTTTTCCTTTCTGAAGGCATCTGCAAAGTCATAGGCTACATTAAAAGTAAATGTATTATATTTCTGTAATTGGTAATATTTTCATTAAAATTAATTTTAATTTATAATTTATAAATATATTTATTAAGATTGTAGAGAAAAGAATACATAAAATCATGTTAGCACCACAAATTTTTGGGATACATATTTTAGAAAAACTATATTAACTTTATTATACTCATTTATAATTAAATGAGTAATGCAGTGATTTCTAAATTTTAGAGTTAGGATGAATTATTACTTTCCGGTTACATATTCTGCCCTCATTCAAAACTGCTACATTTCATATAAAATAAGAATAAATTAAATTTCATTTTGATTTAAATTGTTTAAAAGGCTTTTTGACCAATTATTCAGAAGAAACCCCTTAGAATAGACCTAATAAAATTATAGTGTCTCAAACTTATAGTAATTGCTGGTCAAATATAGATTGGATGTACTTCTGTATTGCAATGTATCATAGAAAAAATATTCACTCAATATTTTTAAATATTCTGATAAATGTAAATATATGCATTTATCTGGGAAATTATTTATGGATAAATAAAGAACACGAGATGTTGACTATATCATTAATACTATAGCATTTTGCTACATTACATAAATTGAGTAGTAAATACTACAGCAGAAATTTTCCCCTGTAGTTTACAGTGTTATTTAAAACAATGTTTTTGATGCATAATAAAAAACTGACAAAGCTACCAAAATTTTTAAGTTGTTCGACAATATTAAAAAATGAAATATTCTAAGTTACAAAAGTACAAATATTTATTATAAACATGCTTGATTTTTCTTAAATACATATTTTCTCTTATACATGCCATTCTTTAGTTCCTGAGAATTCTTGCAAATGAATATAAAAGTGAGGAATTTATGGGATATAAACTTTTATTTTACAGACAAACTTCTAAAGTCATTGATAGCTTTATTTAGTTACTATTCCCTCAAACAGTTGGTCAGTGTAAGTGGGTTTGAGATTAGATTGCAAAATAAACCATTGTACCATCTGTACTTTAGTTCTCTCAGTATAAATTGTAATTTTTGTTCTCTCAAGAATGTATGAATGCTCACATTTTTATTTTTACAATCTTATATTAAAGCAGATTATATTGCTTATTTTTATATAACAGACTATGACCAAAAGGATACCTTGCAAGTATTAGGCATGTATAGCAGGGCTTTCTCATTTGCATCACCCACAAACATTACCCAACTAGTTTGAGAACATAGAGTTTGGTTACATAATGTACAATTTGAAAAGAAAAAAAAATGCATTTCTTAAATTCTTATGTATTTTAGTGTTACACACTGAAGATTCATAAAGAAATAGTTCTCACTCTGTCGCCCAGGCTGGAGTGCAGTGGCGCAATGTTGGCTCATTCAACTTCCACCTCCCGGGTTCAAGCGATTCTCCTGCTTCAGCCTCCCTCGTAGCTGGGACTACAGGTGCGCGCCACCACGCCTAGCTAATTTTTTGTATTTTTCATAGAGATGGTGTTTCATCATGTAAGCCAGGATGGTCTCGATCTCCTGACCTCGTGATCTGCCCGCCTTGGCCTCCCAAAGTGCTGGGATTACAAGTGTGAGCCACAGCGCCTGGCCAAGAAATAGTTTTTTAAGAAGAAATCAAGTATCTTACAATTTTTTATCACTTAAATTTTGAACCAAAAATATTTTGCTCTTGACTAAGTGCTATTGTAATATCATGTCACTGTTCAGAAGTGTGGAGTACACATCTGTAAATAGAACATTTTAATATTCTACCACTTTATTTACAAATAATTTTTATAGTGGAATTGCTTCTCTAGAAGATCAGTCTGACCATGCAGATGACTACTTAAAATTTTTTTTTATTGATGCATGATAGTTATATGTATTTTTATTTCTTTAACCATTAGTAAAGCTATTTATGAGGTTGAAGAGAATATCATAATCATTTTAGTTTATGGTTTATGTTTTTTATCTTCTTGCTCCATGTACAACTATTGATTTATGATTTGTGTTTTATTTTTATAGAAAGATATCCAACATTATATCTTATTATTAGATATTTGTTTTCTCACAGACCATGGAATACATATTTTTAGTTTGAACTTGTAACTGGGTCAAACTAGTGGCTACATAGGTATGATCACAAAGTTTAAATAATTGCTGTTATATATTGCTTTTAACCTCTTTTATTAGATGAAGTTAGTGTCCACATATACATGATGAATTAAAGTATTAACAAAGGAAATCAAGCAATGCTCTCATTCTCCTCCACATGTAAATCATAATTCATTAACATATATTTTTACCAGGTTTAATGTACGAGAACAAATTTATGGATAACTGTTTCAAACAAAAGACTATTTTGATTTGAATGATGTGAACTATTGCTTTAATTTTATTTCTCAATTTCTTTTAAAATCTTTATCCGCTGTGTTGCTCTCACAATGACTAAGCACCAAATATTTTGTTGTTTATATTGATCTACATTGCAAATATATTTTTTTCAGTTAACATATACTCTAGATTAGTGGCCTTTGGGGTCACAGTGGAACATCCTGGAAATCTTTGAGGGCGCTAAGGCCAGGGCATCCCAACCCTAAGAGATTCTGATTTTATCGTCCTGCCGGTGTCATGGGTCTGGGCTCTGTCAAAGTCTCCCTGGTGATTCTGATGTGCAGCCAAGGTTGGGAACCACCATTCTGGTTCACAGTGACAATTGATATAGAATGACCTTTCAGCTCCTATATCTCAGTAGTACATCATAATCCCATTTGCTCAACTGATGAAAGTATAACTCAGATATTTTTAAAAAGTGGTAATGGCAGTAAGACATATCCCAAGGGCAGGGAACGAATTTCTATTGATGAGACTGAGGAAGTGCATGAGAAGTGAACTAACTGGGTCTCAGAGTTAGGGAATGTGCTAGAAGGGATCATGGAGAGAAGGAGATGGATGTGTGGAGGGCCAGAGTTTTGACTGTTTAAGGTTGTGTCAGGCAACTATGGATTTTCTATGTTTTAGCCAAGGTTGTAATATCAGTCATCTTTTTTATTTTTTAAGTTTAATTCATGAGATACTATATAAAGTTAAATTTAAATTTTATCTAATAAGAAATCAAGCATCATTGTAAGCTACATAGTGGAATTTCTTCAATGTAATGCTCTAATTTACTCTGATTCTTTTTTTTTTTTTTTTTTTTGAGTTGGAGTTTTGCTCTGTCGTCCAGGCTGGAGTGCAGTGGCGTGATCTCAGCTCACTGCAACCTCCTCCTCCTGAGTTCAAGCGATTCTCCTGCCTCAGTCTCCTGAGTAGGTGGGATTACAGTAGCTGCGATTATAGCCTACCACCATGCCCAGCTAGTTTTTGTATTTTTAGTAGAGATGGTGTTTCACCATGTTGGCCAGGCTGGTCTCGAACTCCTGACCTCAAATGATCCACCCACCTCGGCCTTCTAAATTGCTGAGATTACAGGCATGAGCCACCGCACCCGCCTACTCTGATTCTTTAATACTGGAAATGAGAGATGGTTAACATGACTTCTTTCTTGTCAACAAATTGTTAATGACTTACAGTTGTATTGTACTGGAATGCATGAAAATATTTAATTCTTGGGTAGTTTTTTAAAATTCTTGGGCTTTTAAGGTGTTAAAATATGGTAGTTGATTTTCCCCACTTGAAGTTTTCTTTCTACATTGAGTCATTTACAAACAAAATTTATAGAAGCTATCTCAGATGCTTAAAGATCCTGCAAAAGATAGATGTTTAATACCTGTTTAAATACCGTTATTGATCTTAGCAGTAGAACATGTGTGGTGGGTGAATGCAATAATCATTTCTTCGGAAATACATGGGAATTTTGTATGTCAGCTGCTTCATTTTGCACAAGAAGAAAAATGAGTTCTATCAACATTAAGAAATTGCTGACTTAGCCTCTTCACCTCTCAGTTTTCCTTTCCTCCTTGTCAATGTGCCTTCTTTCCATCGCTGGGTCCTCTCCTGCCATTTGTTAGCTGCATTTCCAGAGCCTGTGTACCGTGGGGAACTCGAAGTTCAGAATTCTTCTTTTCTTCTCTGTACCTTCACCTCCATCAAAAAAGATTGATCTCTTTCTTATGGAGCTGTCACTGACTTTGTTTATTTGAATAGAAAACTGAACTAAGACGTTAAATAGACGATCATTATTAAGTATTAACTCTTACAGAAAATGACTTAAATCACCCAGAAATTTAAGCCCTAGAGCAATCTTTAATAGCAGGTAACAAGCTTCAGAATTTATTAGATGTCAGAAACTATTCTAATTTGTTTAATCATCACATCAACTTTATGAGGGAAGTATTATTACAGATTTTACAGATGGGGAATGTGAGGACATAAAGTTAACTATCCCAAGGTCAAACAGATGGGTTATTAATTAATTAATCTATTTTGAGACAGTGTCTCACTCTGTTGCCCAGGCTGGAGTGCATTGGCGCAATCTCAGTTCACTGCTACCTCTGTCTCCCAGTTCAAGTGATTTTTATGCCTCAGCCCACTGAGTAGCTGGGATTACAGGTGTGCCTCACCACAAATGGCTAATTTTTTGGATTTGTAATAGAGATGGGGTTTCCAAATGTTGGCCAGGTCTTGAACTCTCCACCTCGGGTGATGCTCCCACCTTGGCTTTCCAAAGTGCTGGGATTACAGGCCTGAGCCACCGCACCCAGCCGAGATGGGTAATTTAAATATTAGGGTCACTTCATCACTGTAAATGTTTTCTTTTTCCTTTTGATTAGAAATATTTACAAACATCCCAAAGAATTA
The DNA here is from genome assembly GCF_000001405.40 of Homo sapiens. Taxonomy (NCBI): domain Eukaryota; kingdom Metazoa; phylum Chordata; class Mammalia; order Primates; family Hominidae; genus Homo; species Homo sapiens. The sequence continues at coordinate 107,858,313 of NC_000013.11, read as the reverse complement.
AGACATTATTATAATAAACCCACATGTAACTGTCTTATACATTTTACAATTATTACGAATTTTGCCATATTTACTACTTCTATTTAGTTTTAATTTATCATTGAAAACATTTTTCGATGATATAGCAAGCAAAGAAGACAGAAATGTGAGAGTCCTGGGCAACTAGGATGGATGGCCAGGTTTATCATGTCAAAGGCTTAGGTAACCTGAATATGAATGAATAATGTGAAGATCAGAAGAACACGAAGGTTTCTGATTTCACGTTTAGAGCTGAGTAGAGAAAGGATGTGTGTATGGTTTTGGTGGGATGGAAATAAACTTTGGAGATTGGCGATAATTTCTATGAATTCATAATTTCAATATGGCAGAGTCTTTTAGTCTGGTATATGAAAAGACCTTGCCTAGGGCTTGATGATGCCCAGTAAATGGGAGCAATTCATTAAAACCCACGGGAAACATCAATAAAATTAATATAGTCCTCACTTGAGATCTCATATAAATTTTCTGTATAGAAGACTGATTTACAAGACTTTTATAAACAGACTTTGCATATTGTATGGTAAAATCCTCTGATTTATTGCACCTACATTTATTGTGCTTCTCTAGAAAGATGATTCAATTATTGAACAACTGTAGAGTAAAATGGAAAACATAAGTTCAGTTGGAGTAAAATGTTTCATTCCTAAGGCTGGAATTTTTTTCTCTATTTTAATTTAGAGATTAACATGTGCTACATTTTAGATTGACTGGATCCTGATAGGTGCGTAACCAAAGGCCTTGAACACTTTGGTTCACAGCCTTTTTGAGAGGACAAGGGGAGAAACCATTGTAGTGATCCTCCATCTCCTGTAAACCTGTGGGTAGAAATGGTCTTGGGAAACGTTTTGTGTTATGTCGTCTGTCAGGCATTGGAAAGCCATGTGCCTCCAGATTCCACTGTAGAAGATGTGAACTTTGTCCTGCACCCTAGATTTTCAGCTTTGTATTCTGTTATGGTTGGTTGTCTCTGTTGTTCTCTACTTCACTCGGCATTTATCCAGTCAGCCATAGTTAGTATTTTTATTGATTGAGGACTGAGATGAAGTGGGTAACAGATATCCTTGATGTCGAGCTAGAGCTACCAGACAAGGCAAACCTGGTAGCCATGACAGAGAAGATGGAGCAGGTTGAAGAAAAGCCTGGAAGCTGTGCTGCATGAATGAAAACAGGATTACCCTGAGATAGAGAAGACACAGGGAGACACAGCAAGGTTCTTTAACTTGACGAAAATTGTCCTGTGGAAGGAAGTCTTACTATCCAATGCTTTGTGTTGCTTTAGGGGTGAGAGTGAGGCTCTGTGTGCAGGTGTTTTGGCAAGAAGATCTCTGCTCTACATAAGGAAGAGTGTTCTATGAAAGGAGTTGCTCTCCTACAAAAGCAAGGGCTGTCTCAGGAACTCAAGAGCACATTTCCACAGAAGATGTACAAATGGGATGGGAGCTGTCGGCCACCACCCTAGAGAGCATCTTTCCTGTGGGTTGCAGGTTGGGCTACATAATTTTAAACATTCCATCCAACATCCTTTGGCATAAGATGAGGCACCCGGAAGTGACTTTGCATGGTGAGATGGTACTTAGTGCCAATAAAATTCCATCACATAAAAAAATAACTATTTTTTTTAGCCTAACACCTTGCTCACAGTAGTAGTACTTTGATTTTAAAAAGGAAAGCTTGCCAATTTCAACTTTAAATTATTTCTCTGATTCCTATCCATGTTATCAGTGAGAATAATTTAAAAAATAATGAATAAAGTATATATACTTACCCTAGAGTTAGACAGGAAGTGAAACTAATGAATAAGTAATTGTTTGCTCTTGCTAATATCGAGAATATATACTGTCTCATCTCTTCTGGTCACAAACACATCAAGCATTATAAACTCTCAAAGAACCCTCTAGAGCAAAGCAGGACTCAACATTATGGTGGTGCTGGGAAGGAGAAGTTTTCATATGACCTTTCTCCATTGGTTTCACAGCACTTCTTTGCACACAGTTATTCATGTCCACATCCAATTCTTTGGGGACATTATCAAAAGAACTGAAGTCATTGTATACAAATTCTTTCTCTTGTCCAGGTGCAGTGGCTCATGCCTGTAATCCCAGCACTTTGGGAGGCTAAGACAGGAGGATCGCTTGAGTTCAGGAGTTTGAGATCAGCTTGGGCAAGATAGTGAGACTCTGTCTCTACAAGAAAATTTTTAAAAATTAGCCGGGCATGGTGGTGCATACCTGTGTCCCAGCTACACAGGAGGCTGAGGTGAAGTCATTGGAATCCATGAGTTTGAGGCTCCAATGAGCAGTATTCGTGCCACTGTACTCCAGCCTGGATAATAGGGCAACAACCTGTCTGAAAAAAAAAAAAATTCTCGCTCTTAGGGAATTCCACTTATTCAATAAACAAGTTCTGTCATAATAATGTTATCATCCATATATTATTCATTCCCCACAAAAATTCAACATCATGGGCAAACTCAGTTTTCTTTATCAAAGCGGTAATTAAGACTTAGGTTAAGAGTGTGCGAACATTCTCATAGGTAAGTATGGCACATCCAGAATTCAAACCCAGGAACACCTGGCTCTTAATCTCTTGGGTTTACCTTCACTATTACCTTATACTGCTCACTGTGCCGCAAGTCTTTGCCCATGTCTGGTTGCCCTGTTGTTTCTTTTGTTTTTGTTTTAGAGGGAAGGAGGTGGAGGAGAACAGCAGGAGTGGATAAAGTGTACAATTCTTTGGTACATAAAAGATAATGTAACTTGCTTCATCCAGAATGTGTGTTGTTGTGGCAGCTTGGTGTAAAGCAGGGGTGTCCAATCTTTTGGCTTCTGGGGGCCACATTGGAAGAAGAATTGTCTTGAGCCACACATAAAATACACTAACACTAATGATAGCTGATGAGCTAAAAACAAATCACAAAAATGTTTTAAGAAAGTTTGTGAATTTGTGTTGGGCCACATTCAAAGCTCTCCCGGGCTGCCAGCAGCCCACGGGCCGGGGGTTGGACAATCTTGGTGTAAGGAATGAGCATAGGCTTAAGAGTCAGAGAGGCCTTGATTCCCAGGGTGCTTTCACCAGTTCCTGTAAAATGGGGATTGGTGCATCCAGTTTAAGGCAGCACCCAGAGATACAATGGAGCAAGCATGTGGTGAAATGTGGCTAGAGCTTCCTTTCTGTCAGCGAAACGCCTCTGCAAAGAGGTGACCACTCCCTGCTACACCTCACCAGCACTCCACTGTGCCTGCTCTCTAGATGCTGAGCAGGTAGAAAAGATCCACGAGGTTATCTGCCTAATCTCAGTAATTGGTTTCTTACCAAAAGTTGGCCTTTTCCTAGTCCAAATGAACTGCCTCACAGACGTTTTGAAGTAGGTTTCCATATAGGTCTTTTTTTCTTTTTTTTTTTTTTTGAGATGGAACCTGTGTCGCCAGGCTGAAGTGCAGTGGCGCCATCTTGGCTCACTGCAACCGCCGCCTCCCGGGTTCAAGCAATTCTCCTGCGTCAGCCTCCCGAGTAGCTGGGATTACAGGTGCACACCACCGTGCGTGGCTAATTTTTTTTGTACTTTTAGTAGAGACGGTGTTTTGCCATGTTGGCCAGGATGGTATCAATCTCTGGACCTCGTGATCTGCCCGCCTCGGCCTCCCAAAGTGTTGAGATTACAGGCGTGAGCCACCGCCGCTGACCCCAAATAGGTCTTTTTAAAAAGGCATGGGTAATAAATTTAACCTCAGGAATCACAGTGACCCTAGATAGCTGCAGAGTTTGGAGAGAAGCAAGTGTTTTTAAAAAGGTCAATGTGAATCTTAAATCATTTAAAATCGGGTATCTCCGGCCGTAGTGAACAGCAGACTGGTGGTTATGGACCACTAGCCAACAAGTTGTCAGGCAGGTATGCCTTCTCAGGCAATGGCCTCATGCCACAGTCCAGATGAAATAGTGAAATAGCGAGAAAAAAGAGAGGCCACAAGCATGAAAATGCAAGTGACCTGCTTTCTGGAGGTTTGGCCAAGTATGGCAGGTTTCAGATATATTCTATGGGTCCCGGAAAGTTTCTAAATATATATATTGAATATTAAAAGTCACTTATGAAAAGATGAATCCTTTTATATCATTTCAGCTTTGGCTTTTTTTACACCGAATGTTCGTTTTTATTCAGTGTGCCTGCAAATTCTAGTAAAGAGGAGAGAATTCAGCTCTGAGTGAATAAAATCCTATCTGCATAGTTTTGCTTCATTGACAAGAAAATGGAGTATTTGCTGTCAACTAAATTGGATTTCTCCATTAAATGAATTAGCTCTTTAAGATGATTAAAATAGTTGATCCAATCTTTAAGTATTTTTTAGTATTTTGTTGTCCTTACAACTTAGTGGGTGAAACAGTCCAACTATTTCTATGCTATTTCACCTGCAGTGAGTCAAAGGAGCTGTTTTTTGAAAAAATCAAACTTTTTAAAGTTTTAAAGTCTTTTTTAAAAGAGTACCCAATCTATTTTTGTGTGTTTTATTTAGTCTTTGGTAAATACATTTCTCATTTCTAAATAACTGCAGAATCTGTGGAACATTAGGAAAGTCTATTGATATTTATGTCTTAAATCCTTAATTGTACATTTAGAATTAAATTTATTAGTTTAAATTTTAATTTGTGGTATTGCAGTATTGTGATACTAAGAACTCAAATTTTTTCATAGTGAAAATTTCAAAGTGTTCTTAAAGCTGTGGGGATAATCTTTGGTGTTCCCAATTGTTTCATAAAAGTAGCAACTTTACAAAAGGCTGTAATTGCAGGAGTGGTTACAATGCTTATCAGTTTTTCCTAGTTCCCTTTTTGACTGTGTCCACAGGAAAAGAAACTAAGACCCATAAATAACTACAATTGAGACAAATACAAATATGCAAAGATTTAAAACATTGTTTTGTCAATTAATTTTCTGGGGCTAATAATCTTTCTCAGAAATATGGTAAATCACTGATAAGGAAATGAAGCTCAGGTTTTCAATATTACAACCTACTTAGATGGATATTAAATTTTCTCACAATATCAACTTTAGTCAGATTAAATGCAAAATCTGAGCCGTGCAAATTTGCATTTCTTTTACAACTGGAGAACATTAATAATATTAAAACAATATAGCTGAAGACACTATACAGCACTCAACAATTTCCTTTTTTTCCATGTGATGACTAGAGTAGAATAATTTTAGAAAAATTAATTTATGATAGAGCTGGCTTTGGGAAAAAATCATATTCACTCAAATATGACTTTTAATTAATTCATCTTAATAGTCTGACATTTGAAATGCATGGGACAAGATGAAGTGGCTGAAAGGATGCTGCAAATAAGCCAGGAAAACCGCAAAATGATGTTTGAGAGTTCCTGTTTCCTACCTCTGACCGATTATAATACTTTTCTCTTATCAGTGGAATGCTATCTCCATTGTGGGTTATTTTGTATGGCCCTGAACCTATACTTTTTCTATTGTGTTTTTTTGATGCCATGACAACAGATAATGTACTTAATGTGGAAACTTAAGAAAAATAATTTTCCAAGGGGCTTTTCAACCTGGTTCTTCTGATTTCTTCAAGTAATGGTGAAGGACCATTTTCTCGGTTGCCCATGCTTGTGGAATGAGCACATGAATCAGACAGACCAAGATCTGTCAGTTCTGAAAAGACCACATGCATTTCCTCGAAATGATCACAGTGACTTTGTGCAAAGGATATGATCATTGTCCAGCGTCATTAAAGGATGCTGCATAAAGAAACATTTTAATGTCTTAATTTGTGATCATTTTCTCTGGGAATGCATTTTGTCACACAAGTGTTGTGTACTGCATGGAAAAAGAAGCATAGTAGAGCAACAAATGAATATTGCTTCTTAAAAATAGAATTTTAGTGGAAACGGTTCTTAATTTGAGTGCTGTTATTATATGGCAATGGTAATTTAGGCACTGAGATAAAAGGTGTCCCACAGTGCACCTAGTTTAAAAAGGAGTAAGTCATCAAGCATTTCATCATGTGTGACTCATATATGGACATGGAAAAATGTAAGCCATTTATATATAAACACGATGCTTATTAAAGGAAAGGAAGAAAAGAATATAATGGAAAACCTAGAAGAATACTTGCTTTTCTTTTTCTAGGTGCACATTAATTAGAACAAGATTAAAGGGCATGGGTCAGGTGAGGTGGCTCATACCTGTAATCCCAGCACTTTGGGAGGCTGAGGCAGGAGGATTGTTTGAGGCCAGGAGTTCAAGTCCATCTTGGGCAACATAATGACACCCCCCAAATTAAAAAAAAAAATAGCCGGGCATGGTGGCATGCACTGAGTCCAAGCTACATGGGGGACTGAGGTAGGAGGGTTGCTTGGGCTTAGGAGGTAGAGGCTGCAGTGAGCTATGATTGTCCCGCTGCACTCAAGCCTGCATGACAGAGCAAGAATTTGTCTCAAAAAAAAAAAAAAAAAAAAAGAAAGGGCCTGTAAAGCCCTTAATCCAAAAGCATTGTGCTCTTAATCTGTTACTTAAAAATTCTAGTTAACACATTTCCCTTTTCAAACGGTCCCACTTCCAACCTGTGACTGAAAATTAGATTTTACTCAGATCTTTGAAATTAAGACAGTGCAGCAATTTCAACCTGACAGTTGTTCCTTCTCCTTGCTTAAGAAAGGGTCGTCGTTTCTCTTCTAAAATGTAGTAAGCTCTAAGTCAGATAATTACAAAATAGTAATTTTATAAAATATAGTGTTTGATAACTTTATGACTGAACAACAGAGTCTTTTATATGGGAAATATAAATACAGTATTTTATTTGTACATGTTTCTTTATGGCTAATTATGGGTTTGAAAAGTAATAAACAGTGATGTGATCACTCCATAGCTTGCAGTGGGGATGTGTCTCCTTAATCTGGCCACTTAAAGAAAAAAAAAAAAAACTGTTCATCTGTGAACTTTTCCAGATGTGCAATTTTAAAGCTAATGTCACTTGTTTTCCAAATTAGAAGCTGTTAGCAAAATATGTCACTATATCATTCTGCTGCCTAGTTTATGAATTGGAAGACACTGAAAAGATACTATAAGGTTACCATGTCCGGTAAAAAATTCAGACGACATTGAAAGAGAGAAGATTCCACTTGACAGAAAAAGTGACTATTTGACAACATAATTGAAAAATTAATTCAACCATGAGGGTAAACTGTCAATATTTTCCTTTACTACACACTACACGATCTTATTCAGATAACTTCCCTAGGATGTGCAGAGAAGCAGGATTGTTATAACCTCCGACAAATCACCTAGGCAGGTCATATAGTTCAAAAAATTCAAATTGTTCACAGCAATTTTCTTTTTCTTTTTCTTTTCCTTTTTTTTTTGGAGATGGAGTCTCGCTCTGTCATCCAGGCTGGAGTGCAGGAGTGCTATCTTGGCTCGCTGCAACCTCTGCCTCCTGGGTTCAAGTGATTCTCTTGCCTCAGCCTCCCAAGTAGCTGGGATTATAGGCACATGCCACCACGTTCGGCTAATTTTTGTACTTTTAGTAGAGATGGAGTTTCACCATGTTGGCCAGGCTGGTATTGAACTCCTGACCTCAGGTAATCCACCCACCTTGGCCTCCCAAAGTGCTGGGATTATAGGCGTGAGTCACCGTGCCTGGCCAGCCAATGTTTTAAATATCGCTTTCCAAACATTGTTCTGTATTATTTCGCATTATGAAATGAGTTAGAGTATCACCAGTAAAACAAGGAAGAAGCTGTTACTGGAAGAAACTGAATCCCTAATGGCCATGATTCGGCTTTTCGTGTGTATGTGTGCATGTAAAGTCTATTACTTATAATAGAAACCAATATAAACAAGTATAATACTATGACTGCTTTTGTCATCTGATTTGAAAACAGTTTAATATCAGGCAACAACCCAAGTACAGGGAAGGTATGTGATGTAAAACATTCTTCTGTCTTTTTAAATATAATTGATTTAATCAAATTTTATCTTTTTATTTTAATTTGATATGTGGAGAGACAGCAAAATTATGCCTAAGCTGGAGGGAAGATTTCTTCCTCTGGTAGGTAGTGGTAGTGAACAATTAGCACTTAGTGATAATGCCGGGCCAATTTATTTCATTCTGTGAAGTAGGCCTGATAATTATCCCATTTTGCAGATAAGAAAACTAAGGCCTAGGGCACAGCATTCTTAACTAAGGCATTTTAACACAATTTTACATTTATTTTTTGTCATATTACTTGGTGTAGAAACAATCTTAATTTTCAAAGGTTGCATACAAATTGTTGAAAAGGAAGAAAATAATAAATTACTAAAAGTATTAGCCTGAAGACAATTTCTAGCAACACATGAATAATTTACATGATAAAGCTATAAAATGAATTATATACCAGTGCCTTTGTTTCTCCTGTTAGATTTTGAGAGTACTCTTAAAGATAGGCATTGTTTCTTGATTATTTTTGTCTAATCACTTGCAAAGAAGAAAAGAAAGAAAAAAGGAAAAGAAGAGAGCTTGCAGGTGGGTGGTTACGAAACACAGTGGCAGGTTCTTTGACACTCCTCCAATTGAGAGTGAGTAGGGCAGAAATAATGTTCTGGGACTTCCAAGGTAGATGATAAAAGGCCATGCAGTTTTCATGCTGTTTACTGGGACAAGTATTCTTGAAGCTTTGAGCTGCCCTGTAAGATGTTCAATTAGCCCAAGGCCAGCACACTGCTAGGAAGTCCAAGCCTCATAGAGAGGCCTTGGGCAGGCTTCTTCATACAGTCTCGGTTGAGTCCAGCTTTCATGTCTTCCCAGGCCATGCACCAGACATGTGGGTGAAGCTTGCAGATTAACTTACCACCCAGCCATTTAGATCACACTGACCGCTTCAAATCTTCCCAAAGTCTTACAAACTTTAGAGGAGAGAACTATCAATATTTTTCTTTACTACACAATCTTATTCAGATAACTTCCCTAGGATGTGCAGAGAAGCAAGGTTGTTATAACCTCTGACAAGTCACCTAGGCAGGTCATATAGTTCCAAAAATTCAAATCACTCACAGCAAATGTTTTAAATATCACTTTCCAAACATTGTTCTGTATTTATTTCACATTATGAAATGAGATAGAGTATTACCAGTAAAATGAGGAAGAAGCTAAATCCCTAATGGTCATCATTATGCTCTAATTACACAACATCTTAATTCCTGAGCCACCAAAATTCTAGAACGCAATAAAATGGGTGTTGTTGTAAACTACATTTTGGGGTGTTTGTTATGCAGCAATAGATAAGTGGACAGTGTTCCATAATATTTTGATGAATGATTCTCCATTATGTGAGAGGTTCCACTGAGTAAAATTAATGAAAATTGAAATAAACCTATGTGGCCTCGTGTATTTGACTGAATTCTTTTCCTGTCAGGTCGGTAATGCTGGTAAGTAGATTCTTGAAGGTATTTCAGAAATTTCCCCTGCCTGTTCATTTAAATCATTTAGTATCAAATATGACAGGTCAGACATTTTGCACAATTTTTCATTTGAAGAGTTATGAGAAATATTATGTTTCCAAAAGGTAATTGCCTATGGACAGGTTGTAGATACAGTTTGAGGCTGAACATGAAGTGCCACGGAGAGACACAGAGGATGCTTAGGGAATTTAGGATAGATCACTTTTTGCATTTTTCATTGAATTATACTCATATGTGTTACTGTTTGTCCACATGTGGCAAGTAACAAGGAAATTAGCTGTCCAAATAATTAAAGCATCAAAATACAGCTGCTTGCATTTTGAAGGGAAAAGTAATTTTAAGGCTGCATTATTTGGGAAAGTTACTTGAAATCATGTTTGGTTGCTGTTTTCAAATTAATGAACCATAGTAAACTATTCCTCTTGAAATTGAATCATTTACTCTGCATTTATAACATCAAACATTCCATCTTAGAGTTTCTGTCGTTCTTTAGGAGAAAAGTTACATTTTCATGCGTATATTAAAATCATCCCCTCTTTGATCATGTACCTACCAACCATACTTTTGAACATTGTAAAGAGTATTAGTGCAAATTTGCTCATTTGATTTGTTTGAAATATTTTGGGAACAGTTAAAGGTTAACAGTTTGTAGAAACCACCAAAGGAAACTTCGTTGTGTTGTAATCAGCAACAAAAGGCATCATCTAACAGCTGAAAGTGGCAAACAATGAATTATCCTGAAGGAAAGCATGAATTAGTTTTCTGACTGATTGAGTACACTTTTGATTCAATAGAGTGGTTGCCATTTTTCACAGATAATTTCAAAAGTGGAATAATATTATATCTGATTTCTTCTTAAAGTTTAGATCAAAGTGAAGCAGGTTCAGTTTATTTTTCTTGCTTTGCAAAAAAAGTAGAGAATTTCATTAGTTATCTATTGCTGTGTAACAAATTTTCACACATATAGAGACTTAAAACAAGTCGTGTTTATTATCTCACACTTTCTGTGGGTCAGAAATGTGGACGCAGCTTAGCTGTGTCCTCAGCAAAGCTACAGTCAAGGTGTCAGCCAGGGTTGGGGTCTTATTTGAGGCTCTGCTAGGGAAAGATCAGCTTCCAAGCTCACGTGGTTGTTGAATCCTGCTCCCTGCGAGCTGTTGAGCTGAGGATCTCAGCTGTTCGCTGTCTGTGTGCTGTCTCTAACTTCTTTGCCTGTGACCCTCTCCAAAGTAGCTTACAATCTGGCAGCTGGCTTCTTTAAAGCCAGCAAGGGGGAATGTTTCTCAGTAAGACAGATGTTTCAATCTTATGTAATGTCATCACGAGACTGACATTCTTCACCTTTGCTGTATTCTGTTTGTTAGAAGCAACTCACTGGTTCTCACCACATTCAAGGAGAGGTGATGACACAAGGCCATGAATTTCAAGAGGAAAAATCAGAGGCCCACCTTAAAGACTGTTTGCACATCCGTTACATTATTTTTTAGATGATCAGAGATAATTTCACATAATGTAAAATCAGCTAAGGAAAAATACATGTTTATTTTTGTTTGATTTTGTCAATAAATCAAAGAGAAATGTTTGATAAATATTTGTAAACATAGGAGACCATCACCCATTATTAAATGCAAATAGGTAAATTAAATTTTATTAGGCATTATTCTGCATAAGGAAAATTTAGTTTTAATTAATGAAATAAAAAAAGGTCATGTTCAAGTTTTCTTTTTTTCCCCAAAACAATGTATAAAATCAACTCTAAAGTTTGCCTTTAATTTTTTTTAATTTAAGAAATTTGCTGTCATTATAGAATAATAAATGTTATATAATTGCTTTAGAAGTCTGTTTCCTAAAAATGTATTTTGGAGCAAATTAATAAATCTTTGGAACCTGTAGTTTCTAAGTGGTGACTTAGAACTCTCATAATTAGATTGACTTACTTAGGCCATTGCAGTAATCATATATGCCTATTTAGTCATCTGTCTAAATCTCATTTGTCTGAAATGCTGCCCATAAGGCTAAATCCAGATTAAAGGTTTCAGCAATGGGATTTGAAATAAACACGAAGGCACTTTAGGACAACTGCCTTTTATGAATAGAAGTCTGGAAACTCCTCCTCAGCTATTCTGACCCTACTAGCAGATTTATTTCTTTTCACCAACTCTGGAATGCTAGATATTCTTCTAATTCTTCTAGGAGATGCATCTTTTGTCTTTAGTCCTTGATCCTCATTAAAGCATAGATTCTACATGCCTATCCTCATTACACATTTACTTTAAAGTAAGATTTTCCCACATTTTGTTTACTGTATGGTTTTGCTAGGGAGAGTGGGGTAGGAATGGGAGTACTGAGGCAGGCTGGAAAGGCAGGTGGGTCTATCAATCAGGATAGACGAAGTTTCCCTGACTAATGAACATTCCCCAAATATTCCTGGCTTACAACAATTTCTGCTAAAGGTTTCTTTCTTGCTAACATTCTATGCCTTTTGTGGTTCAGCAGTGCCTCTGTATACATTTTCATTCCAGACTCCCGTCTGACAGAACAGTCTCTATCTAGAACATGGTGGGTTTCATGGCGGAAGAAAAAAGACACAGGGCCATACTCTGTTTTTGAAAAATCTAGCTCAAAAGTGATACAGGACGCTTGCAGCTACCTTTCACTGACTGAAGCAAGTCAAGTCACCACTCCTGTGTTCAATGGAGCAGGGAGGGACCTGGAATGTGTGACAAGCAGTGATACAATCTACCAGGGGATAAGGGCAAAATGCAGAGAACCTGGGCTCAAAGAAGATAGATTTGTACATTTCAGGGCTTTGCTTATGATTGGTACTATTTTTTTTGCTGTATACTCTAATATATATATTCATATGTATTTGAATTATATTTAGGTACATGAATTTGAATTATATTCAACTCTACCATTATCTTCCAGGTTTCAAGCTGTCCTTTCTCAGGAAAGAGTTACAAATAATTCTTTAGTAGTGGCATTCTTTTGGGTAGTATTATGGTGCTAAAACTGATAGAGCTGATGGATGAGACTTTGTTCACTTGTAATTTTAAAATGTCAGTAGTTTAAAAGAGAGTGGGGAAGTTAGCATGGAGGTATGTGTTTAGCAATATTTTGGAGTCTTCTCCCAAAAAGCCTAGGGGTTAAAGGATCCCGAGATCTGAGAGATTATTCTCAATTGCATTATCTCTATATGACTATGGTTTCATGAGTTAAAGTTATCCAAATAAGTGGAGAAAGATAGAATGCTTTGTATTGAAAATGGAAGACACAGTGTGGGGATAATGTTTCAGATTCTGGATTCATGCTCACTGAGTGACTGGTATGGATTTTGTGGAGAAGGAGTGAATCGTGTTAGGGCATTGGGCAAGCTGACTAAGGCTGAGGTTCACCATTACCCTGCCCACCTCAACATCCACCTATTCCTTATCATCAGGTAGACTCATTCCACAGCACACACTGGACATTCTGATTGTTTCAGGAAGTGTAAATGGATCACTACAAATACATCATCACCACTTGGAAAAGGATTTCAAGCTTATGCCGCCTAATAGCATTACACTGATGTTTGATGGAGACAATGGAATTAGCAATCTTTCATCTGGACTTGGGTCATGCCAAAATGACAAAAGAAATTAGTGCATTCAACCAAAATTAAGAATTTAAAAAATCTTTCTGGAATTTTCTTTGCCATAAATGAAATCACCATATTCCCAGATATTTTGAACTATTAAGCTATGTGTATAGTGTGCCTTTTTCCTATGCGTAATTGCTGACTTAGAATTAATGTGCTGTTGTAAATTTCCAAAACTCTAAATCTTATTTATTCTTGCATTATATCTGATACCTAAGTATTCATTAAATGTTTGTTAAATTGATATATTTGACTTGGAAAAATTTAGTTTTAGTATCATAAACATGAAAAAGGAAAGAACCAACTGTTGGGTATCCAGGCCTGCTTTGACTCTCAGAAACGCCTATCCCTAAGGTCATGCTCTTGAGGAAATTAGGCACAGTTTAGCTATGGTCTTTTTCTGTGTGGTTCTTAAAGTCATGCTGGATCACAATGTCAAAATCTTGTTTGAACTAGGGAAAAAGTAATTTAAACAAATCCATCTCTTCATTTGAAAATGTATTCATTCCATTGTCAAACTATCGGTTGTTGGATTTCTTCAAATCAAAGGATGATTCATACAATTACTATATTATGATTAGCTTTATTAAGGGACTGAAGTTATTTTAATGGTTTGTGATGAATAAAAAGATTAACTGTGAAGAGCTAGTCTGTAGCAAGAACTACTGAATATTGAATTCAGTTATACTTATTGTGGAATATTCTTTTAATAAAACTGAATCCAAAGGTAAAGCATTTTGTTCCTTAAAACTTCATTGAAGTATATCTTAAGAATGACCTACATAATAATGAATTTTCAAATTCTTATTAGTATCTTGCAAAAATATAAAAGAACCCTGACATAATGACAGCTTTTCAGTTTAAATTTGTGTTTTTTATTATTAGTTTTCTTCTGGTTGTTTCATAAGATTCTCTTGTATAGTTTGATTTTTTTAGATTTTCTTATCTGTATTTTATTTGTGGCTACAAACAACTTGCTACTCAACAGACTGTCTTTATTTCTAGTAATAAACATTAGGAAAGGGAATGTTAAGTTATTCTAATTACCCTAATCAACTATTTTTAGAACCCTTCAAAAAAGAGGTTTCTTTAGAGATTGGGTAAGAGAAGAGTGAGTATTAATGTCCATTATTAACTGATTCATAAAAGATTTAATTATGCAGAAAGTAAAGACTAAGCATTTTTTGATGCTTCAGTACTGAGTGGAAATAACTCAATGAAACCTACTTTTGCAACACTGTATCTTTTTGGAAGCAATAGCATTTGCTATTAGGGGCAACGTCTATGTTACACAATATAATTTTTTATCATTAGCTAACATTTCGTTTCTCTCCAAACATCTTTAAAATGCTGTTAAGTTTATTCTCAATTTATTTTTTGGTCTGATTCCATTCGCAGATGGCTTATGTTTCTACTGGCTCTTCTTTCTTTCACTGATTTTTGGTCATTCTGGCCTCCATACCAGGGAAGGCAGTAAAGAGGTCATCCATGTGCACTTCAGAAGTTTTAGGGTGTATCTGCTGGAAAACAAAGCTGAAATAAGAAATTGGAGTGATTAGGTTCATCTCCCAGTAAATTTCATTTACTTTTACCAGGGGAAGCACTTGGGGATCTTGCGAAAATGCTAAGCCTGATTCTTCAGGTCTGGGGTGGGGCTGAGCATCTGCATTGCAGATAAGTTTCCAGGTCATGATGTGTTACAAGTGATAGCAGGAAGACTTGACCATTGACAAAGGGAGATTCGAGGAGGTCCTTTTAGCATTTCCTTTCTAGAGCAGCAGAGAATGTGGATGATTCTCTAAGTGGAGCGTGAACTATATGCAGTCAGAATGTCTAGCCTCAAACTTCATCCCTGCAATTTAAAAGCTGTGTGACTTCACGCTATTTCCTTAACTTTTCTGATACTCAGTTGCTTCATTCTGTTATGACAATAATAGCATCTACCTCTTGGCATTGTTGTATAGATTAAATAAATTCAGATAAATAAAACGCTTAGAATACTATCTGGAGCATTTTAAGTATCATAGAAGTGTTTGTTAGATAAATAAAATATGCTTTGCATGTAAAACACAGCAGCCCACCATGAGTCTTCATTAATGGTCTGCTGGCCATTGTTATCTAAATGTTAAATGTATTTCTACTGCCTAGGCAGGTATCAGTGGCCTGGATAATATGCACATGACCCATGGAGCCTGAGTGCTTCTATGGCTTGGGGAACATCTGGATGATCCTCTTATTGAGGAGAACACATCAGTTTCTTGGGGAAGGGGGCCGTATCCTAGTGTTACCTAAATAAGAAGCCAGACAGAAATATCACACCGGCAGATGTCTTCTTCCCAGAGATTTGCCAAGATGGATTAAATCACTCTCAAGTTTTTCCAAAGAGTGTGCTGAGGAATGACTAATAACCTAGGAAGTTGAGAGCTGATGAAAGATAAAGGAATTTTTGCTCGTTTGTCAGAGATTTATTAGCTTTTAAAAAAAGTTAATTACTTTCTTTATGGCAGGTCTACTTTTGTAGACCTGCCATAAAGGCCATTCTTTTGTATATCATGTGCTTTTGAATCTCCAAGCTTATTTAAATATAAAACTCTTTTATAAGGCATTGTGAGGGACTTATGTCCACTACAATTTGAGACACTAAAATAAAAAAAAAACTCTAAAGATACTTTACCACAAAAACTGTTACTTGTTGGTTAATGTACAAATTTATACCCTTAACCTTTTTAGGTAATTTACTTTTAATCTTTACATTTGATTTTGAAAGCAATTGTAATTTTGTATTATAATCATAGCCATTACTGAAGGAGTTCTTAAAGGCAATATACTAAATTTCTGTAATAAACACACTATTTCTTTGTTATCTTGCACAAATAATTTGATTTCTCTCAGTTTTGATTGTTTCATCTATAAAATAGGCATACTTCATTTTCATACATATAAATGATGAAACATCTAAAAAATTTTTTTTCAACTCTGATATCTGTGAGTATATGGATTTTGGGCCATGTTTATATCAATGATATATCAGGTATTTTAAAGAAATAAAATAATCAATTGCTTGTTTTACCTTATTATACACATCGAGGTTAAATTGGCTAAAATGTTCTAAATGGAATCAAATTTTAAAAATTTATTATGTATAAATGAATATGATACTTCAAGTAATAAATTTAAAAGAGTTCTTAAATATAAGCAGATATGAGCATATTTTTATTTTTAATATGTGGCTACTCATTAATATTTTATCTACATATTGTCTATTTCTAAAATAATAGTAATTATATATAGATGCATATTTCTCCGTATGATTTTCAGAAAGCATTCTTTTGCAAGAATATTTGGGATTTCAGTGATACTTCAAGTATGCAGGAAATATTATAAAAAAAGGCGTACATTTTGACTTCTTTTTCATAACTTATTTAAACAATATGCTTTCCCTACGGCAGTGTAAAAAACAGTCTTTGTGAAATGTGATTTGTTAAAACAAAATAAAACAAAACAAAGTCAAACAAACAATTGAAAACTTCTTATGTTTTTTTTTTTTTAAGGATATTCCAGCATTTCTTTTGCATTTCTCTTTTGTATGGGCAATAAAAGCCCAGAGTAACTATCTCTGGGAAGAACCTAGACCTACTAAACAGGAGTAAACATCCATGACTTATAATATTTATTTACATTATTCCAGTGGTGGGGATTTCCCCCTTTTTTCCCCTCAAACATTTTAATATGAATTTTTTCTACTTAAAGCAAAATACCCTTGAAGAGCACTTCTTCATGTCATCAAATGTGCCAAATAATCATCTTTGTCTTTGACCAGCTCTGTCCCTTTTAGGATGGTACCTTGAAGGCACACATAGCGAGAGGGCTGTCTCTTCATGCAAGCTCTTTAGCCAGTAGTTTGGGCAGTGACAGATGGAAGCCCAGATGATCCCTGATTGCCTTGACTCCTCACTGGTCTGTAAAACCTAGAATGCTGTTAAAATTTTATTTCAAATATGCATAAGTGTAATTGCATGATTTAACAAATTTTAAAAAATATCTTGTATATACAAAACATGGGATGGAGGTGGCCATAATAGTTGTGCAATTCACTTTTGTTGAGTAAATGAGTGAATACATGGATGATGACCCCTGCCCCTCAAGAGCATATAATATAATTAGAGAAATAGAGTTGTTTAAAATGATTTATTTTCCAAGCCAGGATGCTAGGGATCACTAGGAAAGGTCAAGTTCAGCAAGGAAGGATTAGGAAAGATTTCAGTTAGGAAGTAGCTTTTAAATCAAATAATAAAGATGAGTAGAATCTTAACATATGAAGGAAAAAAGGGCAGTCTGGGTAGACAGAATACCGAGAACAAAAACCCAGAGACTAGAAAGACCAGGGTGTGTTGTGGAAGGAGCTTACTGTGTCTGATGGGTTTGATGTACTGAAAACCTTTTCAAGTTGGTTTTGGTCCAGTTCTTTTGTCTCCATGTATGAGAGACTGACAACTGCTTCCCAATAGACATTCTCTCTTCACTGTCGAGGAATAGAACCCGAGTATCCGAAACTAATTTGCAGCTGCATGTGTCAGTGAGACCAAGTACACTGAATGTCTGTGTGCATTTGGTGTAATCCTTTAGGGGGATCATCTTAAATGGAAGGCACATTCCTTTTCCTTTTATCACTCCATTTTGCCACCTGAAATGCAAGTGTAATGTTCAGGAGCTCCAGCAGACACCTTGAACCTTGACCAGGAAGGTCATGTTATAAGATTGGTACAATTTCCAGGGGACCTGATGAATATCTGGGTCTCCTAAACCAATATGGACCACCTACTGCCACTTTTAAAATGCAAGAAATAAACTGTTTGCTTGCAGCCACTATTTTTGGGGATTTTGTTGTTATATGTAGCTAACAATAACCCTGACCTACATACTCTTCAAATAGATCACAATCCTTCTGCAGTTTCCAGTCCCAAAGACTCAATCCTCTGTTTCTTTCCTATTCGTATAGTTGCATGTATAGAGTTAGGTACACAGCCGACTGCATTTAACTGACTAAAGAATGAGTGATTGAATGCGTGAAGAAATGACTGGAAATACATATCGCAGTGGCATTGCTAAAGGGTTTTATCAACTGTGTTGACTTCTTTTAGTTTCTTTTATATTTAGATCTTAGGGTATGTATAGGATCAACTTGTAGATCTCCCTTTGTCTACATAAGAGCATTGCAAGTCCATGGTATATATGCATTTGTAGAATATTTGTGTTTGTGACTTGTTTTTATATATTAAAGGGAAGGAGATACAAGTTTAAGTGCAAACTGAATATTGTAGACTATGCTATTTCACCAGTTGAAATTATTCACAGAGTAGTCTAAGTTCCATACAAGACATAAAAAGTGGTATTTCACTATTTTAATTTACTTTTTCCACTTTATTCCTTGTCTCCCAAATGTTTTATGGGTCAAAAATATCTCTTTATTTAAAAATTAAATAATACTTAAGAGTTTTTTTTTCTTATGCAGGACCACATTTTCCCCACTCTAAACCCAGGATTGGGGTCATACTCTGCTGCTTTCTCACTGTGTGTCATCGGGCAAGTTTCTTGAACTTTCTCTCCTTTAATTTCCTCACAGGTGGGGAATAATTGAACTTATATCAGACAGTGGATTGCATTAATGTATGGAATGTGCTTGTACAATGCCTGGCAACAGCAAACAATATGAAATAACTAGCATTTCTTATAAAGGAGATCCTCTCATGATAAGCTATAGAGCTTAGACTTTATCTGTATATAAAATAATAAGTGATTTAAATTGGAAGCAGAAGCATACTAGATGAGGAAACTGGGATTTTAGGTAGGTGATAAAAGATTGGAGTCTGAAAGATGGACTGGAAGAAGGATAAAGTGAAGATGTTAGGACACTGCTTAAATAACACCTACGATTTTACATGGTGTGACTGGAATAGGAGCAGGAAGATGGCTTCATCTGCATGGCATTCATTAGAATTAAACTAAGCACTAAACTCGGTAGGCCAACTAAATGTCAGCCCCTTACCCCTAGTCTTGTTACATAGCAAATATATTTTTTTCTAGGAAGATAGAAATTATTAGTTTAATTCAGGGTGGAGGAGGTCACCATGTATCCTCACTGTCTGAGAGGGCAAGATATGGACTCAAACACAGGCAGAATTTTGCAACCAAAGAGAGGCCCCTGCAGGTGAGGGGGAAGCACCTGCTGTGCTCTCTCTTACTGTGAAGAAGAACTGTTAATCCTCCACTTGCTAGAACACAATAATTACTCACAAGTGAAATGTGATAGAAGAGGATTTGTTGTCGTATAATGACTTTCATACTCAAAACATCCCCGAACTCTGCAGATGAGTGATTGAAGAGCTCTGCGCCATCCTCCCACCTGCTCAGGGAGTAACTGGAACCTCCAACAGCATGTATTTTTTTTAAACCAAGTGAGATCACTGGAGGGAAAGACTAGGGTGGAGGTGTGTTTGGCATGAATTTAAATGATAGCTTGAATAAAACAGATCTCTAAAGCACTTTTCAACTCTTGCTATCACCATTGTTTCTGCTAAGATCTCTTTAATCTCTGATATAGCCTGGATGCATGTTCATACACGCATGCCTCCTGCCAGTTACCTGTTACGTACGACACAATTTGAAATGCCTTAAAATGTGATCTCCAGTCTCCTTTAAGTAGGTAAAGCAAACTGATTTCCAAATGCATGGTGCTTTATATAGTGTAAGCGATTACAGGAAAAAGAATACTGCAACTGAAAAGGAAAAATCAAAACACTCAATTTGATTTTAATTTATTCTTAAGGAAAAGGAATGCATAGCGGTGCATTTCAGATGTTATTGTTTTTGAGCATCCCCTTGGGACCCTGCTGAACTGTAGACTCTGATTCATAGGATGGAGTTGGGTCTGAGGGTGCTTTTCTGACAATCCCCCAGGTGCCGATGATGCTGGCTTTTTGTTTGTTTGTTTGTTTCTGGCTACATTCAGAGGGCCTATGGTATAATGCCAAAACTTCTTAGTAGATGTGGAAAGGGTCCATGGCAGGCTCTTTAGAAGCCCATTCCTTCACAAGTACTTCTTGTGCCGAGTTTACCGTGCTTCCAGCATTTGGAAGTTCAGTCTGAACAGAAGTCGTAGTCGCTTTTACTCACATTTCGAGCACCTAATTAAGAAAAATATAAAACCATAGTGCATTTCTGAAGCCTTATGGTTCTATGATGAGTTTTTTTACCGTGTTTTTTTTTAATCTGTATACTGTATTGATGGAGGATCCCTTGTAAGTCAGTTATGATTGCTTTCTCACAGGGAAACCTCCATCAAATGATCTTAGAGTATTTCAGGCTTTTTTGCAGAAAGAACTGGTAAAGTATCATTTTCATTCATCATCCTCGTCAAATGTCTTTTCTCACACCCGGGTGGCTCTGTGAAGTGCTGCAGGGGAGGAGAGAAAGCAGATGTCACGCTGACTCCTGGGAGTCTGCGCAGCTGGTGGGGCATCCGGGGTCCCAAAACCCTCCCCAGATGATTTCAGGTTATTTGTGTCACTCAAGCTTTGATATTTCCCTGTGTTCTCAGCATCTCCCCTCTCTTTTCAGGACCATTGTGCATTATGTCCTCTGTACTTACAGAACTCACCCCAAATCCATGTAACAGGTAGATGCGTAAGGAAAATTCTAGCAGTTCATCTGATAGTGGGAGGTGGTATGAATGAAAAGGACCACTGATGTCAAGAAATGGAATTGTCTTTTTCACTCTGAGACCCAACGCCATCCCATGAATCAGAATCTATGGTTCAATAGGCTCTGGAGGGGATGCCCAAGCATAATAACATCTGAGATGCACTGCTATGCATTCCTTTTCCTTAACAATACATTAAAATGAAATTGAATGTTTTTATTTTTCCTTTTCAACTACAATATTTTCTTTTTCCTGTAATTGGTTACACTGTATAGAGCATCCTGCATTTGTAAATCAGTTTGCTCTTCCTGTTTAAAGGGGGCTAGGGGACACATTTCTGAGACATTTCAAATTTTGTTGCATGTAACCGGTAGCTGGTGGAAAGCATGCCCGTATGAACATGCATCCAAGCTCTATCATGGATTAAAGAGATCGTAGCAGAAAAGGACTATGTTCTTTTCATTCTAAAGCAAGAAAAGGCCCTTTACTGTGATTAAGAGTTGTCCTTGCCCAGATATATTTTCCATTCAGTAAATCAGAACTTGAACTGGGGAGAATTCTTCCCGTTAGTGTCATCCTATCTGCCTCCCATTGTTCGTCACGTAAATGCTAAGTTGAGATTGATGGGCTTATAAGGGCTGTGAATAACATCACCTAATGTTAGTGACATTCATAAAGAGCTTCGCCATTTCCAAAGATTTTCACTTAAATTATCTCAGCAACAAATTAGAGAGACTCACCTGAGGTCACTTGGCTAGTGAATATTTTAAAGGATATTTTGAAATCAGGCGAGGACTTTCATAGCTAGAAAAATACTGTTAAGTACCCTTCATATACACAATAATACTTAACTCAGAATATTATTGGATTCTGCTTTTCTTCCTTGTGTTACAAAATATTTCCATTTTCCTAATTAAATTTTATTTTTTTATAAAATTAAAAAAATCCCATCTCATGAGCAGAAGGGCTAATCCATTTTTTTCAGTGAGAAATTCCTCATTTTTAATGATATTGAAATATTTAGCAAAATAATACCTACAGAATGTTAATGTTTAACGATCTTAATTTCAAGGCTTACTATTCTCTCCTAAGTGCCTTTTGTATCAAACACAAAAATTATTTAAGACAGCTTTGAAAGCAAAGTGCTTCCTAAAACTTATATAAAATCACCTGTGTATTATGTTTAAAGTCAGACTAGGCCAGGCATGGTGGCTCATACCTGTAATCTCAGAACTTTAGGATGCCAAGGGGGGCAGATTGCTTGAGTCCAGGAGTTTGAGATCAGCCTGGGAAACATGATGAAACCCCATCTCTACAAAAATTACAAAAATTAGTCGAGCATGGTGATGTGCACCTGTAGTCTCAGCTACTCAGGAGGCTGAGGTGGGAGGATCGCTTGAGTCAGGAGGCAGAGGTTGCATTGAGGTATGATCGCATCATTGCACTCCAATGTGGGCAACAGAGCAAGACCCTGTCTCAAAAAGAAAAAAACAAAAACAACAACTACAAAAAAGCAGACCGGCTCTGTGCTGCTTCTGCTTCTGCTTCCTGGGTCCTTGCCCAAGATTTGTTGGTTCTCCTGATGATCTAGACTGTGGGGAATGTATTAATCTTCTCTCACCCCGATCCTCATCTATAAGATGGTAACCACAGAGTGCATGTTCCAGAGGGTTTCTGTGATGAGTAAAATAAGAATGCGAAACCCCCAGCCTGGCACAGAGTAAGCCTCAGGGATGCTAGCTCTTTGAGTTAATATTGTCACTTCACACATTTCCTGTCACTATTGCTTGAATATTATTATTAATATACTTCAGAAATGTGGTTATTAACTAACTAAGCCCTGAGTCACCGGTGTGTGTGTGGGTCTTGTGCCTGCCCCTAAGCTCACTTGAATACCTAACTGTGTAGTTTTGTATTTTCTATTGCCTCATAATAGGTGACAAAAAAGCCTCAAGTGACAAAAGCCCTCACTTCCTCATTCTCAGGACAGGACCAGCTGAGGAAAGGGGCAGTCCCTAAAAGGAGGTTTATTCCTCCTGCTTTCAGAGGAGTGGCTGGTAGACTGATGGCTCTTTTATTAGTGAAGGTAAGTCATGCTGTCTTGTAAGAGCCTTGTCTGTGAGAGTTAGGAGCCAAGAGAGAGGCAAATCGATCCTTCCACCATTTGGGGAAGGGGAGATATGGAGGACAGTACACACATTGTAAGGCTTTTTAATCTTCTGGTATCTAAGGAAAGAAAGGAAAAATCTGTTGTTCCAGTTTATGTGTGAATCCATGCTCTTCTAGGCTCCTGGTACCTCTGTTTTTAACCCTGAAGACACTATATCCTTACAACCATCTTGTAAATAAATATCGTGCTACATCAAAAGAAAAATATAACTAACCCTATATTAGAACATCATGGACAATACGTGATTGCATATTTTCTCAAAAGGATGAAACAGAAGAGAAAGGCAAGTATTAATGCTAGTGTATATGTGACAGCTGCCTTATTCCACAGTCAGTCTTTAGAGGCTGTCATTTATGACGTGTCTCCCGTGAGTGAGCTTTCCCTTCCCTCCTCTGTGCCATTTGCTGTCATGTTAAACCTGGAATTAGTTTGGTGTTCTTGCCTCGTTTCCTTAGGAACCTTTCTGAGGAATTTGTTACACAGGAAATTATCGTCCCACAGTTAGGAAAGCAATGCTACAGATGAACAATGTTTTGACAGAATATTCAAAATTAAATTGCATACCATACCTTAGCAGAGTTGAAATATCTTAATGTATATTTTCTGGAGAACGTTCTTTATCATCTAAACAGGGAATATGAAAATGAAAATTGAGTCTATTTTTTCTTGTAAAAAAATCACAGTAAATTTTTCTCCAGGCAAATGATCCAGCTGTCTGGGGTAACATTTAGACATGAGATTCAGAATCTTTTTAATTACACTAGTTAATTGTTTACCCTTTATTGCATCATTAATTGCCAACCTTGTTGGACCAGTACTCTGATGACTACTCTCTCACAGCTTGGCTGATAAATAAAGGCATGATTCATTCATTTTTTCCCCATACTCTTGACATTGATGGTAAGAGCTGTGCAGTTATAAAAAACGTTAAAAATTCAGTCTCTTGCTCTCTGGCTCAAATGTAATGCAGAAGTGGTCTAATTGACCACAGTTGTCCTAAGTGGTCTAATTGACCACAGTTGTCCCTTGGTATTTGAGAGGGATTGGGTTCCAGGATCCCCATGGACACCAAAATCTGTAGATGCTCACATCCCATATTTAACATGGCATAGTATTTGCATCTAACCTATGCATGTTCTCCCATGTACATTAAATCATCTCTAGATTACTCATAATACCGAATACAAAGCAAATGCTATATAACTAGTAATTAGGCTGTATTTTTAAAATTGGTGTTTAATTCTTATTGTCATATTGTTATTTATTATTATGATTACTATCATTATTATTTTTATATTTTCGATCCTCAGTTGAATCCATGGGTACAGAACCTGTAGATATGGAGGGCCAACCATATTAAGTTTGAAATTTCTTCCTCAAAGTTTCCATAGTTTTACAAATTTATATATTAGTGAATGGCATTATTAAAAATTAAAAAAACAGCTTTAAGGTACTTTAATATAATTAAGATAATATGCAAAATACTGGAAATTAAAATACTATTATTAGAAAAAAAGTAAAAGGATGTTATGGAATAATACCTTTACATGAGAAGCATTATCATGGCCTTAGGTAACAGGTGGTCAGAAAGCTTGTCCTTTCTTTCAACATTTTAACTAATTGGTTGAGAAGTTTTTGACTCATGATTTAATCTGTTTCCCCATTGCTTTCGTATGTCAAGTATCTTGTTTTTGACACCTTTGTAATGGAAAGGATTGAGAAGGGGGATGATGATCATTGAACATGAGTAAAAAATACATTTAAACATGGCACCCAAGAAAGTAAATATATTTGGTACTTCATGATAGGGAGATTTGAATGTAGAAGATCTGTTTTAAGAGCTAGAAGTAACAGTGTAAGACAGCTAGCAGGAATAGTTTTCCAAAAATAATCCTATAGATGGAGAAAGAAAAGAGGAGGTGACTTTCATCCCATGAATGCACATTGGACAACAGAGAGCTTATTTTGAACCGAGTGTAAAATCATACCAGTAGTATTCATATGTGTATTCAATACATATCAATTAAGGAAAGGTGTGGTATAGGTAAGACACTGTGCAAGTCACCAAGTCTACCCTGGTGAGCAATGTAGACCTTGTTCTTGTTCCGGAAGCAGTTCAAATTATTCATCAGACGTGTCTTCGTATGTTCAAAGTGGTATGCTAAAGGAGGCGCAGGGACCATCTGAGAGGGCTTCACTTAGCGAGGGCCCTCTGCACAGAAAACTGCAGGGCGGGTACCATTAGCTAGGAGATGGGGCATGTGCGTGGAGCACCAGAGAGGCCAGGGGCCACAGGAAGAATGGAAAAAGTGCTGACTAGCTCCATGGTAGAGTGTGAGGGAGGGGAGGCTACAGATGCCAGCAGGCGCTGTGCTGCTGAAGAAGAAGAGATTGGAGTGTATCCAAGGGCATTGGGAAACTACTGAGCGCTCTTAAGAAGATGCAGCCTATGATTTGTTGTTTTTGAAAGATCAGTCTTCTGCGGCTTGAACTGGGGGTCAGGAGACAGCAGCACTGTAGGAAGGAAGGTCACTTAGGAGATTCTTGTAATTAGCGAGACAGAGGAGAGCAGAAGCCACACCAGATGGGGCCTGTAAGGGTTGAAGGAAGAGGACAAAGGCTTCTGGCTGCCACAATGGACAGGACTCTATGGATGTTAATGAAAGGAAGAACGAGGAGTTGCGAAGGACCCTGACCCTTCCAATGTAGGCAAGTGAGCAGCAGGTGGTATCATTTCGTAAGACGGGAGAGGCAGACAAACAAGTTTTTGAAGGGTGATGGTGTGGAGTTCAGTTTTGTACATATTAGATTTGAGGTGCTTGTGGGATCCAACTGGGGTTAGCAAATCTTCATTATATACCCCAAATATGAATATTTTATTGCTATATTATGTATATATAAATACATTAGCACTAATGTGCATGTATATATTTATGCACATTCAGTATATATACAAAATATTTACATAAGATGAGATAAAGCTGAAGTAAGCAATATTTTAAAACATTTTTGCCTATGAATGATATATAATATCTTTTTTACTTAAATAGAATGGATTAAATATAATAAATATTATATTAATGATAACATGTTAATTATCAGCTTGAAGGTAGAATAATAGGATTGAATATCCATCATTATTTCTAAAATCTTAGTTTAATATTTAGGATAAAGTGCTTGGAAAATTTACTTGTAGGTTCAGTTCATGTCACAGTTTTGGTTTCAGTACCAGATATAATAGTTTAAAAGATAATCACAAAATGTGTAGTTCTAAATGGAAGGACAATATGGACTTCATGAAATCATTAGACTTTATTTTAATGATGTCCACAAATTATGAAAAATTTTTTTCCTCAAACAATTGAAATGCGATTTTTGAATTCCCATCTTCCTTAAAATTAACTGTCTTTACAAACTAAAAGAATGTTGAATTTTTGCATTATTATCAAATGAATTTAAACCGAAGCTAAACTCTGGAATATTTTGAAATATGTTAGAAAGTTCTCTGTCTGGGCAGAGATGAGAGGTGGCATACATTGTTTTCAACAACAAAATCCCAGGGGCTGCAAATACGCGCAAACATCTTGTTACAAAATACTCTTTCCAAAGCTTAAATGTCTTCCCTGAAATCAGTTACTGTCATTTCTACCTCATCATTATATAATCACCTTTCTCAGAAGTGCCGTTGAGTATGTTTACATTTCAAGCTTGGTTCCAGATTTTTTACTCTTTTTTCTATTGAATCACAGCACTACTCAGTAATTTTAGAACATGTCTTTTTTTTTCTTTTTTTAAGAAAAATAGTTTATTTGTACTTTGACCTAAGCCAAACCAGCGAAACTCTGCAGGGCCCAAGATGTTGCCATGACTACATTCCATCTCTGCAAATTATTATACAATGCTGCTATATTTTAATATATTATTTCTTTAAGTTATGAATAATTGCCAATCTTATTAAGTGCCGAGGCTTACTTTTTAAGAGTTTTAATCTTATTGATTTCTTTAGTTTCTCAAGGCACAGTATACATGTACGGTAAAGTTTATGGTTAGCAATAGTCAATGTAATCCAGAGGTCAAATCGTCTTCTTGATCATTTGAATTTTTAAACTGTCTGTTTTTCAGGTC
Source organism: Homo sapiens (assembly GCF_000001405.40). Taxonomy (NCBI): domain Eukaryota; kingdom Metazoa; phylum Chordata; class Mammalia; order Primates; family Hominidae; genus Homo; species Homo sapiens. The sequence continues at coordinate 107,831,192 of NC_000013.11, read as the reverse complement.
TGGATGAACTATCTTGGTTTTTACCTTGAAATGTGGATAATGAAAATTTCTTATTCAGAGTAGGAAAAGTGTCAGCATTGCGATTTCTTCTTGATTTATGTGTTTCTATTTTGAGGACACTCTTCAGTCCCAGTTTCTTTGCAGGAATCTTTTACAACTCTGGTTATAAGGAGCTCCTTTAATCCGCACAGCCAGAGTGAGGTCAGCACTGTCAGCCCATGCTCTTTGCGGAACATCCTATTTCCCCCAGGACTTTCATTTTTCATGTAGGACATGGGATTATCTGAGATAAGGATGGGGTGAAGGTACCATTTTAATCCACATATTAAATATGAGTAAGTCTTAATTCCATTCATAGTTTAATACAAAAGGCAAAGGAAGACATCTCTGCACACACACATGCGTCAGTGGCACATCGCATTCTTTGACCTCCCTTTGGAGGCCTGTGGTGCAGAAGGAGCTTAAATATATGGGAAGGGGTGAGATCACACGGAGAGAGTGTTTGGAGGGAAAAAGAGGAGGGATGGAAACACTCAACAACAAGAATCCTCCCCCCGCTCCCCGAAATTGATTAAAACATGGCCAAAGGGCTTGAATAGATATTTCTCCAGCAAAGATACACAAATGGCCAAAAGACATGAAAAGATGTGAAATATTTCTAATCATCAGGGAAACCCAAATCCAAACCACAGTGAGTTACCATTTTCCAGCCATTAGGTTCGCTGTCCCAGAATCAAAAAATAGCAAGTGTTGGCAGGGATATGGAGCGATTGGAACCCTTGTGCATTGTTGGTGGGAATGTAAAATGTACAGCCACTGTGGAAAACAGTATGATGGTTCCTAAAAAATTAAACATACATTTTATACATAGATAATTACCTTGATATTATTCTTAATATATTCAAATAAACAACGACATTTAAAGGAACGAAGGATACAGTGGTGATTGGCCTTTGGAAGACAGATCTTTGGGTCTGCACATTGTGAAGTCCCCATCTTTCCAACTGGAAGATCATTCATCGAGTTAGATTGCTGGAATGCACAAGAGGCGGTAGAAAGGGAAATGGGCCAGAGACAGCTGGGCCGAATTGTTCTCAGTGTAGTTTTCCTACTTATTTGGTGAGGGTTCCGGGTGTAATAATGGCACTCTTGGGTTATAAAAAGGTAATCTTCTGCGAGTTAGGGTTGTGAGTTAGGGTTGGCATCTGTTGCCAGACTTTCTTGTTGTTACTTCCTGCTAAGCCCGAATGTGACATCAATATCCTTTCAACGTAGTGATACTGTGCATGAATTGGAAGTGTTATACATCTTTGGTACAGATGATAGTGCATAAAGAGAAATTTAAAAAATCGTATGTACCCTCCTATTACAATACAAAACTTATAGACTGCTGTGAATAAGTAATTGTAAAAAGTATAGAAATGCCAACTTCACTGATGAGGAAAACCATGTAAACCTGTCATCCGTGTTTATGGAGCAGCAGAATTTTCAGACACGAGTAAACTCATGATCTTTTTTTCATAAATTGTTCTGAAGCAACAATAATACTTAGATTTGCAGTTAATACAGTTGTCTTAAATTTAATTATTATTAATTATAATAATATTAAAATGCAAAAAGGAGGTTCTCTTCATAACATGGCCCTTAAATATCAGTGCCTTTGTCTGAAAGAATTTGAAGATCTGATTTTATTTCACCACTGGAAAAAAAATCATGAGATCCAAAAGTTATTTCATTTCTATTGTGGGAGTATATTTATGTCAACATTTAAATGTCAGGTTCTCCACAGTATTTTCGGTCTAGAAAATTTCTGAGGCATGCACATAGTTATTATGGTGTCTGTGGTATATGTGATCAGAGTCACAGGCTTTGACTGACCAATGCAGTTAGAAACTTTATTCGTTACTGCTCAATATTGGTGTTTCCTAGGTATAGTGTAGAACAAATATGGAAGCTGGATGTAGGGGTATACTTATTTCACATCCATGTCATTCTCACATCCTCCAAAGTGCTTTCTTCACATTGCTTTGTAGAAATAATGGGTGATCTCTCTGGTATTTCATATGCCTTTCTTTCTGACCTTTGCTTGTCTACTTTTGCTCATTTGGCTAGCTATAATATGAAATGCAGAGAAGAGGGGGCATGTTCATGATAGGCTATTTTTGGAGCTCTTCTAAGATAGACAATGGATACAGGTTTTATTGAACTTTGGGTCAGAAAAAATAAAACAGTGCACATAATCTAATAGCTTAAAGAGAAATGTCCTTGTCCAGGTAATGATTCATGTATAACCAAAATGGTGAAATTGGTACTGTCCCCCCAAGCTGATCTGAAACCATGTTTTTATTTGTATAGATTGAGGTATTAGTTATCAAGTGAAAATACAAATCCACATCTGTTTTTTGTAGGTTTTGAGAAGGTGAACAAATTGTTAAGCCATTATTGTTTTATTTGCTTCTCCAAGCAGAAATATATCTTCTCTGAAAAGAGATACTGCATTGGAATATAGTTAAAATAAAAATCATGTTTGTTGCTGTGGGAGATTTGTGTGTGTGTGTGTGTGTGTGTGTGTGTGTGTGTGTGTGTATAGATATAGATATAGATAGATAGATAGATAGATAGATAGAATTTAATATGACTCTCTACCTATTCTGAATTTCCTCACAGTGTTCTTCTCTTTGAAAGAAAAAAAAAAAAAAACAAGTCAGTGGCTCAACTACAAAAAGCACTCTATTTTCTGAGTGATTTGATTTAATCAAATTAAATGAGATGAGTTCTAGAAGCACACACTGATGTATGAATGCAGTTGCAGCTGCCGTGCAGGGCCTGACCTGAAGCCTTTTCTGTGCTTCTGTGACGTGGTTTATGCACTTTACTGTAGTCACTGCAGATTAGAACCACACGCAGTAACGTGGATATGGGCCAGATAACAATAACAAAAATTTGGAATGTCAGTGCTACTAAAAGGGACCTTCACTCAAATTACTCGTAAAATTTTTTTTCAAAAAGAAAGATAAGATTGCATGGCTTAATAAAAGTGTTACCGGCACTTTAAGCTGAAAACTGCCCAAATGAGAAATAATGTGAAATCGAACTCACAAGTCCCTTTGGTTTACTCTAACTGTGAGATCCCTGTCACCTGTGAGTATACATTGGCACAGCCAGCTTCAGGGTAGAAGTAGGTTCTGACTGAGGGACAAAACGCTTCCTACCGCTGACGGCTGCAGTTTTGTACAAATAAAAATACAAGAGTATAATATTCCCAGAAGAGTTTTTCTTCTCATTTTTGTGCTAGAAGACATGTTTTTAATCGCCCTTTCCAAAATTTACCCAACTTAAATTTTCTTAAAATTGTAACCAGTAATTATAATACCACTGTTTTTCAATTCAGTACTACATTGACAAAGAAACATTTGATGTATCTCATTTTTAGGTGGAAAATAAAGCAGAGTGTTTTTAATAAAATGTTCGTGGAATAAAACTAGATTATTGATTTGTGGGGCAAAGATTATATCTATATTAACAAACAAATATAAAAACAAACAAAAATGAACAGCGATTATTTAAAAGCAGACGGAACGAAATTGATCTAGAGGTGGCTGGTGCCTGCTGACCCGGGAAGGTGGGTTTGGTTGGCTGGATTCTAACACTGCCCGATGGCCAGACCCATGTTGGGATGTTTGTGGGAAGCACTGGATTTAGCTCCAAGGAGAGGGTCTGTTTGTAGCAATCCTGCAACAAGCCGTCTGACTCTGACAGATGCTTTTCCTGCGTACCTGGTTGGAATGACCTGAAGGAAAGACATAATGAATTAACGAGGAATCCTTCAGATCTTTCAGGTCAGATGAACCATAATCTAGTTGAAAAGAAAAAGAGAAAAGAAACACGCTAAGTAAATCTGCAAGTTTAGTTGAGAAGACTACAAGGAGTATCAGCTTAAGAAAATGCCTTAATGTTTAACAGACACTCCATAAATGTTTATTTTTGCGTTTCTAAGATGACTCAAATAATATTGATTTGATTGGTTAAAACAAGTATATTACAATATTTGTAGTTTTAGGAGTCTGTAGTCATAAATCCTAATGCAAGAGACTGTGTTCAGCATACAGCTTGGAAACCTAAACATAGTAGGTGCTAAATCTTGTAAATAAATGAATGTACATGGACCAGTAGTCGAAGGCATGCTGATTTCACTCAACATGGTAACTTGCTTTCTCTCCTCTCATAATTTTCTACCACTTGTATAAGGACTTGCTTTTCTCATAAACTAAGACCTACCCTGTGTCAGGCAGGGTGCACAATTCACTCCATATCTTTTCCCAGCAGTCCTTTGAGGCCAATGATGCCTCTCGTTCCAATGAGAAAACTGAGGCTAAGAGAGTTCGATTAGTTTCCCCAAGGTCATGTAAACAAGGAAGTGAAGCAGAATATTTAATTGAAATGTTTCTGAATCCAAATCCTGCCTCCTCTTCAGAAGGAAAAGTTCTCTTTGTGAGTTGACTGTGGTCTTCTCCACTGGTCTTATGTATGTTTTATGCAGGCACATTTCACTCTGACATCACCCACTGTAATGCTAAAAGGAGTCTGCTAAACTTACTGAAAAGTGTTTATAAGCTGCATCCTCTTTTTCTAAAAAATAACTTTTCATTCTGCTTCACCATTCAGCCTGGAGCCCCGTTGGCGTCTTCCTCTTCATACTGGACTGTTATACATGATGCCTTTTCCCGCTCTTTCATGCCCCTCTCTTCTGTTTTAAGCATGCACATGCTATTGGGTGGGCTTGGCAGCTCTTGAACTGTGGGCATTCCTGAGGAACACCCTGTCAGCTTGTGTTGTTGGTTGAGTGACTTTGAACTCTGGTAGGAACTACACACACACACACACACACGTGCACATGCACACACACACAAATACATGCACCTATGTTCTGGCACCTACACAGAAATGGACTAACTCAGAAAGACCACTTTTCAGGGATCTCAAATGAATGTTCCGTCTCTTTCTCTGCTTTTCCTCAGTCTAAGATATTCTTCTCCAGGCTTCAGTAATGTGGCTCCCTTTAAAAGACCATCAGCTGGATAGTTTTACTCTTTAAGAAATAGTACTCGTTATAAGGCTGGGCATGGTGGCTCACGCCTGTAATCCCAGCACTTTGGGAGGCAGAGGTGGGCAGGTCACGAGGTCAAGAGATTGAGGCCAGCCTGACCAACATGGTGAAACCCCATCTCTACTAAAAATGCAGAAATTAGCTGGGCGCAGTGGCGGGAGCCTGTAATCCTAGCTACTTGGGAGGCTGAGGCAGGAGAATCACTTGAACCCAGGAGGTGGAGGTTGCAGTGAGCCGAGATGTTGCCATTGCACTCCAGCCTGGGTGACAGAGCGAGACTGCCTCACAAAAACAAACAAACAAACAAGAAATAGTACTAGTTATAGTCAAAATATGGATACATTATTGGCCTTTGTGATAACTGCTTATTAAAAGGTTTATGAAGTTTCTCCTCTTTTCACAGATTTTCATGGGTGAAGAACTTTATATTAGTGATATGTGGAGTTGATTATGTTCTACAAGTACAGGAATTTATTTATTTTCCATATCTTCCCCACTTTTATTATGAAATAATATTTCCAGCAGTTATTGAGCGAATGCTCTCTGTGAAGTGCTTTTTCTATCATGATGCATAAGGATTGAGGCCTAATTATGGATTGAGACAAGAGATCAGATTAAGGACAGAAGATTCTGATGACAGATTATGCATCCGTTCTTTAAAAGTGAATGAGCATCAACTTTTTTTCTGATGTCACATGACATTTGATATGAAAAATGTCATTTCACCAATCAAATAGCATTATTCATTTAGGTTAGGTTAGAGAAGAAAATTATATAGAGACACAAGATATTTTAGTTAAAATACCCTTTACTCGGACATCCAAAGCAGACCAACATTCTCACTTTGCAGCTGAGGGAATTTTGGAAGGTAGATTTTAGATCACCTATCACATAAAAAAAACAAAGCCAAAGCTTGTTAGTAACTATAACGCATTCCAAATTTTGTTTACTTTATATTGTTTTAAGAACTGATAACTGTGTTTTATTTTTATGAAGCTGGTTTATTATTAGTAGTGTTGCCTTTCCTTTCTAAATATCCAAAATACTATTGGAATATAAACTAACAAGTAACTAAACAACAACAAAAGCATTGTAGCTACTAGATTCGTGGTTTGGGATCATGTCCTAGTATTCGGGAAAGGTGGAAAGCATTTTAGTACTTTGTCTTCTACTTTCACACATCTGACATTGGCCAGTGAAGTGGCAAACTGAAACTCGTAAGAGCAGTGGTGCAAAGCAAACATGATTTATGACTACGCAGCGATGGAAGAGCCCAGTCCATACTCACTGAACACCACGTGCACCTGCATGCTCGTCAGGATTCTCATCAAAAACAAGCTGCACTTGCAGTTCTGGCTTCTTTACCTGGAATTTTGTGATTACCTGTATTTGTATAGACAGAATGGGGGAATCTTCTACACATGCATAATGGAGCTGAGAGACCAATGATTTTCTGTCTGAATCAGTTATTCAAATTCCTCAATCTGGATTAGTACAGGCCAGAATTTCCTGTCTAGACTATCAGACTCATGACTTCTGTTCTTCCCTTGATTTTGTGTTCTCCAATCTGAGGACCATTTCCCCAGGCTTTGTATTGATGAAGAAAGAATTCCATTACAGCCTTAATCCAACCACGCATCATCCAAAATGCAGGTAGCTAAGAAAATTAGGGGAGAAAATAGCTTTAGGGAAATTCATCTATTCATAGTTTTTTTTCTCATTAATTTCCTCCTTCCACAAATACTTTTTGCAGGGGCTATGTTAGGCACTAGAGTCAAAACAAATATATCTAGGGGTCCCTATATTAACAATCAGACAATTTAGTGATATGGTCCCTATATTAACAATCAGACAATTTAGTGATATGGTCCCTATATTAACAATCAGACAATTTAGTGGAAAGCAGATGGATGGAATTATGTGCTTACCACACTTATTTTAATATGTGGTCAATATAATATGGAAATATTCATTTGTTTATTCAACAAACATTTATTGAAAGCCATCCATATACCATGAGCTGGTACACAGGATAAGGAAAACAGGAACAGCCTTTGCCTTTAAGGAATGATGGGGACCAATAATAATAATAATAATAATAATAATAACAGCAATGGTAATATTGAAAATTTTCTAGATGCCAGCACTACAAGAAACACTTTACATGTATTAAATCATTGATTTCTCCCAACAGCCTTATGCAGTAAGCATTACTATTATCCGCATTGTGCAGATGAGAGCACTGAAAGCAAGCAGGTTAAATCACTTGCCCAGTATCACACAGCTAGTAAGCAGCATAACCAATACTCAAACTCAGGCTGTCAGGCTCCAAAATCTGTATGTACTTGTCACACGAACATATATAAAATTGTGTCAAGAGAGGAGCATGAAAGCTCTCTGGAAGGTCACAGAAGGCCTCTTTGAAGAATTAACCTTTGAAAGATTTGTAGGGCATAAGTTGGAGAAGGGAGAGTACCAAGGCCTTCTGGAGTGGGAGCGGAGGCCACGGGGGTTACTGACCAAAGCCAGTGAGACCAGAGCACAGAGGACCTTGGCAGAGGTGAGCCTGGAGGGGTACGCAGAGGCAAATCCAGACATGGGTTCTTGGCCGTGGTGAAGAGATGTGCCTTCAACCTAAGAAAACTGGGAAATTGTGGAGTTGGCATGATTTTGCACGGAGAACAAATGTCAGCCAGGGGCAGAGGGGCTCCTGGCAGGTAAAATGGGGGATTATTGGACTTACCCAGGTGAGAGAGGATGGTAGTGTGAGCAAGGGTGAGGGTCTTGAACTCAACAGTTCAGTGACCACAGTAAGATGGAGCTTTTAATTGAATTAGAGTTCTCTGTTGAAGAAGAACTCCGCAGAGAAGTAGCAGCCACACTAGGCCTGAAAGGCAGGGGTTTGCCAGACAAATGAGGAGGGTAACTGACTATTCTAAATAGTGGAAAGAGGTAGATACTGATGAGGAAATTAGGGTAAATTGAACTGTTACAGTAAAACTAAACAAATGCTTTTGACAACAGCATTTCCCATGGTCAGCCGTGTCCAAGCACATTTACAGAGATTCTCATTCTCAGCAGACCTCAGCAGTACCCGATTATTTTTTATGGCTACTGGCAAACACATTATTGAAACCCAACTGAAGGAAGAGCAGACTTTCTCAGAAAAATGAATTAATACTCACACCCCATGAATTTTTGGTTTAACTATAGCAGCTTAACTGACCATTTCAATCTTTGGGTTCATCTTTTAAGCTAAATTTTTCCTTGTTCTTTTTATATTTAACGATTTTCCTAAATCTTCATATCTTTCCAGAATGCTAATTCAACTTATCCCTTTAACTCTAGTGCCAAAATTTGGAGGATTTTCAATCACGTTAGTGCTAGAATAAAAAGAAACGTGAAGTAGGTTATAAAAAGAAGGATCTCAGCACTTTTACAGTATTCATGATTTATCAACTGCAATGCTGAGATTTTACATGGCTGACTACTTCTGTGCTGTAACACATTAACCTGCTTATATGATAAAGCAGTAGTTCTCATTTTGGGGTGTGTAGTGGAATCCTCTGTAGGCTCATTAGGCCATAGATTCCTGTACCTCACTCTCCAGGATTTCTGATTCAGTAAGTCTTACATTTCCATTTCTAAAAAGTTCTCAGGTGCTGCTGCTGCTGACAGTGTAGAGGCCAAGCTTTGAGAAGCAGTAGTGGAAAAGGTGGTTTTCTCAAGCCTGGGAGACAGGGCCAGACTCTGTCTCAAAAAAAAAAAAAATACTTTTGCATGACATCAGGCAACAGCTTGGGTTGGAGGGATGGTGTAGCTCCACCACACAAGTGCATTTTCTTAAAAAGGAATGGAAGTCAAACTGGGCTTTATTGTTTTTGCTGCAGAAGGTCAGTATGATGACCCTATTTCCTATCTACTCTGCCACTTTTATAACAAGAGGCTTTTTATTAAGTAAAAAGTGAGCTAGCTTTCTAAGGATGCATGCTTCTCAATGATACACATATACATTTTCTAAGAGAGAGACATAGTTGTGATTAATTTTATGTTCACAGGAGAGCATAGAAGGTATGACAAAAGGAAATACATTTGTATATCACCATTGTCCACATCTGTTGTAATTTTAAAGTTATTTTGGGGATTATATTGTGCCATGGCCAATTAATTCACATAGTCCTTCTAAAATATGTTTGAATGTAAATGTTAATTATTATATAATACAGATAAGTTGTTTAAAGGTTTAAGGAAGAATAACAATGACAGTATTTTACAAATACATTCAGTGATTCGCTTAAAATCTTACTTTGTTGTTAACATAATTAATGGTATGACATCATTTGGATTACACTAGTCACCCTATTATGTACTCTTTCTGTCATTGGATCTCATCCAGAGTACCACATTGCATTTAGTTGTCATATCTCCCCAGTCTCCTCTGGTCTGTGACAGTTTCTCAGTATTTCTTTACTTTTCATGACTTGACAGTTTGAAGAGTGCTCCCCAGCCATCCTGCAAAATGTCTCTGACTCTAGCTTTGTCTATATTTTTCTCCGTAATAGACTAAGGTTATGGGTTTTTGGAAAGAATTCTGCAGAGAAGAAATGTCCTCCTCATGCATCATCTCAAAGGGCGCGTAATCTCGACATGGCCTTAGAGCCCTCACGCGTCATCTCAAAGGGTGCGTCATCTCAGCATGACATTACAGTAGCATGACTTTTAGATTTCTGCCTAAAAGACATATAACTGTAGGAATCATTACTGATGCTAAGTCGCTGTACGTGCATAATTGTAAACATTTGAGCACATTGGTATTTCAGTAGTTGAAAGGTATTGGGGTATAAGTCCTCAGCAAATCAGGTAGACAATTCTCTTTCTTTTAAATATTGTTGTAATAAAGCAAAATATGGTAAACTATGTCAACAAAACTACAAATAAACAAGTAAAAAATAATACTTAAGCACTGAAATACTTTCAGTCCTTAAGGAAACATTTGTTTTCAGCTCTAGAGACCAATTTTTCCTGAAGGGCATAGGCAGTGATGGATGCACATGCGCATATTATGACTGGAATTCGTGCTTGTGTTTCTAGTTGGATAAAATTCTAAGGGAGGGAGTATGCAGAATTAATTGCTATGCATTTTGTCCACATATATGAGAATGCAGGTAGTGCCGGATGATGTTTGCCAATACCTGGAATAAATACATGGCAGGGGCATTTTGCTGCCGGGTTTCTAATATGGATTATGGACTAGATCATGAAATAACATCATATTTTGCCAAATCAGTGTCTCCTGTGGTTATTAAGCCACAGACTAGAACTGGAAAATCGCTGTAAGCAGCAGGCACTGTGACAGAAATATCAATTTAGTGAGGACTGGGAAACATGTATTTTTCATTAAAATGTGAAGCATTTAAGCACAAAGGAAAGATTTACATAGCAGATAAGAGGAAATAGATTAACTCTCCCAATATTCATTTGGAAATTGTCATTTAGGCTTTTGGACTCCCTAAACACCATAAGCTTCTGCCTGGAAGGTTTTGAAAAAATAAGTTTGCATGTCAGTACCTTGACAAGGTAGATTAGGAGCTGCCGGTAGCAAGGCTGAGGGCAATTTCAGTCTGCTTATGTGATGTACAAAAAGAGTTTGGGGTACTTCATCCTAAGAAAATGTCAGATCTGTGTGTGCATTCAATTTTAAAAATATGAGTGCAATTCAGGCAATTGGAGATAGTCATGCTCGTGAAAATATATGGTTAGCAACGAGTCCAGCTGACTATAAAATTTCTTTGGAAGAACAGGAAATTCTTGCATTCACAAAACACCACAGAATGCATCATTCATGAAACATTTATTTATTGATCTCTTACCTTATGCAGAATACTATCTGTGGCACTGTAGAGTATACAAATGATATAGACAATAAACAGTCAACCGCCAAGGAGCTTATGAATAAGAGCATAGGAGCAGAACTTCTTCCTGCAGAAAGAAGGGTACTTGGGGTTCTACCTCCTGGGTCACAAGAAATGGGCTGGGTAATGAAAAAGAAAAGCAGTGTCTGAAGCAAGAAGTCTGTAATCTTTGTCTTCAGGATTTGGCTTCCAGATTCCTTGTGGATGAATACATCGTTGGAGAAGAAACTGATAATATGCCAGACCCAATTTAGACAACTTTATGAGCAAATAACTGCACATCAGAAAGCCTAAAAAATAGATAGTGGCAAGCGCTACTACAAGGTACAGATTATAAAATATGAGAGAAGAAAGAGGAGAAAAAGAGGAAGGAAGAGAAAGAAGTGTGTGTGCTGTGTGTGTGTGTGTGAAAGAGAGAGAGTTTCCAGAGAGAGAGAGAGAGAGAGACAGTTTCCAGAGAGAGAGAGAGAGAGAGAGAGAGAGAGAGAGAATTTCCAGCTGGAGACAGCAGATTCATCTTATGGGAATGTAGTGGCAGAGCACAATTAATATATTCTTTAAGTCATTTAAATCTAGACCTTGCTCCGTGGCCAATGGGAAGTGATTAATATTTGTAAGTAGTAAAGGAACATAAATGGAATTGTACTTGTGGAAGATTCATTTGGCCAAAGTTTATAAAATAGCTTTCAGGTGTGTAGAGCATGGGGCGTCCCACCTAAGAAGTATGAGCAAAAGATCATGATGCCCTAAGTTTGGAAAAAAGATGACACAGTTGCCAGAAATGCTGCTGAGGCAGAATCTGACGAATTAGAACTAGTCATGTAATCATTAATTTGCTTAAAGGTGTTTATTGAGTGCCTGTTGTTTATGTGCCAGCCATTGTGTTAACATTGGGAGTCCAGGGTAAACATTACACCCTGCTTCATATTACTTATGCTCTAATGAAAAAGGCTTATTCAATGAAGTGATTACAAATCATTTATTTATTTGGTAGATATTTATTCAGAGCCTACTATCTTCAAGACATCAGGTTAAGCTGAGGAATTAGAGCTATAAAGTATTTACTCATGGTCAACATTACAAAAGTTACAGGTTGTCATGGGAGTATGCATCTGTAAGAGCTTGCCCACTTTATGGGAAACAGAAAGAAAATAATCCAGTGTGACTTTCAGTAGTCAGGCTCTCATGTTTTATAAGTCCTCAGCATTCTCACACTGCAAGAACATAGTTGGATCTTTTCACCCTCACACTGGAAGTCTCATATTTGCTCAACTGGATTTTTTTTTTTTTTTTTTTTTTTTTGAGACGGAGTCTCGCTCTGTCGCCCAGGCTGGAGTGCAGTGGCGCGATCTCGGCTCACTGCAAGCTCCGCCTCCCGGGTTCACGTCATTCTCCTGCCTCAGCCTCCCGAGTAGCTGGGACTACAGGCGCCCGCTACCACGCCCGGCTAATTTTTTGTATTTTTAGTAGAGACGGGGTTTCACCGTGTTAGCCAGGATGGTCTCGATCTCCTGACCTCGTGATCCGCCCGCCTCGGCCTCCCAAAGTGCTGGGATTACAGGCGTGAGCCACCGCGCCCGGCCTCAACTGGATTTTTAAGACCAATTCTGATTTCATGTGTTAAGACACAGGCAACTCCAACTCTACAATCTGCCACTCACCACCAAGTAGTCCATGCTCCCTGGTTAGGAGGTCTTTGGGACTGGGACTCAACCTCCACAAACCCCCTTCCAATAGGAGCAGCTATGTGCAGACCCTACTTCCTCCAGTGTCTCCAATTCCTGGCCAGGTGCTGTCCCCAGAAACTCCTGTAAACATGTGGCCCTGAGCAAAAGTTTTTTGGCACTCAGAGAGAACTTGGCTCTCTTTTCCCACTTTGATGTCCCCCAATCCCTTAAAAAGGAAGAGCAGCAGGTGGGCAGAGTTATTCTGGATCACAGCCCCTCCGTGTGTCTAACTGAACGGGAGCAAGCTTACCTCTCCTCAAGATGTTCCCCTAAGATTAATGCACTTGACCTAGTCAGAAAATGCTTGTTGATGTCCCTCCGATGCCATCATATACCAGAGAAGACAGCATAGAAGAAAATCAGCATTGGTTACCGTATGACCTGAAGGGAGAATTCAAGAAGGATAGGGATATACCTTTTATTTCATGTCTGTTTCTACCAACAAATATCCCCTTGAAAGCAAAGAGCTTGCCTTATTCCTTTGCATATTCATAAATCTTAACAGGCATCTAACAATAAATCTTTTTCAGGTGGATGGATGGATGGATATAAAAACAAAAGCCTTTGGGCTGCGCTACTATGATGCAAATAAACAAATGGAAGCCAGATTGCAAGGGATGGTGTGCTGAGGAGGTTTAGGACTCACAAAGAGAGGGCCCTTTGGAGGAGCTGGCAGTGATGTGGGGAAGTGCAGCGTACCATGGAAGCACCCTGGAGTGAAAAGGGTGAAATAAATCATTTAGAATTGAGCATATTTGAGCAGGAGTCCTTTAGCAGATAGATGGGATGTCCTTTATATTTGGTGATAAATTGAAAACAAATTTTAAAAAGAGGTGAAAAGGCACAGATGGATGGTTTACCCTAAAAAGGAAAACAAGGATTTCTTTAAGAGGAGGGAATTGGGAGAGAAAACAGAAGATATTTACAGGGCTTAAAATCCCGGCACTCCCTAGAGTGAATGATTTAAAGATAAGAACATTCTGAAGATATCACAGTATGTTTCTTTATATAGCTCTGGCTGTGTGTCCTCACTTGCTTACACTTCTTACATCACAGATCTCTGCTTAAGTCTACCAAAAGTTACAGAATCATCATTCTAAGTAGCACAAGGACACCACACCTATATGCATTGTTGTTTTCATACTCAAAATGTGTGATTTTGTGCAAACCACAATTTCAAGTATACTGCATTTCACATTTTTATTAATGTGAATGCTTTTTGTCTTCAGCAGTGACATATATTTTAGATAACCTTGTAATGAGGATCACATTATTTACTTATTTGTGTCCTCACCTACTTCTATTTTCATCACATATTTGCCTCTTCATTTATTGATATGGTTATTTATAGTTCATATAAATTGCTCTTGCTCTTTCCCTCACACTCACTTTTGCTCAGTCTCTTTCTCCCAAGTATGGTTAAGTTCTGAAGAGATTAAAAATACAAAAAACCCTACATTTATATTAAATTCTCCAAAATCCATATGTATAAAAAGGAAAAGGTGAAATGATAAAATGAAGTTGGAAGTGCTACTTGTGAATGTATTTGCTTGATTGGCAGACCTACGTTTTGTTTTAAATATCCCTGTCTATTCCTGGACTGGGAAGAGAGAGAGAGGTCTACGAATCAGGTGGACACACTCCGCATGAAAAGAAAATTCAACATAATTCTGTTGTACGTTTAATTTAAGGTTTTTTTTTAATGCAATACGCAATAGTTCAGCAAACTTTGTCATATGCTTGTCAATAATCTATGCTTTGTTGTCAATAAAAACTTTTGTATACCATCTTTACTGTTATATAATTCACCTATTGATATGGTTTGGCTCTGTGTCCTCACCCAAATCTTATCTTGATTTATACTCCCATAATTCCCATGGGTTGTGTGAGAGACCCAGTGGGAGATAATTGAATCGTGGGGCTGATTTCTCCCTTACTGTTCATGTGGTAGTGAATAAGTCTCACGAGATCTTATGGTTTTATAAGGGGTTTCTGCTTTTGCTTTTTCCTCATTCTCTCTCATTCCTCATACTCCATGTAAGAAGTGCCTTTTGCCTTCCACCATGACTGTGAGGCCTCCCCAGCCACGTGGACCTGTGAGTCCATTAAACCTATTTTTCTTCGCAGCCTCGTATATGTCTTTATCAGCAGCGTGAAAATGGACTAATGCATCTATCATTCAATTCACTCTTTTAAAAAGTAAGTTCTAATGTTCCATGGAGAATGGAGAATGTCTCCTGCACTTGAGAAGAATTTTCATTCTGCTGTGTTGGGTGAGGTGTTCTGTAGATCTTTGCTGAGTTTAGTTAGTTTACAGGTTTGCTCAAGTCTCCTCTTTCCCTGTTAATGTTTTGTTCAGTTCTATTCACAGAGTTAGGCAACCATCACCATAAACGCTTTTGGAACATTTTTCTCTGTCCGTAAGAAAGCCTGATATCTATTAGCAGCCACTCCCCATTTCCTTTTAATACCCCCAATCCTAGGCACCTACTAATCTACTTTCTGTTTCTAGAGACTTGCCTGTCTTGAACAATTTACATAAATTGGATGATACAGTATGTGTGGTCCTTTGTGACTGACTCCTTGATGTTTCCAAGGTCCATCAATGTTATAGTATATATCAGTGTTGCAGTCATTTTTATTGCCAAATAATATTGCATGGTATGACTATGCCACATATTTTTTATCCATTCACCAGTTGATGGACATTGGGGTTGTTCACCTTTTTGGGCTACTATGGATAATGCTTCTGTGAATATCCAAGAACAGGTTTTTGTGTGAACATATGTTTTAATTTCTCTTAGGTGTATACCTAGGAGTGGAATTGCTGAGTCAAATGGAAACTCTGACTATTTCAGGAACTGCAGAACTGTATTTTACACTTCTACTAGCAATGTGCAAGGGTCCCCATCTCTTCACATTCTCCTTGATACTTGTTATTATCTGTCTTTTTGGTTATAGGCATCCTAATTGGTGTGAAGTGGTATCTTATTTAGGTTTTGATTTTTATCTCAGTGATTGCTGGTGATGTTGAATTGCTCTTCAAGAATTTATTGGCCATTTGTATATCTTATTTGAAAAAAGTTTCTATTCAGATCATTTGATTAATTTTTGTTGGGTTATTTATCTTGTGTTACTGAGTTATAAGAGTTCTTTTTGGATCCTAGATAAAAGTTTTAAAAAAAATCAGTTACATGATTTGCAAATGTTTTCTTCCACTCTTTGGGTTGTCTTTTAGATTTATTGATAGTGCCCTTTGAAGTACAAAAGTTTTTAATTTTGATGAAATCAAATGTATCTTTTTTTTATTTTATTACTTGGACTTTTGGAGTCATAACTGAGAAACCATTGCTTCATCCAAGATTGCAAAAATTTACATCTATGTTTTCTTCTACGAACTTTAAATTGTTAGCTTTTATTTTTTAGGTCTATGATCCATTTGGAGTTAATTTTTGAGTATGATCAGAGAACATACTTGTATGACTTCCAACATTTTATATTTATTGGATTCTGTTTTATGCCACAAGACATGATGTATCCTGGAGATTTCCATGTGCACTTGAGAAGAATTTTCATTCTGCTGTGTTGGGTGAAGTGTTCAGTAGATGTCTGCTAAGTCTAGGTGGTTTATAGGTTTGTTCAGGTCCCCCATTTCCCTGTTCATCTTCTGCTTAGTTCTATCAATTATTAAAAATAGAGTATTGCCATGTCCAATTATTGTTTTTGAATTATCTTTTCCTTTTTTCAATTCTTTCCGTTTTCGATTCATGTATTTGAAGGCTCTGTTAGGTGAGTATATTTTCCACTTGTTATAGCCTCCTGATGAGATGACCCTTTTATCATTATAAAGTATCCCTCTTTATCTCTAGTAACTTCTTCTGTTGTTGTTTTCATGTCTATTTTTTCTCATATCAGTATAGCAACTCCAGCTTTCCTGTAGTTGCTGTTCGCATAATATACCTTTCTCCAGCCTTTTACTTTTAAACTATTTGTATTTTTCCATCTGAAGTGTCTCCTGCAGATACTGCATTAAAAGTTTGGAAAATCCAAAATGCGTATTAGTACTCCTTCTCTTCCAGGACCTGGATGGCCAGTAAAAGGAAGGGTCTACAGCCTCCGTGTGCGACTGGTTTTGCTGGTGGTGTAGACAGATTGAGGATGATGGATAGGGGTATTGTCTAAAAATACCTCTTCTTACCTTTGACTGAGAGTTGACAATATCATGGCAAGGTGAATTCTATCAGAAAGTCCTGTCTTCTAGTGGCTTTTAATATAAACATCAGAAAATCCATCCCTGTTCCTTAGGTACAACTCTTGTCCAGCCACAAGATATTCCCCTGAAATAGGAATCAGTGGTCTGCTGTATGAGTTTCCCTTTTATGTTTCTTTTCCACAGTTTGCAGGGTAAAAGATAATACTCCTCTAGTTTCCTTCTTTGTACTCCCCCTATTATCTTCTCATGCCATAAGCTCAAAAACCTATGTATTTTGGATACCTACATTGATTATATGTTTATATCTAAAATCCAACTAGAATAGTTAAACAATGATAGCAACAATAACAACAGCAATTTAATTAATTATTTAATTAAACTCATGATCTTGAATCTCAGCAACACAGACCCACCTGCATCTCCAGTGTCCATTCAGTGTCTATCTTATTCATGTATATGGAAGGTCTGATGGATTTATACTGATTTAATACTTTCTTCTTCTTCTTGTTTGAACCCACAAGCCCCATCCCGATGTCAGAATATAAATTTTTTTTTTTTTTGCTGGTCTTCTTTATGCACTTTGCTAGAATTTTCAACAGAAAGTTTCTATTATTAACAGCCAGTTGAATTCAGTAAGTATCTACCCTGCATGAAATATATAACACCTAGTACATGTGTAATATAATAATAATTTGTAATAAATAGTACCTGTTATATAGCCAACCTTATGAGAAAATGGGAAAACACACAAATAAACAAAACAAGTTTGAGCTTTCCAAAACTTATTTTTGAGCTTTACAACATGAAATTAATGTTACAGGAGGAATTAAATACTTTGGCTTTCCTCAGGCTGGTTCATATGTTCCATGTGTTGTTTCTTTACGTTTTAAGCTTGTGTTTATAAACCAGTCACCTTCAAGACCTATAATGCTGTTGCAGAATATAACAGTCATTTTCTATCAACTTAATTATAGCTTTGGTTTCATTGTTCACTGTGATAATTTGCTATGGGGAAATGACACATATAAATAAGCATATTTATTCAAAGCTCAGTAACTCACAATTTATGAAAATTTTACCAAGCCTATTTCATAGTGAATATCTAATAAGAAACTTGCTAATCTTCTTGCAATAAGGGCAAAAGAGAATAAGCTTTACAAAACAGATCATAATAATGTTATCCAGGCGTGGTGCTCACACCTGTAATCCCAGCACTTTGGGAGGCTGAGGCAGGTAGATCTCTTGAATCCAAGAGCTCAAGACTGGCCTGGACAACATGGCAAAACCTATTCTCTACAAAAAATACAAAAATTAGCCAGGTGTGGTGATGCATGCCTGTAGGAAGGCAAAAGTTGCAGTGAGCCAAGATGACACCACTGCACGCCAACCTAGGTGACAGAGCGAGACCCTGTCTCAAACTAACGAACCAACCAACAAACAAAAAAAATGAAAAACAACAACAAAAACCCTCTCATTATAACATGGATAGAAATTGTAGCATTATTTAGAAATTTTCAGAAAATAATACTGTTTGAAAACAGACTCCATGGCTTGATAAAAATACAAATAAATATTAACTACTTACAATCATAAGAAGTTTTACATGCTAAATATGAAATTAATTGTATAAAGTTCTGTATAAATCTATGGGTTAAAATGTACATCAATACAGAGAAGTTTGAATATTAATATTATGATACAAACTTTGTAGCTATTTTTAGAAATATTTTTTCATTGACATGACTAAAAATCACATTGCTAAGTAGACCTAAGATAAAATATGTCAATGTTGTATATTCTTTGCACATAAATCAAAAGAACCCATTTCAAGTGGTCTTTTTCACTAGTCTAAGATCAAACTGTTTTAGAATATTATAGTGGTATTATTTTGATTAGTTAACAAATACTATTATAATAAAAACATTTAATTCATTTGAGGCCAGTAGTATTTATAATGACAAAATTTACTTGGTAGTTATACTTTCTTCATGAAAATGAAACTGTAATATTTGGATATGTCAGCATTTATGCTACCTGTAGACTTTTCATTCATTTAACATACATCTAGGTGAAATGAATGAAGCTTTAGTTTTTCATGGAACTTCACTAAGATTTGATCAATTTTAAAATGCTGCTATTAATAATTCTGTTTAAGTATTAAACCCTTAATACTAACCACCATTAAAATATTTTCTATTTCTTAGATTCCATTAGTTCTTAGGTCTTATGAAAATACCAAATGAGGAAAAATTTTAACTGTTATGATAAACTTCCCTGCATATCAATAAAGACAATGAAAGGTGTTGCTATGGCTTGAATGTGTCCCCTAAAGTTAATGTGCTGGAAACTTAATTCCCATCGTATTAGGAGATGAGGCCTTCAGGAACTTATTAGGCCATGAGGGCTCTGCCCTTATAAAGGGATTAATGTCATTATCATGGGAGTAGGTTAGTTATCGCCTTTCCACCATGAGATGAGGCCCTCCCCAGATGTCTGGGCCATATTCTTGGACTTACCAGCTTTCAGAACCATGAGCCAAATACATTTCTTTTATAAATTACCCAGGCTGTAGCATTCTGCTATAGCAGCAGAAAATGAACTAAAACAGGTATAAATATACAAAAACACAAAAGCATTTAAAGTATCTGTTTTCCAAAGTCAAACACATACTTTAGGGGGCCATAAAGATTAATAATATGCATTTCCTGTCTTCTGTGAGCTCATAATTTAATAAAGAGGATACATATGCCACATACACATAGAATGTCAATCAATGTAAGATATAGAACTGTAACAGAGATTAAAAGGCACATTGGAGATTAAAAGGCACATAATCAGAGTCAAAGAAACATTTATTTCAGGAATCAGGGACATTTATAGACTGTGGCATTTAATTTGAGGTTTGATGGTTTGGTAGAATTTCTTAAGTGGACAAAAGAGAAATAACATCTCCCCTGAGGAAACAGCACAAGTAAAAACAAGTATGAAATTGTACACTATGTTTCAGTAGCAATTAATTATCCAGTGTGCCTGCAGCTTAGATAGTGTTCTGTAGGGAGATGGATGCTGCTTAAAGAATAATGCAAAGCTTAAAAGTGCCTCTTAACAGAAGCTCTTGAGTTTCATAAGGAGGATTTTGGACTCTATAGATAAATATTTCTGAGTAAAGGTGTAGTGTGTCACAGTACATCACAGGATATAATTGTGCGTTATTGATATATTAGATACATAATATACATAATTTATGAATAATATATACATAATTTATGAATAATGTATGTTTGCACATATAAGTGGAGAATTGTACAGAAGTTAATCTGGTTCTAGAGAAGAGGACAGAATAGAGAGGCAAGAGATTAATGAGAAGATTGACCAATATGCGAAAGCAACATCTCTATGGAGAGACTTTGAAGATCTAGTTCACAGAATGACTTTTTTTGCATGCAAAAAAGAAGAACAGGATGGGACAGACTTTGAACTGCATATTGACAGGAGTTTGTGACTGATGGAATGAAGTAAATGTGAGAGACAAAGCAATCTTAGAGAAGCATGATGGCTTAGCTTGGGTTATAAAAATAATGATCTGCCAATAACCAAGACAAGAACGGAAGAAGATTTTTTGAAAAATAATGTTAGCTTTATATCTACCCAGTTTAAGATGTTTTCAGGACATTTGTGTATAAATATAAAAGAAGCTATTGGAAACATGGATATCAAATTAATTAAGGAGATCAACAGAAATGTATAGACTTAGGGCTTATCTGTATAGAGGTGATGACAGGTAGTTATGGGAAAGAACCTAGAGAGCAAGAAGAAAAGAGGAATGGTGCCCGAATCTGGGAGAGATAGACTTCAGGATGGCCAGTCATTGAATGAGGGATGAAGAGACTCTGAGATAAATTGTTAGTGACAGAGAAGGAAAAGTGCTAAGGAATCATTATAAAAGGGCAGGAAAATGGCAATTACATGACTGTTTAAAAGTGTCAAATTTGAGGAGATATTGAGTCATATGTAGAGTATGGGTTTTCCATTGGGAAGAGGTTGTTGGTCTTGGAGAAAATAATTTCTACAGAGATGGAGAAATGAAAAAGAAACCAATTTGATCATATTTAGGAAAGAGGATTGGTAAGGAAGTAGAAAATGTAAATTTCTTTCTAGGAAAAATTTGAGAGAAGAAAGCTAGATGAAATAGTAGTATGATGCGGTCCTAGGATATGCATAAATCAAGGGGAAAAAGTGGTAAAATAGGAGAGAAGAAGAAAGGAGAGAGAGAGAATGGAAATGAGAGACATGATAAGATTAAAACTCTGATGGAGTGATTTGCCTTAAAAGGGGTAGAACTATTTCTTCCTTGAGACAGAATGCAGTTGATAAATGAGGATAAAAGAAAAAGGTGAGGTGTGATTGAGAAATCTGGTGGACGTTTCCATGAGTATGGATTCTGTTTTCTTAGACACGTGTATGGGTGGACTATAGTGAACGTTCTATCTGGGAAAGACATGATGAGGATATAAAGTGGGCGTGATATTAAGATCTCATACAAGACAGTTAATTATAGCAAAAATAAGTCTTCCAAAAATTGAGGGCACATTTCATGCTTCCCCAAGGTGATAAAGACCACCAGCCAACAACTGCCAAGGGCAACCTTTGCATTTTAAATTTGCTGTGCAGAAAAGGAAGCACACCCTATGTGAACAGTGGGTGCGTCAGTTAGAGGGAGGAGAAAAGGGCTTTTCTAGAGTTTGAAATTTTGCTGAATTATGGTACATATAGTGTAAGTGAAGTGGCAAATGCCTTCACATTGGATATTGTCATGAGACAGAGTCTTTACAGTAACTGCTTATCTCAGTAATTGTTCAAGAGTTGGGAGGCACTAAGAGGGGTAGGAACATCATTGGAAAGAAAGCAACGATTGCACAAGAGGAGGGATGATGTGGCTTGAGAAGACAGATGGTTAAAACAGCCTTGTCCACGTCTAGGTAAAAACATATTTAGGTCATGGCCTGATTAACCGCAGTATGAGAAGTGAACATAGGATTGGGGTTCTGTTTCTTTGCAAACTAGATAATGAAGAGAAATGTGAAATGCTGAATCCCCAAACTCCATATCTGAAACTCTGCACCTTATTTAAAATTGAATCTGCTTCCCTGAGTCAAAGTGACTCCGGTGGCTCGGATTTCTAGAGTGAGTTGTTTCTTCTTTAGTCATAGGTTTTCACTGAAAATTTTGTATAGTTTATGATTTCAGAAAACAAGGTTTGTTAGCCCTATTCTTGAAGTTCATATAAGCAGGTCTGCATAGTCACAGGCCTATTAGTAACTTATTTCCAGGAGTGACAGTGGTTTCTGTATAGGACCATCTAGTGAAAAGGCATTTCGATTTGGATGTGTATTGCAAGGTTTCTTGATCTCCCTCCCAGTTATGTGTAATATTATGATCTGAGGCAGGGAGATACATTTTGTGAGATATCGGGAAGTAAACTTCCAAACTGCCTTTTCTTTTACTGCATAGCTTTCCACTTTGTTCTCCTAATCTATCTAAGCAGTCATTTTTTTTTTTTTTTTAAATCTGTATAGTGGAAATTTGATCACAGCTAAAAGTTGCGCAAATAGGAAAATACAGATAAGAAAGATCACTCCCTCTTTCAGCTACACTTTCTTTTCTCGAGTCATCAGTGTTTCTGTAAAAGCCTCTGTTCATAGTTGATGTGCATAGCAAGAAGAGCTATTGAAGTTAAGATTACCCTGTTGTGCAGGAAGTCAGGAGAAGGAAAGACAGATTTTAATAAGCCAAAAGTAGGACAAATCTTGGGAAAAATGTGCAAAAAACTAAGTGAAATTTATATTCTCTAGGGGAAAAAGATAGATATTCCTTTCATATGGAAGAATCTTTTAAAAGTTGTCAGAATTAGAATGGAGTCACTTGTGTTTCAAGCCTGACAGATGGAGCCGAGAAAGGTTAAGAAGAGAGGATTCTCACTCATGTATGCCTGATAACAAGGCTGCCACAAAAGACTCTGCAAAACCTATAACCCACAAAGGCTACTGCAACCTTACAAAAATATATATACTTCTGTGAGTGCATCGGCCCCGCAACTGCCTGTCCAACCTTGGACTGATGCCACCCTTGTTATCGATTCTTGTAGCCAAGTATAATTGTCTCACAACAACTTATGTAACCCTCCTCATTTTTCTCTTAAAGATTCTTGCCTCCCTTTACCTCCTGGAACACACTCACATATATTCCCATTGCAATGCCTATTTCCAAATAAATATAATTTTCTTTTATAGTCTTCCTCTCTGTCTGTTACTTAGGCTTGGCAATCTAAATAAATATCATAAAGATTTCATTGTAAACATTGTTTGGTACAGTCATTTATATGGTAGTCCGTGTGAGCTGTTCCCCATGGGGTATATATCTAGACTGCAAAAACATTTGCGTTTTACAATACCCCTGCAAATTAGCAGTCATTATGGTCCCCTTTGATAAATAAACTAAATGAAGCCTGAAGAGAAAAAAGTAATTTTCCTAAATCAGACAGCCTGTTAATGAGAGAGACCTAGAACTCACCAGATAACATTTGCTTCTGGCATAAATTATTATTTGTAGAAGGAACCACATTGAAATATTTTGAGTTCATTTATCATTGGTACATTTTCCGTGTTATCACAATAGTTAGGTAATGCAGTGTGGAAAGAATAATATAAAATCTACAAGTGCTTCTTGGCTGGCAGCCATCTACTGGCTCAATGACTTTTCCTGTTGTTGAAAACTAATGCTCATCAGCATTGAAAATTTTCACATATTGGTGTGTCATTTTAGACATTTGCAAATAGTTCCCCTATTTGAAGTGTTAAGCCTTTTGTTTTTACTGCTTTGATTTTATTAGTTCTTGCAGAGTCATCCAGGTGTAGTAATATTATACAAAAATGCATGACAGTATATTTTTATGCATGGTAATAGTTGGTATTTAGTTGTGCATATTATATCTTAGATATTGAAAATAATATTTTGCAACAATACAAACTTTTACGAAGCTGAATAAACACATTTTCATATCAATATAATCATATTTACATACTGAATATTTTATAGTTGAATTTAAAAAGGATAAGTCATTAAGGGATTAATAATGAAAGAATGTGAATATACTATTATGTACTTTTAGAAGTGCATGTCAGTATTTGGTATTTTAATAAGTGTCTACTGGCGTGATATTTAGAGTTTCAAACACATTGGAATTCACCAAAATAGAAAATAAGATGGACCAGCCAAAAATTGTTTTAACTTTGAAGAAGAATTATAGAATGTCTACCAGCAAATGTAATTTAATTTATAAGAATGATTTAGAAAGAAAAGAAATGAAGCATGATGCCCATGAATCAGGGGTTTTTAAGTATATGTTATTGATTTATTGCATTGAAACTCTTGGGGTTTAAACAAAACAGCTATTAAAAAGTCTGTTTTCCGTTTCTTGTAGTTGGTTGGAGAAACATTTGGTAAATAAAATGCAAAGATTTCAGTTTCATTGGAAACTATCATAATCCTAGGTCAGGGATTATGGAGTGACTTTTTGAAGAATTATTCTGAAAGTACATTTCAACTTTTCTCATCAACTTAGTGTATTGAATCAACCTTATGTATAGACATTTTTTGCTTTTCTGACCAGATGTCACATTTTGACACCATATTTAAAGATAAATTAACAGTCCCTTGCTGTTCAAAGCTCATCATATTTTCTTATCATTTCTAAGTTACGTGAGAGATTAAGAAATGGACAAAATATGTAATTGGCTTTTTAAAAAAATAGGTGTGTCTGAATGTTCATTTTTTTTCTGGGGTTCTTTTCTGATGTAATTTCTTTAATTTGATCTAGAATGTTTTAACATTTCCGTCTTTTAATGTTTTCATAAATACTGCAAGTATTTCATCTTCCTCACAATTGAAAAGGTCAATATTTAAGCCACATCAGTAGTGACTACATTAAATTACCTGAAGGCACAGAATATTTTAAAACTGTAGGCAACAGAACCCAGGAGCACAGCAGAGTCTTTGGTATTGGAATCTAGGTCAGCCCTCTAAAACGCATGTGCCTTCCCAACCATTGCTTTTTCTCTCTAGGTCACTTCGAGGTTTATATGCTTCCTTCAAATGCTTGCAATCTGAAACTGTTACAAAAGGGATGAGGTTTCTGAATCTTTCTTCGTTTCTTTCTATATAATTCTACAAAATCTTATTTAGAACTATGAATGACAGTAAGAAAATATTTAAGGCAACACTTTTTTTAAACCTACAGATGTTGGGATTGACCTTTTAATTTGGTGCATCATATTTTTTCCGTGATTTTGTGATTAACAGCCCACAGGCTTTAGGGATCTGGGCGGAAGAAGCCACAGGTGAAGGCCAGCACCAACACTAGTGAGAATTGTTACCAGTTCATTAAGAAGACACTTGCAAAATGTATATTCAAGACTTCCAAGATTGTAGAAAATAATTTATTTCTGTGTACATTTGCTCCTGTGATCGCTAATTGAAGGTAACCGCACATAGGATTAAATAAAGCATCCCATTTCTCAATTTAATATTTATTTACTCATGTAAGTTAGACATTTTGAAACCATGCTTTTTTTTCTGATGGAATAAAGCAAGGGTCATAAGAAGGCAGATAAACTCTGCAGTGGATTATATTCCCTCCATTTCTATCCCTCTGTAAGAACAAAAGAGCTCCTGGGAGAGTGGGGAATGCATGTGTTTATTTTCCAATTATTAAGGAGTAAAATTATCTTGGACATCCTAAAATATCATCTATGCTTCTTCCGTAAGCATAGAAGTGACACAATGCATAGACAAACATGTCTGAAATAACAAGTACTGATAGCATTGATAGGTTTTTGGCTCACTTGAGGGTCAATTATTGATGATATATATGCAAATTTAAGGAGACTGCATATCATCTGTAAGAGTAAGCGCTGAGAAATCTTTAAAAAATAGTGAAGTGACCTATGAAATTTACTTACAGTAAAATGTACTTAATGTCATTTTTAATGTTACATAATTAGACTCATAAAACATAAACCTAGGATAATTACACTTCTGTAAACATATTTCAATTACTGTTTTTAGTTGCTTGACTTGAGAGTGATTATCTTATGTCAGGTGTCTAGGTCACCCTCCAAGTCAGTGACATATATTCAGTGACCTAAATTGTGCTATATTTATGGTATTTAAATTATGATGCATGTTATTGTCTTCAATTACTTAAGTCCCAGTAAATGTAATTTGAAGCAAAATAATTATGATTAAATATATAAGGCACAGTTTATCTGCTTACATTAACAAAGAAGTATTTTGTTTTCTATTTCTTGTTCAAAGCAAAAATTCCTGTGGTTTGAACAGAAATATATATACTTTTATAGACAAATGAACAAATTTGAGTTACTCTGGTATTGTTCATTACACCACAATCTTTCAGTGCATATTGAATTCTAAAGATTATAATATCCACATATTATCTTTCAAAATGGCTGATATGTCCAGACATTCCGAGTGCCCTCATACTGAGAAGAGTGTGACAGTGTGCCGATATTCTCCTGTGGGGAAAAAGAACACATTCAGTGCAAGTACCTGCTGAGCGCCACCCACTGCATGCTGGGTCTTGGTGAGGTGAGGAGTGCCACAGGATGGAGGGATGTTGTCCCTGTCTTCAGGGAGCTTGGGGACTAGTCCAGGACTTTCCACTGCAGGGAGCTAGAGTGAGGGTATGAGGAGGATAGGACACATGTTTATAGTGGCAGAGACCAGAGAAAGTTCTCAGAGAAAAAAAAAAAATGGCCTCTGAGCTCCAGCCTCAAGGAAAGGGAAGTGGGAAGGAATGAGAACTGGACCGTGTCTGTCTTTTTCTCTCTGTCTCCCCAGCACTAGGGAAGCACTGGAGCATAACTGATGCTAAAGGTATTTTTAAATGAATGACTAAAGAGCATACCAGACAGAAGATGGGCGTGAACAAGGTCTTGAAGACAAATTGCGCCTTTCAGGAAGGATACCTGCTTGGATCAAGGTGGACAGGCGAGAGAAAAGCCCAGGGTGTGGGTTAGGCACTTGTAGGCAGGATTTTAGAAAGGACGCTTATGTTCCTGTTTAGGAAAGATAATTCCAGGAAAGTAGAAAAGAGGACACAATTGTGACACTGGGGTGGGGGAGTGGGCCGGATGTGGCAATTGACTGTGATGCTGGGTACAGGGAAGGAGAAGTCAATGGAACTACATTTTCTGTCTTAGGCAATTCACTGAGATTGGGCCGAAATAATAGAAGCAGCTCCATGGTGCATGGACTGACTCTGGGAGCCAGTATTTAAATCAGGCACTGTCATTTTACCTGTGTGTCCTTGGGCAAGGCACTGCCTCCTCTGAAACCATCGTGTTATTAGAGTTAAATTAATTAATTCAGATGCAATTGCCTGGTTTATAATGGTGCTCATTAACGTTTATTAAATTTGTTGTTTAGGGACTCATTTTATTTGTACTTAGTTTTACAAATCAAAACCATAAATGAAGCAACTCCCCATACTTCTGGGGTAACTTTTCTAAGGGAACTTTTTAGCTCAAAGAGTTCAGCCTTTGCCTGGGGAAGGTAATCGCTCTGCACTGGAAAACATGATACAATTCTGTACAAAAAGAACAGCAAAATAAAAACGTGATATTTTAAAGATGAAAAGTTTTCATCAAATATTTCTTAATGATTTTGACCCTGAATATTATGATGCCATTTTTTTTAAAGGTTCTTAATCCATGTTAGGTCACAAAATAGTAATTGGACCTTATAAAATTACTACTTTTGAGCAAGATGCCAGTTGGCTCTCACTAATATTTTCTAGAAACCAACTAGAATCCTAAGAGAAAAATTGACCACGTTATATTTAATATAGAAATATAATGTCATTAAATTTTTGTAATTGCCCTTAGAATTCGTATCAATATTGTTTACCTATTGGATCCAGTCTCCTCAGGTTTTCTAGGCCATTTGTTCGCTTCTTTCAAATAATAGGCACAGCTCAGCTACCTTCCTTCAGAGAGGGCAGGGCCATTTCTTTCATGTCTGCGATGGTCATTCCCTAGTAGCACAATGCTAGAATTTAGAAAGTGCTTAGGAAGTATTTTTGGATAACTGAATATATAAACGAATGACACCAAAATTGAGATTTTTCAGGCAGTTGTGTGCAAGAGATTTTTCCATTTCTACCCAAAGGGTGCTGACCAAGGCTTGACCATCCAGCACAATTGAATTTACTGGTCATCGAATAACCATTCATGTGACCCCAACTTTCCCTTGAGATTTTTTTCTTTAGGGCTATTAAGTAAATTATCATCCTCAATCTTAAAGGTAAGCATTCAAACTAATAAAATGTAGTAATGGGAATGGTATAAAAATGGCTTTTTCTTTTTTATTCTGTCTACCACGTTCAGCAATTTTTATTTATTCGTTCAGTTATCCTTCTACACCCTAACATTTATTTTATATATACTCTCTACTAAGCATCATGCTGGGTATTACACACTGATATATAAAAAAACATGGCTCTTGTCATTAAGGAACTTGTTCTGTGCATCTCTTTTCCATTCTGGGAACTATGTCTCTAGCAGTTTTGGGCTTCAGTAAATTTTAAATGATTGATGGAAAAATGAAAATTTAAAAAGGGTTACAGAAAAAAATAAGCATACAATAATTTTTCTAAGATTTGTAAAATTGCAAATTACAAGAAGAAAATATACATGCACAATGTTTAGAAGGCCATAATTTATAAATAATATGATTTTGGTATTTTTAGTGGTATGTTTAACAATCTGAAATATATACAAGTAAATTAAAGGCTGTAAATGGAAAAATAAAACTATCCCAAAGTCATGTTTAGGAAGGAGTAATTTCGTCATTTCTACTTTTGGTAATAAAATATTTTTCTAGAGGTATCTACACAGCAAACTAACTTATAGTAATGTGAAGTGAGTAATTGGTGAAAAATATAGGGAGAGTCTTACAAATTGAAATGAAGCAATTACAAAAATTATTACACAAACAAATGATGGTTTACATTTATATTTGACACAAATGTCTTCTGTTTATCAGAGAAGAGACATTTAGCAACTTTTTGTTAATAGGATTTTTATAGCAAAGAGACTTTCATCTTGAGGTGTTTGCATAGAACAGGTTTCACACGTTTCTTTCTTTTTAAAAAATTTCCAAATTCTTACCTAAAATCATAGGCAAAAAACATGGTTCCTTAAACTGCTGATACACAGACAGTCATAGAATTTAGACCGTGAAATGTGTGAAAGGCAGAGGGTAATTCGGAATCATTTCATTCAACCGGTGCAGCGCTGGCTGTGCGAAGAGGAAAGGGGAAGGAAGAAGGCGACTCGGAAGGCTGTTTATGCAAATGTTCATGGCCAATTTTAGAGAGCGACTGAGTAGACTTAGTTCATCCTGGTGAAACATTTTTGAAATTGCTCTCTATCAATGTTAATTAGGATATGAAATTAAAATCTGCTCATATCCAACTGAATATTATGTCAGCAATATAGGGCACATATTTAGTTGGCCCCGACAGGATTCTAATTTTCTGCAGTCAGTTTCTAGGAAAACCTTGTAAGGAATGGATGCACTGATTTATATTTTCCATTGACAGCTGCCAAGGCTCTACCAAAACCATCTGTCTTATTATTATTGCCTTTTACTGAATTTCGTTGAAATTTCTCATATATAAGAACACCACCCGAGCATTGCCTCTGACTGTGTTACAATTATGCCAGCCTCCTTTAGTAATTGCTCAACTATTCAAAACCTTTCTTATAAATATTTTAAAACAAATCGACATCATCCTAGTACACCATTTAATCCACTGTCCTAAAATATCTGGGCGATGTCTTATTGCTATGCTTTCTATGCATGGGTACCTCAGAAGAAAAATTAGCTATGAGACAGTGTTCTAATGATATAATTATATTCACTCATCTAGAACGTCTAGAATTCTGTGACAGCAAATGGCACTCTTATAGTTCTCAATACTTCCCTAACAAACATCTTAATGCTACGCTATGTGATGTACCTTTGTGTTTTGTATTGATCTGTAGAAAAATCTGCTAAGTAAAGCAAATGAAAGCAAGTGTTATTTAAGGACATTTAAATAGTTTAACTGACAGATTGTGTAGGACTTGTAGTGAGATAAATTATACAAACTAATTTCCTTGAAATGCGATTGAGGAAATTGAATTAGTATAAGATAGTTCATTGATAGAAGAAGTTCTGAATGTCATCTGTCAAATAAAAGGCTTTGTCTCAATTATCTATAGCTTATTATTTGAGCAAGAGACATCATACTATAACTTAAACCAAGTAATGCTTGGTTTAGGGGATGTTATTTCATTAGCAACTTAGAAATTACCTGTACTATATTTAAATATAATAAACTATATTATACACTGTATTATATATTATATCATATATTATATAATTATAACATCTTATATGTATTATATGATACATAATATATTTTATTACCAATAAAATACAATATGATGTATTATATATTATATATCTTATATGTATTATATAATTATATAATATATATATTATATTACATAATTTATTATATATTGTATATTATATTAAATACAGTAAACTATACTTATTACTATGAGACTTAAATTAGTTAATTCAGATGCAAATGCTTGGTTTATGATGGTACACATTGAAGTTTATTAAATTTGTTGTTTAGGGACTCATTTTTATTTCTATTTAAACTTAGTGTAGTTTACTATATTTAAATTCATTTTACTTAATTCCATGAGTGTAAATCATGACAGAACTCCTGAAAAAGTGATATGATAATAATAACAATAAAAATACGATAAAATCATTCAAGTTGGTTTTCTACACAGTGTCAAATTTGCAAGTAAAGTATCTTCAACAATCTGCTTTGCTCAGTCTTTAATTTTCATGTTCACGACAGCCAGGCAAAGTGCAATTGTAAATGACACCTGAGACAAAACTTCAGACCACACTCTGCTTCCCTTTTCTTTGTATCTTTCTCTTTTTTCTCTTCCTTAGTTCTGTATTTCGACCCACCAACAATTATCAACTACATGCTCCTTAAGTGCGGAGATTTCAAAAGAAGAATTAGGCATAGTTTGGTTCTTCAGAATAAACATTAGCACCTCCCTCTCCGCCCTTTCTTCCTTTTCTTCATCCTTGTTTTCTTCCTCTCTCAATATTTTTTTCTTTTTCCAGCTTTCTTCAATCCATTTTGCTTCCTCATACATTCCTGTTTCTCTACAGTAATTAGTTACAAAATATGTAACTGAAATTCTAGAGATTTTTCACCTGATTTTTTGTCATTGTTATTGCTGTTGTGTTTACCTTCCTCTACAAAGTAAAGGGAACCTGAAAAATATCTGGAACCCCGAGGTTGCTCTTTTGCTTTCATCCACTGACCTAATCTTAACACACTTTTCAAATTATCAATATTCTTTTGATTGCTTTTTGTCTTTAAACATTTTAACATCTGCAGTTTCTATTCTTAAAGCATCTAATAATCAGCCCATAGATCCTTCTACCATAAGATTTATTATAAGCAAAACAAGCCTTTTAAAAGGTAAGAATTATTTGTAAAAGTGAATTGTGAGTGCAAACTTCTTGTTTCTAAGCAATGATGGTGGTGTTTGGGGGGATGTGATGTAGAAAAGCTGACTTCATCATTTCCATGTTCAAATATATGAGGAAAAGAAAGATTCAAGAAAACTGGTGTTTACTGAGTGTATATCATGTACGTGGCATTGAGCTCAGTGAGCACTTTCCCACATATCACCTCATTTACAGGCATGTCACTTTCATCTCCGTACCTGCAAGGGATCTTCTGCTGAGCCAGCCTCATAAAAGGAGCTGTAAACAGGGCACAATGAGAGGAGTCTGTGGCTAAACCAACATAATATTTTAAGATTTTGTAATGCATGCTTTCATATCCCTACAGAGCTGTTAAAATCACTACAGGAAATGTCTGACGCCACACTCATTTTTTCGAGGCTTCCCTTGATCTACTGTGTGTGGATTAGGTACTAAGTAGAAGACAGTGGATATACAGTGTTTAAGGGCAGAGGCTTTGGGGAATGAGCAAGCCGATGTGGACTACTAAGTCTGCAATTTCCGGGTCACAGGACTTGTATTATATAGGGCTCTCTAAGGCTCAGTATTTCTCTAAAATGAGACTAATTATAAGGCACTTGTGAGCTTAAAAGAGAAAACATAATATTCCTGACATATATAGGTGCTCAAAAGGCTACGATGTATGTGTTTACTGTTATTTCTATTTTGAAAAAGTTGCGTTTTGTTCTACAATATTTGGGGGCAGTTTGTTTTTCCTTATTGCCAGGATTTCATGGACTACAGACTGTATTCAAAGTAGGACTTAGCTAGAAAGACTTAGCCTGCAAATGAAGTATTGTCTTATCTCATAGTGGCAAACTCTATTTAGAAATGCTTAAGACAAAACTGTAAATACATTCCAAACTGATAGAATTTTTGGTCTGAATTCCTTGGGGTTGTTTTCTAATAAATTAAATTGTAATCACTTGTTAATCTGCTTCTTAAATATATTTCAAAATTCAGAAGAAAAGGTGAGGAACACAAACACGAGAACTGAAGTAAAGGAAGGATATATAAGATGATAGGGAAAGAAAGAAGAGATTGATAAGGGAAGGAAAGAAGAGATTGATAATAATTGTGCTACCTCAACATAATATTGTAACATTTTGCAATTCTAGTTTCAGAAAATTCTGTTAATATATTAGAGAATTTTTGTTATTAATTTTATAAATAGCATCTCAATTCTGAATGGAAAATGTATTAACCTCTAGAGAGAAGAAGTTAGCATACTAAACTGGCAACATATATTTAATGTACATTTTACTAATTGTGCCCTCTGAAAAGTAATTTTGCATGCAAAGGACAAGAAAATACACAAAACTAAAATTGGCTGCAATCAACCATTGATATTCTCTACTCATTGTTGTTGAATGGACAGATGCCGTAGCGCCCCATATTCCAAAGAATGAAACCAGAAAGCCTAAATCATGGGGAAAATTATGAATCCTTTATTATACATCATCATGTCTCTGTGGCCAAAAATATTGGTTTTCATAGCATAGCAATATACCTGAATACAATCTGCTTATTCCAAGTTGAGGAAAATGGGATATGCTGTTTAAATTGGTTCAAATTGCTTTCAAATTTTTTAAATGTAGAAAAGAAAAGCCATCTTGGGCCATTTATATTAAAATGCATTTCATTAGTTCCATTGAAAGTATTCTTAGGTCAAGAATAGAAAAATAACAAAAAGTATGGTTCACATTTGTTATTCAAATATAAGATTGATTCTTTGGATTGATAAAATTTTTTTTTTTACTTTTATTCTTTTTATCTTCCCCAAAATTAGATATTTGAAAATAAATTAAATGAAATTTATCTTCAAATATAAAATCTGAAAATCAACAATATTTTAGCTTGTGAGTTTCATTCATTCTTCAACCAGACTGGAACGTCCATGAAGATGTGTTGTGTTCATTGATAAAGCCCCAGTGCCCAGAACACTGACTCATGTATCGTACATTCTTAGTAAATATTTGTGGATTACTTACTAAGCAAATGTTTATACAGACTGGGGTTGAAAAACAGGAGGTGGGCCGGGCGCGGTGGCTCACGCCTGTAATCCCAGCACTTTGGGAGGCTGAAGCAGGCGGATCATGAGGTCAGGAGATCGAGACCATCCTGGCCAACACGGTGAAACCCCCTCTCTACTAAAAATACGAAAAAAAAATTAGCCGGGCATGGTGGTGGGCGCCTGTATTCCCAGTTACTGGGGAGGCTGAGGCAGGAGAATGGCATGAACCCGGGAAGCAGAGCTCGCAGTGAGCTAAGATTGTGCCACTGCACTCCAGCCTGGGTGACAGAGCGAGACTCCGTCTCAAAAGACAAAGAAAAGAAAAGAAAAATGGGAGGTGATGAGGAATAGAAATGTAAAAATAAAAAAACAAAACGCCATGCTCACCTGTCAGAGTCAAGGGAGCAAGGGGATCTGGTGGAAGGAAACACGATCACCTCCTGGCTCAGAAAGCTTTTTGGTGGCCATGATCTTTGAAACAAACATGGGGTTCATGAGCAGCTGGAGTACATTTCAGGTTGTGAAGGGCATGCATTTGTGGAAATGGCTGAGGAAGTTTGGTGTTTTGTGGAGAATAAAGGTATGAGTATGACAGAAGTATTGGGCACGTGTAAAATATGGTAAAATAAGGTGATGGAAGAGTATGAGTGTGCCAGAGGTTAGTATTCTCTGTTAAGGAGTTTTTCTTCATTCTGTAATTAGAGGGGTGTCGTTTATGTTTTTATTCAGGTAAGCCTAACTGATAATTCAGAATGATATTTTAGAAAAGTACTCTGATAACGTCATGGAGAATAAGTTGGAATGGGGACTGTTGGGAAGATAGCAGGGAGGTATTTTATGATTGGTGAAGGAGGAAGGACCACCCTAACAGCATAGAGAAGTAACACCAACATGCAGGGAAGGGGAACGACACAAAGGATCAATAAAGCAGCGAGAGTAGTACTTTCAGACTTATTAATAACTGTTGGAAGAAATACAAATTTCACAGAAATTTTAGATGGAGTTGAAATCACAAAATATAATTAAATCTTGACCAGTGAAAAGTGATATTAAATACATCTCAATCATTTGTTCACATCGAATGAGAGAAAATAAAAATGCTCAGAAAATAATGAAGGCAAAAAGATTATCTTAAAACAAAACATTACACAAAAGTATTACATCAAGGCCTCCAAAATTCAATTAATGAATGTAGCTGAGCAATCCCAGAAAAATAAAAGATAAATGTTGACAAATTGGATGTTATTTGATGTGAACAAAAACTATTGTGAATTTATTACCGGGCTCAAGAAGTTAGAAGACCCAAACTACATAAAACACATGAAATGAAATCCTATAATTATGGCTTTAAATTTGAAGAGGGAAATATATTTAAGGGGGATTATTAATCTATACATCACCACACACAAAGATTACCTTATATTAGCATTAAACCTGTTGGATTGTTAAAAAATGCCTTAACCATCAATATTTGATTTCTTTAAAAAATCGTGGCTTAGGACTACAATAAGACACTCACCAATATCAACACTGAGATCCCTTAAGCCTAGTAGTATTCAATCTGCTGTGATAGGTGATTTTTCTCCATATTCAAACAGAGAATAAGAAAATAAAGAAAAAATGTATGTTTAACAAGGCAAGAGAATGGTGTTTGGGGATTATTCCTCACTGCTATTGGCATAACACAATGCTACTGAGATGAAACTAGAGAAGAATAATTTCTTTTATGTTCAAGGGACAGTATAGTTAGTGAAATAATGGAAACGTATGTTAAACTTCCATTCATAGCTAACTTGTGATAACTTTGCTTGCAAATTGTAAAATTCAAATGCTATATAAACTATAGTATTATTAAGGATAATAACAATGATAATTATTGTATACAGCATTGTGCTAAGATAAATGGAATACCTGGAGATCCTGCAAGAACAAAGCCTTCTACCTTCTGAATTTTGAGCTGATTTGAAGAGAGTAGCTTTTTACAGAAAAGCGTAAAGGATTTTCTTCCAGCAATTTGGACCTAACTTGTTAAAATGGCAGAACTGTGAGGTTCTAGGAGGAAGCACAACTTTAAACTAGAGAGGGATGGACTGATTTGTTTAATGACACTTTCCAATCTCTGTGTTAAGGTGAAAAAAAAATAGCACCTAACTCAGTAAGTTACACGTGAATGATGAGGCTTTGTAAAATTTTTCCCTTCCCCAGATCAGTGGCTTTCCCCCCTCTTTCTTTGCAAGATGTGTATTGATGTTTTTTGTTTGTTTGTTTTTGGTTGTTGTTGCCTGAGAATGAGAAAATGAGATTGACCTAAATTTAGCTTGGCTATGTTTTATTTTATCCAGAAACACAGGCATGGTTTGTAGTTACGCTTGCATTCTGAATAGAAACTGCGAATGCATGTGTCTAACATTATCTTAGCTAATTTTTACCCATTTTACTTAATGTGTATTCTTTTTTACAATTACTTTTGTATGCAAATAAACATCTTATGAAATTAATGTGTATACACATTAATGTGCCTCTTAAATATTTTTTTCTTTTTGTCCTCATTATTATACTCTCAGGCAATAAGGTAATCAGTACATCAAAAGATTTTCTTATCTCTTCAATGTTAGAAGAACTTGTTCAGAAAAATATTTGCCTTTTATTAAAATAAACCAATTATTTTGTGTAATTTAAACATAGCTTTAGACATGACTACATTGTACAAACGTTCACATTAGAACTCAAAAAGGACAGATAAAAATAATTATTCAGTGCTTCCTATGTGGTAGAAGTTTGCTTTACAGTATCTGAAATTCCTACAATGATCCTGTAATAGAGTTGCCATTATTCCTAATGTCCTATAGGTAGGAAATGGGGATGATAGGTTTTTTTTTTTTTAACTCAATTATGTGGACTTTAAGAATACTTGTAGAAACTGGCATTGCATATCAGGTGTTAATAGGATTCTTTTTTTTTCTTTTTTTGGTGGGTGAAAATGTTTTTTTGTTTTTCAATAATATAATATTTTGACATATTGTTAAGCATTATAATTCCTGCAATAAAAAAAAAAAACACTGCATGCTAGTTAGAGAACAATAGATTTACCCTGTCATCATTAACATTCTCATACCTTGTCTCCCTCTTTCCAGTTCAAGGGCTGAGCAATTCTAATAGTACCGGGAAAAAAGGACTCAACGATTATTCAAGAGGGACAAGTCAAAAGCCTACAGGAAAATAACCCTGGTTTAGATTGGAAAGGAAAAGTCAAGTTAGAGACGTAACCAGGGGCTTTCATGTTGAATGTAAAAGTGGCAGGCAGCTGTTCTTGTTCTTCATTTCCAAGGGCATAGAACAGGAAATGAGGTGTAAGTTGCAGTCCCGTGGATCCAGGTTAAGTATGAATTGGCTGTAGGTTACATATAAATTGGCTGTGGGAATCATTTACATAAATAAGACATTTAACTCTTTGACTGAACATATTTTAAAACAGTGAAATTCTCTCTCCTGTTTGGAATGGTTTACGTTTTACCTTGCTGTGAAGTAAGAATGAATAGGTCTACAGACATATTGTCCTGAGGGTGCTTGATCTCATCTGAAATAAGAGTGAATAAGATGAGTTAGTGAAATTCATAGTCACACTCATTTTATTCTTCAGACAATTTCAAGCAACTTTCAAAGACTAAAATAAAAAAAAAAAACTTTTAGTGATTCATTGTCAATTTACAGACTAAAGAAAGTAGTTAAGTTGAAGTGGGTTTATTTGTGTCTGGATACCAGAATTTATAATAGGCTATGTGGGTGGAAGAGACTTTATAACCCAAAATCAGAGTAGAAATTGATTCAGAATAACTAGTTCTGACTCAAACTTATGACATGTTAATGACAGAAAGTTTGAAGTTGAGGTTTAAAAAGAAATATTAATATTAAAATTTTGACATAAACCTATTCCTTAATTGAAGTAGCATTGCTTCTTAATAGAAGCAGGAGATACTTGATGTGTACCTGGCATCAACTGGTGTCTTTGCGAAAATTATAAAAATAGATTAAGTAAAATGTTCACAATAGCATTTTGCATGGTATTGGGTGTGTGGAATCATTATATTTGATAAATACATTAAGATGGCATTGACTAACCCTAAATGCATAGCCTAGCTATATGTTAGGACAATTCTTGCATCATAACCAGTTCTAGTGTTGACAATGTGAATTTTTCACTGTTGTTGTAGAGAGTGCTTATCAACACATAAGATATTCACGGATAACTATTTCTTCTAATGGCATTGCGGCATAATATGGAGCGTATGAAAAAATCAACAGCCCTGCTATCCTGTTGAAATAAACTGGATCACTTTGAGTTAAAAGGGCACAGAACAAGCTTTCTGATTATTTTCTGTATTCCTTCAACTGTCTCTTATTAATGTCAAACTATATAAGTTATTACCAAAAACATGATACTTTGGATCTTACCAAATAAAAGAAAGGTTTTATTTGTGGTTGTATTTACAAATCTCACTGATGTCCATAAATATTATTTACAAATTAAGGACATTGGAGCTACAGAATCAAAAAGAGGCCAGGCTCAGTGGTTCACGCCTGTAATCCTAGTGCTTTGGGAGGCCAAGGCGGGGGATTCCTTGAGGCCAGTATACATGGCTGTAGTGAGCTATGATTTTGTCACTGCACTCCTGCCTGGGTGACAGAGTGAGACCCTGTGTCTAAACAAACAAACAAACAAAATGATTAAAAAGAATTAAGCTTAAAAAGTGTAATTTTGGGTACATTATAAAACATGAAATTATATCACCAAAGCCTTTAGTTAGTGTGACTGTTACATAAGTGTTTCACTCTTTTATGAACTTTAACTAACATACATCTGGAAACCTATAAACACATTTTTATTTCATTAAGTCAAACTCGTGTCTAGAAAGATTGTCATGGTGATAGTAGTTTGGCAATTTAATGTCAGAGTATGTGGACACTGCACTTACAA
Source organism: Homo sapiens (assembly GCF_000001405.40). Classification (NCBI taxonomy): domain Eukaryota; kingdom Metazoa; phylum Chordata; class Mammalia; order Primates; family Hominidae; genus Homo; species Homo sapiens. Next base: position 107,792,553 of record NC_000013.11, on the reverse strand, counting down.
TGTCCCATTTTGGTCCTGAGGAAGTTTGGGTTGAGCCATAGGAAAGCAGATCTTACTAGGCTCAGATACCAAGATGTAAATTTTATAAATTTGTACAAATTTGTGTTTTATAAAGATCTGTTTGTGGGGGAGAAGTGGATCTTGTGAGTATTGCTGAGTGACACCGCGACACTTTCACATTTTGTCTTTAGTTCTCCTGAAAAGTGGCATGGACTTGAGGAAAAATCTATTATAATTTTACTAAATGTCATATGTATGGTATTAAAATAATCCATGTCTGGAATTACGTTTGTAAAGATTTTAAAAATATGCATCATGATAGGTTACAAAGTTTTAGTATGGATCAAATAGGATTAGTAGTGTACTTGATAAGAGAGACAAAATTCTGAGATAGCTTCTTGGTCTTTGAGCATAGTAAGACCTGCTTTCTTGTGGCTCAACCCAAGCTTCCTCAGAGCCAAAGTGGGACAACATTTTAAAATTCCACTTATGTGTTTCATTTGCATATTGATAAAAAATTAATTTGAAATAGACTTCAGCTCTTTTTGTAACTTAAAACATAGCAAATTTGTAGAGTCTGTTGTTGTTGTTTTGAGATGGAGTTTAGCTCTTGTTCACCAGGCTGGAGCACAATGGTTTGATCTCAGCTCACTGCAAACTTCACCTCCCGGGTTCAAGCAATTCTTCTGCCTCAGGCTCCTGAGTAGCTGGGATTTTAGGTACCCGCCACCACTCTTGGCTAATTTTTGTATTTTTAGTAGAGACGGGGGGGGGCGGGGATCACCACGTTGGCCAGGCTGGTCTGGAACTCCTGACCTCAAGTGATCCACCTGCCTCACCCTCCCAAAGTGTGAGTCTGTGTTTCATGTGCTTCAAATGTAAGGATTCTTGGTAAACTCATTATTATTTGTTCACAACATTATATTTTTGTCAATTCTGAGTACAATTCTTTTTATGACTTACTGCAAAAGGAATTTTAAAAATAAAATATCCATTAGAAGAACCAAAGGATCATCATATAGCCTAAACTAATGTTTTTTGGGTTTCTGCATTAAAAATATATCTAATTACAAAAGTATGACATGCCCTTGTGGAAAACTTGACAAAAGCCTAAAGTCTAAAACGATAATCACCCATGCCCCAGGAGTAATCACTATAGAGTGAAGACATAGATGATTGATAGCTAGCTAGCTAGCTAGATATGATAGACAGGTACATAGTTTTTGTCTTTTTGAAAAATCAGGATTGTACTGTAGATGATACTTTTAATTTTGCTGTTTCCATTAACAGCATAGCCATTTTAAGCTATTACAAATTTTAGGGAATATTTGATAAATATTGCCAAACTTTTGGCAAAAACATTTTTACCATTTTATATTCTCACCAATCATACTGTAGTTGCAACAAACCTGAATATTAGTAACTTTACATTTTTTCTATATTAAATAAGCAAAATAAATAGGAAAAGGTGGATTTTATTTTTCCATTTGCCACCTTTACAACCTTTTTAAAAAGTATATGAGACTAATAACATTTTTAGGTTTGTGGGTAGTTTTCACCATCTCCTTCCAGGATTATCTTAGGATCAGATGCTGTTTTTGCTATACTGTCTTATGATTTTTCCTAATGGTGCTGTAAGCTCTTTAGAGAATAAGAATCCTGTATTTTTAATATGATGTAACACTGTTATAAGTCTATGTTTATAGATTTTTATTTAGCCTGTATATTATATAACTAAAAGACCTCTAAAATAAGGCCCTAACCTGCACCCATTTTCTATGCATTTTTTCCCCAAATCCATTTAATACTGTACCCATAGATGGCTAAAAATTAACACTCCTTGGTTAACTATGAACATGGTGAAACAGCTGCTTCTTTTATTCGCATAAATGTATGCAGAATTGCTATGCTATTTTAATAACTATGCAATAGACACATCTTGCCATGACTCATTTCATGTTGCTGTTAGTGAATTATGTGTATGTGATCTGACATACAGATTTCAGCCCTGTTTTATTCAATTTATCTTCATCATCATCAGTAAAACTTCATCATATAGGAGATGATGGGTAAATGATTACTTACAGAACAGATTTAAATTAATTAGACAATGTATAGTTTATTCTATAAATGCTTTCATCTAAGCTTCCAAAATAAAATTAGTCTTTGTAATATTTTAGTATCCACCCTTTATGCTTTCTTCAATTTGTTGCCTATTTAAGAGTTAATTTTGACATATTCTTTGTACTGTATTATTCCACTTTTTTCTGTAAATGTTTTTTGTCATGTTATGTTTAATACTTTTTATTTTATTTTAGCCAAGTTGTATATGTAAATACACGTGAAAGACTTTGAGTAGTGCTTGGTATAAAGTACTTAATAAACATTGATGGTTGCCATTCTGTAAATGCTTCAGGAAAATTCTTAAATATTATGTCTGAACCACTCTAGTTTCCTAAATTAGCCTATGGTCTATGAGTCTTGATGGTTTTGCATTGTAAGATAGCAGTAATTTTATGGAGGCAGCACTGTAAACCTGCACTATTGAACATTTTCAAATATTGTGTACAGTGTACAAGGGAGTGAATGAGTCCTGAATAGCACAATTTGCCATTTTAATTTTCCTAAACAAAAGTTTAGTTTCTTTTATCCTTATTTGCCTATATACGTAACTCAAGACATAATAGTTGGTTGACAAGTTTCTGTCCAGATTATTACAGTTCACCAGGAATTTAGGTGAATATAACCAACTCCCTGGCAGCATATTGCCGTGCAGAGAGCATGGGCATTCGGCTGGGAGACCTGGGTGCCAGTTCTGATTTTGCCACTTTGTAGCTATATCACCCTGAAAAAGAATCTGTCTGAGTCTCAGTTTTATTATCTCTAACATGGAAAAAGAATGTTTGCTTCCATTTTAGTATGATTTTGATGCTTAAAAAAGAACAAAAAAGTGATGGTGTTTGGGGTGTAGCCATTGCTTACTATGTCTCTGTTCTTTTTCACTCTTGCTCTTTCTAGCCTGTATATCTCATGATCCAGAATGACAAAGAAATGATGAGATAAAGATGAAGTAAGCATAGTTTCCCAACAATAAACGATCTGTGTATAAAGATTTTATCCTGTAAGGTGGAACTTTTTATGATTTTAAGACAGGAATTGCCTGACGACATTCATACCCATTTGTAACTGAATTAATGAAGTACTTTTTAAAGCAAAAGAGATTTTCAAAAATTGTGAAATCACTCTGTACTTATTGTTGTAATTAAACTGTGGAGTAGAGATCACAGTCTTATCAAAATTTAATTTTAGTAAATTCAAGCCAAGCCACTAAAATTTTAATTGTAGTATCATGATCTCTCTTGTCCTTTACTTGTATACACACACAAAATTTCCTTCTGTTATTTCATCGTGTTTCCTAATTCTTATTTCTTCTCTTGATCCAGTTCAGATAAGCCTGTGATCCACTCCACGGCAACCCGAGGGAGAGGTCAAGTCACACAGAGCTCTGTGTCACCCCCTGACAGTTTCCTCACCACAGTCAGAATGGCACTTGTGACAGACACTGGAGTTTCTCTGCTATCTAATTAAGGTTCCATTAACTTAACTAGGTTAACCATATTTGCTTTCTATTATGGCCAACCTCCAGGCCAGAATTTCAATAATTATCATATATTGTTGATTTTTTTTTTCCACAAACGCTTTCCGGTTGCCACTATCCTTCAGCAATTGGGCAAGCCTTCTGTCTATGTGACAAAATTTTTTTTTTTTAAAAAAAGGATACAATCAAACTGCGTTCATTGATTGGCAGATATATTCTAGCTGCTAAATGAGCTGCTGGGGTCCTCCAGATAAGCCCCTGCATTCTGGAGCTTGCCCTGCAGTGGGTGACATGGACATGTTCAGCAGAGCTGTGTAATGACTGCGGCCATGTGCCGGTAGATTCCAAGTGCTGTGTTATCACACATGAGGAAAAACTGGGCAGTCATGGAACCATTACTGGAAGAGGAAAGGGCTAGAGTGAATCCAAAATTTCAACTAGAGATTGGCCATGGGAAGAGAGAGGAAGAAGATATTGCAGGAAGAAAGGTAGTGACTTGAACACATTTGGAAAAGTGCATTTATTCAACAAGATCCACCAGTGCAGGAAGAAGAGAGAGAGAGAGAGAGATGATGTCAGACCATGAATGTCCCAAATAGAAAAATTAAAAAGGGAAACTTTGTTATCAGATAGATTGACTTTAAAAAACATAACATTTGGGCCCAATTATGGACAACAGATCAGTGAGGGCAAAATGAGACACGCAGATAATAACTGGGAGGCTGTTACAATGATCCAGTTGAAAAACAAGGAGGATAAGCTAATTTTGGGATGATAGGATGAAGAAAATAGAAAAAAAAGGAGTTACAATAGACAGGATTCAAACAAGGAGGATGAAGAAGATTTAAATGCTAAGGATGACATCCAGAGTACAGACTGACCCAAATGTCTAGATGGTGGCTCCGCTGGGCAAGCTAAAGAAATGGTGAAGTCAACTCAGGACACGCTGACTTTGAGAGATTCAAGGGACAATTCATGCAAACCGTGGGTTGGCAGATGCACATCTAACCTGGGGATAAGGATGTAATATAAGATAAAGCTTTCAATTCCTAACAATGAATGAAATTATCAAGGTCTAAAAAAAGAATTATATTACCTAGGAAGATTGGATTTGCAGATGCACTTATTATTTATCAGTAGATGCACTTATTATTCAAGCACATATACTACAGTGTTCAGGAAAGAGTGGCTTTAAGTATTTTCTATGAGACAGATGTATTAGTTTGCAAGAGGTTTTATACTGGTAGTAATTTTTTCTAAAAACATAACTTCAGAAATACTTAATTGTACTTAATCATTTACTAGAATAAATGATATACTAGTTACGGGAATGTAGCAAGAGTCAGGTAGCTCTCAATTCCATTCTCTGAAAGTCAGAAAAAGACACGGAAATATTGGTATTAGCTAATTAATTGCTTTACCGTGACCCACGTAACAACAGGTTTGGTGTCATTGATTGTAAAACTATAGACCCATAAACTGTGAATCATAAAGAGAACAGAAGGCATATTTGGGACTCAACCCATGTGTCTGACTTTGCATTACCTTTGAGCTTCTAATAAAGTTTGTATCTTTAAATAAACCAATTACATAGACATTCTTACCATATAATTGTGATGATAATATTTTCAGCTGTAAACATATTATTGGAAAAATTTAAGGCCAGAGTTTTAGATTATTGAAAAAAATTAGTGTTTATGCATATATATGGATTTCTCATCAACATAAGAATATATTCTGTTATGGGTGTACAAAGAACTGGTTAAAAGTATTTTCTTAAATCTTCAGTAATGAATAGTGATGATAGTTTAATATTATCTTAAAAGAGTAATATTAGATGTACATAATAGATCTAATATTTTCTTTGTAGGTCAGGAGTAGGTGTAGGAGACTAAATGAAATAATAGCATGAAATGATTATATAAACATTCTCAGGTATATCTACCACTCAGGGTATGAATCTCTCTGAACTTCAGTGCTCTTACTTCAGAAATGAAGATATCTCAGGCGTCCATTGTCCCCACTAGATCTACTTTCCAACATTGTTTGCTCCGCTCTCAGCTCCTAGAAGTGGACCTGTAGCATCAGTGAGTTAGATTTCAGTGAGTTTCATAGTCATTTTGGCGAGAAAAGTGATTGCCTTGGAAGGAGATGAGAGGGAGAGAAGAGCCTGAGGTCAGGCATATATTCTCTCTCTCTTTCTCTCTCTCTCTTTTTTTTTCTGAGATGGGGTTTCTCTCTTGTTGCCCAGGCTGGAGTGCAGTGGCGCGATCTTGGCTCACTGCAACCTCCGCCTCCCAGGTTCAAGTGATTCTTCTGCCTCAGCCTCCCGAGTAGCTGGGATTACAGGCACCCGCCACCACGCCCAGCTAATTTTTTTTATTTTTAGTAGAGATGGGGTTTCGCCATGTTGGGCAGGCTGGTCTCAAACTCCTGACTTCTGACTTCAGGTGATCCGCCCACCTCAGACTCCCAAAGTGTTGGGATTACAGGAGTGAGCCACCGCGCCCGGCTTTTTTTTTTTTTTTTTTTTTTTTTTGAGAAAGAGTTTCGCTCTTGTTGCCCAGGCTGGAGTGCAATGGTGCGATTTCAGCTTACTGCAACCTCTGCCTCCCAGGTTCAAATGATTCTCCTGTCTCAGCCTCCTAAGTAGCTGGGATTACAGGCATGCACCACCACGCTCAGCTAATTTTGTATTTTTAGTAGAGATGGCGTTTCACCATGTTGGTCAGACCAGTCTCGAACTCTTGACCTCAGATGATCTGCCCGCCTCAGCCTCCCAAAGTGCTGGGATTACAGGCATGAGCACCTCACCCTGCCCATTAATTCTCTTGAGTTCCTTCCTGTGAGGGTTCCTTGTCCTGGCTAAGTCCTCAACAAAACCTTTGCTCTTCTAAAAGAAACTGTCTCTGGGACTCTGTGACTTTCTTTCTGAGCCCTCTCCATAGTCTTGTCTTTTGAGTCTTGGCTGTGGGAACACTCTGCCTGGCTTTTACACCAAAGTTCATGGTACCCCTACCTCTTGCCCACAATTCTCTCTCTCTAAATAAAACCTCCTCACATTGTCCCAATTTGAGTGTCCTCTGTGGCCTGTAAGATCCTGATTGATAACACGTTCACCAGGATTACAGAAAATTATTCTTTGTTTCTGTAGGTTTGAGAACCACTGTCATCAAAGTACAGCCTTCAAAAAGTCTGTAAAGGGGAACCATTATTATAGGTATTTATTTGCATCTCACTGGAGCAATCTCTTTTTTATCCCACAGGTTATTGGGGTACAAGTGGTATTTAGTTACATGAGTAAGTTATTTACTGGTAATTTGTGAAGTTTTGGTACACCCATAACCCAGGTAGTATACACTCAATGCTATTTGTAATCTTTTATCTGTTACCCCTCTCTCACCCTTCCCCGCAAGTCCCCAAAGTCCATTGTATCATTCTTATGCCTTTGCATCCTCATAGCTTAGCTCCCACCTAGTGAAAACATACGATGTTTGGCTTTCCATACCTGAGTTACTTCACTTAGAATAATAGTCTCCAATCTCATCCAGGTCGAGGCAAATGCTGTTAATTCATTTCTTTTTATGGCTGAGTAGTATTCCATCATATAGACCATGTCTTTATGGCTCTTGGAAGGAGACGTCTTCTCTCAGTCACTCACTGAGGGGAGCGGTTTTGTGGAATCAGCACATAGTAATCCTACTGCCTCCTGGGAGCTCAGCTCTGAAAGTGTACTGGGTAGAGGAGGAAGTGAGTGCATCTCTCACAGTAAATGGTTTTTATAAGATTTACTTACAAAACCATATATATATACACACACATATATATGAATATATATATACATATACATACATATATATGTGTGTGTATATATACATACACACACACATACACAGACACATACACACACACCACAGTTTATCCACTCGTTGATTGATGGGGCATTTGGGCATTTGGGTTGGTTCCGCGATTTTGCAATTGTGAATTGTGCTGCTATAAACATACGTGTGCAAGTATCTTTTTCATATAATGGTATCTTTTCCTCTGGGTAGATACCCGGTAGTGGGATTGCTGGATCAAATGGTAGTTCTACTTTTAGTTCTTTAAGGAATCTCCACACAGTTTTCCATAGTGGCTGCACTACTTTACATTCCCACCAGCAGTGTAGAAGGATTCCCTAATTGCCACATCCACGCCAACATCTACTTTTTTTTTGATTTTTTGATTATGGCCATTCTTGCAGGAGAAAGGTGGTATCGCATTGTGGTTTTATTTTGCATTTCCCTGATCATTAATGATGTTGAGCATTTTTTCATATGTTTGTTGGCTATTTGTGTATCTTCTTTTGAGAATCGTCTATTCATGTCCTTAGCCCACTTTTTGAGGGAATTGTTTGTTTGTTTGTTTGTTTTTTTCCTACTGGAGCAACCTCTTTTTAATTTGACTTTAAATATTGATCAGAACAGACCTTAAAATGTTTCATCTGTGACACTTTAAGATAATCCGAGGAGCTTTCTATTCTATATAAAGAAGAAAATGAGTGAATAATTTACTAGGAAAAATTTTTATGAACTGACAACTAGGAACAGCTATGCTGGTATTTGTGGATGCCTTTGTATGATAGCACAGGATAATTGCTTGTTTCAGTAGTTACCTGCAGCATGCGGTTTCCATGCTTTCACCTCCTGTTCGGGTTGTTTAAAAACACAATTTCTACTTGAGACCCATCACTGAAAGTCAGCGGGGCAGTAGTTATTTCGCTACTCTTTGCGTGTCTTTGTGGAAATCTACTTTTCTAAACTAAACAAGTATATGTAGATCCTATTGTGTACAAGTGTTCCTGAAATCCCATGCAGCTTGGCATCTAAAATACTATCTACAGCTGGCACCTCTTCATGGCTCTTGGAAGGAGACGTCTTCTCTCAGTCACTCACTGAGGGGAGCGGTTGTGTGGAATCAGCACATAGTAATCCTACTGCCTCCCGGGAGCTCAGCTCTGAAAGTATACTAGGTAGAAGAAGAAGTGAGTGCATCTCTCACAGTAAATGGTTTTTATAAGATTTTCTTTTTTTTTTTTTTTTTAATTTTTATTTTTATTGATCATTCTTGGGTGTTTCTCACAGAGAGGGATTTGGCAGGGTCATAGGACAATAGTGGAGGGAAGGTCAGCAGATAAACAAGTGAACAAAGGTCTCTGGTTTTCCTAGGCAGAGGACCCTGCGGCCTTCCGCAGTGTTTGTGTCCCTGGGTACTTGAGATTAGGGAGTGGTGATGACTCTTAACGAGCATGCTGCCTTCAAGCATCTGTTTAACAAAGCACATCTTGCACCGCCCTTAATCCATTCAACCCTGAGTGGACACAGCACATGTTTCAGAGAGCACAAGGTTGGGGGGTAAGGTCACAGATCAACAGGATCCCAAGGCAGAAGAATTTTTCTTAGTACAGAACAAAATGAAAAGTCTCCCATGTCTACTTCTTTCTACACAGACATGGCAACCATCCGATTTCTCAATCCTTTCCCTGCCTTTCCCCGCTTTCTATTCCACAAAACCACCATTGTCATCATGGCCCGTTCTCAATGAGCTGTTGGGCACACCTCCCAGACGGGGTGGTGGCCGGGCAGAGGGGCTCCTCACTTCCCAGTAGGGGTGGCCGGGCAGAGGCGCCCCTCACCTCCCGGACGGGGCGACTGGCCGGGCGGGGGGCTGACCCCCCCACCTCCCTCCCGGACGGGGCGGCTGGCCGGGCGGGGGACTGACCCCCCACCTCCCTCCCGGACGGGGCGGCTGGCCGGGCAGAGGGGCTCCTCACTTCCCAGTAGGGGCGGCCGGGCAGAGGCGCCCCTCACCTCCCGGACGAGGCGGCTGGCCGGGCAGGGGGCTGACCCCCCCACCTCCCTCCCGGTCGGGGCGGCTGGCCGGGCGGGGGGCTGACCCCCCACCTCCCTCCCGGACGGGGCGGCTGGCCGGGCGGGGGGCTGACCCCCCACCTCCCTCCCGGACGGGGCGGCTGGCCGGGCGGGGGGTGACCCCCACCTCCCTCCTGGACGGGGCGGCTGCCGGGCGGAGACGCTCCTCACTTCCCAGACGGGGCGGCTGCCGGGCGGAGGGTCTCCTCACTTCTCAGACGGGGCGGTTGCCAAGCGGAGGGGCTCCTCCCTTCTCAGATGGGGCGGCTGGGCAGAGACGCTCCTCACCTCCCAGACGGGGTCGCGACCGGGCAGAGGCGCTCCTCACATCCCAGACGGGGCGGCGGGGCAAAGGCACTCCCCACATCTCAGACGATGGCCGGCCGGGCAGAGACGCTCCTCACTTCCTAGATGGGATGGCGGCCGGGAAGAGGCGCTCCTCACTTCCTAGATGGGATGGCAGCCGGGCAGAGACGCTCCTCACTTTCCAGACTGGGCAGCCAGGCAGAGGGGCTCCTAACATCCCAAACGATGGGCGGCCAGGCAGAGACGCTCCTCACTTCCTAGACGGGGTGGCGGCCGGGCAGAGGCTGCACTCTGGGCACTTTGGGAGGCCAAGGCAGGCGGCTGGGAGGTGGAGGTTGTAGCGAGCCGAGATCACGCCACTGCACTCCAGCCTGGGCACCATTGAGCACTGAGTGAACCAGACACCGTCTGCAATCCTGGCACCTCCGGAGGCCGAGGCTGGCGGATCACTCGCGGTAAGGAGCTGGAAGCCAGCCCTGCCAACACAGCGAAACCCCGTCTCCACCAAAAAATACGAAAACCAGTCAGGCGTGGCGGCACGCGCCTGCAATCGCAGGCACTCGGCAGGCTGAGGCAGGAGAATCAGGCAGGGAGGTTGCAGTGAGCCGAGATGGCGGCAGTACAGTCCAGCTTCGGCTCGGCATCAGAGGGAGACCGTGGAAAGAGAGGGAGAGGGAGACCGTGGGGAGAGGGAGAGGAGGGAGAGGGAGAGGGAGAGAAGATTTTCTTATAAAACCATTGCACAGAAGTGTAACTTAGCCTTTCCTTACAATTTTTATCACCAACTAAGCAATAATGCAAAACATAAAACAAAACAATAACAAAACAGTGTTTGGTTCATTTATTCATTCAACAGACTATACTAAGCTAGGCAGTGTGGGTTTGATAATTAATAAAACTTGTATTAGTTGTCCACATAATGATTACAGGCAATGCAGGCAACAGCAACATGCAATTAAATAAACAATTAACGTCAAAGAATAGAGCTTTTAGAGGCGTATAGCAGTGACATCTGACTCAAAATGAGATTGTGCACCAAATGAAGCAGTGCAAAGAAGAGATCCTGAGGATGGATCTAATGTGATCTAGTAAGCTGGCACATCTTTGATTCTGTCATTTAGTGAGAGTTGCTGATACATTTTTAAGTGATTTGACCAAACATCAAGCTCTCAAAACACAATTCAAATATGTAATGTTATTAGTAAGGGAAGGATAGATGTGGATAAATTTAAATAGCCCCTGGAGTTAGAAAGGAGACAGAGTATTTATATGTAGGGGTGGGAGCAAACTGAAGTAATATTTTGTATAGATCCAAAATGTAGATCAGATTAAAAAAATCTGTAAATTATACTCAGGCTGTTTCTTCAATGGAATGTTGATTTTTAAATCTCTTAAGGTTTATGTAATACAGCCTCTGCTACAAGTAGATACTCTGTCATATAGCACCCTGTTTTACCTTTAAATGATTAGTATGTTAAAGATTTATTAAATTAAAAATGAACATTCTTTTTTTGCAGAGGCATCTCTGGTTTCAAAAAACACAGAAACAAAATGAAATTTTTCATATGATAACCATATAATAATATTAGCATAGACAATACTAATTAGTTTTCTCCTGGCACAAGAAGAAATTTTTAGTGTTATCAACAGTAAAAAGTGATGCAAATCCACTATAAATTTGATAAGTATTTGACATTTCTCCTATGTTCCAGTTTGTGCAACTGATAAAACACTTAGCATATATTATCCAATTCAATAAATAAGCATCTAAAATGCCATCAGCAATATACTAAATGCTAAGAATATAAAGATGAATAAAAACTTGGTCTCCATTTTTCAAGAGCTCAGATTTTTATCAGTAAAGGCACTACAAAAAGATTATGAAGTCAGTTGGGGGCCCATGTAAAATGGTTACAGAGTAGTAATCATCATTGCCTAGCACTTTACAGAAATTAAAACTCTTGTATTTTTAGTAGAGACAGGGTTTCACCATGTTAGTCAGGCTGGTCTCAAACTCCTGACCTCAGATGATCCACCTGCCTCGGCATCCCAAAGTGCTGGGATTACAGGTGTGAGCCACCACCACTGTTGGTGGGCGCCTGTAATCCCAGCTGCTCAGGAGGCTGAGGCAGGAGAATTGCTTGAACCCGGGAGGAGGAGGTTGCAGTGAGCCGAGATCACATCATTGCACTCCAGCCTGGGTGACAGTGAGACTGCGTCTTAAAAAAAAAAAAAAAGTTAAAACTCTTTTCCAATACGTTGTCTCATTGGGTACTTTCAACACCTGTGAGAAATAACCATAATTTTAATCATTCCTATATTAAACATCAGAAACTTAAAATTGAGCAAAGACAGGACTTTTTTTCTAAGGCACAGAAAAATTGTGCCCAATGTCAGTGTTGAACGCAAGCAAAAACTGTGAAAAAGTGGAGAACCTGAGTAAAAGGTAAAGTGTTTAGTTGGGTGGGAGCTGAAATACGGAAATTAAGAAGGGAAGGCAAACTACAAATAGTGAAAGGATCACACATATAAGTGTAAGGGAAGATTGAGATTGGCTAACTGCAAGGAGTTTTTAAATCTAAGGGCAGTAAATTATGTAGGAGATTGCCACGGGCCACAAACAAATGTTTCTGCAATAACAACAACACAACCACAACAACAAAACCGCAGTAGCAATTGTAAAGTACATTCAGAAAAAAAAAAAAAAAAAGTATGTCTTGGAGATAGAGAACAAAGTAATAAGAGTACATTTGTATGAAGATAAACATTCCATACTAACTTTTAAAAATGCAATTTTGTTTTCCAAATGGCTTAAGACCAGGAAGCGTACTTTAACATTTACAGCAGAGACTGTCCAAGTTCAGGGTTCCAAGCATGAAATGAAAAGGGGATATTGAGTTGTTTGTATCTATTCAATAAGTAAAAATATGTTTCCTGAGGTTTTAGAACTGAGGTTTTAGAAGAAGGTGGAGACAAGAGGGGTAAAAGAAGGGATTCAATGGGAAACTTCAAAGTATTAATTAACTCATCCAACTGTGTAGAGATCTCAGCTTAATGTATGAAAATTCAGTGTCAAACTTAGTTTAAAAGGCAGACTACAGAACGAGTGCTTGGCAAGCCAGGAATCAACGCACTTTTGTCAGCTAGAATGGTTTGGCTCCAAGGGAGTGTGAGCAGTGAAGAGCATTTCAAGTGGAGGAATAGGAGGAGAATCTCCTTCACCCTACTCACTGTAAGCATTGTAAGGCACATGGAAATACAGGAATGTTTGAAAGCCACTGGATCCGATTTGGAAGCAATATCATCATAAGTGTGACTCAGATAATGTATAGGATCTGAACTGGATACTCCTTAAAGGACATATGGAAAGAAAATGACTTAAAGATGTGATAATGCCTTTCCACATGTAGTCATGAAGGTGATATCAGAGGTAGCCTTTTCTGGTTCTGAGCAAACTTTGGCAGGATTAAAATGGCCTGAGAGGAAACCACAAACTAGGATATTAGAATTAATTTTATAAGAATGCAGGTGTAAACACATCCATCCCTTATTTAGATCAACATAATGCATAGCAGAAAAATGAAAGGTCAGTGAAATTTATGCATGAGAAAAGCATAAAGCTGCAAAAATATTTCATCTCTCTACAGTAATTCAGCCAAAATATTCAAAATATGAAATAATTAGCTTCTCATAAATCTCGACCTATAAAAGAAAGAAGCAGCAGAACTTGACTATTGACTGTAGAGAAGGTAAGGTTAAGAAGAGTTAAATAGTTAAATAGTAATACTTTTTTAATAAAAATAATTGATCCTGGGAAAAATCTGATAGTTTATGGTTAATACATATAGGTTTTGGAGGTGATAGTTGGATAGTGAGAACTGATGTTGAGAGCCACAGGCTGTTTTCAGGGAATCATCAAGTAACAACAGGTGATTGAGGGAGCCCTTACTGACCTGATGAATGAGTGGGGAGGGAAGAAAGAGGGTTCAGCATGAAAACTGAGTCATGGGGCCTTTGAATAGGGAGAGACCCTAAGGTTTATGGTCTCCATCTCCTGTCCACACTGAAAATTTGTGCTTAGGCCCTTCTAAACATAGGCAGTTTACTCAAACAAACAAATACAAAAACAAACAAACAAAAAAACAGAAAAAAAACAACTCCTGTTTTAATCCTAGCCTGAAACCTGCTTTCAACAGACTGCCAGCCATTGACTTTAGTTCTGCCATCAAGAGTCATATCTTTTCCAATTCCAGTTCCACATACAGGTCTTTAAAATTTGAATTCAGTGATCATACCCCCTTTAAGAATTCAGTTCAAGTTCAATATTCCCAGTTGCTTTAACCACTCCTCACACAGTGTCACATTAGATGTTCCACTCTTCTGGATTTCCTCCTCTGGGCACACTCTAATTAAATTCCTTCTTAAAACATGGTGACCAGATTTAAGCATGATGCTCCAAATACATTCCTTTACACCAAGGGATGGAGGAAGACAGATGTTTCCTTTGTTCTGAATCCTGTCATTCCATTCATGCAGCCTCAGTTTGCAGGGGAGTTTTGGCAGCCCAGTCTCTCTGTTCACTCCTGTTAAACAGTCACCCCAGAAGTCCTGGGTGTTTTCACACGTTATTTCATTTACCCAGGTCTCCCTCATCGCAGGATTTGGAGTCAATTATTTAAAAAGTAAAATGTGCAATTTGAATCTATCTTATTAAATTATATTTTTAATTCATCAGCAAATGAATCAGCAGAGAATTTGAACAAGATAGAAAGTAAAAACAATGTCACAAAGGCAAAGGAAGAACATTTCTGGGAGTATGTTGTAAAAATATGTTTCCCTTTTGTTAAACATATAAATTCCATAAACATACATCAGGGAGCCTTTGAAAGCTTTTTTCCCCTCAAGTTTCAATAACTGCCACTTTCTTCCTTTCCTATAATTTACATAAAATTAAATTTCTGTTCTTAAAGGCATTGATGGATGTATTAGGCCGTTCTTGCATTGCTACAAAGAAATACCTGAGGCTGGGTAAAGAAAAAGGGTTTAATTGGCTCACTGTTTTGCAGGGTGTAGAGGAAGCATAGCTCCAGCATTAGCTTGTGGGGAGGCCTCAGGAAGCTTACAATTAGGCAGAAGCTGGAGCAGGCACTTTACATGACGAATGCAGGAGCAAGAGAAAGAGTTGCGGGGAAGGTGCCACACGCTTTTAAACAAGCAGATCTTGCGAGAACTCACTCACTATCATAAAGAGAGCAGCAAGCCAGGAGAGATCTGCCCCCGTGATCCAAACACCTCCCACCAGGCTGGCCCTCCAGCATTGCAGATTGCAATTCAACGTGAGATTTGGGTGGGGACAAATATCCAAATTACGTCAATGGGTGTATCTGCCTTTCTTTATACTTAGCTATCGGCTGATAAAGCTCAAGAGGCAGACTTCTGGCTGTACCACCTCCTAGTTGTCTGTTTGGGGCAAATCTTAAACTTTTTCTAAACATAATTTTCTTACCTATAAAATAGGTACAATAATAAAATCTTCCTCATGAGGATGCTGTGACAGCCGTGCAAGATACTTTATGTGAAGTTTCGGGAAAATTGCCAGATATAGAAATATCAGTAAATGT
Organism: Homo sapiens; assembly: GCF_000001405.40. Classification (NCBI taxonomy): domain Eukaryota; kingdom Metazoa; phylum Chordata; class Mammalia; order Primates; family Hominidae; genus Homo; species Homo sapiens. The sequence continues at coordinate 107,777,119 of NC_000013.11, read as the reverse complement.
TACCAGTTTTTTGTTCGTTCGTTTGTTTGAGACAGGTTCTTGCTCCATCACCCAGGCTGGAGTGCAGTGGCAGGATTACAGCTAACTGAAGCTTCAACCTCCTGGGCACAAGCATCTTCCCCCCCTCAGTCTCCCAAGCAGCTGGGACTATAGACGTGAGCCACCATGCCTGGCTAAGTTTTTAGATTTTTTGTACAGATAGGATCCTCCTACATTGCCCAGGCTGGTCTTAAATTCCTGGTCTCAAGGGATCCTCCTGCCTGGGCCTCCCAAAGTTTTGGGATTGCAGGCATGAGCCAACATGTCCGGCCAATTTTCAGTATTTTTATTAAGCCACCACTAAAACTGGTATTAGTTTATATTGCAGCATTTACATCAAAGCACATTTCATGTGTATTTTAAGTATGCATTTACATTTTTGTACATCCTAAAATCTGTCATGTTCTTAAGGCAATTGTTTCCTACTCAACTTTGTATTCATAAGATCTATCATGATTTCTAGCACACAGTAGGTATTCAATACATGCTTGTGAAATTAATGTAATAGATGAATTAATAAGTGTGGATATGGTGCAGTTTGAGAGTTCATCAGTCAGGCTATACTCTTGTTTAGTGATAGTGTTCACCGCGTTGTCATGCTGGTATAAATCTGTGACCTGTTCTTTATGCGTTAAGAATGATATTATTACTGAAAGCTTCCCATATGCCAGAAACAGCTTGTGTACAATTTTTCCTTTACTTCTCACTGCCACACTTTGAGATAGGGTCAATGACTAATCCCTTTTCACAGATGAGGAAACCAAGGTACCTAGACATTAAAAAAAATTACCCAAGAAAACTTACCCAGCTGATGAGAGATGGAGCAGGACTAGAACCTAGCCTGTCTGACTCCATAGCTGAGACAATTCATCACTGCCCTCTATTGCCTCTGCCTCTGCCAAATCAATGTGTCTAATGATAGTAATGATTTTAAAAATGCTCCAGATTTAGCTCAGTTTGTGCATTTGTTTTGTTCTCTCCCAACTGCTTTCAAAAGCTACAGCTGTTGGCCATGCCATGTCCTCTTTCCCTCTTGCTGCTGAAGCCAGCAAGTTGTACAGTTGACTTGAGAGAAAAACAAGGTCAACTTTCACTTTAGGGTGATTTTAGGACACTTTAGGACTATGATATCACCATTTGGCTCTTAGGCCAGGTGCATAAGAGTAAACCTGCTCTGACAGCCTAGCTTGGTCATTTCCTAACTAACCTCAGAGGTATTATTCAGCTTATCCAAACCTCAGTTGCCTTATCTTTGTGTGGGGAACATAATACTTTTCTATATTGTTGTAAAGAATAAATGAAATAAATGGCAATCATTAAATGGCATTCATTAAATGGCAATCATTAAAAAGTCAGGAAACAACAGGTGCTGGAGAGGATGTGGAGAAATAGGAACACTTTTACACTGTTGGTGGGACTGTAAACTAGTTCAACCATTGTGGAAGTCAGTGTGGCGATTCCTCAGGGATCTAGAACTAGAAATACCATTTGACCCAGCCATCCCATTACTGGGTATATACCCAAAGGACTATAAATCATGCTGCTATAAGGACACATGCACACGTATGTTTATTGCAGCACTCTTCACAATAGCAAAGACTTGGAACCAACCCAAATGTCCAACAATGATAGACTGGATTAAGAAAATGTGGCACATATACACCATGGAATACTATGCAGCCATAAAAAATGATGAGTTCATGTCCTTTGTAGGGACATGGATGAAATTGGAAATCATCATTCTCAGTAAACTATCGCAAGAACAAAAAACCAAACACCGCATATTCTCACTCATAGGTGGGAATTGAACAATGGGAACACATGGACACAGGAAGGGGAACATCACACTCTGGGGACTGTTGTGGGGTGGGGGGAGGGGGGAGGGATAGCACTGGGAGATATACCTAATGCTAGATGACGAATTAGTGGGTGCAGCGCACCAGCATGGGACATTTATACATATGTAACTAACGTGCACATTGTGCACATGTACCCTAAAACTTAAAGTATAATTAAAAATAAAGAATACATGAAATAAAATGTGAAAGCATCTAAAATGTTGTTTAGCTTAGAGTATAGCTTTGTGTTTCTGATCTCAGTGAAATTCACAGTTCATTGGGAGACATAGGCATTTACATCTATAACTGTAGTATGATGTGATCTCTAAGACACATGTGCATAATATAGAGATATCAGGGAAGAAAGAGCCCTCCTGACTCGGAAGAGAGGAAGGAAGAACCATAAGAGCTGAGATTTAGGGCTGTTTTTTTAAGGAAGGGTTTCAGCTCCTTCATAGCATGGCTAATTTAATAGTGATCCATTCCCAGAGACTCCGTAAGAACAAAAAAGAGCTATTTTCTCCACTTTCCATCCCCACTACCTAGCACTGAAGCTTTGCATATAATAGGTATTGCATATAATAGGAAGCCTTGCACATAATAGAAATGGCTGCTGGATAAATTATGGAACTACAGAGAATGTAGTAACCAAAGTTATATGCTGGTGTTAGGTAAGAAATGTATTTACCTCCATTTCACTAATAAACAATTTAGTCTCAGAGAGGTTTTAATTTGGCCAACATAGTTAATGTAGCCAGGAAAAGATAACGGAACATATACTATCTGACTGTAAAATTGCTGAATGTAATTTCTTAGGATTTTGTCCTAAATTGGAAAGAAATCCCGTAACAAAATCATATTCAAATTGATTTTGGAATCCAGTGGTGTTGCCTGTGGACTTCATTTCCCTAGCTGATTTATAAATTTCTTGAATCTGTTTAGAGCTGACACTAATATTTGTAAACCATTGAGAAAAATGTGTAGCATGATATGCAGAATTGGAGCTCTGTAACACACCTATGCACCTAAATACAAATACACATATTTAAATTGACACTGGATTACTGCTGCCATGTATCAGTCTTCTTAAATCCATTGGAAATATCAAGAGAAATGATTGAAGTAACTGTTCTTCTCACCTTCATAAAAAAGTACAATTTCTAGCTCAATTTCTGGAGCATAGAGACAATTAATGTTTGATGAATAGAAGCATAACAGGCTGACTTAACTAATAGTTTAAAATACTTGATCATTTAAGGGGGAAATCTATCTGCAGCAGGATCAAAAACACAAAATGATCTTTACAATATAGTTGATTGTACACTTATACAAAATAGTGACACTCATTTTATTTTTTTATTATTATTATACTTTATGTTTTAAGGTACATGTGCGCAATGTGCAGGTTTGTTACATATGTATACATGTGCCATGTTGGTGTGCTACACCCATTTACTCGTCATTTAGCATTAGGTATATCTCCTAATGCTATCCCTCCCCCTCCCCCCACCCCACAACAGTCCCTGGTGTGCGATGTTCCCCTTCCTGTGTCCATGTGTTCTCATTGTTCAATTCCCACCTATGAGTGAGAACATGCGGACACTCATTATTTTTAAATGATAAGGAAATCAAAGCCTAAAAACGCATACTGTTGTTAAAAATAAGAGATCTTTGTAGAATAATACTTGGTTTTAGAAAAATTATTCAAAATACAGGAATAGAATTAGGACAAGAATAAGAAATCAGTCCTTGAAATTATTTTATCAGAATTTTAGCTTATTTAACCCATGGCAAAGTAATTACAAGATTATCCCATAATAACTTGAGGTCTAGCCATATATTAGCTTTAAACAAAGACATTAGTCTTTTCTGCACTGTTTCTGAGCTTGTTTATTCTGAGTATGATTTATCACTCTGAAGTATGATTTATCATGTGTATCAAGATAGTTTCACATTTGCTAGTACTATCTTTGCTTCAGTTCATATTTCTGATGAGAAAATTGAAAGTAATCTATCAAACTGGAGTATGATCAAGGTAAAATATGTCAGACTCTGAATGAAAAACAATAGTCAACTAGCTTCTAACAACACATGGCCAATATACTGCTTACCTTAGTAGTACTTTGTTTCATCTTCTTAATGACATTGAGCTTCTTAAAGGAATTGTAAATTATTCATGTTACCTTGCTGGTGCATAGCAAGGTACACTGTACTCATTTAATCTTCTTTAAATAAAACAAATATGAAATGTAAAAAAAACCCTCTTTTCAAATGTGATAGATAATAAAGATCTATCCTGAAATTTTACATTGCATACAATTTAAACATTATTTTTTAATGGGGAAATAATCACATATGGTAGAGATTTTATACAGAATTTTAAAATGTGGCATTAAAAAAACTTGTTCCATGGAAAACTGCTTTCAGAGATTTTTAATAAGTGTTTCTCTCACATAGGAACCTAAGCTTCTCAGAGCTTTTAATAGGCTTCTAACAGGCTAATAGTCAAGGCCGTGACCCAAGAAGGGATATAGTTCACAGTGTTTTCCACAAATATTTCACCCCAGAATTTCTTTTCTCGTTGAACATGTTTTAGAAAAGCCTGCTGTAAATGATGCTGCAAATCTCACAATGGCTAATTTAGCTTTTACTGATATATTACCTACATTCTTAATTAGGGACTTTTTTTCACATAGCATTTATATAACTCCTGAAACAACTCCCTGAATTTATGTTTTACATTGAACTTATCTCAAAAAAATAGAGACATATTGTATTGTTTGTGCCAGGACAAGATTTTGTTTTTTTCACATTAAATATGGAAACTCTCTAATAATGCATAACAGATCAGACAAATGGTCCACTTACCTCAATATTTTAAAAAATTTTCACTACTAATGGTATAGGAAAGCGGTCCCTATCCAGACCCCAAGAGAAGGTTCTTGGATCTCGCGCAAGAAAGAACTCAGGGCAAGTCCGCAGTGCAAAGTAAAAACAAGTTTATTAAGAAAGTAAAGTAGCCAAAGTGTAGCTACTCCGTAGACAGAGTAGGAGTTCCTGAAAGTAAGAGGAGGGACGGGTCCACCCTAGATACGATACGTGTGTATATGGGGAGATGTGCTCTGCTTCAAGGGTTTGTGATAGAGGATTAATTTTCTTAATTACTATATTTTGCAAGAATCAGTATTATTATTTTTAAAGCAAAATTAGAAATGCCTTTGTTCTCATGTCTGTAACCCCAGCACTTTGGGAGGCCGAGGCGGGCAGATCACGAGGTCAGGAGATCGATACCATCCTGGCCAACATGGTGAGACCCTGTCTCTACTAAAAATACAAAAATTAGCTGGGGGTGGTGGCATGTGCCTGTAGTCCCAACTACTCCAGAGGCTGAGGCAGGAGAATCACTTGAACCCGGGAGGCGGAGGCTGCAGTGAGCCGAGATCGCGCCACTGCACTCCAGCCTGGCGATAGAGCGAGACTCCGTCAAAAAAAGAAAAGAAATGCTTTTGTTCTGCAGATATCTGGATATCTGGACACTCTCAAGTCTGAGTCTATTTAGTAAACATTATTAATTTGTTCCCTTAACAGTAAACATCTACAGGCTAGGAATGCCTTTCTGGAAATGCAGCCCAGCAACTCCTAGCCTCATTTTCCCAACACTGACTCAAAATGGAGTCGCTCTGGTTCGAACGCCTCTGACACTAATATATATTATATATTATACTATATTACATATTATAGATTTTATATATTGTATCATATATGTTTATAATATGCATACATATATACATTTATGCTGTTAAGGAAAACAAAACAAATATTTTATATATGTGTATGCATAAAATGACATGCAATCCAGTTGATAGCCATTAAGTATGTTATGTATTATGATGATAATTATAGGCCTTCTGCAATTTATTTATATTTTCAATTGTAAAACATTTTTTGAAAGCGGATTTCAAGTAATTATCATATACTGACACACACACACACAACATGTTAAAATAACATCTCAAACCAATATATAAATTTAGGATTTGGAAACATCCAGAAAGTAAAATTTAAAAGTTCTGTTAATTTTACATTTTGGTAAGATTTGTTTTGTAAATTTAGTCCTTAACATAATGCAAATTTAATCTGCAAGATAGAATACATAGATAGATAAATCGATATTTGACATACAATTTCAAATGAAATTGTTTTATGCCCCTTTGAGGAAACATGTCAGGTGATTTTATTTAAGGAGCTACACCCAGGCTCCCTCATTCCTAGGAAGGAAAAAGACCAGAAACTCACAAGGTCTGCTAAAGGCCAAAGACTATTTAGGCCAAAAGGAATAATGCAACCAAAAGATTGCCAGAAGCAAAGAAAACAAAGCAAAAAAAGAAATCAGCAAGTTATTTCAAAAGGGAAGAGAAAAATGTAAGTCAGGTCATTAAAGATTTAATTGACTAGTACAAAGTCTGTGAGAACAAAGCCATCAAATGAACATTTACAATGAGCCCATTGAGATTTCACCCAGGCCATTAACATGTCTTCCTAATTACAATAGGCAGCTCTCAAAAGGCTGTTAGTAAACCCTGCATTTTGGAGAAACATATTTGGACAATGGCTTGAGAGTGATTAGAAGGATCACTGGATAAGAAAGTTCATATTACTTACTTGTGAAACCATGGTACTTGAAGTCTGTTTCAGAAGTGAAAGCCCAGTTGTAGGTACTTATGAACTGTATTTTTCCTTAAAACGTAGAGCTCTTATTTAATAATAAACTAGAGTTACATTTCTATATTCTATGAATAATTTGTTATGCATAAATAATATTAAATCATTTTTGACATTTTAAAGTTTTAGGCATGCAAAAGAGTTGACAATTTAGAGTTGACCTTTTACCCCTCATCTACACTTTCAAGGAGAACTAAACAACTACCTCTGAATTTTAGGCAGCTCCAAACAGCATAAGTAATCAAAAGAACGTCTTAGATAACTTTGGCTAATGTTGGAGATTATCATTATTATAAAAAACAAAAGTGGGCCCGGCGCGGTGGCTCACGCCTGTAATTCCAGCACTTTGGGAGGCCGAGGCGGGTGGATCACGAGGTCAGGAGATCGAGACCATCCTGGCTAACACGGCGAAACCCCGTCTCTACTAAAAAATACAAAAAATTAGCCGGGCGTGGTGGCGGGTGCCTGTAGTCCCAGCTACTCAGGAGGCTGAGGCAGGAGAATGGTGTGAACCCAGGGGACAGAGCTTGCAGTGAGCCGAGACCGCGCCACTGCACTCTAGCCTGGGTGACAGAGCGAGACTCCGTCTCAACAAAACAAAACAAAACAAAACAAAGCAAAAAAAATTGAATTTTGAAGTTTGAGATATTTGGAGGATGTATATTGATGGAATTCTCTAAGTGGTGATGGTAACCCATTATACTTTAGGCTCAGACAGCAAAACTTTCCACAGCTGGTGATTTAATCAGGGACTGGTGGATTATATAAGGGTTAATGGAACCGTTTTTTTAGGACTAAAACCTGTGTTTATTTCTTCTTTTTTTTTTTTTATTATACTTTAAGTTTTAGGGTACATGTGCACATTGTGCAGGTTAGTTACATATGTATACATGTGCCATGCTGGTGTACTGAACCCACTAACTCGTCATCTAGCATTAGGTATATCTCCCGATGCTATCCCTCCCCCCTCCCCCCACCCCACAACAGTTCCCAGAGTGCGATATTCCCCTTCCTGTGTCCATGTGATCTCATTGTTCAATTCCCACCTATGAGTGAGAATATGCGGTGTTTGGTTTTTTGTTCTTGTGATAGTTTACTGAGAATGATGATTTCCAATTTCATCCACGTCCCTACAAAGGACATGAACTCATCATTTTTTATGGCTGCATAGTATTCCATGGTGTATATGTGCCACATTTTCTTAATCCAGTCTATCATTGTTGGACATTTGGGTTGGTTCCAAGTCTTTGCTATTGTGAAGAGTGCTGCAGTAAACATACGTGTGCATGTGTCTTTATAGCAGCATGATTTATAGTCCTTTGAGTATATACCCAGTAATGGGATGGCTGGGTCAAATGGTATTTCCAGTTCTAGATCCCTGAGGAATTGCCACACTGACTTCCACAATGGTTGAACTAGTTTACAGTCCCACCAACAGTGTAAAAGTGTTCCTATTTCTCCACATCCTCTCCAGCACCTGTTGTTTCCTGACTTTTTAATGATTGCCATTCTAACTGGTGTGAGATGGTATCTCATTGTAGTTTTGATTTGCATTTCTCTGATGGCCAGTGATGATGAGCATTTTTTCATGTGTTTTTTGGCTGCATAGATGTCTTCTTTTGAGAAGTGTCTGTTCATGTCCTTTGCCCACTTTTTGATGGGGTTGTTTGTTTTTTTCTTGTAAATTTGTTTGAGTTCATTGTAGATTCTGGATATTAGCCGTTTGTCAGATGAGTAGGTTGCGAAAATTTTCTCCCATTTTGTAAAACCTGTGTTCATTTCTAAACTCTGAAGAAATTGCTGTATCTGCCAGTCAATTGCTGCTGTTCATTATTAATGTTATTGGTAGTATTACTTTGTATGCCCTTACTTGCGAAAAAGGTTTTAGTCCATTTTCTTCCATTTGCTTATCAGATGTTAAAGATGAAGGGAAAGTTATTCCGAGAATGATTCCAATTGTTCATCCTGTTCTTTATAAACGCTTTTTGGAAATCTCACTTAGTAGAAAAAAATAAGTCTCAAGATTTAGTTCACATTCCAAATTCTTATAAAAGCTACTGTGGATTATTAACCAGTTTATTGTGTCCCATCGTATTAGAATATTTTCAAATATTATTTCTAATCCTTAAAATGAGTCTCACTTCTAGGAAATATATTTATTTTTATTTTGTGAAAGAAAATTGAAGGATTACAGTATTGAAATAACTTGCCACAATTATACAGTATTTAGCATGTCAGAGCCATAATGTTAGAAACAAATTACTATCCATTTATTGGGTGCTTATTTTGTGCCAGATACTGCTCAAAGCCTTGTGCATGTATTGTCTCATTTCATTCTCAAAATAATCCTAGGAGGCATTGGATCAATGAAGTATCATGGATTCCATTTTTAATTAAGGAAGCTGAGCCTCAGACGATTGAAGTGACAGGCCAAAGGACACAAGACTCTTAAGTGAGGGCGCTGAGGTTTGCATTCACATCAATCTAAACCCAGCTCTGTTCTCCCCCTTCATCATAGACGGGTTCTGAGGAGGAATCTGTGGATTGACTGCCCGGGGATCATTCCGGGTAGTCCTTACTTTCTCAACGTGTCTCTACTTCATACATCTCTCCCCACTCTTTAATTGTGTCTCTTCTCATATAAAACATGAAAATGAGAGAAACGCTCTTTAAAGATTTAGCAATGGCCTGAAGTATATGCTAGAGCAGGGTATGCTATCATATATAAATAGAGAAAAATTCTGTTATAAAAAGGGCAAGATTAAAAAATAATGGACCATAAAGTCAAACCAGAGTGTCATGATAATTTTCCCAGAGTTTCCTAATTGTGATACTTTAGTGAAATATATTGGGGAAAAATGACCATTAGCAGCGTACCGATAACTTTTATACTATCCCATGAAAGCACATGATACATTTGGAACCTTTCCCCTAACTTTCAGATACACTTGCAGTTCTAAGATTCTTCTCATAAGGTATACAGTCGTCTTCTAATTTACATGTAGACCTGTGACCTAAAATATTCTGATGAGAGCCAACAGCTGAAATCCTTGTAAGACATTCTAGAGCATTTTAGGACAGTGGGACTGCGTTGAATAACCAGTTACTGCAACAGAACACCAAGGCAGGGGACAATCGGTCTTTGCTGCCAATTACACTTGGACATACAGCAGCAGGAGGGAATCCTGAGTCCTTGACTTAATTTCATCTGGCCCTGGAGGCAAGTGACAGGAAGTGACAAGCCAATTATGCATCCAGTCACAAAGCACAATGTGACTTTAACTTTAGAAAAACTCCTAAAAGGTCACATGTTGTAGATTTCAATGTTGTTAATGATTTACCGGTTTCTCCCCATATGAAACATTTATTTTGTTTCTTTGTGAGGGAAACACACCATGAGGTGTGTCCTTGTCTTTTTCTGCATGTAAATCCATCTTTCCTTTTCTATATTTTTTTCCTGTTTTGTTAGGTTTTTCTCTCTGACTCTGTCTTACCCGTTTGGTTGTTTTTCCTCCACACGTCTAAGTCTTTCTGTTGTCAGTTGCCTGCTTCCTTTAGCCATAATATAAAATAAAATTTTAAACAAATCACTCTGGATAGTTTTTAGGCTTTGTTTTTAACATGAAAATATGAATAAAATTGGTTTTACTTCTGTAGCTTTCTTATTGTGGGTCAGATGGCATTAAAACAAAGACTGAAGTAGGAGTCCACAGTCTCTGCCTTTCTGTGAACTGCTTTAAATCAACTATGATGATCTAAAAGTTAGAAATTTTCTTGCTTTGAATTTGTTTTAATAAAATTTGTCTTCTATTTTCAATTGAATTTGCTGTCTGAATGTTGCTTTAAGGATTTTTAAAAATGTTTTACATACACAGATATAAATTCTCTCATAGGTTGAAACCCATTCTAAAATATCCTGTTTGACACTTAGCCCATCTGCTTAAATATGTATTGATCATTAACGCAGCAGATATTTGAGACAATAAATTCACTACAGACTTCAGTTAAGTTCTCCCCCATCACCATTATTATGAACAGTTCTGCGTTTCAGTCAATCTTGTAGTAAAATTTCCCTTGAAAGGAAATTAATTTCTGGTGACCTAATCCTGTGTTTTCTTTTTGTCTGATATTCATTTGATTAAAAAAAATGTTTCTCTGAGCACATTGTTATCGGTTATTTATTCTTTTGCAAAGCAGCATTTCTCACGCAGCTGCTAAGTCCCTGTTGGCTTTAGATTGCTGTCTAAAATGAATTATATCTATTGTATTTACTTGATCACTGGGGATGGTACAGATTTATCTTTTAAGAACTGTCCTCAGAGAGACCTGCTAAGCTTCTCAGGCTAATGGGGCTGTAGCAAGGCCTCATTATTGCTGCACGTACATCTGTAATTACATTCACCTCCTAACTCAGTATGAAAGGCAATCATCAAATGTAAACAGTGGTTGCCTTCGATGGACCTATTATAGATGATTTTCTGTTCTTTATGGTTATTATTTTTACGTGAACAAAGGAACAGAAACAGCTAAAACATAGCTATTTTTTTAAAAAGAGAGCAATGTGACCTAGATAAAGAGGAATTTAAAACAGCTAGTTGATTACACCCTAAAGGATGTGATTTGTCATAGACATGTTCCTCAAATATTTATAAAAGTTTAATAGTAGGCGTTTTCTAAATACTTTATTCCCTTCAGAATCTTCAAAATCTAGGTAACCTTTATTACTTTAAATATTTATTTACTTAGTAGCTTAAATAAACTAAGGCAGTATTTCAGAACTATTCAGTGAGACCAGGTTTCATAAATGATGCAAGCAAGTTATCTATTTCCATTTATTATAAATAAAAAGGATGGGTGGGCAGGGATCCTATTTACTAAATGGTTTCATTAAAGATGAAAACAATTTCACTTTTAAATCTATCATTAAATAGATAAATGTATACATATACAGTTATGTACATCCACATAAACAGAACGAAATAAGCAAATACTATGTAAGTAGGCTTGCAAGATTATGTGCTGAGCTATATAATATCGTGATAATCAAGATAAAATGGCACTTCCATATGCTGTTACTTATATAACTCTATAATATTGTCCCATGCACATTAACCTCTTACTGAGGCTTAGAGTTTTCTTGTTGGATAAATATTTTAAGGAGAAAATTAGAAACCCTGTTGGACTGGATTCATTCAGAACAGATTCTGATGAGACCCAGCTCTTTGAATTGGATATTTATGGCTTGTTGAACATTTGTGGTGCAATGAAAAATCTGTAAATTGCAATTAACACAACAAAGCTGAAAAATGAAGAAAGTGGTGAGATTTCAGTATCTCTGTGGCTGAGCTGCTGTGTGTGTGGTGGGGGGATTCCTGGGATATTCTAATCCTAGCAACATATTTTCTTTCCATTCAGTTGTAACGATCATTCAGAGAAGTGACAAATATATCTACTAGACGTCTCTTTCCGTGGGTGAGGAGCAGCTCTTGTTTTAGAGAGGACTTAGCAAGGATGCTGTAATTTGCAGTGACTTGAAAAGCAGGGACTGGATGTCCTCCATGCATAAAGTAACCCACGTAGTAAGATAAATTACTTTAAAATCTGAGTTGATTCTTTCAGTTCAATGTCTGGAAACTTATTAATTGAATGCAGCCGTCTGCAGAGCTTGACTTGAGATCATATAGTTGACTTAAGCACAAGGAGTATCTTGCTGAAAAAACTGTAAACTCCAGTAAAGTGAATCCCAATCCATCACTGGACATTTGGCACTGTTTGCACCAATCATACAGATCATGGTCATCTGATGAATAGTTTTATGATAGGAGAGACTTCTCAATATTAACCATGATGCATTCCACGCTTGACAACACAGAATGGTCATCTTGATGTAGTCCCAGGAATTTGTATGTGCTGGTTTTACAAAGTCAGATATATTCAGTATTCCCTTCATTGATTTGTCTTACCTTAGTGTCACCTGGATAAGACAAAGTCCCTTCATTAGAATACTTTACCAGATATTGGTGTATTCATGCCGAAGTCTTCCTTTCTCTCTCTCTGTCTACATACGTACGCACAAACACACACACACAGATGTATAAGTGTTATATATACACACACATATATGCACACATATATAATATATACACATACAACATATGTATTATGTTATAACATTATGCAACATCACGTATACAAACATATCAGCTACTTAATTTTGAAATAAGTAATAAACTTTGGCCTAAATGTGTTACAGTATCTAATGTTAAAACATTATGCAACATCATATATACAAACATCACCTACTTAATTTTGAAATAAGTAATAAACTTTGGCCTAAATATGTTGCAATATCTAAATATGTTGCCTTTTTATTTCCTCTTCAAACATGCCCAGTTTCCATAATGTTTTCACCCTAGTTGTAAGAAGTAGAAGAAAATAAAAGAGTGACCAGTGATACATTTTCTTGGTATTTTGATACCTCTATGCCTGGTCGACTTTCCCAGAGGCCGGCCATTAGTAGAAAGGCTCTCAGACCAAACTAAGTAGATCAAATTATCAAGACTATTAAATCAATTTAGATATATAATGCAAAGTAACAGGAAGAAAACAAGAGGTGACACACTTAGGATAGGGTGACACAGCATAGGACAGCTTGTGATTAGGTACGGTAGACCCCTAATGGTTGGAAATCTCATCCAGATCATTGTATACCTGGTAGTCCTGTCTGTATAACTTTGTATAATATTGATGTATTAATTCAGTGATACAAAACAGTAAACATTTTACTAGTAGATATATCATATGTTTGCATTGTGTATCCCTGTAACCATGGGTACATAAGTCAATGACCGAAGTCATCAGCTATTTTCAGGTTTACTAGTAATATCTATGTGCTGCTTTTTCATTAATGTTGTTTGTATAAGACAAGCAAAAGCAGGCCCCAAAGCTTCAAGAAAAATTTTTGAAGGGCATTTAATGTGGAAATATTCTTATCTACTATTTTTATCTGCAGTGAACTGGAAAGGCTTGCCTTTTTTTTTTTTTTTTTTGAATTTTAATATGAAACACAGTGGTATAGATCCCAGATGTTCTGAAAGTACATCATTTGAGAACTAGTGATTTAGTCTGAAGAAAATAATAACAGGACAACTAAATATTTTAAGGCTGTAAGTGGACATTATATGGAGAATAGCATCTAGTGATATTTAATTTACTGGAGTCGCTATTTTTACCCATTAAAGTTTGATTGGTGACTAATTCTTGGGGAGGAGGAGGTTGAAGAGCACTTTAACTGGATATCCTTTACTTGCGGGGATATTGATTTTCTCATTTTTGTGATTTCTAGTGTATTATGTTTACTTTAAAAGATTTTACAAACTATATAAAATGGTTTCAAAAAGTTTGTTTAATGCCAGAAAAATGATGAGTTTATTTTTCTTTCTTTCAGCTTAAATTTGTGGCCCACTAGAAAAAAAAAAAGGTATCAAACAGATGTGTGCATTGCTATTCCTTGCAGCCTCCACAAAAGCTGGTGTCCAGAGGGTGGAAATTCTGTTTCTATTTTGGTTGTGTCAGTTCCTTCTCTAAAAAGCTTCTAATTATTTCTCATCACTTGCCAGATAAAATTAAAACTTCTTAACACAATTTTTAAGACTCTCTTTCTTTTTTAATATATTAAAAATATTTGTAAGGAAGACATAACATAAAAGTTACCACCTAACCATTGTTAAATGTACTGTTCTTAGTGTTCAGTGTATTCACGTTGTTGTGCAACAGATCTCTATAACTTTTTCATCTTGCAAAACTGAGACCCTGTACCCACTGAACAACGACTCTGTATGTCCTCCCTCCAGCCCGTGCAACCACCATTCCATTTCCTAAACTTCCTTGAACTGACTCCTCCTCTCCTGTTTGATTTTCTCTAACTCATTTCAAAACCTGCCTTCCGCCTTACCTCCATACACAATGTCTTTCTAGTTCCCATCATAGATCCCAGTTCAGATCTTCACTCACATCCTTCTCATTGCCTGGGGTGCTCTCCCATGACCCCTTGTGTGATTATTTTCTTCCTTTTTTTTAATTTAATTTTTTAAAATTATACTTTAAGTTCTAGGCTATATGTGCACAATGTGCAGGTTTGTTACATATGTATAACTCACCTTTCAGATACAGACTTAAAAGGCGTTCCTAGAGTGGGAGATTTACACCCAATATGTGCTCTCACATGACACCTTGTTATTTCCAACCATCACAAAAATTAACTTTTACTTTTTTTTTTTTTTCTGATAGAATGTGAGCCTTTGAAACCAAAACCAATAGCTACATATAAAGGACGCCCAGTCTTGCTCATCATTTCATTCCTGGCACCATAGCACACACCAAATAAGTATTAATTGCCTGAATAACTGGGTCAGTGCTCAAAATACCTAGATTTGAATCTTATTTTGTCAGTTACAAGTTGTGTGCCCTTGGGTACACAAAGATCTTAATAATGATGATGGCAATAAAAATATTTATTACAGCAATAATAGCAGTGCTAGTAGCAGCCATCACTGACATTTACATAGCACTTATTATGTAGTGGGCATATTTAAATCCTTATATTAAATCATTTAATCCTCATAATAACTCTTTGCAGTAGGTACTATGATTATGTCCATTGTCAGATGTGTTAGGAGGACAGGGATATTAAGTGATTTGTCCAAGGTGACACAGTTCATAAGTAACAGAACCACTATTGGAATCAGGTGCTTTGAATATGAAGTCCTGTTATGAAATATTGTTTGATGTGTTGGAACCCCACTTCCTTATTTATAATGAGTGATTTCATTTCAAAGATGGCTGATAGGCATTAAATGTTTCCATCTATGGCAAGCTGCTTAGCACAATGCCTAATTGGAATTACCGTAATTCCTAATTGTAATTAAGGCTAGAATTAGCACCTAATCTGACAGGCACTAACAAAACTAGTCAGTCCTCTTGGACTAGGTGGAATATCAGTTTGGACCCATGAAAACCAGACTCATGTGCAAGAAATCAGAGACACAAGTGGACCCATTTCTTCTAAGATATAGGAATATCCTTAAAAGACAGGTGCATGTATTTTTCCCAATCCTGCTGTTTGCCATTTTTTTCCTTTTTTTTTTCTTTTTTTTTGTTTTTTTGAGACGGAGTCCTGCTCTGTCGCTCAGGCTGGGGTGCAGTGGCGCGATCTCAGCACGCTGCAAGCTCTGTCTCCTGCGTTCACGCCATTCTTCTGCCTCAGCCTCCCGAGTAGCTGGAACTACAGGCGCCTGCCACCATGCCCAGCTAATTTTTTGTATTATTAGTAGAAATGGGGTTTCACCGTGTTAGCCAGAATGGTCTCAATCTCTTGACCTCGTGATCTGCCCGCCTTGGCCTCCCAAAGTACTGGGATTACAAGTGTGATTTCAGCCACCGCGCCTGGCCGGTGTTTGCCATTTTTTCTTAACCCATTAACTCTTGGCTACAAGAGGACAGAAGTCTGTTAGTGAAAACTCAACAAATGACAGCCATTACTGTCATCATCTGTTGCTACTGTGGTACTTCATGCTTTGAATGAAGTAGATCTTCAGTAACTATTAGCTCCTTTCTTCTCTTTCGGCTCCCTTCATTACAGCAAGTCCGACTCAACTACTACTGCAAAAAATTAGGTCAAAGACATGTTATAATGGCTGCCAAGGAAATGGGGTATAATTGATAGGAGCTATAGAAGAAGGAAGAGCACAAATTTCAGAGGAAAACACATCCTGTTACCGAATGCTAACACCTTGCTAGAATTATGACAACATGCGTGGTATTTGAGTAACATTTAAAACTTTAAAGGTGTGGACATATCATTGATACCATGTTTGTTTCATAACCGATCTTGAGAGAAATCATAGGATATTACAATTCCCATTTTACAAAGAGCCTCAGTGACTTGCTGAAGGGAAGAATAGTTAGGGTCCACTTAAGAACTAGCAATTAGATTTCCAGATTACTTGTTCTGTGAAAATATAATTCATCATCTAACAAAGACCTTTTTGAGAGTGGAAGGGGGAAGTTCGGTTGAGTTAGAATAGCAGACATCCATCGAGACTTTCCAGGGCTCATCAGGAGGGGTGGTGCTTTCCTTCTACAGATGTTCCTCCTTGTGTTGTCTGTCCTTTCTCTTCTCTTTCACAATAAGCATCATGTTGATTTTTAAAATCTTCTCCTTCTTTGATCCATGGAAGATGAATTATTTCTTCTCCTTAGGCGTCCAGAGTTCTCTTTGCTGTATGCATGTATACATGTGAAAATCAAACATATCCCTCTGAAAAAAAGGAGAAATCTACCTTGATGCAATAACTCTGTACATATTTCACAAAATGTCCTGAGCTTGGACAGCAAAGGCTGGCATAACTTGCTAAGGTTTGCTTGAATTTTATGTTGATTGCATTCACTTTATATTCCTACCTTATCCATGAATGGCTGTATATTGGAATGAAAACTAATTTGGTATTTTGGTAGAATTACAGATTATTACTAGATAGATATTTCACACTGTTGAATGTTGAATGTGACAAAAAAGTTATCATAACCTGCTCTGGTTTCACGTACCCTGAAGAACAAGGTGCTGTCTTGATGGGCTCTTCATTCCCAGCATGACACAGCTGGAGGATGGGGGGGACAACATTTGGTAAGAATAACAGATTCTCTGGGAAGAGATCAGCAATTTCAATTAACTAAGTCCCAGAAAAAAAAAAAGCAAAGTAAATGCCATTTGAAGATAGCTAATTGAGGCTCCAAACAGAGAGGATGGACAGAGACACTGAACAGTAAGGTAAGAACACAGTAAGGTAAGGGGAGAACACAGAGTGATGGCTGATGGATTCTGTGAATGTTGAAGACTGGAATTAGCACCAAACCTGACAGGTACTAACAAAACCAGTCTGTCTCTTGGACTAGGTGGAATGTGGGTCTGGACCCGAGAGAACCAGATGCATTTGCAAGAATTCAGAGACACAAGACAGGGTGCGGTGGCCCACGCCTGTAATCCCAGCACTGTGGGAAGGCGAGGTGGGTGGATCCTGAGATCAGGAGATGGAGACCATCCTGGCTAACATGGTGAAACCCCGCCTCTACTAAAAATACTAAAAATTATCCAAGGGTGGTGGCATGCACCTGTAGTCCTAGCTACTCGGGAGGCTGAGGCAGGAGAATTGCTTGAACCCGGGAGGCAGAGGATCCAGTGAGCTGAGATCATGCCACTGCACTCCAGCCTGGGTGACAGAGCAAGACTATCTCAAAAAACAAAAACAAAAACAAAAGAAATCAGAGACACAAATGAACCCATTTCTACTAAGATACAGGGATATCCTTAAAAGACAGTGGGTGGTATTTCTCCTGACCCTGCTGTTTGCCATTTCTTCTTAACCCATTGACTCTTGGATACATGAGGACAGAAGTCTATTACAAAATCTACAAGCACCTTATACACCACTACCCTGAGATCTTGGTGGTTCCTGGCCAGGCAACTGGAATTGGTTGTAGAGTTATCCTCACACTCTTTCAGCTTAGATCATCTAGCTTGGCTTCAGAAAGTCTTATCATTTGGAGGTAGGGTTTCAGTGGTCTTGTTCTTTAGGTTGGTGCATTCTCGTAAAACCTGTATTGAGATTCTGAATAAAACAATTCTATACCTAAACATTTTATCCATTGTGCATAAGAACTTATTTCAAACTTGTATTTTGTGGAGAAGCCAAAAGTTTGGCAATTATACGTGCTTTTCTTTTTCTTTTTATTTTTTTCTTTTTGAGATGGAGTCTCGCTCTGTCACCAGCCTGGAGTGCAGTGGCGCTATCTCGGCTCACTACCAGCTCCATCTCCCGGGTTCACGCCATTCTCCTGTGTCAGCCTCCCGAGTAGCTGGTACTACAGGTGCCTGCCACCACACCCAGCTAATTTTTTGTATTTTTAGTAGAGACGGGGTTTCACTATGTTAGCCAGGATGGTCTCTATCTCCTGACCTCATGATCCGCCCGCCTCAGCCTCCCAAAGTGTTGGGATTACAGGCATAAGCCACTGCGCCAAGCCTATACATGCTTTTTATGGACTCAGCAAGTGATCTGTAATACAATAATGCATGTGGTTTTATTAATATATGAAAATTAAAAATGAATTGTTTTATAGCTTTGCTGATTTGAGATTTATAGTAAGTGGGAATACATACATGGATAAACATTTATTCCAGAAATTTTCAGTTTAGTTAGCCTAACACCCACACTTATGTAGAAATAGTCGTGTATGGAGGAATAATAGAGATAAGCAGGTACACTTGAAGTCAAAATGCAATCACAGTTCTTTTGATCTTTTTAATCAGTTTCTCCATTGGACATTTTTCTTGCATTGCCTCAGTAACAGAATAGAGGAGATATATTTTGATGTTACTTTTCTCTTGTCACTTTTGAAGGGTGGTGTTGAAGAGATGCCACCATCAGTTGGATATATAAAAGAAATAGCCAAATAAAGAGATAATCTGTCTCTCCCATCAGCCCCTGAACAATTGATAGTGGAAAATAATGTAATACAATTTATAATGTTCAAAATAAAAGCTTATTGATAATTTTTTATCAATAACCATCAAGGATGATGTAATTACAAAACTCAAGATGATTTGACAGAATTTTTCAAATTATTTAAATCTAAATATTCAGACTGAATAAACTTCAAATTAGTTAAGTGGATTCATTTGATAGATGCTTTATTTTACTCATTAGCCAATAAAACTCTTAAGAGTTTTCTTAAGGTCTTAGGACAGACAGATTTATGCTTCAGTGACAAAAATCAAGAATTTAATCAGTTACACAAGGAGAAAGTATGTGTGTATGTGTGTGTATACACATAACCAGATATTCTCCTAAGTTTTTCAAAATAATAGAAACAGATATTTTGGGATTCATGATCTGTACCACTGTTTATATTAACCATGGCTCCTTACTGTCTATCAAACTGTTTACTTTTTCATAGTTGGGGCCTGCATTTGTATAGATTTCTAGCCCCTTATCATTCACATAGACTTTCGATAGTACCTGTTGACTGAAAAAAAAAAAAAAAAAAAGAAATGAGGGCCAGTGTTGTTAACTGGAATGTGAAGCTCTCCATAATGTTACTCTTCATTTCTCCAAAATTGCTGTTTCTCCAAAATAATGTCCAATATTTTCCACAAATCTCCCCCTCTCCGTCCCACCCCAGTAACATTTATGGGATGTCTTCCATCTTCCTACCTTATGTTAATATGGAGTTGACCTCACTTTGCCAGATATATCATACACTTTTCACACCTTCCTGTGTTTATTTGCTGCAAATCAGTACATACTACCTCAATCACTGCCTTGTTCCTTGTTTAAAGGCATGGGCTATTTCTTGCATCTCATCAGAAGCTTGTATGAGCAAGGTTTGTATGTGTTAACACAAGTCTTTAGTCCAGAGTCACATCTGCATATAATTTTTTTTTGTTTTTCAAAGTATCCTTGAGCTAATATTTACAATGAAGAAAACTGGGAGTCAGTACACATGTTAATTTGTAGCCTTTAGTATGAACTTATAACAATAATGCACCCATGAATCCATGGGTGTATCTAATGTCATTACAACAAAATCATATCCTTAAACTTTTCTATGTGAGCAAACAATTTTTCAATGCAATATGTCTTCTGTGCTTGTTTATTATGTGAAAGGGAGAGCGTAGGTCCTGGTTCCGAGGGTTAATTGTTGCCTTCATTGAGCACACACCCTCTTTTTTGCACCTCCGTAGGAGGATGGCCTCCGACCCATGACGTGCTTAGGAAAGTTGATATTCATGGTTTGGGGGCCATAAGCGATCATTTAAGTGGTGACAAATCCATGGAGGTATTTAGCATGCGTGTTTAATAAAGGATAAAAATTTTAAAATGACAGTCGTAACAATACGAAAGCTGTGTCAGTCCTACCCAGACTAATGTTTATTTTATGTTAAAATGTAAAGTCTCTGCCAAGATTTATGTATTTATGTTTTACATGCATTTGTGTATTTATGCTTTATATATATATATATATATAGCCATTAAACTTATTTAATATTTAGTTGTGATTGATTCAAATGCTAGTCTCTACCCTACATCCTTGCTCTTCAAGGTGGTGTTTGGGCATCAGCCACATTGGCATCACCAGGGGAGCTTGTTAAAAATCTAGAATTCAGGTGTCACTCTGAACTACTGAGTCAAGGTCTGAATTTTAAAAAGACACCTTCCCCTGTAGATGTGAATTAACATTTGGTTTTGAAACATTGCCGTTATCTTTGGGATGTGAGAGCCCTGTAGAAATAATAATTTAGTATTTTTCTTAAAAGTTTCTCTCTTCTAGCTTCTCTTCCCTGCCAGATGGAGATTGCATGTAGGAGTCACACAAACAAAATATAACAAAGAAACATTAGACACAATGTCTTTAGTAACCTAGGAAGCAAGACCTCATTAGATACTGTGAATATACCAAGCTCTGATATCAGTTGAAGTTGGTTCTTTCTCTTTAGTGACCTCTGTGTCATTAGTTATCACATCTGTCTTTCATGTAGAAATCTAAAGGACTGCCATAAGATTGTATGTAAATAAAATATGAGGGCAAATAAGCTTGCTGAATCTGCTTTTCTTCACTCCTGAAGTAACAGGGCTCCTGGTTCTGGTGTTCAAGATTTTCTGTTATGAGACAAATGATGCCATTTGAAATTCTGGGTTGCCTCCAAGTCTGCGGTAGATTGTAGCTTTTCCTCTGCATGTATGTACATATGTGTGTGAAGCATGTGCAATCAAACATATGTAGAATTAATTCTGGACAGCTCTGACTGTTTTGTCTATCAACATATGTTCATTATAGGAGTTGTGGCAGTTGAGAAGATAAATATATAACAGTTCCTGCCTTCTGGGCCTCTAGAATCTAGTATGTAAAATAAATTAAACAGAAATAATTTTGGCATGAAAATGGAACCAAAGAGCTTCTGATTACTTTTAGATGGACTCATGAAAAAGACATTTTGGATAAACTCATATGTAACTGAACCTTGAAGATACATGGCACTCCACCAAGTAGAGACAAGCAAAAGCATTTGAAATGGAAGAAGCTGTGTGAGCAAAGGTAAGGACACCAAAAATTAAGAGGCCTGAAGAAGAAATAGAGGAGAAGTGCAGCTAGAGTGAAGTGGTGGGTGAATGGAGATAATTTGAAGATGTGCCTTCTACATGTCAAATGCTAAACTGAAACTTTAAATTTCATTTACAAGATAAAAGGGAGCCGTAGGCAGGACTGTGTGTGGAGCAACATGGAATCTAAACTGAGCCCATAGCAAAGTAATCTGTCAACAAGCAAAAAAAAAATAACAATTGTTTTTGTACTTTTAAAGGTTTTAACTCCTTATGCCTTTGCAGTTTTTCTCAATTTATCAACAATTTTAGAGCTGAGGTTTGAAATTTTATTACACAGTTACTGAAGGAGACACAGGATTACTACCACATACAATTTACCAGAAGACCTTAACTATAACAACTGAAATTCTTAATAAAATAAATTCGAGGAAAACATGAAAAGAAGTTTTAAACATTGAAGAGTAAAACTGTACTTACCCCATCCACAGGATTTACAATTTCTTCTCTCCTTTCTAATAGTGTGGGTATGTGAAGGCATTGTTCTTGTCAGTGTTAGTGGATGGAAGTATTTAAGTGAATTTAGAAGACAAATGTGGAAAGACACTTTTTAAACTTGTTAAATTACAAAATTATGTGATCTTACAGTGAAAACATGGAGAATCATTTTCTCCAACTTTCATATGAAGGACCGAAATGCTCTCTACTTCCTTGCAGGTTTTCATTCAGGTTTTCTTTAAACTCATGTGCTGACAGTTTTATTCAACTCCTCAAGACAGATTTTGGAAAGTTATTTTTAAAGAAAAAAAAAACCATCTAGTGATCTACATGTTTGCCCACCTTGCCCCACAGCAAAAACACTTTCATTCCTTCCATTGAGATCGATTCGCAGATAATTATCATGCTTCTCTTTGGAATTTTGCTAAGCTAAATGTGCTCAGATTGTTCAGCGGTTCCATATATGGTGTGTGTGTGTGTGTGTGTGTGTGTGTGTGTGTGTGTGTGTGTTCACAATGTACAAAAATACAATTCCTAGGTAACCTGGTATTCCCTTTTTGGCTTTTGAATTTAATGGACCACTAAAATCAAATCAAATGAAAGGTTTGTGGATTTGCATTAAAGACATCACTACCATCTAACTAATCTCACCTTTACTGAATAAGTACAAAAATAAACTTTACTTAAAAGTAGGAAGAAAGTCATATCAGAATGAAAGAGTTCCTATCTGACGACTTATTTGTATCACACCTAGCAAACCTAAGCAGAATATAGTCCTTGTTTTTCTCTTTTATTCCCCATGGATTAGAGAAAATCTCTTTATTTTCAGCTGCCCAACATTTGGAAGCATTCTTCTATGTGACCTCTGTTTTGTCAGTACCTCTTTTTAGCACGTGGATGGGAATTGAGCACAGCACCCTCCAGTGCAGTCTCTGCCGTTTGTCCATGTTATCACTCTTTTCTCATCTGCAACCAAATGGAAACTCCCAGTCCTGCTGCATCACAGATTTATTTGTACCATTAGCTTTTTGAACCTAAAAGCTACACTTTATATGGATCCTTGTTCAACTCCATCTTTTCAGTTTTGGCCCAGTATTGCATTCTGTTGAGAACTTTAAAAATAATGACGTATACCTATAAAGTTTACTTTCAATGTCCTCAGCCTTTCAAAAAAAATGAAGAGGAAAATTGCATAAAATCCCATGCAGAAAGTATTCTGTGTATCCGTAATATTTCATTTCTTTTTGCCTTGACGTGAATAAAAACCAAATGAGTTTTATGTGCTTTAAGAAAGTTCTCCCAGGTTGAGGTTTTGCAAACATCGCTTTGTATTTCGTCATCATCCCTTGAAGATAAAAAAAAAAAAAAAAGACTGCCTTGGTTTTGTTATGACCAAACACACTATTTACATTGGTACAACAACAACAACAACAAAGAAGATTTGTTCTTTTACTGCCAAGAAATTTCACAAGTGATTTAGAGTCAGAAAGACCCAGGGAAAAAATTCATTGTAATCTCAGAAAACCTGTGTGGATTGAAGCCTTATTGCACAATTAATGAAAGAACCTCTCATCATAAACCAGTTAAAAGTGAGAAAATGGACTATAAAAGCTTAGAAAAGTAATCACTTGAAGAAGTTTGGAATCTTTCAAGATAATAGGAAAGGCCTGTGGATGAGTGGACAGATATCTAAAGCAAAGGGCAGATGGCCAAACCCAGGGCTGCAAGGAGCATTAGAGAGGAAAGCAGGGACATGCCTTTAATGGCTCTTTAACCATTCTCCTTTCCTCTGTGTAAGACACTCACAACCCTGGTTTTCAAAGACACAGTGCATATATTTATGTTACTAAACATCCATGTGGGGAACAAAATAATTCATAACAACAAAGTTGGTAACACAAGTCTACTTGGAATTTTCGCATGGTACTAATGTGGGGGAGAGTGATCAAAAGCATGGTTCCTTTTCTATTCCTTTCTGTTTTTTATACGTATAATTATAGATTCACTATTAGAAAAGCACAAACAGGTTTACGTATGTCCTGGCCTTTGTCAATTATCTAATGTCCAATTATACAATGACTTACTTGAGTTTCCTTCTTGTGCTGAGCATTTACTTAAAAGGTGATGAGTTTACTGTGAACAAATTATTAAGAGTCTGTAGTCTCTTTGGAAGGGCTTAGAAATAAACTAGATTGACCTTCAGAAGGAACTTTTTAAGATTTCATATATAAGTGAAATAATGTAGTATTTGTCTTTCTGTGCCCAACTTATTTCACTTATAATACCCTGCAGATTCATCTTAAATGACAGCATTTCCTCCCTTTTTAATTTGCTGAATAGTATTCCATTATTCCATTACACACACACCCACACCATATTTTGTTCTATCCATTTATCTGTCAATGAATATCATGGGTGGTGATGAATGTGGTAATTTGATCATGATATTTATTATACAATATATGTATAACAAATTTTCTTGTATACCTTGTGTATATACAGTCTTTATTTGTTAATTAAATAGTTTAAAATTTCAAAAAGGAATTCTGAGTCTCAATAAAGAACGTTATCTTATTAAACCATAATACTCATGTGATAGCCAAAATCTAAATGTTGGCTAATACAATGGTGAAAGACAGAAAATTCAATGAATTGGCAATCTATTGTAGAAGAAAGGAAAATACTATTGTGTAGTTTTTGTAATGGATATATCATTCAACAGGTAGGCAAGGCATCTGACATGCCAATATGTTACTACTTTTAAATTATTTAATATTTTCTGTTTCATGTGTACCAAATAAAAATGATGCAATCATTCCCCCATATATTAATGTTTTTCTAAAACATTAATATAAATATTAATATGTTTGAAATTTGATAGAATACTAAAAATGAATATGCTTTGCAATATGTAAAATTTATATTTTATTAATATAAGCAGAGGTAAAATTCCAAGCACCTTGATGACATGAATTTGTTTTGATATTATTTTAAATTTTGAATACTTATAATATATGTGTGTGTGCACATGTATGTTGCTAGTAGTCAATAGTAAAACATTGGCTAGGCTTGGGTTTCTTGTAAGTCTATTTTAGGGTAAGCAGTCGGTTACAGAATGTAAACTGTATAAATTTCTGTGTTACATTCCTCATCATGATTTAGCATTTCAGACATTATTTTACAGCCATTATTTTACAGTAGTATCTTAATAGGCCTTCAATTTGTACACGTTCAGTGTCATTCAGCAGGTAATATATATTTGTATATATGCAGCAGAAAAGTCCATTAACATTAATTAGGTCTGTTTTAAGGAATAACTAATTTGTTTAGTTCAGTAAATTGTGCATGTATGCAGTGAGTTGACCTAACTTTTTAACTGATAAAAGTTTTTGAAGAAAAATAGTCAAGCCAGTTAGTTATTTGTGTTTGGTCCGAACACCAGCTGTTTGACATCATGTAGCTATAACTATTTTACCTGAATGATATTCTCTAACACTTTACAAGGCACAAATATTCTTCAAGGTCAGTTTTCCATTATTTTTAACACAGAAAGGTTTCCATAAGTGCAGAAATGTGACTTCTGTTTACCTCTACCGTGGGCAAAGCTATGTGAAATATCATTGGAACACATTTGGATGTTTTGTTGTGAGTCTTACGATAATTTACCCACTCCAAAAAGGGTAAGGCAGGTCACTCAACTGAAACCTCCTATGCCTACAAAATAGATAATTTTCTGGAAAAGCAGCTTTTCCTCCTTAGTTTGCACTGGAGGAAATGAAATTGTTGCTTTAATATGCTTAATAGCACATTGCATTCCATTTTGTAGTTGAAAGAGATTAATCAATTTCTGGCCTGTTTTATCATTCAGTCAAGAGGCTTCCAAATTAAGGTTTCCACCTGTCCAACTTTCATTTGTGTACACCAGAATGGAGTCTTTAAGTGAAGCTTTCTATGTTGTGTTTTATTTTGGCCGGGGGCTGTGGGGGCAGGGTTGGGGAGGGCAGTTGGAGGTTAGTGTACTTTACAGAGCACATGAAACATTCAGTTATTTCAACTTTAACGTCTATTAGTTTCATAGCTAAAACATTTCTTTCAAGAAGTTTATTTTCCAATTTTGGTATTTTATTTTAGAGATTTTAGTGTAAAGACATTTTATAGCATCTGCTACTCTTCACTAGAATTTTGGATTAAGTGACTGTAGCGTACTGTTACCTGTTACTATCACATCATGACTTGTGGGTTTGTTTCATTTGTTGCTCTTCTTTGTTTTCTTTTTTTTTTTCATGTTAATAAAATCCAACATCAATTATAATTTTTCTATTTTTTCTTTTTCTTTCTCAATCTTTTAAAAAACTAACTGCATGCTTTTATATGATTCACTTTCATTCCAAAACACATCCAGATATAAAATTTCAGGAAAATTGTAATATATGTGGATTTAAAAATGGTTATGCAGCTCAGTTGAATATGAGTTAAACATTGTTTACATAGCTTCCTGTATTTTCTGAGAAATCATTTCCCATGGTTACTGTAGGCAACACCAAGATAGACACTCGCTTTGACAGCTTGAAGACCGTATTCCGTGTTCTGGAGTCAGGGACGATGCCCTGTGTGGAGCTGGCTCTCCAGAGGTGCAGGGGACACACTGAGTCTCTAGGTCCGCACGTCCCAGTGTGGCAGCCACTGGGCAAGTGGCGACCATGCACTGACTGTGAGGTTAGTGAGGCCGAGGCAATGCTTTAAATCATTGCATCTAATTTTAATCAATGAAAATTTAAAAACACTTTGGGAGGCTGAGGCGGGTGGATCATGAGGTCAGGAGATCAAGACCAGCCTGGCCAAGATGGTGAAACCCTGTCTCTACTAAAAATACAAAAATTAGCCGGGCACTGTCGCGTACGCCTGTAGTCCCAGCTACTTGGGAGGCTGAGGCAGGAGAATCGCTTGAACCTGGGAGGTGGAGGTTGCAGTGAGCCAAGATCTCACCACTGCATTCCAGCCTGGGAGACAGAGCAAGACTCTGTCTCAAACAAACAAACAAACAAACAAACAAACCACCACAACAAAAAAACCAAACTGATACAGTAAAAAATAATTTCATATCAAGTTTACTTTATTGATTTGCTACGACTATATTTACCTTAGACCTTGAAACTTTAGTGTCTGATTAAGATCGTCTGTAAATGTAAAGAACAAGATTTTGAAGATATACTATGAACAACTACAGTATACTGTAGTATGTAAAATAGTATATAGTATATTATATATACTACATAGTATATTATAGTATGTAAAATATCTCAAGGATAGTTTTTATGTTGGTTATATGCTAGAATGATAGATTTTGGATAGGTTGGTTTAAATAAAATACAGTATTAAAATTAAGTTCACCTTTTTTGTTTTTTGTTTTTACTTTTCTACGTGGCGCCTGGAACATTTAAACCTGCCTATGTGGTTTGCACTGCATTTGCTAGGCGGGGCTGCTGTGGTGATTCACATGGAAGGAGACAGTGACGGTTCTCTTCATAAAAGTGAACTTGGCAGCGGATTTTCACAAAATTTAAATTTTTCTCTAGCTCCTTTGCATTTTACTAAGAGAAAACTGCCTTAAAATGCAGAAATTTCAAAAATATGTGTTTCACAAAGTTAAAGTTAGAAAGGTTTCTCAGCGTTTTAATATGTGACACACAGACACGTAGACACACACACACACACACACACACACACACACACACAATTATAGACATTATAGTCTGAGTCATTTCCTAAATTGATTTTAGCTCATCACCCATTTCCCAAGGAACATCTTTCAGGAATAGCATTCTATGGATCATAACTGGGGAAGCATAATGATAGTTATGTGACTCATTATTTTGATCATCTTTTATTCCAACATTACCAGCCTCAGGACCTCTCAGCATTCCTCATGTGTATTGTGTGTGTTCTCAGGCTATCTGGTGCCCATTCCCCACAGCTAAGTGGCCTTTTCCAGCTTTAGCTTCCTCCAATTCCTTCTCTCATTCTGTCTCCCATTTTCAGACTCATCCTTTGTGGGTAAAACCCAAATAATATAATTAATCAAATAATGTGTGTGAAATCCCTATCCCAGTGTAGTACATGCATTTCCATATGCTAAACATATTTAATTTTTATCACTAGCTTCAATTAAATATTCAAGACATTACATTAAATACCAGAGGATGCTCACTGCTACTGATTCAAAATATATTGTTGACTAATGGGTACTAATTAATTGTCAGGTAAGTTAATAAATATTTATTGAGAGTTTACATTGTTCAAGCAATTGTGCTTTGGACACTGGAGATTCGTCAGTAATAGGCACACATGGAATTTAATAATCTGACCTAATGGAGAATAATCGTGTTCATTTATAAATACTATACATGTAGCAAAACTAGTCAATGCCAGTGTGGTATAAAGACTAGTTCATTTATTATTACTTTGAGACTTTTTTCTCCTTATATTAAACAAGGTAATTTACGTGGAACTGCAAAGCAACAATTTGCTCATAAGGAACATTAAAGAAAAGTGAATTTTCTGTCTTATAAGCTGTAAACTGCAATTGAGTTATTTTTATACAACTCAAATTAATAAAGAATATAAAATTGCCTACTGAGACAGCAGATTGACTATTATTACTTGGTAAGAGTTCCCTGCTTTTCATTTTCTTATCCTTTTCACAACTGTTGGAGTGATTTAGCATATAACATCCCATTTGATTCCTGATGAGAAAGAGGGAAACTGAGGATGCTGCAGCTAGATTATTGTAGTTGGGATTGAATTTTGTTGTTACGTTAGAATGAAAAACGTTAGTTACAGAAATAACATGGGCTTTTTCAGTTATAAATAGTTTACTTACGATGTTCCTTATTAGTAATCAGAATGGGGAAAATATTTGGTGAGACATAAGATTATCCTATATACTCTTGATTGCATACAGGAGACAAATCAGAAATAATTACATTTAGTATGAAATATTTTACCTTAAGTTGTGCGTGTGCATGTGCATGTGTGCGTGTGTTTACAATCACAGGGAGTCTTATACATTTTAATTGTGTGTCCTTTGATTAAAAACAAACAAACAAACAAAAAGCCCAGATCCTTTCTTGAGTAAATACAATTCTTTATCGAAGCCTTATTTTCTATAAAAGAGGACTATTACATGACATAATTTAGTTATCTATATCTAACAAAAGTGAAAGATGTAATACACATAGACTATCGAGTGTGGCCATATGATTCTCCACTAGTTCCCAAGACTCCCTGTCAAACATTAGATTTACACCAGAGTTTGGCCATTATGCAAAAGTATGAGTTGGTTGTAAAAATCTTTACTGAGGTAGGTGTTTGAGACAATGGGAGACAGAGGGAGGTAAGACCAACATGCATAGAATTAAGAAAAACTAAAGGATGGATGTACATTTCATAACTGCTGGATGAGAACCATAGTGGAAGTAAGATCCCATCTGGTGGAAAGTTTGAGCATCCCAAAAGAAGCACCATTTGAAGTTAGTTGTACAAGATGGCAGGCTTTTAAATATAGAGATGGAGAAGAAAACTTGCAAACATGTAGGGATAAGGGAAAACATGTAAATCACCATCAGGAATAGCAAATAATGCTGTGAAGAAATGCAAGGAAACAGGGCTCAAGATGGAAATTATAGCCATGTTGTAAATTGGCAGTGAAATTAAAATTGCCCAAGAATGTACAATGCTGGGCTGTGTTCAATAACGTACATGCATGTGGGCTCCATCACTGGTATTCCATTCCAGTATCTCATTGTTTGATGCAATCTCATTTGTCTACTTTTGCTTTTGTTGCCAGTGCTTTTGGGGCTATGTCTAAAAAATCACTGGCCACACCAGTGCCAGGAAGCTTTCTCTCCTTGTGTCTTCTTCTAAGAGTTTTACAGCTTCAGGTCTTACATTTACGTCTCTATTCCATTTCGAGTACATTTTTGTATATGAAGTGAGATACAGACCCAGTTTCATTCTTCTGCATGTGGATATTCAGTTTTCCCAACACCATCTCTTGAAAAGACTGTCCTTTCTCTGTTATATGATCTTGGAACAGAAAAGAGGGGCCAGAAATATGTGCACTGATTTATAGTCAGCTGAAGGCCCTTTTAAAAGTGTTATCAAACCAAGTGTTCCTTTCCTGTTAACATTGAAAAGAAGCTTCTACATTTAGTGCATCTCCAGCAAAGATGCAGAAAATAACTGCTTAAGAATACAGATGTTTCTTGATAGTAAAATTCCTATTTAATGTAAATGTTACAGATTATATGCTAATATAAAGTTGTGAATGAATTAAAGGACAATTGATCTCAAAAATGCCTATGCTAAAACAGAGTACTAAACAGTGAAAAATCACGTTTGGCAATGGAATGTTTTCCACAATGTATTGAAAAGAAACCTGATTTTATTTTTCTCCAACACAATATATATATAGATTCAGTTATCGATATTTATTAAGCACCTTGGGTTAAACCCTGTGTATTAATTTATTCTCACGCTGCTATGAAGAAATACTTGAGACTAGGTAATTTATAAAGAGGTTTAATTGACACACAGTTCTACATGGCTGGGGAGGCCTCAGGAAACTTACAATCATGGTGGAAGAGGAAGCCAACGTGTCCTTCTTCACAAGGTGACAGAAGATATTTTTATATCTTCACTTTATCCACAAAACAATACATAAATTAACAATAAATTGGTTGTTTCATTGATCATTGCTTGCTTTGGCAAATATTTCTCCCAGGGGAAGCTGAATTAGGGTAGAAGATACTTTTTGCTATTTGGAGAAACAACACTCCGAGGAAGTCTCCATAGTTAGTGGAATTCCAGAATCCAATAGGCAGCAGAATGAAATGTAAATAATAGGTCTCAGAATTTTATGTCAAATGTGCTCTTGATGAACCCAGACATATTGTCACAAATGAGTTGTCTTAATGCTGATTTTGTTTTGTTGTATTACAATTGTTGAGCAAAGGGGGAAAAGCCCCTTATAAGACCATCAGATCTCATGAGAACTCACTCACTATTGTGAGAACAGCATGATGAGGTCCCAAGAAGGTCCCTTCCACAACATGCGGGGATTATGGGAGCTACAGTTCAACATGACATTTGGGTGGGGGCACAGCCAAACCATATCACCCTGGATCTATGGTATTGCTCTGCCTTGCTGGCAGTAATAAACAATAAATAAATAAATATTGGTACCATGTGCAAGCAGAACTACTCCTTGATTTGAGTGTTTACAACAGAAAAATAAACGTAGGTCACTGTAAATGTTTTATTTTTTATTATTTATCTGTGTAAACCCCATTATGAAATAAAAAAGAGTGAGTGATGGAATCAAATTTGTGTTGGCTAAGGAATAACAGCAGTTTCAGGCAACATACTAGAACTGCTAAAGACATTTGTAATCATTTAATCCAACAATCTTAAGAACATTTTTTGAAACTCAGCTAGGGGGTGTCTATAATTTGACTAATATCACAAGGCTAGTGCAGGAAACACAAGAGACCAGTCCCCCTTCTTGGTTCTTAACTCTTGATCCAGTGCTTTTCTTCTGTAATAGGGTCAACCTTCATTCTTCTTCTGTGTCACTTTCTACAGGTGCTTCAAAAGTTATTTAAAACAATAAAAATATCTGGGTTATTTTGTTTCTATTTTGTTTAAGTTTTAGTTGCAGTTAAAAATTTGTTTATGTACCCTCTAGGTATTAGTGCTACAGACCTTCCTCACCGTGGACTGGAATATCTATTCGATCATGTTTGCTAAGGACCTTTTATTCAAATTGACAATAGTTCTAACTTTCGTGTTGATACTGGTTGTGAATATCAGTGCAGTAGAATGAAAAACCTGTGTGGTAGAGTCGTACGTTCAGGACTCTCAAAGTCCACTGTGTGACAGTCACGGTGAGATGAATGAAATATATAAATAAACAGATATTTTTGGTTAATTCTTTTTAACCTAGAGTTTCATGTTAAGGCTTTCACTCTTAGACACTTGAATTTGTCTTACTGTTGAGAGTTTAATTATGTTATACCATGCCAAAAAAACCTGTATAAATTTAAAGTAAGAATTTTTTATGTTTCAATAAAAATATCACTTTCATAGAAAGCACATTTCTTAAGCTGGCATGGCCAGCATCTTGTGTCCTTGTAGACAGACCTTCTTGGGAAATCAAATTATATAATTCAAGGTTGTTTTGAGGTCATGTCAAAGAAGAGGAAGGAGCGTAAATCACATGATTTCTATAGATTCAGGTGCTGGACTCCACTATAGGGCTGCACCTATCTGTCTTTTGTCCTCTTTCTATAATGGTTAATTCCAGGCTGAGAAACTGCATACATCTTCCAATTGGTCAATTCTTTATTTTAATATATTAATACCTTTGGCTAAGTTTCGGGCTTGGGGATATCATTTTTTTTTAAAACACTTCGCTTACTTATTTGTCCTTTAACAACAATGACAGTAACCACCATCGATTATTTGTACACTTAAAATTCTCGAGGCAATCTGCTGGACTTTAAATGCATTATCTGTTTGAAGCATCACAAGCCTGTGGGCTATGTCTTCTTCCCTTTCTTGCAAATGAAAATTCTTGCGTCTCAGAGGGCTTAAACAGCTTGCAAGATCTCACACTGGATTAAGCCCAAGTCTGTCTGACTCAAAGGTCTCTCTGTCTGCTGTACTTTCTGTGCTGGATTTTTATAGTCTCTTTCTTGCCTCACAGTCAGCCAGGCTGAATCTAATATATACCTCTGTCTTTTCTTTTTCATCCAGACTGCTGTACTCTTAAGTCTGTCTGGGTGTTATTATTTGTTACCTGGACTACTGGGCTAGTCTTCTACAAGGATTTCACAACCCCCTTTCCCAATTCTAATCTATTTTGCATAACTAAAGGATCATTTTTTTCTAAAGCACTTTCTGATGATGCTGTTTACCTTTAAAGAAATCATTAAGACTCCCTATTGCCTATACAAAATAATCTCAATTCCTGGTTGGACATACAGCTTACCCTGTGTCTAGCTTCACAGTTCCTGTATAACCTATCCTCTTACTAATCCTTTTTGCAAGGCATACCGCATAGGCAAACAGAAGCACTCACTGTGTTCTGTATACAAATCTGCTATACTGTTTACTCTGTGAGGAATATCCTCCTGTTAGGAATTGCTTCGTGGCTATCTTCAAATCTTCTCTCTCAGCTTAACCCAAGTGAGGTGTAAACTGTAGCAACTGACTCGGGAAGGTGTTGTGTATATAATGCATGTTTCTGTTTTTCTTTAAATATCATCTCTAACGGATTCTTGTAGGTACAGTTCTTCTCTTGAGTTTCCACAGCCCTTGCTTTGTGCTTTCATTCTTATTCCCTTTATTACCTTCAACAGTATTCTCTGCTATGGCCCTTATTACCTTTAACATTATGCTGGAGCAATATAAGCATGCCGTTTCTTACCAGAAAGTAAGTTTCTTGTCACAGGCTGATTCATCTGAAAGTTGAGACTGAAACATGGTTTGTGTTTGGGAACTGATCTTACGAATCACTTACACACTTATACAAAACTGCAGGAAAGGAAGGAGATAGGGAAGGAAAGGATGTGTGTTAAGGGGCAAGTTAATGCTCTGAAAACTTGAGACTCAATCTCTTTGGGAATCTCTGTAAGACCTCCTAGCCTCCCAGCTAGGGAAGAAGTTGGGATATCGACATGCTAAATTCCCTCTGGTACTATTTGAGGGGCACTCCCTGTCAAAGTACTCCCAGGCCTCCCAGCCTAGCCAGCACAGACTGAGCATGTCCAGCAGTCACCAAACATGCTCAGGCAGAGAGCCACTTGGTGTGCTTGAGAAATCTGTGTGCTGAGGAAATTGGTGTGGGATACCACTGCCATACTCCTCCAGGCCAAAGACTTGAGGATTTATCTCTACATTCTCCGTAGCATCCACAATTCTTAGCATGGTGTCATTTATTCATTTATTTGTTCATTTAACACTGGTGGTTGTTGGGTGCCAGACCCTCTGCTGGGGGTTGTGAGTATAACCCATGAGCAAAATGGACTTGGCATCTGCTCACATAGAGCTTACCACACTCTAGTGAGAAAAGATCTGCAATCATTGAAGGAAATAACCAGGGGAATAACCTTATGTTAGTCCATTCTCACACTGCTAATAAAGACATATCTGAGACTGGGTAATTTATAAAGTAAAGAGGTTTAATTGACTCACATTTCTGTAGGGATGGGTAAGCCTCAGGAAACTTACAATCATGGTGGAAGGGGAAGTAAACCCATGCTTCTCATGGCGGCAGGAAGGTAAAGTGCTGAGTAAAGGGGGGAAAGCCCCTTATAAAGCAATCAGATCTTGTGAGAACTCACTCAGGATTACTAGAACAACATGGGAGTAACCGCCCCCATGATTCAATTATCCCCTCCTGGGTCCTTCCCAGGACACATGGGGATTATGGGAACTACAATTCAAGATGACATGTGAGTGGGGACACAGCCAAACCATAACAAACTTGAACAGAGAGATGTTCACTGTAGGTAGGTTGGTTGGTCTACAGGAAATGATGTTTTAGATGAGACCTCTAGAATAAGAAAGAGGCAGCACATGAATAGCCGGGGTGGTAGTGATCCATCAAAGGACAAGGCGATTGCAGGAGCTGGCCATGTGACCCACACATTTTCCAAAGGCTAAGGCACTGGATCCCGCTGAATGAGGGGAGACTGACTTCCCATCCACTTCTCGTGCTGTTTCCTGAGAACATGGTGCACCATTACTTAAAGAAATCACATTGTAAACATATGTAATGGATATTGATGGTATCAACTTAATTTTTAATGTATGATTGTTATTGTTATTATTAGCCACATAAGACCAAAGTTCTGTAGGGATGAGTTTGAGAACTGTTCCTTACCTCAAGCTTGTGGTCATAGCTATCCACGTCCATGTCTTTCTGGAAACTTGCTCTGTTTTTCCTTGTTCATTGATAAACTAGAGAATAACCCATTTTCAGGTCTTGGGTTACTTTTGGCTTTAAGTTCTCTCCTTCAGAGGTCCTCATGAGCCAAATTATCTCAGCCAGTTTCTCATTCAGTCACTCTTAATTGTACCATCTGGGTCCTGGAGCTGACTCCTGGACCTGGCTCCTGAGTTGTGTGTTGGTCCTACACCTGTCAATTCCAACTAGACAGTATACCAATTTCTAAATGCAGTGTTTCAGAAATGAACTTAGAAGTGCTAAAAGTTCCCTTGTATTATTGCAAGATATTTCTCTTCCCGTTTATAGTACCATCATTTTCTCAGTGTTAAATACCTGTCATCATTCAAGCTTTCTCACCTGATTGCTCCTACATACGATAGTGAATGGGTTAAGGTAAGTACTCAGTAGGCATTTCTTATTAATAATGAAAGCATTTATCCTTTATATATCTTCACTTTATCCACAAGACAATATGTAAATTAACAATAAATTGATTGTTTCATTGATCATTGTTTTCTTTGGCAAACATTTATCCTAGGGGAAGCTGAATTAGGGTAGGAAAATACTTTTTGCTACATTGCTATTTGGGGAAACAACACTGAGAGAAGGTCTCCATAGTTAGTGGAATTCCAGAATCCAATTAGCACCAGAATGAAATGTAAATAATAGGTCTCAGAATTTTATGTCAAATGTGCTGTGGATGAGCCCAGACATATTTTCACAAATTAGTTGTCTTAATGCTGATTTTATTTTGTTGTATTATAATTCACAAAACGCTACTGATACCAAACAAGAGAATCAATGTGATTCCTGGTATGTAGTAGGACCACAGTGATGTGTATTGAATAAATGAATACATGAATGAATAAACATCATGATCACTGCCCCCTAGCTGTTGAATTTAATGATATTTACAGTTGTTCTTTACTGCCTTCATTTCTCTCCTCCTTTAACCAAAAGAAATAGCTTATCCTTCTCTTGTACATATTCCAAAGCATATATTTTATTCCTTCCAATGGAGATTCCAGCAGGGTTTTCATTTTCTGATCTCTAAAAAAGCTAGCAAGGATTGGCAAAGTAGTCCACCAATTTGGCAAACTGTTCTTGAGCCAGTGAAGCATGGAAAATGATGCCCATTTATAAAATGATCACAGAAACAAAGTGAGCACATTCAGTAATATCTAGAAGTGTCCTAGCTTACTAATAATTTGATTTATGGAAAAATGTTTGAAATTAATAGGTAAACACTTTTAGTTTTCTGTTACATGTGTTTATTTTATTATCCTTTGCCTGTGAGTCTGAAAGATTGTGATGAATAATCTAATAATAGATGCTATGTAATTTCAAGAAATTCAGTGTAAATTATATTTAGTTGATTTTAAGTATTTCCATACTAAATCCCCCAAAGCAAAAATAATAATTTGCAATTTTTATCTTCTAATCTCCAAAGATAAAGAGGACAGATATAATATTACCAACAGATGCCTCACAGACTGTATCTCTTCTGATTCTATTACATCTTCTATGGTTTTGTTTCTGTTTGTAATAAGGTGGCCCCATTCTGCATTTGTCATTTCCAATTGGAAAATGCCTAGTTTTCTATATATTCATATAAATATAATTTTACTTGAGATAAATAAAAATATTTCTCAGATATAAATTGTGCAATGTATATATTGAGTTATACTGATTTCAGTGCAGCAATTTCCAACCTTTTGGCACCAGGGACCGGTTTTGTGGACAATTTTTCCACAGACTGGGGGAGAGGGATGGTTTCAGGATGATTCAAGTGGATTACACTTATTGTGCACTTTATTTCTATTATTATTACACCATAATATGGATCTCACCATAATGTAGAATCAGTGCAAGCCCTGAGCTTGTTTTCTTGTAACTAGATGGTCCCATCTTGGGGGCATGGAAGACAGTGATAGATCATCAGGCATTAGATTCTCATAAGTAGCACACAACCTAGATCCCTCACATGTGCAGTTTACAATAGGGTTTGCGCTTCTATGTGCATCTGATGCTGCCACCGATGCGACAGGATGCAGAGCTCAGGCGGTAATGTGAGCACTGGGAAGCAGCTGGAAATACAGATGAAGTTCCGCTCGCTCACCCACTGCTCACCTGCTGCTGTGTGGCCCCGTTCCTAATGGACCTGGGGTTGGGGATTCCTCCACTATAGAGTTCAGTTTCTTGAGGTCTTAATAAATTGCTATTATACTTTGTATGTTCGGGATGGCATTAGTCCGTGTATTTGTCCATGGCATTAGTCATTGTGTATGTATTTGTTACTATATTTTCCTGATGAATCAGTGAGGGTCAATATCAGTAGGTGAGACAATTTGTTCAATGTATAGATCAAAAACTCCGCAGCCAGATTTTATATACACATGTATATAATATATAATATTATATATTTTATATGTTATATATGAATTTATACATATGTAATATGTAATATTTTATCTTAATTATATATTTATATATTATATATGAAAATATGAAAAATATATATATTTTTATTTTGCTTTAAGTTGTGGGATGCATGTGCAGGACGTGCGGGTTTGTTACACAGGTATACATGTGCCATGGTGGTTTGCTGCACCTATCAACCATCATCTAGGTTTTAAGCCCCGCATACCTTAGATATTTGTCTCGATGCTCTCTCTCCCCTTACCCCTGACCGCCTGACAGGCCCTGGTGTGTGATGTTTCCCTCCCTGTGTCCGTGTGTTCTCATTGTTCAACTCCCACTTATGAGTGGAACATGCGGTGTTTGGTTTTCTGTCCCTGTATTAGTTTGCTGAGAATGATGGCTTCCAGCAAACATGCTCTTTGATTATAAAACTGAATTTCAGTTTTCTCATTGAAAATTATACTGAACTCAGCTGGGCGAGGTGGCTCACACCTGTAATCCCAGCACTTTGGGAGGCAGAGGCAGGCGGATCACGAGGTCGGGAGTTTGAGACCAGCCTGGCAAGCATGGTGAAACCCCATCTCTACTAAAAATACAAAAATGAGCTGGTCATGCTGGCAGGCACCTGTAGTCCCACCTACTCGGGAGGCTGAGGCAGAATCACTTGACCCCAGGAGGCAGAGG
Organism: Homo sapiens; assembly: GCF_000001405.40. Classification (NCBI taxonomy): domain Eukaryota; kingdom Metazoa; phylum Chordata; class Mammalia; order Primates; family Hominidae; genus Homo; species Homo sapiens. The sequence continues at coordinate 107,738,747 of NC_000013.11, read as the reverse complement.
TTGCAGTGAGCCGAGATCACACCACTGCATTCCAGCCTGGGTGACAGAGCTAGACTCCATTTCAAAAATAAAATAAAGAAAATTTTACTGAACTCTTTTGAAAATGTATTGATTTCATTTCTAAGTGTCCTTTTATTGACCCATTCTAAGAATGAAGGGGGAAAGTTTTTAATAATCTACTTTTATTACACAAAGTGATATTGTAGTTATTTCTTTGTTTATTCTCAGGGTATTAATTATTTGATCCAAATTGACTGTTAGAAGAATGAGAAAGTGTCTGGGGACAAGGGAACGGGGAGAAAATGGGTTATTTTGTGAAGTCCAGGCTTAAGATTGGAATCTTATGAGACTAACATAGTTGTTCAATTGGACCAATGGATTTAAGATCATGAGTCCACAGAATGCGTAAATGCCACTTAGAACAGGAAGTGGTGACCTCTTATCCAGAAGAAACTTCTCATAGGCATGAATCAATATCAATTGGGGGAACATTCTAGAAAGTGTTTTCGGTCACCTCCTTTTCTGGCAAGACATAAATGAACTGGATATCCTATTAATAATTTTAATGGGCATTCCCAAAAATGTCACAGTTATTCTTAGAAATAAACACTTAAATGAGACGGATGATAAGTGACCAATGGTGACTTATGTTTCATTTCACTGTACTTCTGCAGTAAAATAGTGCTGACTGCAAAGAGCCGTGTTTTTAAATAGTTTTGTGTCTTAGTATCAAACTGACTGAATTAGACCCATCTTTGCTGCTTTTTTATGCTTGTATTTATGACTCTGAAAAAAATATGTGTTTTCCAAGTGATTTCACATGTTTTAATACCCTTCTGCCCGAATTGTACGTGGATGCATTTTCTATTCTTCGGAAAGATGATTCTGACTCTATATTATAAATGGAAGAAGGAAATTGTTTTTATTAGGCATACAGAACCCCAGACAGCAGGGTACTCTGCAATACAATGGGTCATTTTTCAACAGTTTATAGCTAACTGATATGCTCCTACGAAATGCAGAAGTAAATGTACAAATAATTAGGAAATTTGTTTCTATTCCCGTCCCTTGAGCTTCTCAGAAAGTTAGTTATGCAAAAGTATGCAATGAAGCTACGTAAAATTTACATTCTACTTTGACTCCTTTTTCCAGGAACCCCAGCAATTTTTTTTGGATTAAGAAAAAATGATTATAAAGTAAAAAATATAAATGGCTAATAAACATGGGAAATAATCACCTATCATTTCCAAAGTAACGTAAATTCTACTAATGAGTGATCTTCCAATTTTCCCATCAATTTGTTTTAAAAATCAATTAGTTTTCAAGTGAGAATATCTGATGCCATTTAGGATTCAGTGAATAGGAATTCCACATCACATTGGAATGTTAATAAAACTATTTAAAATAATTTGGCTTAGTAAGCTTATAAATATTCATCACTTTTGACCTAGGAATTTTGTTTATTGTTAGCTAGACTGTAGAAAGAACCACCACCAACTGCTGTGAAATGGTGTCATGAAATCATTAATAATAATCATAAAATACTGGAAATTATATAATGGCTACTAAGAAGACACTGGTGTTTCTCTATCCTATACTCATGCAGCTATTAATAATGCCATTTACGAAGACTTAATAATGTTGTTTTAATGTTCAGAATCAAAGAAGAACATGGAAAAGTTGATGTGGTTCTCAGCTGTCTTCCAAATTGGTTGAACAGATAAAACACCCAGTTATAATTCATGGAAATATGTGTAATTAGAAAGGCAGCACTGCTCCAATGGTTGGCAGGCCATTAAGGTTTCCTCGCTGTGTGGGAATCCCCTGCCAAGTTAGTCTAGGAAAAACAATGTTAATATGGTGGAGCTGCATTCATTTTGTTTTAGCTTCAAATGTTGGAGAAGGAGGCTGCTGCTGTCTACTTCAGCACTTCTGTTGTAGCCTTTCTTTTTCTCATCTATCAGTGCCTCTATACACCCCAAATTAGCTATGAGTCTTTGATTCACTCTGGCTTTTTCCGTAACTTGTTAACTAAAAGCACTAGCTTAAATGACTAGAATTTGTTGGCAGCAGGATTGAGCTGAAAAGAAGAGACCATTTAAACCCCCAAACATTTGAATGCTAATATAACACCCAAATTGAACAGTGGGAGTGTAAAATATAATTTGGTGCTGTGCTCTGTAGTTTGGAGTTCTTTCGAGAACTAACAGTATGTAGGTTTCATAGAGATTCATAACTAAGTATTTTAAGCACAAAGGAATGAGTACGTGTGCTGCTTATTTGTGCTGATTTATTCCCACCTACTGAGTTGCAGCATCTTATTTTCAGGGAAACCTACTGACAGCAGCAGCAACAGGGGTGTAATCAACCTGCATCAACAATTCAACAAGCAAACTCCAACAAGAAAGCATTATGCAACCTAAGAAATGCCGCCGCCGCCACTGCACTCTGTTACAGAAGTGTCCACGTTTCTAACAAACACAGTGCAGCTGTTTAGATACAGCTTATTAGGTACACGCGCGCGTGTGTGTGTGTGTGTGTGTGTGTGTGTGTATGTGTGTGTGTGTATGCATGCGTATGCATCTTGGTGCAATTGTCAGAGAAGCCTTGAAAATATCATCTTTGTTTTGTTACATTTTATTGGGCTGTAAGTCACATCATGATAACTTTGATCCAGTCAGCGCATGTCTATTGGTTTAGCCCTCAAAGTCTTTATAGTCTAGCAAGGAATATAAAATCAACATAAAATAATGTCAGACAAGATAAAATGAGGCAAATGCCATAAGAGAAGCATATAACTCAGAGCAGAGAAAAGTTACTAAAAAAATAGTTAGAAGCTCAAGAATGCACAATTCTCATTCTTTAGTAAGACTGCCTTAAGTATCTTATTAGCTGTGATGATGTAATTTGCAGGCCAAAGCCTGCGGTATTTCCCCATTACCCCTACACCAAGAAGAGTTGGTGGGTAAAGAGATGCCAAAATAGAGGCAACTACCTTTATCTGTTAATAATGTAAATTCAAATCTATAAGACTGCAGCTATTTGTACAATATTTACTGTTTTTACTAAAGCGATTGGGTATTTCAGTCCAAAAGATTCTTTTCTGATCATGACTCCTTAAGGGGTCTGTTTTGAATTCGTACGGATATCACATTTCTGTTTACTTCTTGCCACTTACACCTCTTCCAACTTAATCTCAGAGAAGAGAGAAATTAAACATATGTGTGCGCAGATGGGGGAATTTACAGGTGAGTTTTTTCTGATGTTATAGTACCTTCCTGGATAAAGAGAGCTAGTCAGCATTCTAAAGCCAGCCGAAACAGGCAAGCTGCCAAAACTCAAATCCTGGCTGAAAACATTTGGCCATTCTCTGCAAATTAATTATTTTACTCATCCAACCATGTTATATTCCTGATCACCTGGAATTTGGAAATACTCGTCATTTAGTCTGTCACAGAGGCTATTGGCTTCAGGATGCCTTTACTACCCAGGTTTAGTTGTCATATGTGGAGTACAACTTAACAAAACAGAAATTTATTATCACAGTCCTCTTTCCTGGGACTCTGAAGTGACTGTGTGGTCTGGGTTACTATTTTTCACCACAGGCCCATGCAATTGGATTTAGATCAAGTCTTTAGTGTTTCTGGGCTCTCAGCCCACGAGGCTTCCTGGTGGAATATTGTATTCTTGGTGGGAAGGCAGGCTCTCCAATCTGCAACTCCATTTTTTCCTCCCAGGAGCAGTAGTCTTTGATCCCATGCATTCCTAAGTGGAGTTTATTTCACTGGTTAGCCACCAATTTACTTCCACTTGTAGAAGGGGATTCATAGCAATGTCTAAACGTGGGGCTGGAGTACAGTGGAGAAAGGAGAGCAAAAGAGAACTCATTTGGGGGATCTAATACAGTATTACTCATACAAATTCTTAGTATATGGTGCGTATACTGTCAATGGTAGTTATCATCATCATCATTATTAATGGGAGCCCATTATGTGTGCTGTCTTATTTCATCTTCACAATATTCACATGAAATAAGCATTATCTGTACTTTATGAATAAGAAAACTGAGGCTCAAAGACATAAATGTCTTAATCAAGTCACCCATCTATTATCAGAAAGAACGGGGATTTGAAAATGCATCTTCCTAGAGACAAAACTTGTTTCCATTATGCCACAGATTTTACTATGTACCACGGCTTTAAAAATAATAACTCTTAGGAGGACTTATTTATAAAAGACTCCTGGTATTGCAGGAGGAAAGTAAATATATTTTCATGACTCTGCATCTAACTCTGGGTTCTTTCCTTAATTCCATTGTGTGTGTGTGTGTGTGTGTGTTTTTTTTTAAAGGAAAAATACCCATAGATTTTCTCTTGCCTCAGTGCAACATTGCAGATGATCCCTAGTGATGACCTTTCCCAAAGTTACATTGTAGAATTCATTGGCTAATACCGGCTGATACCACCGCATGAGGTGCATAATTAAGTGATGTGGTGGCAAGACCAGATTCATTATCGTAGACGGTCATGTGCCCTGCCATGACATTTTGGTCAGGGACAGACTGCATATACAGTGGTGTGCCCATAAGATTATAATGGAGCTCAGCTAAAAATTCCTATTCTTGGTGACATCATAGCCGTCATAACACCGTAGTGCAACACATTACTTTTTCTATGTTTAGGTAAGTTTCTATACACAAATACTTACCACTGTTTTGCCGTTGCCTAACATATTCAGTACAGTAGCATACTGTACAGGTTTGCAACAGGCTATACCACACCGCCTAGGTATGTAGTAGGCTGTACCATCTAGGTTCGTGTAAGTAAATTGTATGATGTTTACACAATGAGAAAATGTTCCATTTCCCAGTTCATATCCTCCTTCTTAAGCAATGCATGAGTATCTCTTCTGTTCTTATGCTTTCCTCTTCCAGGAAATAGATATAAGTTGTGTCCTAGCAACAATTTTTTGCTTCACATAATATCTAAAGATATCTAAATAAATTAAGATTCACTAATGACTCTAGTGGCTTTTAATGCCATGAGATATTCCTACTAGTTCTTTCTGTCATTGGTTTATTTTCATTATGTAGATTAGAAATGAATAAAAATTACTTCCTTATTTTACACTAATACTAATAAATGCCTCTGATTTTTAGAGAACTGTAATAGATATATGATGTGTTACTCTCTTTGACTATTTGTATAATTTTGTTTTTTAAAGATACATCTAGATTAAAAACTACTGTTGTAAGCTGTTGAAATCTTCCATATGGCCAAAATTCTGTCACTGCCTATAGAAATTCCAAAAGAAGAAAAATAACTAAGATTTAAGCCATTCTGAATACACAGGGGCCCTCACAATTGTTACAGTGTGAATTTACTCTCTTGATAATGGTGGTCCTGGAGTGTCCAGAGAAGAAATAGGTGGGGTCTGTTTAGGACAAGAAAAAGAAAGTGCTTTTGCAATGTGCTGCTGTCACTGCTGGAGCCTCTCACTTCTGCCTAGGTTGCTAGGCTCAGACTAGACAGTTTAAGTCGGCATAAGGCATAAATGCTAAAATGTTAATAATGGATTAGTGATACTGGCACTTTTTTTTATCCTACTAGAATAACTTACTAACCTAAAGAAATGTCCGATATATTTACAGGATTTGAGTGAAGATTCTTTTAATCCAAGTGTCCCTTCTTTTCCAGGGTGCCGATTTATTTCATACATTCTTTATATTAATCCATGAAATTAGCACAATATGTTTACCCACAATGGTGCCGTCACCCCAAACCTCTTACCTTTTTCTGAACTTCCTTAAAATCATTAACTTAAAAAAGTCAAGTTTCTTTTTACCAGACGGGTAGAAAGTTTGTCCATATGTGTCTTTATGGACGAAGAGTGAAAAATGAAGCATAGATTCAATGATTAGGACCTGTTGCATATATTATGTGTCTGTGTGTACTTTGCAATAGGTTTATGTTACTCTGCAAGCTTATCTATCATAGCAATGAAAGTAGGTAAAATATAAGAGAAACCTACAGATCTCACTATGAGATTCACAGATTCACCTGTCTTCTCTAGTCCTGTATAATACCTAAGAGAAGCTGCTTGCACTTTCATGACACATATGCCCTAGATATGTGGGTGAATAACGATGTGGTTATTCCCATACAACTTCTGAGGAAATGAGAAATATTCAACAACCATTGGAAGACTGCCCTAGGACTTGCATAGAGAGAAGGACATAGGTACTGCCACGTCTAAGCCCAGGACAGCATGGCTGTCCTTAGACTAGACAGTTTGGCTTTAAGTAACTAATACATTTTTTCATGTTCTCATGTTGCACTTCCAGCAAATGAAAACCCACTGTGTACACTTGCACACCATGTAGACATCAAGTCAAATGGAACTGAAATGAGTGCAAACCATATATGTGTATGTATAGGTAATAGATACCATGGGTATATTGTTTTATATATAAGTATTCATATTATAGAGTATAGCATATATATGGTATATAGTATATAGAGGATGCATGTAGTATACAGTATATATTATACATAGTATATATAGTAAGTATTAGGTTTCAAGTGAATGAAATCTGGAGAAACTTCATGAAAAAGAATAAGCAAAGCTGCTGCCCAGGGGGCTGATAGAGAGTCAAAGATTCCTAGAAATGAGGGTGATAATATGTGAGAAGTTAATAACCTACGTGGACTAAGTCAGTTTGGAACAGCAGGGCCCCAACAATTCTAAATTCCACTATTTTTTTGCTTGTTCTTCATCATACAAATTCCTACAGTCCTAAATCTAGGATAGCTCTATGGAGAATTCTGTAGGACAAAGGAAGCAGCAGAGAAAGAGTTTTAAGAATTTCTAAAATTTACTGTAGCATAAATTAATGTGTGGATTATCCAATAGCAAAGACATGGGATCAACCTAAATGACCATCAATGGCAGGCTGGATAAAGAAAATGTGGTGCATATACACCATGGAATACTACGCAGTCATAAAAAGGAATGAGATCATGTCCTTTGCAGGAACATGGATGAAGCTGGAGGCCATCATCCTTAGCAAACTAATGCAGGAACAGGAAAACAAATACTGCCTGTTCTCACTTATAAGTGGGAGATAAGTGATGAGAACACATGGACACATAGAGGGGACTAACACACAGTGGGACCTACTTGAGGGTCGGGGGTGCATGGGAGGGAGAGCAACAGAAAATAATAACTGTTGGGTACTAGACTTAATACTGGGTGACAAAATAGTCTGTAAAACAAACCCCTCTGATACAAGTTTACCTATATAACAAACCTGCACATGTACTCCTGAACCTAAAATAAAAGTTAAAAAATAATTAATTGTGGATTCTCAAGTACATTTTCCTCAGTTATTACCCCAAAGTATAATGTTTTATTGTGAATGAACATATATATAAAAGCTACTGTTGGGAGTAAAAAATGATATTTTTGCCATGTTAACTTGAAGTGAAATTTCCTTTTAGTACAAAAAGATACCATTTTAATCATCTCTTTGTGAAGATATGAGATACTTTCCACACTTCTGTGCAAAGATTCCTTCCACATCTTGTTTTCTGGAGAGCTAATCAGCATACTAGCTGCCTAAGAAAGACCACAGCAAAAACAACATTGCATAATGCTCTAATGCTCTAACATTCCTCGTTCCTGTAATTGATACTGTCTGAACAGCTTTCATGCTCACTCAACATCTTCTGTAGGCAAATCTCTCTCAGAGATCGACATTCCCGTAGCACCCAGATGGAGTGTAATGCTGAGCACTTTATCCCTTGTCTGAGCTGAAAACCTAGGGGTAATTTTCAGCGCTTATATGCTATGTTGTCTTTAATGGGATACAGACTCAAGCCAGGGATTTCGGCATATGCTGTCAGAAGTATGTTGCATCGTTCCTGAAGTATCACTAGCACTTATTTGAGACTGTTACTCATTTATTCAATTATAATAAAAGGTTAATTGGTGGTGATTCATTTGGAGATGGTTGCCTAAGTCCATGCAGTCATAACAGGTTCCCCCAAGACATTAAAGAAGTGTGACTTTTTTTATTGAAAAGTACATAGAAAATGACTTCCATGTGATGTAAAAATTGTTTCTGAGCTGTCATAGCTGAATACAATGAAATACTGAATGTCTTCTTAGAAAAGCAAGTATTAGTTTGGAACATTAGGAATTATTAGAGACTCATTTCGATTCCAGCCAATAAATTAAATCGATGAACACAGAAGTACAGGGAAAGCATTATAGTAAATTAAAGTCTCAAGTTTAATTTACATTGTGCTTAGATATTGTTTTTAATTAAGCCACTCATGTCAGTCACCAGAAAAATGGAAACTAATTTGGGAAGCAGAGTCCTGTATAATTTTTGTATTACAGAGGATAAGACTAGGTTGTTAGACAGGAGAGTATTGATTGAGCCTGAATCCCACTGTGATATGCAAAGTGTGGGAAATGCATTCTTGTATCTGCAATATTTTCAATAATTCTGGGAAAAGAAATCACTTTATTTAGAGCAAAGTAGCAATAATACAAATAATGTAATGATTCTCGACAGTAGTTCTGTATTTAGAAGCCTATTTTGCAGATATGCCCTTTCATTTTTCTTGGTACAGACAGATCTTTGAGCTTCCCTGTAGCAAATTTCGTAGCAGACTTAGAGAAGAGATGTTGTAGAGATAGATTATGTTATTGATAATCAGCAGAAGTGACTTTTATTATATTGGCCAAGAGTTCTATAGATCTAGAATATGTAATATTTTTTACTACATTGCAAAGAGGAGACACTCAATAAATATTTTTGGTAGACCAAGTCATTTCTTCTAGGCATATATCTATCAAGGTCCATCTAATAAATAACTAACTGTATGTGGCCACGGCAGCTACACCCTCCGAGTTAGTTTAATTCATTCAAGACTATTTTTTAAATTAAAAATGCATCAAAGGGTCGGGTGCAGTGGCTCATGCCTGTAATCCCAACACTTTGGGAGGCTGAGGCAGGTGGATTACCTGAGGTCAGGAGTTTGAGATCAGCCTGACCAACATGGTGAAACCCCGTTTCTACTAAAAATACAAAAAAATTAGCTGGGCGTGGTGGTGGGCGCCTGTAATCTCAGCTACTCAGGAGGCCAAGGCAGGAGAATCGCTTGAACCTGGGAGGTGGAGGTTGTGGTGAGCTGAGGTCGCGCCACTGCACTCCAGCCTGGGTGACAGAGCAAGACACTGTCTCAAAAAAAAAAAGCATCAATACCTAACATTTTAATAGCAACTTTATACATTACATTTCCATATTTATTATTTTTTTTTCAGTGGCACTCTACAGTGTCACAACAAAGAACAGCATCCTATTACAGATTTTAGAGCTAAAGGAGGAAGCAGAAAAGGAGACTTTTAATAGGCCAAATTTTGTATTAGGTCAGTAATTGGCACTTTTTCCATAAATTGTCAGATGGTAAATGTTTTAGATTTTGCAGACATTGTTTTGCTTGTTTCACATATTCTTCTTTATGTTTGTTTATAAGTATATTTTTATACATTTTTTAAATAAAAAATATCCCTAGATTATTGCTGTACAAAAACAGATGCATTCAGACATGGAGCTGTAGTTTGCCAGCTTGATCAAATTCAGTGTGTAGTTGGTGGTCCATAGAGTGAATATTTTCTCCTCAAAGGCTATTCGCTGCTTCCCCTAAAAAGTTATTTAAATTGCCATTCTATGCAATGATGAACAAATACATCAAATATGGGCAACTTCTTAGTCTCAAGAAAGTCAAAATGTCTTCCAAGAATTGCATGGCTTTATCTTTCTCTCTCGTTGTAGCTAGTTCAGCAGATGTCTTTTTGACCTATTGGCTATGAGCCTTTATCTTGCCCTCAAACTTGACATCTCAGCTATGCCAGCCTCTGACGAAGACAGCATTTTCTCCATTTCAAACCAGGTTGTACAGTTCAAAGAGGAAAGTCTCTTCTGCCGTCTCCTCAAGGCTGGATTCTTTTTCTTTTTTATTTATTTATTTATTTATTTATTTTACTTTAAGTTCTGGGATACATGCGCAGAACGTGCAGGTTTGTTACATATGTATACATGTGCCATGGTGGTTTGCTGCACCCACCAACCTGTCATCCAGGTTTTAAGCCCCGCATGCATTAGGTATTTGTCCTAATGCTGTCCCTCCCCTTTCCCCCAACCCCCTGACAGACCCCGGTGTGTGGTGTTCCCCTCCCTGTGTCCACATGTTCTCATTGTTCAACTCCCACGTATGAGTGAGAAGATGTGGTGTTTGGTTTTCTGTTCCTGTGTTAGTTTGCTGAGAATGATGGTTTCCAGCTTCATCCATGTCCCTGCAATGAACATAAACTCATTCTTTTTTATGGCTGCATAATATTCCATGGTGTATATGTGCCACATTTTCTTTATCCAGTCTATCATTGATGGACATTTGGGTTGGTTCCAAGTATTTGCTATTGTAAATAGTGCTGCAGTAAACATACATGGGCATGTGTCTTTATAGAATGATTTATAATCCTTTGGGTATATACCCAGTAATGGGATTGCTGGGTCAAATGGTATTTCTGGTTTTAGATCCTTGAGGAATTGCCACACTGTATTCCACAATGGTTGAACTAATTTACACTCCCACCAACAGTGTAAAAGTGTTTCTATTTCTCCACATCCTCTCCAGCATCTGTTGTTTCCTGACTTTTTGATGATCACCGTTCTAACTGGCATGAGATGGTATCTCATTGTGGTTTTGATTCTTATTTCTCTAATGACCAGTGATGATGAGCTTTTTGTCTTTTCATATGTTTGCTGGCCACATAAATGTCTTCTTTTGAGAAGTGTCTGTTCATATCCTTTGCCCACTTTTGGATACAGTTGTTTGTTTTTTTCTTGTAAATTTGTTTAAGTTCCTCATAGATTCTGGATATTAGCCCTTTGTCAGATGGGTAGATTGCAAAAATTTTCTCCTATTCTGTAGGTTGCCTGTTCACTCTGATGATAGTTTCTTTTGCTGTGCAGAAGCTCTTCAGTTTTATTAGATTTCATTTCTCAATTTTGGCTTTTGTTGCAATTGCTTTTGGTGTTTTAGTCATGAAGTCTTTGCCCATGCCTGTGTCCTGAATGGCGTCACGTAGGTTTTCTTCAGGTTTAGAAGCTGATGAAATTACAGGAACTGGTGCCAAAAGCAAGGACTGTAGCAGAGTCCCACTGCTGGACTCAAGGAAGCCTTTTATCTTTCCCTGTTGTCCACAGAGTATGGGTTGTCATGTGAGGCAGGTCCTAGAGGGGTGTACAGCAGCTCCCAAGTTCTGAAAATCCTCAGCCTATGGAACTCTCATGAGAAGTGCCACCACACTCAGAATTTCTTCCTGGAGACTTTTTGGGAATAACTCAAAGAATGTCACATAGATATAAGGAAATAATGCATCTTACTCACTTTAATGTTTTCAGATGACATTCTTACAAGATTATTTTAGTTTGTTTCTTTATGTGTATTATCACATTTTTTTTTCATGGCAAGCTGTGCCTTGGGCTTCTCTTTTAGCAAAAGACACACTGGTCTCGAGTCTGTGCCTTAAATATGCGATATCCTTTACTACCATGGGCAGTCTCTTGTATCATTGAAGGATCACGCCTGTAATCCCAGCACTTTGGGAGGCCAAGGAGGGAGGATCATGAGGTCAGGAGTTCGAGACCAGCCTGACCAACATGGGGAAACCCCGTCTCTCCTAAAAATACAAAAGAAGGAGTCTTCATTTCACACACACACACACACACACACACACACACACACACACACACACACACAAGAATTTGCCGGCCGGGCGTGGTGTCTCATGCCTGTAATCCCAGCACTTTGGGAGGCCAAGGAGGGTGGATCACCAAGAGATCCAGACCATCCTGGCCAACATGGTGAAACCTCATTTCTACTAAAAATACAAAAATTAGCCGCATGTGGTGGCCTGTGCCTTGTAGTCCTAGCTACTCAATGGGCTGAGGTAGGAGAATCACTTGAACCTGGGAGGCGGAGGTTGCAGTGAACAGAGATAGCGCCACTGCACTCTAATCTGGGCAACAGAGTGAGACTCCATCTGGAAAAAAAAAAAAAAAAAGAATTTGCCTTTACATAGCATAAGATCCAGAAACACATAAGAGGCAGTACTTTCACAAAACTTTAAAAATGTCTGAATATACATGAGGGCAAGAGCCTTTCTTTACATCACATAGCTTCATGTTGAATTTGAACACCTTAGTATCATGTATCTAGTGTGAACTCGGTTTATTCAAATAAAAGGAATTTTTTATTTGGTTTTGTGAGACAGCATAATATAATTTACTTGGCTTCAAGGACATAAATATTCCATCACAGATTAAGAAGAAAAATGAGAAGAGATGCTGAAATGTAAGTCCCACTTCATCTTGTTTCTGGCTAACCTATTTGGTAAATATGAAAGGACCCATTTCTCTTGTCACTACTGGTAAAATAAAAAACATAAGAGAGTTGCATTTTTGCACATCAAAAAGATAAAGATGAAGAAAAACTAATAGAATGAAATGAAAATTGTCAATTTTTGTGTCTTTGTATTAATTATCACTAAGACTGAATAACTGGCAGTAAGCCCTAGATGACAGAGAAATAGGTCATAGGGAGAGAGAGACAGAGATGAGGCCACATGCAGGCACACCCATCCACCCCACTTAGTAGGTGCATGGATCCACCAGGTGGTCACAGAAAGCGAAAAATGTCTACTCAATTGTCACTGCTCTTTCTTCAACACCAAAGTCTTTATGATCAAAGAAACACCCAGCTGAATGGGTTTTTCCTGGGATACTCGGCAATATGAAAAAAAATTACAAAACCAAAACGGTTGAATTTCCTTGTAATCTGGAACTTTATGGCCACTCATATCAGGTTAAACAAAAAAATGTATCCACTGCTTTATTTTTTGTCTACCGAATACAATCACGTTCTAGGGCTGCAATATGTCAGTGAGTTGAATTAAGGCAGTTCAGTTCACTTTTTTTTTTTTTTTTTGAGAGACAGAGTCTTGCTCTGTCACCTAAGCTAGAGTGCACTGGCGTGATCTTGACTCACTGCAACCTCCACTTCCCTGGTTCAAGTAGCTGGGACTACAGGCGTGCGCCTCTGCGCCCAGGTAATTTTTGTATTTTTTAGTAGAAACAGGGTTTCACTATATTTTGGCCAGGCTGGTCTCGAACTCCTGACTTCAGGTGATCTGCCCACCTCGGTCTCCCAAAGTGTTGGGATTACAGGTGTGAGCCACTGCGCCCAGCCCTACTTCACTTTTTCTACTCTTAGCAATTGTCCATCTTGGCAAGAATAAAAATTACATTTTTTTCCCTCATAATTCACAGCACATCATAGATATTATTATAATTACTGGGCAATTAGAATTTTAAAAAAAGTTTAGTAGGTTAAAATGTAGTCCACAAAACTAATGTGTTTATAAAATTGATCCCAAACAGAAAAATTTCTCTGAAGAGAGAAATACAGAGGAAGCAATTTGAAGGATTTGTCTTAAGTTATTGAGCTGTATTTTATACAAAAATAAATCTGATTATCATGAGGCTGAGGAAATGTTTATTTAAAAAGTTTTAAAATGTGAAACAACGGTCAATTGTATTTATTCGTATTTTTATCCAGAAGTAAGACAAACACAAAATATTTATCAATAAATTATCTATTAACTTCTATCTCTGGTTAACTTCTTAAGAGTGAGTTCTTGGAAGCTAGAATGAGAAGTATCAGTGAAACGAACCTCTGAGTTATATTCATTGTTTGTAGAGCTAGAAATGGACTTCCTAGAAAATACAGGTTTGGGCCAGGCACGGTGGTTCATGCCTGTAATCCCAGAGCTTTGGGATGCCAAGGTGGGTGGATCATTTGGGCTCAGGAGTTTGAGACCAGCCTGGGCAACATGGTGACACTCCGTCTCTACAAAACAAAAACAAAAACAAAAAAACCACAAAAATTTGATGGGCATGGTGGTGCATGTCTGTAGTCCCAGCTATTCAGGAGGCTGAGGTGGAAGGATCGCTTGAGCCTGGGAGGTCAAGGCTGCAGTGACCCGAGATCATGCCACTGTACTCAAGCCTGGACTACAGAGTGAGACCCTGTCTCAAAAACGAGCAAAGTAAAAGGAAGGGAGGGAGGGAGGGAGGGATGGTATATGAGTGTTGTATACATTGTTTTTCATTTCAGTCAAAATCTTGAAGCAGACAAACTGAGGAGAAAAATCATTTCGTAAATGAACGATTATATTCTGGGTTTTATCAAGATATTTTACAACATTAAAAAGAAATAAGATAAAAATCAGGATTATGTATTTTTCTTCTAGAAGGTGATTTCTTTTTTAATCATTTTTTTTTGTATTAGGTAAAACTTTAGCAATATGAGTTAACATTGTGAAGCAGGCATGAATTTCAAAGTAGGAACAATAAAAGTGAAGAATTAAAAAAGAGCAAAATTTGAAACCTTGACAAAAGCAGATCTTAAAAGGGAAAAGCAACTGATGCAGAAGTGTTTGGAAATTGAGGGTAAAAAAATAGTCTTCAGTTTATTCATTAAAAAAATGGAACAAGCTTCCTATTTTCATCTTTAATCTTCTGTGTGTTCTTTGTAAGCAGTATTACGTCTTTGCAAATTAATTTTCATCTTTCTCCTGTGAAAAGATGAATCCCTTATTTTAACTTAAATTATTTAGGTTAAAATTTAACTTGGAACATAACTTTATCAATGTAGAAATCAAATATTTGCATGAAAAAATTAAAGAATATTGTTAAATATAACAATATATAAGAATATTTGGGCTCTTTGTACAGTTTCTCATGTTAAAATTAGATAAACAGGATGAAATGATTTATCTAACTAGAAAAAATTAGGTAAAAGTTGTAAGCTAGACAACAGTTTCACTCCGTGATTTATCCAACCTTCTTTAACCTGAGTTGGACCTTTTATTTTCTTCCTTCTCCACAAGTCTACTTCGTTTGCATGTGCGCTGTAAGAGGTCGTTAAGAAAGTTTATCGGGCCCTATTGCCCTCAGTCATATGTTGAATCAAACACTTCTTGTTTCAGTATATAGTATGCACTGGCCTGCAATATTCTCTCCTGATGACTTTTTCTTATTTTTATTGTTTTCCTTTTAGCCCCCAAGTTCAGTATGATAATCTTTTGTACTTGGTTTAAAACCCTCTTTAAATGTCACATGCTCTCATTCATTCAGCAAATAATTATTGAATAAAAATGTGTGTGTATACCGTATGTGTGTGTGTGTATGAATTGGGTGATAAGACTATGAAGTTACATAAAAAAATGATGGGAACACAATTTAGACAGGGTAGTCAATCTTTGAGCTTGCCAGGTCTTAAGTGTATAATGCAAGCCAGGTCAAACTTCTAAAAATAGAACTCAGAGTGTAGACCACACCAACACATCTAGAAATTGGAATCTCAGGGCAAAAGATATCTAGAAAAGTCAGGAACCACAAAAGCAGCAAGGGATTCTGGTACTGGGTCATCATAAACATGTATCCCAGGAATCGCATGCTCAGTTTATCATCTTCTTGGGGCCCAATCCGCTGACTGAATGTGATGAATGAAGGCAATAATTAATCAGGATGTATCCCAAGGAATTTAAGATTTGGATGTGAATTCTAACGAGATGGCTTT
This sequence comes from Homo sapiens, assembly GCF_000001405.40. NCBI lineage: Eukaryota > Metazoa > Chordata > Mammalia > Primates > Hominidae > Homo > Homo sapiens. The sequence goes on along the minus strand of NC_000013.11, from coordinate 107,723,031 downwards.
TAAGATATTTTTTCAGTTTTGAAAAATTCTGATAAATACGTGGAAAATTCTACATTTTCTAATTCTGAATTGTGTAATAGTCATGATAGCTTCTGTTTAGGGCCTGCACCAGCATTGTGCTCAGAGCCGCCATGTACAGCAATGCCTTACGCTTGGGACCCAGGTGAGAGGGAAGGTGCGCGCTGAAACCCATCCATGTGGTGACAATCTGAGCTGACTGGGCTGAGTGCTTTCTCTGCAGCATCTGTGATTCTTATGGCAACTCTGAAGTCACATTTGATTACTTCCATTTTACAGATGGAAATGAGGGGTGGAGAGGTGCCCTGACCCCCCACGAGTGGAGATAGCCCAGGTTTGATTTAAGGTCTCTCTGGATCCAAAGCCTTTCTCCCTCACTGTCCTAGGAGAGATGTAGGCAACCGTTTTCAGAAGGAGCGTGGTAGTGTTGCTAGGGGCCCGCTAGGGAGGCACTGGCAGGAGAGGCTGCACTCCTGTGCCATTCCCAGTCAGGGTGGCACTGCTTCCATTCCTGTGCCCAGAACACCCAAGACAAGGTGGCCAGAGCAGTGCAGGAAGTACCTGAGGCTCCTCATTTTCAGTGACATGAACCATCAATCATCCAGTTTTCTTGGTGATAAAATAATTATAACTTTCATTTCTGGAATAGATATCAAGGATTGCGACTGCTCTGTGTATCATGCACCAAATTCTATGAAATGAAGTTAACACATGTGAAAAGGATCTAGGTTCTCAGAGTTTCTCCCTTAAAGAAGGGAGAAACTTAGGTTTCTCCTTGTTTTCTTTAATTTGGATTCTGAATACAGAAAGGATATGAGTGACGCATACTGCTTTTTCCTTTATGATAAGACCATGTGTTCTAAGGTAGATTTACCGAACTTTTAACCTGCTCCCCTTTCTCTCCCTCCCTCCTCCTTTCTGGATTTAGGTCATTTTCTGCATAGAATTCTACCAGGATATCTCTATTTCCTAACTTGCTGAATGCTTTGTCTTAAGTTAATAATCGTCTTAAACTCAAAGGCAAGAGGGGGGGAACCCTCAGTGATGTTTCTTATTTATCACTAGCCAGCATGTATGAATAAACAGAGCACGCCAAAAGCCTCGTTCAAAAAAGTTTTAAAATATTCATGAATCTGCGGTAGGGATGTGTTGTGATGATCAGACATCAGAAATCAGATCTCCTCACCGCGCTGCAGTTCCCTCTCCTCCGGGAGAGAACAGAGAGGATTTTATATATTCTGCTTGACACCGCTAGGCAGTACGATCATTATAATGAGAAGCAGAAATGCAAATGGGGGATCTCCCCAGCGTCCATCCCTCCCTGGGAATTAGGTGTTTGGATTCTGCCAGAAAAACAGCCAGTGTACCTTCTGGGCAGGTCCCAGAAGAGGGAAATCCCGTCAAAGGGGATTGATGAGCCTGCCTGCAATTTCCTGCAGCGTGAGGCCACACGGAGAGAGAGAAAGCCAGATTTGCACTACACCGTGGAGAGAGCTGTAGTCTCATATTGTTTCAGAAACATATAGAACTTGAAATAATTTTACCTGCTCCATTCAAAAATGTAGCTTAGCATTGAAAATCCATCTGTAGGTATTGACTCTGCCTCCCTGCACAGCTTATATGTCAAAATGAGCAACAGTTGTGTTCTGGAAGGACTGTCACAGTGGAGGGGCTGGACTGTGAGGGCTGGATATTCCTTGTTGCTGGGTGCTGGCGGAAGATGATGTTTTTGTCCCCTAGGAACCGGTATCATTTTTACATGTATTAACTTCATTTCATACAATTTGGTGCATGATACACAGAGCACTCACAATCCTGTCCTTCATGTCTATTCCATAAATGAGAGTTATGATTATTTCATTACGTGTGTGTGTGTGTGTGTGTGTGTGTGTGTGTGTGTGTGTATTGAGATCTGATGACAACTAGTTTTAAACTACTGTCTGTTTTGGAGTGAATAACTCAGTTCTCAGGTTCCAATGTACCATTCATGTGATATCCACGATGCCCACAGAGAGCCTTGACATCCATATGGATACAAATGGATTTAGCAATAATGTTTTTGTTAGCTCAGTCTTTGGATCAGATGCGGCTGTACACAAATAGAATGTGCTGGATCATCCTGCCAGCATGGATAAAAATGCATATATGCAACCTTTGGCGTAAACAGATGTGTTTCAACCTGTGTTTATCCAGAAGGAAGGAGTAAACACTACCTTCAGCTCAGCTTGATTGTGCTCTAAAGTGATCGGTCAGTAAAAGGACGTGGATTAGAACTACAGTGCAGGCAGTTGGGTAATGCTTGTGAAAATAACAAATTCTATCTGGTTCCCTAGCTAAGTTCCTTTTATTTTATTTATTTGATTTGGCTAATTGGCTGCTTCAATAGTTTAGGTGTTCAAATGCAGAACTTAAAAACTTAATTCTGCACATGTTACTGGACTCCATACAATACTCACTGTGTATTATTCTGGGAAATATGCTTTTTTTTTTTTTTTTTTTTTTTGAGATGCAGTCTCACTCTGTTGCCCAGGCTGGAGTGCAGGGGCGCAGTCTTGGTTCACTGCAGCCTCTGCCTCTTGGGTTCAAGCGATTCTCTTGCCTCAGCCTCCCAAGTAGCTGGGACTACAGGTGTGCGCCACCGCGCCTGGCTGATTTTTGTATTTTTTTAGTAGAGACGTGTTTCACCATATTGGTCAGGCTGGTCTCGAGCACCTGACCTCATGGTTTGCCCTCCTTGGCCTCCCATAGTGCTGGGATTACAGGCATGAGCCACCGTGCCCAGCCAACTATGCGTATTGTAAAATTGAATAGAGCACATTATTGTCTTTAAGGAGATTAAGGCAGATAAGTCATGTACATGTTTAATGAGTGGCAAGTTCGTAGGGTGGAGGCCACCAAAACGCTATGGAATAAAGTATTGTCTAGTTGCACGTGGGCAGGAGAGGCTCCATGGAGGTGATGACAAGTAAGAGAAGCCAGAAAGATGGGAGTATATTGGGGTGGTGACAAAGCGAGTGGAGATGGGGAGGGCATTCCAAGCAAAGAGAGAAACATGAGCAGAGGGAACGGTGATTATTGAGGAAGAAGAGAGAAATATGATTGACATTGTCTTCAGGAAAATCAGCCATGCAGTCATATTTGCAATGAAGTTCGGCAAGGGGAGCCCAGGAGCACCCATTAGACTGTTGGTATTATTTGGGTTAGAGGCAATGAAGGGTTGAATGAGACAGGAGCATGGGAATCAATGTTGGGGGAAAAAGGAAAAGAGTAGAATATGACTTTGAGAGTAGAATACAGACTCTCAAGCCTGGATCCCAAGGTAGCACACCATTATGAGCAATGAGATATTCAGAGGACAGGCACAGTGATTAATAGTTGGAAGTGAGAGAAGAGCCGTGGTTTCATTGTAGTTGTTTGCTTTGAGTTCTACTTGGACATCTACTATAGATGTCCAAGTAGAAGTATGGATTTGGAGCTGAGGATGAAGTCAGGAAAGGATAAATAAATTTTGGGAATTTCTTTACAAAGTGACTATTGAAAGGGGAAGCACGATTGTGTCAGTGGAAAAAAAAGTACAACTGTAGAAGGAAGAATGGTGAACATTTATGATAGATTAGTAGAAACAGGAGACTTTAGAGAGATTACATGGGGGCAATGATGGAAGCAGTGGGCAAACAGGAAAGGCCTTGTTGAGACAGCTAAGAGAATATTTCAAAGAACTGCCAGTGGTCAACAAGATTAAATACTAGAAAATTCAAGAAACCTTGCTAACTAGAAAACAACAAGGTAATTGATAATCTCTGTGATATTCAGCAGATTTTCATTAGTTACAGAGAGAACATCACATGGAAATAAAATGGTTATTGAAGAATCTTTTTGGTGAACAGAATATAAGTAATTATGATAATGATCATTTACTGAGTATCTACTAGGGACCCAGGCACTCTACGTAAATTATCTCATTTAATTCAAATACAAGCAGTTGAAACTATGCTTCTATTTAGATGAAGAATTTGAGATCAAATGCTTATGCAAAACCACCAAAGGTTTAGCTCCTAGCATTGTGCAAAAGAATATTCTGAGATGAAGGGAATGTTCTATATCTGCCTGGTCCAATGCAGTAGCCCCTGGCCACATGTGGCTATTAGGTGCTTGAAATGTGGCTAAGGTGACCGAGGAAATGAATTTTTAATGTTATTTAATTTCAACTTGTTCAAGCTTGAATAGCTACAAGTAGCTATTGGCTGCCATATTAGAAAGCGCAGGGCCTGGTTCAGAGTAGGGGTGAAATAAGTATTTGTTGAGTAAGTCCATTGAAACCCAGAGTTGGATCTACATCACACTGGCTTCAAAGACTGTGTTCTTTCAACTACATGGGGCAGCTATTCACCAGTTTCACACAACTCTTTGTTTGGTGCTCATTTAAAGCTCTAAATACTCCTCTCAAGAACTGCCTTTTCCTCATCTAGTCCACAAAATCCACCTATTATTTTTTCTCCTTGCTCAAGCCAAGCTGAGATGATTTTCTCCCCAGGAAAAATATCTGAGGACACAGTTCGCTAGGATAATCATAGGTGTGGTAGCCACTAGGTAGGTGGGGAGGAAGTGGGATGAGAGTCTTCTTCCTTTAATGAGGCAGGTTCTGTGGGAACTGGTTTGGTGCAGTTGCTGACTGTGATGGTATGACGAGGATTCTGACTTTTAGGGACTACTCCCCGTAAGTCCATGACAATCTTATCCGGAACTGCATAAAGCATTATAACTGAGCTTCTGAGACAGAGCAATAGGGTCATAACAGAGAGAAAGAACATCAAGGTCAGAAATCTAGAGTGGGAAAGACTCTAGAAGGGGTCAGGCAGGGAGACAGTGCCATCAAGGACACATGTTTACAGCAGCAGGGCTCTCGCCTCGGGATGAGGGATACGCATTCGCTGAAGAGACACCTGGTTTCCAATCTGGTTCCTTGCCAGAATGTAGGAACCAAAAGCCAAAGCCAGTTTTATCAGCTGGAACAACAGCAGGTGGAGGGCTGGGTCTAATTGAGAGTGAGTAAGCTTAGTGAGCAGCACTGTGGACCAGCGAGTTGGGGATCTGAAAAAAGAAAGAGCTAAAAATTACTTGGCGAAGAAAAAAGAAAAGTTGAAGCAGATCTAGATACATTATATCCCAATCATCTCTGTGCCCTGATTGTGGCTGCTTCAGTAACTAAGATCAGGAAAGGATAAACAGAGGCTAAGATTGGAAATTTGGGATGGGGAGAAAGAGAAGGAAGCCACGGAGGGTGCTGCCTTACTTTCCCCACTCCTGGCTTTCAGAAGGTAAAAACCTTCCTTTTTTTCCTTTTCGTTTTGAAAATTAGTCTTTTTCTGTGTAGATTAAGACTGATGCATCTTTTTTTTTTTCACCTCTTGATTATAGAACTGCAGTTCCCTGAGCACTGGACGTAGCTTTTTACCTAACATCTCCGAGATACCTTAATGAACACATTCTGATTCCACATCCCAAGGGTTTCTCGACTTCTCCTCTTTCACTTTTAATGATTTTCCAGCTCGCTGGCCTTCAGTGTGCATCAGGATCATCTGGAGGACAGGTTAAACCAGAGCTTGCTGGGTTCCACCCCCAGAGTTTCTGATTCTGTGGGTATGTGCTGGGACTTCAGAATTTGCATTTCTGATATGTCCATACGTGATACTCATGCTGCCGATTGGGGCACCACACTTGGGGAACTCGTAGATTAAAAACCTATTGGATTGATGCTAGACAGACTGCTTCAAATACTGAAATGTTTGTCAGCTAGAAGAGAGATTTTACTCATGTTTATTCTCATTGGATACAAATAGAATTAATGAGGGAAGGGTAAAGGAAAATCTTACTGGCACAACATAAAGCACCTAGGTCAAAGAGAGGAAGCATTGACATGGGATATGTGGGTGATGTGGGTGAGCTTTGAGGACAGTTGAAATATCTACCTGCTAAGCACACTGGAGCAGGTGTTAGCATGGGTATGCAGTTGGAAGAGATGATCTTTAAGTTTACTCCCAACTCTGAGAGTCAGTGATTTTGGTTTTTCCAAGGTCAGCATTTTTATTCAAAGTATCCTGGGCTGTCTTCTCTTTACGGAAACCCCGCCATCAAAATAACAACCAAAAAAGGTGTAAAGATGTGTTTCTCTTCATAATTCCACTCCTCTACCACTGCCGTCAGTAACAAGAGTTGGTGTCTGAGCGCTCTTCCTACCAAATTCAACATTTATGACACTCTCCAGGGAGGCATGCAACAGCTGTGTGATAACCTTATCAGGCATTAAAGACACTTCATGTAATGAAAAATCCTGTGTTTAAATATAGTCACATCTCCTGTCTCCAGCTAAGCTGGACACTGCATATCCACTTTGGGGAAGGAAGTATTTTCAGCATAATGCCCTGTAAAGATTTGTAAATGTGTCACCTGCCTACATGGACAGCGAAGAGAAAGCAGTGGCCCAACAAATTTGTCTGTAAATGTAAGTGCAGAGATTCTCTCCCACATCAAGCTGTGCCCCTGGATGAACTGAAAATGAGATTGGGAGGGAAAGCTAATCAGGCGGTCCTCTCTCTTGTATTCGGCATTAAGCACTGATGAAGCCTTTGCAGGGCGGGTTAAAGAGCAATATATGGCACCGGGAAACAAAACATGCTCAGACGTTTTTCCCTGGGTGAATTTTACACCTGTCTGAAATCAGGGAGCACTGCTCTCGAGTGGTTGAAAGTTCTCTTTTCCAAATGCAAAGACTGAATTTTGAACCTTTCAGCACTCTCTTATCTTTGGTAATAACTCCAGCTAGAAAGTGCAAATGAGTCTGACGCCTTTGAGAACATCTGAATGGCCTTGATGGAAGCATTGATGGGGGATCTAAGGTATCAATGTTGCCTTGCAAGGTGACATAAATGGGTTTGAATTACTGCCTGAGATGGACACCCTAAGTTTAACACCCTAAGTTTCCTTCTTAGCTTCCCAAAGTTGTTCCATACATCGAACTTAGCAAACTCAGAAAAAACAGCAAGCATACCATCCTCTTTAACTGCTCCATTTTACTCCTCTCTCTCTGGAGTGACACATGTAACTATAAGGAAAGAATTCTATCCCCCTTTATGAAACCTGCATCCCAATCTTCTGAACTTTTGTTTTCATTTTAAAAACATTTCAAAAAAAGGTTCCTTATTGCTAATCCAGCATAATTATTTGTGCTCATATGGGGCTGAACACATTGGCAAGTGTAAAGACGTGAGAGGCCTCCGTGCCAGAAGGGCACACTGTGGTGTCGTGCTTCACAGCCATCTCTGCTGAAGGGCTCACTTTTCCCCTTGCATTGCAACCTGTCAAGGTCCTCCTGTACGTGACTCTACAAAGCTCACACCACAGGCGGCTCATCACATGAATCTGAAACCACTCCAACTCTGCCATAGCCTCTTCAACAAAATGACTCCCTGATCGGGCACAGGAACTCCATAGCCTTACTAAACTGTTATAAAAGGCCGGGGACGGTGGCTCACGCCTATAATCCCAGCACTTTGGGAGGCCGAGGTGGGCAGATCACCTGAGGTCGGGAGTTCAAGACCAGCCTGATCAACATGGAGAAACCCCGTCTCTACTAAAAATACAAAATTAGCCAGTTGTGGTGGTACATGCCTGTAATCCCAGCTACTCAGGAGGCTGAGGCAGGAGATTCTTTTCAACCCGGGAGGCGGAGGTTGCTGTGAGCTGAGATCATGCCACTGCACTCCAGCCTGGGCAACAAGCGTGAAACTCTGTTTCAAAAAAAAAAAGAAAGAGAGAGAAAGAAAGAAATTATTATAAAAATATTTTACAATAACTGAAAGAGTAGAATTGGAATGTTTCAAACACAAAGAAATGATAAATGCTAAATGCCGATTATCCTGATGTGATTACTACACATGATATGGCTGTATCAAAACATCACATTCATCCCATAAATATATACACCTACTATATAAGCACAAAAATAAAAAAATTCAAAAATGAGAGAAAATGCAAAAAAAAACCCTTCTAAACACTTTCAATTTTGTTTCTTCCCTTGCTACGAATAGTAACTCATTGTTAATATCCACATTTGGAATAGCACTACTGTTTATGGTATAACCTGGTTAATTTTTCAAATAATTCAAAATATGAAACTCAGGTGTGGAAAACGTAGGTGGAGCATGATGTCATGGATACGGCACCTAATTTTTTAGAATTTCTGTGCAGGAAAAACAATGACACAAACACATCTGTATCAAACTCATAGGAAATAAACTCTTAAGTGTCAAAACAGAGCACAAACAAAAGAGGAAATGCTCTGTTCAGATTAAAAAGTTTCCCAATTTTATCTTTCTTTTTTTTTTTTTAATAAAGCCTCACTCTGTCACCCAGGCTAGAGTGCGGTGGTGCAATCTCGGCTCACTGCAACCTCCCAAGTAGCTGGGACTACAGGCATGCACCACCATACCTGGCTAGCGTTTATATTTTTGTAGAGATAGGGTTTTACCATGTTGCCCAGGCTGGTCTCGAACTCCTGAGCTCAAAGCCATCTGCCCACCTCGTCCTCCCAAAGTACTGGGATTATAGGCGTGAGCCACTGCGCCTGGCCTGGTTTCCTAATGTTTTGAGAAAGGGGTGCCTTAGGGGGATTTCATAGTGTCAAGTCTCATGGTGTGAAGCCAGGAAGCAGAGGCCAACAAGTGATCTGAAGGACAGCAGCGCTGCAGCTTGTGAATTCTAAGCATTATACAAATGCACTTATGTGTCATATTCAACCATAAATGGAATCTTTGTCATGAAAAAGATTCTTTATATCAACATATGTCATCACAAAAGAGCTTCTTTCTTTGATAACATACAAGTGAAAGTTTTTGAATTTTGATTTTCTATTCATTATATGGTGAAGTCAACTGAAATCAGAGAGTTGAAGTAGCTTGTGGCAGGCCTCACTGGCAGTGAAAGCTAAAAGCAGGACTCACATCCGAGGCTTCTCATGAGCCCCTTTCTTCTCCTCTGTTATTTCTTTTCCTTCATCTATTTTCATTCTTCTTATTTAATCGTTTAATAACACTTCTCTCCTTCAGTCTCTAAAGCATACTGCCTATAATGCATTTTTTAAAATTCAAGGTTTTGTTTCTAATCATGCAGAGCTGTACTTGCGCATTAGGAAGGATTAGGATATTGGGTGATGCTGTGAATTGCCCCCTTTTGAAATAAAACAGATACAGAAAAATTACTGATAAATATATAGCACATATGTATGTGCTGGTTACTTTCAGCTCCATTTTATCATTCTTTTGCCTTCATACTACATGGTTTACTAAGTAAAACAGAGACTGAGTTGCCAAATTGAGGTAAGAGTATAATAGCACAATGTTAAGAACACCAGTTTGTAAAATCCACTCTTAAATCTATTAATGTGACCTCAGATGATGATATAATCTCTTTATCCCTCAGTTACCTCATCTATGGAATGTAGATAATGACAGTGTCCACCATACAATGCTATTGTGAGGATTGTAGGAAATCATTCATGTAAGGCACTTGGCACAGCACCTGGCATGTAGTACACAAGCCAGAAATATGAGCCATATCATTACATGTTGATATCATTATATTCAGTAAAAAATATCAGAGCCCTTAAAACAGGATAGAGGGGAAGTGTAATGAATTCAGAATGGAACAATGCCCAAGTATATGATTGTGTTCTGAAAGACTAAAAACCATTTGTTTGTGTTCATTTCCTGCAGAGGATAATCCGTATGTGAAATGTTCTACTTACTGAAGGGAGAGGGGGCTTAGAAGAACATAATTAAACTAAAAGATCCATTTAAGAGAGCTACTTCCGAAGAAAATTTGCTGCTGCTTTGCCGTAGCCCCTGATGTGTGGACGTGGTTCTGACCTGTGGATGTGGGTCAGGAAGGCGTTCTCTGGAGCTGCAGGCAGGGACACCTCAGCTCTGAATGTCCTGTTCTGGAGCCAAGGAGAAGGGCTCGCTCCCCAGTGTCAGGTTAACATGCTGGACACAGTCCACCTCCAGACAGGTGGAAAGGAAACCTGGTGGACCCTCAGACTCAGTGTCTATTTTCCTTGTGGGTTAGCGAAGTCAGCTTCTGTCTTTGATAATACACAAGAGAAAGTCTTTTGAATTTAGGGAATCAAACCACTGCAGCTGTTATGAGGCAACAATTTGAAAAGCTTTTGTAGACTGTCTACTGAAAGACAGCTCTGTACCTTTTCATACACGCCTTTCACACTGCGTGACATTTCACTGCTTTCTTTTATTTTATCCTTCCAGCACATGCTACAGGAAAATTATGAGTATAGCAGTCCACTGTCTGGCGAGACTGTCATTCTCCCCGAAACGAAGCTGGGGCTCGGCTTTGTGGTTCATGGGTCTGCTTTTCTGCATCTGCGTGACCCCATGCTGTCTCTTCGACTTTTTAATCAAATCTTGAAAGGAGAACCTTCTATATTAATCTCTGTGGCTTGTAAATCTTCCATGCACCATCCTGGGCTTCAGTTTAATTCAGTCTCTCAAAATTCAGTTTGTGTTTATTGTTCACATCTAATGTGTTTTTTCAGGCTGGGGGTTGCCTTGTCCTCTGTTTTATTGCGGTGATTACTGCCTGTTTGTTTTGCATTCATTCCTTCCTGTTTTGTAATCCTTTCTGGGAATGCCATTGTTTATTAATACCTCTTTTAGGAGAGAGCAGAAAAAGGAAGAATATAGGCACTGAGGTCTCTCCAAATTCAAATGTAAACCTCTGAGTTTAATGGAGTCACTGGTCAATTAGGACAATGTGTTTAGATCCTAATTGCCAAATTGAGGCAACATTTATAATGTGTGTGTGTATTGTAGGATTAAAATGTAACTACTTAATTAAGGTTAACAATTCAAAGGTTTTTTTTTTTAGTGTGGAAGGATTTGATATAATCATGGTTTTATTTGTATATTCTTGCTGGGACTTTGTGTGATTTTAGATAATCCATATAAAAACCTGTTTCTCAGGTTGAGAAAACAATCTAAACTTGCCTGATGTCTGTGTAGTTATATTGCAGCAGCAGCCTTCAAGTACAGTTTTCATTAGAACTAGTCTGTTGTTATCAAGCATGTTTCCTATTAATTGAACATAAAAAACAAGATCAATAGCTACAGTAAAAAACATACATTCTTAGACTATCTCCGTTTCTAGAAGTAGTAGTTTTTAGAAGTAGTCTTGAGAATGCTGTTTGAAATTTCTGCTGAATACCCTATTGTTGTCATAGATTAATAAGATATTTCCTCTTAGAAAATCTACCACACAGACCTTATGGAACACGGATATTCCCAATGTGCTAAGGAAGGCAGGTGCTTTTCTTGGGTGCTTTATATAACTGACTGGTTCTTCCTTTGCAAATGCATCTACTTTATACTAGGTTAAAGAGAACACTATAAAGACCAGCCTGGCCAACATGGCGAAACCCTGTCTCTACTGAAAATACAAAAATTAGCCGGGCGTGGTGGTGCATGCTTGTAGCCCCAGCTACTCCAGAGGCTGAGACGGGAGAATTGTTTGAACCTGGGAGGTGGAGGTTGCTGTGAGCTGAGATTGCGTCACTGCACTCCCGCCTGGGAGACAGGGCGAGACTTCGTCTCAAAAATAAATAAATAAACAAACAAACAAACAAGGACCATGAGTTTGGTTTAGTATCACAATATGATGCATAATTCAATTTCATAACCATTTCTGGAATCTCTACTGGAAAAAGGGCACTCTTTTGGCACGTGTGGGTAACACTGTGACATGAAAGATGCACGCTCTTCCCTCAGGTTGCCAACAAGGTAGTGAGGAGATGAGGTACATAAAGAGTAATTCTGAAATAGATCTGTGAGTGGTCAGTTACTGAGCATTTCAGAAGGAGAAATCACATTAGTTGGAGGGATAAAGAAACTGTAGGATAAATCGATGTTATTTGAAGCAGTCTTTCATAAAATGATTGCTAACACCTAGATTCAGTCATTCCCAAGCAAATAAGACTCATCGATACATAACTACTAGGAATGTATGTGTGTATATATATGTTTGTGTGTGTGTATATATTAATATATATGTGTGTCTGTGTGTATATATGTGTATATATACATATACACATATCTGTGTATATTTATACGTGTCTCTGTATGTGTATATATACACATATATGTATATATACATATATGTGTATATACACACATATGTGTGTATACATATATGTATATATATGATATGTATATATATAAAAATTGTAATCCCCACGTGTTGAGGGAGGGACCTGGTGGGAGGCGATTGGATTCTGCAGGTGGTTTCCCCCATGCTCTTCTTGCGATAGTGAGTTCTCACGAGATCTGAGGGTTTAAAAGTGTAGCACTTCCTCTCACTCTCTCTCCTGATGCCACCTGAAGAAGGTGCCTTGCATCCCCTTTGCCTTCTGCCATGATTTTCTGAGTTTTCTGAGGCTTCCCCAGCCATGCATAATTGTGAGTCAATTAAACCTCTTTTCTTCATAAATTACCCAGTCTCAGGTAGTTCTTTATAGCAGTGTGAAAACGAACTAACGCAAGCCCTAATCCAGAACACCTGGTCTCCTGGGGATTCTTTATGGGCTTGTGGTGATGATGATGGTATATGAATTTCTTAGCAAGAATGAGCCAGTCTGGTTTTGGTTTCTTGTTATCTAATGGGCAATTGTTGCCAACTCTTTAAATTAGGGAGTAGATACCGAGAGGTTTGGTATGTCTGCAATATAGATACTGGTGCTTCTTTTTTCTTTTCCTTTCTTTTCTTTCTTTCTTTTTTTTCTTGTTTCTTTTCTTTTCTCCTTTTTTTCTCTTTTCTTTTCTTGTATTTTCTCTTAAGAAACTGGGTCTCACTCTTTTGCCCAGGCTGGATCAGTGGCACCATCATAGCTCACTGCAACCTTGAACTTCCAGGCTCAAGCAATTCTCCTACCTCATCCTCCCCAGTAGCTGGGACCAGAGTTGCACACTGCTACTCCTGGCTCAAGTGCATAAACTTATATTGAGCTCTTTCCAATTAAATCTGAGGTTTGGCTAAAACTTTTAGAAATATTCTATATTTGAGACCGAGAGCTATGGAATAGACCATAAATGTGGGAAAATGTGCCATGGTATATTGCCAACAACTGTTTGAGATCGTCATCTTAGCACTGTAATTATTCGTTGTAATTATATCAAATTGTGTGGGAAAAGGTTTGTTGAATATTTAGTCTGAGCTTCCTAAAAGGTGAGATAAATTGCTTAGATAAAATCCATATGCATGTTGAGACTATTGATGCAACTCTGTTGCTGACTGATGGAAATCAATTACACAAGATACTGATTGATAAACCAGAATTTTAAAAAGTATTTTACTCTAAAGGTGGCATCTTGTCAGCAGCTACATTGATATGGTTGCAATCTAGACTATCTCCTTTCCAGAACTAGTTTCCTTGTGAAGCACATTTGTGGTTAGATAGATGGTTGGTTAGCATGCAATGAGTTGAAAGCTTTTAGATAAGTTTGATCTGAAGGCCTGACAGAGGGTGTCATGAATTATCCACGTTCTCACTGCAGAGCACACCTTGCCTGTTAACCAGAAAGTCAGCTCAGCTCCTCAGACCGTGCTGACACGCATGAACAAATGCCCATGCCCCATCTCCTCTTCTGCCGTAGAAAATTTAACTATACCAACCTGGTTTTTTGTTATAATACACACAAGTATATTTTTTCATGAAATTGAGTTGACCTGTGAATCTAGATCTAAGTGACACTGAGCCCTTGGAAGTGATATTTATGGACTCTACACTACTTCATTTTTAACATTTTATAATGCAAATGAGTTCTCTTTCAACACAACTGAAACAAATACTCTAAAGTATGACAACACTTTTTGAATTTTTCTTTATTTTTTACTTTAGAATACCATTGCTGTTGTTATCGTTGTGGTTATTTGGTGTTAGTATGACACTTATTTTATGTTGTCCCCAAAGCTCTGCTGATTATGCATTTCTGGTAAACATAAATGGAAAAATGAGCTAGTTATTGATAAACACACTTTACTTAGAAATAGAAAACTAAAATGAAAAACAAGGGAGAGCATCAGGAAGAATAGCTAATGGATGCTGAGCTTAATACCTAGGTGATGGGTTGATCTGTGCTGCAAACCACCATGGCACACGTTTACCTATGTAACAAACTTGCACATCCTGCACATGTACCCTGGAACTTAGAAGTTGAAGGAAAAAAAAAATAAATAAAGAGAAAAGGTATAAAGTAGTTGGTTGGTGTTAAATTGGTTATGTCAAATTGGTGGTTGAAATTCTTTCAACAATAGCATATTTGTAAACTCTGTCCAGAGTGATATCCATGATTCCTTCTGTGATTTTCAAAAATGGTGAGTACTTTCTTTAAACCACAGTGAGACTTGACCTATATCTCTCTTAAAATAATTACAGCTTGTCTTTTATTAATATTATTTATATACTAGTCCTACCCCAGATATTTAAGATCCTTGAAGGCAAAGACTGTGACCTAGTTGTCCCCTTCCTTTTAGCACCTTATGTGGCACCTGCTATACCTAACGTTTGTGACTGCATTTGTTAGGAATGGAGAGCATTTCAGGAGATCCAGTAGAGGTAAGACATCGGTAACTGAGGGAGCATCCATAAGTATAATTATGGCTGAAAAAAAAGTTGGTGACTTAAAGGGACAGTTGTAGTTTCTAAATAAGGATCATTCTTCTTGCCTTGTAAGAGTTTCCTGATTTCAGACATAATGGAGAAAAAATGTGAGCAGTAGAGCAAGGGTTGACCCTTCCCTAGAAGCAAATTTTATCATGATTTTCAAAGGTCCCTGCTTTTACCTTGATATAAAAAATTATAGGAGCGTTTTCTAGATAGAAAATTGACTGTATTTATTATTTCTTTGGTGCTATCCAGAAAACACATACACCTATTCATGCAAACAATTGGGGTGGGGTGGGGGGTAGGGTGGATTATAATTATTTATATGAGAACAGCATGCATTTAAAAAACCAGAGATCACTGTGTGTCTTTTTGGTCTGGAAGTCCCAAAGATGAAAAATTGGAGTAAACAGAAAATATAGAGTATCAGTAAGAGTTATTATTTGCAAGCAAAAGACATTGGCTAATTGTGTGGCTAATTTAAGCAGAAAAGTGAAATGCATTTAAGGCTCTTGGGTAGCTAATAGAAACTCTCAGAAAGCTAGCTAACCCAGCATGAAGGCTATATAGCTATGAGCAATGAAGTCTACCCTCAAATATCTAGCCAGATAGGATACTACCATCTCCACCTCAGGGACAGTTGATATCCTGACATTGCACACAGTGACCACAACTGGTCTGTGCATTCCTGCCCGCTTGGCTCAATAATTGCTTATTTAAAGTAGGGAGTCGGTGCTTGTGGTTGGCAGAGACTAAGTCACATGCCTGTGCCCTAGCTGTGGGATGGGATGGAAAAGGAAGTATCTAGAATTTCCATTTCAGTTCCAAGGGTTGGGGTCTGCTAGAGGTAGGAGAGACATCATCAACATGAAAAGGGATTCCAAAGTGAGGCGGCCAAAACAATTTTAAAAGTCCTATTGCACATAAAATCTACTTAAATCCCTTTACCACTTATATTGGATGCATCATTTTTATGACTCAAGAAGGAAAATAAAGTCTTCCAGATTATTGGATTTATTTCAGCCTACCTGAAATGTCTAGTGACATAATATCATAAGAATGCCCTTGGCCGGGCGCGGTGGCTCACGCCTGTAATCCCAGCACTTTGGGAGGCCGAGGCGGGCGGATCACGAGGTCAGGAGATCGAGACCATCCCGGCTAAAACGGTGAAACCCCGTCTCTACTAAAAATACAAAAAATTAGCCGGGCGTAGTGGCGGGCGCCTGTAGTCCCAGCTACTTGGGAGGCTGAGGCAGGAGAATGGCGTGAACCCGGGAGGCGGAGCTTGCAGTGAGCCGAGATCACGCCACTGCACTCCAGCCTGGGCGACAGAGCGAGACTCCGTCTCAAAAAAAAAAAAAAAAAAAAAAGAATGCCCTTGATTTAAAAACTGGCGGACATAACCCTCTCCCCATATGTTTTCAACAATTAAGCAGTTGTATTCAACTATGAATGAAGTTAGAATTATTAACAGAAAACATTTTCTTACTGGTATTTTAAGTTTGAAAGCAGGATGTTTACAGTTGAAGAATTGAATCAGTATAGCCAATCATTGAGCCAGTCTGTGTATATCCATTCATTCTAGTACAGCCTACTTTATGTGAGTGGGGATTTGGCTTACATTCTATTTAAAAAATCCAATCTTTTATTTCTCTGAGCGACAGTGCTTTGTTCAAGACTGATCCTGCTTTTAAGTTACCAAATGAAATAGACTGCATTTAATGCCAAATTTAAATTTGCATTGAGAACAGTTCTAGGTGGTGAAGAACAGGCAGATTAGACATGAAGAAATAAATATGATAAGAAAATCTACTTTAGAATAAAACTCATCTTCTTAAAAAGAATGCATGTGAGAAATCTTAATATACTATAATGTCTTATTAGGCTTAGTGAAGTAACTGCTGATAGAATCTGTCTTCCAGAGCTGCGTGTCCACATATTCTAAATAATATGTCTTCCTAAATAGAAGATAAAAGATGAAATTTATAGGGTCCAGAAGGGAGCAGAGTTCTGCCTGCATTTTTGACTAATAATTGACTTTCCCCTTTATGTGGGGAGTTGCGGAAAAGCATTTTTGACATTTTATTGCCACCGAAGATTGACTCCTATTGTTTCAGAATACTGCAGCCACCCAGCTTTGCCTTTCCCTGCACTTTAGCAGGCTATAGAACAAGTGTACTTAAGCTGAATAATGTGCCTTTTATCCGGATATCTAAGTTATAGTCATTGGCGATACTAGAGATAAAACTGATTCTTTCTTGAGTTAAGCTTTTGACAGGTCTTCAGTGTTTTAAAGCACTGCACCACTAAGCTCAAAGAGTCTATCTCTTTCTCTCTCTCTCTCTCTTAAATATCTGCATTATGTATTAGCTGGAAAAATACTAGTTAACTCCTCTCTTATGCCTATAAATATATGACAAAATATAAGCTGTCAATGAAAAAAAAATAAAAGCGAAACCTCCCAAATGTGCACACTTTGTTCACTAAAGCATCTGTTGTTGTTTTTTTCTATGCTGAAAGGCATAATTGTTTTTGTTTTGTCCTCAGCAGAGATAGGTAGCTAATTCACCCTGTTTTTTATGTTATAATCCTGGCTTTGGAACAAATCATAGGGATAATTTTATTACTTTCTCACTGTGCTTCTTCCTAAGCCAGTATTTTGTTTATGTCTAATAATAATCTTGTGATCAATGACAAATCGGTATTGTTTTCTATTTATGCATCACTGTGTAAGCATGGTAAAACTTGGACTATTATATACATATATATATATATATGTATAAAATCTTTAGACTTAGCATATGAACCTTTTGCAGCTCATTGCATTAGACGATATAATTTGCCAATATATCTAAAAGCAAGTGCATACATCTGTGTGCACGCTGTCTCACAAGTACTTTGCTGGTTCTAACTGCAGTAAATGATTTTCATTTCTTTCAATTCAAGTTTGTTTTTAAAACTCTCAGTAATGACTGCATCCTGCACTGAGAATTCATTGTGGCAAAGCACATCTGTACTGCACATTTGTGAGGGAGGCGGGACATGTAGAAGTTAATAGTATCAACTTCTTCGTTGGACAAAGCTACATTTGGGTCTTGTTCCCACCAATTTACAGTGTCTTGAGATTACATCTGTCTGTCTTGGGAAGTACCTCTGTACTTAAGAGTACCTCTGTTTTCTTGTATATCAAAGGGAGTAATATATGTACTTTTTAATATGCCTGATATAAAGTTGAAATGAGAGAATGTATTTAAAGTCTGGCACATCGTGTGGACAAGGAGGCCTAGAATTTGGAAGAACATATTTCCATAAGTTATATAGGCCAGGCATGACACTAATAATAGAAAGACTGATTGAAATTCTGTTTGCATAATAGTGAGACAAACAGGTAATGAAGTAAACAGACAGGGAGCATTCTTTCCCCTTTCCCACACTCTCTCCCAATGTAACCTGTGAAATAGTGAGCTAGAGAAATTGAGACGCAGGGCATCTCAATTCTAAGGTAAAGTTTAGAAATGAAAACATGATGAATATATCATATTCTACACACTGAAAGGTGGGGTTCCCTGTCCTCTTATTTTACCTGAGAATGACTGTAGCCATGCAGATAGTTCCAAAAGCTGGAGATTATAGGATTTTTTTTAGGATAAACCCAATAATCCCAAACAAAAGATACTGAGACTGGAGTGTTAGAATCCACACTGTATAAAACTGGCTCAAAATAAACACTATTGCATTGTGAGGTACCAATATCAACTGCCAGGGAACTAAAAAATAACTTTGGGAGGTTAAGTACACAATAGCTGAAAAAAATTAACAGAAAAATGTTAATCTAAATTTGAGGAAATTTTTCAAAAATATAATGAATTCAAAGAGATAGACATTGGTATAGAAAAGATTGGTGAATGAGAGAAAATAATCAGGAAGTCTTAGATCTAATGATTCAGAATTCAAAAAGAAAGAACAAAAGAAAACAGATGGAATATTATAAAAGAAATAAATAATTCAATAATACATTTCAGTATTAGAACACAAATCTTTGCATGAAAAGGACCATGAAGCAACCAGAACAATGAATAGAGGGTAGTGGGGAACTCGCACAAATGTACACTAAAATAAAATTTTACATAGCAAAACATAAGATCAAGGACCAAAAATTTCTTTAAAAAGCTGTATGCAAATTAATCAGATTGGTTTACATGCATTGAGAACAGCACTGGACTCTAGAAGACAGAGAGGAGTGCCTTTTTAATTTCCAAAGGTAGGAAAATGGACATGTTTCCTGGCATTCTATAGACAGCCAAACTATTAATAAGAGTAAGAGGAAAAAAAGAACCAAAACCTTTTGGCCATGTAAAATATCAAATAAATGTTTACCTCTATTTCAATATTTGTTATGAAGCTACAGATGCTATGTGATACCAAAATTATGGAGTAAACCATGAAAGAAAATGCAAGAAATGTAGGGAACAGGGGGTTTCACGGACAGGGCAGGAAAGAGAGTTTCCCTATGCTGCAGGTTTACTAAAGTTCCAGACTGAAGGACTCCGGGGGAAAAAGAAAAGAAGTAAGTTTCCAGATGCGTTTGAAAATAAATGGATTAGAATTGATAGGGCTTTTACTGATTTGAGGTAACTTCACTGTGGAGCTGTTAAAAAATTAAGCAAATGCACTTTGGGTTGCCGAGGTGGGCGGATCACGAGTTCAGGAGTTCGAGACCAGTCTGGCCAACATAGTGAAACCTCATATCTACTAAAAATACAATAAATTAGCCAGGTATGGTGATGTGCACCTGTAATCCTGTAACCCCAGCTACTCGGGAGGCTGAGGCAGGAGAATCGCATGAACCTGGGAGGCGGAGGTCGTGCCATTGCACTCCAGCTGGGTGACAGTGCGAGACTCTGTCCAAAAAAAAAAAAAAAAAACTAAGCAAATGAAGACATGCAAGGCATTTGTCAAATCTAAGGAAAACAAAATTTGTTCAAAGAAGAAACATATTATTTGGATATAGCAGGAAAAAGTATTTAAATAGTTAGAAAATGTATAAGGTAATTATTAATTTAACTAAGATATTGGTATAAAGTATTTATTTGGAGGAAGATAATAAATGGGTAAGTAGGTGAATAAGAAGAGTGACAGGGTTGAATATCCACCCATACACCATAATAGAAAACTAGTAGAACATTTCTGAGGCAGAAATACCATTTGACCCAGCAATCCTGTTATTGGGTATATACCCAAAGGAATATAAATCATTCTATTATAAAGATACATGCACACATATGTTCATCGCAGCACTGTTCACAATAGCAAAGACGTGAAACCAACCTAAATGCCCATGAATGGCAGACTGGATAAAGAAAAGGTGGTACATATACACCATGGGATACTATACAGCCATAAAAAGGAAGGAGATCATGTCCTTTGCAGGGACATGGATGGAGCTGGATGATGTTATCCTCAACAAACTAACACAGGCACAGAAAATCAAAAACTGCATGTTCTCACTTATAAGTGGGAGCTGAATGATGAGAACACAGGGACACATGGGGGGAAAAACGCACACTGGGGCCTGTTGGACTGTGAGGATGGGAGGAGGGAGAGCATCAGGAAGAACAGCTAATGGATGCTGGGCTTAATACCTAGGTGATGGGATGGTCTGTGCGGCAAACACCATGGCACAAGTTTACCTATGTAACCTGCACATCCTGACATGTACCCCTGAACTTAAAATGAAAGTTGGAGACCAAAAAACAAAACACCATAAAACTACAAAACTTCTTAAACAATAAACTAGTAGAAAATTTCTAAAATATATAATTCAAGAATTATATAAGAGCTCTTTTTATATGTAAATATAAATTTAAATACAAGAGAAACATCTAAAACAGGTTGCTTCTGAGAAACGTGACTGGTTATTAAGAAGAGGTATATAGGGGACATTTTCATAAAAAGGTTTGTAATAGAAATTGCTATTTTAAGTTTTCCACTGCTTGTATTAATTACAGTAATTGCTACTTATAACTTTTTTTTTACAGAGTGAAACCAGAAGTCCTGAAAGTTTAATAAATTCGCTAATGTCACTCAAATAATAAGTGAAAGGACCATAATTTACATCAGATCTGACACCAAAGTTCCGTACTCTCGATATTACACAGGGTTGTCAACAATTCCATATATGTATAGCTACCTTTACTCTTTCTCTGTTTTAGTATATAGTGTAGCATTATTTGCTTTCAGAGATACATTTGACCATTTAAGTTTGTCAATGCATTTATTATACTTTGTAGCCAGTTGTGATTTTTTAATTTATTTTCTCCAGATGGCTGTGTAATTTCAGAAGCCCTCCTCTTTCCAACCAATATGATAAGCGCATTAAAGTGAGCTCATTTTAAAGCCTGTTTTATTTTTTATTTTCTTAAAGTAAATTTTATTATGTATATTTGAGGCTTACAAAATGATGTTATGTGATAATTATATATAGTTAAATGGTTACTATAGTGAAGAAAATCGATATATCTATCATCTCACATAGTTACTTTTTTGTGAGAAGACAGCTAAAATCTACTTACTTAACAAAAACACCAAATGCAATACAGTTGTATTAACTATAGTCCTCATGTTCTACCTAGATCTCTAGATTTGTTTATTGTACATATCTGCTACTTTGTGTTTTTTGACCCACATCTATCTCCCCATTTCCTCTTCTGTGACCCCACCCCAGTACATATCTGCTAGTTTGTGTCTTTTGACCCACGTGTATCTCATTTCCTCCTCCCTCCCTCATACCTGGTAACCACAGTTTATTCTCTATTTCTGTATATTTAAACTTTCTTTTAATGATACCAAATTGAAGTGAGATTATGCAATATTTTCTTTGGATATCTGGCTTATTTCACTTAATATCTTCTAGGTCCAGTCATGTGTGGCAAATATCTTCTAGGTCCAGTCATGTGTGGCAAATGGCAGGATCTCCTTTTTAAAAGCTGAATAGTATTTCATTGTATTATATATACCACATTTGCTTTATCTATTTGTCTTTCAGTGGGTCTTGAGGTTGTTTCCATATTTTGGCTCTTGGGAATAATGCTGCAATGCACATGAGAGTGAAGGATGTCTTTATGAGGTGGTGATTTCATCTCCTTTGGGTATGCACCCCAAAGAGGGATTGCTGAGTTATATGGTAGTTTTATTTTTCTTTTATTTAGGAAGCTCTATACTGCTTTTCACAATGGCTGTATCAACCTACATTCCCATTAACAGTGTCCTGGGGTTCTCTTTTCTCTGTACACTCACCAACTTTTATTATGACTTGTCTTTTTGATAACAGCCATACAAATGGGCTTAAGGTGATATAGAAGTTTTAATTTGTATTTCCCTTGATTAGTGATGTTGAGCACCTTTTCATATATCTGTTGGACATTGTTATGTTTCCTTTGGAGAAATATCTGTTCAGGTCCTTTGCCCATGTTTAAATCGGTTTTTTTGTTTTGTTTTGCTTTTCTGCTGTTGAGTTGTAAGAGTTCTTTATAAATTTTGGATATTAACCCCTTATCAGATATGGGGTTTGCAAACATTTTTCCCAGTTTGTAGGTTGATTTTTCATTTTGTAGATTATTTTCTTTGCTTCACAGGAGCTTTTTAGTTTGCTGTAGTCCTGTTCAGGTATTTTTGCTTTCGTGGACTGAACTTTTGGTGTAATATCTTAGAAATCATTGCCAAGGCCAATGTCAAGGAGCTTTTTCCCTTATCTGTTCTTGGAATTTTATGGTCATACATTTAGAGCCTTTATTCATTTAGAGTCGATTTTTGTGTATGGTAGTCCAATTTCAATTTTTTTTTGCCTGTGAAAATCCTGTTTTCTCAGCATCATTTACTTAATAAACTATTTTCCCATATTATGTTCACTTGATGTCCTTCTCAAAATTATATATATGTTTGGGTTTATTTCTGGACTCTCTGTTCTGTTCCATTGGTTTTTGTTTCTATTTTTATGACAGTACCATACTGTTCTGAGTACTGTAACTTTGTAATACAATTTTTAACCAGGAATTTTGATGCCTCCAACTTTGTTTCTCTTCCTCGGTATTTCTTTGTCTATTCAGGGTTTTTTTTAGTTCTGAATAAATTTTGAGGCTTTTTTTTCTATTTCTGTGAAAAATGCCATTGGAATTCTGATAGGGACTGCATTGAATCTATATATTACTTTGTGTAGTATGGACATTTTAACAATATTAATTCTTTTGATCCATGAACATGGGATAGCTTCCTATTTCTTTGCGTCTTTAATGTTTTCAGCAATATTTTATAGTTTTCAGTGTGCAAATCTTTTACCTACTTGAGTAAATTTATTCATAATTAATATTTTTGCTTTGATTCTATTATAAATGGGATTGTTTCTTTTTCAGGTAGGTTGTGTGTAGAAATGCTACTGATTTTTTTATGTTGATTTTGTATTCTGAACCTTCACTGAATTCAGGTATTAATTCTAACAGTTTTTTTGTGTGTGGAGTATTTGGGGTTTTCTACATATGGAATTATCTCATCTGTAAATACAGATAATTTTACTTGTTCCTTTCTGATTTGGATGCCTTTTATTGCTTTTTCTTGTCTGATTGCTTTTGCTAGTACTTCCAGTACTATGTTGAATAGTAATGAGTGCCAGTTTCAACTGGACATAAAAACAAATGAAGATTTTCCGAATATTTCTTCCCCTTGTTTTTCTGTCCCTCATACCCCTCTTACTGGGACAACATATTTGCACTGTCTGTGGGGGTTCTTGCTTGACATAAATGTTGCTGGACAGAGAAAGTCCTTTCAGTGGCCTGTTTTAGAAAGGATGTCTGAATACATTTTTCAAGGTAATTCAGAATAATTGAGTTTTATATCATGGAACACCCGTTTTCTATTTAAGACTTGGTCCTCTGTAATATTTTTTTCTTTTCTTTACTTCTCTCTATCAAAACAGAGTCCAGTTCTCAGTAATGTATCTTTCCAAGTAGTGTCTCTCTTTTTTATACTGAGTATAATGACATATTTATTTGAGAAAGATTCAATAAATATTGGGTTAGGAGGACAAAAATTAGTGTTACTCCAAACCAAAAAGTTCACATTAACATTACTTCCATGAAATATTAACCATAATTCTTGACTTTGTAATTTGTAACAATGTATTTTCTCTGCAAACGCTAAGGAAATGATATTTGTTGTGATATAAGCTCAGCTATGAATGGCAAAGACCTACAATGACAGGCTGCTTGAGTAAGATAGGATCATTTATTTTTTCCTTCCACTTGTAAAAATACAAGTGGTTAAGGCAATTGCACTTCATGAAGTCATCAGGATCCCAGACTTCTTGAATCTTATTGCTCTGATATTCCCAATGCTGATGACCCTAGATGTCTGTCACCACTCTATCAGCAGTATGTCTGACAGAAAGAAAAAGGAGGGGTGTGCTCCCCCTTTGAAGGCAAGACCCAGAAGTGGATACAGTTTGTCTCATATCTCGTTAGAGTCAGGGCCACACTTAGCTATAAAGTGGTCAGGGAAATGTAGTTCTTATTCTGCATACTGTTGTGTCCATCTGAAAATCCCAATCATTATGAACAAATTGGAGTCAATTTGTAGTCTTGATCTCAGAGAATGATATTTTATATTCAAAAATGTCTTGGGGAACATTTTAGTCATGAAACAAGTAATCAGTAAAGAGCATATACTGGAAATATATATTCTATATACATGTAAATCTATATATAATGCAATGGATTATATGGGGTATAGGAGTAGGTGGGAGACAGCTATAGTTAAAGGACAAAGCTTCTGTAAACAGAAAAGTGACACTAGTTAGTACTATGGTGAACAGTTTGAAGATTTTCCCTGGCTGAATCGGAAGCACCAGAATAAAGCTTAGATTAGAATTGCTCTTGGATGTGTAAATTGCCACAATTACTTTGAGAATAATTAGCAGTACCTCCTGAATTTAGATAGCATATATCCTTTTGACCAACAATTTGGACATACTAGCACATTTGGGAACTACATATGCCCAAAGATATTGACTATATTACTTTTATTTGGTAACAAAAAGTGGGAAACAACTTAAATTTCTATCACCAGGTTAAACAAATTAAGATAAATTTACAGAAAGGAGTAGCAAGTAATTGCTATCAGTAAAAAGAATGAGGATGGTCTTTACCAATAGTCATGAAGAGATTTCCAGAAGAAATTTAAAAAAGCAAGAACAAAATATAGAGCAGTGTGTATGGTGTTGCTACCATTGGTATAAAAATGGGAATGTATATAATTCAGTTGCATGTGTATTACACATTGGAAACTACAGAAGTAGGTGCAAGGGGATTAGAGGTGAGGAGAACTTTCCCCCATATGTACTTTAGTTTGAGATTTTAAATTTGCCACTATGTTAAAGATAGTTTAGAAAGAAGTTGGCTCTTTGCTAAACGAAGGTTGAAATGGTTTAAGTACAAAGTGTTAGTCAGAGTCAAGAATAAAATGCAAAGGAAAACAGGTTTTTAATTTATGTGCGACTTCAATGTTAATACTTTTGATTCTTTTTACTTTCATATTTGTGTGTAGATATTGTGGGAAAAATGAATTTTTTTCCTTCTTTCTTGATAAGCATTTTGATAGAGAGCTTACTTGATAAATAAAAGGTATTTCAAACCAATAAAATTTTCAGGACCAAACAAAAGACACAACTTTTAATTAGAAAATTTTATGTAAGCCTAAAAAATAAAAATGCTTAATGTAGGAAACTAATTATAGGTGAAAAACACAATTGAATATTGTACAATACCAATCAAGTTTTAGAACATGAAGGTATAAAGTTCAAAATAAAATTATTTTGATAAGATTTCAAATTAATGTTTTGGGCTAATTCTAACCCTTGGAATTGATTTTTTTTCACTTAAATTAGATACTTGGCAAATTAGAATCTTCATGTGAGGTATTCACAATCCAATGCTATGAAGAATCTTTTAGCAGAGCCATATAAAACATACAGAACTCTTTTATACATATGTGTCCTGTGGAATAGCCATTCTTTTGAAGGGTTAGATACTTAGAAGTGAGGCATTAGGTTGTTTTATTTCCTATTTCAGTTTCCATAGCCTTGATATGTGACCTTAGGCAGTAACTTAACTTCTGTGTCATCATTATTTAGACTTTCTCTAAAACTCCGCAAAATTATCTTAACATAGCAAATTCTTTGTTTTTTTTATGCCTTGTAATTGATCATTAAACACAATAGCTACTTGACCATATGAATAAAATAAAATAAAAAAACAGGTTATAGGAGAGGAACATTCTAAGCAATTATACATATTCTAATTCTAATAATAAAACATTCTAATAATTTTAAGGAATGATACGTGTAAGAATGTATATGAATGTAAAAGTATGCATGTAGGGTAGGGTAAAGGCAAGGACGCAATCTACAAAATACAAAACCCAGGCCAATTAGAAAAGCAAAAATCATGCAAGATATGCAAATGTTTCCAAATTGAAACACCATCTAAATTAGAAAACTGAAATAATAGCTGCTATTTATTAAGCGTTTTGTGTACCAAACGCTACTGGTTCTTTTACATATGCACTACCTAATATAAGTCCCCAACATTTTTGTAAAACATTAATAATTCTGATATTTTGTGTATATACACACAAATGTATATAAGAGAAATACACACACACACACACACACACACACACACACACACACTCAACTTGGAGATGTTAAGTACTTCACTCACATACTCCTAACTAGTAGGCAGTAGAGTTGGTATTTAAGACTGTGTCTGACTCCCAAGTCCTTAAAGCTACCCTTGTCTGCCTGTGTTTATACAGTTTCCCATTTGTGTAACGTTGTCAGTTATGAAATAGAAATCAGATTTGAATCACACTTTATCAAATGGATGTCCACTATGATTAACATTTGCAAGGTGTTGGAAATTTTGAAATGTAAATTACAATAGTATATCTTTTACCAGAGGCAATCTTTAGCTTCTTATTGTTTTAAGTCTCACAATCTCAAAGATGACTAGCAAATAAAGGCTTTATATTAAGAAGAATTTATAGGCCAGGTGCAGTGGCTCACGCCTATAATCCTAGCACTTTGGGAGGCCAAGAAGGGCAGATTAGCTGAGATCAGAGTTCAAGGCCAGCCTGGCCAACATTGTGCAAACCCCGTCTCTACTAAAAATACAAAAATTAGCTGGGCGTGGTGGTGCATGGCTGTAATCCCAGCTATTCAGGAGGCTGCGGCAGGAGAATTGCTTGAACCCAGGAGGCAGAGGTTGCAGTGAGCTAAGGTTGTGCAGTTGCACCCCAGCCTGGGTGACAGAGTGAGACTCCATCTCAGGAAAAAAAAAAAAAGAATATAGATGAGCAAACATAACTCATATTCTCCATTATTGAGTTGTACTAATTCATTGGACAAAATTGATTGAACCAGGCAGTGTGCTGAAAACTGCATCTTATTTATGCTTTTGATAAAGGTGTGCTTAATTGTGTCAGCCTTGTTACAAGAATATGTTAGAGGAGCACAGATATCATAAGCAAGGATACGTGCTATAATAGAGAGAGTTCTCATCTAGAACCGAGGAGAATGGTATTATTTGCTCATTCTCTCTACCTGTGTTATTTTATTCTCCAAAAGCCCCAAATAAAATTCCTGTGTTTAAATTAATTAATCATTTTGGGCTTTGAACAAGCACAAAAATTAAATTAGGTAGGTGTCTAAGTAGGAAGGAATAAGCAAAATCATTTGGGTATAAAACCATGAATCTGCCTTTAAAGGGATGTATTAACCTGTTGAAAAAAATACATGACAGGGGAGTCACTGAATGTTTTCTTGTGTCACAGTGACTATAACCTTACGGTCGACTTATGTTTGTTTGTTTTAATGCATATTGGTTTCTACAAAGCTAAATTTATGTTATAAAAATTATTCTACTTTACACATCTAAAGTAATGATCACTGTCTGTCAACTCTCTGGAGCACTAGTTTTTCTCTGACTTTGAGACATAGGATAGGTGCTTTTCTGATTTTAATTCCTTCTATTTTAAATATAGTTATAGGTTCTATATCATATCTGAGAAAACTGAGGCTTAGAGGGTAAGGAACTTCCTCAACGTTCAAGTTAGTTGAGGAGTAGAACCTATAATCAGAACTGACATCAGGCCAGGTGTGGTGGTTCACGTCCATCATCCCAGCGTGTTGGGAGGCCAAGGTGGATGGATCATTTGAAGCCAGGAGTTTGAGACCAGCCTGGCCAACATGGTGAAACCCCGTCTCTGCTAAAAATACTAAAATTAACCAGGCATGTTGGAGCATGCCTGTAGTCTCAGCTACTCAGGAGGCTGAGGCAGGAGAATTGCTTGAACCTGGGAGGCAGAGGTTACAGTGAACCTAGATTGTGCTACAGCATTCTAGCCTGGGCAACACAGCAAGACTCTGTCTCAAAAAAAAAAAAAGAACTGACTTCAAAATAATGTCATAGATACAGAGAAGTTGCAAAGGAGGGAAAATAAATCTGTTTTCTAAGTGAAGTTTGATATATGCAGTATTAATATTTTTTGCTTAAGAAATCAGGACTATTTTGATAAAATTAAATTTTGACCTGAGGCTTGAGCAACACAATTTCAAAAACTGACAAAAGGACTGTATCTCAAATGTCAATAAGTTGTCAGTGATTTAACAGTACCTAAATACTTTTTTGTGGGGTCCCAGTCTCTGTTATATGCAGATCTCCACCTCCCACCCCAAGTAAAACAAAATATATCAGATTTTTCAATAATTCATTCCTATGCAAACCAGTCATTGTCTTGACAATTGATTTTGACTTCAACAATGTAATATATATAAAGAGAGAGAGAGAGAGCAGAAGCAAATGCAGCCTGCCTTTCCTTAGCTTACTAAATTGTCGAATCAAAACAATGGAGAGAGGCAAAAAAAAATGTATAAAGCAGGTGGAATAGTATTGAGCTTATGGAGGAGTAGAAAGTGAAAGATAACTTGCCAATTGATTTGAAAACATGGATCGAGGCTGAGAAACTCCTTACTTGAGTAGGATTTGAAACGGCGTCTCCTAGTCTTTTCTAGCTTTAACAGCTGTTTGTAAAACCCCTCATCCGTGTTTCTAACAAGTACTGCTTCCTGCTACAGGTCGATACATACAGTAATTCTCCTACTTGCAGCCAAAAGTATTTTTCTGGAGAGTTCTGTCTTTCTGATGGTAAAGTACAAAGTCAGGTGTTATGATCAAGGGGTGGCTGGCACCATCTCCAATACTGTGACGTTACATGTACGATTTAATGGTTCCCTCTCTTCAGTTTCCTCCTCTGCAAAATGAAGGTGATAATTTTTACCTAATAAGATCTTGCAAGCAAACCATGAAGTCAGTGTGTGAAACAAGTAGCCCAGCACTTAGAAAGGACCGTGGCCTCCAAATCTGAGTTATGTCTTAGCATTTCTGAGACTGTCTTCTGTTCAGTGTGTACATTTATGACATCTTTTTGAGGGGGAAACATTTTATATTCGATTCATATGGTCCAAGTTCTGTGGCAATTAGAATGGCGATATAGTAGAAAGTACTAAATAAGCAACAATAATGAACTAGGTGCAATGAATACTTCCCTTACCACCATTATAAAGGAAAAAAAAAAAAAGAAAAATGCCTTTCTAAAGTAACCTTGCCTCACCTAATAAGCGTGGCAGAGATTCCGTGCACCTGTGACTGAAAAGTGTTTCCTACCTCTTGTTTATTCCAGAAGTATACTGTTTTTTTATTTTCATTTTTTATTATACTTTAAGTTCTAGGGTACATATGCACAACATGCAGGTTTGTTACATAAGTATACATGCGCCATGTTGGTGTGCTGCACCCATCAACTCGTCATTTACATTAGGTATATCTCCTAATGCTATCCCTCCCGCCCCCCCTACCCTACGACAGGCCCTGATGTGTGGTGTTCCCCGCCCTGTGTCCATGTGTTCTCATTGTTCAATTCCTACCTATGAGTGAGAACATGTGGTGTTTGATTTTCTGTCCTTGTGATAGTTTGCTCAGAATGATGGTTTCCAACTCCATGCATGTCCCTGCAGGAAACAACAGATGCTGGAGAGAATGTGGAGAAACGGAAATTCTTTTACACTGTTGGTGGGAGTGTAAACTAGTTCAACCATTGTGGAAGACAGTGTGGCGATTCCTCAAGGATCTAGAACTAGAAATACCATTTGACCCAGCAATCCCATTACTGAGTATGTACCCAAAGGATTATAAATCATGCTACTATAAAGACACATGCACACGTATGTTTATTGCAGCACTATTCACAATAGCAAAGACTTGGAACCAACCCAAGTATACTGTTATTTTTTATCTAAATTCTGAAATTAAAGTTCATTTAATAACTGCTCCTGCTCTTCTAGTTGTTCAGGCAGACAGTGAATGGGGAGATTTCTAGCCATACAACCATAGTGAGTAGATATTGTTGGTTTGGCATAGCCATAAATATATACCAAATTAAGAAGATTATTTTTAAATATGTCAGCTGCACCATTCTTTTTCCAGGTTTGTGAGAAAATTTTTACTTATAATGCATAGTTTTGGCTTCAGATTCACATTTTTATTTGATTATGATTGAGACCCCAGAAGAAACAATTAAGAATCACATAGTCTGGGTTT
Organism: Homo sapiens; assembly: GCF_000001405.40. Classification (NCBI taxonomy): domain Eukaryota; kingdom Metazoa; phylum Chordata; class Mammalia; order Primates; family Hominidae; genus Homo; species Homo sapiens. Next base: position 107,692,584 of record NC_000013.11, on the reverse strand, counting down.
CTTTAGCAGCAAGTATAACACGTTAATCCATAAATAGCCAGAATTAAAGTAATTTCTAGATTGCTTCAAGCTGGGCCAGATTGGCATAATATAAAGTCAATTTAGATTTGATTTCTCAAGAAAATTGAGGTTTTAAATGAAAAAAAAAGTTTGTGTTTGGCTACATTGTGTATCTGTATCAAAATATAATTCCCCATAGATTGCTTTAACAAATTCATTTTTTTTTCACACAGAACTAATATTTCAAAAACTTGCCATTCTATTTTAGATGTACTAAATTCAGGTATTCAATGTTGATCAAAGGAAGCTAGGAAAATTGGCATTAATTGCAACCCATTCTCACTAGAGTCTAATTTGAAAAGAGATGAATTAGGCTTTTAATTTATTTTTGAACTTTTCATATTCAAAATCAACAATTAATGATTTTAAGTAATAAGAATGTTCCATAAATCTTAATATGTCTCATCTGCTCATCTCTTCTTAATGTAAGTAATTATGGTTGATGTGGTGAGTCGTATTCTCATTTGTCCGTAAGATTTTATTTGCTTCATTTGTTCATTCATTCAGAGATTTAAGAAACATTTATTGAACAAGAACAATATATTAATGTCTGTTCTCAGAGATTAAGATAAAAAGAATAGATATGATATATGTCATGTCTTCAGTTGTTCCACAAAATAATGGAGAGTTTAGTGTTGTGGCTTAAACAGTTTTTAAGAAAACATACATCTTCTCCAAATCTTGTTTAAACCTACCTTGCATTTGTTTATTTTATTGACATACTCTTTTTGTTATTTTTGTACATTATTCTTTGTTTTTACAGAATCTTTAGACTCTTCTTGACTATTATTTTTATTCGTATGACCTTTTTCTCATTTTCACATTGGTGTAATATATCACAAAAACCATCAAAGCACAACATTCATATATAGTATATGAGAATAAATTGCACAGTATAAATGGATTTTAGATACTTGCTCCTGTCAATATTCAGTTGTTAATTTGTTGCTGTCCTATTTGACTTTGAACATATGGTGTTAAGAAAAACTGATTTCTGTGCATGTGAGAAGGAAGATGACCTGTTTTTGCTTTGATTCAGATCTCAAAGGCAAAGGGCGTGTGGGCCATATCCTTACAATCTGATTCAGTCCGTATCGATCATCAGAAGGAAAGTATGTCCTGGGATACTTTATCAGTTTCCTAGGGCTGCTGTAGCGAAGTGTCACAAACTGAGTAGCTTGAATAACAGAAGTGTATTGTCTCATGGCTCTGGAGACTGGGAAGTCCAAAGTCAAGGTGCTGGCAGGGTTGGCTCCTTCTGAGGCGGTGAGGAGAATCTGTGCTGCTCTCCTCTCCAGGCTTCTGGCCATTTGCTGGCCATGTTTGGTATTCCTTGGCTTGCAGAAGCATCACCTCAATCTCTGCCTTCATCTTCATTTGACATTCTCACTGTGTATGCATCTGAGTCCAGATTTCCCCTTTTATAAGTGATATTGGTTATAAAGGATTAGAAGACCACCCTGTTCCAGTGTGACCTTATCGTACCTTGACTAACTGAATTTACGAAGTAAGTTAAAGTTCTGAGGTTCTTCAACATATTAATTTTAGGGGAGGGACACAATTCAACCCATAACAGATTATGAATTGCATTGGCTCAGATTTATGTAAAGCTAAATAGATTTTCCACATCACCGTAAGAATGCATGGGTGAACTCTATTATTGCCATCATGTTTTGAATGTACCTTCTCCATGACTGTTAGAAACTCTGCACGAGCGTTTATAGCAGGAATAATGAAATTTCCCTCATTCTTTCTTCATCCTCCTCAATGCATCATTCGATCCTTTGGTTAAGACATCATTCAGAAACTCATCAATCATTCCTCTCCCATCTCCTTCAAAGTGTTTGTTCTGACCATATTTAGTAAACTAGTCTAAAAGATATTTTTATTTCCATTAACACTCTATCCTACCTTGAGATAGTATCATTGCTCTCTAGCTTTCATTTCCTAAATTTTAAGATGAGCATTCTCAGTGTACAGAGTTGATCTGTTCCACTTAAACAAAGTAGCTGTAAATCTGCCCCAGGAGACAATGCAAAAACCACTTTAACTCTCTGAACAAACGTAAAATCTATCATTCCAGATGTCCTACATTGAATTCTCCCTGGGGAAGTCAAGTCCTGGAAACTTTTAGATGTTACTGAACTTGTTAATTGCACACTAAGAATGTGATGTTCCCTAATTTGCATCCTTTCTCTGCCAACAAAACACTGTAACTCTTTTTCTTTTCTTTTTGAATTGTAAACATTCTCATTTGAAGCTTCGAGTGCATTAACCCTTAAAGCATAATGTCATGGCTAAGTATGGAGTTAGGAGCACAGCAGAACTGGATAACAGTCTCAGTGCAGTTTCTTCTTTATTCTAACTCTCAAACAGTTCTCTAATTCTTCTCTTTTTTCATATTCTTCATGTGTAAAAAATATAGGAACAATAAGACTTACTTGCAAGGATTGCTTTAAGTGTTAAATCGGCTAAATTTAACAGTGAAAGGCAATTAATATACATTTAGCTCCTTTCTTAAACTTTCTTGCATAATTTGTTCACTGTCACTTACTTAAATGCTAAAGTTAAATGGTAATTACATAAAAAAGGTGCAAGTTAAGCTCTAGTTATATCTGCAGGGAGCTATATTGTTTGTAACTTAAAGTCTTTATGAGATGTTACTTTTGATTATGTCTTCAATTTGCCAAAGGGAATGAAGACAAATAAATAAAACTAAGTTAAGAAGCAGAGCCTGAAATGTTTTCAAAGTTGCCATAACTCATTCACTTACACATACCAAGAATCTTAAGACTTTTTCTAGAAGAAAAACGTATTTTTATTGGCATCACTGTCCCATTCCCAGATTCACATGGAGAATTTGAAAATCCCCCAATTATATTTTTTTCCAAAAATATCTGCCATGACTCTGATGTCTGGTTTTTAAAAATTAAGTATTTCAATATTATTATTTTTAGAGTTCAAATTTAGGCTCACACAACAGTCTCTTGAAACTCCATTTGGCCAAGGTCCATATAACCAAGGTATAATTCTTTACAGTGTCAATTTATTACCAAAACTGTTTTAATTTCATTTCTGAGAAAGCAACTACAAAAATTCAACTCCAGTGTGATTCTTGATTTACTAGGATCCTAAAAAGAAAGTAGTCAAAAATTATGGATTATATCATATCAATTATTTAAAAACTGTCATAAAACGTAGTCAGTAGCATCTGAGTACAGGAAAAGAGAAAAGAGACGAGAAAAAAGAAGAAGGAGACAAGGTCGTTGGAAGAGGGCGAACAGATGAAGGACAGAGTCAGAGAAGGTGAAAAGTACTGGCTGGGTTGAGTTGAGAATCTGCCTACTAGCGCGCAGATCTGGTTCTTGCACCGCTGTGACTCCGGGCAGGGTGACTTCTCCCTGGTTGTTGACAAGGGGAATACAAAAAATATCTCCCCAGGGAAGCCAGCTGTCTGATCAGCCTTCCTGTCCAGTCCATGACAGAGCAGAATCCTAAACTCCTGGAGCTGGGTCTCTTTGTTCCGTGCCATTTGTCCTTCGACACCATTTAAAATGTGCCCTCCTGCTTCTCATCACCATCATCCTCGCCAGTGACCTCCGTTTCGAGACTCTTGTCTGCAGCACTTTGGTGTCATTTTCATTAGGTAATGCATTTCGGTCACCTGACCCAGGAGCCACATTTCTGCCAACCTCTGCCTCTGACCTCTATGTATTCAGAGAGGGATTTCGCCCATGCATTGAAATTTCTGATTCAGTTCTCTGGCAATAGGTCCGTGGTCTTTGGAGGTAGGACTGCTTCGACATGAACCCTGGAATGGCACAGAGATACACTGTCTTTGACACCCCCTGTGGGTTTTCCCCTGAAAAATCTTTCCTATATAGAAAAAAAGAAGTCTTGTTTTATTTTATTGGAAAACTGCTTTAGAATTTTCATTCCTCACCCTTTTTTTCTTTTTCCTGTTAAGTTCTAAAAACAATTGAAAAGGGCTTTGCCATGCACATCTGACACATTTTATACTGTTCAAAACATAGTTATATATTTTTCTATAGCTGGTATTTCTGTGATTATTTAAAGCTCATCCAATTTAACAGAAATGTCATATAATTTGAATTTAGTAACGTTAAGCTTGTCAGTACTCAGAGTAAAATCCTACCATATGTCCGTGTAAAAGGTTTTTAAACTTACAGTAACATCAGGTGGGAAAAATTGTTGGGAACACAAACTCTGGGGTCTGCTTCCTAGGTTTGACACTTGGGGCCACATGTAATATCTCTCTAGCCTTGGGGAAGTTAATGAACTATTCTGAGCCTCCACCTTCATAGCCATAAAGTGCACATAATAACAGTGCCTGTGTCATTAGATTTAAGTGAAAATGATAAGAGAATGTGGTTAAGACATTTAGCACACATTTACCACATATAAGGCAATGCATAATTGTTAGTCACTATTATAATTAATAATAGTAGTAGTGTTTAGAATTTTTTTAGTTAATATTGTTGTACTTTATTTTTAAAATGTTAAAGTTCTATGCCAGTATTCTGTTGAGGAATGTTATTGTTTTGAAAATTAAATATATTTTTGCCTAATTTTTGGTTTTGGGATTTCAGGCATTTTTCCCAGTGCTGTTCCAAAGACATCTCTGCACTGATGGAGATGCTCTGTGTCCATGGCAGCCATGTGCTACATGTGGCTACTGAGCACTTGACATATGGCTAGTGCAATTGACAATCTGAATTTCTAATTTTATTTCACTTTTTAGTATAAATGTTGTGTGGGTGATACTTATACAGAGTATTTCATCTGAGAAACTGAAATAGCTACATGTCACTAGTGCCCACAGTATTGAACAGTGTTGCTCTAGGCAACTCGTTTTGCTAAAGTAGGTAAAATTATTATCCCAATTCAATAAGAATATATAAGACATAAGACATATCACTGTAATTAATTTCCCTACACTTCGGTTTGTGACCCATCTTCTTTTCTTTTTTGGCTCCCAGGTGATGTGTGTGTGTGTGTGTGCATGTGCACTGGATCAATTTCTTTCTTTTTTTTTTTTTCTTTTTAGATTCACGGGGGTTACATATGCGGGTTTGCTACATGGGCATATTGAGTGATTCTGGAGTTTGGGCTTCAGTTGAACTCGTCACCCAAATAGTGAACATAGCATCCAAGAAGTAGATTTGCAGCCCTTCCCCCTCCCTCCTTCCCTCCCTCCATCCAGACTCTTGGAGTGCCCAGTGTCTGTTGTTTCCATCTTTATGTCCATGTGTGCCCACTCTTGAGCTCCCACTTATAGCTGAGAACAGTCAGCATTTGATTTTCTGTTTTTGCATTAATTCACTTAGGAAAATGGCCTCTAGCTGCATCCATGTTCCTGCAAAGGACATAATTTCATTTTTTATGGCTACATAGTATTCCATGGTGTATATGCACCATATTTTCTTTATCCAATCATCCATTGATGGACGCTTAAGTTGATTCCGTGATCTTGTTATTGTGAATAAGGCTGCAATAAACATAGGATTGCAGGTGACTTTTTGATTAAAACTATTTCTTTTCTTTTGGATGGATACCCAGTAGTGGAATTGCTGGGTCAAATGGTAGATCTATTTTTAGTTCTTTGAGAAATTCCCATACTGTTTTCCACTGGGGTTGAACTAGTTTACATCCCTTCCAGTAGCATATAAGTGTATCCTTTTCTCCACGCCCTCACCAACATCTGTTATTATTTTGACTTTTTATTAATAGCCATTCTGACTGGTATGAGATGATATCTCATTGTGGTTGTAACTTGCATTTCTTTGATGATTGTTATATTGAGCATTTTGTCACGATTGTGGGCCGTTGTATGTCTTCTTTGGAGAAGTACCTGTTAATGTTGATAATGTGACCTATTTTCCAAGAGATCAAGACCATCCTGGCCAACACGGTGAAACCCCGTCTCTACTGAAAGTACAAAAATTAGCTAGGTGTGGTGGCATGTGCCTCTAGTCCCAGCTACTCGGGAGGCTGAGGCAGGAGAATTGCTTGAACCTGGAGGTGGAGGTTGCAGTGAGCCAAGATTCCACCACTGCACTCTAGCCTGGCGACAGAGTGAGCCTCCGTCTCAAAATAATAACAATAATAATAATAATAATAATAAATAAATAATAATGTGACCTATTTTCTAAAACAAAAACATACAGTTGCTTGATTATACTGTGGGAAGATTCAGAGACTTTCAATCATGTGAAATTGAACTTCCTACCAGGTGGGCGCTTCCCTACCCTCTGCCTTCATCTGAAACCTGTCACCCACTTGCTGTCTCCCCTATACTCCCAGCTTGCTTCTACCATACTACAGGAGAAACCATTCTGGAAAGTTCTTCCCCAGACATTTCCCTGGCTTTTCCTGTGGTCCTCATTCAACCCTTAGCATTTCAGAGGCTGGCCCCCGGCCCCCGCCGTCCTCCCCTCGAGGCCCAGCTGCTCCACCCTTGCTTGCTCTGCCGCTTCTTCACATCAGCCTATTTTATGTTCTTCATGGCACCATCGTAAATGATATTTGTAGCTTATCTGTTTGTTATATTCTGCCCTTCTCCTATCTAGAAAGTAAGTCTTGTATGAGAGGAACCTATCAACATACACACCACGGAACACCGAGGACTCAGAACAGAGTCCGTAGAGACTCCCTGCTCAAAATATCCTGCTCAAAACATGAATCCACAGGGGAATTTAATCATTTGCATTTCTGCACTTTGCATTCACGAATCAATCACCCCTTTTCCTTCCATGTTGCTGCTCTTTATTAGGTCTGAGTTTAGCACATTTAGAGATCCATCGATCCATTCAAGAGCTACTGCTGAAACAAAATTCAACTTTGGTCAAGATAAAATTTTCTCTTTAAAATCAATATATTCCATGTCATAAAAGACTGCTCTTCATTTCAAGTTACTAGCATTCTGTGCTTGAATTCCAACATATGTTTTTCTATATAATCTTTTAATCATTTTAAAAAAGATTTTATCTTTTATTCATTACTATATAATTTTTAATTATTTGAAAATGATCAATTATTTAACAATAATCGTGTTAAATTAAAACCAATTCAGTAAGACTCATCATTCCCCTACCCTACCTTTGGTAGTATTGTGGAAACAAAAATGCTAAAGTGGGAGTTTGTATCCTTAAAAAGCCTTCTTGTTTTTGTTTTTTTGTTTGTTTTTTTCCTGAGACGGTGTCTCGCCTTGTCACCCAGGCTGGAGCAATGGCACAGGTCTTGGCTCACTGCACCCTCGGCTTCCTGGGTTCAAGCAATTTTCCTGCCTCAGCCTCCTGAGTAGCTAGGATTACAGGTGTGCGCCACCACGCCTGGCTAATTTTTTGTATTTTTAGTACACATGGGGCTTCACCATGTTAGCCAGGCTGGTCTCGAACTCCTGACCTCCTGATCCGCCTGCCTTGGCCTCCCAAAGTGCTGGGATTACAGGCGTGAGCCACTGCACCCAGCCTTCTTGTTTTTAACTAGGAAGGAAGATGAGACGGTCACCAGTAACTACGGTAGATGACCTGGTCCCCAGACTCACAGGAGTCCTGGGGAAATGAAGCCCCAATTAGCAATGGGAAGGAAAGGGTGTAACTAGGTGGCAAAGGCATTTCTGGGTGTTAAGGAACATTCAGGATTAATATTGCCAGTTATTCAAAGAGAGGGATAGGTGTTATTTTAATTAGGAACTTTACACCAAATTGAAGATATTTGTCAACATCTGTGCGTGTTGATAAGTACTGAGTTTTCCCAAAATTCCTCATTGTTGTTAGCTAAGTAATTCACTAGAGATAACTGAACTGAAATGATAGGTTTTTTTCATGTCTTTCCAATTAAAAGGGTTCCACCAGCCAGAGAGTCTATTGTCAGTATTCTATTTTAGAAAAGTGTGTTCCAAAGTTAAATTGGGGATGAAAGGAACATTGGGCAGATAATTCTTTCCTGGCCCACTCTATCCCCAGAGTCCTCCTGGGTACTCTCTGATTCCACTTGGGACTCATCCCTCCTGCAGCAAATCATATTTATCTAGGATTGCTGAGGACGATCATGTTAATATTACAGTAGCTGACTTTAAATGATTGTAGGAAAATGTGAGACTGAGATCCTCTCAGCTTCCTATTTTTGTGGAGCTGCCAAATGCCAAAGCAAGTATGACACTCGTTTCCTCTTCCTGACCTTTCACATTTACACAGGGAGTGGCATCAAGAAACTCTTCTGAGACCCCTTAGCAAGGTCAAGGATAAGAAAGAAGATTCAGAAAGGAGCGAGGTGCTCCCCTGCACCCTTTGTGAAGTGATGAGCTGGGGGTTAATCTTCCTGCGGGTGCTGGAGGTTGGTAAAACAGAGCGCTGAGAGGTGGATTCTGCGTTTGGGAGCCACAGATGGCTGGTGGCTCGCCCTTGCCTGGAATGTCAGGAGGGCTGTGGCCTGAGGTGCAGGTGCCCTGAATCCGGAGTGCTCTGGGCAGCCGAGATGGGGAACAAATGGATGAAAGGATGCTTTGGAGGTGGCTCCAGGGTTGGCCTATTGCCAGAGTTTGTGGAGCAAGGACATTTGAGTACTTTTCCTGCAGGAGATCTGGGCCATACAGGCAAAAGTCAGTATTGGGTTGATGTGGGTCCCCTCAGCAGGTGTCCAGGAGACCCCACAGGATGTGTTCCACTGGGAGTCCAGCGACAGAGGACAAAATCGCAAGTGACCCTTCCAGAGCAGAAATGCATCTGTGCAGGATAAGGGAATCCCAGGAGAGAGGAGCCCAGCAGGAGAGCTCTGAAGAGGCCCTGCATTGAGTTAGAGTCAGCTTCAGTCCTGCCACGGCCTCTCTGGGGACCCCAGCATTCAACTTTCCAGCTAAGAAAGGACAAAACCAAGCAGCCACATGGAGCAAAGCGTAGGGAGTGAAAGAACTGTATTCTCCGTCCCCACTGCAGGCTTCCTGCCATGAGCTGTGGAAAACAGGAAGACCTAATGCTCGGTTAATTCTGGAGTTTGGAAGCGCATCTTTACATGTAGATTCTAATCACAGAATTAAAATTATTTTGCAGTATAAAGTGACCCTAAGTCTGTCTCTTGACTACATATAGGCAGATATGGCATGGGAACTCTCTCAGAAGATTTGTTCAGTGTCTGAGAAAGATTACTAAATCAGATATTTTTTTAAAGGTGGTAGGAAAACAAAATAAAATTATGCTTTCTTATGTCTGCAATTATGTCTGTTCAACTTACTGATGGTATTTATGTATTTATATTTGAGACAGGCTCTTACTCTGTCACCCAGGCTGGAGTGCAGGGGCACAATCACAGCTCACTGCAGCCTCGACCTCCCTGGCTCAAGCAATCCTCCCACTGCTAGGACCACAGGTGCACTCTACCACACCTGGCTAATTTTTGAATTTTTTTGTAGAGACAGGGTCTCACTTTGCTTCCCAGGCTGGTCTTGAACTCCTGGCTCCGGCAATCCTCCCTCCTCAGCCTCCCAAAGTGCTGGGATTACAGGTGTGAACTACCATGCCCACTTCCCATTTTAAATATTTGAATAAAGAACAATTTGTTACTAAAATTGGCCCTAAACATAATTTAATTTTGCATTTATAATTAAAACAAACATAGGCTTTTGAAAGAGTTTGGGACCATACTATGGCAGAGGCCATTGGAAAGTCGACTGCACCTGGGCTGAGCTGGCTTTCAGTGTAAGTCTCAGACATCCTGATTCATGCCCCAATGCAGCACATCTCGTGGAGGACCCCTGCCTAGGAGGACACCTAGGCAAGGCAAAGGTCGGCTGGCTGGCCCTCGCAGAACTTGTAGTTCAGCATGAGAAGAAGATAAATAATGAATGCATCTTCACTCAAAAGAGTACCCATTTTAAAAAGTGTTGAGGAAGAAAATGGAAAAAAAAAAGAGTGGAATCACAAGACAGCCTGAAAGTGCAGCCTAATTTTGAGTGGGAGGTCCCGGGGGCCTCGTTCGGGATGAAATATTTGAGCTGAATGTGGATGGGGCACAGACAGATAGGCAGTGTGTTGGGAACAGCACAATGCTGGCAGCAGGAACAGCCTGTGTTAGGCGCTGAGGAAGGAGGGGAGAGTGCTGCCTGTCTGAAGAACTAGAAGAGCCTCAGGATGAGTGCAAGGAGGGTGGGCCGTGAGTCCCAAGGCGGGCCAGAGAGCAAGCAGGGCAGATTCCTCCTTATAGATGACATCGCCATCACAGTTGCTGGCTGTTTTCGGCTTCTTAAAGCATATTAGAGCATTTGTTTTTCCTCTTCTTCTCAAAATGAAGGCAACAATGCTTTGTCTTTTCACAGAGTTGTTAGAGGGTTAGAGGAATCAATGCGGGCCTGAAGAGAAGTTTGCACGACCTAGGAGAAAGCAGGGTCTGGTTAGGACCAGCATATTTCAACCTTGTAACTTGTCCAGCAATTGTGTTTTAATATGTTCCCAGTGCCTGGTTTATTCATGTCTGTTAGTGAAATAAAAGACCAGGAGGTCATCTGGGTGCACTGTGGTTGTAGGATTTCCACAGGAGTCCAACGTGCACATGCTCCTGGGACAGATAGTGAGAAGAGCCGACTGGGAAGCTTGTTTAGGGGTAGTGGAGAGGAGGAGGAATAACGAGGCCACTCTGTCATTTCAGCTTGCTCTCTTTTGCTGCTTCTCAGCCTCTGCATCTATAAATAGTTGAGGCTTCTGGAACAAGCACAGTGTCAGGGCTGGTGACAGGAGGAAGGAGGGGGATTTACCGTCCTTTGGGCTCCCTTGAGAGGATGGCCTCCCCTAGGCACCTGCAGCCGTCGGATGAGAGCAGGATCCAGATGTCGGCGTTAAGTGTCACAAGATTGGACCAGCCTTGGGGAAATGGACAGCCCGCTCCGGTCATTTCATCTGACTAAGTCTCCCCAGCTCACCTCAGGGACAGTCTTGCCTCCCCTGATGTCTGCAGGTTGGTATTTGAATTTTAAAATGTAGAGGTTAACTGGGCATAGGGATTATGTAAAATAGTGATTTTTTTTTAAACTTTTCTCCCTGAAACCATAGAGTTGGCAGATGCACCCCAGGGCAATTAGGGAGCGACAGGGGGTGAATCAGGCAGCCCGTCCTCCAGCCCCAGCTCCACCAGACCAGTGACCCTTTCATCTCATTCACGTGTTGGACTTTGCCCACTTATTTCATTTGAAGTCAGTGTGGCCAATCTTTATTAAAATACACAGACCAACAATCAAATAAATAACTATTTTGGGCTCCTGATTCTGTCAAATTCTTTATTTTGCTGATAAAGACACATGGCTTCAAAGACATATTTCCGTGGTTAGTGCCACTCGTCTCTTGAATGTCACACATGTATGGCCGGGTATTTTGCCCTGTAACATAGGGTCATGCACCAGTAGGGGGAAAGACCATCAACAGGGAATGGCGTTATTGTCAGTGACTGCTGAAAACAAGCCTTCATTCACTCAGCTTTAGCAGAATGTGAAATGTGCACTTAAAAAAACAGGCAGAAAACTGAAAAATTAACTGACATGACGTGTACACACACACACACACACACACTGTTACACTCATGCATACTCATACTCTCATACACCCTCTCACACCACTCACCCTCTCTCATGGACACACACACACCCTTACATTTGCACACTCACATACTCTTACACTCTCATGCACATTCACACTCATACACTCACACCACTCACCCTCTCTCATGGACACACACATTCTTACATTTGCACACTCACATACTCTTACACTCATGCACATTCACACTCATACACTCTCACACCACCCACCCTTTCTCATGGACACACACACACATTCTTACATTTGCATCCTTACACATACACACTCATATGCACACTTTCACACTCTCACAAACATACACCCTCACTCGTGCACACATACATCCTCACACACAGTCACATACCCTCATTCACACACATTCTCACACACCACACACCATCACATACACACTCCTCACACACCCTCACTCGTGCATACACATGCCCATCCTCATACACACACTCTCATTCATATGCACTCACACCCTTGAGTTCTCACACTCACATGTTCACACTCACACGCACACACACTCATACACGTATGAACGTAAGAGCCGGCATGAGAGCAAAAATAATTCAGCTTTCAGGGACCCAGAGAATGCTTGTTCTTGTCCACTGGGTGGTGCCGAAGCTTCCTCAGGAGCAACCTGTTAGCCTGGTGTCATCACAGTCATGGTTGGCATCTGTACAGAGAGAACAGTTCCTCTCTGTGGAAGTCAAATGGCAAATCGTGGGAAGAGATGAGCTTGGCAACATTGGCTCCTCTTGAAAGCAATGCAGAGCCTGTGTGGGCACAGCTGCTGGGCACCTGGGCAGCTGGGTACCTGCAGCTGGGCACCTGGGCACATGGGCACCTGGGCACTCAGGCAGGGACTCTGAAGCAGCCATGCTTGGGAGGTCTCCCACCCCTTCTGATGGCCACCGAAGGGACACTCAGATGTCCTGGGGATGTCGAGGGAGGGAAGCATGTCTCATCACTAAAAGAATGGGAGCAAAAGAAGAGCTGTGAACGTGTTTTTGCTTCTTAGAAACAGCTGCATGGAGTCAGTGGATTCAAATACACCCAGGTGCAGAGCTTTGAGGCTTTAAGAAACCTAATTCTTCAGTAACTAAATGGAGACACCTGGGAATGGAGTGGCAGTGTGCTGGGTGGAGCTTCCATGGAAAGATCCATCTTTTCCCCCTAGAGGTTGCTTGGTGTTGTAAAAATGGAGGCACCAGGGAAGGCCAGGTTGCCCATGGTGCAGCACCACAGTGGGAGCTGAGGACCTCCTGGATGAGGGGCATTCTGGACTGAGCAATGACACCTCCCTGACCCCGTGGGGGGCGCTGAGGAGGTCCTGAGGAAGGTGCATGCCCTCCATCAGGGCACAGAGCCCATGTCCACTCAGAGGAATTGGAGTTACATTTTATAATCTTTATCATGATTCTAAGCTGCTTTCTCCTGCATAAAAGTCACTTGCACAGTGAGGGCTGGCTCTGTAACTACCCCTCCCTCACCCAGCCCCCGGGATCTAACACTCGCTTCTTTGACAAATATTTATTGAGCAACTATTATATGCTAAGCCCTAGATGTACCTAGCAGGGCTTAATAAGGAGAAAAACACTTTGTATCCTATCATAGGAACGTTTATAGTTAAAGGTTTTCACATTTTCAAAAAAAACTTAAGAAAATGTTTTGTGAAAAAAATGCATATTTTCCTGCCATAATTTTTTTTGATGTGAAGATTTACAAGGTTATGAAAAATTATACATTAAATTTTAGATGCAATTATCATATTTTAACATATTTAAACTATAGGAAACTGAGGCTATCCCAGATTACACAAAATATATGGGCCTAGAGAGAAAAGTCAGAACAATGGAAGGTGAGTGAGAAGTACAGCTGACAATCCTTTAAAGGGCCTTAAAGACCTTTTACGGAAAGAGGAACAAATACGTCTCAAACCACCAGTTATTTGCCAAACACTTTATCTATAGCCTCCTGAAGCCCCTGATATGGTTAGGGTTTGTGTCTCCACTTAAATCTCATCTTGAATTGTAATCCCCATTATCCCCATAATCCCCACGTGTTACGGGAGAGACCAGGTGGAGGTAACTGAATCATGGGGATGGTTTCCCCTATGCTGTTCTCGTGATAGTGAGTTCTCACGAGATCTGATGGTTTTATAAGGGGCTCTTCCCTATTCACTCAGCATTTCTCCTTCCTGCCCCGTTGTGAAGACGTTGCCTTGTTTCCCTTCACCTTCCACCATGATTGTGAGTTTCCTGAGTTCTCCCCAGCCACACTGAACTGTGAGTCAATGAAATCTCTTTCCTTTATGAATTACCCAGTCTGGGGCAGTTCTTTATAACAGTATGAAAGTGAACTAATACAAAACCGCAGACGAAAGCAGTGTTCAGGGAAGCTGGTGACTTGCTCGAGGTCACAGAGATTCGGATTTGTCCCTAGGACGGTGTAGGACACAGCTCTGTTTCTTTGGACACCCCTGCTCACTTCTCAGGCACCATGTCTGTGGGTAACGATGGCATTTTGCAAAAACAGAAGCCCTGTAAACATTTATATAGATGAGTAGGTCATTCTAGATTTTGTGTGTGTAACTGAAACCTTGAGATTCCTACCCATCTCCCCTCCCTGTCGTGGCCCTCACACACCTCCTGCCGGCCATACGCTGAGCACACAGTTCATCCCTCCCGTTCACCATGTCCTCCTGTCTGTGGAGTTCATTGGAAGGAAAAAGAAAGCTTGTAAAGTGCAAGCTAAAAGTAAATACTTCAAAGAAGGTCACTGACTTCGCAAATAGTCTAGCCAGGATAATTTTTCCTTTTGACACACAAAAGGGATAGACTTTAAGATTTCTGTACTTGTTTATGGCCTGGTTATTAAGAAATCCAAAAATAAATAAATTAACTGAAAAGATTTTGGGCCATGGCTTTATATAGAAGTTTTTTCAAAATATACCATGGCAGAAATATGCTATGGACGTTTAAAGGTTTCAGAATAAGAAGCTGCCTCTCTAAACTCAAGTATGTATATTCTAGAAAATTCAACTCAAGCTTCCTTCAACCATCTGAATTACAGGTCTCTACTATTTTGTTTTGTTTGCTTGTGTTTGCTTTCATTATCTCACAATCTGCATTTTAATTATTTACAGTATAATCGCAGACTATAGATACATTGACAGAATAATATGATTGAAAAAACAATAGGTGGATGATAAAAAATTTTAAAGCAATATTTTGATCATACTTTATGTTTTTTGTCTTTCATTTCTCACTTGACAGTTTATTATATCTCTACATGTTCTCATAAGAAGTGATTTTAATGTATGTGATATTCCATTATGTGAATTTACCATGACATATTTTATTCTCCTGTTTCTGAACATTAAATTTAGTTTTGATTTTTAGGTATTATAAATAATAATGTGCTCAGCATAATTGATTATACATTCTATGCCCAATTCTAATTATTCCTGGGACAGAATTTTAGGAGGAGAGTTACAAAACTGTCTAACCTTATTAAGGCTCCTGATATTTCTGTTTTTCTCAATTGTGTTTATACACATTTACACATCTGTGGCTTCAGAAGTACTATTGGCTGGGCACGGTGGCTCATGCCTGTAATCCCAGCACTTTGGGAGGCTGAGGCAGATCACTTGAGGTAAGGAGTTCGGGACCAGCCTGGCCAACATGACAAACCCTGTTTCTACTAAAAATACACAACTTAGCTGAGTGTGGTGATGTGCGACTATAGTCTCACCTACTCAGGAGGCTGAAGCATGAGAATCACTTGAACTGGGGAGGCGGAGGTAGCAGTAAGCCAAGATTGCACCACTGCACTCCAGCCTGGGCGAAGGAGCGAGACTCTGTCTCATAAAAACAAAAACAAACAAAACAAACAAGGACTATTTATTCTATCTGGTCATATATATGATTCTGACCCCAAAGTGGAGACAGTGTCTCATCAAAGCCATAAATCTGTAGGGTGTTATAGCAGGTAGATATTTTGTATCCTGATGAATTTCAGAATTCTTTTGGTATTTTATTATTCTATTCTCCTTCGTTTCTTTGACTTTATTGAGATGATTTATATGATTTTTAAAGTCAAATAGTTTTGTAGGCTTACAACAAAAATAAACATAAGTACTATTTTATACCAGCTTTAAAAAAATATGTATGTATGCATTCAAATGTCAAATGTGGGGTATATACATGTACAGATATATTTCAAAGATAAATATCTTCCCCTTTCATCTTTTCTGTAAATTGTAGCTAGAATTGCATTTCTAAGGTAAAGATACACACAATTTAATTTAATTAATTAAATTAATTAAATTAAATTAATTTAATGATTTAATGATATCACATAAAATGCTGTGATAACAACGTTTTGTCTGTATGACAAAGGGCTATGTCTGTAATGGGGCCTGGCAGCCCTCCTAAGCTAGCCCCATTCCTCTAGCCTTGACAGGTGATTTTACCTATGCCAAATATGCCACATATTTTTATACTATGTCCTATGCCTAAAGGAAGCATGCTGTGGATTTTTCTTCCCACTATTCCTCCACTTGAATACCTAGACTCTCCAAAGATCAAATCTTCACACAGGAATTCCCAGAATGCTGACTGCCCCATTGACATCTTTAGGCACCGGACCTAAGTCTATATGACTCTGTTGGTTGAATAAATAGTATTTTTAAGGCAAATATACTGGAAAGGTTATAAGGTCTGGAGTGGTCATTTGGTCATAGTGTGCATTTGTTTAATTTGATTATACTCTTTTCAAGGGAAGGAAGGAATAAGTAGTATTGACTCCTCAGAGCAGGCTTGAGTGTTTTTCTAGGGCTCTTGTTTTAGCAGGTGAAAGTTCATGACAACCTTTGTACCTTTGGGGAAGGAAGAAGAATTGGCATGGGAGGCAGTTGACCTGTAATTTCACAAGCCTTGGAATTCTGCTTGTGGCTGACAGTTTCCGATGAGACTCTAGAAATCTGGTAGCAAGTGGCTCCTCACTCTGAGAAGGGAAGTTCTTACCTTCCTCCATACCTTCAATTGGAGCCAAGAAGAAGGTATGGAAAATGCATTTTTTAGATCCCCATGTATGAGTGACATTCCTTGCCTCATCTGGATTGGCTCTATAATAGTGACTTGGTATTCCTTGTCAAAGTAATTCAAAAGTGTACGAGGACAAGAATTGACATGCGCTAATACCAGTATTTAAAACGTTGGTGATAGAACCAGGCAGCAGTAGCTAGGGAGATAGAAACCCCAGGCAAAGAACCTTAGGTTCACGTTTCTTTTGACCACAGTAGACTCAGCCTAGTTAATGCCAGCATGATATCAAAGAAATCATTTAATGAAACAAAAACACTTATTTGAGGACTTCAATATGATTGAAGATACATTTTCAAATTCTAGCGATTCAAGAAAAAGAAACGAGATAAAGAAGTTATAATGCAACATGATGAAGATGGTTTAACATTTTTAACAGATACATAAAGATTTCCTCCCTTCCCCCCCATCCGCAGAAAAGCCTCTAGAACAACTCTAATCGCATTTCTTCAACAAGCATCTTCTGGGCGGTGATGCCATCTATGCGCAGGTACAGTGAGAATTTTGGGATCCAGACGTGAGCCTGCAGCCCCAGAGCCTATAGCCCAGTGGGGGGCAAGCTCAAACCTGCTGATAACATCCAGGGACAAATACCAGGGACGTAAGAGCAGAAGGATGAGCAAGTTGCTATGGAAATGGTACACAGAATGTCAGTTTCCTTTGGGAAGTGAAAATCTAACATGAAAGGTGATATTTGAATTGAGCCTTTAAAAAAGCATAGAAATGTCTCTCCAGCCCCAATTCCTTGGCCTCTATCTGCTGAGTCCACTACCACAGGGGACCTCTAACCTGCCTCTCTCAAGGTGTCGTCCTCACTTTGTAACAAATCCTATCACAACATCCTCATCTACCTACTTCTTAGCCTCCTCATTGAGACTAAGAACAGTCCACATCATTGAACTCCAAGCTTCCAACAGAATCTGACCTTTGAGTCGCTGGGGAGGGAGTGAGAGTGCAAAAAAGAAACATTTCGGCAACACACTTTCCCCAACTTGACCTTCACTTTTGCCACCCTGGACTTTTCCCTGGTCTCTGAATTGAGAAACCCTTCCTCTTCTATGCTTTTGAAATGGTGTTTTATGGTCTTGCATATATTTAAAGTGAAATTTTGCATTGTCCCTTCAGGTCTCTGCCTTAGTCTGTGTATGTATTGTAGTGTATATTGTAGATGTGTGATTGTTTCCTTAATGAGCCTCTTCCCAGTCTGGAGTCTCAGCCCCTTGAGGACAGGCACAGGGCCTACCACATTGCATGGCAAGTAGAATGGACTCAATAAATGCTATTTAAGAAAAAATAATGAATAAATGCCAATCTCCCAATAGAAGTCAATTGAAAAGAAGGGCATAAGGTTCAGAGGAGACAGCATGAACAAAACCTTATAGTCATGAAAGCACAGGTCATATTCAAAGACCTGTGAGTGATCCAGCGAGGGCTAAGTAATAGGATGCACTCAGGATGAAATGGAAAAGAGGCTGGAGTGTTTGGTTTGTTTAAGATGCTTGATAGCATGCTTGTGTTTTGGATAATAGAATTTACTATAATGCAGATTTTGGAAAAGTTATGTGTGCACCCTATTTTGTTTGTGGGTTATATCTGGACTGCAATGCAGGACAGTAGGCTAGCAGAGAACATGGAGGCAGGGATTTTGTTTAGACTTTTTTTTTTTTTTAACCTTTCCATTGATCACACTAGGGCTAAGGAGCAGGCAAAGCCAGGAAATCAGATTAGATATTAAAATCTATGCTGGAACTTGAAGTGAAAATTAAGTGATGGTTTGGTGTTGCTCTTGTCTTTGGGCCAGTAATAAAGAGAACTGTAAATGTGTTTTGGAGAACACTTAATAGCTGCTGCCCAGCTCATGTGGAGCCGGCCCTTGGTGTGGGGAGAACACTTAAGTCATCTGTGCCTTCTGCTTCTTCAAGTGGACCAGATCCAACAAGTACAACTGAATGACGTCTTCTGTGACCCTCACCTCATTTTCTTCTTCATTATTACTATTATTTTTTTAATTTTTGACACATAGTAATTATAAATATTTATGGAGTACCTAGTGATGTTTTGATACATGCAATGTATAGTGATCACATCAGAGCAATTAACATCTCCATCATCTCACATGTATCATTTCTTCATGTCAAGAACATTCACTATTCTTCTAGCTGTTTGAAACTAGATATTATTGCTAGCTATAGTCACCCTACAGTGCTGTAGAACATAGAACCAATTCCTTGTATCTAGCTGCAGTTGCGCATCCTTTAACAAAGCTCTTCCCATCCCTGATTATTTTTATTTATTTATTTTAGTTGGAAAACGCTATGATCTGAGCTCATGGATTCTTTTTCATAGCTTGATCCTGAGAGAATAGGAATAGCACCATATCGTCAAGTTGAGCACAATCACTAAAATTCTCCTGTGGTAAACACAACAGCCCCTCTACCTTCCAGAAGACAGCAACTGCATTGCCTCCCTGGGACAAGCTCCAATCCCTGGCTATAAGAGGGGTATGGTGCATCAGGCTATTTTGTGGTTGTTTATTTTCCTCTACTAATTTCATTAAAGCATTTCCCCTGAGAACTAAATCTCATTAAATTAATCCTTTAACAGCAGAGGAGAAGACAGGAGGAAAGAGAAGGGGAAGGAAAAGGAGTCATAGTAATAAGCTATTGGAAAGTCTTTAGAACACAAGATCAAAGCCCAAACATGCAGCCGCACCCATACAGAAAGGAGAGGAAACAGAAAAGGTGTTTTTGGTGTAGTTGCTATAGGTACCTTTGTTGTTCGATATGGGTGTGCATTTGCTGTTGACACTCTTGAGTTAGAAGTGAGCATCTAGATTTGGGGGAATAAATACATCTCCATGTGAAGGAACAAAGGGAGAACCAATGAAAGAAAAGGGAAGTATTGGGCGGTGGGGGCGCGGGGAGAAAAAGGCGAAGATGAGGTAGTAACTGATGTCAAACATTGATGAGCATCGTGTTGGGGACAACAAAGTCCACAGTTCGCAGGTCACTAGTGACCTTGGAAAATTTTTTACCTCAGATAATTTAAAATCACCTTAGGTCACTGGAGTTTAAGTAGGGAGTTTGTGAAGGAGTCAAAGTATTGACAGAATTGCTGTTTGCTAATACTGGTGATGATTATAGTAAAGAGAAGAAATTGTTGAAATAATGAGAAAAAGAATAATGTGAAAGAATCACAGATTTTAAAAAGGCAATAATTGCCTGTTCTGCTAAGGGTTATGTTAGCTATAACCAAGTTTCCCAGCTGGGCAGCCTTGACTCTCTTCTCGCCCAGTATCTTCTCTGATATCAGTTTTCTTTCTACACAGTGGTGCTGAGGATGAGGCAGGCCTGACTATAGTTGATATTAGGACTGTGTTTTCACCACCGTGTCTACAGGGAGCACCTCCCCTATGTGCTACCCTATGCTAGACTCTGTGGATAAGACCTGAACCGCAGCATTCTAAGACAATACATGTTGCATCAGTTTCTCAAAGGTAAACGCCTTGACGAATATGTGTGAGATATTATTAGATTGAAAGTGTAATAGCTATAATAGTCAATCTTCCTCTATTATGGCAAGCTATTTGAGAAAGTCTCATGACACCTTTATGGAAGGATTGGAGAGAAGTGGATTGGATAATAGGCTTAAAGATGCTTCATAGCTGGTTGGTGGACTCAACAGAGTGTTAATTGATGAATACCTGCTCATGCGGACCCCGGAGTGTCCAGGAAAACAGAGAGCTCACGTTCTCCGAACATGTTAGGGCTTTCACAGCCTTTTCTGATTTTCATTCTTACGAACCAATGAGGTAGATTTTTTTTTTCAAGGCAATTTTACCCCTGTAATAGAAGTAGGATTTCTTTTGTTTTTATTGTGAAAACCATTATGTCTCTTGGAAAATAAAAGCTTAGAAATTACAGTAAAAAACACCTTTGCTATCAACAGGAAGCTACTCACATTTTAATATATATTCTTCCAGGCATAGGACAGTCTTCTGAACAAGAAATGTTGCATCAACCTAACCTGTCCTGCTTCACTACTGTACTGTGTGTGCACATTTTTCATGTAATTATTTGTCATTGGTTGTTTTATTTTTGTGGGTTTTCTGGTCTTGTATATTACCATATTTAATTTATTCTCCAAAATAAAGTCTTTTGTTCACCTATATGTGGCAAATATTTACTTTTTAACTTTTAAAGTATGTTTTTATATAAAAGTTTTAACTTTATGTAACGTTCATCAGTCTTTTGTGTAGTTGTTTCTACCTTTGATATTAGATTCCAAAGGCCTTTCCCATGCAGCTTATATAAAACTATGTACATTGATTTTCTTCCAATCATTTTTACATTACTAATTTAATGCAGTGTAAGAGACTATGCTTATGAGCTATAGATCTGACTCTTTTTCATTCTTAAATGATTATCCAGTTGTCCCAGCCCCAACTTTGAATAATCCATCTTTCCTTCTGCTTTTAAATATATTTTTGTTATATGAAAAACTCCCCTGTGTAATTCTTTCTGTTTTTATCATCTGTATTCTTTATCATGGATCTTTCTGCCCATTTATTTACTGGTGCCAATATTTTAATTATGAGTTCACAAGATATATTATTATCTTAAGAAAGTACCACTTCCATGTTCCTCAAATTTTCTTCACTATTTTAAGTACTTATTATTCATTGTTTTAAATAATAATTTTATAAAATGTGAGTGAAAATTTTATTTACTTTTGTTCTACTCCATTAAAATTTGAGTTGAACATACAACATTTTCGATTGATAAGGAAGTTGCACATCTGAGAGATTCAATGACTGATTCAAAGTGACAGAATTAAAAATCAACAGAGCTGGGAAATGATCCTAGGTGTATTGTCCATAAGAGAACTCGAAAGGATGGAGAAGAGGCTAGACAATGGAATCTCAAGACCCAAAAATGTCTTGACTGGCTGTGTAGTTGAAAATCTCACTTCCAAATTTTAACTCTACCAGCACTGGGTATTACTCTTAAGCAAGTATAGGAGACCTTGCTTAACAATAATTTTCAGAAAACGTCTTAGGGTTTTTAGGCTGTAATCTCAATATGAGCAGCACTGTGCCATAAATGCTCCTCAGACCGTAACAAGGAATACCATCAGTGGTTGTGAAGAATATTGAACAGATCTGGGCCCTGTAATCTAGAAGAGCTGGTAAGAAATTATACGTGGCCCATGGGATATTACAATGATAGTAAAGAGTCTCAAAACAAAACAACCAGGCTATGTCTGGCCTCTGTGGATGTAACACCTTCCATGTCTCAGGAGAGATGTTGGACATTTACATACTTTAGTTCATTTACTATTATAGCCTCGAGAAAAGATAGTCTTATCACTGATTTCCATAAGAAAGGGGGACTGAACTCTAGCCCATCTTTCTGAGAGGTCTCACTTAAGTCCCTTATGTTCCCTTTTCTTGAAAATAAGATCAGTGAGATACTACGACCCTTCCTAAGTTCTTGTATGTGTGTGCCTGTGTGTGTGTGTACTTGTGTGTCATGTTTGTATACGTAGTGTATATAAAAGAACAGTTTTACCGGTAGGACTATTTTACTCGTCAATAAGACCACATTTAAATTCACCTAATTGATGCCTGTTTTAGTACATTCTTCTGTATAATGAATTCACCTTTACGCACACCAGCAAATTCTCTGGAGACAATCTTACTAACCTTTTCAGTAATTTTAATGTGACTCTGAACTAAAAGCATAAACATATCACTGCAACAGTAGATGGTGAAGTAGAAAGGATGCATTTTCTGAAGGTGTTTAAGAGTGACTATTTGGCATTTTCTGTGAATCATTAAAAATTATAGAGTGAAGCCAAATAATTCCAAACATCATTTCGGTTGAGTCGAGCTTTCATAAGGGAGGATTTGCAGCATCATTATCCATATAATTCCGTGACCCAGAGAGAATAATAAAACAGTGCAGGGCTGGAAAGTGGGAGGGTGGATGCTGAAATAGGACTCTAGGCAGTTGCATTTGTTCTGGCTTGCAGTGTCTTCCAAAGCCCTCGCACTTAGCTTTTCTTCAGAAAAGAGCCAAGGGACTGCTTGCTTATTTTTTAGTTACTACAATGAGCACATGAACATCAACAGAAAACACTATTGAAATAAGGAAGAAAAATATGCTCTCATGCGGTTCATCTCTGAAAAATGTGGTTGTGTTGGTGAACCTTTGTGATGAGCTCACACAAGCTCTGCTTGTGAACCTGTTGTAAATAACAGATGTTTGATTGTTCTCCCAGTGGCTCCGTGCTTCTTCAGAGAATCCAATATTTTTAGCAGGTCCCTATGACTCATTTATGTTGTATTGAATTGGTTTGCTCTGTTAATGGCATGAGCTTACAATCACGTGTTCCCGTTTTTTTATTTGGATGAAAGATGGAACTTAGCAGTTTTACAGTAGCATTCTGAGTTTCACATTTTCTAGTTTTCAAGCGTGTGCTGCAATTCTGCACAATCATAAGCAATGACTATTAAGAGTAAATTCTGATTACTGGTTATAACTGGATAAAGTGTTTTCATATGCAAAAATTATATCTAAATAAAGCTATGGCTAGCATTTCTCAATTATATTGAGTCTCTCCTGAAAACTAGAATCACATCAGTTTCCTTCCTTTCTTCCTTTCTTCTGTGTATTAGGCCTAGGGTAATGTTCAGCATGTAGATTATCAGCAAAATGTTGATTATATAAATAAATATAAGTAAGAATGTACAAAAAGCTTAATATCAGTATTATGTAATTAAGTTTTGCAAAAGTGTATAAGTATTAATAGCAAAGTCTAAAAGCAAGAATTTTTGAGGACGGTTTACTGATTTCTGATTTCGAAGGTATCTTTTTTTTAAGATGTGTTGAAAACTTAGGAGATCATTCTAATACTTGGTACAATATTTATGGGCTGTCTGTCTTCTATGAAGCTCACAGCGTCCCCTAGGTCTGATCTCATTAAATTTCATGCTGTTTCTCTGAGGCAGGTTATGAACCATAACTAAATTATAAATGAAAAGCTATTAGATTTATAATAGAGTATTTCATGGATGGAGTCTCATAGGGCAGAGAGGCCTGGACTCTACATGAGCACATCTCAGATATCATAGGACAGAGTTGCTCCTGAGTTTAGTGTATGCTGTTGTGTAAGTTCTAGGGTATGGAAGAGAGAATGCCATCATTAACTCAGAAACCCCTAAGAAATATAATTATTCATCATGAATATTGCAAATATTGAAACAAACAAAGGAAGATTTACTTATCTAGGTATCAGACAAACAGAAGAACCAACTAGCTTCTGCTTGCAAAATGTTTCTCAGTAGTGGGTTCCCTAGAGAAGTTGAAGCTGAGTGACTCTCAGGATAGGAAGATAAGAGGCACCACCAGCTCTTCGGATCCCTGTACTCACCCACAAGCAGGACAACAGGAGCAAAACTACCTGAGTTTGGGGCCTCATCAAGATACGGAAGGAAAGAAAGGATCAGGGACTTTCCAAACCTCAGAAGTGAGTTAGTAGTTGAGATGGAAAGTTCAGAACAGAGAATTACATACTATTTTCCCATCTTTAAACCCTGCATGTTTATTCTTTGGGTAGGCAAAAATGGAATATTTGTTTTTATTTTATTTGGTGGATTGTTAGGTGATATATGCCTTACCATAGTCCAGTGACTTTTGAAAGGGCTTATTTCAAAATAGACTGGAAACTACTTGAACTACCAATATATAAGTTTTCAGTGAAGTTTGGGACACATCATTTCTACTTAAAAAATAATTGATATAAATTTCCACATGGACACATATTTTTCCATTGTAAATATGTTAATTAAATTGGGTATGCAGATATATGTAGAGATAAATATATAACAAGAAAGTGGTTCGTGTACTTTTTGCCATTTTAAGAAATAAGAAAATATTTTCCATTATATGGAGAGAAGATTTTTCAAAAATTTGAATGCTCTTCTATGATTGTATAGTGGTTTCATTAGGTGCCTCTTTTGCTGTGAAACTATTATAGCAGCCCAAATGTTTTGTAGGGATTTAATTTCTGATCTCTGTAGAAGTTACACAAATTAACTTTGTTTATAATGGATGGCATTCGTTTTTTTCTAGAAGCAAATTAGAAGAATTGAATTTAAAATGTGACTTTAAACTCGGAAAACATATCTGTTGGACCAAGAATATTAACACTGCACTTTCCTTCATACTACTTCTCTACCTTCAGATATGCTTTAAGAACCTTAGAAATCATTTAGTTTGAATGCTCACATAATTAGTGAGGAAAATGAGGCCTAAACCATTTAGTGACATAAATAAATGAAAATCAAATATTCAGCTTTTTAAATTTTAAATAACCAAAAGAACATTGATTTGGGGGCCTCTTTTCCTTTTGACTTGTATTTTAAAATTATATGAAGTAAAACTTTTTAGTGGGGGTGGTGTTGATAGGATCTCCTCTTATAGGAGGATTTGGTGACTTGAAGGATATAAATATTTTCAGGACATATCAGCATTTAATTTTTAGTGTGTTTATGGGTATTGGGGTTCTCATAAAATTTATATTGACTCTCCAACTTTAAAATGTCGTTTATGGTAATTACATACAAGGTTAAATACAATTAAATTGTTGGGTATCTGTTTATTAATTGAGGGTGCATTTATTGAGCAATTAAATTAGGTGGAAGGAGAATTGGGATCAAGATGAAACTATAAAAATCTAAAAAATGCACGAGTATAATTATTTGAAATAGTGTAATTGTTTCTATGAGGGGTCTTCAAAAAGTTCGTGGAAAATGCATATTATGTAAAAAGCTATGCATGGTTCAAAATTGTTTTTCACTAAAAGAAACTCATATTAACTTGCTCTAACATACCTGAACAGGATCTAGTCTGAGGCACTGAGAATGATAAGACATCAGTTTGAAAAGAACCACATGAATCTGCTGAAATTGAAGCACGAACTAATACCAAATTTATGGCGAATCTTGGATCAAAACGTGAAATTATTGATACTTTACAAAAAAATTATGGGGGCAATGCTTCAAATAAATCAGCAGTTTAACAATGGATAACTCATTTTAAGAAGGAATGAGATGATGTGGAAGATGAGCCTGCAGTGGCAGGCCATCCACATCAATTTGTGAAGATAAAATTAATCTCGTTTGTCCTAATTGAAGAGGACCACAATTAACAGTCAAAACAATAGTCAAGGCCATAGCCATCTCAATAGGTTCAGCTTACACAGTTCTGGCTGAAAAATTAAAGTTGAGCAAACTTTCCACCCCGTGGGTGCCAAAACGGTGGCACCTATATTAGCTGCAGACAAAAAGAGAACTTTGAAGGGAAATGTTAAACAAGTGTAATAAAGATCCCCAAATATTTCTTTGAAGCATTGTCACAGGAGATGAAACATGGCTTTACCAGTATGATCCTGAAGACAATGCACAATCAAAGCAATGGCTACCGAGAGGTGGCAATGTTTCAGTCAAAGCAAAAGTGGACCACCAATAAGAACAAAGATCATGGCAACAGTTTTTTGGCATGCTCAAGACATTTTGCCTGATGACTTTCTAGAGGGTCAATGAACAATAACATCCGGTTATTATGAGAGTGTTTTGAGAAGGTTAGCCAAAGCTTTAGCAGAAAAATGCCCAGAAAAACTTCACCACAGAGTCCTTCTTCACTATGACAATGCTCTTACTCATTCCTCTCATCCAACAAGGGCAATTTTGCAAGAGTTTTCATGGGAGATTATTAGACATCTACTTTACAGATCTAATTTGGCATTTTGTGACTTCTTTCTGTTTCCTAATTTTAAAAAAATCTTTAAAGAACATCAAGTTTTATTCAGTTAATAATGTGCCAAAGACTGCATTGATATGGTTAAATTCCCAGGACCCTCTGTTCTTTAGATATGGACTAAATGGCTGGCATCATCACTTACAAAGGTGTCTTGACCTTGATGGAGCTCATGTTGAAAAATAAAGTTTATCTTTTTCATTTTTATCTTTTAATTTTATTTTTCATAAACTTTTTGAAGTCCCCTCATATTATTCGGTGTCCCTTTGTATATTTTTCTTTTATTTCCAATATTTTTGAAAGCATTTAAGACAACTTACAAGACACAAACATGTCAAGATGAGATAAAATATGAAAAATAATATAAAAGAACAACATATTTCATAGTAAAGCATCCAATTATAGTTTACTCAGAATTGAGAGCAGAAATGGAGAGGGGGAAATATATTTTCTGTAGAATTACCATGCCATGAAATACTATATATTTATTAGACAGGACTGACAAATTTGTCTTTAAGCTTCATTGTAGCAAAAGCTAATATGGAAACTGGTTAGGTACAATACTTACAGTGCCTGTATTGTAAAAAACAAAAACAAAACTATTGCCTAAGAGTAAGAACTATCATGATACTGACAATGTAAGTCTTCTGTTGTCTATTGTCTAATGCCTTTAGAGACATTCTCAACACTCCTGAAACAAACACAATGATAAATCTCATTGGCTGCTTGTTAAAGCTCCCTTTAAATATTACATGTAGAGTATCAGTGCTAAGTATAAGGAAAAAATAAACCTTGAGTATAGATGTGGCTTCTACAGAATATCAGTGCTAAATAGAAGAAAAAAATTAATCTTGAGTACAGACATTTCTTCTACAGTAAGAAAATTGGAATGACCTAACTAGTCAAATGTTTCCCTTACAATGATATTAGGGAGTTCAAAGCTAATTTTTTTATCCTCTTATAGTAACCATTATATGTTTGCTTTTAAGTACCATATTGTCTGTTGGAAATTTTGACATTTTTTTTTTGTTTCACTTTCCCATCATTATTACGTGTTGTTCTGAGTGGTTTGTATGATCAACAGTTGAAACCAAAGAGCTGGAGTAGGATGTGAAGAAGAGGACAAAAACCCCTGGGCAGAGACACACCAAATTCAAGGTACCCTGGGAAAACTGCAGTAGTACTTACAGAAAAACGTGCTTGGGTCAAATTAAAAAAGGATGAATGTATAGTATCTCACTGGATTAAAAGAATACAATGTAGAAAAAGAAAAACAAGCTATGTGGGTATTAAAACTCCACAGAATGCATTGAAGAGAAACATTTCCTTGTGTTTGTATTTGTGTAAAAGTATGAAAAACCAGGGAAACTTGGAGATGAGTAGAATAGGAGAGAAGTCATTTTCTCTGAATGATGGGACAGAGG
Organism: Homo sapiens; assembly: GCF_000001405.40. Classification (NCBI taxonomy): domain Eukaryota; kingdom Metazoa; phylum Chordata; class Mammalia; order Primates; family Hominidae; genus Homo; species Homo sapiens. The sequence goes on along the minus strand of NC_000013.11, from coordinate 107,664,580 downwards.
TTCATAGACTGAAGTTGGGGAGTGGCGGTGAGGAAGGCAGATCAGATAAGGCCTTAGAGGGCGTCACCATAGGTGTTGGCTTTTCCTTTGCATTAAATAGGAAACAATGGAGGGTTATGCTTAGAAGAGGGACACGACCTGTCTTACTTGACACTGTGTTGAAAATAGACTGAGGAAAGCGTAGCAAGAGTGTCAGTAGAGATCAGTTAGGAGCTAATGTGATGATCCAGGTGAGGCTGGAGAGGGGCTTGTACAAAGTGATGGAAGGTGATGAGAAGCCATTGGGTTGTAAGTCTCACCGGAAGGTAGAACCAACACAGTAGATAAGTGGACAGATTTTGTATATGTGAAAGAAAGAAGTGTAGAGGCTATTCATTAGGTTTGTCCTGCAAACTGGAAGAATGGAGTCCTCACTAATTGAAATGAAGACGACTTTGGGAATGGGAGAGTGGGAGGCAGGTTTGATGGAGAAAATGTCAGGTGGTTTTCTGAGATGTCTATTAAATATTAACCAGAGGTGCCAAGCCAAAGGTACACATATGGGCTTGGACTATGGTGGAGATTTCTGAGCTAGAGGTATACATTTGGGAGTCATCAGCACACAGATGATGTCTGAAGCTATGGTAGTGGGTGCAGTCACAAAGGAGGGAGTGAAGAGAGAGAAGAGGTTAGAAGTTAAGGAGTTGAGGAGAATAAGTAACAGAGAATGAGCAAAAGTACCTGAAGTGGTGGGAGAAAGGAAAGGACACTGTGGTATCCAGGAGGCCAAATGAAGAAAGTGCATGAAATAAGAAGGGATCAATTGTGAAAATCATGCCAATAGCTCTAGTAAGATAACTGAGAATTCACTACGAAACTTGGTAATGAGGTGATGACATTGTCAAGATCAGTTTGTATGATACTTTGTATTGTTTTCTAAGTTCTGAAACAGATTATATTTCTTGAGCTGGTGATATGGAGAATTTAGCATGAGTAATTATGGTTTAACTGTGGTATGAGATATTAAAATCCACACACGAAAAACAACAATGACAACAAAACAAAACACATGAAAATACGATTATCTTGACAGGCTTCTGCAGGGTTTTCTGCTTTGAAGATCTTTAAAGGTCTTTTTAACCTTTAACCGAAGACTCAAATGCTGAAGAGGCCTTAACTGTGTGTTTTTCCAGCACTGGTGATAAATCCGCTACATACCTTCTAAAGGTCTTTTTTGGCTGTAGGACAAAGCAATTTCTATTTCATTAGTTTTCTATTCAGGTCTATTACCCTTGGACACAAAAAGGAAACATTTGTCCCCTAAGGAACTGATGAATGAATTTTATGTGCTGTTATGAAAAGAGTCACTGGAATTTATCTCCACCTTCAAACACAGTTGAACATTCTTCAAGAATGAAATATCTTAGTACATTTCATTTGCAAAGTCTTGTTACTGTAAGACATATGATAGTTATATAGTACCAACATAATCAATTTTTCAATGAAAAGAAATTACTCAACCAAATATGTAGTATCACAACAAGTGAGGAGGGGGTTATATGTTTTGTTAATTTAGATGAATTAAGTCATTTAAGTTGAGATAGTAGACACATTAAATAATATATAAATATCAAAGTTAAAAATCAAGTTAAAATTCTAAATTAATATTTAATGATTTATGTAAGTTAATTTTGTTTCTAAAATCTCTAAAACATACTTAGCCAAAAAAGCATAGTCTTTAGTTGAGCTAATAGTCTTTCAATTGTAAACATGTTCATTGAGCCTCTGTAAAACGAGAGTGTCTTTTTACAACTAATAATGGTATCATTATCTCTTCATTAGAAAATGTAGATAAATACAGTTCCCTTTTAAAAATTTCTTTACTGTTAATTTGCTAACATTTTTTGTTTTTTGAATCTTTAAAATTATAATACATAATAGGTGAATTATGTGACAATAATTCTGTTTTCAAGTTATTTTTAATGGATGTGGTTCTTGAGAACTGCATGAAACATACCAGCAGGGAATATCAAAATGGCTAAAAACAATACAACTCCAATTTTAAAGAAAAAATGATTCCCATGCTTTTCCCAGGTATTTGTGTATCTGCTAGTTATCAGGGTTAATTTTCCCTATTAACAGAAAGCATTAACAGGCAACACTGTTCATGCTTTCAATACTTTTAAAAGTCTGCTAAATAAAATGTGGAAGCTGGTAGATGATATACTTTATTGGCTGCTCTATTCTGTCTTAGCAACATGTCCTGGAAACAATGAGTTCTACCACCACGCAGTTGAATCCAGGGTCCAGGACTCCATGTGGATGCTTTCTGGAGCACCCTGTGACCCCGGGACCTCTAGCACAATCATGGCCACCCAGCCAGGCTGTGATGTCCAGGCCAGGGGACACCAAGGGAAGGAGAAGAGTGGTTGCCAAAGTGGGAGAGGAGAGAACAGCATATGTCAGAAAACTTCCATGTCCAAAAATGGCAAGAGGAAGGATTTGATTTTAATGGGAAAATAGAGCTTTTTCTGCTGTCCTCCTCCAACCCTGACTTCTTTTAATCTAGGAAGATTTCATAAATTTAGTCTTTCTTGGAGCAGAAGTAAGTGTTAATAACATCCTCATACAATTTTTTAAAAGATTTTAGCCATAGAAATAAATTTACAGGATTGGGTTTAAGAGTTGAAAAAAATAAGAAATTTATGTAGATTTATTTATTATTTATCATCTTTTTTCTTCTTCTGAGTAGAGCTATAGCAGGTGTTAAGTATCAGGCTTAAAATATGTATAAAATTAGTGTTGTAGAATATATTTATTCCTTGACATTTCTTATTAGCTAGGCATAATTGCCTCAATGTGAATTGGGCTGGAGAACCCATGATTTTCCCAGTGATGATGGATGACAGGATGTTATCTCAAACTGTGAGATGGGAGGTAATTCAGTTTTCACAGAACATTATGTAATGCTAATTAAATTAATCCTCAGGTTATGTGGCATGTCTTGGTTAAGGTATTATGCCGAGTGCTTTTATTTGTTAGGAAGCTTCTCTGTTAGGCCTTTCATATTTAGTTACCTGTGCTACTAGTTCAGTTGGCCGCTCGCAAAAGACGTGACTCCAGTTTGGTTGTTGGACATTCTGTGATAACGTCTTCTCTACATCCTTGAATATGTCATAAACAGCAAGATATGAAAGTAAAAGCAAGCTATGTAAGTGCTTTCCCAAGCTAACAATAAGGCATATGCTTTATAGATTAAATTGGAAGTATATGATGCAGCCTAGTTTAATGTATTTGCCAGCACCCATTTCTAGTGATGAAAAGGTTTTCATTTAATGCTAGTAAGATTCAGAGGAAGGCAAGTGTGGGGTGGCTGGAAGTTGGTGAGAAATCCTGAAACCCAAATCCACACAAAGTTGCTCAAGAAATTTCCTCTGATGAGGAATGCGAATGTTTTTTGAAAGTTCCTAGAATTTAGAAGCTCATAGCACTGAAAACGTCTTGTTTGAGAGGTGCTCCAATCCCGCTCCTGATAAAATGACTAGAGATAGTTTTTTATTAACTCTGAGTTCAACTTACGGATTTTTTCCCAAATAAAATTATGCAATGAAGAAAGTAATCCTTTGATATTTGCAACCTTACTTTTTTTTTAGACAAATTTTTAGATAAACTCTAGGTTTACAGTGCAGTTGAGCAGAAGGTACAGAGATTTCCTACACACCACATCTCTCAGCAAGGCACAGCCTCCCCTAGAGTCAGTATCCCTCATCAGAGTGGTCCATTTGTTACAGTGGATGAACCTACATCAACACATCATCATCATCCAGGGTCCATAGTTTACATTAGGGCTTACTCTTGGTGGTGTACATTCCATGGGTTTAGACAAAGGTATAATGACATGGATTCATCATTATAGTGTATCTCACAGAGTATTTTTCAATGGCCTAAAGATAATCTGTGCCCTAAAAATCATGCTTTTTAACTGTAGATTTGATAATTTTCTCAGATCATGGCCAAGTCTGTGTCTACAAGTAGAAAATAATTAGGAAATTAAACCATTCATATGAACAGTAAGTTTTTTGTTTATTTGTTTTGTTTGTTTTTTTGTTTCTTTGTTGTGTGTGTGTGTGTGTGTGTGTGTGTGTGTGTGTGTGTGTGTGTGTGTTTTTGAGACAGAGTCTTGCCCTGTCACCTGGCTGGAGTGCAGTGGTGCAATCTCGGCTTACTGCAACCTCTGCCCCCAGGTTCAAGCAATTCTCCTGCCTCAGCCTCCCGAGTGGCTGGGATTACAGGGTCACACCATGCCCAGCTAATTTTTGTATTTTTGGTAGAGACGGGGTTTCACCATCTTGGCCAGGATGGTCTTGATCTCTTGACCTCGTGATCCGTCCACCTCGACCTCCCAAAGTGCTGGGATTATAAGTGTGAGCCACCACACCCAACCTAAGATTTTTATAAATCACGTGAAGAGACTATGGTTTGTGTTATCAAAATCATCTTAATTTGAAAGGCAGATATTACTTCAAGCCTTCATTAGACTCAGAATTTCTTCTACTTTACTGAAAATATTTGGCCAGGTGCGGTGGCTCATGCCTGTAATCCCAGCACTTTGGGAGGCCAAGGCAGGCGGATCACAAGGTCAGGAGATGGAGACCATCCTGGCTAACATGGTGAAACCCCGTCTCTACTAAAAATACAAAAAATTAGCTGGGTGTGGTGGCTGAGATTGCACCACTGCACTCCAGCCTGGGCAACAGAGCGAGACTACATCTCAAAAAAAAAAAAGAAAATGTTTGGCAATTTATACTTTTTTAAAAGTGAGGGACCACCTGTAATTGGTTTATAGCCAAATGTTTAGAGAAGAATATATTACTTAGAATTCAGTGGCGGCCAAATCCATGTCATTTATAAATTTAAAAGTATATATTATTGATTTTATATTTTATATATTTAGAAAGCACCACTCTAAGCACCATATAAAAAGAAAAAAAACACATTCACTGCCATGGAGGTTCTTATTATTTAATACGAGAGATAGGCAATTCTACTATAATACAAGTTAGACTACTGTATGTTTCAAAAAAAAAAAGATGCCAAATAAATGCTATAGGGGAAGGAGGGAGAATAGGTCTCTAGAAATAAGTAAATGTTAGTTTGAGGGATTACAAGGATGATTTTAGATCTAAACTTTTTAAATGACAAAAATGTGGAAGACATGCTACTTGAGACCAAAGACAAAGATAGAAGACACTCCACTGATAAGGCAGCAATCTAGTGGGAAAAAAAGATAAATGCAATAGATTACATGCAAATTATAAGCAAGAAGTATAAATGAATGGTATGGAGCAAAGAAATGGTTCCTGATTCACCCTGGTGGGTGGCTTCCCAGGGGAACGTGACACTTCAGTGGATTCTTAAACAATGAAGAGGCTGCATTAGGAAGACAAGTTTGAGTGCGTGTGTGTGTGTGTGTGTGTGTGTGTGTGTCTGTGTGTCAGTGTGTCAGTGCTGGCTAGTTGAGGGGGGTATTCCAAATAAAATACTTAACAAGAAAATGCACAGAGAAGAGGAGAAATAATGGTGCACATGGGTAACTAGAAGTAGTTTTGTTTCCACTAACATGGAGCTTTATGGAGCAGGTGGAATAATGATCTGGAGAAGCGGTCACATTTCAGGTCACTACCTTCCTTGACTGGGGACCTACTGAACAAACAATCTGAGTAGGGGAAGGGCATAATCAACTTTTGTTATAGAAATACCATTTTCGTGGTGTTAAGGCAGAGGAACTTGAATTGGGAAATGATTCAAGGCAGTGGGATTATTTTAATAACACTGGTAAGAAGTGATGAGTGGGTCAAGGGTAAGAAGGCTTCAATGAGGTTAAAGAATAGTGGAGCGGGAGTGAGGGAATCTGAGTTTAGAGCAATACAAAGCTACAAGAATGAAAATTTGGGATTTGAGTTTTCAGAAATATAATAATTTAAAGTGATGACAAGAAATAGAGTTTGAAAATGCCCCTGGACTATTAGAAATCACAGAGATTGAGAAAAAGGGACCAGTCTAAACCAGACCAATTCATTTGGCTTAGAGGTAAAGCACAAATTCATTATTCAACCTGAAGTACAGTTTGAGGTACAGAGTGTTGATAATTGATACGAAATGACCTGAGAATTGTAGATATTATTAAGGAAGGTGATAAGAGCCATAAGCATTAAAAAGCAGGGACGGAGATGAAGAATATGAAAAAGAGATCCAGAGGCATGGAAAGTAGACAGATGAGGCTCTTCCATAAGCAAATGAATGTTGCAAGAGAGAGGAGAGAATAATTGGCAGAAGGAAAAAATTAAAGATAGATAAGAATTTTGAAGACTAAGTAAGATAAATCCACCAATCTTCCTACTTAGGAGGCTCACCAATCTCAACAAAAGGAAATAAAAAAAGAAATTCACACCCAGAGACATCCTAAAACTGCAAAACAATAAAGAGTCAAGTCTTACAAGTAGCTGATAAGAAGACCACTGTCAGACCAACAATCGGCATTTTAAAGGGTCCCTGGGAACCAGGAGACAAAGTGCCTCCAAAAATAACTAATGTCTCGAACATGTACACCCAGGAAAATTTTGGTTCAAAAAGGAGGGCAAGATAAAAATCTTTTTTAGTTCAACAAAAACAGAGTTTACCACCAAAGCTCCTCACTAAAGTAAAGGAATTCTAAATCATGACATTCATGCAGGTCTAAAGTGTCAGACGGAACCGTGCACCAGGAAAATGTAAATGGGTGAGCAATCTCAACAAAGTAATGCCTGGCGTTGACATTTCAGTTGTTAGCATATGATCAGTTTTATGCATATACCTCGAAATAACAAAAATCAGTAGCCCTTCTTAGATGGAATTAGGAGTGGGCAACAGGTTTTTGTGTAAGAGCACATGTCTCCTGAGTATTCAGAGTAGTCACTGTTCAGCCATATCAAGGCAGTATCCCCACAAAGACTGGTAAATACTTCCTACCCACAGCGTTAAAGTCATACTCAATACATGTGATCCTCTCCCCAAAACTTCCACTGTAAACTTTCTTTTCTCTTTATGATTATTGATCAGGCTGTTTGTTCCCCAAATCCACACATGTATGAATGCATCCACACACACAGAAAGACACACACCCGTGCAAACATATGCACAAATACTTAGAATACCAGCAAGAAAATAGTTGAACAGGTTACTTTCTAAATAGCTGCTATTTGATGATGGCATACCTGGTTAGGGGGAAATAAGTAATTAGCTTAGTTTTAAGAAATATTTGTAGTACCTGTATAATTTCACTCTCTCTCTCTCTATATACACACAGAAGTAAACTGGATACATGGGTCTGGGGCTCAGGAAAAAGTTTGAAACTGAAAATGTAACTTAAATTTTTGTTTAATTTTTTTTTTATTTCAATAGGTTTTTGGCGAACAGGTATTGTTTGGTTGCATGAATAAGTTCTTTAGCTGTGATTTCTGAGATTTTGGTGCACCCATCACCTGAGCAGTGTACATTGTACCCAATGTGTAGTCTTTTAGCCCTCACCACCCTCAACCCTTCCCCCAACCCCACACCCCCACACAGTCCTCAAAGTCCAATGTATCATTCTTATGCCTTTGTGTTCTCATAGCTTAGCTCCCACATATGAGTGAGAAAATACAATGTTTGGTTTTCCATTCCTGAGTTACTTCACTTAGAATAGTAGTCTCCGATTCCATCTAGGTTGCTACGAATGCCATTATTTTGTTCCTTTTTATGGCTGAGTAGTATTCCATGGTGTGTATAACATTTTCTTTATCCACTCATTGATTGATAGACATTTGGGCTGGTCCTATATTTTTGCAATTGCAAATTGTGCTGCTATAAACATGCTTGTGCAAGTATCTTTTTCATATAATGACTTCTTTTCCTCTAGGTAGATACCCAGTAGTGGGATTGCTGGATCAAAAGGTAGATCTACTTTTAGTTCTTTAAGGAATCCCCCTATTGTTTTCCATAGTGGCTGTACCAGTTTACATTCCCACCAGCATTGTAAAAATGTTCCTTTTTACTGCATCCATGCCAACATCTATTATTTTTTGATTTTTTTGATTATGGCCATTCTTGCAGAAGTGAGGTGGTATCGCATTGTGGTTTCGATTTGCATTTCCCTGATCTTTAGTGATGTTGAGCATTTTTCCATATGTTTGTTGATGATTTGTATATGTTTTTTGGGGAATTGTCTATTCATGTTCTTAGCTCACTTTTTGATGGGATTGTTTGTGGTTTTCTTGCTGATTATTTTGAGTTCTTTGTAGATTCTGGATATTAGTTCTTTGTCAGATGTATAGATTGTGAAGATTTTTTCCCACTCTGTGGTCCTGTTAACTCTGCTGATTATTTCTTTTTCTGTGTAGAAGCTTTTTAGTTTTGTTAAGTCCCATCTATTTATCTTTTTTTTTTTTGCATTTGCCTTTAGATTGTTGGTCATGAAGCCTTTGCCTAAGTCAATGTCTAGAAGGGATTTTCCAAAGTTACCTTCTAGAATCTTTATGATTTCAGGTCTTAGATTTAAGTCTTTGATCCGTCTTGAGTTGATCTTTGTATAAGGTGAGAGATGAGGATCCAGTTTTATTATTTTACATGTGGCTAGCCAATTATCCGAGGACCATTTGTTGAATAGGGTGTCCTTTCCCCACTTTATGTTTTTGTTTGCTTTGTGGAAGATTGGTTGGCTATAAGTATTTGGCTTTATTTCTGGGTTCTCTATTCTGTTCCATTAGTATATGTGACTATTTTTATAACAGTACCATGCTGTTTTGGTGACTATGGCCTTATAGTATAGTTTGAAATCAGGTAATGTGATGCCTCCACAATTTTTTTTTTCTTAGTCTTGCTTTGGTTATGTAGGCTGTTTTTCTGGTTCCATGTGAATTTTAGGATTATTTTTTCTAGTTCTGTGAAGAATCATCATGGTATTTTGATGGGAATTGCTTTGAATTTGTAGATTTCTTTTGGCAGTATGGTCATTTTCACAATATTAATTTCTAGCCATCCATGAGCATGGGATGTGTTTCCATTTGTTTGTGTTGTCTATGATTTCTTTCAGCAGTGTTTTGTAGTTTTCCTTGTAGAGGTCTTTTACGTCCTTGGTTAGGTATATTCCTAAGTACTTTATTTTATTTTTTGCAGCTATTTGGAAAGGGGTTGAATTCTTGATTTTGGTTCTCAATTTGGTCACTGTTGGTGATTAACAGTGTTACTGATTTGTGTACATTAATTTTGTATCCTGAAACTTTGCTGAATCTGAATTCATTTACCAGTTCTAGGAGCTTTTTGGATGAGTCTTTAGGGTTTTCTAGGTACACAATGATATTATCAGCAAAGAGCGACAGTTTGACTTCCTCTTTACCGATTTGCATCCCCTTTATTTTTATCTCTTGTCTGATTGCTCTGGCTAGGACTTCCAGTACTATGCTGAGTAGAAGTGGTGAAAGTAGGCATCCTTGTCTTGTTCCAGTTCTTAGGGGGAGTGATTTCAACTTTTCCCCATTCAGTATAATGTTGGCTGTGGGTTTGTCGTAGATGACTCTTATTACCTTAAGGTATGTCCCTTCTATACCGATTTGGCTGAGGGTTTTAATCATTAAGGGATGCTGGATTTTGTCAAATGCTTTTTCTACGTCTGTTGAGATGATCATGTGATTTTTGTTTTTAATTCCATTTAGGTGGTGTATCACATTTATTGACTTAGGTGTGTTAAACCATTCCTGCAGCCCTGGTATGAAACCTACTTGATCTTGGTAGATTACCTTTTTGATATGCAGTTGAACTCATTTTGCTAGTATTTTATTGAGGATTTTTACATCTATGTTTTTCAGGGATATTAGTCTGTAGTTTTCTTTTTTTTTTGTTATGTCCTTCCCTGGTTTTGGTATTAGGGTGATACTGGCTTCATAGAATGATTTAGGGAGGATTCCCTGTTTCTCTGCCTTTGGGAATAGTGTCAATAGGATTAGTACAAACTCTTTGAATGTCTGATAGAACTCAGCTGTGAATCCACCTGGCCCTGGGCTTTGTTTTGTTGACCAATTTTTTTTATTACCATTTCGATTTCACTGCTTGTTATTGATCTGTTCAGAGATTCTATATATTCCTGGCTTAATCTAGGAGGGTTGTACATTTCTGGGAATTTATCCGTCTCCTCTAGGTTTTCTACTGTGCAAAAGTTATCGCAGTTTTCGCCATTAAAAGTAATGGCATTGCTAAGCGCCTACTTTTGCCATTAAAAGTAATGCAAAAACTACAGTTACTTTTTCACTAATCTAATAGCTTATGCACATAAAGGTGTTTACAGTAGCCTTGAATAATCTTGTATTTCTGTGGTGTCAGTTATAATATCTTCCATTTCATTTCTAATTTAGCTTATTTGGATCTTCTCTCTTTTTTTCTTGGATAATCTCACTAATGGTCTGTCAATTTTATTTATCTTTCTAAAGAACCAGCTTTTTGTGTCATTTATCTTTTATATATTTTTGTTTCAATTCCATTTAGTTCTGCTCTGATCTTCATTATTTCCTTCCTTCTGATGGATTTGGGTTTTGATTTATTAGTCACTAATTTTTTGAAACAAAATAACTTGGAAAATCAAATAATTGCTTGAGTTTTTTCTTTAATGCTGTTTTCTGAGTTGCAAATGAAAGAAGATATTTTTGAGGACTTTGTTGTTGTATTTTTCCTTACCTTTGTTAGATAGGAGTTTACTTGCTTAAACTTTTTATTTTTATTTACCATTTCTTTCTGTTATTGTGTGTGTGGTGTGAGATGGGGAGCCCTATGAGAGTCAAGTAATTTTGACCTCAAAAATAGCTCTGGAGTTGTTTCTAATTGGGCAGCTGAGGTGGTCTTTTGGGATCTAGAGTCATGAAGGTCATCTCTCATAGATTCCTGTTCTTTTTGTGCACCGTGGTAGAAGTAGAGAGAATATATTCTATTCAGGGATGGCCTATCTATATGAAGAGGTCAAATGCATTGAAATGAAAAACAAAAAACTAGAGCTAGTGACATTGCTGACAGATGCCAACATTTCTCCACACTATTTTATAATAAAAAAAAAAATACCTCTCTGCTAAGAACAGCAGAGGCTTGATTATATTTATTGGTGTTAGATGACTAGGGACTAAAATAAATGATTCCTCAGTGTAAAAGTAGGCAGATAATTCTATTACCTAATTTTCTCTTTCAACAGTCAGGAAACTTTCAGTGAATTTGGTCCCTGTAGGGTAACTCCCAATTTCCTTCTCCCCCTACGATAAAACAAACAGAATATGAGAGAATTCGTTTGTTATTGGACTAACATGAAAATACACAACTTAATATACAAATTTAATGTGTTTAATCTAATTTAATGTGGTAAAATAAAGCATAGATTGTTTTTCCTTCGAATGTCATGTTCTTACAAATACTTAAAAATGTTCATTTTTGTTCATGGTAGTCTAAAACTAAAAGCAACACATAAAGATACCAGGAGTGTTTTACCATCTTTTCTGCCATTGTTTATGAATGAAGTGTCCTTCAACCCCCGTGTATCTTTGTTGAAACATTTTTGGCAGAAGTTATGAAAAATAAATAATAGCAACTTAGAACATAGAAGAGACTGTGGATAAATTCAGATTCCAGCAATTTGAGGCACCAAATGGCACAATGCTTCTAATCATTGATGTTTCCATATTGTGAAAAGAGATAATCTAAAAGTAATTCCAAGGAGAAAGGCCTTTACTGATAACATAAGGATGATTAGTTTGTTGGCACAGGGGCAGGCAGAATAAAATGGAAGTAAAATCTCACTCCTGGAATGTTGCAGTTGAAACAGCCCATGCCTATATCCGAACAATGCCTAATGAGTTAGATGATGAAATTTGGGAGTTCTGAGCTGACGAGTCTTAGGATTTTGAGTTCATGCTGTAATGGTTTGAGATTTGGGGGATATTAGGATGGGATTGGATTCATTTTACATGTGGGATGGGCACCATCCTTTGGGGCTAGGGAGGCTGACTTCTGTGTGCAAAATAATGCCACTCAAAGATGTCCAATCATGAATTTCCAAAAGTTGTAAATATGTTGAATTTCATAGGAGAAGGGACTTTGGCTATGTATTGTGTATATGTTAAAGAAAGCTTAAAATTTAAAACAATATTATATTTAGTTATCTTCAACTTTGAAGAACCATAACTATTTCTCTAATAATAACATTTAAATATGTTAAAAGTCATTAAGCACATAATGACCTTTTAAACAATCTTAATAACAAAGGCCAGAATGACAAATAGAGCAGTGTAATTGCACACAACTCAGAATCACAGAAATTTAAATGGGACAGAGTTAAATCCTTAGGTAATCCAATCTCCCCATTGCATTGATTAAACTGTGGACCAAAAGCTTAAGTGAATTGTCCAAAGTCCCAGTCCAAGTAACAGAAGAGTACTCCGTCTTTTTTTAGTGCTAAAGCTAGAAATTGAAGTCAGTTCTGCATCATAAGTATTTTCTTCAGCAAAGCATAATAAAGTTATTTATAGAGTTAAACATGTTTATATCTATAAAGATTTTTTAAGTCTTCTAGTTTATGATCTCACATTCATTAAAATGGAAAACTTTCAAGTTTAAAATTAGCTTTGATATATTCGCAAAGAGCAGTCTCTAGAGTCCTGGTTGAAGAACTGAACATCAGAGAGTAAGATGCCTCCTTACTTCTTTCCATCCTTCCCTCTATTCTGATGTCTTATTTTAATTAGACTAGATCTCAATACTTGAACTGTAGTAATCCTCAAGTGTATATTGCAAACAGTTTTGTGGAATGGTTCCTTAGGAACCTCACATAACAAGCTGAGTTCAGAGACAGCGGGAAGTCCTGGAAGGTGAAGGTGTGGGTGGGACATCAGTTTTATTTGCTGAGAAGAGTTAAGTAAGCTGAAATGTCTGCTCCATTTCAAAACTAATTAATACTCCATCCTGTGGAACAGGCTAGTTTTAAAATATTCATTTAATACATGTATCAGTAGAGGTTTTCATTATTGCAACAGCATTATGATCTTAATACTTTCAAACATAGTTTTGCTTATTTCAGAGAACTCCCAACCCTCACAAAAAGAGGCAACTCAAGTCTCTAGGACATCAAAATACTGATGAAAATCTCAGATATTTATTCAAATAAGGTAACAAAAAATTGAGTTTTGTGGCCTGACATTTCGACGTTGTGTAATTAGAAAAGCACAGAGTTTTAAAGCATCCCTGGCATGACCTATGGTCATTGCTTCCTGACTATTGCTCCGTGCAAGTAAAGAATACAGAACAGAAACAGCCCGGGACTAAATGTCAAAGGCCAGAGGTTATGTACCATGTGGCTCTCAGCAAGGTCTTACTCTCTCTCCACATATGAAGCAGGCACAGTAACTCATTTTCCTTTTATCTCATCATTAAACAAATCAAATAAAGCAATGAATTTATAATTCTTTATTTTTTTAACCTTTGTTTAAGGTTTGAGGGTGCATGTGCAGGTTTGTTACATAGGTAAACACATGTCACAGGGGTTTGTTGTACAGATTATTTTATCACCCAGGTACTAAGCCCAGTATCTAGTAGTTATCTTTTCTGCTCCTCTCCCTCCTCCCACCCTCCCCCGTCAAGTAGACGCCAGTGTCTCTTATTTCCTTCTCTGTGTTCATAAGCTGTTATCATTTAGCCCCCACTTACAAGTGAGGCATGATATATTTGGTTTTCTGTTCCTGTGTTAGTTTGCTAAGGATGAAATAGTCTCCAGCTCCATTCATATTCTGGCAAAAGACATGATCTCTTTCTTTATTTTTTATTTTTATTTTTTCATAAGTTATTGGGGTACAGGTAGCATTTGGTTACACGAGTAAGTTCTTTAGTAGTAATTTGTGAGATTTTGGTGTACCCATCACCCGGGCAGTATACACCACACCATATTTGCAGTTTTTTTCCCTTTCCCCTCTCTTCTTCTCCCCAAGTCACCAAAGCCCATTGTATCATTCTTATGCCTTTGTGTCCTCCTAACTTAGCTCCCACCTATCAGTGAGAACATACGATGTTTGGTTTTCCCTTCCCGAGTTACTTCACTTAGAATAATAGTCTCCAGTCTCATCCAGGTCACTGCAAATGCTGTTAATTTGTTCCTTTTTTTTTTTTTTAATGGTTGCAGAGATTACCGTTCAAATGGCAACGTTGGCCAAGAACATCTGATTTTGCTAGAGGAGACTCGAAGTCGCAGCCACTAGGTGGCGCAGCCTCATCGCTCGCCCCCTTCAGGCCAGGTCCGGGTGGCCAGGGGTACCCTGGTTCTGTCAGGTGACCTTCCTAGACAGGCACTATCGACTTGGGGGGCATCTGTAATGACTTTACCTTATCAGATAAATCGAAACTATATCATTAATGACAGTGTAGGATATGCCACCAGGGACAAAAACTCCGATCTTTGACTTAACAGGCAACTTTTAAAATACTCATTTTGAAAATGGGAGAATCAGCAGGGCAAATTTAATCTGCTTAAAATCCAGAGTGCCTTTTCAAGTATTTTTTAAAATCTGTAGTTCTTTAAGTTCTATAATTTATTGGCCAAAGTAACTTACAAGTATTGATAACAGTCCATGTAGCATTATCATTTTGGATGGCAAGCTGACGGGTAGGGGCCAGGGCCTAACCTGTATTTGAATCACGATGCTTAGTTAGGGTCACCTTTTTTGGTATAGACTGCAGGACACAGCACACCACAAAATATAGTTTCCTAAAAGACAGAAAGTCTCTTATATACAAAGTTGAATACCCTGTACTATCTCAGTTATATTGTAGCTTTCCTTTTAATTATCATTCAAGGTGGCCATGACATTTAAAAAATAATTTTCCAGGATACACTGTTTTTATTTTCTGTGACTGTTCAACTTACCACTTACTTGAAAACCTTTATTTGCACATAAAGAGGATTGAATAAAGGTAAGTATATGTAGCATTCACTAAATATGCCTCTCATGAAAGGTAATTTATATGAAATAATTAACTCTACAACCCAGGACTTAATTGTACATGTGTGGCAAAGAAAATATCTGATTCAATCATTTTAAACAAAATAAAATATAACTGGAGAAAACACAACTGCATAGCCAGTACATCTTAAAAAAAGATTATATAAATTTTATCACATAGCATTGAAAACCAAACAGAATACAGCTCTTGCTGAATTCCATATTCATATGCTTCTTGATGTTTTAATCTACAGAGGTATGACTCAAGATGTAAAAATCTGTGTATGAGAATCTGCATATCTGCATAAACAGTGAAGATTGACAGTTCCCACATGGTGGGATGAAAAGGAAAGTAACAAAGTTAGTTAATAGTATAACTGGTGGTATACTATTTATTTAACATTTAAAAACTGTGCTGTTAAGAGAATGAAGAAATAAAACATAGGTTGGGGGAAATATTTACAAAACATATGTCTGATAAGGGACTTTTATCCAAAATGTAAAAAGAGCTCTTAAAACTCAACAACAAAGACAAACAGTACAAATTTAAAAATGGGCAAAAGGTCTGAAAAGACTCCTCACCAAAGAAAATATTAAGATGACAAATAAGCAGATGAAAAGATACTCAACATTGCATGTTGTAGGGAAACATAAATTAAAACGATAATGAGATACCACCACACACCTATTAGTATGCCTAAGATTGGAAACAATGACAACAGCAAATGCTGGCAAGGATGTGAATAAACAGGGACTCTTATTCACTGCTAGGGAGAATGCAAAATGGTTCAGCTATTTTGAAATATGATTTGAGAGTTTCATACACAACTAAACATTTTTACCATATTAACTAGCAATCAGTCTTCTTGGTATGTTCTCAAATAAATTAAAAATTTATACTCACACAAAAACCTGCATGTGGGTGTTATAGCAGGCTTATTTATATTTGCTAAAACTTGGAAGCAACCAAGATGTCCTACAATAGGTGAATGAATAAACAAACTTTTGTATATCTATACAATGGAATATTATTTAGGGCTCAAAAGAAATGAGTTATCAAGCTGCGAAAAGACACAGATAAACATTAAATGCATATGGCTAAGTGAAAGAAGCCAATCTGAAATGGCTATGTACTGCATGATTACAACTACCTGACTTTCTGGAAAAGGCAGCAGTATAGAGAGTAAACAAATCAGTGGTTATCGTGGATTTGGAGGGAGAAGAGGGATTGACAGGTGGAGCACAAAGGATGTTTATGACAGTGAAATTATTCTGTATGATACTGTAATGGTGGACCCATGACGATGGGCATTTGTCAAAACCCATAGAACTGCACAATGCAAAGAGTGAACCCTAATGTGAATGAGGGAATTCAGTTAATCATAATCTGTCAATATTGATTCATCGGTTGTAACAAATGTAGTGAGATGACAACAAGGGAGATGTGTATGGGGGGTGACATATGGGACTGTCTGTATACTCTGCCCAATTTTTCTGTATACTGAAATCTGTAAAATGTAACTCATTGATTAAAAAACAATACTACTTGTTTTTATCATTTGTAGCTTTTTGTAATACACATAATTTTGAAACAAATTACTCTTTTCTATAATCTTCAGGTAAAAATTAGGGTAGCTTTTTAAAATTTGTTAAGCTCAGTTTTAAAAAATAAATGCCTAGGTAGATCAGTTTTGAAATAACATATATTCCCCCATTTCAAATATGTGAAGAAGCTCAATGGCTTAAAATTTGGAAAATGTAATATTTAACTCAGTTGTTTGCATTATGTAATGTTTACTATACACCCATAATATAAATATTCCTTAATTATATTTAAAGTAATTCCTTTTTACATTTTTCTCCTCTATTTATTTATGACAAATTGAACTCAGATATTAGTAACTTGTTCAGGCCATACAAGTTGTCACCGGAGGACATTACTAATTCTAAAGTACATACCTTTTTTAATACAAAAGTTTATTA
Organism: Homo sapiens; assembly: GCF_000001405.40. Classification (NCBI taxonomy): domain Eukaryota; kingdom Metazoa; phylum Chordata; class Mammalia; order Primates; family Hominidae; genus Homo; species Homo sapiens. The sequence continues at coordinate 107,647,583 of NC_000013.11, read as the reverse complement.
ATTTTAAGCAGCATCTTATGTTATTAAGGTTTCATGGGATTGTTATGTTTGCAATTCTGCCTTTGTAGAAACAATCTATATGTCCATCAGTAGGGGAAGGTTTAAGTTTTTTTTTTTTTTCGATAAAACATAGTACACCATGCAAGAATTTAAAAGGAATGAACTGGAGCTGCAAGTGTCAACATGATGAGGTTCTTTTTTGATTTAGTAGAATATTTTTAGTGAAAATGCATCTTGTCTGTATGGTAAAAAAGGACAAAATTTTGAAAACTAACTCTTTACTGAGGGCATAGAGTGAGGGAAGAGACAGGATTTATTCATGTTCTTGTATTTTTCCAGGGAACATCCTCATCTTATGCTTCCTTTGCATTTAATTCCATTTTCGTTTTGTTTTCTTTACCAACATTTTGGTGATTGCTCATATTATTATATATAAATTACCTCAATCTGCACAGTGATTCACTGATTACATATAATATCATGTATTTAACCAGTCTCTTTAGGATATTTCCAAACTTTTGATTTATAAATAAAGCTACAATAAGCATTCTAGTATGTAAGTCTTTACCCAATGAGTGGTAATATCTGTAAATTCATATTAGTAGACTTGCTTGGTCAACAGGTGAGTGCATTTTAATTTTTGATGTGATGTCAAATCTTTACTAAAATATTATGTAAATACAAATCATTGTCCTTTAGAAAATAAAAAAGAATCACCATATGAATTTCTTTCCTAATGAGAACACTCTGATTTAAACTAATGAATTCATATATTCATAAATTAACCTCATAAATTTTACTGACAAGCTCTTAAAGATAGCTGTCAATGTAAAAAGATTTATATTATACCTATGCCATGATTAAATACAGCTAAATTCAGGAGTCTCATCAAATTGATTGATGTAGAGTGTTACTTATTTTATATTAGAAATCAAACACATTATTATACAGATTACATTAATAGAGAAAAAATTCATGTGAAAATATTTTACTCAGTAATTAAGAATAAGGAAATAATCTAGGTCCTCTAATCAACAATGCGTTGAGTCACTGGTCGTTTTACCTGTGAGAATATAGGATAAGAAGGAAAAACAATAGAAAAGAAGGGATCAGCATCTCTTCAGGCAGTTTATTTTAAGGCAGTGGCTTCTCAATTTTAGAAAAGACGAAAATCCCATCAGATGACATTTTATTTCACTGCATCATTTGGAAGATACTACTGTTATTATGTTAGGATGTGAATGTGAAAGGTTTTTACCTGTCTACACCATTTTGTTGCTTTTTTTTTTTTTTAAGAAGTTGGCAGTTTTCCAGGGAGTGTATGTGAAAGAGTACAGGATAGGAAGTGTTAATGTTCTTCATCTGAAAGGTAAAATTACTATTTTAGTTATAAAGGAATAGCTTGTTGACCAGCGTTCCCACTGAGAACATCTAGAAACGTTAGATGCAATTTTAAAAGATGTGTAAAACTCTCAGTGCTGACTGGTCAGTGCTAGAAGGGCTGTTACCAAGAGCAGGGAAGCCCGTTTTTGTGAGGCAAGTTTGCTGCATCCTGTTTTCCCCATAGTGTGATTTGCTGATTGCTGATGCAGGGTAAGAAACCAAGAACTCCCAGAACTCAGGTTGAGAGTGGCTACCAAGAGTCAGAACGAGCATCTGAACTTACTGCAACCTCTTGGAGTTTGGGAGCAAAAACCTGGAATTGAATTTTGCTATGATACTCGGGAATGAGAAATTAAAATCCCAGAGAGGAGAAAAGCACAAGGAAATAAAGTCAATACATGGTGCCGGTTTTGCCTTCAGTTATTTGCTGATTAAGCTGCTCAGGGCAGAAGTCTAAGAAACCAGGCACAGAACAGCTGGAGAGTAAAACAGGGATTTTTTTTTTTTTTTTTTTTTTTTTGTCTCCCAGTATTTGCATGGTGGTAGAGACAGAGAAATTTGAGTTCATAACTTGCAGAGGAGAATTTGTAGAAAACTACCCAGGCTCTCTGTTGTCAAAACAGGACAAGAAAAGAGATAAAAATTGTATTAAGTGGATAGGATAAACAGGTTGTAAATACTAATATAGCATACCTAAACCCAAAACAATTGGGTGAGTTAAACTGATTAAAATCAGTAAAACATATAAATAGTAACAGCATTCCATTTGGCAATTAGTACCAAATTGGATAAAATCTTCACAGATTCTGGGGATGAAAAGGTGAACATCTTTGAAGGTGGGGACATTATTCTGGCTACCAGGGTCATCAAAAACATGCACACTGAAAAACACTTTGATACTTCTATATCCTTCAGATTGGTTAAAATGAAAAGGACAATACTAAGTGTTGGTGAGGATGTGGAGCAACTGTAACTGCTTGTGGTGTTGTCAGCAATCACTTTGAAGAACAGTTTGGCAGTGCCTATTAAAGCCAAATATATACATCCTTAAGACTCAGCAACTTGACTCCTAGGTACATTAATGAAAATGCTCACATGTATTTATAGCAGCATTATTTATAATAGTCTAAAACTGGAAACTCTAAATGCTCATCAGTGGTGGCAATACCAAATAAATTGTAGTACATTTATACAATAAGATAAAGCAAAGCAATTGGATGACCTCTTAATACACAAAATAGCAAGAAGATAGACACAGTAGAAAATAAAATATATGATTCTGTGTGTATAAAGATCAAAAGACAGCCAAAACACATCTACGGCAGTGATTATTTTTGCTGTACAGCAGTATGAGGCAAGGATCATCACTGATCTGGGTGGTGGTTCCAGAGGTGTGTTCACTTTTCTTTCTGTACGGTTAAAGAGTTACTTTAAACATTAACACTTAAAAATATGTTTAAGACCATGTTTTAGACCTATGAACAGTTTCCTTATACTACTGGAGCATGCTATGATTTGCAACTTAAGTGAAAGCATATATATATATATATATATGTATGTATGTATGTATGTATACACACACACACTCTAAATGTCTTTTTTAAAGGTATTTTTTTCTGTCCTGTGATGCTAAAATTAACTAGAAGAATGCATTAAGTAGCCAAGTGGAGAGTGGTTGAGTAGAAAATGCACATGATTTAAAGTTAATTAGATATGGGTTCAAGTTCAGTCTTTGCCATTTATTGGCTACTTAGCACTGGATAGATTTTTTTTTTTTTTAACCTGAGTTTCCGTGTCTGTAAACAGGGGAAATAATATTAAACCTGGTTGCTATTGTGAAAATGGGAAGTAATAGACGTATGTTTCTGAGTATGTAGTAGTGTTTCCTGTGTCAACAGAAGCTATCACACAACTGTGTAAACCTTATGTCAACAGAAGCTATCACACAACTGTGTAAACCTATCATTAAAAATTCACCTTGGCGTTCTGTATTTTATTCTGTATTAAAATGTTACATGTATTTTTAAAGAGATATTCTTGAGATGAGTATTTCTGAAGACGTAAATTTTATGGTATTAGGTTTATAAATTATCCTCATCCATATATAGACTTGTGATTTTTCTACTTAAAAATAAATATCTGTCAAAAATAAGTCATGTAAATAAATTACACATTTGTAATTCTTCAGAAATTTGCATGTGCTCAAATAAAAAATTTTGGCAAAAAAAAAAAAAAAAATCATCTGAAACTCAGTGGCAGGAGGAGTTTCAGTCTCCTGACTCTCAACTTCTCTCTCTCAATGGAAAATCTAGCTGATGGGCAGACCAAGCTCTGACCCACCTGGATCTCCCTTGAGGCTGCACAGGAAGTGAATTATCAGAAGGGGATGCACAAAGGGATTTAGTTTGAGTCAAATGATTTTTGGCATTAGGCATGGTACTACTTCCTCTGTGGTTCAGCAAACCTTCTCCACTTTCAAAATTGAAAATGTATTTTTTCTCATCATAAAAAGTAACATGTAAAGACTCGAAAACTAAAAAACCATTAAGAAAATAAAATTGCTTATTTTTCTAATAATCCTCCCCCTTTATTTGTTCCCTTTGATCCAAATAAAACGATTTCATATTTTAAATTGTCATTTCGTTTCACCCCCCCCCCACCAAATACACTGTATATGGAAATTATACTGTATTTACATTTCTATGTCCTGAGTTTTTCTTATCTCTATTTGGAAGCCCTTCCTGTAACTTACACATCTTTGAAACCATAATTATAAATAACTGTGTCATATTCCAGTTTTGAATGGGAAGAGTTTATTAAACTATGGTTGCTAGCCCTCCTCGCTGACACATTCTTCTTTGGTTATACTAATACCTTAAGTCTATTATTTCTTATCTCTAATTTCATTCAGTTAGCCACCTCATCAATGGAAATAATCATTTTAGCAAAAGCATTTGTGTTTGTAACTTAAGTATAACATCACTGTGTTCTTGAGTACAATCATCACCAGGCCATAAACATCTTCTTGGGAATTAAGTGAAGACCATAACCCATGGCGGACTCTGTCTGGATGGGTGAATGCATTTCCCAGTGTGCTTTGGCTGGGTGCCCCTAACGGAGAATGAACTGCGAAACCTGATGACATACGCCTGCTCTTCAGCCAACAGTCAGCTGTGTGGGATGCTGTCTTATTCCATGATATGTGCCATCTGCCTGCATGTGCTGTGACCCTCATCCATGTGGAAATTAGGGCAAGGCAGAAACTCCAATGCGATGCTTCTGCATCAGCTCCTTTTCCTGAAACAGCCAATTTAAGAGCAGAACACAATAGCCAGCTCTTTAAGTGAAGTTAAAAGGGGTTCTGGCATGAGCACATACAACATAAGGAGAATGATTAAGGCATTTGTTCACGATAAACAATGTGCTATAGCTATGTTAAGTGTTAGGCACTGACTGTATGCTCAACTCTCTTTCCTTTCCCCATTATCATCTAACGTGGGTCTTTGTGATCTTTTTACCTATGTATGTATCCCTCTGTGATGTGCTGGTGTCTGTCCTTCCACAAAAACTACACATTTCTGAAATAGATAAATAGAAATTTGACTAAGATGAATCCTAGTGATATTTTCAGGAGCTATATGTTGACATAGCTAAATATCAAGAATTGATTGTTGTGAATAAACAAAATAGACCATTTCAGCTCAGCAACATGCAATGTATGCAATGATTAACATCTTATATGCTGGGCATATGATGTCTATTTTTTTATTCATTGGAAACCAAAATTCTATAATGCCTTATATAGTGCCAGATGCATGGCATTGACTTAAACGTTTGTTGGATGCATGGATAAATGCTGACTTCAATTCAGATATATTCTTATTGTGTGGGCATAGCCAATATTTTAGCTCAGTTAACTGAATAATAGAGAAATAAATAAGTGAAACTCTGCCTTCACTTTTAGTGAAAATGTAATTCCATGAATTATGGCAACTACTTCCTCCTACCTTTCATAGTTGTTGGAAGCAGAGCGTCTCAGCTTTTACTGTGCATAAAAATTGCCTGGGGATTGTATTAAGATACAGATTCTAATCCAGTGGGTCGGGGAGATGCTGCCTTTCCAACGTGCTCCCAGGCCAGTTGATGCTGCTGGTCTGAGGACCTTACCTGGTCTCAGCACTGGGTTTGTCATTCTTCACTGCACATTGCAGTCACCTGGAAAGCTATATATAGAAGCTACCGATGCCAAATCTCATCCCTGAGATATCTGGATTTAATGGGTGTGGTATGAGATTTGGGTTTGGGGTTTGCTGAAGTTTTCCAGGGGGTTGTAATATACAGAAACGCTTGAGAAGTACCATGTGGTGTTGAAACCTGGTTCATAAATCCCCCTAGATTCTTGATCTCGCTTGCTCCTGCTGAGTTGGCCCCCAGCCACGGTTCAGGTTGTGAGGCCTGATACAAGATCTGCCATCCAGGAACCTGTCAAATTGAGACTTAGAGACTCCGACTATTCAATTCAAGGCCTTACAATAGTAATATCTTGCCTATGGTGGTAACTAAGCCATCATTTTTGCCCATTGTTGCTATTATTGATGTTACTATTATTTTTATCTCCAAATCTCTATTTGTTTTTTCCAACTAAAATTATGACTCATGTTTATTTTTTTAAATGAATGTATAATAGTGGCACAAGTGATATTTTGATAAATGCATACAATGTGTAATTATTAAATAATGATAGTGGACTTATCCATCACCTCAATTATCTTTTTTTGGGTTGGGAACATTCAAATTCTTAACCTTTAGCTATTTTGAAATAAGCAACAAATTATTGCAAACTGTTGTCTCTCTACTGTGCTGTTGAATACTAGAACTTACTCCTTGTATCGAATGGTATTTTCATACCCATTAACGATTTGTCTTCATCCTCCTCCATCTGACCCTTCCTAGCCTCTGGGAGCCACCACTCTATCCTCTTCCTCCATGAGATCTACTTTTTTAGCTTCCACATATGAGTGGGAACATGAGATTTTTATCTTTGTGTTCTTAAAATAGTTCACTTAACATAATCACCTCCAGTTGCATCCATGTTGCTGTAAATAAGATGATTTCATTTATTTATAACCAAGTAGATATTTCATTGTGTGTCAATACCATATTTTAGTTATCCATTTATCCATTGATGGACATAGGTTGATTTCATATTTTGGCTATTGGGAGTGCAGACATCTCTGACATACTGATTTCCTTTATTTTGTGTGTATACCAAGCAGTGAGACTGCTGGATGCCGACTTTTTAAAGATAAGTTGTATGCCTTGTAATCTTTTATATCTTGCCATAGGGCCTCATACTGGTCTCAAGATCTAAGAGAAACACAATGAATGTTGCTATCTTCTCTCTTTGGGGTCTTTTATTATTATTGTTCCTAGGTCTCACACAGAGTGATATAACACAAATACCAAATATATTTCTTGGATTATTATTATTCTTAGAAAAAATACTCATGCAAATGAAATCTTGAGATAAAAGTAATCTTATAAAATTATTTATGCAAATATTGTCCCCTGGCTGATATATTTCCATGGAGTGATGGATGAAAGTCATCTCTGAAGAACACTTGGTCTATAGATTGTTTCATATTTATTAATCCCAAATCTTATATAGTAAAACTGATGTGAAATTAAAGGTTATGAGAATGCTGCTGAGAAAGTTGGCTAAAATAGTTTGGATGCCATTTTACTGTATCTTAAAAATGTTATGTTAAAATAAAATAAAACCAAATAAGCTTATAAATTTAGGAACGTTTTATTTTAAATTCTAAAATTCCCTGCCTTGACTTTATAGTGCTAACAAATTTGCTCTACAGCATAAACAGGCATGTTCTCATCAGTTTAGCTGTACACTGTGTTATATAGGGCAGGTTATAATTTTTATTTTGTTCCTCTGACTAATGCCGTAGTACTTAGTGGTTGAGACATAGAATTTGTTTATAACCTTTAACACTGTGTAAAGTTGTTTTCTTCTTTTTTTTGGCAGAAGTTTCTTTTAATTATAATTTTAAATGATTTCCTTTTCACTCACCAAAGCAATGCTGTAAAAACAAGAAGGCAAGTTAAATAATAAATATTTTAAAACAGTCAATGATTCCAATCCTTTTGAATATAAGATTTGCCCTTATCTTATCAAGCATTTGCCTGGATGATGTTTGATTATAAAGACGAATTCAAAACAGCTGTAATATAAGATGTGTTAAATAATTCTCAAATATTTGTATATTCAAGAAATAATAGGTGCCAACTACCTTTCTCAGGTATTAGGAATACCAGCATGAGTAGAGCACAATATCACTCATAATAACACTTTGTAGATTGTTACAGAAATAAGAATAAAAGAATGCAATGAGCACAGCAAGGACCTGAGCTGGACATGACCCTCTTTACTTGAGGTTTCAGGCATGGCATCATGCCTGAGTTGAGACTTGCTCTTTGTCAGTGTTTGTTTAGTGCTAGTGATTCCAGGATTTATACACCCCAAACCTGTGTCCTGAAGAAGCCTGGGGTCTGAGAAGGAGAGCATACATTCCTAAACACACAGTGGTATGGGGCTATGCACAGGCTGCAATCAGGGCACAGGGCGTGGAGTGGAACAGCTAGTACAGACAGGGTAGTTAGGGAAGTGTTTTAGATAAAAATTCAAAGCACAAATTTAGCTGACTTTTTTAAAGTGTAAGTTGGAGGTAAAGTGCAAGGACACTCCAGGATGAGTAAATACTATGAGCAAATGCGTGCATGGCATGGAGTGTCTACAGAACTATCGTGTTTTTTTTGGCTGGGTCATCGGGGAGAAAGGAAGGTGAGTTTGTTGAGAGATGCGTTTGAAAAAGTTGGCAGGGATCAGATCACTGCAGGGTCTTGTATTTCAGGCTGCAGCTTGCAGGCCATATACTATGAAAGAGCAGAGGGGAATGGCATTAGACTTTGCCTTGCAAGTCAGTTGAGCTGCCATGGAGGATGGATTAGAAGGATTCCATTTGACTTCCAACAAAATAAATACCTTATATTAAGTAAATTATCTCTTCATAGGAGCAGCTTTTTTTCATTATTTCTCTCAGGAGAACAATTTGCTTTTATTGAGGATGTACTGTAATCCATCAGCTGTTGTAATAATAATCAATCAGCAATTCTTTATTGAGCTCCTGTTGATGAAAAGCATTTACATGTTATGTGCATATAGGGAAGCCAGACGTCAGCCATCAGTGTCTCTGATTCTTCCATCTTTGCGAGATCTGGCCCCACTTACATCTGTGAAGTCACCACTCATCACCTTCCTGTAGCCCACTGTTCTCCAGCCTCACTAGCCTTCTGGAGTGCTTCAGTCGAATGGATCTCGATCCCATCCCACAGCCCTTGCCTAGCCCAGTTCCTCTGCCCAGAGAGCTTTTCTCCAAAATCTTCAGATAGCTGTCTTCTGAATGATTCAGGTACCAGCTCTTCAGAGAGGTCTTCCTGACTCTACTGTAGAAACTTTCTCAGCTACTCTCTTGCCTCATTGCTGTTTGTACTGTTATTAGTTTTTCCTTCAAAGCTTGCATCACTCTCTGAAACTGTCTTATTCAGCAATAAGCTCACTTTGTGATTGTCCCTTATCCTCTTCTCCCTCTGTCCTATCCCAAGTTATGAGACTCCTTCAAGCAGGGACATCCTCTGCCTCATTCGCTGCTATCCTCCAGCACCTTGAGTGGTGTCCAGCATATAGTCAGCATGCAATAAATACTTGTTGAATGAATGAATGAATGAATGAATCATACTTTCCTTACCTAGGTTACTCAGTGGGAGTTCTCCACTCCCATAAACAAACAGGTCTAGTAATATGTTTTGCTAAACAAAAAAATAATCTACTCCTGGAAATAAATGATACCACTTTCATGGAAGGTAGAAGCAGTCTGCCAATGTTCATCTTAAATAATATCTCCCAATGTTCATCTTAAATTATATATATATATATATATAAATCTTTATATAGATAGGGATATATACTCCAAGTGCTTTCATATATAGGTTCATTGCTATGTTTGATTTCCATAAACACTCTAGCAGGAACAGATGATGTCGTTTTTAGATGTCACTTATGAGGAAAGTTGAACTCAGGAAGATGACTTACGGTCATTAAGGCACTGTATGGTACAGAGTTGTTAAAACCAAATCTGTTGAGTTTTCATCTTTGCACTCACCATGGTGACGTTTCTAAGGCTAATTTGACTCTCTAAGTCAAGAATCACAAGCTAAAATGCCAGTGAACATTAGACAAGTAAGGAAAATGGATGAGGTAGACAGAGAATGGGATGGTCCTTTGGATCCCATGTAACATGTGTAGGTTTATAAGACTTCTAGATCATTACTCAGTTTCTTCTCAAAAACTTGCATTTTAGCATCCCACATGCGACTCTTTATTGGATTATTTGTGGCTGGTTCAGCCCTCCCATTTGCATACTTTTGGTTCCAACATGGGTTGGAAGATAAAATGATCTGCAGAAAGAGGGGCTTCAGTCGAATGCACAGGCTGCACTGGACACACTAGCACGTGGCAGTCAGGTACAGTACTTTTTGGCAAAAAGGATAATGAATCTGCCACAGCAGTGTTCGTTGACTGAGAGCTTAATTGTTCACTAAAGGAAGAAAATAAGATTTTAAAGCCTGTTTACACAGGGATCTTCAGGTAGCAGCATTTTAGGGGGGTTAGAATATAACACAGAGAAGGCTTTTCTTTTTGGAAGGAAGTACCTTGAAATAGTAGTAGATTTATGTTGTGGTTTGGTTATGGTTTGAGTTGTAAGTATAGGAGAAATATAATAAAAATTCCCCAAATAGAATAATTACATCATGAATAAAATTCCCCAACAACTTAACAAATAAAGTTTTCCTTAATAAATTATATATATATATACACACACACACAACAAATACAATATACAGTTATGCATTGCTTAACAACAAAGATATGTTCTGAGAAATACATCCTTAGCTGATTTTGTCATGCCAGCATCATAGAGTGTGTTTAAGCAAAATGAGGTGTTATAATCTATGATACACCTAGGCTATATGGTATAGCCTAATGCTCCTAGGCTGCAAATCTGTATAGCATCTTACTGTACTGATACCGTAGGCAGTTGCAACACAGTGATAATATTTACATGATAGGAATTTTTCTGCTACATTATAATCTTATGGGACCACTGTTCTTAATGTGGCTCATTATTGACTAAAATGTCTTCATGTGGATCATGACTATAATATAATATAATATAATATATATAATATAGATTAGCATAGTCTCATAAGAAGACAACAAAATTAAATCAATGGATCAGGTTTACCTCATATATTATGTACTTTTAAGTGCGAGAAAAGGTGAAATTTAAATACTGGGCAGTATTAAGAAAAATAGAAAATAACTTTGCTGTACTGGAAAAAAGTATAGAGGCTACCAAGTATATTATAAAATTAAGACTGATTTAAATAATACTATAATTTTGTACTTTAAAGTCTATTTCCCTTTACCATACAAAATTGTACAAGAAGAGTTAAAAAGTAAGAAGCATCTGTTGCTTCAAAAAGCAATCAGAAAGCTGAACAAATGGACTATGATATAGAAGAAGCTAGAATTAGAAATAGTGAAAAGGGTTTATCTTTTAGCATTTTTTCCTTGAAAATAAATGGTTAAATGTTAGTCTTCTTGATCAGTGTCTAGATGGGGCACCCACAAATCAATCTTTTAAAACCATACAATGAAGAAATGTTCCATATTGTGAGTTCTATAGTATTGGTACCAGACAATTCCAAACGATTTGTGTTTGTTTTAAAGCTTTCAATGAATGGATGCTCGAGCAAACTCAGCTATATTTTATTTCAGTTTATATCTTGTTTGGCGGCTTTGGTTTTGATCAAGTTATTCTGGGTAATGGATTCAATAATTCGGCCGTGTGATGTAGTGACAGCTTCTGCTTCTTCGCTGTGCAGGAGGGATGTGATTCACCTGCTTCATGCTTCTTTTGGTGCAGATTCCAAGTGCACTGATGAGGGCAGGCTGGTGCAAAAGTAATCATGGTTTTTGCCATTACTTCTAGTGGCAAAAGCCGCAATTACTTTTGCACCAACCTAATAGGTAGCTTCCCCTATTTATTTTCCCTTCCATAAAATACTTTTCTCACTTCTGTAAAATGCTTTTCTTTACAGCTCACTTATGTGATTTTTCTTACTAAACATCCCCCAATTTTATTGAGGTTTAGGATTTAATAACTGAATAAGCTATAGAAGACCAAATTATACTTGCAAATTTGGGATAGGCTTCTATTCCCTATTCAAGCCAATCAATTAACTGTGCAACTAGTAGGTTGTGCTTTGATAGGAACTATTGCTAATAACTGCAACTAACGTTAAGTAACAGTCATGTGCGGCTTATGGGGCTAAGTGTCGTCCATGCATGGCTATGTTTGATTTTTCAAACAAAGCTACAGGTTCATTACAATTATTATCATTCCCATTTTATGGATGGAGGAATTGAAGTTTAGAAAGGCTAAGAGAATTGTCCAAGGATAATCAGCTAGTAAATAGTGGCTTGCATACAGAGAACACATTAGAAACTTATGCTAGCCTTAAAGGGTAAATGATACGGTTTTGCTGTGTCCCCACCAAAATCTCATCCTGAATTGTAGTTCCCATAATCCCTGCATGTCATGAGAGGGGCCCAGTGGGAGGTGGTTACCCCTATGTTGCTGTTCTCATGATAGTGAGTTTTCAAGAGATCTGATTTTTTTTAAGGAGTGTTTCCCCCTTTGCTTGGCACTTCTCTCTCCTGCCATCATGTGAAGAAGGACATGTTTGCTGCCCCTTCTGCCATGACTGTAAGTTTCCTGAGGCCTCCCGAGCCATGAGGAACTGTGAGTAAATTAAACCCCTTTCCTTTATAAATTACCCAGTCTCAGGTATGTCTTCATAGCAGTATGAGGATGAACTAATATAGTAAATATCAATACCTAAAGGAATTTGAGTTTGCAGGTGTGTGAAAGTCAAAAGCCCACCAGTTTATAGAGGGAACACCAATTGTGAAGATACTCACATATTCGTATTTGGCCAAAACATATTAATTATTGCTTGTGTGTACTAATGCTTGTGATGTAGATTAATAGGAAGTAGAAAAGGTAATTTACAAATATACCTGTCACCCTTCAGCTTGTTTGTGTAACTATAATCTTATACTCCTACTTGTGGGACTTATTCCTAGCACTTTCCTAAAACAGTTCTACTTAAAGTTGACTGTAATTCCCTCATTATATCCAGTTCCCATTGTAGACCATTTGCTCTCTGTAGAGTGCTATAGCATGTGACATCAACACTGCATTTTTCCCTTTAGGTCTGTCTGTCTTCCTTCTTGATGAGAGAATTGCTGACTTTTCTTGATTCTCCCAACATTTTTCACCACAGCAGTTCTGCCTCTGCTCCTTCTTAAGCCTTCTCTCCCTGAAATGTGGAAAAAACCCACTACCTTTCCATCTGTTTTCATATCATTTCCCATTTGTGTTCCTCCTTTTGTCTGGTTTTCTGAATCCTTTGCACATTAGCTGAAGTCCCACTTCCTAAGTATTTTATGTTACTCCAAGATCTTTTCCCCTTCTCCTAAGCTTCTGTTGCAAATACTACATTTTGGAAAAAAATTATTTTCTGACATGTTCATATACATTAATTTTTTAAAAAATTCATGCTTACATTTGCCTTTTATTTTTTAATAAATTGATGGAGTACAAGTGCAATTTTGTTACATGCATAGCTTGTGTAGTGGTGAAATATGGGCTTTAGGGTATCCATCACCAGTGTAACATACATTGTACCCATTAAGTAATTTCTCATCACCCCTGAACCTTTTCTAGATGGAATATAAATATGTAGAAGGGGGAGGAGAGTAAACTAGGCAGTTAGTCACTGCCTCCCCACCATCTTTGCCTCCCTTTCCAGAGGTCTGTCACTAAATACATTTTTTCTGGTGAATAAATGCTTGTTGATTAATCAGTTGATGTTCTCTACCTGGTATCAGCCTGGTAATTCTACACAATTTCATAAAGGACTAAAGTATTCGTGATACATGTATCTTGATTATTTTAAAATATGAAAATTCAAATAACTCTGCACATAATAGTATCTAAAGCAAATAGATCAATTTGGTAAAACAGGATGTATGTATGTATATCCATATATACAGAATATATATATCCATATATAAATATATATATTTTCCATATATATGTGTTTCATATATATATATACACACACACATACACACACATATATGTGAGCAAATATATGAGACCAATTTGGTAAAACAGGATATGTATGTATATCCATATATATAGAATATATATATATCCATATATAAATATATATATTTTCCATATATATGTGTTTCATATATATATATATATATACACACACATATATATGAAAAATAAAATATTGGACAAATGTATAATAAAGTTAAAAAACTGGATTTGTTTTTACACTGTTATTAATAAAGAGGAAATAAAAGAGAAAATAAGTTTATACGGGTTTAATGTGGTATTTATGAGGACCAGGATGTACGATATCACAAAGACCAGAGTAGGAGGTAAATAACTTGGACAGGAATAAAATAAGTGATAGGCTAATATTTTAGCATCAAAAACAGAATGGTCATTCACAAAGATCATCTATAAAATGGTGCATTATGATAGAAAAACTGAGCTTGAAATGACCTCAGAAATGATCAATTCTAGTTATTCCTTGTCTTGGTGAGGTGACTGTGGAGTGAAGAGATGCGTGATTTTCTCAGGGTCAGCAATTATCTATGAGTTCTTGAGTACTCTGACACAATTTTTAAAAATATTTTATGTTATTTTCAGAACATCTTATATTGTGTTTTATATATGTATTTCATATACATGAAGAGCTTTAAACACTTATTTTAAAAGTCACTAACTCCTAAAATTTTCTTCCTTTATATGAAAATATAAAAGCATGTTTATTTCATCTGAATACGCTCTTCAGACATTCTTTCTCTTATAAACAAAGACTGTTTCCAAAAATAAAACACAAAAAAGAGGGGCATGAATTTAAGATCACCAGACCAACTATTCTCTCTTTCTAAAAATGCATCATGTCTTACTTTGCATGCTAATCCTCCCTGAAGACACATGCTAATTTTTAAGGGAGCTGCACCAAGTGAAATCCACACACCTTGCCATTCCTTTTTTTTTTTTTTCATGAGGCTTGTTATAAAAATTTCTGCCTTCATTTCCGTCTTTTTCTGGGCTTGTTTTTCCTCTAGAGAACTCAAGATACAATAATCATATTCCATTTATTCCCTCATTCATTTCAAAATGCAATGTTTACTTTCAGATTTTTCTTATATATAACTATGTGTGCTTGCATTATAATCTGGTTAAACATAAGTGATACCAAATTTAGTCTTTAAGCCTAATGAATGAAATGTAGCTAAAATTTGGATTTTTTACTTTTTGTTGTTGTGTTTGTTGAGGGAGTAGGAGCAAGTGACATTAGTCTACAGAGATAATTGGAGACAGGATACGGAGGCCATTAAAAGGTGGGACAGAATGAAAGAGAAAGTAAGAGAGGATCAGTAGTTCTGGAGAATGCCTACATGGGGAAAATATAGAGGTTGGGAGTGTTATTAGGGAGGTGGGTTCCTTAGGAAGGGGAGAGAAGGGAAGACAGAAGAGAGTAGGAAAAAAATTATAAAGGCTTCTCTGCAGATATCAGCCAAGGACAGGACCTTCATGCCCATACTCTTATATTTCCTTCCTCAGAAACCAGAATCCAGAAGCATCACACAGGAGTTGAATTACCCAAGGACGTAAAGGCAGAGATGAATCAGTCAAATATATGTGTGTATGGATGGATGGAAGGATAGACAGATAGACAGATATGGAGATGGATACAGAGATAGATATAGTATTTGCCACCAGAGCGTTTAAAATGCTGATATCCTATTACAGACACTTATAATACCCTGATGTGGCACATTAAACTCATTTTAAATTAAATAGCATATGCAAAGATGTTTTGTCAACCAAACATCTTTGATAATACAATAGGTATAATTTACTTTTATTAACATATAAATTTATACTTTGTAGACTATGACATGTGGAGGATGAAAACATGCATCATTGTAATTTCTGAAACCTGTAGGAGTTTTTATCTTTTTTAAGTCTTTGAAGGGGAGATTGAAGAAGACAGAGTCAGAGAGAGGCTGTGGCACGAGAGAGAATTATGTGGCTTAACTGATGTTTTTCTGGTTGGCTTTGAAAAATAAAAAGGTACTCATGAAATACTTCTAATATTTCTGGCTATATATATAATCTGCATCAAGTGAGATGAATTCTCTCTTGATTTGATTTCAGCAAGCATATGTAGAGGCTTATCATAAAGAAAACCAATTGTCTTGCTGCTTGAGGTCTCGGCAAGCCTGTGCATGACTAGTCAATGCAATTGGCCAGCCAAGTGATTTTCAGGAGCGAGTCCTGCTGTGCATCCTGGTTGTTCATGCTTCCCTCTGTAATAAAAAGCTCTCAAGAGGGACTTACTCTCTGAATTCTGGATATTTAGTAAACTCAGTGGCATTGTTTCTGCTATGTTTACCAAATTTTGGAAGTAATTTTCTCATAATTCAACGAACTAAAAATCAAAACTAAGGTGATCATTTAGCTGCTGTCATAAAAGATAATTTTCCCCATTTAAAATATATGACTCATTATTATAGTTTTATATTCTCAGAGTCTGGTCCTCATTTGTAAAATAATGGGAGCCACCCCTACACAGTCGGAAGGCATGTGCATAAGGTCTCCAGTATAGCAAGCAGGTCTTCAACCCAGGTCTCCAGTATAGCAAGCACAATCTTGGCAGGTCTTATTATTACTTATGCATTAAAAATATTTGAAGTCTGGGCAACAAAGTGGGACCTCTTCTCTATTAAAAATGAAAAACATTAGCCAGGTGTGGTGGCGTGAGCCTGTAGTCCCAGCTACTGGGAGGCTGAGGTGGGAGGATTGCTTGAGCCCATGAGGTAGTGAGCCATGATGGTGCCACTGCACTGCAGCCTGGGCAAAAGAGGGAAACCCTGTCTCTAAATAAATAAAATAATATATGAAAGTACAACAAAAGAATAAGAAAAAATGCTATTTTTCCAACATAAGAGAATATTTCCAAAAGACTACTATATTTACACATTTAGGTCCCTAGATTAAAAAGGCTAGAAGATTTGAGTTCAGTTACCTAGGTAGCTGTCCGCAGCTGCCAGTCAAGTAAGCATAAATCCTCAACGTTTCTGCTTAACAACTGATCTTCAATCATCTAAGAGATGAGAGTGTTGAATTATGTCCTAGTATAAATATATATATATATATTTTACAAACCGTATTTCAGAACTCCTTTTTGTCTTCAAACGGCTGCCTTTTTATGCCAGATTTAGATCATACCTGTATATGCAAAATATCTAAACCTCCTATTAGACGATTATAAGAAAAATATATTTTCCCCTATTATTCATTCAAAAGATACTGTTGAGAGCTTACCATATGGCAGGGACATCAGGTAAAAAGATGGTAAAAACAGTATTTCTGCTTTTAGGGGCTCTAATGGTTAAAAATTATATATTTGTACAAAGATGACTTTTGAGTACTATAAGAAATGCCTCTGGTGTAATGCAATTTGCTGGACGGGGGGTGATATTTGAGCGTTTTCCCAGTCAGGTGGGGATGCTGAAGCATTTCAGGGAGAAAAAATAGTTCAGAAAGGGCCCTAAAGTCACAGACCCCATGGTGTTTTGAGAGAATAATGAGTGAACAAGAATGCTGCCTGGAATTGTGCAGTGGATTCAAAGAGTTGGACAGAGGTAAGAGTGGACAGATAGCAAAGTTTCAAGTAACTCTTGTGTCACGGTAAGAGAATGTACTTAACCCATTTATGTCAGAGGTTGCAAATTTTTTATGAAAAATCAGACCTTGGCGATGACCTTGAGCAGTAGGCTATCAATAACTCTCACAAGCTTAGTGTTCCAATAATGGAACACCTGGCATAAATGGGTTGATCTAACTAGGCGAAGAGAGTCTATCCAAGCCATAGAAGAGAGAGAGATAGATGATAGATTAGACAAATAGACAGATGAATGATCGATATTTTAGAAACGGTATCTTGACTGATTACAGTGAGAAGATCTTGAATGCGAAGATACTAGTTCAGAAGCTGTAACACAAATCCAGAAAGTGATAATGTGAGTTTCATTGAAAACAGAAAGAAAATAAGATGGAAATGAATACATACACATACATATAATAGTTCATTCATATATATCTCAAGTAATATATTTAAGAGAATATCTTTCATGAAGTGTAAAAACTGTAAAACATTTCTATCTATATCTATCTAAAGTAGCATTTATAAGAGTTGGTGATCAACTGAAATACAGTAAAGAAAAAGGAGTTATCGAGAAGGACTCCAAAATTTGTTGCTTTCTGACAAGATAAAAAGTGAGAAGAGAGAGCAACTGGAAGGGTGAGGGGAGATACTGAGTTTTAGACGGTTTTCGAAAAAGCAAGTCACTGCCCAACAAGTGATGTTCAGTAGACAATCAGAAAACACAGAACTGTGTCTTAAGAGGAATTATCAGACTTGAAGCCTAATGCATCAAAAGCATAGTTTAGTTGGAATTAGAAAATTGCCAAAAATCTCAGTCTCAGTTTTCAGATATATGATTCCATGCCATAGAGAACAATATGATACATTCTTTATAGGTATTTAAAAGTAGATCTCAAAGATTTTGTTTGGTCATGTCTGCCTGAATAAGTATGTGTACAGTGGGTGAGAACAGAATGATGTATTAGTGATTACTGCTATATTAGTATTACTCCTACAAATAGCATCTTGGACTTAATTGTCAAATAAATGAAGATGTGTTTTGACTATTAGTATAAATATGCATATTTCATAGTGTCAACTTGGCCTTCAATTATATGTCCAGAAATTTTTCTTCTTTAGTGCACATTAGTCTTATGAAATTTAATTCAGCTCCAGGCACAACACTGTGTGGTTGTAAGAGTACAAGACGTGGATAAGAAAGTAGGAAATACAACTTCTTCTAAGTAAAGTTTTATGTACTGGAGAACAGACTGTAAGTACACTGTTAGTTATAATAACATACAAAAAGGCATTCCCTAAGAGAGATGAAATTTAATGGGGGAGCAGGTAGGTAAGAAAAAGATTCACGAAGAAAGAGCAGATTAACATCACTTCTTAATTCCTGGTTAAATATGTTTGTCACAGAACTACTCTGATGTCTAGATGCCATGATTATTAAAAATTGCCCAGGTTTTTAAAATAAATTATTTTGAAGTATAAACATGAATAAAATTTGTAAAAAGTTATGCCATTTGGCATTCTATGTGAAAGTTAACCAGGGTTTTGTTTGTTTGTTTTAGATTTTTTGTTTTTAGTAAGATTTGGGAATTGGCGGCATTGCTTAAGACAATGGTTTCTTTAACGTGAAACATATTTCATGAAATGTAAAAACAGTAAAGTATTGCTCACGCTTATCTGTGACACGAAAGGAGAAGTAATGGGTACAGTATCTTGAGTGGAAACCTACTAACTAATAATTTTGCCAGTGGCCTCAGTTTCCAACTGAGCCTCTAACAGCAGGAGATCCATTAGCGTATCACTTGGCATTCTCCTTGAAGGAAATAATGAGATAAAGGGGTACCCTAGTGAAAGCAAAAGTGGGAACTGGGATATATAGTGTCCATTATGCTAGAAGGCCTTTGTATTTGGCCTTAAATCAGCTAAAATGCATTGTACGGATGCAAAGTGAGGCAGTCGGAAGTGCCATTTAATTTATAACACCGAATGACCAGATCATGCATCTTGACTGTCTTTTTAAGGGAAACATCTTGCTTTGGGAAGATGTCAACTGTCCATTACAAGGGCATCTGGTCTTCGTGGTGGTTCATTAAAAACAAACATTGCACGTGTGGTAACTGAGCAGTCATACAGGATAGAAAGAACTCTGTGTCATTGAAGACAGAGAATGTCTGATCTGTGTGATCACCTGTCCATTTTCAGATTTATGAGTGCATAATTGTGTTCTCGTATGATTTATAAATTCCACATAACTTTACCAGTAAATGAAAGTAGAATTACTTTGACTGGTCATTAAATTTTTTATTTATTATTATTTTTTTAGTTTCAAGGCAGAAACCTTTACAAGGCATTCCTATTGTCCAGCGAGTTTGGTTTCAGAGGGACTCAGAGGTGAGAGCAAATTAAGGCAAATTGAGCAAATCTACAGAAGTATTTATATTGAATGCAGTCAAATTTTACTTTCTCTCTGGAAAGCAGACTGCTGATATTTCTAATAATAGCCTATGGGATGACAGGGTGGAAAATAGAGCCCACCACTGCAGTTCTCTCTCCATTTGACTTTTTGTTGCATGTAACCTTTTAAGTGACATTTTTAAAGCCTTATGTGCGGGCTTTAAAATATACGTTTTATAGGAAATTGCACTTCTAGGCTTATAACAAAGAATACGCCCCAGTTGCTGACACCCATGCTGCTTTCATGCAGAGAAAATACAGGTACAGAAGGGGTTCCTCATTAAGGTTTCACTAGCACCCATTAAGACAGCCTTCTCCTCGCTCATGGTAAATAACACTGAGAAGAATATGACTTCCTATTGAATCATGGACTCCATTATAGGCTTTTCTAATAATAATCGTAAGGAGAACAAAGCCTCAAGAAATCTGTTCTCTTTAATAACACAGGGTTTGATAAATTAGTATGATAGAATCAAGCTGGTGTAGTGCTTAATCTCACAAGGTACTCATTTTCTTTCATACTTTTCTTTTCAAAATCACACTCTGATTCCCATATATTATTTCCTGTGAGAAATCATAACATATTTTCTATGTAATTAAAACTTTCCTGAGTTCACTGGAACACAGAGTGACATCTAAATCAATTGGGTTAGAAATATTTCCACAAGGGACAAAAATCCCCTTAGTCTACAGGATGTGATTCAATTTTTAGTGTACTATGCCATTTTGAAATTGACTCAACTTGGAGAATTGCTCCTTGTATAATGTCATAGAGAAGAATGAGGAACAATGTGCCACTTTGAAATTGAGTTCAGCTTTTCAAATTCATCATTGAAGTATGTGGCAGAGAAGAATGAGATATAAAAATGTTCCTTAATTTAGGTGTTTGTTTTTATTGTGGTAGAGTATGCATATATAGTTTACCATCTTTACCTGTATAGTTCAGTGGTAATGAATACATTTATGTCATTTTGGCCCTTCATGTCTCCTCCTCCCACCCCTTCCCATCCTCTGGGAACCACCAGTCTACTCTCAACCTCCATGAGATCCACTTTTTTAGCTTCCATACATGAGTGGGAACATGTGATATTTGTCTTTCTGTGCTTGGATTATTTCATTTAACATAATGATATCCAGTTTCATCCAAGGAAACAGAGGTTACTATTGCTGCAGATGATGACATTTTATTCTTTTTAAATTGCTAAGTAATATTCCATTTTATATATTTACACATTCTCATCATCCATTCATCCATTGATGGCCACTTAGATTGATTCCATATTTTGGCTATTGTGAATAGTGCTCCAAAAAACACAGGAGTGCAGGTATCTCTTTTATCTATTGATTTCCTTTCTTCTTTTGGGTATATACCCAGTAGTGGAATTGCTGGATCATATGGTAGTTCTATTGCTAGTTTTTTGAGGAACTTTCATACTGTTCTGTATAGTGGCTGTACTAATTTGTATTTCTACCAACTGTGTATGAGGGTTTCCCTTAGCCAGTATCTCATTGTAGATCTTTCTGCTTGTTTCTACTTTTTCAGTTATAAATAATAATGCAAGGAACAGTTTTGCATATAACTTTTATAGAGTGTACGTGATTATGATAGACTTATGAAGGTGGTAACTCAGTATAGTTTTTGAAGTCTTTGACATAGATGTCACCTCATCAGTTATTAATGAAATCTATTAACCATTGCCAATATTTTCCAATCTTATGTTGTTCATAAGATTAACAAGTTAAAAAGAAACGACCTTCATAATCTACATCATGAATACTTCTTTTAAAATAAGCATTATTGAGCCCAGCAAATGCCCTCAGTATTCAGTGAATAACTGTACAGTTTTTCTGCTTTGAATATGGAACCCCTCATGTATCATTCGTGTGCTAAATTGACTAAGCTTGTGTCTACATTGCCCGAACAACCTGTCAGTTCAGAGAAAATAATCAGTCAAAACAGTTATTTAGTGTCAGGTAGAAATGAATTTTCATTTTTCAACAGGTTTTGTTGGTGTAGTGTAGCTCCAGTCTAGGAAGCTTATTTATTTTAGAAATATTATCCTTTTGGGGAAACTATAAAATTCTGCTGGCCTGGAAGATAGATGAATGGCTATATGAGGGAATGGTGAAGAAGAAATGAACATTAGGATCAAATGGATATTGGAGCAAATAAGACCTTATAACTTATTTTTCAAGCATGTAATTCATAAATTGTGATCTAGAAACATTTTGTTTAGACTGTTGGTGCCTCACATAAAATGCAGCACTAACATATATAGACATGAAAGATGGGAAATCAGTTTTGCAATGTCCCTAAGATACTTTTTGACATGCTGTGCTAAATAACACCTTAATAATAACATCTACATTAAATAGTTTATCACTTAAGACACAGCTAATAATTTGTAGTAGGTAGCTTATCTCTTTGTGCTGTTTTCTGCTAAACGCAAGAAAGTCAACATCTTTCTTAATCATTAAGGTGCTTTTCGTTTAGCCCCTTTTATCAAAAACATTGAACCACATTTCATTGTTTCTCAAGTACATTGCCTGAGGGTGGAGATGAATCTAGTGCTGTGTCTACCTAAAGCTGCAAGTAGAGATAGGCTAAGATCAAATTATCAGGTGCTAGTGGAAATGTAATCTTTAAAGGCAAGAAAAAGTGGTACTCCGTGTGTGAGTTCTGCATCTGCCCATAAGGGATGCCAATTCCTCAGCCCAATTAGGGGCCACAGTAGACAGTTGGAATCATATTCATAGAGTTAGATGAATGTGTGCTGAAAAAGCCTTGGGTTATGGAGAATAAAACTGTGCATAAGAATAGAGATTTGGAAATGTCTACGGGTTAGAACATTTGAGTGATTTACTTTTTCCTCTGGAAAAATACAACCTAGTGTTTTCCTCCAAGATTTTGAGCATGAGCATCTTTTTCATAATCTCATATCTCTTTCTGCACCCCCCTCCTTTATTAGGAAGATAAGCAACCATTATTCCTTGCTGAGAAAGCAGTGGAAGAGCTTAATGCAGTGAGGAATTGAGTAGTACTGGTAGCTACATGGCAAAGGCCGTTGCTATGGATAAATCAAACTACATTTTAGTTATGTTTGTGTTTATAATTTACTATTCAAAAGTTTCACAGCAAAAATTTGAAAGAACCCAAGCATCCTTCTATAAACATCTATATATTAAAGTGCTCTGCTGCTATTAAAATGATACGTTTTACTTTAAGAAGTGAAGCTTTATGCTGTCCTTTAAAAATCTGTATTCTCCATCTCAAAACTCACAATAATTTGCCTAAAAAGTATTATACAGGATGACATCCTGTGGTTTTTTCCAGAACTACAGATTAAGGAGTTTCTGATTTCTTAAGAATTTTTATGAGAACTTTAATATACCATGGAAGGGAAGCATTATTAAAAATAAATTGAATTTTAAGAGCTCTTTCATTTGTTTCTTATGTTTTTCCCATCCTTGCTCCCCACTATCCACATGTAACATGTACTTAACCTTTATGTAAACCACACAGTGGCTTAGTAGAAGAACATTAGCTACAAAGTCAGAAGAACGGCGAATACTCCCTCTACCATTTTCTTGTGTGTAGGTAGCTTTGGATAATTCATTAACATTTCTGAACCTCAGTTGTCTTGTTTGTAAAATGAGGATGATTTTTCCTCTATCATAGTTATTCTCCATCAGGAAGCTAGTGCCATAATATTCCAGAACATTTTTACCAATGTTAAAGTACTGTGCAAATAGGGGCTGATGAGATTATTATTTCATCAGACAACTGGAATACACCGATGCTTCAGTCAGGTTATGTTTTGACATATTATACACATCTCCATATACACTTTCATCCACTGTCTTGCTGCAAAATGCTTTTGCATGTCATTTTCTCTCCATCTAGAAAATAATTCCTTATCTTTTGGGCCAAAGCTCTTTCCTTTCTTGAGCCCCTGACGAAGTATTATCTAGTTCATGAAGGCTTTCCTCATTATTGTTTTCTATTTGTGCCCATTTCATTTGCTTAGTTAATTATTATACATGAACTGACCATTTTAGGTTTCTTGAGAGATGTTGAGGGAGCACAGAAGGCCAATCCCACCTCACTTCCCTTAGTTCACAGCAAACAAGCCAAATCTTTGCGTTTCTACATATGATTTGGGCAATGCCCTTCAACTATGCATACAACAGAATGAAACAATAGTGCCTGTGGCACATTTACTTATATTTCATATAAGACTTTGGGATATTTCTGACCTTAAAAGTCTTAGGCATCCTAAACATTTTCAGGAGGAACTTTAAAGATGGCTCAGGGGGAGTAATATTTTTTTTTTTTTCTAATTTCTTTACTCTGTTTCCAAGCCTGGAAATGATTTGTTTTTTCTAGGCATGTAACTGTCACCTTAAATAACCTAATCTTGCAAGAAAAACAATATTTCCATGAAGAAAATTCATGTCAGGAAAATTGGTGTTTGCTTGTTTCTTTACTCAGAATTCAGGCTATACAGAGAAGTCATGGTAGGAGACATTAAAACAGTAGAAGATTTCTAAACATCCCAACAAAATTATATTAATAAGAACTTGAAAATTTTTAACAGGTAATATAGAGTTGACTATGTGTATGTGTCTTTTTATTTATGTTTACCATGCAAAATTATGAGGGAGTTATAGATCTAGGTGACTGACACCATTATAATAAAGTTTGGATGAGAACTCATGACATTCTTAAGAGCATGTCGTGGGAAACAGTGGTAACCTCTCACACAAGTTCTTGACATACTAGAGTACTGTAGATATTGTTGGTTAAAGCAGGTTTGTTTAATAGCTCCACAATTTTATATGGTGCTGTAAATGTCTGTCCCAGATTGACATGGTTTCATATAAATGTATTTTTCTCACTTTGATAGAAAACTCCGTAGATGGGATCAAATACCTTATTTCTACTGCTATGCCTAGTTACCATAATAGTTCCTGAGAACTGTTCCTTAAAGGGTTCATTGTCTACAGAAAGCGAAATAAATAAATACATAAATAAATAAAAAATAAATTAATCTGAGCTGGATCTGAAATGGAATGGTTTTCATTGGTTAAGAGCAGTGTGTTCATTGACGAATTATTAAATTTCCCATCTGAGCAGAATGATTTGCAAGCCCCTGGGGTGAAATCAACATTGTGGTACTGTACAGTATATTTTTCTCTTTTCAGTAGCTTACCTCTCTGTTAAGCAGGCAAAATTTAGCAGAGACAGATTATCAATGGAACAGAGTAATGCTTCTTTTTTTCTTTTCTTTTCTCTCTGTTTTTTTTTTTTTGTTGTTGTTGTTGTTTGTTTGTTTGTTTTTTTGAGACAGTTTTGCTGTTGTTGCCCAGGCTGGGGTGCAACGGTGCGATCTCGGCTCACTGCAACCTCTGCCTCCCAGGTTCAAGCGATTCTCCTCCTGCCTCAGCCTCTTGAGTAGCTGGGATTACAGACATGCGCCACTATGCCTGGCTAATTTTCTAATTTTGTGTTTTTTTAGTAGAGACGGGGTTTCTCCATGTTGTTCAGGCTGGTCTTGAACTCCTGACCTTAGATGATCTGCCCGCCTTGGCCTCCCAAAGTGCTGGGATTACAGGCATGAGCCACCGTACCCAGCCATGATTCTTAGAAAAACTGTTTTGTGCTTTGGAGGCTGAGACAGGAGAATTGCTTGAAACTGGGGGGCAGAGGTTGCAGTGAGCCGAGATAGCGTCACTGTACTCCAGCTTGCTTGACAGAGTGAGACTCAGTTTCAAAGAAAAAAAAAACTGCTTTGTGGGCATATTCCAGATGTCATTCCATGAATCACAGAAATTTCTCTGTTTAGAGAAGGATCTCATTCCCAGTTATCCGTGGTGGAACCAACCTTGGAGCAAAGAGGGAGATAGAGCCCTGCCCGACTCAGTTATCTAGACTTAAGCTTGCATCAGACACCCAGGGATTGAATTCCGGCCTCAGCTGTGATCAGAAGGCCACAGCCTCCTCTAGGTCTTCCTCATGGTGTCAGTGGAGCAGAGCGCCTCAATTTTTCTCATGGATTATTGTGTTTGGTATTTAGGTAGAGTGACAGGGCAGAGAGCCAGACATTACAATCAGGCATGACTGGGAGAAATGTGCATTGTCCCTAAGGAACGAGAATACCTAGATGTAGAAAGTAATAACACCTATAGTAGAGGAAAAAATCACGCAATCATTTGAAAGCTGGAACTTCTTAGCAGTAGCATGTTAAGTTGGGATAGCAGACTTATGAAACATGGTTCTCTAGTTGCTAGGACTGTTCTTCTGATGACTTAATAGTTCTTTATAATTTTATGTCCATCCAACCTAGCTAAAGAGTTCATCAAACAGAATTTTTTTGCCATCTTCTCACAGTTCACAGCTTCTTGATAGATATTAGAAAACTTAACATTGTCATTAATAAAAGGCATGTGCACACATGTATTTACAATTATTTCATTCTGAAGTAATATTAATACTAGAAAAAATTAACTTAAAAAGATAATAGTGAAATATTCTTACTGTCCTTGAAATGTGCTAACTAGTTAATAATGGACTGCAGTGTTAACACTGTAATTTAGGATGGGAAGAATGTGATGGAGTTGCTGGGAGAGTTTAAACAGTCAGAATGTAACTACTAACTGCAAGTTCATCCGGAACTACTTGTCAGTCGCATGCTGCACTTGACTTCCTAATAAGCCAGGTACCATGAACAATATGAAGATTTGGGTAGCAGGCATCCTTGCCTACTGAAGTTAACACACACACACACACACACGCACACACTCACACACAGCAGTAGAAATGATTACTTCTAGTACCAAGGTTTAACATTTCTCTTCAAATAAACCAAACACATTTTGTCAAAGTTAGAAAGAGCCACGGATAGTGATCAACTGGGATAAGGAGAAGCCTTGAGTTAGAATGGGCGGACACCTCCCTCATTCCCTCACTGCACAGACAATTCCAGACTTCTCTGTCACATAGTCCAGTGGGAATGGAATACCAAAGACAAGTGTGGCGGAGGTGGAAACACGCTTAATATTTAGGCCCATATATATCTGTCACGTGTAGGTTGAGTGTTTTTGTATACTAAACATGCACAGTGGTTACAATTTCTATCCTAACTGGCCAAAGAGTAGTGGAATAGAGAACACAGATGCCAGAGTGCTCACTGCTGGGACCAAGTCATTTTGGTGCAACAGTATCAGAAACCTCCTGCCAATACCAGGGAATCCAGGCATAGGGAACACATCCCATGGTGGATAAAGGTGAGAAAGTCTAGCTGATTAGGAATCAGATTTGTGAACATCTAATTATAGAATTGCAAAGCCTTTTCTGTTCCTCTTAGAATTTTCAAATGGCACACACAATTAAAGATTTTCCTGTATCACTCCAATGATAGCACGTTATTCTCTGCATAGATTATCTCTATTAGTGTTTGATGGGTCTCTTTGTGGCTCAGATGTTGATGGCTTTAAGTACCAGGGGTATTTCCCCTTTGTCCAAATCATTACCATTCTTTTGAAATCTCTTCTCTGGCTCACCATCAAATTGTGGTTCTGATGTGGACATTTAGACTTCAATGAGAAGCTTCCTGGCTAAGCATTGGCATTATTTTTTCTTCTCCTAGAGGAGAATTTTTTTGAAACAGGTTTCAAACATCACAATTAGGGATTATTCAGTTTAAAAGGCCTGATAAAAGCCAATTGGAAAACACCAGAAATAGTGTTCAATTAATATGTGACAGATTACATAATAATGAACACACAAAAAAGAGGACACCTGTTTCTTTCCACTCCTAATCTATTCATAAGGGAAATTTGACAGAATGACAGGATGCCCACACATTCAAGTTTCTAAAATTTTTATATTGGCCTTTTCTGGAAAAATGAAAAGATTCAGTTTGTGTTGTTTGGCTAAATCGTATCATATGACATGGTTACCTGAGGGTCTAAATTGTACACACCAAGAATAAGGAGACCTACATTCTTGTCGTAGTTCTGCTATTAGCTAGTTGTGCAACTTGAGGGAGTCACTCAACTTCTTTCAAGTCATAGGCTTGATGATTTCTAAGTACCTCCAGTTTGAATAGTCTGTGATTCTGCTCTAAAAATTAAGTTTGTTAGATGATTGATGCTTTTTACAGTCTTTACAAATTTGAGGTTTGCAACAGATTGCACATTTTACCATAATCTAATAAAGAAAAATGCAACGTGTTAAAATTCGTTTTACATTATCAGGCATCCCTGAGTTTTCTGACATCAAGCTGTGTTCCTTCCAAAATGCCCACCGATTACCAGGGTTCCATGGGGCTGTGGCTATGCTGCAAGGCAATGAGATACTTCATGATGGGATCTCTCTCCAAATCAATAAAAGTTCTTGATTTATCAAAAGGCTGATTCTCACAAACCCAGGTCAGTGCTCTTCCATCCTCTCTGTACACATCTTGACTGTCTCACTGCCTGAGTGCTTTCACTCTAACAGGGTGCGGAAAAGAGGAATCATCACATCTTAACCGACCTGAGCGCATAAACATAACGTCCTCATGTCTCTGGAATAGAATCCATTGGTGATATTCTAGACATGTACCTCCCTGGTAAGGTGTTCACCAGACACCACGGCTATTGCCATTTAAATAAATGAAAGTAAAAAGTTCAATTCCTCCATCACAGTAATCAGTGCAAGTGCTTGGTAGCCACACGTGGCTAGTGGCTGCCTTAGTGAACAGCACAAATGGGAATATTTCCATCATCACAGTAAGTTCTGTGTAACCGCACTGTTCCTGATATTGGATAGTGAGGATCCCCTAAGGTAGCAATACTAGGAATATAGAGGTTTGGGCAGACATAAGAATATAAAGCAATATGTTGTTTAGCTTTTGCTATTGTTCCTATATCTTAGCCCATCTCCAAACTGTGAGTCTGGTTTCCTTTCCACCCCTGCAGACTAAGCATCAATACTTTCCCTGACCCTCAGTCTATCCCCAATATCCCTCGTATCCCTAAATGACACTGCCACCTAACAAGTGGTCAGTCAGAGTGCTTTACTCCTTCATTTCCTTCACAGTCTTCTCCATCCTATCCCTGACACACACATGAAGTCTTCCAGCAAATCCTCCAAATTGCATCTCAAATTCAGCTACCCATCGTCTTCGCTCCTGGCTAGCATCCCGGTCCGGCCACTGCCATCTCTCTAACCTGAGAGCTGCAAAAGCTTTCAAAGTGGTCTCCTGTCTTTCAGTCTTTTTGACTCTAATTCATTTTCTGCACAATGGCCAAATCATCTTTTTAAGGTAAAAATTAGGATAAGTCTTCTATTGAAAACTCAAGGGTCTTGCCTTTACACTTATCATAAAACAAAACCCAAATGCACACAATATTCTAGCCCCATCTCCCTCTTCAACCTCCTCCCTTTGCTCACAACACTGCAGCCACAGTGACCTTCCACCAGGTCCAGTTTATAACAATTTCTTTCCTGCCTTGAACAGTTCCTGTTTGCAATTTCCTTTACTTTCTCTAGGAGTGTTTTGCCCACACTGTGAATAGCTTGTTTCTTCTGGTTTCTATCTCAGCTGAAATCTCTTTTCTTCCAACAGAGTTTTTTCCAGCCAGTCTTACTTTCGACCTTATTTTATTTTCTCTCTCGGTGCCCTGTTTATATGCTCCACAGCACTTAGCCTGATCTGTCAATAGCTTTAAATGCATTTGTGTTCTTTTTCTAATTATTAGCTACATGAGAGCAGGGAGCATGCTTATTTTATTCATTGTGGACTATCTCAATAAATATATGTTGAAGAAATAAACAAATGAACAAAATGCATTTGTCAGTTTAGTTATAAAGCAATTCCAAGAATGAGATAAAGCAAAATTTCAAGGGGAAGTGATCACAAATATCTGTGTCATTCAGAGTGGTGAATTATGGTCGATTGGGTCAGCATGGAAATACTGATAACTTGTGTGCCTGTAGAAATGCTGAAAAGAAACATGGAGGAGAAAAAAATGGAAAAATTGTCAGCACTCCTGAAACAAGTGATTTATTTTGTTTTCCTCTCCAGCTGCCTTCTTTGCACTTGTCCTGCCTATGCTGCTTTATCTACCAGGCTTTCCTGCCTTAGCCTATTGTTTTCATTCAGTTGGTGGCTTTTGAGTTAGTTGTTGTCTTCTCAACCCACTGAGTTCTTTCTCATGGGTCCTTCACCATTCACTGCGGTGGTGGTCAGATATTTTTTATTTTTGAGAACAGATTTTTCTTATCTCACATAAAGGTGTATAGGATCAAAATCTTCAATAAGCTTCTTTAAGTTGTTAAGTAAATAATGTGCCTAGGAAGGATGTTGTTCTTCTTTATTGATGCAAAAAGAAAAAAGCCAAACATAGAATCCTTTGGTAGATTGACTGTTACGAATGATTCTCTGGTAAGACAGTTGAATGAAATCTACAGATCATAAATTAAATGACCCCTTTAATCAGACCTCTCCCTCTCCCTCTTCACAAAACAGGGCCCCATGTCCTAGAGAATACCCAGCTTGCTTCCTAGGATGGATACCAGGTTTGTATTTTAAAACATCTTTATGCTTCAGTTCTGAAGGATATGAATATGTTCCAATTTAAAGATGCAAGATTTAAGATGTAAAATACCTTATTTCTTTTATTTGGATGATTAAATTCCAGACAAACTGAAGATATCTGTTATGAAGTTAGCTTAAATGTGCATCTATTTATAGTACTGGAAAAACACTATTTTATATAAACCATGGCATTTTTGTATTGAAAATAATTCTTTGTAGACATTATGTTTCATATTATATATGGAAAAATTTGCTCTATAAGAGATTTTTATTTTTCCTTACCTAGCGGTTATTTCTGCATTTCAATCCACAGACAGCACCTGAGTGTTTTTAGTTTTAGTGTCATCCAGGAGCAGGTGGATGCAGCAAGGCGTTTTGGAGTTGGTTGTTGCTGGCCATGCTCAATGCACTGTGGGGTGGGGAGTACTGGGCTGCATGGGGACTGACTTGTCCTTTTACTTCTATCAATATTCGGATGACCTCAAAGCACTGTGTGTCTTCCATATGTCAGCTTGTCTGGCATTTGTTCTACAAAGGAGGGATGAAATAGCAGCTACTGACATTTGCTTTGGACTAAAAGAAGGAAGAGTAAGGATCTTGTTATCTGAATTCAATCTTGTAGCCTGTGTGTTTGCAGGAGGCTTTCCTGGTTTCTGTTTCAAAACCAAATCTGTATTTTGTTTTCAATTTTAACACATTTCCATCAAAAATAACACATAAATGGTTTTGAAATAGACATTAAAAATAAGTTCTGCTTACAACCTGTATGGCAAAAGAAAACCCCAAACACTTAGACTTTGTTAAAAGTGGCAAATGTCCTTGGATTATTATGCAATGTGATGGGATCTCTGTGTGAGGGGAAAGTTCTCACAAAGAATAGGCTAATCATTAGGAAAGCGTGTTGACAGAAATCAGCTAGAGAATGATGCCCACTTTAAACGTAAACGCTGTGTGAGTGTGTTGGAATTTTAATCTTAACATTTACATTTTCATTTTCTATGATGATAAACTTTTATTTTTAACTTTTAAATAGATGTTTCTTTTCCAGGAAGTTTCCATCTTGTTTATGCAGGTATTAATTTCACATCTTCTTTATCTTCAGCAATAGTTTTGAAGTTACTTAAGAGAGGTGGTGTCATTTATTGCAAATTTTTGTGCGACAGGACCTTCAGATACACTTGCTCATTTAATTCTCAAACCAGTCCTGTGTGGAGGACATCAGTTTATACTCTTAGCAGATTAGGACTTTACAGATTGGGCATTATGGATGTCTAACTTACCATAAGGCTTTTAACTAGCAAAGTTAAGACTTACACTCATGCCATGGAGACTTGCTTTAAGAAACACATTTCACCAAGCAGATACCATATTGCTGCTCGATGAAGATATAAGTGATAATATTTATCACTCTTAGGAGGGTTTATAATTTAACCTAGAAGAATGCCTACCTAGTGTAAAAGAAAATATATTCAAGATAATTTCTAAGCATCAAATGACTAGTATGGACCAGTGCACCCCACCCTTTTTATATCAGGGCACACAGAGAGTTAGTTTGTGTGTACACAATGTTAATGAAGCTGGTTCAGAGGAAGTGGCTGGCCTATGGGATCCACACACTCCAGGTTATGACCTCGCTCTGAAGGCGAAGGGGATCAATATTTTGGCACACCATCATCTTATAGGCCATAGGTGCCACCAGAGTTGACGGGGAGATAATTATAAGAAACAGAGGTGACCTTGTGAATTCATGCAGGGTTTGTGAAACAATCATGAGACTTTGACAGGGGGATAGTCATGGGGAAAATAATTATGCGAAAGGCAGGGTAAGAGCAAGCCATAAGGGAGCAGACCCGCCAACATGGTACCAGGGGCAAAAGAATGGAAAATAGAGGCTAATTGTTATTGAGTACCTACTGTAGACAAAGGACTGTGACATTATAGAGAGGACAGGCATCTTCAGAGATGTCATTTTTGTCCCTTCATAGGAAAAAAATATGAATGTATAAAGTGTTAGTTGAACTGAAAGAGGACGATGAATAGGTCAAGTTTATGTCAACTTATTTTTGTAATGTTGGCATCATATTCAGATGTCTATGGTCAGAAACAAAGAGATGCAGGATGTGCGAGGCACAGTGGCTCATACCTGTAATCCCAGCACTTTGGGAGGCTGAGGCAGGTGGGTCACCTGAGCTCAGGAGTTCAAGACCAGCCTGGCCAACATGGTGAAACCTCTTCTCTACTAAAAATACAAAAATTAGCCAGATGTGGTGGTGGGTGCCTGTAATCCCAGCTACTCAGGAAGCTGAGGCAGGAGAATCACTTGAACCGAGAGGCGGAAGTTTCAGTGAGCAAAGATTGCATCACTGCCGTCCAGCCTGGGTGACAGAGCGAGACTCTGTCTTCAAAAAAAGAAAAGAAAGAAAAAAAAAAAAAGAAAAAAAGAGATGCAGGATTGAAATTAGGGAAAGGGCAAAGTTTCAAAAAGAGGTGCCTGCATTTCAATATTTCAGAGTAGAAATAAGAGTATATGTGATCCAAGGACAAACTCCCATCTTTATCCAGAGAATAGTTGGTATATTTGTTTACTTAATGAAAATTTAAACAGCAGTTTTCTATTTTCCCAGCACTTATAATGTTCTAAGGACTTTATAAACATTAGCTTATCAAATCTTCATATCAGCCTTATTGTATTCCATTATTATTCTCATTTTATAGATGTGGAAATGTGGGTGGAGGTTTAGGTGACTTGCCTAAGATCACACAAAGAGTAAGTAAAAGACCTAAGATGCAAACTGTGTCTTCTGTCTTCATAGTAGAATCTCAGGATATAGGAGACAGATGCAGACAACACCTGGCCTGTTTAACAAGAACACATGTACTTACAAAAAGACTAGATGTAGAGAAGCATTTCTCCAATCCTTGATGATGTTAGACAAGGCGGCGTTATTAGGTTGCTTAAAATGATCACTTTTAGGTAAGTGAGTATGTGTTTCAAGATTTTTTGATCTTGCTGTGATATGAGAGATTTGGTATTTTCTCTGACAAAAGGTCTCATCCCTATGCCCATACTCAAAGTCATCTAACATCTGGCGTTAAACTCCTCCTCTCAAATCTAATGAGCAAAGTGAACAAACAAGAAATATTACAGATGAACACAGTTGAAAACATCTTGGAAAAGCTAGGTCAGTACTTACCCTTTCTGAGTATCAATTTTCTTATCTTTAAAACAGAAATATCAATAGTGTCTACTGCTCAGGGTTGCTATGAGAACTAAGTGACTTGCCAACAGGAAGGAATGAACGTAGCACCTGCATAGAATGGTCACTCCATGAGTGTAGATTTCTTGTTCTCCATTTTCTGCCCAATAAGAAATAGGATAAAATTTTTATTTCTACATTCTATGTTGTTTCCAAGAAAACCTATTCCAGTTTGTCTTGACAACTATTTATTGAATAGTTACTTTGTGCTAAGCGCTATGCTGTGTTAACTGAAATAACTTGATGCAGTAACTGGATTAAATCCTTGCAAATAATTACAGGCACACAGATAAAGTAGTGATTTGTTTTTCTGATGTGGCTGGATGGAGTCAGGGCCCAGAAATAAGAAAACCAAGGTAGTTCAAATAAAACATGGACTGAAATCTAGAAGTACAGAGCTATTTTATAAAACTTATACTTTAATTTCAATCACTCCATTTTGATAGTAAATTGGTTGTTATATTCCATTGACTTTGGAGGAAAAATGATGAGTTGAATATCCCACTGTTGACCACAGTCTGCAGCACCCTCAAGAAAGGCATTCCCCAGTTGGCCTGGAGAGAGAAAGAATTTACCCAGTCAGGGTTATTGCGGAGGCCGCCTACCTGCCAATTTTCAGGTTTCTTTTTTGTAATGTTTTCAGTAGTAAGAAAAGATGGAATGACATTGGTTGCCTCTTAATATAACAGTCTGCCTCTTCATTCAAGATTAAACATAACAAAATATTTGCAATTTCATTAGGAAAAAAGCTCCAAAGTTAGTGTCTGTGAGTAGAACAAGCAGGAAACAAAACATAACTGCAAGTTTGGAATCTTCCCCGGGAGTTTCACCTTTCCCTGTGATCTGAGTCCTCACCTTTGATGCCCATCCCTGTGGCTGCTCCCTTCCTCCAGGGGAGGCGGGACTCATTTCTTTCTTTTCTTTTCTTTTTTTTTTTTCTCATTGTGGGAAAAAAACCCAAAAAAACCCATAAATTTGCCCTCTCTGTTCTTCAGGGTTCTCCAAAGAAATGGAGCCAATAGGCTGTGAATAGAGGTGTATGTCCTATTTGATAGTTAGATAGACAAATAGTTATCCTATGAGAGAAAGGGAGATTTATTTTTAAAATATGTCTCGTGTGATTATGGAAGAGAAGTCCCAAAATCTGCAGCAGGCAAGAAAGTCAATGAATATTTCCAGCTGGAGTCTCAAGGCCTAAGAACCAGGAGGGCCAGTGCCAGTCCAAATGCTGGCAGCCTTGAAGTCCATGAAGTGCCAGTATACCCGCCTGTGTTTAAAAGTCAGGAAGGAGCAATGTCCTACCTCATTCAGGGAGGAGGAGCTCTCTCTGACTCTGCCTTTCTGTTCTATTGAGATCTTCAACTGATCGCACAAGGCCCACCCACAGCAGGGAGGGCCAGCTGTTCTACTCATTCTCCCGATACCAGTGCTAGTCTCATCCAGAAACACTAGCGTAGACACACCCAGAACAATGTGGGACCAAGAGTCTGGGCAATCCATGGCCCAGGCAAGCCGACGTATAAAATGAAGAATCACACCCCCAATCACATTTAAATGTATATTGCAGTATTGGTAACTATATGCACATAGTTATACAACAGATCTCTAGAACGTTTTTGTCTTGCGTGGCTGAAGCTTCATACCTACTGAACAGCAACCCTGCTTTTTTCCTCTTCCCCTCCCCTGGCAAATTTCTGTTTTCTCTGAGTTTAATAACTTCTGATTGTTCATATAATTGGAATCATGCATTATTGTTTTCTTTCCTTCCTTCCTTCCTCTCTCCCTCCCACCCTCTCCCCTCCCCACTCCTCCTCCCCTCCCCCCTCCCCTTCCTCCCTCCCCCTCCCCTCTCTCCCCCCCACTCCCCTCTCTCCCCCCCACTCCCCTCTCTCCCTCCTTCTCTGCCTCCTCTTTCTTTCTCTCTCTCTTTCCCTGTCTCTCTCCTCTCCTCTCCTCTTCTCTTCTCTTCTTTCTTCTTCGTGCCTTCCTTCCTTTTTTGTCTTTCCTTTCTTTCTTCTGAGACAGAGTCTGGCTGTGTCATCCAGGCTGGAGTGCAGTGGTGCAATCTTAGCTCACTGTAACCCCGAACTCCTGGGCTCAGGCAATCCTCCAAACCCAGCCTCCCAAGTAACTGAGCTTATAGGTGTATGCCACCATTCCCTGCTAATTTTTTGTTCTCTTTTTTTATCTCTCTCTTGCTTTTTTTTCTTCTTTTTACTTTTTGTAGAAATTTGGTCTTGCTTTTTTGCCCAGACTGGTCTTGAACTCCTGGCCTCAAGCAATCCTCCCACCTCTGCCTCTCCAAGTGGCTAAGATTACAGGCGTGAGCCACTGCACTCAACCCATTAGTTTTCCTTAGTGACTGGCCTATTTTACTTAATATAACATTCTCAAGATTCATCTTTTTTGTAGTATATGACAAGATTTCCTTGTTTTTAAATGCTACAATAATATTCCATGTTATTTATGTGCCACATTTGCTTTACCCGTTCATCCATCAATGGACACTCTAGTTGTTTTTGCCTTTTGGCTATCGTGAATATGAATGTGCACATCTCTCTTCCAGATCCTGTTTTCAGTTTGTTTGGATATAAGTCCAGAAGTGTGATTGCTGGATCATATGATAATTCTATTTTTAATTTTTTGAGGAACTTTAGTACTGTCTTCCACAGCAGCTGCACCATTTTACCATCCTACCGACAGAGGACTCCGTTTCAAGCTCTGACTAAAACGCCTTTCCTTGTTTTCCCTTAGCACAGCTGAGACAGACTGACATTTTTTTTAAAGGACTGCTAAATACCAGGAGGGGAACAAAATGAAATAATTACACAAAGTATCACACAAAAATGGTTACACCTGCAGGGCAGTTTCTGCTCTTGTGATATCTAGACTGTAGCACGGAGAGTGCTCCGTTTTCCCTGTCCTCTACTTCTTTCTCTCCTTCCACCTTCCTACTCATCTATACGTGGCCTGCAGCATCATTTTCAAAACATACGGTTGGGTTTTATTGACACCTACCTCCTCCACACAGTGCCAATGTCATTCTCAACACTAGTGTCAGCTCGCCCAGCCCCTGGTCCCCCACTGATGAAAAGGAAACCTCCGTGTTGACTCTGTCCATCCTCAAATAATATTCTTAGAATTAAGGATTTTTCACAACGGACGTAGGTTTATCATTCCCTGCGCATAGGCTCATGAACCCATTTTCTACTTTCCAGAGACCATTCTGTTTCATTTCCACTTAAACAATATTTATTTTCAAGTATTTTCATATAACTTAACTTTAATGATACAAATAATGTTCAAATTCTCTTAAACCATGATTGAGAATCCAGAGGCTGGTATTATCATAAATTGACATGTATCGTCCTAGTACAATTTTCAAACATCTGCACACATATTGTATTTAGAAACAACATATTTCATGGTTTCATGTCTATTTAAAGTTTATAAATGACAAAATGCTCACTGTATCATACTGTCTTTTTTTTACTTGAAATTATGTTTTAGAGATCTTTTCATTAATATATACAATATTTCTTTTAAGTGTTTAAATCATCTATTCATCCACTAAGGTAAGTAGATATTTTGGAATTTCTTTAATAAATTTTGGTGTAATGGGTACTCTTGTTTAACTCTCCAGTCTTCTCGTACAATGTGAGTGATTGTCTAGTGTATACTCTTGCAAGGAGAACAGATAGGTCATATGTAATACATACATCTTCAGTTACATTAGATACTGCCCAGGTGCTTGTCAAAGTAGCTGTACCAGTTTCCTCTTCCCTAGTAACAGCTGTGAGTTTATTTTTCCCCATATCTTTATCCTCATTTAATTTTTTAGACCATTTACGTTTGTGTAAATCTGAGAGCAGACAGGAAGCATTTCATTGTAATTTTCATTTGTATTCATTTCATCACTTCTAAAGTTGATTGTCTATCAATCATCATCATTTATCTATATTCTCTTTGCTATTTGGAAGTTCTCTTCTGTTTCCTCCTGTCATTTGTTTTTCTATTTTTCCCCTTTTAAAATTTTGATTTTGAGAAACACACACACATATGTATATGCCTGTTAATTCATGTAAATATAGATGCATCTTTGGTAATTATTATTTGTCTGTGATGTGGATATACATGCATTTATTTTATCCAAGTATATTATTTGTCTTTTGAATCTATGATATTCTTTGACAACAGTTTGCTAAGATTTTCCTTTAAGGAGGGAAATTTTATGGAATTCAACATTTTTTTTGGAGGATTTCATGAGGCTTTAATCATAACCTAATAATACTGTTAAAAACAACACGTCTGTCACTTGCGGAGACCCACAGGGACACACATTCTCTTCCTCTCACATAGACTGAGGTAGGAGGTACACTGGCTAAGGAATAAAAAATACTCAGTGGCTGTGCAAGGCTCAGACCAGGCTCACAAGGCTCTTGGTTGAAAAGCAGCCCCTTGAGAGCAGGAGCAGAGGCCAGGCCAGCTTCACTGAGATCCCAGAGGTTCTGACTGGGGCCGCCCAGAGTTGGGCATCCCTGGCTTCTAGCATTTGAGATCTCACCCGGGACTGGTTGGTGCAAGTAGGGGATGAAGCTAGGGTGGTAGCTGGTCTTGTTCCAGGTTGCAAGGACAGAATGATGTTCCTGGCACATAAACTGCTCTCGGCGAAGATTTGTTTCATGAACTGAATGAATGGTGTGGGAGAGGGGAGGAAGAATTCTAGAGGACAGCCCCTCTGGCCTTCTAGCCCAGGATAGGGGAGCTAAGGGGTAGGGCAGGACCTATACCAATCATTTTAGAGGTGGCCAGGGAGGGAGGTGGAAGTTTTGGGGCACCAGCTATACCAACGGCAGGGGGAAAAGAAAAGGTAGTCTTCTTTCCTCCCAAAGTGTCTTGTACACAACTGGGGCTCTTGAC
Source organism: Homo sapiens (assembly GCF_000001405.40). NCBI lineage: Eukaryota > Metazoa > Chordata > Mammalia > Primates > Hominidae > Homo > Homo sapiens. The sequence continues at coordinate 107,609,020 of NC_000013.11, read as the reverse complement.
CCTGCAGGGCCCAGCCCTTCTCATCTTGTTCACTGTGAACTCCTTGAAGGCAGGCCTCTGCCCCACTCGGCACCATCCCTGGTGCCCGGCCCAGCACAGGTGTCCCACTCTTGCTGAGTGCGTGGAACCCACGGCAGCATCGTTAGCTTAACCTCACCTGCCTTCCTTCCAGCAGAGTCACTCTCCATCTCTGCGGGCTGGGTCTGATCCTGCTTCAAAGGATGCCGTTCACCTCTTCCTTCACTGGCGAAGTAGCCTCATCCTTAGCCTTGGGGATGAATTCTATTTTTTTCGGAGTCAACACAATCATATGTTTTTTCTCTTCAATTTTCAAGTTGCTTAATTATATTCGACATATAGTAAGTGCCCTGCAACCGTTGCTTACACTTCTAGAATTAGCTGTATGTCACCAAGTGTGGCTTCCCCCAACCACCCAATCAGGAAGCTACTCGTATGTATTTTAGGGTTTTGGACATGGCAAAACTCCCCTTTAAGTAACAAAGTCTGTGCTGGTAATATATTGCTGTGTAACAAGCCACCCTAGAACCTAATGGCTTAAAAACAATATTTATTTTATCATAAGTCTGCATATTGGGCAGATCTCTGTAGGCTCAGTTCATTTCTCCTCCAACTTGCAATAGGGGGCCTGGAATTATCTGTAGATTCTTTCATTCATGTATTTGATCATTGACACTGGCTGTTGGCTGGATCTGTAGTGAGTGCTTTTGGCTTAACATTATCATGTGCCTTCTCCACGTGTCCTGGGTTTCTCACAATATTATGTCTGGATCCCAACGGCATGATTCCCACAAGAGAGCTGGGAGAAGCTGTTTTACCTCTAATGACCTAATCTCAGGTGCCACGTAACGTTACTTCCAACACATTCTGTTCATCAAAATAAGACATTAAAGTTGTTTCATACTTAGAGGGAGAGAAATTACACCTTACCTTTTAATGGGAGAAATGTCAAGAATTAGTAGAAATGTTTTAAAATAATGAGATGGAAATTAAGAAAATGGCAGAGTTTCACATAGAGGTGCTTGTAGTCCAGCATTTCAGTGTAGACAGTGAAGTCCATGACAGAACGCTCATCCTTCTGTAGAGGAAGATTAGGGGAATGGATTTATAGACTAATTATGTTTTCACTGTTACAGGTGTGGTTTTCCCTGCTTTACAAATGCTGCCCATCAAATTCTCATGAAGCCCTGTGTGGTGGCTTCCGGTATTTTTCTCATTTGAAAGAAATGATAAGTAAGGCAAGGGTAGTTAAGTAAATTGCCCAGGGTCACACAGCTAGTAAGTGAGAGAACCAGGACTCCAACCCAGGGTTCTCAACTCCGAGGCATTATTTTGCCTCTGAGAGGGAGACACCCCGATATCACAGAGCAGGAGGGAGGAGTGAGGGCTTCCTAAGTGGGTGTCTTTAAGCCAAAGAAATAATAACCCTCTGTTTAGTGTATATTTTGGACTTCTCTTTACAAGGAAAAACAACAACAACAACAACTTTATTTTGGCTTGAAGATTTTCTAATTTACTACTAGTTTCGAAGAACCTTCCTCTGGTGTTTTGAAAATATCTCTTATTTTGCCTTCTAATTTATTAAATCTATATTCGTTTCATTACTTATTTCTTCCTTCTTTCTCTGCATTATCCATATGTTTATTTTTCAGGCTTGTGAATTAAATGTTGGCTTGCTTATTTATAATCTTTCATTTATTTAATTTAAGCCTACAATCTTTTAAGACCTGCGTACTTAAATTCCTAATGTTTTACTATGCAGTACTCTTATTTTTGTTCAATTAGAATTACTTTATAAGTTCAATAGGATTTTTGTCTTCGACCTGGATTGGATTTAGGTTTCCTACATTTTGGGCCCTTGTAGTATTTTCTAGAAATGCAATGACTGAAATCTGTTAGATTGAGTGCAAAAGGTAATTGCGGTTTTGCCATTAACTGATGACAAAAACCACAAATACTTTTGCACCAATGTATAAATATAATAAGAATCTGCCTTCAGAATAATAGAAAATGAATTACCTCCAATTATAAGCAGCCTAGAGCAGAGCAAAGTGCAAATGATACCTTTGATAATGTTAGCAATGTTAAATTTCTGTGGAATAGAGACAAATCAGGAATAATCAATTATTTCACTTTTCAGGACAGATAGATTTTGTTTTCAAGTACTCTAAATCACTGGTGCCTCAGTAATATCATAGCACAGAAAATATGGAGTCAACCAACCAACCAACTCACTATTCAGCTTGAAAGCCAATTTTGCATTAAGTTTACAGTGTAATTTTTTTTTAATTTGTCAACAAATATTTTTGAAATGTTTCCTCTCAAGAGATGTTAAGGTGCCAGGCGCAGTGGCTCATGCCTGTAATCTTAGCACTTTGGAAGGCCGAGGCAGGTGGATTACCTGAGGTCAGGAGTTCGAAACCAGCCTGGCCAACATGGTGAAACCCTGACTCTACTAAAAATACAAAAATTAGCTGGGCACTGTGGCTGGCACCTGTAATCCCAGCTACTTAGGAGGCTGAGGCAGGAGAATCGCTTGAACCCTGGAGGCAGAGGTTGCAGTGAGCAGAGATTGCACCACTGCGCTCCAGTCTCAGTGACAGAGCAAGACTCCATCTCAAAATATATATATATATAAATAAATAAGATATACATATGTGTGTATATACATATATAAACACACACATCTATATATGTATACATACACACACAAACACACACATATATATATATATGAGATGTTAAGGAACACAACATTGGTAAGATTGAGCATGTTTCCTTAGGGAGTAGCAGATCCACTTCTACTACCTGATTTGATCCATGTGCTCACTAGTACCATTGTCATAATAATTTTTGTAACAAGGATTGTAAAATGCTCATTTTGGGGCTTTTGAATGTACATGTGAATTTAGGCAATGGAAAACACATTTTGCCTGCACTGTATATATAAATGAAGACTTGTGTGCTGTAGGGTATTTCGGGAAATTTTTTGGAGATCTGGCTATTGAATCCCAAAATTGAAACACTCCCAGGTTTGCATCCCTTGATGGATAATTATTTCAATGATACAGCCTGGCTGGGTCTACCTGTGTTTTTGGAATGAATTAACTGGTGCATAAGGGGCAAGACATTAGCTTCTCAGCGTGGGAACAGGTTGTCTGCTGGAAAATGTTTCAACAAATGTTTTCTTCAACTAATATGTTTCACTGTACAGAGAGGATGTTTCCCAGCAGCAGGGACTTGAGCCCACTTTGTTTAATCTGCAACACCCTTGTCTAGCTCTTTGGAAAAGCACCATATGGAAAGATAAGCCACATTTTTAGGCTATAGAACATTTTAGTGTCATATGTACATAGATGGAAATTTCCAAGAAGGATCAAGTTAGAATTTTTTCCTTCCTAGGAATAAAGTTCTGCTTTCTTTAATCTTTTTTTTTCCTGTGAAACCCATAAGTGATACCCATAACAAAAACTAATAGATAATAGAAATAATAAAAACAAAAACATGATAATATGCTATTAAGTAAATAGGCCTAATAATGAATTTGTCGTCGTCTCTGTTATGAATCTGCAAAGCCAAGTCCCGAATTAGTTAACCGGAAGGAAGGAGAATGTCTCCACTTCTTTTAGGAACAGTTGGTTATGACGCCTGATGAAGCTGGAAAGAGAGCAGGAGGATGTATTACATATTTAATGCCATGAACAGTAATAGCTTCAACTATTTCACTGGAAAGGAAGCACATTCAAGTTCTTAGAATTCTGACTTAAGGAAAACACAGAATATTATTAATGTGATTGTATTAAATGATGTCTTTGTCACAAATGAAAGCCATGCCTTGACAAGCTTTTTGTTTAAATCATCCTTTTGGGTATTGCAGCAGCTAAGAGTTCGTTTCTAGAGCCAATGTGTGATAAACTCCATGAGTCAATTGTTCTGCGCCCTGGGACAAATGATGGAATTTCTAATCATCAGTTTTCTTACCTGTAAACTGCAAACATACTGTATCAAGTTTGGAGTATACTTTCTTGTAATGAGAAGATGCATGTAAAACACATGCCATAGGGTCTGGCACATAGTAAGCACTCAGAAAAATGAAAGCTCTCACAATTATTACCTGTAGTATTATCACGATCTCATGGCTAACATGAGATTGAGAGGGGGACTTGCTGATGTCTGTTCCTACAAGAATTCAGCTATGGTCTTGAGGCTGCGGCACAGCTTCATGATGTCACCCACTGGCCACCACCACCGGGTAGCTTGGAAGTAGCACAGAAATTATTCTGAGATAAGTTTCATACTGTGAGCTTAAATTTCTAAAATAAAGACATTATGGAATATTAATGAGGGAACATGCCATATTCTCCCTCTTCTTTCATATCATGTTTAATTCTCCAGCCTTAATTGTGGAGAATAACTTTCTTACTTGCCTTTTCAACTGAGTTCCAAAAGAATATCAGACATGTTAACTGAAATGCATCCTATACTTTTCTGAAATCAGCAATGTTTTGTTCAGATACGTTTCCCAAGAAATGAAAAATCCACTCATTCAGGTTGGAATTACACTGCTTTGAGTATTTTCATTTTGGTTCTTCTAAAATGCCTAATTATACAAATGAGAAAATAGTTTCTAAATTCCTTAGAAAGAAAGGGGGAAAAAGACTGAATTCTAAATGTAGATTTAAAAAAAAGACAAAATAATTATTTGGATTAAAAGCCACCAATTTTAAATGTAGCCCCTAAGCCCTCTAAACAGCATGAAAGCAATTTTAGTATGCTTGCATTTGGGAAACGATTATTGGCAAGAATGCAGTTATAAGGAGTACATCATTTCTGATCTAAAGGTCACTGACTTAGAAAATGGGGGAGGAACGGTATTAATATTTTAACTTTTGTGTGCTCGAATGCTTTTTTTGATGGCTTAGACATATTTTAGCTACATGAATCATTTCTGTCTTTGAATATGGTTAGAGAACCAATTATTTCTGGAAGATCCGAAATTGAGAATGACTTTTACCTCAATTAAAAATAAATTCTTTGAGTTAAAACACAGCCTCCTGCACGTGACTGGTATGTGTCACCTCTTGCTATGTTCCTCCTACTCCAGGGCAACAAAGTGGAACAATCTCCTCATGCACAGCTTAAGAAATGTATGTCATGAGAGTGTCTAAACGTGCAAAAAGCAAGTCATTTTTAAAACAGATAAGTGTATTCACCAGAATCCTGCTGGCATTTGGAGTCACAGATGGAAATATAGAAAATGGAGCAGCAGACACAGATACCATGGTTCACTGGTGCCCCACATGATAGTCCAAGGATTTTAGTTTTAATCTTCACTATCTTCTTCAATTTAGTTTTTATAGTCAGATTTTAAATTGCCTCTCTGTTAATGTGTTCATTACTCATCTGTTATTAAAAGGAGAGGAGTGTACATTTTATATGATAATGGCTAATCCATTTTTATCTTTTTGTTTTGATATACTTCGGTATATTAAAAATAAGCCTGTATCACTAATTTTAGACTGTACTATGTGCATGTTGATGACTTTTATCTCTAAAAACAATAACTCATTATTGCTTCAAATTTATAAAAAGAACCTCTCATATTTAGCCAACTTTTCTGATTGAGAGTAAGTTCTTATATTTGAGCAATTTTGGCTAGCACATGGCAATCTTTCTTCTTAGGAAATGAATTGTTACCTCTATAAATTTTCAGCTAACAGCAAATGGAGTCATGAGTCCAAAAGTCACCTGGAAAATGAGAAGAGAAAATGTGTTTTAACTAGAAATTTTTTTTGCAATAACATTTCAGCAGTGTCTAAATTGTAAAACTAATAATTAAATTGCATATCAGTACAATGAAAAATAAAAATGATCGTTTTTGTTAATTTTAGCATTGCTTTATAAAACAATAAGCAGTAAGATTTTCATAAAAAGAAATTTTAATCAGAAATGATTTTCAATTTAATAAAAGTTCCTTTTATAGACATGACTGAGACCAGAGAGTCTGTCTATGTTAAGAGAGCTGCGAAATTGCCCTGTCCGTTTTTCCACTAACTAGGCCTTCTTCATGCAGAAGAGAAAGATTTGCCACAAAATTACTCAAGAAGATAAAATTTTAAATATACATATATGGATGTATTTATAATGACATATAAGCATAGAGAATTCTGTGTCTTTGTTTATGCTTATTGGTCCTGCAAGGCTATCGATGGCGTTGGCAAGGTGGATGGATCCATATGAAAACTAGCAAATATAAGCATGTGGATTCCAGGGTTAGACGCGAAGGAATAATTTAATGAATTAAACCTTTTATAGAATCAAACTAAGTGTTAAATTTTTAAGCACTCCTTAATTATTTAAAGGCAAACTCAAATGCAATTGGAAATTTGTTGTGTAACATTTAAGGAAAATAGGAAAATATTAATAAGCCATGTCACCATGATATAAATACCTGCATTATTGATTATCATTGTTTTTTATTTGATCTGCCTGAAGTATTTGAGACAGAGAAACAACTTTACGTTATCCCTTTAAAAGATGGGAAAACTATCTTAGGGAGGTTGAGTGACTGGGCCAAGGACCCCAAAGTAGGGGTGGCAGAGACACTCTGGAGAGATCTCAGATGTTATTTTAGTCGAGTGTGCCTTACATTATAACAGGCAATGTTTTCTCTCTAAATAGCTTATTCTCAGCCGCTTTCTAACCACAGTGCTTACAAAGACTTCCCTCTTATGATCTGAGTATATAGATTTTTAGATTCAATTTTCCTGGTTTCATAGATGGTTAGAACTGAATAATCTGTAGATCTTCTTGGCCAAACCTGTCATTTATTACATAAGATCATTAAAGCCGTAGGAGTTTAAAACTCACTGAAAAACATAGATCTTCTGATTGAAAAGCTGAAGTTAGAACATAGGTGTATTGGATGCAGTTCAGAGACCTTTCTATACAATTAAATCATGAGCTTTATTTTTAGGAAATTGTCCAAGTCATATTGAATTTGAAGAAAAAATGTTCAAGGAAACAATGGGAAATTTGTCGCATTAAAACAAAAAAGGATAGGGAAGTGGGAGAGAGAAATAGAAGGAAAAGGAAGGAAGGGAGGGAGCCTCAGTAATTTCTCTCCGATTGGGTAAAACTGATATTGGGTTTAAGTAACAGCATTTTTTTTTTAGCTAAGAATATGTCTATATGAAGAAACATACTCTATTTCCACCTTTTTCCTACCAATAGTGATTTTTTTTTATTGTGTGTGTGTGTGTTTTGTTTTGTATTCATCTCTGAATCCCCAAAACACTACTTATGAAAAAAGAGAATACCCTAAAACAGTTGCGAATGAGACACTGCCTTAGTTCTTTGAAAAGTGTGATGAAGACATTGGCTTTATTAGGATATTCCTACACCCTGAGAAATTATAGTCAGGAGGTAATCTAATAATTTAGCTTACAAAATACAAACAAAGCCTCCTGATAAAAACTGTGAATTCTAACTGCATTTGGGTTGGTCTGTAGTGAGCGCCTAGAGGTGAGCTGAATCCATTCTTGCAGAAGAGCACAGGAAAGTAGTGTTGATAGGAAAGTTGGATACATATCTCAAGAAAAGTCGCTCCATCTCTCAGCCCAATGTCCACAATTCTCTTTTAAAAAGAGAGTAAAATAATCTACAAGATTGTTTCAAGTTCCCAAATTTGCGTTTAAGTGTTCTAGGGGAATTCTTACATTGGAATCCACCTCGATCCTGGTCAGCACAGTCTCAGCTCAGTTCCCCATCACCTCCAGCCTGAAGTGGGGCTTTAGACTCCTTGTGGGTTTCTTCAATCTGAGGTCGGGGAGCATTGCACAATCTGGCCCACTGCCTAATGGATACTACAGCAATCATTCTAAAGGGCAGTCACACATGCTGGTCCCCAACTGACATTGCTTTCAGGGCTCTATATTTTTCTTAGGTAAAGAGAGAAATCCTTCACATGATTAGGAAGACCTACCGTGACTTATACCTCTCCCTTATATCTGTTTTCCTTTATCAGCTCTCCATCTGTCAGGACTTCCTCTGGGATTGCCCTGACCCACCCAATAGCACAAACTCATTTCTTACTAGGCACTTGCCTAAAATACCTTCTAATCATCCTTCAAGTCCCTGCAGTCATGTAATTTTCTGCATTCATTCAACAAATACTATCGAGGTCAAGTTAAGTGTCAGGAATATTTCAAAGTACTAATGATATAGCAATCATTCATTGTGCTCCTTTAAATCTCAAGCTACTTTTATTGTTTTTATCTCTTATTCACCTGTATGTTTCTGAATGAGGGTCTATATAAGTTAATATTATTTACCTCTCTTTCTAGAGCCAGGCTTAGTGCCTAGGTAAGCATCCAACAGGCACCGACCACTGTAAGTAACTGATACACAATAAACATGTGACTTAGCCAGTATCTCAGTTTGTGGAGTAAGTTAGCTATTCAAAAAAACATTGAAATATTTTGTTTTTATGAATATTGAATTAAAACCTTATTAAAATAACATAGTTAGAATATCTGGCCATTTTTTAAAAGACATTAACCTACATAATAGTTTGAGGAGGTCTGTTTTTATTAACTTTCTGTACAATTGGCGTCTTTCCTTGTGGGATGAAAATCTTAAGTCATTCTAACTCTAAAATATTGATAATATAAGGAAGACATTGCAAAGCTAACATTGCCCTGTTCTTGTTTGCTTCCTATTGTGTATCCCTGAGTCTTATAGAGGATACTATCACATTACCTAGATAAACGTAATGAAATTTTATTGCTGCATTGCTGTCTTCCAATCGTCACTGTAACACACAACCTTCAACCTTGAATTCTGAATGCCATGGTGATTTTCTTACCTACAATATTTCCTGAAGAGGCTACTTTCTTACAGCTTCTTAACCAAAAATGAGAATTTTATTTAAGTTATAATTAACCACCAGATGAAAAGCAACTGAGATATTTATCTAGTTTTTGTGATCTTGTTTCATAAGCTGTGATGGTATCATTCAAGTAATAATAACATTATATCAGAGTTAGGCCATATAGTGGGGAAATGATCAAAATTATTTAAATATGACTCGTTGTACACAACTAGATATATTTTATGACCCATGTAATTAGCCTGGGATTTACCAAATGCCTACAGGAATGCAGGTATGATTACCCTAACATACTCTATACAACTTGTTTAGATAAAGAAACCAAGTCATATTTTATTGTATTTATGATAATTAATATTTTTAGCTTCTTATCCCATTATACTAGTTAAAATTCACAGAAGACTGGATAGGCAAAACAGAAACAAGAGAACATAAAATAGTGTTCAACTTCACTAATAATTTGGAAATGAATTTGAAGTAAAAATAAGTTATAAAATGTTAGTTTATGCTCATTAGATTTACAAAAATTAAAAAATCTAGCAATAACGAATATTGGCTGAAATGTAGAAAAATGGGACATCAGAAACTGCTGGAGTGGGTGCAAAATTTTGGAGAGCAATTTGGCTGTATTTTTCAAAGATGAGATTGGATACACCATACCCTAATAATGTTATTTTTTTTTTTTTTTTTTGAGACGGAGTCTCGCTCTGTTGCCCCGGCTGGAGTGCAGTGGCGCAATCTTGGCTCACTGCAAGCTCCGCCTCCCAGGTTCATGCCATTCTCCTGCCTCAGCCTCCCGAGTAGCTGGGACTACAGATGCCCGCCACCACGCCTGGCTAATTTTTTGTATTTTTTTGGTAGAGACGGGGTTTCACCGTGTTAGCCAGGATGGTCTCCATCTCCTGACCTCGTGATCTGCCCGCCTCGGCCTCCCAATATAATGTTACTTGTAGGCACATCCCTAGAGATGGTTTCTTGCATGTGCTCAGAATCATGTCTAAAGAAATTCCTTGAGGCATCTTTGTTGTGAAAATTTGGAAACAACACAAATGTTCAGTAAAATAACTTAGGACAAACTCATACTATGGGACATAAGACAAAATGATTTGATTCCTTAATTTGATAAATGTTTATTGAGCATTATGTACTTTTCTAGTCTTGGCGGGAAGAGCAGCAAAAAGCAAGAAGACACCAACACAAAGTCCCAAATGTAATTTGGCTTGGAAGAAAATTATGTCAGATCATGATAAGTGAGAAGAAAAATAAGCTAGAGTAAGTAAATAATGATAATGGAGGGAGAAGGCCACTGCCTCAGGTAAGGTGGCCTTTTAAGACTTCTCTTATAAAATGATGCTGATCAGAGACCTGAGTAAGTAAGAGTGCAAACCATGAAATGACACGAAGAAAGATGATCCTATGCAGAAGAACCAGTTCCAAAGCATGGTGTCAGAGGATTATAGATTGCAATTTTTAGCCAGAGAAATTAGAATAATGGAATTTCTACTCTGCTTATAAACAAGTCTGAGAAAGGCACATTCTGGAGATAGGAAGAATTATAACTTTGGTTTTAGACACATTAAATTTGATATGCACATTAGGCATCCCGTTAATGATTTTCCTTAGCAACTGGGTCTATGAGGTTGGTGTTCAAGCAAGAAAATCCAGGACTGGAGGTATGTATTTGGGAAACATCAGTCTATAAATTATTTTAAAACTACGGGACTGACAGTGATTACTTAAAAACATGAGCATAGGCATTTCAGTTCTGAATCTTGAGCTACTCGTGTATTAAGAAATTGGAACATGAGGATTCAGCAAAGAAAAAAGGGATTGTTACCAAAGATAAAGGTGGAAAACCAAGAGGGATTGGTGCTCAAAATGTGAAGTTAAATAGAAAGGAAATCACACATCTATGACAAATTAGTGTTGTGTGTATGCCTGTGTGTGTATTGTGTGTGCATGTTGTGTGTGTCCATAGAGCAAATTCTGGACAGAGAGCAAAATACTAACCTAGGTTTTACCATCTAGGCATATCCCTAAGTCTTATAGAGGATACTATCACATTACCTAGAAAAATTTAGTTTAATTTGATTGCCAAGTTATAGTCTTGTAATTGTCACTGTAACATATAATCTTCAACCTTGAATTTTGAATGTCATGATGATTTTCTTATCTGTACTTCCTGAAGGGGTTAGTTTCCTACAGCTTCTTAACAGAGATGAAAATTTGGTTTAAGTAGTAATTAACTACCAGATGAAAAACAACTGAGATATTTTTCTACATAATGTTGTGGATAAATTGTACTTTTTATTTTATTCTTTTTGATTGATTTTTAAAATAATTATGTATTCTTACAATTAGCAGCAAAAGTGATTTTCATTTAAAATTTAGATATTCATAGGTTTGGTCTCAGTAAGTTTCTACTGTCGTTTACAATTGTATTGTACTATCTAATATTGACTATTTTTTCTTTTGTAAGCTTTTATATTATTTTGCTAGAAGGAAGCCATTTACACAATTCAGTACCCTTTATGTTACCTCTATTATTTATAAGAACAAAAGCCCTGGGAAGATATAATTTGATGTGTATGAGATTGATAGTCTCGGTTAGACCTTAATGCACACACAAAAATTCATGCATTGTCACTGTCATTATATAAAAGGAGAGGCTTCAAAGTAATTATGTGGGAGATGAAATACTACATAGGAGAACCTACTGTAGACATTCTTTAAATCTTGTACAGAAAGCATAATTTGAATTATGTTTCTTAATTTACCTCCTGTACCTATGCAGGAGGGTCATGTGTGTACGTGTGCGAGTACACATTTGTGTGTGTGTGTATGTGCATTATTTGTAGAAGCCATAAAGCATTAAGGTAATACACCTGCTGCTTTATGCTAATGTCTTTGATAACATAGACTTCTTCAAGGATTGACTGAAAAATCTGTTTATTCACCTTATCTACAAAAGCACTGCTGATATTTTCTGAGGGCATGTATGAAACGTAACACCCTCTATGCAAAATATCATTTAAGGTCTGTCTCAATTTGAATATATCGAAATGTCTCAAGCAAATAGAAAACTGAAGCAGGGGAAATAGAGTTGCATACCTAGAAGTTCCAATCATCATTGTGTTTTTAAGTGACTTGAAATGACTTCAAAAAGTTCAGTTCCTTAAAATAACAGGCATGATATCTTTCTCTAAATAAGTATAACATTGAGCATACTGCCAACATGGGAAAAAAATAGAAATGAACACGAATGAAAATTGTCTTTTCTTTTTCCATATATTATACTTTAAGTTCTGGGATACATGTGCAGAATGGGCAGGTTTGTTATATATGTATACATGTTCCATATGGTGTGCTGCACCCATCAACCCATCATCTACATTAGGTATTTCTCATAATGCTATCCTCCCCCTAGTCCCCCACCCCCCTCAACAGGGCCCCGGTGTGTGATGTTCCTCTCCCTGTATCCATGTGTTCTCGTTGTTCAACTCCCACTTATGAGTGAGAACATGCAGTGTTTGGTTTTCTGTTCCTGTGTTAGTTTGCTGAGAGTGATGGTTTCCAACTTCATCCACGTTTCTGCAAAGGACATGAACTCATACATTTTTGTGGCTACATAGCATTCCATGGTGTATATATGCCACATTTTCTTTATCCAATCTATCATTGATGAGCATTTGGGTTGTTTCCAATTCATTGCTATTGTGAATAGTGCTGCAATACACGTATGTGTGCGTGTGTCTTTATAGTGGAATTATTTATAATCCTTTGGGTATATACCCAGTAATGGGATTGCTGGGCCAAATGGTATTTCTGATTCTAGATCCTTGAGGAATCGCCACACTGTCTTTCACAATGGCTGAACTAGAAAATTCCCTTTTCTTATGAGGAGGCACTTGAGTTTCTTTAGAGGCTGTAGCTTCCTGAGATTGACAGAGACCTTAATATTGCAAGATTCCCACTACTTTGTATTTGTTGAGGTGCCTTCTCCCACAGATCATTCCTCCTCCACTGAAGATAATTTTCTCTCCATTGCCCTCGAAGACTGATACCTTCCCCTTCCACATACACAGCTGGGTTTTGGCAGTTTCCACCCCACAACCTTTAATATTACTCTTTTTTTGTTTTGGTATGTCAGTGACCAGTGGCTAAATATACCAATTGGAGCCCCAGCAATATCCAAAACCTAGGCAGAAAAGTCAGAGGGTACACTATGCCAGTAAGGGGCAAATTTCAGAAAATGGTGTTAGAGAGATCACATGATCATCTATTGAGCAGGACGCTTGAACTCTTTCTGTTAAAATAGGCTGCATTACTTGAGCCTTGATTTTGCAGTTATTTGGAATTGTTCTGAGTTTTCACTTTTCCATCACTCATGGTCACAGATGATGCATGTGACAGCTATATTAGGCAGGGCATGTTTATAAAATCTTTGCATTTATCTTCTTAAAAAGCAATTATCTGGAAAATATAGCAATTAGAAAGTATGCATTAGAAATAAGCCCATTCTTGCTTATATAAAAATGAAATCAGCTATGCAACTGCAATTATTTAGTACTAGTTTGGCTTGTTATGAAATGAAGCATGTGTAGATGGTGGGCCATGAAAAGCATAAGCTTCCAGGCAATATTAGAAAAATGTTCCTCAGCATTCTATACCACTGTGTTTCTAGTGCCATCAGTAGAACATATGAGATACTCTCTTTTAACAATTTTAATATACTAAAATTTATGGACAAGAGAAGAGATGCCCTGAACCCATTCTTATTATTTAAATTGTTTTGTAAAAGAATTGTGTTTCTTATGATTAGAATAATGTTCTCATTATATGGTAGATTAGATAGACTCCAATTAATTAGAAGATAAACTTTTCCATGATTATGGATGGTTTGACAATTTCCAAATGACTAGGTTGAAAGTGTTGATTTAAAGAGACTGAAAGATTTCTGTTTTCCCTTACTCTGATATTAAACCTCTCTGGGACCGTGGTCGCTGTCTTGTCTGTTCATGTTCCTTGAACGCTTTCTAACTATGTGTGTATCTGTATGCATGCTAAAATAATAACATGCTAAATTAATTATTGGGATATTTAAAATTTGAAATTATATAATCATAAAAGATAAACTATGGATCTGAAAGTGTACAGGCAACTCAGTGGACACAAATATTTTGCCAAAATTTTCTTTTTTCCTTTTCTATTTTTTTAATTTTTAATTTTTGATTCAGATATACGTGTATAGATTTGTTACAAGGGTACATTGTGAATGCTGGGCTTAACAGAGTTGTCAGTGTGACAGCACCATTTCAACATATCCTTCTAAAAGGAAAAACAATATTAATTTACTTTAGTTTTCTCACTAATAAAGAAAATTGTCACAGTTGATTTTGGGTCACTCAAATACTATTGTAAGAGGTTTTATGCTTTAAACACAAACTTATATGAATATATAAAATTGTTTTGGCCATCACTATTTTTATCGTTTCCTGTTTTCATAAACACTATTGGGTGGAGTATTTGTTTTAGGTTTCTTTGAAGGACAGTAAATGTACAATGCCTTGATAATATGCCACACTGATTACTTTAGCAGAAAAAATACATACAGGCATGCGAACCTGCACACAGGGACACAGGGGATTGGGGGAAAGAGACAAAAGAGAGAAGATAAGAGGGAAGGAGAGACACAGGGAGAGATTGGTAATATTGATTGTGCAAACTAATTGACTACATAGTTCACTGTTCAAATTGATGTAAAGCATTTATTTATGTGTTATTCATAAATCAATTCATCTTTGTTGAGTGCCTAATTTTCACATAATAAGGTAAAGGAGAGAGTGTTAATAGGGGAATTGATGTAGTAAAATTTTGCACTATTGCTGTCATGCTGGAAGCTACGGATGACAACGCAGACTTGGGATTTGGAGATTATGTAGACTACAGCCCACTTTCTGCTCAATTTCCATGAATTGAAGAGTGGACAGAAGGGCTTGTTAGAGTGTCAGTTTTGAGGGATTTGGATTTGAAGAAAAGGAGATGAATGAATGGATCGTTATCTAGAAGGTTGACATAATGTCATGCTTTTGATAAAGGAGGTTTTATTTAGCTGTAAATTTGTCATGTTATCTGTGGGCCTAAAGCTCGGTATTCTACAGTTTCTACTTCCTGCCATGGACTCCCCTAAATATTGTTAGGAAGATTAAATATATTTGAAAAGACCTTCTATGGCACCTGATCCAAGACAATCTCTAAACAAATACAAGTTTCCGTTTCTGTTTTTTTTTTTTTCCTGTTGAAAACATTCCAGAAGCAGTCCTGAGTTGGTCATTGATCATAATTGATATTTTTCTAGATATGCAGTGATAGCATTAAACGGTTGTTTTATTATTACTCGAGGATTCATGGTATCATGAGCTGTGTGATGTCAAGCAAATGATGTATGTGCCCCAAACACATCGTTTGACTCCTAGGATCTCAGTGTTGGAATTTATTGAATGGTGTGAAAGACAAAATTTGGGGAGATAGACTTAGGTCTCTCAGCAGTTTTAAAGTCCTGTGTGTTTATCACTGTTCATTTAGGGGTATAATCTGCTAATTGAATTTATTAAAAACTTGCTTATTTCTTCTGGGAAATTATGGTGACTAGAGGATAATGACCTAGTACCATGTAAAATTTAATTCAGTCAACATTTGTCAATGCATACTCTTTCTCAAGAATTATAATAAAATTCTAGGGTTAAAAAGTAGCCATAAAAATTAAATAATAAAACCATGGATAAATATTTGATTAAAATATTAATATCATTTTCATCAGGTAAATAATTCTAGTCTTAGAAGTTGACTTATATGCATAAAATAAGATGTTTTAGAATAATGTACAGCATTAAATGTTCTTAAGGTTTAAATTCCTAGATTAAATTTATGGTCCTAAGTGTATTGAAAGTGTTTATTTGAAATCTATTGCTTAATTAATTTAAAAATGAACACAATATGTACTTCGTCAAGGAGATGCAGGACCACCTTAATTCTAAAAATTACCCTCTAATGCAGTTAGAGTAAATATATTAAAAGATGACCTTTGCTAAAGAGATCAACAGCGTTAACTAAAAATATTTTTATATATCTATAAAAGATTTATGCTTGCTTATATTTCTTTAGACTGCTACCCAAATGCTAAAACATTGAAAACTTTTGAATTGAGGAAAAAGAAATAAAGAATGTGTATAGATGCCAGAAAGAACAGATGATTTGCATCCAGAGAGGATTTCATTTTTATGTATCTTTATTTTTAAGAATTTATCGGTAACTACAAATGCTGTTAAAAGTCATGCAAAGAAGGTTTTTCTAAAATGTATGAATGATCTGTTTGGACCTTGATAATTACTGAATTTTAGAAGTTGATGATAACAACCAAAAAATGAGTAAATGTTTTCTATAGAGTTTCAATTTCATATACATCAAGATGAGCCTAGGTTAAGCTGAATCAAGGCATTCTGTTATTTTGCCATGAAATAAAGTTATCTATTTTTTATTCTGCTAGTAGAATTTATTAATTTTTTATGACATGCCAGTTTTATGCCAGTACTTCCCTTCTTCTTAGAACTAAGTAATGTTTTTTCATAGCAATGGTGTAAATAATGTCAAAGGACAAACCATACTTTTAATAAAACTCTCTTATATAATAAAAATAGTTGGAATAATATTTTAAGGTATTTTTTAAATGAATTCTTCCTCTTGCTAGAATAAGCTACAGATCTATGCAATGTTTAATTGATCAGTGAATTAAGTTTTCCACAGATTAATGAGATTTTCTAAATATTTGAAGTTTAACTAGTTTTGCCAGTATTCCATCTTTTCTTTCCTAGTCATCATAGCAAATATCACATTTTGAGGTAGATTAAAAGTAATTTAAATTATTTATTTGAGAGAGTCTAACAAGTCATTAAGAATATTTTTAGCTACATACAGATTCAAAGCTTAAAAATACTGAATATACTTTTACTTGGCATTTAAAAAATTATTTACACATGTACACACACATACATTTTCTTTGCCAGATAAAAATGAGATGATAGTATAGCAGATTTCTAAGGAACACTGAGTAAAATCATTAGAAAGTGTCATCTGAGTAAAATTTTTGCACGTGGTTAGGTAAATATTTGAAATCGGAGGTCAAACACTGTCAATTATTTACTTGGTTGTCCCAAGGATCATACGGTCTCCATCCATCTTCAGTATTATTAGAAATAAGAGTCCTTCTTTGTCTATGTTGACTGTTGAGGGAAAATGTTCAGACAATGTTTAATTTTTAGAAATTATTTTACCAAATATTTTAATTGAGTTAAATATATCTTCGCGTTTGAAAAGCAAATACTGAGAATCATTCACAAAGTTTTCTTTCATACTTTGTTTCTTTCAGCATGAAGCAATTCTAAAACTCCAAGTGAGTGAAGAAAATTTAAATGGCTTTCTTCTTTTTATGAAAGTAGTGGGAAGGGCTGTACAATCAAACAGACCTAAATCCAGTTACATTTCACTCAGTTGGAGGCAAAGTCAACCCCATAATAAAAATTAAAGAAAATGACTCTGAATTACTCCTTATGTTGCATCTGGCATTTAATTGATGTGTATAATAAAGTAAGTAAAAATCTTCTAATCAAATTTTACATTTGCATACTGACATTTTATCTAAAAGATAGGTTTGGATGTACTGAAATCTTTCAGTCAGTCTCTGAAGAAGTCTCAATGCTGAATGATGGAAGCCTATTATGTGCAGAATACGTATTAAACTTGGTCACTCAAATGAAGACTGTTACTCATATGTCACTGCATTTACTAAAGCTGCGGGAGGGAAGAGGTCTCTGGAATATTTCCATCCATACTCGATCTTATACTCATTTCCATTTTATGCTCATTTGACTGTTTCTTTTTATTACTTGGCATCACGAAACTATTGAGTTATCTTAATGGGAATTCTATTGTTACTCTCATCTTTATTACTTCCATTAGGCATTTGGATCACTGGTTGGTCTCTTTTCTCTTTACTGTTTCTCAGTTTTACATTTACATGTTATTTCTATCAGTAAGTTTTATAACAGTCTTTATAAACTCTGTGCTAGAGTTTCTAATAGAATGCTTACAAACAATCCTACCTATCCTATGACTTCTATGTTTAATCCATCAACTACAGCTAATGTAGGGGGATTTCAGGTGTCTGTAAGACAAAGGCATATCTCAGAAGGAAGTGTGGAGGGTGGGGGATGATGATTGAGCAGGAGAGTCATCAAAACTGTACATGAGAAAGGTGCTTGGCCTCTTCTCAGTTACCACTGCGACATGACACACAGGCTCAACGTCTTCCTCATAAGGCAATGTAAACTGATACCCACTTACTCCAACAGAAGTCAGCTTAGAGAAATTCACACATGATAGATGTATAAATGGACAAAGAAAGGAGTTAGAAAAGGATGAGACTTGTTTCTAACCTCCGAGAATAACTCCATTTTAAATAGCAAACTCTTCTCTGTTCTAAATCTTTCTTGATGTCACCAAATATACAAAACATTATTATACTGTACAGTGCGAGCTAGGAAGACTTTTTGGTTTTTCTTACTAATAGAAATGGAGATGGTTTATTATATATTTAACAGTCTAAAATTCAAACTATTTTCTTTCCACCAATGGACAAACTTGTTGAGCACATGATACTTAAGGCAATACAATATCTCACAATACAATAATCATCCTGAAGGTCGTAAATTGCATTTTCTTCTAAGTGACTCTAAAATGCTTTGAAATTTAGAAGTTAATGAACTCATTTCTGTTTCCTATAAAAACAACTTATAGAAATAAAATTAATATTTTGCAAGTCAGATGTTGAATATTATAATTTTCATGGATTTCTTACTACTCATTTGAAATTTTTTATCATTTCATTTATCTTTATGTGCTAAATAAAGATTAAACATTTTCTAACTTTATGATGGTGGTACTTTTCACTATAAGGATATTTGTCAAAAATAGTACTCATGACTATTATAATTACAGTCTTTCTGTATGTCTAGTGTCTCTCCTGCCAACCAAGAACAAGTACACAAAGAAAATTTAATTCCATTCAAGTAAAAAAGCAAGAAATAGTAATCTATTCGTAATAGAAGTGGTGGAAGTGCCTAGTAGCTACCAGTACCATCTTTCATCTGAGATGTCAGCTGACTAGCTGTGCAATCT
Organism: Homo sapiens; assembly: GCF_000001405.40. Classification (NCBI taxonomy): domain Eukaryota; kingdom Metazoa; phylum Chordata; class Mammalia; order Primates; family Hominidae; genus Homo; species Homo sapiens. The sequence continues at coordinate 107,589,879 of NC_000013.11, read as the reverse complement.
GTTTGGTTATCCTGCCTGATATGTTATTAGCAAATATTTCAAGTCCCATCATATCATATAAGCCCTGCCTCAAGGGAAATTCCAAAAGTCAGGCAAAGAAAGAAGATACAAGTTTACTAGATAACTTACCACTTTAATCAATATTCAATTATACATGTATTTTGGAAATATTCTAATTTCATGTTTTGTATCACAATTGCCATCTAATTACTCATAATTCAGATAAATTTATGTTAACTTTTATGAAAACTAAACAGGTGTGATCTAATAAAATTAATATTTAATTGCAAATACCAGCTATTCTTTAATGCACAGGGAAAAAAATACCCTGGATAGATCATTTACCCTCAAGTCACAGATAACTGTTTGAATATATCAAGAATTCCTAAAATGAAGTTTTAAACCTTCCCAAAACTTAACTGAATTTGCTGTTGATTCAATGCACTTGTAAAATCTTGGTGTTTCAGCAATTATTTTTATACACAAATTTATCCTAGTAGAAAGATTGCCATTGCCATTTGGTAAAAAGCTACCAAAATTTAGACACTTGGAATTTGCTTTTGGCTTCACTCGTGACCCCGAAGAACATCCAAGATTTTAACGGTGATGAAAGTAGTACATTCAGATTTATCTTCTTGATTTTTCTAAAAACTCCGAGTGAGCCAGTATTCATAAAAAATGTTAAAAAGCAGAAGAAAGGACACAAGATAAACAATAATTTGGATAATTCGTAAATTGGTATTTCATTCTTGACTTCTTGAGAATTCATTGTATACGCTACTCCTCAAAAATAAGGAAAACCATAAACAAAAATTCTGGTCTGAAATATCTTGGCAGTAATGTGTTTGCTCTCCCCTGTCCTGAATATTTTAGGCTAACTTTCAATTAAAATGGATTGCAATTAAATTATTTTGGGCAGAAATGTGTCTTAACCTTTGACAAAGTTGATCATTTCAGCATTTTCAAATGCTTAAACTATTTCTTAAAATGACACAAATTGTGGCGTTGCCATTTACCGAGGTTTACATGCTCTTGATGCTTAAGGATTCGGCTTTCTTTTTTCCCCCGCATTTATTCACTGAAAACATGATTGATTCAGTTTTGTACCTATGCAGAATGCCACTGACGTGATGCCAAATATGCCCTATTTAGAAAAAATAAAAATTAAAAGGATATTTTTCTGCACAGTCAAAATTATGCAGATGTGGATTTAAAAGACTACATGTCAAAAAATACACAAGTAAAGTTTACTTACTCCATGTTTCCTTTTACACTCACAGACAGCAGATTTACAGGCACCAAACAGCCTTCATCAAAACAATGAAATGCCCAGTGTGGCTCTTTGATGACTTCATTCTGTCTTTCACGTATGCCCAAACCCTCATAATTGCAGGTGCTTTTTCTGTACCCAATTATTTGGGGTCTCTGTGTTATTCCCAGGCATGCTTAGGTCATTCTGGTTTCCCAGGGCTCCCTTTAGGGCCTCTAGATATCCAAGTTGTCACAGTCTCATTTCTCAGCTTAGTCTTTCCAGACTCTCCAACATACCCATGTTCAATTCTACATCACATGGCATCAAGACAGGGACTCAACATTGCCTAAAGCAGTTTGGGTCACTAACTTATTTGATAAACTAATTTCTGTTAAGGCTCTTTGTTCTTTCATTCTCAGCTGAAATGTGTGTATGGCAACAGGGGCCTCCCATGGACAGTCCACTTTTGGAAGCTCTTGGATGGTGTCACCATGAAAGAGTAGAGAAAGATGTTTAGGAATGTGCCCACTTGATGCGAGAATTGTGAGAACAGTCCTTCATAGATGGACAATGGTGGGTTCATTAAATAGCACTCTGGGAATAAAGTCTCTTGGTAAAGTAAGCAAGAGAATATTCATAAGCTGGCCAGTCGTTCATTCTTCCATGCACACATTTGTTCAGTACATTTTATTGTGCTAGGTCCTGGAGATACAGAAGAGAGGAGTTAGACACTCCATCTCCATGTGTGGTTTACAGTCTAGCAGGGATGCATCCATGTGAGAGAGCTGTGCACCTGTTCAGTTTTGCTCACCTCTAGCCCAGTTGAAAACAAAATTATGGACAACAATTAATCTAATAAAAAAATAATAAGTTAGTCAAGTGTTGATTCAGATCACATGCCTCTCATTGTTCGTCTCTGGACAAAGTTGTGAAGAATGCTGCATCTCAGACTGCCCATGTTATTGACTTTTTTTAAAATCACCTGGTAATCCCTTTTTCCTCATATCAAATGCAAACACAGCACTTTCTCAGACTCACTTATAAGAGTGCGTTTTTATCCATTCTTACTCTTGCTTTTCCTTTTATTCTCCCTCTGCCCAGCTATAACAAATTGGATTGTGATTTTGTCCACAATTATTATTCCTAAAATGACATTTATATTTGGAATTGTATTTTCATTACAGAGAAACAGGTTAAAAATCAAGTCACAATTGAAATAGGGAAAGAATACCCTGAAAGATATAGTTTAGCAGTAAGTGTATTTGTACACTGATAAACTGATCTTCCGAAGAGACTGTTTATGATTTTGGCAGTGCCTCATTTTTTAGGTCTTTGTCTTTAAGGAACCCACGTGTGGTTGGGGAAAGCACCTCAATCTCTGCAGTTCATATGTAGAAACTCTTATAAGCCTTGTGAGAGGTCTGTGTTCCCTTCCTGACTGTCCTACACCTACTATCTTGAACATCAGAAACACTGATGTTCAAGAACTTTGATTACCCTCATTTATCTGGGAGCTGTGTGACATCTGAGGCACAGTTCTAAGTAGAAGTATCATTCAGAACCAGGAGCAAGAATCAGATACTCGTGAGTAAAGGTCCAAAACTGAGTGGCAATGTAATACTTTTGGTTTTCAAATAAAGAGATTCATAAGATTTATCTAATCAATCTACTAATGCATGGCTCTATATAAGTTTGCTAGCATAATAGATTAATCATGGTAAATCTATTTCTAATCTATTCCTTATAACTTACTATTTCTCCTTCTACTATGACATCTTCATTTTTTGTCTTTAATGCTCATCCATTTTTTCTTCTCTGTACGTGAATCTTAGAGCCCACAGGTAACTGACACAGAATGTTGAGAATAGTAGGATACAAAAAGTAGTGGCATTTTGGAGATCTGGTAGTCCCTTAGACAATATTCCTTACATTTGTCTATTTGGTTTGCTCTCCTGCATTTTGTAGACTCATTCCTAGCAAAAAAAAAAAAAATCTCCATAGGGGAGCTTTAAATGTAGGCAAGAGATCTCTGAGTGATTACTTTTTGAAAATATATTCCTAAAATACAAGTTGAGTAACCTACTTCCCATAAATAGATAAATACAATGATTTATTTAAATAGCCTTTAAAAAATTTGAAATGGACTCATAACAGAATGGTATTCTAAAAGCATGCTGAAGCTGTTGAATTTACTGTTTGGAGTCCCAGTGAATCACAGGGCCGTCACATGCAAACTGTAGACTCATATGTCTTCAAGCTGCATTGACTGCCAGGATCTTTATTAGTAAAGGGGTATAAGACTGCATTTTACAGTGTTTTCGTCTTTTACTAACCATCCTGTGAAGTTGGTAAGATGGTATTGCCCCACTTTGTAAATGAGAAAAGTGGGATTAAGATTCAGTAGTAGTATGTGATGAAGCTGCAGATTCAAACCAGCTTTCCCTATAGATAGCACTTTTCCAAGGGTGCCACAATTCTATGAGGTACCTGGGCCATGAATTCCCTTTCTTTCCATTTTTCTCTTTCACACATAGCCTTCTATATTCAATATAAGTAAAATCAATGCCATTGCTTATCTCCATTTTTGTCACCTGCTGAGGTGACAGGCATTCTTCCAGATCTCAACTTTTCACATTAGATGGTGCAGAATACTAATTTTGAATCCTACCTCTATCATAAGCAAATGTTCCAGTGCTAAACATATGGTCAAAAGTAATTAAATACATGCTTTGCTTGATATTTCAGAGAATTGATATTTTTCCTCAATAGAAAGGATTTTGTGAAATGAGTGATTAAGTTAATGAAATACCATAGAGTGTGTTTATGAAATTGGTATGTGGTAATGGCCGAAAAAATAAACACAAAGAGTGATGTTTTGTTGTTCTGAGGTATTTATTGTCCTTGACTATTATCCAAGAACAGATGGCAGAGGCTGTCAGCTGGGTTATGAGGCCCCAGCAAGCAGGAAGTAGGTGATGATAAATGGCTGGTAATTTCCCATAGTGGAGCCGCCATCCAGAAGGTGCTGTTGAAATGAATCAAAGCTGGGCTAAAACATCATCATTGGAATTTTGTCCAATATTTCATATTTTTTCCTTAAGAAAAGAAAAACACAGAAGCTTTCTCCTTTGCCTCTATGAAACCTTCAGAAAACTGACAGTAATTTGTTGGTTCCTTAAAACAAAATTATTGGCCTTGACTAAGGGTGAAACCTCATATTTCTTCCCAGATACGTTGGATTTTTTTTTTCTATTCTATTTTTTTTCCTGAGAAAGCACTTGGGTTTACCGAGTATTTTTTTTCTTTACTCGCATTTGCCATGCTAGCCTTGATTTGGTTTGTTTGGTTGGTTAAAAGTGTGATCTAGTAATTTCTCAAATTTATCTGTATCTATTTTCAGGTAAAAGAAGAAAAGATATTCTTTATTTGATTTATTTAAACAACTGATTATTAGGAGTATATTTTGGAAAAAAATGACCGGGTTGGATTAAAAGATAGATAAAACATATCTCTTTCGTTCAAAGGAGATTGATATCTTAATATGGTAGGCAAGTTTCTACTATAAAGTCAGAATATATTAGAATTGCAGTTATGTCACATTTTATCTGTGTGTCTACTGCCGATTACTTTATCTTTCTGTGCCTTTTAGAAGGCAGCATTTATAGCATGTAATAGGTAATTAAGAAGTAGTAGCCTAATAGGAAGAAGTAGTGATGGTAACAGTGATGATGATGATGATAATAATAATGGCAATACCAGGCAGTGAAAGAAGCAGGCTGCAAAATAATCTGAAGGACTGTGTTGGGAGGAAAGTGTGAGCAGATATGGCCACCCAGCCTGTGGGCTTCACGTGGAGTGAGGCATGGCACAGGGACCTCCCAAGTGAGTGGCTACGGAAATGATAGTGAGATCTACTTGCTGTTAGAAGTGAACTGCTCCATATATCACAAGTGAAAAATACGAGTAATAAAAAGTATGAGGGCAGTTTAGTCAACATTACAGTGTATTTTAACATCATTTCATACAGTAATAAGGGATGAGAATAATCTGATACTTGACATTCCCATAAGAAGCAATCATTTAAAAGCCTCTTCTAACTGTTGTCCATCTTTAACATATTAATCACTGCTTCCTTTAGGTTTGATTTATGATGTTAAACTGCAGGTGTAAATTGATGAATGAATACAGAAAAATAAGGGTTTTTCAAGTCTAAAATTTAGAAGAAAACTCATATTCTTAAACAGGCATGCATTAAAATACTTTCAATTATTTCACCCTGGAAGGACCTTGCTTATTAGTGATAGCTTTAGACTATCCAACTTTCCAAATCACAGTTTCTGTTAAATCTCTTAAATAACTGTGATATATGTCTAATTTTCATGTGTATCAGGTACGTATTAATCTTATATTCACAGATGATTATTTGACCAATTTCCTTTTCCCTATGTTCATTCATTTCAGAAAATGCATATTTCACAGGATAGAGAGACTATTTATTGAGAGTCCCTAGGTCATAGCACATTTTTAAACGATTTTCCATAAATTTAAAGTATAGATTCTATATGTTCAGGTACCAGATATCCTTCAAAATTTCACCTAAAGTCCTGGATGGCAATTATGCCTCATTGCTATATACTCCCTTATGAAAGATAAAGGGTATTTAAGATGATTTTTTTGTCCTTAGAATAGGGGTGTAGAAAACCTCTCTCTTTACCTGGGAGCCAAAGAAGAAAGTTAATGAGGAAAAGAGAGAAACAGGGCCAGGGAAAAAGCTGCATTCTGTAGCAGGGGAAAGAAAGGTTACAGGGTATTTTGCTAGACAGTAACTCTTGGAGACACATATTGCTTTGAAAATTTGTACCCCTTTCAAACTTATAAACACACTCTTTGTAATAGTCCTTGGAGGTTAAGTACTTCCAAAAATGTGTATTTACTGATGCCAGGTAAAGAATCCTGGCTCTCTTTAGGTAAGAGAATGCTGATAGTCATATGTGCTCACAGTGTATTTTTAATATCAGTTACACTGAGAGCTCAAACAATTTGTTTATTTCTAAAAGTTCACATCTTGAAACTGGTCTTAAAATCACAATAGCCATTGTAATAGTCTTGTTCTGATGGATCACTCCTGCTACATTATATCATTGGCCACACATCCAAAAGACATAAAAATATTTAAAATATGAAAGCAGAGGTCATGCCTCTTTTACCAAATCATATTTCATAACTTAAAAGTGATCTGAACAAAAATATCTTAGAATAAAAATTTAACTTGTTTGACAATGTAAAAATGTTGATAACATTATTTGAACATTTATTTAGACCCTGAAGTGGAGAAGCGTATCATTAAACTCATTCTTGCAAAAATACATATGCATTGTAAATCTTAAAATTTATAAATTATATATTTATATAACATTATGTTTCATAAATAGCATAATGTTATATGTCTATATGTCTTATCTATCAAATTCAGAATCTTTATTTCCTTCTGACTCTCTAAAAGAGACAGAGAAAAGAGGGAGGAAATTGTAATGAAATCTTTCAAGAAGTGTTCCTGTAAATGATGAAACTAGTCCTACTCCTATATGCATTGCTGAGATATTTCAAGCCATAAATGATGAAAGGATGATTCCAAAAGCTTCCAGAGAGGGGGGAAAAGGTGATATACCAGGAATCAGAGGTCAGAATGGCTTTGGATTTCTCAACAGCAAAACCCAGGTGAGAAAGCAGTGTATGGAGCAGTGTGTGGATGTGCACGCGTAGACTCATTTTAGGCTACACATTGATTACACATGAAAGTTTCAAACTGAATTATACAGGATTTTCTTTTTATTTAAGGGAGTCATAATGAACGTATTATTCTTAGAATTCTTTGATCTTAAATATGAACTCCACATTTTAAGTATGCACATTTGCTTAAAAGTACAAGAAATATTTCATGTATATATTTTCAAAATTACTTTGAATCTTTCCTTACATTAAATTTTAAGAAAAGAAACAATTTGTAACCATAGGTTGAAGTTGAAACAATCTTCTTTAAATTCTGACCCCATAGCCAGTCATGCCTCCTGCCCCAAATTCAACTGGCACTGCACCGTGCTTGATTTTTGACATTTCCTGATTTTCTCTTGCTCCTGGATAGTTTGCAAGGGTTATCTTTTGGAACTGGAATGTTCTCAGCCTTTGGGACTAGATGCAAGTGTTATCTGCCTGTGAATCCCTTCCTGCTTCTCTGACAATGCAGTGGCACTTCTGTAACACGTGTATTTCTGGCGTCACTGTCATGTTTGTTACCCTCTGTGGTATTTGTGTGTTTCTTCACACAGTAGTGTTATATTATGGACAAAGCAGGGCCCATGCCTTATCCAGGCTTCTGCCCTATGCCTTTCTTAATGTCTACTTCGGAGTCATTAAGGACTTTGAAAAATGAATCTATTTTAAAGGATTTATGTCATTTATGGTAATTTAGGCACCATGAGTCAACAAAATTATCTTTCTCATTATTTTTGAAATTTTATATATAGTGTAGATAATGTGTTTCATATCCAGAGATTTTGGCTAAGCAACCTACAGCACTGGAGAGTTCAACAAGAATGTAGAATGAAACACAGAATTCCTAGAAGCAAGCCTATAATTCTGGAGTAAATGAGTCACATGAAAAGTAAATGTCCAAAGGCATCTTTTGTGGGAATGATCACCATAGGCTGAAATTGCGAGGAACTAGAACAATTATTATTATGGATTTGTGTAAGACGATAGGTGAGAACAGTCACCAAAAATGGGAGACTATTTTAATGAACTGTATGTGAATTGATGAGGGTCTGATATGGTGTCAGAATAGAAAAATAGATACAATTTGCTTATGAAGAAAAATAGATGCAATTTGCTAGTTGTAATAGATGCCATTTGCTTATGAGCTGTACAGGGCTCAAGGACCTGCTTGCAAGGATATATCCATTATCCAGACATGTATTGGAATATACACTCATTTTGTTTTATTAAAACTTAGTTCCAACCAGAACTAGATTGATGTTTCCTTCTTCATAATTTGGATCCTTCTCTCTTTACACAATTTTCTTGTAGTACACAAGGTTTTATGTGTCAGTTTTTAATTAAATTAGCAAGACCATTGATTTTGGAAGTTTATTTGATATGCTGTGATTGCTTTCCTCTAGACAGAACAGATAAACACTATATTATGCTTTCAAGACATATATAATAATTAAGACAAATGCTAAGTAGGAAGCTCAAAGGTATGAATCAGATACGGAATGATAGTGCACTAAGTTACAGAGCTTTCCTTTGTTGATTCTGTTCCCCCTGTTCTGGTCCTTAATGGTGTTACTTTTTTGTTTACACAAAAACATATCACATGGTCACATTTGCATAATACCAAGAAGAGACAATGACACAGCAGTTGCCCAGCCTTTGACAAATACCGTCTTGAAACAGTGGTCAGCTTGCCTTAGCTGAATCAAAATGCGTCCGAGGAACAAACAACGTGAACAAAACAGGAGACGTAACTCTATTTTTAAATTTTTTCTTGAAAAAATCATTTCCTAGTCTTAGTTTTCACAGCCAGAGCCTTTTACGTTGCTCTTATCTGGGTTTACCGTATTTTGACTATTTTTCTCTGGTCTCCAACTCATTTAAAGCCTTTCTTGGCTCCTGTTCAGACTGGCACCGACAAGGGCAGTGTTTCTCCCATTGTTAAGGTGACTCTTTCTTTCTTTTTGTTCCTTGGCTCTTTCTCTTTGACTCTTGAATCATCACCAAGTCTGTAGTCCTTGCTGGTCAAAACCTGGCTGTCTTTTCCACTGTTGTTAAAATGTTTAGTTATAATTCAGGAAGAGGAAAACAATCTGTGCATTAAACATGATTCTCCAAAGTTTTAAGCTTTTTCCTCAAAACTTGAAAGAATATATGATTAATTTGATCCATTATTTGCTGTGCCAGGCCCAAGAAATAAAGCCACAAGCAAGAAAACATTCTTTCTTTCATAAAACTGAGAGTCTTAAGGAAAGAGTCAAAAATCTGACATACCGAAAATAATATGAGAGAGTAAAGAGGACAATGAAGAAAATTAAAGTGGGTGCTGATGTCATGCATGTGGGGTGGGAAGTGCTACTTTTGAACCGTCAGCTGGAGCAGACCTGTGGGAGAGGTGCCATTGGGCTTGACACATGAATGATGAAGAGGATAGGGCCCTGCACACAATTCAGGCAGAGCTTTCCAGGCATGAAAAAGGCAGATGCTAAAGCCCTGGGGTGGGAAATAGGTAAAAGTATTATGGAGAAAAAGGAAGACATTAATGGAGTTTGGTGTTTGAAAAGAAAGGCCCCAGAGTGTGACGTTCCCCTTCCTGTGTCCATGTGTTCTCATTGTTCAATTCCCACCTATGAGTGAGAATATGCGGTGTTTGGTTTTTTGTTCTTGTGATAGTTTGCTGAGAATGATGATTTCCAATTTCATCTATGTCCCTACAAAGGACATGAACTCATCATTTTTTATGGCTGCATAGTATTCCATGGTGTATATGTGCCACATTTTCTTAATCCAGTCTATCATTATTGGACATTTGGGTTGGTTCCAAGTCTTTGCTATTGTGAATAATGCCGCAATAAACATACGTGTGCATGTGTCTTTATAGCAGCATGATTTATAGTCCTTTGGGTATATACCCAGTAATGGGATGGCTGGGTCAAATGGTATTTCTAGTTCTAGATCCCTGAGGAATCGCCACACTGACTTCCACAATGGTTGAACTAGTTTACAGTCCCACCAACAGTTTAAAAGGTGGGGGAGGGGGAAGGGATAGTATTGGGAGATATACCTAATGCTAGATGACGAGTTAGTGGGTGCAGCACACCAGCATGGCACATGTATACATATGTAACTAACCTGCACATTGTGCACATGTACCCTAAAACTTAAAGTATAATAAAAAAAAAATATGAAATCAGCTAAAAAAAAAAAGAAAAATAGCTTAATTGTCAAATAAAAATTGGACATATTTAAGGTTAAAAAGAAAAGAAAAGAAAGGCATCAGACTGTGAGGTGAAAGGAAGGCAGGAAAGAGACACAAGGGGCCATGTGGCCAAGGGGAGAGGGTGGCCTGGATTCTCACAACAGAGACTTTGCTTTTCTCTTTGCTCTGTCTCCAGTGACCACATAAGGAGGGGGCACAGTGCCCTCAGGAAGACCTGAATGGATATTGATTATGAAAATGAATATTATGGCCAAGTGCAGTGGCTTATGCCTGTAATCCCAGCACTTTGGGAGGCCTAGGCAGGCGGATCATCTGTGGTCAGGAGTTCAAGACCGGTCTTGCCAACATGGTAAAACCCTGTTTCTACTAAACACACAAAATGAGCTGGGCGTGGTGGCGTGTGCCTGTAATCCCAGCCACTCCAGAGGCTGAGGCAGGAGAATCACTTGAACACAAGAGGTGGAGGTTGCAGTGAGCTGAGATTGTGCCACTGCACTCCAGCCTGGGCAACAAAGTGAGACTCTGTCTCAAAAAAACTGAATATTGAAATAGAGAGGTGATTATGGAATGTTAGCATGAAAGCATGGAGAAAACTTAGGGTTTGTAGTAATTCAGGCAAAGTACAATGATGGCTTGGAGCAGAGTGACAGTAATTGAGAAGGAATATGGTAGAAATAAATGGACTTGCTGATGGCTTATACATGGAAGATGGGAGAAGTGCAAAATCCACAATAAGAATAATCTTTGGCTTGGGGCTCTAAAGGGTACAAACATAGCAGCATACTTAAGAAATGAAATACAAATCAGTTAAGAATCTGTGATTTTCAACACACAGTATAGTTCTACATATTCATACGAGTGGTTCCGTCTTCCAAAATTCAGATGCTACTTAGAAGATTAGCAGTATTTATTATTTTTATATTAAAGATAACTCATTTTAATATGTACTATGGAACACAGGTAAAAATAAATAAGATTCATATCACAATGATACAACAATCTAGTTGATAGGTAATATATAAGATTTTCATTTATGGAAAGCATCAAGGCAATATATAATGAGTATGAATTAAATGCCAGAATGATTGCCTGGGCTGAGGTTGTTGTGGTAGAGGATATAAAAGAAGTTTTGAGACAGAATTCAAAACATTTGTTCCATTCAAGTAAGTATAAGAGAGGAAAGCATCCTAGGCCAATGAAAACATCACAAGAAAGGATGAAAAATTACTCTATTAGAATGTTGAATGAATTGAAATTTGACACACATCAAAAGGACTAGTCCAAAATGAGTAAATTTATTTCAACACGGCAAGACTAATGTCAAACCACTTAGAAAAATTGTCCATGAGGGAGAGAACAGGGTACTGTGCTAGGGTAGAAACAACCAGAAAAAAATAAAAGTTGATGGATTTAGGACTTATTTGTAAAGAAAAGGTGGAAGAACATGTCAACAAACGGAATGACAACAGCAAATAAGTGGAGACTATCAGAGATTCAAATGTTAAGTTCCAGTGACTGGAGATTGGATACACAATGAGTAAAACGAGGAGGCAAGAATTGGGAAGAGGAGATAGCACCAATCAATTTTAGACCTGTAGAATTTCAGGTCTTGGTGAAACCCCACAGGAGATACTTTTAGATGAATGGAATCTCAAAGGGTTTTAAGCTGGAAATTTGCATCTAAAGGGAAAAATTAGAACTGCTACTTGATGATGAAAGGATGGAGGCTACCAATGAAAGGGTAGCCTAAGAAGGTGGGCAAGGATAGGAGCCCACTCAAGCGATGAAGGAAGAGGAAGAACCAGAACGTACACAGGGAGGTGAAAATGGAACTTGAAGAGATCCGGGATGAAGCAGCATTTAAGAAGCTTATGGGCTTGGGTGGGAGAGTTTCAAGAACGGGGTGGTCTTTACAACATACAGGTCACAGAAAACTTGAGGGAGAGAAAATGTAACAAAAAATAGATCTTCCAAATCAGCTAATAAGGAGATCTTCCCAGTAGAGGCAAGAACACTTAGGATCATTCTTTAAATCACAGAGCTAATAAATTCAGTGAGGGTTAATATGTAGATCGCTTTTCAAAAGAATTATGAACACACCTTTCCTGGATCACAGATTACCTAGTTTTGGGGTTTTCTACTGACTTGATAATTTGGGGGTATTGCAGATATCTAGCTTTCTCTCCCAAACCTATGTTCCTTTCTTCCTGGTTTTGCATGCTAGTCTCCAAGAACATGTATCAGCCCCTTGTTGCTCCTAGGTGTGGCCACCTGACCAGTTTCCAACCAACTTTAGAGGAACAGGCAGATCTGTGAGATTTGCATATACCTTGCTTGAAATTGCTTGCCTTGTGTTTCACCTTTCCCCACATCTTAAAGTTGGAGCTCAGACTTGATGGTGAACCACCTTCCAACATGCAGATGAGAATGATGAAATTTTAAAGTCCAAGTTAGTTTCGCCTTCTACCTCTGGAACTGGACGATGTCAATGGTAGAAGATGGAACTAACCTGGACTCCAAAATATCTTTCTGGAGCCAAGCCTTCATGCCAGCCTGGTTTGCCCACTCCCAGTTTATTATATGAAAAAGAAACAAGTTTATGTTACTTAGGTCAGAGAATAGTAGGCCCTTTTTGTTATAAAAATGTGCCTATTCTCTAATTTATTTAAGGGAATTGACCCCGAGTTTACTTAACTCCCTTCCTTGTAATGCTGGCTCCTATTTTCTCACTCCCATGAGAAGGCTTGCTCGCAGAAGATTTTGACAGAGTAGGAACAATTGGTAAGTCAATCCTACACTGAGACTACGAAATATTTATTTTCTACACTTTTGTTTTTCCAAACTCCTTGTCACTTGTCATTTTTAATACATGGCATCCCATTTCACACCTGCCTCTATTGTGCCAGTGATTCTTTTCCTCCTAGAATGGCCTTTCCAATTTGTCTGGCTGATTCTACCGAATTTCACAGAGTCCAGATCATGAAGCCTTCCCTGAGTCACCTAGAAAATTAATCATTTCCTTCCTTGACCCATATGTATGTGACCCACATGCAAGACTCTGTATGTAGTCTTACTGTAGCCTATCACAAGAGTGGTAACTATTTTTTGATGTTGGTTTTCTCTACAGAATGGACTCCTTGTTGAGAAGATAGCATGATTTATTTATCTGTGGTTTCCCACCCTCACCCTTTAGAGTTCCTGACATGTAGTAGGGTATAAACTTAGTCCAAGCAAAGATTTCTTAAGAGAATAGAAAACAAATGAGCAAATAAACAAAAAAACACTTTTCTTTGTTTTCAGGTAAAGATCCTTTCACTGTTAGGAATTTTAAAGCTGGGAAGGAAGGATGTTAGCAAACATGTATAAATTAGCAATTCAATGGTTATCCTCTATAAGAAGAGCCAATCATTATCTGCAATGATAAGACCTGTCAGAGAAATTTTCTTTCATCATTAAATAATAAAGCTAAAGACTATGGTAGAGCGCATTTCCTGAACTCAAGTAGGGCAGAGAACATAATGAGGTTTGATCCTGTCACTGTTTTATTTATCCCTCTGCTCTGGATCAGGACTGAGACACAAAATGTGTTACACTTGCACAAAGATACAAACACGTACAGACACAGGTACACACACACACATATACATGCACACACACATATGCACACACACACACCCAACACACACATACACATACACACACATGCACACATATAAACATACACGCCTAGACACACACACCTCTTCCCAAACATACGTCTTTGCACTTCATTTTATACCCAGACTGTGTTCTATGGCAATCTCAAACTGAAATCCGGACTCCAAGGCTTATGTTACAGATGAAAAGTAAAATCACCTTAGATGCTACAATTTTGTTAATACTGCAAAATCTGATTTTTTCACACACCCTCTCCCACTACAGACTGATGGCTGAAAGTGACAGCCAGGAGTCCATCTTTAACAAAATGGAAAAATGGGAGAGAAAGGATCCCGAGGAATGCAAAGGGAGTGGGGGAAATGGGCTACATCTAGCAGGGAATGGCATAGCATGGGTGACGAGGGCAAGTTGTTTATATGGAGCCTTCTTGGCTTTCCATTTCCTAGGCAGTGTGCTGCCAGCCTTAGTATTTTGTGGTAATTTTTGCTCTTCAGGATGTATAGAAGAACCAGGTCAGGGACTCTCTGCTAAAATTGTAGAAAGGGGCTCATGGGATGGTGCCCTGGAGAGACAAGAGCCTTTCTGGAATGGGCTCTGGTTCTAGTTCCTCTTTGACCAGATTGACTTTGGGCAACTCACTCCATAGCTTTGCACCTAAATCTTTTTAAATGCAAATTGAGTGGATCCTACCAAATGGACTTGAAGTCCCTTTGTCTAAGATTCTGTTCTGTTTTTTTCCCCTGAACTCTACCAGTTTTGATAAGGTGAAAAATTCACCAAAGTTCTAAGGCTCTCTTCTATTACCAAATGACCCATTTATCTAAGTCTGTGTTATCATCCTAATTTTCCAGTGTTAGTGGAAAATGGAATTTCACGGTGGGCCTTGTGCACTTAGGTCTTGATTATGCCCTTGCTCCTCGTACGGTGAAAATAGTTAGACTCGCTTCCTAAGCCTCAGGAAATATATTATGGCATGCATCCAGGAGTTTTGTTGGCTGAGGATAGTAGTCATAATGCGCAAGATATTTCAACTGTAAGAATAATTATTGGTCACTTTACTATCTCTAAGTTGTCAAAAACTTCTCATGTGCCTACCCTAGATTGTATATACTTTCTTTTCCAAATCTCTGTTTTACATGGAGTCAAGTTTCCATTTGTAATTTAAAGATAACATCTTTGCTAAGGAAAGGCTGTTCATTGATATGCAGATTGAGAAATCAGCGTGTCCTTTAGGGATTTCAAGCTGTGGAATCAACCAAAAGTCTGCAGAATAATAGGACCCTTGAGCCTTTTATGATTGTAAGACTTTGATCTGCTACCAACAGGTCACTCAATTTTATCTTTGAGCCTCACTTAATGTGAAAAAGTGAAGCCTGATCTCCAGTAAGTGCTTTTAATGCAGAAGTAATGGTCTTACCTCCAAATAAGAGTCCTCATTTATATATTCATTGCACAAGATCACTTGTAAAGATTCAATGACCATATTTAACATTTACTGAGTACTTGTGTTTGCAGATGCTAAGAATATACCAGCCATCAAGAAAGAGCTTCTGTTCTCCTGCAACTTGTAGTCTAGTTGGGGTTTGGAGAGAAGAAATAGGCAACAAACAAGTGAACAATTAATCATAAAGGCATCATTGTCAGGTGATGATAAATGATAGAATAAAAATGGTATAGGATAGGGTAACAGAGAATGATGGGGCTATGACATTAGCCTACTCAAATCTCTTTGAGTAGTTTTTCATTCAAGATTATATTTTGATGCATAAAACAGAAACTCCAAAACAATACTGGCTGAAGCAGGACAAAAATTTGTTTCTCTTTCATCTCATATATTTGCAGAAGTAGGCATGTCATATATTTTTATGTCATATATTAGTAGAAGTAGACAGAACTCTTACACTGGGGACCTAAATACCATATACCTTTATTGTTTTTTGTTTTCATGTTCTACTATTCTGTGTCCCAGATGATTTTACTGTAGCAAGAAAGAGCGATGGGGGAATGTATTAGTCTGTTCTCACACTGCTAATAAAGACATACCCAAGACTGGGTACTTTATAAAAGAAAGAGGTTTAATTGACTCACAGCTCCACATGGCTGGGGAAGACTCACAATCATGGTGGAAGGTGAGTGAGGAGCAAAGTCACATCTTACATGGCAGCAGGCAAGAGAGCACATGCAGAGGAACTCCCCTTTATAAAAGCATCAGATCTCATGAGACAGACTCACTATCATGATTACAGCATAGGAAAGACCAGATGCCATGATTCAATTACCTCCGACCAGGTCCCCCCCATGACATGTGGGAATCGTGGGAGCTACAATTCAAGATGAGTTTTGGGTGGGGACACAACCAAATCATATCAAGGAAAGAGTAGCTAAACCTTCTCTGAGTAGCATTCCTGGACATCACCTACAAGTTCTGCTATAAATCACTACTCAGAAATTAGCTACGTTTCCATATCTGGATGTAACAGTGAGGCAGAAGTGCAGTCTTTTAGCTGAGAACATTGGTAAAAAGAAGAGAGGTATATTTGGTGCAGTAGGTATTTGCCCCAGTCATCAATTATGTGCCAAGTACTGTGGGTGTTCTTATTCCCCAGGTCAGCAGTTTTTACTGCTCTATACCTTAGCAACATAAGAATTATAAGGAAAGCCAAATTTTAAGAGAGATCTACACCAAAATGTACAAGATAAAAAAATTAGATAAATAAGAGCAGAAGTATGTTAGGAAAGTGTTAAAACAATTTGGTGTGCTTACTACCATTGGAAGCAATTCTGTTCTAATACTAGTTCTGTGGGCTCTTGGCTGCTGTGGTCAGAGGTCTAGAGCAACATAGCACAGGAGGATAAACAGGGAGGTCGTTTCACAGACAGGAAGCAGACACAAAGGCCCTCAGAAGAAGGTGTGTGTTGTGTGTTTGAAGAAGAGCAAGGAAGAGTCCCGGATGGTTGCAGGGTGGACAGTGGGGAGCAAGGCTCATGACAATTTCGAGAAGTACCAGGAGATGGGGTCTGGAAGAGCCCCGTAGGCTGTGGGTAGCACTTTCGATGTTACCCTGAGTGGGATGAGGAAGTCACTGGCATGTTTTGAAGAAGAGAGTGACATGATTTGACATATGTTTTAAAAGAAAAGTATCTCTTGTATGAATTATTTTTTAAAAGAGATAAATTAACATAAAAATGAATGATGAATTTGGTTTTCGACCTAGATATGCCATTTTATAAATTAGCGTGTTCTCGGAACTTCAAAAGTGCCATTTGTCTCCCAAAATGAAGAGTTTATTTGCTAATTAGTTCACTCAAAGTAGGGCTAAGGAAATAACATGTCTGTAAAAAACAATGAAAGGCCTGAGATTTTACCCTCCTTGCAATGTGACGAGTTCTCCTGCCACAGTTTAATGGATGCTGGTAGAAGTCACGAGAATCCTGGATCGGCACAAAGGGAATTTTGTTACTCACAGAATAGCAACAGACAGACTGCCACCATTTTTGTGACAGTTTTTTTGAGCCCCAATTCCCACAGGGGTAACATCAAGAGAGCCAAGTGACCCCTGCCCACCCAGTGCATTGCATTACAGCAGAGGCAGCTTGAAATTAGGAAAACAAATCATTTATAATGGGCAGTAAGTATCCCCCTGCCCTTTGTTTGCTCCATGGAGACAAACTTTCTCTGCCTCCCAGGGTCGTTCATTACCAGAAGGTCGTTGAAAAAAATAGACCAGAACAAGAGAGTCAGTGCCTCCTCACAAGATATGCAGAAAGGCAAGAGCTTCTGGAGAATTATTTCCCATAAATGCAATTTTAGTAGTATCATTTTAGGATATTAATATGAATGTATTTATGCAAGATATACCAATTATATTATTTATCAATTATCATGTTAATGTGAATTATAGATTTTTGTGTATGGTTTTAGGATATTAATAGGAAATGCTATTTATAGTGATAGTTGACGTGCTAAGGTACCTTAGAAGCATTGAGAATACTTTGTAATTTGCTACACACACGTTTCTCAATATGATTTCTACAAATCGATGATTTGGAGCACCTTGGATTTTAAAAAGGCAATTAAAGAAAAAACTACTCTTCTACTCAAACATAACACTTCTACTCATATAGAAACCAAATGTGTAAGTTATTTGCACACCAAGCAATTCTCAAATTATCTTTACCCACCAACTGGGGTGCCCTACAATTCAGTACCACTCTAATAGTAGCTACCTGGAGTTAACACAGATCCCACACACATTATTGGCTCATTTCTATAATACTTTCCCCATTTCAGTCTCAAGTCCGAAGTTGTCACCTGTAACTTCTGACTAGCATGAACCCCTTCTTCAGTTCAATAAATTGCTATAATGGCCCAAAGAACTCAAGGAAACACTTTACTTACTAGTTTATTACAAAAGGCACAACTTAGGAAAAATCACATGAAAGAGGCAAGGTATGGGGCAGGGGCACGGAGCTCCCATCTACCCAGACGTACCACTCTCCCAGGTCCTCCATGTGTACACCAAGCCAAAAACTCTCCAAACCCCATTATTTAGGGTTTTTGTGGAGGTTTCCTTTCCTAATTATGATTGATTAAATCACTTGGCATTGGTGATCAAGTCAATCTCCAGCCCCTCTCCTCTCCCCAGAGGTCCAGGGTTGGGACCAAAATGTCCAGCTACTCTAATCATACTTTGGTCTTTCCAGTGATGAGTCCCAAGCATCCAAGGGTCACCTGATTAGTATAAATTCAGGTATGGTCAAAAAGGAGTTATTATGAATTAAAAAAAGACACTTCTCTCACCTGGACCATTCAGGAAATTCTAAGGATTTTATGATTTAAGTGTCAGGAACTGGGGGCAGAAACCAAACATATATTTCTTATTATGCTGCAACAGTATTATTTCTTGTCTTATACATGATGTTTGTAAAAGTATTTTCATTTCAAATAATGTTTTCCCATCTATTTCAGCTCTAATTTTAGGGTTGTGTTGCCATAGCAATTCATAAGAACTAAAATATACAAATCTCATTGAAGAATCCTAAGATTCTTTATCTTTTTTTCATGTCTAACATGCAATGGAAGGAGCCTTTCATTCTCTTTTAAAATTCCTGTAAAAATTTAGTGCAAAGGATATAGCTGTTTATATTCATTTAAAATAAATATATGTACAAAATATAAATTCTGATTTTACTGCAAGTGTCTATTAATATTAAAGCTACACAATATTTCCTCTGTGAAATATATCAGGTAATAATTTTTTAAAGTCTTATGTACCAATGATATGCTTTCTTTGCTTTTAAAAATAAATATGTTCCCCAGCATGGCACATGTATACATATGTAACTAACCTGCACATTATGCACATGTACCCTAAAACTTAAAGTATAATAATAATAAAATAAAATAAATAAATAAATAAAAGAAAAAAATAAATATGGAGCACGTGGGATTTATTTCAGGAATACTAGGCTGGTTCAATATTTGAAAATCAATCTAATCCATCGTATCAAAAAATTAAAGGAAAAAATTATGGGATCATATCAATTTACACAGAAAAGACATTTGACAAAATTCAGTACGTGTTTATGATAAAAATTGTCATTATACTAGGAATAGAGAGAGCTTCCTCAGCTTTATTAAAAACATCAATATAAAGTCTGTATCTACGATCATACTTTATGGTGGAAGAATGAATGATTTATCTCTGAGATCAGAATTAACATGAGGATGTCTGCTTTTCTCACTGCTATTTAATATAGCACTGGCAGTTCTAGTCTCAGCTGTAATGCAAGAAAAAAAAAAGCATATACATTGGAAAGGAAGAAGTAAAACTTTCTGTTTGTAGATGACATGATTATAGAAAACACCAAGGTGTACAGCAATTAAAACAACTTTTTAAAATTAATAAATGAGTTCAATAAGGTCATAGAACCAAAAGTTACCTAAAAAAGTCAATTGAATTTCTTTATACTATCAAGGAACAAATTGAAACAGAGATTTTTTTTAAAAAAAATACAATGTCTTTGCAGTTTTTCAAAGGAAAATAAAACATGTACAGGATCTATATGATGAAATCAAAGAAGACCTAAACAATTAGATATATCATGTTCATGTATTGGAAGACTAATATACTAATGGTGTCAATTCTTAACAAATTGATAGACAGGTTTAAGGCAACTGCTATTAAAATCTCAGCATGTTTCTTTATAAACAGACAACTTAAAGTTAATTCTAAAATGTACGTGAAAAGATAAAGACTCTAGAATATTCAAGACAATTTTGAAAAGGAAGAATAAAATGGGAAGAATCACTCTTCCTGATGTTAGATCTTACTCGATAGATGCAGTAATCAATACAGTGCACCCCCAACAGAACGATAGACTCATAGATAAATGGAACAGAATAAAGAATCCAGAAATAGATCTACAGAACTATGCCAAACAGATTTTTGGTGAAGAACAAAACTAATTCGGTGGATGAGGGGTAGCCCTTTTTTTCTTTTTTTTTTTGAGACGGAGTCTCGCTGTGTCGCCCAGGCTGGAGTGCGGTGGCGCCATCTCGGCTCACTGCAAGCTCCGCCCCCCGGGTTCACGTCATTCTCCTGCCTCAGCGTCCCGAGTAGCTGGGACTACAAGCACCCACCACCACGCCTGGCTAACTTTTTGTATTTTTTTTAGTAGAGACGGGGTTTCACCGTGTTGGCCAGGATGGTCTCAATCTCCTGACCTCGTGATCCACCCGCCTCGGCCTCCCAAAGTGCTGGGATTTCAGGCGTGAGCCACCACGCCTGGCTGTGGGGTAGCACTTTTAATAAATGGTTATGGAGCAATTAGATATTCAAAAGAGGAAAGATAAACTTTGACCTGTATCTCACACTTTATATGAATCCCACGCCTTACTCAAAATAGTTTGTAAATTTAAAATATAAAACTATAAAACTTTTAGAAAGGACAGAGAAAATCTTTGCTACCTAAAACTAGGCAAATAGTTCTTAGATTGGACATCACAAGCATAATCCATAGAGGAAAACTTGATAAATTGTGTTTAATCAATATTTTAAAAAATGTTCTGCAAAAGACTGTTATAAAGATAAAATCACAGACTGGAAGAAAATATTTACAAATTGCATATCTGACAATGACCTTGTATTTAGAATATATAAAGAACTTTCAAAATTCAACATTCAAAAAATCCAGTTAAAAATACTCAAAAAACATGCACAGACATTTCACTAAATAGGATATACAGTTTGAAAATAAGCACATAAAAAGATCTTCATCATTAACCAGTAGAGAAATGGCTATTAGAACTACAATGAGAAATTAGTACATATCTATTAGAGTGACTAAAATAATAAATAGGAATAACATTAAATGCTGGTAAAGATATAAAAAATGGATCTCTCATATAGTGCTAGTGGATACGTAAAATGGTACAGCTATTCCAAAAATAGTTTGGTACTGCCTTTCAAAACTAAAAATGGACATACCATACAACCCAATAATTGCACTCTGAGGCACACATTCCAGATAATAAAGACTGATTTTTATGCAAGAACTTAAACCTGAATGTTCATAGCAGCTGTATTTGTGATAGCCCCTAACAGGAAATGATTCAAAAGTCTTTCAGTGAGAGAAAGGTTGAACACCATGTGGTATATCCACAGAATGAAAAACTGTCCAGCAATAAAAAGGGAACAAGGCTGCGTATGGTGGCCCACACCTATAATCCTAACATTATGGGAGGCCAAGGTGGGAGGATTCCTTGAGCCCAGGAGCTAGAGACCAGCCTGGGCACCATGGTGAGACTCCATCTCTACGAAAAAATTAAAATAAATTAGCCAGGCATGGTGGTGCATGCGTGATGTGCCAGCTACTCCGGAGGCTGAAGCAGGAGGATTGTTTGAGCCCATGAGGTGAAGGCTGCAGTGAGCCCTGTTCACACCACTGCAATCCCACCTGGGCCCCAGCAGACAGAGAAAGACACTGTCTCAAAAATAAACAATAAATAAAAAGAGAACAAAACATTGGTATACAAAAATAACAACTTGGATCACTATCAAGGAAATTACAGAGTAAAATAGCCCTTCTCAAAAGGATACAAATCACGTAGTTTCATTTATGTAACGTTTCTGAACTAACATAATCACAGAGATGAAGAACAGATTAGGGATTGGCAGGTGTTAGAGATGGGAGGGTGGGTTTGGCTATAAAGGGGTAATTTTAGGGAGATTCGTGTTAATGCTAGATAGAGTATTTTGATTTTGGTGGTGGTTACTCAAAGCTACACCTGTAACAACTGCATAGAGCTACAGACACACCCATTCAACCACAAGTACAGAAGAGTGCATGTGTAATGGTGAGATCTTAACAAGTTCTAGGGGTATTAGACATGTCAGTTTCTTGGTTTTGAATTTTACCTTAGTTGTAGAAAATATGTACAAGATTTCTCTGAGTAGTCATCTGTAACCTTCTATGAATCTGTATTTATTTCAAAGTGAAAAGTTAACAGAAAATGTGAAGTTGGGTGTCATGTCAAGTAGACAATCAGGCCAATATATGTTGTTGCTTAATGTCTAATTAATTTCTGACTTGAGGTCCTAGTAAGTCTTTTATTTTTATTTTTTAAAAAGGCTAAATATAATATTAACATTAGATGAGATCGTCATAAATTGTCAAAATTTGCTATCAATTAAAATATGTCTAATACATTTTGGTAAGTATGGGGAAGAATCTATATTCAGCATGTATATATACAGATAGTGTACATATAGCTCATTTTAATTTTAAAACAAATATATGAAACTGAGTTTTTAAAAAATAATTTTAACTACGTTATCACATATAAGGACAAAATTGGAAGAATGTTCATTAAACTGTTGAAGACAGTTATTTCAGGAGTGTAGCATTTTTTCATTTCTTTCATTATGTTTGTCTTTAATATTTGTTATTTTTATGCCTTTGTAATTTTTTCTTTTAATCAGAAAAAATATAGGAAAAATAAAATAAAATGAACCCTGGCATCAACTTGTAGACCAAAATACAGCAGTCTTTTGAATACATTGACTCAAAATGTACTAATATATCCGTGTTGGGCAGCTGGCCTGGACAGAAGCCGCTCAGGGCACTGCCTCGGGGTTCTCCAGCCTTAAAAAGTGGATCATGCCTGCAAATGTCAAATCCACTCTGTTCACACAGCTCTCTTTAGGATTACCTAATGGTACTCTATGAAATTGGAAATCGGAAAAAAATATGACAAAATCATTCGTTAGAAAGGATTAAAAGCATCCCTGGATCAATGGTATGCAAATAAAAGACATATTTAAAGCACATTCTGAAGATGTCTGAAACGGAACCACAACGTGAATCTGGTGTTACCGTGCGAACCCCTTTCCGTGAGGTTGGTGAGGCTCTGGTTAGGGTGGCCTGCCTAGTGCCCTTGGACCTGCTTCTTGTTGGATCACGTTGGCTGCTTAGTGTTCTGAAAGGGTATCCAGCCGATGGACCTAGACAGCACTGGGTGCTTCTGGCTGACTGAGCTAATACTCCAGGGCCATTGCACCACTACAGTTGCTCCCAGTACAGTCATTACATTTCAGAGAGATTCTTCTGTGACTACAGAGACTTCCTCACCTCTCTGTTATGGTAGCTATTTATGTTTATATTAGTTATTGCACAAATCTGCAGCATGCGAAAGATGCTGGCAGGTTACCTTATTTCCCAAATAATGTACTTTGCTCAAGCCTCCCATAAAACCCCTCCTTGCCTGTAACATTGTGAATATCTTTTGTGAAATGCCTCTTATAAAAGCCTCCCTATCATTGTGGATGAATGTTTTTGTAGCAATTCTTGCCTTCAGGTGAGAAATGCCTTTCAACAGGAAAGAATATATTGACCTACACTGAGGTAAATTATAACTTATGATGTTTGAGCAATAAATATCATATTGTTTTACCCCATCTTGAAAAATATAATTATCTCTTAACTGAAAATCTACGTTCTAGCCAGTGATATGTTACACTGCTTTGGGGACTGGGAACATTTCGTTTCTGTTTTAAACAGAAATTTCAATGATGGAGATGTTTTCCTGCAAGAGGCTGCTAGGAGTTCCAAGTTAAATCATTTTAAATTTCATAGGAAAATTCAGAAATTGGCCTGGACAAAGTATTATAGGTTCATAACATTCAAGAACAATCAGATTAAGGAGAAAGCTCTAATTAATGGTTGTAAGTTACAGAGGCCATAACCTGAGACTGATACACTCATACACACATGTATGTACACACACATGATTTAGACTCATGGGCACGGTCTCATTTTGCAGATGGGGAAATTGAAACCTACTGAGAATCACCACTTGCTAGAATCAGAGAATGAATTTGTGTCAGATCAGGCCTAGAAAAGAGGTTATTCAACTCTCGGGACTGCATTCTTCTCAAAATATCTTCGTGTTTCTTCTCTGGTTCATGGAAAATAGAGTTTTTGTTTTATTTTGTTTTTATTAGAACATTGCTTTCTTTTGGGCATACTTTATCACCTTCCTAGAGCTCTTATCCTATTATAGTCCTTAATCTTTTTTACTTTTTTTTTTTTTTTTGAGATAAGGTCTCGCTCTGCCACCCAGACTGGAGTGCAGTGGCACGATGGCAGCTCACTGGAGCCTTGACTTCCTGGTCTCAAGGGACGCTCTGGCATGAGTCTCCCAAAGTGATGGGATTACAAGTGTGGGCCACTGCTCCTGGCCATGCCCCTTAATTTTAAAAATTTCTTATTTGGGGTCATTTTTGTCTTTTCTCTCAGGAACTTTTGAATTCCTATATCTTTTGTTGTATGACACTCTTATTTTATAATGGTTGTTTATGTCTGTTTTTTTTTTTTGTCTTTTACTTATGCTAGGTTTTTTTTTTTTTTTTTTTGCAGATATCACCCCTTGTTTCCTACTTCTTTGTGTTTATACAGCAGCTTTGTTTCCTGCTTTCACCTCCTTCCTGCCCATGTTTCAAGTGGGGAAATTTTTGTGCTGAGTGGCCGCACGTGGTCCCAGTAGTAGAGGCAACCTTAATTCTTTGCCTTTCAAGCTTTGTGTCAGCCTCACCTGTATGGGGGAATTTGGGCTGAGGTCCCTAATGGCTCTTAGACCGGAGGGTGAAGAGACTGTATTGCTGCTAGCTGAACTGTAGATTGGAAAAGTGACCCAAAGAGAAGCCCTGTCCTATTGCCACCAACACTCTTCCAGCTTGAGAGAAGAATAAACTTTCAGCTGATTTAGAGCCAGTGGGCCTTTCTTGGACAGAGGGAGGAAGGTGTATGGAGGCTTTGACCATAGCAGTTTGTAGTGTTTAAGTGGCATCCATACTTTATATGTGGAGCGTTTGTCTGAGTTACTCAGAAGAATATCAGCGTCCAGCCTCCAAGAATAAAACTCCAAGAACTAGGGGCCTGGACTCTAGGTTTGGTCTTTATTACACTGGGGATGAGCAAGAACAACCAGGGTGAACTAGGAAAGGTGCACCCACTTAAAACGACCTACGTGTTGAAAGGCTGTGGTTTGATGTTTGCTTTACTCCAGGACAGGTGGGAAGACAGGGAGACCTTGGAAGAATGACTGGCAACTGCTGCTCTTTTGTCCAGTTTCCCAATATGAGGGAATAAGATTTTTGGTAAATCAATCTGTGTCTCTCACTTTCATGCACACATATACAAACAAAAAAATAAAGTTAGAATCATTGGATTATATAGCTACAAAGTCCTTGAAATTGATCAGTTGCATATTTAAATTTGAGGGATGAACTTTTAGATTGCAGAAATAGAGAAAGCCTCATTACCCCAGACTCCATCAGGATGGTGCATTATCTCCATTCTTTCAGTTGTTTCTTCTTTCCAAGCATCTTTCCCAATACATCTCGTATATTCCAAAGTGCTAAGAACCATGAAAGTTTGGAAAATGCTGCTCTCCTGAACAATAAGGGGCCAAATATGGGACTTTCAGTGAATGTTTATAGATCCTTGTAAAGGTACTTTTATAAGGCTATAAATTATTTGTAAACAACTTTTAATTCTCTCGTATTCTAAAATGGTTATCTGCCTGACATATTCATAGTGGATTAATTTATGCTTTTTATTTGGCCCCGGATGGATCAACTAAATGGAATTAAAATTATACAAGTAAATGTTATTTCAAACCCTCCAGTAGCAGGAAATAGCTTTATAACAAAATTACATAACAGCTGGTGCTGCTGCCAGTGACCAGAATGGTAATGTTTTCTTTTGATTTCCTTGTAACTGCACAGGGCTATTTAGCTGCAATGTCTTCAAAGACTTTCAGTAAAGAGGGACAGAAGTAAAGGACACTAGTGCTTTGTGGGAATACATAAATGATATTTCTGCAGGATACGTCACAATCTTTTCTACAAAATCAGCTTTGCAAATATCTGTCACTATTTGAAGTGTAAATAAAAGAATACAATTGCTGTGTCAGGGCTTCTCAAATAGGATTTTGCACTCAAATCACCTGAAAAACACGTTAAAATGCAGATTCCCATCTCAAGTTCTCAGTTGGGGGCTGAGATG
Organism: Homo sapiens; assembly: GCF_000001405.40. Taxonomy (NCBI): domain Eukaryota; kingdom Metazoa; phylum Chordata; class Mammalia; order Primates; family Hominidae; genus Homo; species Homo sapiens. The sequence continues at coordinate 107,563,411 of NC_000013.11, read as the reverse complement.
CTGCCTTTCTGAGGAGCTCTCTAATGATGTTGATGCTGGTGTTTCTTGTATCACACTTTCGGCAGTAGGAATACAGCAGTGATTGTTTGTCACAACGGATCAATGTGCTCTGGCCTGTTTTTAAGGCCACAGTCTGTGAGAGATGATCTTTGACCTGGGGGCTCTGACTGTCATCCACAGCTGAGCTTCCCTGTGAAGTTGCCATTTTCCCCAGCAGGCTGGAATCTCCTTGCGGCAAAAGTGTTTTCTCCTTCATTTTTTTTCACTGCTCAAATAGCAAGGAATGTGCTTAAATTTTGTGCTCAGTAAATGGTTTTTTGTTGTTGTTGTTATTAATCTAACGTGAATAAACAATTGTAAAAACTCATTAAACCTATTTTACTTACATTAACTTGTTCATCTGAAGAAGCCTTCCAACCTCTGAATTCAAAAAGCCTACTCATGTAAGTTTTAAGAAGGACTCAGCTCCAACATTTCAAAAGTCAACTTTGGCAGTTAGGAAGTGGAACACAGAGGAAACTCCTCATGGGAACTGGGAAATGCCTGGAAGGTAATTTTTTCCGTGAAATGAAAAAGAGCACTCATAGCACTCACTCCTGTTTCATCAGATTATTGCATGGTACTCCTTCATGTTAAGAACCACATTTAATTTATTCTGGTTGCTCTTTTAGCCAGGAGCACAAGGCATAGTCAAAAGATGTCTAAAGAATGAGTTCGTATGGTCTTGGAAACAAATGGCATTATGTTTGTTATTTTGAAGTTCACATTTGTCAGCTGACACCTGGAGATTCTACAGAAGCAGATGACAGCTTAAAGATCCACATCCATCCACAGCATTTATCAACTGATTTTTTCAGAGCAAAATAAAATGGAAACGTTTGTATTGATATCAGGTATCTTCACAGACCCCTGTGCTGCGACTGATCTGGGATGCATACAAAGCAGGAGAGGAGGCACAGCAGGGTCGGAGCCAGCAGGAGTCCAGGGACTGCAGAGCTTACAATCTCCTATCTTCCAGAACAGTCCTGTGATCAGACATGAGTGGCACATAAGGATACAATATACAAATTACAAGCACGCCTTTGACTGTCGTTTCTCTTAGAAATAAAACTGCACAGATGCTAGCATAAGACTCATTCAAAATAGCCTGTGTTACAGAATGACAATGAAGATCACATGCATGCCAGCATGCAGGAATTTCATGAGTTGTATACCTTTGAAATGAGATGGGAGAAAGTGTGTCCCTACAGAGCAGTGGATCCTGAAGTAAAATATAATATTTGCATTTCCAAGATGTCAAGGCAAGGTCAAAACAGCAAAATCATATTTAGAAAGAAGTTCAGATAGACTACTAGGCAACCATTGTTATACATTAGGAATACAGTTTTACTAAATATTCTTAAATTCAAGGGATGACAAAGCAGGCTCCATTTTGCATATTATCTTGTTAATCTAAAATGACAAACCTAGGAAAGTTTCTTTTGATACGATCTAAGTCCATTAATAAATAATGCAAGTAGTTCTTAACATTGAGCACGTTAACGGCTAGCAATATGTTGTCTCTGCCTTTGAGAAGTTAATATGGAAGAGACAGTTATGCAAACACAGGTTTACCATGAGTCCTATGACAGGGACATGGACAGGCTTCACAGGAAGTGGGGAAGATGAAATAATCATTATCTGTGACTGGTGAAACTTTCATACAGAGGAGATGGTAATCTTAAAAATTAATAGGTAGGAATTTGCAAACTAAAAAGATTGGCAGGGAATAGGCAATTTGCATGTTCTCAAAGTTTTTCCCCAAAGATTCCTTATTAGTTAAAGGGCAAAGTAGCGACTGTATTGGAAATCTCACACGTCACCTTGGCTGAGTAATTCAGAATTACCATTGCTGATGGGAGGAGACAGACGCTGAGTCCTTCCGATATGATACTCTGACAAATAATAGTTATTTGTTATTCTGGTGGGGAACATAACACTTGCACTTAATCACAAGGTAACATAAGAAAAACCCAAAGTGAAGGATGTTCTATAAAATAACTTACTTTTGGCCTTCAAAATGTCAATGTCAGGAAAAAACAAGTAAAGCTGAGGAGGCATTTCAGACTAAAAGGAGACGAAGGTGACATGGCACCTAAGTACAACATGTGAGCCTGGACTCGATTCTCCATCAGAACAGGGGAAATCTTCGGGATATTTGTTAAAATTGCAATATGAAATGTTTCTTAGATGAAAATATCATGTGACTGTTACATCTACTGACTTTGATAACTGCATTGTTGTAGGAGAATATCCTTGTTCTTGGGAAATAAGACCTTAGTGGGTATTAAGGCATAAATGTTTCAGAGAAACAAATACTGACAAGGGCATTCAACATTTAACACTTAGAACACGTGTATAATGACACAAAATAATGAACTGACATAGAATAGTTTTAAAAATTGTTTTTTGGAAAACATACGGGGTTAATGGTGGGTGGTATTAGGAAACAAAACTAGAAAAAGGAATGTTGAAAATAATTTCTTAGCATTCTTCACAACCGTGGTGAAGAGATTATCCTGTACACACAAAGTTGACAGTGAAGACTTTCAAACAATCTTTTTTAAGAAGGTTGGTTTCTGTGCCTTAACAAATATAAAGATGTTAAAATATAAAAATAAATGGCCTTGGCAGAACACCAGTAGACCAGTGGGGGAGCATAGATTACAAATACCTCTGTGTGAGTGTGTGTGAGTGTGCATGTGTGCTTGTATGTGAATTTACATGATAAACACATGAGCAGAAAGAACATACTAATAATGACATAGTTTTGGTGAACTGCTCTCCATTTAAAATGACAATGTAGTACATCATACTATATTAAAAATATAGTTCAGAACCTTTAAAAAACTAAATGAAAAATAAAATTTTAAAGTACTGAAAGAAACCATAAAATATATTTACATTTGGAGTGAGAAAGACATTTCTAAGTACATAATTTCAGTATCTAGTTTGCTTTTTTATTTGTAGTGTTCTTGGAAGAAATCATCAGACAAGTCCTTGGGTATTTTATTCAATTCAGTGGTTTATCATTTTTCTCTCTGGATTCCAAACATTCCCCCCTAGTCCCATCCAGTCTACATTGCAGAAGACCCATCCTCATTTTCCTCCTTTTCTGGAATCCACTATTGACTTTAGCTTCTTCAGCAGATTCCTTTGCCAATTCCAAATGCACATTCCTGGAAACCTGTGAATTCGATTATCTCTGTTTGAAAATTCTACGGGCGTTTCAAAGTCAATGTTTCCAAACCAGCTTGTCTTCCCTGACTGTCTTCTTAGCCCTAATCCCAAAAAACTTGGTGATTTCCCTGGTTAAATGGCCCTTCTCTTGCTTAATGATTTCTCCTTCCTTCCTTTCTATGGAGGGAAGCCTTGGGAAGATCTCCGCCTCCTTCCTTGGGCTACCTGCCTTCCTCGGCCGGTGGATCCCCCTTTAGTCCAAGCTGGTTCCATCTCTGCCATGTCTCTCCTTTATATCTCACCAATAGCGATATATTTCACGTTGTTATCTTTTTCCTAGGATAAAAATTCTGTGTTAATTTTAGTTTTTAATTTGAGTTTACCATTAATGAACATCAAAGAATAATGGACTTTTAAACTCGGACTGGGAATGAGTGTGTGTGAGTGTACATTCAAATAGCAACCCTAAAGCTTTTGCTGTTGTTGCAAAGGTTTGATGCTGATGCTGAATAGATAGTTCGTTACATGGCCTTGACAGCGCTTATAAGGACGCAGAGGAGAAATGTCTATCCTGATGAGTAGTTGTTCCTCCCCAGAACACCTAAGGATGCACAGGGACACCGTATACAACCTCTGCAGACCGCATGCCTCCTCAGCCTGAGCTGGTTCCCTTCCTTACTTTGAGTCTAGGAAGCTCAGATAGAAACAAATGAGATATTATTGGTTTTTTACTTTTCTCTTGATTTAATCTTATTTCTCTTGCATTTATTCCCTTTCTCATTATTTCTTCCTTTATTCTAACATTGTAGTCTACTCTTTTTATTTTTGCTAGCTGCCTTAACTTGTTTTGTTTTGTTGTTGTTATTGTCATGAGGCAAAATACATAAGCGAGCAATGAAAGATTCACTCCTTATCCGGACTGTTTTCTGTGTCTTTTATACCATGCAAACTTTGGGAGTTACTCCCTGAAGTTTTCTCTACTACCCCTTCTTTAATAACACTGGCTGAGTTTTTAGCATGGCGTCTCCTCTCTGCTGCCGTCTCCTCCACATGGGGTGTGTATTAGAGCTCTACAGAGGAAGAGAGCCAATAGGATACATGCATGTACAGAAAGAGATCTGTTATGAAGTATCAGCTCCTGCCATCATGGAGGCGGAGAAGTCCCACGATCTGGTCCCTGCAGGGTGGGGGGCCAGGAAAGCCCACGGTTTCCTTCCAGCCCAGGCCCACTGACCCCACAGCACTGAGCCAAGGGTGTGGTCCCAGTCTGAGTCCAAAAGTCTAAGAACTGGGAGCATTGACATCTGAGGACAAGGAAAGATGGATGTCCCAGCTCAAGAGGAAAGAGAGCTCGCTCTTCCTCTGCCTATGTTCAATCCAGGACCTCGACAGACATGTTGATGCCCACAGGCAGGGGCGAGGCAGGTCATCTTTACTCAGTCTACAGAGTAAAATGCTAATCTCTCTGGGAAACGCCCTGAAACACCCCAGAAATCATGTTTTACCCGTGATCTGGGCATTAGCCAGTCAAATGGACACATAAAATTTACTACCACCGGATGTCTTCCACCACCTCTACCTCGTCAAACCAAATTCCAGTTCAAGCCATACCTTAAACCAAAGGTGAGAGTAAGGAGTGATTTAGTTATATTCTGTGAAAACAAGCATAGGCAACCACGGTTGCTCTTAGTATTTTATTTGTTGTGGGATCATTAGTATTTTCTTTCAAGAAATGTGGAATACCATATTTGGGGATAAATTTTAGCAAATTGGAATACTATACTATACATATAGCTGTCAGACTGGCCCAATTTCAATGATAATTTTTGTGCTATTGAAAAGAACAAAGAAGAGCTTACTTCTAAAAAAGATTGATAAAAATGAATAAATAATAATGTACAATTAGAAGTAATGAAAATATGTCAAATAAAATAATTGGTAACACAAACACTAAAAAAAAAGAGACTCAAGGAATATTCACAGATTTACCACTAATTTTCTGTGATGTTTTGGAGCAATTTCTCCCTTCTGAACTCATCTTCATCAACATTTGAATTTTTTTTTTTTTCTTGGAAGATTCTCAGGGAAAAATCTCAGAATCATTAGGCCAGTGACCTGCGTGTAGACAACAGGGACGCAGCTTGGGTTGGTTGGGTTGTGTTTCCTGTGCTCAGTCTCTCTGAATGCCGACACCTTTCCAGTATGAACAATCAGCACAACAGTGACACATCCCACAAGAATACCAACGCACAACATTAGTGCACAGACACGGTACTGAGAGTAGGCATTTTTGATAAAACTTGAAATATATTATTTTCAGAATAAAGAAAAATTAGAGTCGATGTAGAGCCTCTTTTCGGTTCCTCAGCTGCATGGGTGTCCGTGCTTGCTTTTTCACTTGTATTTTTAAAACAGTGTGGCATGGAGAATGCATATGGAGATGGGATTTGGGACCCATGGATTTTGTGCTTTAGGTAAACCACCGAAACTTTCTGGGTCTGAGTGTTCCTTTCCACAAAATGTGTTTTCTTCCATCTCAAAAAGGCTGTGCTTCTGAGAAACCAAAATAATCCAAAGAGAAATGACCATTATCAGTTTTCCAGAGCAGCAGAGACAGAGCCAGGAGCAGTCCAGTGGTCTGGTGCCAGCACAAAAGGGGCTTCCAGTGTCCCTTCTGCTGGTAGCAGTGTTGTTAGTAGGCCAAACCTACTAACAACACTGCTGGACTGCTCCTGGCTCTGTCAGCAAAGAGCAGGTTCTGCCTTCCCCACGGTATGCAAACCGTCACCCCATCCCCTTTCCAAAGTTTCCATCTTTTCCCCAAATGTGATAGGGGCTATGTGAAATTAGCATTACCACCCCATCAAGATTGCTTCTACAAGAGTCACATTTAAGAATTCAACATGGACTGTGCTTGTTTGTTTGCATTGTTTGCTGCTGTAACTTCTGTGCTAAAAGGGTTACAATGCATAGTAAGCCCTAAATTTCAGTGAACGAATGTTCTTCAAGGAAACACCTAACAAACCTAACAAAACATTTTTTTTTCAAGAAGCTAGGCTCTGGCCATCAAAAATGACTAAAGAACAGATACTACCTTTTTGAAATATGTAAAAATCTGATTAAACTGCTCTGCTATTTTGGGGAAGATGTACTGTTGTACACTAAATCATAACCCAACACATGATATTTCAGAGGTTGAAAAATCACATTATACAATTTGTGTAGTATTGAATACACTTGCTTCTCTTCCATCTCTTAGGAGATTAATTCTTCTCTTTCTCATCTCCTCTTCCTCCTCCTAATCCCCCTAGTTCTCCTCCCTTTTCTCCTCCTCCTCTTTGTCTTTCTTCTTCATCATATTCCACCAAACACTTGACAGATAAGCAGAGCCTATTCTGAAGAAACTATTGAACAATAAAACAGATAATGATGTAATCCCAGTACTTTGGGAGGCTGAGTCGGGTGGATCACCTGAGGTCAGGAGTTCGCAACCAGCCTGACTAACATGGTGAACCCCGTCTCTAATAAATACAAAAAGCTGGGCAGGGCAGTGCATGCCTGTAATCCGAGCTACTTGGGAGGCTGAGACAGGAAAATAGCTTGTACCTGGGACACAGGGGTTGCAGTGAGCCGAGATGGCGCCATTGCACTCCAGCCTGGGCAACAAGAGTGAAACTCCATCCCAAAATAAATAAGTAAATAAATAAAAATAAAATAAACAGATAATGAATTCAGTGTGGCTCTGCAAGGCCTCAAGTTCTCGAGTTTTAATGTTAAAGGAAACTAGGAAAAAAGTTCTGATCCAAATATTATTTTCTAAGACTCTCTCTCTCTCTCTCTCTATATATATATATGTGTGTGTATATATATATATGTGTGTGTGTGTGTGTGTGTGTATATATATATATATATATATATATGTTGAGAGAGAGAGAGAGGAGAGGCACATCTCTGAAGATAAGCAAAAGGAATGACTATCAGTCCCACATCTGTGTCCAATACCCCATCTTTCCATGTCCCTCTTTCATAAGAGATCTTATATGTATAAAATTGGTCAGGTTCTCTTCAGTTGAAACAAGTTTAGCTTAAATATAAAACCAGAATTACTTTCAAGTGAATAATATATCTCTGTTTTGAAGAGATAATACATTCATAGACTTAAATAAAATTTATTGATTTAGAATATGAGAATATTCAATAATAATTTTATAGTAAAATTTAAACTATTTCTCAAGGAAGTTATTTTACTTACTTAAGATTAAGGCTCTTAGTTTGATTTCAACAATATTCTCAAAATATTATCTTTTTTGCTGGGTATTGATTTTTATATAACCATATAAGCTTGCAGGTGGTAGAATTTCTTCTAAAATTTTCCAATAAGCATATTTTGTTTTTTATTTGAAAGAGGCTTTCCCCAATATAGTGACATTTTTTTCATTATACATAGAGATGATGACACCGATAAATGATGCACTGATTAACAATAAAGCAATTTGAATAAGCAGAAAAAAGTTAATGATTGTTACCCAAAGTGAATTTGGGTTTCTAAAGAGTTTCCCACATTTGTTTTTTAAATTTGTTACTAAAATCAAACATCTGGCTGGGCGTGGTAGCTCACGCCTATAATCTCATCACTTTGGGAGGCCGAGGCAGGCAGATCACCTGAGGTCAGGAGTTTGAGACCAGCCTGGCAAACATGGTGAAACCCCGTCTCTACTAAAAATACAAAAAAAAAAAAAAAAAAAAAAAAAAATTAGCCAGGCTTGGTGGCAGGAACCTGTAGTCCCAGCTACTTGGGAGGCTGAGGCAGGAGAATTTCTTGAACCCGGGAGGCGGAGGTTGCAGTGAGCTGAGACCCCACCATTGCAGTCCAGCCTGGGCAACAAGAATGAAACTTTGTCTCAAAATTAATTAATTAATTAATTAATTAATAATAAATCAAACATCTTCTCCCCTCACAACGTAAGTTTTGAGTGATGACTTGCATGAAGAAATGCGTAATATCCAGTTTGGAGCCCTATTCTCGTGGTTCGGGTGGTGAATTACAATATAATTAAGCAGCCTGCTTAATGATCAATTGGATTATTTTGTTTGCTGCCAATTTAAGTAATTAGAGAATTGCAATGATCACTCCAATTAAAGTGATTGCTTTACGGCACAACCTTGCCTTTTTTACCTGTGATATTTAGAAGAGAGAAAAATGTTATTCAGCAGAGGCCTCCCCGGACAGGTTAGGCTCAAAGCTCTTCTGCACAGTTGTTAGTTCCTCCTCTACTTAGACATTCTCTACACTCCTCCTTCCGTACTCTGGAGTTATACCCTGCAAGCCAGCCTGCTTGTGAATTCTGCAGAGACCAAAACCTTCCCTCCATGGGAGGAAGGGCAATATTTATCATGCTTCAGTGGTGGCTGGAGAGGTCGAGAAACTTGCACAGACACAACATAAAACTGCGGGTAGCAAATGTGAATGGTGAGCCACTGTCAGAAGCAATTACAAAGGGAGATTACATTGCAAACTCTGACATTAAAACCTGTGTAAATAATACATCCAATCTGATGGGGGCCAGGGCCTGCTTTGGCAACTCCCTGCCAGTTCTTGGGTCTGGGCTTCCGTTCTCTCTCAGCCTCTCTGGGCCTCTGATAAGGGGAAGGCTCCCTGGGTCCCCGGGCTGCACAGGTTCTTGAGGACTGGTTGCACTGCCTGGCCTGGGTCTTTCCTTGGCCAGCGGCACCCTGTGTTTTGTGCAGAACTGACTAACTCTGCATTAACCTTCTTCACCCTCTTTTTGAAGTAGCAGATTCTCTGACTCAGGCCTCACAAACTCTCTCACTAAAGGAGTATTTTCCTTCTAGCTTTTTCCCCCCGGACTTCTGGCCTTTGACTGTGGAACGGGACAGAAGGAAAGACATAGTTCTATACTCTGAATTTCTCTACAGAAATCTGAAAATGGAGCTTCCTGCAAAGAGAAGCCTGGGGCTCCATCAGCTGCATCTTGTGGCACAGCCTCGAGTTCGGCTCCGGGCTCAGCTCAGAGTGCGTCTGCCATACATCAGGAACCCTACGTAGTGTCAGGAGCTTGCTGTCATGTCACCCACTTACCCATACAGCTGCATGAGCTCACAGGATTATCTGCATTTGCAGATGTGGGACTAAGGCTCTCAGGGCTGGATAGCTCCATGGCATGTAGCCATGAAGTAAGCGGGGACAGTGAGAATCTGACTGATGACTCTCTGGCTGTGTCAGTGCATGGATATGCTCTTTTAAAGACGATGTGGACTTTGCCAGGCACTTACTTAACTAAAGTAGAATTGGGGATAGGATAAGTACTAACATGAACCCTGAGAGGCAAAGTAGGGATGGAGGAAGCGCAATTGCTCCTCTGGGCTCTGAGATACTCGCGTCTTGGATTCTTAAAGTTGAAGCAGAGACAGAAGAGGCTCTGTTTGGCATAACTTAAGTGACTTAACTAATTATTTGCTGTAGTATATCCATAAGGTATCTATAAATTAATGAAGCTTAATTAACTTAATTTAAATGCCAAATGAATATTTTGATTGGTGAGATTTTATTGATATGACAATTCAACTAGGACATTAAGAGAAGCAAATTACATTAATTTGTAAATACACTTTAGATCATAAAAATCTATAGTAAATCATAATGCTAACTTCAGAAGCAATTGAAAGGGTTTTATTCGAAGATAAAATTACACATGTAAATACTCTCTTATAATTCCTGGAACATATTATATACAGTATAAACATTTGCCTAAAATGTAGCTATATTCTTAGCACAGTGCAATTTTAATGAGTCTAATACGGAACGGGTCAGGTAACATGTATATAAGTCTACTAAACTGTCATGGGGTGAATTATGGATAGTTGCTCAAGACATAACAAAAATGTGATTTTTCTGAAATGTGAAGTACATTCATTACAAGGGGATTTGTTACGTGTTATAAACCAGTTTTATGAAAAGATTTAGCAATGCGTTTCTAAATTTTATAAGCCAGGAAACACCACTTATCTTTAAACTTTAGGTAGAATTTCCTCTGCAAACCATTTCAGCTTTTTTTATCTTGCCTGTGTTGCTTTTCATTTACTATATATTGATGATATTGAAGATTCATCTATTTATATTTATGAGAGCTGAGCCTGTAAATCTTATAAACTGAAGGAAGGCCTTTCATTTTAAATTTTAGTTATTAAATTTTAACTACTGATTTCGTAGATAACAATTCAGAGTATTTAAGAGAAAATTAATGGGTTTATACATTTAAGCTCTATTTAATATTGTGCACAATATTTTAATATTATATAAACGACAGTAAATCACTGGTAAAGCACACATCTTTTACTTCCTAAAAATGTGATGTAATTCTGTCAACCATATTCTAAGTACCATAAGATTAAAGAACAATAAAAAACTTGCACCACTTTATACAAAACTAGAATATAATTATTCATGCTTTTTCCTTTTATAATAAAGTCCGAATCATTATGAATATATGTGTTATAGTGCCTTGAATATCAAACAGTGAAGTGGGACTGACCCTTAGAAAGACTGAGGTGGGGACTCCGTGGTGCCTGTAAGTGGTGTTCCTGGATCCTCAGCTTATGAGAATGTTAATACACATAAATGAGTCCAGTGTGTGTTTGTAGACTGATGGACTCCTGATTTTCTTATCTTTTGGAGTAACATTTAAAATCACCACATTCTCCCCTGTAAAGAAGGAAATTCTATTAAATTAGCTGTGCGTTTTCCTAATATTATCTAATTTGCTAATGCACAATTTGCCCGATGCATTAATCTACTTAAATAACGATATCATATTTTGAAACTAAATAGTAACCATGAGGTATATTTATTGACACATGTTGCATTTCTATTTATTTATTTGTTCAGGAAACATTTGTTGACTGTAGCAGGCAATGACCTGGGTGCTGAGAATATACTAAAAAGAATAGATAGAGTCTCACTTTCCAAAAATTTACATTCTGCATAGAATGTAGTAAGGGAATATGTCTATCTCAGAATTAATTTCTAACTCATATAATGCAGCTTGAAGATATTGGTCTATTTATCTTAGATTTCCCATGCATTTTCCTTTAGTACACCTCTGGAGGGGATATATTCTTGTCAAGAAATGTCTGTTTACTTTCATAATTTTTACTTCTTGACACTTTGAAGAAGATGTTTATTAACCTTTAACAGCATAATTAGAGGCTATTTTCTTATAATTAAAACAAAAGCTTAAATAGATTCTGATTGTTTTATTAACTACTTGCTCTTAGGAAAGAAAATTTAATGACTGAAGAATAACTCTAAGAGGTACAGAGTAGACCTGATTAGTGTAATAAATAACCTTGTTAGAAACATATTCATACTTTAACAGAAATAAGTAGAACAGAAGAAATACTGCAAGGATTATGGAGAGAGGTTTAAGAAAAGAGGTCACTAAGAGGTTACTGTTAATTTCAACATCAAGGGCAAGAGTCACATATTTCATGATTTTGAAACTCCAGAAATTATATGAATCACTCCTCAGATTATGATTATAAAGATGACAGCTTCCCAACCGTCAATCTTGACAGTTGAAAAAATAATAGTAGGGGCACAAGAAATGATAACTTTACTCGATGTAATATTCTATTTAATAAAATAAAATGAAGTTTTACATATTTATATAATTGCCTTCACATTTATGAATTGCAGATATTGTATCTCATTCATTTCTGTCCCTAGCTCAAAATTAAGGAGCAGTGAAGAGGTAGGGTTTGTTGTGTTGTCATTATTGTTTTAAAATTACTGTGGATTCACATAATGATGATAAAGATATGATTATCGACTTCAGAAAGCACACAAAACTGAGATGCTAAAACACAAATAAATGGGAATTTGCATAAATATAAGACATAAATGCAATGGTATGTAAATATAGGATTCAAATAACTAACAAATAGAGTGTTACTTAAACCTGAGATTCAGGTAACAGATGTCTTCGTTCATAGAAGAGACGTCACAAGAAGTGCATAAACTTGATTCTGCACATGTACTTCAGACGCAGTACGACCAGAGAGAGAGAAGAATACAGCAAGGTTCTGGTGATAGTGAAAGTGGAAAGGTAGAAGTGAGAAAGGACACAGCAGTGATTTCAGGAAAAAATCAGGTTACAGGTACCACATACGGGGCCACAGGTATATGTACTTTATACAGGAAGAACAACATATAAGGATAAAAAGAGAGACTAAAGGGGAAACAACAGCACAAACAATAAGTTTTTTTTTTTTCTGAATGTCAATAAATAGTGAAATAACCTCAAAGTTAGAGAAAAACTTCAATTCCAGATCAGAATATTTGAACTTCATCTCAGGTCACCTGAGCCAGGACCTAAACTAACATTATAGTTCATTGGTCTAGTTATCCTCTTTGGTATGCAAAACTCACCCTTCTTTCCTTTTCAGCTCTTCACATTCTTAATCAAAGAAATGTCTAAGGAAGACTAATGACTTATTTACAAAATTGTCTGAAACAAGAATAACTGAAAATTCAGAAACCCCTTTTAGTATTCAAGAAGTGCTACAATGAAGGGTCTGAACTGAGGTAGTGAATTTTGAATAACGAGGAAAAGATCAATGAGAGAGATGCTGGCGGACAAGGTTGTGACATTCTGGTGACTTAGACTATAATTATGAAAGGGGGACAGGATCAGATGTCATCCCAGTGTGTTAAAGTGTTAACAAAATGATAAATTATTCTATGTATTAAAAATGATTAGAAATCTCAAAGCTTCACTCAGTTGTTCATTTATATTTATTTTAACAATAAAGATGGATGAATTCATAATGAGTGAAACAATCGGAGCCCTAGTAGCACAGAGAAGTCCTTAGCCCAAGGTATAGATTCAGAGACAGTGAGACTTGGGAGGGAGGTGAGCTCTGGAGCTGAATTTAAATGAACTGGAAATTAACCAGGAGGACACAGAAGGAAGAACGTTAAGACAAAGAGAGGAATCATTATCCAAGAATGTTGTAAAAATGTACAGTAAAGTCCCTCAAAAGTAGCAATATCTGGAATGGCTTTGAGGATGTGATGGTTTCAATGCTGTCTAAAGTGGTCATTTTACTTAAGCGATTATGGGTCATCATTTGTCTGATGAAGAAACATCAGACAAATGCAAAGATAGTTTCTAAAAATTTAATGGTCTATCTTTCTTAAAAAATGCCAAGGTCATGAATAGCAAAGAAAGACTCAGTAAGTGTTCTAGACCAAATGAACAGAATAGTTGACAGGAAATACAATTCTTATTGGAAACTGGATTGGATCCTGTATCAGAAAAAAAAAAATGAAAAGTTGCATAAAGAATGTTAGTGGGAAATTGAGGAAAATTCCATAAGCTCCATGGGTTAGATAATAAAATTTAACAATATTCATTTCCTGATTTTGATCCTTGTAGTATGGTTATGAGAAGATTGTTCTTGTTTAAATAAACATTTAAGTATGTAGTGGTAAACAGGCATTATATCTGGAACTTGCTCTCAATTAGTATACAAAAAATATGTATACACAACCATATATACACACTGAATAATAAAGTAAATGAACTAACATGTTAACATTTGGGGAATCTGGTGGAGAGATGTATTACATTTCTTTGTACTATTTCTGCAACTTTTCTGGAAGATACATGTCTTCAAAATTAAAGACTGAAATTTGTATGTAGTTCTCAGAGCTGAATTTGATACCTTTGTATTGATTAATCTCACCTGATGTGAAACCTAATTTTTAGTTTATGTTCTTAGAGACTCTTAATGGCAACCTCTTAAAAATTTCAGGTTTATTCAATATACAAATATGAATACAGCAAGTAGCTCTATATTTCTTCCACTTAAAAGTATATAAATCCTTCATATTCTCTTTACTGTAATCACTGCCAGTCCCACTGTCACCCTCAATTGATAAATGTAAGGAATGATGTCATAGATTAGTGCAACAGAGATATTAACTTCTACTGATTTTGCTCAAAGGTAATTAAGCTTCTTTGCATTTAGCAATTCCACATCACTGTTATTGGCAAAAGAACATGTTTGTAAGGTAACCTTTATTATCTGAGGTGGTAGAATGTAAAAATCATCTTAGGTCCAGGATTTTGGAGGTAAAAGCTCATATTACACATCTATAGTCAATATGTTAATAAATTACTTGGCCGATGTGCAATTATGGTATTTCTTGACCAAGATGCACTTTTCACAATTACATTTCTCACCCAGAAACTGCATAATACTTATATTTGGATTCCCAAAATATGACCAAAGCTGTCTTTATAATAAAATTTTTTATTTTATTTATATGTATAATACAAACACACACACACACGTGTGTGTGTATGGCTAGATATTCCTCTACAAGTTCACAGGCTACAAGTAGATAGTCAAGAAGGACATCAATGGGTCCAACAGAACACGCTTGGTGCTACCTGTGGGTTGCTATGGAACTAAGAGGGGAGCAGGTCAGGGCCCAGAACAGTCTGGAAAGCTTAAGGAACCATCTCCAGCAGAGTATGGCAGTTGATAGATTGTGGAGGGGGAGGAAGGACACTCATACATTGTGGGTGGGACTGTAAATTCATTCAATTATTGTGGAAATCAGTGTGGTGATTCCTCAAAGAGCTAAAAACAGAACTACTATTCAACCCAGCAATCCCATTACTGGATGTATACCCAGAGGGATATGAATCATTCTAAAGACACATGCATGCAGATGTTTTTTCAGCACTATTCACAATAACAAAGACATGGAATCAGTGTAAATGCCCATCAATGACAGATTGGATAAAGAAAATGTGGTGCATATACACCATGGAATACTGCGCAGCCATAAAAAAGAATGAGATTATGCCTTTTGTGGGAGCATGGATAGAGCTGGAGGCCGTGGTCCTTAGCAAACTAACACAGGAAGAAAAAACCAAATACCACTTGTTCTCACTTATAAGTGGGAGCTAAATGATGAGAACTCATGAACACAAGGGAACAACAGACCCTGGGGGCTACTCGAGGATGGAGGGTGGGAGGAGGGAGAGAAGCAGAAAAAATAACTATTGGATATTGGGTTTCATACCTGGGTGATGAAATAATCTGTACAATAAATGCCTGTGACACGAGTTCACCTATATAACAAACCTGCACGTGCACTCCTGAACCTAAAATTTAAAAAAAATAGGAAGGGGCTTTCTAGACAAGCATGGGCCATCTCCTATTTATTTTTTCCTAATAGAGTGTTCACTATTCCTTAATTACTTGTGCTACTACTGCTGGTCTTGCAGTCGCAACCCTTCTCTTTAAATTTTTTAAACACTGTTTTGTTCTACCAATAATCTCATCAGATTATAGACTATATGAATACATTTCAATTTAAGAGAAGTGGGTAATTACCACTCTGTTAAATGCCGTGTTGTCCTGGGTGAAGTTGCTCTAATGTGGCCCCAAGTGCTTAGGATGATATAGATGCAAGGACAGTGTGTGTGAGCCAGGAGCATAGGCCTGTGTTCTAAACTGGCTTCACCATGTGCTGCATGTATCATAACGGCAAATTGTGCCTTGGTAACCTCATCTGTAAAATGGGGATAATGGTAGTTGCCACCTCATAAAACTGTAGTGAGGATTAATTAAACTAATCCATGAAAAGTACTTTACAGAGTCCTTAGCCAATGAGAAACATTCAATAATTATTAACCATGTTATTATTCAACAATTGTTTAAAAATTTGGTAACCAACAGATGATATTTATTATAGACTCTTAAGTTCCAAAGTAATTGAAATTTAACATTATTCTAGTAAATAATGTCAAATTAAAGAATCTGGGATTTTATAACAAAATTCAATTTTTCTGGATTTCAGTTTCAATAGAACAGTTTCTTTCAGGAAAACACCTGAACAACTTTTTCACCCTCTGTCACAGAAATATTAGAAATCATGTTATTATACATATGAGGCACTCTTCTGATGTGGTTGAAGTCGAAGAATGAATGTTGTTATTTGTACTTTCTGTTTATATATTGTGATGATTATCAATGCTCATCATTTATTGGACACTCTCAAAGTGTCAGGCATTGAACAAAGATGTTTACAAATATGTTATTTAATTTTCATAACAAAACTATGATACAGGTATTATCTCCACTTGCAAATGAGCAGCCTAAGATGGTAAGAGAAGTCAGGTGACTCCATAATGGTCACACAGCTAATAGTTGAGTTGGGTTTAGAATACTAGGCTTGCCAATGTTTATCTGTAAATTATTCTCCCATATTTCCTCCAATACCATAAAATGGCATTTATTATATTAGGCACTCAAGTATACTGAGTGCTGCAGGAAGTGCTACTTAGATGTATAATGCAGTATACACACACAGCTTGGTAGTCGTATATCACAATATTTGTATTATTTCCTAAAAGGTAATTTTACTGATATACTACATCAGTGGAATTTGTTTACTTTTTAAATTTAGGCATAGATGGAAAGCTAGCCGGGAGAGAGACAGAGAGAGAGGGCGGGAGAGAGAGAGAAACCACAAAATAATTAAGCTTGCCTTATAGAGAAATATTGATTTGTATTAGCAATGGTTCAGGTTTTAGCTCGAGCTCTTTTGCCCCCTGGAAGTGCAAAGAAAAAGGCCAATGTAGAACTTGAATCTACAAATGAATGCAGTATTTAGGAGAGCTGATCCTAGTTTAAAATGAAATAACTCAGCCCATTATATTCTGGACATATCACCCATGAGGTCAATTAAGAGGAAACATGTGAGAGGATTTCTGGGCAAACCTGTGCTGGGAAAGCCTAGCCTGGAAAACCTTAGCAGGGTGTGTTTGTGCTTCGTATTGATTCCTCCTGCCTTGAGGACAAATGCAGTAGGTGTGTGTTATTATAAGAGCACTAAGTTCAAGTGGCAGCTTTCCCTCTTTTCATGAGGCCTGTCTGCAGAGCAGCAGGATGGAATAAATCGCAATGGGCTTTGTTGGCACACTGGCCCCAGGGTGCAAGAGGCCAAGTGGGTGTTGGCAGGTTTATCGGGTTGTTGGCTATAACTGCTGGGAAGAATGAAGGCCCAGCGGTTTCAGGTGATCTGCCGAGGACCCTGGGGAAAGCTGAAAAAATGTTCTCCAATGCTTGACCCAGAGCCCAGAACACTCCAGTATAAAGAAAGCCCCTGTTTTTATCTAACAAAGACAAGCCTGGAAAAATGCAACATCATTTAAGATGTTTGCTATGAGGAAGAAGTCTGTACAGAGGCAAACTAGTTATCAGGGATATTAGTTATTAGGGAGATTAGCATTTACTCATGCAATTCCAGGGTGTTAGGAGGTTCAGGAAGAGAGTCATACATAGAATCCACCCAATGGCTTTCTTTTTCAGTCTATACCATCTCGCACTGCCTATCTTGCCTGTTTCCACCCCACACTGCCCACATTCTCCCAGCATCATTCACAGCCACCTCTTCCCATTGGGATGCGTCGTACGTCTTGCTTCCTCACCTTTTCAGACCATGCTGGTTCCTGCTTGGAAATGACACTTGACCCTCAGCTCCATATCTGCTCTGACCCTATGGGTCTTTCAGATCTCAGGCTCCAACTGTCCTTCAGGGAGTTCTTGCCTGACCTAGTCCTTCCTTCCTGAGATAAACACAGACATCTCTGGTTTGCTCTGCTGTAGTCTATTGGCTTTCTCAAGCTACCATCACAAAACACCTGAATTCAGGTGGCTGAAAACAACAGAAATGTATTCTCTCCTGCTTCTGAAGGCTGGAAGTCTGAAATCATGGTGTTGGAGGGTCTGTGCTCCCTTTGAAGGCTCCAGAGGAGAATTTGTTTCCTGCCCCACTCTCAGCTTCCAGGTTGCAGGCTATCCTTGGCTTGTGGGTGCATTGCTGCAATCCCTGCCTCTGTCAGCACACAGCACTCCCCCTGTGTCTCTCCATATTGTCTCCCTCTGCATGTATCTGTCTTTATGTTTCTTCATCTTATGTGAATGCTCTTTATATGGGATTAGGCTCCACCCTAGGAACTGCATCTTAACTTGACTGCATCTATAGAGACCTATTTCCAAATAAGATCACCTTTATATGTACTAAGGGTTAGGACGTCGGCATATCTTTTGAGGGGGCAACTTAGCCCATAACGCAGAACAAAACTGTGTGTGTTCCTTAGAGAATTCAGCACAGTGTGTCACTGTATGTTTATTTTTGTGACTGTGTTGTCGCACAGTCATGAGCCTGTCTTCTGCAGAGGACGGTGATCTCCATTCTGTTCACCTGTAGCTCCAGCTCCTCACATGGTGATTGACACAGAATTGATGTTCCAAATATTTTATGAATGAATCTCTTTTCTACTTCTCTAGTCATGTGCTGAATGCTCCCCACTTTTTTTCTCCTTCAAGGCAGGGATGAAAGTCCTGTCACAAAGCATTAGTTGGTGTCAATAATAGGCTTCTCCCTGGATCTGAAAAGAAACTTAAAAAGCTGCTACACTGAGATGATTATAGAACCAAGGGTCCTGTGAAGGGTCATGGCTATCGAGTGCCCGTGGTGGCATTTTGGCCAGTTAAATCAGGATATGGACTGTGGGGTTCTAAACTTGTCTAAGTTTAGCAGCAAAAATGGTTTAGATGGAACTAGAATTCTGACTTCAGAAATTGCTCATGCTTCTATTTTGTCTCTGAGATATAATTTTGTTTATTCTAGTGAAAGAGTTGGGCAAAATTGCAGTTTTTCTTTATTTTTAATAGTTAACACATCTATTTTCAATTATGGCTTGAGTCATTTGAAATAAAGTAGTCTCTGAACTGGGAATATATGGCATATTAAAATATCACAAATGCCAAGCTTTCCTAACTCAATGATATTGCAAAGTCAAAATGGTATTTTCTTTCGGTATCCTAGAGAGTGTCTGTGTTTGAGGCCACTTAGCTAAAAGCATGCATCAGCCCACCTCTTTATGTGAGTGAAAGAGATAGCTTATTTAGAATGAATTTCATAATTTAGATTGCTCTGCATATGGCATGCTATTATCATGTTTGTACATTTCAATTATCTCATTAATTCTAGCAGAAGGGTGCCTTCTGATATGTTTGAGTATCAAAATACATTATGTTTTGACTTTTAGATTGTTGTTCCGACTGTAAACATCACCCCTACTCCACAGGTAGATTTTTTAAAAAATTGGTTATATAGAATTGATGATAAAAATATTTTATCAACCATAGATATTTTAACACTAAATTGCCACTATATTTCCACCATTTCATTTCTAGTTTTCTCTGCACCTCTGAATCGCTCTTTAGTTTGAGAACTCTAGAGGTTTTAGAGTTGGGTACATATGTGTATATATGTGGGTATATATGTGTATATATACACATATACATGTATAAATGTGTGTGTATATATACATGTATAAATGTGTGTGTATATATACATGTATGTATGTGTGTGTGTATATATATACGTGTATATACGCGTATATATATACCCACACATCTATATGCAGACCGTTCCCAATTTATGGTTCAACTTACACTGTTTCAACTGTGTGATGAGTTTATGAAAGGATCAGATACTTTATTGACAGAATACTTCTTACTTGTGATGGGTTTATTGGGATGCAACTCAGTCAAGGAGCATATGTGTATATATGGCAGATTTTTTTCTAGGAAGATATCTAATAAGTGAATACCTATTATGGCTGAATTGTAACTGCCTCTTTATATAAAAAGAACAGGACAGACGTGGATCCTTTTCTCTGTGAGTGAGCCTGAATAGTATCTTAAGTTAATTACAATTGAATTCATGACATGTGGTTTTTTTGTTTTGTTTTATGGTTGTTGTAATTTTATATAAAGTGGGCTAAATGAAATCATAACATATTATGTAGCATTAGTTTTAAGTTTCCATGCTAAACATACCCTAATTTATATTTTTTCCTTATACCTTAATTTACATTTAAGTTTAGTTTTAGTGATAGCCCTTTTAAATGTAAATATCTTTTTCAAAAGATAATCATTTGGCTCTTAAGTTAATATTCAGGTAGTCTGTTAAGTAGCTTTTGTTCAGAATGCAAGTAGAGTGATTTCAACTAATATATCTGTCTGAATGAATTAAGGGTCTTTAGTAAACAGATATAAGAAACATGACAATAGTGTTTGCGAAGGTGATAGAACAGTGATTATTATAAACTGTGAGGAGAAAAGTTGTGACAAATGGACAAAAGAACATTTATATAATTATCAAGAAATATAAACTATTTTGATGCCATGGTTTCTAATGTTTTGGAAACATGACTTAAAATGATAAATGATAGTGTCTTTTTAGTTGACTAAACTTACAATATGTTAATAGATTTTCTAAGAAAAATTTGAAGCTAAGAATTCAAATTTACTTGCTGAGTAGCCATATGGAATTATCAGCATATATTCCAACAGCAATACATATAGAACTACTAACGTATTGTTTTAATTTTACATTTAATTGACATGGTTTATTGATGGAAACTTTTGGGCTCAGACTTTATACTAATCACATGTCAAATAAATACATTTGATTGAGTGGAGATACTGATATTGATGTCTGGTTCTTTTAAGTGAAAAAGTACATTTGGATCATATCTGATTCAACTAATTTTTTAAAAACAGCATTACTGACTTATAACTGACATACCATACAATTCACACATTTGAAATATACAATTCAGTGGGTTTTAATATATTCACAGATATGTCAAACTATCACCACAGTCAATTTCTGAACATTTTCTCATTACAAAGAGAAACTCAGTTTCCTTTAGCTACTACCTTTCTACAGTGTCATTGCCCCCCTCCCCCACCAGCCTGAAGCAACCACTCACCTACTTTTGTCCCATACATTTGCCTATTTGGAATATTTCATATAAATGGAATCATATAATATGTGGTTTATTGTGTCTTGTTTCTTTCACTTAGCACAATGCTTCCCAAGTTCATCCAGGTGGTAGCATGTATCAGTACTTCATTCTTTTTCATGACTGAATAATATTCCATTGTACAGATAAACTACATTTTGGTTTTCCATTCATCCTTTGATAGGCATTTGGGTGGTTTTCACTTCCTACATTGGGATATCAAATTCAAAAGCCTTCAGGGACCATCCAGGCAATAAGAATGAGAGAAGCAAGCTAGGGCTCCACAGAGACCTTGAGGTTGTGGTCAGCTCCACAGTGCTTGTTTTCTGAAACTTCTCTATTCATAGTTATCAAGGAATCTTTTGGACTTCTTGGCAAAGTATATAGAACTCTGGAGGGTGGCCACACTTAGTTCTTGGAGCTATACTTAAAATCTCACTGAAACAAAGCCATCATCATTGAGGAATAGAGGTTCAATCAATAAGTATAGCAGAGTCTGCTGCTCTTCTTTATCCTAAGGAAACAATATTTTTTCTTTTCTGTATCTGTTGTTCCATGTTTATAGTAGAAGACTATCATGTCATTATCAGTAAAGGCACATGCAGACACCTGCACACACACACATATATCACCAAAATAAAAATAAAACTGAAGGGCACAGTGCATATATAAAGCTATATGCATTTAAAGTCAGTATCAGATCATAAGGGCTTTGGTGTGGTCCACAGGGGAAAATCTTGTGCCCTCTCTGTCTTTCCATCCCTCCCTTTCTTCCTCTCTCCTTCTCTTTCTCTTTTTAAACTCAAAAGAGATTGGTCATTCAAGAATTCTGAGTTATGAATTCGACTATTCTTCTCTTTTGATTAAATGCCCTTCTTTTTATCTAGCAAATG
Source organism: Homo sapiens (assembly GCF_000001405.40). Lineage (NCBI taxonomy): Eukaryota > Metazoa > Chordata > Mammalia > Primates > Hominidae > Homo > Homo sapiens. The sequence continues at coordinate 107,541,375 of NC_000013.11, read as the reverse complement.
AAGGAAGAGAAGGGGTACTTCTGCAGACAGAGACATACTGAATTAATGTCCTTAAACAACAACGGTGTTTAGGACAATGTACCATCCATGCTGGAACAGCCTCTTCAAAAGCAAGACTAGAAGAGCAGCTCCAGTAACCAGCCTCATCTTTGAAATAACAAAAATGTGTTTTCAAACAGACATGTAACGATCCAAGCTTTTTATTTTTTGACAGTTGAATAATTAATTGCAGTACATTTGTAAGGTTATTAAAAGCTTTGGATTGAGTAGGGAAAAGTAAAGAGCATGAATCTTGCTTTTCAGTTTTTGTTTATTACAAGAGGCTGTCAGAGCTGTTTTTAATTCATTTAATATTCTTGTTAATAACAAGTCTAATTAAGAAATCCATTAGAAGTCTGTAAAGTTAATTTAACAGGGGTATGTCCTAATGAAGTGTTACTGGAATTGTCTTTTTAAAAAGGGTGCCATAGTGTTTCATGGATTCTTAAGCAGAATCTACTCTTTTCTAAATAAGTTTATGTATTCAAGTTTGTGTGTTTTTAAAGTTTCTTGTTTAGGAATATCCAAAAACTTTTTTTGGCCAATGTATACATCACCACATACATATGTATCCCAGACTTTAATGCTTGTTGTGCTGGCAGGAGTTTGGAAATTGGATGACTTTAGTTTGTATAAAATGTTTAGAGTGCAGGAGAAGACTAAATGATTTTTACTCCTAATGAAACCAACATTTTAAAATTCAGGCAACATGAGTACCAGCAGTCACTGTGGAAATTAACGCCAGAGCTTTCGATTGATCCAGCATTTCAAAAGCAAATTGTTCCCTTTTCTAAAAGGTCTGTATTTTCTGCCTCTAGTGAGCATATATACATACATATAAAATATTTACTTTAGGAAATCAAGAATGCAACTTTAGGATATATGATACAACCTTTTGGTCATGATAGAGAAGTTAGAAATTTAAATGTTGTTTATGTAGTATAAGTATATTAAAAAACTGCTGAAATCAAACCCAGAGGCAGTTTATTCAAGTTTATTAAAATAAAAATATTTTTTATATGTTAGATATTTCAGCTTTAGCAGAGGTTGAAGAATCTGGAATTCCATTTCCTCTCAGTAGACTAGAGCTTGACAAACATTCCATGTAAAATCCTATTCCTACTATACTTAAAGAGAATGCCATTCACAACCATCAAAGGTATAAAGAGCATTCCTTGAATCATAACAAGCAACGACTTAGCTGTGTTTTTCTGATGGGAATTGCCTACAGAATCATAATGCTTTACAAATTGTCTAATATGTGTATGTGTGTGTGTGTGTGTGTGTACATCAGAAGCTGATGGGTATCTATTGTCGTTTTCCTCTTGTTTTGTTTTTAATGATATTTTAAGAAATTATTAATTAGAGCTATTCATCAACTATTACAGTTATGCTATCTTTAGGAACATTAGAAATAAGACTGTAAGTTTATACGTCTCAGTAATGTATAGCAAAACCAGCACTTCATACTAGTCAAGAATTTGTGAATTGGAGTCATAGAACTGAGTTTGAGTCTTAGCTTCACCAATTATGATTTAGACACAAAGTCATAACCACTGCAAGTGTAAACATATAAGTCATATGATTTAGAACATTTCAAAGAGCCATTGCAAGTCAGTAAATATCCAAATAATGTCAACACAGTCATTTAATTAACTCTATATAAAATATTTTGTGTATTTTATACTATTTCAGAATATTAATGTATTGTTTTTTAATAGTCATCTCATAAAACATCTCTTATTTCTCCCCATTTTATAGATGAAAAATAAGTTTAGAAAATTAAGTTGAACTGAGCAAACATTCTTTGATTGTCAACCCTATGCTGAAGGTGTTTGAATGTGTTCCCCAAATTCATGTGTTGGAAATCTAATCTCAAATGCAGCAGTGTTGAGAAGCGGGGCTAATAAGAGGTGATTGACTCACAAGGGCAGAGCCCTCTTCAATGGATTCATGTTTCATTATCGTGGGAGTGGGTTTGCTGTTGTGAGAATGGATGGTTGTAAAAGTGAGTATGCTTCTCCTTCTTGCTCTGTCTTGCACGCTTGCTTCTGCCTTCCATCCTTCTGTCATGGGATGACCCTCACCAGATGCTGATGCCATGATTTTGGACTTCCCAGTTTCCAGAATCATAAGTTGAATGAGCTTATTTTCTTGATAAATTGACCAGTCTGTGATATTCCATTGTTAGAGCAATGGAAAATGGTCTAAGAAAATAGCCTACCACAGCCTAGTACCCAAATTCCAGTGATGTATTAAAAATAAGAAGTTCACATGTGTGTTGTTTACTAATGTATACCTACCAAGGGTTTAGCAAAATTTCTTGAGTGAGATAAATACTAAATAGATATTTGAGAGCAAAATGAATGAATGGATGGATGGATGGATGATCATAATTATAATAAGAATGGGTACTATTTATTAAGTAATTTCTAAATTATTTTTATGAAAGCTAAGCTATATTGACCATTAACTATATTTAAAGTGCTATGCTGGACCGTTTATAAATATTATCTATTATAATTCTTAAAACAATCTTGTGGAACAGATAGGATCCCCATGTTAGTGAGAAGTAAACTGTAGCTTAGAGAAATTAAGCAATTTTTCTCAAGTTTTCAGGTAAGAATCAGTGTTTGAACTGAGGTCTGATTCCAATGACAGAATCTTGAGATATATTGTCCAATGAGAAACAGGATCTATGATATCATATGATTAGAACTAAGAATCAGTGTTTGAACTGAGGTCTGATTTGAATGACAAAATCTTGAGATATATTGTCCAATGACAAACAGAATTTATGAGATCATATGATTAGAACTCCATGTAGGTCCTTCATTTACTTGGCTTGTTGAAAGGTAATTTAACCTGAGCTCCAATGGTTTCACCTTTAACATAAGAAAAGTAACATTTTCTATGTTGTAGGATTATGCCGATTAAATCTTTGCAAATGGAAATGTTTTATAAAATACACTTTGTGGGTAAGGGGGGATTCAAAAGAAAATGGTTCAAGGATTACCGATCCATGAAAGACTTACAGAGAAGGTAGCATGAAGAGTGAAAAGAAGTTTTCCAAATAAAGGATATGGATTGTACAAATAGAAAGAAATGCATTTATTACATGGCTTGATTGGAATATATGGCACAAGTTGGTCAGATGTAGAAAATAGAAGAATTGAAAGTCAATTGTGGTCTTCAATCATATTTTATTGGATCTGGAAAATCTTCACAAATCAGACAATTTCACTACATTAATTAAGATTACTGTTGCTCTGGAAAGTTTGAAGAATTTGTTGTGGTGATGGTGGTTGTTGTTGTTGTTTGAGATGGGGTGTCACTTTACTGCCCAGGCTGGAGTGCAGTGACTCGATGTTGGCTCACTGCAACCTCCACCTGCCAGTTAAAGCAGTTCTCCTGCCTCAGTGTCTCGAGTAGCTGGGATTACAGGTATGTGCCACCATGCCCAGCTAATTTTTGTATTTTTAGTGGAGACAAGATTTCACCATGTTGGCCAGGCTGGTCTTGAACTCCTGACCTCAAGTGATCTACCTGCCTCAGCCTCCCAAAGTGCTGGGATTATAGGCATGAGCCACCATGCCCATCTGAAAGTTTGAAGAATTTGGCCCCACTTACTGTGTGCTGTGCATTGCCACACTCAGTGCCACTGCCTGGAGTCTGGACTGTGAAGCTGACCACATCCTCAGGGTCTCTGTGGATTCCTAGTTTGCTTCTCATTCTTATTGTCTGGATGGTCCCTGAAGGCTTTTGAGTTTCACATTCCGATATAAGACGACAACTGTATCATTATTAGCATGAATCTGTAAAAATATTGTGGCAATGACAAAGTGAAAAACAAATTACTTTGTTACTATAGAAATCAAGTGTTCAACAAATCTCAGTTCCATTCATATCCTTCATTGGCATGATGAAAAATTGATTCCATTCACTAAATAAAAAGTTATATTAGTAAAGCTAAATATTAATCAAATATTACATCTCAGTTATAAAACTAGTGGCATGTATAAGAGGGGAATACATGTTTAAGTTAGTTTCCAAATTGGGCTAAGAAAGTGCATATGAAACACTCCCTTTTTTTTTAACTTTTTAAAAATTATACTTTAAGTTCTAGGGTACATGTGCACAATGTGCAGGTTTGTTACATATGTATACATGTGCCATGTTGGTGTGCTGCACCCATTAACTCGTCATTTACATTAGGTATATCTTCTAATGCTATCCCTCCCCACTCCTCCCACCCCACGACTGGCCCTGGTGTGTGATGTTCCCCGCCCTGTGTCCAAGTGTTCTCATTGTTCAATTCCCACCTATGAGTGAGAACATGCAGTGTTTGGTTTTTTGTCCCTGTGATAGTTTGCTGAGAATGATGGTTTCCAGCTTCATCCATGTCCCTACAAAGGACATGAACTCATCCTTTTTTTATGGCTGCATAGTATTCCATGGTGTATATGTGCCACATTTTCTTAATCCAGTCTATCACTGATGGACATTTGGGTTGGTTCCAAGTCTTTGCTATTGTGAATAGTGCTGCAGTAAACATACGTGTGCATGTGCCTTTATAGCTGCATGATTTATAATCCTTTGGGTATATACCCAGTAATGGGATGGCTGGGTCAAATGGTATTTCTAGTTCTAGATCCCTGAGGAATCACCACACTGACTTCCACAATGGTTGAACCAGTTTACAGTCCCACCAACAGTGTAAAAGTGTTCCTATTTCTCCACATCCTCTCCAGCTCCTGTTGTTTCCTGACTTTTTAATGATCACCATTCTAACTGGTGTGAGATGGTATCTCATTGTAGTTTTGATTTGCATTTCTCTGATGGCCAGTGATGATGAGCATTTTTTCATGTGTCTTTTGGCTGCATAAATGTCTTCTTTTGAGAAGTGTCTGTTCATATCCTTTGCCCACTTTTTGATGGGGTTGTTTGTTGTTTTCTTGTAAATTTGTTTGAGTTCATTGTAGATTTTGGATATTAGCCCTTTGTCAGATGAGTAGGTTGTGAAAATTTTTCTCCCATTTTGTAGGTTGCCTGTTCACTCTGATGGTAGTTTCTTTTGCTGTGCAGGAGCTCTTTAGTTTAATTAGATCCCATTTGTCAATTTTGGCTTTTGTTGCTATTGCTTTTGGTGTTTTAGACGTGAAGTCCTTGCCCATGCCTGTGTCCTGAATGGTATTGCCTAGGTTTTCTTCTAGGATTTTTATGGTTTTAGGTCTAACATGTAATTCTTTAATCCATCTTGAATTCATTTTTGTATAAGGTGTAAGGTAGGGATCCAGTTTCAGCTTTCTACATATGGCTAGCCAGTTTTCCCAGCACCATTTATTAAATAAGGAATCCTTTCCCCATTTCTTGTTTTTGTCAGGTTTGTCAAAGACCAGATGGTTGTAGATGTGTAGTATTATTACTGAGGGCTCTGTTCTGTTCCATTGGTCTATATCTCTGTTTTGGTACCAGTACCATGCTGTTTTGGTTACTGTAGCCTTGTAGTATAGTTTGAAGTGAGGTAGCATGATGCCTCCAGCTTTGTTCTTTTGGCTTAGGATTGTCTTGGCAATGTGGACTCTTTTTTGGTTCCATATAAACTTTAAAGTAGTTTTTTCCAATTCTGTGAAGAAAGTCATTGGTAGCTTGATGGGGATGGCATTAAATCTATAAATTACCTTGGGCAGTACGGCCATTTTCACAATATTGATTCTTCATATCCATGAGCATGGAATGTTCTTCCATTTGTTTGTGTCCTCTTTTATTTTGTTGAGCAGTGATTTGTAGTTCTTCTTGAAGAGGTTCTTCACATCCCTTGTAAGTTGGATTCCTAGGTATTTTATTCTCTTTGAAGCAATTGTGAATGGGAGTTCACTCATGATTTGGCTCTCTGTTTGTCTGTTATTGGTGTATAAGAAGGCCTTTGAAAAAATTCAACAGCCCTTCATGCTAAAAACTCTCAAGAAATTAGGTATTGATGGGACGTATCTCAAAATAATAAGAGCTATTTATGACAAACCCACAGCCAATATCATACTGAATGGGCAAAAACTGGAAGCATTCCCTTGGAAAACTGGCACAAGACAGGGGTGCCCTCTCTCACCACTCCTATTCAACATAGTGTTGGAAGTTCTGGCCAGGGCAATCAGGGAGGAGAAAGATATAAAGGGTATTCAATTAGGAAAAGAGGAAGTCAAATTGTCCCTGTTTGCAGATGACATGATTGTATATTTAGCCCCATCATCTTGACCCAAAATCTCCTTAAGCTGATAGGCAACTTCAGCAAAGTCTCAGGATACAAAATCAATGTGCAAAAATCACAAGCATTCTTATACAGCAATAACAGAAACACTCCTTTAAAAATGGCTGATCTGGATGCTTAAAAGCTTTGAGGCAAATAATTATACACCAACAACCTGCAGAAATCTTGGTATGTGGATGCGTTTGAGTCAGAAGAAAAAAATGCTTCACACTGAATACTCTGTACTTTACCATACAATCAAAAGAATAATTATCTTTCCATCCAGAGGAGAAGCTTCAGGTCAGTGGTTGTCATGGAGTAGTTCAGGGGTCTCCTGCTTCAGAGTCACTGTTAGTGTTTTGTCTGAAATACAGTCAGCATCAGCACTGTACTTGCTTAACCCAGATCCCTGAGAGAGATGCCTGAGGTCTGCATGTTTTAACAAATTCCTCAGCTAAAATGTAGGAAATACTGGCTTATTTGTATATTATAAAATTAACATTCCAGGCTTAATACTTAAGTAATATGTTGATCTGTTCAGCAAACCACTGTGTCACACATTTACCTATGTAATAAACCTGCACATTCTGCATATGTACACCTGAACTTAATAAAAGATGGAAGAAAACAAAAAATAACATTAGTATTTCATATTAACTTTTGTCCTTATTGCTCCTCTTTTCCCCATCTCTCTCCTTTTGTTCTTTTTTTAACTGAATTACAAATAGTTTTTCTTAGAGGAAAATGTTAATATGCATCAAAATAAATATAAACATATTTTAGCAATTTTAAAATTGTTTTTAATTGGAAGATGAGGCAAAAATTCTGAAGTAAACATGTTTGTGGCTCTAAAAAGATCATACTTTCCAGAGTCATCTGAAGGGCTTGTGAAAATACATCTCTGGGCACCACGGCAGAGTTTCTGATTTCATAGGTCTGGGGAGGGCCCAGAACCTACGTATCTCACACACATTTCCAAGTGATGCTGATGCCACTGGGCCAATGACCACATTTTTATATCATTACCCTGGATTTCCCTCTCACGTTCCATTTCTCTCTGCTCTCTTCAGTCTCCCTCTCCCTTTTACAGGTAATTTTCCTCTTTGCAGGATATTTGGTCCCCTGGTTCTCCCCAAGTCATAATAGATCTTTTTGTCTCTCCCCCTCCCCATTTCCCATTAATGTTAACTCTATATTTTCAAACAGTTTGTAGAACTGATTTTACCTATGTTCAATGACAAAGACACTCCCTTAGAAGTATTGAGCTTTTCCTGAGACCTTAACGGAAGACATGATCCTGGATGGTGTCATGTTAGGCATCACAGACCCTCAACAAAAGACAGATTTGGGGGTGTTGCTTTGTTGGAGAGTGTGTTTTGTTTTGTTTTCTGAAAGATGGCCTTTGGAATACTTCCTCAAGTCCTTTCCTGGTAATTATGTGATTCACAGAATCTCTAATTTGAACAGTTATTAAAGAATATCTTCATTTGTTTGTGCTGCTGTAGCAAAATACCATACACTGTGTACTTTATAAAGAACAGAAATTTATTTTCTTACCATTCAAAAGGCAGGGAAGTCCAAGATCAAGGTGCAGGCATGTTCGGTTGTTGGATGAGGGCTGCCTCCTCTGTAGGGGAGGAAGGCTGTGTCCTCTCATGGCAGAGACCTGAAAGCCCTTTTCAGAAGGGCCTTATCCATTTATGGTGAAGGAGCCTCATGACCTAATCACCTTCCAGGGGCCCTGTCTTTCAATGCTGTCACTGTGGTGATTTGGTTTTAACATGAATTTTGGAGGATCTGACATTCAAACCATAGCAAAGAACCTACACTCACGTAATTATAGCACTCTGCATTTCAAATGTGTAAATTTCTATAAATGTTTCTAACAGTCACTTTACAAACAAAATATGTAAAACAGAGAAAAAAGAAAGGGGCAAAACTGAGCCTCATTAAAAGTTATGGTTATAACTCTCTTTTCGTGGGGATATTAATTTTAGTAGAATGAGTTAAATAAAAGTTTAAGTCAAAAAGAGAGGCAACAGCTGCCTCCAGTCAAAGTGTCTGGTTTCTAAATGATGTTTTAAATTTCCAGCTTAGCATGTATTCTTAATTTTTATATCATTTTTAATATGTTAATGGCTACTGTTTTTAGGTTGTTTTCTTAACAGTTCTGCAACTACCTTTAAGATGTTTTTTGAAGTCTAGGTGGCAATATTTTGTCTTCAGTTAATATAATTGCAATATTACGTTAGAAACTAGCACAAAATTATATTCCTGAATAATCTCTAAATTGCTAACTTTTCAGGGATTTATATTTTCTGAAAATTAACATTCTTGAGAATTTCATTAATGTCCCAGGCAAATCACATAAATGGACCAAACACATGAGACAGAAAAATTAAAGTTGAAATGAGGTCTATAAGAGATTCTCAAATATTTGAAATACCTCAAGTCAAAAGATATGAGTATATAAAAACTTCATGTAATATAATTTGATTAATTTTCCAGTAGTTTATGGAGTATGATTTTGGACTATACCACACTGTAAGCCTTAGGTTTTGTAATAACCTGAACTCTTGATATTTAAGAAGATAAATTTCATGTTTGTTGATGAGGAAGCACACACCACTAGAATGAACGCTTATTGGAAAAGCATTGTAACACTGAGAAAACACTAGCAATGAATGATTTTTCTTCATAGAGAAAGGAAGCAGCAAAACAGTCCATAATGAGAGCTCAGCCAAGGGAAACAAAAATCATTGAAATTTCTTAATAGATTCTTTAATACTGATTATTAGATAGAAGCATGTTTTACACTGTGGGAATCCATAAGATTTCAAAGAAAAAGATGCTGTTTTACTTTAAAATGTTGACCTTGAAAGGCTGTAGCTTTTTAAACTCTACTTTTGTTCACTTTCTTTCTCTTTCATTTTGTTCTTGGTTGTCTGCAAGAAACTTGGAGGAGAACCTAGCACATCAAAGGATTTAGTATACAAAAGGGTAGCTTGTAAGTCAGTTAAGAAACAAAGCATTTTCTATTAAATGCTTCTAGGATAACTCACTATTTGAGAGAAAATTTTCAAGTTAGGTAAGTATGCAAATTCAGCTGCGTTATGAACTTGATTGTGAAAAAGCCATGTTAGTCATCTAGAAAACAAATACGTAAATAGAAGATTGCAAAATGGCAGAGAAGTTTATAAGCATAAAATTAATTTTTAAAAATTCTAAGGGGAGTATCAGTAGATAATACTTCACATGACACAAAACTTTGGCATATCTAACACCATCATAAAAAAGATGCAAATGAGAAGCTGGAAAAATTACTTGCAACACGTATTCCAGTCAAACAACAACAAAAGAAGATGAGCATACTGAGATAAAAGTGGAAAAAAATACAGACAGACAACTCATAAAATGAAAAAAATACAAACATTTAATGTGAGTTTAACTAAAATGTACTGGTTTTGATGTTGAATAAACTGGGAAAATTAATAAGATAATATTGATGATTAGTGTCACTGATTATATTAGACCATTCTTGCATTGCTATAAAGGAATACCTGTGATTGCATAATTTATAAAACAAAGAGGTTTAATTGGCTCATGATTCTTCAGGCTTTATAGGACCCATGGTTCTGGCATCTGCTCGGCTTCTGGGGAGTCCTCAGGAGCTTACAATCATGGTGAAAGGTGAAGAAGGAACAGTCTTTGTCACGTGACCAGAGCCAGAACAAAAGAGAGAGAGTTGGGGGTAAGGTGCCATACACTCAGAAGAAGAGCTCACTCATCACCAAGAGGATGGCCCAAGCTATTCATGAGGGATCTGCCTCCGTGATCCAAATACCTCCCAAATCTCCTGTTGAAGTGTAATCCCCACCTCCAGCATTGGGGATTACATTTCAACATGAGATTTGGATGAGGACAAATATCCGGACTCCATCAGTGGTCAAGAACTTTTTATTTCTGGAGAGCTATGTTAAAATATATGTTAAAAGTCCATCCTCTTTAGTTCTGTAATTCCTAATATAGGAATGCATCCTAATAAAATATCTCAGATGTATATATATATATATATGTGAATGACAATGTTCAGCAGAGTTCTTTTTTAGGGTACAAAGACTATCCCTTTAACAGTTTTTACATAACTAAAATGTTTCCACTAAAAATCACAATAAAAATCGTCAGTGTTCTTTTCACATTTCAGGCAATCCTGCTGGTTTTCATATTATTTTTAAAACTTTATAAGGAGAATGGTGAAAATAGTTCATATATAACTTAGATGCTTGTTCTTTCTATATTGTCAGCTGCTTTTCACAAATGATTAGCCTCAGCTCTGGACAGATTTCAGCTTACATCAATATGATGTAAGTGATACTATGTTTTCTCTATAGCTGTGGTGATTTGCAATATTATTTTTGCCTCCTATTTGTCATGTAGTACCTGCTGGGCTGCCTCAACAGATAGTATTTGTACAATGGCATTTTTGTGTGGAATGAGTCCATCTTCTGCATACATCCACATGTTATGAATATACTAAAATGATCACAGGTCATACATAAAAATCTTGTCATTTAAAAAAAATCTTACAAATATTAAATTTAGAGGAATGTCTTAGATTTTGCTTCAGTCTATATGGATATACTTCATTCATTCAGCAAGTAATTTGCTGAGCACTTACTATGTATGATGTTTTCATGGCTCTGGGGATATAGTAGATGATCAAGTAGCTTAAAAGTATCCATGCTAGTGGTGGATATAGGTAGTAAATAGGAAACAAATATAAAAATAATTATGGATTGGGATATATGCTATGAAGTAAACAAAGGCAGACTATCTTGCTAGGATGGAGGTTTTGTCTTTGGACAGAGCTTTTAGGCCTCCTTAAGTAGATGACTGAGCTATAAAGCATAAGACTGAGCCTGCCTCATTAATAGGCAGGAGAGAGTGTCCCAGGGTGGAGAGAGAACAAGGTAAAGGTGCCCAGGTGGGGATTTGAGGGTTGGAGCTAAGGGAGCCCATATTGCTGAATAAGAGTGAGCTGTGGAAAGAAGGCATGAGTTAGCTATAGAACCCTTGCTTCTTATTCTTACTCTTGGGTATTAACAGTCATCTTCCTCTTGAAAGCTGAGAATAGCAGTTTAGGCAGATTGTGAGTTTGGCTTTGGTTCTTTATGGAAAGATACCTTGGAGTCCCATGGCCACTAGATGAAGGGATGTCAAGCATTGTAACTAGCCAACTGCATCCCTACCATGGATAGTTTCCAACATTCTGTTGCTCTTAGAAAGTCCTGAGACATCATCCTTTCCTTCAGGTGATGCCCGTTCCTCTCTCACATGGCAGTCAGAGCTTACGGAAGATCTAAAAAAAGGAAAAAGATGTAATTAATTCATCACATCTTCCAATCATCACACACACATTGCAATGGGAGCCAAGCTGGTGAATGGTTGGCTACTGTCCTGCGGGGCCATCTTGGAAGAGCTGGAAGTCAGCCTTGCTGGCCTTTTATCTGGAAGTCCAGATTAGACCACTGAATTGCACACATCTAGGACATATAGTGTGAATATTGAGGGTTGTATGAAAAGTCAAAAGCAGAAAGTTTGAGGAACATCTAAGATTACCAAATAATTTGCTGTTTCATTAATGTACTTTGCTTGCTTAAATCTCCGTTTTCAAATTCCCTTTCTGCCATCTGGGGCATTCTCTTTCCTGACTGCCTACCCAATTGCTACTCATCTTTTTTATCTGAAGGCCTGGATCGGTGAAGTGATTCTGAAAGTCATACAACTTGTTAATACCAGAGCTATGGTCTCGTTTCTCTGCTCTTGAATAATTATTCACTATGCAGGTATTCACCCATTCCTTCACTTGCTGAGAGTCAGCCAGCCATATGCTAAGCACTGAGAGAACTAACATGGTTAAGACAAAGTCTCCAGCATTAGGCTTCTCTCTCTCTGGTGGGAAGATCTTGTTAAGCAAATGAAATAGAACATAAATGAATGGATAAAGCTCTGGTCAGGGTGCCGTGGGAAAACAGAGGTGAGACTGAGTAACACTGTAGAAAAGGTCCAAAATTCATACTTTTATTGGAAAATAAGCAGGGTTAGCCAGGAAGAGGAACACGTTTCATGGGCAGAGGCCATGTACCTAACAGTTCATGATAGAAAGAATTGTGTCCTTTTCTGTTTATTAAAAGATTTCATTGTGCTTTTGTTTCTTTGGTTATTTGGTAGCAGTATTTGGTCTCTTTGGTTCTTTAACTGATTGTGCTGGGTCCTTTACTGTACGTATTAATGAATCGTCGTGATGACAAGCAATCTTTTCAATGACTCTTCTACCTACATCAGAGACTCCTGACATCAGCTTGTATCAGGAGGCTGTCTCATCCACTGTCCTTCTCTGATGGGGTAATTCCTCAGGACCTACTATGTTATCTATGTTGACCCAAATTTATTCTCAGTTCTGGCTTGCGCACCTGGAGAACAGGCCTTTATCCCTTGATGCCTGCCGGATGCTTGACACCTTTGAAATTAGGCAATTCCCCTCGAGGCTTGTTTTAGAGAGAGGGTTTTGGAGCCTGGGATAATTTGAATAATTTCATAATGTAAAAAAGAAACAAAAGTTTATGTGACCCAGTCAGTGAATTCCTCTTTAAAGGGACATGTTTTAATCTAAAAGAACGTATGAATCCATTAAAGGTTACAAGTAACTGATATGTCACACAGTTACTTGTTAGAATATATTTATATAGGCTTTTGTTTTAACCAGAATATATAGTTTTAACTTACTTATTATGACATAACGTTTATTATGACAAAGTTTCTGTTATTTACATGAACATATTGGCCCCATTGTGGAACTATTTTTTTTTCTAATAGGTCTAACATGTTAATTTTAAAAATTGCTATTACCAACATGCAGATTATGGTATTACTGTCCAGATTAATTGCAGAGACCATTTTCAGTTATCTTTACCAAATAATTGACTATTTAAGCATGTTTATGTTTATATATACTCGCATTTTTATAGCAGTGGGTGTTCTTTCAGTTATATTCCTAATGACAATTCATTTTGTCAGATATGTTTATATTACTTTGTAGTAAACTAACTTCTTTTGAAATACAAGAATTCTTTTTAAATAAGAAAATTCAGTTAGGCTTTGTATTAGTTTGTTTTCACACTGCTGATAAAGACATACCTGAGACTGGGTAATTTAAAAGGAAAAAGAGGTTTAAGGGACTCACAGTTCCACGTGGCTGGGGAAGCTTCACAATCATGGCAGAAGCAGAAAGGTACGTCTTACATGGCAGCAGACAAGAGAGAATGAGACCCAAGCGAAAGAAGTTTCTCCTTATGTAATCATCAGATCTTGTGAGACTTATTCACTCCCAGGAGAACAGTATGGAGAAACCACCCCCATGATTCAATTATCTCCCACCGGGTGGCTCAGACAACACAGAATTGTGGGAGCTACAATTCAATATGTGCTTTGGATGGGGCACAGCCAAACCATATCAGACTTTACGTGCCCAGAGCATTTTAAATTGAGGCGTATAAATCTGTATTTAATTATCAGCCATGGAAAACGTGTATGTTTGTGTTTGTGTGTGCATACTTGCATGCCCCATGCATATGCGTAATTAAAACGTTTTACTGTTTTAATTAACTCTTTGAAAACTAAAGATTTAAACTTCCAAAATCGAACATATCTATGCCATTCTCAGAGCTTTTTTTCTTCTTCTGGCCTGTCAGAATTTCTCTGTTCATGTTCCCAAAGATATCCCCTGAACGCTTCGCTGATGTTAATTTATCACAAAGGAGCCAAGGTAAGCCTAGAGAGAGATCAGCAGAAATCCACTCATGCTTCCACACATCAAAGTGATCTAATGACAGCGGGTCAGCAGCTGTAATTCCCCAAGTAAAAACTAGCACATCATAGTCCTATCTGACATTTATTTTTTTCCTTACCACTTAAGGCAATAGAAAAAACTGTGTTTGAAATTTCACTGGGGTTAATTAGAAAACTCTGAAAGACACATTGCAAACATTGGGGCTTATATGAATCATGCTTGTCCTAATTTCTTAGTGCCCTTATTCAAGAGACTTCATGGTTCTTCAGCCTAAGATCAATTGTGTCAAAACTAGGTTAGACTATACTTGCTCTCACTTTAATTTCATCCTGTCATTAGTAGACAAACGCTTTCCAAGCTGTCTCATGTCTGAAAGTGTTTTTCTGGACTCATTTCTTTACTGAACAGCAGATGCTATTTCTTAATCATAAAGGATCTTCAGAAGTTGGATAGATTTTCACTGATTTTGAGTATCTTAAGTTTAATGCTCTCTAAACACACGCATGAGCTGTATCTCTACCCATGGTTAATTCCTGCCTGTAGTTTCAGTTTATCTTCTGTTGTTTTGATCTTTAAATCATATCAATTATATTGATAAAACAGCAATTCCTAACACTCTGTTAGAGTCCCCTTGCTAAACAATAATTTACCAGTGTTCGTCCTTCTACAGTAACCTTATTTGTCATTAGAATGCAACTCAATCCTCTAAGATTGTCAGGCTTGCTGTATTGCCTTGGAAAATAATGGATGAGATGAATAATACATATTAAATGATCTACACAAATAACTACCCTGTACAAGGAGTCCTCAGTTTCTCTGCTAGGGATACATAGATAACATAAAACAATCAATTGAAACAGAATTAAGAGATAAAGGCATCAGAAAGAGGTACATATATTGCTGCCAGGAAAAGCTTTCAGTAGATGAATCCTCACAGAAGAGGTGAGTTCAGAGGCACTGTGGTAGGTATATCTTAAAATTCAAGCTATCTTAAGATCGTACTCCCATTTATCTGAACATACAGATGCTCATGAAAAGAAAATAGAGATGGAGAAGTAGTAGCTCTTACAATAATAAGAAAATACATGAAAATTGAGATGGTAAAAAAAGACAGTTAAAAGTAAAGTGACAAACCATCAACTTAGGGGGATGGGGATTATTTGCAAAGTATATATCTGGCAAATAACTTGTATCCAGAATATGTCTGTGTGTATAATATTATAAAATCACTTAAAACTCAATGGTTTAGAAAACAGAAACAAACCAATTAAAAAATGAGAAGAAAACATGTACAGACACTTTATGAAATAGGATATATGGATAGTAAATAAGCACAAAATGTAACATCATTAGCCATTACAAAAATGCAATTTAAAATCACTATAGAATACCACAACCCATTAGAATGATTTAAAATTAAGTGTTTATAATACAGACACTTAAATATAGACAATACCAAGGGCTGGTAAATGTGCAGAGCATTAGATCTCTCGTGCATTGTTGAAGCAAAATAGTAAACAGCACAGAATAGTAGAGCCACGTTGGAAAAACAGATTGTCAATTTCTTATAAAATTAAATATCAATTTATCATCTGACTAAAAAAATCCCACTCAAGTATTTACCCAGACAGACAGAAAAATATATGTTTATACCAAAGTTTGTACATAGATGTTTTTAGAAGTTATAATGCCCCCAAACTGGGACCAACCCAAGCATCTTCCACGGGGTGAAAGGATGAACAAACTGTGGTACAACTATACTATGAAATTCTAGTCAGCAATAAAAAGAAATGAAATATTGATACATGCAGCAACAACATAGATGAATCTCAAAGGCATATCCTGAGTGAAAGAAGTCATTCTGAAAAGGTTACAAACTGCATGACTCCACTTCTATTACATTTGGGAAAAGACAAAACTATGAAGATGAGAACAGATTATTGACCATCAACTTCAGGATTGAGGAGATTGTGTGACAGTAAGTGGATTGTATGAGGGAGTTTTTGGGGGTGACGGGACTCTTCTTAATCCTGATGGTGGTAGTTACAGAAATCTCCATGTGTTAAAATTCATAGAACTATACACACTAAGAAAGTCAAATTTACTGTATGTTAATTTAAAATGCAATAAAAAATAGGGGTTCATATAGTTTCTTGAAATGTTTGAGATTTGCCGGATTTTCTACAGGTTAATCTTGCCAAAACCCCATGTTGAAAACAAGGACAGAACTGGTGGGCTAAACTTGGAAGCTTGGAAGCTCTCTATGTCTCCTGGGATATTTTTTTTTCTCTCTCTCTCTCTGAGAACAAGTTCCTCAGCTGTTATACTGAGATGTTTAAATTCACAGCTTTTAAGCTGCAGCTGCTGAACTATGGCTCTAGAAATCATCTGAAACTGAGAATGCGTAAATATTATATATACAGTAATTTAGCTGAGAGTCAACATTTCCTTTCTTAACCCAAGGTTTTGAGTTCCTGAAATTGCCAAGGTCGAGTAAACTTTTGAGCCATCCATCTTATTCGTTTTCCCTAAGTTTTCCTATTGAGTTACTATCTCTGTACCAAGGGTACAAATGATTAGGCTGCAAAGTGCTTTGAGGCTTTGGGAGGCAAAATGTTTCAAGTGCTAATTATTATTATGCAGTATTCTAATTCTGCTTTAAAAATCATCCCATCTACCTTGCTTTCTGTTATACTTCCCCTTATCCTCTTCCTGCTGCTTGGTTGATCATCCTGCTCTAACTTTTTTCTGTGGATCCGTTTCGTACCATCCTTTAAATGTTGACATTGTATTAACATAGAAACCTAGAAATGTCATCTTCCTTCACATACTTTTTTATTTGAAAAATTACATTAATTTTAATGACTTCTCGAATAATCAAAGAAGTAGCTCTCAAACCTCTACTTCTGCTCTGGCCTCTTTATTGATCTGCAGACAATCATTTTCAATCAACTGGCTCACTTCCACTTGACTTTTCCAACATCTTCAACTTTTTGCATTTGAAAAATCATATTACTTCTGAATGTTGGAATAGAAATTTTCATGCATTATTTGTGGAAATTTAAACTGGAAGAAATTTTTGAGTGCAGGTTGTTAAGAAGTACCCAAAGTTTCTATGGCCTGCCCTTTGACCCCATAATAGCACTGTTTAGAATTTTTAAAAATATGTATAGAGAGGTATAATCAAAGCTCATCATTATTTTACAGCCAAAACGTTGAAAACTCTTCCATATTCAGCAGTGGGGAATTGTCTACACAAATTAAAGGTAACTCCATATAATGAAATTTTATATAGCCATTGTAGATTTACATTTGTTGATATAAAATGCATCCTTATTATATTTTAAAATGAAAATAAGAGGTTATAACATAGCATGTAATTACTTCTTTTTTAGTATTGGTTTTCTTTGGATTCATCACATATTTTCATAATCAGAAAAGAAATCAATCCTCATTTTAGGGATAAAATTCAAACCAAAATAATTTGTTATTTTTATCTTAAATGTACCCATCATTCTGATTTGCCTTATTCCCATAGATAGGTACTACCAACCTTCCAGACACCAAGACTTGAAAACTAAGAGCAGCCACCCTTAAGAAGGCAATCTCTCCTGCTCCAACCGTTACCTCATTGACTAGACTTGACAACTGGAACTCTGTATCAGTGATTCCCAAGAAAGGTTGGAGTTGGATATGCATATAAAATTGTGGGGTGGGGGGAGGGGGGAAGGATAGCATTAGGAGATATACCTAATGCTAAATGACGAGTTAATGGGTGCAGCACACCAACATGGCACATGTATACATATGTAACAAACCTGCACGTTGTGCACATGTACCCTAAAACTTAAAGTATAATAATAATAAAATTAAAAAAAATTTCTTATTGTGCAGTGGTGCACAAGGGCACTTTTGCTACTGAGATTCTAAAATACCCGTGAACATTAAACTATGCCACCTGGAGAATGACAGTGCATATTGAAGGCAATGTTTGATGGCAATGTTTTGCTGTCTTTGATGACCCAGGGGAATAGCAAATGTGGAGAACAATGGCTCTGAATTCCTCCCTCCTTATGATATCCAGTACCATTTCCTGGATAATTTTCAGAATGACCTCATTAGTTCTTCTCCTTAATCCTCTGACATCCATCTCCCTTTGCAACTGCCAACTGGTTTATCCATTCATATAGTAACAATTACCAAATGGTAGTTTCAGATGAGAAACCAATGATAGATCCAGTTAGACATACTGAGCTTAGGAGTTCACACTCCTAAATTTCTTCAACATGTCATTTTTGCAGAACTTCCTTTCAAAGAATCTGGAGGGGCCAGGCACGGTGGCTCACACCTGTAATCCCAGAACTTGGGGAGGCCGAGGCAGGTGGATCACCTGAGGTCAGGAGTTGGAGACCAGCCTGCAACATGGAGAAACCCTGTCTCTACTAAAAATACAAAAAAGAAAAAAAAGAAAAATTAGTCGAGCATGGTGTCACATACCTGTAATCTCAGCTACTCGGGACGCAAAGGCAGGAGAATCTCTTGAACTCAGGAGGCGGAGGTTGCAGTGAGTCGAGATCACACCACTGCAGTACAGTCTGGGCTACAGAACAAGA
The DNA here is from genome assembly GCF_000001405.40 of Homo sapiens. Lineage (NCBI taxonomy): Eukaryota > Metazoa > Chordata > Mammalia > Primates > Hominidae > Homo > Homo sapiens. The sequence continues at coordinate 107,522,630 of NC_000013.11, read as the reverse complement.
CTGTCTCAAAAAAAAAAAAATCTGGATATTTCAAATCTCCTAGGGAAATGAAAATTATTTAATATCATTCACCAGACAAATATGAACTGAAGGAAAGTTTATCTTAAACTGAATCTAGTAGGTGGCCTGTAGAGAAGAAACCACATATATACAGATAAATTCTGGAAAAGATAGAAGACAAATATTTATCAGTGAAACTTTAGGGATGGATGAATTTCTTTAAAGGATGCACAAAAAGATTAGACACCTAAAACTATATTGGAGAGAAACACTGTAAGAAGTGGTATAAGATGAGCCGTCTATATGGAGAGATTGAGAAAGGGTCCAAGAAATTAAAGGAAAAATAAGTATTTGTGTTTGTTTCAGTGGCGTAGGGGAGAGGATACGAAATACGAGAAAAATATCCAATAGCATTAAGAGGGAACATAAGGCCCAGCTCTGGGAAATGAGGTTTTTCTTTGTGGTCAACAGATAAATCCATTATTTTCTCCTTCAATTGCAAAAGCATTTTTGTTGCAAGCGGAAGAGGATTTATTTCTTTATTACCTTTAACAGTATCTCTAATTGTCTCCTTTTTTACATGCAACCTGGAAAATCGTATCCCTTAAGATAGGGACCTAGTAAGATTTATGATATGTGAGAGATACGCTGTGTGTGAGTGTGTGTTTCTGTGTGTGTGTGTGTGTGTATGTGTGTGTGTGTGTGTAAGTTGAAGAAGAAAGGTGCTTGTGAAAACAGAGGTAGAAAAGGAGAACCAGTTCTTCTATCTCCACCAAGATCCTGAACAGACCAATTTCAGGAGAGTACAGAATTAAAAGTGGTCTATGCCTATGTATTTTTCAAAAGTCTTTCTTGTACTCCTAGGTATATATAGTTTATTTGGCAATGGGCTACTTTAAACTGTGGGACACTGGGCTAGCCACCCACTAACCAGCTGATGAGAGCAACTCCTCTTGAAGCACATACGATATACCTGTATATACCCCCATTAAAAGACAAAAGCAAAGCATAATTTAATTATTAATAGTGAAGCTACTAAAACCATTACATGTAAGATAGAATAATACATTTGAATTTGTTATTCTAACTAGTGCTTTATAAGGGGGGATATAATAGTCAACTTAATATACCGTTTTGTATGAAACTATAATGAAAGAAAACATTTTATCAGGACTTGGAAAGTTAGTTTTATTTTATGTTACTAAGTTTAAGTAGAGATCGGGGGAAAAACTATATAGGTTTTCTATTACACTAAGAAATCAATTGTAAAATAGTAAATAGTGTTTTTTCTTTGAATATGTATAAAGTTACTGGGATTTACTATTTGTTTTAATTTGGTGGGATGAACTATAAGTCAGATTTTCTCTGGATGAATTTTCTGTTGCAAATGAAATTCCAATTGCATAAATTGTGATTAATTGAAATGGCACATATTTTGTCCTCATGGATGCATTTCTTTATATTAGAGCCAGTATCACATCGCAGTTTAAAGATGCAGGCATTTTATCCAGTGAGTTTGGGGCCTTCTAGTCATGCTGTGTGAATGCAAAATCACTTCTTATAAAGCTTACTTTATATATTCCTATTTTTTAATGTTTAGATGTATGACCTCACACCTTAGAGAAAGTACCTCAATGTATGTTAAAATATACAGTGTAAAGCATAGATCACTGGGTACGTCTTTCTTAGCCTTATCCCGTGGAGATTTGGAGAGGACCCCACTGCTGCATGGACTCTCAGGGTCAGAGGTCATATTCTTTCAGCTCTCACAGGCAGGGGTCTACCCTGGGCTTGGCATCACCTTACCCCATGTGTTGAAAAATATGCGGGGAAGCATTCTAGAAGACTGGGGCACCCTGCCAGCATTTAGTGGATGGTGATGCAAACGTTCTATGATGCACGGGCAGGCAGTCGTACACAGGGAAGAGTTCGTCCACCAGTGACAGAAGCAACCCTGTTGAGAATCACATCATAAGGGTTGGATAAATTAATGATTGGGTGAATAAACTTCATGCATGAGGAATTGAATGTAGAAAGCTTATTTGGGTGCCAGGCACTGTGTGACTCTTTAATAAGCGTTAGCTACTGTGGTCACAATTAATCCTACCTTATGAAATGTTTCCCTGCTTTCCAATTTATGTCAAAAGACATCTCATAATCTCTGAGCTCATTTCTTCAGGTATAGCTTCAATCCTCTCCTTACTTTCTGTTGTAATAATCGTGGCTCTTCAACATTTTATTTCTAGACATTTACTGTGAAGATACACTGAGTGAAGGAATGTAAGTTGCTTAGGGAGGCCTGAAATTCATTTGTACTCTTTCAATCATGAAATACAATACAAACTCTTAGAACAGAAAATCTTCATCAGAGAACCAGTGTGACTGACCCCTTTAGCAACTGATCATTTTTGCTTTCATGTGCATTTTTTCTTATACATATAGAAAACAATTATATTTCTCTGAACCCCCAAAAACAATGTTAAAAGTATAACTTGAGCTAGTACAAATGAATTTCTGTGTGCTATAATTTTCTCATGTAAAAATTACAATTAATATTTATAATGTTGACAGAAGACACTAAAGATCATCATAAAGCATTAAAAAATTAATCCTTACAGCATTCATTTTACTTCCGCAATTCCAATTTTTAAAGCATATTTCATAAAAATTAATGCAAGATATTATTGGCAACTTTAACCAGAGCACTACATTTGTTAAAATGTCCATTCTCTGTAGTTTGAGATAGTTACTATCTCTAGAATTAACTGATACTTAATTCTAACTGAATAATACCTGAAAACTCTTTCTCAAGCTACTTCTTTTCTCTCTACTTGCTAATCTTGGTAATATCAAGACAGTTGGCTGTAATGGAAGAAAACCATTTCTTTGGCCAGAAAATAGTGTTCATTATTTTAGGTCAGGTAGATTTAATTTCATTTAATGTTTTGATATTATATATTATATGCTGAAACTTCTGTTTGGCTGATAAAGAGTTAATGGGGTTCCTCAGCAACTCTTCCTTTTCCCAACCCAAAGCAGCTATTGTTTAACAGCTTCCATTGCCTTCATAATAATGGACAGACGGAAACCCCTGGATAAACCATGGACTGAGTGCTGTCCTCCTGAAACAGTGCCCTGGGACATCCTTGGGGCATGAACACCATTCTTAAAACAGTAGGTTTTTTGGAAACCATTACTTAGTAGTTTTACTGGCTTTAGTAGTTACATCCTTTAATGTGTTTTCTTTGAAAAGTTTTTTTTTTTTTCCTCCTCCCGGATCCTCTGATACAGTATAACGTAAGAATTCTCTTCTTCATTCAGTATTCTGTGCACAATACAACTTTATTGTTAATAACCTGCAATCAAATAAATTGGAATTGAGTGACCAGAGAATTTTTTTTTCCTCTTTGAGAATTTTGAATATTGTGGTTCTGGTTGGAGACCCCTGTAAATAATATATTTTTTTAATTCTGTAAGTTGTGACTGATTGTAAACACATATCACAAGTCATTCCTTAGTGATTTTTATCAGCTATTAGCAGAGCTCTCCTGAAGGCAGACACTAAATTATGCCCTTGCGCAAGTTCCCACCTGAAGGCTGACTCGGATGCACATCCTCTGAGTGTTGCGCCATTTCCCTGTGCATTTGCTTTGCTAGTTTACTTCAACCTTATTCCAATTTGCTTTCCCACAGGATCACTGTGGCCTCATGGTTCACTTGGCATTTCAATCCCACTTTCATTTCTCCTGTGAATCACTCTGGCCTTGTTATCTCGTTCAGTTCTACTTCAAATTCACTTTTCCAAATATATGACCATGATGTTCTCAAATTTGTTTAGAATGTTCTGTCTGAAAATCAGCATGCTTCCTGAATGTCCAAATAAGTAAATGGGCAATTTCTGGCTAGGTCTGCTTTTTTTATTTCTTCTTCTAAAGCAGTGATCATTCTCTAAAATACTATACATTTACTCATCCATCATGTTTATGTGTATCTACTGTCCCTTACCCTAAAATGGCAGCTCAAGGAGAAAAGGTACCTTTGGTTTGTAGCTTGAAATATCCCGAGCACTTAGAAAATTGACTGACACATAACACAACCAATAAATAGCAGTCGAGTAGGTGGACAAATGCACACGTGAAAAACAATATTTATCTCCAAGTACCTTGGAGAGCTCCTTTCTTTTTAAGTACATGTATTAGTCAAATTTCATTTCACTCATTTCAAAAAAACTCCTCTCACCCCTCAAACTCCTAGATGCCCCAAAATTCCAACAGCTGAGTCTGTTTAGTAGACTAAATGTGAACAATTAAGAAAGCAGAGCCATGTGTAGCTCTCCAAGGAATGATCTTCTTTATATTTAATTATTTGAATATAATATTTGATCTTATCTATTCTGTCCTCTTTCCTCTTCTTTCTGTGCCAGTACCGAATTCCTTAACTTGAAATCAGACAATGAAAATTAACTTATTTTCACAGGAAAAAGAAATTAAACTACCATCCTCCCATATTTGACTATATCATTTTATCTCTCACTTATTTCAGTGCATCGAGTCTTCTCAACTTTGTCTCTTTCATTCTCTATTCTGTGCAGGACTCATGGGTTGTTTTTGTCTAGGTTATGTTCTGCTGTACTCCAAACTACGTTTTTGAGCTTACGTTAAGTTTTTGTTTGTTTTTGAGATGGTGTCTCGCTGTGTCATCCAGGCTGGAGTGCAACATGGCGCAACCTCGGCTCACTGAAACGTCCACCTCCCGGGTTGAAGAGATTCTCCGCCTCAGCCCTGAGTAGCTGGGATTACAGTCATGCATCACCAGGCCTGGCTAACTTTTGTATTTTTTGTAGAGATAGGGTTTCGCCACATTGGCCAGGCTGGTCTCGAACACCTGACCTCAGATAATCCACCTGCCTCAGACTCCCAAAGTGCTGGGATTACAACATGAGCCACTGCGCCTGGCCTTAAGTGTTTTTTGTTTGTTTGTTTGTTTGTTGGTGTTTGAAACAGCGTCTCACTCTGTCACCCAGGCTGGAGTGCAGCAGTGGCGCGATCTTGGCTCATTGCAACCTCCGCCTCCCAGGTTCAAGCGATTCTCCTGCCTCAACCTCCCGAGTAGCTGGGACTACAGGCATCCACCACCACGCCCGGCTAATTTTTTGTATTTTTTTTGCAGAGACGGGGTTTCACCATGTTAGCCAGGATGGTCTCGATCTCCTGATCTTGTGATCCACCCTCCTCAGCCTCCCAAAGTGCTGGAATTATAGGCATGAGCCACTGTGCCTGGCCTTAAGTTTTAATTTTTAAAAATTCCCAGTAACATGGGGGAGTAAATTAAGCCTGGATGTTGTTTGCCAATATTTTGCTTCATTTTTTTCTTTTCTTTTAGTTTTTCAAGACTATTTTCTCTATTTTATAAAATGTTCTGATATTTTAAACTCTATTTTCAATAGGTTTTGTACCAAATAGGATAGAATCTTTAGCTAAATATCATAAAATATCAGTCAGAATTGAAGCCCAGATATACACATATACATATACAACTTAAAAATAAGAAAATAAATAATGAGGAAGGAATATACAAATAGTAAGGACCATCTTCCTAGGCCACGTAAATGAATGCATTTCCAACTATAGCCTGGCACCATCCTACCTCTTCATCCACAGATGTCAGCCTAGTAAATGGATAAACCTGTTTATCCAACATGAGATTTTCCAACATGTTGATATTTAGAAGATTTGAAGTCTGGCGTTTATTAAAGAATTCATGTCCACTTTTGCAAATTGACAAACCACAAACTTTAATGTTTATTTGGGAAAATATCAGTGAATGCCTCCATATTAGTAAATCCCTCACGAGACATTCAGAATTCATGGTGGGCGGGGCTTCAGAGTTTCCCTGTAGTGCTCAATTTGGAAAGCTGGAATGTGATTGCACTCAGAGTCCCTGCATGCTGTATTCAATTTGTCTGTTTATAGCAGAGATCTTAAAAGAGTAGTCACCACTATGGATTTTTTTTTTCTAAATGCAATTGCTAACTGCTACAAGATTACTTAAATTGTTTTGTTTATTATTTTAATAAAACAATGTGAAGGCTGGCAATGTCGTGAAAGCAGCATACATTAATAAAGCTGAAAAACATTTTAAACTTAGTCATCAAATTAAATGAAATTCCTTTGCTCATTTCATGGTAGGTGCTTATATTTAAAGTCAACTTCCTCACATGGTGGAATGTTGGTTGATTGTTAATATGGTACACTTAATAGGCACAGAACAGCAAGTAAATACCACATGCTTTTTGCCTTCACACAATGCTTTCTGCCACACTGATGAGTTAGTTTATATGGCCTTTATTCTGCGTTCTGCTTTTTCTTTCTCCACGTCTGCGTTCTCAGACCCTGACTCCGCTCATTGTCATCTTTGTTTTCTTTAGAAAGCTGGATGAGAACTCTTTATTGCATGTGGATCAGATGTCAGCCATTTTCTCCTTAAAACCCTGCAGTTCATACCTAAGAGCTTCAACCTTTCCAGTTAATATTGAAACCCTAAATATTCAAACCCCCAGTGAACATTTTCCTTTTCTTATCAGAACCACTGAGTTAGTCCATCCTGGAAATGGGTCACTCTGTTATCACATGCTACTTTCATTCTATATTCTACTTAGCCCAGAATCATCAACTCATTGTCCTCTTTGTGAGATTTTTTCAGTTCCTTTCATGACATAGTCAATGCCTGAGATACAACTTTCTTCTAAAACAATGAAGCTACCTACGTTTCCATCCTGCAAGTCCTGAAATTATTCTTTCTTCCCGAAATCTGTGCTAAAACAGTGAGTACACCAGGGTAATTTCTACTCCAACCAATCCACAAATGAGGCTGACAGAGGAGCTGTCTCAGCTCCTAGGGTGTGGGAAACGTAATGTACAGGGTTGTGAAGATGCTGACAAGGAGAGCATGGAGTAAATTCCTCAGATTCACAGTTCAGATGGCTGTGTTACAGAATACATGCGTAAGAATACCTGGTTATTATTAGTAATGAGAACAGATAAGAATATGAGCTTTGCAGCTGTATGGAGTTGGTTTCAAACCCAGTGTTTATTCCTCATGAAACTATGTAATGTGGGGCAGGTCTCTGGTTAGCTAAGTCTGTTTCCTTTCCTGTTATATATGGATCATAGCCATACAACCTTATAACAGGTTGTTATAAGGAGTAAATGGGTTAAAGAACTTTGCATGGTGTCTAACACATAGTAAGAACTCAGTATACTGATATTTAATACTCAACATACTATCAGCCTGGTTTTCCAAAGATACAATTTCTCGTGGTCTTAATTGTTTTCCTTTACTCTCAAACCATTTCCCACACCTAACCTTTCCAATCTTACTGTCATCACTGTCATCATTCAGGAACTAGATGCCACCCAGTTTTCTGTGAGGGTAGTACTTTCTCAGTCTGGAGTAGTTTCTATAGTGATTACACTGCACTTTTGCAAAAGGGCTGCATTTGACCCTCAAAGCTTCCATTTAGAGGGGTACACCTATTTCTTGTATTTTGTAAGTGAATAAAATGTTGCTCAGAGAACTTAAATAACCTGCATATGGCCATACAGCTAGCAGGTCACATAACCAGCTTAATCTTTCTGGACATCTTTGAGGTTACAGTCTATGTCTCCTCTATGCATAGGAATTGTAGGATAAATACTTGTTAAATAAACAAAGGTCAGATCTGCTCTATTCTCTGCTGCCTACCAACAAACTATACTTTACTAGCTTGACTGCTGTTTTGCCATAATATCCTGTCATCTATGCAATGATTCAGGCTACAGCCAGCAGATAAGTGGGGGAGAGTATAGGCTTTAAATCATACAGACCAGGCTCTACCATTTACTTGCTGTGTGATCTTGAGCACATTTTTTGACATCTCTGAGCAAAGAAGGGCAGGATTCAGTTAATAAAAGTAACATATATTAATTTATTCTATACTTCCATGTGAAAGGTGTAACTCTTCTTCAAACAATTCAGGTGTGCAAGAAAATTTACCTTACATTTATTTTAATCATGCCAGAGCCATGTATTTTGTACTCAGTTTTATTGATGGCACGGCTGGCCTTCAAACCTGGGCCCATTCAAAGGTTCTTATGATGAACCAAAAAAAATTGATTTATAGATAGGTAGATTAGATAGATAGATAGATAGATAGATAGATAGATAGATATAGGAGAAGCTTCTCAAATCATAGGCCCAATAACCACCCAAACACCCATTTGTTCATTGACATGTGTCCCGTAAGTCTGATGTCTTGAATCTCCCATACTGCCTTGGACCTGTAGGAAAGTAATTGTAATTTTTTTCTCAGCTTCCATAAGTTCTTAGTTGGAAGGATCCCTGTAACAAAAGAGAGATTAAGAAGAGGAAAATAAAAGGTTATTAACACGTACATTTCACCTATACATGGGAAACAACCAGAGAATGAATAGTTTTCAAAAAGATGTCTTTGAATTCCAGCTTACGTAGCATTTGCAAAAGAGAACAGTAAATTTTTATGGCAATGATAAGACAAAGGAAAAGGACTCTGAGTCTCTAGGAGCGGCTGCTTGTGGGAAGAGAGACAATGGCAGATAAAGGCTCCTTAGCAAAGCTTGTCCATGTACATTCTTCTGGTGCCCTCTCCATAAAATAAAGGTCTAAAGTTGTCTTCAGTGGTTAATCTTTGTTCTCCCTGGTAAGGAGGAGGGATGGATACCTTTTGTCTTTGAAAAACTATGCCCTGCTTTTAGGCAAATAGCGGGCAGAGACCTTTCTTGCATCTATTTCTCCTTAATTGTCTTCAGCTCAAAATTCTTTCTATTTTGGGATGGCACATCCTGTTCTCCTGCAGGTCCAAGCCTCTTTCTGGTTTTGCATCCCTTCATGTGCTTTCAGCCATTCTCCTGGAAGACCTGCCAGCGCTAGTGCTGGGACAATGTGAAAAAGAGAATCTGTGATCTCTTCTATTCATGGAACCCCACCATTGATCTAGGCTTGAGGCAATACTTGTGCTTTCTATTATTACGTTTACCTTCATCCTTCAAAGACACTTCCTTCCTCTATTGCAATAGTAATAAACCTTAGTTAGCTCAGATAACAGAAAAAAAAAAAAGATGGGATGCTTCAGTCTTAAACAATGGCTAGTTTCCCACAGTACAAACCTCCTCTGAGGCAAGGAAATATGGAAGACTTGCTGAGTACTTGGAATGGGAGAGGGAGAAGGATGTGTAGCATAAGAACAACACAAAAATAGATCGCTAAGGCAACTTTTCTATAGTTTTGAGTCTTTGTCCAAGTGAAAAAGTTGAAAAAATAACTTCAGATTCACATTTTAATAAATTATTTTGCCAGAAAGCATCATCTAGGACAGTGATAATTGGTAAGCTTGTAGTAATTAATAATTCCCCAAATATAGACCCCAATATCAAAGATAGGTTTATTTTCCAAAAAGAAAACCCCTAAAAAAATGTTGTCTTATTTTCGAATCCTTATGCAGTCCTTCACACTAGGATGTGTTCTTTTGAATGCTTATTTTGAAAATATTATTTTGGAAGACATATTGGCTTGAAGTGAATTCAAGTGGTGCTGTTTTGATGTCTATTGTAATAGGTGGCCAAAAGAATTTTTAAAATCAACACAATGGAATACAGATGTGGTATAATATTTAGTCTTTTGGGGTATTGAGGTAAGAGGCGGAACTCGACTCTGGAGGCAGGGCTTGGACACTGGACCAGATTGAGGACTAGCTAAAAAAGGGAGCGGGTGGAAGCAGCTTTCCATAAGAAATGCCCACCAGTGTCCCATGTCAGTTTACCGTTGCCATGGCAACACTCTGGAGTTACTTACCACCCCTTTCCATGACAATGACCTGATGAACCAGAAGTACCCTTGATGACTGCCCCTTTCCCTAGAAATTTCGGCAAAAACTGCCCCTCAATCTGCGGAACTAAATATGACTGCAGAACTGCCCTGAGCTGCCCCTCCCTGCCTGTGGGGTAGCCCTGCTCTGTAGGACAGTCATGGAGCTGTGCCACAGCTGCTTCAATACAGCTGTTTTCTTCTGCTCCACCACTGGCCCTTGAATTATTTCCTGGACAAAGCCAAGGACCCTCATGAGCCGAGTCCCAAGCTGGGGCTCACCTGTCCTGCCTCAGTGTGACTTTACAACGTCAAGGTCTAGATATTGAACTAAACCAGGTTTTTCTTTTTTCTTTTTTTAGATGGAGTCTCACTCTGTGGACAGGCTGGAGCGCAGTGGCATGATCTTGGCTCACTGCAACCTCCGCCTCCCAGGTTCAAGTGATTCTCCTGCCTCAGCCTCCAGAGTAGCTGAGACTATAGGTGTGTGCTACCTCGCCTGGCTAATTTTTCATATTTTTAGTAGAGACGGAGTTTCACCATGTTAGCCAGGATGGTCTCGATCTCCTGACCTCGTGATCCACCCGCCTTGGCCTCCCAAAGTGCTGGGATTACAGGCGTGAGCCACGACACCCAGCCAAAGTAAACCAGGTTTTTCTAAAGATCACTTTGTTAGTGCAATGTATGCTTCAGATAAACTCCAGAGAGAAGTGAACCAACCAACCAAATGTACTAACATTACACATATTTGGCATTTGACTTTCAGTAAAGCCATCAAAGACAGCCAGAAACATTGCTACTCAGATGACTGGGAAGTGAAGGTGATGTGCTTGGGGTAACTGCTTTCAGGTATTCAAAATGCTTTTCAACAATGAAGCCATTAGACGGAGGTGAAGAGAGGAATAACCTTGTTTTCATAAAATGTTGAAACAGCAATACTTGTAAAATCACAATATGATTGTAGTTAATTTTAACATACGAAATGAAACATCAATATTCTGAGTAGATATGCAGTTATTTTTTCTATTATACAAGATTGGCCCCTGGAGTGGCCATCTAGTAGCTGCATCAGACCTTAGCAAAGATAAAGTCTCCCTGCCTCAGTTTCTCCATTTGTAGTGTGTGAATAGAAATAGTTACCTGACTCATAATGTTGTTATGAGAAAGCATGTTAATTCATGTAAGGCACTTAGGACTGAGCTCACCGTAGCAGACTTGTTAAATATTATCATCTTGTTGGTATTGGCTGGTATTTGGGAATTTATGAAGTATTGTAACATTGTGCATTATTATTTTTCTCCTCTGCACATTTGCATATGTTTTCTCCTCCTCTATAGATTTTGCTTGCCAACCCCTTCCACCAAACGTCTGTAATTTCTCTCTCCTCTGAATGCCTATAAATCTAATATTTGAGTTTCTAGTGACCCCAATCACATGTCATATATTTTAAAGCCATGTAGAATAAGCACTGGGCGACAATACGATCTAGTCACACTATGTACAGACAACGGAAGAGTCGGATTTGAGACTTGCTTCTGCTCACTAAAATATCTGTCCCCTGAAGAAGTCACTTCAAACTTCTTGACTTTTACTGTGGATGCCCTCCATCCGGTGTCACTGTGAACAGCCTTCTTTCTGCAGCAGCAAAGAGGAACCCAGCGTGGGAAAGCATGGGACATCTCAGGAAGAAGGTATTAGGAGGACTCAGACGGTTTAGGGCAGGTCAGGGGATTTGGGGAGGGCTTAAGAGTGGAGCCTTGCTTTGGGCTAGATGCTGTCAGGAAGCAGAACATAGGATGGGCGTGGGAATTTCTATAACTGGAGAATCTTAATAAATCTTATTTAGAAGGAGAGGGTACTCGAGTGAAACTAAAGCTGTAATTTTTAAGGAAGCAACAGTCCATCCCATGAGCCAGGATGGAGAGAATTTTGACCATTTCTGTGGTATGAACAAAGTTTGTGTTTTTGTCTGTGCTCAGGTGTGAATGCAGAGCTCGTGGTCCATCATGGTCACAGAATGTCCTTGTCTGGCGTTGCTGTTCTGTGAAATTGAGTTCAGCCGCAGAGTATCAAGGCCTCACAAGGCAAACTCTACGGTGGCAGAGCTAGCTTTTTACTTTCTCAACTATTTTGATATCAATACACTGGGCATAAAATATAATGTTGCAGGATTATAGTAAGGACTAAATTAGACAGGTTTTAAAGTATGTAATGTGGTGTCTGAAAAATATTCAGTACTTAATAAAATTTAGTTGTATTTTGGTGCTGCCTTAGAAATCTGTAGAATACAAAACTCTTTCGACCTCTGTTGTGATTCTGGCCCTGATTTTCCTTGATTTTTCCATTTAAAAGTAATGAAATCAGACCCTCCGTTGTAGGCTCAAATGAGATAGCATTCCTCTTCTGTTCTGTTTACAGTGTCTTTGGGCAGCAATTCTTCAGAATCATGAAATGAACTGAGCTTAATTGCTGATTTTCCCCAAAGTTATGGAGGGGAAGAGGAGGAATTGGGTGTGAAAACATCAGTGAAAATGAATGCTATCACTCAAATAGCAATATGATCATCACAAACATATTTGAGCTTTAATTAGGTGTTCTACCGGGATATGGATTTTATAAAAGGAAAATATAAGATTAATTGCAAGCCAAATGCTGTGGCTCACACCTGTAATCCCAGCCCTTTCGGAGGCCCAAGTGGGTGGATCACTTGAGCTCGGGAGTTCAAGACAAACCTGGGCAACATAGCAACCTCTCCATCTCTATGAAGTACATGAAAAATTAGCTGGGCATGGTGGCGCATACCTGTGGTCCTAGCTAATTTGGGGAGCTGATGTGGGAGGATCTTTTGAGCCTGGGAAGTGGAGGATGCAGTGAGCTGAGATTGCACCACTGCACTCAAGCCTGGGTGACAGAGTGAAACCCTAACTCAAAAAATAATAATAATAATAATAATTGTAGTTAAACCAATTGAAACCAGTTGTTCTTTCAGGAATTTCAAAGGAGAGTCTATTTGAAAGCCTTATAATCTGACAGTTATAAGGCAGTCTTTTGAAATGGCTAATAACTTGTTGCTGACTTCTGATTGTATTAATCCCTTCTCCATTTATGGTGGCTAAAGTGAGGAGCTGAATCTGCATATAATAAGATATACTGAAATTTTGAAAAGAAAACTGGAAATAACATTGTAAAAGAGACATTGTGTGAAGTACCTACAGCTCAAGGACAAACTGACAAGTGTTTGGTCGTTGAAGACTGAATATTCAAAGACCCATTTTTCTAACATCTGGATTTCTATTTAAATCTATTTCTTATAAATCTTTTGCTACAAAAATCATTGTTGTGAGAGTTTGGCTCCAGGAAACCTAGACAACGGTTTCGTAGTTATTAATATGCTTTATAATTAATATTTAAATTTCCTGGAGCTAAAGCCTTAGAATAGTGAGAAATAGAGCAATCAATTCTATTTGATGAATATGGAATAAGATTTCCAAGACTGGTGTGTTTGAGTACATATGTATGCGTTTGTATATAATATTATAAAACAATATGTAATATGTAAATATACTACTAAAAGAGAATATATAAGCTAACAGTAGAATCTCAAATCACTTTTGTATAAACAGCAGGCTGAATTTGTATATTTGAGCCAATTTCTGTTTGAAATAGAAAATCATTTTTTAAACAGGCATATATACATCTCAAATTTATAATTGAATTTACTAGCTGTTAAAATATATTTTGTTAAAATACAATTCGCAAATAATCATTTATTTTGATGTTGGGCTTATTTTCACAATGAATAATCACAGTGTTCTCTAACAAAAGGCAAATGAGCTTCCTAAATCCAAGTTTTAAATTTAGCAGGGAAAGCGTAGTATTTTCCAGCTTTTGTTGTTTTTGTTTTTTTTTTAATAAGTGAAAGATTGGTTTGGCCCTGCTTTCAGGTGATGAGACTGGTTTGGTTGGTGTTTTCTTTCTGATTTTGCATCAGTTGTGAGATTGGGGGCGTGTGCGTAGTTGCAAGCCTGTAATCGTGCACAGCCAGGCTTGTCTTTCCCTCATCTGTGAAGCTGCTTTTTTAGCAAACTGCTCAAGAAAAAACAACTTGAATTTGAAAGGTTATGCTGAAGTCAGAATACTAGAACTGCATTTTATTGTCAATGTGTGAAAGTTAATTTCCTGGATGAAAATGAAAGGTTTAAGAGAGATTAAATGACTTGCTCAAGATTCACACCTGGTTAGTGACTTGGCTTCTACCAGGCAAGCAATTCAGCTTGTTTTTTATTATTAAACTTCCTTTTATCATTAGTATTATTCATCAATGGTTACAATGATTATATATTACTGTTATATATAATATATAGTAATACATTATATTAATGTCATTAATATACCACTATATGATATGTAATATGTACATTAATATACATGAGTATATCAAATATTAATAAGTTCCTTAGATTATGCATTAGTTTAGAGCATTTATGACTAATCTCAGATATCCAAATACTGTTCTTATACAAGATAAGATAAAGAGCTGAAACATTGCTTTTAAAGGTTTCATAAAAAAGCACAATATCCTCTAACATTTACCATCTCAAGTGTCATAAAACAATAATAATACATAATATATTTCATGTTTCTATTAATGGCCAAATATTCCTATGAATATTTCCAGTTGTCAAAAGTCATGTAATGTTTTTGTATAGGACAGAACAGGATAGCTTATTACTATTTTTTTCTAATTGCTGAGGCTAATTCATTTTTATGCAGAAAGTGGGATTTCGGAGCAGAAAGGGCTAGCAAGAGTGTGTGGCTTGGGAGATGATGACACAGGGTGGAGCCACGCTGCATTGCATTGGAAGAGCATTCAGTTACTTTGAGCAACATTTAGTCTTCTACTTAATGCAGTTCGAGATTTCTAAGCTTATTTTTCCACTTGGCTCTTCAATTATCAATTTGAGCATCAGGTCTAGTTATTTCCTATGATTTCAATAAATATAGCAGGCTATTGTTTGAAAGAATCTCAATATTAAGAGGCTGAGACAATGTAAGAACCAAAAGGCCTGATTTTGGCACTCTAGAAAAAGTCGCTCTGCAATCCCTACTGTCTTGGGTGTGTTTGCCCCTTTTTTTTTTTTTTTTTTTTTTTTTTTTAATGGAGAATAAACATCTAGGCATCTAGGACATGATGGGAGATGTTTAAAATAAAAAGCAAAAAAAAAGGATGTGATATGGGCTTTTAACGATACATAAACAGGTTTCTTAACCCTAAGTTTCCTCAATTGCTTGTTTCTCATTTAACTTCCTTTCCATTAAAAACAAACAAAAAAAAGCTACCATATAAAATACATGAATCTCCTCTGGGCTAGTTAGAAACAGATGTCCTCTATTCTAAGTAAATGAAGGAAAGAAAACTTGAAGAAGCCCTATCTTCCTGCTAGATACCACTGCCATTTTTTATAGTTAAAAACCTTCAGTTACCTACAAACCTGTAGTTACCTACAACCTGCCAACTAGAAAATCCCTAATAAAATGCCTAACCTAGGTCAGCTTAACATGAAATTCTATTACAGATCTGAATAATTATTTTCTCCCTGGAAAACAACTTAGTATCTCCATTCAATGTTGAATGAAGAGTACTTGTGTTTTTCACAAGTTTCGTGAAAGAACCAACTATTCAATTAAAATTTGGCCATACACAAGAAATTCAGCAGTCTTTTTCTTTCATATTTTATCAGTAAAAGAAGATAATTTTTCCTGATAATTAAAAATATTTTCTGAATTATATAATAGTTTTTAAAAATAGATGTTTCTTTAAAAAGTTACTATTACTCAACAATTCCACTCCTATGTATATGGCCAGGAGAAATTAAAAAAAAAGTCAATTGAAAAAATGTCTAAATGAATGTTCATAGCAGTATTACTTACAATGACCAAAAAGTAGAAATGATCCACATGTCCAGCAAGTGATAAGTGGATAAAGATAAATGGATAAATAAAAATATGTATATGAATATTATTCAGAGAAAAAATGAATTCTGATACCTGGTACAGTATGGATGAACTTGAAAATATTATGTAAAATGAAATAAGTCATTCACTAGAGACCCATAATTAGTCATGTTATGCATATGAAGTTTCCAAAATAAATAGAGAAAAATGCACAACAGTGGCTGCCTTGAGCTGGGGTAGGTGACTGCTAATAAGTACATGTTTTATTTTAAGGGTAACAAGAATGTTCTAAAATTAGAATGTGGTGTTGGTTGTACAGCTCTGTGATTACACTATAAACCTTTGAATTGTACACTTTAAACAGGTGAACTGTATTATATGTAAATTATATCTCAATTATGCTATTTATTTTAAAATGTACTATTTTGTTTTGAAATCTAGTATATTTTTAAAAATCGTATTAGTGAAGGAATAGAAAAAATACATACAGGTAGCTTGACTTCAGGGAAAGATAATTACATATTACAATATTTTCTTAAATTAATACTACTTAAAGGCCTTTCTGGACTAACTGAAATCTTTAATTTCTCATATACAGCATCCTCATGTCATAAGTTAACAATGACAACAACAAAAATATTCCTGAAGTTTGATATTTTGAGTGATAAGGTATTTTACATCATAATTCTTAATAAATAATGCCAGTGGAACAACATTAAACATGTTTAAAAGTCTTTAAAACTGTTCTTATAACAAAAATTATTATATCAAGTAAATTACCCATAAAGAAAAATGTATTATCACAAGTTCTATCAGTATTTATTGAGCCTTCATTTTATACTATCTACTTGCATTTATCTGTCACGAGGCAAACCACTCTGCCGATGATGTTCTCTCTCCACCGAGTTTTTAATATAGTGGGAAAACAGATTTTTCCACATACAATGGAGATAATAAGACTAAAATAATTCTCACAATAATATGGAAATAATCAAAACTGGTAACTTCCAAAGTTATGCTCAGCTCTGGAAATTCAAGACCAGCATCCAGTGACCTACTATGAAGCTCTCTTGACCATCTCTGTTTATTTACGTAAGAGGCACTTCAAGCTTTGCACATGCCTGATGGGACTCCTAATCTCCATTGCCCACCACACTTGCTCTTCTCTCGCTGTTACTTAATTCTTCCTCATTCCCGGTTGTCAGGCCACGCATTGCAGTCATCCATGACTTTCTCTTTCTTTCACTCCCCACCTCCAATCTAGTCTACCAGCAGATCCTGCCATCCTTCCTTCCATATAAATCAGCCTCTAGCAGCTCTCACCAGGACCACTGCAGTGTTGTCTCTGAGCTTCCGACACAGCAGCTGGAGAGACCCTTCATAACCACAAAATAGACTATGTACCATTCTCTGATTCAAACCCTCTGACAGCTTCCCTTCACACTTGGAATAAAACCCACTCTTCTTTGCCATGCCCTCCAGGCCTGCACCTGCTGCTCCCTCCTCTTGTCCTTGCACTTTACCTCTCCCAGGCCTTCAGCATTCCTCACCAATGCTATGCTCTCTGCAATAATTTCCAACTTTCTGTATTGTCTGCTAGGAACATCCTTCCACATATTCCCATGGTGCTGCCATCACCCCAGCCACTTCTCCTGTCTTCCACTTTTACCTGCTCAAAGTCATCCTTGAAGTCCTCAAAGTCATCTCTAATCCCTGCCCCTGGAATTTCTCTCCATAGCCTTTACTGCTTCTTGCAATTACAGCAAATACATGTTGGTCTATCTATGCACTGTCTGTTTTCCCTGCTAGAGCAAAAGCTCTCTGAAGTCAAGGTCCTTTGTGTTGTTGGACACTGGATCTCCCAGACCTGAAACCAGGCTTGGTATACAGTAGGCATTCCCTAAATATTTGTTGAGTAGACAGACGTGTCTGGAGAATTTAAGGAGACATGAGGGCTCACAGCAGCTTCACCCAGGATGATCTTTTTCTCCTAGAATGAACAGAATAAGTTAGAATGGCAGCAGATGCAATGATGGCAACTGGAGACAGAATAGGGAGAAAGACCTGAGTGAAAAGATATGTTATATTCAATAGAAATAGGATTTTTGGGGCTGAGGTTAGTGCGTAGAATAAAATTGAAAAGTTGAGGTCATATTTAGGGGGGCCTTCGATACCGGTATCAAGAACTTTGAACTTTATGTTACAAACAACATGGAAACGAATAAAGGAATTGAGTTTTTAATAAATTTTATTGTGTACATATGTGGTTTATCATGTGATGTTATGGGATATGTAGATAGCAAAATGGATACTGTAGTGAATCAGATTAACATATCTATCGTCTCGCATAGCTACTTTTTGTGACAAGAGCGGCTTAAATCTATTTACTTAACAAAAATCCCTCCACAATAAACTTATGAACATTAATCCTCACTGTACATCCCACAAATCTGCTGTTTGGCATCCTTGGACCTACATCTTTCCATTTCCTCCCCTACTCCCTGCCCATGGGTAACAGAGTTTGATTTTTTTTTTTTTTTTTTTTTGAGATAGGGCCTCACTCTGTAGTCCAGGCTGGAGTGCAATGGTGCAATCTCAGCTCACTGAAACCTCTGCCTCCCAGGCTTAAGGATCCTCCAGCCTTAGCCTCCCAAGTAGCTGGGACTACAGGCACGTGCCGCCACACCCAGCTAATTTTTGTATTTTTAGTAGAGACAGGATTTCACGATGTTGGCCAGCTGGTTTAAACTCCTGGCCTCAAGTGATCCGCCCGCCTCAGCCTCCCAAAGTGCTGGGATTACAGGCAAGAGCCACCGTGCTCTTCCTTGATTCTTGATCTCTGTGTGTTTGAGCTCTTTAAAAAAAAAAAAAATCACATGTAAGTGAGAAGATGCAATATTTTTCTTTCTATGTCTGGCTTTTTTCACTTAGCAAAATGTCCTCTAGGTCTACTACTGTTGTGGCAAATGGCAGGGTCTTCTTTTTTTAAGGCTGAATAATACTTCATTACACACACACACACACACACACACACACACACACAAACACACACACCAGACACACATTTTCTTTATTCATTTGCCCACGGATGGACATTTAGGTTGTTTCCATATCTTGGCTTTTGTAAATAATGCTGCAATGAACATAGGAATACAGGTATCTTTACAAGGTAGTAATTTCATCTCCTTTGGGTATATGCCCAGAAGAGGGATTACAGGGTCATGTGGTAGCCCTAGTTTTATTTCTTTAGGAACCTCCATATTCTTTTTAATAATCACTGTACCAATTGACGTTCCCACCAACAGTGTATTAAGGTTCCCTTTCTGCCACACCTTGCAAACATTTGTTATCTCCTGTATTTTTTATAAGAGCCATTTTTGTGCGTGTGAGGTAATATCTCATAGTGGTTTTAATTTGCATTTCCCTGATGATTAGTGATGTTGAGTGCCTTTTCATATACCTGTTGGAATTTAAAGATCATTTGTTACCTTCTGGATTTTTTTTTGAAAACTTACATTATTAAGCAGTACTAGTTACTGAAGGGCCCGTTAAAATGTTGGTCTATTTTGTCTTAACATTTCTGTCTTCTGCAAAGGCCACAGTTTCAAATGCCTTAAAGAATGAACTGGGCAGGAAAACTGAATGAATGAGCTGGCCTGGCTGAAGTTCCTATGAATCTAAGCCTGGAGATGGCTTGCCTCACCAAACACCATTCACATTCAGTTTTATTTTTTGAGCTTGGTGGTAAACATAACCAGTCTGCTGGTAGAATTGAGCCTGTGGGCTCTGAGCCTGCAAGAGTGCTCTCAAAGCTGAAGTTAACTAACTGGGCTGCCTCTTGGGCTGGATACACTGTGGGATGTGGGGCTGCCTTCTGTGGAACTGTCACTCTTTGATGGCCATTTTCATAAATACAGAAATGGACAATCTGCACTTCCATTTGTATTTTTTTAAAGAAAAAATAAATACTCATTACTTAACAGTGTCAAAATTAATTCAGCTATATTTCCTGAAAGCTTTTAGGAGGTTAAATTTTACAGAAAAACACAACTATCAGGGGAAACATCTAGATTTAATCATGTGCCTGTTTTCACTTTTCTCTCATGGTCTGAAAAAATATGTAATATCTGGAATGTGTTGTTTAAATGGTTAGAAGAAGCATAATATCTGACGGAAGTTTTCAAAGGTAGGGATGCATCCAAAGCCCCAAGGGGAAGGGTTAAGGAGTTTAGAATGTTCAAGGTAACCTGTGGTGATGGTAACCATGTGGAACAGGTGGTTTCCATGGAGGTATATTCTCATCAAGGCCATCATAGCTCTCACTTGTTTTATGATCATTGTTGAAATCCTTCAATGTAGCTTACCTATCTAAATTAATCACAATTAAGCCAAACAATATGATGTCTTTACATAATAAAAATCTACCAAGGAATTTAACTCAGAGCATTATAGGAGAAAGACTGTTTGCATTTGCTACAGGGTGGGGTGCTTGAGGGATGGAGGGGGGCCCAGAAATCTCAAACATCTCTTAAAAGTCCCTTTTGGAATAAAACATAATATGAACTGTATTTTTCTAAATCTTACACTACTAATAGGAAGACTTATCAAAGTGTTTTTTCTCATATTTGTATTTTCATGAAAATTTCCAAAGGATTAATTAAGACAAAGGGTATAATCTCTTTTTTCATTCGGGATAATGCATTCTTTGTATTCTTGACCTTAATGAAACAGGTGCTTAGCAATAAATATAGATTGTTCTGCTGAAAGTTGGGGTCTAAAACCAATCTGCATGTTGTTCTCAGTCAAATATTATCTGCAAATGACAAAAGGTTTATTCAGTCCTTTTAAATGAGAGGATATTTTTTCTGCCTTCACTAAAACAGAGCCCCAGACAAAAATCGTTTTTCATTTGTTTACCTGAAAAACAATGAAATGAACTTCAGGAGTTCCATCCTTTCAGTTGGATAAATAAATTGTTAGTTGTTGCTATAATACACTAAAAAGACATATTCACATTAAAATAAGTGCCTGAAATCATATATTTTGCAGAGTAGAAGAATGCAAAAACCCCAGCATTTCTTCTCTCTTATTTTCTAATAAATCACCATTTTATTTAGCCTTCTTAAACCATACACATTCAACAGAAAGTAAAATTCTGATCCCATCAGTGACACCTTAAATAATGCACACCCCTATGCTTAAAATTGTGTGAGGACATTGACTTGGTAAATGCATGAAATACCGTTTACCTGACATGTTTGACACTGTGAAAGCAGATCTTCTCTTTAAAAACTTCTGTTTATTGAGTCATTGTTCAAAATATTTGCTGCTCCAGCAGCTTAGTTCTTAGCAGACATCTTCATGATGTGACATAATGGAAATAAAAAAAAATTAAACAAAGTGGAAAGAAATGAGAGTTGCAGCAAAGTAAAGTTAGGCATTGCTATATTCTGAATGCATTTGCCTGGGTTGGAAATATGATCCCCCACGCTGTGGTGTTGGAGGTGGGGTCTTTTAGGGGGTGTTTGTGTCGTGAGGGTGGAGCCTCAGGAATAGATTAATGTCCCGATTAAAGGCACATACTGGAGTGAGTTCTCCTTCTTTTGCTGTTCTGCCATGTGAGGCCATGACCTTTCTCCTCTTCCAGAAGACACAGTGTCCAAGGCACTGTCTTTTTTTTTAAATTTTATTATTATTATACTTTAAGTTTTAGGGTACATGTGCACAATGTGCAGGTTAGTTACATATGTATACATGTGCCATGCTGGTGTGCTGCACCCATTACCTCATCATTTAGCATTAGGTATATCTCCTAAAGCTATCCCTCCCCACTCCCCCCACCCCACAACAGTCCTCAGAGTGTGATGTTCCCCTTCCTGTGTCCATGTGTTTTCATTGTTCAGTTCCCACCTATGAGTGAGAATATGCGGTTTGGTTTTTTGTTCTTGCAATAGTTTGCTGAGAATGATGATTTCCAATTTCATCCATGTCCCTACAAAGGACATGAACTCATCATTTTTTATGGCTGCATAGTATTCCATGGTGTATATGTGCCACATTTTCTTAATCCAGTGTATCATTGTTGGCCATTTGGGTTGGTTCCAAGTCTTTGCTATTGTGAATAGTGCCACAATAAACATACGTGTGCATGTGTCTTTATAGCAGCATGATTTATAGTCCTTTGGGTATATACCCAGTAATGGGATGGCTGGGTCAAATGGTATTTCTAGTTCTAGATCCCTGAGGAATCGCCACACTGACTTCCACAATGGTTGAACTAGTTTACAGTCCCACCAACAGTGTAAAAGTGTTCCTATTTCTCCACATCCTCTCCAGCACCTGTTATTTCCTGACTTTTTAATGATTGCCATTCTAACTGATGTGAGATGGTGTCTCATTGTGGTTTTGATTTGCATTTCTCTGATGGCAAGGCACTATCTTAAAAGCAGAGACCAAACTCTAACCTGCCAACACCTTGAACTTGGCCTTTGTGACCTCCAGAACTATTAAAAAAAAATTTCTATTCTTTATTTGTTACCCAGTCGCAAGTATTCTGTTGTAGCAGCACAAAATGGACTAAGGTATAAAATGATGTGTTAGGACATTAATTTTTACAACAAAACCAAAACAGTGGAGTGTTTTTTTGCATCCCTGCCCACTTTAGAATTAATACATGTAAAATTGTCAAGCCTTCCAGGGTGCTTTTAAAGCTGACAAGCCCAGTTGTAAACTTCTAATCTTATACATAATAATTGATTCAGTTGACTTATAAACTGTGTGTGATCTGTTTTGATGGGATGATAATTTTGATGCTACTTTTATATCTGACGTTTTAAATGGAATATTAGAATGAGTTTTAAAGATAATGAGTTCCCTCAGAGAAACAATAGAGTTGTCTATCAGCATATTATTTTAAAATAACAAATAAAAATTGTACTAGATAATAGGCATAAGGTATGGACAAATCTCAAAGTCACCTATAATCTGAAGAAAAAGAGACAATACGTACTCATAAAAGAAATGTAGAATAATTAGGAATATGTTAAATTAAGAATAACAAGAAAAAAAGCAAGCCGTAAGGAAGTAACTGATTATTTTTTCCCTTGGGTCTTCAAATCTTTGCCTTCTTTACAATGTCCTTAATTTGCAGAATGATACTGTAAAATATATTATTGAAATAGTATAATAGTGACTTAAGATCATGTGTGTGGTATATAACCTAGGATTTTGAACCAAAAAGTTGAATTTCTGCTATTCTGAGACAAAGTGTCTTCAAAAGACTTCAATATGGCCTGGCCCAGTGGCTCACACCTGCAATCCCAGCAGTTTGGGAGGTCAAGCATGAGGATCCCCCAGCCCAGGAGTTTGCGGCTGCAGTGAGCTATGATTGTGCAATGGCACTCCAGCCTGGGTGACAGAGTGAGACCCTTTCTCAGAAAAAGAAAAAAAAAACTTTATTGTATATATAACTTTTAAACGGAAGACAGGGATTTAGTTCTAATAGTTTATCAACTCCAGAGGTCTATAATTTTCAAAATCTTTGAGAAAATGAATACTTTCAGTATTTATGAATTGTCCTTTAGGTCCTATATTAATAAATTTTATAAGGTGATCATAGGTATGTGTTTTTTTTTTAACTTCTGGAGTTAATTCATTTACAAAAATAATGAAAACACTTAAAAATCAGACATCTCAGTTTTGCTTCTGAGTGTGTTGATCGTTTTTTTATTGGTGAAGTATAATTGTCATTAAGCTGCATTGTGTTTATGTGTGTGTGTTAGATATGTACTGAACACCCATATAGACAGATGTGAATACACATTTGATGAAGCCCTAATGACATTTAAAATTTTATCACTGCCTATCTACTACTCTTCCTACATATATGCATTTTTAATGGTTCTGAATGAAAACTGCGCTTCTAGCTGTTCTCTCAGAGATTTTTTTGGATTAACCTGAAAAAATCCCTTTCAGCCTCTAACTCGATGGCCACTGTCAGAATTACTGTTTTCGTTTCCCTTGTCAAAGAACATTGAACTCATTGTCAAAACAATAAAAGGAACAAGAATAAAATTCAAACTCCTACTTAATACTTTCATAAGTATATTCTTTCATTTTCCTTCCCTTCCTGATTGAGATTGTCTCATTTGCCAGGAATTCCTCAGTTCTAAAATTACTTCTTAATTCCACGTTGTTCTCCCCCTGTCTTCTTTCCACCATTTTCTCTTTTCGAATTGCATCAACAGATATCTTTCCCTGTGATCATTAATCATCATATTCCCATATCTCTTTCTGCCCAAAACTTGCTTAACCTCCAAAATCACATGAAAATTCAATTGACTTTTAGGAATCCAAAGCCATTTTTTAACAATGACAGGAAAGCAGACATCTCCAGGGCTTTCTTATTTTCCCCAACATAAATTGTTCTTAATCTGCCACAGTCCTCTCCCAAGCTCTTCAATTCCTTACTGGTAGTTAGCCTGTCATGGACCTATCAATGAGAAGACTCTATGTTTGAACTTTCTACGGTTTGACATGATATCTGCCTGAATTTTTTTGCCATGTGATTAATATTTTCCTGGTTCCCTCATTTTGATATGAGATACATTCATCACCAGATGTAGCTTTAGGCATTCTTTTTTCTTGTTTACACATAGATTATGTGTACATGATTTGCTTTCTGTGATAGCTCTTAAATTAGATAATCAATATTTCATCTAGTCTAACATCAAACTAATAAAATATCACGTTATTAGCTTCATCTGATTTTTTGGCATGAAAACCAGAACTTATAAGGCACTCAAACAATATTGTTATGTTTCATATTCTAACAAGGACAAAAATTCTGATCATCTGGAAACAATAAAGCTTACAATTATTGACTTTATCTGCATGCATATGGCAGATTTGCTAATTTGTGATTTCGTTGTTTTGTATTTAATTATCAGATGCAGCAAAAACATATTTAGTTATTAATTAAATGCCTCCGTCTACCAGAGGAGCTGTAAGCATATGAAGTTACACGAGGCAGGGCTTCTGACCTTGGACTTTCTGTAATAGATGAGAAAAACCTGTATACACACACGTATCTATAATGTCAATCCAGTTATAAGATAGCTGTATCCAAAGTGCTATAGGGACACTGGGGATTATTAATTTTGTTTGCTTTTATTTAAAAAGCCTTTATTGATAGAATAGCATTGGATGTGGATCTGAAATCATTCTGAAAGATGTACTTGAAGAAAGTGTACATCAGAGGAATGGAGTAACTTTCCTGAGCATGGCAGATAAACCTGGTGATCAGCACGACCATATTTGTAGAGATGACCATATAGCCATGTAAGATAAATGAAAACACAGCAATATTACATAATGAATCATGATATACAGAGGTGTTATGGCTTTAATAAAAATATAAGTTTAGGTCATTATTAGAAATTATATAGTGTTCTATATGACTTTTCTGTTACATAAATTGTGTTTAGATAAAACAGTAAAACTCATATCAGTGTCGGTTAATAGTAATTAAGAGTATAACTAAAATTATATATCTCAAAAATGAGACTATTTTTATATTCATTCATGTTCTGAGATATAGCAATTTATTTTAACTTCTTGTTAAACCTTTTATTGGATGTTTAAATTTATTAGGCTGTATATATTATGGAAGGATAATATTGATAAATCTAAGAATTTTAAAAAGAAAACTTTAAAAATAGGACTGCTTAAGTAGTTAGTGCCTGTATTTAAAAAATTATGTATTGCATTCTGTCCATGCTCCAGTAGAATATTTTAAATCTTTGTTTCCTGATATGGTTTGGCTCTGTGTCCCCACCCAAATCTCATCTTGAATTCTTACATGTTGTGGAAGGGACCTGGTGGGAGGTAATTGAATCCTGGAAGCAGGTTTTTCCTATGCTGTTCTCGTGATAGTGAATAAGTCTCACAAGATCTAATGACTTTATAACGTGGTGTTTCCCTGCACAAGCTCTTTCTTTTTTGCCTGCTCCCATCCATCTAAGATGTGACTTGCTCCTCCTTGCCTTCCACCATGATTTTGAGGCTTCCCCAGCCATGTGGAACTGTAAGTCCAATAAACCTCTTTCTTTTGTAAATTGCCCAGTCTCACGTATGTCTTTTTCAGCAGCATGAAAATGGACTAATACATTTCCTTTTCCAATAATGCTTCTGGGGACTGCCTGTAGCCTTTAGCACATCGTTTTACATGTTGTGGTAAAACTGAACATGATTAAACAGAAATTTCACCTGACTGGCAGCTCTACTCCTACCAGACACTCATGGCACTGCTTCCAGATGTCAGTCCAGTGTGAGGACATCAAGCTAAACACCGTCTCAGCAATAGCTTTGGAGCCTGGGATCCTGATGATTTCGTTTACTAGCAACAGCAAGTTTTAGACCTGTAGGAATCAGTTGTCTGCTCTCCAAAAATTTCCATTTACTTTGTATCTACAGGCTTGTTTTGGGAGACCAGCTGTTTGTCATTCAGGTCCTTTGCATCTATAAACTCATCATACTATTTGTGCCTAAAATGTCTGATATTTTTAACATTTCAAAACACATGGGATGGTATCTCAAATTGCTCTTTCTCAGGGAAAATACTTTTAAAACCCAGAGATAATTTGAACTTATTAAATCAAGGTAGTTTACAATTCTAATAAAGAAATTGAGAAAGAACAGTTTAGCTTGTTTGCCCATTTCTGGTAATATATATTACCAGAATTAAAATATACATATATTTCCATTCTAAAACAGTGATGTTTCAAAAATATATGTAATTTTATGAGTTTTTTTCATAACCTACACATAACATTGAACAAAGATGTAGACAGTTCATCCCTCTCAAGTCTCCTTGCCTCTTCAAAGGTCATCAGACACTTTTGGAGAAGCAGCATGTAGGTTTCTGGTTTTTACTCTAGTAATTTTCTTTATTCTTATCCTCAATGAACATCAGATTAGTGAGGGACACCCTTCTTGTCTCAAACTCTGAAAGTATGATCTTATGGCAGATCAGTATTTTAACACATTTTCTATGGCTGACAACAATGATAACCATCTTGTCTACAAAGGCTATCTTCTTCCTATGTGTGATTTCAAAAAAATGATGCTTTATGTTTTGAGGAAACTGAACAGTAACCACAACTTTAATTATGAAAACCTCAACACCACTGGAAATCAAATCACACCCTGTGTTAGTAGTATTGTCTACAGGGTATACAAGACACTTAGAAGGTTTTTCCAGGGAGGGGTTTGGCGTATAGAATGTATAGTCTGTATGGAATTTGTGAACATTCATATGTGTACTTTCTGCCAAGTATGCAGATAAACTAGCAGAGTCTATTTGGCATTGGACAAGATATCAAAAATCAACTATTTTCATTTTATGCTTTTGTGGTTTCATTAAAATCTTCATAGAAATCAAGATGATGACTTAAACTCCATTTCTAAATCAAAGTACCTAAGAGCTAAGAACATTTTTCACATTTTTGTTGACATTGTTGTTGCTGTAATTTGGCGCATCTCTTTATGTACCACAAAAAGCACAATTGTTTGTAGTATCTGATGAAATCAGCTCTACACTATATAGGCCAACACATCTGTTGTCAAAATTTTCCCTTTTGTTCAAACTAGAAATATCTTACTTGCAACTTCTGATGCAGGAAATGTGACTTAACTTAGTTTCATTGAGCAATCAAGAGAATGATATGATGATGTATCCATTTGTGTGGTGTGCTCAAACAGTAACGCCTCTATGTCCATCTGGGAATTGGTGTCCTTTTGGAAGACAAACTCTTTTGCTTGGTTTAGAAGCAGTTGCTTGTCTTATGCTCTACTCGTGAGACTTAGTTTCCATATGTGCTTTTACATTCTGTTCTTCACAATGCCCAAACCCAAATTATTTCCATATATTGTTCAGTATTCTCTGTTTTGTTTACTTGTTCCCCCTAATCCAATTGGTTGTATGTGTTCTTCTATCTGTCATTAAAAATCACACAGTCGTTTAGACTTTTACAGAGATATCTGGGTCATTCCCATTTGCACTATTTGAACTTTTAGGAAACACTGTCATGCTATTTATAATGTCAGAAATTAAACTAATAACACCTTGATACAAAGCACAGTAGTTAACCCATAGGTAAAGCAAACAGACTGCAAGACTCATGGTTCCAATGCACTTGAATCTCATTGCTCAGTTATGCAGCAATGAATGATCCATCAGTTTGGACCACAAATCATGGTCGTGAACATCAGGGCCTGGGGACAAACAGCACAGGCAACCATGGATAGACCGTTCTATGCCATATCTACTCGAGATGAAAAGCAGTGTTGATTTCAGCTCTCATCTTTTCATCGTCCATTTGGGTTTTGCCCTTTTATTCTGTTGCTTTTTTCTGTTTATCAACAAAGTCAGCAAGTGCCTGGTTCCATCCAAGCCATCTCTATTTGGAGCTATTAATGTGAATAATTACACAACTAACCCTTCTGTCTACCTGCCTTTTGGTGTTAGCTACCCAAATTATTGAATTAATTTGTCCTCTTATGACTATCAAAAAGTGATTCTTTTGGTAATTTTCGCCTACCGGTTTCAGCATGGCAAGAAGACAAGTGTTGGTCCTGTATGAATATTTTTATTATATGTCACAATCTTCTGTTTTTATCAGTAGTTCTAACAATTGAGTCTCAAATCATATCAATTTTCAGAACCACATTTATGAAGTAGAAATAAATTTTAGTGTACTGAAATCAAATCATTAGACCTATGTATAGACAACCAAAGTGTTAAATAATGAAAACAATGTCTTCTGCACAGACCATCGTTTTCTCTAATGGATATATGTGTGTGACTGTGTGTGTGCATGTATATGTGTGTGTATATATATAATTTTGAGAGATGGAGTCCCACTCTTTCTCCCAGCCTGGAGTCCAATGGTGCAATTATAGTTCATTACAGCCTCGAACACTTGGGGCTCAAGCCATCCTCTCACCTCGGCCTCCTGAGTAGCTGGAACTGCAGGTATGCACCACCACGCATTGCTATTTTTTGTTTGTTTGTTTTTATTTTTTTTACAGACATGATTTCACCACGTTGCCCAGGCTGGTCTTGAACTCCTGGACTCAAGTGATCCTCCTGCCTTACTCTCCCTGGGATTGCATTTGCGAGTCACTGCACCTGGCCAGAATATTTTTGTTTTATTTTTACTGGCAATTTGTTCCAACCCCCTCAGAACTGTAAACTTCTTTATTTCTATACATTCCTAACTGCTGATTTTACTGCGGTCAATATTTTTACAGGTAGAATAAACATAGCATTTCCTTCTGTAGACAGAAGGTGATATAGTTAACCTCATGCACTTTCATCCACTAAGACTCCAAGTCAAATGCCACCACACTGCAGCACACCCAAGAGAGCCTGGTCTACCTGCTTCCAGGAGTTCACACGATGTACAGGAAAAGGCACTAAGTAAATTTAACTTTCCATTATTTTTTTTTCTGGAGTTATTTCTTATTGTACAAAGATTTCCAGACAACTCCTTTTCCATTTCATTCATTGCCATTTCTGCTTTATCCAGCAGCACGGAGCCTCAGCTTTGAGAAATCTCTTGACCAGAGTGATTTTTATTTTCCTCACACATAAAATGTATGGAAATGGAGATATCTTTTTGGGCATATCAGGGCTATCATGAGAAGATAAAGCCATCAAGCTGTAATAATGGTTATGAAAGCACTTCCAACAATTCTAAAGATGATAAAACAGTGGATGATCCACTGTTGCACAAAATTCTAGCAACAAATTCTAATTCAGCCACACTTGTTCTTAATAACAGATTGCTCTGTTTTTCATAATTATTCTACATATTAATATCCCTGTGAAGTCATTACAACAGCTGTGTTTTTTTGGTCACAGATGTTTTATTTTCAAAGAAAACAAAATTGTGTACGTTTTTTTCCTTGGAGTTCTGATTGAACCAGTTTTATGTCTAAAGAAAAACAGAAATATCTATTCTTGCCTATCCATGATGTACAGCCATTATCAAAGTCTTATAAGTTAATCTTTTTTCAATCATAGTTTATTCCTTTTGGTATTAAAAAAATCCTATTTACAGACAGTGCAAAACTGATAGAAAAGTAGGAAGAGAGAAAATTAAATAGCCAATTAGAAAAATACTGTAGAATTGCAGTTCCAGAGTATGGATAGGATATCATAGCAAGCTGTTGAGTAAGGCGAGGAAGGCTTCTCTGAGGAGGTGACCATCAACTGAGAGAGGGTTTATAGAATGAGAAATGTAAGGAATATAAGGAAGCTGTGGTGCGGGAAAGAATATGTGCGGCAACAAGAGGACAATACTGTAGGGTTCGTAGACCATCAATCTGGTACCATTTCTGGAGCCATTAATTCTTCATATGAGGGTAAGTTTAAGACAGGCTTGTGGCTGGGCACAGTGGCTCATGCCTGTAATCCCAGCACTTTGGAAGGCCGAAGCGGGCTGATCACCTGAGGTCAGGAATTTGAGAACAGCCTGGCCAACATGGTGACACCCATCTCTACTAAATATACAAAATTAGCCGGGTGTGGTGGTGGGAGCCTGTAATCCCAGCTACTCGTAAGGCTGAGGCAGGAGAATTGCATGAACCCAGGAGGTGGAGGTTGCAGTGAGCCGAGATTGTGCCACTGTCCCACTGTCCTCCAGCCTGGGCGACAGAGTGATACTCTGCCTCACCAAAAAAAAAAAAAAACAAAAAAAAACCCAGACAGGCTTGTAAAAATGAAACACGTGTACATTTGGAGCCTACCAGAGTGCCTTAAAAGATAACAGGTGCCCAGGCATCTTTCAGCAGGATAATAATAATAATAATAATTTGAATGATATTATCATTAACATTTAAAATTATTGATCCTATTATTTCCTCTCTTTTACTCCTATTGTCTGTCTTCAAATTATTTCTTTTTAATTTTTACAATAGCCTTCTAAGAATTAAATGTGCACTATAATTTATACCATCTTACATTTACTAACGACTTATGGAATGTTGCAAAGAGCGAGAGTGTTGGTGGAGGGCAAAGGTAGTGAGAATATGGCACAAACAAGACATTAAATATGGGGCAAGGTAGAGACAGATGAGTTTTTTTAACAGTAGTTTCTGATGTGGTTGGTTTGATGATGTTCACATTCCAGTTATTACTTCTGCTTCCGTAGTTGTATCATTAATCTTTGCAGGGGTAGAATGATAGGGCTGCCCTCACTCACAGGGTACCTCTGGGGAGCTGGATCAGGGATGCTCTTCTAGTAGGCTCAGTCTCTGAATCACTGGACTTCAGCTCCCTGAGTGGAGCCCGAACTCTCCAAACACCATGCAATTAAAAAGTCAGCATCCTATATGCTTCTGAAAACTGTGTCGTCTCCACAGATATCATTCACTTTTTCCTTTTCATTCTCAAACCTGTAGTCAGTCACCTGGAGGAATTTCTTGCAATGTCTGTCACATCTTGTAACTGACAAAGTCATTTCTATGTGACCCTAGAGGGGAAAATAGACAAACTCTGTAAGCCTTTATAAATGTTCTGAACCTGGTCTGCCACCACACCTGAACAACCATCCTTTCAGTTGGTTCCATCTCAACTAGGTGTTCCATTGTGCCAGGAATCAACTCAGGATGTTTTGTCTGCCACAATTTCATGTTTTCTGTCTTCTTGAAACAAACACCTCCAGCTGTAATCCACAGGCTTGTTAGACTTATAAGGAGTTCATCAGATACCTTTAAGATAGAGAACTTTGTGGCTTTTTTCAGTTGAATGTGGAAGATACACGGCTTAATTTTGCTGAGGTAAAACAGCAAGCTGGGTTAGGGGCACAGGTGTCCTTGTTGCTGGAAGGTTTAGTGTCTTGTCTTTGCAGAATGTGCAGGAGTTTAGTGAAATTGATTAAATATTTCTATTAGCCTCTCAAGTACATTATGTTATTATTCATCATTTCTTATATTATATTGTGTTTCTACACCATAAACTTGAAGAGTAAACCCCAAGTGTGTGACGACTATACAGATATTGACCTTTAAAAAAAAAACTTTTAAGTTCAGGGTTACATGTGCAGGTTTGTTACATATGTAAACGCCTGTCATGGGAGTTTGTTGTACAGATTATTTCATCACCCAGGTATTAAGCCTCGTACCCATTAGTTATTTTTCCTGATCCTCTCCCTTTTCCCACCCATCACCCTATGATAGGCTGCAGTGTGTGTTATTCCCCTCTGTGTGTCCATCTAGTCTCATCATTGAGTTCCCATTTATAAGTGAGTACATGCAGTATTTCGTATTCTGTTTCTGTATTAGTTTGCTAGGATAATGGCCTCCAGCTCCATCCATATCCCTGCAAAAAACATCATCTTGTTCTTTTTTATGACTGCATAGTATTCCATGGTATATTTTCTTTATCCAGTCTATCACTGATGGGCATTTAGGTTGATTCTGTGTGTTTGCTATTGTGAATAGTGCTGCAGTGAACACATGCGAGTGTGTGTCTTTGTAATAGAACGACTTGTATTTCTTTGGGTATATATCCAGTAATGGAATTGCTGGGTTGAATGATAGGTTCTGTCTTTAGGTGAGGAATTACCATATTGTCTTCTACAATGGTTGACCTAATTTACTCTCCCATCAACTGTGTATAAGCGTTCCTTTTTCTCCACAACCTTGCCAGAATCTGTTATTTTTTAATAATAGCCATTCTGACTGGTGTAAGATGGTATCTCATTGTGTTTTTGATTTGCATTTCTCTAATGATCAGTGATGTTGAGATTTCTTTCAGATGATTGTTAGCTACATGCATGTCTTCTTTTTAGAAATGTTCACGTTCTTTGCCAGCTTCTTTTATGGAGTTGTTTTTTTCTTGTAAATTTATTTAAGCTTCTTATAGATGCTGGATATTAGACCTTTGTCAGATGCATAGTTTGCAAACATTTTCTCCCATTCCATGGGTTGTCTGTTTACTCTGTTGATAGTTTCTTTTGCTATGCAGAAGCTCTTTAGTTTAATTAGATCCCATCTGGCACCTTCATCATTAAATCTTTGCCCATGCCTGTGTTCTGAATGGTATTGCCTAGGTTATCTTCCAGGGTTCTTATAGTTTTGTGCTTTACATGTAAGCCTTTAATCCATCTGGAGTTAATTTTTGTGCATGGTGTAAGGAAGTGGTCTAGTTTCAATTTTCTGCATGTGACTAGCCAGTTATCCCAGCATCATTTATTGAATAGGGAATCCTTTCCCTATTGCTTGTTTTTGTCTGGTTTGTCAGAGACCAGATAGTGTGAGGTCTTATTTCTGGGTTCTCTGTTCTGTTCCATTGGTCTGTGTGTCTGTTTTTATACGAGTACCATGCTGTTTTGTTTACTGTAGCTCTTTAGTGTAGTTTGAAGTTGGGTAACTTGATACCTCCAGCTTTGTTCTTGTTTAGGATTGCCTTGGCTATTCAGGCACTTTTTTGGTTTCATATAAATTTTAAAACAGTTTTCTCTAGTTCTGTGAATAATGTCATTGGTAGTTTAATGGGAATAGCATTGAATCTATAAATTGCTTTAGGCAGTATGACTATTTTAATGATATCGATTCTTCTATCCATGAGCATGGAATGTTTTTTTTCCCATTTGATTGTGTCATCTCATCTCAGATTACTTTGAGCAGTTGTTTGTAGTTCTCCTTGGAGAGATCTTAAACCTTCCTAGTTAACTGTATTCCTACGTATTTTATTATTTTTGTTGCAACTGTAAATGGGAGTCCATTCATGATTTGACTGTCAGCTTGACTGTTATTTGTGTATAGGAATGCTAGCAATTTTTGCACGTTAATTTTGTATCCTGAGACTGCTAAAATTGTTTTTTAGCTTAAGAAGCTTTTGGGCTGAGACAATGGGGTTTTCTAGATATAGAATTTTGTCATCTGCAAACAGGGATAATTTGACTTCCTCTCTTCCTGTTTGAATGCCCCTTATTTCTTTATCTTGTCTGATTGCCCTGGCCAGAACTTCCAGTAGTATGTTGAATAAGAGTGTTGAGAGAGGAAATTCTTCTCTTGTGCCAGTTTTCAAGGGGAATGCTTGCAGTTTTTGCCCATTTAGTACAATATTGTCTGTAGGTTTGTCATATACGGCTCTTATTATTTTAAAGTATGTACCTTCAATATGTAGTTTATCAAGAGTTTTTAACATAAAGGGATGTTGAATATTATTGAAAGACTTTTCTGCATCTATTGAGATAATCATGTGGTTTTTTTGTCTTCAGTTCTGTTTATGGGATGAATCACATTTATTGATTTGTGTATACATCCAGAATCTCTGGAACACAACTAAGACAGTATTAAGGGGGAGATGTATAGCATTAATGCCCACATCAAAAAGTTAGGAAGATCTCAAGTTAATAACCTAACATCACAACTAAAAGAACTAGAGAACCAAGAGCAAACAAATCCGAAAGCTAGCAGAAGACAAGAAATAACCAAAATCAGAGCTGAACTGAAGGAGATAGAGACAGGAAAAAAACATTCAAAAGATCAATGAATTCAGGAGGTGTTTTTTTTTTTGAAAAAAAAGTTAATAAAATAATAGACCACTAGCTATACTAATAAGAAAAGAAAGAAGATTCAAATAAACACCATCAGAAATGATAAGGGGGATATTACAGCTGACCCCACAGAAATACAAACAACCATCAGAGAGTATTATAAACATCTCTATGCATATAAACTAGAAAATCTATAAGAATTTGATAGATTCTTAGATACATACACTCTCAAGACTGGACTAGAAAGAAATTAAAACCCTGGACAGACCAATAATGAGTTCTGAAATTGAGGCAGTGATAGCCTACCACCAAGAAAAGCCCAGGACCAGACAAATTCACAGCTGAATTCTGCCAGATGTACAAAGAGCCAGTACAATTCCTACTGAAACTATTCCAAAAAATGGGAAAAAAGGGAGTCCGCCCTAACCCATTCTATAAGGCCAGCATCATCCTGATACCAAAACCTGGCAGGGGCACAACAAAAAAAGAAAACTTCAGGCCAATATCCTTGATCAAAATTAACGCAAAAATCCTCAAAAAAACACTAGCAAACTGAATCCAGCAGCATATCCAAAAGCTTATGCACCATGATCAAGTAGGCTTCATCTGCGGAATCCAAGGTTGGTTCAACATAGGCACTCTTTTTAAAATTTGTTTCTTGTAGGTAAATAACAAAATCTTGCACAGTGTTTATCACCCAGTGGATACACATGTCCACTCCACAGGTCTTGTGCATGGCATAACTGTGTGGTGCACACCCTAATGTATTTTAAGTAATCAAAGTTTTCAAACTGTTGGTTATAAATCCCCATTTTTTAAAACAAAAGTCTTCTATTTATTTGTAAGTACCTTATCAACAATATATTCATCATCCAGAAGAATAAGATATGCCCTGACACTTGGAAAGTTGTTTGCCAAGTGATATCTCTGTGGGATTGCGAGTGAAAATTACCAGTGCTTTGCCCATTCTTAGTTACTCCAGATAATTTTCAAATATTAATATTGTCCATCTAGAATTCAATGTCCATGTTCTTAAAAATAAGACATTGTATGTGTTGTGGCAAACATGTCATGATGTGTGTGGGAGTAGGTGGTAGATGATGCTCCTCACCCACGGGTGGTCTGGAACTCATCAAATGATGGGAGTCATCTGGGGACACACAGACAGAAGCTGCACGGAGGAATTCGTGTCTATAACTATATCATGTTCTACTTTATGTATAATGAGGTCTCTCTGTTTACAAGTTGCTAGAGGCCTTACTAAAAGTAGGTTTCAGAATCTTTATGGACTGATAACTCTTTGTAGACTCTTAGTGAAGTCTTTGTATGGAATATATTAAGAAAATATTCTGAAATACTACTATTTCTCAAAAAAAGTTTACCTCCATGAATCATGTTAAAAAATGAACTCCCTTCAATATCCAAAAGCAGGGAGTTGAAATATTATATGAAAAGAAGGGAATGAGGAGAAGCAAAGAGAGGCCACACTCATTTTTGTGCTTCTTTCTCAGGAAAAATGAGATTGGAAAGAAGATGTAAGAAATTAAAACTGAAACCTCCTTTTGTCACCTTGTGTGCCTCCATTTTCTGCCAGTCTTTGGCTGGCTCTTCCCACATCCCATGTGAGAGCAGCAAGGTTCACCTACTGCAGCCCAGGACACAGCACTAACGTAAGAGGGCGTCTAGCATCTCTGTCCCCTGATATCCAGACCTGCTCTGTAGCCTCAGAGATGTGGGGATCCGGAAAAGAGGGAGATTTGGGCCATGGTTTAATACAAAAGCT
The DNA here is from genome assembly GCF_000001405.40 of Homo sapiens. NCBI lineage: Eukaryota > Metazoa > Chordata > Mammalia > Primates > Hominidae > Homo > Homo sapiens. Next base: position 107,486,444 of record NC_000013.11, on the reverse strand, counting down.
CCTTCTTCCTAGATTTTTCAGATCTTGCTTTCCCTGTTCACCTGCCGGCAACTCTTTCTATGATCTTTCCCCTAAGAATTCCTTTCAGCTAAAAAGTGAAGGTCTTTTTTCTTCACCAGTTAATTATTATGAGATGAGTCTGGTACATATCGACCCAGGTCCTGGAGAAAAAGCCCATAGTGTCCAATCAGCTTAGCTCTGTTCCGATCCGTAAGGACAGATGAATATCCTGTGTGTGTGCAATCTTGGCCAAGAGGAAACCGAACCTTGTTAACGTTGATAAATATTTCGAGCACTCAACTTTATGCCTGTAACCGAACTAGATTCTAGAGATAAAATGGATTGTAAAAATTTGTAGGCTTGTAGGATTTAGAAGGGTGGGAGGTGGAGGAAGATATACATAAAACAATTTCACAAATGTATGGAAAAATATGACTTTTAAGTGCCATGAGCACATATAACAGAAAAACTTGTCCTCATCTAGAGATCTGGGCAAGTTTTCTCAAGAGTGTAATTATCTTAGAATTAACGAAAAGAAGTGATGGAGAGGAAGGGTGAGATCATTTGCATGTGCAAAGCCATCCTCTATACCCTGCAGAAGAGTTGAGGGAACTGAGAAAAGCCACCTAAACAAAGACCCTGAGTGTACATAAAAGATTTTTGATTTTGGTTAAATTTTAGGTAGCAACATAGTGCAAAATTGCTTAAAGAAGTTGTGTACAGATGCATCTATATTTCTTGTAGAGCAAATGTTCATTTTTGCCTTCAATGAATAGTTATTGAAAATGATCTGCAAACTTCGTTCTCTACTGAGTACAAGAAATATAGAAATAAATGAGGCATGACCTCTGCCTGTTCCCAAGCAGTTCAGTTCCCAACCTACTTACAATAATATTGTTGAATATCTGATGGTAAATGAGATGTGGGGAATGGATATAATTGATGTGGTGGAAGGTAGAGTCCTTGTTTAAAATGTGTTGCTGTCCATTGAGATGTGTGGCCTGCAAAACTGCTTAGCACCTTACAAAACATGAGGACTGATGTCATTGCATAAGTCTGAAACTTTAGAATGCTGGGAAACAGGAAAGGAACTGATGGGATCCAAGTATTGAGGTTGCTGAGGCTCTAGCAGAAGTGCCAGTAAAGTGACTAATTAGCAATCATTAAAGTGAGTGACACCAAAGAGTCTAATTGGCAATCACGAAGAGAGGCAACTGTGAAAGGCACTGTCTTCATCTCCAAAACAATCACAGACATGCACAGCAGCTCTGGAGCCTTCATCATTGGGAAGATGGGAGTTACAAATGCAGCCCTGCTTCATAACACTTAGGTCATAGCTGTACGTTTAGGAAGTTTGCTGAAAAATCAGGTCTTTTCAATCCTTATGTGAGTTACCTAGCATTTATGAGGCTATCATGTCCTGTGAGGTTATAAACACAAGCAGAATTTGATATCCCATTATGTTCCACTGCTCAAGTACTTTGACCACTGGAAATACCCTAAAGACAAATACTCTGCAAAAGGGATTTCTCTGAGAGGCTTTCCAGCAAAAAATGGATTACCGTGTCTATGAACTAGAGTTTCTCTGCTGGCTTTCCCTGCTTATATGTTCCTGGAGTTCTGATTCAAACAATAAGTATTGCCTGCTGTGGTCCATAAAAGGAGATGTTCTCAGGAACTTCATGGTACCCTTATGCTACCATGTAGAACTCTGTACAAATATCAGAATATCTTCTGGATTTTATTCCTCCTTATCTTTCTCTGCTTTGCATAATGCCAAGTGTACTGTATTGCACTCAGAGCTACCAAGGAATTGGGGACATGTATTCATATGGTCATTCGTTCAACAATATGTGTTGGATGGCACTGGGAATCCAAAGATGGGTGGTAAAAAGCCCTGTTAAAGTCTTGATTGTTCTTTACTTAAGCTGGAGGAGGGAGAAGAAAAAAAGAAGAAAGTCCCTCTCACTTCAGAGCATATATTCTTCCCCTGCCAAACTGGTTCTCCTTGTCAAAGCCTTATGGGGATTTCATAATATGAAAGAATAATTTCAGTTTCAGATATCTAATATGTTCTCATGATTGAAAACATGACCATTCCCCAGAGTAATTTGCCAGAAAGTGTTATAAAGCAAAAGAGTCAAAAATGGACACAAAACTAGTTCAATTTCATATTGAATACAGAATATGCAGGAAAAATAGATAATTCACTTTTTTTAGAATTACTGCAATATATTGAAATATTGGGCATATTTTTTATTTATTTCAATTACCATCCTATTGTTAATAAGCTATCATAAATGATGACTTTCTCATTCTTTTTTGGCCTTCTGTACTGTGCTATAGTGATCTGGTGGACAAAGAACAAGACTTTACATTTAGAAAATTTACATTTAATGCTGACTTTTCCATTTACTTGCTGTTAAACGGTGAATAAAACATTTAATCTTCAAAATCGTGAAAATTATGATAATAATACCAATAGTAACTATTCCTTAGAATTTTTATGTGAATCTTACAAAATTTTATATATTTGCTTTAAAATAGTATTCTTTATCTCTAAAGCTTTTTTAACTATTATATTTATGTAGCATTTATATTTAATGCTATTAATTTAAAATTTAATGTTATATTAATTTATATTTAATGCAGATTGCTGACATTTTGAATACTAGTTTTAATGCTATAGTATAGTAATGTCACAAGTGTAAGAGATTAAATCTCAGATTCCAACTTGAAGCTCTGATTCCTCTCTCTGTAAATCTTATTCACATCTAATAAGAGTCAGTGGTTCAAAGCTCTTAGAACCAAAATTATACAGTTTAAGAAATTATTCCTATTCTAAAATAATCTGAAGTCTATTTTGTCTAGTGATCTCTTCCTCAAAAGGCCTACAGTTTTGTATGCAGGTTAAAAAATAAAAAATACTCTTTATAGATTGCTGTAACATATAGAAATCAGATTTATTAAAATCATAAGTATTATAGATGGAAATCTGATTATATGAAAACCAAACATACATTTCATTTTACCAAATCTAATGTGCTGTCAATTTTGAGACTACAAAAGAGAAGAACACAATTAAAATGTGACAAGCCATTGACTTTATTATACTTCTAGTTTTCAGATATAAGACATGAGGAATAAAGTTGTCTTTGAATCACGGAAATTTGGGACTTTTAATGAGATTTATATGCACTTTACCTAGCTTAGCTTAAAGCATTCATTTTGCTGGTCATACAACATTAATTCATCTGTTCATTTAGCTTATGGATAGTGATTTCTTCCTATGTGCAGGCATGATGCTAGGTGAATAAAAACAGACATAATCAGTGCATTGTGTTTACATACGGGAGCTCACAAGGTATTTGGGAGGTAGACATCAATCAGATAATCCCACCAATAAACGTAAAACTCCAACACCCCTAAGTACTACCAGGGCTGCGTCATTCTGGGAGGGCATTTAGACAGCTTACGTTTGGCATGGAGTTGAGGAAGGCCTCTCTGGGAGAGTTACATGGGGCTGAGGCCAGGAGGATGACAGAGTGTTAATTGAGAAGGGGAAGAAGTAGCTTGTGATTTACATATTAAAATTTATTATTCATAGTGCACGTTGCCAGTATGGCTAGGGAACTGCTTTGGGACTGCGTTTTCTCATATTCTTCTCCTTGACTGTCAAAGCCTCACAGTTTCCCTTCTGTGTATGACCTCTATCCATTTCTCATCCTGAGCCAGGCCAAAATATATTTCTGTTTACCCAGGACAACTATTCAAGACCATTTCCCATGCTATTGCTGAAAATTAATTTAATGGGCTATTTTTATTATATTGCTGAAAGCTATGTTTATTTCTCATGTGTTCTGCAGAATGTGCCTTTCTACATTTCTTAAAATAGCAGTTATTGCAGTTTCTCCCTTTCTTCCCTTGTTTTTAATTCCAATGCTCACCAAACTATATCTGAGTTTTCTCCTTTGCTGTCGATATGGAAGCATATTATAAATTGCTTTTCATTGAGGAGTAACATCCTCAGCGAGGCCCCTGGGTGTATTAGTCGAGGTTCTCTGGAGACACATAACCAATAGGACGTGTGTGTGTGCATGGACAGAGACAGAAAGATTTGTTGTAAAGAATTGGCTCATACCACTGTGAGGGTGGGCAAGTCCTCAATCTGCAGGGGAGGCCACGGCTGGAGACCCAGGAAAGAGCTGATGCTGCAGCTCAAATCCAAAGGCCATCTGGAGGCAGAGCTCCTTCTTCTCGGGAGAGATAAGTCTTTTCTCTTAAAGCTTTTATCTGATTGGATGAGGCCCATTCGTATTATGGAGGGTGATCTGCTTTACCCAAGGTCCATGATTTAAATGTTAATCTCATTAAAAAAAATACTTTCACAGTGACATCTAGATAGGTGTTTGACCAACTCTCTGGGTACCATGGCTTAGCCAAGTTGACACATAAACTTAACCATCACACTAAGATAATCAATGTCATGCAAATGGCAGAATTAAGGATAAAAGAATATTTCCCTCATTAGTTAAGTCAACTTCCTCTACTTCTACTAAAGCTTATGATATTTCTATGCCTTGATCGGGTAAAAACACTTAAAGACTACAGTATATTGGAGCAGAGGACTCCTCTCAAAAACTTCCTGTCCTCTAGGGGCCCTTCAAATATCACCTTTTCCAAGAAGTGTTGCTTATGCTGTTAATTAGATGCACCCACTTCACCCTTGAAGCCCTCATAACACTTCACACACTCCTCCCCCTTGGATTTTCACTTATCCTGCTTCACCAGGAGATTCTCGGGCAGAAAGCATTGTGTCTTTTCATCCTTTGTCCTCTGAGAGCAGTACCTTCCATCAAGTAGGTGATTAATAGATCGTTTTTAACTCACTAACAAACTCAACTATAAAAAGTCAAGTTCAGTACCTGTTTACATGCTTTGGAGAGTAGTAAACAATTGATTTTAGTTTAATTGCTTTTATAATAACTTATTTTTAATAGCAAAGAAATTAACTTTTTTCATTTGAGTTTGAAAGGGCTGTAGGAAAGAATTTTAGACTATTAAGTCACTTGAGATATATTATTGTGACAAGATGTATCGTTAGCAAACTGTTTCAAGATAGTATGTCATTTATTCGGCATTTTAGGGATGGGCAGTTTTCAGTCTCAGGGAGATTTTTCATGATATGGAATCTTTCAGCAGCATCATCTTGATCTCAATGACATTATGATAGAACTGCTCTTTAATTGCACTAATTAAGCTCTCAGCAATCAATCCAGTGGTAATATGTTTGTCAAAGCAGTTTAAAAGTAATTAGTAAAAGAGAAAAATCTTCATCCTCAAAAAGCCAGGGCTGCCTCAAAACCTCTTCAGATTGTCAAAAGGGCTAACATATTCAAATCTTGATCTTGTTCAATAAAGTCCTGGGTTATTTCAGTTATCAAACGATCAAAGTTTTTTTTTTCAACCCAGTTTGTTTTACTTTGGAATATTTTTAAAGATTTTAGTGGGTTTCGTAGAAGTATTAGCCAAATGATATGAGAAAGCCTTCATCAGTATGTTTTGTTTAAAATTAGAGATTTAGTCGAAATACTATTTTTAGCAAATATTATTGCTTCGTTCGAGCTTTAGACTTTCCTTATCTCATATAACTTTATCTGTGTTCTACAATGTTTCATTTTAGACTAGAATAAAAAATAAAACAGTTCTTTAGTATAAACAGATTTAAATGTTCTATAGTAAGCTTGTCCAACCCACGGCCCGTGGGCCGCATGTATCCCAGGACAGATTTGAATGAGGCCCAACACAAATTTGTAAACTTTCTAAAACATTATGAGACTTTTTGGGGGGATTTTGTTTTTAACTCATCAGCTGTCATTAGTGTTAGTATATTTTATGTGTGGCCCAAGACAATTCTTCTTTCACTGTGGCCCAGGGAAGCCACAAGATTGGACACCCCTGTTAGAGACTTGAAACATCCAAGACATGTAGCAATTTGGAATTTTACTGAAGAATCAATTTGAGTCAAAATATTCCAAGGCAGATATGCTAGAATTACTCAGATAATGACTTAATAAATGAAGAAGTTAGTGAGTAAGCTAATGAGTAAGCTTAACCACCTGAAAGGCACTACATGTTTTACTATTAAAAGGGGTCTCTGAAGTCATTGTGCCAAGTTTCACAATTCAGCTCCTCCACTCATTAGCTATGTGTTCTTGGTACATTTACTGGAGGCCCTCATCTGGCCTCAACTATAAAATGGGTTTAATACTAGCAGAAACGGTGCTTAAAAATGTTAGATTTTAATAACTAAATTTGGCTTTAAAGTTTTTGTCTCCAAATCATGAGTAAGTGATCCCCTCTACTGATTAGTATTTTAGGTTATTTTTTGAAATTGGATCCTTTGAAACATATTTTTCCCTTTCCTATATCAAGCCAGAAATTACTTAAATGACCCATCTTCGTAGTGTCAATCTCCTTCTTGGTATTGCAACCACTTTTCATGAAGGTAAAAATTGCAGAGAGAGAAACTGAATGGAAGTAACTGTGTGTGACTTTCAAAAAAAAGCCATTTCTTCTATATTAATTTCCTCTGGAGTTCTTGAAATATAATCTACTTAAATTTTTAAAAAGTTATACAGGCAAATTTCTAATATGTCTGTCATACATTTCATGGGTCTCAAATATTGTTTTACAATAGGCTAAAACTATAGGAGCATAATATCTTCCTTGAAAGTCTGGATATTAATTGGTGGTGCATGTAATTAGACAAAAGACATTAGCTCCTCCTCCTTACATTTTTTTTTCCAAGAGCAAATCTCCCTTAAAATTTCATCTAGTACTTTAATTGTTTAGAAATTAACTGTTTAACCATTCTAATTCCAAAGGACGAAAGTCACAATTATGAAGGTGGATACATATAGGTTATGTGCCAGCAACAAATGTTATATATTAAAAAAGTTGTTGTGGAGGAGTTAGAGCAGAATGAGAATCAGTCTTCTTTGATAGATATGTAACAGAAATAAAAATATTTTAAAATATAGGAGATGAATATAAGATTGGCATTTTTAACATCATTGTAAAAGTAAAACAAAGAGATACTATGGAGCAAAATGATCATAAGAGGGTAATAGTTATGATGCCAGGAGTTTCAAAATTCCCAGAAGTCAGACCCTGATAGCTCTCTTGAGGGCTTTGCACTGCCAATGCAGATGTTTCCAATGTTCAGGAAAAACTTTGAAAAACTAGAGTGTCTGGGCAGGGAGAGAGGACAGTGGGATCAGAACATGCAGCAGCTGCCTCTCATCTGGTTTAATGGACTGACTTTAAGGGCATCTTCTAAGGAAGGTTGGTACTGACAGTGTAAGTCATTCCTTTGGCACTCTGCATTCATTTGAATTAAAAAGCAACTTTGATGTGAAGAATTTTTAATTCTCCTGGTTTGCCAGGTGCTCTGCATGATGAAACCCTGAAGATACTTTTGAACTGTTACTTTCATGGAAAGTCAGAAATTATTTTATTTTAGGATCTGGAACAAGCACATTTCTTTCTAAACATTCCACATATTTCTCAAATATGTATTTTTAACACAATAAAACTCTGTAATACGTTACATAATAGTGACTTTTTGTGTTGAAGTGGCACAAATCCGAGGTTTTAGTGAAAATCAAAAAAGGCTGTTTCTTTAATTTTCCTAGTTATGCAAAAAAAAATTATAAAAACAAATATAAGCATTTATCCCTACCAGCGATTAAGTACAGCACAGTGGTTTAAACACAGAATGGAAAACCAGACTCTCTTTGTTGAACTCTTTTAGGTGACATTGAGTAAGTTCTATGTCCACTTTGTTTTTGTTTTGACTTTCCGAAAAATCCGTACTATGAAAATAGTAACTTCACCAACCCCATAGTGTTTTTGTAAATAGTAAATTAATGCAAAGAACAGCCTCTGGTATTTAAAAATATTCAACACTGACTTTTTTTCTTGTTTGATATGTTATATTTTATTTGTAAATTTTATTTTCTAGGTATTTTTGTTTTGAATCGTTTTAAAATGTTAACTAACCAAATTACATGATTAGATTTTGTTGAATTCTCTGAGAAAAAGATAAGGTCCAACTAGAAATAAAAATTACATTTAGGAATCTCAACATTCATTTCAACAAGTATTTTGAGTTTTGCAAATACTCTGTTCACATCAAAAATGCACATTTCTTATGTGAGAAAATGAGTGTTGACTGCCAACTCCCTGAAGGATCATGATGAAGCAAAAATTGCACCAGAAAAGTTATACAGCAAGAATGGCTTCATTTAAGGTTACTGCAATAAGAGTTAGACAGACTAAACCCAACTAGGAGCTTAACTCTGCTAAGACAAAGGGCTGGAGAGTTTTAAACGCAGAGAGCAGGGAGCAGGATGGTAGGTTGTCTGAGTGTACTAACCTTCTGTGGAGAAATCATACACTTTCTGTGACAGGAGGCATTTATACTTTGAAGCAAGGCATCTGCTGAAGTTAGGCTTCTACCCTCCTATAAGGACTGGGAGATAGAAGTTCTATCTTCTTTGATGATTACTTTTCGAAGGAATGGCTTGTAGGTCCTTGAGAAAGACATTCCTGGGTTGAAAACCTGGCAGCAGGTTGGAAGAAGACATACACCTTTAAGCGGCAGGAAAAAAAATTAGTTACAGGTTTTCTAAAGCCTCCTGCCCTAATCAATCCTAAAATAAATGCTCTTAAAAATTATTTTAAAAAAAAGAGTCCTGGAATCAAGAAACTTGTCTGAAATTTAGTCACACGGAGGAGATATGAAGGTTGTCTTGAGCAACTACCAAGAGTAACCTGTTGATCAAGCAAAGCTCAGTTTATTGCTTCCAGTAAGGAAGATCACAAGAAGATGACTTTCAGTAATTTTCAGAAGGGAGGGCCTAGGAATGGATATTTGTGGGCTTTTTGAGGTCTGGACTCAAGTTATTTAAGATAAATCTTTCCCTATAGGGACCTTAGGAGGATTGGCCCAAGGTCCTGATTTTGTGATTTAGGATTAGTGGACTCCTAGAGGTGAGGGTCTTGAAGCAAATATTGATAAATAAACATTTGTTCTATAAAAGAGCAATTTGCTGAGAGGGGTGCTGTTTGAGCAATCTGTTGGTTTGGGGAAAGCTCCTGAAGCCAACCATGAAGTTATTTACTGACTTACAGCTTTATCTTCCTGAGCAAATATTTGTGAAACAGATAGTAAAGTCAGGTTGATGCAGAAGACCCTGATTCTTGGTCCTCGTTATTAAACTATGGGACTCCTTGAGGTCTCAGTTCACAGTAAGTTATTGAAAGTTCAAGTGTACAAATTTCTATTTTTCAGAAATTGAAATAGAAGACAAAGATGACTTTTATTTCACTAGACTTTTTATTGACTCAGTTTCCCTGACTGCAAATGCCATTAGTGAGAGTTTCAAGCATTGCATAAAAATAATTTTTAAGGTCATATTAATATGACTAGTATTCTAAAAAAATATTGTCCATTTTAATTCTCTACTTACTTTCCTAAATTGTTTATTGACTTACAAATTAATTGATCCCTGAGCTTCTAAATACCTCTTGGCTCATTAGAAGAACACTTGTATTAATTGACCCAGCAGAGGGTCTCTGTGGTTGTCTCTGCTGCCAGAGAATTTCTACTAGGTGAGTCCATTAAGGATTCCCATATAAATCTATAATCACAACCTTATGATATTAAATGCAAAAATTTGCAGCTCCACGTGTTGCAAGTGAGGTGTATTTATAAATAGAACTAATAAATTGTCAAAAAGTATCTGAACTTTATTCACTCCTCTGAGAAAGATTATGCTAAATGTTTTGGATGGTTTGATACTGTTCAGGTATCAAAATAATAGAGTTCTTACTGTTAGAATGAATAACTTGCTTAAAATATATTAAAATAATTAGATAGATTTAATAATACAACTGTTTTTAAAGGCAGGATTATATACATTTTCAGCCAAAATAGCTCTTAATCTAATTTAATTTTCTTATACATTACACATGAGAAAAAAATATGCTCAGATGGTTAAGGATCTAGTCAGACATTTGGTAAGGGAAATCAGAAATTCTAAAGCTTTGTATCATAACTCTTTATAGCACATTGCATGCTAGTTTGGAATATTTTATTTTATAATCACCGCCTTTGATGAGTGGATTTGATAAGAAAGGTTATTTGCGTGCATGAGACATCAAATTAGACTTAAGAAGTCGGCTGCCTGCAATGGCAGGACACTCTTTGTAATCCAAAGATGCTGTCCTCAAAAGGAATTACATGAATTCTAAAATATTATACCTTTCAAATATCTATTTTTTCAAGATCTAAACCTGTCACCCAAGTACTGATACATTTCTCAAAAGAATATAGATGTTTACATACCTTAAATCTCTTCTTCTCAATGAATCTGTCTTCAGAAGCATTATGTCCAGTGATTTATAGGTTTTGGGATTGCTTTTTCTCACATTCTTTCTTACTATTTATAACTCTCCTGGGTCCATGGGGAAAAAAAGAGGGAAATTGTATTTGGGCAGCACTGGATGAAGACTTTAGGTATGTGTGTCTCTGTCTTTGGTTTCCTACATAGTATTGGTTGAACAACTCTCAATAAATAGTTTATATGAGGAAATAATCTTTATTGATTTAATTGTGTTCATTTTATTGACTAGAAGAGACAAGAATTCCCTGAGAATTTCTTTAGTAGTTTCTACCATAAAATTAGGCTATAATTATGCCTAGTTTTATTAGTTCATTCCTTGGCTCTTCAAGTATTTTTAAATCATTGATTTGAAATGTGAATTCTTATTACCCCAAGAAATCTCCAACTTGGTCAAGAACTTTATAGTAATTAACATCCTCCCTCATTTAATTCATTTAATACATTTCTCCCTCAAATAATCCAGTACATTTTTGTTCATCATTAGTTCTAGTAAACAGAACAAGTATCAAACTGAGTAAGCTCAGACTTGGCAGCAATTTGTGGATAAATGACATCTAAGTTCAGCTGATTTCAAGAGTAGTAGAGCAGACACTAAAAACTAACGCAAACCTTCAAAGTACAGTTTCTAGAAGATAGTATAAAATACAGTAATGTGCTGTCTTGTGTTTGGACCCTATCAAAAGTGTTTTGTTCAGTACCTGGCTGTATGAACACAAAATGCTATACGCAGAATTGAAGAGTGCTTTCCACATGTGTTCAATGAATGATAGCCGAGTTCAAATATAATGTTCGGATGACAAACCTTCCAATGATGGGGCCTGTAGTGTTGTTTCCCTTTCACATTTCAGCTCTTCTGGCCTCTTCTCTCAAATGTGAGTGCCCTTCTTGGTTCTCTAATGAGAACCTCTTGTTCTATTTTCCTGGGTGGTAGCAAGTTTAGATATTGTACCCTGCTGGCCACTTGACACTTAGCAGATGACGTGCTCTGATTTGTGTTTCAGGAAAATGTGACAGCCTCATTAAAAGAACCAGAAAGCTTTCAAACTGGTATGAAATTAGGGACCCTGAAAGAAGGAAAGCATATGACCAATATTTGCCTAATAACTTCTTAGAGAATATGTCTTATACTTGTGAGTATACAAAAGAACCCAGGCACAGACATTATACACTTCATTTCAAAAATGTCTACCTTCTGTTAACAAAAAAAACTTCCATGGTAGGATCTGTCTCTACCCATATACGTACTTGGATAGTGCCTCCCATAACTATTAAATCTCTTGTTCTTGACTGTGTACTATGAAAAATCTCAAGCCTGCAGATACATTGATTGAATAACACAATAAACACCTACATTTAACATTCTGCTACATTTTCTCTCTCTCTCTGTATGTATGTATGTGTATTTTTCTCTAACCCATTTTAAAGTATGTTGAAGACATTATTACATTTCTCTCTCAAATAATCTAGCATATTTTTGTTAAGTATTAGTTCTAGTAAACCATACGAGTATCAATATGAGAAAGATCAGAACTTGACAGCAATTTGTGAACAAATGACATAGAAATCCAGCTTATTCCAACAACAGTGTGGGGCAGGAGCTAAAAACTAACACAATTCTTAAAAGTACAGTTTCTGGATGATAGTATGAAATATAGTTCTATCTTGTGTTTGGACCACATCAAAAGTATTTTGTTTAGTATTTGGCTGTAACATTCCAGTTTATACCCTTGAAAAGGGAAATTTAGTCCTTGTTCCATTGACAATGTTAGGGATTTGAGTTACTATAATAACTTATATGCCTGTTGTTATCCTATACTGTCCCTTAATTTCAGAAAAAAAAATTTTATTCAGTTCTGAATGTTCTTATTGAGAAAAGTAGTCAATAGAGTGTGCCCAAAGGAGCAACACTTGAGAGAAGAAGGGAGTAGAAATTGTCTCTCATAAAGGGTAGGGAGGGAGCTGCAAGGGTCCCAGTGTACGACTGTGGGGAGACCATGTCCTTATCCCTTATTCCTAACACTCCTTGTTCATATACAGGGAAAAACACATACAAGGCACAGGAAGCAGGTGCAGGGACAGTGTAGGGCCCCGCTGTCATCACCGGAGCCAACAGCCACTGAAACCAGATGGTTGGGAGAAGTCGCACTTTTGTTTCCCCTTGAATGTGGGAGAATAAGAAGAACTATTTGGGTAGAATTTTGTATGTAAATCAGTACAAACCATTGGGGCAGGGAGCAGGGTGGAAGGGCGTCTGCTGAATGGAGTGAAAATGAAGACTATGAGAATCTAAATCTGAGATGGTCTGCTTCTGTAATTCTACTACTATCTTTTGGCCTCTCTTTTCCATAAGCAAATTGTTGTTTCAATGGTCCTTCCCTCTACCTTCTCTTAGGCAGTGCCATGGTATTTTATGAGACATATGTCCTGTTTTCTTCAGAGAAACAACCACCATTTGTTGAAATTATATTACAATATAACTGTATCTTGGGTGACTTAGAGAGTAATTAAAATGCTGACCTTGCGTTTTATTTTAATTTTGGTGGAGAACGCGGAGAACACTTGCCATACATGAAATACAATCAGAGTGAGACTTCTAAGGAGCTTACTGAAATTAACGTTCCTGTATTCTAAGTCAACAAAGCAAACAGGTGAATTTGTTATCAAATTCCAGGTGTGTCCAAAACCCCAATGTTAGAGATGATGAGTAAAATGGTTGTTACTTTCCAGGACCCTGGCGCTGAAGAATCTAGACCTACACTCATGAAAAAGATCAGTCAGTGTAAAAACAGAAAAGCCTGTGGTACACAAGGGAAGCATTGGTATTCCAGAGGGAGAATCTATGTAAGGTGAAAGTAAACACAAAAGAAAGCTTCATACAGGATGCTGTGTTCGAACTGATCCTTGAGGAAAGTATGCTCATTCAAGAGGAAAGGATGAAGGCATTTCAGGAAAAGTGGGAAAGTGAGCAGTGCTTGGGAATAGAAAAGACAAATTCCAGGTTGAAAAGGAAAAAAGCAGCAAAAGAGGAGCATGCTTCTGTTTCTCCCCAGTATTAGTCAGGGTTCTCTAGAGGGACAGGACTAATAGGATAGATGTATCTATGAAAGGGAGTTTATTAAGGAATATTGACCTGCATGATCACAAGGTGAAATCCCACAATAGGCCGTGTGCAAGCTGAGGAGCCAGGAAGCCAGTCCCAGTCCCAAAACCTCAAAAGTCAGGAAGTAGTGTAGCTTTGAGACTGTGGTCAATGGCCCGAGAGCCCCTGGCAAGCCACTGGTATAGGTCCAAGAGTCCAATAGCTGAATAACTTGGAGGCCTATGTTCAAGGGCAGGAAGCATCCAGCACGGGAGAAAGATGGAGGCCAGAACACTTAACCAGTCTAGTCTCTCCATGTTCCTCTGCCTGCTTTTATCCTAGCCACACTGGCAGCTGATTAGATGGCACCCACCCTCAACCTGGGTTGAGGGTGGGTCTGCCTCTCCCAGTCTACTGACACAAACGTTAATCTCCTTTGGCAACACACACACAGACACACCCAGGAACAATACTTCACATCCTTCAATCCAATCAAGTTGACACTCAATATTAACCATCACAGCCCCAGTGTTATCTGAAGTTTATTTGTTTGTTTGTTTGTTTTGAGAGGGAGTCTCGCTCTGTTGCCCAGGCTGGAGTGCAATGGCACGATCTCAGCTCACTGCAACCTCCACCTCCCAGGTTCAAGCAATTCTCCTGCCTCAGCCTCCCAAGTACCTGGGATTACAGGTGCCCGCCACTATGCCTGGCTAATTTTTGTATTTTTAGTAGAGACGGGCTTTCACCATGTTAGTCAGGCTGGTCTCGAACTCCTGACCAGTGATCTGCCTGCCTCAGCCTCCCAAAGTTCTGAGATTACAGGCGTGAGCCAATGCGCCTGGCTATATCTGAAGTATTTATGATTACTTTGGAGCCTGTATTTTAGCACTAGATGAATCACAGAAAAAGTACTGTTGGTAAGTTCACAGGGATATACAGAATAGGTTAATACATTTTTTTCTTGACTGTTTTAATAATTGGAGAGACAAAAACATATTCCTCTCTTTTTCTTCTCTGCCATTTTCAAAGAAAATAATACATTGGGATGAGATGTCATAATGCATAAATGACTTGAATAATTTTAAGTGCCACAGGGATACCCCATGTTTTAAGAAGGGTACTTATCTTATATTTTCATTTTATCCCCTGCTCCTCTATGAATGAAGAGATCTAATTCTTCAGATAGCAAAACAGAAACATTTCTTCCCAAATGGCACATTGATTAGAGAGCTTATTTTTGAGGTTTCTATAGTGGATACAAAAAGTCAAAATAAGACATCAATGAAGCCAACATATAATAAATTACCAATAATTTCTTAGTAATTAAAAGTCATACTGGAAACTTACATAATATCCACGCCATGGCACTTTCTAAATAAGTCCCACAATATTAGAATATGTACAGCAGAAACTGTGCTGTAATTGCCTCCTGACCAGCTGCCCCTGCCTACCCTTCACTTCATTTCACCATCCCCTGACCCAACTGCAAACCCCATCCCTCCCTTCTTTTGCACCTGCTTCTGCCCTAGACAGTTCTAAAATTACATGGCCAAAATGCTCTTTCTTATATGTACATGTGTCTTATTTTTTAAGAAATATGGTAGATAAATTAGCATTTTAGAAGGAATATAATCCGCATTTTTAAAAATTGCCAATTTGATGATCACAATGTAACTTGTGTCTCACATGGTAATTTGGTTACGGCAATAAATAGCGTTATGCGCACACACATGCCATAAGTTATACAGTCTAGAGATGCATGGATTTCTCTTTCAGCCTCTCCAGTAGGATGGCCAGCTTTATCAATGGGTTTGGATAAGAGTGACTTCATATCACAATATCATAATATACCATGCTGCAAATAGTTCTTGAAGAATATTTTCCAGCTGTGGGAATGATTTTTCTTGCTCAATCATAAACCAGTTTTTTGGCCTTCATTTTAGCAAACTAGACTCATTGCCAAAACTTACACAATATAAAAGCATGTAAAATATGTGAAAGTCACCCTTTAAATTATTAACGATCGTAGTTATTAATAATCTTATATTATTATTTTGTGTGTATACATAAGTATACATGTATATGTGTATTATATTATAATAATATGACTATATAAAATCAT
Source organism: Homo sapiens (assembly GCF_000001405.40). NCBI lineage: Eukaryota > Metazoa > Chordata > Mammalia > Primates > Hominidae > Homo > Homo sapiens. The sequence goes on along the minus strand of NC_000013.11, from coordinate 107,470,771 downwards.
TATCTGACTCCAAAACATTTCAACAGTTCAAACAGAATTATGTTAATATTTTTTCATGTCTTCATCGTATGTCATGGACTGCATGTAAAACAATTCATTTAAGCATTGGCCATTAAGGGACACTTTGGTTTTTCCAGCTCCCTCAGTTTTGCAAATAATGTTCCAACAAACATTTTTGTACATGTATGTATGTGTATTTGTGTGACTATTTCTGAAGGACAGCTTTCTAGAAGTGAAACGTTGACCTCAGTTAACCTTTGACTTTATTGGTAGTGGACCAAAAGTGAGCAATGCAAAGAAAACTTCGTGACTTCCCTGGATTTACAGTATATCATATGAACAAATGTGTCTGACTGTCTGTAGCCAAGTAGACTTTTGCTCTACTATCTGCATGCATAGATGAGACTTATGTTCTGCCTGAAAGATAAAAGAATGTTCAACCATGAACTTTTGAGGATAGGTGTCCTAAAGCATTGAATGTTTGGATCCTTTCTCTGCTACCTCACTAAAGTGTCAAATAAGGAAGGAAGTAAATTTAAAATGAATAGTTTAAGAACAACCATATGCAAATAAGTAAAGTTAGGGACCATTAGACCTTTCCAGACAAGATTTTATTATTCTAGCATTTTTAAATTTTTTTGACAATTACTGTGAGATTCAATTATAAATATTGATTTATTACCTAAGAGGGATGTCATAAACTTATCTTGATTAAAAAGATACATAGTTGGTCGGGCGTGGTGGCTCATGCCTGTAATCTCAGCACTTTGGGAGGCCGAGTCGGGCAGATCATGAGGTCAGGAGATCGAGACCATCCTGGCTAACACGGTGAAACCCCGTCTCTACTAAAAATACAAAAAATTAGCCGGGCGTGGTGGCAGGCACCTGTAGTCCCACCTACTCGGGAGGCTGAGGCAGGAGAATGGCATGAACCTGGGAGGTGGAGCTTGCAGTGAGCTGAGATCGCACCACTGCACTCCAGCCTGGGCAACAGAGCGAGACGCTGTCTCAAAAAAAAAAAAAAAAAAAAAAAAAAAAGATACACAGTTGACTCATCGCATTTACGGGTTCTACATCCACAGATTCAACCAACTACAGATAAAAAATATTAAAACATAAAAAAAACTTAAACATACAGTGTGTCAGCTATTTACATAATATTTATATTGTACTTGGTATTATAAGTAATCCAGAGATGATTTAAAGTGTACAGGAGGATGTGCCTAGATTGTGTGCAAATACAACACTATTTGATGTAAGGTAGTTGAGGATCCACAGATGTTGGTACCAAGGGAGGCTCTGGAATCAATCCCCATGGACACGTAGGGCCAAGTGTACTTTACAACCACATGGTGGACACTTCCATTTTTTTTCTGCTGCCATAATTGGGCATATAACAATCATGTCTCTTATCTATAACTGTTAAAATAAAACTTGAGGCATCGTCTATAAGAAGCATCACGTATGAGAAGTATCATCTGTAAATGATAAAATCTTTGATTTCTCTCTCAAAGGTCATATTTAAAGAATTTATATGCAGCTTAGGTTGAAAAATAATAAATGCGCTCTAAAATAGAATACCTTGTTGAATAGGAGAAATTTATGACACCTTTTTTTATGACTGATTTTTAAATATAGAGTAGAATTTTAAAACTGAGTATAAAAATATAAAGTAGAATTCTGAAGCTCATTTTAGAAAAGTGAGTATATCGGTAAAAGTAAAACCTCAGAGACCTTGGAAAATATTAAAGTTCATATTTTATGGCAAAAATTTTATTGAGAAAATTTTCTCAAAATTCAGCAAGACATACCAACTATAATCATGCTGTTGTATCTTTATTAGATAATCATAAAATATATTTATTTTAATAGGTAATTATGCCTGTGTTGCTGTGTGTACTTTGACTCCATACCATGCAAATACACCTATAAAATAATTATCTTCTTTAAATACTAGGATTTTCTCTCTTGTTTGTTGCCAAAATGTTTTTCTCATACTCCCAATGTTAAAATCACCCATTATTATAACTATTTGTTTGCATATTCGATTCCTCTCTTACTCTTCCAGAAGTTCAGTTATTCATTAAAACATTTGACAGTGTTTGTTACATAATAATTTTAATCAGAAACTACATATTTTATATCCGGAGCTTTAAAATTATGTCTGGTCAGCTATACTGTTGAAAATAGAAATTGATTTACTTACTATTTTATTGTAGTTTCATACTTTTTACAATGGCTAGTTTTAAAAAGAGGCAACTTGCACACAATTGAAGTGGATCAACCCCTCTTAACCAGTTGTGGCTATAAAGATTGACAGCAGTGGGTGGTCAGCCTTCCTTTCATTCTTCCATGTACACAGGTGAGTGTTGCTGTCTATTTTTCCTCCAGCTTTCAAAGTTTATGAGAGTGGAAAAACGGTCATGTATACATCTTTGTACCTGTTAATATTTGTTGAATGGAATCAAACTTTTTGGCATAGTGGCCTCCATTTTGCCTTAGGTAATGACAAGTAAATTTTAATGAATTAGGGTTGAATTAAATTAAAGCAATAACCGCTACAATTTTCTTCTGTGAATTGTAAAATACATCAGAAATTTGTTTGTTATTTGCGATAATCAAGTGCCTTTCCATGGCAGAAAAACAGACAGAGGTACAGAACAGGCCTCTGACTGTTTTTGCCAGACAGTTGCTGATTTTAATACTTTTTTTTTTTTTTTTTTTGAGACGGAGTCTCGCTCTGTCGCCCAGGCTGGAGGGCAGTGGCGCGATCTCAGTTCACTGCAAGCTCCGCCTCCCGGGTTCACGCCATTCTCCTGCCTCAGCCTCCCGAGTAGCTGGGACTACAGGCGCCCGCCACCACGCCCGGCTAATTTTTTTATTTATTTATTTTTTTGTAGAGATGGGGTTTCACCATGTTAGCCAGAATGGTCTCCGTCTCCTGACCTCATGATCCACCCGCCTCGGTCTCCCAAAGTGCCGGGATTACAGGCGTGGGCCACCGCACCCGGCCAATACTTCTTGAATATTGATTGTAAATCGTATAAGAATTTTACTGATGGTTTAAAGTATTTGACTTTTCACTGTTCTTATTTGCCTCTCATATGGCTATTTCCCCTACTAAATGCAATATTAATAAAATAAATTTCTTAATTGCTAATTTGTTTTTATTAATCATAAAAAATTAGGAGAAGGTAATGAAATTTTTATTATGGATTTCAGTAGCTTGACTTTATGGCAACACTCAAGAAGAGCAAGTAGGATTGAATATGCTGCTATCCCTTTGTGGGTAGATCATGAAAATTTTAATATATTTCACATAGAAATGGAAGAATGTGGAGTAGTGGTAATTATTCTGGGGAACTGTTTTTTTAACCATGAAATTAAGGTTAATTCAAATTAAGAAAATTAAGATGAAATGTTTTTAACCTTAGTCTCTTAGTAATGAAAGTATATATCTATTTTAGGTGCCAAAATCGGACAGATTTTAATTTGATATTTATCATTTCTACTTGTAATAGAAATGTCATCAGGATTCAGTTACTTCTATGTCAACATGGAATTATGTAATCTGCTCTCAAAATTCAAAAGACTACCAACATGTATTAAAATGTCGATCAAGAATTCATATATACATTTCAAGAATATGTTGAATTAACAGATGAAAAAAACTCCTTAGAAAAAGTGGTCAAATATTTCAAGTGAAGTTTGGTGGGGAAGTAAAATCTTTAAGAAATTACTATGCATCATTGTCAGTTAAGTGCAATATAAAATGGACATACATAAATGAAAAAGCCAGAATAAATAAAGTTGACAGAGAAATTTAAAAGAAGCAAGAAGCCGTTTTCCACACCCATACCCTGGTTGCACATTGACCACACACTCCAAAATAGGGAGGAAAACCGAGACAACACCCTGAAAGAAAACAAAACCAGAAACAGCACTTTACAAGAAATTCTCCAGAATCTTATAATACAAAGACATTTTCTACAACTCAGATCTCCTTTCCAGATTAGCCTAATTTCTTTTTATTTCAAGAAATGTGCTTCTGAATTATCAAATAAACTCTCTCAATCTCTGCTTCTGCCTGAAGTTGAATGGATGAAACAACTAAAAATCTGAAGATTTTATAAGATTTCCATATGCTGTAGACCACAAGGACGAAGGCAGTTGTTGTCCTACCTGGAAGCAGGCAGTGCCTTGACTCATTTGCTCCAGACCCTGTCTCTGACATGCTTGGCAGACATTCTCCCCAGATGAGTCACTCCTGAGACCTGCATTTGAGTGGATCTTCCATGTCCTGCAACCCTGATTTCCACCTCAGCCATTCTTACCCTTATTACCTTATCCATGTCATTATTGAACTTGCTCCCTGCTATAGACTTTGCATGTGTGTGGACCTCCAAAATTCCTATTTTGAAATCTAATCACTGATATGCAATAGAATTAAGTGGTGAGGACTTTTGAGAGGTGACTGGGTCATTGATATGGTTTGGCAGTGTCCCATCCAAATCTCATCTTGAATTGTAACTCCCACAATTTCCACATGTCATGGGAGGGACCTGGTGGCAGGTGATTGAATTATGGGGGCAGCCCTTTTCCTGCACTGTTTTTGTGGTAGTGAATGAGTCCCATGAGATCTGATGGTTTTAAAAAGGGGAATTTCCCTGCACAAGTTCTTCTCTTGTCTGCCACCATGTGAGACGTGCCTTTCACCTTCTGCCATGATTGTGAGACCTCCCCAGCTACGTGGAACTGTAAGTCCAATAAATCACTTTCTTTTGTAAATTTCCCAGTCTCAGGTATGTCTTTATCAGCAGTGTGAAAACAGACTAATACAGTCATGAAAGTGGAGCCCTTATGAATGTGAATAGTGCCTTATTAAAACAGGCTTGAGGAAACTTGCTCACCCATTTCACCATTTGAGGACACAGCTAAAAGGGGCCATCTATGAGGAACAGGCTTTCACCAGATGCAAAATCTGCTACCTTAATCTTTGACCTCACAGATTTCAGAATTGTGAGCAAGACATTTCTGTTGTGTATAAATGACCTAGCGTTAGGTATTTGTTTATGACAGCCCCACCAGACAAATACACTCCCCAGTGCCCCATCTCATCAACAGCCATAGCATCATTGCCAGTGTGGAGTAGGATTCCATTCCAAGTTCTGGTTGGTGAAAATGAAGCTCATTACATAAGGAATGCATTAGCACATTATATATACCAGTGAAGACAGCAGTCTGATAGATCTCCTCTGAACTACTTTGCTCATCAGAATCTTGTGTGATAGAGGTTTTCCCAGAGCACAGAGACCCAGGCAGGTGCTAAGATAGGTAAAACAAGTACTTAAATTAGGAGGGTAAAGAAAGAGTAAAAAAAATTGTATAAACTTTAAGATTTATAAAGAATGCTAGGCAAAAAAGTAAACAAAGAGACATATATATATATATATATATAATTATACAGTTTGATTCGTAGTATATATTAAAAACATGACAATATTTAACAAACCAAAAAGTGAGATATTTAATAAACCAAGGGACCATGTAGCATTTCCTTTTATATTAAAAAAATCTAAATTGAAAACTTCTGTGACCGTACCAAAGTTTCACATAATGTTAATAGAAGCTAAAAATAATTTAAAAATCATGAAGCAGACTTGCTGATTTTTATGCTGTAATTAAACATATAAATGTTAAAAGTAAAGTTTATATACCAAAATGTAAAGTTAATAAAAAATGCAAAGTGTGACCTGTAGGATCAATCAATAGTGAAAAAAAATGAATAAATGAATAAATAAAGCCTATCTTATAATGACTCCAGAATAGAGATCAGATTAGGTAATACTTATTTTATTTACTTGAAATTTCATCAAGTGGTATACATTAAATATATACTGCTTTTTGTATGTTGAGCATACCTCAACAAAATGGTCTAAAAATTTGTATTGCCGCCGGGTGTGGTGGCTCATGCCTGTAATTCCAGCACTTTGGGAGGCCGAGGCGGGCAGATCACCTGAGATCAGGAGTTCTAGACCAGCCTGACCAACATGGAGAAAACCTGTCTCTACTAAAAATACAAAATTTGCCAGGCGTAGCTGTTCATGCCTGTAATCCCAGCTACTTGGGAGGCTGAGGCAGGAGAATTGCTTGAACTGAGGAGGCAGAGGTTGCAGTGAGTCGAGATTGCGCCATTGCACTCTAGCCTGGGCAACAAGAGTGAAACTCCGTCTCAAAAAAAAATTAAAAAAAAAATTTGTATTGCATTTATTTAAACAATGGCATGATTTCTGAAAACACAAAAAATCCATATAAAAGTCGTACAGTAATTGAGAGCTCACAGTCTAATACATTCTTCCAGCTCCCTAGTTTTGACACTTCAGTGTGACTTTGGTGCTGCCCCCTTCTAAAATCCATACCATCTATTCCACACTTAAATATTTCTCATTTAAATTTCATTCATCTTCATGTGTATTAATAGTAACAGCAAACTTTTATTGAGTGTTTGTTGCATATCACTCACTGTACTATGACAGTTTTTTTTTAATGTGAGTTGGTAAATAAAAGCATTTCTGTTTTACATATGAGAAAAATAGACATTCATGGAACTTAGATAGGTTGCCAAAGGTAACATAGCTTGGGAAATGGTAGAGCTGGAAATCTCACCCACTTGCCTGGTTGTGAGCATGAGTTTTGGGGTCAGGCAGGTGGATTGGAACCTGGAAAGACATTCTTACTATTCTACACCTAACTAGTAGGTTTTCTGTTCCAATGTGGATAGCCCTTCATTCTTAGCTCTTTTCTGATAAAGATCTATTATTGAAACGATTTGGTTACACATCAGTTTTTAAAAACTAGATTATGAACTTCCCAAGGGCAAGAAACTGAGCCTTCCTTATCATTATATCAAGCAACAAGCACAGTTTCTGATTTGATGTAAGGCATTAACAATGGTATCTGCTTTTTTGGAATGCCTTTTCCTCTTGTTTTTCCTTGCTAATATAAATATTCTACATCTTCTGTTCTCTACTGAATACTCTTTAATCTGTGGATGTTGTCTGCTCTCCACAAACACCTGTCCTTATTTTTGAACCTCTGTAACAAGGCTTTTGTCATATATCATAAGTATCTTATCCTCAAATACTTAATATTATAATACCTGTACATCGGTTTCATCTTTCACTCTCATGCTTCTCAGTTTAGAAGCTTATTGGAGGCAAAAACAAAGCAAAACAACAGCAACAAAACTTTCTCTTACTCAATATACCTGTATCTCCTACATAGTAAATTTCAAAATTTGATATGCATGCTTTTTATTTGGTCCAGCAACATCCTTTCCTTCCTCTCTATTCTGTACCCTCTCCCAGATATTGGCAATTTACTTAACAGGTTACATAGAATAATGCCCTCTGGGCCCATAGAATTGTGTAGAAACACAAACCTTGGAGTCTAACAGACATAGCTTGGAACCTTAAATCCATTTCTTTAATCTATGTGTGATTCTTATTAGATTAACTCTAACTGTAAACCTAATTGTTAGTAAAATAGAGTTGGATAATAATTCCTATGTCAAAAAACATTTAGGAATATTAAATAAAATAATTTATATAAAATCACAAAGCACTGTATCTGGTATTAGTAGATACGCAGAGATGAAAGTACTGTTCTTTTCCTCTTCAAGATTCAGACCATACATCTTCTGACCTCTTCCCTCAATCCGTCGGAACTATCTCTGCTTTTATGTGTCTGCCCATCCTATGCACATCCATGTGTGTCCGGGTTCCCCAAGACCACCCTCAGGCTCCATGATTTCCTAGAAGGACTCATAGGACTTGGAAAAGCTGTATGCTGCTGATGATTGTGGTTTACAACAGTTAAAATATACAGATTAAAATCAGCAAAGGGAAAAGGTGCATAGGGCAAGCCCAGGAGAAATGAGGTGCAAGCTTCCAGTTACCGTCTCCCAGTGAAATTCTATAGACAGCACATGCTTCTCTCAGCAATGCAGTGAGACAACACCCACAAAGTGTAGCTGCCAAGGAAGCTCACCCAAGCCTTCGTGTCTAGGGTTTCTCTGGGAACTAGCTGAGTAGACATAGTGCTGCTCTCATAGGGCAGAGTATTCCAGTGACTGAGAGGGCATGTCCCAGGAGCCAGGCAGGGGCCAGTCCTCATGAAACAGGCCTTTATTTTGAATGGGCAGGGCTTGGGCAGCCTGGGCCTGCTGAGTTGACCCTTCACCACCTGCCATGTGTCATTACACCCATTTCACATACCCATTTCTTTTATTTTCCTCTTACTTATTTCATATGCAATTGATCTTTGTTGGGTGGTTGTATAAATAAATGCACTTATGTAACTTCTGATGTAATCTAACATTTCTTCAAATATATGTAATATGCATTGTATGTTAGTTGATAATTAGATTATTTCATTAATTCAGACACAAGTTTATTTTTTTTTCTTTCATTTTAGAGAACCAGGCAAAATACGAACTTTGTATTTGCTCGAACTTCACATTTTGTATTTGCATTTCTTTGGAATATCAGAAAGTTTTTTGAAGGTTGCTGGTGATTTATAGTTACTGTAGGACACACAAAAAAAATGATCTTTAACTTGGAGTACACAAAATGGCAGAATTCACACATTTATGGGTAAATAGAGAAAACTTTCCTTAGTAGGGTTCAGCCTCCCAGGAAATACTAGGAAGATGAGGGTCAAAGCCAATGTTTGAAAAGCCAAGGAAAATATGTAACGGGTAAATAAGGGACTACCTTAACATAAGAATGTGAATAACCTACTGCCTTTTTTAACTCAGTCTTTGAGATGATTGAGAAGGGCTGGGAGCTGAGACCAGGGCAAAAGCTGGGAAAAGAGCCAGTGTCTGTTTGTTTTCTTAGTTCAATTTAGAATTCTGTTGGCTCTTTTTGCCTGGAGAAATATGAGTTGAGAGAAAAGGAAAATCACACTAAAAAATCCACAATGACTTTGTATTATTAATATGCACAATTTAGTGTATATTATACCATATACAATTACAATATCTGTAAACTTCTAGACCTACGGTATATGCCACCTTGCAGAAGACAGCACCATGTGAAAATCTGTGTTGAGATTTGCTAGCATAATTCAAAAAAAAGTTTTGAAAACTTGAAAATATTTTTGACCTAATTGAAAACAAAATATGCATGTCAGAAAAGAATATGATTTTTCATTTTACATCATGGTGGTAGGAAGTGTTTAGAGAATTTATATAGAGAGTAGAGTTTTGGAAGTTTGATACAGAGGAAAAGGAATGTTTCTCATAGCATTTTCTTAACACTAATTTTCTGCAACTGGAAAATGTGTCTAATATTCTTCTCAATTGTTTAGTTCATAAATGACATTAGATGTGAATATTTATGCAAATCATAGCACGATTTCATTCAAGTTTAATTACTTCATGTTAATAAATAGTTTTGATTAATACAAGGACATTTCTAAATTATATTTAATTCTTTTTTCTACTAAGGAAAAGACTATAGTAAAAAAATGGACAAGATCTCATTTTTAGAAGAAAGCATATAAATTATTTATCCTTTTATAATTTTTAATGATAAATTTTAGACCTTGGGTTTAATCCATAGCTTGGGTCTTTATTTATCCTTCAGGATTTTGTTTTATGGGTTCTTTTAACAAAATAATTCTCTAAATTTTGGTCTTTTAGAAGGACAGTTAAAATCAAGGATGAATACTCTGATTTTTACTCTATATTTTAAAGGTGGCTTTAGGTCCCACAGTGAAGTATTAAAAGGTGTCTCCTCATGTACAAATGGATTTCTTTTCCAAAAACATGATGATGTTAAAGACAATCTTAATGTCTTTTATTCACCTCTAATACCCTTGATTAGGTTACATTGCCATTAGTCAGAGATGTTCTTACATTTAAAGGCAAAATTTGATATAGTCTGCAAAGAATCCTTAGAAGAAATATATTTTAAGAATAATTTTGTTTTGATAAATATGAATTGAGAGAAAAGCAAAATCATTAACAAATTGATAGTGACTATGTATTATCAATATGGAGAATTTAGTGTATATCGTACTGTATACAATTATAATATCTGTAAAGTTCTAGACCTGTAATATGCACCACCTTGCAGAAGACAGCACTAGGTCGAAATCTGTGTTGAGATTTGCTAGGTACAAAACATATCAATGCTTTTCTTAACCACAGAATCCTGTGTACCTTCTACAAAAATTGAATTTGATGCCCAGGAACATCTTTTATAGAACAAAAGGCTTAGAAAGAAGTCAGCACATTGGGACTGAGCACATCTACTCCTAGCAGAGAATAATACCTGGAATGTCAATTGTTAGCTCATAATATTGGAGGAAGGTGCCAAGTCTCAGAATTAGAAAAATAATTGGATGTTATGTAAAGAGTAGATAACCCTCGTTGCTGAGCTCCCATCTACAGGACCTCTGTGTGTAGTCTTGTTTGAGGATCACACAGCTGTGCCACTTGGGGACAAATGTGGAGGTTGTGAATCCCTAGAGGTGTCTGGGCTTCTTGCTTTTTAATTTATCATCTTGTCACCCTCCCACTCTTGCTTCTTTGAGGTTGAGATGAAAGAAGTGAGATATAAAGAAGTATTCATTTCACTTTTTAATTAAACATTTGGTTTGGTTCCAAAATACAAGACTTCAGTTCACATGCACAGAAAGAATGTCAGAAATATGGCAAGAAGGGCCAGGCGAGGTGGCTCATGCCTATAATCCCAGCACTTCGGAAGGCCAAGGATGGCGTCTCCCTTGAACCCAGGAGTTTGTGACCAGTTTGGGCAACATAGTGAAACCCCATCTCTACAAAGAATACAAAAATTAGCTGGGTGTGGTGGCACACGCAGGTGGTCCCAGCTACTTGGGAAGCTGAGGTGGGAGGATCACTTGAGCCTTGGGAGGTCGAGGCTGCAGTGAGTGGAGATCACACCACTGCACTCCAGCCTGGGAGACACAGAGAGACCCTGACTCAAGAAAATAAAAAATAAAAAATAAGAAGCATGACAAGAATGGCTTAGAAGGGATTTTCTTACATACAGGGGATTTTTACTTACTTTCGCTCCAGGAGACGTAAGCTCTGCTTCAGGGCCTGTGTGGCTTTTTTATCTTGAAGTCTTGGAATGCAAATATTTCTTGAACTCTGTCAGAGAAAATATGTGCAGTGTACTATAAAAATACTGCAGGACAATATTATTGTGGTCTCTGATGAAAAAAATGTTTTTTTCTTATGTTTTTATGCAGTAAGACTTATCAGTCTTTGGCTCTATTGTGTCTTCTAAGGCTGAGAAAGGCTTTTTTATTGTATACTAACAAAACAGGCCTTATATATATATATATTTGTATGTTTTACCTTAAAAGCTTTTATCAATTTACAATTTGCTAGCTCTAGGGTGCGAAGTGAAGACAACTCTTTTAAAAATAACACGCTTAATTTCCTTTTGTATATCTTCTCTGATGAGGTGTCTGTTCTGATCTTAAAAACCCCTATTTTCATTGGGTTCGTTGTTTTCTTTTCCTGGGTTTTATGAGTTCTTTGTATATTTTGGAACTGGATACCAGCTCTTTATAAGAAAGGTATATTTTCAAATACTTTCTTTTAGTCTGTGGCTTGTCTTCTTATTCTTTTAATGGTCTTCACAGAGCAGAAGGTTTTAATTTTAATGATGTGCAGCTTACCTTTTTTTTTTAATTCCTGAATTGTGTTTTTGGTGTTGTATGTAAAAAGCCATCACCAAACTCAAGGTCGTCAATTATAACAGATGTACCTCTCTCAGGCAAGATCTTACTAAGGGGGATGAGGCATGAAGGTGTGTATAGAAACACTGCACTTTCTGCTCATTTTTCTGAAAACCAAACCCTGATCCAAAAAATAGTGTATTAATAAATTGACTGAGCCAACAAAAAATATTAAATAATGTCTCTCTTTACATTAAAATACCACTTTTGTCATACGCCAAAAATTACTCCCAGGCTCGCTATTGTCTCCATATACATGTTTCTGCGTTGTTGGTCTACTCTTTAGAAATGTTTAACATTAACAGTGAGTAAATCAAGGCAGCTCTTCTTTATGATTTTCCCAGTGGTGGTGAAGTCCAGGGGTTTGTTAAACGTTGTGCGTCTTCCTGTTTAACCTCACCTTGTGCTCGCCTGCTTCTCTCTCGTTTCCCATCACTCCCTGAGGACCTGCTGCCCTTGGCTTTGCCCAGGCGTGCACTTCCTGCACATGAGGAATACCTGCCTGCTTCTCATGGCCATTACTGGGCATCCCTGTATTGCCGGCGACAGTGGTTACCATGTCAGGCGGCCCCTGCCTCTGCGCATTGGCACACACTGTTCCGCCTGTGTGGGGTCCCTGTTCTCACTGCTATTTTTAGCACTCTTGTTGAGTGGGGGCCCATTATCTCTGCCAGAGCTTTCCTGGTCCCCTCTCTGAGTAAAGTGTCCTTTAGGTCTCCTGTCAAAGCGGCTCTAAAATGTTTCTTATGCCAAATATGAGGGCTGGTCACTTAGGTGTCTACGTTTTTCCTTCAATGCTGTTTTTTTCTGACATAGAATATACTGTTTCTTTATTTTCTAATATGGCATGCAGCAGGAAATTAGCATGAAGGAGATGTTTTTTGAAAGAGAGAACAAATGAATAAATGAAGAATGTTTTCCTATGTATTGTTTCCTTCTCACTGCTTTGGGTTTTGAGGGCAGTGAGAGGACAAGGGGATAGAGTATGAGAGATTAAGATCAGGCTGTGGAGTGTTTGTCAGTTAATCAATGTGGTCTAAACCACTTTACAAAAGAATTAACAACGTAGAAATAATACAAAAGGTGGAAGCAACAGCTCTGTTTGCACTGGGAAATGTCTTTTAAGAGCAGCTCTTGTGTAGTTGCACAAGTGGAAAAATAAACGTGAACAGAGATTGCCAAAAATAAGTAAATAAATGGAACAGGGAAGCTTCCTTGGAAAGTGTTTGTTTATTGGGCTTCAGTAACCAAAACAAATGTCTCAACATTTGTTTTCAACTTTATCTGAGATTTTAATTTCCATGTGTTTGTCTTCAATTGGCCATTTAGCCTTCATCAATAAATAGCAGTGGGTTCAGAAAACATATATATGTTTTAATTTATCTTTGCCTGTGAAGATATAGCTACTAGTTTAGCAAATGAAACCTTAAGCATCATCTGAAAACTCTGAATGTTAAGGTTGTATTCTAGTAAATGTTCTAAGCCAGGGAATAGAATGCCTTCCTGCTTCTCCTGTGCTTGCTACACTTTCTTGGCTTTCTGCACTGTGTTTGTAGACACACATTCACTTAACCAATTATCTCATGAATTGGATTGAGGCCAATATTACCTATGAGGCCAATATTACATTCATAGGTAATCTGAAACCATTGTGGATTTTGGATTTCTCACCAGTAAACTGAGGTAGTTAGATCAAATGCCTCGAAATTCCCTCCCAATACTAAGCTCTGAATATATTTAATGTGTCATTGTCTCCTGACAATGCTATTACCATTTGTGATTTAAAGTAAAAACTTTAAATCATACCATAAACTATTCGAAAATAAAGTTCTTTAGTGTTAAGGCAGCATTTATTCATCTTGAATGGAAAAGCTAAGTAAGAAAGTAAGAAACACTCTTTCCAATGATTTTATCTAAACCTTAGAATTTTTTTCTGCATGTTACCAGTGTTCTAACTGTGGCCTTATATTCTCACATCAACAGATGCCATATGAATGTCATCATTTAAAGCCCATGAGCTTTAATAAAAAAATTTAATTAAAGCTCATGAGCTAAATAAAAACAAGGTAATTTATACAACTTCTTGAAGGTGATAGATAACTTGTCTAATCCCTCTTTTTTACAGGAACTGTGGGTGAAGATTCACCTTTATCAACTCTTACCTCTTAAGGAAATGCTACCATTTCCTAGAGTTTATGGTAATTTCAAATATGTTTTAAAAAATGGAAATATGAGAATAAACTTACCACGTGCCAGCATGTTTCCTAGCATTGAAGTCTAGGAAGTGTTCTCTGCAATTTATTTTTCTAAAATAAAACTGATAAGAAATTTCAGGCTGTAACGAGAGGTCAGAGTGTTGGCAGCACATTACATATCATCCATGAAAATAAAACTGCTGTGAAACCACAAAGGGTGGGAAAGTTTTCTCCATTAGTATACTAAGTAGTGTTACCTGACACAAAGCCAGTAAACACAGCTTAGAATACCTGAGTATTTCATTAATCTAACATGGGCCAAATGGAGAGTTTCATTGAGATATGATATGATTTATTTAGCTGATTCCTACTGGTCCCTAGCAATGACTTCTTAAGTTGTCACACAGACGATGATTCAAATAAGAAATAAATTTTGAAAAATTAATTATAAATGTCATGGGCCACATAAATCTAGGTAGCATTGTGCTCTGAAAGTTTACCATTGCTTTTACTTTCATGCCTTGTAGTTTCACAGAAAAAATAATAAGTTGTGTTCTAGCTCTGAATTAAACAGGCACTCTAGTGTCAGGTGAGAGAAAGCCTGAACTTGTCAAATTCCCACTCAGGTTGCTTTCTGCCTTCTGAGATGAACTTTCTATTGAAAAAAACTCCTCTATCCCTCTATCCTACCCTTCAATAAGGCTTCAGTCAAAAAGAGAGCAATGAAAAATGTTTCATACAATCTAGCAGTTGTTCTTCTGGGTATGTACACAAATGGGTTTAAAACTTTTGCCCACAAGAAAACCTGTAAACAAATGTTTATAGCAACTTTATTCATAATTGCCCAAGCCATTAAACAACCAAAATACCTTTCAATGGGTAAACTGTGGCACATCCTAACAATGAACCCATATTCAGCACTTAAAAAAAAAAAAGAGTTATCGAGCTAAGAAAAGACACAGGGGAAGATTGAATGCATATTATGAAGTGAAAGAAGACAATCTGAAGGCTACATATCATTCCAACTATATGATATTCTGGGAAAGGCAAATCTATGAAGACAAAGGGATCAGTGCTTGCCAGAGGTTAGTGGGGAGAGGAGGATAAACAGGTGGAGAACAGGGGATATTTATGGCAGTGAAACTACTCTGTATGATGCTATAGTTGTGGGTACATGTCATTAAACATTTGTCAAAACCCATATACTGTACACCACTGAGAGTGAACAATAATGTAAACTATGAACTCTGGGTGATGATGATGTCTCAGTGCAGGTTCATCAGCTGTAACAAACAGGTCACTGGTGTGGGATGTTCATAGCAGATAGAGGCAGGGTGGTTGTACATGGGTGTGGTCACAGGATATATAGGAACTCTATGCTTTCCACTCAATTTTGCTGTGAAACTAAACATGCTCTGAAACTATTTTTTTTTAAAAGGCAAAAGATTTTCTTAAACATAGAATTTTTGAGGTGTCTGATATTAGTTATGATTATTGTGTTGGTCCGTTTTTACACTGCTATAAAGAAAACCACCAGAGACTAGGTAATTTATAAAGAAAGCAAGTTTAATTGACTCCCAGTTCTGCATGGCTGGGGAGGCCTCAGAAAACTTACAATCATAGTGGAAGGGGAAGCAGGCACCATCTTACATGGCAGCAGGTGAGAGAGATATGCGAGTAAAGGGTGAAGAGCCTCTTTTCAAACCATCAGGTCTCATAAGAACTCACTGACTATCATGAAAACAGCATGGAGGAAATTGCCCCCATGATCCAATCACCTCACTCCCTTGACACATGGGAATTAATGTTTGAGATGAAATGTGGGTGGGACACAAAGTCGAACCATATCAATTCTTCAGAAACATTTTCATTTTCATACTTAAAGATTTAACTCTTAGCAAACAATAGTAATAGTAACCACAGTAGTCATGAAAAGAGTCTATAGGGCCCAGTTAAATAGCCTAAATGGCTGACAATCCTAGGAGAGAACTCTAGGATGAGTCATAGAGACCATGTTCTATCCAGAAGGGTGCTATGCAGCTGGTTTCAGGTAGAAACAAAACACAGGCTCAGTATTTCTAGCTTTTCAAAGTTTTCAAGAGAAGTGTGAAAACCTCTCAATTTGAAACTGTGTCTCACCATTAAGAAAAATCCTGCAGGCCAAAACATATACAACTGTGATATGGTTAGACTTTGTGTCTCCACCCAAATATCATCTTGTGTTGTAATCCCTATAATCCCCATGTGTCATGGGAGAGACCAAGTGGAGATAGTTGAATCATGGGGGTGGTTTCCCCCATGCTGTTCTCATGATAGTGAGTGAGTTCAAACGAGATCTGATGGTTTTATAAGGGGCTCTTTCCCACTTTGTTGGGCACGTCTCCTTCTAGCCACCTAGTGAAGAAGGTGCCTTGCTTTCCCTTTGTCTTCTGCCATAATTGTAATTTTCCTGAGGCCTCCCCAGACATGCTGAACTGTGAGTCAATTAAACCTCTTTCTTTTATGAATTACCCAGTTTGGGGCAGTTCTTTACAGTAGTATGAAAACGGACTAATATGGTAAATTGGTACCAGCAGTGGGGTGCTACTATAAAGATACCCGAAAATGTGGAAGTGACTTTGGAACTGGGAATCAGGCAGGTGCTGGAATAGTTGGAAAGCTCAGAAGAAAACAGGAAAATGTGGGAAAGTTTGAAACTTCCTAGAAACTTGTTGAATGGCTTTGACCAAAAAGCTGATAGTGAAATGGACAATGAATTTCAGGCTGAGGTGGTCTGTGATGGAGGTAAGGAACTTGTTAGGAACTAAAGGTGACTCTTGCTATGCTATAGCAAGGAGACTGGTGGCATTTTGCCCTTGTTCTAGAGATCCGAGGAAATTTGAACTTGAGAAAGATGATTTAGGGTATCTTGTGAGAGAAATTCCTAAGCAGCAAAGCATTCAAGAGCTGACTTGGGTGCTCCTAAAAGCATTAAGTTTTATGCATTCACAAAGAGAGGGTTTGGAATTGGAACTTATGTTTAACAGGGGAGCAGAACATAAAAGTTTGGTAAATTTGCAGCCTGATGATGTGGTAGAAAAGAAAAACTTGTTTCCTTAGGAGAAATCCAAGCTGGCTGCAGAAATTTGCATAAGTAACAGAGAGCTAAATGTTAAATATCAAGACAATGGGGAAAATGTCTCCAGGGCATGTCAGAAGTCTTCATGGTAGCCTGTCCCATCACAGGCCTGGAGGCCTAGGAAGAAAAAATGGTTCTGTGGGCCAGGCCTAGGGGCCCCTTGCTATGTGCATCCTTGGGACTTGATGCCCTGTGTCCTAGCTGCTCCAGCTGTGGCTAAAAGGGACCAAGATACAACTCAGGCCATGGCTTCAGAGGTTGTAAACCTCATGCCTTGATGGCTTCCATGTGGTGTTAGCCCTGTGGGTGTGCAGAAGACAATAATTGAGGTTTGGGAACCTCTGCCTAGATTTCCAGGGATATAGGGAAATGCTTGGATGTCCAGGCAGAGATGTATTGAAGGGGCGGAGCCCTCATGGAGAACCTCTGCTAGGGAAGTAAAGAAGGGATATGGGGGGTTGTAGTTCCCACAGAGGGTCTCTACTAGGGACCTAGTAGAACTGTGAAAAGAGGGCCACCATGCTGCATACCCCAGAATGGTAGATTCACTGACAGATTGGACTGTGTGCCTGGAAAAGCCGCAGACACTCAATGCCAGCCATGAAAGCAGCCAGGAGTGGGGTTGTACCATGCAAAGCCAAAGGAGTGGAGCTGTCCAAGGTTGTGGGAGCCCACCTCTTGCATCAGCCTGACCTAGATATGAGACATGGAGTCAAAGGAGATTATTTCGGAGCTTTAAGATTTCATTACTGCCCTATTGGATTTCAGACTTGCATGGGGCCTGTAGCTTCTTTGTTTTGGCCAATGTCTCTCATTTGGAATGGGTGTATTTATCTAAGGCCTTTACCCCCTTTGTATCTAGGAAGAAACTAACTTGCTTTTAATTTTACAGGCTCATAGGCAGAAGGCTTATGGTCTCAGAAGAGACTTTAAAGTTGGACTTTTGGATTAATGCTAGAATGAATTAAGAATTTGGGGGACAGTTGGGAAGGCATGATTGGTTTTGAAATGTGAAAGGGACATGAGATTTTGGAGGGGCCAGTGGCAGAATTATGTGGTTAGGCTTTGTGTCTGCGCCCAAGTCTCATCTTGAATTGTAATCCCGATAATCCTCACATGTCCAGGTAGAGACCAGGTGGAGGTAATTTAATCATGAAGATGGTTACCTTCATGCTGTTCTCATGATAGTGAGTGAGTTCTCATGAGATCTGATGGTTTTATAAGGTGATTTTGCCCATTCACTTGGCCCTTCTCCTTCCTGCCACCTTGTGAAGAAGATGCCTTGCTTTATTTTCACTTTTCACCATGATTTTAAGTTTCCTGAGGCCTCCCCAGTCATGCTGAACTGTGAGTTAATTAAACCTCTTTCCTTTATAAATTACCTAGTCTTGGGCAGTTCTTTATAGCAGTATGAAAATGGACTAATAACACACGTAAGGCCATGTGCCTATGGATCACCAGGGTTTTACATTTTAGAGTAAGATATGGGCAGGAGGAAGAGATTGTTGAGGCATCCTGGGCTAAGCACAAAGAGCTGAGCTAGGAAACACCCATCCATAAAAGTGGAAGGAGGAGGGAGCAGAGGAGGAAGAAGCCTCAGTGAGGTCAAAGAAATACACTATATGGATAGACACATGATAGAAAGGACAGAGAGCTAGATATGGATAGATGGATAAGAGAGGGAGAGAAAAAAAATCAGTATGAAACCAGGGACACCAGTAAAACAGAGGTCCTGCAGATGGGGTGAATTACTTTGGGAAACACATACCCTCTTTCTGGGATTTGCATCTCCACAGTAAGAAAGAAGAGAATCCACTAGGTTTGGCCAGTAACGTTATTATCGACCTTTGATAGTCTGGTCTTAGTAGAGCAGAAGTATCAGAGATGTCACTTAGAGAGGAGGGATAGACAAAGAGGGTGCAAAATTGGATAGAGCGATGTGCAATGTATTAAGAAGTTTGAGAGTTAAAGAAACTGAGCAGAAATGTGAACAGAAGCATAATGTTTTTCTGGGAAAGGGAAATCTGTTCGAGTATACAGCACAAGTGAGAGAACCAGTGAAGAGGAAAGAGAATAAAAATGCTGATGGAAGAGAAAGGAGCTGAAATACCTGGAGCATGTATTCAGACATGCTGCTTATCCTAGCTATCTTTAACATCACACGGTGCCCTGTTATTTCATAAGCGTGTATGGCTAACACTCTTTATCCACACACTCACGACTCCATAACTGCTGTTTGTTCTGAGAACTATAACCCACAAATGACCAGGACACAATGTTTTATTATAAAGGTTTAAATCCGTCTAATTTAGCACATGTGCCTCAAAAGAAGATGAAATAAATAGGAGGGGGAATCAGGAAAACCTGACTGCTTCACAGCCATGCTAGATCATCCTCTCACCACGCTCAAGTCTCCACAGTTATGAATCTTACTGGCGGGTCTTTCTATCTGGCATCTGCCTCCTGGCGTGGGGAGAAGCAAACATTTCCGCTTGTGGCCGCGCTGGCAGATTCTCACCATCCCTGGTTTCCTGCCACAGAGCTCTGACCCGGCTTTTGCTGGACACGTGGGGTCGACTCAGTGGAGCACAGTCATCCTAATTGCCTCCCTTTGGGTTTTTATTTCATCTACAGGGCGGCTGGTTTCAGAAGGTTCACATCCTTTGTATAAGCAAAATAATGTGAAATCCAGTGTTATTTCCTGTGCTGTGACTCACACCCCATCTGGGAAAATCAGGGATGGAAACATCATCTCCAGGGCACAAAGTATTTAAAATTTAACTCGTCATTTGAGGTTTTCACAGCCAATTCAAAGCCTATATTTTCCATTAGTTAAATATTTAGTATTGGCAACATGAATTTGGATTCTTTCGTCTTCTTGCAAATTATCTGTTTATAACTATTAGTGTTGTCTAATGAGGTTGGCAATAATGAGGACTCCTCTCCAACGACCAGCCCCACTTCATTTCTCCATTTTAAACCAGTTCCGGCCACAGACGCTGGGGATTCACCCATGGCATCCCCAAGAAGCCTTGCACATTGCAGCCTTTCTCGCCCTTGATTCCCCTCTCCCTGCATCAAAAACTCTTCTGTCTCCTAAGCATTCTCACACTTGGAAGTACTCCAGGAAGCAGCCTAAACTTAATGCTTCCCTTTTCACATCTTATTCCTGCGCTTCATCCTCCTGCAGTTGGTTTTCTTGAACCCCACTGCAAAAACAGCTCTATTCACATCTCAGCCTTCACACTCACCAGATCTCCCACAGGCTTGTGTTGGCTTGTCTTTTCAGCCCTGACCACTCCCTCCCATGCTGGCCACAAAAGCCACCTTCTCCCCAAGGCCCCCAGTCCCCGTGGCTCTATGATGGGCACTTTCTTGTTTTCCCACATTCTTCTTGGTGACTCCTTTTCTATCTTTCTCAATTCCTCCCTTTTGTTTTCCTCAGTCCTTCAAATATGGGTGTTCTTGGTCTAGCTTCTGGCCACTCTTCCCCTGTGTTTTCATCTCTCCCTTAGGCCAGCCCTTAGTCCTGTCTTCTATACAAAGCACTAACTGGAAGGAATCACTTAGCTTGGCCTCCAGAGGGGACAGATGATAGAAGGCCTGCCATGATTTATGTCATTATTTAATCTCTTGGCCTTATATATATCACCCGTTTATCCACCCCCACCTCTTCCTGCACAAACACTTTGAAGAAAATTGCTGATGCCAACTCTGGCCAGAGTACCCTAGCAAATGAGAGTGTGTTCATGGAGACAGCCTCCTCTGCCTACTTACTAGCTGTGGAATTCTAGGCATGGCATCCAGCTCTGTGTGACTCTGTTTCCTTAACTGTAAATTTGGAATGATGTTGATAACATCTACTTCAGGTTATTGCACCAATCAAATTATGTGCTATATTTAAAGGACCGAGAATAGCCTCCAACACATACTAAGTGCCGTGCGAAAATTGGCTATTATTATTTAATGCAACTTTGCTGCCTAGCCTACATTTCTAGACCAATTTCTCTTCTGAACTCCAAGGCCAGATTGATGTCTTAACCTCCAGGTTCCCCAAGATCTTCACAATAGATTCAAAATAAAATTTCTCTTTACCGACTTCTACATATCCGCTTGTGCATTATCTTCCTAGACTTCTTTTTTAAAAGGCATGCTATATTTTACCAGACTTCTTGCTTGAAACGCCTCACTTTTATTCTTTTTAATCTCTTTTGTCGTCCAAATACACCCTTTGCAATTTTACCTCTTCCTTTTTCATCCATTTCTTTCTTTATGTTTCCATTGTCAATAATCTAGGTCAGTCATCCTTCCTACTTTTGATTTTCAGGAAGTCTCTCAACCTGTTCTTCTTGTTCCAGTTTCACACTCCACCCAAGACATCCCCTGGGTCTTGCACACTGCACCCGTGTGATGTTCTTTTTTTTTTATTCTTTTTTTGAGACAGAGTCTCACCCTGTTGCCCAGGCTGGAGTGCAATAGCATGATCTCAGCTCACTGCAACCTCCGCCTCCTGGGTTCAAATGATTCTCCTGCCTCATCCTTCCGCGTAGCTGGGATTATAGGTGCCCACCATCACGCCCAGCTAATTTTTGTATTTTTAGTTGAGACGGGGTTTCACCATGTTGGCCAGGCTGGTCTTGAACTCCTGACCTCATTTGATCCGCCCGCCTCGGCCTCCCAAAGTGCTGGGATTACAGACATGAGCCACTGCACCTGGCAGTCGTGTGATGTTCTGACAGCATAGCTCTGCTCTGCAGGAGAGTTACATGGCATTTGGCAGAGGGAGGACTGCTAGCAAAAGTCCCGTCAGCTCCTCTCACATCAGCTTGAGAAAAGTGGTACCTACATAAACCATAGGGAAGGATATGATAATATTCTGTGTCCTTGGGACTCGAATTTGTATATCTATTGTGCCACTTTCAGACACTTTCAAAGGCAATTCCAAGGCTACTTCTATATACAAATATGGGTGCGTGATGTAGTACTAAATGCTTTGTCACCTAAAACAGCTCCTTGGGGATAGTAGTTGCTCATTGTATGTTTCTTGAGTGAATGATCAGTAATGCATAAAAATACATGACGAAAATGCCAGTATATGTGACATGCATATGACCATTAATCTGGACATGACCCCTCCTGGACATTACCCTTCCCAAAACTTCCATGTAAATATTATATAAATATCCTACTTCTCCACTTGCAGAGACAAGACCAACTCTTTGCTAAAATAGAATGACGTGGTCCAAGGTGCCAGCATGTCAAAAATCATCTCTCATACTTTCATAACATGAGACTTAAAATTCCTAATACTGGGATTCTCCTTAAGGTATTGGAAACAGATGGCCATTGCTAAAAATTCAAATTATCTCTTTAATATATCTGCAGGATTTTTTTTCTGGTTAAATTAGCTCCAGTCGTCACACAGTGGCTGGGCACAGGTGGACAGAAATGTGGCCTGATACAGACCCTCAGCCAGGAATCGAAGGTATGAGCCAGTGATGTGGAAAGTGGGGTCAAGACACATGCTGAATGTAGAACTCAAGAAAGAGCAGAAAGCCTGACTGAGAGGCAGGGGCTCGGGCTAATGAACACATTATATAAGAGAGGAAGGGAGCAGATTTAAGTCTACAGAAACTGTCAGAATGTAGGCACAAGGCAGAGGGGTCAAAGTTGCCCTGTATTTGAAAGAGCAGGCATCAGTTCCCCAGAACCAAGAAGTGGATCAGAAGACTTTTAAATGTTTCTGACTTCAGCAGGACTCTACAACTACCTCCAAAGATATAGACCAGCCAAAGTCAAATGCAGAGAGCCCACAGTGATTTACCATTGGTAAATCATTGGCAGGTTTTGATGATGCAGGTTCCGTGGCTACTTGGAAGAATGTAATGACTCTGGGCTTTGATTCTGGGTGTCTGGCGTCGTGCAGGAGAGTAGAATTGACTGCAGCTGCTGCCACGGAATTAGCTGGACAGAAGACACAGTGTAGATCCTGTTCTTTGGATCAGTGATCCATTGCCACTTCCTTCTACTTTCTGTGCCTGCTTCCTCACTGTGAAATGGGAATAATAATGACAGTGCCCTGAAAGAGCTGTAAAAAGGAATAAAGAAGCTAAAACATAAAGAGCTCAGAATGATGCCTAGCATATTGGTAAAGCTCAGTAGAAGCTAGCTCCCGGGATTCCTATGTGTTATGCAGAAACCTGTGGGTATCCAGCAGATTTTATCACCTAGTAAAAGAAATGAGCATCTTATGGTGACTGGACTCAGAATGATAGGTTTTGTTGAAGAAAGGAGAGATGGAATTAAGAATGTAACAACACCTGTAGGTGGTCAGGACTTTCAGGTGAGCTCTGCACGGGAAGGGCCAAGGCAGGACAAAATCAGCCAGATTATCGAGTGATCTTGCTGAGATAAATACAAATAAACAAAAAGAAGAAGGAGAAGGGGAAGAAAGAAGAAGGGAGAAGGGAAAAGAAGGAGAAGGAGAGAAGGAGGACGAGGAGGAGGCCAAGGAGAAGAGGAAGGAGGAAGGAGCTGCTGGCCCCTCCGGCCTTAACCAGCTTAGCAAACTTGGAAGAGGGAATAGAGAGCATTAGTGAGGGCTGAACAAACACTTTTTCAAATGCAAATCCCAATACGGTACTTCATTTGTTCATCAGACAAATATTTATTTGATGTCTCCAATTTATCAAGTACTCTGCTAGGTGTTAAGCATACAATGGTGAGAGAAAGACCACTGTTTTTAGTCTCATGGAGTCAAACATGTATCTATTGGCTTAATATTCATGTGATTGTTTCAGACATGCCAGAATTTTTAAGCATTAATGCTTCAGCACAAATGACTTACTCTGCAATTATTTAGCAGGGCTCTCTTTTTTTCTTATATAGGACATAAATAGTAAGATTGCAGAACAATGTGGAAGATGAGAATTTTGACATAGATCCTATGTATTCTCTCAGAGATGTCTTTATATCAAAGTGTGAATGAACAAAAATTAAGAAACAGAAAGTGTTAGGAGTCACCACTATAAATAATATTTAAATTTTGAGAAAACAATACAATTTTCAGAAAATTAACCTTAAAAATAAACAAGTAAACAATATCACAAAAATATTCTATGCTGCCATGAAATATAATAATGTGGAATAATAATGGTGGATAAAAAGATGATACATAGTATGTTAAATTCTAGAAAGTAACGAGCACAGTATCATACAGGGTGTAATTCCAATTTAGTAAAAATATGTGTGTGTGTGTGTGTGTGTGTGTGTGTGAATTTAATTATGGCATTGTTACTAGTAGAGATTTCAGATGTGTTTTTCTTGCTACTTCTCTTCCTTGTTGTGTAAGCACAAAAAATGTTTAGGAAATAGAACATAAAAGATGAACAGAATTAGAAAAAAGAATTATCGGAACTTTATTTTCACTATAGAAAGCAATGTGAGCCGGGCGCAGTGGCTCACACCTGTAATCCCAGCACTTTGGGAGCCTGAGGTGGGCAGATCACAAGGTCAAGAGATCGAGACCATCCTGGCGAACATGGTGAAACCTTGTCTCTACTAAAAATACGAAAATTAGCTGGGCATGGTGGCGTGTGCCTGTGGTCCCAACTACTCGGGAGGCTGAGGCAGGAGAATCGCTTGAACCCGGGAAGCGGAGGTTGCAGCGCACTAAGATTGCGCCACTGCACTCCAGCCTGACGACAAAGCGAGATTCCATCTAAAAAAAAAAATCTGTCCCAAATATAAATGTGACCAGTATTTTTAAAGCATTATAATAAAAAGTCCAAATAAAGAATAAATCACAGGTGAATTGGTGGCATTATGCCAATTAAAAATAATTTTTTTCTGCTCATCACCAATAGCCATTTGGGAATGCAAACTGTGGAGAGACAGATAACACTACGATGATATATCACTATGTACCTATCAAAATGGCTACAATGAAAAAATAACACTAAATGCTAATGAGAATGCAGAGAAATGATCACTCACATATTGCTGGTAGGAATGCAGAATGTCACTGACATTCTGGAAATACTTTGGCAGTTTCTTTTAAAACTAAACACATACTTACCATATGAACCAGTAATTGCAATCTTGGGCATTTGTCTCAAAGAGACGAATTTGTATTTACACAAATACCTGTACACGCATGGTTTTAATAGCTCTATTTGTAGTAGCCCAAAACTGGAACAACCCAAATGTCCTTCAATGAGTGAATGGTTAAACAAACTGTGACGCATCCATACTAGGCAATAGAAAGGAACAAATTATTGATACAAATGGATGGAGGTCAAGAGAATTATACTGAGTGGAAAATAGCTAGTCTCAAAAGTTTACATATGACATGATGCCATTTGTGTAAAATTCATTAAACAACAAAATTAGAAAACTGAAGACTAGATTAGGTCAGGGACTTCGGAGAGAGGGCAGAGGGTGGCTGTAAAGAGCTACTTTAAGGGACTACAGAGTCATTCTGTACCTTCATTGTGGTGGTGACTCCTTGAAACTACACAAGTGATGGAATTGCATAGAACATACACACACACACATGCATATACACCCATAGGTGCTTGTGGAAATCTGAAAATGCTGTGGATTGCACCAAAGTCAAATTTTTGATTTGGATACCTTACTATAATTATGCAATATATCACCACATTGCAGGAGGCTGAAAGAACGTCTCATGGAATCTCCTTGTATATTTATTTTTTTGCAACTTCCAGTAAATCTATAATTATTTCAAAATATAAAAAAAATTTCTGCAACTGTGTTTGTAGGAGTAGATGAAGTAAGATTGGGAAAATATTGATATTGTTGAAACTACCTAAAAGTAGCTGCAGGATAATTACACTATTATATGTATGTGGAAATCCAAAATAAAACACTAAAAAGTTAAGTACTAAAAATAAAATTTCTAAAATTATTTATTCTGCACAAGACTTGTATAAATATGGTGTTCTCCTTGTTTTAGAGAATAATTAAGGAAAGAAAACTTCTTGTGAAAAGTGGGAAAAAGCTGTATAAACATACTCTGCAATCATGACATAGCTCTATTATAGCTCGTCAAAACAAGTAAGGGATTGTTTGATCATGTGGGTCCATTCAAGTTTATTCTGGGCCATAAATTATGTTTTATTTTGTTATTAACAGATTTTTTGCATTATTCCAACTCTCTTATTTATAGAATAAGTATACTAAGATATGAGAAAATAAAGTTTAACTCTGGTTTGCTGAGTTCATAGTTGCCACTCCCCTTCCCTATAGAAAAGCTCATACAATCTCCTGATATTTGTGGACAACAAAAATTTGCCACATTAAATTACAAGCTCAAACCCATCAATCAATGTAAGTCTGCTACAGGGTGAAGAGACCAAGTCAAAGACTGCTCTACATAGCTTTTTTTCTTTCTAAATAGTAAAAACATTTGTGAAAATTTATGTTTGCATTGCATAAAATAATATTACTAGGTAAAAGTGCCCAGTTAAAGTAATGTGCCAAGTACAAATGTCTTTTTCTTTATCTTAGCATAATAAGCTGAAAGTTTTCATTATATAATTAGTAAAGGATTTTTGTGGTTATTCTGTCAGTAAAATAATCCTAATTTTATTATCAATTTTTGTCTTAGACATATCAAAGTACTCAGGTATATGCAAGAAAAACTGGGAAAAGATAATTACAGGAGAACCAAAACTAAAAAGAAAATCATTTTGTGTGATTAATATGAACACTGAAAATGAAATGCCTCATGTTGCTAATAAAATCGGAAGCTGCAAATTTAAATATATTATCAGAAGAACTGCTTGAATTATGCTAAGCACATTAAGCACATTTACAAACAAATTAAATATTATTATTTAAATATTTCTCTAGGACCCCTTCTCATAAATTTAATAACACCAACCTAGCAAATATTTATTTCAATCATGGTCACTCAGTACCTATTACATACTGTCATGGTTTAATCACAACTAGACTGGGATTACCTTTTCTAAACACACCCATTTGCAAGTGGATGACTCCAAAACTTTTACCAATAGCTAAGCATAATTGCAAATCAATAAAAATTAGTTTAAAGAGAAAGTTTTCTGTATATTTGGACTTATTTTTAAGTGAGAATTTTTCTCACAAATAAACATTAACATTTAAATATATATTGTAGGCTGGGCATGGTGGCTCACGCCTGTAATCCCAGCACTATGGGAGGCCGAGGTGGGTGGATCACTTGAGGTCATGGGTTCGAGACCAGCCTGGCCAACATAGCAAGAATCTGCCTCTACTAAAAATACAAAAAATTAACTGGGTGTGATGGCAGGCACCTGTAATCCGTACTACTCGGGAGGCTGAGGCAGGAGAATCACTTGAACCCCGGAGGTAGAGGTTGCAGTGAGCCCAGATTGCACTATTGCACTCCAGCCTGGGTGACAGATCAAGACTCCGTCTCAAACTTACATATCGATAGATAGATAGATAGATAGATAGATAGATAGATAGATAGATAGATAGATTGTTAGATAAATAAATAATAAATTTATGTTGTAATGTTTCTGATACTATTGTAATGAATTTTTCTTTCTGAGGTAAATTTGCTGCATGTTCTTTCGCACTTTAACCCACCACAAATGCTGCCTTCTTAATATGAATTATTATAATGCATCCAGTAACTTTTATTTTAAAACATTTTTATTTCACTATTTTATGTTATTTATAGACTACTCCAATAAACTGTTGTTCTATGCCCTATTTTTAGACACAATTTTAAAATATTCTCTTGCGTTATATGAGTCTGCATTCTTCACTTGGTTTTTAACCGTTATATCAATAGTTAAAACTTTAACCATTATATCAATGCCGATTTGCCATTTTCTTTTGATTTGTCACATTGATTCACTTTTTTACACCAGCATTTTAAAAATTGTGACTTAAAACCTTTTTAATATGAACCAAAGTTTTATTTGAAGTGAGAAAAATATTGGTTTTCTTAATATCTCTCCTTAAAAAAGTTTTTAAAAAATTGATAATTCAAAAGGTTTGCTGGAGGACAATTGTGGTTAAATATCAAGAGACATCATTATTTTGACCCTGATCACATCCAATGACAGGTATCTTTGTCTTTAAAAATTCTTCCACTCGTCTCAGGCATCAACTTCATTAAACGCATTTACCTGTGCAGTGAACAAAAGCCTATTTTCATTATGTGAAAAATTGAAAGATACTCCCAGGCCAGCAGACTTGTTAACTAGGGGTACACAGACAACAAGAGAGCCAAGTGAATTGGCAAAGCTGGTCTTTTGCTTTGCTTTTCATAGTTTATTTATGCAAAACATAATTTATGGAACAACTATGTATTTAGGTGCTTGTATATAGCAGTGAACAAAATGGACAAAATTACTGTCTGAATTCTAAATTGTTCTTACTGAGACCTAAATCTTGCTAGGATCTCTGGGCCACCAAGAGAGCAAGGCTCATAGTCTCTTGCTCTCCCTCTCTCTCCCTCTTTCTCCTAACGAGTTTTTCAGGTAACACTTTATTATTCCTGCCTATAGGCTGCCTGCCATGCTCACCAGGCACTTAAAGCTCTATTTCAAATCTCACCCTCCAGAAATATTCCCCAAATAGCACTCTTTGGGGCAATCCATCCTATTTTGGCTCTCTTAAAAATATATGTTGGTCTCTAATACTTTAACTTTGAGTTCTTACTGTATTTGACATTGCTATTTTATCATTTTATTTATATTGTTTTCTCTGTCTCAGCCTCCTCCTCATGTGGTTTTATTCAGTTGAATATTTCCTATTGCACATTCACTTATATGATCAAACCTACGGATTTTGTGCTCCACCAAAAGGAGTCTTTGCCTATTAATACCCCTAGAGGGGCAGATTGCCCACTAAGTAGTAACTGGTCTCCTTGCACCTATCTCTACCTCCCAAGGGTGCCAGCTGAAATCACCCCATTCCTTTGCCCTCTACAATTCTCTAGTCCTAAATGTGTAACTTCCTGTTAACCATTCCCTCCTGAGTGCCCTGTTGACGTCTCACATTCAATAAATTCTAAATTCATAATATTTCTTCTCCTCCCTTTCCCTGGAATTTCTAGCCTTCCACTTCTGTATTTAGCAGTATCATGTTCCCATTCACCCACACAGGGAGTGAATCTTTGACTTCTTTGCTTCATTTTCCTTTCATGACTAAGTCCCATTATTCACACTTCTTCGGTATTACTCACAGCAGACTCTGCCTCTCCATCACCTGATGCAAAAGCCTAGAATAGGCCATTTGCTCATTTTATACTGTAATGATCCTCACGTTGCCTTAATTTACCTCAGGTTAAATTCCTCAATAGATCCAGTCTAGTCATAGAAATGAACAACTTCATAGTTATTGACTTACATACTTCAGGTGGTCATGTCTGGTCTGACTTGCTCTCATCTTCTGTTGGTTGGACCAACAGTGAAATATATCAATCTTGTCAGATATCAAATATTGTCACAGTTTTCTGTCTCTGACAGAGATGGTGTTGGGGGCAAGAGATAGAGTCAGTCTGATATTTTTTAATATGCTGAATTTTCTGGGATTTGGCCAATATGACAAATTATACAAAAGTGGATACTTGAAGGGTATCCTAACAGACCTTGCAACATAATTTTTGAAAACATTGGTTTGGAGGTTGGAGAGAGATCTTTTAGGTAGCATCTACCTGTGGTTAGATGACATATTGCAATCTCGTGACCAGCTTGCTTTGGTTAAAGAGAGGGGCGGTCTTGTTTATTTATACCGAAGTTGCCGAAAATTATAACTAAAAAGCTTGCCATAAACTTAGATTAAGGCCATCTCTGAAGGAGCTCCTTGGACAACAACACAGCATAGGAACTGTGAGACAGGTTCAGCCTGATGACAGAAATTGACGAAAACACCTAGATTTTAACTTGGAGAATTCGGTTAGTTCACAAAAATCCAATTTCAGGCAAGATTCTGTATTACCATCCTCTCAAATAAGAATAAACCACAAAAACACGTGCAGAATCAGCAGATGCTCAGTTTTCTAGTATTTAATTACCTCTCCTCCACGCATTAGGCTTCAACAATCGATCTACTACTCACTCAGAGAACACGGTGTCCTCTTCTCTTTCTCTCAAAACTCAGCGCAAACATTATGACTGACTTTAAAAAATGTCTTCTGCTGCTTCTCTGACCCTTGGAACAGTACATAGAGTGATGCTAAGTAACTATTTGTTGAATAAATGAAGGAATGTGGCACATTCTTGCAAGCTGGCTTCGTCGCGCCACCTATGCGAAACTTTAACACATCTCAGTCAGAGGGAATGTATTGAATTGATATTTCCATGCTTTAGTTAATACGTTTCTCTCATCTTCCACAGCTACTCCAACCCCCACCACGTCTTCCATAAAATCCTTTCCTCAACTCAGATAAGTACAGTACTCCACTCTTGTCGACAAAGTGTTTAATTGTATTACAAAAATACCTAGAGAAATTAGTCAATATTTCAGAATTTCAAAATGTATACCACAAGCCCCTCATTGATAACCTAAGGTTGTTGAACTAGAAAATCCCTTGGATGTCTTGTTTCTATTATTCTCTAATTCTACATAAACCGAACTGCAGTTATAATGGACAAAATCAGATATTCCAAAATATTAAGTGAAAGTATTTTTAAGTCCAAATATTAAAACATACATAAAATTAAAGCAGGTAGGTTTTTTTTCTCTTAAATGGTCAATGACCTTTTTCCAACAGTTAAAGAATAATGCAGCCAAGGGTGAGATATTTTGCTTTCTGCTCTGACCCTCTCTTTCCCCTACTCAGAAACAACTCACAATATTCCAGGTAAATTTATTGACTTTGGCAACAAAAACTTAGTGTCACTGTGAAGGTGGTTTATTGTCAGAAGACAAAGAAGTGCTGAAATCATGACACGTACTCTGAAAGTGGAGTGACTCTGGTTTACCTCCATCTACATGAAAGAAAAGTTACCTAACAAGAAATTTGAGAGTTTTTCAGATCAATGAGATCTATCTAATTAGAGAAAGATAATTCATGAGAGAAAGAATATGGAAAGGGGATGGGACAATATTGCATTTGGAGAGGAGCCCTTCTTTCTGTAGATAAGGCTTTTTTTCTTAAAACCACAACCCAAGGGCACATAAAGTATTTTTAAGATAGCTGGGAAATGTCATTCTTCACTGTGAAGACCTAGTCCAACATATCAATATCCACAACAGCAGAACCAGAGCAGTGGCAAGAACTGAGTATTGGTGAAAACCAGGTTTAAAGGGGAAGAACAGAGGAAGGTTTGTTAGTGCTGGTCCTATAGGTAGCAAATGTTCTCACCATTTTCCTTCCAGGAAATTGATTTGTATTTTTCGTTAGATGTTATAACCCCAACATCAGCCAGGTGGATGTGATATCACACTAAGTATGAGGACTGAGGTTCTCAGAGTATGGTAAAAATATTTTCTCTGTTTTTAGGCTCTGGATACTAAATTAACACATAAGTCGATTACAATGAGATAACCAATTACCCTAGAACTGTGGTTGCTAAGCATTAAATATATATAATATAAAAGTATAACTATCTGTGAATTCTTTAAAATATGCGTGTGTTTTAGCTAATGCGTTGTGTGAAGTTTCTTTCTCTCAACTTTTATTTCTAATACATGACATTTCTGAATTCAAATAAAAATACCAAAAACATAAAAAATATACCTTAAAATGAATGATTGTGATATATCTAAGATTTTATTGCTGGCATACCTTGTCAAGTAGTCTTTTTTAAAAATCAAACATCGACACCCTTTATATTATTCTTTTTTTTTTTTTTTTTTTTTTTTGAGATGGAGTCTCACTCTGTCATCCAGGCTGGAGTGCAGTGGTATGATCTCAGCTCACTGCTGCAAACTCCGCCTCCTGGGTTCACACCATTCTCCAGCCTCAGCCTCCTGAGTTGCTGAGACTACAGGTGCCCACCACCAACCACACCTGGCTGGTTTTGGGTTTTTTTGTTTTGTTATTTGTTTTTAGTAGAGATGGAGTTTCCCTGTGTTAGCCAGGATGGTCTTGATCTCCTGACCTGGTGATCCTCCCACCTCGGCCTCCCAAAGTGCTGAGATGACAGGCATGAGCCACTGGGCCCAGCCTATATTATTCTTAAATTCAGCTCTGCAAATTTGAAACAACTCATGTCAGATTGCAACATAAGAGATACTTTTCTGCCTACTTCTGTTTCTAGGGCAATTTGGCAAGCATTATAGAAGTTATTTTTCAATAATGTTTCTAATCCCTTTGTCACTTTACAAAACCAGCAATTCTTAACTTTAAGCAGATCAGATAAACTTTTAAATATTCTTGTCCAAAATAAATAGTATACATTTTCCTCTTCAAACTAGGATATCTAGAACATCTGAAAAAAATATTGGGATTTAGTTCTTTCTCAAAGATGAATTTTCTTTCTTAAGGAACATTTGACTTGTGTTAACCTTGGTGAGTATTTCTAGAATTCTCCATTTATAATCAAGTCATGCAATATAAGGTGTACATTTCAAGGTTTATAATTTTTAAAACATATTCAGATCACTCAGAATAATTTACAACCATGTAGAAAAACTGAAAAATACATTGGATGTCCACATACCCATCACATATGTTATATAATTAACATTTTACTATATTTGTTTTATATACATACATTAATTTGTTCTTCTATCAATTTTGATGTATTTCAAACTGACATCAGTATACTTCACCAATAAATGCTTCAAAGGTCAATATTTGCTTTTCTTTTGCTCTCTCTCCCTTTCTGTTTTCGAGGTAAAATGTATATTAAATGAAGTGGTGCACAAATCTTAAGTTAATACTGTATTTTGACAAATGTGTAAACCAGTGTAATACAAATATCAATTTTTAGAATATTACCATTGCTCCCAAGAATGTTCTCTTGCCCCTTTTTAGCAATAGCCATTCCTTTTCTCACATGGTCTGCCATTGAGTTCGCTTTGGCTGTTCTGACACTTTTTCTAAGTTGGATTGTAGAGGATGGATTCTTCTGTAAAGTTTTTGAGATATTCCCATGGTGTTGTATGTCCGTAGCTGCTTCCTTTTTATGTCTAGACATCTTTTTGTGTATGTGTACCATGATTTGTTCAGCCAGTGTGCTGTTGAGGCACACCTAGATGATTTCTAGTTTTTGACAATTATGAACCATATGAATAATCTGCAATAAGCATTCTCTTACAAGTTTTTGTGTGGTCCTTTTTTTATTTTAAAGGAAATACTTAAGTATGGAAAAACTGAGTCAAAGGACATGAATATGTTTCATTTTATAAGAAGCCGCCAGGTCATTTTTCAAAGTGATCGGACTATTTTACCCTACCAACAATACAGGATAGTCAGTGTACCCCTGCATGTGGGGCAGGTTTTGGTGGTATTCGTTTTTGTTTTTTAAATATTGCCCTTTTGTTGAGTATGTGATGGTGTTTCATTGTGCTTTTAATTGGCATTTCTTTAATGAATAACGATGCTGAACATTTTTTCATGTGCTTTCTTGTACATCTCTTCTTTAGTGAGGTGTCTGCTTGAATCTTAGGCCTATTTGTTTAATTGGGTTGCTTACGTTTATATGATTGGGTTGTAGAAGTCCTTTGTATGTCCCGGATACCACTTATTTTCAGATATATGTCTTTAAAATATTTTGACAAGTCATGTCTTGGCTATTTATATTCTTAATATAGTCTCTTGATGAACAAAAATATATTGTTAGTACATAAAACAAAATAGATTTTTGCTTACTGGCCTTGTATTCTGCATTAATTCTAATAATTGTTTTATAGATTAATTAGATTTTCTACATAAACAATCATGTCATCTGCAAATACAGTTTTACTTCTTCTTTCTAAACTTTATGCTTTTTTGAAATTTTCTTGCCTTAGAGAACTAGTTAGGAACTCTAGTACAATGATAAATAAAAGTGATGAAAGTGGACATCCTTATCTCATTCTTAATTGTAGGGTGAAAATGTTCAATATTTCCCTGTTAACTATATGATGCCAGTTGTTAATTTTTTGGTAGATGCTTATTATAAAATAGAGGAAGTTTCTTTTTATTCGTTGTTTCCTGACAGTTATTGTCATGAATGGATACTGAATTTTGTCAAATGCTTTTACTGCATTGACTAAAATGATCATAGGTTTAAAAACATGTTGTTTTGCTTTATTTTCTTGTTTTTGTGCTAATACTGTGAATGACAGATTTGTTTTCAAATATTAAACCAGTCACATTGTCTGGGATGATCTCCACTTAGTCATAATGGTTACCCTTTTAATACATCAATGGATTCTACCTTTAAAAAAATCTAGATTCAAGGAGATGTTTTGTAAATTGTTTACTTCCTTTATTTTCTCAGCAAAGTGAATTTTCTCTTTGGAAATTTTTCTGACCTATTAATTGTAACTGCAAATCTTATTTCTGAGAACAGGTTTAGGTTTAGGCAGTTATTTAAAAATGTTTTAAGAAGAAATGACTTACAGAAGAAATATATTAATCCATGCACAAAATTCACTGGCTAATAGCTTACTGTTGCCGTTGGTGTGTCTTGCCCTCGGAGAACTTTTGACCTAGTGATTTTATAAAGATGGCACCCCTAATGGGGTGAACTCCTTACCCAGCTTTGTATGTGACAGACAGCTCAGTTTCTCAACAGTGTTGGGCTGCAGCTTTGTAGCTCTGTGGAACTGCTGCCATGGTATTCATAGCAATGAGAAAACTCAGCCCCAGGTTAAGTAGGTTGCAGAAAGGGCTTCCTAAGAACATGGAGAAGTGGCTTTTGTCAGATGGTTGTTCTGTTTATGCAGTATCTTCCCCCCCTCCCCCGCCGCTTTCCTTCCCCCTTAATTCTTTCTCACACTCTTTTGTTATGAAAGATGTAAATACTTATCAAAAGTTCCCACATCTCAGGCATCAAATTGTTAGTTATTTCAAGTGCTTCCTTTTCATCTTTGAGAACACTGTACCATCAGCCTGTTTGAATGAAGTAAAAAAGCTCAAGTACTATTGTAATAATTTTTTTAAGGTAGGAATTGGCTGGGTTAATAACTGCATTGAAACTGATAGGTTTGTCAGCAAGTTAAAATGTAATTATTTCATGAGTGGAAGATAAACTTTTACATCCCTATATAATCCTGGAGTAGCCGTTTAAGAAACAGATTCACCGCTGAGAGAAATGAAACAGCCAAAACAGCTGTCTGCGTGTATTAATTTAATGAAGGAAAACACCTCAAGTGGGTCTGCTGACGCTGACGTCATTTGGGGCTAAGTAGACTTTTGATTTTTTTTTTTCTAATCAACCTCTAAGATGCTATTATTTTAGTATCTTCTCAGCTCCACAGCCGGAAAAGGTTTTTAGAACCTATGGAACATCTCAACGATTTGTTTTAGGGCCAGACCTATAGGAACATGCCTATTTTGTTCCTATACAGATAGGACTCTTTTTGACACTTTGGGCTTTTTGTCTGTGTATTTCTTATAGAGGCCAAATTACAAATGGTGCTAAGTTGCTAAGACTACCCCCCACCCCCAAATCTTACTAAACCCATCATAGAACCAAAGCAGGACACTTAATGGCAACAAGCATCTTTTAAACATACCTGTTGCCTCCAGAAATCCACCTGTTATTTGGTGAATATGACCATTTTGAGGCCAATGAAGTTGAGAAGATCGATGTCACAGAAAAAAGAATATAGCCAGGGGATGTCACTGTGCCACGTCAGGGTGTGTGTATCCCACTCTCATGTGAAGATTCATAATGATAATTACATTTACTGGGCATGGTTTACATTTTGGGCCTTCAGCTAAGCTCTTGAAATCTTACAGGGATTCTTAGAGATAAAATATTCTCTGCATTTGCAAAATGGGGCAAATGTATTATTGAGAGGATATTACAGTCTTTTAAGGGCCTTGCTTTTAAGTGGCAGAGCTAGAATTTAAAGAAAGATTTGCTGATTTTCAACTTCATGTTTTCTTCCGCTGTGATGCTGCCTCTTCGCATAGCTCTATTCCCATGACTTAGGTCCAGTGATGCAAGTTGTACTCTATCTGTGAGCATTTATTGCTGTTTATTTTGGAAAAAGCAGAAGTCACTTAGTGATTCAGGAGAGGTAGGCTGGCAAAATAAACTGAGTGTAAAATCTAAACCAATAACCTCATCCAAATCGTATGGTCTCCTACAATTCCAGTTAACATAAATTTCTGGTTAGTGTAAACTACACCTATTCTCCGTCTTTATGGATAGATAGAGAAAAGATCCCACTTCACTTACTGAGAAATAAGTAAAAGTGAGCATTAACTTCTTATGTGTCAATGATAATCAGGCTACAGTCAACTGGTATAAAATTCCTACTTTCACAAATATAGAAATTGAAAAATGAGAGTCCACTGACTAAGATTTCTTTGCATTTTAACACAATAATGGTCAACTCAATATAAAATGAGAGATTATACACCACTGAAACTAGACCTCTTATTCAGAATATGACAGTTGTAGAATTCTCAAATTGGCTATGCCCTTAGTCAATTTACTTCATCTTTTAGTAGAGCAGAAATATGCAGCTTCTCAGTTCTCACTTGATTTTTTTGATCTTCTATTACAGCCTCCTAGTTCAATGGAAAATTGATTTGTTCACATTTTCTAGTAACATAGCAATAAGTGGACAAGCCTTGCTTGTCTGTGAGATCCTGGGTCCTCTTCAAACACACAGCAATCTACCAGCTCCTAAGTGTTCATCTCAACATCCACCAGCAAATTTGCTGCTTGTGTGTTTCTTGAGATGGGTCTGTGTTCCAGCAGAGCATCTGGGAGTTCATTTAACCTTGTAAGCTAAGTGAAAAATGATCTCTAGGGAAATCTATTATTTCTCTGAGAATTTCTGATAGTATATAATCTGTGATGATGGTGCTTCTATCACGACACAAAATTAGAAGTTTTTTTTTTTGAATTTGTGCCTTAACTTTTTAATGTGTAGAATAGCAAATGTTTGTATTACATCATTTTATTGCACATATATTATCTTTCTTTTTTTATTATTTTATTATTATTACACCTTAAGTTTTAGGGTACATGTGCACAATGTGCAGGTTAGAAGTTTTAAACTGAAGAAATGGGAAGTGTATTTCCAGTTAAAAAATAACTAATTATCTCTTTAATATCCTTTCCATAATCTGTAACTCTAGATTAATTTGATATATAATGGGCAATCACCCTAGAAACCAAATCTGTGACTAGTTAAGAAGATGCAGCTTAAACAATTTAAATTGATTTATTTTAGAAGACACATTTATTCTAACCATAGACAGTTATCAGTTATTAGTCATTGATGTATGGCAACTGGTCTCTCTTCCAGCATAAAGTTATTATAATGTACAATAAAAATTAATTTAATCAATGTTTACTTCACAGAATTACCAAAATGGCCATTTGGTCATATTAACTACAGGTTCCAGAATTCTTCCTAGGGTCAGGCTGTTTTTGATAAGATGCCTCCTTAAAGGTAGTCTAGTTGTGACAAAAACAACAAGATAATAGTCAAATTTCTGGATAAGGTCAGACATTAAAGATTATCTTGAGATGAGAAAGAAAGAAAAGGTCAAGGGGTGAATGAGAGGGTTGAGGAAAAAGAGTCAAAAGGTGTGGATTTAAGGGACTCCCTGGGCTGCTGTGGAGGGAGTAGATTAAGAAGACTTCAGGAGATGAATGTCTAATTTACCATAAGTTATTTGCCACCATGAATATAAGTTTATTTTTTACCTTAACTATTGCCACACAATTATAAATGAAACCAATCATAATCTGAAGTTATGAATGGGCAAATTATTGAAATTCCAAAGAAAAATGAAGATAGCATAGGTAACAGGCTGGGACCAGACATGACTATGGGAACATGAGACCCCCAGGGAAATTGAAGTATCTTGTTGAGGGCTTTAAATTTACATTGACATCATAAAATTTTGGAGCCACCCCTTCCTCACATCCAGAGGTTGAAGGCTGGGGTGTAGTGGACACCTGACTTCCTCACAGTCACTCATTCGTAGCAGACATTCTACTTCTTGAATGCATATTTCAATCACCCGGGGAAGCAGCTGACACTTTCCAATGCTTAGGTCCTGCCCTGGAGACTCTGACAGTTTTTTAGATAGAACCTGAACATCATTACTATTTTAAAGCTTCCAGATAATTGTAGCATATAGCCAAGGTTGAGAGGCACTGATCTAGAGCTACTTTGCCAAGAAATTTGTGATGATAGTAATATAGTTTGGATATTTGTTCCCTCCACATCTCAAATATGATCCCCAGGGTTGCAGGTGGGGCCTGGTGGGAGGTGTTTGGATCATGGGGCAGATCCCTCCTGAATGGTTTGGTGTCAGCCCTTTGGAGATGAGTGAGTTCTCCAGAGACCTGGTTGTTTAAGAGACTGTGGCGCCTCCTCATGCTGTTGCTCCGGCTCCTGCCAAGTGAGATGCCTGCTCCCCCTTCACCTTCTGCCATGTTTGAAAGCTTCCTGAGGCCTCCCCAGAAGCAGATGACACCTCCACATTTCCTGGACAGCCTGCAGAACTGTGAGCCAAATAAACCTCTTTTCTTTGTAAATGGCCCAGTTTCAGGTACTCCTTTATAACAATGCAAAAAGTGTCTAACACAGACAGAAAATATATTGATAAAAAGGTGCAATGAAGTGGTCCCTCATGTTCACCGCAGGACATCAAAACTAATTTTAGCAACGTTTTTTGGTTTCTCCAAGGACTGATATAATTACTGCCATTCTAGATGCACTTTAGAGAAGTTAATTCACTACATACAATGGCCTTTTTAGAGCATTAGGACTTAATTTTCCTCACAGAACCCCTGTTAAGAAAGTCTGGTAGACAGAAGAGGAGCATTACAGAGAGTGAAACAGCAAGTCCAGAATGACTTATATTTGAGATACATTACTTAGTCCTGGAATAGTGCAAAGTCCTGGGTGCCCAGACCATGACGGGCTAGCATCCCTCACTCTTGTGCCCAGGAAGAACATAGCTAACTGGTGATGGCACTCTTGCAACTTGAGCCAAAGCTCTACCACACAGTCCTACTTAACACTCGTTCCTTTTAGCAGTGAATAGCCATTCAATTCAAGTTATGCTATGCATTCAAATGAAATGGCATCATGGCATTAGGCAAGGAGAACAAATTATTTGTTGTCCAAATTGAGATTGTGTGTTTGTGTGTGCACGCATGCGCATGTGTGTGTGTGTGTTTAGGAGAAACCATTAATAGTTACACTGAAACATCAATCAAGTGAGACCTCCTCAAGCAAACGGAGAGACCCACTCATCTTAGTGCTGCACAGGGAGGTGTGTCATTAGGAAGGACACTGTTTTTTAATAAGATAATGAATTTATTAGGACAACATGAAGAGCACCAAATTATGAAAAGGAAAGCAGTAGAGTAACTAGAGTATGTGCTCTGGAGTCAGACAGAACTGTGTTTGATAGAAAGCTCAATGGGCAAAGAACATGAACAGACACTTCTCAAAAGAAGACATTTGTGCAACCAAAAAACACACGAAAAAATGCTCATCATCACTGGCCATCAGAGAAATGCAAATCAAAACCACAATGAGATACCATCTCACACCAGTTAGAATGGCGATCATTAAAAAGTCAGGAAAAAACAGGTGCTGGAGAGGATGTGGAGAAATAGGAACACTTTTACACTGTTGGTGGGGCTGTAAACTAGTTCAACCGTTGTGGAAGTCAGTGTGGCGATTCCTCAGGGATCTAGAACTAGAAATACCATTTGACCCAGCCATCCCATTACTGGGTATATACCCAAAGGACTATAAATCATGCTGCTATAAAGACACATGTACACGTATGTTTACTGCAGCACTATTCACAATAGCAAAGACTTGGAACCAACCCAAATGTCCAACAATGATAGACTGGATTAAGAAAATGTGGCACATATACACCATGGAATACTATGCAGCCATAAAAAATGATGAGTTCATGTCCTTTGTAGGTACATGGATGAAGCTGGAAACCATAATTCTCAGCAAACTATCGCAAGGACAAAAAACCAACCACCGCATGTTCTCACTCATAGGTGGGAATTGAACAGTGAGAACACATGGACACAGGAAGGGGAACATCACACACCAGGGACTGTTGTGGAGTGGAGGGAGCAGGGGGAGGGGGAAGGGATAGCATTAGGAGATATACCTAATGCTAAATGACGAGTTAATGGGTGTAGCACACCAACATGGCACATGTATACATATGTAACAAACCTGCATGTTGTGCACATGTACGCTAAAACTTAAAGTATAATAATAAAAAAAAAAGTTAAAATATTAAAAAAAAAATCTCTTAGCTCTGCAGCTTCATTATGGCCAGTGCTGGTTATCTGAATTTTCTGCCTTTTTCACTATTATATTCCAACCGCTTGCTATGAAATAGCTTTTCAATAAATGTATTCGGATGTTTGGATACATGAATGAATAAATAAGTTCTAGAATCTTTCTTCAGTTGATTTTCCCTGCTGGGAATATATTCTGCAGAAATGGATATCTCTCTTAATATCAAGGCTCAGAACTCAATACCTAAATTCAAGTATGATCTATCAGCTCTTGTATAGGAAAGTTAAGCAGTCTCATAGGTTATGTGTTTGTATAACAGCTTTATTGAATTTTGCTCTTAATAAGCTAGGGCATAGAAAAATTCCAGGTCTTTGTGAAACAATACTGTCTCAAAAACTGTACATGTTTTTGAGATTGAACATGTATTTACATGTATTTATAGAGATTGTACATGTATTTATAGATTGAATTTCAGATCTTTGCATTTATCCTTGTTAAATTAATCTCAGGCACTTTAGTTCTATGTTTCTTCCACATTTGATTACTTTGGATTTTGATTCGGTCTTTATCATCTTGTTTCTTACTAGTTTCAAAGCACTGTATGTAGTCTTAAGTCATTGATAACCCTGTTGAGTAAGAAGGAGTGAAGGCAAGAGTTCAGTGCCCACCACTATAGTCTCTTGTCTCCTTTAATATTAGTTAGTTTATCAAACACTAGTGAGACTGGTTCTCCAGTGAGTAGCACATCAGCTCAATAGTGCTGTCACCATGCTCTGGTTTTATTGCCTTATCTAAACAGTATCTTAGCAGGGATAGGTGTCCTTTCCATTCTCCCTCCATTATTTTAGCGATTGGTGCTTTCCCTACAAATAATATTAACTTATATTTGGCATGTCAGCATAATAAACACATGGAACTATTTTGACTGCTTTCTAATCTTTTTTTTTTTTTTCAGACTGAGTTTTACTCTTGTTGCCCAGGCTGGAGTGCAGTGGCACAATCATGGCTCACTGCAACCTCCATGTCCCGGGTTCAGGCAATCCTCCTGACTCAGCCTCCTGAGTAGCTGGGATTACAGACTTGCACAACCACGCCCGGCTAATTTTATATTTCAGTAGAGAGGGGGGTTTCACCATGTTAGCCAGGCTGGTCTCAAACTCCTGACCTCAGGTAATCCACCCACCTCAGCCTCCCAAAGTGCTGGGATTACAGGCGTGAGCCACCGTGCCCGGCTAATCTCTTTTCTTTTAAAGATGTGAATAATCCAGACTGCAAGCATTTCAAAAATATGGTTATATTATTAGGACACAAAAATAATCTATTCATATTAAGCACCTAATAACAAGACTGAAGAATTGACCTTTGACTGTCTAATGATTCACTTAAGCCATTATATGGAAGGTTCTTCAAATAGTGTAAAAGGATGGAGGATTGTAATTAGCTGAAATTTTATTAATTTGAAGCATAACATACATAGTTTGTTAAAAGACCAAGAAGCCACCATAGACAATTAGCAATGGAATATTTATCACAAAACTTCCTCAAAAGCAGTGAAGTTAGAGGAGCTAGAGGTAAAGGTGTTTTTTGGTTTTGTTTTGTTTTTGAAAATACTTGCTTAGAGATCTGAGAATCCAGAATTTAACAATACACCACTGTCTCTCCATCCTAACATTTCCTATTGTTCTGTTGCTTGGCACCTTCTCTAGGGCTGTTTCCTGATTCTGGGAGGCCCTGTCCTCAGAATTTTAGGGCTGGAGGAGAACCTACAAATAATACAGTCACATACACTGCTCAAATTATAGATAGAATTGAAATCCAGAGAACAACTTTTTACAGATATGTTAATGAATCCACATTTCCTGATTTCCCATACAGAAGGCAGCATAGATCGCCTCAAAGCTCCCAAATGCTGGGTCTAGATTGCAAGTCTTCCAGTCCTGGTTAAGTTGTTTACAGCAGCAGTGCAACCTCGGGCATGAGGCTTATCGTTTCTAAATCTCAGTTTTATTATCTCTAAAATGGGACAATAATATCCCTGACCTCACAGAGCTGTTGCAGGGCTTAACTTGGGTTAATAGTTATGAAAGGCTTGAAATAGGGCCCTGCTCATGGGAAACACCACTTGCTAGCCAGAGGCAGCTCTGTTTTATTAAAATTGCTCTACTTCACTCCTTCAAGGATGAGCTCATCCTCCCTCTTTTCGAAGAGATCTTTCAAACCAATTTCAATTGCTTCTTCCCTCAAAATTCTGTCTTGCCAATTACTTCATTCTGCTTTAAATAACTAGATGTCTTTCTCCCTAAGTAAGGTTCTTTGTGCAATAGGCCCTATAGAATATTTCAAGTTAAATACATGCTTGTGAAATTGAATTGCATTGTTCTTTAGGATATTGAACTTTAGAGGTAGCTTTTATCTTTTTTTCTATCCTCAATAGTATTTAGATGGAGGCTTCATATTTCTTGAAGGAAACACTCAGCCAGCTTATGAACAACTCTTGTTAGGCTACTCAAAAGAGGAAGCTTGGTGATTGGGTCTGAAAAGGAAATCCAGTTCTCTGTGCCAAATAGCCATAGCCCTGAACAAACTTGAAGAGAAAGCACAATGCAAGCTTTTTGTTTCAAATTTTAAAAAGCAAATGTATCATCACAAACTTTTGTTCAAATTTTTGTATTTCTTTTCTTTTTGCAACCTTAATTTCTTTTTTTCTTCCCATGAAAAGTTAACTCACTTGAAAAATGATCAAATAATTTAGACACCTATATTCTAGATTCATAAATATTCTGTTTCTTAAGAAGTTCTTCTTAAGAAATAAAATAAAATGAAAATAAAATTCTTCCAAACAGTCAAAATGACTGTAATAGATCATTGCCATATTTTGTTGGACTACTTTAAAAAATTGAAGTTCTGTTATTATACTCTAGAGACAAAAAGTATTTTTGAAGAAATACAGTAAGAGTATTAAAAAGTATACAAAATGCACAGTATTTTAGAGCCAGGATTATTCTAAGAAACAATGGAAAAATAGTGTAATTATGTGTGTGAGATGGAATTTAAAAATTACTTAATGAAAAAGAAAATTTTAACTACTTAATTTCTGTGTACTTATCTACTTGAAATGTCAATATGCCTATTTTTTAAAATTATAAGAACATTAACACATGTTCATATCACACAATTTTAGTTTTGTGTATTAATTTCTTCTACATGCAAAGTTAGAATATATAATAATAATTGGGGTAATTGGCTAACATTGTTTCATTGTTTTTGTTATATAATGTTCTATGTACTTGTTGCACTTAATATAAGATGACCAATATTATTTTAGCTTTTTGCTTTTTACAATTATTCATTTTAATAACTGTATGATATTTTATTCTGTTATATCAAGAGCCTGAAATTTAAATTATTTTATGACTCAAGATAACATGATACCATCAATTGAGTTTTTC
The DNA here is from genome assembly GCF_000001405.40 of Homo sapiens. Classification (NCBI taxonomy): domain Eukaryota; kingdom Metazoa; phylum Chordata; class Mammalia; order Primates; family Hominidae; genus Homo; species Homo sapiens. The sequence goes on along the minus strand of NC_000013.11, from coordinate 107,426,825 downwards.
CAAGCAGTATGCTACTATGAATAAAGAAAAAAGAAAAAATATCTAGAAGTAGTCTAATTAAACCCTTTGATTTGTGTATTTTAAAATAGTGCTTATTTTGTTGAAAAAAATTGAGAAATGTTGAAGCTACATTAACACTTCTAGACTAGGACCTATTTATATACAAGCAATTTATGGAGGCCACATTCTTTAGTTCATCTCAAAAGCACATGTGATTTGACCCTTCGCAAGCTCTTTCCTTTTTTATGGTTGATTGCTTATGAAAATATGGTAAAAAATAATTAACCCAAACACATTTCTAAATTTCAAAGATTGTGGAGGGGCCTGGGCATTCAGATATGGGGAAAATCTCACGGCCTCTAACAGCAGTCATATGAAGGTTCAAATATTTGTCCTGTCCGTCAGTTTCCTAAACTTTCTAAACTTTTTTATACCATATTTATTCATTTGTTCAACAACGCCTGTTCTCTTGGCGCTGTCAAGCACAGGTGGCAGATATTAAGTAAGTATAGGAAGGAACACACAGGGAAAGAAACCTCATTCTACAACCTCACCTAACAAAAACTTGATCTTGATTCAAAAGTCAAAGAAGGCCTTCCTGAGGAAGTAATTTTGAAATCTGAGGAATGAATAAAAGTAAAGTTGGAGGTGAGGGATGGATACAAACTGTCAGGGAGCATTTCTGCAGAGGAGACAGAAAGCACCTCGCCCTGGTGGAGGGGAGAGCCTGGGATCTTCCAGGAGCAAGAGGAGGCCACAAAGTGCACAGCAGCGAGTAAGGTCCTGAGGAAAAAGATGTCTAACATAGTTTCACAGAAAGGAGGTATCCAATACTATAGTGCAGAGATATCTAATATCAAAGTACAGAGAGATATCCAATATCATAGTACAGAGACATTTAATATCATAGTACACAGATATTTAATATCATAGTATGTAGACATCCAATATCATAGTACAGAGATATCCAATATCACAGTACAGAGATATCTAATATCTTAGTACATAGATATCCAATATCATAGTGCATACTCAACACCATACTACAGAGGGATCCAATATTTTAGTACATAGACATCCAATATCATAGTACCCAGATATTCAACATCATAGTAAATAGGTATTCAATATCATAATATGTAGATTTCCAAATCATAGTAGAGAGATATCCAATACCTTAGTACATATATATTCAATATCATCGTAATATACAGATATCCAACATCATTGTACAGAGATATCTGATATCATAGTACATGGATATCTGATATCACAGTACATAAATATTCAACATCATCATTTGTACATAGATGTTAAATATCATAGTACCTAGTCAACATCATAGTACATTGATATTTAATATGTTCTTTAAAAAATAATAAATGAGTCAATATTTTCTGAATAACATTTCTAAGTTGGGCTTTTCTTTCCTTCTTTCATACACTTATATTAAATATGTGCTGTCTTTATGCTATTTGGGAAAACACGTTTATAGTATTTTAGGCTAGATTCACTGATGGGGCTTTTCTCTTTAGAAACGCACTTAGTTTATGATGAATTACTAACAGGAAGAACATATCTAAATTTTCACCCACAACTGAGTTGTGGTTTTGCATATTGCTTCAACCCATAGCTCCAAACTTCACCTTTGGCGAGGGAGGATTCTTTTCTCAAAATTTAATAGCAGCTTAGACTTTGTTCAAATCAACTTTCTTTCGTAATGTTGTAAGTAGAAAAATTAGGAGCAAAATACGACTTTCATTTGCTAGAGAAGACGTGGTTTGTCTAACAGCGACAATCTAAAAGCAAATACTTCTTTCTCACTGAATGAGGAAGAATGAGGAGCTTTGTGACTGACAAGTGAAAGGATGATATATTTGATGTGTTCCATTTATATGTAAATGCTAAGGAACATAGACAAGTATACCAAGTAAAGTTTTATTTATTTACCTAGAATACCAAAGTTGCATGTAAATGCACTGTTATGTACGAATCATAAGAGGTTGCAAGGAAGGAGATGGATAGATGGTTTGAAAGGAGGTAGATACATAGAACCAACAATGCTACATTTATATGAGTAGTAGATGATAAATATCAAGTATCTCTCCCATGCTTTTGGTTTGAAGTTAGCCAGTATTCTCCACCAGTAAATCAGAATGTGTTCATTTTACAAGTGACTGTCATTGCTCTCCTTCCTTCTGTTTTTCTTCTCCTTCCCTTTCTTGCTTTTGCTTCATAAATCTTCATATTTTATTCTCAAGTACATGGTTGTCATGATTTGTAGCAGCAGAGGTAGGTATGCAGCTGGCTATTATGTTTCAAAATAGAAATGCCAGTATCCCTATCACCTCCCCCATCACGTTTACATTGATTATAAGGAATATTGACACCAGGGGCGGTGGCTCCTGCCTGTTAATCTCAACCCTTTAGTAGGCTGAGTGGGGCGGATTGCTTGTTCTCAGGAGTTCAAGACTAGCCTGGGCAATGTGGCAAAACTCCATCTCTAGATAAAATAGACAGATTAGCCAGGCATGGTGGTGTGCACCTATAGTCCCAGCTACTTGGGAGGCTTAGGCGGAAGAAAGGCTTAAGCCTGGGAGGTGGAGATTGCAGTGAACTGAAATCGCACCTCTGCACTTCAGCCTGGGCAACAGAGGCAGACCCTGTCTCAAATAAATAAATAAATAAACAAGTAAATAGCTGTATCTTCCTCATTACAGCAGAATTACAGTTAATAAGTACAGGAGAAATTATTGAAATAGAAAGTCACACTTAGCAAACATCCCGGTAGTAATTGCTTCAGACCATTCCCATCAATGGATGCTAAATCTAGTAGCCTACAGTAGAGGACTACTGAAACACATCATCCCAAGCACATAATACAATCTTACTTTGCAGCAAAAAATGTCTTGCAAGTAAATAATTTGAAGATTAATAATCAGCCTGGCGAATTATTCTAAAGCTTTTGGAAGATATACATGATCATACATATGTCTTATGTTAACTCATAATTTATTGGCTTTCCAGGGCAATTCCAAAGCTCAAAATGCTTTTTGGTCTCCAAGATTGATTTTATTTTTCAAATAAGCTGAAAATATTCAGTATGAGAATATTGTAGATTCTCATCAGAAGAAATTATAATGAGGTATACCAGTAAAGCTTAAGGCAGGGTTTAGTCACACATCTTCTCTGTCTCCTCATTTTTCTCTTTTATCATTTGAGAAGAAAATAAAGAAAATTTTGTTTTCAGAAACCCGAGTTTTTTTTCCTCTTTTTGAAATAATATTTGCTGCTTGTAAGGAAGGCTTCTTTTGGGAGCACTGGATTTCCCCACCAGAGAAGATGGAAAATTCTATAAAATACTGCCAGTGACAATAGACAGGGCTGCAGAACAGGGCAAGACGGACATCTCCACCGACGAAAGCTTTCTTTCCTGTCTCTTGTTCATCATTCTGCTCACTGTGTCTTAGACTTCCTGAATTTAGGACCTTTTACCCCACATTATCTTTCCTTCTTATTTTTCCCAGCATTCCTGACCTCTGCTCCTCAGACTGTGCTAATAGCTGTCACTAATTTTCAATTGAGTTTCCTTCATTAAGTCAACAGTAAAAAGAAATGCATTAGCATGCTGTAGACTTCCACCACAGGGATTAATGTTTTCATATCCCAAATGTGAACAAAACTGATGTATTTCAGAGTCAGTACATCATCACTGCATTAGGTTCTCATGGCTGCCATAACAAATGAACACGAATGTAGGGGTGAGAAACACCACAACTTTATTATCTTACAGTTCTAGAGGCCAGAAGGTCACAATAGGTTTCCCTAAACTAAAATGTAGGTGTCGGCAGGATTGCAGTCCTGTTGGACGCTCTAGGAAAGCATTCATTTCCTTGCCTTCCCAGCTTCTAGAGGCCGCCTTGTTCCTTGGCTTGTGGCCCCAGCCAGGAACAGCATCTGTCTCTCTGACCTCAGCTTACTTAGTGACATCTTCTCCTCCAACACCCTGACTTCTCCTTTTCCCTTATAAGGAACATTGTAATTATATTAAGCCCACCAAGATAATATAGGATAATTTCTCTATCTCAAAATCCTAACTTAATCACATCTGCAAAGTCCCATTTGCCATGTAAGCTGTCTTTTCACAGGTTCTAGAGATAACTGTTTTTTGAATCAAAGATAAGGAAGTGGCTTTTGCGGGGAGCCATTACTCTGCCTGCTATGCTTAATTTGCCATCATTATGCAGTAAAGACAACATGAAGCAGGAAGTTGAAGTTGTAAAAATAACCGACCCTACTTGGGCCCATCAATGTCCTGAATGTGATGATGATGATGATGATGATGATGATGACTGTTATGATTATTATTATTCATGCAGTAGTTTTTAAACTCTATTTTATGAAACTCTAATGTGTCGTGGAATTTCTCTCTGGCTAGTTTAAAACAAAGTGTGGTCAGTGGACAGTTGTTGATTTAAGCTTTTCTTCATCATGTCCATGTACTGAGGTAAGAGCATGAAAGCAGTTGAGTTTTTAAGGCTTATAAACAATAAAGAGCATATTTTTGTATCAATCTTATCAGCAGTAAATAGTAAACTCCTAACAGGGAGAATAATACAAGTTTCACTTTTTGCTACGATGCCCAGCACAGTCATGTTTAGAGAGGAATTTGATGAATGCTTTTCATAAGAGTCATTGTTCCCATGATGATGAATGGGAACAGTGGTTCCACCCCAAGGAGTGATCTATAAAGTACCTGGAATACATCTTATGGGTAAGGGTTGAATGGTGACATGAAGAGAACTGCTACTTCACAAGGAATAGAATGCCAAAAGAGGATTTTATGCCTTATTCACTGTCACCTTCAGAAAACACAATTCATGTTGCTCTGCTCCTCAATCCCCAGTGTTGTCATTTTGCCTGTTCCAAAGTTTTGTACTAGGACTTTGTTGAAGATTGGGCTAAAAACCAGCAAGATACTGACCTTTTATGCCATCCTGGAACATGTTTTCAATGACTGCAGAAAAAGAAGAAAGGTCAAAAATTGACAAGGCAAGCTTTCTGTGACACTTACTGACAGTTTCCCAGCCATCACCAAGTCTACCAAGGGGACATCATTGACCTCATTTTGCTGCATTTGTGATAGCCGTCAGGGTAAGGAGGCATCATTATAAAATCAGAGCATAACTACCCTCTCGTTTGTCTTTCTGGTTTTCTATGTTTATGTTGTGATAACTGTCAGGGTAAGGAGGCATCATTATAAAAAACAGTATAGCTACCCTGTGATCTGTCTTTCTGGTTTTCTATGTTTATGTAATGAAATAAATTATACTTGGCATAATTCATCTTATCTCTCATTTATAATTTACTGTTTTTTGAATCAAAGGTATAATGCCCCATTTTAACAAATAGATATTTTATTTCCATAAATTACACAACATAGTCTCAGTAAAGAAATATGAAACTATGATTATCTGGCAAGTAAGATATACTAGAGCAGTTAAAATTCTCTTTGTTAATGAGTATTGAGATATATCTGAGGAGGAAGCACCAGAGAAAGTGCAGAACAAATCTGGGCTTTGGAAGGTTATGAATCATCTGAGCTCTACGAAGACCAATGTTTATTTAAGGTCTCAATGCTGATGGTGAGTGTATGTGAAATTGATGTTTCACTTTTACATTCTTAGAATAGAGGGTGCCTTGCCCCGAAGTCAGTATTTTTGGATAAAAGTGTTATTTCTTTCCATATTTGAAGTGCCTGTAGCATAATATACTGATGAGTTAAAACCAACCAAAACTCCCATTATGAGCTTTTATTTGCATTGTTTGGTAATAGTAGATAAGACAGCCCCTCAAATAAAGATAATGGGGATATAACAACAGGTGATATTAGATAGCATGCCTAGAAATACGAGAAACATGAAAAGCAAGAAGTTATGAAATGTCTTCTAGCTAATGACAAAGAAGGCACACAAAAACGAAAGTGAGAAATTAATTAATGGATACAATGTATGTTATTCAGGTGATGGATACCCCAAAAGCTCTGACTTGACCATTACATAATCTATGGATTTAACAAAATTGCACATGTACTCGATGAATTTGTGCTTAAATAAATAAATAGAAAGCATATATTTGTATGGGTATATGTATGATTGCTTCTTCCTAGATTAATGTATTGAATGAATTAAATTAGAAATCCTAAAGAGACAGGGTCACTTCTGAAATGAAGGCATATGTGGAGTCATCCTGTTCTAAGTGACTACCACTATGATGTTACTTGTCAGCTGAAATTTCTCTAGGAAAAGTGTCAAAGACATTTGAGTTTTAACAGAATTAATTTTTGCCAGTTAGAGAGAGAGAAAATCTGACTTCATAATAAAAAAATGCTAAAACATGATGTATTTGTTTTTCCTTTATACAATTAACATAATTATTATTTTATTAGTTTATTTTCCTCTAGAAAGGAATAAATATGTATTTATAATATCACGTTAGCAATGTATGAGAAGTTTTATACTAGAAGAACCATCTAAAGTTTGGCTTTAAAACAATTTGATGATTACCTTCCTCTTTTTGTTTTGTCTTTCAAAATTAGCAAAATATCTTTATTGCTATTGCTGACTATAAAAACATGTAAGAAATTCAAAGTAGCACCGATTCAAAATGGAATTCTCTTTAGTAGCATTCATCTTTCAGTTCTCTCTGGGGAACACTGAAATTGAATTCTGTAGCCATAGTGTCCTAATAAAAATTGAGGATAGAAATAGAAAGTAAGAGGCAAAATGGCTTCCCGGAGTTTAAACCCAGAGTCACTTCCATTTTTGTTACTTTTCAGTTCCATTTTTGAAGTACCATCGAGCTTGGTCTTCAGAAGAATCAGACATGTAACATATAAGTAAATTGTTGTCTCAACACCGCATGGCAAACTGGCTTCTCAGTTTTCCAGAGAGATTGAGAATTAACTAATGAGCAATTGCACTTGCAGATAAAAACAAAAACTATTTTGCACTGTCAGAGAAATAGTTTATCAATTTGCTTATTCCACTTGTTCATGTGATTAGATTACCTCTACAATATTTTATAATTTTCCCTCTTTTAATATTTCATACATCATGCTTATTAAAGATTTTGAAAGAATTTAGAAAGGCTACATAAAAAATTAAAATCTTAGCACCACTTAATTATTTTATTAGAATCGTAGTTTTTACAGAGGGGAGGGGCCACAGAGTTCAATCTCCCAATGGGGACTTCCACCTGTGCCTCAGCATCCTCACCTGGTGGCTTTCTGATCTAGACTTTCACCTCTTCAGTGATATGAAATCTACCGCCTCTTGCAAGAGTCAATGTTATTTTTATTCAACTTCATCCTTTTCTGTACAAAACTTATATCTCATTTTCTGTTCATGACAGGATTAGCTTTACAGCGATATTGTGTGAATCATGGCCTATATGCAGAAAACTGCCTGGGTTTAGAGACAGGCACATATGGTACACCCAACAATAAATATTATCTTTATTAACAAATATAGCTTTAAAAATCTTTAAACGTATATAATTTGGGGAAAAACCTACCTTTGTTTTAATCTGATCCAATTTTAATTGAGGAATCACTTTTAAATAAATCATGCAAATCTCCAAACGAAAATTAGAAAGAACTGTAGATTCCTGTGAAGAAAATAAATCTAGTCAACACATATGCAGCTTAGTGAATCTGCACTTTGTATGTGAGGCCAGTTAACCTCTGAAGCACAAGAAACTTCACTGATGCTGTCATATTATTTATTTATATTTGTTTATATTTGCATTGGGTAGAATTATGATTTTATATACTCAGCTTTATTTAAAGTGATATTCTTGCCATCTACTTTTCTTCTCCGTCTCAGGTAATAAAAGATAAAATTCAATGTTAGTCAACAATTTTCTGGAACAAAGTTAAGAATTCTTAAGTGAGATTACTTATTTTAGATTTTGAGTACGTGTAAGTGATTTGTGTTTCAGGGGTATTACATGTATGTGTGTAAGAAATGAATTGTAATGATAAATGGGAACTAAACATTGAGTCCACATGGTCACAAAGATGGAAACAATAGGCACTGGGGACTGTTAGAGTGGGGAGGGTGAGAGAGGAGTGAGGGTTGAAAAACTTCCTAGCAGGTACTATTCCATTACCTGGGCAATGAGATCATTTGTACCCCAAACCTCACTGACATGCAATTTACCCATGTAACACACCTGCACATGTACCTCAGAGCCTAAAATAAAAGTTGGGGGAAAAAAAGAAATAGATTGTATTATCTACAGTTGTGTACAAATAATCTCAAAACTTAGCAACCGAGAGAAACAAATCTTTATTATCTCATCGTTTCTGTGTGTCAGGAATCCAGGAAGACAGAGAGAAAAAGAGTGAACCCAAGCTGCAAGCCACAAGCACAATCGTTTTACAGCCTCATATTGGGAGTTGCATCCTGTCACTTCTGCCATAGCCTTTTCATCAGAACTAAGGCAGTAAGTGATCCCTGCTCACACTCGAGGGGAGGGGATTACTCCAGGGCATGGATGCTGGAGACAGGAATTGCTGGGAACCCTTGTAGAGACTTCCTGCATAGGGATAGTCTCCAAAGAGCACACAACAGTCACATGATTAGAGACAGTAATTTTACCTCTACTGGGCCAAACTCGTAGAGAACAAATAGTACCACTGTGAATAGAAAAATGTCTTCTATTTAAGCCCATGTATTTAATTAATTGATTTATTTATTTTGAGACACAGTCTTGCTCTGTCACCCCAGCCTGGAGTTCAATGGCGTGATCTCAGCCCACTGCAACCTCTGCCTCTCTGGTTCAAGCGATTCTCCTGCCTTAGCCTCCTGAGTAGCTGGGATTACAGGCATGTGCCACCCTACCCGGCTATATTTTGTGTTTTTAGTAGAGACGGGGTTTCGTCATGTTGGCCAGGCTGTTCTTGAACTTCTGACCTCAGGTGATCTGCTGGCCTCAGCCTCCCAAAGTGCTGGGATTACAGATGTAAGCAACTGCGCCCAGCTAGCCCATGTATTTTTGAATATAATAAAGAAGGAAAAGAGCCAGAGGCCATATTTGAATTCTTAAAAATCCTTCCATTTAATACATTGGTGATATTACGAAACAGGATGCAGGAAGGAAGACAAGGACTGGAGTGGAGTTGTTACTGCCGTACATGGATCCCATTGCTTTATAGAGAAATAAGCACCTTACACACCCAGTAGATGTTACAGTCTACATCTAGGCCAGGAAGACACAAAGTTCAGCATATTGAGACAATTAAATATTAAAAATGTATTCCACAAACAAATATCAGAGGAATTTTGATATAATGAAATGTTAAGCTGCACTTGATCATTTTTACACTAGACAAATTTGGGGTTGTTAGATGAAGATAATAGATACCTACTTTTATGAAGACCTGAGATACCTCTTGGAAAGTCTGATGTGGTTGATATCTGTTGTGCAAACAAAATCAATACCTGATAGAACAAGAACTCACTCTGAGTCAATAGTGAAAAGCACAGACAATGGTTAGGGACCCAGGACAAAAATGGTTTGAGTATAAGATAAAACAGGGTGCTCAGAATGTCTTCCAGCCTAGCTTCAGGAAAAAACTTCTGCATTATTAGAAATGATGTTAGGAAGAAAGAAAAATACTTAAAGAGTTAAACAACAGTATGCATTGTGTCCCAGATCCACATAAGAAACTGAGTGAAGAAGGAGGTGAGAATGGATAATGTCGGGATGGGATGAACATTTTCCCACATTGACTGAATGAAAGTTGGCACAAGGTGCCACCGTGAGCATCAGTGTGATGGGAACCCACCCTCACTGGAGAGGGGAAGTCAATTCCACATCGGGTCTTTATAGACAGGGTGTAAGGACTGGTGTCTTCCTTCATGGTGCTTTGAATAAAGTCGAGTTGAAATAGGGCAATGCAAGCAAGAGAAAAAGCAGTCTATGAGTTGATATGTAATGTAAATATGTAAATACTGTTTTAAAGAACACATATTTGGGAGGAGGATACAATAATTCAAGTGACCCTTGAGCAACGTGAGGGTTGGGGATAGACCCCCTCAGAAATCTGCATGTAACTTTTGACCTTCCAAAACTTAGCTACTAATAGTCTACTGTTGACCAAAAGCTGTACTGATAACATAAACAGTCCATTAACACATGTTTTGTGTGTTGTATGTATTATATGCAGTATCTTGCAACAAGTTAAGCTAGAGAAAAGAAAATGGTTTCCAGAAAGTCATAAGGAGGAGAAAATATATTTACTATTATTTAAGTGGAAGTGGATAATCATAGAGGTCTTCATCCTCCTAGTGTTCACTTTGAGTAGGATGAGGAGAAGGAGGAAGAGGAGGGGCTGGTTTTGCTGCCTCAGAGGTGGTACAGGCTGAAGGAGGGAAGAGGTAGAAGAGGACACAGGAGAAGCAGGCATACTCTCTGTAACTTTCACTGAAAAAAATCTGCATCTAGGCCGTGTGCAGTGGCTCACACCTGTAATCCCAACACTTTGGGAGGCCAAGGCAGGCAGATCACGAGGTCAGGAGATCGAGACCATCCTGGCTAACACGTTGAAATCCCGTCTCTACTAAAAATACAAAAAAAAAAAAAATTTAGCCGGGCATGGTGGTGGGTGCCTGTAGTCCCAGCTACTTGGGAGGCTGAGGCAGGAGAATGGTGTGAACCCAGGAGGCGGAGCTTGCAGTGAGCAGAGATTGCACCTCTACACTCCAGCCTGGGCGACAGAGCGAGACACCATCTCAAAAAAAAAAAGAAAAAAAAATCTGCATATAAGTGGTCTGTAGTTCAAACCTGTGTTGTTCAAGGGACAAATATAGTTGTAGAAAACACCGGGAAGTAGATCGTCAACATCGAGCAGAAGGTCTTACATGTCGGATATAAACTCAGAGTTGATGTGTCCAAGTAAAGTTTCTCAATATTGTAGTTAGAAAATGGAAAACCTATTAAAGTGCCACATCACATTGTATCACCTAATTTGGGTATCTCTTTCCAAGAACGTGATAGATAACTTTAAATGGAAAGTAAAATTCAAAATTGGTTATCCAATTTCTTATTTATTTACAGCTAGAGGACAGATAACTCTGAGGCCCCCTGATGAGATTATACAATTCTCCACATATTCAGAGTGAACTGACTGTTGTGGCAGCAATAATTATTCTGGGCGAAAAGTCATACATATTTTGTTTTGCTTTTGCTTTAGAAAGTTTTAAGATTTTTTTTCAGGATAATGAAATCTGCTATGTTGTTAGCAAGATTTATATGAAGGAAAACTTGCCAGTTTTCACCCACTACTAATCCTAAATCTGTTTCAGTCTAGGTAGTACAGTATGTACTGTTGCTTTCAAGCAGAAAAGTCTGTTTCACACAGAAAAAGAAAAAAAAAAAACTCTCTCCTTATGGCCCTCGGTTTGTCCTTAGGATGCTGAGCATTTTGAGGTGGACATAAAATCCAGTATATCTTTCACAAACTGAAAGTGTATATATTCTTTGATTAACTATGTTAGTCTTTCAGTTCCTCAGCGTCATAATAAAAGAAATTAAGGCAGTTGTTTATGAAGATAGGATGTATGTAAAGCAGAGAATTTCATCGATATGTATTTAAAATATGAGTTTTAAGACTAAGTTTAAAAATTATGTCAAGTTATACTTAGTAAAATGTCCTGAAGTTTATTTTGACAATGCCAATGTTGCTAGGCTATTATTTTGCTTAATGTTGATTTTAAAGGTAAGCATTATAATTTATCTTTGGATTTTTATCAGGCAATGGCAATTTTGATTTTATCTTTATGCTGAAGTTTTGAAACGCTTGCTTCTAGAACACTGTGCAAGGGTAAACACATTTACAAATACTAATTAAGAATTAGACTATTTTAAGATATTTATTATAGCCTGAATATTTATGACTCCCACTTCTAAGAATTGATTAAACACATACACACACACACACACTCACTCACTCCACACACAACTGTAATTTTACAGAAACTTCATGATCAAGATTTAGAAGTAAATTTTATGGAAATAATCTGTATGATAAAAAATAAATAACAACTTAGATCATGGGAGAAATGCATTTGATGATAGAACTATTCCTTTTAATTAGGAAGATGGAAAATATTATTATTTAGAGATAATGTAATTTTATCCCCAGAAAACTCAAGGTAATTTAATGAAAATCTAATCGGGAAAATAGTAGAGTGAGCAATGATGAGGCTGACTATATAATTAACATATTTAATTATAATTAAATTTAATTATATTTAATAGAATTAATAAATTCCCTATGTATATATGGTAATTTGTTACCGAATATAATAGAAGAAAAAAATAGCCTACAAATTCCATTTGAAAACTATAAGAATTCCTCATAAAATACCTAGATATACATTTGAAAAATGTGCAAAGAGGAGGGAGGGAGGAGGAGAGAGAGTTAGGGAAAGAAAGAAAAGAAGAAAAGAAAGAAAACTAGATTATTACTTCAGATGTTTTACCAAATTAATTCCAGGTGGAATCAATATTTAACTATTAAAATTGGCATCATAAAAGTTCTATATATATATGTTTTTCAAATTATTTTCAATAAGAGAAGTTTTTTAATGATTATATGCTTATAATAATAAATTATTTTTAATAGATCGTTTTGACTACATGGCATTTTAAAAATAAAATATTGGCCTGGTGCAGTGGCTCACGCCTCTAATCCCAGCACTTTGGGAGGCCAGAGGCCAAGGTGGGCTGAGCACCTGAGGTCAGGAGTTCCAGTCCAGCCTGGCCAACATGGTGAAACCCTGTCGCTACTAAAAATACAAAAATTACCTGGGCGTGGTGGTGCATGCCTATGATCCCAGCTGCTTGGGAGACTGAGGCAGGAGAATCGCTTGAACCCAAGAAGCAGAGGTTACAGTGAGCTGAGATTGCGCCACTCCACTCCAGCCTGGGCAACAGAGAGAGACTCCATCACAAAAAATAAAATATTAAAAATATTTCTATATATTACTATTCCATTTAATGATGGAAAGTTGAATGAAAGATTGAAAAACATTTTAGCAACCTATACAGTAGTCTTTGTGTTCCTAATGTGTAGTCTCAGTATGTGATCAATGTAGTGGAGAAAAAAAGGCTCAAATGGAAACATTATTAAAATGCATGAAGGGTTAATTCACAAAAGAAGAAAAATAAGTGACCAACAAACAGATAGTCACCTATTACACATCGTGTAATTTTACTTAATTAACCAGCATCTACAATTCAATTGTGTCACTCCCATTTCTTAAATATATATGATCTAAAAATTTTTAGATATTTAAAATTGACGAGTTTTCAGCATTTTCTTTATCACTTGTTTATAATATGCATGTAGGTCTTTTTAATAGATGAGGTTTTAATGTAGATTGTTTTTCTTGTACTCCAGGTTTAACTTAAGATGTAGCAGTGAACATTTTTATTATAGCAGATAGCATGCACTTAGAATTGTGTGGTTATCAGTTATTCTGTCCAGGTTATTTATTCATAACCATTTTCTAAAATATTATATTAGTACATAAACATCTATTGTGCAATAATGAATACTAACTATTTCATGGAAAAATCAAAGGCAACTTTTCAATTTGGCAGAAGATAGACCCTGGATTATTACTTGATTACATTGTGTTCCCTTCTACCCAGTTCTGGAAAAGATGTTCCTGCTTTTGGCAAGAAGGCTAATATTAACATATTCAACAATTCCAGGTTACATTTTAAAATTTTTCATGTGGTTTTCATAGATCATCCTTAATGTGAAATTCTTCATATCATATTTTCCTGATAAAATATGGTACTTTTGCTGTAAAACAAGGCAATACTCTACCTCCACAAAATCATATTTATTTTGCTATTAAAAGGGAAGATTGTGTAAGTTCATGCAGTCTAAAATTCATTACTTCCCTTTTAAGACAACTTTATTACGCCAAGTGTCTCTCTTGTAATAGGGCTGAAACCGGTGCCCTCACAACATTGGTTAATGTGTGAATGGGTAGATATGCATTTTTTTGATACGATACTATTGTAAATATTCTTGAGGCAACAACTGACTGAACAATTGTCTTATGCTGTGTTACAGCCATAACATAATATGACAGTGACATGAAAAACATATGAAATGCAATATGAACTCAGCAATTGTGACTTGCTGCAGGGGCACAAATATAGCAAGCAATTTACTACTATCATTCTTCATGAAAACATGTGGTACTGGTGAAGATGGTATATAGTATATCCAGCAATCTATGAGTTCAGTGTGAATACTGCAGTGCCAGCAACAACAAGTCAGTGATGTGAAATTATCTATGAAATCACTGCCCTGGAGCCCTGAAGGTTTTAGTGGACACCAAAACAGGATGACTACTTGCCATTGTTTTTTAATTTGGGCAATTTTTTAAAAAAATTACTATTATTAAATTTTTTATTCACTAAATGAAAGTGATAATAGTATCTAACTCAGATTAAATGAGACAACTTCCGTGACATGCTTAGACTGGTGCTTGGTATAAGTAAATTTTCAGTAAGTGTCAGCTATGATTATTGTTTTTTCAGAGAGAAATGAGGTTCACGTGGGAAACTATTGTTTAAGCGCGTGGAAATTTGGACCTACTGGTGTCTCTGTCTCTGTCACTTGAAGTCACAGCTCATTTCGCTGTGAGGATGTGAGTTTAACATACACTCATAAGCTGAGGATTGTGCGGTTCATAAAGTGCAAATCAGATCATGCCAGTGGGTTTCATTTTTTCTCATCTAATATAGAAAAAGAGAGGTCAACCTTGTGGCCTCCATGTTAGCCTCCTCACTGCCACACCTTGCTGCCACCTCCCATCTTCAAACTCCTAGCCAGCCTGGGGCGTGTTCTGCTTTGACATCCATCCAAGCTGTCCTCTCTGCCTGGAATAGCCCCTTCTTTTCCACTCCCATTTACCGGGTCCTGGTCTCAACCTTTCAAATGTAATTTCTTCAAGGAAGTCGATCCAGACCCCACTTATTCCAGTTCAGTAGTGAGGCCGTTGCAGGGGAGTGGGTTGGCATAACAGTTCTTTCTTTCGAATGTCCTGCCATTCTTAGTGACACACGTCAGACTTGGAGTTATTTGTAAATATCTGCCTTGCTTGCTGTAGTGAAGCATGGTGAAGAGTACGACAATGACGGCTTCTCAGTGCTCCATCTGCAGTGCCCAGCCCCACACCTAGCTCAGTGAGAGTTGAACAACTGAACAACTGAATGAGGAATAAACCCATGATTTCAAGTCAGTTTAAGACTGCACATTTCAGCTGGGAAGCTCATGCCTGTAATCCCAATACTTTGTGGGGTCGAGGTGGGAGTATCACTTGAGCATAGGAGGTCAAGGGTGCAGTGAGCCATGATCTCCCATTTGCACTCCAGCCTGGGCAACAGAGCAAGATGCAAGACCCTGTCTTGATTAAAAAAAAAAAAAAAAACAAGATTCTACATTTCACCTTCAGCCTGTGGGCAGGATTACAACAAGGCATTCCCAGGAGAAGAAATGTATTCTGAGCACTGCAACAAAGAAAAATCCACAACCTTTCTTAAACATCCTTACATGTCCTCGAATTTGCATTCCTTTCCAACAGTCCTTGGCTTATAAGACAGCTCAAACCACCCCTAAGGTCTTGAAAGCTGAGATGCCACCTTGCTGCTAAAGGAAACGTATTATTTCCACATCCTAAATATGCAGCCTAAACAAATTGGATGACCAGTTGCAAGCATTTCCATTGCTAGTTTGTCGACTCTGAATTTATTGTGCCATCTCCAGTCCCCAATCTTACTATTATTGAAAATCTGAGGACTGTGGAACTCCCGTGAACTGGGCATTTTAAAATTTCTTCCACACCAAAAGTCTTTAACTCTGGTTTAGAAATAAAATTCAGACAGAGGTTGTAGCTCTGCATAAATATTTTTCAGAGTATGTGAAATATTAATCATTATTGTCCTTGTCTTTTATGGCCCCCAACGTTTATAATTTTAAATGAGAGACATAGGGTACAGCTGAGGTAAGTCTTCTGAGACTTGTTGACAAAATCCAGATTGTAGGTGCCTCACAGAATCTGCTTTATTGTTCTTCCTGATACCTTTAAAGTCTTTCTCCCTAGTTTTTCTGGGAAAATTTTCAAGAGTTTTAACAGCATTGTCGTGTGTGTATGTGTGTGTGTGCATGCACATGTATGTGTATTTTTAATTGCTTGATTCTTTTCAAGTATCTGTATAATTGTTCCAAGTCCTAAATAACAATTTATGCCTGCATAAATAACCACATAGGAATGTTGGATATTGCCAATGTCTTTTCAGTGGAAGGTACGGATTCTTGGTTTCATAGGCCAATCCTTGATAGAACATGGGTGTGTCAATGTTCAGAGACATGGGACACACCAACAGGGAAGACAAGGAGACACACAGGAAGCCTGAGGAACAAGGAAAAACCTGCAGGGTGTGGCCTTCTGAAAGCCCAGGGGAAAAGGTGTGGAATGGAGAGAAATCAGCTGCCACAGAGAATTTAAATCAGTTGAGCAATGAGCATTCATGGCTGCATCAACCCAACTTAAAAGAAAAAAATCTTTCCTGAGCCCACTTCTATTTTAAATATTTACCACTTCTTGGACAAGCACCAAGCATTGTTACTTTAGAATATAGAAAGAGAATATTTTCATAAAATTTCCATAAAACTCCATCCTTGAGAGCTGATGGTTCACCATCCTTTTCTAGCATTTTGGAATTTATAGAAATTAATGGATGCCTTGCATTACTGCATATGCTTAATCAGTAGATAGGAAAAAATGCTTTGCTGGCAATGATTGGGTTTGCCCTGAACTATGCAGCTATGGGCTGGGGCACTAAAAGAGGCAGTAGTACTCAAGAGATGAGGGCAAGGGTAGAAATTCCCTAGTCTAGCTGTATGGTGTCTTTATGTATTTCAGACTAATCGAGATTATCAGATCCAGATCTATAATTTACTTTCTGGGTAGCTGTGGATAAGTTGCTTACACTTTCTGTAAGTGTTGGTTCCTACATATGCATAATGAAAATCATATTAACACCAATTTGATTGGTCATTGTGATTGTCAAATGAGACAACATGCACAAGGCTCTAGTGTAGGTTCAGTTCCCAAATCTGATTTACCACGACTGATGTCCTTTTACTTCCTTGAATGTACCCACATTGTCTCTCACTCTGAGATCTTGTCCCACACTGATTTTTGAGCCCCAATGTTCCTCACTGATTCACACCCATTCGTCTTCCATAGTTTGGCTCAAGCATCACCAGTCCTCCAAGAATTCTCTCTAACAGGCCGGATCCTTTCATTATTCTTTCCCGTATTTCCCTCTACCTTTCCTTCACTTCTCACAGTTTGCAATTCTGCATTATTTATTGTGATGATCTGATTAATTTCTTCCCAAGACCACAAACTCAAAGAGGGTTCAGTTCTGTTTGGTTCATCATTGTATCTCCAACATCTAGCATAGAGCCTGGTATTCTTGCATCTCTATTTGTTGAGTAAATAAATAAATGATGTTGAATTGATTTTTCATTATTTTACTGCAGTGGTGGTTGGGTGGTTAATCTTTCTTAAGAACCTGTTAAACTGAGCTGAGAGATCTGATCTCTGCCACTTGGGGCCTAGTCATTAGCCATGCCTCCTGTATGTGAGAACTCCTTTCAACATAAAACTGACAGTCTATTCATGTTGGGCTTTGTATGTTTATCTTTTAAGCTCTTCTTTGTAACACTGTTCAAATTTATTTTGCTATTTGTTTCAGGAAAACAGAATTTTCTTGGTTTTCTATAAATAGTTGGTACATTTTAATATGAACAGGATTTAGAAAAACTAGTAAAAAAATATATTTAAGGTTGGTTCTGATTTTTATATTTCACATTATGATTGGCATTTATTTTCATGTGATTAAGCAAAACCTCTCCATAACAATCTCCCCCTATATCATTTATTCACTGTGTAGTATTTTACCATATGCCTTTCTCTCTCAGTAGAATAAGGCTTTGTGAATGCACATAGAAGGATCATGGATTGGGAAGCCAATCTGATCATGACTTTTCATTAAGCTGATGATTGTCATCTGTCACAGAATGGAACCCAGGAGGCATGAAGAATATCACTTGTTAAAATTGTGTTACCCATTGTGTCCATACAGAACTAGCTCTCAGAATTGTTCACTGTTCTGTGTGCCCTGCTTCTCTAGCAGCGATTACAATCAACTACAGCCTAACAGTGAAGTTCGTAAATATCTTCTAATGGCAAAACACATGGATAACCCAAGAGCTAAAGGCAGGATAATTAAAAAAAAATTGTGGGTATATAGTAGGTGTATATATTTATGGGTTACATGAGGTAATTTGATACAAGCATGCAACGCGTAATAATCACATCAGGGTAAATGGGTATACATAACCATAAGCATTTGTCCTTTGGATTACAAATAATCCAATTGTATACTTTTAATTATTTTAAAATCTATTTTAAAATCTACAATTAAATTATTTTTCACTATAATCACCCTGTTACGTTAGCAAATACTAGTTCTTATTCGTTATTTTTAACTATTTTTTGTACTCATTAACCATTCCTACTTGTCCCCTGTGCACTCCCAGGCTATCATTCCCAGCCTCTGGTAACCATCTTTCTACCGTCTATCTCCATGAGTTCAATTATTTTATTTTAATTTTTAGCTCCCCCAAATAAGTGAGAAAATGTGAAGTTTGTCTTTTAGTGTCTGGCTTATTTCATTTAACTTAATGTCATCCAGTTCCATGCGTGTTGTTGCAAGTGACAGGATCTCATTCTTTTTTAAATGGAGGAATAGTACTCCATTGAGTATATGTACCACATTTTCTTTATCCATTTGTCTGTTGATGGACACTTAGGTTGCTTCCAAATCTTAGCTATTGTGAATAGTGCTGCAATAAACATGGGAGGGCAGATATCTGCTCAACATACTAATTTTCTTTCTTTCGTGTATATACCTAGGAGTGGGATTGCTGGATCATATGGTAGCTCTAGATTTAGTTTTTTAAAGAGCTTCCAAACTATTCTCCAGGTAGGTTCCATTTACACCAACAGTTTATGAGGGTTCCCTTTTCTCCACATCCTTGCCAGCATCTGTTATTGCCTGTCTTTTGGATATAAACCATTTTAACTGGGGTAAGATAATATCTCACAGTAGTTTTGATTGGCATTTCTCTGATGATCATTGATGTTGAGCACCTTTTCATATACCTGTTTGCCATTTGTATGTCTTCTTTTGAGTAATGTCTATTCAGATCTTTTGCCCGTTTTAAAATCAGATTATTACATGTTTTTCCCTATAGAATTGTCTGAGCTCCTTATATATTCTGGTGATTAATTTCCTGTCAGATGGGTAGTTTGCAAATATTTCCTTCCATTCTGTGGATTGTCTCTTCACTGTGTTATTTCCTTTGCTGTGCAGCTTTTAAACTTGATATGATCTCATTTGTTCATTTTTGCTTTTGTTACTTGTGCTTGCGGGGTATGACACAAGATATCTTTGCTCAGTGTCTTGAAGAGTTTCCCCAATGTTCTCTTTTAGAAGTTTCTTAGTTTGAGGTCTTAGATTTAAGTCTTTAATCCATTTTTATATGATTTTTTATATGGTGAGCGATGGGGGTCTGAGTTTCATTCTTCTGTATATGGCTATCCAGTTTTCCTAGGGCCATTTATTGAAAAGACTATCTTTTCCAGACTGTATGTTCTTGACACCTTTGTCAAAAATGAGTTCACTGTTAGGTGTGTGGATTTATCTGTGTTCACTATTCTATTTCACTGATATATGTGTCTGTTTTCATACCAGTCCCATGCTGTTTTGGTTACTGTAGCTCTGTAGTATAGTTTGAAGTCAGGTAATACAATTTCTCCCATTCTGTTCTTTTTGCTTATGATAGCTTTGTTTATTCTGGGTCTTTTGTGATTTCGTATACATTTTTGGATTTTTTTTTCTATTTCAGTGAGGAATGGCATTCTATTAATCTCTATCAAAATAGAAATGAATAGAGATGGTTCCATATAAATTTTAGGACTGTTTTTTCTATTTCTGTAAAGAATGGCATTCTATTAATCTCTATCAAAATAGAGATAGAGATTGTCTTAAATCTGTAGATTGCTTTGGGTAGTATAGACATTTTGACAATGTTGATTCTTCTAATCCATGAACATGGAATATACTTTCATTTTTTGGTATGTCATCTTTAATTTATTGCATCAGTGTTTTATAGTTTTCATTGTAGGGTTCTTTCACTTCTTTGGTTAATTCCCAGGTATTTAACTTTATGTGTAACTATTTTAAATGGGATTACTTTCTTGATTTTGTTTTCAGGTTGCTCACTATTGGTGTTTCTATATGGCAAATCACTACCATTTCTATATGGCAACAGATCATTGGGTCTTTTTTTATCCATTCATCCACTTGATGTCTTTTGATTGGAAAGTTTAATCTATTTACATTAAATGTTATTATTGTTAAGTAAGAACTTATTCCAAAGGCAATGTAATTTTAAAGATAGCCATAAAATTTTTTCTAAATAATCAAGTGACTTCACAAAGGAAGTGTGTGATGTTCTTTTCCTAGATGTGTTTGTTGTATCCTAAATGATGTGTTGGTTGGTTGGATAGCCTTGTCAGTCAGAAGACAAGAAGTGGTTCTAGGTAGTGGTGGTGATCGTCTGAGAGATAGGCACCACGGAAAAGTTTGCTTTGGAATTAACTCATTCTATACATCTCCAGAGAGGTGTACACATTTTATATGTGAAATGGGAGAAGTATTGAGGTAATTATATTGGCTGAATTTGCTAATTGCCAATCTAACATGAACCACAGGTCTCCTGATTTACTGCGTGATCCCTGGCTTTAATCTACTGGTGTATTCTTTTATCTATTCTAAATAACTCTCTTTGCCAGCACAGAAACCTCCATTCTGTAGTTTTTTTTAACACATAAGACTAGTGCTTTATGGTCCTCTCAATGGCATAGTTGAGGTGTTTGTGGACCTCATTCCTTCCTCTTTAATCAGTGTGGCCACAGTATGACCTATTTGGAAGAATTTGATTTATAAGATGATCTTTTAAAATACAAATAGCACTTCCCAAGGGTCTGGAGTTCTAATGTAGATCACAATTTTTAATCAGACACTGAACTCCTGACTGCCCAAGATTAGCTGCTCAAAAGAAAAGGGAATTTTGGCCAACTTGAAAGGAGGAGAAATGAATAATCTTGAAGTCTGGTGCTGCAGCTACATGTGGATCAATCAACAGAAAGGCCACTTCAAGGCACTAGACTTGGGGTGGCACTAGAGACATGTAGAAAGAGAGCATCCACCAGCCAATAATGGATATAGTGAGATGGATAGATGTTAGATCTTTTTTTTACCTTTTTCATATTCTGCATGGGTTTGCAGAAATCTCTACTTCATATTTAACAAAGCTAAGAGGACCTTTCTGAAAGTATTTAATGAATCCTGGATATTTTCATTTATATTTCTACTTTCATTATAAGATGCTGTGAGAGCTCAGACATGGTGCCTCAATTTTTGGGGAGGGGAAATTGAATGGCTGCCATATAGCAGACCTGATTTTATACTTATTAGCAAAATATAAACAAATGGAATCAATGATGGATATTAACATATTATAAAGTGCACAGATCCTATATATTTTTCAGGTTTGAAAGGATAATTGTAAAAACTGCATAGAATATGCCCATATCCAAAAGAAGTTACCCTGCATACACAGGGTGCTTTATTTTAAAATAATTATTGCAACTTTACTGTCATAGGCACACATAGATGAAACTTTATTGAGTGACTGTCACGCAGTGGACACTGAGGTCACAAGTTACATTCCTTGCTGCAGTCTACTAAATTATACTCTCATTGTAAAAGACTTTTTTACTAGCCATGTAACTGGACTATTCACCCAATATTGATGAAAAATGAGAAAAGGTCCTGAATATAGTTCTGAAAAATGCATAATAAATAAATAATAGGACTCATAAAACTCATTTTGTAGCAAACTTATAATTCCTACTGAAGTATACATGATAGATAATAATGAAATATTTGTTGACCTTCTAATATCATCTCTGACATCTCTGTGTATTGTTCAATACCAAATTTGTTCCCTACAATTTTCATGAGCATTAATTGCATGCTTTTAAAATAATTACCTTGTTAGGAACTGAATTTTTATTTTGATATTTTGAATTTTCTTTCTGTAGGTCAATTTTAATTTAAAAATGCTTTCAGTGGTTTGTGTGACCATTACTATAATTGTTAAGATATATTTTTTTTCAAATATAAACCATATTCTCTTATGGGACAAATCTTTGAAGCTATCATTAATTCCGGGAAGTTATCATGGTGTCACTGAGAGCACTAGAGTGACCATTTACTTTATAATTATCCCCATTCAAAATGGTTAATGCAGGTTTCAGCAGGCCTTTTGGCCTCTAAGTTGCAAATGACACAACGATGAAATGATCGAAATAATCTTTAAGAATAAAGTTTTAGTCAAAAAGAAAACCTACCCTTGGGTAAAGCGACTATTTTGATCCCACATCTCTTTCAAAAGGTGATAATTAGAGTGAAGTTACATTTTAAGGTTACCTTTCTCATGACAATGTTTATACTTTCATTATCTGTGCCTTATAGAAAGATCTGTAACTAAATCTTTATTTTTAAGTGTTTATTGATTGCACCCTGATGCATGAAAATACAGGTTAAAAACATCTGTTAATACTGATTAATTATCAGGCTTCGTTTTATGTCATAGAATTCAAGAGATGAAAACATAATAGTAACTCCTCCCTTTTATTCTTTTCCATGGACAAAAACAATCTTGTGACCACTTTTTCAATACTGTGAGATTATGGTTATGTGAAGAAAGAAGACGTTTCTGCTTGTTCAGATAAAAAACTAAAGCTAAAATGGTGTGTAACTTCATTCATAAATATGTTTCTAAAAAAGGTGAGTTTTTTTTTAAAATTTGTGGCAAAAGAAGGCCTTCTATTTCCTTGTGGAAGAACTTGTCTTCAGTGCTTAGCATGTATTAAAACTGTAGACCACTTTTTACTGCTGCTTTGCAGAATTGATTTAACAACTTGCATAAGTATCATATTGAACATATCATGTAAACTATGAAAAATGCATACTTTTTCATTTTCAGAGCAAATCTGAAATGTTGAATTATGTACTTTAAGGACCAAATAAACAGAGTAATGGAATAGTCTGAAAATCTAATCACTTCAAGCATGCTACTTTTTTCCCAGACATGATCAGTGTGCAGAATAGCTCCATAATTAGTGGGATTCTTACCTACTGAAAATTTGCTCTGTCAGAGCAAGCACATGCATTCCACAGGAGAGCTGCATACCAGGCAACCAAAAATTGGCTTAAAAGAGTTTTTAAGAACTAGAAATTGTATTTTGAGTTGTTTTCACAATCACCCCTCTCTGCATCCAAACCATAAGGGATTACGAAAATGATAAAAAAAAAAAAAAAAAAAAAAAAAAAAAAGCCCGAACAAGAGAAACCAAGCAGAAGTGAGTACTAAAATGTGGGGTCAAGTGTGGACACTAGTCCTTTGTGAGCCAAAAAGCTGCAATCCATCAAGTCAGAGGCTAAATCACCAGGCCTGTGGACATCCAAACCTGGGCACATCTTGATGGTGAGAAAGCTCTAACTTCCAGTAGGACAATTCTTACAGAGTCCTGGCTGAGGCCTAAAAATCTATTGCTGAGGTAATAGATTGTGTGGAAGAGGTGATGAGTTGGCCTGGTAGAATGACAGAGTGGCTACCAATAAGGAAAAATCCTAAAAGTCATTGATTATCATGTTTTCTTCAGAACTTTAATAGTGGTAATTTCAGACACCCTGTTAAGTGAACATATGGTCAGTTCATATATCTGCTACAACCCTGAAGTAATAATAATGTAATCCCGTTTCTAGGCAAGGAAACTGAGGCCAAGAGAGGTTAAATTCTTTGCACAGGAATATGGATTTTTCTTCTCTGACTCCAAAGCCTGTATTTTTCAGTGGCATCTCTCAATGAAAATGTATTTTAATGATGCAGAATACCTCCAGCTAACATACACATAAGTTAAAACCATGTGACAACATACATAACTGAAAGAAAACCAGTGAATAATGAAAGACACTGTATTGGTTACCTATTGCTGTGTAATAATTTACCACAAATTCAGTGGCTTAAAACAACATTCATTTACTATCTCACAGTGTCTGGATTAGGAGTCCTAGACCAGCTTAAGTAAGCTCTGCTTTGGATCTCTCCAAGCCAGCATTCAAGTGGTTGGGCAAGGCTGAGGCTTCACCTGAAGGCTTGACTGTGGAAGGATTAATTCCCAAGCTCTGTGGTTGCTAGCAGGATTTTGGTTCTTCTGGGTAGTTGGACTAAGATCTTCAGTTGTTTGCTGCCTGTTAGCTGAAAGCTTCACTCAGATCCTGAATATGCGGACCTCTTCCGCATGGCTGATTGATTTATCGAAGCCAGCAAAGGAGAGAGTCTGCTGGCAAGACTGAAGTCACTATGCCAGCAAAGGAGAGAGTCTGTTAGCAAGACTGAAGTCACTACCTTTTGAAACCTAAGAAGGGAAAGGACATCCCATCAGCTTTGCTAGGCTAGCCCATGATCAGGAGAAAGGGACTACTCTTAGGCATGAATACCAGGAGGTGAAGCTTACTGAGAGCCATCTTAGAGTCTGCCCTCAACTGATTTGGAGAGTAAAGTGACTTTTTATAAGAAATGATATGAGTGTAATGACTGTTCAGCATGATGCTACAATAAATAATTAAATAATTAGCAAACAATTAAAAAATCAAACTATTTGTATAAAAAGTATTTCTTAACTGCAAACCATCCAACATGGGTTTGATTGTGACTTTATTGCTATCCTAAATGTATTATGCAATCACATATGTGCAACCACGTGCCATTTCGGCTGACTGGCAATTATTACAGCAGGAAAAGAAATTCAACATTGTTTTTTTTTTTTCAAAGTAACAACTATTTCTGTTGGGTGAGAATAATTTATAAATGGTTTGTTTATTTTAGAAATGCACAATATTGTTTTTTCTTTGACATGGAAATGAACAACTCCAGAGAAAAGCCTGTCATAGAAAAACCATTTGACAAAATAATAATTTGCTTTAATTTATCTCCAGTATTTGTTGTGATAAAGATATTTCAGATTTGATTTTTAAAGAGGCAGCATCATTACTAGTGGGCAAGAAAATTAAATCCTTTCAGTATCCCAAGTCTGAGCTTAGTTTCTCCATGTTCTGCAAAGATTTCCACGTTGGCCAAATCAGAATATGGTAGTAACCCCTTTTGAGGGGAGGATATACCCCAAGACTCCTAGGGATGCCTGAAACCAGGGATAGTAGCAAACCCTAGATATATTAGCATTTTTCAATCAGATCGCTGAGACAGCTACTAAGTGACTGATGGGCAGGCAGCATGTACAGTGAGAACACATTAGACAAAGGGAGGACTCACCTACCAGGTGAAACTGAGGGGGATGGCACAGGATTTCATCATGCCACTCAGAATGCAGTAACATTTAAACTTTTAGAATTGTTTATTTCTAGAATTTTTTATTTAATATTTTAAGAGCATGGTTGACAGTAGGTCACTGGAACGCAAAAAGCCAAACCATGGATAAGGGTCACTACTGTATCCACATAATTAAGACTGCATTTATGCTTCAAAGTTCTTGGAGCCCATCTCTGTGGCATTGAGTTAATCAGGTATCTAAATAATTTCACTGGGGAAAAGTGTGTATGTGGGATCTCATCTAAACTGGCCCAGTGAATTGCTTTTGAGCCCAGTGATATATGAAGGTTTGTTGCATAAACTGTCATTACAAAAGACTTTAGGATATTCTTCAAGATTCACAAGTGAAGTTTTCTAAGTGTTTATGCAGGTTAAACATGAGGTAAATTTTAATTTGTCTGCATTATTTTATTTTATTTTATTTATTTTGAGACAGAGTCTCGCTCTGTCACCCAGGCTGGAGTGCAGTGGCACGATCTTGGCTCACTGCAACCTCTGACTCCCTGATTCTCCTGCCTCAGCCTCCTGAATAGCTGGGATTACAGGCACACACCACAACTCCCAGCTAATTTGTGTATTTTTAATAGAGATGGGGTTCACCATGTTGGCCAGGATGGTCTTGATCTCCTGACCTTGTGATCTGCCCGCCTCAGCCTCCAAAAGTGCTGGGATTACAGGTGTGAACCATCACGCCCACCCTTACAACATGCTTCTGATGCTCAGGTTTGAGAACTACTGCCAAAAAGCAAGGTTGAGGGCCATCTCCTCCTTGTTGATATTTATTCTCTAATTCAAATTATTCTTAAAATTTGCCTAAGATAAGCATAATTACATAGAAAATACTAACCACCAAGTTAATCACCTACTATTTTTAAAAATAATTACTCTTTAATAATCCATGCCTATATGTGCATAAATTATTGATAATAGACCAAATTCATATATGTTAATATGCCTGATTGCATTCTAAATGCTAAAAATCAGATGACTGGTGAATCCTTTAGTTAACAATTACCTGCATGAGACATATGGTACAGTTCTGAAGTTGAGGTATAAAGTGAACATAGTATTAAGTTAATGTCATGGAAGACAATTAGAAAAATTTTAGTTCTATTGTCTTTTTTTATTATACACCATAGTCTTGTCTGATTGTTTGTAATGAAACATTATGGTCTTTTAAAAAGAGCATTATTATGAAATGATTTTATTTGATAGATAATTTTATGTAAATAATTCATTTTTTCAACAATATGGTACACAGAATGCTATAATTATGTGTACCTCGTTATTCTTTTCTGCATTCATTTTAGTTTGGGCTCTTGTATCACATGTTTGTAAAGGAAGAACCAGAACTGTTAAACAGATATTTTAACAGAAATCCATGCTGGGAATTAGAGTATTCTGCTACTCGTTTTCCTCTTGGTAGTGCATACCATTACTTTAAATTCTGAGGGTGTTGGTGGGGTGTGAAGAGCTGCACTGTTTAGGAAATGGGAAACCAAGGAATTTGAATCAACAAGCATTTTGTAGGTAAAAGGATTAGGATGAAAGTTTCATGATGGTGACATGGCAGGAGCCACAGAGCTTTGAGGAGGACACGAGCAGAGCCGGCAGCAGGGGGACCTCTCTCTTTCATTAACTGGATTGATTTCTTCCCTCTATGCTGTGTGTGTGTGTACGTGAATGTGTGTGTGCTTTATTTTCAGATATTTATTTTAGGAAAGTACAGTATAGGTTAGATGCGTTATGAATGTTGATCATTTTACTCTATTATGAGTATTCTGTTTTTTGTAATAAGCTGTTCATTTTTCTGAAAAACACACACACACAATTATCTATGTTTACATAAAACGTTCAACAACACTTCCTTCCCAGAGCATAATACATTCTATCTTAGGTTATATAATTTGTATACAACCCCCTACCTCCATTTGTTTCCCAGTGACCAAAAGGTGAGAGAGTGGTCTCTGAAATTTTTATGCTGGTCTCTCATGTCTGCCATCTCCCCGAGTCTGCAGCTTCTACAGTAAATACGGTGCGCACAATCTATAACAGTATTGGTTTTACCAGGATAATTGAGAAAGCTGTGCTTGCTCTAACCTATGACCATGTCACTTCGTGAAGATGGTCATCAGGCCGGAGAATGAACATTTTTAAGCACCAGCATAGCTTTCTGCTCCAAACACGGAAGCTCCTTATAATCTTTTGAATTCAGCCTTCCTCGTATGTAGAAATGCTCCTGGCCATCAGTGAAGAAACTGGTTTCTAACTGGTAAAATATTTGAAGATAATGACTCTGATATTCCCATCTCATACAGTTGGATAAATGTATTGCTTACGTTTTCCTAACCATCAATTCATTCTTTCATTCATATGACAAATACCTGTTCAGTTCCAGCTATCTACCAGTCATTGTGCTGTGTGTTGAGAGACGCATCAATGATTGAAGCACATGAGGTTATAAAGTTAGTTACTCTGAATTAAAGTCAAGTTTGCTTATTATCAGTACCATATGAACATAATTTGCATTGGGAACAACCACACATGAAAAAAATCAATTTCCAACCTAGCAAAACCTACTATAATATTTATTTACTCATTCTATCCAAGAATAATAATGAAGAACCAGCATTTTAACATGCTTTCATTCAGTTTCCAGAAGTATCCATGAGAGAGCACATACATATCCTTGAGCATTAAAGTTCACATTGTTTAGTCTATACTGTTTGGGTTTTTTTTTTTTTTTGGATGTTTGTTTACAGGTGAATTAGTCACAACTGCCAGCATCTAAAATTCCATATCGCCTTTATTTGGTTAAGGGAAAATCTTTTTTCTGAATCCATTGTAACACTGGGAGAAACATGAACTCTACCAATGTTAAGCTTTTGTGGTTGTTGATCCAGATAGCTAAAATAATAAGAAAATACGTAAGCAATGATCGTTTTGCAAGGAGCAAGATTCTAAACTTATTCCTTCAAAATGGGTTTTTAAAGGTGGAGATTGTGCCCTTTATAATGAAATGTGGAGAAAAAAATGCCCAATTCTGTTTTTTGAAAAGGACAATGAGGATGAAGTATGAATTGCTTATTATTAATCTGCTTCTGGAACCTTGTCAGGCTGGTGGAGGGAGAATGAATAAATATCAGACAAGTTCATCTGTACCATGATTAATTATGTAACAGCATATTAACCACTCCAATTTTAACCACTTTTCACAATGGCCATCATTTATATCATGAGCCTTATATGCCAATCCCTGGATTATTTTTAGGATGTAAGAATTTTCTATATATAGGAAGATAGATTAATATTCAACTTCAAAGTAATTTTTTTTATTCCCCTCCTTTTAATGACCACTAGTTAATGAGGCTAGCACCAGGGCTTAGGTACCTAGGGCATAACGTTGGAAACTATAATAGGTTATTCTACTTGACAAATGTGGAGCAAAGAGATGAACTCAAGGCCCTACCTCTTGGAAGATAAAAAAAAAATCAAAATGTAGGAAGCCACATTTTAACAGTAAGTAATTTTCAAATATGGACAGAAACCAGGGCAGACTGTGGAGCACAGTAGACACAATAAGATTAGAATCCTACGTGACTGCCTCTCAGGACAAGATGTGCCCGCCAATCATTTTTGTTGGTTGATAGTATATGTAATTCATGGGCATGTCAGCCTAACTTAGCAGTACCATGTGGGTGCAGTGAGTTTGAAAAGCATTTCAAGATCCTTGTCAAGATTCTTTGGCATTTTGTGCATGCAGTTTTACCTTAACATCAGGAACACACAGAACAAAGGTTGAGTCCTGGAGCATCTCTAAGTAATTATTTTTCCTCCTCTCATCATTTCTCAGACCTGGAGAGAAGGGAAATATAATGGGCAGGAAGAAGGGATTCAGCTCCCATTGCTGCAGAGGATGAGCAAGAGAAGTAGGCTCTTATGCATGGACTCTGGAATGGCAACTTCAGGAATAGTCCTTGCAGCTTCCCTGCTGGGCTGGCTGGCTCAGTGCTCAGTGCCAGTCAACTGAGCTGCATGCCAGAGTTCCAACCAGACCTTGGATCCCTAGTCCCAGGTGTTAGACCTTCCACCAAGGGTAGTGCTCTATCCTCCAAATATGCCTCCAGGCCATCTTGCTTCCTTTGGCCTCTGCCATGATCTTAAGTAATTTTGTACTATTTAAATGTATATTACACATGCAAACATATAAACACGTAAACACACACGTCTAGTCTGATTAATACTAATCAGCCAAGTATTATTGATACTTTTCTACTTTGTAATCTTCATTCAGAAGTCACAAAAAAATCCGCAGAGCTCCTGATGTGAGAGTTGAGCAGTATAGACTGCTGAGAACCCCATCTCTACTGCAGGGTGAGAGAGGACTGTGCTTATTCTCCTGATAAGCTATAACTCAACGAGAATAGCACTACAGCCCTACAGTTCTTTCAGTAAGTGCTAATAATGTGCTTTTTCAGAATATTTTCCATGAGTACTTGGCCTTGCCTAAAAGGCTTGTTTCCATGACAAGCTGTAGTCTACTCAGGGGCAGAATGATCATTTGCTGTCATGGCTGTCCTGATAATCAGTCAGTAGCCACTCAGTCCCCCGGAGTGCTTTAAATATCAGAATGGGATGTTGAGATGCTTTCCTGATTGTAAAGAGCTTTCACTGTATATGTTCTTGGTAGCACAGCTGTGCCTATTAGAGCACGAACACAGGGGCACTTCCCTGAATGTTCTCTCTTGCACTTCTACAGAACTGGATGTGGCGCTGGCCTTAGCAGAGATCTTTTGCGAACACAGAACGCTTCCATTAAGAGCTGCACTGTGTTCTCTCACATTTTTATGTTGATGCCCTTACCCCCAATCTGACTATATTTGGAGATACAGCCTGTGAGGAGGTTAGATGAGGACATAAGTCACCTAATCTGATTGGATCAGTGCCCTTATAAGAAGAAAAAGACACAAAATGTCTCTTTCTGCCACGGGAGGACACAGTGAGAAAGTGCCTGTCTGCCACCCAATTAAAGAGCTCGTACCAGACATGGACCTTGCTGGCACCTTGAACCTGGACTTCCAGTCTTCAGAACTGTGAGAAAATAAATATTGGTTGTTTCAGCTACTTAGTCTAAGAGATTTTTTATGGTAGCCTGAGCTAAGACAAAATCCTAAACCTCAGCCCCTCAGAATGTAACTATATGTGTAGATAGGGTCTCTAAAGAGGTTATTAAGATAAAACGAGATCATTAGGATGGTCTCTAATCCAATATGATCGGCAACCTTATTTACAAAAAGGAGGTTGGGGCACAGACACATACAGAGGGAAAATTACGTGAAAACATGGAGAGAAGACGGCCGTCTACAAGTCTATGAGAGAAGCCTGAGAAGAAACCAACTCTGCTGACACTTGATCTCTGATTTCCAGCCGCAAGAACTGTTAGAAAATTAATTTCTGTTTTTGAAGTCACTCAGTCTGTCATCCTTTGTTATGGCAGCCCTAGCAAGCTAATGCAGTTTCAGAGAGAACTGCAAACTTGCTGTCCAACCAAAGCCCTAATGACGTAGGAAGATAAACCCCCAGCAGACACGCCTATGAGTCCACGGTGACACTTCTCGACGACCCAGCTGTGTAGTCTGAGGAATCTTAAAGGTGAATCTAAGAAGGTGCTGATTTGACTGCGTCTTCCTGGGAAGCTCTGAAGAGGTACTAGGAGGCTTGCCATTTGTCTTTTTCCCATGTCTATGGCCTTGAATGAGGCCATTACTGCCTTTAGTGTTGGGAAGATCTTGGCTTTTCCTGGAATCATCTCCAGGGCTGACCTAGTGAACATAATCAATTCAGCAACCACCACAGAAGGTATAAGTGTAATGAATGTAATCAATTCATTTAGTGTGATCAATAAGATGATCTTGTTTTTAAAAAATCACCTGTCAACAGACTGCAGTCATGAAAAGAATGGCAACCAACATTTACTAATTAGATGAGTTATTATTGTCTGGACTTCTCTGAGAACATTAACATTCTCATTTCTCATGTAGCACCTCAAAAGACCCTTAATTTCTTTAGCAAGGGGACTATGCCTTATATTGTCATCTCTCTCCTAGCATCTAGCACATAATGTGAAGTTAAAATGATGTTGTTTGATTTAATGAAGCAGGATATCATTGGATGTCCCCATTGGAGGGCCCCACTGGTGACATCTCCTGCCATTTCTGGTTGCCATAAGCAAAATAATGGTAGAGACTGTTTTGTTCTCCTTCCTCCTTCCCTGTTCCTTGTTTTTGTTTTTTCTCCTATTGTTCCTTCCAGGCCATCTTTTGGCTGCTAGCATCCACTCAACATGATCCATATATTTCTTGACAATGCCCAATTGTCCATAATTTTCTCATTGTATTTTTCTCCTATGAAAAGTTTGCCTTAGTGTAGGCATTTGTATGAGAAAAAGTCTAATAATGGAATTTGCCCCAAATTTCAATAATGTTAAGAATATGTTATATCTTGGTACCTTTTTATTTGAAAAACAGATTTTTAAAGAAACCTTTCTGTGATGAAATTGGACTATGCAGTATCACCAGCCTTACTACCCTGGTAATGAGATATGTCTATACACAGGCCTGTGATGGCCCCAGTTTACAACTTTGTCTTGGCTTACCTAATAATAGCTCCTTCTTTCACTCTCAAAGGTGTCCCAGTCTGAAGGATAAATTATATAGTCACAGCACATATACTCTATACATTTAGAAGAGAGTTTAAACACCAAAAATAACCCTATTATTTGCAGACCTTATTTATTTTAAGCTGTTGAGATTTTCTCAGGTACATTAGCTATACACTGCCACAGTTCGTCTGAAAGCTGTGGAAATATTTCCCAGTATCATTTTAATAAGTTACTGAACTAGTGACTTCTAGTGAAATAGAGATTACAGTTTTTAATTAATACCTTCCCTTGAGCATCCACTAAAATAGTAACTTATTAGATAGAATGCTAATAAGGAAAAGGATGATACAATATACTAAAGTGCTGCATATAAATCCAAAAGTGGATTTGGTGTTGGCATCATGCGTTTGTTACATTCTCACAAGATCCCTCCAGTTGATTACTTACTTCCTATACGTTTTAACACTACTTCCTCAGCTACCAATCTCTACAGGTATTATATAGCAATTTACTTTTTATTGTTTTAGCTAAATATCTTAGAAAGTACCTCTTCATTTCTTTCTCATTTGTGATACTCAACATTCTAAATGCAGAAATATTATGTTATTTTTTCATTTTTATCAATTTTTATGTAAACTGCCTAGAGTTATATAGAGTTTTATTGTGAAAATAAGTCCTCTCAAGTCACCTTGACTGATTCCCATTGTTAATTTCTTTTAGATAACTCTCAAAGAATCATATTGTTTATTGTGGTTAATTTAATCATCAATAATGATGGCTGGCGGACATAAACATTAACATAATCCCTACCCTGTTCTTTTAATTGAGCTATTTCCTTTTAATTGTCTCCGTCTTTTCATTTCTATTGAAGGGAGAAACCTATGGGCGGGCCCACTGAGCCATGGAGTGTTTGAAAATTAAATAACATCTCCTTCCCCATGAGGAAATGGACTCCTAGAGAGGCTAGACATTTTGCTTCAGGTTAAATAGCAAGTTAATTTGTTCGTGTCTCAGAGCAAAGACCTTTATTTCCCCACTGCTTGCACCAAATATTGATAAATTTGAAAACATTGTATAGAATCTGGATAAATTTCCATGAAGCCAAATGACTAAACTGGATGACCTAGAATAGTGAGAAGTTAGCTTTCTCCTCCTTCTTCTTGACAAAAATACTCTCATTTAGATTTTAGATTTTAAATCTAAAATTTTGGAAAGCTGAATAAGCTATAAATTGAAGTTAAGGGACCTTCTTCTTTCTCCTGTAACTCTTTATAGTAACTAAAAATATCAAAGCAAACCTAAAATCCCGTTAATAGATTATTTAGTTAGCGTGGATAACAGAATTTTACTTCGTGCTTATTTTTCCTCACCACCTCCATTTCTTGCTTCCTTTCCTCCTCTGGACTTGATGCTGTGCTACACACTAGTGTTCCTTTAGTTCCTAAAATGAGCCATTATTTATCTCCTTAGCATTGTCCATACCCCATGCCCCACCTGAGACCATTGACTCCTCCATGTCCACTGTGGTTAGATCCTTCTTGCAATCTCAGAATAACAGGTTGTTAAAATGGAGCTGTTTCACCAGGAGTTCTGCCAAGAGTCCAGGATGGTAGATGGCACCTTCCAAACTAAGACTGTAGGTCACACTCAGATAATTTGCAAGGGGACAGCACCAAACAGGTTTTGTGATGCTGGTTGACCAGTCACCTCCAGTCTGTGTAAGAGGGCGGAAAGACCCCAGTGTATTACTTGAGATTACACACACATGCATGCACGCGCACACACACACACATGCTTGGAGAAAGAATCTTTGATATACTTTAAGTCTCACCCTCACCCCTAAAGACACCTGCCCATCACCACAAATCTTGGAGACTTCAGCCAGATAACATAAAGACAGAGAGAGACCTTGGTGTCTCCCTTGCCCTTGGAAATGTTTACAGTGAGAACCTGTCTGGCCACTTTTGAAAACAGAACCAAGAAAAATTGCTGCGTGAGAGGGCTATCTCTGCTATCAGAATTTGTTAGGAAAAGGATGCATGAGTGTTTAGCAGATCCTGTGAACTGGAGCAGCTGAAGAGATTGAGGGTGCTGAGTAAAGAGCTGGAGGAGCTTCCTGTTTCCTGGGACTGAGCAAGGACTCAGAACCAAGCAGTTGTGCTGGTGATGCACTTCCCAGGGTGAGGGCCCCTGCAAGGGTGAATCTTCAGGGACTGGAAGGGAAAGAATCTCTGAAGATTGCACAAAAGCACCCCATGAAAGAAAGATTCACTCCCAGCTCACTTGTCCTTCCTAAGGGTCCAATGCTAGAGGTCAGCAACAAAGGGAGACAAGCAGAAACAAGGGAAGACAATTTGAGGATAAGAGGCAGGGAGCAGTCACAATTTCAAATAAAGTTCGACAATTTTTATAATTTTGTGGGCTTAAGATTTTAATTCCTAAACTGAGACCATGACTTTGAGATGCAAAGGATCTACAACAGTGTCAACAGAAAGACTCAAACTGTAAGATATTTTAAGAGATTTATTCTGAGCCAAATAAGAGTGACCGTGGCCTGTGACACAGCCCTCAGGAGGTCCAGAGAACATGTGCCCAAGGTGGTCAGGGTACAGCTTGGTTTTATATATTTTTAGGGAGGCGTGAGACATCAATCAAATATATTTAAGAAATATATTGGTTTGATTCAGAAAGGTGGACAACTCAAAGCGGGGGCAGGGCGGGTGCTTCCAGGCTATGGGTAAATTTAAACATTTTCTGGTTGACGGTTGAATTTGTCTGAAGACAAGATCAATGAGAAGGAATGTTCAGGTTAAGGTAAAGGATTGTGGGCACAAAGTTTTCTTGTGCAGAGGAAGCTCTCAGATAGACGACTTCAGAGAGAGAGAGGGTTGTAAGTGTTTCTTATCAGACCTAAAAGGGTGCCTGGCTCTTAGTTGATTATCTTCTGGATCTGGAAAGAAAGGAAGGAAAACAAAGAGCCAAGAAGATTCTTTATAGGATGTGGATTTTTCTCACAAGGGACTTTGCAGGACAATTTCAAGGTATGGCAAGGAAATGTATTTGGGGGTTAAATATTTTTTCCTTTTCTCGTAACATTATGCCAGAGTCAGATTGAAAAGTAAGTCACGATTTATAGGGTCAAAGAAAACCCATCTGATGAGAATTTATGGTTTGTAGGGCATTACTCCCTAGACCCCTTAGGTAGGAATTTGGGCAAGATAAAAAATTAGAGCTTAGTCCTCAGCAGTTTTCTATCATCTGAGAAGGAGGAGGTGCTTCCAGGGACCCATCTTGGACTTTATCCCCAGAGCTAGGAAAAACTTCTTACATGGAAGAGATTTAAATAAAGAAGTGAAGAAAAAGGATTGCTTTCCAATGACATCCCCAAATATCCTGTGTCCTGGGTAGTAGTGACATCTGCACTGATGCTCCTTCCTCCACACTTTATTCCCAGAATTCACTGTGATGCCTGGCACATGGTAGATGCTCAGTAACTTTTAAAAAGAAATGCTAAATGCAGTGATCAGTGTCTGTCTTTTCTTTCATTTTCTAAAACAGCCTCTATTATTATTATTATTATTATTATTATTATTAACCTTCTGGCTGCAGGTCTTGACTTTTGGTCGTGTAGATGTACAAAAAGGATTGTTTTACAAATACCCTATTGTATCTAAAGCTTCCTGCAACTTCTGGCTGCCCTTTTTATGTGAAGTCTGGCAATTTACTTTATCTCTCTGTGCCGTCCCTCTCTTATCTGTGAAATGACAGCATTGTCCAAGGTTGGCCGTGGATAGTAACTAATTATGTCTATTAATCAACTTTGCCTCAAGTAAAACTTTGCCTCAAGTAAAATACCACTGGGCTTTTTTTGTTTGTTTGTTTTTTGTTTTTGAGATGGAGCCTCGCTCTGTCGCCCAGGCAATACCACTGGTTTATACATATCATTGCTTATCTGTTACTGTTCTAATGTTTTTGGCTTTTGCATCTTATTTATGTTTTAAGATACTTTATTGATTCAAGAATTCAAAAGATTATAAGCTTTCTAATGTCAATTTATGTTTCTGGTCAAAAAGGAAAGGTATTTTTAATAACCTTTTAATAATCTTTCCTTTTTTTTTTTCTTTTTTGAGACAGAGTCTCACTCTGTCACCCAGGCTGGAGTGCAGTGGCGTGATCTTGGCCCACTATAACCTCCACCTCCCGGGCTCAAGCAATTCTCATGTCTCAGCCTCCTGAGGAGCACATGCCACTACGCCAGGCTAATTTTTATATTTTTAGTAGAGATGGGGTTTCACTATGGTCTCAAACTCCTGGCTTCAAGCGATCTGCCCCTGTCAGCCTCCCAAATTGTTGGGATTACAGGTGTGAGCCATGTTGCCCGGCCAATAATCTACTAGTGAATATATTTTACTACTAAAGTGGGCCAACCATTAACTTCACCTAGAAATTGTGAGGTAGATATAGCTATATTGAGAAAGAGAAATCAAACCTAGAAGTTTTATTCTCATGTTTAAACATCTGACAAGGCATGTTTTAGAGATAATAATTAAGAAATAATTGGGCTATTAAATCTAAGTTCTTTGATTTAATTTTTTGCAGTAACTGTCACATCAAATTACGTATATATTATAAATTTACGTCCTTGAAACAATTTATTCTTTCAATAAGTGTTAATTGAACAGTGCTAAATGCCAGGCACTGTTCTATGCAGTTAGAATGGATCTTCAGTGAACAAAAGAGACATGATCTTGCCTTCATGAGCTCGCATGCCAGTGTGTATGTGTGTTTGTGTGGGTGGACATACAGCAAACCATGAAGTAATCAATAGCTAAATAGATGGCATTTGTGCAAGTTTGCTACAGCTGCCATAGTAAAGTATCACAACCTTGGTAGCTTAATCAACAGAAAATGATTGTCTCAAATTTCTGGAGGCCAGAAATTTGAGATGAAAGTACTGGCAGAATCGATTCCTGAGAGCTTCCCAGCCCCTCTCCTTGGCTTGTGGATGTCTGTTTTCTCCCTGTATCTATGTCGTCTTTCTTCTACACATGTATCCACATTTCTTCTTTTTCATAAGGACACCAACTATAATGGATTAGGGTCCACTCTAATGCCCTCATCTTAACTTGATTCCCTCGGTAAAGACCCTGTCTCCAAGTGAGGTCACATTGTGAGGTACTGGGGGTTAGGACCCGAACATATCTTTTTGTGGGACACAATTCAACTCATAACAGTGTGTTACAATGTGGTAAGTAGTTTTGACAGCTACCCGGAGTGTCGAAGTGAGCCGTTGGCTACTGCTGAAGAAGCAGCCGTGTAACATAGTAAATTATGTGGCATTCTCACTCCTCCTGGCTGCTCTGGCCTGTCTCTGAATGTCAGGTATCAGGAAAAGCACAGGTACCACCGGAAGGTGGACTGGTGGCTGTCTCAGTGCGGCGACTATTTTATCCCCTGAAGCCTGAGAATTGCATTCTGCTGACACGTCCTTCTATCATGGGAAGTGACATTTTAAAGATATTTACAAGTTATAGCAGGTTTAGAAATAGTTTACATGAATGTGTAATGTATTATCAGTATATCCTTACATCTGTTTTTGCTCTACAACAATTCTTGAGATTTTTTTTTTTTAATTGACTGGAAAGATGTTGCTATCCCTGCCGTGGTGCAGGTTAAAGGACAGTTGTTTCCTGGATTGATGCCCTTTCTAGGCTCCCCCACATTCTGCATACCGTGATGAAGCTGTGGCTATGCAGGCTCAATTCCCTTTAAATACATTTTACTTTTTCTTGATGGAGTACACTTACTTGCTTAAAGAACATTCATTGGAAAACCTGCAGTGTCTCTATCTAGGGAAATTTATTTTTTCTTTAGTTTGTAAACTCTTGTGTTGAACGATACCTGATGTGTCTTGTGTGGCACTGAGGTCTTGTTTTGTATGAAATGTGTGCTTTCTCAGATATATGGGGCCATTCTTCCTAATTTTTGAAGCATTCAAAAAGAGGCAGTGTTGGGACAAACATATGAATAAGAATCTAACACAGATTTATGCACCAGCATAGCTCCCCAGGCCACACTACTTTTACAGTTTCCAACCTAGTTGAGAATGGAGCTTTTAGCAGAGGGCTTTTGGAAAAGAGAGATGTCTAAGCTTTTATATTTTGGTCCAGTACCCTGGTCAGTAGACATAAAGTATTCTGCATAACAAATACTTGATAGCTTTTCTCTTGCATGAGATCAGAGTTGGAAAAAATCTCTTTTGAGTGTATTTCAAATGACGTACATTATAAATGATTAAGTACTATAAGGGAAATTCTGGGAACATTCTGTTATGCCTCTGATCTTTTAATAACTACACCAGAGATTAGCAACCTGTTTATTGCTAAAAGCCACTTTGCAAGGGGAAAAAGGCAATGGACAGAGGCTGGTGCTACTGACATTCTACAAACATTCACTCAGGGAGGGTTCCGCTACACAGGTGTACAGTGAG
Organism: Homo sapiens; assembly: GCF_000001405.40. NCBI lineage: Eukaryota > Metazoa > Chordata > Mammalia > Primates > Hominidae > Homo > Homo sapiens. Next base: position 107,387,981 of record NC_000013.11, on the reverse strand, counting down.
GGTGTACAATAGACAGGCAACTGGTACATTTTAATGAGTGAGAATGAAGAGACAAGAAAGAAAAGCAAAAAGGAGACCAGCTATGCTAAGAAAGTCATTGAAAATACCATCACTGTGAGTTACTCAAGGGTAGCATTTTAATCATACTGAAGAATGACTTAGGTTTTGAAAAAAGTACAAGTACCTATGAATTTCAGCAGTTTTATGCAAAATGAGGGCAGCTGCTGCACCAATTGTTAGCTTTCTGGGCTTGCACAGTCAGCACTTTTCTCTTGCATGCAGTCTGACTCTCTAATTCTGCTGTAAGCTTTTGGGAAGGCTTGGCCTTTTAGGACATTTTGGTTATATAACTCTCATCTCGGATCAGAAGTGATCATTGAAATGGTGTCGTTTTTGGGAGGTGGGGGTTCATTTTTGTGACACTGAACAGATACTCTGTACCATCCCAGAAAACTCCTTTTTAATCTAGCAGCATGCTTTCAATTGAACAAGACAGCAGTAGACCGGCAGCCACAAACCCTAATCAGTGGGGGTTGACAGTAACTCGTTAAATGCATGAAGGTAAGTCATGTCTTATTTGGGAGGCTTCGGCTTTGTGAAGGAATGAAGGAACCTGCTGCTTGGTGCTGTGTAATGGGGGTTGAACTTGGGACGGAAGCTCTGTGTCAGATGTTATCCCACCTGTGGTCATGGAACTAGAGAAATCAATTCATACAAGGAGTAATATAGATTTGCGAAACATCTCTGAGTTTTCAAAGGTTCACATTTGGATCCCTTCCAAAAAGTAATTCAATTTCCATTAGGACCGTCGAAATTTCTAAGACATTTAAAATGGCTGAAATGCCTTTTATTGGGCATTTTCCTTTTTCTACCCAGGGATGCATCTACCCATCATAGTCGTCTTTATTTGAAGCAGCTACTGAAGTTTTTGGGAAAGGTTTGTGTTTTGTTGTTGTTGTTGCTTTTCATTTTTTTGTGCATAGCTAATACATGAACTGCAATCTTTCCAGACTCAGAAAATATATCATTCTTTAGTCTGGCATGCCAACTGCTAGATGAGAGCTGCTTGTAGTTTCTTTCCAACATGTCACTTTTACTTAAAAGACAACTTTGTTCTCACCCTTTTCCTGGAATATCCATCATCTTATATAACTTTCCTTTGGCCTCTAAGCTCTCGGCATGGAAACCTAAGTGTTTTTCGAGGTACAGGTGGACGTACTAGAATGAAATAGCTCAGATAACTTAAGGAAATGGCCAGTGAAAGATTTGTGGCCATATTTGTGACAGTGTCATAATAACTGCATCAGCATCAGCATATTAAAGTTTGAGGTCACCAGGCCATCTCCCTGGTTTGGCAGAGGCAGGTGATTGTCAAGGATCACACAGTTAGCTACTGCAAAACCAGGGTAAGCACTGGAGTGCTTATCACAAAAACAAGAATTTACTGGGCTTAGGGATTTCGAAGACTCTTCCCAGAACAGGTGGCAGCTCAGTGGCATTCTAGAGAATGAATAGTTAGGAGAAGAGCTATGGAGGGACTTTCCAAGTCATGGAAACAGTTGTGTAAAAGCCAAGTTTCCAGAGACATCAAATTGCATGTTCACTTAAGGAGAAATGTAATTTCCACCATCATTTCTTAGAACTGAAGAAGATACTAAGCAATTTGACTTACAGTCAACCAAGAGGGGGTGGGGTTGCCTTTAGACACTTTATTTTGTGAATAATCTAGAAATTATGTTAATGTAACTTATAGGAAAAGACATTCTGAATGATGATATCTTTGAATTGTGATTTTTCTATCAGCCTGAATGCCAAGTTTACTAAACAAGTTCTCACTAAAAAGACAAAACATGTAAAGGAAGATAATCTTGTATTCTATAGCATTCAATAAAATTTTAAGACATTTAAAGGTGGAAGCTCTATTTTAAAACTAAAATTGGTAAGTATCTGGTTTTTATAGACCTTAAGGTATCCTCACCCATTTCAAGATTTCTTGTGTAAAACATCACTTTTAATTTTGCAGTTGTGAAATAATGGACTGCTTATCTTCCAAGAGGTATTATTTTTTTCTAATTCATTGTTTGGATTTAACAAAGCAAGGGCCATTCTGTTAAGTTTCAGTATTATAACTGAGTGAGAAAAAAATGTTTAAAAATATGCTATGAAATAGCACTTTCTATAAATGGGACAAAAATGTAGAAATATCGAATTTGTTCCTTTTAATACTATTTTTAAAGAATTGGCATATACAGATTGCAAACTATTGAACAAAACAGAATCTTGTTCTTCAAATAGCCGCATACCTTGTTATTTTAAGAAACTTTCAGTGTAATTAATTTCTAAGAACTTAAACTGCCTTTACCTCCTTTCTTTGTCATAGATATGCATTTTTTTCTTTTCTTTGTTTTTTTTTTTTTTTTTTTTTTTTTGAGATGGAATCTCGCTCTGGCACCCAGGCTGGAGTGCAGTGGTGGGATTTTGGCTCACTGCAACCTCCACCTCCTGGGTTCAAGTGATTCTCCTGCCCCAGCCTCCTGAGCATCTGGGATTACAGGCACGCGCCACTATACCCAGCTAATTTTTGTACTTTTAGTAGAGACGGAGTTTTGCCGTGTTGGCCAGGCTGGTCTTGAACTCCTGACCTCAAGTGATCCACCCTCCTCGGCCTCCCAAAGTGCTGGGATTACAGGCGTGAGCCACTGCGCCCTGCCAGATACGCTTTTAAGACAATTGAAGACGTTTTTATTTAGAAAGGAAAAAGAAAAAGAACCAAAGGAGGAGGAAATACTTATTGTTTAACTGAACTTTATAAAATGAGATATTGTTATTGTTAGCTTTAGAGATTTTTGAAATCATAATGATAGGAATAATAGCTAACATTGAATTACTCCTTAATATGTGCCAAAGCCACTGGTCACCACCGTATGTTGATTATATAATTTAGTTTTACAACCACATGAAGTGGGTATGGATATTGCCACCCACTTTCTGTAGATGGAGAAACAGATTTACAGGGAATAATGTGCTTGCTTGAAGTCCCAGAGCTAAGCAGTGGATCTGAGCTTTTAACTCAGGCAGCCTGACTCCCAATCTTAATGGTATAACCAGTGGGAAACACACTCCCTGTTGCATCCTGCCTGAGAAAGCAAAGTCTGTAACACATGTGTTTGGTTTACTTTTCTTTTTGTATCAGATGGATAAAGACAGATCTTTCTTCAGATTTTTGTTCACCACCATGGTTCACCTTCTTTTGTTTCAAATACACTTACGCTCAAAGTGAGGAAAGTTAATTTAAAAATCAATATAAGGCACACAAAGGTTCATATGTTATCTGTGCCTGATTAGAAAAAAAAGATGCCTTGCCTGGTTTTATTTAATTAAATAATAATTTATTCACTTCTAATTTGATAAGAAATATGATTTTATTTTAGTCACGATAAAGGGATATAAATTATATGTATAAAAGCAAAAAAATAAAAAAAACCACCAAAAACAGATTTTCACACTCCAGATAAAACTTTGAAGGAGTAATTTGCTTGTTTGAAATTTCGTAGTTATTTAATAGCTTTGTTACTAAACTTGCAGACTGTATGAAAAGCAAAACTAAAGGCCAAATCTAGATTTCTGTAAAGGTACATGGACATTAGAGGTTAGATGTACTTGTTCTAATACAGAGCAGGCAGGGTTTTTTTTGTTTGTTTTTGTTTTGTTTTGTTTTGTTTTGTTTTTGAGACAGGATCTCACTCAGTCGCCCATTCTGGAGTCCAGTGGTATAGTCACAGCTCACTGCAACCTCAACCTCCTGGGCTCAAGTGATCCTTCCACATCAGCCTCCCATGTAGCTGGGACCACAGGCATGAGCCACCATGCCTGGCTAATTTTTTAAAGAAACTTTTATAGAGATGGGACCTTGCATTGTTGTCCAGGCTGATCTTGAACTCCTGAGCTCAAGTGATGCTCCCACCTCAGCCTCCCAAAGTGCTGGGGTTACAGGTGTGAACCACCAAACCTGGCTTAATGCATGCCATTTTAAATTGCATTTAACTTGAATTTGTAAGGCAAGTAATACATACTTGCATTAAGAATGTGCATTAGAAATGGACTAGCCAATTTATCTTTTAGGTAAATAACCTTATTTGAGAGTTGCGTCTTAACTTCCTATGTTACTAATTTTTCAAAGGCTTTTTCTTCTTAAACTGGGCTATAATTACATGCCATGAATTTGTTCTTGTTTAAGGGAACAAGTGCATGTTGTCAGGCAAATTGGTCTTCTGGTGCAAGGAATGGGAATATTATTCCCAAAATCTTTTAGTTGTTTCCCAGAATATTTTTAAGCATGACAAAGGTATAAACATCAATTACTTCCCAAGAATAAAAGCAGATAACTTCTTTTTTTTTTCTTTTTAAGCATGTAGTCCTCGTAAGAATAATGAACTTCAGTGGTTGATAGTTTCAGGAAAAGTAATGTGAAAAGATCGTAAGTGAATTAATCTTGCACCTTAGGTATACAGAGTCCATGTACACAGTGGCTGATAGATATGTGAATTGAATAACTGTGTTAAATTCTAATCAGGTCAGGAGAACGCCACCAAAATTGTAGCTTGCAAATGAGGTGAATCACATAATAGATACTATAAATAAGCTAAATTTGACTAGCTCATTTTCAGGTTATAAAACCAATGACTATATTTTGGAAGAAAACTGTCACAAAATTATCTTGTCTTTTTATTCCTAAAGTTGTGTATTAGATAACAATAATCAATCACATAATACCTTCAGCTATTGTTGATTATTACTGAGGTAAATTCACTTTTATGAAGCTGCAGGGATCTTGCAAACATGTGCTAAAAAGAATCCTTAGAGTTTAATAAGGTCATAAAATATTCAAACTGTACCCAACTACTAACTTGCAGTATTTAAACCCCTAGGAAATCTGAGAAAGGCTTGTATGTCCCAGGTATCAATCTGGGGTTTGTCTTTCAGTTCTCACTGCTGATTGCAGCTTTGAGCTCCAGAGCTGCTGTCTCTGGATATCTTGCAATCAATTCTTCATGCTGCTGTAGCTTTCTGTTGTCTGTTTCACACCCTTTGTTTATTCCCTAAAGCAGAGCTAACACCAGCCACTTAGCCAAAAGGTGATGGATCACACAAGGGCAAAAGAGTTCAGGGGGAAAAAAGATTGAACTGAACATCAGACAACACCACTCATAGTGTCCATTGGTTAAGTGGGGGGCATTTTACCAAACGACCAATCAGCACTCTCTAAGTATGGCAAGGTTATGAGGACAAGGAAGGACAGTGGGAGTGTCCCAGATTGGAGGAAACTGAGGAGGCAGGAGAAGAAAAAACATGTGGGATCTCAGATCAGTCCCTGACATCACAGAGGCATTAAGGGGAAAAGTAAGGATTGCAGTTAACAGCATTATAACAGTATTTATTTCTCTTAGTTCTGATAAACTACAGTTATGTAAAATGTTAACATTAGGAGAAGCTGAGTGAAGGGTAACATTTTTGCAACTCCTCTGTAAGTCTAAATTTATTTCAATATATAAAGTAGAAAAAATTAAGAAGTAAAACTCATTAAAGATGATAGGTTTGTATCTGTATGATTACAGAATATTAATGAGAATATTTAGCCAAACCCCTCTTTTCACTGAGTTGTTTATATAACTATTCAAACACGATTTTTGCTTTTAAGCCATAATTTATATGCCAATATATGCTGTCATACATGTACCATGTATATATCACGTACATATCATTTATATAGCAACTGGGTCATGGTGTTACAGTGGATTCACACTTGTGTGCAGCAAATGTTATAAATTTGAAGAAAATAGAAAGAATAGAATGAACACAGGAAATGAAATGAGGGGGTACTTTCAGAAGCCCAGCAAGAGATGATAGTGGCATAGCAGTACCATTGTGAAAAGCAGAAAGTTTATATTGATGGATTAGGTGAGAGGTAGAAGAAAAAGAGAATTTGCAGATGACTCCTGTTATTTCTCCCTGAGCAGTAGGGTGAGTGGTCATACTCTCTCCCCAGAGAAAAGTGCTTGGGGAGGAGCAGCCAGTAGTGGCAGGTGGAAGTAAAGCTGGGAATGCATCTTAAAGAGAGGCAATGGGAGAGAGAGGAAGAGATCAGGATGGAAAGCTAAGCAGCACTCATCCCCAGAGATGGATGAGTGGTAGCGACACAGTATTGAGAACAGCTACTAAAAAGTGCTAAGCACAAGCAAGAGTCGAGTCACCTTTCTCCTGGTGCCCCCAGGCATCATCAGAGGAACTTGACACCATCTATGAAACTCCCTTACTGTTAGATATTCCATCCATTATTCAGGAGTCCCCAACGTCTATCATTCCCAGCCCTTTTATCTGGAACTTGGTCTCTTTAGGAAGAGTGGGAGTGGGTGGGGTGGTGGGGCGGTGCGTAGGGATGCAGGTGGCAGAAAGGGCTATAATACCCTTTTTTGGAAATCTGTTTTCTACCGGGTGTGGTGGCTCACATCTATAATTTCCACTTTGGGGGGCCAAGGTGAGAGGATCGTTTGAGCCCAGGAGTTCAAGACCAGCCTGGGCAACACAGTGAGACCCCATCTCTACAGAAAAATAAAATAGTTGGGTGTAGTGGTGCATGCCAGTGGTCCCAGCTACTTGGGACATTGAGGCTGCAGGATCGCTTGAGCCAAAGAGGTTGAAGCTGCAGTGAGCTATGACCATGCCACTGCACTCCAGCCTGGGCAACAGAGCAAGAATTTGTCTCAAAAAAAAAAAAAACTCTATTTTTTTCTTTAAGTCCTCTTCCCCTCTATTCTAACGAACTTTTAAATACATATATATATGAATATATATTTTATTTCATATATGAATATATATTTTATTTCATATATATGAATATATTATGTCATGTATATATGAATATTTACTTTTTATTTTACATATATATGAAATGAAAATAAACCAGTTCTACTAAAATGTATGTATTCTTTTTTTTTTTTTTTTTTGAGACCGTGTCTGGCTCTGTGGCACAGGCTGGAGTGCAGTGGCACGATCTCTGCTCTCTGCAAGCTCCGCCTCCCAGGTTCATGCCATTCTCCTGCCTCAGCCTCCCGAGTAGCTGGTACTACAGGCGCCCGCCACTACGCCCGGCTAATTTTTTGTATTTTTAGTAGAGACGGGGTCTCACCGTGTTAGCCAGGATGGTCTCGATCTCCTGACCTCGTGATCCGCCCGCCTCAGCCTCCCAAAGTGCTGGGATTACAGACGTGAACCACCGCTCCCGGCCCACTAAAATGTATGTATTCTTAAATCCCCATCTTTTAACAAAATCTTTTATCTTTTCCTTCAAAATAGAATATTTTTAGTTGTTGTTTATTTCTGGAATATACCTTCTCAAGAAGGAAACCACCCCATGTCCTTTGCACTGAAAAAGAGTGTGGGGGCCGGGGAGAATTTCAGGGAAGGAGATCGCTCTGATGTCTCAAAACTGCTTTGACTTAGTACTCGGGTGACTCTGTGCTACACAAATATAGACACATGTTTTATATTTCCTTGGTTAAAGCGTTCAAGTCATACTTCTTTCTCTGTCCTTATACAAGAGTTTCTCAAGACAATTTGTATATAAAGCCTTATGATTTCTTGTTCTTGTAATCACTATCACATAAATAATCAGATCTTGAAAAATACGCAATATAAAGGAAACGTTATTTCAAGTGTGCAAAAATTAACATTTCTGAACTAGGAACATTAGAAATACTAGTGCTTTTTAAAAATTGTTGTTTTAGTAGATATATTTAGTTAAGGATTCAGAAATGCCACAAATAATGAAATAACAAATTAGTACTAATGCTAGTTGATACTATAACTATAAAAGATGCTATTACTTTTCCCGTATCATAGAAAAAAAAAGGAGCCATATCAGCCCATTAAGGAAAACTTCTTGGCTTGTGTAGAACTTTCTTTTCTTCGAACTCAATAACAGTTAATAAATTACCAGTTAAGCCTGTGCCTCTGGAAGAGAGCATTTACTCAACTGTGTCTCGACATGTCTGGCATCTCCATGTCATAGTGATTTAACAGTGAGACTTTTCAATCTCAGCCTTAAGTGTAAATCCATGTGATCTGCCCACTCCATCATTTCCCTCTGAATGGAAGTGTATTCTATGATAAGTTGTCTTAAGATGTGCCATTTGTCTGAAGTTTAATTAGTTCTGAGCAGGTGTGGAATAAGAAGCGATCAGGCTGGAGTAGAGTTCATCAAACAAGGTTCTTGGATGAGAAGTGAAGCAGAGGAGAAAGAGAATTCTCTAGGTGGCTTACAGCTGAGCAGCAGGACTCCTGGAGTCCTGAGCACAGAGGCTGTGCTGTCATTAGCAACATTCCCTGAGAAGGGTGTGGGTTTCCTGATCAACGTGGTGCAGGTGTAGAGTTGGGCTCCCTCTGCGTTGTATTCCTTTGACGTTGCCCCAACTTGCATCTCAGACTTAAATTTCCTATAGCTTGCTGTGAACTCTCAGAAAAATGTAAAGGGTAGGAAACATCCTATTAGTAAATTAGCATTTTGACTTTGTAGAAACATAGAAATTCTCGAGCATTTTGAGAAACTAATGGAGAGTTACTATAGCAATAAGAAAATTGTCCCAGGCTTGGTTTGGGACTAGGGCATTTAAAGTCATTGTTGCTGGTTTCCGGCTGTTTCCTTGGTGATAACACAAGCTATAATTAATTAACAGCCTACAACTATGGTTATTTCTGGGTTATCACTCAACAGAACATAAAGTGATTTTTTTGAGCTACATAAGAAATGGAATCTGCCAACCCTATTTAGAAGCATCTGTAACTTGCAAGGTGGTCTATAAAGATAAAATGATTCCTTTTAAAGGGGCCCTGTAAGTTACCAGCTATTATTTCTTCAGGGTACAATAAATAGTGTTAGTGATTTATCAAGCCACGGTGGTGATCATTACTTTGTTCAAAATGCTGTGAAGAATAAAAGCGTCCAAATTAATGAGATCTTAATTATATGTTTTATTGAAAATATCAAACCCTGATTGTTCTGTGTTTCAGGATAATCAGTATATTATTTGTTTTTCTGTCCATAACACCTCATTAAAAACAGTAAATGCCTCTATGTCTTATTTTTCAACAATAATATTTTAAAATTTGGAAAAAAATATGCTGTAATACCCACCATTTCTTGCAGTGCTAACTGTATATTTTCAATTCCTTTCTAACCTATATTGTTCAACGGAAATACATTTGACAATATTTCATATTCAATATCTCAAAATATTTCAAATGTTCAATATTTCAAATTTTTAGATTTTAAATACTCAGCTAAATGTTTTGTCACTTGAAACCAGAATTTGTGACAAAATCTCATAGTATTTATGGCTATAAAAAGAGAAACAATCCTCAGAAAGCTCATTCTCAAAGTTTAGAAATTGACTTCTATTTCAGAATACCCAAAAGCTCTTGGTAAAGTATGTACATGTATGTTTAATCTGAACGTGTAGTTTTTCATTAAAATTGACTGTATTACCAATATCATTTATATATATAGACATGCATACATATATATATATATATGTCTCTCCAAATTATTTACCTACTAAAAATCAATTACATTGTAATAACCACTATTCACTATTCATATATAACTCAAGTATACAAAGCCAATACTCCTTGGCATTAGTGATATTTCTTGAAGAACTGAACTTCAGGGAAATATACTATTCATATTTGTAAGAACCTCTTGGTTTGTTTTGGGGATAAAATTTCATCATTCTCTCTAGCATCATACAGAATGTAAAATAAAGACTATTGTAACTCTGAGCTTTCAGGCAACTCGGGCTCACAGCAAGCCCAGGATCTATTGCCTGTTACATTTTAAGTTCTAACTTTGTTTAAAATCTGAGGGGGCCACAAAGGAAAAGCAGAAAGTAGGATGAGATGGCATTTTAGCAAAGAAATCATATCTGATAAGAGCTCAAAGGGAGAGAACTGGGAGGAAAACAAAGGATGCTTTGAGAGAGGAATATTATAATAACATGCATACTTTGTGAACAATGGCTGGTTTCATTTCTCATTCATATTTAAAGTCAGAAATAATTTAGAGCTCATCCAAACCTTTATTATTAAAAAATGTAGTACAAACTGCTAGATCATTTTAAAAATAAATAGATGCCTATCTCTATTCTGTGCATTTCCATGTAACTTTGAAAAACAGCTTGAGAATCAGGGCAGGACCCAGGGACATGAATCAGGGAGAAGGCCCTGGCATTCTCCAGTCCCTTTGACCTCTTCCTTTCTTATCTCTGTGAACATCTTAGATTCCTTTCATTACTATTATTATTTTTTATTTTTATTTTTTCATAGAGACAGTATTTCCTTATGTTGCCTAGGCTGGTTTCGAACTCTTGGGCTCAAGTGATCCTCCCAGAGTACTGGGATTACAGGTGTGAGCCACTGTGCCTACCAAGATACTTTATTTCTATGACCTCCTGATAAGGCCCTTGCCAAGGGAAGATGCAAAATGCAAAATGCATTCTTTTAGATTCTCCATGATCCTCCTGCTTTAACGCAGGTCCTTGCTTGAGTGACTAGTGTAGAAACAGCAGGAAACCCATCTGCTGAGCCTCACCCAAGTGCTAGACACAGAGCTGCCTCCAGATCCTTCTTCTCTAGCTCTGCAACTCCACGCCTTCCCAGTCCCACCTCTTTCCTCAAAAGAAAGAACACATTTTAGAGCAGATGAACACACCAACCCTCATTTTTGATCAGCACCGGGTCCTAAGGAGAAGGGTGGTGAGTGGACATGGCACCAGACAATGGCTGCTTCTTCACTGGGGGTGGGGTGGGAGCAGATGATGTGTAGACTTAGCTGCAGGAGGTGTGAGCTGCTTTCTGGTGGTTTTTGTCTACTCTACACAATAGGAGGCAAGGTAACATAATCTGCTGGGAGGGAAGGGACAGAGAAATCGGTTGGCATTAAATGCGGCCAGAGAATGAAGGCAGTTTTACAGCCATCATTGTGCTGAACAGGAGCGAGTTGACAGAAGAATCACAGAACAATTGTTGGACAGTTTCCTGGGCCTGGCTGAGGTCAGTGCACAAATTTGCAGTGTAGTCAGTCTTCTGGGCTGTGCAATTCTCTCCGTTTTTGTCTAAAACATATAAGATAAAGTAGCTAAATGTTTATCCTTCTTTTCACTAGGATATGTGTGGGTTACAGCCTTATCATTAGTAAATGGACTCTTTTTTATGTTGTTGAAACACTTGATGAATTTATAGCTCAATTCATTGCAGATCAGACCTAAGTTACTTTGGAAATACTGGACATAATTCGTGGACTCTGTTACATTAGTCTTCAGCAACTCCCTGGGGAGAGATGGTGGCAGATTACATTTGCAGAGAGTCTTCTGGCCATTTTCCTAGGTGGCCTGTGGCATAATTTTAATTGAAAGCAGTTACTCATTGAGTTTATTCAGCATTTGTTGAGAGCCAATTATGTACCAGAGCTTGCTCCAAGGGTGGGAGTCCAGGGGGAAGCAACATAGGCAAGTTTGCTGCCCATGAATACATGCTAATTGCCTAAAAAACAGTTGAAGAATGTGGAGGAGGAAACGTGTAAATTCTTCTTAATCCCACACACCTATCTATCGCTTCACAACAAATTACCCCAAAACTTAGTGCCTTAAAACAACAGTTTAACTAGATGATTCTGGTCAGGGGCCTGATTAGGGCAAGATGTTGGACTGCAGTCACTTGAAGGGTTGATTGGAGCTGTGGGGTTGGATGGCAGGAAAGGGCGCGCAAAGTTCTGATGTTGTTGGCAGGAGGCCTTATTTCCTTCCCATCTGGGCCTCTCCAAGGGCTGCTTGATTGTCCAAATGATGAGGTCTGGCTTCCAAATGAGCAATTCAGAGAGAGCAAGAATAAAGCCACAAAATTCTTCATGATCTAGCCTCAGAGTCTCAAAACACCATTCTGTAGTATCCCATTGGTGGCCCCATTCATCATTCTGTGTGTGTGTGTATGTGTGTGTGTGTGTGTGTGTATAGCAGGTTGCTTTATAAGAACATGACTATCGGGAGGGGGCATCAGGTCACTTTGGAGGCTGGCTTTCACATTTATTTCCTTGTTTCCCAATACTACTCCCTACCCAGGTTGGGTAAATTCTCTCTGAATCCTCTCTAGAACATTCTTTTCTTTTTACTGTGATAGTTTATCAGGATGAGAGGATAATATCCTGTGTTGATACTTTCTTCAAACTTAGAGTTACTTTTTTGTTCTATTGGCTCTTTTCTTTATAGCATTCTCATATTATTAGAAATTAAACTGATAATTCAAAATCAAAGCTTAAGTCAATTTCCTTATATACCTATTATTCCATTTTTTTTTCAATTGATGGAAAATATGCAATATATTATTACACGGAGCAGCAGTTAATCATAACTGAAATTGAGCAAAGCACAAAAATGAGACATTTCCTAATTATTTACATGATAGATACTTTCTGGAATGACTTTGCTTGTTTAATATACATTTTTTATAAAAAATATTTCTGTAGAATGTGACCAAGTATTTTCCAGAGTCTCTTCGAGAACATGAAAAAATATTAAAATAGCTTTCAATTTGTCTTCATTAGTGTTCAAATAGAAAATGTCAAATGAAGCTTTCATATGTTTATTGAATATGATTAGGCAGGAAAGAATTGTTGATTTTGAAACCACATACTTGAAAGCTAAACACATAATACATATGCACATACACACATGGTATCACAGCCGAAGACATTTATTTGCTTTTACTTATTTTTATTCTTTGGATAATAGTTGCTAAAATTTTAAATGTGTTATACTTATCCTATTCAAATTAATGCAACTGAATTTATGTAATACTTCTTTTTCTATAAAACTAGGGAAAATATAATTGAGCAGTTTATACAGTTAGAAGCTATATTAAGGTTAATTTTTTAAACCAGTGGAGGATACTCTCTTAGTCTGTTTTGTGCTGCTCTAAGAGAATAGCACAGACTGGGTAATTTATAATGAGCAGAAATTTATTTGACTTACAGCTCTGGAGGCAAGGAAGTCCACGACTGAGAAACCCACATCTGGTCAGAGCCTTCTTGCTGCATCTTAACATGGTGGAAAGCATAACATGGGAGAGAGAGTGAGAGAGTTCAAGAGGGGCCCAAACTCACCTTCATAACAAACCCACTTCCATGATAATGACATTAATCCATTCATGAGGACTCTGGCCTCATGACCTAAACACCTGCCATTACAACCCGCCTCCCAACACTGTTGCTCTGGGGATTATAATCATCGTGGTATTGCTAGTGAAACTACGGCACAGCCTCAGCCTCTAGGTCCAAAAGACAAGGGTAAGTCTTAGCGTCTCATTCAGAATATCTGTGAGCAATACCATGTTGATTATAAAATGTGTCTTTTCAAGGGAAAGCTGCTTAATATCAATAATAAGTTATTTTATACAGCTTAGCTTGTAATATAAAATCTGAAACATTGAGAAATAAATTATATTTTAGAATTTGATAGAGGATCTACTTATTGATCTCCTATTGGATGGGAAGTTAACCCAATAAAAAGGGTCCACTGAAGTCATGTGCTGAATGAGAGCAGATAAATTCTTCTCTGAAAATAGTTCCCTGCTCCTGATGGTGAATGTTTTAGACAGAATTTCCTCACATACCTTAGAGGGATGATGTAAGCAAGCTATGCTGGGGAGAATGATGTGTTTGTGGGATGGTGACTGGTCCAGGTTGACTACAGCAGAGAAGTACTTGCGTAGGAAAGTAGACAGAGAAAACGACACTGATGGATGTTACAATATGCATCCTTTATAATTATAAAATAACATGGAAAACATGCTAATGAAGGAATCATTGGAAAATTCAGAGAAGTGAATATTTTAATAAATCAATAATTTTCATTACAAAGAAAACGTCCCAAATGTTTTTATTTTTGCTTTGGCAATAGGAAAAACTATGTTCCATTTTAAGGGATATTAAGTATGTTAAAACTATTGATCACCATGGGCAGTCTCATAATTTTTTCAATGAATGTAACTTGCTCTAAAGAAGGTAGATTCTTTTGATGAGTAATCTTGACCTTCTCCCATGCTCGGCCAGATTTATTTGGCCTTTATACATTGAAACATGTGCTTTTTGTGTGGTGAGTCAGACTAAATCTCATGGTCCCAAAAAAAACGAAAACAAAAAGGAAAGAAAGAAAAGAAAAAGAAAGAGATGATAGTGTTGCCCTCTTGTGGCTATTTCAGAGACCAGGTTGATGCTTAGAAAGGCGTGAGTGCTGAGTATCTTTTGCAATCAGATGGAGTAGCCCTGGAAATGTGTAGAGCCCTTTTTATTCAGTCTGTTTAGGAATACAGCTGGACCCATTGGCTGTGGCCCCTTTTGGGCTCCACCTTGCATCTGCTGTAGGAGGGACAGAGCAAGGCAAAGTGATCCCAGGGACTGGGATCGGAATCCCAGCTCTCACTGAAATGTTAAGTCACTGAGACACTAAAACACTGGAAACTCAGTCAGTTCATTTACTCTGATCCATTCCATGTTAGGTCTTTCACCTTTCTTGGGTCTACTCTCCTTCTCCAGGTCTCAACATCTGGTATTCAAAATCTTCGATCTCCAGAGAATTTTGAGCTGGTTATCAAGAGAACCTGGTGCTAGTCTCACATCTACTTTTCATTTGTGATCTTTAAAATATGACGTTCCTGTTAGGTCTATTCTTCCTTAATGAAGAATGAAAGGAAGAGAGAACAGGGACCCAACATTTAGTGAGGTGCTAGTAAGAACCTTGTTCTCTGTTAGATGCTCTGTATACCTTATATGATGCATAATTGCTCATGTCATGATTATGTAACTCACATAATTACATGAACTAATCCCAAAGGGATCAGAGCCTGTATTATTATCATCCCCAGTTTACAGATAGAGAAAGAAAGGTTCAGAGAGATTAAATGACCTCATTAACAGATGCTAGCAGTAGAAAATTTAGGGTCCGATTCAGTTGTATTTGCTATCCCAGTAATTGGTATTACTAGGAAAAAGAGAGTTAGATTAATAGTTACATGTATTTGGGAAATGCTGAGCTAAATGAGTGTTTAAAGATTTTCTTAAGAGTTTCTTGGGACCTTTGATATCTAAACCTTCATGATGATACATTATTGCAACTTTTCAAGCATGTTTGATAACAGATTGGTAGGTATTCTGTAGAACACATTTTTAAAGCATTGATCTATCACCAAATGTTTTCTATTATCTTATCTAATTGAAGATCTTCATTGATTTACTCCATCTCTAAGAGCTATTGTTTGAAATCAAGTTTGTATGACTATCTTTTATGATACTATACTATTTATTTTGTTGTTGAAATTTCATTAAATATTTATTCTCTGCTATATTTCAAATGCCTAGAGGGCAGAACTTAATTTGCAAATGAGTATAGTGCCTTTCAATGAATAGGCATACTGTGAATAGTTGTGGACTATGAGAGTAAAATGATGTGGTTATACGCAAATTATAATTTATATTTCTCTGTGCCTGCAATATTCATGGCTGGCATGTCATTTGTCCCATAGAAGTTTTAATTGTTGCAATAGAGGCATGGCATATCTTACCCTGAAGGGTATCTAAAATAGAAATCACAGACATCACAGTATTGTCAGAAGGACTTGATCCAAAAGAAATTTTAATGTTTTTTGAATTCCATGTACATTGTTTAAACATGAATATTGGAAGAAATTGTGTGAGTCTGAAAGACGAAAGAAACAGGGACTTTAGTTCATCTCGTAATGATTTTTTTTCCTTCAACACCTTTCCTGTTCTGCGGCTGTGCAGGCTATGAGGAGACCTCTCTGCATCTTGCTGCGCTCCAAGGCAGGAGTTCACAAAACAGTGCCCTATTCAGCTCAAAGAATAAATACACAGAATCACGGCCTCTTCGGGGTGGGAGAGATCTGAGCAGCCTTCTTACTCTCTTATTGTCAATGTATATACGATTCTGGGATGGGGAAGTCTGGAAAAGCTTGATTAAATTTTTATTTCAAAAGATATGTTTAGACATTTCTAAAACTGTAATAAAATGTTAACACATCAGTTATGACTTTTCCCTTGACTGATGCTGCAAGTTTAACTTTTGCCATTTCTACCTGAATAAAGAATAGCTGATTTTGGGAGGTTAATTACTAATCTTTTTGATCTCGACTTCTCAAGGTCTGTACAACCACCAGAAAATAAGTTAGATGCTAAGACCTGTGTAAAATAGCAACCTCAATGATAACTACTAATTGACTAATTTTAAAAAAGACATCTTTGTTGAAAGAGTCTCTTTGTTGTGGTTAGTTGACTTTATCATAACAAAAGGTTTAAGGAGACTCTTAAGAAAAAGTTTAGTCTAATGAAGTACCACCTTTGCTGTTTTATATTTGGGGTTTTCACTGTGATGATATCTTGAAACTATTTATTTATTTATTTATTTTATTTTTATTTTTTAGACAGGGTCTCACTCTCTTACATAGGCTGAAGTGCAGTGTTGCAGTCACAGTCACTGCAGCCTCCACTTCCTGGGCTCAAGCGATCCTTCTACCTCCGTCTCCCGAGTAGCTGGGACTACAGGCATGCACCATCATGCCTGGCTAATTTTTCAATTTTTTGTAGAGACAGGGTTTCCCTGTGTTGTCTGTATTGGTCCCAAACTCTTGTGCTCAAGCGATTCTCTCTCCTTGGCTTTCCAAAGTGCTGGGATTATAAGCATGAGCCACTGTGCCTGGCCAATATCTCAAAACTCTTATTTCAGAACTTTCTCCTAGGTTCACGGTTGAAATTCTGGCCCAGATAATAGGACTGAAATGTGTATCTCTGAATTCCAAGTTTACTATTGATATGGTTTGGCGGTGTCCCCACCCAAATCTCATCTTGAATTGTAGTTCCCATAATCCTCATGCATTGTGGGAGGGATGCGGTGGAAGGTAATTAAACCATGGGAGCAGTTACCTCTATGATGTCCTCTTGAGAATGAGCAAGTTCTCAGGAGATCTGATCATTTTATAAGGGGCTTCCCCCACCACTTCACTCTGCACTTCTCATTGCTGCTGCCATGTGAAGAAGGACGTGTTTGCATCCCCTTTCGCCATGATTATAAGTTTCCTTAGGCCTCCCCAGCCATGCTGAACTGTGAGTCAGTGAAACCTTTTTTTATAAAATAAAATATCCAGTCTCAGTTATGTTTTTGTTCGCAGCATGAGAACGGACTAATACAACTGTTTTGCTTTCCAGTATACCCTCTGACTCTTTTTAAAGAAGCAGCTCAGCATGGCGTGGTGGGAGGATGTAAGTCATTTAATGGATGATAAATTAAGAATTTTAAAACTAATAAGTTACTTTTGGATCTATCTGCAGAAGAGTTTAAGCCTCATTAACTGAAGGCTATGTTGATTTCAGTTCACTGTGACCACCCAGGACAGATTTTGGCTCTGGAGTGGTCCAGGGTCTACTGATTTAGGCTTTGTAAGTTTTGAGATTCCTCAGTTTTAGAACACAGGGTGATAGAACTTTGCAAGAGCCTGTTTGTACTCTCCAAGCAAACTCCAGAAACTTGAGTATCTTTCCAAGTGAAGAAAGCAGCCTGTTTTGGGGCGGGAAGGATGTATGCCTCACAGCTAGTGCTGATTCATCCACTGCATGTGCTGTTCACCGGATAGGAAGCCCTCTGATTCCTTCCAGACAAGTGTTTGCAGGAAAGCTAACGTCCCCCAAACTGCAATTTGGAATGCAGAATATGAAAGTAGAGGTATTTTTTTTTCCTCAAACCAAGTTTACAAATTTGCACTTTCTGTGCCTCAGGTTAATAGGCATTTAGCTTTCCCAAAGTAACATGTGCATGATTCGGAAGAATGGCATTCTAACTGCAAGCTTTCCATGACGAGTTTTTCTCCTGCAGGGTGATCTGTGTTAATTTGAATTCATAAGAAATAAAAATTCATTATAGCTCTTATATTTTCTATTTCTCCTTTGGATTAGGAAATGAACGAATTAGACATTTACAACAAAGCCCCAATTACTATCATCTTACATTGGCCTCAAAGCCATCTTTGGAAAGACACTGAAGTTAAGAATGTGAAGAAAACTTACCAACTATCATTATATTATATGATTTCAAGAATAAATTATTTTCATAATATCACTGTCCAAAGGGATTCTTCCATTTCTCTTCTTAAAAACTGTATAACATTTGGATAGTAATAAAGCCCTTTTTGATAGAATCTTAGGAATAATTGCTTAGAAATCCAAGCAGAGACCCATATTTATGCCAAAGTAATAACATCATTTATTCTGTGATCATGTTAGCTCTGTTTAGGTGGTAGGTTTTAAATCTTTAATTTATTATTTCATTAATCTATTAAACTTATTATTAAGTATATACTAGGTTTCAGGAGAACAAAGAATGTACAGATTATTTTGATTTTAGTGACTTTTATATATACACAGATGTATACATAATGAAAAATATATAAATACTGGAAAGATATACACCAGTTAAATGTGTCCTGTTTTTACCACTTGACATAGGCAATTCTATTTTTTCATTTATGTGTATTTAAATCACCTAAATTTCCTTGTAATAAGGAAAGATACTGAGATTTTTTTATAGTGCACATACTAAAAACTATTATACTTCATATATTGAAACATAAATATAGAGATGGATCATGAGCTTCTGTGGGAGGGGAACCACACTCAGATGAGGACATGTGTGATGCCTACTGGAGTTCATCTGATACATACTCTGATAGAGTAGTACATAAGGGGCTATGGAAATTCCGAAGAAAAGTGCTCTACTTTCTTGGGAGAAAGGGACATGGAGGCAATAATTGGGAATTTTTGACACACAATGAGCAGAAGCTTGCAAGTTAGGCAGGCAGGGAACTGCATTTCGTGTAAAGGGAATAGAATGTGCAAATGCACGAAAGTGACAACCTGACCTATTTGATAATGGTGAGTTAATAGGTAGAGTATGATGCACTGAGGGGATGGGCATTGTAGGAGGTGAAGTTAAAATGTACACGGAGATCCATATCATAAAGGGAACAGAGGCGTGAATAGTGGCCCCCAAAAGATATGTCCACAGGCCAATTCCAAGAACCTGTTAGCGTTGCCTATTTGGAAAAGGGGTCTTTGGAGATGTGATGAAGTTAAGGATTTTGACATGAGTAGATTATTCTGGATGGTCAGGGTGGGCCCTAAATGTAATCACAAATGTCCTTATAAGAGACACAGGTGGAAGAGAAGACACAGAGAGGAGGGCCTTGTGAAGACAGGCAGAGATTACAGTGAAGTGGCTGCAAGCCGAGGCATGCCAAGAAGTGCCTGCAACCACCGGACGCCAGAAGAGACGAAGAGTGGAATTGCCCCCAGAGTCTCTGGAGCAAGCGTGGCCCTGCTGATGGTACTTTGAGCTTTTTCCAGAGCTGTAAGAAAATTAGCCAGGTGTGGTGGTGCACATCTGTAATCCCAGCTACGCAGGAGGCTGAGGCAGGAGGTTTTAGTGAGCCGAGATTGGGCCATTGCACTCCAGCCTGGGCAACAGAGTGAGACTCCATCTCAAAAAAAAAAAAAAGTATTTATGTGATTTATCTTTGCAAGTTTGTGCTAATTACAGCAGACAAGAAAACTAATACAAAGGGCATTATATGCCACATAGTGGAGAGCTTTCTATGGACTTCAGTTTAGAGTCATACTGCCATATTGGTGTTATAACTTTTAGTATGGGGCAATAACCCTTTGTTTCCTAGATGCAAAGACTCATGAATTTTTCTAAGAATTATAATGAGGTATAAAGAGCCAAATTATGACTGTTTAGGAATGTACCTAAAAATAAGTACACAGAACCACATATTTTATATACATAGGATTAAAACGCTCAAATTATTCACATGAAAGTATTCCCACCATCCACCTTTTATTATCATAAAGAACCACAATGCTCAGTATGTTTGCACTGAAATCAAAGATAGCATCTTCAGAAAGATGTCCCTTTTACAAGAAGAGTGCTTTACCTAAATGCATGTTTCTTTTTAGTACAGTAAACTAGTCTGCATGAGTTCCCTAGACTCCATCCTGATTTGAGCAATTTTTAGTCTGTCTGAATGTTTGCCTAGTAGATGGTCAACGGATAATGATCTTTACCCTCTTTGCCTCTCAAGGTAGCCATGATGTCAAATGAAATGTTGTATTATTTTGCACAAGGGGCATCAGTACGCTTCTGCCCGTGTAGCCCTTCCAGCAAGTGTCAGGGAAATCTGCGGGGCAGCCTGCTTAGAGGCCCACGAGGCTCCCGGTGAAGCTGCAGGCCTTGTGTGTGTCCTGCTTCCACGTGGAGCAACACTCAGGCCACTTCTGTAATTAATTCCTCTCCAAGTTCTCTCTCAGCTGGGAGAGACGGGAATCAAATGGGAAACGCATGACTGATTCATACATCCAAGCAGGAAATGAGGACAAGACTTTGTCCTCCAGCTCTTCAGCCGGAAACAAGACATCAGGAGAATGACCACATTCAGGTCAGTCTAATTGAGGCCCCAGAACCTGCACATACTCAGTAATTGCCCGCTGGTGGTGCCCAGGCCTAGGTTGTATGAGAGTGATCAGTGGCTCTCTCTAAGAGGTTTGCTTTACAACCCAGTCTTTTATCATGATAATTAATGCTTGAATTGTGTTTTATGAAGGAGATGAAGTGTGTGGTAAGAAGAGTTATCCCTCAGTTTTTATTTTTTTAAATTAATTTTCCAAGTGTAAGCACATACAGCTTACCTGCAGTGTTTCTTTCCTTGCCTTACTTTTCGCTTTTCTGCGTTTGCCCTTTTGTTTTCATCCTTGTGCAAGGGACTAGTTGTCCCCAATATTCCTTCTTCTCTTTTCCCTCTAAAATAACGCCTGGAGTTTAGCTGTATCCAGAGGCATTCAGAGTGAAGGCTTCATTTCCCACATAAGAAAGTTCTGGCCAATGGCGTATGACTAGAAGCCCTTGTAGGATACCCAGTTCGGATCTTAAAAGTATGTACGTGTTTCTGCCATTCCTTCCCCTTTGTGAGCATGAACGTGAACACCTGCCTTGGAAAATAATGTGGAAACTGTATATTGAGGGCAACAGATCAACAATAAGAGAGAAAGTGGAGGTCCCTGACAACATGGGATGTCGGACCAACCCTAAATTGCTTACGACTAAATGAGAACTATTGAAACTTCTGTATTGCTTAGCCACTGTTGTTTTGGATTTTCTGTAAACCACAGTTTAATTTATTTTCCAAAGCAAAAATCAGTCGGCAGAGTTGAAAGTGTGGTCCAAATTAATCATATTGATAAACAGTGTGTCATGGAAGGAATAAAATAAATGGAAAATGATGGCTATCATAAGAAGCTCTTGCCTCCAAAATTGGGCTGAGCCCCTTTTGTTGGTAAATGCATCATGAACTTACTCATCCACATAGGCAGGCCTTTTTTTGATTGCAGTTTTACAGCAGGCTTTGCACTGGAGAATTTCATAGACAGCAGAGGCTAAAAAGGGGAAGCAAAATGTAGAATAAAGCCAAAGTGATTATAATGCCTTCTTCAAGGTTAGATATTTAAAATCATTCTTCATCACAAGGATAGATGAATCTCAATGCATAACCTATTTTTTTTGTATTAAGATTATGGCATAGTACGCAGTTTCTGTATATTTAAATCTAGATTTCACAGAAACCATCAGTCCCAGAGAAACACTTCATGAATAAGGGTGCTATACTCTCTCTCACTGGCATTGAGTCTCTGCATATGCTAAGAATGACTTTATTGTTTCTATCAAAGTAAATCCTGATTTGTCATCACCTGTATGAGTCTTTGTTTGCATTAGGATGATTTCTATGTTAGTGGCGTAACTTATTGTGTTGCTTTTAGCACACAGGGAAATTCTAAACAGAGCCCACGAGAGGCTTTGTCATCTCACTGTTGCTTGCTAATTGAACTTCCGATTTCATCGGATTCTAACCTAAAACAGCAAGGTGCTTGACATGTAGGCAAGCAGTCTGTGGGAACTAGTAATGCTGCATAGTGAACGGGAGTAGGCAAAATATATTTTAGTGCAGTTTGAGGGTATTTGCTAAGTCGATAATGTTGTAGCTCAGAAGATCTATTTAATTAGTGATATTTCTAAAAGAGGATCTCTCTACTTAGATGTAAACAGTCCATTCACTGCCTGACTCACCCCAGGAATGGAATGAGATTACAGGGATACTACTTATTAGTCAAAATGTCTCTGCAAGAGGTCAACCATTCCCCAGTAACCATTCCCTGGAACCGTTGAAATGTAAGTTTTGATAAGGACCATCAAAACAACAAAAGACCACAAATATGATATCCATACATGTGTTGTTCTTTTCTGCTTCTGCACGTTTTTCCATGTTTCTTTGGGTTGGAAAGTTTAGAGAGAAAGCCCTAAAGTGAAGGAAGGACACTGAACTGAGAGATGTGTATTTGTAGCAAGAAGTTTCTCGGCAGGGCTGTCAGAGGAAAAGTACACTGGAGAGAGCTCAGAACTGAACTTCGGAGAGAAATTCAGGTTCCTCTCCAAATTAATTAAGCAGGAGACCACCCATTCATGTTTTCCCTAATACCTGATAAATTATTAGTAGGTTGTAAAGCAGTATTTCTGTACTTGTGGCTTTTTCTGTGCCTTTTCAAACGTCGCCTGAGCACCTTCACAATAAAATTATGTTCATCATCATACACATTGGTAAGCGTTTTCAAGGGATCTTGTTATTAGTAATTGTTTGAGGCAAAGATGAGGAAGAAGGAGGAGAAGGAGGTAGAGGAGGAAGAGAAGGAATAAAAGGAAGAGGAAGAGGGAGAGGGAGAGAGAGAAGGAGGAGGAGGAGGGAGGGGGAGAGGGAGGTGGAGGAAGAGGAGGGGAGGGGGATGGGGAAGGGGGAGGGGGAGAGGGAGAGAGAAAATGAGGAGGGGGAGTGGGAGGGGGAGGGGGCAGGGGAGAGGGAGAGGGAGAGGAGAAGAAAGAAGGAAGAAAAAGAAGTTGTTCACAGAATCAGATATTGGTGAAATGGTGAAATGTGCCTTTTTTTCCCCTTAATGTCAAAATCACCTTATCCTAGGTCAGGTTGTCAGGCTCTTACGAGCTTGGGGTAGATGCTTGTGTCTGACCCCCTTTCTGTATTACAGTGAAGATCCTTTAACTTTAAGGTGAAGTTGTAGGGAAATTTTGACTCCTTTACTTAAAACCACATTTTACTGTTCAATCACTTATTTCTTTGTTCTATAACACATGGTGTATTGGGTCGGTACTCTATGGCAGTCACTGCACTGGGTGCTGAGAACACAGCAGCCTGGCTTTTCTGTTCTTAAGGAGCATGAGAGCAGACCCCACTCCTCCGTGTCTGGATGGCCTTGAACACCAAAGTGAAGACGGGCAGTTGACAGGAAACCTATTTCAGCAATGCTGACGATGTCACTGCCAGTGTTTTCACCCCTTTAATATGTTACATATGTGGACAGGCTTAGCCTGGATGTATACTCTGTGCCTTGCATTTCACATCCACACAGCTATGGCACTGCATCCTCCCTGCTTTTATAATCATCTAAAAAATTAAGTAATTTCCATCTTGTTGTTCAAGATCAATAACAAATGCTCATATATAAGATGATTAGATCAAAATTAGATCCATTTATCAAAATTATTTTGAATGCCTGAATGGACATGCTATTCAAATGTTTTGAGCATTGTAAGCTCTATAATTGTTTAATAAAAAGAAGATACTTTAAAACAGTACTGAGCAGCTTTTGTTTCTCAGTAAAAAGAAAAACATTCCAAATATGATCTTACAAATGGTACTAAAAACATAAGTACTTTTCTAGCTTCTTATTACGTATAGACTGATTAGAACGTTCAGAAAATGCAATGAGCAAAACCAGGCTATTTCATTTTTATTTATGCCTATTCCTACTCTTACTCAACTACACGTTCTCAGTAAAAGAAGCTACCTATCAATCACTCAGAACCCAAAGTTACCTCTTGCCATTTCTTGAGAAGGTTAGAAAACACAACATGAACTGGATTTTACTGAAACTTCACTTTGAAACAAAATAGAATGTTTTATGCTTTTATTTATCAAGACCACTGAGGAAATTCTGATCCAAGAAAACTTTAGGGCAAATTTTGAAGCCAGTTCTTCAATAGACAAAAATTTGTCTTATTTACTATGGCTCTTAAACATAAGCAAGCCAAAACTAAAATCATATACTCTTCTTTTAAAAAATTAATTAATATTAAATAAATTTACTGCTTTGATTTAAACAGTCCATTCACTGTTTCATCACCCAGGCTGGACTGCAGTGTTGTGTTCACAGCTCACTTCAGCCTCAACCTCCTGGGTTCACACAGTCCTCCCACTTCAGCCTCTGGAGTAGCTGGGACTATAGGCGTGTGCCACCATGCCCCAATAATCTTTTTACTTTTATTTTTGTAGAAACGTGGTCTCACTATGTTGTCCGGGCTGATCTCAAACTCCTAGGCTCGAGTGATCCTTCCATCTCAGCCTCCCAAAGCACTTTGATTATAGGAATGAGCCATCACACCCAGCCAAAACCATGTTTTATTATGAACAAATCAGATAATCCAAGTTTACCAACCTCATCAAGAATCAACACAGTGTTCTGAATAAGATTGTATGCAATTCTTTTTGAACATTTGGAAAATGCTAAGTTTAGTGCCTGTTAGAAATCCTAAGATTTTTAGAGGGATATCTGATAGTTTCAATAGAAATGAACAAATGAAATAAAAATTCTTGACTTAAGGATTTTGAAACATGCACAGTATTGAAGGACTTAATTATTCTAGTAGAATTTCAGGCATTGTTTATGTGTTCTGTTGTTTCCTGGTTAAGATCTATTTTTTTCACTTTACGATCCCAATTATTATATGGTAAGCTTTTGAGTCTTGGGGACATCATAGTTCTATGAAAAGGGATATAAGAAGATAGTTTCTACCTTTATCATGAGCCTAAAGGTATGTATAGATAACCCAATCCCTCCACTTACTTTAGACCTGCCAAAAGCTCACATTCATCCTGGTTGCTCCATATGTGTGCCCACTCAGACAGGTACATGCTCACCTATGGGAAAGTTGTAAAAGCACACACGGTGTTTGCTGGATCATAGGAGCTCCACATCCCTCCAGACACTTGTCGGTGGTAGAATTGTGTCCCCCCAGCAAAATATGTTGAGGTCCTAACTCCCAGAATCTGTTAATGTGACCTTATTTGGAAATAAGGCCTTCACAGATGATTAAGATGAGGTCATTAGGGTGGGCGCTAATCCAGTGTGACTGGTGTCTGATATAAGGAGAGGAGAATGCCCCGCGACGAGGACACACAGGAGAATGCCAAGTGACAACAGTGGTATAAATTGGAGTCATGCAGCTGCAAATCAAGAGATGTCACCGATTGCCTGATACCTCCAAAGTCAGGAGGAGGCAAGCGAAGATGCTACTCTACAGGTTTCAGAGGAAGCATGGTCCTGACACCACCTTGATTTCAGACTGTTCTCCTCCAGCACTGTTGGACAATGCATTTCTCTTGTTTTCAGCTACTCAGTTGATCATAGTTTGTTACAGCACGCCCTAGAAAATGAATACAACTATTCCTTCCTGTTTACATGAATATCATAAAGCTGTCACCTGACCCCGTTTTTCCCCACCATCAGGTAACCTTGTCATTTGGAGAATCAGTCAATAAGGGTAGATTATTTTCGAGTAACAACCAGCCCCCAAATTTCAGTAGCTTAAGAAAATAAGAGTTGAATTCCCCCATCTCTACCTATGCACTGCAGGCTGGCAGTGCGACTTCTGTTTACTAGTTTCTCAGGGACCCAGTTTATGATGGTGCCATCCCAGAACATCTCAGAACAAGGATTCATCTTTTCCTAGACAGGAGAAAAAGGCATAGAAAATCATACACTGGCTTTTAAATGCTTCACGCCTCCTCTTTTACTCACCCTCCATTGCCTAAAGTGAATCATCTGGCCTTGCCTAACTTTAAGGAGATAAGAAAGTGCAAAGTGCGAAGACCAGCGAAGAGCTGACCATGTTGGGGATCACCAGCCAAGCTGACTGTATTTGATAATGGCTTAACTAGATTTCTTACTTATAAATTGAGATCTTAATATGTATTTGGTTACCGTGTGATTTAAATAAAAAGTTGTAGACTCACAACAAATATTAATTCCTTCACTTTTCACCTTATCTTGCATCTTTGCAAAACCGGCTCTGCTGCACCATCTTCTGATGGGAAACTTTTCCTCCTGCATTATTTCTTCTCTAGCTTTTCTGGTTCTTTAACTCCCTCACTTTTTTTCCATGGCTCATTTTTCTTTTCCAGATCCATAAATCTGGATTCTTTCTAACATCTTTTTTTTCCCCTACAGTCCTTTTGCCTTGAATGTCTTCTCCACATATTTTACCGCGTGTACTGTCTACATATATGTAGATGCTTCTGGTCTTTCACTACTCACCAGCAACAGAGCCAAATTTCCAGTTACCTGTTACTTACTATTTCCTGAGCCAGTCAAGTTTCTTGTTCATTCGGTGGACTTCCTGCAGTAGCCTCCACCAATAGGCTTCAAGACTTGGAAAAGTCACTTCCTTCCATAGTCATTTCCTCAGTTCCTCCAGCTCATTTGTATATGATACTTAAGCAGTTAGTAGCTTTTTGTTTATCTGTCTAAGCACATATTTATGGTAATAGAGTGCTAGACAATGAATTGAGAAGTGAAGAATGCAAGCTCTGGGTTGCTGATCCATTGTTGTTCTACAGAGTAAAATCTTTATATGTGTAAGACTTGACTGAGAAAAATGGAAGCTGAAACTGATCAAACCTTTACATTTAACTACAAACCTACAGGAAATGTGGGAGAAAAGATGTATTAAACATCACTGATAAGCAATCAGTGAATTAAGATTGTAGGAAACTCTAC
The DNA here is from genome assembly GCF_000001405.40 of Homo sapiens. Taxonomy (NCBI): domain Eukaryota; kingdom Metazoa; phylum Chordata; class Mammalia; order Primates; family Hominidae; genus Homo; species Homo sapiens. The sequence goes on along the minus strand of NC_000013.11, from coordinate 107,360,923 downwards.
AAGAAAAATAGTAGGCTTTATTAGCCAAAAATATGGCAAGAGAAAAAGAGAATAAGAGAGAGAGGGAGGAGGGAAAGAAAGAAAGAGATAGGCAGCTATAGATTAGAAAATACTTAAAAACCAGCCTATTACAATTGTTGCATTCTAGTTTGAACAAGCTATTTAAAATTGTGATAAAGGCAATTTGATTACATTGAGGTATTTAATTTACATTTGTGACAATGATACTCAGGTGAGAATTATGCTTAAAATATGATTTACAAATGAAGTATATTAATATAATGTCGGTTATTTACTTCAAACTAATCCAGAATGTGAAAAAGCAGGTAGGAATATACATTAAATAGGATTTGGTATGAGTTGAAGTTGAGTGATGATAAGTGAGGGCTCATTTATTATTCTATTTTCTTTTTATATATTTGAAATTTTTCATAATTAAAAAGATATTGGCTGAACTTGGCAAATAACTAAGACTCCACCAATTTTCATGATGTGAAAGGGTGAGATGTTTCATTAGTAGTTTATCCTCAAATGGATTTGATGATTCCAATGGGTTTTTGATCTTGAAGTGAAGAGTAATACAATTTGGGGTCTGAATTCTTTGGGGATCTGAGCGTTGTGGTTTAGTGGAAATTGTGCTGCAATTCAAACAAAGTTTAGGCTCTAATTTGCTATTGAGTCAGAAATGACTAGCAACTCTATGCACACTTCCTTTGACTCTGATTCATTTTATTTCCATTGCAATTTATTTACTTGTAAAAGCATACAAGTGCCTACATTTATTTTCTCTTTGTTAGTGCCATAGCAGCCATCATCAAAGCAATTATTTCTATTGGCATATATTTAATTGCAACTTGTCTCTTGCATGTTGCCACAAGTCATTTGCAAATTCTCATGGCTTTGCAATAGCATAACCTATTTGTTGTCATCAACTTTAGAAATCAATTTCTCCCTTGTGCCCATAGTAAAAATGATTACAGGTTATATAAATGCAAGTTTTATCATGACAGTGGAGTAGAACTGATGTGGCATACTAATTCATTCATTAAGGTGCAAATGAACAAATTATAATTGAAGGTGGTTGCATAGTTTTCCTTCTGCCACTGTTGTCTGGGAACACACACTCTGTTCTGAAGGCAAACTAACAAAGACAGAATCTTTGAAGCCCTTAAGCGCTCTTTGATTTAGACCCCACTTAAAAAGTTATTAAAATGCCACCCCCTAGAGGCAGCAACATTTTTTATTTGGTTCCTAAACTAGAGAGAAATTGCCACTGAGAAAGCAAAAGGAAGGAAGGAAGAGAGGGAGGGAGGGAGGGAGGAAATGAAGGAAGGAGGAAAGGGAAACAAAACTTTTAGAGAGCAAAACTTTATAATTTTTGTAATTAATATGACAGAATATTAATATTTCTTTAATATCTATTAAACTGTCCACTTTTAAAAGCATATTCAGTTTTTGTCTTTTATAGAATGATATCACAGCAGTTATTAAGTAACACTTCAGTTATAAATATGGCTAGATAATGCATTTTTCTATTTTAGACATTGAGGGAAGGGAAGGCAAAGACCATAGTATCTCAGACCTCAAGAGTCTGGTAAAAAGACATGGCAGACACAAAATAAATCAGTTAACAATACCCAGCAAATCCATGGTACCATACATGAATGTTGACATGAGAGATATTCACTGTAGGTTTGAGTGTTCAAGGAGAAATTGCAGCAAGAGAAACAGAACTGAGAAAAAAGGATGAGAATGATTTGATCTGGGAAAAAGAGAAGAATAAATTATAAGAGTGACAGAGGAATGAACAGAATTTCAGGGAGGGGAATGTTCAAAGCATGTTTTGAGGAGTTTCTGGACCAGCTGGCCTGGAATGAAAGCTTCCCTGATAGTAGAGAATATAAGATTAAAGGGAGATTTGGCAAAATAGTTCAGGATCTCCAAAAATGTCCAGAATTTTTAGCTGCTTTTAAACCAAAAACTAACAAAAAACAGTGGCATTTTCAGAATACGCTTTTGTGGTTGAAATGTTCATAAAGAGTAGCTGCCAATAGGAACCATTCCTGCATTGCTTGGCACCCAATCCCAAAGAAACCTGTGTGTAAATAGAAAAAATACATGGGACTCATCGAAATCAACATTTCACTCGTGCATATTGTGATGGATTTCAAGATGTCACATGGAGAATGTTGATAAGATCCACTTGTAGAATATCTTGAGTTCAGTGATTCAGGGGTCATCCATAGAGTTTACTCTTCTGATGATGGCAGAAGGTATTGCATTTTTAATTTCCAACACTGTGTTTTATTGAATGTCTTTAAAAAACATGCTTCCCAGGGATTCTTCTTTAACCCGTCTTACACAATGAGGCCTAGTGTTCCAAACAGTTCTATTTGCTTCACAAATCTCTTCCATATCTCTTATAATATGGTAGACATGACTACATAGCCAATAAATGAGGTTAAAAATATATTTTGATGGGGTCTGTTTCTGAGCATTTACTAAATATCATGCACTGCTAAATGTTTTTCACCTGGATCCCACTGAAGCTCAAGTACTTTTTGTAGCAGTTATCATGTTACTCTTCTCTTGGCAACTGCAGAGCCTAAGGCTCAGAGAGGTTGGGTAATTTTCTAAAGGTAATACAGCAGGCAAGTGATAAAACCAAGAATCAGTCGAAATTGTCTTTTCCAGAGTTTGCACTTGTAACAGCAGTTTGCTTTATTTTAAACACACACACACACACACACACACATATGTTACGTATATAAAATAGGTATAAACATGCATGTGTAAATGTGTATACATATATATATCCACAGACACATGTCTATATACACACATATATATATGCGTATATAAATATGCATATGCACACGTGTGCATATATTCATTACATGTAGTCATTTATTTATTGCAAATATATATTTTTATGCATGGCCCAAATGGGATACTGAAATCATTATCAACCTAAACTTGATACTGTTCATGCAGATAATGAGATGAGCCATGGAGAGCCTCGCAATGACCCCTGAATTATCAGTGAGCCCTGCTGAGCTGTTTGTTTGAAAACCCCTCAAGAAATGATTCATTAAACTAACGTCTCTAATTTATGTCCATGTGTTATTGCATTGCTTTCTGCAAGGAATTTATGGAAATATTTGCCATCATTGTCTCCAGATTATGTTTCAGCTCTTTAGTAGCAACATTTTTTTATGAGTGAATGAAGTCCTGGAAAAAAGAAAAGGGATCCTTCTCTTGACATGCCCTTCCTGTTCATTTATCTGTTCAAATACTTCAAAGCTACTCCTTTTATAAGGCGTTTCCTGGTCCCTCAACTAGAAGTAATTTCTCTCTCTCTGAAGACCTGCTGTAAGGTTTGGTTTTGTTGTTGTTGTTGTTGTTTTTAACACAACGTATCTCCTAAGGCAGCTATTGCTTTCTACGTGATTGATATGGCTTGGCTCTGTGTCCCCACCCAAATCTTATCTTGAATTGTAATCCCTATAATACCCATGTGTCAGGGGAGGGACCAAGTGGGGATGATCGGATCATGGGGGCAGTTTCCCTCATGCTGTTCTCATGACAGTGAGTGAGTTCTCCCTAAATCTGATGATTTTATAAGGGACTCTTCCCCCTTTGCTCTCTTCTCTCTCCTGCTGCCATATGAGAAGGTCTGTGCTTGCTTCCCGTTTGCCTTCTGCCATGATTGTGAGTTTCCTGGGGCCTCCACAGCCATGTGGAACTGGGAGTCAATTAAACCTCTTTCCTTTGTAAATTACCCAGTCTCGGGTATTTGTTTATAGCAGTGTAAAAATGGACTAATGCAATTGTATTATATCTCCTATGTTCTCCATTGTATCTCAGAACCCTTTGTGTTTGATTTATCCTCCTTTCCCTCTTGATGTGTATGTACTTTGACCAGGCCACTATCTATTCACCAAATGTTTGTTGCAACAGTAGAATGGTAACACTGTAAAGGCCCAGATAAAGCAGAAACAGTAAACTTTGTATGGTTGACATTTGTTTTCCAAATTATTGTTCAAAGGCCAACTACATTTCTCATAGTGAGTTAGGCAATTGTTTTGAAATGTGTTGGTCCTGGTTGATTCCACAACAGAACATTTCCATATCCACACCTGTTAACCAGAAAATTATTCTGTTTGAGTTTTAGCTACTTTTGTTTTCTGTTGAATCATAAACTTCAAAAAACTACTAATCCAGTTACTACTTGAAGTCTTTTAATGTCTAAAACTTTGCTCTGGTGAAGGGAACTGCATGATCTGTGTATTTAATATCACATTTCTTGAGAATGAGTTCTAAGTGAGGGATAGGGGATGAATTGAGGAAAACAGCAGACTATGGAACAAATACTAGAAAAATCGTATAGATAGAATGTCTTAATTTGTAGTTTAGAAAGACTATCCAAACTGTCATTTTGCTTTCTAAGCAATTTAAGTTTTCTTTGGTGTTATATAGTAATCGAAAAGCATCTAAGCTTTAGTAAATCACTTTGTTACTGAGTTCATTTGAGATTTAAGTTTCTCTTTTGTTATATACATTTCATATATTTAAATATTTGTTTATTGAGCATCCTTATGTTGTTGTAGATTTACATTTTTGTTAAATCTGACATAGATTCAGATATCCTAAAATATCTAATGAAAATCATCTTTAAGAACTAAATTATAAATGTGAGTCGGTGTTGAAATTTAGTTACTTTCAGAGCAGTGGTCACATCTATAGAGATTCACAGAAAATCTCTGAAGTTTCTGAGGTGTTAAACTCTGCTAACTGTACCTGTATTAGCAGCATGACATCGGCTCCTGTGTTTGTTAAGGAGTGGGTACCCAGGGCCCCAACTCACAGGCTTTAAGAAAGGCAATAACTTGACATAGTAAAGACAGCTTTCAGACAGAAGTTAGGAAGCCAACAATCCTAGATTTCTTTTGAATTTTTTAGGGGCCAGAACCTTTATCAATGATTAAATGCACTAACATACCCTGCTTGAGAACAGATGTCCTACCATATTAAAATCTTTAATCTTCTATTTTTCTCAATTTCCAGTCAACATTTTCTGCACAGGTGTATTAGTCCATTCTCACACTGTTATAAAAAACTACCTGAGACTGGGTAATTTATGAAGAAAAGGTTTAATTTGGTCATCATTCCACAGACTGTACAGAAAGCATGGCTGGGGAGGCCTCAGGAAACTTACAATCATGGTAGAAGGGCAAAAGGGAAGCAAGCAAGTCTTCATGTGGCAGCAAGAGAGAAAGAGAAGGGGGAAGTGCTACACGCCTTTTAAACAACCAGATCTCATGAGAACTCACACTCATGAGAGCAGCAAGGGGGAAGCCTGATCCACTCACCCCCCGCCAGGTCCCTCCCCGAGCAATAGGAACTACAATTCTATTGTAATGAGATTCAGGTAGGGACAAGAGCCAAACCTTATCAACAGGCATCTTCTTTGGAAATTTCAAGAATAAATACTTCTTTAGAACCTGTCATCATTTTGCCAAAATTAGTGGATTACAAGACCAAGATTTCTCAAACTAGAGTTAGAGACCAAGTCTCATGCATAATGTTCCACAGAACACCTTGTAACTTAATTCATTGCCCTCCTCCCTTCTTTTTTTCCCTTTTGCTTCAAAAACTCTATTACTGTGTGTGATTACATTTTGTTCCCTAAGATGACAAATTGTAACGTTGGGGTTTGCAGACCTCGTTGTGCAGAGACTATTTGCTGTGCGACCTGTCACCTCACTGTAACTTGCTGCCCCCAGATGGATGAGGGCAACCGGCCCAAAGACTGGGCTGCCCACAAGCAAAGATCACTGAGAACAAAGATAGGCAGTGCCCAGATGCCCCCTGCAGCCTCCCTGCCAGGAAACTGGCTTGAAGGTCTCAAATCCATGCCCTGCTGAAATCCTTAGTCCTCTCCAAACCTTGAGTGACGTCCTAGGGTTGGGGATCTCAGCCAGGGTGGGTGATCACGTTCTCATTCTCATGTCTTCTACTCTCCGGAATCTTCTTTCTCTAGCACAGTTGCTGCTGGACCTCATGCCATTGCAGATGGGAAGCCAAATTTATCAGGGGCTTTTACACAAACAAAACCCTCTCCCACCATAGTTTATAAATATAAGGGACTTTACTGAGGAACCAAAGGCCTTAGGAAGGGACTACAGAAACAGAAGTCCAAATTGGGAGCCTCCAAAATTCTTCTGAGCAAAATGATGACAGGTTCTAAAAAAGTACTTATTCTTGAAATTTCCAAAGAAGATGCATGTTGATAAGGTTTGGCTCTTGTCCCCACCCGAATCTCATTAAAATAGAATTGTAATACCTATTGTTCGGGGGCGGACCTGGTGGGAGGTGAGTGGATCAGGTTTCCCCCTTGCTGCTCTCATGAGTGTGAGTTCTCATGAGATCTGGTTGTTTAAAAGCATGTAGCACTTCCTCCTTCTCTTTCTCTCTTGCTGCCATCTCCAAGAGTAGACCTCTGTCTGGCTGACCGTCACACAGTTCCCCAGGTTTCTGAGTTTTTTCTCCTCTCTCTCCACCATACCTTTTTGATTCTTTACCCTTTCCTCCTGCATGGCCCAGGGTCCCCAATACCACCTCTCACATGTCGTGCAGCACAAGTGTACTCTCTCTCTGGTTCTCACCTCCACCCATGCTAAAGTCCAGCTGGCTCATAATGCCTTTCCTTCAGCACTGCCCTGTCCACAAGTTACAGTGACACATAGCTAGGGAAGTAAGTAAACAAAATAAAATGCTGTTTATGTTATTTTATAATTTGAAGCACTTCTTTTAATTTAAGTTGTAGTTGAAGAATTAGGGCTTTGATGTTGAGGGGACTCAGCTTCTGATTTTTGCGTGAATTAGAGCAGTATTCATATTTTCAGAACCTTGGCTGTCTCATCTAGTTTGAGGTTGTTATGAGAAGTAAAACTACCAATAAATGTTCAGCATTTAGAATTATTCCTGGCATGTACTAGGTGCTCAGTCAATGCTATTTCCAGTCTTCCTCTTTTTAAGTATAGGAATAAATATCTATGCATTTACTAATGAATTAATGGATTATTCCTGTGTTAGACATTAGGCCACCCTGGTTAAATCTAGCAGAGTTGCTGGTGTGTGTACATGAGCACTCAACACTTGGATTAATTCTCTGTTGCTGCCGAAATAAATCATCACAAAGTTTGTGACTTAAAACAACACAAATTTATTATCTCACAGTTATGTCAGCCACATGTCCTCATTGGCTGAGTCTTATAGCAGGCAGATCTTGTTTTTCTTCTGACCATTTCCACATTAGTATGAACTTCTGAATTCTGAATTATGAACTTCTTATGAATTTCGACATTATTATGAAGCACATGTACTTCTAAAAAGAGATTGTTGGTGATTCTTTTCACAAGACAAACAAACAGACAGCTTTTGACTAGAGAACTTTGCCAGGTGGCAATGTGGCTTCTCATGAAGCATCAAGTCTCAGAAGAAAATTTCCGTCTGCAGTGGACTAAAATGCTTGTTTTCCCCAAAATTTATATTTAGAAAACCCACTCCCAATGCAATGGTTTAGGGTTGAAGGAAAACTTTCCCCTTTGCTCTCTGAAGGTTCACTAAAAAACTGACATAAGGCAAATTCATAGAAGAAAAGGGATACAAATTTATTAATACAATTTTATTAGTGTGCAGGAGGGAAAGTGACAGAGTGACTACCTAGTCATCCAGTGTGTTAGAGAAGCTTATGTACCCTTTTCCGTAGGGAAGTGGGGGGATGAGGACTGCAGACAATTTTTTTGAGAAGTGGTAAATCAGGAGGGAGAGTGAACAGTCAGGAGGCAGAAGGAAGGTGAGGGGAGAAGCTGCATGGGTACAAAGGTTGTCTCGTTATGCAGGTAAGTTCCCCAGGAAGTCTCTTGGGGTTGCCCTCAGAAAAATATATAAAAAATACCTAAGCATTGTGACCCAGTCTCTTCTTCTCTGGAGATTAATCTTTCCTGGTTATGTGACGAGATTCCTAGGGAAGAAGTCTTAAGACAACTTCATGCCTTTTGGAAAGAAGCTTTCTTGGTCAAATAAGGAAATCTCAAAGAAAAGGTCTCTTCTTGTATTTGGGGTGGCTGGGACAAGACAAAAATTAGAAGAACCTTCATTGTGAAGCAGCTAAGGCCCCTCAACATGTCAAAATGCCAGTGTTTGAGGTATTGCTTTCCAAGCCCCAGTAATGGCATTAGAACGTGGGGCTTTGAGAGATGATTAGGTCATGAGGGTAAAGCTCTTGTGAATGGGATTAGTTCTTTATAGTAAGACACTTGAGAGCTCTCTTGCCATCTTTCCTCCTTGTGAGAGCACAAGGAGAAGTTGGCACCCTGCAACCTGGAAGATAGCCCTCACCAGCCCTCAGCCACATTGGCAACATGATTTTGGACTTCAGCCTCCAGAACTGTGAGAAATGGTGTTTGTGATTTAAGCCACTGAGCCTATGATAATTTGTTACAACAGCCCAAACTGACTACGACACTGTTGAGAAATAACAATAAAATCCTAAGCTTCCCAATTAACTAAATGAACCCCTCCTGGCCAAGGGGACCCCAGAGAAACCTGAAAAACTTACTTCCTGCCCACAATGGAACAGCAGGTCAGACACACCTCATTATACTCCTTCCCTCGCTAACTACCATTAGACTTTCCTTCCCATGAAACACAACTTACCAGCATTCCTGACTGTGGAGTGATTCTGGCCGGTTTACAGAGACTGCACACAGGGTTCCTCTGTGTCATCCATTTCACCTTTTGACATATACAACCGAATTTGTATGCATGTAAATGTAAGGCCTTCACCCTAAAGTGAATATAGGACATATGTAACATGTATGTTTGCTCACTATGAGGTGCAGACCCCCTCCATAAATATTCATAGCTCTTCTTATAACCTGTTGATACGGTACTTAGCCAATGTGTTTAGCATCAGTGCCTATCTTACTCTTCCCTCCTTTGAAGTGCCCGCTTCTGGTTTCTGCCAGTGGCTTCCCAGTGTGTCAGGATGGCCAGCCCGCAGGCTGCAAGCCTTTCTAAGAAATGAAGCTCTCCTCTCCAAATGTATGAACCTTGCAATTCCTCAGTTGACAGTGTCAACCTAAAAAAAGACACTAGAGAAAATTGTCTCTAAATATGTTGAGTTTATTCGGGAATAAGAAATAAGGATTATAATCTGGAATGGATAGAATGGCACGCCACCAGTGCATCCGGTGAGGGAAGGATAGAGGGAAGCTTTTATTAGCAAAAAGGGAGAGATTTGCATAAGCTGCTTAGAAACAGAGTTCATTGGTTCCAGAGGCTCAAAGCCAGAGTTGTTGTCGGTTCATTGGTGGAGATGCTGTTACTGGGCAAGTGTTCTTCCGGGAGCATCTTATCTGCATTACTGCAGTCCTAAAGAATGTCTGTGATAAGCCTTATCAAAGCAGGAGATGCGTGAAGGATGAGAAAGGGGAGAAAGTCCTGGGAAACAGGTCTTATCTCAGACCCGTAAGCATGAACCTCCTCTCCTTCGCGCATTTCTGGTCCTATTTTATTTGGGTTTCAAAAAAGTGATTTCATCTTGGTATCTGCAACTCTCACACCATCACTACAATCTCCTTCACAATTTATTTTTATTGCGGTAAGAACACTTAACGCGAGATCTACCCTCTTAACAAGTTGTTAAGTATACAGTACAGTATCGTTAATCAGAGACGCGTATTGCATAACAGATCTCTAGAACTTATTTATCTTGCATTTATCACCAGACTTTGTTATGCAAACCAAATCAGCATATAGGAAGGTTTACCGGCCACTGATATCTGCTTCAGCAACAAAGGAAAGCTTGATAGTTACTGATATTTTAGAGTTCAACGATGTCTCCTTTTAGCATGGGATCACTTAATGGACTACAGATGTGCAGAATTGAGCTGAAGTCAGTAACTCTTTGGTAGTTGTCATACCCCAGTGGTCTCCTAGTGTGATTCTCAAACCACAGAATCAGTGTCACCTGATGTCACTTGTGATCTTCTTAGAAATGCAGTCTCTGGTGTCTCTACCCAAGACCCACACATTCAGCAAATCTGGAGCTGGGGCCAGCAGTCTGTGCATCATCAAGCCTTCTGAGTGATTCTGATGCATTTTGAGAACCACTGCAATAGCCTAAAAATCCACAATCAAAATAATACCTCTAGTAAGGAAACGCTCAGGAAAAGGGAAAAATAGACACATATTAGAATCATTCTACCTCAATGAAGACATATGTAAGGCAAATCATCTAATATATGCATTAATGCATAAACAAGTAAACATCTATTTGTTTTTCTCTATCACGTAGTAGGATTAGCATGAGATTTCAAAGCTAATGTTAGTAGCTGTCCCCTCAGCTTCACTGATTGTTTTAAGTTTCTCTTTTGCAATTCAAAAGAGGACTAGCAACGGGTTTATTGCTGTGTGAGGAACTACTTTTTGTTAACTCTTAAAAAGAATATTGCTTTTATGTGAAGCACTTAAAATACACCTGCTATAGGTGTTCCCATGAGGCTCAGCAGTTTTCATCTATAAAGCTTTTTAATTTTTTTTACAGGAACTCAGTTAAAATATTATTACACAATTAAGTTTATGAAAATACATTTGAGTCTTAGTAACTGAATTTGTCTTGATTGCACAGAACTGTTTTACGTACAATACAGCAGGGGTCCCCAACCCTCAGTTCCAAGGAGCAGTATTGGTCCGTGGCCTGTTAGGAACTGGGCCGCATAGCAAGAGGTGAGCAGCAGGCTATGGAGCATTACCGCCTGAGCTCTGCCTCCCGTCAGATCAGTGGCTACATTGGATTTTCATAAGAGCATGAACCCTACTGTGAACTGCGCATGTGAGGGATCTAGGTCGTAGGGTCCTTATGAGATTCTAATGCCTGATGATCTGAGGTGAGACAGTTTCATTCCAAAACCATCATCCTCTCTGGTCCATGAAAAAATTGTCCTCCATGAAGTCGGTTCCTGGTGCCAAAATGGTTGGGGACCACTGCAATAGAGAATATAAACAAGGGATACACATAAAACCTAAATCTTGAATAGGTCAGAGGGTCTACTTATGGCTATCTTGCACGGAGGAGATAAATCAGCTACCTCAGTTTCTTTTTTTTTTTTTTTTGAGACGTATTCTCGCTCTGTCGCCAGGCTGGAGTGCAGTGGCCCCATCTCGGCTCACTGAAATCTCTGCCTCCCAGGTTCAAGTGATTCCTCTGCCTCAGCTTTCCAAGTAGCTGGGACTACAGGCATACACCACCATGCCTGGCTAATTTTTTGTATTTTAGTAGAGATGGGGTTTCACCATGTTGGTCAGGATGGTCTCGATCTCCTGACCTCGTGATCCACCTGCCTCGCCCTCCCAAAGTGCTGGGATTACAGGTGTGAGCCACTGCACCCGGCCCTCAGTTTCTTATCTCCTCTCAAGGCACAACTAATTGTGCCTTCCACAGAACTTTTACTCTCCAAGGGGACATACTAGGAACTGAGGACCCTTTGATGTCAACAAGGGGCAGACGTCACTTTTATTTCAGAGCCACAGAGATAAGACACAAGGCCAGGAGCCATGAGTTGGGCATTCAGAGTCCTTTTGACATGCTTGTGATTAGTTCAGCAAAGGACACCAGGTGGGGAAGGAGGGGAATGAAGAAAGAAGCGATTTTTCTCTTTCGAAATATCTGAAAATGCACAGGCTAGAAAATGTAAGATAGAATCAGGCTAATGAGAATGTCCCCAGGAAATCCTATTTCACAATTATGATTCACAGATGTCTCTAAATGCCAAATGCTCTGTATATGACTGGTGTCCACCACACACAGTGTGCAGTACTGGAGTGACTGTGTCATTTATAACACTCAGCTTGATTTCTCATTTGCCAAAGGATAGCAAAAACACTCTCTTGAAGGATGAACAGTGTCCAGGTATTGGCATCTTTGCATCTTACAAAGGAGGAGCTGGCATCTGAAATGGAAGAGAGGTTTAACATGAGGGAAACGGTAATGAGCAAGGTGTTATGGTTGAATTGTAGCAGCTTTCAGTGACTCTTATTCTTATATTTTTAAGTGATATAAAACTATACTACATATTTATAAAAACCATTAAAATATTAAATGCCTGCTTCGTCTGAAAATATATGACTTGTCACTAAATGAGATAAACACTCTGTTAATGGTTAAGATGTTCTGACTCATAAGTGGGAGTTGAACAATGAGAACATGTGGACACAGGGAGGGGAACATCACACGCAGGGGCCTGCCGGGGGGTGGGAGGTAAGGGGAGGGAGAGCATTCGGACAAAAACCTAATGCATATGGAGCTTAAAACCTAGACGACAGGTTGATAGGTGCAGCAAGCCACCATGGCACATGTATACCTATGTAACAAACCTGCACACTCTGCACATGTATCCCAGAAGTTAAAGTAAAATTTTAAAAAAAAATTAAGATTTTCATTATATGCACTTTAAATTTTCCAAATAATTTGACACAATTATTGCTATTTGTTAAAGTGCTAAATTTACTTCCGAGTGAACGTAACACTTTTAATGCAAATGAAATGTTTCTTTAAAAAAATCCAATAATTTATAATTTTAAGAGCTAAATTAAATTATTTGATCCATAAAGTACACAGTAACTTGATTATTAATTTTCTTCTGAAAATGCCTCTGATTGCTCAATCAACCAGAAGCTCTTTTGTAATTTCCACAGAACTGAAATAAAATAACATTTAAAACTAGTTTCAAGCAATCTCAGAACAATTGAGAAATGCTTTTAGATAACTAAGGACAACTAATAAACTAACCAGCATGTTCTGAACTAGATGCCTTGGGGAAAACGTCCATGGGGTCTGACCCTTAGAATCCAAAGGGATGGTTATGTTTTTCTGCTTTCTGCGGAGAGGTGTGACAAGCGAGACCCAAGTCCAGGCTGGCGTAGAGTCGCTGCTGGGTCAGGAGCGTTCTTGTGGCAGGATTTGCGTCATGATACCCACGCATCTTAAAAGCTTGGAACATTTCATGCACAACCAATAATTAACTCTTATCGTCATCACATGCTCAGTGGACATTGTTAAGTCTGAGTTTACACATTGTTATTAGCAGAAGTAAAATATTTGCGGTCCCTTACAGAGGTATGGTTGGTAATTAGAAAGTATTTTTTTCTTTTCATTTGACTTAACACAGACTTTTTCTTTTGCGTAATGCATTATTAAACAAGATTGCGGAAATGAGGATAGGATCATCGATTCACAGTTGGGCATTTCATGCTCATTGTTACTTGACATGGCTGGATAGACTGCCCGTGAAAGAGAAGATGATGGAATTTTAAAATAGACTGTACTGTAGTTGAATAAAGAGAGCCTGTCTGAGGCTTGTGATAATTACATGGACTATTCTACGTACCTTTTTTCATAACTCAAAGCATGGCTGGTTATGTTTGTTGTGCTAGGAAAGCAGAGAGTTTAGACCTGTCCTCTTGAAATTTCAGAATAAGATGCCCAAGGGTGCTTGTTTCAGCAGGGCTGAGGAGGAATACAAAGGCAAGGGTGCTACACAGTTGGTGGTGTCCTAGGCAAGTGAGCAGCACCTGATGTCTAGCACAGAGTGATGATGTGACCCCAAGGCAGGTGGGGCAGAATGCCTCAGAAAGCCATCAACTTGAGGATCTTTGGAAAAGAGTCTGGCAAAAGTAAAGAAATGTGTCCAGTCCCAGGGCCTCATTATGGCGCTTGTGGGTACCTTGCTCCATTAAAAAATATGAACACTTTTATGTTATAACTTCATTTATATGAAGATAAATATAATCCACCATTTTTCTAATTTAAAAAAGTGGACCCCTAATTTAAAAAAGAAATAAGAAAATTTTAATTTAAATCAGAATTTACAAACCTAATTCTGAACATAAATATTGTTTTAAAGGCCATTGGTAAAACTGTGAGCCTTCTTCCCAATTTTCCAGATGGAAGAAAAAATATGCAGTTGTCTTAGATTACATACTCTAATATTAAAAATCATCTGTTTATGCTTTATAAGATAATAATTTAGATTGTCCTCATGTGGCTGTGGGTAATAGATCCATCAAATGAGGATTTTTAAAATTGTAAAAAACAAATAACATAAATTTACTGTCAGCAGTTTTTAATAGTACAGTACAGTATTATTATATGCATATCATTGAGCAAAATATCTGTAGGAATTTTTCATCTTTCATGACCACATGCTACACCTATTAAAGAGCAACTCCTCATTTGCCCCTCCCCACACCCTGGCAATCATCACTCTACTTTCTATGAGTTTGATTACTTCATAACCATCTGTCATATATAAGAGGATTCATGCAGTATTTTTCTAATTGGTTTATTTCACTTAGCATAATCTCCTCAAGGTTTATCCATGTTGTAGAACATGACAGGACTTCCCTTTTTAAAGGCAGAATATGTTGCATTGCATGCGTATACACCATATTTTCTTCATTCATCTGTGGATGTACATTTAGGTGGCGTCTGCCTCTTGGATATTGCGTATAATGCTGTAGTGAACATGGGTATGCACATATCTCTTCGAGATCCTGTTTTTAATTCTTTTGGATATATACCCAGAAGTGGGATTGCTGGATCATATGGGAGTTCTATCTTTAATTTTGAGGGCCTTTCTTGCTGTTTTCCATAATAGCTATGCCAATTTACAATCTGCCCCCCCGCCCCCAACAAAGTACGCAATGTTTCCCGTTTCTCCTCATATGCACCAATGTGTGTTATTTTCTGTTCTGTTTTGTGTTATGCTGCCCATCCTAGTGGGTATGGGGTGATAGCTCATTGTGGTTTTGACTTGCATTTCCATGGTGATTAGTGATGTTGAGCGTCTTTTCCTATGCATGTTGGCCATCTGTTTGTATTCTCTGGAGAAATGTCTATTCAGATTCTTAATTTATATGTTCCTTGGGTTGATTTTCGTTGTTACTATTTGTGTTGTTGAGTTGCAAGATCTTTTTGTAAGTTCTGGATATTAACCCTCCACCCAATAAAGGGTTGGAAATATTTTTTCTCAATCCATAGGTGTAAGTTTTAAGATTGATGTAGTCCTGTTGTCTATTTTTATATTTTGCTGTCTGTGCTTTCAGAGTTACAGTTAATAAATCATTGTCCATTCTAATATCATGAGGCTCTTTTACTATGTTTTCTTCTAAGAGTTTTATAGTTTCAGGTATTACATGTAGGCACTTAATCCATTTTGACTTAGTTTTGTATATGGTGTAAGATAAGGGTTCTTGATCATCCAGTTTTCCCAGTACAATTTTTTGAAGAGACTCTTCTTTCCATATTGTGTAGACTTTGCATGCTTGTCAAAGATCACTTGGCCATATATACAAGAGTTTATTCCTGGGCTCTCGATTGTGTTCTTTTGGTCTATGTCTTTGTCTTTATGCCAATACCATACCCTTTTAATTACTCTTAATTTGCAATGTGTTTCAAAATCAGAAAGTGTGAGGCCTCCAGCTTTTCTCTTCTTTGTCAAGATTGTTTTGGCCATTCAGGGTCCTTCCAGATTCCATATGAATTTTAGAATTTTTTTCTGTTTCTGTAAAAAATGCAATTGAGATTTTGATAGAAATTGCATTGAATCTATAGATTGCTTTGAGTCGTATAAACATTTTAATATATAAGTCTTCCAATGCAAGAACAAAGGATGGTTTTTCATTTACTGATGTCTTTAACTTCTTTCAGCAATGTTTTTGAAGTTGTCAGTGTACAAGTCTTGTGTGTGTGTATGTGTGTGTGTGTGTGTAGCTGCTATTATAACTGAGATTGTTCTTCATTTTTAGGTTGTTTGTTGTTAGCACATAGAAACACAACTGATTTCTGAGAGTTCATTTGGTATTCTTCAACTTTACCGAATTTGTTTTTATTAGTTCTAACAATTTTTTTGGTAGAATCTTTAGGGATTTTTATGTGTAAGTTTATCTCATCTGTGAAAAGAGATAATTTTACTTCTTCCTTTCCAACTTGGATGATTTTATTTATATATTTTTCTACTATTTTATCTTGGTAGGCCTTCCAATGCCATTTTGAATAAAAGTGGTAAGAGTGGGCATTCTTGTCTTGCTCCTGATATTAAAGGAAAAGCTTTGGTTTTTAACCATTGAATATAATGATACCTGTGTCCTTTTCATATATGACCTTTATTATGTTACAGTAATTTTCTTCTACGCTTAGTTAGTTGAGTGTTTTTATCATGAAAGCATGTTGGATTTTGTCAAATGCTTTTTCTGCATCATAGAGAGGAGCATGTGATTTGTGTTCTTTGGTTGATGTGGTGTATTACATTGATTGATTTTTGTGTGTGAGCCATCACGTACATAAGAAATAAATCCAACTTAGTCACAGTGTCTAATCTTTTTAATGTACTTTTGAAATTGATTTGCTAGTGTTTTGTTAAGGATTTTTGCATCAATATGCATCAGTGATATTGTCCTGTAATTTTCTTTTCTGTTAGTATCGTTGTCTGGCTTTTGTATCAGAGTAATGATGGACTCATAAAATGGATTTGGAAGTGTTCCCTCCTCTTCAGTTTTTTGGAAGAGTTTGAGAAGGATTGGCAATTATTCTTTAAATGTTTCATAGAATTCTTCAGTGAAGCCATCTGGTCCTGGGCTTTTATTTATTGGGAGGTTTCTGATTACTGATTCAATTTTCTTAATAGTTATAAATCTGTTGCGATTTTCTAATTCTTCATAGTTCAGTCTTGGTAGACTTTATATTTCTGGAAACATATCCATTTTTTTAGGCTATTCCATTTGCTGGCAGATAGTTGTTCTGTAGTCGCTTATTATCTCCTTTTTTGGCACCAATTGTGATGTCTCATCTTTCATTTCTGATTTTAGTTACTTGAGTCTTCCCTTGTTTTCTTAGTCTAGATAACGGTTTGTCAATTTTGTTAATCTTTTCAAAAAAAAACTCTGTGTTTAATTTTTTTTCTTCTTGTTTTTCTGTTCTCTACTTTGTTGATTTCTGGTCTAATTTTTATTCCTTTCCTCTGTTAGCTACCTGTTTACTTCGTTCTTTTTCTAATTCCTTTAGGTATAAATCTTATTCATTTGAGATCGTTCTTTTGATTGCAGGTTTTTATCACTATAAACTTTGCTCTTGGTGCTGCTTTTGGCTGCATCCCATAAGCTTTGTTAGGTTGTCTCAAGATATCTTTTAATTTCTTTATTAGTCCATTTTCATGCTGCTGAAAAAGACATACCCGAGACTGGGCAATTTACAAAAGATAGAGGTTTAATGGACTTATAGTTCCCCTTGGCTGGAAAAGCCTCACAATCATGGCAGAAGGCAAGGAGGAGCAAGTCACGTCTTACATAGATGGCAGCAGGAAAAGAGAGAGAATTTGTGCAGGGGAACTCCTCTTTTTAAAACCATCAGATCTTGTGAGACTTATTTACTATCATGAGAGCAGCATGGGAAAGACCTGCCCCCCATGATTCAATCACCTCCCACTGGGTCCCTCCCACAACATGTGAAAATTCAAGATGAGATTTGGGTGGGGACAAAGTCAAACCATATCAATTTCCCTTTCAATTTCTTTATTAACTCAGTTGTGCAAGTGTGTGCTGTTTAATTTTAACACTGTTGGAAATTTCCATTTTTCCACTGCTATTGATTTCTTGTTTCATTTCATTGTGAGCAGAAAAGATAATTGGTATGATTTCAATCTTCTTAAATTTGTTAAGATTTGTTTTGTAGCCTAATGTGTGATCTATCCTGGGAGACATTCTCTGTGAACTTAAGAAAAATGTGTATTTTGCTTTTATGGGGTAGAGTGTTTTATACATGTCTGTTAAGTTCAATTGGTTGTAGTGTCGTTATAGTCTCTGTTTCCTTAGTTACCATCTGTCTGATTGTTCTATCCATTGTTGAAAGTGAGGTGTTAAGATCTCCTCCTGTTACTGTGTTAATGTTGAATTCTCCCTTCACTTCTGTCAACGTATGCGTCATACATTTGGGAGCTTTGATGTTAGATACATGTATTTTCCCCCACTCTTACTGCTTTCCTTTTTGAGTCATTGACTCTTGTTTTCTATGGACATGCTCTGATTCCTTTTACATTTCCTTTTATATCTCTTCTATAGGTGTTTTATTTATAGTTACCATGGGGCTAACATAAAACATTTTATGGTTATAATTGATTTTAAGCGATTATCAACTTAACTTCAATTGTACACAAAAACTCTACTCGTTTGTATCTCTCCACCCTTATTTTATGTTATTGATGTAACAAATGGCATCTGCATATGCTGTGTATTTGTTTCAATAAGGCTGTTCATCGTTGTACTCATCCAGGGTTCTGCCACTTCTTCTCTGCTTTCTGGAGTTCTCATAAAGGTTTTGGGCTGTATATTGCTGTGGAAATAAGGACTGGGACTTACTTTTCCACCATCTTATTGATATCCTGAGGCATTTTTCATGTTTTGTAACATTTTAATGCAAAAGTAATTCAATTAAAATATACTTAAGAACATGGTTATTACTATCTGGTCCCTTTGTCAATTTGTTTTTGCCAAAAATAGTTTCACTCAACTGTGTAGAATTACTTTTTTAATAAACTGTAGTATATTTGAATTGTCTCCATTAGCTCTTGCCATTACCACTGTTTTAAAAAGCTTATAGAAAATACAAATGATTTGTTTGTTCCATTAGTCTTCATTCTCTTGGTTTGGATTGCTCATGGCTAATGAATGAACTCCATTGGCAGACATTGGCATGTGGACCAATTATGGCAAAATCTATAGTATTTGATAAGCTAATTGTGTTGCTTGGCTGGCTATGGCAATGTCTAGTTGTTTTGCTAATAGAGTTATATCCTTAGCTACATATTGAACCCTTGATATTTCCTAGCTATCAAACACCTACTGAGAATTTACTCTCTGTGAGAAACATTCTAAACTGTATATATGCATCAGTGTGTGTGTGTGTGTGTGTGTGTGTGTGTTTGCATGTGCAAATATAGTTTATCTGTGTGTCTGTATATGTATATATATGAAATACTACTACCCTGGGTAATGTTGAAGATAAAAATGCCTATAAATATGTATATATACACACACACACATTATAGATGGTTAATATATAATGTGTAATATATACTCTATCCATATATACTATATATAATGTATCTATCATATATACATGTATATCCCATATATACAACAAACCATATATATGTACCCAAGTGTATATATATAATATATGTACAATTATATATGTATATGTATTATATACTGCACAATTTAGATATACATATAATTTTAATCCTCACCACCTCCATGAGTACTATTATTTTTGCCATTTTGCAGATAAGTAAAACAAGGCACAGAGAAGTTAAGTAAGTTGCCCAAGGTCAAGTAGCATAGTAGGAATCCAAACTCACAAAGTCTTAGCCTAGAACTTCCCCTCTTAACAGCAATGCAAGGCACTGAGGAGGCTGGCTCGATCATATGTACACACACACACACAGGGTATTTCGGTTACTTTGCATAAGCTAACTGTGCTTATTGTGCCTCTCCATTGCATTCTATGTTTTCAAACATACCAAAAATGAAAGACCACTCCACCACCTAGACAATCTGCTCACTGTCTTACTTTTATCAAAGTAGGCTGATGAGAAGTATTAATCTTCATCCAGTCAAGAGACATCTCCTGTGTTTGTCAATTGATAGAGTCTAGGGCTTCTGTCCTTAGCACCAAGTATCTGTTAGAAATCACTGCCATTATCCAGCATGTTGGCCAAAGAAAGATATATGCAAGTGTTCGGGGCGGCGGGGGCGGTGGGGGGTGATACTAGGAGATGAAAAAATTGGGCAGTAACAATACTTTTCTTGAATCTTTCTGACTACCTTTGATTCTATAAATCAGCTGGCATTCTGCAGATTCAAACTTCTCACCTAAATTTCTTCTCTGGGCTGCAGGACTGTGATCATATGACTTGTCCAAGCTTCACAGATATAGTTGTTGAAAGGCTGTCCCATTGCAGTTTGTGATAAAGTAGAGTAGCTTATTTAAGATAACATTGTTTATTAAAATTGGATTCATTAGGAAAATAGATCAGGAATGTAAAGAAAATATTGAAACATTGAAACTGAAAATGGACAAAATGAAGACTTCGGATGGCCACAGTGGAAATGAAAAGGAGACAGTGGAGTTGAATGCAGTCTCATGGCCCTGGACATCCTCAAACATGACTCTATTTGTATTCCACTGCCAGTGATATACACAACTGTTCCTCTCTTCCTGTAAATCCCTTCTTCCTTTCACGTTTTATTTTCTAGCTTGATATTAAAAAAAAAAAGAGAGAGAAAGAAAGAAAAGAAAGAAAGAAAGACAAAAAGAAAGAAAGAAAGAGAGAAGAAAGAAAGAAAGAAAGAAAGAGAAAGGTCAGGCGCCGTAACTCATGTCTGTAATTCCAGCACTTTGGGAGGCTGAAGCGAACGGATCACTTCAGGTCAGGAGTTTGTGACCAGCTGGGCTAATATGGTGAAACCCTGTCTCTACTAAACATACAAAAATTAGCCGGGCGTGTTGGTGGGCACCTGTAATCTCAGCTACTCGGGAGGCTGAGGCAGGAGAATCGCTTGAACCCGGGAGGCAGAGGTTGCAGTGAGCCGAGATTGCACCACTGTCTAAAAAAAAAAAAAAAGGAATGTAAGTGAGGCATTTAAAGGAATGTATACAACCACAGGCAAACAGAGGAGGAATAACAGTTGAGCATGAGACACAGATAAATCCTACATCTTTGAAATGGGCAGGTCAGCACCACCTTTATTTTAGCAGTTTTTACATGGCAAATCTGTCTTCATGTTGTCTAACTGCAAATGACAATTACTTGAGAATAGGAAATATAATGAGAGAATTGAAAAGGAAATTTTTTAAATAAAATTTATAGTGGAACACAATTAGGAAATACATGTATATTTGTGTATATGTTTGTGATCTATAGAATAACATTTCTATTGCTCACAGGACTTGTCAAGGTCGGAAACACAATATCTTCTGAAAACAGTACAAATCTATTTAGAGTTAAAGGAGAAAGTAAATGGCTTATTTTTGAAAATTGGTGTTTGCCTTAATGGAGAAATGGCCTGTCATTACTGGGAAGTAAAATGTGGAATTTCATTTTGAGAAAATAAATGATGCAATTATCCAGTGCTGCTAACCCTTCAGTTCTCCAAAATGTGCATATGGGACGCTGTGCCAGTGCTCCTAGAAATCACATACTCCTCTGCTTCTTTTGGGGTATGGTTTTTGTACAACAGCTCTGGGGAGTCCCGGACTCCTCTGAGAGTGGTCTACGAACTAGCAGCATCACTATCCCTCGGGCTTTGTTCAAATGCAAATTTGCAGGCCCCTATCTCAGACCAACAAAATCAGAGGTGGAAGGTGGGAGGAGCTATATTTTCACAAACCTACTAGATGACTCACACGTGCATTAAATCATGAGAAGCATTGCCAAAGGGATGAGTAGGGTCTGACCACCCAGCACCTTTGCTTTCTGCCTCAGTACCTAGGGAAAGTTAACCACATTTAAAAATAAACCCAACACATAAGTCTCAAAGCTAACAACCAAACAATAAGAAGAAGATAAAGGTTTTTAAAATATAAAATAAGTTTCAGGTTATTTCATTGCAGTTACTAGATGTCTTGAGTTCAAGCTGTAACTTTTTTTTTTTTTTTTTTTCTTCTGAGACAGAGTCTCCCTCTGTCGCCCAGGCTGGAGTGCAGTGGCACAATCTCTGCTCACTGCAAGCTCCACCTCCCGAGTTCACGCCATTCTCCTGCCTCAGCCTCCCGAGTACCTGGAACTACAGGCACCTGCCACCACGCCCGGCTAATTTTTTTTGTATTTTTAGTAGAGACGGGGTTTCACCGTGTTAGCCAGGATGGACTCGACCTCCTGACCTCGTGATCCGCCCACCTCAGCCTCCCAAAGTACTGGGATTACAGGCATGAGCCACAGCTCCCGGCCGTCAAGCTGTAACTTTTTTAGAATTGTTTTGCACCCACATCTTCGGGAAACACGCGGGGCAAACAGGTCCAACATTACATAGCATCAGATACTTTCCAAACAATTCCTTTTATACCTCACAACTGTATTATGTAATAATAATAGAAGTTAATCCGAATGGCTCTTAATAGGTGACAAGGACTTTCCTAAGAGCTTGCAAATATTAATGTGTCTAATCTTCACAACAGACCCATGAGGCTGGTCAATTATTGTCTTTATTTTACAGATGGGAAAACAATTATTCAGGGGGTTATATCAATCGATGGTCAAGGTCATATATGTGGCAATTAAAGCCAGTATTCAAACACAGGCAGCCTAGCTCTAGAGGACATGTTTTAATCACTAAGTCCAGTGACTTTATTGTAAATATATTGACACTATTTTTTTGTTGAGAAAGGCGAAAGGATAAATGCTTTCCTAAAATCACATTGTTGCTAAGAGGCAATCCAGTTATACCTCATTTCCCATACTTGTACTCAGTCCCCTATTCCAGCTCCCTACCCAGGCACCAACCACGTAAAAGGTACTTAGCCTCTTACATAAAGGGGTTCTACCCCATGGGGATTGTAAGAATTAGGTCAGACAATCTATGTAAAATGCTCAGTGCTTAGCACATAGTAAGAGCTCAAATTTAGCAAATATTTTTCATTATTATTTTAAATGAAGTATACAAGGATTATACTGCGTTTCATTAAGTTTAAAAAGATGTCATCACGAAGAAACATCCCAATTTTGGAGATGTTAAAATACGCAAATGCACACATCATATAGTGGATGAAATATGACACTTTGTATGTAACAGCTTTTTAGTTACTGATGAATGCCAGATTTTCCCAGCATAACCACAGACACCACAATTTTTTATGTTGCTGTTATTTGCGTGACACGGTGGTAGGGATGTATATTTCTTTTTACTTTTCTTAGCAATCTGCAAAGATTATTATTATTATTGCATTGCACAGATAAGACAATAGAGGCTTAGAGACGTTAAGCAACAACCAACCTAGGAAGTGGTAGAGTCAAGACTGATGTTCATGTCTGTCTGACCCCAAAATCTCGACATGTGCTATGATACATCCATGATCCCTAATCCCTGGATACTTTTCTTAACTCTTTTCTGTGTGCAAGTTGGTCAGCTCCCAGCTCTTGACTTTTTCAGAGAGGAAATTATACAATAATGGCCTCAAATAGCTTTCATAGGATTAAGGGCACGAAAGGACATGAGTGTTGAGTGGTGAAGTATCAGGCATGATGTGAAGGAAAAGTATTCATCTCTTCTTATTTATCAGCATTAATGGCACTCAGGGGACACATTACATTTCGACAAGCCTCAGCAATCAATAAGGAGCCCCAAAATACACCTCAACTCCCTGAAGAATTGCAAAGAGAGATGATACATTTAAAAGAAAAAAGAGAATTTAAACATAAATGTTTAAAAATGTTATATTTGAAAGCAATACAGATATAACACTGGGTTTCAATGTTTAAGAATTTACACAGTAAATTTTATCCTCTTGCAAAGTAATCTAACTTTGTATTTAAAGAAATAACAGAATTATGCATTTTCATATTGCACTTGGGTCTGAGCACTGGAAATCAATATCAGACCTTTTTAAAAACCAGTTATAGGCTTTCTGATCCAACAGAACAAATATCTGACCACCCAGATACTTACATTTTCCAAAGTGGAAGCCATGCCGTGATGTGGCCTAAAGAGTCTCTTTTCTTCTGACATTTTTTTTTTTTTTTTTTTTTTTTTTTTTTTTTTGGGGAATGAAAGAATATATTTTATTTTTAGGAAAACCTATTATTTGGGATAAAAGAAGAACAATGCGGGTTTCTAACAGAGATTTCTGTCATTTTGGGGGGGCTTTTCTTTTCATTCAATTGATCATTATTCATGAATGGATTAATATTGATTAGAAACAGCCACTTCAAAAGATGTTCCTCATTTTCTTCCTTGATCCTGCTGTAACTGTGTAATAGAGTAAGGGGGAAATAAAATGACTTGGAGACACTTCAAATCAACTCATTTATGAACCTAAATTTATAATTAGACTGTAGATTATTTTCAGGATCATTTCCTAATAAGAAAAAGAAACTACTACTGAAAATGGGCTTTACTTACAATTTTATGTTACATGAAATTAACATTCAGATCCCATTAATACCACGGAGGAAGTGGAGGACAGGGTTGGTTGAGAGTGTGTGAGTTTGCCCAGCTTGTCTTCCTGATAATGTTAGACACAAAGATTGTTCTCTCCTCTGTAGAATGGGAGCATATTCATTTAGAACTCCAGTGGCTATTGCATTGATAGCAATCAACAAATAAATATAGATAAGAATTCAACTATTGTAGAATGTATACTGTGAAGCTCCTGAAATGTAATTTTTCTACTCGTGAAGATATTAGATTTTTTATTATTATTATTATTATTATTATCATCATCATCATCATCGAGACAGAGTCTTGCTCTATCACCTAGGCTGGAGTGCAGTGGCATGATCTCAGCTCACTGCAACCTTCACCTCCCGGGTTCAAGTGACTCTCATGCCTCAGCCTCCGGAGTAGCTGGGATTACAGGCATGCACCACCATGTCAGGCTAAATTTTGTATTTTTGATAGAGGACAGTGTTTCATCATGTTAGCCAGGCCAGTCTTGAATTCCTAGCCTCAAGTGATCTGCCTGCCTCAGCCTCCCAAAGTGCTGTTATTACAGGTGTGAGCCGCCATGACTGGCTGATATTAGATTTTAAATACTAGTAAGACATTAATTTTGCAAGAGAGAGGAAAAGTACAAGAAATTCACCATCACTTCACAGTTCCCTGACGTACTAGCTTAATGAATTACTTAAAAGCATTTCCTAAAACTGAAAAAAAAAATTAATATTTGGAAAGATGCAATTTATAAAACTAATAAAAGGATCAAGATAAGATTTAGAAGTTATATTTCTGAGTAAAGTAAATCTATCCCAATATCCCACTTACGGTAAAGGATATTCTAGAGTTGAATCGTGGGATAGAATCGACTGAAAAGGTAGGTGGAGGTAAATGAGGCCAAGGCCATCTGCCCTTCCTTTTCCAGCTGCCTGTAGTGATGGTACCCATGAATCAAAAACAGTACATTATCATTTACCAGAAAGGTGAAAAATGCCTTGCTGGAGGTTAAAAGAAGTACAATCAACTATATTTCTAAATGGCTACAGATTTTGAGACAGCCATGAAAAAGTCACAAACATGTCTCATGATTGGGATTTTCAAATTACTTTTAAAGTGGTGGAAAATTAAAAGAAAATGTTCAATTTTAGATGAAAGAATGGAAAAGGTCATTTCTCTGTGGGATTTAATAGGAAGTCTTATACGTGCTTTCTCTGGCACCTGTGAAGACTGGTGAAGATTAGTTATAGCTTCAAAACACTTGATCCGTTTTATTTGCAGTACAGATAATATGAGGGATTCAGGAGTTGTTGTTTTAATGACAGTGCCCAATAGAAGTTGTCAAGTATCACTTAATACAAAGGCCTGAGGAATCTGATGTTCTCATAGCACCGAAGCCACTAATTTTAACTTCCAGCAGATTTAAGATGAGACCATGGAAATTGGTGCCTAGTTCCTTCTTATCCTCCCTTCCTTTAGCAGAAGACTTCGTCTAGAGCTTGTGTGCAAGCATATTGATGCTGGGTGTGGGGCAGATGAGGAGGGAACGGCATTCTCTCTAAATCCATCCTCCGCACTTCATCCTGACCGTGGTATTGAGGAGATCACGAAGACTTCAGAGGTCTTTAGGTGTCCTCATCCTCTCCTCATCTTTGATGGCAACTCTCAAAATCTCAAAACCAAAACCACAAAAAACACTACCAGCAATAACAAGCAGTAACATGAGCCTCTATCCCAAATTCTTCCTGAGCCTGAGAATATTGCTTTTCATTTCACCCAGCAAGACAAAGCACCATCAACTTGATAGGCTCAACAAGAACTTAGAGAGCAATCCTTCACTGTGTTCCTTAGTCATGTGTTTAAAGCGTCACTACATTTCCCCCAAAAAGTAACTGCTTCTAATTAGTGTGAACAGCATTTAAAACGTTTTTTAAAAAATCTTAGCTTTAAATGTAAATTAGTGTGGAGAGCCATTTAAAAGGTTTTTTAAAAAGTCTTAGCTTTAAATGTAAATAGAGACTCCATTTCTACCAAGAAAAAACTTTTTGTAAATTCTAAATACAATCTTTCCCCCCAGCTTTCACTTTTCATTGTTGAAAAAATAACCTTACTACTGGTGAACTCCTAAAGGCGCTCTCTCATTAAGAGGGTGAAAGAACCTTCTGGAAGAATGTGCAAATCAAAGAAGATATGAAGGATCCTTCTAGAGAGCCAGAGCTGATTGGGCAGAGTGCTTGGAAAGGAGGGGTTGGAAAAGAATACAAAAGGGAGGGTTGAGCTGAAGAGCTAAGCTGGGCCTCAGCCTTGGTCCTTCGGGCAGGATGTTCTCAACTAAAAGAGCAAATCAGATGATCAGATTCACCAATAAAGCATTTTTTATAATCATATTCTGGGGTTTCTGTTTAGGAAGAGCACCCCAGGTTAAAATGATGTCCCTCTATGCAAATCTTTAGACTATTACTACCATACTTAATAAAGGTTTGTCAAAAGGTCTGAATTCCTTGAATTTGATCTGCCATCACAGCAACTGAATTATAATGAGAATATTTAATTTATGTTTAGTTTCCTTTAAAATGTGTGTTTCTAAATTTTCTGAGACTTTTATTTTTACTTCTAAACATAACTTCATGAATGAAACAGTGGCATGAATGAACATAATACATTCCCTTTATTTAAGGGAAACTGGAAGGAAAATATACAAAAATAAAGATATATCCTTTTCTCTGAATTATTCATCAGTGAGAAATTCTGAAACTTGCAAATCACAGTCAGTTTGTGAATAGCAAGGAAAATACCACCCATGTCAATGAACAGAAATGATTCCATCTACAAATTGAAAACATTCTCTATCCCCTCAGGTAAAAGGAGAAAGTAACAGCTGATTGCTTTCACTTCGACTTTCACTTGCTTTGGGATTGAAGCCACTATACATTAGTAATGCATTTTATGGATCAACCTCCTTAAAACAGCTCAAGTATATGAGTATTTGGTCTTTTTCCAGATCCAGCCAATTCTCACTGTTCGCTGATTTTATAGTTGTGAATTCACCTACTTGCTAAAATTTACTCGTACCTGCCCCCCACATCAATACTCACGGAACTTCCTCTGTCATTCATGGACATGCCCAGAGCAGTGAAAAATGTGAGTCCCTCCACAGGTCTGTCTCCAACTGAGGTCGCACAGAGCCATGCCCTCCCTGCTGGCTGGGGCCAGCTCTCATATTGTAAGCATGCGTCCTTTTTGAAGCCTATGAGTGCCATGTTTTTCTCATTTCTTGTGCTTTTTTTGGTGATTTTACAGCCTAAATGACTCCCAAGTGGAGTGCTGAAGCACTGTCTGGTATTCCTAAGCCCAAGAATTCTGTGATGTGGCTTACAGAGTGTATGTTAGAGAAGCTTCATTTGGGCATGGGTTATAGTTTGTTGGCCATGAGTTCAATGTTCATGAATCAACATTATATATTGAATCAGGTGTCTTTAATCAGAAACAGGCATAAAACAAGGATGTAGGCCGGGCACAGTGGCTTACTCCTGTAATCCCAGCACTTTGGGAGGCCGAGGCGGGCAGATCACTTGAGGTCAAGAGTTCGAGACCAGCCTGGCCAACATGGTGAAACCCCGTCTCTACTAAAAATACAAAAATTAGCTGGGTGTGGTGGCACGCACCTGTAATCCCAGCTACTCTGGGGGCTGAGGCAGGAGAATCGCTTGCACCCATTGGGTGGAGGTTGCAATGAGCCGAGATCATGCCATTACACTCCAGCCTGGGCCATAGAGCAATACTCTGTCTCAACAAAAACAAAAAACAAAAACAAAAACAAACAAACAAAAAAAGAATGTACTGATGGGTTGGGGGAGATGTGAACAAAGGTTCGTGGGACCTTACCCATGTAATTTACTAGGAGCAATGGCTCTATATCCACTACTAGGTGTTCACAGTGACTTTTTAAAGCATAACTACCATAAGAAAGAGGCAGCTGCATTCTTAAATTTACTTTTTTATTTAAATTGTTTATCAGAAATAGAATCCCATTAATATTGTTTTTAAATCATTTTTGAAAGCAGATTGGAATTCAGTTTGAGCAGTTGTTTCTATAGAAATATGTTGGCCCCACAGCTGCTCCTGAGGGGCCATGCGTAGAGACTGGGTCTGTATTCCACTGACCCAGGGCCGCCTCCAGTACTGGAAAGGGCTTTGCTCCGGCTGTAGCTCTGTGAACTATCACAGTAAGTGAAAAGGACACCCTCTAGTTGTATTTTTCTACTCCTGCTGCTCCTTTGCAGATTTTTTTTCTCACCGTTTAAGCAGTGTTGATGTAATTCCCTTCCATGCTTAAATTCTCTATTTGTATGCCAGGTGGCACACTGCTGAATGTGTTTCTGTCCCCTTCTGCAAGCTGGGTGATTTGAGTGGGGTGAGAAGGGTCATTCCTATGTTGTTATGGGACTCATAAATGAATGTTTTTGAAAGTGGGGTCTTTATTGCTACTTTAACAAAATCTATGCATTCAAAAGCTAATTGTTTTATAAACAAAATGGGTTTGTTTGCAAAGACCTAATATCAGAAACTAAACCTTAATGTCCATATCCAGGAATTGTTCTTTTACTGAAATATAATTTAAATTTACTGGCAATTATTTCTAAAGAACATATTTTATGAATCTATTTTCAAAAATAGACAGTATACATAGGATGCTGAGTGAATTTTGCTCTTGGTTTTTCATTGACTATTTTGATGTCCTTTGAAATATGTCCTCTTCAGCATCTAATAATTAATATTTTAGGATATATAAAATTATAATGTCTTATGAAAACATTTATAAACATTTTGATTCTCTTTTCTAAATGTCCGATCCCTTCTGAGTCTTTACAAATATGCATAATATTTTTCTCTAATTTATTTGAAAGAAAATTATATCTATTATATAAAAATTGCTTCATGTTCTAATGAACAATTATCTAAATCCTATTGTTATTTCGTGATAAAGTATAGAGAAAACAGATTAGAATGACTGTCAGGAGAACAAAATTCTAATGCTGGCTCAGCTACTAGTTAACCATGTAAACGTCTACAAGGTATTAGATTGGTGCAAAAGTAATTGCGGTTTTGGCCATCACTTTTATGGTAAAAACCACAATTCCTTTTACGTCAACCTAATACTTAATTTTTGTGGACCTCTGTTTCTCCAGTTGTGAAACACAGCGGTGAGACTGGGTGTCCTCTATGGTTCATGACCTCTGAGGAAAGTATAGGATCATAAGAACATGGTAAACATTACAGTGCTATGAGAACATTGCCTTTATCTCTTAAAACATTTCTATTATTTATTAACAAATTGATCCTCCGTCTTGACAAGCAATTGAACGATTGCACTACAGTCTTCAAAATATTACATTACTGAGAATGATACCGTACCAGAAAAAAAGTTAAATATGAAATTTCTCTAACTGCTAAAAAAAGTTTTATAAAGCAGTCATTTTCATTCAATATTATAAAGTTGAAGTTTCCAAATATGTATTTACTATTGTTCTATAAACAATTTTAGAAAAAGTGAATATTTAAAACTGTTACTAATAGTATTTCTTAATCTTCTTTTACCATCCTAATCTATATTCACTGCAATTATTACCTATTTTATTAATGTTCTGGGCCATCTTGCATTCCTGTAATTCATGAAACAGGTTATAGTCAACTATTTTAAAAAGTCATTCATAAGTAGAGAAAAGATAAATGCAGACATAGAAAAAGGCTATGGCACAAGAAGATAAGATAATAGAAACATTTTCATGTATTTGAAAGAATTTTGTTAGCATAAACCTTCATTTTTATTCTTGTTTGAGCATTCTATGGTGTTCCTCATGACAGGGTTTGAATTTAGACTGATCGCACTTGGAATGGAAATATGCAGTTCAGCTGTTTGTACACAAATATGAAACAATTATTCCTGGAAGCACATTTATTCCAATATCCCTCTGTAACTATGGTGACACAGCCCCGCGGCTTGCAAAAATGCACAGGACTAGAGTCTGTGAAAAAGACCTTATGTGATAATTCTGTATTTGAAACATCAGTTTAGGAAGAGGGTGAAACCCCAAAATATCCAGTGTCCCTTATGTTGTGTTTACTAATATTGGGTTGTAAATATAAACTACTTTAATAGCTACCAAGATGTGTTTTTTACCCAAATTGAGAACCAAATGAGAATTAGTTTGATTCAGAGTGTGATTCCCCACAATTTCATAATAAGACCAGGAATACAGATCGAAATTTAAATATTCCGTTATGGTGATATTGACAAATATTGAATATTACGTATAATGGAGACAATGTGCTCATATATTTCTCAGCATCTTTTCTCTTTGGACATCAAGTAGACAACGTTTCAAATTCCTCATCATTAGAGCCAAAATAAACACATCAGCTCCTCTCACTTCTGGGAGCAGCCAGCCACCTCAATTTATACCACAAGTGTTCCAGTCAGACTGTGGTTTTAACAAAGGCTACAGCCCTGAAGTGCCTCGTGTAGCTATTCAGTGCAGCCTTCTCTAGGAGGCCTGAGCCTAGGGTCCATCCTGGGCAGGGAGATCTGCATGATTTTCCCTAAACAATCCCTCCTGAGTTCTCCAGAACCAAAGGCAACTCTGAAGCAAAAATCGAGTGTTTCATTCGCACACCTCACTTCCCCAAATCCTATGACCTGAAATGAAAGCAGGGAGGACAGAAATCGTCTAAAGTTTTAAAAGGTAAAGTTAGGCAATAAAATCTGTAAGGACAATTTCTTTCTCTGGAAAAGTAGCTATGCAGCCATAAAAAATGATGAGTTCATGTCTTTTGTAGGGACATGGATGAAGCTAGAAACCATCATTCTCAGCAAACTATTGCAAGGACAAAAGCCAAACACCGCATGTTCTCACTCATAGGTGGGAATTGAACAGTGAGAACACTTGGACACAGGAAGGGGAACATCACACACACATCAGGGATTGTTGTGGCGTGGGGGGAGGGGGGAGGGATAGCATTAGGAGATATACCTAATGTTAAATGACGAGTTACTGGGTGCAGCACACCAACATGGCACATGTATACATATGTAACAAACCTGCACGTTGTGCACATGTACCCTAAAACTTAAAGTATAATAATAATAAAATTTAAAAAAAAAAAGAGAGTGAAGCCAGGTATTCCCAGGAGTGAAGCTACTGGACAGTGAAAATGAGGCTTGTTGGAAAACACTTATCTGTGTCAGAACATGGTGCTCCCTGGATAGTTGAGATCAGATTGCCATGACTTAGGTAGAGTGCTCCTTTCACAACATTTGTTATTAAATTGCTATATGAATTTCTAGAAAATTCTTACATTGAGATTTTAATCTTTGTTATTAAATCAAACTTTACTGCTCATTATGCCTTCATTCTTTGTGCTCTTCTAAATTCCAGAAGGCATATTTTCAGTTCCTAAAAATTTTATGTTTAAAGCAATGTGTTAAGGAATTATAGTTATTTTATATTTATGGTACACGTTTGTTCTTGAATGTTGCACATTTCTTGATCCCATTGAGATGCTCTTCCTCATGATATAATCTAAGATGTTGCAGTGTCACACTGGTGAAACACTGTACCTCATTTTGATAACTCATTGAGAAGCTCTTCCTCATGATATAATCTAAGATGTTACAGTGTCACACTGGTGAAACACTGTACCTCTAATTTAAAACCTAGTTACAACATTTTTGGTAGACCTATTGGGTTAGTGTTTTTCCTGAAACCCTTTCTGGTTTGCATTGGAGTTGTGATGGTTCAAGATTCTGCAAAAGGGGTAAATTTTTGATAGCGTTGGCCACCACTCTGTGGTTGAGCCTGGAGACCCTAAGTGCTGTCACCCTGATTTCCTGCTGTGAACCTAGAGGCTTAGCATATGGATTGCAAGGTTATTCTTCTATTTCTTCCTTTAAAAAATGAGATTAGAAAATTGTTTTTCCAGGACATGGATAAAAGGATTGATTGAGGCATTGTACTATTCATTTAGAAATTCATTCTGTTTCTTCAAAACACTGTATCTCAATAGAAGAGAGAGAGGAGAGCAGAGAAACCAAAGGTTTGTCAAGGCCATTTCTTAAAGTGTCTTTATTTAACAGAAGGAAAATGCTTTATGGGAGGACTTCTCATACTAGTTGCACTTTGGAGTTTAAGTTGTGATAAATTAGAAATTGTTTTAAAAAATAATTTGAACAAAGTACAAGAAAAGTTTGTTTTAAGCACCTACAATACACTAAGCACAGAGGATGTGAGTGTGATGAGTCTGGAAAGGAAAATTACAGAATAGTGAGAGCCAAACAAAAGTGTGTGTGTGTGTGTGTGTGTGTGTGTGTGTGTGTGTGTGTATTGCAGGAGATGAAAAGTTGGAAGAAGTCAAAGGGTGTTTAGGAAAAGGAAAAGTAGCCAGGCACTGTGGCTCACAGCTGTAATCCCAGCACTTTGGGAGGTCGAGGTGGGTAGATCCCTTGAGCTCAGGAGCTCAGGATCAGCCTGGGCACTGGGCAACATAGTGAGACCCATCTTTACAAAAATTAGTCTAGCATGGTGGCACATGCCTGTAGGCCCAGCTACTCGGGAGGCAGAGGTGGGAGGATCACCTGAGCCTTGGAGGTTGAGGCTGTGGTGAGTTGTGATCCTGCCACCGAACTCCAGCCTGGGTGACACAGTGATATCCTGTCTTAAAAAAAAAAGGAAAAAGTAAAGCACTTTTAAGCTGAGATCTGAAGGATAACTAGGATTTCGGTGGCTGGAGTACCACTCTATAAAGAGGGATGGCAAGGACAAAGGTTTATAGAGTCACCCATAATCAGTCACCAGGATACCTTTAATATCTGATGGCTGTTCAGGCTAATTAGCAAGTACAGAAGAGCAAACCATTAGCCATTTGAATGCTGGTATTGCAACCACAAATAGGTAAAGAGAAGAAAAGCGGAAATGATCACTCAGTAAGATGCACTTGAGGTCCAGTAGCTCAAGTCAGTAAAAAGTTTTTTAAAAGTATTGCTATCATGTTTCATCAAGCTGAAATTATTCACAAGCCAGATAAATTACCATATCTAGGACACTCAGTGACATTTGATTAAGTGGTAATTATACCAAAAGCCTGATAATAGAAAAGAATGTATTAAAATAATGTGAATGACAGTCTATTAGAATATCGCCCATTATAGAATGGTTTGGCCACAGGAACCTCATTCATACTGAATTGGTTTTATAAAATGATCTCTCTTGAAATGAATGTAGTTCAACAGAGCTGCAAGGTGGAAGAATGCAGCACCCAACACCTTCCCTCTTACAAGTCAGCAGGCCAAGGCCCATCTGAGTGAGGACAAGAGGCCAGGCTAGCTATAGCCAATGGACTAAGCTAGGTGCCAGGCTCCCCTTTCTGTAGGTCTTGGTGGCTGCTGGTATTTAGAGGCAGGTAAAAGCTATAATTCTCCTTGCCTGATAGCAAAGTTGCAGGCAAGAAGAACTATAACTTTTTAAAATTATCAACTAGACCTAAAGAAAGTCATAACATCTAAAAATTTAGTGAAAGTCCCAGTTCTCTGTTCTGACCTTTGTTGATGACAGAAACCTTCAATGTGTGATTTTGGGGTTAGGCATTCTTGTGACAGGATCTGGCTAGCCTGGCTGGATCATGTGAGGGAATCCTCTAATTAAGATCACCCTCAAGGCCCAGTGGAGACCAGGATCTGGCTAGCCTGGCTGGATCATGTGAGGGAATCCTCTAATTAAGATCACCCTCAAGGCCCAGTGGAGACCAGGATCTGGCTAGCCTGGCTGGATCATGTGAGGGAATCCTCTAATTAAGATCACCCTCAAGGCCCAGTGGAGACACTATCCCTGGGCACCATGCTGAAGAGCCACATTCTTTGCTTGCTGGTTTCTTATATTCTGTCCCTGCAGGGTCTAAAGCCCACTTAAAGTATTCTGTAGACAATTCACAAACCTTCAACACTCATTTTAATATGAAAAGTAATACAACGCCCATTATATTACTCAATCCTCTCAGTGTGATCTTCCATAAGGAAGCTGAGTCCAAATCTGGACTAATCTACTGGCTATGTGTAGACCAGTTCCTTAACCCAGTCTCAGTTTTCATTGCTATAAAATGGGGAAAATGGAGAATTGGTCTAAGAATTAATTAAAATGATGCATATAATTCACTTATTACAATGTCTTGCATGGAGGAAAGGTCAATCGTTAATAAAGTTGGTAATTTACATGGCATCGCTCTAATACCTGTGACTGGCCAGATTTTCACGCACCAGGAATGCCCGAGAAGCTCTGTTCAAACCAGCTATGCTTCAACATTCTCATTTATCAGAAGGAGAATGGAAGGAAGTGTAAGCAGGTCTCATCTCCATTAAACTTTGCTTCAGGTGCACTAAGATGTGACTGATGCTAATTTTTCCAGATTTTATATTATTTAGGTGGGACTCCAATCCCAGCCTCTTGATTCCTGCCTCCTAGCATTTCTGCCTTCAAAATTGTTTTCACTACCACAGATTTTTTTAAAAAAATTGTTTGGAAATTTGTATATTTTCCTTTTTGGATGACTCGAGGCTAATGAAACGATTTGATGAAAAGTAGGATTACACACACACACATATACATATATATGTATATATGTATATGTGTGTTGTATATATGTGTGTATATATATGTATATATGTGTGTTGTATATATGTGTGATATATGTATATATGTGTGTGTGTGTGTGTGTGTATATATATATATATATATATATATATATATATGTGTGTGTGTGTGTTGAGACACAGTTTCTCTCTCATGCCCAGGCTGGAATGCAGTGGCACACTCTTGCTTCACTACAACTTCCGCCTACCAGGTTCAAGCAATCCTCCTACCTCAGCGCCCCCAGTAACTGAGATTACAGGTGCATGCCATCATGCTGAGCTCATTTTTGCATTTTTAGTAGAGATAATAAGGTTTTGCCATATTGGCCAGCCTGGTCTTGAACTCCTGACCTCAAGTGATCTACCCGCCTCAGCCTCCCAACATGCTGGGATTACAGGCGTGAGCCACTGCACCCAGCCAGATTATATTCTTAAAAAGATAAGTGACTGTATAATAAAATATTGGAAGTCAGTGTAAAAATCAAGTCTTCCATTTGCTTTTCCTCAGCTCTGAAACATACTAATTTTGGGCAAGCCATTATATTCCATGAATTATTTGTCTTTAGTCAAAAAGGGGTTATAAAATGTCTCATAAGATTGTCTTGAGTGTTAACTTTAAAATAGATGTGAAAGAATTTGGAAAAAATAAATACTTGGAAAAATTAGCTCATCATCATCATGCATTCTGATTTCAGGCCATTATATGATTTTATATTATTTGTATTATTTTAATTTTATTTTTTATGCATATGATATTGGATTATGCCATTTTGTCTTATAATATGCACACTATGCTTCTCAAAAATACAGTAAATGGTTGTGTCCTAATAATATTAGGACGTGAAAAATAAATCATATGTTAACTGAGTACTTCCATATTTTTAGAGAAGCCACTGATGATTTCAAGATAGCTCTTGATTGAATAGACTGCCTTTGGCAGGAGGGAGTGGATTGCAATAGTCATCTTTACAATTGATTCAGTTTCTTCAGTAAATCAAATTTGTGGCAATAGACATAAATCATTTCAGAAGGCTAAAGTGAACAAATTGACTCATCCAGGTTTTGTTAATATCATAGTGTAGAAATGATCTACATGGCATTGAATAATATACCTTGAGTTATTGGATAGTAGATACTTTGGCATAACTGTCACATATCAATCAATATAACTTCAGCTCTTTTGTAATGAATTATAATTTCTTTACAAGTAATAAAAACTATTGAAAAGTTAGAAATATTTCAGAAAAGTTTGGCCACTGTTTCATGAGTTTACAAGTATATCTACTGTGCACACACACAGGCACACAAACACAACTGATACGCAACATTCTATGAGTCAATGCATGGTGAAGAAATAGAATGTTTTGATTAACCCACAGTTACTCCTCTATGCAATGATATTATCTAGCAGATGGATACTTTCTTGGAATTTAGGGATTTTCTTCTAGAATTTTGCATGTGAATGTGCACAAGTGCCCTAGATACTGTTCTTCCCCCCACTCCCAGAAATGTAGTACTTTAATCTGTTAACCAGAAAGTTAAGTACAAGGTCAAGTATCTTAAAACAGATCTCAGAAATGCAAATTGAGGTTGTCTCTGGTGAGTTTAGGTAAGCGTATTAAATCTAGAGGAAAGAAATATTAAAATAAGTTCTAAAAGGATTTTCATGGATATAAAGCAAAATATTTTAAAATGATAGGCCTTTTGAAATACGTCTTTGATTAGAAGTATGAGATACCATGATTCAGAAAAATAATAGGAAGGACTGAAAAATACTGTCAAAGTGTTAGGACAATAATACAAATGAAAACACTCTAAAGCCACTTTTTTATTTCCTACTGGTGAAAAAATTTCTAGAGAAAATATTTTTTGTTTTCATTTGTCTGTTGCCTAGGCTGGAGTGCAGTGGCACATTCATAGCCCACTGTAACCTCGAATTCTTGGACTCAAGGGATCCTCCTGCCTCAGCCTCCTGAATAGCTGGGACTACAGGCACACATCACCATGCCGGCTAATTTTTCAATTATTCATAGGGATAGGGTCTTGCTATGTTGCTCAGGCTGATCAACTCCTGGGGTCAAGCGATCCTTCTGCCTCAGCCTCCCAAAGTCCTGGATTCCTAGAGAAAATAAAGGCAGGTGTATTCAAACAGTCTCTTGGATAAGTTACAATTTAAAACAAAAAGTTGGGCAAAGAAGGAAGGATAAACATAAGACCAGGGACAAGCACAATGGAATGTTTTCATAATTTAGTTGTTGTGCATTCCTTCTGTTTGAGAAATGTTTATTGCAGGTCGACTGTAGTACAGGTACTAGAGTCTGCTCTGGGCTGTGAAAACAGGCAGGCTTTCATTTCATCCCTCACAGTCTGATTGGGGGTAAGTGAGTAATTAGGAGTCATTGGAAGACTTTAAGCAGAGGAAGTTGATCAGATTTGTGTTTTTAAAAAGCGCTATATGAGAAAAAAATAGAGAAAAAAAATTTGAGGTGGCAACATCAGAAATAAACTCAGAGGCAGATCAAATAATCATTCCCTCAATCTCCAAAAATAAACAACAGTCATGTAAGATTGAAATTGAACAGTGCAGTTGAATTTTCTCAATAATTTTAAAATAGTGATTTGAAGATGAAAGCCTGAAATGAAGCAAGATTGGTGAAGTGTCTTCAAATCTGAGTGGAGCTGTTAGAACTATTCAACAGACACTGAGGAATTATAGATACAATGTTTTTTAATGGAACTGTTTTCACACTAATCAGAAGTTCTATAGCACGGAAGCATTTGCAATTTTGTGGAGATAGAGACTTGAATCCTGCTACTGAAAATCTGGAAGGTCACAGTCCAGTAGTGGTCTCTTAACTGGTCCTTGCTTGTCAATACTCCAATGGTCTATTAATAAAGTCAGAAAACTTCATTCATGAAAAGATAAGCGTTCTGCAAACAAACAGCTAAGCTTTATATTAGTTCAAAAGAGAAAGTGAAGTCTGTGGTGGATCTCAAAAAATAAAAGCTCTGGGTATATCCAGGTGTGGTCTGTGGCATTCAAAGGTGTGCAGACTTCCAAGGGAACAGGAACACCCTTGACTCTATGGAATCTGGTGGAGCAAATGTTACTGTTGGAGCAGAAATGACATCGTATTGGGGATCATTTTGAAAGGAGGTAATTTATGAATGGTAAAGCAACTCAGCCTCCACTTTGCCTGTCTCCTTCCTTACAGAATTGTGGACTTGAAAGAGTGGACAAAGGATGGTTATGAAATTTGAAGCATAAACTGTGTGAGGAGAGAGAAAGTATGTACTGAGCCCATCAAAATCTGAGGTTCCCAGGACCAGAGGAGCACATCCAGGAAGCTGCTGGAAGAACTCCCTTCTTAGGCTGGTCTTCAGTCATCCTTGGTGTTCATTCACAAACCAGGGATTAGGGTGGAGGTACCAGAAAATCACAAATGGAGTATTTTTTTAATTCAAAAGGGAGAACAAAAGGAGTTAGAGAACAGGTAGTGTAATGATGACTCATAGTTAATTTCTAGCACTGAATGATTGGTTGGTATTTACTTAATAATAAGTCATCACGAGAATCTAAAATTAGCATATGCTGTCTGATGCCATGGATTATTTATGTTCTAAGACTTCTTTATGGTTTGTAATGAGGCATCTGACAAGGTATATTAACCAGTCTTTTGAATAAGAGATAGATATGTATGTAGATTTATCCACGTTACATGTAGGTGAGCATAGAGCTGTTTAAAGTTTATCCTAGAAAATGTTGTTGAAGAGGAAAAATAGCAACTTGAAGGTGATAAGGAATTACAGAGCATATACAAAAGAAGGTTGGATTCACATGACCAGCCAATGGAAATAACTGTTATCCCTGGAAAAATACAGAGATCTCGCCTGAGTTTAAGTAAAATCTTCGCAAATACAAGACAAGGAGTCCTAGTTTAGCAAACACTCTGTATCCATGATAAGCTAATAGGGTGGGTGGTATGGGTATGAAAAACAAACCAGAAACTAAGGGGTTAAGGCTCCATTAATAGAGAAGAGAGGAAAAATCTCACTCTACCTTAATTGCTCTGATGTGACAGAAATGAAATATATACCGTTTTTTTAGGTTTTGGAATTCTTATTTTAAACAAGGATATGGATAGAATTGTGATTGAAAAAGTGTTAACAGGTACAGCATCTCAAAATGATGCCACATTTGAAATGATTATTTTTGATAAGATGCCATTTAGGAGGACCTGGAGCTTTTTAAACACTTGAAAGGATGTGTTATGAAAGACATTGCAGGCAGAATCTGTGTAGTTCTAGACGCAGGGCCAGGAACAACCCATGGAAGTTGGTGGAAACCAAAGTTCAGTTCAAGTTGAGTGCAACTTTTTACCATGTAGAGATCTGAAAATAGGCTGCCTTTTCGTAGAAAAAAATGGCAAATATCTTAATCCTCAGAAAGTCATCTCACTAATTATTCCTGAAATCAGTGTTTAAACACCTGGAACAAACTTGTTAAGCTTAGCTTTTTCTTCAACTCACAAAGCAAATTTTATGTTTCCAGTGGAGATCAGGATGTTCTTCTAGCAGGGAAAATTGCACAAACTACAGGGAAATGATTAATACTCAATATCAATCTCTTGCGATGTTCTCATATTTTTTCTCAATATTCGGAAAAATAAAATTGCTTCTGTTCTGTTCCTTTAGCCAGCCTGTTCTCTTCAGCTCATTAATTTATCTTGGAAACTCCACTTTTCAAATTTAAAGGCCCATCATTAGGATGTTTAATATTGATGGGAAAAAGTAAAATGACTATTTTACCCACAAAAATAAAAACATTTGCTATCCTTTTTTGATAAAGGTCTTCTAGATTTGCTTCACCCACTTTAACTTTTTCTATATATGTTAAAATTCAGTGTGCAATAATATTTTCCATTTCTCCACATTTTAGACTTCCTTAGCTTATTTCTAGTCACATAAATTCTTTTTTATAAATGTTGATAGGAAATACCATTCTTAATGATACCACCAGTGATGAGTTGAATACTGCCCCAGTCTGATCAACATGCGTGAAAGATATTTTCTGAGCTGTGAGTTTGAAAAATAAAAATAATTTTTTAAAAGATATAATGGCTCCTGTTGAGACAATTTATTAATATAAATTCAGAGATATTCACAGCCAAAAGGAGCATTGGAGATCATAAGATTATTAAGGTCACCTTATGCTTTTGTTATAAGAGGAAATCCTGCAATCGATAACAATGCAATGAGTGAGTTTGTCCTGTCGTAGATCCTTTTCACAGGGCCTGGGATATAGTACTTAGTGAATGTCCATAAACCAACATTCTTTACTCAAAGGAGCCCTATTCGTTCAATAGTAATAATGGAGGGATTATAGGAATAATTCCTGATTATCTCAAGATTTGCTTTTTATTACCCATTCTAGGTTCATCATGATTAACTGTTTAATATTATTTCGGTCCCTTGACCTCATTCTCTGCAACTAAGGAGTTGATGTGAGGAAGTAAGAAAATGAGTCAAAGATTTGGAAGAAGTCCGTTTGAAGTTGAGGGTTTCACTGATTAACAGTGGAATAGGTCAAAAGAAGATGATTTTGTTGGTTAAGTTTTTTGTCTTTTTTGTTTGGTTTTGTTTTTTGTGTGTTAGCATGGGAGAAACTAAGGAAATAATTCCAAAGGAAAGGCTTTTGATGGGGTGTTTTTCTCCTGAATTGCATAGTTTTCAGATTTATTTTAAAGGATGAAAATGGCCATATTTTCTTACTGCCAGTCAATGTCTGTTTATTTTTTAGGCACATCTTTAAAAGACCCCCTAGAGAAGTGTATATATGTCATACAATTAGCAAGTCAAAAGACTGGAGCTTACCTTTTCTAGAACATCTCTTCCATGTCTATATCTCAATATACCATGGTTTTACCAAGAGGCTTGAAGTTTATAACTGGTGCCTTGTTCTGTTCTGTAAGTTCCTGCTAAATGCCTCAACTTTGGTGTGTCACAAGTACTTCAAATTTCAGCCCTTTAAATTGGCCTTGTGGTCATTCCATTAACTCCAGCTTCCCCTCGTTAGATTAGTGGTGGCTCTTTTCACCCACTCACCTAAGTTGGAATCCAAGCATCATCTTAGAAGCTCTGAAAGTGATCAGGGGAGTCTGAGGGGAGGTAGAATGTAGTGGCTAAATGTACAGGCAGTGGTGTTCAACTGCCTTGGTTTGTAATTCTGAGCCCACCATTTACTGACTGCATGAACTTGGAAAAGTAATTTAAACCTTCAGTACTCCTATTTATTCATCTGTATAAGTTGAGAGTATTAGAACCTACCTTATATAGTTGTTATGCACATTTAATGAATTAATAATTATCTTAAATATTTATATGTGTTTCTTTTTATATTTATGAACCTCTAAGAACAAGGCAGAAAATAGCATAAGCACTTTCTTCTCATATCTAATTAATCACCAATTTTTAACAAGTATACTCCTTATATTGCGCCTTTATCTGTTCCATCCTGTTTATCCAGTGGTGTTCTTGGCTGTCAGTGCTTGAATCCAGGTTCTTGTCATATCTCCATTAAATACTGCAATTGTCATTTTAATAACCTTCCTGCTTTTGGTCTTTCCCTGAATACCTCCTTCATGCTCCTGGCTGAGTGATCTTCCAATATATTAATATACATCTAATCACAGCGTTCTTCTGTCCCACGTTCACCAGTTCAACATTCTTTTGTGACTCATCATTTTATCACTAACGCCCACCACCCCAACCCTGATGGTTTTGATGGGATGTTTATGATGGCCGGAGGACCAGTTGGCCCAGCCCTATCTCTTGGCACATTCTCCCTCACATCTTTCAATCAAACAATGCTGAGAGACACCCTGCCTCCATCTTTGAGCACTTTTTTAAGACGTTAGGACTGTGACTTACCAAACTGAACTCCTTGAACTCTGCTGCTTAACCAAAATTTTCTGGACAATCATACGTCTATGTAGAAACATGTATGTAAGATGAGTCTTGGAAAAACAAATTCACTTACTTATAAATGGACATACAAATGGCAGCAATTATACTGTATGCATTGTGCTTGCTTTATGCCATAGGTGGACCATGTCAATTGAATCTTTATTGTTGTTTTATGAATTTTACCTAAACCATTCTTTATTAATGAACCTTTAGTTTGCCCCTATCTTTTTGCTCTATAATCAGTGTCACCATGAACATTCTTGTGCATAGTCTTGCCTACATGTACAAGAACATTTGTAGGAAAAATTAGTAAAAGTAGAATCGTTGGGGCAAAGGGTGTGAATGTTCAAAATGTTGATGAGTATTTCCAAGTTGCGCTATCAAGAGGCAGCCCCAGTTTCTAGTCCCACCACAATACGTGAAAGTTTCCATTACTCCTCTCCTTCCGCTCAAAGTATATAGGCTTTTTAATTTAATGTGTAGAAATCTAAATTCCCATTTGAAACTCATACTTTGTAAATGCTGCCTCTCTCCTAAGATATTTTTAAGGTTTGAAAAAAGTGGTACTCATAACATGGCTCACCGCAGAATGAATTACAGTTTTTTGCAATTTGCAAGCATTCAATAACTCAGTAACTTAAAGAGCCATGTTAGGGCAGTGACACATTCTGTGCAAAAAGATACGAATACAAATTCTAGCTTACCATTTTATTTAAAGCCGGAATTGTGCAGTTGATAACAAACAGGTGAAAATTTTCAAAAAGCTTTGTTATATTTTGAATGATATTTACTTGATTGACATATTTTGTCAGAAAACTGTCATTTGTAAATAATTGCTTAGGACTTTTTTAATAAAATGAAACAAAATTAATAGAAAAAAGATTATTTGCTTCCTTTGCTTTTTTCTGACAGAGTTCTTATGCTCAGTCGTATCTCCTTACCGTATTTGCATGCCTTTTATGGAAAGCAGTGATAGAAAAGTATGAGAATCTTCAGTGATTATTACCTGTGTCAGTTCTATTAACTGATGCTACTGGATTTTGAATGCTTTCTAAGCATTTTTATTCCAAAAATTTAACATTTTAATGCTCTACTCATTTGTTAGTTTTTGCTTCTTTTCTTTAATTACCTTGAAAATTTTCTGACATTTTATTTTTAGAAAATTCTATATCTTATGTTTTAATGCTTCATTTTCTCTCAATTTTATCTCATTGTTTTCTCTCAGTTTTTCTGGATAACTCCCAGATATCTTGTCTTTGTGGTGTGGATATTATAATTCAATTATTTCTAATAAGTTATTTTGTACATATTATAAACATTCATATGTTATATGCTACTATTTCTTATAATAGTCTAGTATATGCTCTTAATATAAGTTAAGAATTAAAGATCTAAATCAAACTAGAAGTGTAATCTGTTTTGCATGTTTCTTACTTCTTCCAAACTAAGATTGAACATTGTGTTTTAGTATCAGAATTTGGGGATAGATTGGTTTTAAAATTTGCATCTAAAGATTATTCCCAGGAATTCTACATGTTTTTAAACCTCTAATTTGTTTAAACCTCCCATATGTAAAATTGTTAGGATATTATAGACAAAATGGATAAAAGTCAATACCTCTCTCAATGGGATCATAGAATGGTTTTGTTAAAAATCGGTGATTGGCACCCCAGTACAGATATGCTTTAATGATAGTTTATTAAACGTGTATTAAAATGTATTCTTAGACACATATGCATGTCTCAATAAATGATTTTATGCATG
This sequence comes from Homo sapiens, assembly GCF_000001405.40. NCBI lineage: Eukaryota > Metazoa > Chordata > Mammalia > Primates > Hominidae > Homo > Homo sapiens. The sequence goes on along the minus strand of NC_000013.11, from coordinate 107,317,245 downwards.
GGTCGTCTAACTCTTGAAAATAGTTATATTACAACCTTGATTCTGCTTCTAGATAATCTTTCATTTTGCTACGTTTTGTCACAGATGATAAAAGATTAAGTGTAAAACTAAGTATTATTTGAGTTCTTGCAAAATCAGAATTATAGTCTTGGTTACTAATGTCTCTACAATAATGTTAGGCAAGTTTTATATCTACTAAATAGCAATCAATAGTTTTTCTCATTTCCTAGAAAAGATCTTTCATTTACATTTCTAAAAATCTTTTAAAGTGTTTGATTTTCAGTACTTCCCATGTATTGCTTATTGTGTTCATTGCAATGATGACTTAACTGAAGATTTAGGTGTTATTCTTTGACCAGTGTATATGTAAAAGTAGGCAGCCAGTTGCAAGTAAGTCAGCAATAAGCAGAAGAAGTGGATTCTTAAAAAGAGAAAACTCAGCTTTAAGTCCTAAGACTTAAGAATCTACAAAGAACTCAAAGAAATTTACAAGAAAAAAACAACCCCATCAACAAGTGGGCAAAGGATATGAACAGACACTTCTCAAAAGAAGACATTTATGCAGCCAAAAGACACTTGAAAAAATGCTCATCACCACTGGCCATCAGAGAAATGCAAATCAAAACCACAATGAGATACCATCTCACACCAGTTAGAATGGCCATCATTAAAAAGTCAGGAAACAACAAGTGCTGGAGAGGATGTGGAGAAATAGGAACACTTTTACACTGTTGGTGGGACTGTAAACTAGTTCAACCATTGTGGAAGTCAGTGTGGTGATTCCTCAGGGATCTAGAACGAGAAATACCATTTGACCCAGCCATCCCATTACTGGGTATAAATCCAAAGGATTATAAATCATGCTGCTATAAAGACACATGCACACTTATGTTTATTGCGGCACTATTCACAATAGCGAAGACTTGGAACCAACCCAAATGTCCATCAATGATAGACTGGATTAAGAAAATGTGGCACATATACACCATGGAATACTATGCAGCCATAAAAAATGATGATTTCATGTCCTTTGTAGGGACATGGATGAAGCTGGAAACCATCATTCTCAGCAAACTATCGCAAGGTCAAAAAACCAAACACTGCATGTTCTCGCTCGTTGGTGGGAATTGAACAATGAGAACACATGGACACAGGAGGGGAAACATCACACACTGGGGACTGTTGTGGGGTGGGGGAAGAGGGGAGGGATAGCATTAGGAGATATACCTAATGTAAATGACAAGTTAATGGGTGCAGCACACCAACATGGCACATGTATACATATGTAACAAACCTGCACGTTGTGCACATGTACCCTAGAACTTAAAGTATAATAAATAAATAAATATATATATATATCTATAAAAAATAAGATATTTTGGGCTTCAATTCATTTATCATTTTTATTGGAAAGAGATATGCCCATTTTTATTACCTTGGAAGAAAGAAGCCAAACACAAAAATAATTTTAAGCAAAGAGAGATGCTAAACACTTAAAAAACCCTGCTAAGTAAAAATAGAGAAGCAAGCTGAGCATAGAAAATAACTGCAAAAATGTTCATGGCTGACTCTTGGTAAGGGTGGAAGACCTGAAAGGATTACGTTTCAATGTCTCATACAGAAAACACTTACTCAAAAGAAAATCAAAAAAAAGGAAAACCCAACAAAGTACCTTGGAAATTGCATTTGCTCAGTGCCAATATGAAATTGCCTGTAGTTTTTATGTATTTTACATTTTATGACAAAGTAAGTATCCAAGAGAAAGCACTGAAGGTAGATTATAGAAGACTTTCCAAGTCAGTAAGAGAAAGCTACACATGCAACGAGAATATATTATTTTTTAAATACCCACTGAAAAGCAGCGTTTTAACAAAGTGAGTTTGGCTGCATCCATCACATGGGTATGGGATGAGTATTAGAAGGTAATATTTAGTGCGGAGGGTCTGGCTCAGAGGGATAAGAGTGAAGCAGGGTACATCTTTATATTTTTATATTTATAAGAAATTTATATTTATAAGAAAACAAAGAATGTATTACTGTATACAAATGAAAGGTAGTAGAATTCTTTAATTCTTTCGCTTTTTTATTTTGATACAAAGAAAGGGCATTCAGAAAGGAGCCAATATGAGGGAAAAGGTCATATTTTTAATTTTGTTTAAGTTGAATTTAATTTAAAGTGAGGGCTGAGAATTCTTACAGAGTAGTTAACTGTTGGAGCATATTGTGAGAATCCACAGGGTAACCCCCTTAGGAGTATTTGGGTTGATACTTTCATAGAAAAATGAAGGAGCACAGTGAAAATGCTTTCAGATTCATTACCTCATTCCACCACCACCAGATGACAACTTTATGGCTTGGATTCCACTATTTGAATTGCGTGAGCTTTCACTCGTCAGTTCATTTCTCAATTCAGCTAATCTTCTCAAGTGCCTACTAAGTGTGCTGCATTGTGCTATGCACTGAAGATGCTAGCAGTTAATAAACAGGGTTCCTTCCAGGGCAGACAGTCTAATGGGGAACATAAATGGGTGAAAGACAATGAAACCCTGTGGGATGAGCTCAGTGGCCAACAAAGTGTCTACCTAACCAAGACTAGGGCAGGAGGAAGTTTTCAAGAGAAAATTATGTTAATACTGAGATAATTGGAATAGGAATCTTGCAGAGGAAGAGTCAAGAGTACATTCTATTCAAGGGAGGGTCATGTATGAGGAGTAGGAGTCAGATGGGGTAAAATTGTTCAATGTAGGATCTAAAGGAAAATAAATCTTTCTGAAGAATCAAGATGAGGTGGAACTAGGAGAAGAGAACAGGGAGTATAGACAGTGGTGCAAAATAAAACTAAGAAGGGCTAAGACAGGGAACTCCCAGAGTCTCATTAAGAAATTAGCACAGTATCCTAAGGCAAGGAAAAAATGGAAGAACTCGCATTTGAAGGAGATTATTCAGACTATTAAGTGGAAAGCGGATTCCAGAAGGCCAGCTGGGGGCCTAAAGCCTAATTAGAAAGTGATCCTAGAGTTCTAGGATGGGATGCCGATGGCCTTTGCAGGGGTAGTGATTGTGGGGCTGGAGAGAAACAGAGTAGACCTGAGAGACATTTAGAAGATGGTCAGGTGGTAAATCACAGTCAGTGACTTGCTGTTGTACCTTTTGGTTTCCTTGTTCTAATTTTGCTGTAAAGTTATTTTAAGTTGTAGTTATTGTGAACCAAAAGTATCTGAGACAGGTCTCCATCAGTTTAAAATGTTTATCTTGCCAAGGTTAAGGACGCACCCCTGATACAGCCTCAGGAGGTCCTGACAACATGTACCCAAGGTTTTTGGGACATAGCCTGGTTTTATACATTTTAGGGAGATATGAAACATCAACCAATATGTGTAAGATGTACATTGGTTCGGTCTGGAAAGGCGGACAGCTTGAAGTGGAGGCCTCCAGGTCACAGATAATAGACAAAAGGTTGCATTCTTTTGAGTCATTGATCTGCCTTTCACTAAATATACAATTTACGAGTGCGAGGAGGATAGAGGAATAGTCACTTATGCCTTAGTCAGGCTCAGTGAATCTACATTTTTACATAAGCATATTAAGGTAGAGAAAACAATCAGATATGCATTTGTCTCAGGTGAGCGGAGGGATGACTTTGAGTTCTGTCCTTTTTCCCACACCTGTGAAGACAAGCTACCAGTTTACATTGCCAGGGTGAAATCCAACAGAACTGTTTTAGGGTAAAGATCTTGAGGTCCACAAGGAATTTTCTTGTGGACAAATTGTGAGGGAGGTATGTGGTTATTTTTCTTTGTTGTTGTTTGTTTGTTTTTAATCTTTGTAGCTATCTTATTTAGGAATAATTTGGAGGCAGGTTTGCCTGACATAGTTCCCTGCTTGACATTTCCCTTTCATGTAGTGATTTTGAGGTCCAGAAATTTATTTTCCTATCACGTTATGATTAGAGTCTTTTCAATCTGAAAACTCATGCCTTGAGTCCTGGAAAATACATTTCTGTTAAAAAAAAAATTCCTGTTCCTTTTTCCCTGTGTTCTATTTTTTTGGGAGTTTCATGAGTTGGTTGTCTCCTATTCTTGATCCTGTTTTTGGTCATTTCTTTTACTTTTCTTTTCTTTGTTGCTTTCTAGAGATTTCTCCATTTTATCTTCCAAGTATTCTGTTTTTTAAAAACTTCCAGCAATTACATTTTAAATTTCCAAGAGAACTACTTCTCTAGTTTATTCACAATACTTCGTGTTTATGTCATGTTGACAGTTTCTCCAAGATTTCCCTTGTTGGTTTGTTTTGCTTTCCGTCTCTTTATGTAGGGAGCTTTCCTCAAATATCTTGTGGTACTTATTATTATTTAGTTAAGAGTAAGGCACTAAAATAGCTGATTGGATAATTTTATATTGGTAGATGAGAATTTTCACATTTTTCCATAGTACTCTGTGCAAATTCACCAGAGTGGCCATTAACTTGAGTTAAGCTTTCTTACTCTGCTAGGTCAGTTACCCCTTCTCCATTTTCTTTTATTTCTTCATGTGTTGTGATTACAGGTTTTAGATATCTCTTAATTTCGTAAAAGATGTAGGGTTCTCCTCTGATTTTCTTTGACGTTATTGCTACAATTTCTAAGTGCAGAAAACAGTTTTGGAGATGTCTAATTTTGCAGTCTTTTTTTTTATTATTATACTTTAAGCTTTAGGGTACATGTGCACAATGTGCAGGTTTGTTACATATGTATACATGTGCCATGTTGGTGTGCTGCACCCATTAACTCGTCATTTACATTAGGTATATCTCCTAATGCTATCCCTCCCCCCTTCCCCCACCCCACAACAGGCCCTGGTGTGTGATGTTCCCCTTCCTGTGTCCATGTGTTCTCATTGTTCAATTCCCACCTATGAGTGAGAACATGCAGTGTTTGGTTTTTTGACCTCGTGATCGTTTGCTGAGAATGATGGTTTCCAGCTTCATCCATGTCCCTACAAAGGACATGAAATCATCATTTTTTATGGCTGCATAGTATTCCATGGTGTATATGTGCCACATTTTCTTAATCCAGTCTATCATTGTTGGACATTTGGGTTGGTTCCAAGTCTTCGCTATTGTGAATAGTGCCGCAATAAACATACGTGTGCATGTGTCTTTATAGCAGCATGATTTATAATCCTTTGGATTTATACCAAGTAATGGGATGGCTGGGTCAAATGGTATTTCTAGTTCTAGATCCCTGAGGAATCGCCATACTGACTTCCACAATGATTAAACTAGTTTACAGTCCCACCAACAGTGTAAAAGTGTTCCTATTTCTCCACATCCTCTCCAGCACCTGTTGTTTCCTGACTTTTTAATGATGGCCATTCTAACTGGTGTGAGATGGTATCTCATTGTGGTTTTGATTTGCATTTCTCTGATGGCCAGTGATGATGAGCATTTTTTCAAGTGTCTTTTAGCTGCAGAAATGTCTTCTTTTGAGAAGTGTCTGTTCATATCCTTCGCCAACTTGTTGATGGGGTTGTTTGTTTTTTTTCTTGTAAATTTGTTTGAGTTCATTGTAGATTCTGGATATTAGCCCTTTGTCAGATGAGTAGGTTGCAAAAATTTTCTCCCATTTTTAGGCTTTTACTGAATAGTTTTTGGGAAACTCTATTGTGATGATTTAGCTCATTAATTATTTTTATTATATTATATCATTTATTAAATATAATTTAATAAATGATTAAATACAGTTTAGTGTTAAGAAAACCCTTTTGTCTAATGGACAACAGCCTTTACATCTAAGCCAGTAAACCTCTGTATACAAAAATGAATGCTTTATTAATTAGAAGGTTTTAAAGTTCTGAGATACTGTATGTTTTAAGATCTGACAGTTTTCAAATTAAAGAAGCAATATCAATCCTTTTAATTTTTAGATAGCTCTAGAATTGACATACAGTTTTAATGGTAGTTTAAACTTAATGGTAAATATGTTTATCTTTAAAAGAAGCATACTGGGATGGAACAGGAATTATCTTTCTGTACAAGACATCCTTTACTGTTCCTTTTTTCAGGTAGACTGTAGATGAAGTACCTTCAAGCAAAAAAATAATACAAACAGTACTGATAGTGGAGATGGGAACAGCTGAGGAGCTATCTCATTTCTTGGGGGAAAAAAAATGTGTTATAACGTCACTTAGGATATTTGGCCAGCTCTGAGTTTCTTTTCTTAACAAGTTGATACCTTTTTTTCCCTAGCCATATTTTCTAATTTATCACTAGTCTTTTCACTCATATATGGCCTTAAATAATCCAGATGGCTTGGCACTGTGGCTCCCGCCTGTAATCCCAGCACTTTGGGAGGCCAAGGTGGGTGGAACATCTGAGGTCAGGAGTTTGAGACCAGCCTGACCAACATGGTGAAACCCCATCTCTTAGCCAGGTGTGGTGGTGGGTGCCGGTAGTCCCAGCTACTTTGCAGACTAAGACAGGAGAATCACTTGAACCTGGGAGGCAGAGGTTGCAGTGAGCCAAGATCACGCTACTGTACTCCAGACTGGGCGACAGAGTGAGACTCCATCTAAAATAATAATAATAATAATAATAAATAATTGTATTGTGTTTTATGATAAAGTGGTTGATATGTGTCCATAACTCAATATACAAAGAAAACCAGGATTTTGTTGTTCCTCTTCTAGTTATTTTAGCATTATTTTCATGTCAAGATAATCACCTTTCTACTATATATTTGATGTAATGAAATTCATGGTAATACTTTGGTGATACTTTGATGTAAAAACATTATTGGTGAAAATAAAACTACTTATTTTTTCAATGTTTTAGGAGAAATTACTTTTTTTTTTTTTTTTGAGATGGAATCTCGCTCTGTCTCCCTGGCTGGAGTGCAGTGGCATGATCTTGCCTCGCTGTAACCTCTGCTTGCCGAGTTCAAGTGATTCTCATGCCTCAGCCTCCCAAGCAGCTAGGATTACAAGTGCCCGCCACCACGCCCGGCTAATTTTTGTATTTTTAGTAGAGACAGGGTTTCACCATGTTGGCGAGGCTGGTCTTGAACTCCTGACCTCAAGTGATCCGCCTTCCTGGGCCTCCCAAATTGCTGAGATTACAGGCGTGAGCCACCACACCCAGCCCAGAAGTTATATCTTAATACCTGAAGTATCAAGACATTAAAAGCTAAACACACACACACACAAAACAAATAAAACCTAACCCAACATTTGCATACCAACTTATTGGTAGCGCCATGTGGAATTGGCATCTGGGATGTTTGAGCTAATACATCAGAGTATTGTGCTTTTAAAATGAAGACATAAAATAGCTATAAAGGACTGCTTAAGAGGAATCTTCACTACTGTAAAACTTCGAGGACAAGTATTAGAATTTTAAAATTATTTAAAAGAAAACACTCAGTACTACCATCAACATGAAGTTGAAATTTAAGCTGCATACTAACCAAATCCATTAAATAAGCAATGTGCTTTTAAGGAATTTGCTATGTGTTCCAACTATATTATAGTCAATTCTCAGGTGAGCAAAATGTTAATTGAGACTCAGAATTGAGAATAATCACACCAAATGGGGCTGATTCTGTCTTAACCACCAATCTCCACATTAAGTTTAAGCCACACTGCCTTGTATTTGAATGTGTTCTTCAGCTCGACCTTCCTTGCACCTGTTCCTCCCGTGAACCTTCGTGTAGACCTCTTTTATGGATAATGCTAGTTGATTAAATGTCAGCTTACACTTTCCCGAATCAAATAATAAACTCTGACTTTTCTTGCCTGTGTATGATTCTTATTTGCCTCAGGACTTTTCTCAGAAATTTAAGAAAAGTAAAATGATAGTGATCACCCTCTGGCATTTAGAAGCAGAAATAGTTTTGGTCATAATTCAAGTGGTCAAAAACTCTGTATGCCAGTGAATGTGAGAGAGAAATCAGAAGAGATGAATGACATCATACTGAAGAACACTTTGTCCAAGTCTTTTGTTTCTAACCTCTTCTGTGTACAGAGAAAGCATCTCACCAAAGACAGGTGTTCCTTTTGCTCATTGTTGAATTGTTTATTCATCCATCAACATTTTTTGAGGGCCTACAAGGTTTCAACAGTTAGAAAAATAAGTAAGATGACGTACTCACCATTAATGAGCTGCCTGCTTCATTAAAAGTAGAGTGAGACAAATAGACAGGTACATTTCTATTGGAATAGCGCCATTGTAGGAGATAGATAAACAAGCAGACAAAACGTATTTGATCTACAGCTTAAATGCCTTCCATTGAATTAGAAATCAAATAAACTCAACACCTCAAATGTTTTTCAGGAATTAAAATAATGAGCAGATAAGACAGAGTTGAAGCCTGAAGAGGCTGCTAAGGCAGGAAAAAGGAATGTCTTGAGAAAAACAACCTATAGGTTATATCTACTGTAGCAAGCCATCCTTTTGCTATTGTAAGTCATGTTGCGATTCATCTGTGGTTAATAAATAGTTTTCATATTCAGGATTGATTTTCAGGAGAGACATTGGCTTGATTTCATTGCAGTTGAGGTTGAATATATTTTCAATCACTGAGCACTTGTATTTCCTTTGTGCCAAATTATTGTTTCACGCCTTTTATCCATTAATTTTTAGAAACATAGACAGTCTATTTGTAATTCATGGAAAACTACTGGCAATTTTTCATATGGTTAGCAATATTTCTCAATTTCCTTTTTAAAATTTTGGCTATGATTGCTATGGACATTCAAGAACTAAAGTGCCGAAAAGCATAGATACTCACGCCTGTAATCCCAGCACTTTGGGAGGCCGAGGCGGGCGGATCACGAGGTCAGGAGATCGAGACCATCCTGGCTAACATGGTGAAACCCCGTCTCTACTGAAAATACAAAAAAATTAGCCGGGCGTGGTGGCGGGTACCTTTAGTCCCAGCTACTCAGGAGGCTGAGGCAGGAGAATGGTGTGAACCCGGGAGACGGAGCTTGCAGTGAGCCGAGGTCACGCCACTGGACTCCAGCCTGGGCGACAGAGTGAGACTCTGTCTAAAAAAAAAAAAAAAAAAAAAGCATAGACACAAAATACAAAAAAGTAATACAGAAATTTAATGAGATTTCCAGTGATTTCCTGGGTAAAAAATAATGGAGGAATGCAATGCCATTAGCACTGTATTTATTCCCCTACCCCAATACACTGGTATTATACTAAGGGTGTCACATGACATATTTTATAATATTAATGGCTCTTTAGAAGATAATCATGACAGCGTTAATGCCAGTTGTAAATTACATCACAATTTACAGTCTAAAATATCACTTTGAGGTAATTAACTGCCCATGATCATGAATCACAGCAAGTTTATATATCCACTTACAATATTTGTATTAAGTGAACACAGATTTTCTTTAAGTGTATTGTAAGTACTCTTTAGCAATTAGTCACAAAACCATTTTATTTGTGTTAAAAGATTACCTAATTCTCTTAATTGTTAAAGGGTGAATTGTCTTTAGTGCCGCAAAGAATGATAAAGAACAGTAGAGACTTAAGACTGATTCCATTTCCTTGTTCAATTTTCTGTTATCCATTTCAATGCCATTATAGCACCAGCAAGTTTTTTTTTTTTTTTTTTTTTAATAAAAAAGGAATCATCCAGCTACTCAGGAACCTGAGGCAGGAGAATCGCCTGAACTCGGGAGGCGGAGGTTGCAGTGAGCCAAGATCGCGCCACTGTACTCCAACCAGCCTGGGTGACAGAGCGAGACTCGGTCTCAAAAAAAAAATAAAAATAAAAATAAAAAAGAGAGATCATCCAAATGAATCAATCAAATAAATCAGAAAATATGATCCTCCCATTAAGTTAGTTTTTTCTGCCTAATTCAGGGATGCTATCCTGATGACAGTGCCTGGTAGTCAATTAAACTATAACTTTCCTCTTTCCCTCTGTTCTCTCATCTCTTGTCTCAAGTAATAGACATCTTGGTTCTTGTTTAATGGTATGCAGTGTGGACACTGGGATTTCCAACCTCCCTAGGTGAGTCTAATGGCAGTAAAGGTTATGAATAACTGGTCTAAGGTTTTACACTTCATTCACTTGTGGGCACACTTTCAATTAAAATGATTTAGAGCCCTGGAAATAGCATGGCTTTGATTAGAAGAATGGGCACATCTGCCTTAGAAGTAAATGGACTTATAAATATGAAAACGTGTTATTAAGAAAAGAAACATATAAAGTCAGGCATTTCAGATGAGACTTCCCATGGCAAAAACGTGTTTGGGGTTTTTGTTTTGTTTTGTTTTGTTTGTTTTTTTTGAGACAAGCTCTCACTCTGTCACTGCAGCTGAAGGGCAATGGTGTGCTCACTGCACACCCGACCTCCCGGGCTCAAGCCATTCTCCCATCTCAGCCTCCAAAGTAGCTGAGACTACAGGCAGGCACCACCATACCCAGCTAATTTTGTTTATTTTTTGTAGAGACAGGGTCACACCACGTTGCCCAGGTGGGTCTCAAACTTCTGGGCTCAAGCGATCCACTTCCCTCAGCCTCCCAAAGCGCTGAGACTACAGGCGTGAGCCATCTCGCCTGGCTGACATGGTACTTTGGCAAACAAAAGTCACTGTTAATTCTTATGGTAAAAATATCAGGTAACATTTTTTTCTACCAGTTTTTTATTGAAAATAAAATGTCGTTCATTTTTGTTGTGGCCATAGTTGCTGTTGATAGAACATGATCGGAGCCACTTCCCTTAATCCTCAAAACGGTAAATGACAGTTTATTCAACCCTGTTTGCAAATCATTGAAGTATCAGATTTCATTATTAATACCAAATCATCACTGATACCAAATAATAACAAAATTGTTGCCAGAATTCAGACATAAAAATTACAGTGGAACCCGATGGTGGGATTTGACTGTTGCTATACAATCCTCAAGTCTGTCCCATCAGCCGCAGATGGGAGGCAGGAACATCTTTGTGATTTGATTCCATTACCACGGTCCAACAGCGATCATGTCAATGTGAGAAGTCATATCATGTTGTTTTTGTCGTTTTTGTCTGTCTGGTGGCTTTTCTTTGGTTTCAAAGAAGAAAGAGCTCTTTGAGTTATAATAAATAATTACTGTGGGATAATTTTAAATTTATGGTTCTAGAAATTTTCAAACATATATAAAGAAGTAAGAATGGAACTAATGCGTTTTTATTCACACATCACCGATCTTCAGTAGTTATCAACATTCTGCCATTCTTAGTTTGTACCTCCACCCACTCCCCTCACCGCTAGTTGATTTCTTATTATTTTACAGTGTTTAAGGTAAAAATTACATCCATCAAAATACATATATCTTAGCAGTGCAGTTTTGACAAATGGATGTTCTGGTGTAACCTACACATTTTCACAACATATTACTTCCCTCTCAGTCCTCAACCTCCAGAGTCAGCCACTGCTCTTATGTTTCTACCTTTGATTATTTTTCCTTTTCTAGAATTTTAGGTGTAAAGAAAGATGCAGTATATATATTGTTTGTGTCTGACTTCTTTTGCTCAATGTAAAGTCTGTAAGATTCATTTATGTTGTTTTATGTGTCACCACTTCATTCCTTTTTATGGCTGTATAGTATTCAATGAGACCATGTGGGTTAGTTTGGCAGTGCCATGACATTGTATGGGACTCAGGCTCTTTTCTGCCATCCTCACTGTGTCAGAGTTAGAATTTCATGGATTACAAGCATTATCCTCTCATGACAACATCTAAAGCATAAGCAGAAGATAAGTTTAAAGACTTTGAGATTTTTTAACTTAATATGAGTAAATACAATGAGCACTTTGATAAATTTAAAAAAAAGTTTGTGGATATAATGATGCCATTTGTTTTAGAAATCCCATTATTGCGTAAGCAATCAGCATTTTTAACTTCAGCATTTTAATTACCAAAACAACCTTTACTCTGACATTTCTCAAGAAGGAACTGATAAATATGAGATTTTATGACTTATTATGTGGTTTTCTTTAATGCAATCAGACTAAAAGAAGTGAAGAAAAAAATATGCTTTTTGGGGGTCCCTAAAGCAAAGTGTTGGACACATTGTAGAGATGTTGTGAGTGTCTGTAACTCTGCAATGAGGTATGATTTACTAACTTACAACCAGCTAACTGGGGAGTGTGAGGCTATGACTATAAGGAGTAAGCAGAAGTTTGAATGTAAATGTTGATTTTGTTCAAGCAACTGTTATTCTGAAAACTATTGGTCACATTCATTTTAATAGCTTATTATCACCATGCATACTGAAAAACCTCATTTGGTTATTGTCATTTTGTATTCAGAAAAAGACTCCAATAAGACCTCCTAAGACTTTTGCATTTATTTTCCAGGAGTTAGCCTGTGTTCATAATTACTTAATGGTCTTTAGTGTGTTCACAGAATAATAACAACAGTGGTAAATAATACATAACATTTGCATAGAGCTACCAAGGTGGCAAAGCCCCGAACTCTCTCCAGCAATTGACATTCTTATCACTGCCATCTTGTTGACACTGCTCCCTTGGCTGACCAAGATCTTGTGGATGTACTTTCTCACTTAACTCTGTCTCCTTTAATTGGATGTTTTTCTCCTGCTCTTAAGTGTAATTATTATTCACGTACTTTAAGAAGCGGTAGACTAGGAATGAGAAAATACAATTTCTGGTCTTGGATCCACATTTTAAACATTTATGGTGGATGTCATTAAACCTCTCAAGCTGTTTCTGCAGTTCTACAATGAGCATGTTCATATTTTCTTTGTTAATTCCACAGATTGCTGTCATTATCAGTTGAGATAACACATCCAAGTTCTTTAAAGGAAAATGCAAGCTGGAGATGCTGCACTTACTATGCTGTCTGTATAGTTTCAGTGAATTTGTCTCCTTTTACAATTCCATCTCTCGTTTATTTGTTGATGACTGCTAAATTCAAAACTAAATCTTTTAAAGTTTTGGCCCAAATTCCAATTTTTATTTCCAGGACTTACATGTGTATATTCACTAATACCTCAAATTCAATACCAAACAACCAGTTGTGACAGTCAGAGCACATGAAGGTGGTCAGATGGAAATACAGGGTGCCTAATTTAAGAAGAGTGATGCTCTCTGAATGTAGATCTACAATATTAAGTATATTAATATAACCAAATTGGATTTTTAAACTCACAATTATCCACTTGTGTCACTCCTGAATCATGTAGGCTAAACGATATGGTTCAAATGATATGATCAGAAGAAATTAGGAATATGTCTCTAATTATTTGTACATCTTGAATGAAAAACTGAACCCAGAGAAATAGATTATATTTGGATTGATTTTGCAAAAGTACTCTGACATTGAATAATAAATTAAGGAAATACTTTCAGACATAGTTACTAAAAATACAGTAGTATTTAGACTACTCAACTAGTTGAATATCTCCTAGAAAAAAAAACTCAGTCTGCTAAAAGATAGTATCTACTGTATTTTTGAGTGGGCTTTTTCTAAATTAAATTGTTCAGGAGATTAAAAAAAAATTTTCTTGAAGAGAACACTTAATGCTTCGTGAATTTTATTCATTAATGTGGCCATAGGCTATGTAATTGTGTCACAGGAATGGGACTGTGGGAAAAAAATCTACATTGCTTTTGGAGTTTGTAATAATGAAAACAGGGGATGGTGTTGAGTCCACGAGTCTTACAGCTTTTAGGAACTTGAGAAATCTGATTTAAACATTTCAGATCTGTTTTACTCTACAGCTATAATAACAAACATCTCAAACATGAAATGAAGAGGAAATTAAAATAACACTATGTATGGCACAAATATTCTGATGTTTTTATTTATTAACCTATACAATTTAGGCTGAAATATAATATATCTATAGAGAAGTAAATAAAACATACATTGTATATCGCTTGATATGTTTCTTCTCTTGCTCTTCAGTCATTCGATCTTGTAAATTATTTTATTTTATAGTTTTGTGATGATGATTTAATATCCACAATATATAAAGAAATCCTACAGCTCAACAACAAAAAGATACCAAAGATGGGCAAAGAACTTACGTAGACATTTCTCCAAAGAAGATACACAAATGGCCAACAAACACATGAAAAAAAGCTTAAAACGATCAGACATTAGGGAAGTCGAATAAAAATGACAGTGAGGCACCACTTCATACCCACCAGGATAGCTGTAACAAAATCAAACAACAACAAAAAATAAAATAGAAGGTGACAAGTATGGACAAGGACATGGAGCACGTCATGCAAGTTCAACTCAAGGCCTAGGTCACAAGTTGGCAAACTACAGCCTGAAAGCCAAATCGGGCACACAGCTTGTTTTTGCACATTCTTCAAGCTAACAATGTTTTTCACATGTTTAAAATGTGTGTGTGTCTGTGTGTGTCTGTGTGTGTGTGTGAGAGAGTGAGAGAGAGAGCAGTCATATGTGGCGAGAAATCATATGTAGCCTGCAGTGCCTAAAATATTTACTATTTGGTACTTAGTTTTGCCCTGGCAGGCACATTAGTCTGGGGAGGATCACCTTGATCCAATTCAGATTCAATTGTTTTGAACATAGGTTTTAGGTTTATTTTATTTTATTAATTTTTTTTCATTTGATCTGTTTTTGGTTAGCTTTGAGGTCTTCACCAGATCTCATTCTCTTTGCTAGATGCTAAACTGATATTTTCCCCTCTCATTTCCATTGGAGCCCCAGTGTTGTAATTTATCACTCTGTTGCATACCAGTTATTGCTCATTTTATCCACCACTGCATCACAGCTTATAATTCAGCAAATTCTTCAAGCAAACATGGAAGAGAAAAAAAAAATTTTGAAATGAAGGGCTCACTGCTAGGCCTTGACTCCTTCTAAGATTTGAGGCCTTCAAATACTCACTTCCTTGGTAGCCCTCTGTCTTAGTCTGTTTTCTGTTGCTCATAACAGAATACTTGAAACTGGGTAATTTATAAAGAAAAGGAATTGATTTCTTACAGTTATGGAGGCTGGGAAGTCCAAGGTTCAGGGACTGCGTCTGGTGGGAATCCTTCTCCTGGTGTGGGCTCTGCAGAGTCCCCAGGTGGCACAGGGCATCACATGGTGCAGGGGCTGAGCTTGCGAGCTCAAGTCTCTCTTCTTTTGAAGCCACCAGTCCCACTCCCGTGATAATGCATTTATCCATTAATCTATCAATCCATTAGTTCATGAATGGATTAATCCATTTATGAGAGAAGAGCCCTCATGACCCAATTACCTCTTAAAGGCTTCTCCTCTAATACTGCCTCATTAGGGAATGAGTTTCAACATGAGTTTTGAAAGGGACAAACATTCAAACTAGAGCGCCCTCTAATTGTGTAAATAGGTTGTTTTTTCAGCTTTTCTAGTTGTTCTTGGCTGTAGGGTTGATCTCTTACAGCCTAATCCACCACAGCTGTCAGGATGTGAAGTACCAGGGTTTTTCTTATTGTTTTTGTTTGTTTGCTTATTTTTACTTTCCAAAATATGTGAGAATAATACATATCAAATATAGACCATTATAGTAGTGGCCAAAACATGTTAATTCAAGAAGGAACTATAGAAAAAAAGTTATAAAATAAATTAAAGGAAATAACTACATTCTAATAAATAATTATGTAGACGTATGTAATAAAATTAGTTCAGGACATATAATCCCATAAAATATTCTCATTTTCAGATGAGGAAAAATGCACATGAGAAGATAATTCCTTTCAAGTTTACATAGTAATCTCGGAGGTAAATGTAGAACAGAAGGTTTTGCTTTTGTTATTTTTTGGTTTCTCTTTACAGCACTTTTTGTTGTCCATGTTTTGGAGGCTACTACTTTATGTTACTGATTATATTTCAATAATTTCAACAGCTGCCTATATTTTGTACTACATTGAAAGCCATTGCTTTATAAAGCTATTGCGTTCTCTTTTTCGCTTTTTAATTCTTAATATCAGATTGCTGAGTGGTCCTTTGTTTTGGTCTATGAATTAATGAATACACAAATGACTAAATCCATGGATGGATGTTGAACAGGCTATATCTGGAATACAGCAGCACAGTGAGTAACCACAAAAGTAAACTGAGGAATTACAGTGGGGAACTAGACTTCAGTAGCCTTGGTTAAATATTTTAGAGATAATTTGTACAAAAAATGAAAAACATAATTTACAATACAACATACATAAAAAAGAGGAATATAAAGAAACAAGCAAATATTGCAAGATTGGTTGGGTATTTTGCAAACTCTGAATTCCAGCATTCCATTTTATATAGTAACCTGATAGATTTAAGAATGCATAAGAAAGATTTGTTATGTAATGTGAATTTAATGTATTTAACAACACCTGAATTTTGATTGCTTTAGATATTTCTTCTTCCAGCTTTGAGGGATTTATTGAAATAAATTAACATTTGAACAGTGAATCTGTTCCTCTCGTTTAGCTAATACATTTTAAACCTGCCAGAGGTAGGTAAACCTTCATGGATATTAGACATTTCAACAAGCTATTTATTAAGTCAATTGCACCATTTTTCATTGTCATTTAGATGCTGTACTTTTATATTTCATTCCATGACCCATCAATAAGGAAATGGCAACTGCTAAAATGTTCAAATAGAATGAAATTTTAGCTTACAGTTAAAATTTAAGATGAAAATAATATTTTCCTATTTTTTATTACAACCAACTAAGTGTGGATACTTTGGAAATGGCAATAAATAAACAAGTATACTTGTAAAGTATGCTCATTTTCTGTCATTTAGAAATAATGCAAATATTAATATGAATCATTCTAATTGTCCAAATGAGCTTAATTAAAGCAACACTGTGAATGATAACTCACCTTGTTTAATGAAACAACAAGCACATCTGATTAAATCTTGGGCCTGAGGCTGCAAATGCAGGGAATATATTCATATCGTGTGTTTATCCTGGTTTGGAAATTTTCTAGATCAATTTAAAACCTGGCTGTCTCACTGAGTAGAGATGAGAGAACAGGACGGTAGCTGGAATAATGATCAGAACAGGAACTTTGGATATTGTATTTTTAATTTTTTAGCACCATAGCCTTTAATCCTATAACCTCAAGGTCCTGAAACCTTGCCAGACAGTGGTTAAGAATGGATTCAGTTGGTATTTATGTCCAAATTTTAGGAACTCGTGACCACATACTGTCCCAGTGGGACCTCCAGCCCCCTGCAAATCTTAGGGGAATTCCCAGGGAGTATCTTCTGTGGACTAGGAAACAATACCTTCTTTCTGTAAATACCAGTCTCCAAGAACAGGAACCAGGACACTTTATAGAAATGACTGATGCTCAGGTCGGGGCAAGGAAAATGCAAGATAAGCCTGAAGCTTTTTGTGGCTGCAGAAAATGAGGTGTTCAAACAGGAACGGGTGTGTCCAAAGAAAGCCAGATGAACAGGAGAAATTCCCAGGGACAAAGTAGGACAATTAAGCAATCAAACAATGACAGAATTGGATTATAATTCATGGAACAACAACAAAAATCCAAGACAACAACGTTATTCAAATACATAATCGAATAAATAAATAAATAAATAAATAAATAAATAAATAAGGAACAGTTCTTCCTTACAGATGAGTTCAACTAATATGTGTAGAAGAAATAGGTGAAATATAAAATTGCTCTTTGTCAATGTGGCAGTGATAATTGCTGCAGGAAAGATCCACTTATCAATTGGAAAATCAGCCAGCGAAAGTTTAAGGAAAAATAGGATGTTAGTGTAGCCTCAAATTATATCCTTCTTTTTTATTTATTTATTTATTTATTATTATTATTATTATTATTATTATTATTATTATTGAGACAAAGTCTCGCTCTGTAGCCCAGGCTGGAGTGCGGTGGCAGGATCTCGCTCACTGCTACCTCCGCCTCCTGGGTGCCAGTTCAAGCAATTCTCCTGCCTCAGCCTCCCGAATAGCTAGGATTACAGGCATGCGCCACCATGCCCAGCTAATTTTTGTATTTTTGGTAGAGACGTCCATGATCAAAGTTAATATCACCAGTAATAAAACATCACATCATGACCCTCCAATCGGATGCGCTGAGAAGGACAACATTCACTGCTGTAGGAGTCTTGCCAAATGTCAGTTAAAGCATGAAAAAATATCAGTCAAAACCCAGATGAGAGCTATTCTACAAAGTAACTGACCAGTGCTCATCAAAACTGTCAAGATCATGAAAGATAAAGAAAGAATGAAAATTGTCACTGATTGAGAATAAGACATACATAAAAACTAAATAGAGTATAGGATCCTAGGTTGGATCCCAGAGCAGAAAAAGAACATTAGGGGAAAAAAATGGTAAAATTTGGAGAGACTCTCAGATTTAAGAGTGTTACACAAATGTTAATTACTTGTTTTTGAGAATTGCATTGTAGTTATGTAAGTTGTTATCATTAGGGAAAGCTGGGCGAACAGTATATTTAAAAATTCTGGACTATTTTTGGAAATTTCTGTAAATCTAAAATTATTTCAAAAGAAACAGTGAAATAAAGAAACATATGTGTGGCCAGGTGCAGTGGCTCACGCCTGTAATCCCAACACTTTAGGAGGCTGAGGCGGGTGGATCCTGAGGTCAGGAGTTCGAGACAAGCCTGACCACCATGGTGAAACCGCATCTCTACTAAAAATACAAAAACTAGCCAGGTGTGGTGGTGCATGCCTGTAATCCCAGCTACTCAGGAGGCTGAGACAAGAGAATCACTTGAACCCGGGAGGCGGAGGTTATAGTGAGCTGAGATTGCACCAGTGCACTCTAGCCTGGCGACAGAGTGAGACTCTGTCTCAAAACATAAATAAATAAAATAAAAATAAAAAAGAAACGTGTATATGTATGTGTGTGTGTGTCTTTTTGTCTTTTTTTTTTTTTTTTTTTTTTTTTTTTTGAGATGGAGTCTCTCTCTCTGTCGCCCAGGCTGGAGAGCAGTGGTGCCATCCTTGCTCACTGCAAGCTCCGCCTCCTGAGTTCACACCATTCTCCTGCCTCAGCCTCCCTAGTAGTTGGGACTACAGGCGCCCGCCAACACACCCGGCTAATTTTGTGTATTTTTTATTAGAGACGGGGTTTCACCATGTTAGCCAGGATGGTCTCGATCTCCTGACCTCGTGTTCCACCCGCCTTGGCCTCCCGAGTGTGTGTGTATTTCTTGACACATTACAATAAAAGCCTGATCTATTAAATTTGCCCAAACTTCAATGCAAAAATATTGAAATGGTTTTGAATACAGTATGGGAGATATTTGGGTGGACAGCAGATGGGTTTTACTGTAAGATGTGCTCCCTTTGATGGTTCAGGAACTCTTCACAGAATTAGGTAACAGTATTTGACCTGTGTGAATCTATGAAAATATTTATAAATATGTCTTCTTTCTCATTTTACTCCTAAGGTATGTACGGTTAACATCCATGTGGCTATAATCTATTCAACAGTAATTCATTTAGTCTGCTCCATATTGCCTTCTGTTAAATAACTTAAGAAGTCATTATTAAAATATAAAAATAAGCCTGATTATTAAGGTAGAAACTTAAGCAGTAAGTGGGTTTAACTTCAGTTTGAATTATATCTATCGGGCTAGGCCTCCTTTCAAATGTGTGATCACTCTGACAGTCATTGTCTTTCTCCAAAAATTCTGAGAGCCTTTGATTTTGTTTTATTTCTTTGTTTTAATTACATTTTCTGAAGTGTAGCCTTTGGGAAACTGGCTGTCTTCATGGTTAAAATAAAAGATAAAGTTTGGCCCCCTCCTTTCAATATTCTGAAGTCAGATATCCTTCCCTTTAACTTGTAGAAATGGAAGTAACTTTAGTCTTATAGCTCATTTTAGAGAGCAAAAAATGAGACTCAGACATAAATTAATTGTACAAGATCTCAATGATTTTACTGGTAAATTGAGAAAAATACTGTTTCTTTTCATTATCAAATTAGTCACTAAAACATTCTAGCAAACATTCATTTTGTGCTTACTACGTCCTCAACACTGGAGGTAAAAAACAATGAAAAAGACACTATCCTTTTCCCACAGAGCCTACCATTTAGTGAGAGAAGGAGATAATCAAGTTATAATGAAGCCCAGAAGAATATTGTAATAAAAATTGTGGAGGAGAAGCCCATTACATAGACTGAGAGGCTCGGGGTGCTCAACGTGGATATAAATCATCTGCCTTTTCTACCACGGCTCCAGTAGAATATGAAAAAATAAATAAATAAATAATAAAATAAAAAAACTCTAATCTATGTAGGTCTGGGTGGTGACTCATCATGATACATTAATTTTCAAATTTTTTTCTGAATACCTTGTGCTTGAGTGTAACTTAAGATGACAGCTGCTCCCAGTAACTGTGTAGTTGATTCTGCCTTGACATTCACCCTTACCTACCTTTGAATTTAATTTGCAAACACTTTCAATCATACCATCGTGTTTTTATCAGCTCTTGCCACTCTGAAAAATATATATATATTTTCTTTTTTACCTGTTGATTTTCTCTCTCCTGCTACAGAGACCATCGCCTTTGTACATTGCAACTAGGAATGTTGCCTGCTGAGTCTTTCCTTAATAAATGTTAACCGAGTGAAGTCTAAGTGTCAGTTGATAGCTCATTGCTCATCAATTTAAAGGGAAGTACTTTACCTTAAAATTTTCTTCAGTATAGCTGAAACCAACAATTTGAAATAAGAGCTTGAATAAAATATTTTTTTCTAGGACCATGGTAGTTTTGAAGTTGGCAGCTAAAGCCTCCTGCATCTTTGCTCTCTGCCCCTCACTCCACTCATCTTTCAGGTAGCATATTACACCTTCCTAGATTTTTTTAATTTTACTGAAGAATATTCAGTAGATATTCTTTAAAAAGTTAGTCCCACAAAAATAAGCTGTGAACAAATTTAACTATAACTATTTTAAATACCACTAGGCTACTGTATCTTCTTCTAGTTATTATTCTGATACATTTGAAAAAGTTTTAAAAATAAACACTATCACGGATTAAATCTGAAAATGTAGCTGGATGTATTACAAATACTCTTTTGGCAATGTATGTTTGGCAGAGAAAATCCAGTTTGGGGAACTGCTATTAATGTGATGATATTGTGTAATTTTTCTATATTTTTCATTAATTCATGTATTATTAAATTAGATAGGGAAATTTATGTGAAATTGGAAATAGTGCCAAGTTGGCAATGACTTGCTTTTAAAAATGTTTTCAATGTTGCCCACATCTTGCTGAACAATTTTCACAATGTATTCTGGCAAGCATTTTTCTTCAATTCCTTAAGTTCTTGCATTTTAAAGGAATTCAGTCAGAATTTACACTGACAGTTCACAATACCGACTTGCAAAAGAGCTGGAATAACCAGTAGTTTCTGTGGGTAGCTTTGAGAAACTGTTAAAGTAGTGTTTTTTTAAAATAATCAGATTTTGACAGATGAGCATGAATTTTATGCCCATAGGGTTTTGATTTAAAATAAAATAACATTTGACTTTAAAATATCATTACTTTAGTTCAAAAACCAAAGTAATCCAATGCTTCCATTTTGCAGCCAAGCATTTCTTGTTTGCTTCCTCCTGCTTCTCTTCCACCTCCTCCACCCTCCTCCCACTCCTTCCATTTTAATGTTTGGGGGAAGCCTTAAGCAATAGAGAGCATGAGAGCCATGCCAGCTCTGGGAAGGAACTTGTCGTCTCACTGAGTGTGAAGAAGGCAGTGGATGTTATTGGGAGGGAAGACACTGAGCAGGGGGAGGCACCTGAGAGACACTACCAAGAGGTGGAGAATCTGAGATGTCACTGAAAGAAATGCACTGCATACTATTCACAATAGCAAAGACATGGAATCAACCTGGGCGTCCATCAATGGTGGATTAGATAAAGCAAATGTATTATATGTACACCATGGAATACTACACAGCCATAAAAAATAATGAAATCATGTCCTTTGCAACAACATGGATGCAACTGGAGGTCATTATCTTAAGTGAATTAATGCAGACACAGAAAAGCAAATACCACATGTTATCACTTATTAGCAGGAACTAAACATTGAGTACACCTGGACACAAAGATGGGCACAAGAGACACCAGGAACTACAAGAGTGGGGAAGGGGACAAGGGTTGAGAAACTACCTACTGGGTTCTATGCTCACGACCTGGGTGATGGGTTCAATCATACCCCAAACTTCAGCATCACACAATCTACCTTTGTAACACACTTGCACATGCACCCCCTGAATCTAAAACAAAAGTCAAAAGAAAAAAAAAGAAATTCAGTACATGGGTAGCAACAATCAAGATTCCAACCCATCAGAAGCTCAGAGAGAAGTCTCATTTCCAATATTCTTTCTTCAGTGAAATGTTATTGAACATTGTACATGGTCTCATTTTCATCCTCTCGATAACCACGTGAGGTACGTATTTTACTCTTATCCTTAACTTAAGGAAGTTAGGTTTACTGAGATACAGTCTAAAGAAACAATGAGAAGCTTGGGCAGCACAGAGAGATATTAATAGATAGTCTGAGGTTTGCATTCTCAGCTAGGTCGCTTACCAGCTTTCTGAGCTTCGACAAGTTTTTCGGGCTCTCTTTGCCTCAGTTTCCACATTAATATGGGGACGATATGAGTATAAACCCCATAGCGTTGTTAAGCATTATATGAATGAAAATCTGGAAAGTGCTTAGAAGAGAATCTTGCACATGTTAGGGCACTAAATAAATATTTGTGAAATGAATGACTTTTTCAATACACTTTAGCTCTTGTTTGTAGCAGTGTTGTTATAGTTATCATTAGGTAGCTCCTTCAAAGTACTACACCTTGTATGTGATAAAGATCTGTATTGGAATTTTGAATCTGAAGTTTAGTAAATATGTGACCGTGGACGAGTTATCTAACCTAAGATTCATTTTGGCTATAATGAATGGGGAGAAAACACTACTAATCCTTATAATCTTTATTTTAAGGATTAGAGAAAATTAGGAAGGTTGAAAGCAAAAAAATGGTGCCTGGGATTCAACTCATTTTAGATATCTGCAGCATCTGAAGCAGCATTCTTCTCCTTTGTCCCTCCTTTCCCTATGTTCCTTGACTGGACTGGTGCCCAATGGGGGTGAGATTGGCAGTAGTTCTTCGAGATAGCTAGACAGCACATACAAGCAGTAGCCATCTGCAGGCAGAGTCCTTCTCCAACACTAAGTTTATCTCACAGTTAAGGAAAGCAAAACAAGTGCTCTCCGCATCTAGAGACGTAGCTAACATGGTCTAAGGCAAGCTGAAATCCTCCCTTGTTTTATCTTCCAATTGTGTGCCACTCTTGCCTTCTATGCCATAAAATACTTGTGCTTATTTTAATATAAAACAATACGGTTGTTTTCTCCAAGTCTTGAAATAAAACTGCCTTTCTTGAAAGATGCCTTATATTTTCTGGTTTGGTTTTGGTTTTTATTTCCCCTGGAGCCTTGTAGCTCAAAACAATGGAAGGTACTTCTTGCAAATGTACATTCCTGGGCTCTATTCCTGAGGTTCTGAGGGTTGGTTCCAAGAAAATTCCCCGTTTTTCACAAGGATGTAAGAGAATACTAATTTTTCAGAGCCACTGCCTAAAGCTTGCCTATGAAATGGCCAGTTCAAGTGACCATTACAATGAGGATGACTCAGTATTAATTATCACCAGACATATAAAGTGGAGTTGTTTCTTCTGGGAAGCCTTTTGTTAGTGTCTATGCTGGAGATCAGGCAAATCCTAGTGAGAAAGGAGTAGGGAAGTGAGGCCTAGAGATTCACAGGAAAGTTTTCCATAGCCCTTGGTTTGTGGTATAATAGCATAGCATTTTCTATTTCCAGGGAAAGGTCTAAAAAATACCAAAATGAATGCTTACTTTAGGATTCATACAGTCACGCACCGCCTAACAACATTTCAGTCAACAATGGACCACATGTACGATGGTGGCTCCATAAAACTATAACAGAGTTGGCTGAGCGCGGTGGCTCACACCTGTAATCCTAGCACTTCGGGAGGCCAAGGTGGGTGGATCATGAGGTCAGGAGATCGAGAGCATCCTGGCTAACAAGGTGAAACCCCATCTCTACTAAAAATACAAAAAATTAGCCAGGTGTGGTGGTGGGTGCCTGTAGTCCCAGCTGCTCGGGAGGCTGAGGCAAGAGAATAGCGTGAACCCAGGAGGCAGAGCTTGCAGTGAGCTGAGATCGTGCCACTGCACTCCAGCCTGGGCGACAGAGCTCAAAAAAAAAAAAAAAAAGAAAAAGAAAAACTATAACGGAGCTGAAAAATGCCTATTGCCTAGTGACGTCTTAGCCATTGTAATGTTGTAGCACAAGGCATCACTCTTGTGTTTATGGTGATGCTGGGGTAAACAAACCTACTGCACTGTCTGTCATATAAAAGTCTAGTGCCTCTAATTATATACAGTATATAATCTTTGATAATGATTATAATTGTTACTGGTTTAAATATTTGCTATATTTTTTCATCATTTTAGAATATACTTTTTCTACTTATTTAAAAACATTTTAACTGTAAACAGCCTCAGGCAGGTTCATCAATAGGTATTATAGAAGAAGGCTTTGGCATTGTTACAGGAGAGGACAGCTCCATGCCTGTTATTGCCTCTGAAGATCTTCCAGTGGAACAAGAAGTGGAGGTGGAAGACAGTGATGTTGATGACCTGACCCTGTGTAGGCCTAGGTTAGTGCGTATAAATACACACATGTGTTTAGCTTTTAACAAAAAGTTTAAAAATTAAAAATGGAATATAGATAAAAGCTATAAATAAGCATATAAAGACAGAAAATATTTTGTACAGCTGTGTAATGTGTTTGTGTTTTAAGCCAAGTGTTATTACAAAAGAGAAAAAAAGTTTAAAAAAATTAGTGTACAGTAATATCCTAGGCTTTTACATTGACTTCTCACTCACTGACTCACCTAGAGCAACTTCAGTTCTGCAAGCTCCATTCATGGCATGTGCCCTATACAGGTGTATCAGTTTTTTTTCTATTTTTTATACTGTATTTTTACAGTACCTTTCTATGTTTAGATACACAAATACTTAACATTGTTTTGCATTTGCCTGTAGTATTCAGTACAGTAGCATGCTGTACAGGTTTGTAGCCTAGGAGCAATGGGCTGTATGCCATATAGCCTGGGAATGTAGTAGGGATCACATACTCTGATGTTTGCACAGTGATGGAATTCCCAACAATGTGCTTTTCAGGACATATCCCCATTGTTAAGCAATGCATGACTGTGTATCAATAGGAGCAGGATATTTTATGTCACTTATACATTTCAGTGTTCTTCCTGAATTATGTAAGAAGCTAAATGTTTTATGACTATCTTCTACTTGAAAATTAAATCAGTTTGGAATATGTACTGTTAAAGTAAAATATCTACAATATTTAGTTGAGATAAACAAAACATTTCATTTTAAAAATGTTTTCCTTTTCATTCAAAGCATAAAACTGTTTTTCTTATTTTTTATTCAAGAAATAGGTAATGTTACATCTTTGATTTTGTAGGCAGCTTTAACTTATCTTTTATCAATATAAACTATATCAGATAAATCATATCAGAGGGGAGTTTTTATTATTACAGGTTGAATATCCCTTATCCAAAGTATCTGGAACAAGAAGTGCTTACAATTAACCTTTTTTTTCAGATTTTCAAATATTTGCATATACATAATGAGATATAGTTCAGGGATTGGACCCAAGTCTAAACATGAAGTTCATTTTTTTTTTTTTTGTATACACCTTACAAATAGCTTGAAAGTAATTTTACTTTCCCCTTGGGGATGCTAAATAAACTGTGTGTCTTGTGCACCATCACGTGAGGTCTGGTGTGGTGTTTTCCACTTGTGTCATATTGGTGCTCAAAAAGTTTAGGATTTTGGAGCTTTTCAGATTTCACATTTTTGGATTAGGGATGCTCAACCTATGTTATGCTTAGCACCTAAACACATGAACCAGGAAACACTAAATCAGAGCATAATTTGTCAATTGTTTTTCATATCAATATAGTTAATGGGAAAAGAATCAACTTCCAGAATAAAGAAATATATTTGGGAAGAGGATTTTACGTATTTGATTGTATATTTGAACTAGTTATTAAGTATAATCAAACTGCAAAATATGGCAAACTAGATAATCTGCCTAAGGAGAAAGAAATGATAGAGGTACAATGTTGTTAATTAAGAGTAGGCTTTAGCCAACTAAGAGCAATCAAAAGCCTTTGTTTTCTGATTTTGCCTCACAGTCTCAAGTGAGGACTTCAGGATACTCTAAATCTTCAATTAATAACTGTTTTCCAAATCTGTCAGTTAAGGGTGGCACTATTTTTCCTTTTATTCAATGACATGCAAATTGAAGATAAACCCAGAAATCTATTCCAGCCTATAAAAAACTGTAGACAGTATGTACACAAATGTGTATAAGTAGCACATAAAGGCACACCTCAGTGTCAATTTGTTTACTTAAATTGCAGTAAGTTTATTTCAAAATAAAATAATGATACAAGAAATACATCTGTATTAGTCCGTTTTCACACATTAGTCTGTTTTCATGCTGCTGATAAAGACATACCCGCGAGACTGGATAATTTATAAAGAAAAAGGGGTTTAATGACTTAGAGTTCTACATGGCTGGGGAGGCCTCACGATCATGGCAGAAGGTGAAAGGCGCATCCTACATGGCAGCAGGCAAGAGAGAAATGAGAGCCAAGCGAAAGGGGAAACCCCTTATAAAATCATCAGATCTTGTGAGACTACCATGAAAACAGTATGGGGGAAACGGCCCCTATGGTTCAATTATCTCCCACCAGGTCCCTCTCACAACACATAGTAATTATGTGAACTACAATTCAAGATGAGATTTGGGTGGGGATGCAGCCAAACCGTATCGACATCTTTTTTCCTCCCTTTATTCCTATTTTGGAAGGGAGGAGGGAATTACACAGGTTACTAAAATCACTGTCATGAATTTCATGATATGAAATCATCCAACTCATTGAACATAATTTGTGGCAAAATGTATTTCTGGTTTTTTTTTTTGTTTTTTTTTTTTGCTGGTTTGTGGGGGATTAGGGGTCATGAGCAAAGGATACCGTGAGGGGGATATTTAGCAAATTCAAAAGCTTAACAAAGGGAATCAACCGATAAAGTCTACTAAGTCCAAGCACCCATTGAATATAGTGTAATTTTGCCATTATCCTATCAGAACCCGAAGTGGAAACATCCTGTTACCTGCCACCCTTGTTCTCCTGAAAGTTCCTTGATGAGACTCAACAGGTTCTCACAGTTGAACAGGCTCACTACAGGGGTTGCTGCTCTTAGAAAATAGCTTGTCTTTTAATTCCATTTATTCTTCCGTATCCATTCATTTATTCTATGTGACTCAGAGGAATGACCGTATTTCTTTAATGTTCTTTTAGTCATTGAAACATCTATATTCCAAGCTATTCTGGTGGAGTGTTGGTGATGAATTCATCCAGGAAATAGCTCGTTTTATCCCCAAATGGCTCTCAGCTGGATGACTGCAGATGGAGACTCGTGGATTTCATGTGTACACTCAGATGCCTACTCCCTGAAAAGATCAGCACATTTGAATCTGATTATCCTCTCATTCGTTGCTTTCTAAACCATCAGTAAATAGTGAGCACTTCCCAATATATGTACTGTATGTATGTGTGTGTAGACATATATAATGTATATCATACCCTAACATACATGGTATACCTCTGTAATATATTACTTACTTACATTATAAAACAAAAAATGCCAAAAAAATCCGGAATATTTAGGAGAAGTCATTTATTAACTCTTTCAATGAGTATTTATTGAGCATCTATTTTGTGCCAGGTACTGTTCTAAGTCATGGGGATTAAACAGTGTTCAGGACAAACTTTGATGCTTCAGAGAGCATATATTTTAGTGGGTAAATAGACAAGGCATGTGTAAATATACAACATAGTGTCAGTGATAAGTATGAGGAAAGGGAAGAATGTGTTCATGTGATGGAACTGAGGGGTTATGATTTTATATAGGGTGGCAGGGACGCTGGAGCAAAGACCTTGCTAAGGGCAGAGAATGGAGAAAACTCTCTAAAGCAAAGGAAATAAAAAGTACAATATCCTGTGACAGTGGTGGATTGGATAAAGTTGAAACAAACAGGATTTATGAACAGCTAATGAAACACTGTTAAGGAGAATGGGTGGCTATCTATGTTTCACATAGTTTTTTTCATACTTTGACAGTTTTTTGATGTGTCTGCTTGTCTTATCTGATGGACTTACTATTTTAACTTCAAAATGTAGCAAATAAAGAACATAAAGAACATGTACTAGGAATAAGAGAGAGTGTTAGCTGCATCATTGCTTGCTTCTATCCAACATAAAAAATGTTTTCTGGGCTGGGCGCGGTGGCTCCCACCTGTAATCCCAGCAATTTGGGAGGCCGAGGCGAGTGGATCACCATAGGTCAGGACTTCAAGACCAGCCTGACCAACATGGCGAAACCCCGACTCTACTAAAACTAGAAAAAATTAGCCGGGCGTGGTGGCAGGCACCTGTAATTCCAGCTACTCCGGAGGCTGAGGCAGGACAATCGCTTGAACTGAGGAGGCGGAGGTTGCAGGGAGCAGAGATCGCACCATTGCACTCCAGCCTGGGCAACAAGAGCAAGAGCGAGACACCATCTCAAAAAAAAAAAAAAAAGTTTTCAGGCTGGGCGCGGTGGCTCACGCCTGTAATCCCAGCACTTTGGGAGGTTGAGGCGGGTGAATCACCTGAGGTCAGGAGTGCAAGACCAGCCTGACCAACATGGTGAAACCCCGTCTCTACTAAAAATACAAAAATTAGCTGGCTGTGGTGGCGGGTGCCTGTAATCCCAGCTACTCGGGAGGCTGAGGCAGGAGAATGGCGTGAACCCGGGAGGCGGAGCTTGCAGTGAGCCGAGATCGCGCCACTGCCCTCCAGCCTGGGCGACAGAGCGAGACTCCGTCTCAAAAAAAAAAAAAAAAAAGTCTTCAGATCATATATATTTCTTAATGAGAGACAAAACTAATCTTCTATTAAATATAATTTATTTAGTCAATTGAGATATGACTTCAAATATTTTAAATAGCTATGAATTTTGTTATAGCAGGAAATTTTTAATAACTAAAATAAGGACCTATATGGGAAGAATGAAGTCTTTTGAATTATCTGTATATCACAGTGAAGACACAGAAACATGGCCAGGTGTGGTGGCTCACGCCTGTAATCCCAGCACTTTGGGAGGCCAAGGTGGGTGGATCACCTTGAGGTCAAGAGTTCAAGACCAGACTGGCCAAGATGATGAAACCCCATCTCTACTAAAAATACAAAAAATTAGCCGGGTGTGGTGGCAGGCGCTTGTAATCCCAGTTACTCGGGAGGCTGAGGCAGGAGAATCATTTGAACCTGGGAGGTGGAGGTTGTGGTGAACTGAGATTGTGCCACTGCACTCCAGCCTGGGCGACAAAACAAGACTCTGTCTCAAAAAAAAAAAAAAAAAGAAAGAAAAGAAAAGAAAGGAAAAGAAAAACATACAGGATTTTAAATATACTAGTCATGATCTTGTATAATTTAAACAAATTTCAGATCATCTAGGCGTGGTGATACATTTCTTATTAGGTAATCAGAATTCCGTATAGGTAAATAAACCTGTCTTCAGAAATGCTGTAAAAATTCTGGGAGAAATTTGAGTCACTTACTTTTTATTTGACGTTTTCAAAGTATTAGAGAAGCCCTAAGAAAATAAAACCACCCAGGCTCCTGAGAGGGTAATGAAGAGGCACAGGAGGCCACCAGCTTGTCATGTGCATTTGTGTGTGTCGCTGCTGAATGGGAAATACCTGAACTAGAAAGTATTTGTAAAGCAAATACTCATAAACAGAGGGAACCAGATTGATTACTATGTGGCATTGTATATGCTTGTGATGTTCCACGGATAATTACAAAGTCTGGATATGTTTGTACCTCATCAGTTTTCCCAACTGTTGATGCTGATGGGTGGTTGGGGAGACGGTGTGAAGGTTCTGGTTACCATATGTTTTTAGTCACTAACAGCACTTTCAATTCTGCAGCAAGGAAATTATTGCACACCTTCCTCAGAATACTGTTTATGCGTGCATGTCAATTTTAAGAATAATTTATTTCGGTGAAACTCACCTACCCTAAAATTAACCACTTTATAGTGAGCAGTTATGTTAGTGGCATTGAGAACATTCATACTGCTGTGCAGCCACAAGCTCTGTCTAGTCCAAAACATCTCTTTAAAATTATACCCCTTACACATCAATTTGTTTTTCCCTATTCACTCTCCTCCTAACTTTCAGCAATCATCAATATGCATTCTCTATCCCTATGGATTTATCTTTCCAGATGTTTTATATAAACAGACTAATTTAACATGGGATATTTGTATCTGTCTTCTTTTACTTAGAATAATGTTTTCAAGGTTCAGTCATGTTTGTCAAAGTTTCATCCATGTATCAATATGTCGTTCTGTTTCCAGGCTGAGTAGTATCCCATTGTATGTATATATCACAATTTGTATATATCCATTCATGGGCACTTGGGCTATTTCCAGCTTTGTTGTTTCTTTTCTTTCTTTCTTTTTTTTTTTTTTTTTTGAGACAGGGTCTTACTCTGTCACCCAGCCTCGAGCCATCCTCCCACCTCAGACTCCTGAGTAGCTGGGAACGCAGGTGCGTGCCACCCATACCTAGATAATTTTTGTATTTTTTTTAATAGAGATGGGGTTTCATTATGTTGCCCAGATTGATCTCAAACTCCCTGGCATAAAGGATCTGCTCCCTCAGCCTCCCAAAGTGCCGGAGCTACGGGCACGAGTCACTGTACCAGGTCTATGTCCATCTTTTTCTATTGTGAATAATGCTTGTGTGAACATGTGTGTACCTGTATTTGTTTGAGTATCTGTTTCAATTTTGGAGGGGTAT
Source organism: Homo sapiens (assembly GCF_000001405.40). Lineage (NCBI taxonomy): Eukaryota > Metazoa > Chordata > Mammalia > Primates > Hominidae > Homo > Homo sapiens. Next base: position 107,286,259 of record NC_000013.11, on the reverse strand, counting down.
ATACGTAAGAGTGGAATTACAGGGTCACGTGGTAATTCTTTGTTTAACTTTGCAGGAATTTTCAAACTTCTTTACAGCCGCCGAACCATTTTATATTCCCACCAACAATGTACAAGATTTTCTCTTTTTCTATGACTTTCAACAGTTTGACTATAAAGTATCTGCGTGGACTTCTGGTGTTTCTCCTACTTGGATTCATATAGCTTCTTGGATGTGTAGATTTATTTATTTCAACAAATTTGGGAAGTTTTTGTCCAGTATTTCTTCAAATATTCTTCATGCCCTTTACTCCCTCTGTTCTCCATTTTGGACTCCCAGAATGCATATATTGGTCCATTTGAATGTATTCCATCCATCCCTTACACTCTGTGCACTTATCTTTACTTTTTTTTCTATTATTCAGGTTGGACACTTTCACATATTATCACCCTTATTTCTAGGAATCTTTGACTCTCTCTCAGCCCCCTGGGCAGCAGCTTTGCTTATTCTTTTTCATGAAGTTTCTCTAGATTTCATTCACTTGAATCCTAATACTTACTATATATACTATGTATAATATATACTGTATACTACATGCATCCTCTGTATACTATATACCATATATATGCTATACACTATAATATGAATACATATATATAAAACAATATACCCATGGTATCTATTACCTATACATACACATATATGGTTTGCACTCATTTCAGTTCCATTTGACTTGATGTCTATATGGTGTACAAGTGTACACAGTGGGTTTTCATTTGTTGGAAGTGCAACATGAGAACGTGAAAAAATGCATTAGCTACTTAAAGCCAGACTGTCTAGTCTAAGAACAGCCATGCTGTCCTGGGCTTAGAGGTGGCAGTACCTATGTCCTTCTCTCTATGCAAGCCCTAGGGCAGTCTTCCAATGGTTGTTGAATATTTCTCATTTCCTCAGAAGTTGTATGGGAATAACCACATGGTTATTCACCCATATATCTAGGGCATATGTGTCATGAAAGTGCAAGCAGCTTCTCTTAGGTATTATACAGGACTAGAGAAGACAGGTGAATCTGTGAATCTCAATAGTGAGATTTGTAGGTTTCTCTTATATTTTACCTACTTGCATTGCATGATAAATAAGCATGCAGAGTAACATAAATCTATTTCAAAGTACACATAGACATATAATATATGCCACAGGTCCTAATCATTGAATCTATGCTTCAATCTTCAAATTTCCTGATTATTTTTTCTCTCTGCTCAAATCTGCTGTTGAACTTTCCTAGTGAATTTTTTAGTTATTACACTTTTCAGCTCCAGAATTTCTATTTGGTTATTGTATTAGTCAAGTCAATCTATCATTTAAAAAAAAAATAGGATGGGTGGCTCAAACAATAGAAATGAACTTCTCGCGGCTCTGGAAGCTAGGAGATCCAAGACGAAGGCTCCAGCATGGCAGGTTTCATTCTGTGGCCCCTTCTGGCACGTAGGCAGCTGCCGTCATGCTCTGTGCCCACATGACGTCTTCTCTGTGTGCACGTTGGAGCAGAGAGGAAGTTAAGCTCTCTACTGCTTCTTTATGACACTAATCCCATCATGGAGGCCCACCTTTATGACCGCATCTAAACCTCATTACTTCCCAAGCCCCATCTCCGAATGCCATCACATTGGAGTTAGGGCTTCAACATACGAATTTGAGGGGGAGGGCGGGACACAGTTCAGTCCATAGCAGTTACATTGTATGGTTTCCATCTCTTACTGATATTTTAGTTTTTTTCACACATTGTTTCCTGGTTCTTTTTAGTTCTTTGTTCCTGGCTTCCTTTAGCTTTTTGAGCACATTTAAGCCAGTTAATTAAAGTCTTTGGCTGGTAAGTTCCTTTCTTCCTCATGGATGGTTTCTGTCAATTTGTTTTGTTTTGTTTTCCTTTGAATGAGTCATGCTTTCCTGCTTACTCATATACTTTGTGATGTTTTTTCATTGAAAACTGGACATTTGAGTATTAAATATACTAACTGGAAATCCTATTCTCCCCCTTCTCCAGGGTCTTTGTAAGCATGTGCCCTTCCCTGGGCATATGTGTAGCTTTCTAAATTCCCCCTGTATATCTAAGTGCTTTCAAACGCCTGATTTTCCAAAGAAATGCTTACCTGCTTTTCTCCCAGACATTAGGCTGTGATCGTATGTCAGCCATAATCCTTTGCCCTATGTAGCTGTAGGTTTTTCATTTGTCTTTTAATGTTTTTGAGCAATGCCCACCACTTTTTCATCTTAAGTGATTTATCTGTCAGGCAAAACAAAGATGAGTGTCTTTCTTCAGTCTTTTAGGGAACTCCTAGACAGTTTAGAACATCAGCACTTTGGGAGGCCGAGGTGGGTGGATCATGAGGTCAGGAGATCAAGACCATCCTGGCTAACACGGTGAAACCCCCGTCTCTACTAAAAATACAAAAATTAGCCGGGCATAGTGGCGGGCGCCTGTAGTCCGAGCTACTCAGGAGGCTGAGACAGGAGAATGACGTGAACCTGGGAGGTGGAGTTTGCAATGAACCGAGTTTGCGCCACTGCACTCCAGCCTGGGCAACAGAGCGAGACTCTGTCTCAACAACAACAAAAATAGTAAATAAATAAATAAATAAATAAATAAATAAATAAATAAATAATGAAGATCCGCTCTGCTTCATCCAGAACCAGACACCAGAGTTCCAAACTGGGAACACGGGATGCCATCTTCAAAACTGCCCCCAAGCCAGGGAGCAGGTGAGGCAAGAGCAACCTGAAGCGCCACTCATATTTTTTTAACCGATTTGTGTTGCCAATTTTTTTTTTTAACTCAGCATTCACCTGGTTGCTGTCAACTTTTGCCCATTTTTGAGAGTTATGATAAAGTTTGCTCTGGCAGTTTCTCCTTGTTTTTGATGTCTCTGAGGAGAGACAGGAGTCTGGAGCTGCCGTACTTCACCATGTTGCTGATGTCACTTGTGTACATGTTTATTGGCACACATGTAAGGTGATCTTGTTTATAAATAAATATTTCACCAGTGATTTACAACCCTCTCCCTATTCCCAAGGAATACAGCCTAATTATATGAGTTAGTTAATACAGCCAGCCAGACAATTCACTTTTAGGCCATGATCATAATCTCAGTGCGGCCAATGTGGTTCTAACAAGTTTCTCCCACCACTGAGGGACTCCTCATCAACTCCTTAGGGCTCCCGTCCGTTCCTCTGTACTGACCGTTTCCGTCTAAAATTGGAAGTATGTTTCCAGTGAATACTGAAGTTTTTCTACAGTGTGTAATCTGACGAGTATAACTTTTAATTATTTCCCTTTAATGGAAGAATTATCTAGCTCTTTTACATTAAAAATTACCCCCAAAACTTAGTGGCATAAACAAGAATAAATATTTGTTATCTCACCCAACTTTCATAAGAGGATTTGGGAAGTAGATTAGCTGGCTTCTACAGGCACAGCATCTCTCCTGAGGTTCAGTCCCCTCAAAACCTGGCAGGAGCTAACGGATTCACTTCCGAGGTCGATCACTCACATGACTGGCAAGTTAGTGCTGGCTGTTGGCAAGAGGCCGCAGGACCTCATCACAGGGGCCTCCCCAAAAGTTGGCCGGAAGGTCCTTACAACATACTTGCTGTAGAGTGAGTGATCCCAAAGAGGACAAGATGACCTGGCCTGAGAAGTCGCACTCTGTCATTACTGCACTACTCCACTGGTTAAAAAGTCTAACCCTACTAGTGTGGAAGGGAACCACATAGAGATATGATGAGGCCAGATTCACTAGTGGCCACCTTGGGGGCTGGCTACCATGCCAATATCCTCTTAGTCAACAGGTTCACCAATTCTCCCTCTCCTATTCATTGCTTCCTCCAGAGTCCATCCTCTTTGTTATGACCCTAATTCAGGTATTACTTAAATAAAATTTGATGTTTCATTTATAGGATTTGCTCTCTGGATAACATTCATAGCAAGCATTCGCTTATCACTGCTATTATTCACGCTATTATTTGTCATATGTGTTAGACCTGACCTCAAAGTCTGGGATGGAGTATTGGTGTACATATGACAACTTGAACTTTGGATGAGGTTGCTCAAACCAGCAGAGTCAGGTATGCATTATACCACATAAGTTTACAACTCAGAAAGCGTATGTCCTTCGCTGCTTCCTCCCCTTGTTGCTCATGCAGGCACACCAGCTCAGTGGTCAACACCATCAATGCAGACTGAAAAGCTTTCTGGGTCAATGATATGGTGTGGCTGGGTCCCCATCCAAAATCTCATCTTGAATTATAATCTCCATATTCCCCACGTTTTAAAGGAGAGACCAGGTGGATGTAATTGAATCATGGGGGTGGTTTCCCCCAGGCTGCCCCGTGATATTGAGTGAATTCTCATAAGATCTGACGGTTTTATAAGTGTTTGGTAGTTCCTCCTCCATTCATTGTCCTTCCTGCCAGCTTGTGAACAAGGTGCTTTGCTTCCCCTTCCCCTTCCACCATGATTGTAAGTTTCCTGAGGCTTCCACAGCCATGCTGAACTGTGAGTCAATTAAACCTCTTTCCTTCATAAATTACCCAGTCTCAGGCAGTTCTTTATAGCAGTGTGAAAATGGACTAATACAGTCAGGTTCGAAGAAGTCAGGACAATGGATGCACCGCCTTCATATACTTAGGCCTGGAGAGATAACTCATCCCTTCTCAAGTGTCTAATTACCGTCACTTTTTGCAGCCCTTTCTGTGCCCCTGTGTTCTATTTCTTTTGGCATTATGAGGCCTATAGCAGGACCATCACACTCTGGAATGTCCTCTATGTCTTTTCTCATTTTGTTTGCTCTCCTTGAAATATTTTCCCCTCATGCTCAAATTATGCCAATTGCTAAAGGATCAGCTCAAGTTCCACATTTTCTATGATAGTTTTTCTGCTCCTTCCTGCTGTGCAAAATACCTCATTATTTCAAGAATCCCCATGGCATTTCATCAGTAATGCTCATATGGGACTTATCATCGTCAACCATGTACCAGAGTTATTTGTGTGTATTTCTTACATTCCCTAATATATTGTGAGTCCCTTAAGAGCATGGTTTTTGTCTAATTCATTTTTATGTTCCCCAAAGCATTTAGCAGTACCTTGCATGTGTCGAGCACTCAATAGATATTTTTGGAATAAATTTAAAAATTCACCAATGAATATTTGTAGGAATACAGTCCCTGAATAGATACAGATCTTTATATTTGCATGTGCTATGGACATATAAAAAGATAGACATGCATCATAGTTTATTTCATAGAAAATATTAAATTAATTAAACAAAGATAAAGCTCCATTATGCCAAACTGTAATACAAAGGGATACAACTTTCTCTTTTTGATCATGTGCCTTCCTTTAGCTCATTAGAAAAATCAGGGATGCAATTTTGAGTTGTGGGACTTTCGGGTTTGACACAAAAGTGTATAATCTCATAGTGTTCACAGGTAAAGAGTACAAATAAAGAGATACAAACTACTTTTTTTCGAGACTATTTGCCGTTTAATTAGAGCTGACTGGTCACAATTTGCCTAAAGGTGGCAATTCGGAATAGAAAGACTCTTAAGTTTCTTGAGTTTTCATGAAAATAAAGGTAAATGAGCTAGTTGGGAAAAATTTTATGCTAAGAATAGTTTGCCATTAAACATAAAGGCATTAAGACTCTAGATTATAGTGTGGTGGGACCTTCTGTGATTATGTTTTGGAAGTTAATCAAAAAATGTTTGCATGTATCATTCAGTCAATGAGGAAATACATAATGGATAAACATGGGGCACTCTTGAGTGTTTGATGAAAACCTGATTATCACAGTATTGGTGAAAAGATAAAAATGATATATAAAGTTTAACAAACCTCATGTGGTTTTGTATGTAACTGAGATATAACATTTGTGCAAGTAACTAATAGCATAATTCGAGTTTTTAAAAAGAGAGAAAACTACAAGCCTTGAAATTTCAGAGTAGTCAGAAATTATTTTCGTGGAAAGAAAGCATTTGAGTTGGACCCTATGGAGTAAAGAGGGAAGTTTAACAGTTGGAGACTGTCCATGGAAGGATTCTAATGTTCAGACATAAAAAGTACAGTATTGATCATGTGATAGTTCAGTCTATCTGCAGGATGGAGAATATATAGAATAATAAACTAGCTTAGGTGTCCACCCATGATGGCTCACACCTGTAATCCCAGCACTTTGGGAGGCCAAGGCAGGAGGATCGGTTGAGCTCACGAGTTCAAGACCAGCCTGGGCAACATAGCAAGACCTCATCTCTATAATACAAAACAAACTAGCTTAGGTGCTATAGAAAGCAGCAGAAAAAGGATTGAGCAAATGCAATTCTAATTGGTATTTATAAGGTAACTGAAGACGTTGGGAAGAATGATTTCCATTAAATTGTGGGAGTTGATTCCAAGATATTATTTAGCAGGTGGAAAGGAAATGAAGGTAGCAAAGGGAGATCATGGGGTTTGATGATAGAAAAGGAGAAAGAGATAAAACTGCATGTTGCAAAAAAGCAAGATTGAGGGCAGCATGTGTTTAAGACTAGGAAGCATTTGTAGGCAAAGTTGAGTGCCTAGAGATAGAGGGATTGAAGACAGAGAGATAGGACATGATTGATGATGCAAGTATGAAGAGAGGAAGGATCAAGAATATCTCTGGAGAATTTTACTTTAGAAATGGTTGAGGCATCACCGGGTGCGGTGGCTCAGGCCTGTAATCCCAGCACTTTGGGAGGCTGAGGCGAGCAGATCATCTGAGGTCAGGAGTTTGAGACCAGCCTGACCAATATGATGAAACCCTGTCTCTACTAAAAATACAAAAATTAGCCAGGCATGGTGGCATGCACCTGTAATTCCAGCTACTCGGGAGGCTGAGACAGAAGAATTGCTTGAACCCGGGTGGCAGAGGTTGCAGTGAGCTGATATGGCACTGTTGCCCTCCAGCCCGGGCAACAAGAATGAAACTCCATCTCAAAGAAAAACAAAACAAAAAAAACAGAGAGAAAAATGGTTGAGGCATGAAGCAGCAATTTCTTCCTCCATGTCCAGGGGAAGTACAGAGTAGATGAATGTTTTGAGAAAAGGAGAAGAAAATTAGAGCTCAAATTAAGACGGCCTTAAGCTCAGTTTAGTTAGAAACTGATGTAGAAATTCAGAGTTTGAGGTACTGCAGATAATTTGTGCAAAAAAAAAAAAAAAAAAGAAGAAAAGAAAAGAAAAGGAAAGACCTGAATGAATGAATAGACGGGTAACCAGTTAAGGATAGATGACATTCATTTTCTTTGAAGCCAATCATCATTACTTCTGACCTTCTTTAGTAACCTCACTGCAATATGGAAAGGATAATTTGGTAGAGCAAAAGGGGAAGTTTGGCAGAATATTTAAAATAGATAACAAATTCCAATGTATTGTGAAAAATATTTAAAATATTTTTAAAAGCTAATGATCTTCTTCTAGCATATTCTTTAAGCTTTTATGCTTCATAGCTAGTTATTTTACATGTTTGTAGCTTACTAGGATCAGGCAAAAATGCTATCATCAGATTTTTAAAAAAACAAACAATGCTTGTCCCTTAATTAGCTGGTAAGCAGTTTCATTTTATGTAAACAAGCTACTTTATTGGACATCTAAAATTAATATATTCAGAAGATATGGCATTTGTTTTTGCTCTAGGCTCCTAGATTATGAAAAATATGATAGATTCATTCATTCACTCATTTATTCATCCATCACATGGGTGGTGCTATGAGGGTTAAGGACTATAATACAGTCAGAGAACAAAAGGAGGAAAAACAAAACCCCATATAATCCTTAATTCCAGGGAGCTTACAGTCTGATGCCTTACATTATCTTCTTTGCATATACACTCCATAAACAAATAGCAAATAATATGGACTTGTCAAGAGTGATTCCAATTTTTTAAAAAGTCTAATTTGGCAGACGATAAATGAAAGAGCATGAGATCACATGTTTAGGAATGGCAAAAATTAACATTTGATCAAGACCTATTTTGAGTACGAATGGGGCTAGAAAAGCTATAAAACAATCCAGCCAATGATAGACTCTACCTTCTGCGAAATATCCTTAAAACCACAAATGTGCCTGAGTGGTGACCTGATCATCAATGTGGTCTATGATTAACAAGGCAACGGATACTTCAGATCCATGTCTGAACATCCTGTAGAAACTACTGCTCTTATTTTTAAATCATTGTATAAGATGGAAACACATGGTGGCTTCTGACGAGTATTTTTTTCTCTTAATTATTAAAGCAGCAAGGTCAGAGGCACAGAGATAGTAACACGTGGGATGGACATTCATCTAAAAGGATTTGTGGGAGAACGCAGGACAGAACAAGTGAAGCACTTACCCAGTGTCTGGCACATCCGCTGAACTCCTACCAGCTTGCTTATTATTTTAAAGTCATGTTGATTTGATGCTTATAGGTTAGAATCATTTCCTTAAACTCTCTCACTGATACTTTGTAAAATAACAGATGAGTAATTAAAAAGCTAGAAATTGGTTGATGGTAGGTGGGTGGGAACCAGTTAGAAATTGGGAATATGGAGAAGGAGAGAAGCCGAAATAGTTTACATGGTTCATCTTCTAGTCATTGGCCTTAGAAAACCCTTTCATTAGTAGAATGAGTGACTTCACTTAGCCATTTTCCAAAGCAATGCCAATGAGAAACTGACAGTCAAGATCCAAATTTAGATACTGATAATAGCTCTTCGTGGCCTGTAGATATCCTAAAACAGCCAAATTTTGACCAAGGAAAGGGATAGAAAGCTTTCCTTCTGGGTAGTTGAGTTTTTAGAGGAAATTGCCTAGAGTAGAAATTGAATATGTCATGCTTTCTTTCCTGAGAGAAGAAAATTGAGGCAAAATTGAGAATAATAGCCTATTCTCTAACTCTTAAAATTGTATACTGTTTGCTAACATTATAGTTGTATTAATAATTAGGATAATTATTTATATAGACAAGGAGACACAAGTAATTAAGATATTTTAAAATATAGTCTTCAAAATAATTCTCAGCTATGAAGGAAAAAAAGTGACTCTGTAATTTTTAAGTATTAAATTGGCAGTTTCCGGGCAGATACTCAGTATTCCTTATTTGTGAGTCACAGTTGAAGAAAACAATTATTTCAAATTACCAGAAAGCTCAAATAATTTCCTGGAACCCAGGGAAAAACTAGAATGTGAATACAATGTTCTGTATCTTACATAACGTTTAGGAGAAAGGTAATTTTTGTTAATTTGGAAGTGTTTTTGGGAGGATTTGAACAATATTTTTCTCTTTTTTTGTTTTTAATGAAAATAGACTTGTTAGGGTCAACAAATCAGACATCTTCAGTAAATAAATATCTAGTAGTTAAAATTCTTATATTAGCTAAGTTAAAAATATGGCTTTCCAACTATAGAATGTTTTTAAATTTTAAATATAAATGCATAATTTTTTTACTTTTTTATAAATGATGTGTTTATCTCTTGATACAGTTTGATTATTAATCCCTTGTCAGATGGGAAGTCTGCAACTATTTCCTCTAAAGAGTTTAATTTTTTGTTATATTCTATACAAAGATGAGATGGAATATGTTGAAGTTTTTCTTATAATCATCAAAACAGCAGGCATATAAATATCTTCTTCTTTTGAACTCAGCCTACATGACAGGTAGGCTTTAAATACCTTTTTATTAGACCCAGAATTTATGTGTATGTATTTCAGTGTGAAACCACCTTTTTTTAATTGTTCGATTCTACAAAATACAAATAGCTGAGTATATGCTAGATTCATTGGCATCTACTACGTAATCTGTTATTTCCTGTTGGGACATGTTCTGTGGGAAGAAAGGAACAACCTCAGGAAGAGATGAGGTTATGTGTTTAATAGCTATTCTGGACATCAGAAAATTTAATTTTCTGATTAAAGAGATGAAGTTATGTGTTTAGTAGCTATTCTGGACATCAGAAAATGTAATTGATTGGGAATATGCCTGTGGTAGGTTGCCTGGAGATGCTCCCTCACGATTCCTGCCTTGTGGTATTGATCTCCTCATGTAATCTCTTCCCACTGAGTGTGGGCTGGGCTTACTGACTCATTTCTAATGAATAGAATATGGCAGAAGGGGTGGGATGCCGCTGGTGAGCTTAGGAGAGTAACAGGTAGTGGCTCCCAGTTGGTCTTTCTCTTGGATCCGTCATGCTGGGGAGTTGGGATCAGCCCTATGGAAAGGCCAACGTGGTAGAACAAAGAACTGAGACCCCCCAGTTGAGCAGCTCTCAGGGACCTGAGGACCTCACCTCAACGTCCTATGAGAAGCCCACTAACAGCCACATGCATGAGCTCGAAGTGGCTCCTTCAGCCCCAGTCAGGTCTAAACACTGCAGGCTCAGCCAGCATTTTCATGCACCATCATAAGTAAGGTGGTCAAGGTTAGTGAACAAAAATACAGGACACCCTGACAACCTTGAATTTCAGATAAACAAATATAATTTTTAAAAGTTTGAGTATGTCCCATGCAATGTTGGAGACACGCTTAGACCAAGAAATTATTTGTTATGTATCTGACATTTGAATTTAATCTATGTTTTACCTGGAAGACCTGGAGATCAGATACTTTGAGCTGGAGGCAAAGCTAAGTCACATTCAGATTCCGGACCCACAGAAATTGTGAGATAAAGAAAAAAAAAATCACTGCTCAACCTGTGAAGTTTTGGAGTAATTTGTTACGCAATAATAGACAACTAATATATTACCTAATAATTGGGTGAGGGTCCATACAGGCTCTCAAGGTTGACAGAATTGATTGACTGTGTTTTAATTGGTCTGTCAAGTGCAGAACCCGTGATTATACTTTGACTTTGCCTGTCTCACCAGGACAGATGACAGTTTATTACCTTGGAGATGAGATACATAATTTGCATTTAAACCCTCTTAATTGATACACACATTCATTACCCCATTAGAGAGATGTTTGGTGAAAAAAATAAAAAAATATAGATACTTTTGAAATTTTAATCTTTAAAATAATTTACTTTAAAAAAGGAGATCAAAAAAGTTAATAGAATAACACTTAAAGAAGGTCGACACTGGCTATTTTGAAGGCAAAAATAGTAGTTTTGTATAATTTTTGTAACCGTATGCATGTCTTATACGTATCATCTCTTGTTGAAATCAAAGATTTTATACTGCATGTAGGGCACCTTACACTAATCCATCAGTTATCCAGGTTCCGCAGGAGAGCAACATCTTTCAATCTTCCCTTTTCTCTCCATTCTTATCTAACCAGTCATGAAGTAGTATTGTGCCAATTCTTGGCAACATTTCTCAAATCCCTCCCTCTGTTTCTCTTCTTATTTTTTTGGCTTCCAAGCAGGTAAGACCTCTACAAATTCTGCCTGTTCCATGACCACAGTTTGCTTACTGATCTCCCTGTCAGTATTCTCTTACATACCCAGTGTGCCAATATAATACTAAAGGGTCCATCTTTCTAAAATACTATAATTATCATACCATACCACTCCCAACTCTAAAAACTTTTGTTGCTTTCCATAACCCAAAGAAAGGGCAGAAAAATACTTGGGCTGTAGGTAATAACTACTGATCATGTGACTTTAACCTTTTGTTTGTTTTGCTTTGCCATACTATTTTTTTTTAAATTAATTAATTTATTTACTTTAGAGACAAGGTCTCGTCTTGTCACCTGGGCTGGAGTGCAGTGGTACGAACATAGCTCACTGCAGCCTTGAACTCCTGGGCTCAAGCCATCCGCCTGCCTGAACTTCCCATGGAGTTGGCACTGCCATGCCCAAGTAATTTAAAAAATGTTTTTTGGTAGAGATGGGGTCCCATTTCGTTTCCCAGGTTGATCTTAAACTCCTAGCCTCAAGTGATCCTCCTGCCTGTGCCTCCCAAAGCAATGAGATTACAGGTGTGAGCCACCATCTTGCTTTGCAAGATGATCTTATCCTGTTACAGTTGCGTTACCACAGTCATTCGCTGGTGCATTTGGTGCCGTAGATGTTCTAAAAAGAAAATGACTCTGTTGTTACCCAAGTGTGTAAAATGCACATATTGTCTCCCATTTGCATAGTCACTGGTGGGGTTCTATTTAAAAACTGCAATTTCACCAGGATGTAGTTTCATACATATAAAAATTATGTACGAAAGTGAATTATTGACTATTAAAATTTAGAAAAAAAAAATCAAAACAGATCACTGGACCTCAGTGAATGTAGTTTCTCAGATGTCCCTAGGGTGGTGACTATTAACTTTTTTGATGTTACAGAAGCTCATGAGCATGACGATTCCTCTCCCCAGCAAGCTGCAGGGAACTACCCACCAAAACTTGCAAATGGTTGAGGGTATCCATGCATGCCCTGGGACCCTGGGAGGTTGGAAGATGCCATGCTCAGCACCACTGCTTTAAGAAGTGCCCTCTTCTCTCTCAGAAAGGCCAACCCTGTTCTGTTCTATGGATACCAGCAAAAAGAGCCGTTATTTCACCAGAAATACTCAAACAGTATGTGTAGTGTCTAGCACATAATGTGCCTTTCATCATTCTTCTCCTGATATATGTGCTATAGAAGAGTCTCTTAAAAATGATTATTCAGTCATTAGGAACAAAAGCATCATGTTCTGAGCAGCTCTTCTAGGACAGCTTTTTGTGATAGTTTAATTCTTGATGCTGTTTCCAATAATCCTGGGCCATTGTTAAAAAGGAAAGTAAATTTGAGAATGATATTAATAAAATGTCTGTAACATAGATGGAAGATATTTTTCCTCCTCTATGCTAGGTTCATGGCTGAGGCACCTGTAACAAATGACAAGAGAAAAAGCATGCAAATCTATTTAATGTAAGTTTTATGTGACACTGGAGCCTTCACACAAAAATGAAGGCATCCCCCCAAAAGAACAGGTAAACCTGAGTATTTTTATGCCAGGTTTAATGTTAAGAATACACAGTGTGGAGAAATAGGAGGACAAAACATTATGACCTATTGGTATGGACTTGGGGAAACATAACAAGGTCTGTTTGTTTGTTCAGATTCTTCTTGGATTCCCTGTGTCTTCTGCTCCTTTCTTCTGTGTATTGGGGGAGTGCATAAGAATATTATGACCTGCTTCAGGGAAAGCTCAGAACGTTCTTCCTAGGTTTTATAACCAGCCTCAAAGGAGAGAGACAGGGGAAGATGTGAGTGACCTTCCGGCTTCTGCTGTTTTCTCAAATGCCAAGATGTCATATTTTGGGTAGCATGTCCTGAACCCCATCAAAGGCATGCTAATGCCATGTACATTCTCATTGGTGAAGACTTGCAAATGCCTTTTTTATTCTCATTTTTATATTGTAGTTTATACACGTATATGTGTATATGACTCCGACTTTCCTTAGTTTTAACAAATGTGTTGACATTTTGAGGCAACGCACGATTTACACCCTTTGTTTTCTTGCCTGAAAGTTTTCTCAAGGCTTTTGATGATTTTGAGAGTCTGTGAAATGAATACTACCTTTGGATGGCTGAAAATATATTTTGATACTCATTTATACTTTCTGATGATCCTACAAAGTCATTACATGAACTGTATCACACAAAACAGGAACTATTAAGCAAACTGACTTCACTACAGTTATGAAATGAACAGAATTTTATAAGGAATCATATAAATGTAAGTGAAGAGATAGCTCCAAAAAATACTGGCAATGAATTTCCCTTTTTAAAAAATTCTAGGCCGGGCGCGGTGGCTCACGCCTGTAATCCCAGCACTTTGGGAGGCCGAGGCGGGTGGATCATGAGGTCAGGAGATCGAGACCATCCTGGCTAACAAGGTGAAACCCCGTCTCTACTAAAAATACAAAAAATTAGCCGGGCGTGGTGGCGGGCGCCTGTAGTCCCAGCTACTCGGGAGGCTGAGGCAGGAGAATGGCGTGAACCCGGGAAGCGGAGCTTGCAGTGAGCCGAGATTGCGCCACTGCAGTCCGCAGTCCGGCCTGGGCGACAGAGCGAGACTCCGTCTCAAAAAAAAAAAAAAAAAAAAAAAAAAAAAATTCTAAGGTCTGCTTATTTTGTCAGCAAACATGTTAATTTTATATACGTACCAGTGTGTATACATTTGTGTGCATATATTATATACATGTACAAATATGATATTGAGACATTCATGTCTTTGCATGTACTTTATGCTTATTTTATTAGCCTTCAAATGAAGTACACTTTCTCTCTAAAACCCAAGCACTGGCTTAGGAAGTTGGAGACCCGCCTGAATGTGAGTCCTGAGGTCTCATGATTATTCTTACTTATAACATATAGAGAGTTATGTGCTCATATTAATTCATTTGTCAGAAAGTTCCTCGACAAAGCATAGTTTGCCATGAAGCTTAGGTTTGAAATTGGAGTGTGAGATATTTGTATATATAAATATATAAATATATATATATATATATATATATATATATATATATATATATAGTCCAGTAGCAAAAGAGGAGAAGGAACTACATTTATTAAGCACACACTTGTACAGACACAGGGCTCTGAGGGTTTACCTTATTTGTATTAGACCATCTTGAAAACTATATATTCATTTTCAACTGCTGACTAACAAATTATCACAAACTTAACTGCTTAAAATGACCCCCACTTGCTATCTTGCAATACCTGAGCACAGCCTGGCTGAGTTCTCAGCTCAGGGTCTCAGCCAGTCTGCATCCTCCTCTGCAGCCCCAGTCGTCTAGCCTCATTCAGGCTATTGGAGCAATTCCATTGTCCCTGGCTGTGTCCCAAGTAATTACTTTTCCTTTGCCTGTGGCTGCCAGTGGAGGGCTGCCCTCAGTTTGCAGAGGCCTCCCACATTTCCTGTCTTGTGACTCCTCCATCTTCAAAGGCCAGAACTTCTTACACATCAAATACCACCCCTGCAGGGTTCAACTCTTTCTAACTTCCTCTTCTACTGCCAGCCAGTTGAAACTGGAGTGCGATTAAGTTAGGCCCACCCAGATAATGTCTCTATATTAAGGTCAAATGATTAGTAACTTTAACTACAGCTGCACGATTCCTTTTTTCATGTAATGTTACATAATCTTGAGAGTAACATCAGTGGTAGAGGTCATGGAGCCATCTTAGAATTCTGTCTACTACAAACTACCAAATGAAGAAGAATATTATTATTTCATACATAAGAAATCTGAGACGGATGCTTCAGAACGTACCTAAGAATATACTACTTAAATTTGGCATAGCTGATACTGCCTTTAACATTTCTTTTAAAATCATGGATGAAACTGGAAACCATCATTCTCAGCAAACTATCGCAAGGACAAAAAACCAAACACCGCATATTCTCACTCATAGTTGGGAACTGAACAATGAGAACACATGGACACAGGAAGGGGAACATCACACACCGGGGCCTGTTGTGGGGTGGAGGGAGGGGGGAGGGATAGCATTAGGAGATATACCTAATGCTAAATGACGAGTTAATGGGTGCAGCACACCAACATGGCACATGTATACATATGTAACAAACCTGCACATTGTGCACATGGACCCTAAAACTTAAAGTATAATAATAATAAAAATATATATATATATAACTATCAACAAAGTTTCCAGTTTTCCTTATTTTTATCCTTGACTAAAACCTCACAGAAAATTAATGTAATCAAAATAATTTAGTTTTATATTTAAAGTTATACTTTAATATGAATTTCTATACTGAAAATCACACCTAACATCTTGAAATACCTTTAACTTAATCATTCGTTCACTCTTCTGCTAAATACATAATTTTTATTAACTTCATATTAGTACTTTACTAAGTCCAGGTGGTACATTTACCAAAATATATGCAATATTTTAATGTATTAAAATGTATAGTTTTTCCTATTTTGATCCCCACTTAAAAATTAACATAGTGTATAGTGCATGTATTGCCTTGATAAATGAGATTGCAGTAAAATTGGTCTTTAGGATTTGTTCTTGGAAACCATTAATAATTCAGTTCAAGGAATGATCAAAAGTTTGACATAGAAAATAAATTTTCAATATTCTGAAAAAAGCTTGATTATTCCTGGAATAGAAACTTTTACATTTTGATGGCCTCATATAGGTGGTCAGTTTCAAATAATCCTGCATCATTCACAATTGAAAGTGATGTTATAAGAAACATATTTCTGGCCAGGCGCGGTGGCTCACGCCTGTAATCCCAGCACTTTGGGAGGGCGAGGCGGGCGGATCACGAGGTCAGGAAATCGAGACCATCCTGGCTAACACGGAGAAACTCCGTCTCTACTAAAAATACAAAAAAAAAAAAAAAAAAAAAAAAAAAAAATTAGCCGGGCGTGGTGGTGGGCACCTGTAGTCCCAGCTACTCCAAGGCTGAGGCAGGAGAATGGCGTGAACCCGGGAGGCGGAGCTTGCAAAAAAAAAAAAGAAACATATTTCTTCCTTATATAATAAAACAGAATTGCTTGTAACATCACAAGTGTTCTCCACGTCTCCTCCCTCTCTGGAGGTCTCTGTCCTCTTGGAACTGTTGCCTGACATAGACCAACGATGATCATGACTTTACATCTTTGGGTGACTTGCTGTCATTACCTGTGTAGAGTACAATATAATGGGGAAAAAAGGACACTCTTAGTTGTTCTGTTCTAAATATGACTCTATAAACCATGGGTGATTTGCAACACAGAAATTCACATACAGAAATACAAATAAGTTCAAACCTTGATACAGGACCTATTTTAAAATACTATAAACATATTCATCTCCAAAGCCTTTCCACAATCAATCATACTATCTGATCCCTGGACCCCTGACTTTTTTTCAGGTGTTTCTGGTTATAGTAAATAACATTTACTATCCACTCTGCAAGATATAAATTTATCCAATCAATTACCAACTCCATGTCTTTTGCTTCTTAAAGACCTCCCAAATCTACCCATTTTCCTCCAGCCACATCACCATCATTTTGCTTAGTTCTCGTGAACCCCCCTGACTATTGCTGTAGCTACTAAAGTACTGTACTCCCACCCACAATTTCTCAATTTCTATTTTTTTAAATTCTTTTTTTTTTTTTAAACATAGACAGGGTCTCACTGTGTCTCCCGGGCTGGAGTGCAGTGTGTGATCATAGCTTACTGCAATCTGGACCTCTTGGGTTCAAACCATCCTCCCACCTCAGCCTCCCAAGGACGTGGGACCACAGGCGTGCACCACCACTCCCAGTTTATTCCTGATTTCGAATCCAATTTTCACTCTACACCCAGAGAGATAATAGAAAAACACTCATCTAATCACATTACTATCATCCTTAAAATAAACTACCCTCAGAGAAAAGCAAACAAAATACTTATTATGGTTTTAATGCCCTAAAAAATCTGGCCCTTCAGTTACTCTTGACTACCCTGTTGTTCTCCCTACATTTGGCAAATGAAACTTTTATTCGTGCCTCCAAACACACTGCTTCTTTTGACTGGAATACCGTCCCCTGGACCCTGACTTCTCTTAACCCTCCTAACTTCTAATTCTGGGTCTTAGCTTAAATATGACTTTTTAAAGAATATCATCTAATTCATCAGGATAAATTATTAGTCCCACTTTAATTGAGCTTTTTGTTGAAATAGTTGTAGATTTACATGTAGTTGTAACAATATACAGAGAGATATTACACATCCTTTACCCAGGTTCCTCCAACAGTATTATCTTGCAGAAATATAGTACAATTATCACAACCAGGATACTGACAGTGATACAATCCAAGAATCATATTCGTGTTTCTACTGATTTGTTTGTACTCCTCGAGTATGTGTGTGTGTGTGGGTGTTGTATACAATTTTATCACATAGGTAGCTTTGGGCACAGTAGTCCCCCCTCATCTGTGGTTTCACTTTCCATGAGTTCAGTTACCCTCCATCAACCATGGTCCCAAAATATTGAATCGAAAATTCCAGAAATAGGCTGGGTGCGGTGGCTCACACCTGTAATCCTGGCACTTTGGGAGGCCGAGGCGGCCAGAACATGAGGTCAAGAGATTGAGACCATCCTGGCCAACATGGTAAAACCCAGTCTCTACTAAAAATACAAAAATTAGCTGGGTGTGGTGGTGGTGCATGCCTGTGTTCCCAGTTACTTGGGAGGCGGAGGCAGGAGAATCCCTTGAACCTGGGAAGCGGAGGTTGCAGTGAGCCGAGATCGCGCCACTACTCTCCAGCCTGGTGACAGAGCAAGACTCCATCTCAAAAAAAAAAAAAAAAAAAAAAATTCCAGAAAAAAACAATTCATGTGTTTTAAATTGCTCATCATTCTGAGTAGTGTGATGAAATCTCACATCATCTGGCTCTGTCCTGCCCGAGACGTGAATCCTCCCTTTGTCCGGGCTGTCTATGCTACCAGCCTGTTAGTCGCTTAGTAGCCATCGCGGTTATCAGATCGACTGGTGTGGTGTTGCTGTCTTTGTGTTCAGGTAGTGCTTATTTTACTTAAGAATGGCCCAAAGCACAAGGGTGGAGTGAGGCTGGCATATTGTTATAATTGTTCTACTTTATTATTCATTATTGTTGTTAATCTTTTAAACTTCTTCGTAGGTATGTGTGTACAAGAAGAAAACAGTACATATAGGATTCAGTACCATCTGTGGTTTCAGGCATCCACTGGGGATCCTGGAATGCATCCTTCTCCAATGAGTGGAATACATTTTTTTTAGCATAGACAGGGTCTCTACTGTATATGTGTTTTAACATACACAGGGGACTACTGTATAGACCACCACAGACAACACACAGCGCTCTCGCTATAAAGATTCTTTATGTTGTTTTTTTTTATGGTCATGCCCACCTCCATCTCCTTCCCTCCACCTCCCTGGCAACCTTTCATGTTTCCAATCCCCTTTAGACTCTCTTTTATCAATTTGTACTTCTTACATCACTTTGCTTGACTGTACCTCTTTGGTCCAATTTTATGTGGTATCTACATTCTCACCTAGGCTGTAAGCTTTACATTAACTACTGTATTTCTAGGTTCTGTCATATTGTTAGGTCCAAATACGTGATCAGTGAGCATTTATTGACTGCTTGCTCTATTTTGAGGGAAAACAAAATGCACAAAGCATGGTGGAGGGGAGTCTTGGCCAAGAGCCAAGTGCTTATGGGGAAACTTGAATTGTATACCTGGCCCTACAGTGGAACACTTGACTTGTGGACCTCAGTTAACCCAGGTGTAAAACAAAACAGATGAGAACATGAAGTAACACTGGCTCGGTAAACATCCTGGTGTAGGAAGTTGGGTGGGTTGAGTTCTAGAGACACTACAAGCCAGGCTGTACTGTACATCCCATATCAGAAATGAAGGCATTGCCAGACAGCCCAGCCCATGCTACAGTCATGCATATCTCTGGGAAATACTCATGGTGAACCTAATCTGAAGAAAACTTTGCAGTATTATTGAGCAATAGACAGGAGTTGTGTTAATAATTTGCATAGGTGATTTTGTGCATACTTTTATTTCCTGTGGGTTTTTTTGACCCTAAAAATTGCATTGTGAGGTGCTGGGACTTTGGTCAACCTCTGTGGTGTGCTTTTCCCATAACACTGTACTTCTGTATTCATAGTTTAGATATATAAGTATTTATGTTTGTGTATCCATGTATGTGTGTGTTTATTTATCTACATACACACACGTAGTTATAGGGATCTAATTCTTCTACAGAATGAAGGCCAAAAACAAGAGGGTGGGAAACTTAAGAGTAGTGAGAAAATAACCTAAATAAGAAGAAATGATGCCAAAAAGGAAATGAATGTTTGCGTGACGGTGTGAAACCTTGTCAACAGTACAGG
Source organism: Homo sapiens (assembly GCF_000001405.40). Classification (NCBI taxonomy): domain Eukaryota; kingdom Metazoa; phylum Chordata; class Mammalia; order Primates; family Hominidae; genus Homo; species Homo sapiens. Next base: position 107,266,411 of record NC_000013.11, on the reverse strand, counting down.
TAGCCATCTATTTTCCAGGTGGGGTGTACACAGAGCACTCAACCTGTGATGAACAACCTTATATCCTTTTGTAGAATAAAAATGTAATTTCATTAATTTTAAATGATAACATAATAGGGATAGGTCTTTATGTAAACAAACCCACAAAACACGTGTATTTCTTACCTGTGCCAAAGTAAACCTGGGACTAGCCAGGTGAGTACACCCATCAGTGTGATAGAAGGAAGCTATCTGAATGGAAAGAAGGAGATTCTCACCACCTTTTCAGCTCGCTTATGCAGTTTGTATGTTACGTCGCCCTGATTGCTGAACCTTGCCTTTTGTTAGATTGCTTTGCAAGAGCATTTAACCTTTATGTCTTCTTTACTGATCTTAGGAATAGAGGCTATAACACTTTATACTATTTTCAGGAAGCTTGAGAGAAGAAACAAGAGAGCATCTGAAATAACTATTTCCCAGCACCTAGAGAAAACGCAAATCATATCCTTTCTATAGTTTTAGACTTTGCCACACAGATGCTACGGTACTGATTTCTTTATGAGATACTTTTTATTTAGTCTATGTTTATATAATTTACTTATGGAAAAAAATGACCAAAAAATTTCAATATATTAATTACATGGGTAAAATTACCTCATATTCATAGACCAAAGTATTGTAAAAATGTCTTTAAATATGTTTCCATTAAAAAACAAAAAAAAAAGTAGGCCAGGCATGGTGGCTCATGGCTGTGATCCCAGCACTTTGGGAGGCCAAGACGGGTGGATCACCTGAGGTCAGGAGTTTGTGACCAGCTTGGCCAACATAGTGAAACCCCATCTCTACTAAAAACACAAAATTAGCCAAGTGTGGTGATGCATGCCTGTAGGGAGACTGAGACAGGAAAATTGCTTGAACCTGGGAGGCTGAGGTTGCAGTGAGCCAAGATCGAGCCACTGCACTCCAGCCTGGGTGACAAAAGTGAAACTCTGTCTAAAAAAATAAATAAATAAAAAATAAAGTCTACAGCATGCCTTAAAATTGTTGTTTAAAGTGAATCTTTACATTTGGCAGTTAAATTAATGTTTTAAAAAATACAGTGAACAAAGGTAATTAAATATTAATAATAACCAAATTCTGTAATATGGCTAGATAAAGAATATTAGAGAAATTTAACAAATCAATGCAGAGAAGACAAGCAACTCAATAGAAAGTTAGAAAAAGTTATGCATAGGCAATTCATGGAAGAAGAGTAATTGGTGAAAAATATATTAAAAAGTTACTTAATCTTGTAATAATCAAATAGCCAGAATCAAAACACTTTGGTAATCAAGTGATTGGCAAAATAAAAAAGGTGGATAACATCTAGCTTTCATAAAGGTGTGTTTGACTACATTTTTCAAAAGGTAAATTGCCTTCTCACATGATGGACAATGTTTAGGAAATCTCTCCTACAGTGATACAAAAACTTTCATGCAAGCCTATTTAGTGCAACAGTGTTTGAAAGAGTGAAAAATCAGGAACTACCTGAATATCCAGTGATCATGGAATGGTTAATTAGATTATGAAGCATGCACGCAGCTATTTAAAATGAACAATGTCAAAGTCCATCAAAGTCTAAAACATCATCAATCCAAAAAGCAAATTAAACAATAGAATAACAGTAATGTAATTCGATGCATATGTTAGAAATGATAAAGGCAAAAACCTGAGTAGCTGCACAGATGCATATAAACACAAATGCACAGGAAAACACCTGGAAAGATAAATATCAAACTATTAATAGTTGTTCCTTCTAAGGCAAGGGGTCGAAACTGATGTTGGGTTGCGGTGAAGGTTGCTGCAAAGGGCACTTTGTTCCTTTTTTTTCCTCACATATACCCCTATATTTCTGACCAAACAATTTTTAGTGAAGATGAAATTATGTTCTCTTTGTGTAATTAACAAATAAAAGAAAGACACATTCCTCCCTTTATGGTAAATTGTATAAAGTTTACACAATAGCAGTAGCTATGAAGGAGAGCAAAACAAAACAACCCATATTCCCTCACCTCATATGCTTTTCCCAATGGCTTTCTGATAGAAGTTAGTTAATTCAGTCTTTAAAACAAACATGCTGAGAAACAAATCATTTCTGTATATAAACCAATGATTATAAACCAGTTTTGTTAATTAATTGCTTACATAAAATGACCATGATAATTATTAAGTTGGCAATATAATTGATAAAAAATTTAATTTGCCACAATTGAAAAGATTCTATGAAGTCATAATGGAAAATAAAAATTATAACACAAAAATAATGACCTCATTCTCACACTGGGGGATTTGAATATCACGAATGGAGAAAAAGATTTAAAGACACATTCTTCTTTTTAAAATATTTGTATCTGAATCTACCAGATGTACTCTTTGCATTAATCAAATTAAAGCTGGCCACAATTCCATAAGGCCGGGTGAACCATGTTCCAACACAACCAAAAGATTGGCATCAGCTATTGCTGTGAGGTAGCTGTGTGTATCAATTAGGCAGAGGGAAAATTTGAGTTTATCCAACATGTTTTTAATCTAGGAAAAGGGCCTAGGATAATTTTCCTAGGAAAGAGATATAATTGGATGGGTTGTACAGACCATTGTCTTAGTCCATTTTCACACTGCTGATGAAGACATACCTTAGACTGGGTAATTTATAAAGGAAAAGAGGTTTAATGGACTCACAGTTCCACATGGCTGGGGAGGCATCACAATCATGGTGGAAGGTAAAAGGCACGTCTTACACGGTGGCGGGCAAAGAGAGAATGAGAACCAAATGAAAGGGATTTCCCCTTATAAAACCATCAGATCTCATGAGACTTATTCACTACCATGAGAAAAGTATGGGGGAACTGCCCCCATGATTCAGTTATCTCCCACTGGGTCTCTTCCACAACATGTGGGAATTAGGGGAGCTACAATTCAAGATGAGATTTCGGTGGGGCCACAGCCAAACCGTATCAACCATTAATAAATAAATTGGTTATAGTGGCCATAAAAATATGTGGTCACCTGCATGCTCAGAAACTTCAGTGAATCAAAATGCTTTCTGTAATAATCAAGCAAAGATTCATTTCATAGACACATCAACTGTGAGTCCACTGAGATGTGTGTGTGTGTGTGTGTGTGTGTGTGTGTGTGTGTGTGTGTCTGTTAGCATTTTGTGGGGTGTTGGGAGCCTACACATTTATACACAAAGAATTGAGCCCTGCTGCTGGGTTAAAAAGGAGTTCCCCTAGGGTGACCAATGATCTTGGTCAGGAACAGACTGAAGGGTTTCAAGGGATGCAGTACTTTTCCAAAGTCTCTGGCAAGTCCCTGGCAAGCCAGGACAGATGGTCACCAAAACCCCTCAACTCTTCCTCACCTTTGCTACCCATTAAAGGTCCTTGCTCCTACTATTAAACATTTAAAGGTACAGCCCTGAATCATTCCTATACACGCAACGAGTCTGTGATTCTCTTTGTTAACCAAATACTCACACACTGGGAACCATGTGCATACGTTACAATTATGGCAAACATTGTAAAGTGACTTTTCACCTTGATTTCCATGATCTGTTTTGGTCCCCATGTACAATGAAGTGATGTTGCTTAAGAATGAGAGAGAGAGAGAGAGAGAGAGAGAGAGCGCCTGTGGGTTATGCAACTTAATATGGTTCCATGGGATGTCTTTCACCCTGATAATATTGGGGAAAAAATGGAGCATCTATCCCATCAGGTAGCCTATTTGATGTATTTGTATTAACAGTGCTTATTCTTATCATAAGTTACATTTCTGCATGTGTGTAAAGAAATCATGTTTTCTGAGGGAAATGATTGTTTTTGTGCCTATAACACATACATTTTGGAAGTGAATTAACTCTTCCAGAGAAACAGATACGTGGAGATGACTATTGTTTTGGTTTGATGTATAGTATAAGCATCGTCCAACATCGTCCAAAAGAAATGCTGCAGCTTCCATATGCTTTTTTGTTTGTTTTTTTGAGACAGAGTTTTGCTCTGTCATTCAGGTTGGAGTGTAGCAGCGTGATCTCAGCTCACTGCAACCTCCGCCTCCTGGGTTCAAGTGATCCTCCTGTCTCAGCCTCCTGAGTAGCTGGGACAACAGGCACATGCTACCACCCCTGGCTAATTTTTGTATTTTTGGTAAAGATGGGGTTTCACTATGTTGGCCAGGCTGGTTTAGAACTCTTAATTTCAGGTGATCCACCCACCTCGATGTCCCAAAATGCTAGGATTACAGGTATGAGCCACCATGCCTGGCCTTCCATATGCTGTTCATGATAGCTTGTTTTACTTGTTACAATATGTAGAAGCATGCTGAATTTTATTTATTCATTTATTTATTTATTTGGATCTTAAGCCTGTACACAATTTCAGAAATAGCAAATAAATTAATTAATGTGATTTGTTGCCCCTGATATATTTCCATACCTGGATACTCTTGAAATGGAGGATGCGGGAGAGGCGGGGAGAGACAAGTCCTTATGCCTATAAACCTGTGCCTTGAAATTTCCAAATTGGAACTGCAATAGTAAAGATTCCTTTCTAATATATTTATTTTATTAGTTTGATAATGAAATTAGTGATTTATTTGCTCAAGTAACTGGAAATCTAGAGGCAGGTTCATCTCTAGGGTCAGCTTAATCAGTGGCTACTGCCCCTGTTCTCTGTATCTTCTGCCATTTTCTCAGTGTGACTTCAATATGTGTTGGTTTCATTCACAGGCTGCCTACCCCCAGATGATAAAACACTCTCAGCAGGTCCTGCACATCATGCTGTCCATAAAAATAGAGAGAGAAGCCCACTCTTCCAGACTCCCCAGCAGTAGTTCGGAGATTTACCTGATTGTACCATTTTGGTCCTATGAGTACCCTTGAACTTGACCATCATCAGGATTTGAGGACGGGGGCAGCTTCTCCCAAAGTACATGAGTCAGATTGTAGAGCAAAATTAAAATCATTGCTGATGGGATAGGGGAGGAGAAGAATGGCCACGCAGCCAACAGCATTCATCGAGGGAACTGAGGTCACATGTGATGTGGCAGGATCCAGGGATGGGACTGGAGGTTGGAAGGTGCATGGGCGTGGAGATGGGATGGAGGGAAGGTACACAGTGTGGAGTAAGAGCAGAGGGAAGGTAAAATGAGAGAGAGATTTCTATCTAATTCCACCCTGATGTCACCTGCCTCCTTCCCCTGGGAACCTCAGACAGCAGGACTGTAAGTTTAAAACATTTGTATTTATTTACTTTTTAATTTTACCCATGAATTAGCTCAGATAGGTTAACTACTCTAACAAACCAGTCCAAAATTTTAGTGGCTTCGCACAATAAACTCTTCCATTCAATGCAGGGCAGGTGACCTTCTCCTAAGAAGTGATTCAGGAACCCAGGCTCCAATAAGCCCGTGGAGATAACCATCTTCGAAATGTGACAGAAAAGAAAAGAAGAGAGGATCGTGCATGGGAAAATTTTACAGCCCAGACTTGGAAGAGAAGCATGTTAACGTCATTTGCATTCCATCGGCTAGAACCCAGGCTTATAGAACTCCTTAACTCCTTAACCCTGGGTAATGTGGTTAAATTAGAACCCTGGAAGAAAGGAGAAAACAGAGCTAGCCACACACTGCTGTCAGCCACAGATAGCTAGCATGTGTAATTTCAGAAAATCATGGTTGTCCAGGTCATCTGACTTCAGAATCAGGATTTTTAAAATGTAAGGACAATGAGGAGAGAAGGAACATTTTCATGACCTGCTAAGTTATCCTAAATAAGCCAATACATCAGTCTGTTTACAAAGCATCACTGCTTCCATGTTAAATTAAGGAATGGAAGAAACAGAGCTGGAAAATCAGAGTGGGGGATTTTATTATAACACAAATTCATGAGTGCTCTGAAAATCAAAACTCTGCTAGCGAGTTGCACTGAAGTTGAAAAAGTTCATGTTTTAACAGAACATTGCCCATATCAAATAATCTTACCTGACTTTCAAAATGTGACAGTACTGTATTTCCAACATGCAGGGTCTGTGTTACAAATGATGGCAGCTCATCAAAAGAAGACAACCGTTTTAAACCTCAGTCTTCTGGAGTGCATTTGCAACCATTCACAGCAGACAGTTTCACAGAACTAGTTATTGGCTATATGCAACAATGTTAACGATGACTTCATCCCGAGTATCTTAACTAATTATCCCTAATTTAACTGGAGTCTGTGGGATGCTTAGATATAGGTTTAGTCATGAACATGACAACCCGACTTCATTTTAACTTCTACTCCTATCTTAGCTTATGTATATGATGCAGTACAAAGACCCAGATTCAGTTCTATATTCTTGATTAAACTTTCCATGTCTCTTCCATGTTTCAGAGCTATGCCTCTCTTCAAATACCACTAATTTATTCATGAAGAAAATCTTTATTGAGTTGCTATCAAGTACCAAGTAATGACAGTAAAGCAGAGAGTGAAATAGACATAGTGCTTGCTCTCATGGAGTGTAGAGCTGTGGATTTCATTGTTAAATATGTGATTTGGTATGTAAATGATACTTTCAAACCTCTTGAAGATGAGGAGTATTGTTCGCTTTCAAGTAGCTGCTGTACTGTCTGCATGGACTATCTACTACTCATAGGTGCTAAGTGAGAAACTAGTCAGTTGGTTATTAAGTTCAGATAACTATATATGCCTCCTCTACCTTAATAAAAACATTGGAAACCATTTGAAAGCAGGTAACTGCAACTAATTTTACTTCTGGTAGTAACTATTGTGAATTGACTTGTCATTTTTGACTCTTCTACTGATTTGTTCATTCCCTTTTCTATGACAAGTCTAGGCCTAGACTAATGTCAGACAAAAGAAACTCATGCATTCACTCACTCACTCCAGCAATGTCCTCATGCCTCTCAATGTCCTGTGGGCATGATAGCAGGCTCAGGGGACAGACAAATCTGCAAGACCCCAGAGGCTCAGTGACAGATCTTGAGGACATTGTACACAGCATTTGCGGTTTTTCCTGATCTCTGACCTACAAAAGCCAGAGGATCCAGCGCAGAAATTCAATGAATTCAGTTCTTCAGTGATAGATCCCTGGGACTCCTGATTACCAGGTAAAGTTATAGAAAATAGTTATTGAAGATCCGTTACTTGTAAGACACTCTGCTTGGCAAAGATGAATAAAGAAAAAGACTTTACATCAAAAAGTTTATCAGCTTATGGAGGAAAAGGGGAAAAGGCACACGTGGCCAGGAGCAGCTCAGAAGCATAGGGCACACTTTCCCCTGATGCAGAAAGGAAATCCTGGGGTTATAGAAGTTCAGGGGAGATGTAATCGTGGAAATGTAATGAAGGAAAGATTTCCTTAAACATGTGACAATCAATGAGTCATATACATGGTATATGAGTCTGTTCTCCCATTGCTATAAAGAAATACCTGGGCAGGGCGCAGTGGCTCACGCCTGTCATAGGGAGCCACACATCCTGTTTCATCATGAGCATACTTCAAGTATTGAAAGGCAGCTTAGAGTTCTTTCTGTGTCTGTGCCATCTAAACATCCTCAATTCCTTAAGCCTTTCATAAACATGTTTCATCTAAACATCCTCAATTCCTTAAGCCTTTCATAAACATGTTTCCTTTTGTAGGCCACTCATCATTCTAGTCTTCCTGCTTTTGGAAGCTTTTTTATTTTGTCAATATAGGATAAGAAAGGAGCTCAGTACTCTTCGTGCAATGTCGTTAGTGCCAAGATCACTGCAGCATATTGGCTTCTGCATCACCGTGATGGATTATATCAAGCTTATCTAGTTAGCTGTGGGTAAATACATAACATTTCATGTATTTACACAGTTAGGTTGTGGGCTGGGGAAGGGACTTTTTGCTTAGCCTAATTAAATTTTGTGATTGTAGATTTGACCAATCTTACCAACTAATTATGAACTTTTGACTCAGAGGCCATTACCTCTCTCTAGCTGCAGGAACGGGATATGGCAATGTAAACGTTGTGTTTTATCTTAGATTTCAAATGTGTCGTGGAGGCAATATGAGTTAGATCCTTCATTGTAAAAACAAAACGATGTTCATTTTGCTTGAAATACAGATTTAGCAATCTAAAATTAACAATAAAATATAAAAATAATGCCCACATTTATGTCATTAGAAGTTATTAAAATATCATCTAATTTCTATTGATTTTACCTATAATCAGATACATGGAGATGTATGGAGATGACCAATAAGGTCAGAACAAAATTTGCTTTGCGGTCTTTTGCCATTACCAAATGAGAGGGTACATTGTTTCCCAAAAGTATATTCTATGTGAAGCAAATTATCTTCTCCCAAAGCTACTCCCATTCAATATGAACTGGACTGGACTCACTTATATATTTGTTTACTGTTTATATAAAATGTGACCTTTCACTATTTATTAATTGCAACAGAAGCCTATTTCACTATGTAAAGGAGCTCTGCAACTTGCTAAATACTTCTAGCGAAGCATGAGTTGCTGAGAGCTGAATTCTCCCTCTTATTCTACTCCTGGTAGGAGAAAGACTTGCAGAGGCCACAGGAAAGCTCTGAAGCTCTCCAAAGTGCTGCATCACCACCCCCCATCCCCTACCTCCCACCACCATCACAGTCCCTACAGTCCTCCAAAGCCAGCCTTTCTGTGGTCACATGACTCACAGGCAATGGTTTGCTCTGCAGAAACACCTGCACATGCCTGGCCACCTCAGGGCCTCCAGTGATGGGAAATGGGTCGCTGACCTCTTCACAGATAGGAGAGTTCCCTACCACAGTTTCTCAAGATCAAGGAGAGATACCCATTTCAATGATTCTCTGAGGGCCCTTAAAACTATCCCAGAGTTTCTTCTAGAGCCTAGATGATATCAAATTCAAAGCAGAAAAAAAAAAAAAGCAGAAGAAACAATTTTGAAGCCTCATTAGTGCTCAGGATAGCTCTTTTACACACTCATATTTTCTCCAAATATTAAGAATATGTTAGATGGATCAAGTATTCTAAATTCCCTATTATTAGTTAAATGACTTTATGCCCCATGGGAGGAGAGATCACAGTAGTCACAACGGTCTTATTCCTACCAAATCCTGTGGTATGAATACATAAATGGTTAACAACTAACATGGTTCGGCTCTGTGTCCCCACCCAAATCTCATCTCGAATTGTAATCCCCACATGTCAAGGGAGGGAGGTGACTGGCTCATGGAGGTGGTTTCCCCATGCCATTCTTGTGACAGGGAGTAAGTTCTCATGAAATCTGATGGTTTTGTAAGGGGTTCTTCCCCCTTCTGTCTCTCTGTCTCTCTTGTGGCCTTGTGAAGAAGGTGCCTGCCTCCCCTTCCGCCGTAATTTTAAGTTTCCTGAGGCCTCCCCAGCCATGTGGAATGGTGAGTCAATTAAACCTCTTTTCTTGATAAATTCCCTAGTCTCAGGGAAGTTCTTTATAACAGTGTGAAAACAGACTAATACAACAACAGACTTAGATGCATCCCTAAGCTTAGTATACATTTTACTGATATGAAGGATGTGTAGCATGCACTTTACAAAAATAGAAATATACAATAATCTTTATGGTTAATTCCATATTGTCCATTGATTTTCATGGATGCTTTTGCTGATTCTTGCAAACTCCTATATCTGTAGTCAAACCGTAGTTGCAACTGACAAACAAGGATAGTTGCAACTGACAAACAAGGGTAGTCCCAACTTTTATTGGTTGTTATTTTCAGTTACATTAACAAGTAAGAAGAAAATGAAGCATTGAAGATATGTATTAAAACTTTACTCATTTGTCAAGTCAATGATATCAGCAAATTCTTTCCCAAATTAGGTGATGGTTTTTGAATACTGGAGGAAGATTTCCTCATTTGTCATGCTACTCAAATTGTAACAGCTACATATATGAAGCACTTTTTAATTTAATGTGGTTTATTGACATTTTCTCCATCACTTAAAGATTAGACGGTCAACAAAATCATAAGTCAAGCCCTGATCTATATTTTTTTGCCAGTTTCTGTGGTGTAAATACTCCCGTTATGGCTGACTTCAAGCTCCTTATGTGGCATCACTGAACACAGGGTTAGGAAGAGAGGCACAGCAGCGTGCTGTTATGTAGTACTTCCACTGTACAGCAATGCCTAGTGGAATAAATCTCAAGAGCGCAGACAGCAGTACAACAAAGTACAATAATTAGGAAGCAATGTGATTTACATATTTATCTTTGTTTTTAATATAATCTAAATTTATATAATTTAACTTTTAATAACGTCTGTTTTCAACAACTAGTTTGAAAAATTCATTAAAATTTAAAAATGGGCTTTCTGGAGCCGGGATGAGTAGGCTCTGAATATCCCTGTTGTGAGTAAGCATATTTTGGTACTGAACATATATTATCAAATAATGTTCATTATCATTGCTTTTGTTGATATCCAATTTCTCCAAGTTCTTAACATATTAATAATACCTTCCTATGTTAGATAACCAATAAATGTGTTCATCCATTGATAAGATTCTACCTTCCTTTATTAAAAGACAATAAAGAAATGCAATTAAAGGGTTGGCTTCAGAACAGACAAAACTGAGTTCAGATTTTTGGCTCTGTCACTTACTAGACAAACAGACCTTTCAACAGTGCCCAAGTTGCCTCAGATTATTAAATTGTAATAATAATAACAACATTAAAGGCTGTTATGAGCATTTGTGAGCATTAGATACTGTATATAATGTATATACTTGGTATATGTTGAGAACATGATAAATGTTAATTACTGTACATTGTGGATTAGTCCTCTCCATTCGTTTATATCAAAATGGACTTTCTTTATCTATAAAACGGATTGATTATCCTTGCTCCTTCCAAACCCGGTAAGGATGTCAGCCAAGAACTCAACAAGGTTGTGAATGTTACTCTGTAACTTGGAGAGGGCAGGGTCCGGCTGTTAATTTGGGACTTATTTTATGCAGCATCCTCAGCAGTCACAGAGACATTAAATACAGACCCACACTGTAATTTAAAAGGGGTTATTTCAGTATTAGAAGATACTAAAACATAAAGAGATGAATAGAAAGAAAGACACAAAGGAACTTTCTTGTGGAAAATGAAGGAAGACAAAAACCTTCTGCCAATAAAGGAACAAAGAGGTAGCAAAGCGGGAAGCAGTCGATTGTGTTTTCTGCCAGCACACTGCCACTCAGGCTGAGGATATGCAACCCATGAGAGAGCTGTCTATCTGTCCTGCTTTAAAATGGGAATGGCAGGTCTGTAAGTGAAATGGACACATGTTTCCCATGTACCACTTATGATCCTTTTTTCTATGGGGTAGGAAATTGTAAGGGGTATTTGTAAAGTCCCTGCAAGTGAGAAAATTAAGATATTTTGAATACATCCTGAGTTTAACAATCTTATATTGTTTAAAAAATAAACATCTTTGAAAGGAAAGATGAAGTAAATATGGCCTTCCATAGGTTCAGTGATGTTTACTTACCACTACTGTGTGTTTTCCTTGAGTGAGTATAATTAAGCTGGGTGTTTTAGGGCTGTAAGTCAATGGGCTAATAGCAATAGCTGTAGTTATAGCATTTGCCTGACTGAATTATACAACAAAAATATGATTTCCCCAAATTCTAATTGCACTGGGGATGTTGACATCAGTAGTAATGAAAAAGAGGTTTTGTCATGATGACAAGCGTCTGAAGGAAAAGTCTTGTGTAGGTTATGTCATACCACATTCCTTAGGTGGTTTATTTACCCAGGGCAAGGCTTACAAGTGGGCAGATACCAAATATTTGGTGATTCTGAGGACACTTCTCTACAAGCATCAGTGAGCCTGGACAGCTGTGGTAGGGGCTATAGAAATGACCATTCCCCACTCCAAGAGTGCTTTGTGGACTATGGTGTCGGAAACATTCACTATCCCTTTGCAACTACTTTCCTTCCTCTATCCCCACTGTGGAACACGAACAAAGTTCCTCCAGCCCTGCAGATCGTGCCATCTCCATGCAATGTCCAGTGCCAAATTTAAGTCTCATTTCTCACAAAATGCTGTTCAGTATGGCGTAAGGCTGAGCGTGCGTGCTTTCCACCCAACAACCAGAGTTGAAATTCTGACTATTAATTCCTAGCTGTTACCGTGGCAAGTTAATGCTGTTGATCTCTGTTCTGTAAAGTGAAGATGACAACTTCTTGCTCACAGGACAACTGTGAAGATTCAGTGAGTTGGAGCGCATAAAAAGTCCAATGTCTTGCCTGTGTGTAATTGGCCTGCAATGATTGTTAACTCATTTTATTCATGGAAAGCTCCTGTGTGCTTAATATATATATATATATTTTAGTACTTGCTCCCTTAAACATCTGTTATAAAAGAGAACTACTTTGTCACTGGGGGTGTCATGGCGACCAAAGTGTTTGCCATCATAAAGCTCATATTCTAATGGGAGAGACACAACACACAAGTAAGTCCATGATTACATCGTACAACAACTGGTAGTGATCTAAGCGATGACGGCTGCAGAGTGACAGTGTGAGGTGTTGAGAGGAAAGGCCCTCTGAAGAGGTGCCATTTGAGCAGAAGTTAATGACGTGAAGATCCGGGAGAGGAACAGATGAGGTGAAGGGTGGCATGCACAAAGGTACTGAGTCAGGAACAAGCTTGGGGTATTCACAGAGATGCGAGAAGACCCGTGTGGCTGGAGAAACAAATACAAGGTAGAGAGGAACGGGAGGTTAAGTTAGATAAATAGGCAGGAGTTGTGCTGAGGAGTTGGTGCTGAATAAGCCCAGCTTGTTATAGGCCTTGCTATAGAATTAATCTTTCAGAAGTATGCGACCTGAATTCCATCATGTAAACAAGTGTGAGAGATGCTGAGGACACGGAGAGGACTTTCCCCAGCTCAATGTGGCACATAGGCACTCACTAGAGGGAGCAAGGTGGCCTTCTGCTGGGGGTGAGGGGTCTCCCCAGGAGATGGGAGCATCTAAAAAGCAGTCCCAGTGTTGCCTGCTGCCAAGAGGACAGGGAATCAATCACTGAGTGTTTCTGAGTTTATGGGCAATGCATTTAGGAAAGACCTCCTGGCCATCTAGCTTGTTACTTTGTAGACATACTTTGGGGCTCCAAAAACAAAGTTATCACTTGATGAATGGAAATAAGAAATAACTCTGAAAGTATATAAGAAGGAACAAGGAAAGAAGGGATTACTGCAAAAAAAAAAAAAAAGAAAGAAGTCCCAGTATTTCAGATCTTCACAAGTATGAATTGATTCAAATTTGCTTTTTGTAAAATAAAAGGTTGACTATTATTTAAATTTACATTTCATACTCACTAATATTTTACAGAATACTTCTTTTCATAACTATGTCATTAAATAATAGAAATGTAAAAAGAAAATGTGTTATTTTGGGGTAATCTATTAAGTTTGACAAGGACAACGAAGTATGAAATTGTACATTATAATATTCTTCTAAGTGATATTAAAATATGTATAATGTTCAAAGATAACATTTTCTACTATACCTTCCCTGATGTTCACTGTCTTTGTGCTTTTAACTGCTTATACACATGCCTTTTGGGCTTTAAGAACAGGTGTCTGCAGTAAGTTTGAGATATATTTAGAAAATAATATTGTTTATATTGTTTAAAGTGGGATGAAAGTAGTAACAGTAACAACAAACCTAACCGTGGTCCCACCTGGCATTCCTGCCCTTGTCTAATCTCTTTCCCCCACCCCGAGTGTGGACTGGCCTTAGTGATTCACTTGCAAGGAATTAGAATACAGTAGAAGTAATGGCATGCACCTGTGGAGGTGAGGCTATGAAAGCAGCTTCCAGAGTGGGCTCACTCTCTCCTTCCTTCTCTGTCTTCTGTCTCCTTCTTTCTTTTTCCCCTTCCCTCCTCCTTCCTTCTCCTCTCTCTCTTTCTCTCTTTCTCCTCTCTGTGTCTGTCCCTCTCTTTCTCCTTTCCTCTCTCCTCTCTTTATTCTCCCCTCTCTATCTTTCTCTCTCCCTCTCTCTCCTCTTTTTCTCTCTCCCTCCTGTTTCCCACCACCTGTCCCAGGAGAAGCAACTCTCCACGTTGTGAGCCTCTCCATGAAGAGGCCCGTGTGCTGTGGCCGGGAACCGTGACTCTTTGCCAACAGCTCATAGGAATTGAGGCCTCTTCATCCAGCAAACTGTGACAAACTGACACCTTCCAGCAATCACACCACGTGACTGGGCTTGGAGGTGGGTGTTTCTCCAGGAGTGACACCAAGCCCACCTCCCACTACCTCGCCAGGCCTCCCATGCCCAGTGGGGGTGGTAGAGGCTCCACTTCCACCAGGCCCTCCCAGGGCCTCCTGCCCTCTCCCACTGCCAGAGTCCCCCTCTGCATGCTGGGCTTTCTCCAGGGCTTTTTGGTTTTAGGAAGGAGGACTTGGGGTCAGGGGACACTCTGTAGGCAGACTCAGACACCCTTCTCTGCTTTTCTCCATAGCATGTGACATTACCACTTTAAATACTAGTTTTGAAAAATCAGACTATAAAATAATAAAGATATTACTAAGAAATAAAAATCTCCACATTCCAAGCTCCATTCTTTAACAGGCATATGTGATCTCACTTTTCTTTCAAAATCCAACTGTGTAATACCCACTTAAACATGGCTAGGAAAAGGCCCTCTTGGTAGCAGAATACAAATAAATCCATTTATCCTCCTGACATAGCTAACTTGCACTGTGTCCATTACTCCATCTTCTTTGACTTTTCCATAACAGAATTCTGCACTCCCCTACCTTCAGCTAAGAGTTCTCTTTGAAGCTACATCAAAGTTTATAACCTCTCCTTGCCACCCGTCTCCGAGGCTTCAGCCTGTGGGATGTAGCTGTAGGCAGGGGCTTCTCTCTTTAATGAGACACTGAGTCATCACTGGCGAAGGCAGCAAGTCCACAGCAGCTGTAAAAAAAGCACAATCTTCTCTTCACCTTTTACCAAATTCGTGTCTTTTAAAACTGAGACAAAAATGGAAATTTTCATCTTGTAAAATTCTGCTAAGTCTGTGGCTTCTTGTCTCATCTGCCAGAAATGTGACTTTTGTGGACTTTCTGAGTTTGTGCTTTCAGAATTCACTCCATCTAATAATGAGGGGGAAATAGAGGCGTCTGGTCTTAACAACTGCTCTTAACTGACTTGGGGAGGAAAATCTTGCCTGTTTTATTTTTTCTGATTAACATAGCTAAATATACAGCAGTTCCTGGTTTGTTTTTGAATGGTCACTCTACACAGTCTACAAAGTGGTAAATATGTAGGCATGCCAATATTAACATATGCAGGTATATTAGTCTGTTCTCACACTGCTATAAAGAACTACCTGAGACTGGGTAGTTCATAAAGAAAGGAGGTTTAGTTGGCTCACGGTTCTGCAGACTGTATAGTAGGCATGGCTGGGGAGGCCTCAGGAAACTTACAATCATGACAGAAGATGAAGGAGAAGCAGGTACATACTACATGGCTGGGAGCAGGAGGAAGAGAGTGAAGGGGGAGGTGCTACACATTTTCAAACAACCAGCGAGAACTTACTCACTATGCCAAGAATAGCAAGGGGGAAGTCTGACCCCATGATCCAATCACTTCCCACTAGGCCCCTCCTCCAACACTGGGAATTACAAATGGACATGAGTTTGGGCAGAGACACAAATCCAAACCATATCAGTAGGGTATAGTTAGAGAGAGTTTAATGCCATACTGTTTATTAGAGAAGACTCAGCTCTACCAATGCGCCGAAACTGATGAAGAATATATTTTGCATTTTCCTATCCTCTCTGAAAATTACAGCAAAGAAGTTAATGAAAATAAAATATATGCATAATATTTCTATCACATATCTCTATCATCCAGTGTTACTGTAATTCAAACCACCATTAAAGTCCTGTGTGAGAAATAAGATATGATCATCAACTTTCTTTTGGCAGGCTCTTCTCTAATACCTTTGTTTAAAAAAAAAATTAATAATTCATGTCACTATAGCTGAGGGCAATATTTTGAATACTTCTTTTGTGAATACAAGCATAGTAAGTAACTTTTTGGTTAATAATATAAAATAGTTTCTAGTTAATTTCAATTATGTAGAAATATTTTTCCTATGGTATTTTTGTTTCAGTGAAAATATCTCTCAAATAAACAGATAATGTGGTTTCTGGTGTATAACTAGCATTGCATGTAATTCTAATTTGGAGCCCCAGTAGTGGTGAAGAATTTATGTCGTCTGTACTTCTGAACCCTGGCTGCATATTAATATTAACTAGGGAACTTGGGAAAAAAAAAAACACCAGTGGCTCAACCTCTAAATCAGTTGATTTAGAGAATCAACAGATTCTCTAAAACCCCTAGAGAATCTGTTTTAATTGCTCTGATTAGGAGACAACACATTATTTTATTTTAAAACTCATCAAGTGATACTAAGGAAGGTTGAGGACCATGGTTGAGAATGAGTGATTTGTACTAATTGTATACTAATTGACTGCGTGTCCCTTAAAGCCTGGTGCATGTTTTTACAAAGTGATTAATTGATAGTCAACATAAAAATCAAAACTGTTAGGTTAATTAACAAACACCATTCCAAAAGAAAATCTTATAGAACAAAAATGTTTCAACAACACCTAAAAGACATTTTGATTTACTAATGATGTGTTTTATGAAAGAGAGATGCTGGAGGGAAGGAAGGAAGTTAGAGTACAAAATAAAAGTTCAATTATCTATGTCATAGTGAAAATGACATAGTGAAATAGTTTTGGCCATCTCTCTACATCTGTACTCAAAATTAATAAGAGTTTGCCACCCTTCAGGGTGGCTCTTGATTACCTGAGTTCATTTTATACAAAGATACCCAACCTACGGTCACTCACTAAATATTTTTGGCTTCATAAAGTTGATATTTTCATTAGAATAAAAACATCACTTCGTGTAGACAATTTCCTGGCATTTTCTTTTGCAATTTTATTTGTCTGAACTTTGGAGACCATTTGAGATGTAAGTTTTTGAGATAATGTTGTTTTTGTATTCTTCTAGATCCATTCAACAATGAGAAAATAAGATTTTCAAGAAACTACTTAATGTAGATTTCCTCGCTATAAATCATCACAATAATCTAAGTACAAAACTGTGACTGAATGCAAAATTATCTCCCTATCATATCTTTATTAAAATTATTAAAATCTCAAAGAATAAATTTTGCTTTGATAGTAATCTGAATAATTTTCTGCCATTTTTCCAAATGATTTTAAATGTAGTAGAAATCTTCCTCTGAGTAGGCTGGAGATGAAGGGGAAGAATGCAGATTCTGGAATCAGGAAATGTTCTGACATTTCAACTTGTCCCATGTCATTACTGTTTTTTTTAGTACATGTTTTAGAGTCTACACAACATATATATATGTTGTGTATATACATATATATATGTGTGTGTACAAATATATATATATGTTATCTTAAATCAACTCTCCAGAAATTTTTTTTGAATTGTCTGTATTGTACTGTTTATTCATATCCATCATTATTCACTTAGAAATTGCCTATTTCTGAACTCTGTATTATGAGAATAAAAGGCTGTACCTTAATCCATATACTCAAAATTTGTATATTATCAAAATGTTCCATTAAATTCTAGAAAATACTACCCATTAGAAGTTTCTGTGGGGATAAAAATGTTCTGTGTCTGTGCTGTCCAATATTAACACAGTGGCTATCAAAAATTTGAAATGTGGCTGGTACAACTGAGGAACTGAATTTTACATTTGAATTAATCTGAATTTAAATTTAAAAAGCCACATGTGGCTACTGGCTACCATACTAGATGATACAGTTCCAAGAAAAAAATTGCTATTAACTTAAGCTTTACTGTTAACCTTTCTTTAGGCCACAGGGAATTTTGGAAGTTTTGACTTGCTAAATTTTTGCAAGAATTTAGGTTTATGAATGGATTACTTTCAGGTGTTGTTTACAATACCAACAGTAAGCCATAAGCAGTTGGATAACTAAACCAGCAATACCTCAGCAGGAATGATAGGTTCTAACCTGAATTCTATGCCTGGAATTTTTGCTACAGAGAACACCTGGATGTGGTACAGTGAAAGCGTTTGCCTAAAATTTCCTTCCAAATTTCAACGATTACCTGGGCCTTTTCTCCTTTTTTTTTGCCCTATGACGATCTCCTTTGCTGTTCCCTCTAAAGAACTCACATTCTATTGTCTTCTTGTCCTCTTTTTTCTTTGCCTTTCTAAATAATGTTTCTCCCTCATTCATTGCTGCTACAGCAGAGTGGTGATAACATTGTGATAATGATCATGCACTTGGGGTAGGACACCTTTCTTTCCCAGGTGCATAACTCTCCTGCCAATGTGAGTATCTTCCAAGATGCTTGATCATTGTTGGTGCTCTTGGCTTTGCTTTTCACGTCTTTGCTAAGCCACCATAATGCGCTAAACTTGAGCAAAATGCCCCAGATGTGACCTCTCCAGACACTGCATAATGAAAACTGATTTATATTCAGCTCGTTTCTATGTTATGGAAGTCAGACAGATTGAGCCAATAGAGGGGTTTTGTTGTTATTATTTGTTTCTGCTTCTGTGAATTCAAAATCCCAAAGTCATTTTTTAATATCCATGCTTTCCCTTCTACTATCCTAATCTCATTTTATCATCATTACTTTCTGTTTGCTACATTGAATTAATTAAATTTCCTTTCAGTCCAAATAACAGATATCCCCATGTGTCCCTTAAGATGTAGAAAGCTCTTTCAAGTATATGTGATTCAAGTGTACATTTAACTTGTAACCTCAGCGTATAATATTTTTCCCTCCTATTTGAGAAAGCTCATATTTTTTCCCACTAAACATCTTTTTGCTAAGGATTTTTAAAAGTTGCCTTTATATTAGAATTTCTACAGAATGACTAAATTGCATTGTTCTTTCTCATGCGCTTTGGTCATATATACAAATCAAACCCCTTTGGGGTGTATCATCAAAAACACTGATTATTCATATCTGTCAAGATAATGCAAGCACACAGATTTTGTCATCTTTCCAGGAATTTTGTTCTAATAGAGGATACTAGACACATTTTTAAAATAAATGGATTTTTATTCTTGACTCTTAAAATTTGCCCTTGTCAATGTTAAGGAAGATAAAGGAATCCATGCTTAGGGTAACTGGTAATATTTTGCCAATATGTATGTCAACAAATAGATTATTTTTCACTGTTGCATTTCCATCTATTTTTTCTCCTTTATGTTAATCCAAAGTGATAAAAAGGCCAAGCTAATTAAAATACAAATTGGGTGAGAAGAATTTTTTCCCTGGCTAGTAAATGTTCAGTTGCAACCCTGAGTAAATTTTTACAGATGAGAAATAAATCCTTACAAATAGGTCTTGTAATGGAAACACTAGAATTTCTCAAATAAAAGTACTCCAATGGAAACCATTGTTAACGTGTGACCCAACTGTGATAGAGATGCATTTTTAATCCAGAAAATTACCACTTAATTAGTTGTTTATTATAATTTTGAAAAGTATCATTGAAAGATGAAATTCTCCCCTTTCCTCTTTTCTATGTCCAAACATAAGTATGATGTTTGGCAATTTATCATAAAAAACAATCCTCAATGTGGCATATTTATTTGAGAGCAAATATAAACTATAATTTTCTTTTGTTTAAATAGGCTTGTTCGTTTTCATATTTTCAGTGGCAAAAAGCTCTGGCAGAATCATTCTGAATAGAAAAATGTTCTTGATCAAATCACAATCTTCAGCTAATACTAATCAAAGTATTTAAACAGGATTGAACTGCATCTTTGAGGATATATCAGGAGAATGCTGTGTGGCCTCTCACCCTGCTCTGAAAAACAGAAAAAGACTTTTTTTAAAAATCGATCTTCTTAGAAGGAGGGAGTGAAGAAGATGAAATAATAAAATTACTCTACGTTCCTTAACAGGGTTTCAAGCTTTAGCTTTAGCTTATAATACTCTAGCAGGAGTCTAAGTCTATCTGTTTTGTTCTCTTCATGAAAAAAGATTGTTAAATATAATAAAATCACAACTTAATAACTATTGAGATAAAATGTAAAGAAATGGCTGTATGATGTGAACTGAATATAAGACAGAAAGGAGCTGGGCCTTGAAGGGTGCAGAAAATGATTTTGTTGTTGTTATCGTTGTAAGGAAAACTTACCCCTGAAAATTTGTAAGAAAATATTTTATATTTACCCCTGATGCTTATCTTATAATTAAATCAAAAGTACACAGATGAAGAATATGCAAAATGCTCTGGGTTTCAGGAACCTCATTGTGCAGAATGAGATAGAGGAGGGTGGGCGGAGAGAGAGGAGGACGCTTGGGTACCTGCGAAGCCAGCAGAGATGACAAGATGAGTTG
Organism: Homo sapiens; assembly: GCF_000001405.40. Classification (NCBI taxonomy): domain Eukaryota; kingdom Metazoa; phylum Chordata; class Mammalia; order Primates; family Hominidae; genus Homo; species Homo sapiens. The sequence continues at coordinate 107,245,992 of NC_000013.11, read as the reverse complement.
ATTTGTGGAGAAAGGTAGTGTACTCTTATCTTACAGGTGCTGAGTGTTAAGTTGGAGGTAGGGGTGGGGTGCTCATTCAGGAGGAACCATGCACACTCCATTCAGGATGTGGGGCCAGATCTCAGTAGAATCACAGTATTAGAAAGAGATGTAGGAATTTGGGAGTCATCTACAGTGAAGTGACAAATCTCTTTCAATGGTGAATGGGTGCTTAATTTGGGCTGAATATAAAAAAAAAGAAATCCCTTATTTTAATATTTTTGAAAGAAAGTTATTTTGGAAAAAACAATTGAACAATATGACTTCTTCCCGCCTGGGTGATAGGCTCTTTTAATCGATATGATTTTTTCAGCCTCTTATGGCAAACATTTCTTGGAAGAAATATACAAAGGAGAAAAACAGCAAAAAGAATATTTAAGCTATCAATGTATAAAATGATCTTGTTAGGACTTATTTTACAGTAAGGATTTATTATTAGATGCAACTATTTTGAAAATGAATTGACTTGGAAATCAGAGTTATTACTTGGTGAGATAAGAGGCTGAGCCAGATAACTTGGAGGCCTAAATGTAGACAAAAATTATGATCCAGGGAACAGGCATTTCTTGCATGTAATTCATGAAACATAATTTAAAAAAACACTTTATTCTGGACTTCACTTTATACTAGAGACATCGTGAAAAGTAAATTTTAAAATTTTGACAAATTTTTGACTTTCCAGTGATCCACGTGAAAACCATGCTTTTCATTATATAGAAGTAGCTATCATTATATTATCATTAAATAAAGCAAAAAAGTAGTGTTCACTTAGTCGCTTTGTAAATACATTGCCAATTTTAGAAACAAACAATATTACAAAGCCATAATGATTATCCCACATGGGCACTGTGGATGCATCTTTCTGATTCTGGTACCTCAAAACTAAAATTGCTATCTCCAGCTATTGTAATAGCTACTCTATAAATTAAAGTTAGTGTTAAATTGAAAAATGACAATATTCTTGCTCAGCCAATACATTATAAAGTATGAATGGCTCTTAGTGAGTTCATTGGGTCTTAAATAAATAATAGGAAACACATATTTATCTCCACTACCTACTGATGATCAATTAGGATCAGAGGTAACTCAGTGTATATGGAAGCTAAAAAAATTAGTAGGCAAATATTGAGCATGTCTTTCTTTGAACTTTATAACAACAACTTACCCTTGGAAATAGTTTTACAATGTGTAAAATGGTTTCTCATATACCAACCATAGACTGCCTTTCTGTGTTTTCTTTTCAAAAACATGGTGTGAAAGGTAGAGAGATACTGTTTTCATCGATGAAGAATTTGTTTGCATCAGCTACAAAAATAGGACTACTCAGACTAAAGGGAGGGGGTAATTGAGAGATTAGCTTCAAAAGATGTACAAAAAGCAAATCACAGAAGCTCCAAAAAAACTAGATTGACACAGAGGATTTCTTTCAGAAAAATAGACACATCTACCCTTGCAGAAAACTCATCAGTCATCTTAAGAATAAAGGTCATATTCATCTTGTCTTTCAGACGAAAACAAATGAATCAACTCATAATATGCTTGGTCACTATGATAAAGCTCATATAGCTTTTACATAAGAAGTAAATAGGGGATGTGGCATTAATTCACAACTCTTGAAAGTGACAGCACATACTCTATCAATGGTGTGCCTCTTTGAATTGAATGTAAGACCATCAGAAAATGACAAGAAACATCTTTTCCCTGAAAAATCGCTATGGCAATTCCTATTTATTTTATAAAATTCCAAACTTTGCTCTCTCCCCGTGTTTTGCAATGTCATTGCACAGAGTCAGTATGAACAGGAGAATAATTTATTGCAGAATGTGAAATGACTTCCAGTGGAGGGAAAATTATATAGCTAATTTTGATACAAAATAATGGCACAGATTGTTATGAAGTCCATGATATGCCTTTTAATTGATGAGTTCACTACAAAAGGCAAATTTCTGCAGAGTCCAGGAGGCTAACCTGATTTTTGTGACTTCAGAAGCTTTTGGTATTGCTTTGTCCAGCCAATTAATTAGGGTAGGAGGTGGAAGCCCCCCATTTCTTTGGCTAAATTGGGTGAATCACAGAATTCACAGCATGGAATCCAATGGGAATATCACTTCTCTGTGTCCTGCTTGCCGCCGCCTCCTGTAGCCACAGCAGAGGCTATGCTTTTGTTTATGATCCCCATCAGCTCTGCTCATATGTGCAGCATGACCTGCTTATCTAACACGATAGATAAAAGAAATAAAAAATAAAGCTTTAAAACAAATAAGGAGACCAGAAGAGGAGGTAGCGTTAAATGTCTCTAGTTCTTTCTCTACAAACAGATGCACAACTCATTTATTTATCCATTCATTGCTTCCAGAAATATTTACTGAGTTCCTACCATGTTCCAAGAATTCTGTATCAACAAAGGCAGATACGGTCTTGACTTGGTCCTAGGTCTTTTAGAGATAGGGTTTGGATGGGGACAGGCAGGAATCAAGTACACAAATACATCAACGGCATGCATTGTGATACGTGCCCTGGAAGAACTGGTGGCAGCTGTGCCAGGGAACAATGGGGGTCAGGGCTGGGGATGCGCTGAAATCACCTGCGTGGCCCAGGGCAGGGGCTCACTCTGAGGAGATGACATTTAAGTTGAGATCTTAAGAAGGAGAAGGAAGGGGTAGAGGACAAGGGAGGTGGCATTTCAACACATAAAATATGTAAGATGCATAAAGAGCTCAGCCTGTTCAAAGAAAGGAAATAGACGCAGCGGCAGACTTTAGGGAGAGAGATCCTAGAAAATGGTGGAGCCCCAGGCAGCGGTCAGGTCAGGACGAGGCCTGACAGGGGAGACATTTGGGTGCAATTCCAAGTGCAATGAGTGGACAGGAAGGGCTTGAAAGAAGGAACGATGGCATTTGGGTCATCCTGGCTTCCTGCTGTGTGGAGATGAATCGCACTGGGGCCAGAATAAAAGTGGGTGGCTGAGAGGGAGGGTGGCTTGGCCTAAAACTGTCATGGTGGTAAAGGGAAGAGACACCTTGGAGACTTCCTAAATGTTCTTTGGAGGGTATGGTTGACAGGGAAGAATATTAGTCTATTTTGTGATAGAGTACAAGTTGGAAGGTAGTTGAGAGCTCACCTGTCCAACAAATTGAGTTCACTTAGAAAACCCAGAGAACTTGTATAACCTACAAGTTATACAAGGTTATATAGAACTTGTCTCTCACCTAAAGAGAGACGGAGACTATAAACCGAGCCTTGTTTCCACAATGGCATACTGCAAAATGGATCATTTAGGTAAACAAAAAGGCATAAGTAATGAGCAGACGGCTGTCACTTTGAATTATTTATGAATTGTGTTAATTAATGTTAATCAATTAATTAAAAATAAATGTAAATTAATTCAAAACATATCATTCATAACTTATTCAAATATTATGTAAGGGCTGTAATTTACCAGTGGAAAAAACCAACATGCTACTTAATTCCATAAGATAGGCCAAAGAAACCCCCTTGTCCCAGAGGTGCCTGTTCTTCCACCTTTCCCTTTAATTCCTCCTGGAGGTCACAGCCTGACAGCGCCTGCTGGGCACTCACCTGGAGCAGGACATTGAGGAGGAGAAGGGAAGGGCCTTCCCAGCATGAGGCCTCCTCCTCCCACCCAGCTTCTATGGCCGCACTGTGAGGACACTCGGCTGCTTGCAGGAGAGGGTGGAAACGGGAGAGGAGGAGGAAGGCCAACTCTGTGCTTAGAACCGCAAGGTCTTTGATCAAGGATTGTCGAAGACCCTCTTTGAAGATATATTTACAGACTCTTCTGAGCTGGGAATGCTGGATAGGAAACAGGTTATCCAGGCCAATTTAAACCAATTTAAAAAGTAGAGGGCAGTGAATAAATGTTCCAAGGGCTTAAGAACTTGTTTTTATTTTCAATAGCAGAAGCAGTGCCAATAGGAAAATAATGTTTCCCAATATCATCTAGAGTCAGCAGGCCCTCCCAAGTGTCCCAGCCAAGGCACTTTTTTATGAGATGCTTTGCTGCCAGGGCCTGGGGAGCCATTCCGTGGGGTATGTCTTCCAGGAGGAAGGGGACTGCTGTCTCCACCAACCCTCTGCTAACTGCTCTGCACAGCACTTCATATTTATGTGTTTCATAAAACCAATTTCAATAAGCCTGGGACACAGGCATTCCCACTTTGCAGGTAAAGGAACCGAGTGTTAGAATAAGTGATGTTAACAAGATCCTACAGATAGTAAGGAACTGCAAAAATCTGTGCCAGGCTTTCTAAGCAACTGCAGTACAGACACCCAGTGTACGCCAGACACTGCTGTAAGGGCTTTGCCTGTATCGATCCTTAAATCCTCACAGCAACTGAAGTGCTAAGTGTCATGATGAGCCTGTTTTTATACATGGGCAGAAGCTGAGGCACAGTGGGTTTAAGGAACGTGCTCGTGGTTACACAGCTAATGGGCTACTGAGCCAGGAGCTGAAGGGAATTCATGCTCTCATTGAGTAGGCGCCATTAACTTTATTAAAATTGCAGAGAATTATTAGCAGCTTCCTGCTGTTATTATCGCAGCTTCCTCTATGACCCCACTCCAATCTGCTAGAGATCACATCACTGTGTGGTGCTCGGCGAGGACATCCACGGCCCCTTTCAGTTCAGGTGGTCTTCATATCTGATATGAGAAAGATTGAGGAGATGATAATGAGGCTTTTGGCTATGCTGGAAGTGTGTGCATATATATATACACACTTAGAAGTCAAATATATATTTGAGACAAAGTCTTACCCTGTCGCCCAAGCTGGAGTGCAGTGGTGCAATCTCGGCTCACTGCAACCTCTGCCTCCCGGTTTCAAGCAATTCTCCTGCCTCAGCCTCCTGAGTAGTTCGGCTTTTTTTTTTTTTTTTTTTTTTTAGTAGATATGGGGTTTCGCCACGTTGGCCAGGCTGGTCTCAAACTCCTGACCTCAGGTGATCTGCCCACTTCAGCCTCCCAAAGTGAAATATCAGTTCTTTTTAAATTTCCCAGTCTCAGGCATTCTGTTTTAGCAGCAAAAAAAGAACTAAGACACCATTCTAAGACATAGTTCTTGTACTTAAAATACCTTTACTTGCAACACTCTCCCATTCCACTTGAATTCAGTCTTAAAAAAAAAAGGTGAAATATCTTTAGTTTGACAGTTTCCTCTTTGAATAATAATGTAAACACTTAAAAATTTGAAACCACACTCAAACATACTGACCAAAAAATCTAATTTATATTTTAATGGAATTCTTAAAAATGTGTCCTGATACAATATACTACAGAGTTTCACCTTAGATCAGGTTGGTTCTCCACGTGTATTTTCTAAAGCACGTTTTATAGTTAAGAGCCAAGGTGTAGTCTGAATGGAGTGCCCTTATCTTTCTACATCTCAGTTTTCTCAGTTATTATACAAATGATAATAGATAACCACTTACTAAATACATATTTCAAAGCCATGAACTTCTTTAAATCTAACAAAAGTCCCATTGTTATTGTCATACTCATTTTGTAGGTTAGGAAACTGAGATAGAGATGAAGTGAACTTGCTGTTATAGTGTGTTTGGACTACTATAAAAATCTACCAGAAACTGGGTTGCTTATAATCAACAGAAACTTACTTCTCAGAGTTTTGGAGGCTGGGAAGTCCTAATTCAAAGAATGGGTAGATTTGATGTCTGATGAGGCCTTGGATTGGTCCATAAATAGCCATCTTCTCTCTGTGTCCTCATATGGGAGAATTTTAAATTAACTACCTCTTTAAAAATCCCATCTCCAAACACAGGCACATTCTGAGTTACTGGGGCTTAAGGCTTCAGCATATCAACTTTGTAGGCATACAATCCAGCCCATAACACAATTATTACATTCACCCTTCATTTTGACTTCTAAGTGTGTGACTTGTAAGTGACATTCCTACCAACAGAAATTAACTTTCTTACCAGATTTGATTTAATGCAGCCTTAAAATTCAGAAATTTAGAAATCTCCAGGTGTCTTTGACCACCATGATGCCCTTGTGGTGGATTCCTTCCCATGGTCCCTCTCCAGCAGGTGGCTTTCTCCCTGCTTCATAAGTGCTTGTTTCCCAAAGGCTGTGCTGCTGTTCTTCTTTCCCTTCATACCTATTGGGAAAATACGTATTTTGGGGTGTGTTGGTGGTGTTTCTATTTTCATCTTAATCCCCAGTCTCTCTTCTGAGCTCTAGACCACTATGTCTTTTCACCCAATAAGCTATTTTCACCCAGTAAGACCACTACATTAATTGGCTTCCTCTTTAAACCATGTTTTAATACTTTCTTACAATAAATAACACTAACTTATCCAAACTAAAATTTTGATACTTGTTGGAGGTTGAATTGTCTTCTCCCAAAAAGATAGGTTGAAGTCTTAACCCTTGGTCCTTGTGAATGTGACCGTGTTTGGAAATAGGATCTTTGTAGATGTAATCAAGTTAAAATGATGTCTTTAGGATGGGCCCTAATCCAATATGACTGGTGTCCTTATAGAAAAGGGAAGTGCCATGTGAGGACACAAACGTATAGGAGAAGGCCATGTGACCAGAGAGGCAGAGACTGGCGTGAAGCACCTGCAAACCAGGGAGCACTGAGGGTGACCGGCAACACCACAGGCAGGAGAGCGGCACCGAACATTAGCTTCTCCAGGAGCCTTGGAGAGAGCATGGCCTGTCGGCGCTTCAGTTTTGGCCTTCTAGCATCCATAACTGTGAGAGAATAAATTCCTGTTGCTTTAAGTCACTCAGTTGGATTACAGCAGCCCTCGGAAACTGATACATTATTCAATCTAAAAATTCCTTTTTTTTCTTCATCTTTCACATTCAATCAATCACTTTGTCCTGTGTTAATTTGACCTTCTGTAAATTATTCCACCTGTCTTCTCCTTTTCATCCTTAAAGTTTCTGCCCTAGTTTGAGCTTTCATATTTCTTTTTGAATATTTCCATGTTATTTCTCTTTCTATAATCTTGCACCATTAAAATCCATCCCCCATACAGCTGTTAAAATGATCTAACAAAAAATATCTCTGAATAACGGTCCCCCTTTTTAAAAATCCTGTATTATTCTGTGACTCCTCTTCAAAGTCAAGCTAAGTCCAAGTTTCTTGGAATGACTTAAAAGGCCCTATTTCCATGACCTCACCGTTGGGTTTCATAGAACCTGCTGCCTGCCCTGCAATTTACAAGAACAGTTAGTTATTTGATATTATCAGCCTACTCAAAAGCACATTTTCCTGTGACTTTTCCTTGTTGCTTTTGTACTGTCTGCCTGGAAAGCCCTTTTCTTCTTAATTTCCTAGGCTAACACCTACTCATCATCCTTGATTCAGCTCAGATGAGGCATCTTGAACTTGCCCTGTCCTGGCCGCATGTGCTCCCACAGATTTTTACCTTCGATTAAATGGGTACTGTCTTTGTCACACTCTTCAGTGGACTGAGAGCTCCTTGATGGCAGGAGCCATCCCCAGTCAGCAGAGGGCCCGGCAGAGCTGCATTTACCTGACCTGACTCCTTGCCTGACTAATACTCCATCCACCCATCTTAACAAAAAGCCGTGCTACTCATGTCCTTCTCACCTTGCAAACAGCATTTACTGATTGGATGCCATTCAAAGTGCCCTTCCTCTAATTCTGAGAGGAAGATGAGGGCTCAGAATTTAAATGATTTGTCTAAGACCCCATGCTGGGTGAGCAGTGATTTCACACCCTCCATGGGTTGTGCTGCACCATGCTGGCTCTATGTTATATGGATTTGACCCCTGCAACAAGTCATATCTGCTTAACAGGCAAAGCCCTTCTTGTAGGTAGTTTAGCTCCATCCTAAAAACTGAGCCTTATTTTAAACGGTTAGCTTGTACATTTTATAGACCTCTGGATTCGAGATAACAAATTTCTTCATCATCATGGTTTATGTGTCCCTTATGGGAGATTTTACACACACACAGGTATACACATACACTCTATCTTCTAGTGTGTATGTTAATGGCTCCAGGATGTGTATATTAAACACCAATCTCTCTGCTGAGATAGGGAATATATCTCTCCTGAGTGAGAGAGATTGATGTTTAATAAACCAATGTGTCCAATTGACTCACTGCTCTTTTCACCCAATATACATATATGCATATAATATTAATCCTGTGGATTATTATATATTAATGATACAAAGTTGTCCCTCTGCATCCATCTTTGAATTCAACTGTGGATGGAAAATCTTGTTGCTGATGTGTACTATGTAGTCAGGCCTACGATGGTTGCATTTGTGCTGAACATGTACAGGCATTTTTCTTGTCATTATTCCCTAAACAATATAGTGTAACATCTAATGACATAGCATTTACATTGTATTAGGTATTATAAATAATCTAGAGATGATTTAATGTATACAGAAAGATGTACTTAGGTTATATGCAAATGCTACCCCATTTTATATGGGAAGCTTAAGCATCTGTGGATCTGGGTTTCCAAGGGGTGGCCTGGGACCAGTCCCTTGAGGATGCCAAGGGACAGCTATATACGTTTTTGGGTTATAAGTGAGATAAGTACAACAAAATTAGGAGGCAAGACACTGCATACTTCTGATTTTTTTGCTTTTCTTCATACTTAGTTCTTTAATGTTCTACGTTATTATATTCTAAATATATGTTTTAGAACTAACTATTGACATAGTTTAACTTTCTTCATACTTTCTCCATCCAGCCTTTCTCATTATATATTTCTAGTTCAGTAATTTCAAAATAATTAAGTTTCTAGTCTAAATTATTTATGATATATAAATTACGTATTTTGTCTGTGTTTATCATAATGCCCTATAATCAAAAACAGAAAAAAAAAAAAAAAACCACATACAGTTTTCCCTTGGTATCTGTGTGGGATTGATTCAGGACCCCTCAAGGATACCAAAATCCAAAGATGTGCAGTTCCCTGATATAAAATGGTGTAATATTTCCATATAACCTACATACATCCTCCTGTATACTTTAAATCACCTCCAGGTTACTTATAATACTCAATATGATGTAAGTGCTATGTAAAATAGTTATTATGCTATGTTGTTTAGGGAATAATGACAAGGAAAAAAGTCTACATGTTCAGTACAGACAAAAACATCCTTTTTTTCCAAATATTTTTTATTTGAGGTTGCTTGAATCCATGGATGCAGAATTCACAGATATGGAGGGATGACTGTAGATGATAGATAGATAGATAGATAGATAGATAGATAGATAGATAGATAGATAGATAGATAGATAGATAGACAGACAGATGGATAGATAGATAGTGCCATAATTAAGCTACCAAACAGGGAGATGAGATTCACAGTTTCTATTCCATGGATTTGATACTAATTTGATGTCTAGCATTAAGAAACACATCTCTTTACATTTGTTTTCTAGTTTTCAAATTGGAATTATTATGCGCTCTGGGGACTCTTCTGATTTGGGAGTCTAGAGATCTGCTGTCTCTGGACTGTGCCAGGGAAAGAAACCATGCTCCTATTTTTTATCCCAAAAGGAGCCTTGCACAGTGTCCGAAGAGAGTGACTTTCCAGCCAAATGCAGCTACTCTGGAACATTTGAAAGTTACTCCTCTATAGGGGAGATTGAGGCTCCCTGCTTTGAAAGCCTGAGAAATTTTGGTACTTTGCTGGTCCTTTATCCCCATCCAGTAAGCATCCTCTGTGTCCTTTTTGCAGACAGCATGTCTGAGACAGAATGTTGTGACCTACAAGCTCCAGCACAAGCTAGAGAGCAACCAACAATAGCAGGCCATAGGGACCGCAGTCTGCCTACGCCAGCCTTTCCTACTATCTCAAGCAGGGACAGAAGTCAGAAGTGGGTGCATTCCTGCTGCAGATTGCTCCTAGGCACTATTAGGAGACAGTGAGGGACTGAACTCATCTATGACATTTGTGCTATTCTTTTGGAGTATTCTTTCCTCTGTAAAATGACTTCACGTTCTACAATAGTGTTTACAAGTGAAGAAAATGCCTTAACATGTCCCCAAAACATGGGAGATGATAGTAGAAACACAATGCCTTTCATCTAGTAAACCCACACTAAACACTAATGGAATGACTGGAATCATATCAATCACCACCATTTGTGATTTCGTGTAATTCTGTCATAACTCTTTAGAAAATGCTTGATGGAAAGTGTTCCTGAAAATGGTGTTTCTTTGAATCACACAGGCAAACAAATGACAGACAGCCCTCTGTATCGATGGGTTCCAAATCTGTGGATTCAATGGACTACAGATTGAAAGTATTTTTAAAAATGGATGACTGCATTCATACTGAACATGTACGGACTTTTCTCTTGTCATTATTCTTTAAACAACACAGTAAACTATTTGCATAGAACTTACTTTGTTTTTAGTATTATGAGTAATTCAGAGGTGATTTAAAGTATATGGGAGGATGTGCATGGGTTATATGTGAATACTACCCCAATTTCATGGACAGGAATTGAGTATTCATGGATTTTGGTATCCTTTCAGTGTCCTGAAACTGATCCCCTGTGTATATCAAGGGATAACTGTACATTGCATTTGGATGCAATGGCTTTTTTTAAAAAAAAAGAAAAGTAGGTGTTGACAAACCTGGATTATTTTTATGTTGCTGTTTGGGCAGCAGAAATTTTCAATAGAGGCAATTATTAGCACATACATAATAATTAACTATTTCCTTTCTGGGATAACTTGAATAATAGGAAGACAGTGCATTCTGATCATAAATATTACTTGTTTTATGGATTTCTACTAAGATTTCTAATAAGTTATACAACGATGAATGGTGTTGTGGTGCATTTGTCAATGAAGTAATTAAAAGCAGAATTATACAGAAAAAGAATGTAAAAGCTAAAACGTGGGCATGATGGATATTTTCAGGCTTTCCTATCCAAAGGAAGGCTAAATGGGGATGAATCTGAGATGAGAATCATTAAGCTGAAGGAGGTGGAGAGGCGGTGGGGCATGGGAGCTGTACTGTGGCTCGTTAGCATTCAAGAAAGCAGAACATGAGGATTTTCATGTCATCAAGTCTGCCTGAAATGTTAGGAAGGGATTCTGTGTGTCAATCAGTCAAACTGTCATTACCAAAAATAGAGATGTCATAGGCCAGTTCTTAAGTATAACCATATTGGAAGGCATTTAAAATTCTTAAAGCAAAGGAGAAGAGCTGAAAATGCTCTTGGTTTTTTGTTTTGTTTGTTTTGGTTTTTTTTTCTAAGCTTATGCTGGATACAGTAGCAAGGACTTGGGGGACGTCACTTGCCATCCCTGACTTAGCAAAGCCAGATAACCTTTGGTGAGGGAGAGCAGATGATCTCGGAGGTTCTTCTGTTTCTTTTTCACATGACCCAGTAACTGCTGAGCTCAGGGCCGGCTGACAGGCAGTGCTGGGCGGACCCTCGCAGCCCTGCCGGGGCTGGCTGTCCCGCCTGTCTTTGATGTTTATAAAAATGGCATCCTCATTAAAGCAGAGAACACAAAATCCTGCCACCTCAAGGACACGTATCCCTTCATGAAAGGATAATCAGGTCACTGTTTGTCACAGAATCTGCTGTGCAGGTTGTTGTCTTGTGCCTGGGGAAAGCAGGCAAAGTCACCGAGCATCTCCCTGGTGAAAGAGGGGCTCACCTAAGCCCCGGGGAAAGTTGCCCTTTCCACTTGATTCCAACAAGGTGCACATTTGCCTTATTTAAAAATATAGGAAGGAAAGACAGAGAACGTTTGAAAGAGCATGTCAATTCATCACTCTTTAAAAACAGAGCATACAGAAACCTCTATTTAATTGTGCTGGAGTTTAGAATATAACACTGGCCCTAGTATTTAATTTCTCATTCGAAACTCTGGATATGGAAACCACAGTTAATATGAACTACTGGAAAATCCAAGGTTTTTCAGCAAGATACTTCTGCAGTTCTACTGCTGTTCTGTTTCTCCTATAAATTGTACAGTAATGTAATAATTCAAATAACAATGTCATAAAAACAATGTAGTAATAGAATAAGCTTGCATGGTGTAATAATCATGTCATATCATCTATAACTGCTGACTTTATTATTTGATCAGTGATGTAACTAAAAAGCACTCTGTATGTATGTATTTTAAGCTTTTCCTCTCTCCCTCACGCTCTCGCTGTGGCATTGTGTGGTAAATGTAGTTGTTCAGGCACTGAATTCAGTTTAGCTAGTACAGTATTGATTGTTGCTCTGCTCTTCCTGCCTGGGATCTGCTTATGTAACATGTAGCAGAGCCAGATAGAAATCAGCCTTTGCAACTCTGTAAGCAAATCACTTACATATATTTTTTTCCTCTTTTTCCCCCAAAATCTTGGCTGCAATTGCCTGTTGGGGGTGTTTTCCACTTAGATATTTATTTCAATACCCAAAGAGGTCCTTGAAGTCAAGATTTTATGAAGATTAAGATGGATAAAGAATTATTGAGTCCACACTATGGAACGTGATACCTTCATACATTCTACTAAATGGCTAGTTTATGTTTTCATACACAGTGGAGTACAAATGCTTCTTGTTTTAACTTGTAATCTTTTCTCACTGAAAAAAGATGATACCACTACTGATCGATGACTGAGAAAACTGCCTTGCTATGGTCCTTTGGTTGTGTTATCATGTGTCTCACCTTCTCCTGTACCTGTATTTCCAAATTTCTTGCTGGTATATGGAATTTTTCTGATATGAGTGTTCAAATTATGACTTGGGGAGATATCTCTGTGTTTATGTTTGTACTTTTTCAAAATACATAATTAAAGCAGATCCCTTTTCAACTTAACTGTTTTAGTTGTTTTATGTCAGTTCTTAAATGCATAGAATTAAAAGCTTCCCCTTCAACCCAAAACACTTCCCAGAAAGAGAAGCAGTACAGCCGGTCAGAAAAGAATATGGGGACTGAAGGTGGTCCGTTTGGATCCAATCTTGCAACTAGCAACTGACACTAACTACCTGTGTAACCATAGGCAAGTGTTTTGGCTTCTCTGAGTCTCAGTTCGTGTATCCATAAAGATGGGGAAAGCAACACTGCCTACTGCATGGAATTATCTGGAATGTGGTAGGAGCACAACATATGAAGCTTCTGGAACAATCACTGAAAAAGAGTGAGTGCTCGAAAAAAATTGCAGGCTCTTTTTATCTTTTGCTTTATTAATTGTCCAGGAACTGTGCACAGAATCTCTTAGCATGGAATTTTAGCTCCCTGTTTCTGAGTCTTCCGCATCCAGCCCAAGCAAGTGCCTCATCATTTCAGCCTAGATCACCGATGAAGCAAGAAATATTATTAAAATAATGTGATATCGGAAATTCTAAGTACATATTTAGCAACTTGGGCTGATTCGTAGCTATTGTGAAGAAGAGCTCCTTTGTGACAGTTCTTAAAGGATTGGCTAAGATGATTTGTGATTAGGATAATGTATTTAATTGATTTCTAGGTCAGTTGGTTAAGGAGAATCAACATCGAATCTTAGAGATAGGAGGAATCTGTTAATACTGCATCATCTTTTCTCAGTTCGCTCATAATGGAAATCTCTAGTGTTTTCTATAACCTCCAAGATGATTTCTAGTGACCGCGACCCTCTCCATCCTGGAACAGACTCCCCTTTATCAGATAGTCTTACCGGTTCGCTCCATTGTTCCCCTGATTTTGAACTTCCCATTTGTACATCCTCTAATGTAGATGCCAGGCATCCAGGGTAGGAATAACAGGGCATGCCCTTACCTACCTAATTACCTTGGCTTTGTTTCAGAGCGCTTACGTAATGGCGACTGCAAAGGAGGAAATTGCTGTCATTTGCAGGATTGACGTACATATCGTCTCTCCATTCTTCCCAGACCTGCCTTGTTAATGTTTAAATATAGATGCAAGTGCTTGATCAAGGCTTGCTTATTAGAAGTGCCCTAACTTTCATAGTAATTCCATGTCTTTGACACTCAGCCATTTTCAACTCTATTTTTAGAAAATAAAAAGAAATAGATTAGAAGTGCTTAAAAATGCTGGACTACTTTCTTATGAGATGAAACATCAAAACTTTCCTGCTCCTAGGGAAGCTATCTACAGTCGTCCGACCAGCAGAAGATTTAAAAGGTTTCTAAAGGGCAACTAGCATTTTCAGTTCTCCTTCCCCTTTAACTTCATGCCATATTCTGTGGCCCTGCCAGGGTTGCTAATTTCAAATGCGCAAATCAGTTTTGATATTCCAAGTCACAAAACAATTAATAGTTCTCCATCAAGGAAAAAGATAATTTTTTGCGTAGCTCAAAAATAGCTTTTTTGTATATTACAGTCAGAAGACCTTGAAGAAGAGCTGCTAGTAAAACCAAAATGTAGTTGGTTCATAGAGATGCTGAAATTCGAGAGGTGAAAAATATGGGACATAGATTTGTTGTGTGAAACTCTTCCATGTAAAGACGTTTTTTTCCTAGTCTGAAGGTAATGCAACTTCAAATAGTTACAATTATTCACAGCACGGGTTGGGGGAAATATACCAGTATTATAAACCATGAAGAGAACCACGATCTGAAGGCTCCACTGTCCAATAAATTATACCTATATAATGTTTAAAATCATTAATATTGTAAAAGATATTTGAGATAAAACTGGCAAAAATATGCAAATAACTGAGGAAATACGAAGTTTTTTATTTAAAAGTTTTTGTCTCACATGAACATCTTTCTTCTATTCCCATCTTTACTCCAGTGGGGTAAATATTTTTACAAAACCTATATTTGCCAATTTTTCATTTCAAAGCAAATTCTACTTACTTTCCTTTGGTAAATTATAAGCGCTTGTATCTAGAACCACAGCTATAGCTGCCTTTTTGTTTTTTCTTTTCTTCCTTTTTTTTTTTTTTTTTTTTTGGCCGGGTCTTGCTCTGTTGCTCAGGCTGGAGTGCAGAGACACAACCATGGGCTCACTGCAACCTCAACCTCCCAGGCTCAAGCAATCCTCCCACCTCAGCCTCCTGAGTAGCTGGGATTATAGGCATACACCCCAATGTCTGGCTAATTTTTGAATTCTTTGTGGAGATGGGGTCTCACTATGTTCCCCAAGCTGGTCTTGAATTCCTGGTCTCAAGTGACCCTCCCACCTTGGCCTCCCAACGTGCTGGGATTACAGCCATGAGCCACTAAACCTGGCTTAACACTGCTTTTTTCAATGTTTATCAAAGTGTCCCCAGTCGTTCGTGTTATCTCTTCCTGGCCCAGCTATCTTCTCTTCTCTCTCTTCCTCTTTCTTTAGTGCTTTCTGTGCTTCTATTTTCTCTTGGCACATCTTCTTTGTATTTCTCACAATACCTACTAGGCAAGTAATAAATTTTTATTATCTTTATTTATTATCTTGAAGTTTGTAATTTTCCCCCCATAATTCTATTTCTTACATCTTGAAAGGCAAAATAAAAATAATAATAATAATAATGAGGATGGATGGAGATAAATACAACGTCAATATATTCACAATCAATATAGGCTTTTTCACTTCAACATGCAACCACAGATAATGCTGACCTTATTCTATGCTTTTAGCTCCTATGCATAGATATAGAGTTACTTTTGAAATTTAAGGGAGTATAGAGATGAGGGAGAGAAAAATAAAGGTGCCCTACCTTTTATGAGTAGAATACATTTTTTTCTTCCTGTTTAAAATCTAGAATTTCTAGTTTACTAGATTAAACCATATGAAATTGCCATTTTTATGGACCAAAAATGGTTGCATATCAGAAATTTCATATGGCTCAACTTAATAAAGTTAATGTACTCATGACATAATATTAATTTTCATTCAAAAGTGTTTCTATCCATAAAGAGAGGAGGCCGAATCTGCATGAGGCATCTCTGGGTGCCTTTCCCATAGTCACCTGGCAGTAGCTGACCCGTGATTTCACCAAAATACTAATTATCCTTCCCCTCAAGGGTAAAATCATATGCAACAGGACTTCTCTCTACTTGGCCCAATCTTCCATCGCAGAATGCAATGGTGTCCCTTCGCTTTACCCTGTTTTTCTTACCTCTTGCACTGGAAGCTTCCTATGGAATCCAGGCAAGAAAAATAGTTCTGCTGAGGCAGCAATGGAAAGAGGAGTGAACCTGGGAAACCCCTACCTGGCAAATGAGCTTTCATGAGCCCAGGGAGACTTTAATTAATGTTAATGGAGAAACCTCCTTCAAAACCCAATTAAGCACTTAAATGTGTTCTTAATGATCTCTGCTCCCTGAGTCAGGGTGGAGAGAGGGGAATTGATTTAACACCAGGGATAAAAATATAAATGTTCATGGGTGTGGGGTGCTGCTTTCTCTCGATAAACCAGCCTTCCTCCAAATTCCTCACCCACTTTGAATCTCCTGTGGACTCCTTACCCTGCTCTCTTGAACTCAGCTATGGAAAGGTTAGCAGCTGAGCCGAAGGCGTCCCCTGATGCATAATAACAGTTATATAAAGCACTTTTAAAATACAAACAGATTTTGAGTACCTAATTATGCTGCAGGTGTTGCACGTCCCCCAGCATGAGAAATGATCCTGACACTCTCTTTATCACAAGACTGACATAATGAAACTTCCTTATGCTCAGAGAGAGAATGCCTGCCCAAAAGTGCCTTTCTCCAGCCCCACGTAGTCCCATCATCATGATTGGTATTGATTGTAGATGAACATGTATTTCTCATAATAGATTTCCTCATTAAAATTTTTTAAATGAAATCCAAAATGAATATGCTCACCTAAATGTATTATTACTTCAAAATATTTGAGTGTGTGTGTCTAAAATGTGGTTTATATTTTATCTGAGATACTGCTAGTTCAAGTATTATTACGCTGGAAGCTATAAGCACAACAATATTAGTAAATACCATAAAACATTCAGACGACATAGCTTCTAAGAAGCTGGTTGGCTTAAACCACAGAGGATAATCGGTTTTACGAAGAGAACCATAATGATTGAAATGGAGGGTTTTTCATGCAGACAAGCAGAAGCATCATCAATCAAGAGGTACCAGCACCCAGGCGGGCGTGGTGGCTCATGCCTGTAATCCCAGCACTTTGGGAGGCCAAGGCGGGTGGATTACCTGAGATCAGGAGTTCAAGACCAGCCTGGCCAACATGGTGAAATCCCGTCTTAACTAAAAATACAAAAATTAGCCGGGTGTGGTGGCGCATGCCTGTTAATCCCAGCTACTCATGAGGCTGAGGCAGGAGAATCGCTTGAGCCCGGGAGGCGGAGGTTGCAGTGAGCAGAGATCGGGCCATTGTACTCCACCCTAGGCAACAGAGCGAGACTCTGTCTCCAAAAAAAAGAATTACCGGCACCCTTAGATTTATCTATGGGTTTGATGTTGTTTCGAATAATAATATCAATAATGCAAAGGGACTGAATTATTTCTTGGCATATGTTTGAGATACATGTGACAACGGAGCATTGTGAGTGGTTGATGTCATTGATTCACCCCTCCCGACCCTGCAGGCAGAGGTTTACATTGAACTTCTAGGTGCCTTTTCTCTTTGATAATGGGATTACCTTTTCTTGCTTGTTTTTCCAATTTCACTACTTTCCTATAACTGAGTTCTTTCCACCCTCTACTTCTTTGATATGCAGGATTGTCTAACATTATTCAAAAGATGTTTCATGGCCTGATTTCACTGAATTAGACTGTCAATTTGGCAATAAGATGACTATGTCAGTAGAATGACAGGAACTAGGGTCATAATTCCATGCTGCTTCATTACCTTTCATTGTATATTTTTCCAAATAGCCTATAAGAGATGGTAGCTGCCATTAACCTTCTTTGAGATTAACCTCCATTGATACAATTGTTAATCGAAATTAACCAATGAATATAAATGATCAATAATGGCACCACTCCTTGCAATATATCTGGTGTATGCTCTTTACATAACATATTTAGTAAGTGTTGGTGGAATGAATAAGTTAATTAAATAGCGATTTCATTGGTTCCTTATATGTTACATATGAAGAGCTCATATTTTGAAATATTGCTCTTTGCCGACTTTATTATTAGCAAAGTCTTGTTAGACTTGATTATATTTTACTTTTTCTGATATGTATATAGTTACTTCATACTTCCTAAAATCCTATGAGATTCGGTTACTAACTGAAGCTCAAATAAATAAGCTAAGTGCAAATACATTCTCTTCTCCAGCACATCACAAATAATAAATGCTGAAGGCTTTCTCACTTGAAGGACTCTTACCTCTTCAGGTATGTTCTTTTCCACTTCATTGTCAATCTCACCATGTAAAACTGGCATGAATGGGGGAGGGATGTTGACTGCTTTAACCACAAGTACTTTCTTGTCTATCAAGGCATAAAAATCACCAGTATTACACGATCTTGACTTGTGCGACAAAGATATTTCAGAAAAGCAGTTTGCTAAACTTTTAACCTTATGCAGTTATCAAGAATATTTGATCAGAAAGTTCAAGTTCATTCTTAATCACTGTTTGGATGCTTTAAAAGCCCTTCTATAGACCTGGTGTTTACCACACATTTTTTAAAGAAGGAGTTGTGCACACTTTGTGTCTTAAACATTTGTGGCAGCTTGGAGTAATCAAAGTTACTACTAGTGCAGATATAGGCACACTCAATGCTAGACACAGAGGGCTCTCTGGAAGTATCGAGGGTTATTCTAAGGAAGAATCTCATAGGTAAAAAACTGCCTTAACTTTATTTCATTTCAAAAGAGAAATCAAGGCAGCCGAAATGCGGGTATCATGAAATGGTGCATGATGCACAAACAGAATGGCAGGTTTTAGAAGCTTCGGTAATGCTTGCATTAGGCTAAGGATTGCAGAAGAATTTTCTGTGCTATTCTGATGGTGTGCCGAATTGCTCAGTCTATACTTTTCTTCTGTTTTGTCAAAAGAAATCTCTTGAAATAAGATAGTGCAAGAATGTCTGGATACAATATGTATAGCAACAAATGAAGTGCATACTTTTGTTAATACAAATATCTAGCAGTCATTATAGAAGTCATGTGGCCCAATGTCTGGGCGCATCAGTTCTGGGAGATGAACTCTGGCTTCACTTCAGTCAGGGACTTAAACTTTCTGGGCCTCGTATTTTCAAACCCATGGAATAGAGGAAAAATATTACTGTCTACCTCAGAGGTTTGTGTAAGAATTAAATGAGTTACTACATGTAAGACCTTTATCTAGTTGCTGGCATGCAGTGAGTGCTATGCCAGCATCAGTAGTTATCTTCTGCTTTTGTAAATATGTTGCATTGGTGAGATTTGAAATCACCGTTTCAAATTCACTATGATCATTTATATTGCTGTGCGTTGATAGTGGTTATAAAAAGTCAGAAACCCGATGCTAAGTATGTTTTACATTATAGTCTATGAAATTCGAGCAACAGGATTTTATGTTTTGTCATGTACTCATTTTGTTCCACAGTGAATAAGAATCTGTTTCAAATGAACTTTTGCATTTATACCATGTGAAAGAAACAGATTATTGGATAATTTTTCATTGTAAAAGAAACAATTTCCATCTAAGCATTTACACATTCTAATAAATGTATAGTTAACGTTATTTTGTGCTTACGCTGAAAAATGTAAAAGATATTTTCTGGCTTGACCTGATTTTAAATAATAGTGAGTATCTTAAATTCTAAGGAATAAAATAAAACCGTATTTTTGCCGGGGTTTTCTGACCGCCTCCTTCCATAACATACAATTGGCTTCCCTTTCTGTCTGCCTTATCCAAGGTCTTCATCCAATGCAGCCTGCTCTCTGGAGGCTCTGCTGTTTAGGTAGTGGTGTGTGTTTAAACCCCAGGAACATACCAAGGTCAATAGTTTTCCTTCCAGCTCACTGACTCTTAAGAAAACGACCTTTATGCAGGGGACTAAATTCTGTAAAGACTATTGAAGCCATAGTTCTAAAAAAAAGTTAGAAACGTCCACGTGTGTGGCAAGTAGAAAGTTTTTGTTTGTTTGTTTTAATGTGTAAGGAATAGCTCAGGTCCAGTTCCAATGTAAGGGAAACAAGCAGAAGGTGTTTCATTCCTTGATAAGCTAACGACATCTGACCTAATGTATGGAAAGTGCGTCTGTGCGCATGCGTGTGTGTGTGCGTGCGTGTGTGTGCATATGGCGAGAGTATGGCAATCAGAATTCAGGGGATGTGATGCTCCTTTGGTTTGTGTGTTCAGTATCTCTATGGAAAGAGCAGGTTGATTGCTAAGTTTACTTTGTTATTTGAGCTTTCAGAGTGAGCATTTAAAGATCTATTCCATACACACTGTTGATTGTCTGGGTCCCACCCCATCCCCATCCCCATCCCCCACCATTTCGTTGGTTGAAATTTAAGTTTAAATGTCACCTGAGGCCAGGTTCTGTGGTTCACGCCTGTAATGCCAGTACTTTGGGAAGCTGATGCAGGAGGATTACCTGAGGCCAGGAATTCAAGACCACCCTGGGCAACACAGTGAGATCCTATCTCTATTAAAAATTTAAAAATTAGCTAGGCATGGTGGCATGCACCTGTTGTCCCAGTTACTCAGGAGGCTGAGGCAGAAAGATCTTGAGCCAGGGAGGCTGAGGCTACAGTGAGAATAAAAACAATAACAAAAACAAAAAATAAAAAATAAGGCCAGGCACAGTAAGTAGCTCACTCCTGTAATCCTAGTACTTTGGGAGGCCGAGGCGGGTGGATCACCTGAGGTCAGGAGTCCAAGACCAGCCTGGCCAACATGGTGAAACCCCGTCTCTGCTTAAAATACAAAAATTAGCCAGGTGTGGTGGTGCGTGCCTGTAATCCCAGCTACTTGGGAGGCTGAGGCAGGAGAATCACTTGAGCCCTGGAGGCGGAGGTTGCAGTGAGCCGAGATTGTGCCACTGCACTCCAGCCTGGGTGACAAGAGTGAGACTCCATCTCAAAAAACAAAACAAAATAAAATAAAATAAAATAAAAATAAATGTTACCTGAATATTCCCACTTAGGTATGAAATTGATGTGCTTGCTTTGTTTTATTTCCATTTGTTCTTTCTGTTGTTATTGTTGTTTTTCAGTGAGGAATCATTAAAAATATCAAATTATTAGCTGTGGAGACTCTCATTTACCTAAGAATAATCTAATAACTAATTTCTTTTCTAATTTTTAAACCAAAGTTCAGTGTGAGATTTGTGTATTAAAAAGTGCAATTTGTATCACAATCAGTACTAAGCCATAAATCTTTATCATTGTTATTGATTTAAAATTATCTTTGAGCCTTGATATATTTGCAATTGAATGAAAATAATTTGTTAAGGTGCTTATTTCAGGATCCATGGCAGTCAGCACGGCAAAACACATGCTAGGAAAGTAAATGGTTAGTTTTAAATTTTAAGACATTGCTACGGACATAAAATTTATTAGCTTTTTTAACCAGTTAACCAATTTTTTACCTTTTTTACCAATTGCCAATTTGGGGCTGAAAATATAAATATATGTAATTTGTATTATATTTATATTATATATAATTTGTATTATATTTATATTATATACATAATTCAAAAATGGAGGTATCATTTGTATATACAATGACATATCTTATTGATGAATGTAAACATGCATTCTCAAGACAGAAAATTATTAAAATTAAATGACCAGATTTTATTACATGTTTTGCATCATGATATATGTGCTTTATTAATTTGATTTTTGCATATTTCAGTATTATTCTACATTTTTTGCCAGGCTTTACTCTGAGCATAAAACTGGGTGCTGCCATTTAATTCCAAATATATAATGATCAACTGTCTGCTCCAAAGCTGCACCTTCCAATGTTACCACCAATTTTATTATTAAGGATTGTTAATTCCATTGATTATAGTTTTCAATAATAATGAATAATATTATTCATTAATCAATAATCAACTGATAATCAATAATTAATTAATTAATCAATTAAACAATAATGTTATGATTATTCATAATCCATTATTGTATACTAAAAACATATTTCTGATGGTATGTTTAGCTCAGGATAAAGAAGACATGGGCTAAGATAGGCCCTCTGTTTCTGCCAAAGTAGCAGAGAAAAGTCTTCTTTCCTAGAGTTTTGTGCCCTAAGCACATTTGCAGGGATGGGTTCAAAGACTTGCAGAGTGTGTACTTATATTCTTAACTCTATAAGTAGGAGGATGCTCATTTTTCTCTAAGATACACACAACACACTTAGAGAACAGAAAATGCACTGTATTATACTAACTTCACAGGGGTTAGACCGCAGCAAGTCAATGGAACACAGGGAGCACCCAACGAGAAACTGTCCTTGAAAATGTTTTAGGGAGGAATTCTAAAGTCTTGCCTTTCAACTTAACTGTGTATCTTCATTTGAATTATGGAACCATTGTTCATGAGTGAAATCTATTTTTATGTTCTGAATCTTCCCATTTAAAGACATATGTTTTCTCAGCTTTTAGACAATAACATGATCTAAAATGTCAAAATAATACATTCTGCTGAATCTCAGTATTTACTGAGGAAATACAGAAACATGGCAAAAGTTAGGAAGAAAAATGTTTCCTTTTTCTGCTGTCCACAAAAGTTGGTGGAACATTTATGACTGCAAAAAAAAATGAGTTATTAACACTGTTTTGATTGAATTCAACAGATGCTCTGACTTTCTTATATATATGTGTGTGTATGTATACATATATATTTAACAACTATAAATATTTATATGTAACAACACTTTCACAAGATGCCAATAAATTTAGTATGAGCATTTACATATCTAAATCTTTCTTTGGCTCTAGAAACTGATGCTATGCCAACCAGAACAAAGAAATAGTAGCTTTCACTACTGTCACTGCTAATAAAATTCAGCATCATTACAGCTTATACAAAATTGTACTTATTAGCCCAATTTCTATTGCTTGCCTTAAAAAAATGTATCGGAGAAAATGGATGCCATTAGTTTAGTCTGTAGATTAAACTGATAATAATAATGGCAAAACCTTGATCAAGTAAACAAATCCCACTAAATAGAACAGGAATGTGTTGCTAAGACCAAGGCCATTTGGATTCACCCTGAGCTTGTGTTTAGAGGCATTCTTTCATTCATTCATTCATTCATTCAGGCACTAATGGCTGAGTCATGCCAGAGGCTAGGCCCCTCCTGCGGAGAGTTCACTGCTGCCTAAAGACAGACCAGGTTCTTGCCCTTATGTTAATATTCGGGTCTTGCCTAGTCAGTTATATAAAGTTCATTAAAATTTGCTTACATAATTCAAGCAAGTGCTCAGTTTTAAATGTCTGTGCCACACAATTTGACAATTTACATAATTTATTTCAGTGCTAAAGAAGTTGACAATCGCTGTTTAACTTCAGTCGGGCTTCTCCTAAGCGGGGCGAACACACACAGGACATGCACAAGATAATCTGTTAAAGTATGACAAGAAAATAATAAATTCTACTTGCAGTTATAATTTTATCCTAACCTTTGCAATCACTTGTGCTCTGTGTGTGTTGTATAATGTACACATTATATAACAGTTCATGTGTATATAAATGAATATTTATGTAAGGGAAATATGCTAAAAATCTTAAATGGGTGGAATAACTACTAAAAATGTTTAGCAAGTACAATTAAAACATATACAAGTTAGTGTCACTTCTGTATAATTTAATAGTTAAATAGTTGTTTCTATGGGGAATAGTAAGCCACAGAGAGAAAGAAGGTCTTAAGACCGGGACCAGAAAAATAAGCTTCTTAATTGGAGGCGGCGGTTACTTCTAGTGATAGGCGATTGTTTTTTCCAGATATAATTCTGGCTCCTTCCTAATTAAGATTAGTGTTACTCATGTCACCAATTTGCAGGGTTTCAAGCTTGTGTTAATAAGATCACAAACATTGTGAGCCTTTGCCATCTTTAAAATCTTTCACTCTAAAGCAAAACGCACATAACAGTTGCCGAAGTGCCTTCTTTGAGCTTCTTTGAAAACAGCCGCATTTTCTTTGAGCTATGGAGAGCAGCATAGAACATGTTTGAATCCCCAAAGCTTAACCCCAGAAAAGATATTTCTTGCAAGCCACAAACAACTCTACACTTACAGTATCATGAGTTAATATTTACCTCTGCATAACTGGTATAGAATAAAACACAGTTTGATGTGGGGTGGCGGGGTGTAGGGTAAAATGACCTAAAAGCCCACCCTGTCTCTGTTACATTTTGCTGTGGGACTTTGTCCATATTGCTTACATTCTCTGAGTCTCGGTTTTCATATTCATAAATTAGAATAATATCACTCACATCACAGATACCGTGCATTGAAAACACCTGGCAAAATAACTGATAGTAAATAGTTCTTTTTTATTTTTTTACTTTTTATTTTTTGAGACAGAGTCTCACTCTGTCACCCAGGCTGGAGTGCAATGGTGCAGTCTTGGCTCCCTGCAGTTTCTGACTCCTGAGTTCAAGTGATTCTCCTGCCTCAGCCTCCCAAGTAGCTGGAATTACAGGCATGCACCGCCACGCCCAGCTAATTTTTGTAATTTTTTAGTAGAGACAGAGTTTTGCCAGGTTGGCCAGGCTGGTCTTGAACTCCTGAGCTCAGGTGCTCCACCCACCTCGGCCTCCCAAAGTACTAGGCTTACAGGCATGAGCCACCATGCCTGGCCTTGAATTTTTTAAATTTCAATAGCTTTAGTGGTGCAAGTGGTTTTTGGTCACATGGATGAGTTGTATAATGGTGAAGTCTGTGATTTTAGTGCACCGGTCACCTGAGTAGTGTACATTGTACCCTACAGGTAGTTTTCTATCTCTCACCCCCTTCACAAACTCCCCCATTCTGAGTCTCCACTGTCTGTTGTATCACCCTGTGTACCTTTGCATACCCCATAGGTTAGCTCCCACTTATAAATGAGAATATGCAGTATTTGGTTTTTCATTCCTGAGTTACTTCAATGCAAACTTGCTGCAAAAGAAATTTTGTTCTTTTTTTTATGGCTGACTAGTATTCTATGGTGTTTATATTATATACATTTCATTATCTCCTTCCTTCCCTTGCTGTCTTCCTCCCATGCTCTGCCCTTCCTCCCTCTCTTTCTCATATCAGAAGCACACTAACCTCCACCCCACTCCTCTCTCTGACATGCCCATCTCACTCCCTCACATGCCGTCCTCTTCTCTTCTCCAGAAACCCTCAGCCCCCATTGACTTCTGCTCCCTCCACACGGAGGTGCACTGACGGGAGCATTCACAGTGGGATTCATCTTACCCTGGCTCCTCAAATTTTACAGCACTATTTCTGATGCCAGGGAAAATGTCTTATGATGAAATTTTTAACCTGCCCTACACCTCTGCTCCCCAAGGCACCTATCTACTGTCAGACTCCAAAGTTGGCTCTCAGTGAAAAATGTGGGATTAACAGACAGATTGGATGGTACCTAGGCAGCCAGTCCTCTGTTTCATGGTAACAGGCTACAAGTCTGTATTTCAATTAGAATACTGAAGTGTTCACTCTGACTTTTTAAATATGTAAATTCTAATAGAATCACTGGCATTTTTCTGACAGTAATGCAGACCAGGTTTAAATAGGCAACATGTTTAAAGAACCACGTGACACAATTCTACTCCATTCCCAGGGTGCCGGTTGGCTCTTAATTTACAAAAGGGGTTTGCATTCATACCTTTCCCAGCTTCTCACTAGCAGGACACATTAAGATAATGCAGAAAACAACAAAGATAGTGTGGTGTTAGCTGCTGTTTCTTGAGGAGCAAATGCAATGACAAAATCAGAAATGCTGGCATCTGTGGGAAAAACAAAGAATGCAAAGAGCCTGCTCCACTGAGGAACAGCAGATTTTCTTTGAGCAAAAGCAGATTATTCTTGTTTCAATTATAATTTTTGTGACTGTGACATTGGTAAAGTAGGGTGGCAATCATGCACTCTTGGTACACAAGTGACCTGACAATATGGCCAAGAAGTAAAACTTTTAGATACATACCAAAAGCATTATATATTCTAGTTCTATAATGTGCACAGCTATGTAAAAGTATCAGATTCTTAGATAACTAACTATAGTTTATTATGTCACATTTTCCATCCTTTACTTTGGATTATATGACAAAGTTATGCATTAACTTTCTTCAGACTCTTTTTTTTGCCCATTTCTACTAAGTGAGGCTGTTACAGTAAGTTCCTTTCTCTTTGGTTTTATGAAGAAACGAATACATCTGCATTTTATAGTGAATTTACTGATTACTTATTATAGCTCTACTCAGTGCGTTGGTATTATTGGTATTTTCTAAATAGATTGTAGATTATGGAAGATAACATTCATTTATTAATCATCAAGTGCTCCATGAAATCTTATATGAGTTCTGGAAAAGAAGGAAAGCCTAACACATTCTCTCTTCTCCTATCCTTGGTGAATATATTATCCCTTTATATCCTTAGATTAGTTTCAGATTTCTTATTTAAGACTCAATTCCATTTCCCTTTCTTTAGAAGACTGATTTCCCACTTTTTAAACCCTTTTCAACATTCTCAACTCACTCAAGATGTGGAGCCCAAAATTGAATTTATATTGAAGTGTTCACTTGCTGCCTTTTTAGAGATATAAATTTTAATAGGATCACTGGCACTTTTGTGACAGTCCATACAGGCCAGGTTAAATAAGTGGTATGTTTAGAGGACATGTAATACTCTGCACTTCTAAGGCATTGCTTGTTGGCTGAGAGTCCACAAAAGGTGCTTTCATTTACTACGGGCCCATTCCGACTCTAGATAAGGCTATTGAGTTATATCCATCCACGGCCAACACTCAGAAGTAGTCTTATGGAGTGACTTTCTTCTTTTTTGATGCCCACAGCAGAGCTCCCACCATCTTCGTCACTAACATGATAATCCGGTGAAGGCAGCTTGTTAAAAGAGATCTTCCTTCACACCAAAGGAAACGCTTCCTTATTTACTGTGAAGTTAATTCACTGGTTATTATCATCGTTAATATTCATTTCTGGATATATAATAGAACTGTTCTGGAAAGGTATGAATTAGTATAACCTCTCTGCTCAACACTTTTTGCCACAATCCCAGCCAAAGTAGTGTGTCCGTTTAAATAACAGCTATAAAATATACTTTGCCCTCTGAAGCTCTGTGGCCTTCCATGAGCTCAGAACAATAAACCACACCATTCCCCATCTTTGTGTGACAATCTTTCTCAGCTTGCAACCCAATCCCATATTGTGCTTTAGGACCTGAACCATGGGGTCTTTTTGGAAGGAGAGGTTCACTTCATGAAGTGGACTTTTAAAAATTTATTTCTTTAGTTTTTGTTTGTTTGTTTGTTTTGTTTGTTTTTGTTTTCGGCCTTCAATAACGGCCACTGGGTTGGTCATATGAAAAGGGATTCTTAGGATTTAATATGTTGGGGGCTCATCAGGGTTCCTGGTTTGAGTCTCTGCTCTGGGCAGGATCTCAGGGCCAGGTGGACTGGCTCTCACGCTAACCAATCGCGGGGCATCATTATGCAAGCCCAAAGGCCATGTTACTAGTTTCCAGTGGGCATTCCACTGACGGTAAATTTCTGCCAGATACATCCAGGGCACTGGGGATACAAGAAGGCACAAAGCTTGGCCTTCATTCCAAGAGCATAGGGTCTGGGAAGGAGGCAGACGAGAAGACAGCATCACATGTACTGAACTGCCGAAGAAGAGCTCATTGCAGGGTCTAGAGGGAATGCAGGAAAGGCTTCCAAGTGAGGTCACACAGGATGGACAGGAATTAATAGGCTGAGGGATTCGTGAGGGAGGTGGAAGGAAGAGCCTGGTGCAGAGCCACCGAGGGCACGCTGCACATCGAGTGACCTGCTTGTCACTCCTGTGGCCAGAGAGCAGAGTGCCGGGTGGGAGTGGGCAGAGATGAGTCTCGACTGCTCAGCAGGGCAAGGTCGCAGAGCTGTGAATCGGTTAGGAGCTTTGAACATTCTCCTGGGTGTTGCTGTGGGATGGGGTGGGGTGCTGAATTATTAAAAATGAAGTAGTGGAATAATCTGGAATAATCAAATTAATTTTCTATAGATTGCTCTAACTGCAGCATGAAGCAGGAGTTCACAACTGAAGGCACAAGGGTAGGCTCCACGGGGTATATCCAAGGCAGAAATCCAAGTGAGAGATGCTGATGGCGCGAGCAGCACTGGTGTCAGTAGAAATCAAGAGATTTGGGCAGACATAGAGCTATTGAGGAAGCAGGCTCACAGGGCGTGGTGATTGAAGAGCTGTGGAGCGTGGAAGAGGCACCCGGATGACCCCCAGGTTTCTCACCTGCTTCCCTCCGAAAAGAAGAGGCCGAATTCCACTTTAGAGTTTGTAGTGCTTGAGGTATTGAAACAGAGTGAGAGAGGGAGAGAAAGAGAGAGACAGAGAAAGAGAGAGAGAGATCAGCATTGGTAATGAAGATTTAGGCTTCACTATTTTAAAGACTACAATTGAATCACGAGGATGGACGGTTGCCCAGAAAGAATGTGTAGAAACAAGCTTGGAACAGAAGCCGGAGGGATACTAACATTTTGGGGAATGGCAGGGAAAACAAACAAACAACAGCAACAGCAAACAAATGAAGATGGAGAAGGAGGGGCAGAGGACTAAGAGGGACACCAGGATAAAACAAGTCCCAGTGGCATTTCCGGAAGCTGTTCAATCAACCATGATCAGGGCTGGCAAGAGGTCAAATAAGACAACAACTGATTTTCCAGCTGGATTTGTCAGCAGAGGGGCCAAGGAGCTTGGAAAGAACAATCTCAGTGGAGTGGTTCGAGCTGAGGCCAAATCATAGTGAGATGAAGTGAAAGATAAAACAAGGAAGATATTGACTGTTACATGAGACGTTTATTAATGAGGAAGAGAGAAAAAGAGAAAACTAAGTTGCCTCTGTGTCATAGTTAGGACACGTTTTCCTTTGCATAACGCTGGAGACATATTGACAAATGCTTCTTAGGTTTCCCTTTTTTCCTAAGCCCTGTGCAGATTATCTCTGGATGGGCACATTCTCTATTTGCGAAAGCACAGCCGAGTTGATCTGCTTTTCACCTTCTGTACAATCATATGTCTGGGCAGCTCCGTGGTGCCATACCCTGATTGGCCAACTGGGCTTGCGTTGGCCCTGTGATGTTCAGACTGATTCCCTCTCCTGTATAAATGGAGTCTGGGATGCTGGCGTGGATGGGCACTGCAGGAGCCTCATTTTGGTGTTGAGAATGGTTTGGGTGGACTGGGAAATGTGGGACAGAGCCAACAAGCTCAGGAGGCCCTGAAATGCAAGGGAATAGACCAAGTGTGATGACAGGATTCAAAAAGTGGGTCACCACCAGAAAACAGGAAGACATTTGCGTTTTACTTCAGGAAATGGAGCCAAGACAAAGCCCTAGAAGGCAAGGGGTGCTGATGTCATAAGACCCCCCACAAGGGATCAAGAAGCTCAGAGCGCTGCTTACCGCCCATCCTTAAGCTTACTTCACAGACTCAGCTCAGCCTCAAGCAGTGGGGCCTTTCTTGTTTCCCTTTCAGAATATATCACGATTTCCAATTTCTAGGTGCAATGTGCTTTCACCAGACACTGACACAGACATAGCAGAAAGCAGACATTCAGACATAGGAACGTGAAAATTTATTTTGAGTTTCACCCTCACTTAAAACTGTAGCAACATGCGTTATGCGTCAAAGTGCATTAGCCTGAGGCGGTTGCTGTCGCAGACTAATGCTTACATAACCAATTATTTCACCCACACATACCCAAAACTCAGGCCGCTAGCGGGGTTAGAGCTGGCAGAAATGGATCTAATAAAATGTATCAACAAATGCTACAAATGTGAAAGGAAAGTTAGTCCTTACTAATAAGTGGGGGAAAAGGGAGAGCAGCTGCTTAGCCTCTTGATTTGAAGCTGACAACCATTTTTAATATCTGACATTTTTCTTTGTGATAAAATATATAGCCAACATGATATTTTTTCAGCAGGCTAACATATATTTACATTAGCAATCTTCTACCTTGCTCTAAAATAGAGAGATGGATTTTGGAGATGGGGGTAATATATATTTAAAAAGTAATGAGAAGCTGACCTTCTGCTGGAAAAATATTAATCATAGGGCATTTTTTGAAAGGTTCTGCACAGATTAGCTATCTTCAAATGGAATGCCCAGAACCAAGAGAGGACATGAGGACACCACACAAGCACACCTGCCAGCTGTCTATATGGCACCATTGTTAACCATGGTGATCCTGGTCCCGTGTAGTATTTCTATTCACAAATGCATGGGCTACTTCAGGATTGTCCAGATTTGCATGTAACGCATTTCTTTCTAGAGTTCGTGGCTTCACATCACTCCCCGTAATCAGGAAGCAAAGTACTCCCCCTCGGTCTGTCTCCGGAGGCTGTGCCGTTATAACCAAAGCTTTAAAAAAAAAAAATCTTCATTAAGAGTGTGAAAATGAGTTTGCTAGATGAGCTCTCTTGGGTTCTCCTTGGTCTCTTCAGCCTTTGCTCTCCCTGATCACCTCTTCAAACAGGCCTGTGTGACCAAGGGATTCTCAGCTGAGAATCCAAACACAGGGTAGATGTGGACGTAGGTCTGGAGGTAGAGGGTGGGGGCTCATACAGCCCACTCTGCAGAACTGCAAGTGAGTTTCAAAATGAAGTGACTTGCAAAAAAGAAAAAAAGAAAAAGGATATGTTCGGAATGAATAATACTCAAGTGATACCTTCCGAATAACATGGAGTGTAATTTCAACAGCCGCCCAGGGGCCCTACCTTGCTCAGCTGTCATCTGCATCTTTCTAGACCCCACTTCCGACGTTAACAGAGGCTCAGCTAGGTGGTCTCTAAGGCTTTCCACCCTGGAATGTCTCACCTTAGTGACTCCAGAGACCCCGACGTATCCAATGCTCCCTTCACTTTCTGTCCTCTCAGAAGAGTTCCTGTTACAAGAGTTCCCACTGAAAAAAACTATGGACTGGGCTGTGGAGAGAGTTGAATTCCACTTATTTGATGCCTAATTTCCCTGTATACGTTTCCTTATTTGTAAAACATTTCCCAAACAAGTCTCAAGGGCTTTATGAGGAAAGATAGCAAGAGAGAAAATGCTTCAGGGGAAAAAGAGAAAAATCGATTCAAGTATTAAGTAAAAATGATGCTGTCATTTGGACCATTTTTCTAGTGTAGTCTGCTCCTCTTGCAGACAGCACCTTGAGAACACTGTATGGTGGGCAGCTGTCCAGCAAAGATTGTGACAGTCAATAAGTCATTTCCAGAGGACACAGTGGAGGAGCGTGGGGGCGGTGGGCCATTTGAAATACCCTTTCAGAGCATAATTTCCTGACAAATCAAGCTGCTTCTTGGGTAGATGGAGGCACTGGCCATCAAGGGGAAGAGTGGGTGGATGTCGGCGAGCCATTACTCTGTCACCAGAGACCTCGCACACATTTTTATTCCTTCCCACAGTTATTCTTTCGTTTCATATAATTATTTATACTCTGCAGTGACACATAGAAAAGCAATTTACCTAATATTTCTCTCTATAGGAGAAGGCCAAGCCATTATAAAAAAGATTTCTAGACTTCTTTGTACTCCATAGTTCTTATGAAATAAGACAAATATACTCATTTTTCATGATGTGCTTTTGTTTGAAGTTCTTTATTACTTTTAAGATTTAGTCAATTTGTTCTTCTAGCCCGGTGCCACCACAAAACATCCTTTTCAACCCCTTCCTGCAAAAACTTCTAGAAAGACGTTGGGAAGTGTCTTGGAGCCATGGCCTTCTCTCACCTTCCTAACATAGGAATCTTCCTCATCGTGTTTTGACAAGAGGTATTGAAAGTCTATTGGAATTTTTCTAGCTCTAGAGAACTCGGCACATTTGAAGATAGCTCATTGTATTTCTATGCATCTCTTCTGGCAGGAAAGCTCGTCTTTATATCACGCTGGTAGCTACCTGTTTGTTTTTTCTCTTGTCTTTGTTTTGTGATTCCACAATTTATTGTTTAAATCCATCGTCATTGGCACCTGGCCGTTTCTCAGACACGAGATAACTGTAAGAACCTCACCCCTCGTTTGCTCTTAGCCGCAGTATATTCTCAGGTATTCTCCGTTCTTCACATAACACAGTTTTCAGGTGTTTACTAACGTGCTATTTCACTTTTCAAGTAATCATTTTCAAGATTCTAGAAGAATTTTTGTTTACTTCCCATGCGAACTTTTACCAGTTTATTCTGAAATATTTTTAGCAAATGTGCTGTATGCTTTGCCTCTTTTATTGTAAACACATCTACACAGAGAAGATAAAGACTTTAGTTATGTAACATCTGCTTCTCATCCTTAATCTCTTAAGTAGCAATAAAATATTTCTCCTCCGTCCTTCGGATTTCGATTCAGCTCACATGGTTTCCCCCACTTGTTTTCTGATGTATCTTACCCCTAGAGCTAAAATTTTAGAAAATATTTAATACTCAAATGAGGAATATTCATTGCACACTCAAAGCCCAGGAGGTAGCTCATAACGGATGCCACCGTGGAGCCTGGCCGGAGAGGTCGTCATAGCTCAGTGTATAAGGTCTGGGATTCTGCCGGCGGCTTTGCAAATGATGCTCGATCACTTTTCTTCATAACTAACTACTACCTGATACTTAAAAAAAAATGCTGTGATCTCTTACTAGTTTCTTTTTCTTTTCTTTTTTTTTTTTTTTTTTTTGAGTTAAAAAAAAATCTGCAAAGGAAATATAGCGGAAATAGAATTTAAGGAG
Organism: Homo sapiens; assembly: GCF_000001405.40. NCBI lineage: Eukaryota > Metazoa > Chordata > Mammalia > Primates > Hominidae > Homo > Homo sapiens. Next base: position 107,213,178 of record NC_000013.11, on the reverse strand, counting down.
CCAGAATAAAAATGGATATGTTCCCATCGGGCAATGCTGAGGAAAGTGGTTGCAAAGAGGATGGCTAGATCTGAAGAGACTCCAATACTGGACGCCCCACCGTCTGCGAGAGAGGAGACGTTGTTTCTTAAGACTTTATGGCTGCAGGATGCGATTCCCTATTCAGAACCCATTTTAACTGGAATAACGGTGGAAAGGCAACGTGTGAGGGAGCGGTGGGAATGGGGACCCCAATTTGGCCAATGAAAACATGAGCCACTTTCTGGCATTACATAGGGCACTCCTTAAAGAAAAACAGGCAACTCTAGACTTTAGAATCCCAGAAATGTGCGGAAAGCAAGCTGTCCTCATAATGGAATGTTATTTTTTGAACTGCAGGTATAAGCCTATCCTGCTTCCTCTAGTACCTGAGAAAGGTTATTAAGCCCAGGAATCAGAGGATACATGGCTCATTCCTATACTACAGCTTAGTTTACATAATAAATGTCATGTCATATTACGTATCATGTCATATTACACAAACGTCAATGTCTATGGCATTTTGACAAACGTTTTCAACTTCCCCATGGTTTGGTTAAGAAATCATTTCACTTTTTCTTCTGAAGCTGGTGCTTCCAGCCTCTTGCTGCCGGCACCACCTCCACCTTCACCTGTCCCCCTGAGGCAGCCTCTTGCTGTCCTCCTGGGGCACACAGCCACAGCCCACCTCCGTTTCCCAGTTGGCATAAGAATTCTTAGAGGTTTCTTCGGCTATTGTAACGTTTTCTTCTAGTGCAGTTTTTCAGTGTACACTGTTACGAGAAGACTCATTCAAAAGACCTATAAGAATTCTAATTATTTGTAGGTTTTACTAACAAGTTACATGGTGATTGTGAGCCATTGATGACTGGCAAAGAAAAATTACTTTTGGCCATTTAAAAGTGTATCTCACTTTGATATTTATCTCATTTTACCTCTACCAAGTCACCTTGATCACAGAATAAAGCGTCATTTTGATCAACCTAATGTTATGAATAAAAAAATACAATCCTCCTTCTACCAAATAGATATTGACCCGGGGCATGGAAGGCCATGCTGATTTTAGGTTCATCTGCAAACTCCCTTGTGATTTCATAAGTGCTTTAAAAGTAGTTTTCAGATTAAATATAGGATAACTATTAGGAACACAGTCTTTGGAGCCCTACAGAACATGGGTTTGAAGTCTGGATTTTCCATTTCCATTACCTAATAGTACTATTACTTAATATTATTCCTGTTCAAAATGTGAGTAATAGTTATGGTCAAAAGTGCATGCTGAGAATCACATGGAAAAAAAAGTTTACAGCTTACTTAGAAAAGAGTATAAAGTTGATAAATACCAGCTATTATTCTTGTTATTATTAGGTATTTATAATCTCTTAGGCTACCTTTAACTGCTGCGCCTCCATTTTTCTAGGTAAAATATAACCGGCAAAATGTTACTTGGATAATATTAACCCTAGAAATAGATAAGTAAAAGCCATTAGTGCCAAGGACCTGGAGAATAACTGAATTTCAGTAACCTGTACTGCAAATTGGTACATCTGCCATTGTTGTATTTGAATTTAAGATCAGCTTATTCCTTCGTGTCAGAAAAAGGCAATTTTTTCAATGTTTGTTTTCCCAAATAGCCACCAAAACAAAGAGATGAATGAAGTCCCAGTCCTTTCACATTTGATGAAATTACATAAATACGTAGCAAACATTGATGTGGCTTGCACATCATCCAGAAGGTTGAAGCTGTGGCTCTGATGAGGCTTCCCTCCTACTCCCAACCACACCACAGCATATGATGTCTGCTCTATGTCGGGTGTTTCTGGGCTTTCAGACAGTGAGATTTTTAATGCATTTGGTGTGAGTCATGAATGTAAATGTCCATATCTGCCTGTTCTCTGCCTCTCAAAGTCCAAGATCTAAACAGCAGTTTCCCAACCCCTGCTGGGCCATCTTTATAAAGTGCTTCGCGCCATCTAGCGTCCTATGGAGGCATAGACGTGGGACTCCGTGTGGAGGGAACTGGCTCATCAGCCACGTTGCAAGTAACTACAGCACAGAAGAGCAATAGAGTCAATTATTTATTTTACTTTAGATATCGCTGAATTTTGAAAAATTAACTTCCTGCTTAAATCCACTGATTTTCAAATAAGCCACATAAAATTAAAGGTCAAAATACCTTTTACATTCTATTAGGGATGCAATCAAATACTGTTTTGCTTTTATTGCGGAGACTTTCGTTGCTGTGTTTTTATCACTTGCAGCTGTCGTTGTGTAAATACGCTTTCTCACAATGAGGGCTCTCTTAGGATCCACTTGAAACCACAGCACGCTTGCACGCTTCTCACAGTGCCTCTATCACTGTAACTGTTGTCACGCCTCTATATTTTTCATTCTTCTCTTTTTTTCAGATTGTCTACAAAGCCTGGCTCTGTTCCCAGTATTTTGAAGTCACACAGTTTAACTGCAGAAAGACAATTCCTTGCAAGCAATACTGTTTGGAGGTTCAGACGAGGTGTCCATTTATATTGCCCGACAATGATGAAGTCATCTACGGAGGCCTCTCCAGTTTCATCTGTACAGGTACAGTGCCGGGTGGGAGTCTGTACACCAGTCTCCGGTGGTTTTGCTTTCTTGTGTGATGTTTGTTTGCTTTGCTGTTTCCTTTCACTGATATAACCTTGAAGATGCGGCTGGTAGTTTTCCGCACTTTCACTAATAGAAGCACCGAAAGCTCCCCTCAACAGGTCTGGAAATGATTCAGCTTCTGTACCACATGGTCTATCTGTAACTGAGACCACAGTTATTCACTGTGTGAAAGAAGAAATCTGATGGCAAAATATTAGCAATCATTAGATATACTTACATGTGACCTAGTATAGGTTAGATTCAGCCTGCATTGCCTTTGAATTCCATAAGAACAGGAGATGTGCTAAGGCCAGTGAAATAATGCTTTTCAAATTAGTCAGAAGTTTATGTTCTCTTGCCTATTTTCTTTTATTTTATTTTCTGAGAATTTTTATGTTACTTTATCTGTAAAAAGTATTAAGAGCATTAAAAATATCTGCCTAAATTGTACGTGTGTGTGTGTGTGTGTCTATTAGAGCCACACAACAAGTCTATCCATTAAACGATGTTTACTTCTTTCAGCAAATGAGTCAGACTGGGCAAAACACCAATATCAGCACTCCTTTTCTGGATATTTATAAGCATTACATAATTTAGACAGAATAAGATATAAAGAGCAAGAGCCTTTTTTTAAAAAATAAAAAGATAATTAAATGGTGAGAACAAGATACTTTGCCAGGGTGGTGTGATAATCCGAGTGGTGGCTCTGCATTCTCTTCTATAACAATAATGCTATAAGGCGTCCCTGGAATTACGTGGCTCAAGCTGTAGCACGTTTTGTTTTCAAGTGTAAGGATAAAACACCATCATATGTGTAGAGACACATGAAAATGCTCTTCTGACATTAGACTTGCCAAACTCCTCTAAAACAGAGTAGCATATTAAGATGCTCAACATGAGAATTTATCAAATTATTTCAGCATCGCTTATTTACATACGTATTCATTAGCCACAGTGTTCTAAGTGATAAGCTATCAAGAGATAGTCTGCCAAAGCTCGCCCTAAGAACTGGATGAGTATTTCTTTCTTTTTTTTTTTTTGAGATGGAGTCTCGCTCTGTGTCACCCAGGCTGGTGTGATCTCGGCTCACTTTAAGCTCCGCCTCCGGGGTTCAAGTGATTCTCATGCCTCAGCCTCCCGAGTAGCTGAGATTACAGGCGTGCACCACCACACCTGGCTAATTTTTGTATTTTTAGTAGAGACGGTGTTTCACCGTGTTGGCCAGGCTGGTCTCCAACTCCTGACCTCAAGTGATCCACCCTCCTTGGCCTCCCAAAAGTGTTGGAATTACAGGCGTGAGCCACTGTGCCCAGCCTGGATTAGTATTTCTTATGCTGCCCAAGCTTGTGGAAAGAACACGTGACTGAAGGTCAGGAGCATTGGCCTTCATCCTGTTTCTATTGTACATTCTCTCAGAGGCACCACCCCTTCACTAGTAAATTAGAAAGTGCAATGGCCAAACCCTCCCCCATGTGGATATGCTGCAAGGATTACAGATAAGAGAGAAGGGCAAGTTATGTCATTGACCAGCCATAGCCGTTGCACACGAGAAAGTGAAATGCAGAATGATTTCACAGGCCTGTGTGTTATTCTACTGACTTGATGCTCAAGTCATTTTTTATGTAGCTCCTCTCTGCTGGAGGGGGAGGAGGGGGAGGAAGGAGGGAAGAGGGAAAGAAGGAATAAGGGAAGGAGGGAAGGAGGATATCAATATCTTCTTGCTTTGAGTTTGAGACAAAATTCACCAGACACAGGCTATTAATTCATATTGAATTTTGCATACAACATTCCACAAATAACCATGAAGATAAGGCCTTCATTTTTTTTTTCTTGTGGGACAATGAGGTGTCTGTGACATGAGGACTTCAGAGAAGCTATTCGATTTTTATGTACAGGTTGTGTTTATGCATTTACACTCACATTGGCTTTTGTCCTAGAGAAGAACAATAGTTTTTGAACCAAGTTCTCAAAGTAGACAAAAAACCCAAATGAAGGGCGAGGTGTTTGCGTTTATCTTCTTTTTCCTACATGTATCTGTATTTGTGAATCTGAAATATATGTTTGAATGTTCACCCACTTCCTCCATACACATTCAGAATGCCAGGGTAGAATTAAATCTCTCACTTCACAACATGGGCAGAGAATCCAGTCTGCAGTTTTAATTGTTTTCGAGTTTGGTAAAAACAGCTTCTTCATAGACATAGCTACGTCATTAAGGAAAAGTGGCAGGAAAAGAGAGATTTATCAGATCCAGAGAAAAGTGCCATCTCCGTGAGAGGCCCCCTAGGATAATCTCATCACTGAACATTTGGAAACCTAAGAACAGTAGTTCTTATGTCACTTTCAGTTGGGTTAATGTTCATTTTATGTTTAAATTGCTCGAAAATATATGGAATAAATTCTGAGGTTATTTCACCCTGAAGTTCTGTAAAACAATCTGACAGAAAAAGATAATAATTTTCATATTGATCTTCTTTTCTAAGGTGTGACCTGTGCCTCTTTGAAGAATTCTCATTCATGTTGATAACTAGCAGCCATCATTTCCCATCATCGGTTACAGGTGTCCCTTAAGAGTGCACTGCTGAGGCCAGATGCAGTGGCTCATGCCTGTAATCCACACAATTTTGGTAGGCTGAGATAGGAGAATTGCTTGAAGCCAGGGGTTTGAGGACAGTCTGGACAACGTAGCAAGACCCTGCCTCTACAAAAAATTAAAAATAAAAGAACTAGCCAGACACAGTTATGTGCACCTGTAGTCGCAGCTATTTGGAAGGCAGAGACAGGATTGCTTGAGCTCAGGTGCTGGAGATTGCAGTGAGCTGTGATCCTGCCACTGCACTCCAGCCTGGGCAGCATAGCGAGACCCTGTCTCAAATGAAAAAGAAAATGAAAGAGTGCACTGCTGGACCTGAGCAAGGAGATTTCTACTCCTGTCCATCACAGCTGCCTGCCCGTTGCTTATAAGAGTCCCAGACATGGGCCCCAGAATGGGTTTCATCTTGGATGATGTTAGAATAGAGGACAGCTCCCAGAGGACCACTGGCTAAACTGTGGAGTGGCTTGTCATGCGTCTAAGGAAACTAGTAAGACATATGTGCATATAATTTGTTCCCAGATTTTAAGTTGCACATTTTTGGATGTCCGTCTCCTACAAATGTACACGGATTTTTAAATAGTTTACATTATAAATAAGTTTGCAAGTAAATGTGAGCCATTTACATTCTGTTTTTTTTCTCTGAAAACAGAATAATAAAAAGACCAGTGTAGTTATAGCATCATTTAATCTCATACAAAATATTTTAATAAATATATCAAAGTTTAAGGGAAAAAAGAAATGGGAAGGGAGATGGTATGCCCAGAATAAAATAAAAAAATGAGAGTAGGTTATGAAACCAAGTAAAATGCAGTAACTTCATCAAAAAGAATTCACCAAGTAAGGTGACCTTCCTCTTGCCTCCAGCAATTTTTCTTTTTGAAAAAAATCATCAAGCATTTGATTTCCACTCTAGATGTTAAAATGCAATCATTTCTCACTAAGAATTAAAGGAATAGGTGGAGTTTCCTTCAAATTCAACAGATTTAATTATAATGGTTTTCCTACTATTTGAACTGCATCCAATTCACAGCTTCCAGAAGGACGGAGAATTCCCTCTAGGATATCGAGGATTCTTCACTTACTTTTCTTATTGACCTCAAAAAAAAGTATTCTGTAAGCACGTAACTGCACATGGCCTGATGACAGATACTGTCCATGTGAGCATCAGTTTTCTTCAAGGTGCTTCTCCTTAGTGACAAACCAGTGGCATGGTGATTCCTTTTCTTAGCGTTCTCTGTACCCAGAATCTTAGAGATCTCAAGTTCTTCCTGTCATTGTCCTATTGGCTATATACTGATACCTAGGATTCCTATTATTCACAAAAAAGGGAATATCACCCCTTGGAATCAATGAACAATTTCTGTAAATGATCAGGAGTTATTTACCATTTTGGTCACACTTACTAAATTCAGTATCTCGTGCATCATTTCTTTATGGTGCTCACATCACCATGTACCAAATTTGAAAGTTTTAAATGTATATATTTTTGATCATCTGCTACCTATGATCCTTTAGTAAGCCAGGAACTTACTTTAAAAAATGAAATATCTGAGAATGCATGTCCATTACTATAGAATGCTTTTGATTGAGGATGTTACAGAAGGTCATGACCAAATGTTCTAACCACGGATCTTGATGACAAGCGCATCCCCGTGCATATGTTTAATTCCAATTCTGTCTTAGGAGATAAAAGGAAAGACACTTTGCCTGAGATTTCTCTTGAATTTTTTTCTATTAAAGAATAAAACTGACACGTGACTAAAGAAATGTTTTAAAAATTAATTGGAAAGAAATTCTGAGGTGCTGTCAGGGTGAAACATGTCATTTAATGTTAGGCATTATTGAGCTAAAATTTGTCAAGGTGGGTTCTGTTGGGTTTGCAAGCTCAGTTCGCATAATGCAGTGCTATTTTAGAAACTCAGTTGCTTCATCTTTAAAGTGAGGGGGTGGAAGTCGTTTTTGGATTCTACGATGTCAACCCGTCATCGTGGTAATTACGTGGGCTTCCCTCTCCACACTCCCTCGCCTCATTCCAGAGTCCCCTGGAGAAATCCTTGATTGCTTACCTTTAACAGTGAACCAAGCTGAAGAAAACAGAGGCAGCAGAGGAGCACAGGCTGTGGGTGCTATGGTAACAAACATTAAGAAAATTATCATTTGATTGATAGATAAAATAGACCAGCCATGATTTACTGCTCTCTTACAGAGGGAAATTATTGAAGGAATAAAAGTAAAAGTTGGTCTGCTGGGGGTTACTGACAATGGAGATAAAACATATTTTAAGAATTCTATGTAAATTCTGCATTCCATTTTTTTTCTTTTTCTTTCTTTTTGAGCTGTGACAGGAATAAGGTTATGTTTCTGTCTCTGGGGAAAATACTGTGGGCTGCTGTTGTTCCTTACTTGACAGGCGGTTGAGGCTGCAATGGGAGATGGGCGCCCCCTGGTGGCGACTCTGCGCGCCTGCAGAGAGTCTGAAAGGACGTTCACTGCCTGCAGGCAACGGAAGGGAATAACCTGAGGGGAGGAAATGCATTGATCTACATATTGATCACATTCGAAGGATTTTTTTTTTAAATGTTTGGCATCTCACGGTTTACTTGTGAGTGACTTCACAACTGCAAAAGAAAAAACATTTGCAAAAATCCAGTCCTCACATGACCAGTGAGTTGAGAAAGATTTTTAAAAGACAAAGATGTTCTCATAGGTGGGAATTGAACAATGAGATCACATGGACACAGGAAGGGGAACATCACACTCTGGGGACTGTTGTGGGGTGGGGGGAAAGGGGGAGGGATAGCATTGGGAGATATACCTAATGCTAGATGACGAGTTAGTGGGTGCAGCTCCACCAGCGTGGCACATGTATACATATGTAACTAACCTGCACAATGTGCACATGTACCCTAAAACTTAAAGTATAATAATAAAAGAAAAAAAAAAGATGTTCTCATTAGAGGAAAATTTCAGTAGAAAAAAAAAATACCTCTATAGATTTTAATTTGAACATTTATGCCGTTTCAATTTATTTATTTTCCCCTGCGTATGCGTATGTTCATTTAATTTTTTAAAATCAGGTTTTTTTTTCTCTGAAAACAGAATAATAAAAAGACCAGTGTAGTTATAGCATCATTTAATCTCATACAAAATATTTTAATAAATATGTCAAAGTTTAAGGCAAAAAAGAAACGGGAAGGGAGATGGTATGCCCAGAATAAAATTTAAAAAATGAGAGTAGATTATAAAACCAAGTAAAATGTAGTAACTTCATATGTTCGTGACATCTTCTTCCATTAAAACATTGTACTTTTTGAGGTTTATTTCAGTTAATATCTTTAGGTTTGAGTTCAGATCATTCCTACTTAAGATTACTTTTTCTGAATTCTATATTCATAAAGATCCCAGCAGGTCAAGTTTGCCTTTGGCAAGAGAATGTATGTAGGGAATAGAGGAGGAATTAGGATGTCTGGATTCTGCCAGTAGCTATGAATTTTGGAAAATCGCCCCCACTGTAAGGTCTCATTGCCTCACCTCCACAAGTGGCTAAGAGTACTGAGCCCAGTGCCAGAACACAGTGCCCAGGCCTGCTGACAGCAGAGGCCCGAGCTAGATGGGACCCCATGTAGTCCAGCCTGGTGGTGCTTGCGGAGCGGCAGGCGCAGCTGCAGAGGAGAATGAGGTTTTACGCTTGTCTGTGTGGGGAGAGGAAGACAACCTGCCTCCAGCTCACCTGGGTGACACTTGTTGGAGAGCAGGGAGAGCTTGTGGGCGCCCCTCTCTGCCTCCAGCTCACCTGGGTGATGCTCGTTGGAGAGCAGGGAGAGCTTGTGGGCGCCCCTCTCTGCCTCCAGCTCACCTGGAGAGCAGGGAGAGCTTGTGGGCGCCCCTCTCTGCCTCCAGCTCACCTGGAGAGCAGGGAGAGCTTGTGGGCGCCCCTCTCTGCCTCCAGCTCACCTGGGTGACACTTGTTGGAGAGCAGGGAGAGCTCTGCCTCCCTCTGCCCCCCTCTGCCTCCAGGCATGCTGACAACTGGGCAGGCCCTGCATGAGCTTGCTCACCTCGACAGCCTTTGGGGAAAATTCTAACGTAGTTCAAGTTATCCTTCTGCTTCTCATTGCTACACCTTGCCTGGTCTAAGAGGAGAAATGAAATGCATCAGACCAGGGAGAGTGGAGAAAACCAAGCCAGGAGCACTTGCAGGGACGGGAGTTCAATCAGCCCTGAGAAGTGTCTGTGCTTCAGTGGTGGGTCCTGAGCCAGCTGCCCCAGGGAACCACTGAGGGCCCAGCCTGAGCCATGTCAGGGCCCATCACGATGTCAGGGGGCACCACGGGGATGGAGCACAGCACCTGATGGCTGTCCTTTTTGATGCCATTGAGGGAAGATGTCACTCGCTGACCTTGCACAGAAGTGACACCGTGTCTGGCAAATATTTTCAGGCCCTCTGAACCCTCTGGAAGGAAAGTCACCCTTTGCTCAAGCCAGACTATGCGCACTGCCCTCAGAGAGGCAGTGCCAGCGCCTGCACTGCTGAGCTGGTGAGTCTCTTCTTAGATGGAAGCTGAATCAAAGCATGTAGTGATCTCCTCTACAGCCAGGAGGCGATAACACACACCCGTGACAAAGGTTTCCCTGCATTCAACGTGACTGAGTGAACTTAGAACTACTGACCACACAGTGGCTGTCAAAGCGGGAAGCCAAAGGAAAGATTTGAATTCTGGAATGTCAGTTTAGGAAGAATATGGCCAAGTGAGATTTCCCAGAACAGGTGAAATCTTATTCAATGAGAGTATTTACCTATCTTGTCTGCAAGTAAGACATCTTTGTGAAGATGTGAAGAATTCGCGAATTCTTTGTAAGAATTTATGCCCACTTGGTAGCTGTTCTGGATACTGGACTAATTTGAACAATGAAATTATCCTGTGCAATTATAGATTCAGTCAATCTTAGACAAACCAAAATTACTGAAGTCATCTAGTTTGATGCCTTGAGGATTAACCACTCCCTCAAAACAAGCAATTGCAGAAACAAGAATAGCTCCACATTTCCTGGCTCTTAGTCCAGCATTTGTAGTGGAACAGGAAACGACCAGCCAGCCCATCCTGAAATTCATGTGTAAGCCATTGTTTCCTTGCTATGTACAGCTGGAAAAAGTCAGTCAGTAGGTTAACGGAAGGTGATCACGCCCACAGCCTGCTGTCTTTGCATTGCAAATCTCATTGTTCAACAAACATGTCCTGATTTCTCAACATCACACGTCACATTAAAAATGAATGTTACAAGCACTTTGGAACATAGACATTTTTCTGGTTAAATAAAGAAAAGAAGACTGTCTAGGTCATTGTTCTCAGGAAAATTTTTTGCTTAGATGGCTAATTTTGTCAGATTGGTTAGTGAGATTCTTAGGATGAATACACACACACACAAATAAATTAGTATAAAGGGTAAGAACAGAGCTAAAGTTTCTAAAATGTCTGTGTGAATATTATTATGAATCCAAATCACCTTATCCTTGTGTTATAGCTATTTTATAATATATAATAGATTGTATATATAATATATAATATCTATACCATATCAACATATATTTATATAATTTATACATCATTCAAATATCCAATTTATATATAGATACAATCAAAATAGCTAAATTTCCAGATAATGTAGGTAATAAGTAAGAAATACCTTAGGTTTAAAAACTGAAGACCAATTTGTAAGCAGAACTTTAAAATTAGTTTTAAAGTTAATTCCAAATTAAAAAAAGAAAGAGTGAATTTAATTTAGGCATAGCAGCACTGATGGAATAAATGTGTAAATTCTCCAAGAAGAAAACTTGAAAATAAAAAGTTCAGTTAGGAATAAAACTTCTAGAATGCTATTTTAAGATGATGGTTCTCCGGTTATTATGTTATCATCTGACACTACTGGTTCAGTCCTAAATATGGTATGTTGTACCTTTATTAACCAATTTATGGGGTCAAAAGAGTGACGAACCCAGGCATAGAGAGTCTGAAAATGCCGACCTCGCCACCGAAACTCACTCCTGCCAGAAAGTAAGGCTCATGGCAACCTTCACTAATAGCTCCTCCTTTACGGAATATGTCATTACCTGAGGGAGTGAGGGAGATGTCTTTTTGGGCTTGTCTTAGGGACATTTGCCATGTTTTAGTCTTTTTTTGTGTGTAAGTGGGCTGAGAAAGCCCCAGGAAGTCCACCTTCAAGTACGCGGGAACAAACATTGCAAGGGAAATGAAAATAATTTCAATCACAAGGGAAATAATTGTCCCAAGATAGGACCTGTTGCTCGCTGCATAGTAAATTCTTCTCATAGAGGTCATTTTTTTTTCTTTCTTTTTTTCCTTTTTTGAGACAGAATTTCGCTCTGTCACCCAGGCTGGAGTGCAGTGGCACGATCTCGACTCACTGGAAGCTCCCCCTCGCGGGTTCACACCATTCTCCTGCCTCAGCCTCCCGAGTAGCTGGGACTACAGGCGCCCGCCACCACGTCCGGCTGGTTTTTTGGTATTTTTAGTAGAGATGGCATTTCGCCGTGTTAGCCAGGCTGGTCTCGATCTCCTGACCTCGTGATCTGCCCACCTGGGCCTCCCCAGAGGGAATTTTAAGATGTAGCATTTCATTGTGAACTGTGAAGAGCTAGAGAAACTTCCTTCTGATCTCTTCCAAGGCCTATGATATGTGCCTATACATTGAGAGATATCTATCAACTTATCAACTTATGGATGGGTAGATAGATAGATAGATAGATAGATAGATGATAGATAGATAGATAGATAGATATCAACGTACATGCACATATCATAGACCTTGGAAGGGATCACATGGAAAGGCCAGTTTTTGAGAACTGGAGACAAAAGCCAAAATAGTTCTCAGTCGCCATCTCTTCATTGCAGTGGCGTGTCTGCCGATGTGGTAAATAGGCAATTTCACTGGATGAGTGTTCATTTTCACTCGGTCCCCCTGGCCCCGCAGCTCCAGGGTCCTTAAGGTTCAACCTCAGAGTTACGTCTGATGCCACCAATGAGTAGGAACAGGTCCTGTGGCCGCACTAAAGTCACCGGGACTACAGCAGTTGATATTACATACTTTCGAAATATTGAAATAAAGTGTGCATGCTTATGTTTGAATTGATAAGTGGTGCTCATGACACAACATCCAAAAGACCCAAAACAGGCAAGATCAAGTCACCTCCTCCAGCCAACTGGCGACTGATGTCATGGGTTACAGACTTGTTATTGTTTATTTACTCAGTTTACTCAGTTCCTGACTAATGGCCATTTGAGTTATTCCTAGCCATCTGTTATTAAATGCAGTTCTGCAAGGCATATTTTTGTTGCTGTATCATTTACCACAGCTTATGAATTTTACTGTAAAATAAATGTCTACCAAGAAGTAGAGACGGATGAAAGAGTCTGTGCATTCATCGTGTGGGAGATGCTTGCCATGTAACCCATTTTTGGCACAGATCATGCCCCTCGCTCGAAGTCCTAATTCCCTTAGGAGAGTCTGCAAGCTCCTTAACCTGGCTTGATTTGACCTGTTTCCCACCGCCCCCCGAGCTCATTCATCATCACTTCCTCTTTGGGACCCAACACCCCAGATATAGCCACCCAGCATGTGAAGCCCCACTGCCTGGGATGCCCGTCTGTCAAAGCTTCCTCTGGCTAATCCTGAAGTAACTGTGGCTCCCAGGAGGAGGTCCTCCCTGACCCCCAAGGGGGAGTTTAGAGCAAGTGTGCCCAGAGCACCCTGTGCTTCTGCTGCTGTGGTGCTCACTGGGCTGCATTTTAATCACAGGACACTTTCCTCTCTCCTTCTCGTTTTGGTGAGTTGGGTTAAGGTAAGAACTTATGTCCTCTGGTGTGTCCACAGGACACCAAAAAAGTGCCAGACACATTGTTTGTGTTCAATAAGCAAACATTGGATGAGTTCATTAGTGAGTAGCAACTCCGTCCTTTGAGCAAGAAGAAGCTCTGTGGTGGGAGGTGTCACTCAGGACAAGCAGCGAAGGTCAGCCATGCTCTGCACAGCCTGCAATGCTCCCGCCCACGGGTGTCTGTGGCAATGCTGTGAAGGGGCAAGGGGGCTGATGGTTGGATGCACTTTAACAAAGTGTCCTCCATTGGGAGTCAGAAAGAAGCATCTCAGTATTTCATGTCAAAGCTGTTTTTTGTCCTTGTATCCCACCCTCCTGTCAATGCAGTATGGAGGCTTCTGCTGAATGGAGTTCACACCGCCGCCACACACCTCCGCTACCTGGAATGCTGGAACTTAAAACAAAGGCTGAAAAGTGATGTGGCATCTAAGCTTATGGAACTTACATTTTGAATAGGTACCCCAAACTCAGTGTCATGTGTTCAATTGTATCCCCTGTTCTCCAAATTCAGATGTTGACATCCTAACCCCCAGCACCCCAGAATGTGACCGTATATGGAAATAACTTGGTTATGGAGCTCTTCAAGTTAAAATGGGTCATTAGGATGAGCCCTAGTCCAATGTAATTAGTGTATGTGTTAGTCCACTAGGGCTGCCGTGACAAAATACCACATGCTACAGGGCTTCAGCAACAAAAATGAATTTTCTCGCCCTTCTGAAGACTAGACATCTGAGATCAAGGTTTTGTTTCTTCTGAGGCCTCTCTCCTTGGCCTGTAGACACTGCCTTCTCGCTGTGTCTTCACATGGTCTTGCCTCCATGCCAGCACATCTTTAGGGTCTCTCTGTGTGTCCAAATTTCCTCTCTGTGTCCAATAATGACATCTGTCCTATTGAACTAGGACCCACCCTAAAAGCCTCATGGCACCCCAATAATGACATCTGTCCTATTGAACTAGGACCCACCCTAAAAGCCTCATGGCACCCCAATAATGACATCTGTCCTATTGAACTAGGACCCACCCTAAAAGCCTCATGGCACCCCTTTGAAGGCCTTACACACACATATTGTGAAATACATTTACATGTTAGCGTACTGGGAGTTAGGGCCTCAACAGGTACGTTTTTGGAGTATGCAATTCTTCCCATAACAGCGTATAAAAAGGGGAAATTTGGATATAGACACATAGAGATAAAACAATGTGAATAGATGTAGGAAGAAGATGATCGTCTACAAGCCAAGAAGAAAGGCCCATACCAGAGCTTTCCTGAAAACCCCCCGGAAGGAGCCAACCCTGCCAACACATTGATTTTGGACATCTAGCCCCAGAAATGAGAGAAGCTGAATTGTGTTGTTTAAGCCCCCTAGTATGTGGGATTTTGTGATGACTCCCCTAGCAGAGGAATACGCTGAGCAATGCCTTTAAGTTTTGGAGTAAAACAGACATATTCAATGTTATTTGTTCAAGCAAAGAACAAATTCCAACTCTTGTATGAAGGCGAATTCTGCATGCTTCAGAAGTTCTGGAGGATTAGAGGACAGGAAGAAATAAAAAGGAATTACAAAGGCATCGAGGGAGCTCAGCCAGCAGGATTTAGAGGATGATAATTACGCAGAGAGTAGTAACGAAGAAAGGGTATTAACATTGCAGATAGTCTTTAATTGTAAAGTAAAATTATTTTTGTAAATTTTATGAATCTCCTTTTGAAGGAATTTAGAAGCACAATCAATTTGCAATGCTGCTGTGTGTGCTATGTCCCATTAATCATGGTTTAATAATTGGAAGACTTTAGACCTAAATCTGAAAACCCATCAGCTCAGGAAACTGCAGTTAGGGAATTTTTCCTCTGAAAAATCAAGCCACTCTCTGTAGTTTCTGCTCAATATTGCTGAAAATTTAAAACTGCACTAAAAATTAAACCTATTTAAAAAGAAAAAGAAAGAGTAAGAAAATCTCAAAACTAGCCAGATAAACTTTCTATCTCTAGGAAAATTTTCTTCCATTTGAAAGTATATTTGTTCTGTCATTCCCAGCCTTATTTTATGGGTTCATATTTAAGGTTCTGAAAGGAAATATAGACTAATACTTTTATATAACTGTTTTATTTAATTTCTGGACAGCTTTCAAATTCTCAGCCTTAATCCTTACCAGGAAAATTGGTTTCTATCTCCCTTCATTTCCGTCATTATTTCCACAAAGGGATGAATAACATTTTAAAGGATATAAAAATTTCCATGAGGAAACTTCAAATTTATTAAAAAATCAAGAGCTCCATCAATTTGCGCACACACACAAAAGCAAGTGTGGACAAATGATTAAAGAAATTCCTCACGTAAAATCACAGAGCTGTAGAGCTGGAAGGGGCCAAGCTGCTGCCCCACTCCAGCAGGTGAGTGCCATGTTGTTTACTGTGGACTGCTAGCCTCAGCCTGAAGGGAGAATGCAGACACGAGAGTGGATGCAGTGAACGGCTAGGAACATCAGCCACACATGAAGAAGCAGGCAGGGACTTTCTTGGTCATATTTGTCTAACACGGTAGCTCAACAATTAAATTTAGCAAATAAATAAATTTGAAGAATAGAGAAATTCAGTAGCTTTCCCAAGTTCACAGGAAAGCCCACAGGAAAAGCCAGCACATCTGACTTCCCACTTAGCTTGGTCCATTGCTTTTCTATGCTCTTTTTAAAAAATAAATAAATTGTATTTTGCGTATTTAGGGTACATTAAGATATACAATATGATGTTATAAGATACATTGTCTTGGTCCATTTTATGTGGCTATGACAGAATACCAAAGACTAGGTAATGTATAAAGAAAAGATATTTATTTCTGACAGTTTTGGAGGCTGGGAGGTCCAAGGTTTAGCGACACCTCTAGTGAGGGTCTTCCAGCTGTGTTGTAGTGTGGTGGAGGACATCATTTGCCCAGAGCACAAGAGCATACCTGCCAGCTCAGGCATCTCTTCCTCTTCTTACAAAGCCACAGGTTCTACCAGCGGGCCCCACTCTGATGACCTTATGTGATCTTAAGTCCCTTCCAAAGGCCCCACCTCCAATCAACATATAAATTTGAGGATTAAGTTTCCAACACATGAGATTCAGGGGACACATTCAAACCATAGCAAACATATATATAGGAGAATGGTTAATAGTGGAACAAATTTATCATGTCTATCCTCTCACTTGGTCACCTCCCCCCAACCCCTGTGGCAAGAGCAGCCATAATTTACTCATTTAACAAAAATCCTGAATACAATACGCTATTATTAGTCCTCATGTTCTACATTAGATCCTTCAACCTGTTCATCCTCCATATTTGCTACTTTGCATCCTTTGACCTACATCTCCCCATCTCCCCCACCATGGAGACCACTGTTTTATCATCTCTCTATATTTGAACTTTTTTGGTTTTTTAGATTCCACATGTAAGTGCCATCATGTAATATTTTTATTTCTGTGTCTGGCTTATTTCACTTAACATAATGTCCCCTAGGTTCATCCACATTGTGGCAAGTGGCAGGATCTCTACCTTTTTTAAGGCTGAAAAATATTCTATGTTATATTCTTATATATCAGTTTATTTTTCCATTTGTCCATTGATGAACACTCTAATTGTTTCTACATCTTGGCTGTTGAGAATGCTTTTTCTTTTCACCTGAACTTTATTTTGGAATTGGAGTAACTTTCTCATTACTAGCTTGATTCTAGAGACTTATAAATGATTTCCCTGATTTTTGTAAACTTTTATTTTAAGTTCAGGGGTACATGCATGGGTTTGTTATATAGGTAAAGTCATGTCATGGGGGTTTCTTGTACAGATTATTTCATCACCCAGGCATTAAGCCTAGTACCCATTAGTTATTTTTCCTGATCCTCTCCCTTCTTCCACCTTCTCCACTCCAAAAGACATCAATGTGTGTTGTTCCCCTCTGTGTCCATGTGTTCTCATCATTTAGCTCCCACTTATAAGCGTGAACATGCAGTATTTGGTTTTCTTTTCCTGTGTTAGTTTACTAAAGATAATGGCCTCCAGCTCCATCCATGTCTCTGCAAAGGACATAATCTTGTTCTTTTTTATGGCTGCATACTATTCCATAGTGTATATGTACCACGTTTTCTTCATCTAGCCTACCATTGATGATTTCCCTGCTGTTATTATAAAATACTTTGCTAGACTTGCTGTTCTAGGGAGACATTGTAAGAATAAATGTGGTGAATATGTGTAAGTTTATATTCTTTCTCTTGTATAATATTTTTCCTACTAAGAAGTATATTCTGCCTTCTTTTCTTCTGAGAATTTTCTCTTGAAATTTACTCAGTCAACAAACATTTACTAAGAACCGATTGTATTAGTTTTCTATTCCTGCCTTAACAAATTGCCACAAACTCAGTTGGTTCATAAACTAAGAAATGCATATTCATCTGCAGAAGTAGGCAAATTAAACAGATGCTAGCCTGCAGGCTTTATACATAACTATTAAGAAAGTATAGAGGAGGCAGAGAGCAACCTTGAAAGTAAGTGTGGAGAGTGTGATTATCACAAACTTACAGACGTGAAAAGGCGATACAGAGAAATGAAATTTCCTTGAGTTTAAACAGCTTATTCCGCAAAGGAAGAATGAAATCCATGGTGAAGGTTTAATTCATAGCTTCTGGGCTCCCTTGAGTATGTTACCGCCATTACAAATGTAACTAGCATTATTACTAGCCACTAATTTTTGTCTGTTTGAGAGAAAGCAGAGTCCTGGAAAGACAATTTTCTAAATTTTAATCTTAATAGTTTTAGGGTACATGTGGGTTTTGGTTACATGGATAAGTTCTTAACTGGTGATTTCTGAGATTTTACTGCACCCGTCACTTGAGTTCTACTTTTAGTTCTTTAAGGAACCTCCACACTCTTTTACATGGTGGTTGTACTAATTTACATTCCCAACAGCGTGCAAAAGTGTTTGCTGTTCAACACGTCTATGCCAACATCTATTGTTTTTTGACTTTTTGAATATGGCCATTCTTGCAGGAGTAAGATGCTAACTCATTGTGGTTTTAATTTGCATTTCCCTGATGATTAGTGATGTTGAGCAGGTTTTCTTATCTTTGTTGGCCATTTGTACATCTTCCTTTGGCAATTGTCTATTCATGTCCTTAGCCCACTTTGTGATGGGATTTTTTATTTTTTCTTGCTGATGTATTTGAGTTCTTTGTAGATTCTGGATATTAGTCCTTTGTCAGATGTATAGAATGTGAAGATCTTCTCCCATTCTGTGAGTTATCTGTTAACTCTGCTGATTGTTTCTTTTGCTGTGCAGAAGGCTTTTAGTTTAATTATGTCCCATCTACTTATCTTTGTTGCATTTGCTTTTTGGGTCTTAGTAATGAATTCTTTGCCTAAGCCAATGTCTAGAAGAGTTTTTCTGATGTTATCTTTTAGAATTTTTGTGGTTTCAGGTTTTAGATTTAAGTCTTTGATCCATCTTGAGTTGATTTTTGTATAAGGTGAGAGATGGGGCTCCAGTTTTATTCTTCTATATGTGGCCCATCAGTTTTCTCAACACCAGTTATTGAATAGGATGTCCTTTCCCCAATTTATATTTTCGTATGCTTTGTCAAAGATCAGTTGGCTGTAAGTATTTGGCTTTATTTCTGGGTTCTCTGTTCTGTTTGCTGATCTACATGCCTATTTCTATGCATACCATGCTGTTTTGGTAACTATAACCTTGTAGTATAATTTGAAGTTGGGTAATATGATGTCTCCAATTTTGAATACTTTTTATGTATAAGACAATCAGCCAAGCGCTCAAGATGAATGATCTCATTACATCTTCACAATGTCTATGTGAGGAAAGTATGCATGTGGGTCAGGACTCTTGCAAGTGGCAAAAATCAAACAAAAACTGTGTTAAACAAAAACAGACTCCATTGGCTTATATAACTGAAAAATCCAGAGATAAACATCAAGGTATATTATTCATTAAAACGATAGATTGATATATAGATAGATAGATAGATAGATAGATAGATAGATAGATAGATAGATAGATAAGATAGATAGGTATATAAGTTGAGATATATAAAGATGTATTGGTGGTAGATGTACATGGAGAGATTCAATATAAATATGGATTTATAAATACAGCTCTCTCTCTCTCTAGTGCCAGCTCCAACTCTAGCTTTAGCTCTCTTTCTCCCTATCTCTGAGCTCCACTTTTCTGTTTGTTAGATTATTTCAGCAGGGGATACAGGTCTTAACTTCTCTGTTTAGAAATTGCAGCAGGAAGCTATCACCTCATTTCCATTAATTTTCATAGACACGTGGCGCTAGAGTCTCATGTCTTGACTTGGGCTGCATGCCCACACTTGGGCAATCATGTAACCCAGGAATGGAATTCTCTGGTCGGTCGGGTTAGTCAGGGGCCCCTCCTGCATGTGGGAGGGGTTAGATTAGCCCCACCTGAACTGCATCCATTGAACTGGGGAGGACTGCTCCCCAAAACCACATCTGGGTGCTTTTCCCAGAAGGGGTAATTAAACAAAAGCTGCCCACTACCCTACATGTGTTGCCATTAATGAGACCAACAATGCCTACATGAATCTCCTTACAGGTCTCCTCTGGAAAGTGGCTAAGTAAAGCCCAAACCATCCTTGCTTTGTTGTTGTTGTTAGTAATAAGGATGCACTGCAAACCATCCGCATGTTTAACACCCTGCTTACTGTTCATGTGCTGCCTATTCTAGACAGTAAAAAACGGTCTCTGAAAATTCTAGCCGTTTTGTTCACATATCCTAAAAAGCCAAAGCATTCTTTCTGCAAAGTCATATTTATTGTATTATTTATACTGAAACATCTATGCTTAATCATTTAAAAATATTTAGTAAGTGCAGATAAGCCAAAAGAAGATAAGGAAAACCTTCAGCTACCACCAAGAGGAAAATGTCATCTTATACCATAAATAGTGTTTCAAACCATTAAATATGCTTTCACAGCCTAGTTTAATGACTAACAGTACAGCATATAAGCATAATGTAAATTGCACAAATGTTTTACTAATTATAGGATTTTTTCTTTTTTATTTTTTGCTACATAAAAAATGTTACTAAGAACATATATAAACATACTTATTTCCATGTACTTACTATTGATTTCATTAAAACAAACTTGAATTGGAGTGGAAAGGTCAGAGGGTATGCAAAAGCTTAAGCCTTTTGATATTTATTGCCAAAAATTCAAAAAGTTTATAACTACATGGATTCTCACCAGAAGTATATTATATGGCTCATTTTCTTACTCCTTTGTAGTCATAGGTTATTGTTGGGGTTCAGTCAGGCTGATGGGAAAAATATTAGTTATGATAGCCACAAACCCTCTTGGAAGGCCTGAGAGTTTGCATAACTTCAGTAATAGATATGGTTAAAGGCAACCTGATCTTTACCTTTAGTTAAATAAATTAGAGTAGTAACAAAGGAATGTGAGGAAGTTAGCTAGCTAGCTTGTTTACTCATGTGGTCCTAAGACTAACCTTTGATGTACCACGGGTGCTTAAGCGCTTTATTCTCGGGAAGTCCACAATGTCAATTACCCTCTAGTGGTGTTGACTCAAGCCTTTGTCAATTAATCTTTACCAAATTAATGTGAGTCTCACTAGCTGGTCAGGGCCGCGGTCGCAACTGTTTACAGTACTCTCCAGGGAGTCTGTAAGCGGCCCAGACACACTCAGCTGGACTGGCAAAGCAGAATATCTGTGTGTCAGTGCATGTTATTCATCCGTCGTTTGGGTCAGGGTCTTTGGGTCAGACCCCCACAGCTGGTGCCCCGTGTCAGGAGCGCTACCACAGGTTATTATAATTAATATTTCCTTTTTATAAGTAAAATGTTTCACATCATTTTGTCAATTATTTAAATATTTGTGTTTAAACTTTTTACATGGTCCTTCTTATTTCTCTTTTATGTTGCTTCTTAATGTCTAATTGTTCATTCAATACATAATCCTTTCTGTCTCTCTCTCTCTCTCATCATCGGTCATGCACATTCTTCTTTTCCTGCATCTGTATTTCTTATAAGAACACAGAATTGGCTGGATACAGTGGCTTATGCCTGTAATCCCAGCACTTTGGGAAGCCAAGGTGGGCAGAACACCTGAGGTCAGGAGTTCAAGACCAGCCTGGCCAATATGGTGAAACCCCGTCTCTACTAAAAATACAAAAAAAAAAAAAAAAAAAATAGGCATAGTGGCACAAGCCTGTAATCCCAGCTACTCTGGAGGCTGAGGCAAGAGAATTGCCTAAACCCAGGAGGCAGAGGTTGCAGTGAGCCAACAGTGCACCACTCACTGCACTCCAGCCTGGGCAACAGAGTGAGACTGCATCTCAAAAAAAAAAAAAAATTAAGAATTTTAAGAATGTGTTCTACTCACATGGCGTAGAGTGACTGATGCAGCCAACACTGTGAAAGTCGTGGAGAAGCTCCTAGGACCCCGGCTTCTAACATATCAGCTTCTTCATCGCCTCTAGGAAACATGTACTTCAAAAACTGATTTTTACATTTTTTAAAAATTTTCTCAGTTTAATAGGTCTTCCAAGACTTTCAGATATATTTTTTGAAATAAAATGTAATCTGCATCAAGACAGGAAATATCTAAACTATCACAAGAATGACTGCTTTTCTTATTATAAATATTTTCTAGGTCTTTCAAGTAAGAGTTGCAACTGAGTGTTAAATTCTGTTATTTTTCAAAAAAATCACTAATTTTGTTATTTTATCTTTATCATTTCAAACTCATTTTTTTTTTTTACTATTTAGTGAGCATTATCAGAGTCCTTTCCATTATGTCGAAACCTTATAGGTTCTTGTGTCTTCAAAAATAGGTGCAAACCAATGACCTCTGAGGTCAACAATTGGAAATCAAAACAGAGAAATAATCCAAGGAGCCGTCAGATGAAGTAAATCATAATGATGCCACTCTACCTGGCCCTGTAACTAGGGGAAGAAACAATATACTACCTGAGACATTATTCTGTTTGGCAACTGACATGCCAGAATCTGAACTAAATACCTATTTTCCATCAATCAGTGAAAAATATGCATAACTACAGCTTTCTTTTCAATGGAATGCTGCAATTCTAATGAATAGTATCCTCTTCAAATGAAGCTACACCCCATCCCCCAAACTCTACCTTTCTGCTCTCAGAGATGTCCCTGTTTCCAATGCTTTCGTAATTTCTTTTTGAAAATTGCTATAGTACTTTATTTTCATTTGATTTTCTACTGGAAATATTAAAATTACTGGAAGTCCATTCAATTCAAGTCTGAAAAATAAAGGTAACAGATTATTCTAACTAATATTCCTTTTGCAAATTTTAATATTGACTTTATAATATTGAGAATGATTTTCTTATCTGTTCTATAACATTTTCTAATACATTTGCTTTAAAATATCATTGTGTTTCTTCAGAGCCAGAGGATTACTCATTTAAGTTTTAGCATTTGTTTTGAGTAAAAACATTTTGATTAAAATCACAACTTTTAATTTTAATATTTAACATTTTAAAAACTGGCAGATCAAATTGGGAAAATAGTTTTCCCCTAAGTATTGAAAATAAGGCATATTTTGGAAGTCAACTCTATTTATGAGGTGTTTACATGCCTTGAAGCCATTAGCTTGTTCTGTGTATGCGTGAGTGTACACAGACATTGGGGTAGTTTTGTATGCATTCTGTCATTACACAGAAAGTCTGGTTTTCTTTTTACAAAGAAAAGCAGGAAATGGTCTTTGTACTCTAAATACATTGATGGATCAAAGCATTAGCAATACTGTCTCTTCAATTACAACCTATGGGTTGAGATACTGCAGCCACAGAATTATTTCTATAGTTTCCTGTGTTCTAGAATATTTCCTTTGCAGAGTTGTAGTTACCAAGGATTTCCAATGTAAAAATAACTGTGGGCAATATACTAAACAGTAACACTGATTTACAAAATGTGGACCCCTCAGTGCCATTTCACAGAGGAAAATAACAAAAATAAATATAAGGAGAACATAATAGGTAATGTTCTCAACAAGGAACACACAAATCCCCTCACATGGCTTCTTGAGCAATGATGTGAATAAAACCAGTGCTGAGGTAGCTAGCACTCAACACGAAGACACACAGACATCTATGAGAGATCCGACTTGTTTACACCCTCCTGTAACGTAAATTCATGTGGAACACTTAAATTATTCCAAATTCCTAAATGTGCTTCATGAAACTCCTTAGGCACCCTTCCCATTTATGAGAGTAATCTAACCTGAAAAGTAAAAGCATTTTGCCATACTGGTTAGTTCATAGTGATAAAAGAGAAAGGAGTTGCAATTTTTATTCCTTTCCCAGGTGACTGCCAGTCTCCACTCGGAGTCCCTGGTACTTGGTAACTTATCAGAGTAGGAAGGAAAGACACAAGTCATTCAATCCTGACAATGCCCACTGCTTTGAGTCCTGCTTTGCTTGGATGGTTGGTGCAGATGCAAACAACTGAGCTACAGAGCACGGACCTCTTCTCCGGGAATCCATGTGACTTTCCTGTACCCCATCCTATAAAGTCCAACGATCACTAAGACAACCCTCTAAGGGTTCATTAGAGGGGGAGGAAAATTAAATGATATATTTGGTGAGTGTACATTTCTTTGTCCATTTTTTTCTTCTCTGTTTTCTTAGAATACATTTTTCATAATTAAAAAAATTACTGTGTGACCATTTTGGGGAAAATAACAATGTGAAATGTGATATTTTGCAGTGTGTGTTAGATTTCTGTTTAGACTATATTCTCTTTGGCTGCAGACAGTCTTTGTTCTCCTGGTGAAATACTGGAAAACTTTAGGAATATTGCTTGAGGAAATTGTCTGCTTAGCTTCAAGACATTTCAAATGCCCAATTTATTCCTCAACTTAGCTTATGATCTTAATGAATGAGTAAATTCTCTGTTTAACTTCTTTGCCATTTTAATGTGGGCCTTTGATTTTCATTTCATTTAGTATCGTTTTTCAGTCTTTAGAGCAATCTATATTCCATCTAATGTGCAGTTAGCTTTCAGCTCTGAATGGCTTTTGCATAATCAGGTCAGTATGGCCTTTTCTTAAGAGTTTGTGTCACTTCCCTTCCTGTTATTTGTACTTGCATTACATTTTACTCTTAGGCTACATCTAGGTGCTTTGTGTTCTACTACATTCAATTCATTGCAGCATCCTCTAATAACTCAGTGAATTAGCGCATTCATTATTCCTTGCTTCCTTCCCTCATTAAACAAATATATATTGTTCATTTGTAGAGCTTCTTGTCCACATACAGCTGGGTATTGAGAATAGGAGAGAGTGGAGGACTCATCCTTACTCTCACTAATGTCAACTGGAAGAAGAGTAATATAATTCTATTAATATTAGATGTAATGATGCTAGCCTTTATTCATCATTACAGATCTGATACATCTGTCTCCATTACTCCCAAAAACTACTTGTTTATAAATGTATTCCTTAATTACTTAAAATTTGCCCTGACTTTAAAAAGATATGATAAAAATTATAAATGTATAGATATCCAAAATTTGCAGAATTCTTTCTGCAGATGGTCACTATAATTTGAACTTTTTTTTTCTAGGTTTCTTAGATTGGCCTCTCTTATTGTTTTACCTGCCAAATTATAAATAACCCTAGAAAATTAGCAAATTCTCTAGAGATTATTTTACAATTTTTTACCTTTGAGAAAAATAATAGACAAAATTTGGATCCTGATGATGTTTTTAATTTTTTGTAAGTTATTTTTAAGTAAATTATAGATAACATTCATGTGAAATCACTATCATAGCAAATATAAAATGAAGAGATATTAAAGTCAACATACTAACTTCAAAGATCATTTTCTGCAACACTAAATTTGGATTTACATGATGGCAAAAAAATAAATTGTCTTGGTGATGAGTAAATCATTGCATTTAAGTTATGGATGTGGCAGATTCTGGTTCAAGCTGATGATCTGAAGCCAAAATTTTACCTCCCGTCTCTCTGTAAATCTTATTATGATTGAATGAAAAACCATAAAATGAGATATACTCACAGAAGCCATAAAGCCTGGAAAGTGGGATGCTATTATAACTTTTAATGGCAGAAACCACAATTACTTTTGCACCAACCTAATAGAACTGAATTGATACTTTAAAAAATAAAAATAAAAAAGTATATGAGAGAAAAGACAGAGGCCAGAGTTGAGAATCTTCAGAGTAAGCTCTAAAAAGAGCAGAGGAAATGGGAACCATTCTTCCCATAGGACCCATGGGTGATCAGGATTTGTTTGGGGGAATTACTGAGAGAAAGAGAACAAAAAGGGCCAGGAATTACCTGATAGATTAAAATGATAAGCAGGCATCTGAGCTGCCCGGCTGTCTCCATTCCCACGTATGCGTGGTGTTGTTCACTCCATAAAACCAGGGTTCTTCTTTCAACAAACATTGAATGAGTGTGTGGGGTGGAAGTCAGGAGCCTCAGGATCAGTCTTCATCTTACCTCCTTTGGGTAGTACTGGGAAGGTTGCTGCAATGGGCCTACTTGTTTCCCATCCCCTCACCCTGCAGATAATTCTGCCTGTTGGAGAGACTTGACAATTAAAGGTGATGAGAGAAGAGTATTATGTAGAAGAGCCAGGATCCATCCTATATAAGCATTTTGAAGAAAATAAGACACAACAGAAAAGAACACAAAGGTAGAAGTGGTGGAAGGCCTGAAGTGGTGGAAGGAGTTTGACCCCAGTGACCTTCTCTCTGGTTTATGCCTGTAAATATGCTACATTACGTGGCAGAAGGGACATTGCACATGGAACTAAGATTGCTCATCAGATGACTTTAAAATGAAGAGATTACCCAGGATTATTCAGGTGATCCCAATGTAATCATGAAAGAAGAGGACAGAAGAATCAGTCAAAGAGACGAGACAGAAGAAGAGATCAGAGAGATGGGAAGCATGAGAAGCACTCAGCCCACAGTTGCTGGATTTTAAGATGGAGGAAGGAGACATGAGCCAGGAAATGCAGGTGACCTCTAGAAGCTGAGAATTTCCAACCAATGGCCGACAAGAAAATGGGGACATCAGTATAGCAACCACATGGAATTAAATCCTGCTGATTTCCTGAATGGGCTTGGAAAATCAAATCCCATACCTTGATTTCAGTCTCATGAAACCCAGAGTAGATAAACCAGTTAAATCATCCCAGACTTCTGACTTACAGAACTATGAGATAACAAAAGGATCATTTAAAGCTACTATGTCTGTAACAATTTTTTATAACAGCAAGGGAAAATGAATACAGATTGTGATGCTAAAAGCAGAGTGCTGTTGTAAAAATTGCCTAGAAAATATGCAAATGGGCCGGGCATGGTGGCTCACACCTATAATCCCAATACTTTGGGAGGCCGAGGTGGGCAGATCACAAGGTCAGGAGATCGAGACCATCCTCGCCAACATGGTGAAACCCCATCTCTACTAAAATTACAAAAATTAGCTGGGCGTGGTGGCACGCACCTGTAGTCCCAGCTGCTCAGGAGGCTGAGGCAAGAGAATCGCTTGAACCCGGGAGGCAGAGGTTGCCGTGAGCCGCGATCATGCCACTGCATTCCAGCCTGGCGACAGAGCGAGACTCTGTCTCAAAAATAAATAAATAAATAAATAGAAAATATGCAAGTGGTGTTGAAACCAGACAGTGGTAAAGTTGGAAAAATTTAGTGGAGCATGATAGAAAAAGTCCAGATCACCTTGAACAGGCAGTTCACAGATACAGTAGTCCCCTCTCATCTGTGTGGGATACATTACAGCATCCCCCGGTGGATACTAAACCCCGTCAAACGCTATGTATAGTTAGTACCAAGCCCTTTGTATACTATATTTTTTCAGTCTGATAACCAAAACAGCTACTAAGTGACTAACAGGAGGTTGGTATATACAGTGTGGACATGCTGGACTAATGGATGATTCACTTCCTGGCCAAAATGGAGCAGGATGGCATAAGATCTTTTTTCGCACTACTCAGAACAGCATGTAATTTAGAATTCATGGATTGTTTATTTCTGGAATTTTGCATCTAACATTTTTGGACTGTGGTTGGCCACAGGTAAATGAAACTCCAGAAAGAAGTGGACATTGTAAGTGATAAACTCAGCTACTTAGCTGAGGAGACTGCTCAGCAAAGTGTTGAAGGTATAACCTGATTGATTCTTGCTGCTTATAGTGAAATGCAAAAGGAGATTGTGAATCTGGAATCCTATACCTAGGCAAAATATCTTTTGAATAAGAGAACTAAGTTTTTTAAAAGCTAATTTAAAAAAATAAATAAATATATACATGGTGGAAAGTTTATGTTTCATATATCCCATCTGAAAAAGTATTTAAAGTTTTATGCTAGTCAAACAAAAGAGTTATTGGAGAAAGAGGGCAACATAGGACCTCAATATTGGTGATATTGATGGGTACAAATAAGACCCCATCATCTCTAATATGAAATGTAACACAGACAGAAACTCAGAGGAAGAGAACTAACTGGAGTAGGATAACCCAGAACACTAGATCTCTTAGCACTCTGAATAGTATCCACAGGGGAAGTGAGGTGTCAAAAATAGAAAGAGAGAGAGAGAGGCATGCAGGGAGGGGCGGGGGTGGGGGGAATAACACGCACTGTTCTGGAGGCAAATAGATAAACATCTCTGTTCTAAGATGAATATGCAGTATATTCGTTTCCCAGCACCATTGTAACAAAGTACCACAAACTAGATAGATTAACCAAGTAGACATGTATTTTCTTATAGTTCTGGAGGGCTAGAAGCCTGAGGTCAAGATGTCAGCAGGATAGGTTCCCCTGAGGCTATGCGGGGCATCTGTTCTGGAGGCCTCTCAGCCTCTGGAGGTGGTCAGCAATCTTTGGCACTCCTTGACCTGTAGTTGCGCTGCTCTAATCCTCTGCTGTCACACGGCCTTCTCTGTATGTCTCTGACATCATCTTCCCTCTGTGTTTCCCTGTCTTTGTGTCCACATCTTTTCTTTTTTATTAGGACATATGTCTTACTGGATTAAGGAACCCCTAATGACCTCATTCTTACTTGGTTATCTCTGTAAAGACCCTATTTCCAAATAAGGTCCCATTCTGAGGTATTCGGGGTTGAGACTTTAACATATCGTTTTGGAGACTCAGTGTAACCTATAAAACACAGAAAATTAAATATGGATGCTAATAAAATATACTTGACATAAAAAAGGAAAACAGGAATTCAGAAACAAAATAATAGCATATATTTGAGACAAATTACTACAGGAGTAGTTTTAGATAGCATCAGCTCTCAATACAATTTGAGGACAAAAAGGCCCTTTAAACTAGGGAAGAAGAGTGAAACGGAATTTAGCTAGGATGCAGGAAAACATGAAAATGAATTTAGATAGAAAAAGAAAATATTGCAATGCAATGGGGAAAAATTGCAAAAGGAAAACATGCAAATATGTTATACACATACAGTTTCAATCATAGGGACCTAGAAAAGCAAAGTGGAGGACAGTCTTGAAGAGCTCTCCGGAAAACAGAGACTAAGTCCAAGGCAGAGACTAAGAATATAAAAATGATCAGAGGGAATGTAATAAACTGAAACACACAAAGCAAAACTGAAGGAGGAAATAAAGCAATAGGGACTACCTTTCCATCGGCGCATTAAAATGGTTTTCTCCGTTCAGGCAAAATTAAAGAAATTAGATCAACTTCTAACATTCTTGAATTTTGTGAATAAATAAAATATCCTACCAGCTACAACAGGGAGAAATATATTTGTCTGAGAAGAAAAACACGGATGTCAGATTTCTCTTTTTTTTTTTTATTACACTTTTAAGTTCTGGGGTACATGTGCAGAACGTGCAGGTTTGTTACATAGATATATACGTGCCATGGTGGTTTGCTGCACCCATCAACCACCTGAACCTTGAACCTGAGAGGCAGAGGTTGCCGTGAGCCATGATCATGCCACTGCACTCCAGCCCGGCAACAGAGTGAGACTCTGTCTCAAAAAGAAAATAAAAAAAAAAAGAAAAAGAAAATAGAAAATATGCAAGTGGTGTTGAAACCAGACAGTGGTAAAGTTGGAAAAATTTGTTGGAAAAACGTCATCTACATTAGGTATTTCTCCTAATGCTATCCCTCCCCCAGCCCTCCTCCCCTCGACAGGCCCTGGTGTGTGAAGCTACCCTCTCTGTGCCCATGTGTTCTCATTGTTCAACTTCCACTTATGAGTGAGAACATGCGTTGTTTGGTTTTCTGGTCCTGTGTTAGTTTGCTGTGAATGATGGTTTCCAGCTTCATCCATGTCCCTGCAAAGGACATGAACTCATCCTTTTTTATGGCTGCATAGTATTCCATGGTGTATATGTGCGACATTTTCTTTATCCAGCCTATCACTGAGGGCCATTTGGGTTGGTTCCACATCTTTGCTATTGTGAACAGTGCCGCAATAAACATACATGTGCATGTGTCTTTATAGTAGAATGATTTATGATCCTTTGGGTATATACCCAGTAATGGGATTGCTGAGTCAAATGGTATTTCTAGTTCTAGATCCTTAAGGAATAGCCACACTATCTTTCACAATGGGTGAACTAATTTACATTCCCGCCAACAGTATAAAAGTGTTCCTATTTCCCCACATCCTCTCTAGCATCTGTTGTTTCCTAACTTTTTAATGTTCAGATTTTTCTTTCAAGGAGAGTAGACCAACGTGTGCACTGCCAGCTGTGAGAATCCCTCCCTGGCATGGAGGGTTGGACTGGCATGGACAAGAGAAGCAAGCCAACTGGACTTGTTCCCCCAGGGGTGTGTCGCTGGGACCCAGCAAATCCACAATTCCAGTCTTCCCTGCTGTATGGCGGATATGGATGGAAAGCAGCAAGGCCTTGCCTGCCAAGTGGGAGATGGCGAGGGAGGCACGTGGCAGGAAGCAGGGATGAATCACACCTCTCCACCGAGGTGGAGCACTCCTTTCTCATGGCCATACAATACCTTAATTTTGCTCTTCATGTTGGAGCAAAAATAACTCTGCCCTTGGATTTCATAAAATAGACTTGGATGTTTCTAATATTCCTGCCATCCCCCGTTTTTATTTTGTTTGCCTAAATTAGCTCCAGTGAATTTCTGTTCAATACAACCCAATCACCCCCAAATAAGACAGAAATAAAACAAAATGGGATGGAGGGAATATATGAAATGTTAATAATTTGAAAATAAATAGATTTGAAACATCTGATTGTAGCCAAAAAGTGGTGAGGGATTTGTTGAAGAAAGTAAAACTTCGTCAATTTTCTCATTAATGATCTTCATTAAGTAGACAAATATAAGTTCAAGTGTGTGCGATTTTTTAAAGGATAAGTTCTAATAGAATTAATAACAGCATGAATTTCACAAATTATGAAAAAATATACATTTAAGTATGGTCACATAGGGCCGAGTGTGGTGACTTACACCTGTAATCCCAGCACTTTGTGAGGCCAAGGTGGGCAGATCACTTGAGCCCGGAAGTTTGAGACCAGCCTGGGCAACGTAGACCCCACTTCTACAAAAAATACAAAATTAGCCAGGCGTGGTGGCATTCACCTGTAGGCCCAGCTACTTGAGAGAGGCTGAGGCAGGAGGATCACTTGGGCCTGGAAGCTAAAGGCTGCAGTGTGAGCCAAGATCATGCCACTGCACTCCAGCCTGAGTGACAGAGCCAGACCCTGTCTCAAAACAAACAAACCAACACACACACACACACACACGGACACACACACACACACACACACACAGCATAAATAAATAAATAAATATGCTCATATTGCAAATGACAGAAAACAAAAGGAATGGTAAAGAAACATTTTCAGATATTTAAAAATGTGATTAGGCGATGACGAAAGTAGGGACAAGCACTCAGAGCTGACAGTAAGAGCAAGTGAGTTGGGTTGTCCTTTTCAATCATTGTGAAACTCTTAGATAAAGAATGTGATACAGAGAAAAGTATAAAGAAAAATTATGGAAAAAAATTTAAAAAATTAAAATAATGGACAAAGATATATCAGACAAGCATGCTAGTATGTATAGAGATTACTAGAAAGCCAAACAAAATACATTCAAAATCACAATAAAACAATAACAAAAACCTCAACAAATATAAACCAATAATTGCACTTTATAACGACAAAGAATGTCATATTTTTCCTAGTTTAGTGATGAATGTCTAGTGAAATGTGTTTATGAACTTTCTGTGCCTACAGACATAATAACAAAATATTTAAAGCAAAATAATTAGAAACATTTGTAAAACATACATGTCTCATTTGATGACTTTTAAATAGGGAAAAATACATTAAAATAGCGATTAAGCATGGTTATCCAATACTAACATTTGCAAAAAAAAAAAAAGTCTATATAGTAAGACACAAGGAAAACAATTGAAAAAAAAACTTTCTAAAGATCACATTGTTGAACTTAATATAATGAAAAATAAGTTATAAAAGTACTCTATAAAATGTATCAAACAAAACTAAAACAAAACACAGCAAAAAAGCACTCAAGTAATTTAAGTACAAAAGATAATATAAAATACAATTACAAAATACGTACATAAGAGAATTGGCTAAAGCTATTATCAAATGGAAATTTAGATCAGTAAGTGTTTTATTTTTAAGAATACATTTAGAGCAGTAAGTGTTTTATTTTTAAGAATATTTTACTCAATTTAACTGAGTAAAGTGGCATTCAATTCAATATTGTTACAAAGAGAATAGTAAAAGAAAATTAAACGAAAGATGAAGAATTCACATAAATAAAGATACCAATTCACTAACAAACAGAATAGGTACTGATATGTTCAAGAGTTGTATCTTTGATAATACAAATAAAACTAAGAAACCTTTCAAGTCTAATCAAGGATGAAAATAAAGATAAAATAGAAATAAAATGTTAACAATGAGGAAGAGAATCTAGACAAATTAAGGGTTTTAAAATGAGACAATATTATACACAACTCTATAATAATCTAATCCTATAAACAAGCTATTTTTAGAGAATATGAACTATCAAAATTGACGCAAAGTAACCATGACAGATAAATAAACATGAAAGAAATTGAAAAAGTTTGAAAATTACCTTTAGGAAACATTATCCACAATGCTTTATAAATTTCACGCCATATAAACTATCCTAGACGGTTAAAATACTTAAAAATTGCTCTTTCTAAAACTATCACTATATATATTTTTATATAATCTCACTTGATAATAAACATGCCAGATGTAAAATAAATACTGGAAAGTCAAAGAACAGCAAAGTAGCTACAATTTCACATTAAATATATTTTTATATATGAGATTCACAAATTATATGCATGTAGTGTGTGTGTATATATATGCATCTTCACATTAATAAAAAAGATTGAGAAAACAAATTGCAGTAGTTTCTTCTTTTTTCAGATGAAAAAGACTATGTTACTGTTTTCTAAGCTTCAGCAATCAGAATTATTTTATAATTTTAAAGTGCATTACTAATTTAAACATTTGAAAATTTTGTCTCATATATTCTTGGACTCTATGTCAAAATGTAAATTACTGAGATAAAGATCGTACTTAAATAATGCCATGTTTTATTCTAAGGATTTCCTTAGAAAATATTTATTCCTTAGATATAACGAAAATATTTATCCCTCAGATTCCTTAAGATTTCCTTAGAATAAAGGAACTTTATTGACTTTCTTGTGCTTACATAGTATTTGTAATGCCTATACTTGAATAATTGTTTTGAGCTGTGAAAAATGAGGACTTTTTGGTAAGTGGCTTTGACTAATTGGAAAACAAAAAAATGATTTAAAATAGATGTTCTTTAAATTCTGTTCTATATTTTATTTTTAAAGTTTTGTGGATACATAGTAGGTCTGTATATTTATGGGGTACATGAGATATTTTGATACAAGCATATAATGCATAATAATCTCATCAGGCTAAATGGGGTATCCTCAAAATATGAGCTTATTTGAAAATAGAGTCTTTGTACATGGAATTCATTAAGTTAAAATGAGGCCATACTAGATTGCGGTGGGCCTGGGATCCAATATGCTGGTGCGTTATAAGAACAGCAAAGACACCGAGACATGTAGGGAAGGCCACGTGGGGACAGAAGCAGCAGCTGGAATGATGCCTGCCAGCCAAGAAGCTCCAGGAATAGGTGGTAGCCACCAGTGACTGGGAAGGGCCCAGGAAGAATCCTCCCCTTGAGCCCCAGAGGGAGCATAGCCCTGCCCACACCTTGATCTCAGACTTCCAGCCTCTAGAACTCAGAAAATATTCTGCTGTGGTTTTTTTTTTTTTTTAGTTTTCAAAACATTTTTAACTTTTGTGGGTACATAATAGGTATAACATTATTGAGATATCTTGATACAGGCATAAGATGTGTAATAAACACATCAGGGTAAATGGGGTACCCACCCCCTCAAGTATTTATTCTTTCTTTATGTTACAAACAATCCAATTATACTCTTTTAGTTAAACTGTACAATACATCATTGTTGACTGTAGTTACCCTGTTGTATTAACAAATACTAGATCATACTCATTCTATCTAACTATATTTTTGCACTCATTAGCCATCCCCACTACCAACCCCCCACTACCCTTCCCAGCCTATAGTAAACATTATTCTATTTTCTATCTCCATGAGTTCAATCGTTTTAATTTTTTAGGTCTCACAAGTAGGCGAGAACATACAAAGTTTTTCTTTCTGTGCCTGGCTTATTTCACTTAACATAATGACCTCCATTTCCATCTATATTGTTGTAAATGACCAGGATCTCATTCCTTTTTATGGCTGAATAGTACTCCATGAAGTATATGTACCACATTTTCTCTACCCATTTATCTGTCAATGGATGCTTAGGTTGCTTCCAAATCTTGGCTATTGCGAATAGTGCCACAATAAACGTGGGAGTGCAGGTATCTCTTCCGTATCCTGATCTCCTTTCTGTGGACATAAAACTAGCACTAGGATTGATGGATCATATGGTAGCTCTATTTTTTGTTTTTTTTTTTTGTTTGTTTTTTGAGACAGAGTCTCACTCTGTGACCCAGGCTGGAGTGCAGTGGCGGGATCGCGGCTCACTGCAAGCTCCGCCTCCTGGGTTCACGCCATTCTCCTGACTCAGCCTCCCGAGTAGCTGCGACTACAGGCACCCGCCACCACGCCCGGCTAATTTTTTTTGTATTTTTAGTAGAGACGGGGTTTCACGGTGTAAACCAGAATGGTCTTGATCTCCTGACCTCGTGATCCGCCCGCCTTGGCCTGCCAAAGTGCTGGGATTAGGTGCGTGAGCCACCGTGCCTGGCCTATTTTTAGTTTTCTGAGGAACCTCCATACTTTTCTCCATAGTGACTGTACTACTTTTCATTCCCACAAACAGTGTTCCCTTTTCCCCACAACCTCACCAGCATTTGTTATTGCCTGTGTTTTGGATAAAAGCCATTTTAACTGTGGTGAGATGATATTTCATTGTAGCTTTGATTTGCATTTCTCTGATGATCAATTGTGTTGAGCACTTCTTCATATACCTGTTTGCCATTTGTATGTCTCCTTTTGAGAAATGTCTATTCAGATCTTTTGCCAATTTTTAAATTGAATTATTAGATGTTTTCCTGTGGAATTGTTTCAGCCCCTTATGTATTCTGCTTATTAAGCCCTTTCCAAATGAGTATTCTTCAAATGTTTTCTTCCATTCTGTGGGCTGTCTCTTCGTTTTGTTGATTATTTTCTTTGCTATGCAGAAACGTTTTAACTTGGTGTGATCTCATTTGTCCATTTTTGCTTTGGTTGCCTGTGCTTGTAGAGTATTACTCAAGAAATTTTTGCCTAGAGCAACATCCTGGAGACTTTCCCTAGTGTTTTCTTTTAGTAATTTCGTAGTTTGAGATATTAGATTTAAGTCTTTAAGTCATCTTTTTTTTTTTGAGACAGTCTTGCTCTGTCGCCCAGGCTGGAGTGCAGTGGCACAATCTCGACTCACTGCAACCTCTGCCTCCTGGGTTCAAGCGATTCTCCTGCCTCAGGCTCCCCATAGCTGGGATTACAGGCTTGCCACCATGCACAGCTAATTTTTGCATTTTTAGTAGAGATGAGGTTTCACCATGTTGGCCAGGGTGGTCTCACACTCCTGGCCTCAAATGATCCATCTGCCTTGGACTCCCAAAGTGCTAGGGTTACAAGTGTGATCCATAGCACCTGGCCCCTTAAGTCTTTAAAACACTTTGATTTGATTTTCGTATATGGCAAGAAATAGGAGTCTAGTTTCATTCTTCTGCATATGGATATCTAGTTTTCCTGGCACCATTTATTGAAGAGTCTGTCCTTTCCCCCAACATATGTATTTGCCACCTTTGTCGAAAATGACTTCACTGTAGATGTGTGGATTTGTTTTTGGGTTCTCTATTCTGTTCCATTGGTCTATGTGTCTTTGTATGTTAATATCATGCTGTTTTGGTGACTGTACCTCTGCAGTACAATTTGAAGTCAGATAATGTTATTCCTCTAGTTTTGTTCTTTTTGCTAAGGATAACTTTGGCTATTCTGGGCCTTTTGTGGTTCCATATAAATTTTAGAATTATTTGTTCTATTTCTGTGAAGAACATTATTGGTATTACTGCAATTACTTCTGCACCAACCTAATTTTTTTATAGGGATTGCATTGAATCTGTAGCTTGCTTTGGGTAGTATGGACATTTTAACAATACTGATTCTTCCAATCCATGAACATGGAATATCTTTCCATTTTTTTGTGTCCTCTTTCTTTCATCAATGTTGCATAGTTTTTACTGTAGAGATCTTTCACTTTTTTAGTTAAGTCATAGATATTTTCTTTTATTTGTAGCTATCATAAATGGGATAACTTTCTTTATTTCTTTTTCAGATTTTTCACTGTTGACATATAGAAATGTTACCGATTTTTGTATGTTGATGTTGTATCCTGTAACTTTACTGAATTTGTTTATTAGTTCTAACAGTTTTTTGGTGGAGTTTTTAGTTTTTCCCATATATGAAATTATGACATTTGGGGCTGGATGATAATTAATATAAGAAAAATAAAAATAAATTTAAATAAATTTAAAAACAAACAAAATTATATCATCTGCAGCAAAGAATAATTTGACTTATTCTTTTCCAATAAGTCAAATTGAATGCTCTTCTTTCTCTTGCCTGATTCCTCTAGGTAGGAATTCCCCTGATAATGAATTCTGATTTTAGTATTTATCTCTACTTACAACATGAGTAATTAATATTATTTGAGATTTTCTTACCTGCCATGCACTGGTCTAAACAATTTATGCGTATTATTATTTTTTTTTAATTTTTTTTTGAGATGGAGTCTCACTCTGTTGCCCAGGCTGGAGTGCAGTGGCGCCATCTCGGCTCACTGCAAGCTCCGCCTCCCGGGTTCACGCCATTCTCCTGCCTCAGCCTCCTGAGCAGCTGGGACTACAGGCGCCCGCCACCACGCCTGGCTAATTTTTTGTATTTTTAGTAGAGATGGGGTTTCACCGTGTTAGCCAGGATGGTCTCGATCTCCTGACCTCGTGATCTGCCTGCCTCGACCTCCCAAAGTGCTGGGATTACAGGCATGAGCCACCGCATCCAGCCCATGTGTATTATTTAATTCTCAAAAAAAAAAAAAAAAAAAAAAACTGTGAGGTTGGTACTGTAATGTCAAACAGCAGGTAATGATTCACTAGAGATTTCAAATAGAACAGCTTATAAGCAAAATATATCAGAACAACATTTCACTACCCGGAAAATTTGCTTTTGTTTTTTCCTAATGCTAATTAGTGCAATTGTACTTGTTTGTGCAAGGAGGTTCTTGTTTGAGAAATTATTTTTGTTTGGAAATATGTTTTTATAATTTCTTCAATGCTGAGGAAAAGGTCATTTCTGTAGGTAGGCTTTCCTAGGAAATTTGTCCCAGCAGGTTGTGTGCAGGTGGTTTTTGCGGGAGAACTCTCAGGCATGCTACCTATGAGGGGGTGAAGAAGGAGAAATTTGGTAGAGGGAAAAAAATCTGAAGCTGGGATGGCCCTTGAGAGATGCCTTGACTTGAGTCAAGTGGACCCAGCCTTGGGACCTGTACATCGTTAGGAGGCTGCCTAGGGCCTGAGAAATAGGTCAAGACTGCTAACTTCAACCAAGGGCAGTGTCCGGGAGGAATGCAGGGTGAAACCATCTGTAGGTAGCACTGCCAACTGGAGGAGTCTGTGCCCCCAGGTCCCAAGGGTGTCATTGATCTGCTTATGTGACCTACTGACTCTATATAAGGCAAAGAAATAATGGCCTTAGAAGGCTGCATGTCCTTGCTTATTCAGAAATGCATTTGACAGAGAAAAAGGCATCTGTCAGAATTCAAGTCAGAGAAGAATGATGTAGAAAAAAGAGCTGGAAAATTTTCTAGGCAGTCCCAACCAAAAAGACATTGTTTTATGGCATAAATCCAAAAGAATCAAAGAATAGGTAAGGAGACAATAATCAAAACCTCTTAGAAATTAGAAAGTTGATGCATGCTAACAGATTTGCTGAAACTTAGAAAAAGTAATATGAAGTAGCAGAGAGGAAACAGAGTCAGTTCGATTTACATCCAGAGTCAGGTATTGACAACACGAGATGCAATGGAAGAAAGAGCAAAATAAGGAAGACTGGGTGGAAGTCAGTTTTAAGAGGCAGTCAGGTCCCCAAATCCCATTCCCTACTCCCATCCCAGAGACTGGGGGCATATTTCTTCCTGGAGGGAACTTTTTCTTTTTGAGATGATAAAGAAAAGGTTGGGCCGGGCGCGATGGCTCACGCCTGTAATCCCAGCACTTTGGGAGGCCGAGGCGGGCAGATCACGAGGTCAGGAGATCGAGAACATCCTGGCTAACACGATGAAACCCCGTCTCTACTAAAAATACAAAAAAAAAAAGTTAGCCGGGCGTCGTGGCG
Organism: Homo sapiens; assembly: GCF_000001405.40. Classification (NCBI taxonomy): domain Eukaryota; kingdom Metazoa; phylum Chordata; class Mammalia; order Primates; family Hominidae; genus Homo; species Homo sapiens. The sequence goes on along the minus strand of NC_000013.11, from coordinate 107,175,031 downwards.
GGCGCCTGTAGTCCCAGCTACTCGGGAGGCTGAGGCAGGAGAATGGCGTGAACCCGGGAGGCGGAGCTTGCAGTGAGCCGAGATCGCGCCGCTGCACTCCAGCCTGGGCGACAGAGCGAGACTCCGTCTCAAAAAAAAAAGAAAAAGAAAAAGAAAAGATTGTTGATCTGAGCAACAGTAGGAGGAGTTCAGGGCGGGGGACCACTCTGACCACCAGGATTCCATGCACAACTCCACCCTGAAGCTGAGACTCCCCCAGCCACATCCTGCTTCTCCCTCCTGCTCCCTGGCCTTCTGCTTCCTGGATGGATATTGGATAGACTTTTCTGGGAAGTCTGATCAACCTAAAGACAGAATTTCAAAAGTTCCTCCATCCTGGCCGGGCACGGTGGCTCAAGCCTGTATTCCCAGCACTCTGGGAGGCCGAGGCGGGTGGATCACGAGGTCAAGAGATCAAGACCATCCTGGCCAACATGGTGAAACCCTGTCTCTACTAAAAATACAAAAAATTAGCCAGGTGTGTTGGCGGGAGCCTGTAGTTCCAGCTACTGGGGAGGCTGAGGCAGGTGAATCACTTGAACCCGGGAGGCAGAGCTTGCAGTGAGCTGAGATTGCACCACCGAGCTCCAGCCTGGCGACAGAGCGAGACTCTGTCTCAAAAAAAAAAATAAATAAATAAATAAATAAAAATAAAAGTTTCTCCATTCTAACAGTTCAGGCATGTCATCTCACGTGCAGCTCACAGGCCGCAGCCCTCCTTAGGTGCCCAGACTTCCTGTGCTTGTTATTTTGTGCAGACAACTAGGAATGCATGGTGTTTCCATGAGAAGAACAAGGGACAAACAAACACAAAAGGGTGGCAACACAGAGAAAATGGAGGGAATTTATTCAGGGAGGGAATGAAACACAACAAATAAGCGTACCCCAAATATCTCAGAGTGAGAAAAACATAAACATGGTAACCATAAAATAAGAACAGTTGCTTCGAAAAGCAACATTCGGATAACACAAAGGAGCTCTTGGAACTTGATCCTAGGGAAAAAAGCAAAATTCAGTGAAATTATGTCACGTGAAAACTCACCAAATTCCCTGAAAGCAGAGTTAAGGGATGAAGTAATATGAAATATTAACAGCAGAGGTAAGAAAATTAAAGGACAAGTTCTGAAGGTCCAACAGCCAAACATAGGACCAGTGCTTGAATAAATCTGAAGAACGATCATTTCTAAATTAGAATTCCATACCCAGCCAAACAATCAATTAAATATGAGGTAGAATAAACACACTTTAAGGCATATGGCATCTTGGAAATTCGCCCTCATGAGCTTTTCCTACTGAAGACACTAGAGGTTGTAAACCCTCAAAAGGAGAAAGAAGGGGACGAGGCACAGGATACAGGGAACAGGGGATCCAGCACTGCAGTGCACGGAGCAGTGGAGACTCATCAGGCATGACGGCAACCAGTCCAGATGGTGGGAGGCTGCAGGAGATATTTCTTCAGAAAAGAACTGATAGAACACTTCATGCAGCTGAAAGAACTGGCAATGCATTTGGGTTGAATGAGTTAGAAGAGGGAAAATAACAAGACAAGTATTATCTGTAGAAAAAAAAACGAAGTGGTATAGGGATAGAAAATTGGACTTTACTACATGGTTGAGCTAAGAATTACATTTATGTCATCCTTATACTGTAAATGGAACAGCAGGTATCAAAGTTACTATTTATGGAGGAATGGGTGAGGGTTTGGGGGGAAGCATGTTTGCTGGAGGGAGGAGGAGAATAAATGTTTTATCTCCACACTTCCTGAGGGGAATCTACAGATAATGCTAAAAATGAAAAATCAAGAAGAGCATAAAACATGTTATTCTCAGAAATGCAGCTAAATACAAAGCAGCTGAAAGATATGCAAATATTTGCCTTTGAGAAAGAAGAATTTGAGATGTGGGAGGTGGAGGATTTTTTTTGTTATTTTGTAAAATACTCTGTGGAATTATTTTATCTTAATATAGATGCATGTTATTCATAAATTTGAGTAAAAACTTGTTAAAAAGATGGACAGGAGAGAAAAAAGAAAGAATATTAATTGTGCCAGACAAAAAGAAGGGTTCATTTATTGGCCTGAATGAACTGCTTCCATTTTTTTTTCTGCGATGACTGTAGTTGTAGATCAGCAAACCAGTTTCTGAGCAAGTTTGGAAGAGCTTCTTATTTACCTAACATTGTTAAATATATTCTGATTATTAGCATTCTAAAATGTTGATCTAAAGGACTTCTAGATTTCTATTTTTATAATCTTATTGTAAACTCCTTTTGTTGTAGAATGTAGTATTGGAAACGTATATTTCAATAAATGATTAGTCTAGCAGTGAGATATCTTATATGAAAAAAGAAAATATCATACAATAAAAATGTCAGAGCTGAAGACCTCATTAATTCAGTTTTTTTTTATATTCTACCTAGGCGAAGGTGAAGTTTACCTTTGAATGCCTAAGAAGAAATGAATATTGTAAGCATCATTATAAGGATATCTTGTTCATTTCTTTAAAAGAAAATGAAGATTGAAGTGTATATTATTTGAGATTATTTTTAATTAAATAAATAGGTATACTGAGTTTATTCATGCAATAAATGCTTATTAAGTATTCTGCTCAGGCATTCTGCTACATATTGGGAATACAAAACTAAGAATGTATAGTTTATGCTTTTAAATTGACAGATAAGTAAGAAAATTGAAATTAAAATGAGCAATTGTGATTACAAGAAAAATAAGAATAATTGCTATAATTAAGAGTTAAGCAAAATGCTAATAGCCCAGGGGTATGAGTACAAGCTTCATACAGGGAGTTTCACTTGAACCGCATTTGAAGGATAAATGAGAAGTATGTAGAGGAATTGGTGGAGGACATTTTAGGAAGAAACAGTAGCTTGGCGAGTGATACAGGCTTGGGTGCTCTGGGAAGAGCCAATGCTTCAGGATTGCGGGAACATTGAGCAGTGAGCCTGGAGAGAGAGGAGAGACCTTTAGATTTTATTGTTTAGGTTGAAGCAATGAGATACCATTGATAACTATTGTTTTTCACAGCAGCCCAAATTTTCATGTTATTTCTATGTGCTAGGCACTGAACCAAGCATGTGACATGAAAAATCTCATGTAATCCTTACAACAACTCTACTATTATCCCCATTTTTAAGTTTTTCATGCATGACATTAATATGACAAAATTTGTGTAGAAAGTTCATTCTAACACCCATGGATAAATGGTTCAGTCAAGTAGAAAAAAAATACACTATGACTTATATAGCTTGCATAAAAATATTCTATGTAATACAGCAAGGTAAAGGATTGGAAAGATTGTAGATACACAGTTGTTTTATTCTTTTCACCACTTCCAAAGTTTTAAAATATGCATCTGTCAATTTTAAAATAAGAACAATGTGTGTTATCAGAGGAAGAAGACAAAAAGGGAAGGAAGAGTTTCAGCAAGGAGGAAGAAAGTGAAGAGAGAACAAGAGAAGCGGAGAGAGACAGACAATTCCTGATAGGCACAATTGGAGGACAGATCAAATGAGAAGATGAACAGCAGAGAGACTCCTTCTGTGATGGTCCCAGCAAAAGATAATGAAGCCTCAACTGAGGCAGACTTCTGTAGAAAGCAAATGGAGAAAATGGAGAAAAATAAGAGAAATGTTTAGAAAATAAATCAAAATGACCCGATCACCCACTGGACATATAGATGGTTTTGCCCATTCTCCCAGAGAGGGGGAGAGAAGACTTGATGAGGCTTCTGAGAGGAAACGATGATAACATGGTTCCTAGAGCTATGACGTTATGATCTGTTGCTTATTTCACTCAGCATAACTAGCTAATGTCAGTTTACGCAGTGCATCAATTGGTCACATTCCTGTGAAAGAAGAAAGGATGACTGCATGTACTTGATATCCAAGTTGATCCGGAACCTCAAGTTCTGATTTTGACTTAATGAAATCTTCTATTCTGTATTCCCAACAACCCAGAACTTTCATGGTATGACTGGCAGGAATATAAAAGAACAACTTGAGGAATCTAACAATACTGGTTTGAGACCATGGGTGACTCTTTATCCAATTGCATTGACTTGATTTTCCTTTAAATAAATGTCTAATTGCCTGTAAGATTTTGTGGGTTAGAATGTTAAAGCAACAGCTTCACTCTACTATGTCGCAAATGTATTTCCTTCCTGCTGACACTCTACTTCCTTCTTCCTACAGGGCTTTATGAAACCTTTCTAACCAATGATGAACCAGAATGCTGTGACGTCAGGAGAGAAGAAAAATCAAATAACCCATCCAAAGGGACCGTAGAGAAAAGTGGCTCCTGTCACAGGACATCGCTCACAGTGTCATCAGCAACAAGACTGTGCAACAGCAGACTCAAGCTGTGTGTTCTTGTACTGATTCTCTTACACACAGTGCTCACAGCCTCGGCAGCACAGAACACAGCCGGACTGAGCTTTGGAGGCATCAACACGCTGGAAGAAAACTCAACCAATGAGGAGTAACGGAAGGACGAGTGTCACCACAGCAGCAGCTGGCCCGCCGTGAAAAATGGCAACTGCTGTCTCATGTAACAGAAACTGGGTGCTTTTACCCTCGAATTACTTATTGCAAGGCCTTTAGGGTAAAATTTAAACAGATGGGCCTGAATCCAAACAAGGACACAACCACAGCTTTTTATTGACTAAAAGGCTGGAAAGTGACTTTAAATTTCTCACACCATTTTATACACTGTGTTTTAATGTTTGGAGGTTTTATTTGCTTTCGTTTTGGTTTGGGTTTATTTGTTTGTTTATTTTTTGCACTTGTTAATACAGGATTTATTTTGGGGGATGGTTTCTCAGAGGTAAACTAAGTCTTTTCACTGTCTCTATCTCTCTATATATTTCTAGTCATTGTGTGTGTTCATCAGATAGTTCTGTCTTTATGTCCTGTCAGCTTCTATTAGAGGAATGATTGCTATGACCTCATGGTATAGCAAAAAACAACAACAAAAAAAGAATAAAAAATAAAAAAGACAAAAAAAAGAAAACAACAAAAAAATAAAAATAAAAAAAATCCCTAAGTCTCCCTTCTACCCACAGAACCAACAACACCCTTCCCGGCCTTTCCTTTCCCTCGCCCTCTTCTCGTCCCCTAAGCAAACAACATCCGCTTGCTTCTGTCTGTGTAACCACAGTGAATGGGTGTGCACGCTTGGTGGGCCTCTGAGCCCCTGTTGCACAAACCAGAAACAGAGCGGAGCCAAGGGGGCCTGACAAGAGTTCCTTTTTAGCTGAACAAACAAGTGCTCTCCATAATAGGTGGAATCAGACAGTTAACACATTTTTATGTTGAAAACAAAATAAAAGGAAAAAATTAAAAAAAACTATCATGAACTGTATTGCTCCAGTTCCCATCCCCAAGTGGCCCAGCCCTTTCTTGCTGGTCCAGTTGGACAGGAGCAGCTATCTAGAATCAGGATGCGGGGAGTGAGGAAGTTTTTCTTTTGACAATGAAGGTGGGCTTTCATTGTGATTTTTGTTCTGTTGCAGTAATATAGGAGCACATTTTGGCCATTGTAATTACAGGGAACAAACAAAGGGATTGCGGACACATATCTGGACTTCTTTTCCTCCCTTATTGTTGTGGAAGAGACACTAGAAATGCTCAAACACCTGCAATATACAGAATATACACAATTTTATTCCAGTATTTCCCTAACATATGGTTTAAAATTATTCCAGGTATACAGTGTATGCAATTCTGCATTATCACAGAGGAACAACTTCTTTTTTAAAAAATAAATAGGTCAGCCATTTTTATTAACGTGCAAAAACTTTATCACTCTAACATGCTCTAGGTAGTTGAGGAAAAGAGGTCTGATCACTGTTTGTATTTTATTTTCTTTGTGGGAACATTTCACCTGCTGAGTGTACATGAATTTGCTTTCTATAAAAGGCTTTTATGAGTTTACAGTAGAATCAGTGGAAGGAAGAGTTAATAAGGGCTGTTTTTAAAAAAACAAACAAACAAACAAAACAAATAATTAAAAAAAAAATTTTACATTCCTTCCTATTCTCTAACTACACTTGGGAAGTGCACTTCAGATAAGTTTGCAGTGTGACTGAGAGATGAAGGAAATCCATAGAAAAGGTCCTCTTAGTGAACAAAATTTAGTTATTAACTTTATAGCTATGAAATTTCCCCGGGCATTTGTTTTTGTTCAAACAGACTTTAACCTCTGCATCATACTTAACCCTGCGACATGCGTACAGTATGCATATTTTGTTTTGAAAAAAAATGTTTCGTTCCAGTCTGTTAAGAATATTCAAAAATAATAAAGGTATTGCTTAATAAAATTGCTAGAATTGTTTAGCAGTACATGCACAATATTTTACTAGATTCTTTGTTTTAATAGTGTTTTGTTGAGACTGAAAATCTTAAAATGGTCTGCGCAAATACAAAAAAAAAGAAAACACCAAAAATGCAAAATTCTCCCGTTTTTGTTCCTTTTTTAAAATTTTTTTTTCTGCAAATGCAAATACATTCACATGTGGACAGATACATACACATAGGCATCATATTTTAGTGTATGGAAACATGGTGCTTTTCTGGGGACACAAGCTGAGGAAGTGAATGGCTCGGGGGAGACACATTAATTGCATGGAATTGTTGACTGTGAAACACTTGTAGAAATGAGCACTTTGGTATCCCAACCAATGGTGGAATACAGATTTCAATGGCGCTGGGGGGACGAGAAGCAGAGGAATTGAGGCTGCAAGTGATTCCTGAGGAAGAGCTCACAGGGTGATTTTATTCAGATGACCTCTAAGGGAATGGCTAGGAAGGAGTCTGTTCTGACCTTTATCTACCTCTGCTGTGGTAAGGCCACTCCATGTGCCATCTCACCATCTCTTCAGCGTTCCTCATGCTGCTTCTCCCCGTGCCATAGGCGTTTCCATTCTTGCAGGAAAATGACAATGCAAGTGCAAATTCCACTCACTTTTATTGGTATGACAATAAATTATTCTTTCTAAACACTTAGCAAAATGACGAAAAGCAGTATTCCTTAAAATATAGGTTTTCATTTTCTCAATATATTTTGAACTGACTAAAGTTCTTTACAAAGACAAGAGGATCAGAAGGTTCCACTTACCCGTGTTTTAGCGTTTGTTTGGAGATAATGCCAACCAAAAGGTGGAAAACTAAAACCACCATTGCTTTACATAAGAGGTACACACTGCCCCCCACCCCCCAAAAAAAAACACAGCTTTGAAAGTTGGGAGAAACACTGCAGTCTTCATTGTAAATATAAAGTGATAATTTAGGTGAGGAAGGAACGGTAAGGAGGGAAGGGGAATGAGTCCTTTCTCCCCATCAAGTCAGCCAGCATTGGAATAGTCTCTAATTCTGGCGGAATATTTTCTTTGTCATGTTCATCTATTCTTATTACAGGAGAATGATTTCAGTGCCTAGTATTTATTAGTGTAAGTGTGTAACCACTTTCCCGCAATATTTCCACTGGACATGTTGAAGCAAAGCAGCTTCTTCTGGGGTCAGGCAGAGGATCCAAATAGGCAACGACTCCTTTCCCAAGCTCAGAAACAATCACTGATGATGCAGATTTCACTACATCCGTTGATTCTTTGTAGTAGTTTTCCTGGCACACACTTGAGCATGCTTAAGGTTGTGCATATGTTCATTTTGAACAAATAAGTTCAGCCCCTGCTCCTTTGTAATCATCATCTTGTTTAGTTTTTCCTGTAGAGGATGTCTACCGTATACTGGCTAATGAACTACAATATTAAAATAATTATTTCTGCAAGCAAGTTGAAAACCAAGAAAACAATATTTGTTTCATAAATGTATGGCATAGATTTCCCTGTTTATTATTCTTTTTATCTGCAATAGAGAAATTTCAGTTTCTGGAATATGTTGGTACTGCTAAGCTAAATGGCAAATAACATAGAGTTCAATGTCATTCTTTATTGCATTTACATTTGGTGATACGTTATATTGAACTTTTCTTGCATTAAAAAGATAGTATTTTTCCCCTCTCTCACAAGGCAGTAAGTGAAAGTTGTTCTTTTAAATGGCATCATTACAAAAAGTAATTTGGTTTCTTACCAATAAATTGGTACCTTAGGTACTAGAACCTGTAGTCATTAAAACAAAAGAAAATAGGCAGATAGCAGAAACAAAAGAATGACAGGAAAGAAGGAAGGAAAGAGGGGAGTGAGGGAGGGAGGGAAGAAGGGAGGGATAGAGTCGGGGAATGAGGGGGAAAGGAGGTTTCATATGAATGAATAAGTACATACTTTTTTCCGGGGGAAAAAAACATAAATGAAATAAGCAATTGGATGCCAGACCCATGTGCCAAATACCTGAATTGGCATATGGTATTTGATATCTGAACAACATCAAAAACGTTAACCAGTCTGAAGCATGATTTACATTCTTTCTCAGTAACAAAGACATTTACAATTTTCCTGCTACTCAAAGCATTAAATCAACACAGAACTGAAAGCTGCATTTTGTTTTATTTATTTAGAACTGCAGTCAGGTATTTAATTTCTTTTCTGTGTGTTTGTTTGTTTTTTGAGATGGCATCTTGCTCTGTTGCTCAAGCTGGAATGCAGCGGCAAGATCTCTGCTCACTGCAACCTCCACTTCCTGGGTTCAAGCGATTCTCCTGCCTCAAGCCTCTCGAGTAGCTGGGACTACAGGCTTGTGCCACCACGCCTGGCTAATTTGTGTATTTTTAGTAGAGACGTGGTGTCGCCATGTTGGCCAGGCTAGTCTTGAACTCCTGACCTTGGGAGATCCGCCGATTAGGCCTCCCAAAGTGTTGGGATTACAGGCGTGAGATACCACACCCAGCCAGGTATTTAATTTCATAAGTGTGCATATGCATATATGAGGCGTTAGGGTTATATACTATGGCATATCTTTAGAGAGATATAAAGATATATATACATACACACACACACACACACACACACACACACACACATCGCTTGCAAATAAAACTTCAACCAAAACATTATGTAGTCCATAACAGCACATGTATACCATAATGATGAATGATCCTACTTGTTTGTCAAAGTTAGAGCAGCATGGTCATTTAAAAACCATATCTACTTTGACAAGGGAAACAGACTCTCAAAATATCTCCATTAATGAATAAATCACAATTTTGAAACAGGCAGAATCTCCATCTTCCAAGCTTTAACAATGTTTATAAAAAACCTAATATAGCAGGTAGGTATTGGGTGACAATGAATAAAAAGACTTTCAGTGGGGGGGAAGGAAAATAACTAAGTATAGTTTTCAAGCAATGTCTTCATGACATTTATAAGAACTATCAAACAGCTACAAATTCTAGAAATTCTCCAAATAATGAGAAAATGTATAGATAATCTTCTTAGCCTTGGAATAAAACTTAAGGCATGAAACAAAATATGAACTATGGTTTTTATTCTTGAGATACTGTACTTCAGGGCTATGTTTACCACAGACAAGACATTCAGATTAAACTCAGAAGAAAATCACCTGGTTATTTTGTCCTGGGTCACACAGGTAGGTAATGCAAATGATGGAACTCAAGCATCTTCTGATTACAAATTACACAAGCTGGCTCCGAGGCACAGTGGGATCCCTAGGTCTCAGACACACTTGAAGAGTTGAATGGATTTTCTTCATACTCCAAGATATTTGTAGAATCACTCAATCTTAAATGAAAAAATCAAAATGATCAGGAAGATCTAGCGAATGTCTCAGAGTTCGTTTGTCATGTTACATTTTGTTCCATGACTTTGCTGTGTTATTCAATATTTTGGAGGTAAAGGAGAAGAGGGTCTATGGGAATATTTTAATAAAATATAGATTTTTAATTTTTATTTTTAATGTGGAGAAAAGGCACAGGATCTTAGGGCAAAGCCATGGTTTAGGGATGAGCTTTGGCTCCAGGTGACACAGGGAGGTCAATGATGTATTTGTACGTGACACCTCATGCAAGAAGAATACTTCGTGGCAACATTGGAGGCTTAAAAGAGATAAGTAATATAAATGTGCCTGGACAAAACAGGTGCTCAGTAGTAGTTAGTTATCATGACTATTCATTCACAAAGTGAAACTGGATTGGCTTGCTCATAGGGACTGCTCCTGGAAGTTGTTCAGAGTTTCTGAATTTCTTTGGCTTATCTCTTAATTACATTTTTTTTTTAACAACACCTCACATCCTTAAGCTAGCAGACTGACCATCAATAGATTTTCAATACAGTTTGAAAGTCTTAACATATATTACAGAACTAAAGTGAGCTCTGATGACTTTTAATATAAACAGCATTGGCTATTTTCGATTTCCACTCCCAAAAGGCTACTACTGACAAGCAAAAGTTAAAGGCATCTACACAAATTGAAGTGGTTCTACAAGCAAGTGTAAATTGATCAACAGTGGTAGTAGAAATAATGATGCAACTTCAAAGTGGTTGTTTAAGGCACTCATAGATCAAAAAATATATATAAATATTTGATGCCTCTGAATTCCTTAAAAAAACTATAGTAATTTTAAACATGAAAATGTTTAAATTGGAACATTTATTATGAAAATTAATTAAACTGAATTAATATATATTTTAATTAACACTATAATTATTATAGAATGAAATAACAGTGAAAAAGTTAGAAAACCTGTTCAGTTTTTGATAAAGTATATGGAAATAGATTAAGCAGGGCTCTTGAGTAAATTATTTCATTGATTTGTATCTATTTAGGTAGGTGAGAGTTGCATAGAATCAGTGGCGAGAAGGATCAGTGAAATAAATTTACAACTTCAGTGAAGACCAGGTAATGAGCATTGATCTATGAATACAGACTTTCTTCAGTGACTATTTCCCCTAAAACTCCCAGCTCACCGCAGCACTGCTGCTTCAAGATTCCAGTTATTGGCGTGCTAGCCAAGTAGAAGGTCATTTTTACCGAAACGCAAATTTCAACTTATGGCCATTTTCTACTGACCATTTCACTGCAAAATGGATAAAACAATAGGAAATATAAACTACAGCAAAAGTTAAAGCTCTATATGGACGTTAAAAGAAAACCTCTTGCTTTCTTTTTCTTCCTTTTTCTCTTGTTTTCTTTTTCTACCTTTTTCTGCATATGGCATTTATTTTCATATCATGATAAGCATTCTCATGTTTGCACTTAATTTTCCTTATTTCTATTTTTCTTAGATTTGTTGATGTTGTGTGGCATATTAAAAGTAGGAAGGACTGTATAAACTCATGTATTATTTTTAAATTGTTTTTCTGAATGTACTCAAGTACTTTTTTATGTGAATATGAACACGGAATAAAAGTACTAAAACCAGTTAATTATGAGAGACTAAGAATGTGGAAAGGAACATTCCGGAGTATATTAGTAGCTAAAGAAATGCCTTGGATCTTAAATTTCAACTTCTAAAATTATTAAAATACAAATATTAAAAAGATATAGAGGCCACTGCTAAAGTTTGTTTACGCCTTATTTCTTCGGTTGCCTAGATTATTCGTTTTAGGTGAATTTGCTTTTTCTGTCACCGTGGTTATGTTAACCCAACTGATTCATCCAAAACGGAATTGGCTAAACTCCTTTATGCACATATTTATATTAGGGCTGATTATTTTGCTCATTGAGTTTCAAAAAATTATCTAGAGGACTGCGAAGTTTTCATTGCTTTACTTAATTTCTTTTTCGCTTGTGTGATTTTTATTTCTTACTCTTGACTATATCTCTATACGGTTTGAAGTAACAGGGCAGAAAGTTAAGCTAATAATTTCTGCTGACTTGATAATTCATCAGTTTGACAAAAAGACCAGTGGGCCACCATTAGGAACTGAAGGCAACTGAAATGACATGGCTTACTCTTGCTGGAATCTTAGCTTGGAAGTTGAACATCTACTCCACAATGCCACGGGATCCGTTCATGATATCATTTGCTGAAGCACTTGCCAAGAATTTCATTATTTAGAAAAAGCAGAATTAACATTTCTATCTATTATTTTTCTTTTCTTTCTTTAAGCTGAAAGGCATTCAGAGGCTGTCAGTAAATAAAATCTATCAGGAACAAAATCATTTTCAAAATTTTTAAACATGATTTATTCTTGATGCAAATCTTATTGTTCTTACAATTCTATGCAAGTCAAGTTGAGCTAAAGCATTTTTATTTAATTCAATTTTCTTTCTTCTGAAATGTGATACAGTAAAATCAGGTTTTGAATATGTACAAACACATCAGGATGATTATTATACTTACATAAGTAAAATATATGTAAAATATTATCATATCTTCACCATATTTAGAGTCTAATATTTGTTAGATTTTTTGTGTGTGCATTTTTCCTTTCCCCTTCAGAAAACGTAGTTTTTTATTTAATTCATGTGGTTTTTCTATAGCTTTCTGGGTCTCATCAAATTTCACATGAAACTATGCAGAGTCATATTTATGTTAAGGAAGACATGCAATTAAAACCCTACCCATTTGTTTTGTTAGTCCCAACACGTATCAAACAAAAAACTTATGTTGTTAGATGTAGATTTGATTATCTCCCTTTATTTATTTGGGTCTCTCTCTCTCTCTCTCCCCGCCCCACCGTCTGTCTCACTCTCACTCTCTCTCTCTCACTTTCTCTCTGATCTCTTTTCCTTTCAACTCAGCTTGCAGGAATGGATCTCATTTGAAATGAGCTGCACTGGTGTCAGCATGGTTGTTTAACCATGTAAACTATCTCATGATGCTTAGAATTGAAGAGAAGCTTAAACGCTTGTGTCAGAAAAATATCTTACAATACACAAAACACATTAAATATATTATTAGAAAAAGTTTAGTTGTGCAACAAAGACCTTTAATTTCAACTAAAAACTGATGCAGTAATGTATTACAATGACCCAAAAAGAAATATTCTTTTCAAAATGACTTCGGGAAGCTATCAGAGTTTGTGGGAAAAATGCTAAGGTAATACTTTCCTAAGAACAAATGTAAAGCTGCAAACAATGACTTTGAATTTTTCAAGATTAGCAGTTTGGATTTACATGTATTTTAACAAAATATAAAAAATTTACTTTCAAATCTTGGCTTTAAAAAAAAATCGTGTTTCAGGCCGGGCGCGGTGGCTCATGCCTGTAATCCCAGCACTTTGGGAGGCTGAGGAGGGCGGATCCCAAGGTCAGGAGACTGAGACCATCCTGGCTAACACGGTGAAACCCCGTCTTTACTAAAAATACAAAAAATTAGCTGGGCGTGGTGGCGGGCGCCTGTAGTCCCAGCTACTCGGGAGGCTGAGGCAGGAGAATGGCGTGAGCCTGGGAGGCAGAGCTTGCAGTGAGCCGAGATCGCGCCACTGCACTCCAGCCTGGGCAACAGAGCGAGACTACGTCTCAAAAAAAAAAAAAAAAAAAATCATGTTTCAACTGAAATGGATATTTATTATCTGCAAAAGTCCATTTTGTTGCATATATTGTTTAAAATAATTCTTAAGAAATTGTTACCTTTCTATTTCTATGGAGAACTAACACCTTAATACAAGTCTAGCCCCCTTTTCCAAGACACAACGTCCCCCACAATGCCACTGAGTTTGTGTTTACCTGAATACTTTCAAACGACAGCTGATCCTTGAATAACATGGGTTTGAACTGCATGAGTTCTCTTCTATGAAGATTTTCTTTACCTCTGCCATCCCTGAGACAGCAAAACCAACCCCTCCTCATCTTCCTCCTTCAAAGCCTACTCAACATTTGAAGATGATGAAGACGAAGGCCTTCATGATGACTTCATATGACTTTCCCTTAATAAATAGTAAATATACTTTTCCTTCCTTATGTTTTTTTATACCATTTTCTCTTCTCTAGCTTACTTTATTGTGAGAACACAATTTATAAGCATATAAAAGGCAGTATAGCAAGATCCCATCTCTAAAAACAAATATTAAAAAAAAAATTAGCTTGGCAGAGGGGCAGGCACTTGTGGTCCCAGCTAACAGAGAGGCTGAGGTGGGAAGATTCCTTGAGCCCAGAAGTCTGAGATTGCAGTGATGGCACCACTGCACTCCAGCCTAGGTGACCGTATGTCTTCATTGATTATTTCTGTTATCAGTAAGGCATCTAGTCAACAGCAGGCTATTAGTGGTTAAGTTTTGGGGGAGTCAAAATTATACATGAATTTTCAACTGTTCAGAGGTCAGAGCCCCTAACTCCCAGATTTTTCAAGGACTATCTGTATATACAATTGTAGCACTGCTGCTATAAATGTGCAGATATGTTTTAAATGATCTAAGGCTAACAAAAACATATTCAGCAGTTTTTTTAATTTTAAGAATAATCTATTCAGAATGTGTATCCCTGTGCAATTAATTACAAATAGCTAAAATCTTGCAAAATATTTAATGTATCAAATCAGCATGTGATTTCATTTATAGAAATAAAAGACTAGTTTTCTCCCTTCTTTTACCCATGAACTTGGCTAATTAATTTTCTATTTTTCCCTCAAACTTTTCTCAAAGGTGGGTATGAAGGGAAAACTTGTTTTTGTGATACTAGAGAGAAATTGATGAAGCCTGGGCACAACGTCATTTGTCTCCCTGTCACAAAGTTGCAGGTGAGCTGGCCATTCATCACCTGGTACACAGCACACCTCATCTTGACCAAAGAGCACCTTTCTTCATCAGAGAAGCTGTGCTATTGAGAGCACTGGGAACCAGGTCTGAATTGGAACAAGAGGCAGAAAAGCAGAATGATGTTTCTTTCTAAAATCATATAATAAACACCAATAAAATTTCTGAATAGTAGTAACGTGTCTTTTGTTATTCAAAGTAGTATTATATAGCTTTTCCTCTTCATTTTATTGAAAGTTTCAGGAAGGGGGAATGTACTAAAGCTTAAAATTAATATCTAATGCTTTTCATCTTGAGAACAGTATGTACATCTTGCACAACTATATTTTAGTTTGTATAAAATAGACATATAAATTACCTGCATTCATGGCTTTCATTCATTTATCTGAATAAACTTACTGAGCAGCCTCTATGTTCCTGGGACTGGGCAAGGCATTGGAGAAATAGATACAAAAGACCTATTTTTGGACTTCCAGGGGTTCTTAGACCACTGTGGAAAAAGGGCATACGATTACAATGCATGTTATGTAAAAAATATGGCAAAGTTAGAGTACACTGGAAGCATTTAACTCCTATTGACAGAAGTTAGTTGCACAAATAGAGTGGCATTTTAAATTTAATAATCAGATCTAAATTCAGCCAGCAAAAGACACAGAAATTTTGTCATGTGCAAAGATGGGAAATATCAAAATAGAAAGTTGGGGGAAGAGTCACTTTATAAAACAAATGATTACCTTTAGATTGAAAGAAAGTCATGACCCCTATTGAAAACAGACAGACAAATGTCGGTATAGGATCTGTTGAGGAACAGAGGGAGTAACAGTGGGGAATGCCTCAATGCTATTTTGCCTTTCAGCAGAGATGGGCAGAAGAGATTTGAAAAAGGGTTCATTTTTATAGATGTATGTAGGTATTTGTATACGTGTGTATGTGAGTTCACCCACACATGTATGTATGTGTATTAATAACCCACTGACCTCAAAGTAAGAGAGAAATAGGATTTACCCAGTATTTACCCAAGAATCCCCATCATCCTTATCCCAGGATTCTGCAGTCAGCAAACCAGGCTTTTTAACACTCTCCAATCATGAGGTATTTAAAGAGCTCCATGATTTGTTTTGTATTTAACGCTGCAATAACCATTCTCAGATAAACATGTTTGAGGGCTTCTTGAGATACATTTTTCTAAGGAAAGTTTATGGGTTAATAGAGCTTTAATTGTTTTGGGTATATATTTCCAATTTTCCCTACCAACATTTCTGCAAAAGGCACAGAGCAATCCAGCTGTACACATGCATGCCTGCTGCATTTTCATAGAAAGTTCTTTCTACCATGAAAACATACCTTTTACTCAGTTCTCTGAACTGTGGATTTCACGTCAGGAGAGTAAAAATGTGGGTAGTTATGTTCTTGGTTTTCTTTGGGAGTGGGTTCTTGAGGAAAGAGATGACAAACAAGAATAGGCAACTTCAGGTCTCCAAACCACAGAATTGGCAAATATAGCTAAACCGGAAGGGGACAGTCATTTTCAAGTGCTGTGTTTTTTTAAAATATCAGGTAATTTTTAAAATCTACGTTTAATATAACTTTATCAGCAATCAAAAAAAAAACTGGTCAACTTGAATGATCTTAGTCGTCTTTTCTATGAGGATCTCTTCTTGATGTAAAATATCCAAAGGCCCTGTTCACACCTTAGGACACCAGTTAGCATTCGTTTCTGTTGATCAAGAAATATATATACAGATGCTCTTTGACTTACAATGAGGCGCCATCCTGATAAACCCATAATAAGTTGAAAATATTCCAAGTAAAACGTGCATTTGGTACAAGTACACCTAACCTACTGAACATCATAGTTAGTCCTGCCTACCTGAAACGTGCTTGGAACACTTACATTAGCCTACAGTTGAGCAAAATCATCTCACACAAAACCAATTTTTTTTTTTGAGATGTAGTTTCACTCTTGTTGCCCAGGCTAGAGTGCAGTGGCACAATCTCAGCTCCCTGCAACCTCTGCCTCCTGAGTTCAAGTGATTCTCCTGCCTCAACCTCCCAAATAGCTGGGATTACAGGCATGTGCCACCACACCCAGCTAATTCTGTATTTTTAGTAGAGATGGGGTTTCACCGTGTTTGTCAGACAAAACCTATTTTATAGTGAAGTGTCGAATATCTCATTTAATTTATTGATGTTCTACTGAGTGTATATCACTTTTAAACCATCGAAAAGTTTAAAATCATTAAGTCAAACATAATCTGTCAAACCATTATAGTCGAGGACCATCTCTAATCTGTAATATGAAACATTACATTACATATTTATGTATCATATAATACTTCAATTATATAAAATGAATTTACATATGAATCGAAATAGTATCCACACATATTTAACAATATATGTACATATATTTCATTTCACATAGTGTAGACCCCTAGAAATTAGGTCATTGTCTGCCTACTCCAAATATCATCTAAATACCATCCAAAGGTTGAAAATTAGTTCCTCAATTATGTTAACATTTCAGTGGAAACATTAAAATGGTAGTAACCATAAGCTTGCCATTAATCCAGTAATGACATCAGATTTTTGAAGATTTATGTTCAATTTCAGACTTCATATTTTAAAAGATATGAGCTATGAGAACATGACAATGATTAAAACTTTACAAAATAAAATATCTGGGGAGAAAGGAATAATATTGGGATATATTACTGAGAAGGAAAAGAAGGTGAAAGAGAGACAACTTATTTTTCAGGCATCTGTCAGAGCCAAGAACTTTGGATAAATTATTTCTGGCTCTCACAACAAACTTGCATAAAAGGTTTTTTAATCCTAAATTTTTGGAGGAGATACAAATCTCTGAGAGAGTATGAAAATGAGTCAGAGTCCCATAAATCGGGAACATCTGTTCTTGGTCTCAAACCCCATGCCAGGACCATGTTCTTTCGATAACAACACACTTAATACAGTCCTGCTCTCCTAATCAGGAAAGACACAAGGGTCTATGAAATCACTTAAAATTCAAGATTTAGCCTTAATTAGTAAAAAGAAATTGCAAATTTAATTGTCAGAAATGTGGAAGAAATGCAATAACATTGTTTAGGTTTATATTCCTCAAACCTTTGGCCTCAGAATAAAGGGTTAGGTTCCGTATTGGTTAAGGATGATCATATCACATTTATATAAAATCGCTAACAAAATCAGTCAATATTAACTGAAAAATGGTGTTCAGGGCAATGGTCAAGATGAATAATAGACACTAACTCCTATTTTGACAAGTTTATAAATTAGTTAAGGATACAGGCACATGGCTTAAAGACAATTGGCAGCACACTTTTCATCCCATGTTCTCATTCTGTTGTTGGCAAATAACAAATTATCTTTGTGTCCAGTGATTTAGTGATGGGAAATCATTCTCTTAAACTTGATAAAGAAAATTACTGTTCTCCAGAAAAAAATATTTCAAGAGAGAGAATATCAGTGATGTAATGAGAACTTATAAATGTAAGGAATGCCTCATTATAAACATAGTATTATATCCAGCTCAGTGTCAACAATGGTAATTTGTGGAGGAGGTTAGCGATTCTCCATGAACTCGACCCAATGTCATAAACACTCATTTCTCAAGAAAACATTTAATTTAAGGAACCCTCAGTCTGCTTTTTAGCAAGATATGTAGTTTGAATAATAATATTCTGGTTTGAACTGTTTTAAACTTAGGCACACTGGGTAGTTGGCCTCTCCATGACCAACTGGCTTTAGGCATTGTGCTCACTTTCTGTGAGATGGCAGTAAGGGATAAAACTGCATCCTGCCAGCATACAGAGGATTCTGGATATCATGGGCTATCCTGGCTTTTAGCCTGCTTTCTGGAAATAAGCCAAAAATAAGTATCTTTATAAGGCCTGCTAGGTTTTATGTGCAGAAATTCTAAATAATTTTCATTATGAAATATAGTAAGGAGAGGCCGGGCATGGTGGCTCACGACTGTAATCCCAGCATTTGGGGAGGCCAAGGTGGGTGGATCATGTGAGGTCAGGAGTTCGAGACCAGCCTGGCCAACATGGCAAAACCCCATCGCTGCTGAAAATAAAAAAAAAAAATTAGCTGAACACAGTGGCAGGTGCCTGTAGTTCCAGCTGTTCGGGAGACTGAGGCTGGAGAATTGCTTGAAACTGGGAGGTGGAGGTTGCAGTGAGCTGAGATGGCATCGTTGTGCTCCAGCCTAGGTGACAGAGTGAGACTCTATCTCAAAAATGAAAAGAGAGAGAGAGAAAGAAAGAGAAGGAAAGAAAGAAAGAAAGAAGGAAGGAAGGAAGGAAGGAAGGAAGGAAGGAAGGAAGGAAGGAAGGAACAAAGAAGAAAGAAAGTGTTGAATAAACTTATATTTAGATTGTCTAAGATTATCTATATAAGGTCAAACTCAATTTCCAGATTAATATTAATCTATTCCCACTTAATAAAATGTCTCTATTTCTATATACACTTAAGAGACCAGGGATTTTGCTGATGGTAATTTAAATTTATATAGTGAGGTTTACATTTTGAAATTAATAACAATTTTTTATTAGCATTAGAGACTTAATTGTTTAAAGCAATCTTACCTACCTACTATATCAGTAGCTAACTGCTGCCTACCACAGCAGTCACACAACAGCATGAGCACAAAATGTTTACAGTTACCATGTCCCTGCCCAGAGGGTATCCAAAAATTACATTGGCACTACAGCTAAATAAACCCATGTAAAACATATACTATAAAAGAGTGTAGACATATATCACATTTTTATGGAAAGTAAAACATTGCCTAATTTTAGATAACAAAAGGAAAATTGATATCTACACAATAAATGAATTAAAATTCTCATTTGTCATAAAACAGAAAGGAGAGAAAATCAGGTCACTTGTTTACTAGTCAAAATTATCAGAATTCACCCAAATATGTAGTGTGATACTTCTAAATACAATAATATAGAGAGAAATATGAGCCAATTACAATCATTTTTATTTAGAGTACTAGTTATTTTAATGAAATTTATTTATTGATAATGGAAAACTTTTTATTTTTTATTTTATGTTACTTCAAAATAATTATTAACTTACGGAATAGCTTCAAGAACAGTATAATAGACTTTTTCCTGTTTTCCCAAACCATATTATAATAAATTGTCAACCTGAAGCCTGATCATTCAGAATATCTTAAGTATACATTTCATAAAATAAAAGCATTCTCCTTTATATCGATGATACAGTATTAAAAAACAGAAAGTTATACTGATATTACTACCATCTAGTCCTCAGATCCTATCCAACTTTCACTCATTATCCCAAAAAATAACCTTGAGAGCAAAAGAACCCAATTTATAATTACATGTTGCATTGAGTTGCCTTGTCTCTTCTGTCTCCTTCAGTCTGAAACAGTTCCTCAGTGTGTATTTTACTTTAATAGCCTTGAAACTTTGGATGGTTACAGGCCAGTTACATTTTAGAAAGCCTCCTGATTTGGCTTGTCTGATATTTCCATATTATTAGCTTGAGGTTACACATCTTTGCTAAAATATCAGAAATGTTTACCCTATCATGTAAAACATTATTTTACCCTGTTCCAGTAATGATGACCTTCACTTTAATTGCATGAATGAAGTGGTAGCCTCATGCCTGGGGATACCACACACACACACACACACACACACACACACACACACACACACACACAGAAAAACCAAAATAACACCAAATGAAGAAAATAGTCTTGAGAGCAGCCAGAGACAAGAGCAAAACAACCCATTATATACAGAGGACAATCATGCAAAGAACAGAGAACAGCTTGTTGAAAACTATGGGCACCAAAACAATACCTTCAAAATTCTGACAAAAAAACAAACCGTGCCCCTTAAAAATTCTATAACCAGTAAAAATATGTTTCAAGAATTAAAGTGAAACAAAAACATTTTCAGTGGAAGTCTAGAGAATTTACACAATTCAGACCTGCACAACAACAAAAACATGTGAAAGTAAGTTTTTTAGACTGAAGAAAAATGGTACCAGAGGGAAATGGAAATCTTCAGAAATTAGTGAGGAGCATTGGAATAGGTAAAAGATATTTTTTCTTAGTTTATTTCAAATAAATATTACTGTTGAAAACAAAAAGTATAACACTGTTTTGGGAGGTTTCTCAAACAAATCAGTAATACTATGTTCAGCAAAACTGACCCTCAAAATAAAGGAGAAATAGAGACTTTTCCAGTAAAACAAAAGCTACCCAGATAAAGAAAATCTGAGAGTTCATCACCACTACACCTGTTTTAAAAAAATGTAATGAAAGTCTTGGAAGTTTAAATGAAAGGATGCTCAAGAGTAAAACGAGTGAAAGCATATAAAAATACAAAGAGAGTGAAAGCATATAAAAATACACAGCTCTTATATAAAGATAAATCTATTAAAAGTTACAGAATCTTGTAATACTGTACTGATGGTTCATAAATCACTTTTAATTTTGGAATGGAATTTAAAAGATAAAACATAAAATATAACTATAAAACTATGTTAATGATTACAAAATATAAAACAGCAAGAGTAAGTCCTTCAATGTTAATAACTAAATGTAAATTAGTAATTTAATGTAAATGAATTAAGATACCCAATCAAATGACATAAAATGGCTAAACTGACTTAATAACAACAAAAACCCGAAAGTTCCAATTATCTGCTGCCTACAAGAGATTCAGTTTAAATTTAAGGATACACATAGGCTGAATATGAAAGAAAGTAAAAAGATATTCCATGTAAATGGCTACCAAAAAAGAGAGCAGAAATGGTCAGACTTGCATCAGATGAAATAGACTTTAGGTCAAAAGGTGTCATAAGAGAAATAGAAGAACATTATGTAGTAATAAAAGGATGAATTCACTAAGCAGATATAATAATTATAAATACATATACTCCTAACATCAGAGCACCAAAATATATGAAGCAAACTTTGACAGAATTGAAGGGAGAAACTGGCAGTAATATAAATCACAGTAGGAAACTACAATATGTTGCTCTCAACAAGGAATAGAACAACCAGACAAAAGATCAATAAGGAAACAAAGAACTAAAACAACCCTATAGACAAATTGAAACTAACAGCCCACCAACAGCAGCAGAATACACATTTTTCAGGCACACATGGAACATTCTTCCAGATCACATGTTAGGCCACAAAACAGATCTTGTCAAATTTAAGATGGAAACATACCAAGTATCATTTCTGATCACAATGTAATAAAACTAAAAACAGCAGTAGGACAAATGAAAAATTCACAAATATATGGAAACTAAACAACACACTCTTGAACAACCAATGGGTCAAAGAGGAAATTACAAGGGAAATTAGAAAATATTTTGAGGCAAATGAAAATGAACATATAGCATACCAAGACATATGGGATGCAGCAAAAGCAGTACTAAGAAAGAAGTTAAATGCATACATTGAAAAGAAGAAAGATTACAAATCAACAACCTAACTTTACATTTCAAGGATCTAGAGAAAGAAGAACAAAGTAAATCTAAAGTAAGCAGAAGTAAAGGGAAATAATAAAGATTTGAGCAAAAGTAAATGAAATAGAAAATAGAAAAATAATTTAAAAATCAATGAAATTGAGAGTTAGTACTTGGAAAAGATCAATAAACGGTCAAATCTTTAGCTAGACTAAGAGAAAAAGAGAAAAGACTCAAATAATTAAAATCAGAAGTGGAAGAAGAGACATTACAGATTATGCCACAGAAATAAAAATGATCATAGACAACTACATGTCAACAAATTGGGTAACTTAAAAAAAAATGGATTAATTTCTAGAAACATACCACCCATCAATACTGAGTCATGAAGACATTAAAAACTTGAATAGATCTATAACTAGTAAGATGATTGAATTAGTCATCAAAAAGCTTCCAACAACATAAATATCAGGACCTGATGGTGTCCCTGAAGAATTTCACCAAAGATTTAAAGAAATAACACAAATACTTCTCAAACTCTTCCAAAAAAATTGAAGAGAAACATTTTTCAAGCTCATTTTATGAGGCCAGCATTACCCTGATAGTAAAATCTGATAAAGACAATATAAGAATAGAAAACATACATCAATAATCCTGATGAATATTAATGCAAAAATCCTCAACAAAATACTAGCAAAGCAAATTCAGCAGCATATTAAAAAGATTAGCCATCAGGACCAAGTGGGATGTATTCCTGGAATGCAAGGATGTTTCAATATATGAAAATAGATCCATGTAATACACCACATTAACAGAATGAAAGACAGAAACCATATGATCACCTCAATTGATGCAGAGGAAACATTTGACACAATTCAATGTATTTTGATGATAAATACATGTTTTATGATAATAACTAACTAGAATAGAAAAAAATACCTTGACATAATAAAGGTCATATATGAGAATCCCACAACTAACATTGCACTCAATGGTGTAAAGCTAAAAGCGTTTCCTCTAAGATCATGAAGACAAGACAAGGATGCCCATTCTCAACATTTCTATTCAACATACTACTGGAAGTGCCAACTAGAAAAATTAGGCAAGAAAAAGAAATAAACAGCATCCAAATTGGAAAGAAGGTAAATTATCTCTGCAGATGACATGATCTTATATGTAGAAAACCCTAAACAATACACACACTGATACACGCACACTGTTAGAACTAATAAATTCATCAAAGTTGCAAGATAATATAATAATCAATGCACAAAAATCAGTCCTGTTTTTATACACTAACAATTAATAATCCAAATAGGAAATTAAGAAGACAATCCCATTTACAATAGCATCAAAAACAATAAAATATGTTAGGTAAACTAAAGAGGTAAAAATACATATACTGAAATCTACAAAACACTGTAAAAAGTAGTCAGCGATAAATGAAAAGAAATCCATATTTATGGATTGGAAGGTTTAATATTGTTAAAATGTTCATAATTCCCAAAGTGATCCACAAATTTAATGTTATTTCTATCAAAACCTCAATGGCATTCTTTTACAGGAGCAGAAAAAAAAATTAAAGTTTATGTGGGCTCTCAAAG
Source organism: Homo sapiens (assembly GCF_000001405.40). Classification (NCBI taxonomy): domain Eukaryota; kingdom Metazoa; phylum Chordata; class Mammalia; order Primates; family Hominidae; genus Homo; species Homo sapiens. The sequence continues at coordinate 107,151,282 of NC_000013.11, read as the reverse complement.
TTCTCTGAATAGTAAAAACAATTCTGAGGAAGAAGAAGCTCGAGGCTTCATGCATTCTCATGTCAAAACATATTTTAAAGCTATAGTAATCAATACAGTATGGTACTGTATTGATAAAGAAAGACATATAAACAATAGAACCGAATAAAGAGCCTGGAAACAAACCCTCAAATAACATTTGAAGAGTATGCCAAGACTACACAATCTTAAAAGGATAGCCTTTTTCACAAATGGTGCTGGGAAAACTGGATATCCACATGCCAAAGCAAATCAAAAAAATGAAGTGAGACCCTTTTTTATACGATGTACAAAAATAAACTCAAAGTGGAATAAAACCTAAATGTAAAACCTGAAACTATAAAACTCCTAGGAGAAAATCTTTATGACATTCAAGTGGGAAATGATTTCTTCAATATAACACCAGAAGCACAGGCAAAGAAAGCAAAAATAAACAAATGCAACAATCTTAAAAGCTTCTGCACAGCAATGGAAACAACCAACATAATGAAAAGGCAACCTAAGGAATGAGAGAAAATATTTGCAAGCCATGTATCTGATAAGGAGTTAGTATCTAGAACATATAAAGAACCCTTTTAACTCAACAACAACAAAAACAACCCCTAATCACCACTTTAAAAATGGGCAAAGGACTTAAATAGACATTTCTCCAAAGATGATTTAAAAATGGCCAACAAGCATATGAAAAGATGCTCAAAAACACTAATCATGAGCAGATATGGTTTGGATGTGTGCCCCTACCAAAATTACATGTTGAATTGTAATCCCCAATGCTGGAGGTGAGGCCTCGTGGGAGGTGACTGAATCATGGGGGCAGTTTTTAATGATTTAACACTGTCCCCCTAGTGCTGTTCTTCTGATAGAGTTTTCATGAGATCTGGTTGTTTAAAAGCGTGTAGCACCTCTCCCCTCTCTCTCTTACTCCTGCTCCGGCCATGTGAAGTTCTGTCTCCCCCTTCACCTTCCACCATGATTGTAAGTTTCCTGAGGCCTCCCCAGAAGACGAGCAGATGGCCAGCATCATGCTTTCTGTACAGCCTGTGGAATCATGACATAATCAAACCACTTCTTTTTATAAATTACCCAGTCTCAGGTATTTCTTTATAGCAGTGCAAGAACTAACTAATAGATCAGGGAAATGCAATTTAAAACCACACTGAGATACACTACTTACCCATTTAGAATGGCTAAGATTAAAAAAGAAAAAAAACTGACAATGCCAAATGTTGGTGAGAACGTGAAGCAACTGAAATACTCATGAACATCTGGAATAAATGTAAAATGGTGCAATCAATTTTCAAAACAGCTTGTCAGTTTCTTTAAAAGTTAAGCATATACCTACTATACAACCCAGCCACTCCAATCCTATGTTTTCACCCAAGAGAAATGAATATTCATAGTACCTTTAATAATTTTTTTGAAATAGCCACAAACTGGTAACAATCAAATATGCATCAACTGGGGAAGAGGTAAACAAAATGTGGTTTATCTATATAATGGAATGCTATTCATCAATTAAAAATAAAAACTACTCATACTCAAAACCACATGAATAAGTCTCAAAATGATTATTCTCAAAGTAAACCAGGTACAAAAGATTATATACTCTATTGCTCTATTGATAAAGCATAAAATAAAGTCTATAATGACAAAAAAGTGATCAACAGTTCACTAGGGCTAGGAGTGGAGGGTCAAATGTTCTAAAAATGTGAAGGTATAGTGTGTGCCCCAGAGGTATATATAATCTAGTGGGGGACAGAAATGTCTCAAGAGATGTGACAATTGGTGCCCCATCCTACCTTCCTCTGGACACCTCTGACTGGAGCTCAGTGTGATATCCATGCACACCAAGGGGTTCCTGTTGCCAGTTCCTGCTGTTTCTTGGTATTTCTACCTTGGGGCTTTCATTCAAGCTACTTTACTACCCCTGTAATGGAATATATAATACGACTAGTCCAGGAAAAGCTTCAAAAGTGTTACAGACTTTCAGTTGCTACTTGAATTCAGTTTGCATAGGAATGATAAACTAAATAGAATGGCAAAATCTTGCTTTGGTTTAAATGTATTAGTAGCAGCCTTGGTTTGTGATTTGTTATAAAACTAAAGCTTTTAGTTCTAACACTGTAGAAGACTGTCTTTTTTCTTCTAATTTATTTTTTACTCCGTAAAAAAATTCCTCTGAAAAATTTGTAATGCGTTAATTTTTCTTTGGTTCTGTTATTTAAAATATTTAATCATTTAGTAAAGAAAAGTTTTATTTTAAAATTACTTTTCCTTCATACTTATTGAATGCTAATATTCATATTAAATAATACATTCTTTTGAAAAAAATCACAAATGGGCTTGAGCTGAGAAAATCTCCCAAAATATAGAAAAAAAATGAGACATGAGACAGAACTTATAGACAAAAGACAAAAAGACATTCATAATAATCAAAAGATACAATTCATAAGAATTCCGGAAGTCTAATATTTATTTAATAAAAATATGTCATTTATTACTGCATTTAAAAATCCACAAGTCTTAGTAGTTTAGAACAGTGTTTGATGATTTCTCACGTGTCTATGGATGAATTGACTCAGGTGGGTGGCTTTTGTGTTTTGAGTGGTATCTGCAGAGGCTGGAGTGCCTGAGATGGCTCCCCACTTGTACGTCTGCTACCTCGGCTGGAAGGAGGCTGGAATAAAGGGAGGCTGAGTGGGCATTTCTCTCTTTCCTTCATCTTTTTTTCTTTCCCTTCCTCTTTTCTCCTCCTTTTTCTCTCCTTCCCCTCCTTTTCTTCCTCTTATTCCTCTCTCTTTCCCCGCTTTCTCTTTCTCTTCATGTAATCCTCCAGCAGAGCAGCTAGACTTCCCTACATGGTGGTCCAGGGCTGTTGAAGTTTGGAAGGTCCTCATGTCTTCCAAGAAGTCAAGCACCAGTAAGTGTTGAGCAAGTCCCTGCTTGTATTGTACTTGCTAAGGTTTCATTGGCCAAAGCAAATCACATGGCCAAAATACCAGGGCATTGTGGGAGAGATGATACAAATACAAGAATATACATAGATGTGATTCCTTGGGGGGCATCAAAATATTAATAAAAACTTGCATAAGGAGTTACAGAAAATGAGAACAAAAAAGCAAATATTCGAAGTTTAAGAAACATATGGATCATCAAATAGAAAAGAACTTAATGAAAATGATGTATAGCTAAATACTTCTTGATGAGATTCCAGAACAACTGAAATAAAAAGAACCTAAAGATATACAGACTTTAAAAGTAACTAAAAAAAGGAGAATTACTCTGGCATGAGAATTCACATCAGCATGCAAATATGTTAGAAGACAATTTATCAATGCTTTCAAAATGTTAAGAATGTTTAAAAATCTGACAAAGTATTGATAAAGGGTAAGCATCAAATATTTTAGAAAGTTACATGTTCAAAGCATCAGATGTTCAGTGTGCCTTAAGTGTTAATGTTCCAGGTGGAAGGAAATGGTATAAACGCTATCTCTACGAAAGTAGATTCCATGCAATAGCTAGTATGACCATAGATTAGACTAATTAAAGGTTGTGCTATTTTACAAAAAAAAAAAAAAAAGTGACTGTTTGAAATCTAAGAAATAGTCCAAATATAAAACCAATTAAAATGTGGCATATCTCCCCTTTGTAAAGCTCCTTAAAAGAATTTTCTATGGGGCCGGGCGCAGTGGCTCATGCCTGTAACCCCAGCACGTAGGGAGCCCGAGGCGGGCAGATCACGAGGTCAGAGATGGAGACCATCCTGGCTAACATGGTGAAACCCCGTCTCTACTAAAAATACAGGAAATTAGCCGGGCGCGGTGTGGGCGCCTGTAGTCCCAGCTACTCGGAGAGGCTGAGGCAGGAGAATGGTGTGAACCCGGAAGGCGGAGCTTGCAGTGAGCAGAGATGGCGCCACTGCAGTCCAGCCTGGGTGACAGAGTGAGACTCCGTCTCAAAAAAAAAAAAAAAAAAAAAAAAAAGAATATTTCTGTGTTCTCTCCAACCATTTTATTACCCTCCTCAAGCCATGAATTTGACTTTACTTCCCAATTTCTTTAAAATATTCTGTAAAAGGTCACCATCTTGCCGCCAGCAGTGTCCTGTTCTCAACCTTCATCTTACTTGAGCTCTGAGCAGCCGTTCTACAACTGATCAGCCCTTCTTCTTCTAGCACTCAAATTGTTAGCTTATAGGACACTAGATTTCCCTAATTTCCCTCCCATCTTTCTGATAGGTTCTCCTTTCCTGGTTCTTCCTTTTATTCCTGTTTCTAAATGTTAGTGAGGCTAAGTTCCCTTGGGAATCTCTCCTTTTTCCGCACATGATCCCCAGGTGACTTTATCCTGTCCCGAGATTTCAAACATTATCTCTAAGCTTACAATTTGCAAATTTATACCTGTAATCCTGGCCGCTCCTCTAATACCCAACTATCTGTTACGGAGAGTTAAAAGTTGTGTTAGTCAGGGCTCTCTAGAGGGACAGAACTAATAGGATAGATGTATACATAAAGGGGAATTTATTAAGGAGAATTAACTCACACGACCACAAGGTGAGGTCCCACAATAGGCCGTCTGCAAGCTGAGGAGCAAGGAAGCCAGTCCAAGTCTAAAGCTGAAGAACTTGGAGTCTGATGTTCAAGGATAGGAAGCATCCAGCACAGGAGAAAGATGTAGGCTGGGAAACTAAGCCAGTCTAGTCTTTTCAGATATTTTCCTTCCTGCTTTTATCTTAGCTGCCCTGGCAGCTGATTAGATGGTGCCCACCCAGATTGAGAGTGGTTCTGCCTTTCCCAGTCCACTGACACCGATGTTAATCTCCTTTGGCGACACCCTCACAGATGCCCGGGAGCAATACTTTGCATCCTTCAATCCAATCAAGTTGACACTCAATATTAAGCATCACAATAGTTATCTTTATCATAACAAATCAAAAAATAAAAACAAAAAAAATTAATCCTCCACCTCCTGACTCAAGTCTTCTCACGTAATTTCTGATTCTGGAGATGGTGCCACCATTCCCTGTTTGTTCTACCTGTTATTTTTAACAAATCCCTTCTCACTCCCCCTACTCAGACCCATCAACAAATTATTTCAGCTCTCCGTGAAAATATGTCCTCAAAATAAACTGTGTTAATTAGGATTGAGTTTGCTGCAATTAAAATATGCTTAATTCTTGTGACTTGAATACACATTTTTAAAAATATATAAATGAAGTACATTGTCCATCCTGTGCCAGGTAGGACAGATCTGTGAAATCCCCAGAAGCTGCAGATCCTCTGTCTTTCTGCTCCAGCTCCTGCTCTCCTTTCCCCATTCGTCTGATCTTGGATTCTACAGCCCTAGACATTCTATCCTCATTTTAGGCAACAGAAGGGCAGAAGAGAAAAAGGTCAAAGGGGCGCCATATTTTATGACTGGCAGAGAAATAACACTGTGGGTGAAAGAGATTATGCTCGCCCCAAATACAATTTTTAGGAGGGTCTCCCTGTGCCCTGTTAGTCAGAATAGTTGAAACTATGGTAGCTCAGTATGCAGTTTCTAGCTTTTTCCCTTTGTAAAGTGGACACCAACAAATTTGAGGGAGTTTAATATTTTTTATTTGTTTGAATTGATTCTTCATTAAAAGTTGAAGTCCTATTGACATAGGAAATGCATGAGTGTATAATTTGTAAATTTAGTTACATTCCCATAGGATTTTGTGTGTTTGGAATAGCATTAAATGAAATAAAAATTATAAGGCTCTTTTCACTATGCAGTGTTAATGAATACAAAATTCACTCAAAAAGCTACAAACACTCTAAACATAAAGGGCAATTCTTCCCAACTTTTTTTTATTTAGATGAATAATGGCTGAATAGGACAATATTGGTTAATATTTCCTCATACGGGCATCTCAAAAAAGACCAAATAAATGGAAAAGAATTATTTGGAAGAGTCATTAATATATGTGTATTATATATAGGGATATACATAAACTTTTTATGTTCAATAAGTAGATTGATTTAACATACATAGAATTAATAAAGACCATTTAAATATTTATATGTATTGCTTTTCATTTTCTGTGCAATTTCATAAGATTATAAGATAAGCTATTTAGTTGTAAACACCAATTTATGCTGTTTTGTTAGCATATAGTGGTACTAATTTTAGACCCAATATGAAATATTGGGTCTCTCTTTATAAATATATATAATATGTGTATAGAAATTTATTGATCTAGCTACATTTTCTAGAATATGTGCCTAGACATGCAAATTAACATAGAACTCTTTGAGTGAAATACTCTTTGAATTAAATACTTTATTGACTGCTGAATAAGAGGGTTGACATTTTAATTTATTTTCATATTTTACTTTTTAAAATGAAATAATAAGCACTAAATTAATTTCTAATTTTTAAATGAGAAGTGTAATTGTTCCTCTCCTTTTTATCTTAGAGTGTGGCATGTCTAAGCCTCCTTTTCTGGTCTTTTAGTTTTTTTGATACACAGACTGCTTCCCAAGAAAGCTAAACAATGCCTTGAACATACTAGGTGCTTGATAGGTATTTAAAAATTATTATTGCAAGAAGAAAGTATTATTTTCAGTAAGTTAGGTAATTGAGACAACTGCCCAGAAGATGGTGCTGTATGATCCCAAAAGAATGTTTTTAATCATACTTCAAGGGAGATTTAATTTCACAATGTTGATTATTCTGATTTTTCAGGAAGAAAAAATCTCCCCACCCCCAATCCCACACAAATAATTTCTCCCATAGGTAAGCATGTATTTATTTCCTAGAGCTTCCAAAACAAAGTACCACAAACAGTAGATGTTAAACAGTAGACATTTATTCTCCCAGAGTTCAAGAGGCTAGAATTGCAAAGTCAAGGTGTTGGCCAGACCATGCTCCCTCTGAGCCTCTTGGGGAGAATCCCTCCTTGCCTCTTCCAGCTCCGGCAGCCGCAGGCTTTCTTAGCTTGTGGTAGCATCACTCCAATCTCGGCCTCTGTCTTCACGGGGCCATCTTCCTCTCTCTATATCTTCACATGGTGTTCTCTTCAGATCTCCCTCCTCTTATTATAGGGACACCAATCCGCGGATGAGGGCCCACTCTAATGACCTCATTTTAACTTGGTGACATCTGCAAAGACCTGATTTTCAAATAAGGTCATATTCACAGTACCAGGAGTTAAGACTTCAATATATCTTTCCGAGGGGACACAACTCAACCCATAAAAATAATAGTATTTTGTCTGCAGTATCAAAAACACTGGTCACTATGAATAAGTATGTCAAATATTTTGTGTGAATTTTCTAATTAAAAAGTTTGGATTTGCACTGTTTTTCTTATCATTTTCCTGTGCAAATTTATGTATTGTCTGGTTTTGAAGAACTAATTTATAGACCTAATCTATAGTTTTGTTGAATTCAAATCCAGACAATGCAAAAGTTCCATTTTTTCATATATAGAAACAATATCTACAACTAGCTCTCATTAGCAATGTAATTTAGTACTGATTTGACAAGTTAATTTTTCAAATATTCAATATCAATGAGATTTTTTTCCAAGAAATAATAATAAATGCTTTAGAGACACTTGTTAATTAAACCAAAGTGATTGTAGCAACTACCCGACTGGATTTCACATGACAGGAGGTGACTCTGGAAGCTTAATTCCTTGTTCCTACCGTCATGTAAACGTTGGCTTTCTGAGAAAGATGAATTGGGCCCCAAATCTTTCCTCCCAGCTCAGGCTGACTCTTGAAATAAGATTGTCTTCCTTGATATTCATGCGGACTTTGCCAAATATCTCCTGGAAGGTAAAATCCCCTCTAGTTGAGGACTACTGCTCTTGACTGGGTTATAATCTTATTCAAGGAAACTCATTGAGCTCTTACCTGCACAGAAATGTCCCAAATGTTGGAAACAATATTACAACTCCTAACGACTTTTTTTAGTTTATTTTTACAAGAAAGATTATCTACATATATATATAGTATGTATATATAGTAAATGGATTGGCATTACTTACTGATATTGATATTGATAGAATAATATTGATATTGATAGAATAATATTGATATTGATAGAATTGCATTATTTATTGACAAACATTTCATTTGGAGTCAATTTGAAGGAGTTTTGTTTGGAGGTGTTTTGTGATTAAAATCCGAACTCTCCATTCTCTCACATATGGAACCAGAGTTAGGAATATAGTCTAAAAAGCCATAGTTGTGTCCTAATTTAAATCATTTGTTCAATAGCTACAGGTTAGATAGGCAAACAAAGGGAGGATGATGATGAACTTTAGGCAGAAAGATGGCTTTTGAAATGTTTTGAAAATTGTTTTGCTTTGCTTTATTTTTGTTTGTTTTATTTTCCTTCAGCAGAGGAAAATAATTTGGAAGAAATAAAATAACTGATCTAGTTGCGATGATTCAATAGTTTATTGTTTTGTTAACAACTTTCAAGATTGGTGCACTGCACAATGGAATCGCTGTTCATATTTTTGACAAAATAAGACCATCCTGGGCCATGGGGTGACTACTTTACACATAAATAATCAATCTTATCATCTCAAACCTAACCTTGATATTAGAATCTTACCTAATATCATGGTCCATTTTCAAGGACCAAACACTAAAATTTATACTTATTTTCATCAATATTTATCTTCAAAAATATTTGGTTGCAAAATTAACTTATAATACTATACTTAGGTATAGTTCAGACCAAATAGTTAAGTTGCATAGTAAAGCATTATTTTAAAAATTAAGTTTTTGTTCTGGAAAGCATCAGGAGGTACTGCTAGCAGGAGTTTCAAATAACAAACAGGGAACAATACAAAATGGAAGCATTACCACAGCAATTTGCAACTCAAAAAAGAATTTCAGGGAAATACAATAGAAAAATAACTGCAAGACTATTATCAAATCACAAAAATTTATTTGTGACTCTGAAGCTAGGCCAAAACAACAACAAAATTATTAGCTGAAAAATGAACAATCTACCCAAGCTATTATGTGCATTGTCCTCATGATATGAACAATATTTTACCTACCCTAAAAAATCACAAATTCTAGAAACTAATTTTTAGTTTCTTTAATAAAAATTAATATTTTCTAAAGGGTAATTTTAAATAGTAGCAGTATTGAGAATTTTGAAAATGTGCTTTTAAATAATGAATCTATTCTCCATACAAAGACAATATGATGATTTTTCCCAGTGCACTGTGGTAGAAATTGTGCTTGGGATTGTTTTAATAACGGTAGTCTGCACGTCCTGTCCCATCAATCTCCATACGAGGACCTTTTAACCAGGGCTATGCTGCTGGCCTGAGGTCAAAGTCCTGCTTTAAAAATAACACAAGAATAAACAGATTGGTTCTTTTAAAGTTCACTAAAATATATTTTTAAATTTTTAATCTGACATTCAGTTTCATAAGAAGATAAACTTACAACATCAGATAAAAATGCATTACATACAAATAATATAAAGGACTCACTGGTGACCTGGATTCAATCAGCACTACTTTTGAGGAAGCATTTTTGAAAAGAAGCTTCCTCTAAATCTCATGAAAACACATTCATATGAGGAAGGTAATTTTCTCCCCTAGGGAGCAAATGAGGAACCTATTCCAGCATGTGTGAGTGGGATAGGGTGAGAAGGTAGAGGGATACATGGATCATCTTGGACTCCAGTAATCCTTCATCCCCCCAGGGAAAAAAATAGGAGGACATAAACTATATGAGTATGTCTGCCAACCTGAACCCCCTAAAATGAGGAGAAGCTAACATTTGAGCAAGGAAAGAGCAAGGATAGGTGTGAACAGAGGAAGCATTTTTCTTGAGTCTCAGTGGGAAACTTCATTCCAACTCTGCTGCACCAGAGGCCCAGGGGCAAAAAATGCTATTTCTTCCACATTGAAGAGGCTGCCCTGGAGGATGCTGAGGGAACAGAAATTCCACCACCTCAAGTACAGAAAACAGCTGATCAGAGAGAGAGAAAAATAAACAAAACAGTTCTCTAATGAATTATAACTGATGAAACAGAACAATGACAATTTTAAATATATATATATATATATATATGAGCACTCAAAGATATTAAAGCACATAAAAGGCACATTTTTGGAATTTTGTTTTAAATCTGATTTTTTGAACTAAAAAATCATGTGCTCCATTGACTGTTTTTTTTTTTTGACTGTTATGAAGGCATGACTTCGTGGCCTAAAAGATCAAATAGGAGAGTTACTCCAAGTCATATAAAGAGACAGAAATCATGATGGCAAAGCTAGAAGACTTTAAGAATAGATCTACAAGACTTAATGAATAACAAGGTTTATTACTTAATGAAAAAATTAATGGATAGATGATAGACAATTAAGCAAATAATAGAAGAAAAAAATCCCCCAGAGAAAGAAAGATTGAGTTGGAAGATTGAAAGGAATGACTGAGTCCCAGACAAGATTGAGGAGAAAAGACAAACATCTAAGCATTGATTAAGTTCAAAGTCTCCAAACTACAGAAATAAGCAAAAATTCTTATCAATGTACACATAGGCAGAAAAAAATGAGATTTTGTATTGTCATTTTTATGTTTTGCATAATCCTTTCTACTATTTTAGATGCAACAAATAGATTTCATAATTTTAGTGAAAATGCCTAACATTTTAATACCAACTAATACAGTGCAGTGAAAGGTTAATATGTCTTTTATTACAATAGTAGAAATATCAAAACTTTTGAAGCAGGCAGAAATGACCTTATTAGCCTTGTGGCCTCAAGCAGGGTATTTATTTATCTTATTGAAGGCTGAGTTCATTCATCTATAAAGTGGGGATACTTACATTTTAGAATGGTATTAAGCATTATGTGATTGATGTACAAAAACATTTATTCATCCTGTACCATATGGAAAGCATTGTGTTATGCATAGGGCATATGTTTGTAACCAAACAAATATAATCCCTGTTCTCAAGGAGCTTGTAGACATAAACAGTAATGCATAACAGATATTATGTGAGTATACTTTTAGTTGATTATTGATTATATTACAATAAACTTTTCTAAAGAAGCACAGGATGCACTGTGAAAGCAGACTGTGGTAGGGGGCTAAAGTCAGACGTGGTTTTAAGTTCATGGGAGGCTTCCTTTAAAACATAGCAATAGAGGTAAGTTCTGAAGTTGATAGGGCTGAATATAAATTACTTTGGTAAAAGAGGAGGAAAAGAAAAGGAGCGTAGAAAAATATAGAGCCTACCAGGTAGAAGGAAGGATATGGACATAGGACTGAATATGAAAGAGTTTGGTAGCATCAAAGAACTGGAAGAAAGCTGATTTAGATCCACAAATGACAGCCCGACAGCCAAATTCAGCTGCTGTCTGTTGTTGGACAAGTGGCAAGCTAAGAATAATCTCCACAGTTTTAAATTGTTGTTAAAAAAAAGATAAATAATATTTTGTGACAGATGAAAATTATGTGAAATTCAAATTTCAGTGTGTATAAATAATTTTTTGTTGGAATATAGCCCCATTCATTTATATATTGTCTATGATTGTTTCTGCTTTGTAATGGCAGCTTTAGGTGGTTGTGGCAGAGACCACATGGCCTGCAAAACCTAAAGTACATACTTCCTAGGACTTTACAGGAAAACGTTGCCAAATCTGGAATAAATGAAATAGAAATTTGGGGCAGAGTAGAACAATAAAAGACTGATGAGGTAGGCAGGAGGCAGATCAGTATTACTGTGCTATACATCTAACCACTACTTGGAGCACTGCATCTATGGAAAAATACATTAAATACTCTAGACAAACAACTTCAATATCAACTTTTGGATTATAAAACTAGTTTTCTTTCTGAAAGTTCAAGAATTCCTTTTTTTAAAAAAAAGAGGTTTTAGGTTAAGGAAAAGTTTATAAAAAGTAATGAACATCTCTTTCCTTTCCTGGTTCCACCAAGAGAATACTTAGCTGCCCAGTGGTACAGAGAGATAATGTTATTAGCAAATGTTGGCAGAGCAATTTTTCTACTCTGAATGTGGAGTCAATTGCACTGTTATGTTATGAGGTTGTGAGCCAAAAGAAATACTAGACTGAGCCAAATGGGCCACTTTGTTCCAGGTTACTGAAATCGGAAGGGACACATCTTGGAAAGATAATAAAGCAAATTAGTTAAGAGGATATTTTCAAAGTAGCAACTATTGAATGTTATGAGTTGGATGCTTTTTTACACAGATGCTGCTTTGAAATTTCAATCAACTGTTAATTATCTATTCTAGTGGGAGAGAAAAGAAGTACAGATATTGCAAAAGCATGAATAACCCCAAGCCAGGCACGTTGACTTTGATATGCTCTCTTGTGTATTTTTGGCATCTCATTCACCTAAACAATTATATTAGCTTAATAATAAAGATTATATTTTCTGGGCACTAAGAAATGATGGCAGGGCAAAATCACTTAGAAACAGAACAGCTTGAGAGAAGCTGTCCTTGAATTTAAAGTGTGCTGTCATATGTGAGAGTGAGCAATGCCTGGAAATGTTGGGGGAGAAGTGGAATATTGATAGCTGCTCCTATTGGCCACATGCAGAGGGCACCAGTAGGCCACATAAGAACACCATCTGGAGTCACTGGTGAGTGTCTTTTGCTGAAGGCTGCAGAAATTCCTGCAGCCTAAATTTCCCCGTGAAATCTCCATGTCCCAGTTCCAAACTGATGTCCTGATTCTCATGCCTCCCCAGTACTTTTATGCATGTAGGGCAGATGCAGGAACCTTTTTGGCAGTAGATAATAGGTACTAGGACATAGCAAAAAATAAATAAATAAAAAGAAAGAAAATGTAGTGTGTTAACTTGGCCATTACAGAGTAACATCTAGTTGTACTCTCCTCTGAAGGAACCAGGTAGCAGAAAAGAGACACTTAATAATCCAGCCCATGTAATACAGAAAACTATCATCCTTTTCCTAAGTGAGATAATTAATAGGGTGAGACCAGACAGAAAAAAAAGCCATTCGCAAAAGGGAAATGTGGCAGACAGACTCTTAAGGTGGCCACCTGTGATCCCTGTCTCCTGGTAGTCACCATTTGGGCTAATCTTCCTGGAATGTGTGCATCTGTGGGGGCAGGAGTTCTGTGCTGTCCTTCTAACTACACAATAAGGAAAAGGGGATGGATAGATGTGCTCACCTACATGTGGTTACAGTGTGACATCCTATATGATGAGAGTAGACATCTTGTTTGAGCTCCTCACCCCCATGCTGGTTTTGAAAACGCAAGCTGCCTGTTGTAGGTTGCCTGTGTTGGGAGGCCTATAGGCAAAGAGCTGAAGGCAGCCTCTAGGAGGGGAGAGTGACCTCTGGCCAACAGTCAGCACCAAACAGAAGTCCTCAATTCTATCATCCCAAGACCTGAATTCTACCAACAAAAGTAGACCTTTTCCCAGTTGACGTTCAGTAGGGCAGCTCCAGCCAACACTTGATTGCAGCCTTGCGAGACTCTAAGCAGTGAACACAGCTAAGCCATGCCTGGCTTCTAACACAGAATCGGTGGTTATGTGGATGTTTACTAAGCTGTTAAGTTTGGGGTAATTTGCTACACAGCAGTAGAAAACTAATACAGGAAGAAATCCTAAACATTTAATTCGGGCACATTGTGAGGGCCTAGATGAGACACTAAGGCTTAAAGTAGCATTTCCTAAATGTGTCCTGAAGAACAGACTTCAGGGAACATGTATGTTCTTCACATACACTGTACTTTTAGTATGTGAACCTTCTGAGAACTTTTGTGTTAAAAAATCTGCTTAACATTTAAGTTAATGTCCAAACTATTTGAAAAATTATTATTTATCCAAAGCAGTTTAATGTGTATTCATGTGTTTATTTATAAATTTACTTATTCAAATGTATTTAGTCATAGCATCCTAGTGTGTATTAGCACCCTGAATATACCAAGAGAGGAAGTGCTGATTGAAAGAAAGACATTGAGATACAAAGTAAGTACTGCATCTGACTATCACAGTATGTATGTATTTATAATGGCTACGAGTACTGTGGCTTGGGATTTCTATTACTGATTGCAATGTAGATCTTTAAAAAAAAAAAAGATAAAGTAAGGGTTTGCACCCCCAATTTAACTTACAGTCAGAGAATAAAAGTTTTTCAGTGGCTTTAAAAATGTCTTATTACTTATAGCCACTGTTTAGCACGTGACAGATTCCAAGCAAATATTATATTAAGCACATTGAATTCACAGCCTTGTCAAATTATTTAAGTGGGTCTAGAAAAGGGATTAGAAATGAGCAGAACCTTGAGATTTTGGACCAGGATGAAAATGAGAATCTTAAAACCAAACCCTGTTGAGTCTTCTTTTGCCATCATAGTTACCTTTTCTTCTCTTGCCTGAGGAAACTGGTATCCCCTTGCTTAAAAGTCACGTGAGATCTCACCAGAAGCAGTTCTGTTGCATGGAGTCATCGCCAACTATCCTTCCTCCAGAGTTATAAATACAATCATCTTCAGTACACTTCATGTGGAGGGATTACAAAGTTTTTTTCTTAGAAGGGACAACTTGTACACCCAAACTTTGCTGAATCAGGCCAATTTATATTGGCAGAAAACTAGAAAACATGTGTGGAAATGAATGCTAAGATTGCTAGACAAGGAAGCCAAATATAATGTTGAATCAGACCAAATGTATTGTTTTGGGCATACTTTCCTGAGAATCTGAAATTAATGCATTAGTTCAAGCAGCAGAAAGTAGATGAAAAGTTTGTTTGCTTCAGTGGTTGAACCATGGACTCAATGTTGTGTACTGAATTTAATGTGTCTGAAATTCCAGAACTGATATAATGTGGAGAAAGGAATGTAACATTTTAGAGGGATGGTAATGTTGGGGTAGATTATTATAAGCACATTTTTCACCTATTCCTTTTACTCTGTCACCTGACAGGGTTCAGAAGACACTTGGTCTTCTGAAGTGTCTTGGTTTACTCAGATATTAGAAAGTGCATAGGTGAGAACAGCATTAGTATCTTTAGAAAGCTCTTTGGAAACTGTTCTGTAACTGTTTTATAGCTGGGGATAATAACGAGAGATATAGTCATTGAAATGGGCTCTAATTTTAGTACAAATGATGAACCCTGAGTGATAGGGGCCATTGGCAATGCTTAAGTGCAAGAGAGAAGAGGGTACAATTATGGAAGTGCCAGCAGGAGCATAGTGTCAGAGTGTGTTGATCCAAAGGCACCAATAAAGGTGATTCATTGGTCATGTTGCCCCAAGGAATTAAATAGACAGTGGCATATTAAAATGTTAATTGATTTATTTAACCACAAAATCTCTTAAATTATGGCATGAATACCTACAATAATATTTTATGTCCTCCCAACTAGCAGACAGAATTAAGTCTGTTCACAGAGGCAGATCTTCTTGGTTGAAAGTGAGGTTCAACAGCCTAGAGAATGTTTCCTTTGACATAGCCACAATAAATAGTGTATTTTACAAATCTTCTTCCTACTCATTTTTTTTGTCAGAATGGCTGTACACTGGAGAGAGAAAAATGAGAGATGGAGAGATTACTAGACACCAATTCTTAGTTGACCTTAATTCCTGAGAACTCAAAATATTACTGAGGGGTACTGCTGGAAGTGAAGACTCCTATCACCTCTGAGACAGTCTAAGACCATTTGACATTTATTTGAGTGAGTCTACAACCTTATTCTGGGTTATTTCCCCAATTCTTAAATGAATGGCTGGACTAGACAGAACATATTCTGGAAAGAAGATTTCCTCACATTGGTTCTCTGGTCAGGAAGTGATGTTATTAAGGACAGAAGGAAGCAAACAGGAGCCCCTGGAACTGCTTTGTTCAATAAAAAGAATAAATCAAAAGCAATCTCACATCCCTAGAGGAACTACAGAAAATAAGGGCACCAGTGAAAATTTCAAATACACTCAGGCGGGGATTATATACACATCTACTTTTAACTCACTTGATCTGTCCTAAAAAAAGCTGAATGGATCCAGATAATCATGGGGATTACTATAAACTTTTCCAGGCATTGACCGTAATTGTAGTTATTCTTTCAAGTATAATATCCTAACTTATAATATCCTGTACATGGTTTATGTTTTCTTCTAAACTGACTGGAAAGAACTAGCAGAAGCAATTTACTTTTACCTGGGAAGGACAGTAGTGTACCTTCACAGTCATGCCTCAGAATTATGTCATCTTCACTACTCTGTCATAATATAGTCCAATGGGATCTTGGCCAGCTTGTTACTACACAGAACATTCCAATGATCCACTGCGTTAGTGATATCATGCTCATTGAACCTGGAGATCAGGAATTGGCAAGTAACCTAGAGCCGTAAGACACATGTACACCAGAAGACGGGAGGAGAAATGAAGTTTGAAAACAAAACCCTGCAATAGCATATAAATTTCTAGTACTCTAGGGATATGATATGTTTGGCTATCCCTTCTAAAGTGAGAGACAAAGCTTGCCTCCTTACAGCCTATCACTAGGAAAAAATCAAAATGTTTTCTGGGACTCTGAATTTTAGAAACAAGTTACACCAGGTTTGGGTATGCCCCTATAACCCAGGAACCAAGGAATAATTAAGGCTACTTATTTTGAGTGGAATTCAGGGCAAGAAAAACTTTTTCAGTAGCAAGGCTGCAGTGTGAGATGCTCAGCTACTTAATCCAAAGTTGATCTATCTATAGAAAATCAAACTGCAACATGAGATGCTCTATGGGATCCTATAGAAGAATTACGGGCAAGAACCTTGGTATTTTGGAGCAAAGCAATCTCCTCTTCTGCAAATAGCTATTACAGTTTTGAAAAGGGTTTTTTCTTGTTACTTCAGCCTTGTAAACATAACAAATTGTTTTACCCTGTAACATCAAGTTCCCATTCAACCATGCAAAAGTTTATGTATGCATGCACTGCATACATACAACTTTTGGGTCAAAATGGTTCTGCTAGCATAAGTTGCACCATAAATGGTTCAGACCCCCATGACACTTATTCTGGCTGTATTGATTCTTTTATTCAATCCCATCTGTGGACTAACGAGGCTTTCCCTATGATAAGTGGACAATGGAGAAAAACATCCTGCCTGTCTTACATTTTCCTGGCACCAACTAGACTGAAATTCTGCCCGTGATAGTCGTATCAGGGTGGCCTTCAAAGAGGATGATAAAAAAATCATTAAATTCCATTTTATACCATACCTGGAGGGAGAAAAAGCCAAAGTGAAAAACTTATGCTGATTTATGAGAACGGTCTAACAATTTGGCTTTCGGGGAATTAATATGAATAAGAATGAAAGACCAGCAGCGAGGGAAGCTGGAGAAGAAGCATTTAGAAGGACCTCTCAATATGCACACAGAGTGTACAGATATTTATGTCTTATGTGGATATTCATCAAGTAGCATCTGCTACAGAGGGAGGGTTCCATCAGGTAGACCAGATGACCCATCCTGTGGGTCAGCCTCTTTTCCCAGCCACTCCAGTGTTGTCACAATGGGTCTATACACAGAGCATCTATGGTGGCAGGACAACACTAGAACAACAAAGCTTGAGAGTAGGATAGGGATGGTTTCCAGGAGGAAAATCAGGCTCCTTTTATAGCAAAAGAATGGATGCTGGCCAGCAAAAGTAGCAGGTTTTCATTACTCATGGAGTTGAAGATAGAGTGGATCTGCCTGGGAGAGCAATGAAAGAAAACTGCTGATGTTTGGCAGCAGGCTTAGAAAGCAGCCCTCTGTGGACAGGAGACTAGCAGGGAGCTCCAGAAGGGAAGAGTTATTTGGGAAAATGGGACATGATAGAATAACGTTGTAATGGAGACTTTAAAAACTTGAAGCTCTTTTAAAGCTAATTGGTATAAGAAAACAGCAATTAAATATCAGGAAAAAAATGTATACAAGAAAGGAAAAGCAATCGTATTATACTAGATGGCATACGATGAATAATTTTTTTTACTCAAAAATATCAAATGCATATTGAGTTTTAATTGAGTTAATTGAGAGAAAACTCAGCTGGGTGCAGTGGCTCATGCCTGTAATCCCAGCACTTTGGGAGGCTGGGGCGGGCAGATCATGAGGTCAAGAGATCAACACCATCCTGGCTAACACAGTGAAACCCGTCTCTACAAAAATACAAAAAATTAGCCGGGTGTGGTGGCGGGCACCTGTAGTCCCAGCTACTCAGGAGGCTGAGGCAGGAGAATCACTTGAACCTGGGAGGCAGAGATTGCAGTGAGTCAAGATCGCGCCATTGCACTCCAGCCTGGGTGACAGAGTGAGACTCCATCTAGAAAAAAAGGAAAGAAAGAAAGAAAGAAAGAAAACTTCTGGAATACTTAATTATGGTTATAGAATAGTATGTTATGTAAATGTTCTCAATGTTCACATTGTGTGCTGAAATGCCCTGTGTGGTGAAGGTGGTAGTAATATGAAGGAGTGGTCAAAGGAAGTGCTAATGTTATCTTATGACATGAAGAACCGAGAGACATTATTTTTATTGGATGGATGTTGAAGTAAAACCATATGTTACTATAAATAACAAAGGTAAGAAATAGAAACTCAAAATTCTGTATGGTTATAATATGAATAGGGAATGGAAGAGGTGAGGTAGCATGGCATATTCCTCACCAATTATGACAGCAAGTTAAAAAATAATGACCAGGACAGGTGCAGTGGTTCATGACTGCAATCCCAGCACTTTGGGACGATGAGGCAAAAGAATCACTTGAGGCCAGGAATTTGAGACCAGCCTGGGCAACATAGCAAGACATCTTTTCTACAATAACAACAAATTAGCTGGGCTTGGTGGTGCACGACTATAGCCCAAAGATTCAGGAGGCTAAGGCAGGAAGATCCCTTAAGCCCAAGAGTTCAAGGCTACAGTGCACTATGATCACACCACTGCACTCTAGCCTGGGTTACACAGCAAGATTCTGACTCTAGTAATGATAATAATAATAACAGTGATGCATCAAATTTATAAATACAGAAATAGGAGAATAAAGAGTATAAAAATGTAATATAAACATCAGAAGAAACTTTTCAGAGTTTATGGTGGTTCTTACGAAGCAGGTAAGGTACAGGACTTTTACCTTTTGGCATGCTTACATTTTAAAACTTGAACATACACTCTAACAATATGGAAATTAAAATAAAATTAATATGTCTTGTTTTTTACACCCTTGAGTTGTATCCTAAGATTATGTTTCACTGTTATAAAGTGAAACATACTGATGGTAAGCACTATCAGGAGAAAATCACATAAGGTGCTCAAGGAATATAGTGAAGAGAGACTCTGGATGGAGGATGACTAGAAAAGTAAAGTTTTGAAGAAAGAATAGGTTCATAAGCAAAGACTAAGAAAATCTGTGCATTTGGAAGGTGCAGGGTGTGTGCCATGACTATGGCAATATCATCAGTTGAAGTTAAGGATTCTAAGATTGGTAGAGTTATTGGGAGAAAAAGATGGATGTGTAGTTTTTGGCCAAATTTTCAGCTCTTTAATTCTTGGAATAGGGACATAACATTTATGTCAAACAGATTGCAGCTCTTTTGGAGTTTTTGGCGAGATAAGATCAGGTTATAGAGAGATAAATCTAGGAACACAGTGTAGCAAGAGTGTAAGAAAGTTTAAAATGGTAAGAGTTCGGAGACTGGTGGTCTAGGAGTTCTTGCACAATCTCAGGAAAGAGGTGAATGAATATAAGAAAATCATGAATTGCCAACATTTATAGGATCTTCATAAGGACCAAGGATTCCATGAAATCTTTATCTGGACTACCACATTTTATCCAGAACCCTAAACATTCTACTATCAAACTATCCTTATTTATAGATGATGAAACGGAGGTTTAAGTAAATTAAGTAATTTTCACCGAGGTCATGTCACTAAAGTGGAGTTAGAATCTGAGCTCAGGCAATGGAACTCCAGAGACTGAGTGCTTAACTGGTCACCATAGCCTTCTCACACCTGAAATAAGGCAGTGTATTTGGCTATGAAAACCACAGCAACGAGCCCAGATTTTATTCCAAGCATAAGGCAAAGGCATTGGGATAATATGATGAGATTTACAGTGTTGAGAAAAGACTCTAATGTGGCACGAGTGAAAGTCAGTTGTTAAGGGGTCAATTGTGTCCCCTGCCTCATATTCATATGTTAAAGTCCTAACTCCCTGTATTTCAGAATGTGACTGTGTTTGGAGTGGGGCCTTCGAAGAGGACGTTTAAATGAAATCATTACAGTAGGCCTAAAATCAATATGACTGGTGTTCCTATAAGGAGAAGAGATTAAGTTGCACACAGAGGGAAGACCATGAGCAGACATGGGGAGAAGACGGCCCCCTACAAGCCAAGAAGAAAGACTTCAGAGGAATCAACCCTGCTAAAATCTTGATCTTGGACTTCAAGACACCAGAAATGAGAAAATAACTTTCTGTTGTGTAAGCCACCCCAGCTGTGGTACTTTGTTATGGCAGTCCTAGGAAACTATGCACCACAGGCTCTCTCACATGTCTTTTACAAAGGCACTAATCCTATTCATGAGGGTTCTGACCTCATGACTTAATCACCTCCCCAAAGGCCTCACCTCCTAGTAGTATCCCACTAAAGATTAGGTTCCAACATCCAAATTTGCAGGGAGGAGGGGACACCAACATTTGGATGATAGCACAAGTGGTAGACAAAGCTTGGAAACAGTTATATTGGGAAATGACTTTCTTAATGTTTACACTTCATAATATGCTCTTCTCAGAAACCAAAAATGTGAGTGTCGATGAGGGCTTTGGCTCATGGTCAAGGACAGAAAGAATGAGAAAAAAATGGCTTGAAGATATGTTTCTAAGGTCAAGCCAGCAGACCTGGTTAATTAATACAATGCGTAGGTGAGAGGAGAAGAAACACGGATGAGCCTAAGCTTAAGCTTTCTGAAGCTGAATAAATGGAGATGGAGTTGCCTGGGAAAGGAGCAGGATTTCAAATACCAGAAGACAATGAGATAGAGAGGAGCAAGAAAAGTTAGCCGTGGAAAGACACAGTGCAATGCATTCCACTCGTGTATCTGAAAACAGAGAACCCATGAACGATAAGACAATAAACTTGAGTGGAGGGAAGGACAATAATCCTGTTCCCTTGCTTCTCAGAATGTGAGTACATTCTCTGACTGAGGACAGTGGGATGAGTTACGGTTCTGGGGGTTACAGAAAATTTGACATGTTTAAAATAATCAGACTGGTTTTACTTATAAAGCACGGGCATCAATTAGACAAAATTCACCATAGTTCATGAGAAAATATTGTTTAGAGGTTAGAAGCACCCTCATTAGAACCACATTACTGAGTTTGAATCCTGAATGCAGCGTTCCTTAGTTATGTGCCCCAAGGCAAGTTATAACTAAATCCTTATGTTCCTTGATTTCTTTATCTGCAAAGTAGGTGATATAATACTACCTACTTCATGAGTGCTTGTGACAGTGAAATGGGATTGAAGTATTTATAAAAAGACTTGGTATATTTAAAGGCTCAATCAAAATTAGTTGTTTTTGTTATCATCATCATCATTATCATTAAGGATAAAAAACTGACGACACAGAAAAGCAATTTTACCTATCGAAGATACCTAAATTGGAGCCAGAGTTCATTAAGACTTCCAAGAGAAAATCTCAACAGAATTTACATGGTACTTTGCTAACAAATATTCAAGAAACGCTAAAATTAAGTTAATCCACTGATTCCATTAAGTACTATATTCAGGATAATCTTGTCACATAAGTCTTCCTTCTTCAAAGTCATGGCACCACTGTCACAGTAATGATGCCTTCCATGTTATTAAGGAGAATAGAAATTCATAGAATGGTGCCAGTCACACAGAAAAGTCTCTTTTCTATTCTCAGACCATTGACTTTCCTATCATCCACTTCTTTTCAGCAAATGACCTCACTTCCTTCTTCTCAGAGATGAGGCAAGTCATCATAGGGGACCATCTTTGCTTTCTGTCCCCAGCAATGATCACCCTCTTGTACCGAAGCTCACACACAGTGTCTTCCCCTCGTTGCAAGGAAAGATGTGTCTGTTCCCGCCTGGGATGATCTCCATCTGTGCTCAGGACACTGTCCGCTCCTGCTATCTTCAGGGACTTTCCTCTCGAATTAGGTCATCCTTGCATTGCTATAAAGGAATACCTGAGACTGGGTAATTTATAAAGAAATGAGGTTTAACTGGCTCATGGTTCTGCAGGCTTTACAGGAAGTATGGTGACAATGTCTGCTCAGCTTTTGGTGAAGCCTCAGGAAGCTTCCAATCACGATGGAAGGCAAAGAGGGAACAGTCAGGTTACACAGAAGCAGGAGCAAGAAGGAGAAAGAGAGGTGTCACACACTTTTAGACAGCCAGATCTTGCGAGAAGTCACTCACAATCGCGAGGACGAGGAGATGGTGCTAAACCATTCATGAGAACTCTACCTCCATGATCCAATCACCTCCCACCAGGCACCACTGCCAATACTGGGGATTACAATTTAATATGCGATATAAGCGGGACATCTATCCAAACTATATCACCTCTCTTAATAGTTTTTTCTTGTATCTTTTGCTTTTTCTTCTCTACTGGATTTTTCTAAGCACAGCTTAAACATTCTTCACATTCCCACCTTAAAATAACCACTTGACCCTACTAGCTACAGCTCCCTCTCTCTCCACTACCTTAAACAAGCCTTTTTGAAGGGTTGTCTGTTCTTGCTTTCTCCACCTCCTCTCCTTCCGGTGGCTGCTCCAGCCCCTGCAATCCACCCTTTGCTTTAATAGAGTGTATCTCATTGAGGTTACTAATGATTTCCTCATTTATGTGATTAGGCTTTCTGTCTCCACTCAAATCTCCTCTTGAATTTTAATCCCCAAGTGTTTACAGAGGGACCTGGTGGGAAGCACTTGAATCACAGGAGTGGTTTCCACCATGCTGTTCTCATGATAGTAAGTGAATTCTCATGAGATCTGGTGGTTTTATAAATGGTAGTTTTTTCTGCAGGGACACACATTCACTCCCTCCTGCTGCCATGTAAGATGTGCCTTTGCTTCTCTTTTGCTTGTCGCCATGATTCTAAGTTTCCTGAGGCCTCCCCAACCATGTGGAACTGTGAGTCAATTAAACCTTGCTCCTTTCAAAATTACCCAGTCTTGGGTATTTCCTTATAGCTGTGTGAGAATGGACTAAAATACTCATCAATAAATCCAGTGGACACTTACAGCTCTGTCTTTAGTGACTCTCAGCTGCTCTTGGTCACTCCCTGATTCTTGAAATGCCTCCCATTCACTGTTCCCATGACTTCATCTCTGCATCCATCCTGCCCTTGCACCCTGGCCCTCCTCTGCCTTCTTCCCTGCCTCTTGCATCTCCTCAGCCCATCAGCTCTCTGTCTTCTGCCCTTCCCTCAGCTCCCTGTGCCCTTGCTGATCCCATTTCCTTCCATGGCTTCTACTGCAGCCCAGAAGCTGATAACTTTCCTTCTTACTGAAGTGTAGCCCACATTGCTCTGTGGGGCTTAATATTTACATAACCAAATACCAACTAAACCTCTCCATCTCTATAGCCTTTTGCTTAAAATCAAAATGCCCCAAATAAATATGGAAACTTTCTCACCCATGCTTCTCAAACTTCTGTTTCTATCTTGATGACACTTCCAATGTCAGTTGAACTATCCAGAAAGCTGAGAATGTTCCCTGCCTCCTTTTCCTCTCAATCAAACCTAAGTTAGTGCTGCTGATTCTTCCTCTTTAATTGCCCTCCTACACGTTCATAGCTTTTCACTGCCACAGTCAAATTCCTAATATGACACTGGCTTTCCTGGTGAATCCATGAGTCCTTGTGCTCCAGTCTTGTTCATCTTTGATCCCTTATCCACAGAGGCAGTGTGGATTTTTAAACAGACACAAATTTGATTATCCTATCCACTTTCATAAAATTATTTTTATATTTTTGGTCATACATTGTTCACTATCTAAATCCTAACATGGTTAATAAGAACCTTATCAAATCCTCTAATTCATTGATCTTATCATTTTCTTTCCATCCATCAGCCCCTCTTTTTTAAAATTTATAATCATATTTAATTGAAACCACAGGGTGAAGCATTAAAGGTAGAAGAATTGTCACACAGGCGTTTTCTGCACAGCCTCTGGATCCTGACTGCCAGGTTTTGATCCCAGGCTCTAACACTTATTGGTTATGACCTTGCACAAGTTATTTAACCAGTTTGTGCCTTACTTTCTTCACCTGTGAAATAGGAATGCCAGTAAAATTGTTCCTACCTCACTGTACAATTTTAAGGACCAAATGGGTAAATTTATACAATGAATTTAAAACAGAGGTGGGCACATCGTAAGAGCTCGGCAGTGTTGCCCAACATTTTATTACATTAACTTCCTTGCAATTACTCTGACTCTCTTGGTGTTTCTCCTAAGGTCTTCGCTGGGTAAACTTTCAGACAAAAATAAATGTAAAAACAAACATATACGTCTCTGGCCTATCCCATACAGCACACAGTAGGCTGGTTGTATAAGTCCCAAGCTTCAGCGGTTCTGTACCACTGTCCAAAACAACGACAGCCTCTCCAGTCAGCTAACAGTTCTGTTCTTTTGCAAAGATTATTTAATAACTTTTCTGAATTCCTAAAGTTCCTATAACCTCCTGCCCACACATCCTCATTTTCAGCTGAAGACTTTGCCTCTTATTCAGTTAGAGAGTTTAGAAGACTTCAGACTGAAAGTCTGGGATTTTCTCATCTTCCATCAAAAATCTAGTTGAGTCAGCTTCCACTTCTTCCTCTTGTCCTTTCAGAGAAGGGAGTATCCCTTCTCTTGCACACCAGCCATGGCCGCATCGTCACCTACCTTCTCAGCGATGGGATCCCTCCAGTTACCTCCTCGCTGGCCTCCTTTCCCTTCGTGTTCTGCCAGCTGATTTCCAGTAACATTACTGATATTCCTTCACAACACACCTATTTGCATGTCCCTACAACTACTGCACTGTTTCCTTACTCTCCCCAAAGCTTGGCTTCTCGATTCTTTCCTCTACCAGGTCTTTCAGCTTCTTCTTGTTCCACGTTCTCCCCGACTGAACTCTAAGCATGTGAAAACTTTTGAATTGCCTTAATCAACTTATTTTATTTACATTTTTCTTTTTATGTTCACCTACAGGTGATATATGATTTTTAAAAACTGTATCTAAATATGCATAGAATAAGCTCTTCTAATGAGTATAAGGAAAGATTCTAACTGAAGAAAAGCACCACGTTTCTTTGTTTTCTGAGTGGAATGTATCACATCAAAGTCATCTAGGTGTCTTGTAGTCAGTGCCCATGAGACCTGATGAAACACGGGCTCGCAGACTCACACAGGCTTTCCTGGATGGCCCAATCCAAAGCAGGAACTCCCTGTGATTCTCTCTTATCAGGAATTCTCTTCATTTCTCCCCCAAGGGGCTTCTCTCCATTGTAGATTTGTTTCACAGCTATTTCTTTGAAGGGGGTCTTTGAATGCAAAGCCACTTCTCTTTGATTCACCCCATTATACACTCTGCCAACGGAGTGATTGGATCACAACAGGCTTGCATTGCATATTCATGGATTTACAGAATCCGTAAATGAAGAACCTCCTCTGGGGAGGTCCCTGTGTTTTAGTAACAGAATGTTGGTAGCTGTAGGGTACAATGAGGTAAATGACAGTCAACTGATTTTTGCCCTAGACTTTGGTTATTAAGCACAAACTTGCTATTTGGTTATTAACCAAATTTGCTATAAGATGCCTTAACATGAGAAGATTCTAGGGCTTTATAAAAAAAAAGACATATAAAATCCAATTGGTTTTTATTTAGCAGTATGATTAGGACAAGGCTTTAAGAGTTGGTCACTACACCATCCAGGTGATCCTTATTAATGAAATGACCCAAATGTACAGTTGGAAACATCCTTCTGCAAGGATGATTGCAGACCCTACAAAATGTAAAATTTTCAGAAGGTGGAATAAAAAATAAACATCAACATAACCCTGGAAATTTTTTGCACAAATTCAAAGCAAATATTCCCCATCTGGATTTCCCTTTGTGCAACCATGGATATAAACCAGAGTAAAAGCAATCATTCTGTAATCCCTCAAGTCCTTAAGCAAAGAATAAATGTAATTTTCTTTTCTAGATACAAAAATATAAAAAAGTAAACTCTGATTCGGAGCAGGTGTCAACGCTTAAGTGGATCATAAATCATAATTAAATACAAACAGTGCCTTATCTCACCTTTTGATCTTGGTTTTTCATTTTACAGACAAGATAAAATGGTTAAAATCCCTGAATGAATTACGTTTCATTGGAAAATGTGCAGTTGTCCCTTCGGTTCTTGATGGAGATCAGAAAAATTGCAAGAGACTTCATCATCTGTTTACATATACTTAGGCACCGTCTTATGTTGATATTGTAGAATGAAGAAACATAACTCAGTCACAAAAGCATCCAAATTAAAGGCCTACAACTTGCACTTGAAAAACCAATTATGAGCTGCAACAACAGACCTAACAAGTTAAACAAATAAAATATAATGATTTACTTCCTCCTGGAGATGATGTGAGACTAAATGAGAAAAATTCCATTAAGTACTCTTTGAACATGTCATATAAATGCATGATATTAACAGCCATCATTATTTTCCCAACATTTTCTGGCTCATTAATTTATATCTGGATTTCAAAAGATTAATGCACCATTTTTAATTTTAAAAAGACATGTGAAATAATTATTTTTAAAATTAAATTGATATAAATTCGTGAAGGAAAATGTTCATTTCTAGTGGGTAGAATGATTTTTAAAATTTGGTTTCAGGTCAAAATTCCTTCTAGGAGGTGTTCTACCAAAATATATCAGGAGAGGGCAGTAATGTTTCATGCTTTAATTCGAATAGAGAGGAAAGGAATAGTCATTTCAATTTTTCATTGCAAATCAAAGCACAATTATAAGCTAATGTCCTATCCTGCCACCAACCTCAAAGGTCATCAGAGTATGTTCTATAAATGAAAAGAAATTGTTAGTTTTAATTACATGTAAAATTAGTATTGTATGCTCTGGTAGTGCCTATTTCTTTTTGGTTTACTCTTCATCTTTGCATTGAATAGGATATTGTAGGTGATACCATATCCTTCATGGATTAAATTCTATGGGTTGTATCACAGTTTAACTTGAATATCTGATTTATTGTTCTCATCATTTAAATCACTTGAAATTAAATTACTGTGTTTTGTATCTTCTGCATTTTTCACTGAAGACATTTAAATTTACTTGAATGAAATAAGACTTTAAAAAGCAATATTCAAAATAAAATAAAAAAAGCAATATTCAGTTTTTTGTAAATCAGGGTTTTTTTTACAGTTTAAAATGTCTGAAAGAACTAAAAGTTGTCCATTTTGCCTCGGTACTCACTCAGCTGAGTGGGTGAATTTGCATGTGTTTGAATCATGCCTCTCTTAGAATATTAAAAGTGGAGCACACTTAGTTCAAATGTAAGATGTTTTTGGAGGAGAAGTGTATTGATGTGGAAGAAATAACACTCTTGTGACTCTGAGGTGCACAGAGCCCAAGACAAAATTCTCAAGTAAGCAACGTATTTGGGGTCCTCTGATCCATTTGTGTACCAACACCCCAATTCAAATCAAATGTAGCAGAACCAGATACAGTGGTTGGAATTATGGCAGATGTCAGATCAACTCAGACAAGAGCTTTGTAACAATTAGAATAACTGAATGGAATGAAGGTTTCCATGGGAAATGAAGCTGACCTAAGCTTCAGACAGGGCATGGACAATCAGTGATTAAAGACTGAGGTATCTAATGAAGTGGTCATTAGGTGGTCTTTAAGTCATTTTGCAAATCCAGAAAGTTGTAAAGTCAACACATACTTGTTGAGCCTCTGCTAGATACAAGGCACTGTCTCTGTGGACCTCTGGTAACTTCATCATGCCCCAAATTCTAGTTTGGTCCCATCCCAGAACTTATGTTTGAAGAAATAAGCAACGAGTTTTCCTTTTTCTTCCAAACTGCAATTGACTCATATTTCTGAACACTTCTGGTTTCTGAATTTCATAAATAGGTACAAGTGATAAAACAGAAAATTGTAGAATGAATTAATCCTTATTTCACTTTCTCAGGTGACTCACACTGGGTCCATGGCAGCAGGAGGGGAGTAAAAAACAAATTAGTGTGTGCCCCATCTAAACTCCGAACCTATTTTCAAATATTTGGTGTATTCCTGCATGGTTCCCCTTTCCCCGAAATGTGAAATTTTGCATTCTCATTATCCACAAGCCCCTTTCTATTGCAACTGCCTCTTTTTGAGGCACAGGTGTTGAGTCTCCCTTCATCTCATTGCTTCTGGTCCTTGTACAGGGTTTGTTTTCCAAAAGTACTTCCCTTTGTCAGTGCCTATCTCTGGTCTTCCTGCACAGAGCCCCATGGCCACAGAGGGTCTTCAGTTCTCCTCCAGTCCCTGTGTCCATTGCTTCAGGGTGCAGGCCAGATGTCCTGGAGTCCTTTCCAAATGGCCTGCACTCCGGGACATCCCTGGAGTGAATCTGTAATCGGCTCTACATGCTGAGCACTTGACGTGAGCCAGGCATCCAGGTCAGGCCTTAAATAAGTTATTTAATATTCTCCACAAGTCTCAGAAGTTATGCACAAAAATTAATTAGTGCTAAATATCAGGAACCCTAACCAATAAAACTGATCTGGGGACTGAGCCTGCCACATCCCACACCAATTTGACTGAACTACAAATAAAAAACAAACAGGAATGTGTTTATCAATCAAAATTTTTAGTGGCTAGTGAGTTAGTCTGGGCTTCATTTGTTTAATTTACTAGCACTATTGAAGGAGTCATAAAAATGATCAGAACTAAAACTGATTCAAATCGGTATTTCGATTAATTTCAGATCCCCCGATGGATTCAACAAAGCAGACATAATATTACTGTTAGCAATTTGTAGTTATACAAACACAGCTGAGAAACAAAACTTTTCCCGTAAAGTGGAATAAAAACAATTACCTACCTCAAAGAAGTAGTTTACA
Organism: Homo sapiens; assembly: GCF_000001405.40. Lineage (NCBI taxonomy): Eukaryota > Metazoa > Chordata > Mammalia > Primates > Hominidae > Homo > Homo sapiens. Next base: position 107,122,151 of record NC_000013.11, on the reverse strand, counting down.
AAATATATGAGATTACTGTAGCACCTAGCTCCTGGTAAATGTTTAATAAGTTTCAGTTGCTGATAAGATTAGCATTATCACCAGGATGTCATTTCTGAGAACAGGCATTTGTGTCTCTTCATTCACTGTGGTATCTTTTGGCCTACAACAGTGCCTGGCACATAACATAGACTCAGGAAATAGCTGTTGGATAGAGCAGTGCTCCCACCGAGTGTGTGGCCTCAGCTAAGTTCCTCAACCTGCTTCTACCATGCTTTCTTCATTTGAAAATGAGGATAATGATAATACTGATCTCAGGGTTATTGTGAGGATTAAGTGAGAAAATGCTTATAAAATACTTAGAAAAGCCCTTGAAATATAGTAAAAGGTAAATAATTATTAGTTACAACTATTATATCATCTCTATAGTGTGGAAAAATAATAATTTAGGATAAAATAGTCATTCTTTTTAAATACATTCAGGACTACCTTATAATCACTTACTGTGTGAGCTGTTACAAATCAGAAAATCAAGTCTCTGGGATTTATGTGACTTTTCCAAGGTAAACTCACAAAGCTCTCTAAGTAACAACTCCGGGACTCAAAACAATGTTTTTCTGACTCTCCAAATCCCATTCTTCAGCTCTGGGCCATTATACTTGGTCCTCTGTAGGTTTGTTTTAAAATAAAGTATACAATTCATTTACAAGATTGGTTAATAATTTAAATGGTGGCTGATATGAATTAATCTGAAAAAAATTGTAATGTGCATTTATTTACACTACAGCATTCTCTAACATTATTTTACCTTGGAGGCAGACATTTAGCACCTTGGTGAAATGCAATCCCAAGAACATCCCACTGGTCTGAGCCATCCTTGGACCAACAGTATAGCTGAGGTATCCTCAAAATCCAACTGAATATTAACAAGTAGGCAACACAGAAAGGAGAAGACACTAAGCTAGGACATGATTGCGTATGTGTTTAGCATGAGAAATTATTTCCAAAGCAGGAGCAAGTTTGAAATCGGAAAATGAGAAAGAGAAAGATCTCTTAGATTGGTGCAAAAGTAGTTGTGGTTTTTGCCACTACTTTTAAAGACACAAACCACAGTTACTTTTGCACCAACCTAATAGAGCTCCAACTGATACAGCTTGGAAATTTGGTAGCCTCATGAGACATTGGTCTGGCCAGTCTATGGCAAGTGAGATAATTTTGTCCTTGCAAGCTGATGACAGCTCATGTAGTCCTATTTCTTAGACCAGACCTTCTCTTTCCTGTTATCTTCTCCTCGGCCTAGAGGAAACTTTGTGATCTTTCTCTGCCCAATCCACCCCCATGCGATTTTGGTTTCCAACAGACTAGAGACTGAGTATTATGACCTAACAATTTTAGATCTGACCAATTTTCCTGTATGGCAAATGGTCCTTGGCACCCTTTTCTCATTTTCCTGGGACTTTGTATTCTGGGAGTGTCCTATCTCTTTCAGAGCAAGGGCATAGGAGCACCCTGGGCCCAAGGTATGGATTTTTTTAAGGGAAGAATTTTCTACATAACATTTTAAAAATACCATCTATCTGAGATCTCTTAATAATCTACAATTAATACAATAATTTCTTAACTAACATAAGTTTACATTTTCTCTTCACCATTGTGGTCATACTTGGGGGAGACGAGGAAACAAGCAGGTGTTATCTAATCCTAAACTCCAAAGCATTTCATTAAATTGCGCAATTGGCTTATTCTTACTCTATGTCAGGTCTGTTCATGTACAGATATGGCAGTGTTGCCTGTGTTAAGACGAAAGTCCATAGTATGGCTCATAACGGCAGATTGTTAAGAAAAATGCCTGGTTAATGTTTAATTTTCTAAAAAGCAAAAAGGAAGAAAGTTTTCTTATTAACTAAACTTAAGCAAATTCAAATACACTTTGAAGTATTAATAATTACTGATACTGAAGTGCATTCATCTGTTGAAAACTGTGCTACATATTTTTTCTGAGTTTTTGAATGCAAACATAGCCAGCCAAATGGCAAACTAAAACTATGGTTTTCCAGAGAACTTATTAGATGTGTTTTGTCTACTGCTGACTCCTTATAAATATTTTGAAAACCGCTCCACCATTCCTGCTCTCATTTCAACATAAAAGATCTCAGATTTGTTGATTCCTAAATGGGAGTTAAATTTTGCAATATGAGAAAATTATGTCAAATCTTTTCATTAAAAAAATTGGGAGTATGTATGGTTTACTACGAACATACGTGGCCTTGCAATAAAATTTAAAATGTCATGTGGGGGTATCCCTCTGCACACTTCCAAATTTTCTAATTATTTGTTTAATGTAATTTAATGGAGACCTTTGTGGACAGAATGACTGCACTGAGCCACACTGGTGTTTTTCAGCCTTTTCTGTCTCACATATTCCTTTATCAAACTTTCACCCACCGTATAACAGAGGTAAGACTTATGGGAACTAACATATATTGTCTATTATTTGCCACTCTGCTAAGCATTTGTGTTTGCTAATTCTTAATCCCATAAAGTGAGGATAATTGTTTTCTTCAGTTTTAAGGTTTGAGAATTGAAGTAAAGATATATTAAACCTTAGCCAGTAAGTGGCAGATTTTAGATATTTAGCTCGGAGTCTGCATCTCTGTACTTTTACTGAAGATTTTGCTAAGGCGCTAGAAATGTAAAAATCAACAAATGTTCTGTCATGGAGAAAAAGTTAGAAGAGAACATACAGACACAAAAATAAAACAACCTATAGTATGATTAATTTTGAAATACTATTATTGACTAATTGTTAAGAGGGGCAAGGGATTCACTTACATTCAGCTCCTATTACTTTCCATCCACTATACTGGGCACTTTGCATTTATTGTCTCATCTAATGACCAACGGGAATGATCTCAATGGGAATAACCTTAATGGGAGTGTTGGAAACAAATGCCTAGCTCATCTTTGTTTCTTCTTATGCCTCGTGGCATTACAACAGCCCAAATAAGCTGAAAGTTGAGTAATTAGTACTTGCCCACTTCTCCAGTCCAGATATTCCTTATTATGTATTGTATGGATCATTAGGATATAAGCTATTTAAATGGTGCTGCCTATAAAATACTGATTAGAACTTATTTATTTCTGAAATCAAGATTCCATGCAGAGAGATAAAAATTATTTTTAATAAACATGAGTAACTTTTTAGGTACACACTGACCACCAGAAAACACAATACAAATTAATATGTTTGCTCTTGATCATTCACAAACGTATTCAAATAAAGATGATGGCATTTTTTTTTCCTGATAAGCCTACCATTGTGCATTCCTTTCCTCTTTTACTTTAAGGTGATAGGATGGAGCAGGTTCCATTACGTTCCATCTCGGCTTAATCCCTTGCTGTTACAAGAAGTGGAAAATGCAATTAAATGTACTTCTGAAACCTTCCCCTAGAGTGCTGTTTACAATATTGCCTGCATTAAACAGGCTGAGCACGGTGATACAGCCTCTTCTCTTTGCATCTGGTGGCTTTATGAAGCTTTGGGAAACCCGTTTGTAAATTAAAGTGTTCCATCAGCAGCTCTAAGAATAAATCCCAGTTTGTTATGAAAAAAAAAAATAGATAGTTTAAATAAACACTCTTGTGAGTTTTATTTGGAATGGGGTTTCAGACTGGGAGGGCTAGCAGGAGACTCCACAGGGGCTAAATTTGGGTTCCATTTGGCTTAAAAAAAAAGTGAAATTTTAATACTAGCAGAGCTTAAAATTACCTTAAAATAGGATTCTAAACCAAGCAGGACTTTTCCTCCTTCACCTTAAATGTTAATCCATTATGAGAGAAGCAGAAACCACCATGGAAACTGCCCATTTCTTAAACTGAAGGGCCCTGCTTTCTCATCTGACCTTATGTCTCATTTGCTTCTCTCCTAAGGAAGGTTGTTGAGGAAGGACACAGGGAGACAAAATAAGATAAAACGTTCTTGAATCCACCTCGGGCTCATTGGGTGGCTGCCATCAGGGCTTCTAGCCTCTTGGTGATGCCATTTCTTTACCCTTGTAGCCTCTTGGTGATGTCATTTCTTTACCTAAACTGGTGTCATCCATTGAAGAGGTATTAGGCAGCTTTTCTACCTACAGTATCCTTGCTTTGTCTTGAACTGGATGTGAATTTGATGGGGCAGACACATTGAGAAACCATTTCTTCAGCATATTTCCTCAAATCCAGAAGACGGATGGCCAGTTTCTATATCATCAGTTCCTTCTGACTATCCCATTTCCCTCTCTAAAGAGCTGTTTTCTCTTTCCCTCCCTCAATGACCACATTCTCAGGCATCCACCACGGGCCAGACCTGTCCTGGGAGATAGGGCTGAGTCACAGCTTCTGACCTTGGGGATCATTCATTCCTCTTCTTGTGGCCTTTCCTTGCTTCCTTTGTTTTATTTTCACTGCTAATAATGCCTGCTGTGTACGGCAGAATAATGGAGGGCTGCATCTCTGCCATGCCCTGCTCACTCTCAAGGAAGCAGCTTTCCAGGTCAACATTTCACCTCCATCTGTGTCTGTGCTCCCTCCCGGCTCTGCGCCTGCCTCCCCTGTCCTCCCAGCTGCCGCTCTTCTGTAAGTGTGTTAAGTAAACACAAGATGACTTGCGATCCTCTTCGGTAGCATCGACAAATGTGTTGAGAGCCTGAGGGGCGTCAAGCGCAGTGATAAGTGCTCCGGGTGGCAGGAGACATCAGGGAAGGATGTCGGTCTGTGTCTTCCCCAAACCCTCTGATCTGTGGACATCCTCAAAGTCAGCCAGAGGTCCAGTCTGACTGAGTGGCGAGCCAACCTGCCCGAGGCCACCTGTGTGTCAGTCTGCTCAGACCCACCAGTTCAGGCTGGGAGGCTCCCATGAGCCTAGAAACACATTTGCTCACAAAAATCACAGCGTTTTCCTCACCCTCGTCACACTCACTGTCTTTATAACTAGATTTCTGGCACTGTTTTTCAGTTCAGCTTTCTTTTTCCTTGTTGGGATGAATATTTTCACAGGACTCCAATCCTCCCAAGCTGGTGCCCTCCACCCAGACCTATGTCTTACCCACTCCACCTTCTATGAATGACGTTGAACCCTGTAGTGAGGGGCTAAACATCCTACTGTGTCCCACCTGACACTAAGCATTCAACACAAGCAGCATGTTCAACCAAGTTGAGAACTGTGTGTGTAGAAACACTCACTGAGGGAAACTTGAGCAGACTCTGGTCAACCTCCGCAGTGACAACCCCTACTGGTTGGGCTTGCTCTTCCCATCCTGTTCTTTTAGGCCCCTCTGCCTTCTGCCCACCCTGCCACTGGCTGTAGCTTCTAGGTCCCAGACTGCCCCAAAACACATCCCACTGCAATCAGAACAGCAGAGCTCCCACCCCAGAGAAGGGTAGGCTTATCATATAGCTAGAAAGACTTATATTTGAGAATATGTAAATACAACGTGAGCCAGTTATGTTAACAGTATTGCTATAAGCCATTAAATCTTACAAAAAGGGAAGCAGAGAACACAGAAAGTGAAAAACTAGTAAAAGATTTGTAGAGGAAGAGGTTTTGAGGCAGCCTATAAAGGAAGAAAAGGTAGAGAAACAGGATAGTGTGCAGAATGAAGACTAAGATTAAAATGCGGAGGTGAGAGGTGGAAATGTTTTGCAGAACTATTATAGGGTTCATTTAGATGGTAATAGAAAAATCTTTAGAGATTTGACTGAGGTCAGACAGGGAAAGGGTGTGTATGAAGGGCTAAATAATAAAAAGAGTCCTGTATTGACAGCCTAAAGATTTGGATGGTAATTTCAGCTTTGCCATGGCCAGAAATATGATTTTGGATAAATTATGTATCCCTTTTACACAAGTAATTTAGACTGGCCCATTTATATGTTAGCCTGGTGATCACTAAACCTTTTAGAGATTGCATACTATATAATAAAATTATATAATAAGATGAGTCTGTTGCTTATTCTAATAAATGACTCCTTAAGACTTTTGAAGAAACAATGATTTTGTGGAATTAGGAAAGTTAATAAGGAGTGCGCTGCACAATGAGTAAGAAGGCAAAAGTATAAAAATAGGGAAATTAGTTGAAGGACTTGTATAATAGTGTGATAAGTATTAGAATATGGAAGAATGGAATGTGACAGGCCTTAAAAAGAAAGAAATTTACAGAATGTTCTTGTGATTAGAAAAATAGAAGAGGTTAAATAAAAAAGACTCGAGATGACTTACATGGTTTCTAACCTGAGTGGTTGCAGGAATGATAGTGTCATCCTTCAAAATAAAGAACTTTGGAATAGGAGCAAGATCTGGGGCAGCAAACTTTTTCTGTAAAAAGCCATATAGTAAATGTTTTTGTGGCCATATTGTCTCTGTTAGTATTATTTAATTCTGCTGTTATAATACAAATTAGCTGTAGACAATATGCAAACACATGGTCATGTGTTCCCATAAAGCTTTATTTATAAAAACAAGAAGCAGAACAAATTTGGCCAATGAATAGCAGTCTGGTGACCCCAGAGCTAGATGAGTCGTTAAGATGTGTTGATATTTGAAAAGGTTGATTTTTGGGAGATCACAAACTTAAATGCCTGCAGTGTCTACCAGGGACACAAATATGTAAATCAATTTAAAATAAGCAATAGAAACTGGTGGAGGCCATGACAAAATGAAGAGTGTGTGATGCACGTAATGAGATTTAACTTCAAAACATCAAGATGAAGTTGTATCAGCTGATCAAAACAAGCAGCAGACACAAGAAGAGGGCACCCAGGTGGAGGTATCTGGAAGTGAATAGATTGCAAATGGACATTAGGGAATTATCCATACAAATGGGTGACAATGAATTGTCAAAGAAGAGAGTAAAGGGAAAAAGAACGAATTTCAGCGTTGAGTCCTAGAATATGCCCGCTTTAGGAAATAGAATAATGTGGAAGCCACAGTAGGAGTGACCCAAGAAGCAAGAGGCTAATAAAGGGGGAAATGTTTTCTTAAGAACTGAAAACCAAGGAGTGTGAAAAAGTGGCAGTGAGATCAATCAGGCACCTTGCTGCTCGGCCAACACAGGGAACAAAGACTATGGTGAGACCAATTGGTTTGGAGTTTGAAGGACATTGATAACCTTGGAGAGGGCTGGTTCAGAGAAAAAATAAGCCACAGTTGCAAGATTTAGGGATAATATCTTGTATTTAAGAAAAGGATACAGGAGAAGAAACCACAGTGCACAATACTGCAGACAGAACGTGGGGCATGGCAGCAGACAGGTCTGGTTCACCTCTCAACTTCAAACTTCCTAGCTACGTAGATCATCTTGCTAAAGTTATTTAATATATTCAAGATTCAGTTTTGTCGTTTACAAAATGAAGACGTTAATATCCATCATCAGAATTGTGATGAAAAGCGAAGCAAAACTGGTTTATGCTCATTGTAACACGCTGGCCGCATGTGTCAGCCACTTGCACCCACTCCCCTCTCCCCTGACCTTGCAGGCCTCTTGATTGTAGATTCTAGTGTTAAAAACTATGGTGGTCAACACCTTGTGGTATCTTGGTCTAAACCAACCACATGTCCTGGAAAGTCCTAAACATTTGGAATGTGAGAGGCTGAAGTTAACAGGTCCAGTTGAATCCACGAAGTGGTGTATTTTCTCAAATGAGGAAATGTACCAGCAAGAACTGGAGCTTCATTACACGGTAGTCCCCCTTTATTCTCAGAGGATACATTCCAAGACCCCCAGTGGTTGCCTGAAGCTGCAGATAGGACGAACCCTACATATATACTGGTTTTCCCTATACATACGTACCAATGATGAAGTTTAATTACTACAGTTTAATTAATTATTATGAAGATGAAGCTTAATTAAATGATAAAGTTTAATTACGATAGAGTTTAATTAGGCACAGTAAGAGACTAACAATAATATCTAATAATAAAATAGAAAAGTTTCAACAATATGCCAGCATCACTACTTTTGTGCTTTAGGGTCATTGTTGGGTAAAATAAGGATTATTTGAACATAAGCACTGTGATACCAGGACAGTCGATTTGATAACCAAGGCAGCTATGTGACTCACAGCAGGGAGAATCTGCCGTGTGGATGTGCTGGATAAAGGGAGAATTCACATCTCAGGTTGGACAGCATGAGATTTCATCACACTACTCAGGATGGTACACAATTTAAAACTTATGAATTGTTTCTTTCTATAATTTTCTCTTATATATATATTTATTTATAGCACAAATCCTATAGAGCACAGAAACTCAAGATAGCCACATAGAGAATGAAGGAGTCAGCTGGCCCAAGGGTGAGCAAAGGGACCACAGCAGCCCCTACCAATACCCTACAGGCCAAACAACCCTAGTCTCATGTTTGCCTGGAGCTAGACTAGCCACTAGAGTCTGGGCTGCCAAGACACCTCCTCCTCCAGGGTGAGGAATTATTGCTGTGTTGCTCCCAGGTCTAAGCAACAGCTTCAGTCTACCAGCTTTAGGTTCTTGCTGCCACTGCCCCTGACCTCAGAGAGTTTGGGATATTGCTGAATCCCACTGTCCCAGAGTCCAGAGTCACCACTACACATTGCATCATCCCCTGGAACCTGAATTGTCACTAAGCATTATTGGCTCTGGTTCCCAAATTTCGACTGTATCCTGCTCTCTGGGCCCAATCCTCCAGAACACTTTTCTTCCCTAGACTTGGGCCAATGCTGTACTACAGCCCAGTTCCTGGGCCCAGGCTGCTAGGCCTCAGAGTCATAGACCTTGGATTTGTGGGTAATTTATACCCAACACTGGCACAGAGAGTGAACATCCACCCCAGGCCTCAGGTGCCATAATAGGTTCGTGAAACCCTGAGTCTAGGACCCTGTCCCTACAGCCGCTCTGGGCACTTGCACCCTGAAACCCAGTACTGCAGTAGTTGCTTGTGGGCCATATTAGACCTGTTGCCAAGAGGGATCCTTTCAGCCAAGTCTTCTCATTGTAGGGAAAACAAGAATAGGAGAATCCCAAAAGCCATTGCTACTGAGGACATTAACAACTCACACTGCCACTGCCACAGATAGCCTAGGCCACTGAGGTACCCACAGTTATTACTGACATTTAATGCCACTGAAGCAGCTGCAAGGAGGGTATGCTACTCCATCTGCTCACAACCAGAGCCACAATGTTCTTTCCAACTGCCACACTAAGTCCCTTCTACAAGTGAAAGTCTTTCCTACAAAAGCCATGCTGTAAGATTTAGAAGAGGTGATTGTTCTACCAAATACGTAGACATAAACACAGGGACACATTGATGAAAAGGCAAGAAAATATGACACTGCCAAAGGAATATACCTCTCTAGTAATAGATCCTAAATAAAAAGAGATCTATAAATTGCTGGAAAAGAGATTCAGTATAATGATCTTAAAGAAACTCCATGAAATACAGGAGAATACAGATGGACAATTCAATATAATCAAGAAAACTATTCATGATATTAAGAAGAAATTTAATGAAGAGTGATCTTGAAAAATAACCAAATAGAAATCTTTCATCTGAAGAATTCAACGACTGATATTAAAAAAATACAACAGAGGCTGGGTGCGGTGGCTCATGCCTGTAATCCCAGTGCTTTGGGAGGCCAAGGGGGGCAGATCACGAGGTCAGGAGATCGAGACTATCCTGGCTAACATGGTGAAACCCCGTCTCTACTAAAAATACAAAAAAAGAAATTAACCAGGCTTGGTGGTGGATGCCTGTAGTCCCAGCCACTTGGGATGCTGAGGCAGGAGAATGGCATGAACCCAGGAGGCAGAGCTTGCAATGAGCCAAGATCGTGCCACTGCACTCCAGCCTGGGTGACAGACCAAGTCTCTGTCTCAAAACAAAAACAAAAACAAAAACAAAAACAAAACACAACAGAGAGCTTCAACATCAAGCTAGATCAAGCAAAAAGAAATAATCTTTGAAATGACCCAGTCAGAGGCAATAAAAACAAATAGAATAAAAAGAAGTAAAGACGTCCTATAGGGTCTATAGGACACTGTTAAACAAATAAACTGTCAAATTATGGATGTTACAGGAAAAGAGACAAAAATAAGGACAGAAAGTTTACTTGGTGGAACAATTACTGAAAACTTCTCAAGTCTTGGAAAAGAAATGGACATCCAGATACATGAAACTAAAAGATACCCCAACAGATTCAACCAAAGGAAATTCTCACTGAGGAACTCTATAATTAAACTGTCCAAAGACAAAGATAAAACTGTGAAAGCGGCAAGAGAAAAGTGTCAAGTCATATAAGGAAATTCCATTAGACTATCAGTGGAGTTCTCAGCAGAAACCCTGAAGGTCAGGAGAGAAGGGAATAATATTTTCAATATACTGAAAGAAAAAAATGTATCAACCATAAATACTATACTCAACAAAGCTGTCCTTCACAAATGAGGAAGAAATAATGTCTTTCCCAGTCAAACAAAATTTGACAGAATTCATGACTTCTAGACCAGCCCTGTAAGAAATGCTTAAGCAGTTCTTCAAGTAGAAACAACAGGTTGCTAAGTAGTAACCTGGAAACATAAAAGTTAAAATGTAGAGGTAGAGGTAAATATATAACTAAATTCTGAATACCTTAAGACTGTTATGGTACTCTTTAAATGATATATATCTTTAGTAGGAAGATCAAAAGTCAATACAGTAAAAAATAATGATAGCTACTATAGGTTGTTAAGCAATACATAATATAAAGGGATGTAAACTGTGACATCAGAAACATACATTGTGAGAAACAGTATAAAGGTCTAGAGTTTTTGTATGCTAGTGAAGTTGTTATCAGTATAAAACAGTCTATGTGTAAGCCGCAAAGCAAGAAACTATAGCCAATGCATGAATAATAAAGAGAAGGCAGTTAAAACTTAGTGTTAAAGAAAATCTCTAAATCAAGACAAACAACAAGGGAGGGGAAAAATTCAAAATATCTACAAAACAATGAGAAAACAGCCAACCAAATGGCAGTGTTAAGGTCTTACCTATAAACAATTACTTTGAATATAAATAGATTAAGTTATCCAATTAAAAAAAACCAATAAGTGACTCACTTGAGCCTTAAGGACACCCATAGGCTGAAAGGAATGAGATAGAAGGAGGTAATCCATGCCAATGATAACCAAAAAGAGCAGAGATGGCTTCACTTATATCAGATAAAATAGACTTCACATCAAAAATAGTCACAAGGGACAAAGAGTGACATTATCTAATGAAAAAGGGCACAATCCATCAATAAGACAGAAACATTATAAATATATGTACATCCAACATTGGAGCACCTAAATATATAGAGCAAATGTTAATGGGCATGAAGGGAGAAATAAATAATATGGTAATAGTAAGTGACTTCAATACTTGACTTTTAACAATGGCCAGATCACCCAGATAGAAAGTTAAGAAGGAAATACCGAGACTGAGCTGCACTTTAGGCAAAATGCACCTAACAGATATATAAAGAACTCTACATTCAAAGGCAACAGAATAGATGTTCTTCTCCAGTGCACATGGAACAATCTTCAGGATAGAACAGTTGGCAAGCCACAAAACAAGTCTTAACAAAGTTTTTAAAATAAAATTATATCAAGTACGAGTATACCTTTTTTTATTGTGCTTCCTTTTATTGAGCTTCATACATAGTGCATTTTTTACAAGTCTAAGGTTTATGGAAACCCTGAGTTAAGCAAGTCTATTGAAACCATTTTTCCAACAGCATGTGTTCATTTTGTGTCTCTGCATCACATTTTTGTAACTCTCACAGTATTTCAAGCTTTATTATTATTATATTTGTTACAGGGATCTGTGATCAGTGATCCTTGATATTACTATTGTAATGATTTGGGGTGCCACACGCTGTGCCCATATAAAACAGCAAACTTAATTGATAAATGTTATGTGTGTCCTGATAATTCCACTAACCAGCCTTTATTTCTTCTATCTCCCTCTCCTCAGGCCTCTCTATTCCTTGAAACACAATACTGAAATTAGTCTAATTAATAACCTTACAATGGCTTCAAAATGTTTAAGTGAAAGGAAGAGTCACATGTCTCTCATTTTGAATCAAAAGCTATAAATGGTTGAGTTTAGTGAGGAAGGCATATTGAAATCTAAAACCAGCTGAAAGCTAAGCCTCTTATGCCAGTTATCTAAGTTGTGAAGGCAAAGAAAAATTTCTGGAAGAAATTAAAAGTGCTACTCCAGTGATCACACATCTGATAAAAAAGTAGAGATGCCTTATCGATGATATGGAGAAAGTTTTAGGGATCTGCATAGATCAAACCAACCACAACACTCCCTGAAGCCAAAGCTTAATTGAGAGCAAAGTTCTAACTCTCTTCAATTCTCTGAAAGTTGAGAGAGGTGAGGAAGCTGCAGAAGAAAAGTTGGATGCTAACAGAAGTTGGTTCATGAGGTTTAAGGAAAAAAGCTGTCTCTATAACATAAAAGTGTAAGGTGAAGCAGCAAGTGCTGATGTAAACCTGCAGCAAGTTATCCAGAAGATCTACCTAAGATAATTAATGAAGGTGACTACACTAAACAACAGATATACAGTGTAGATGAAACAGACTTATTGGAAGAAAATGTCATCTAGGACTTTCATAGCTAGAAAGGAGAAGTCAATGCCTTGCTTCAAAGGACAGGCTGACTTCCCTGTTAGAGATTAACACAGCTGGTGCCCTTAAGTGGAAGCCAATGTTCATTTACCATGCTGAAAGTCCTAGGACCCTTAAGAATTATGCTAAATCTACTCTATAAATGAAACAACAATGCCTGGATGACAACACATGTATTTACCATATGGTTTACTGAATATTTTAAGTCCACTGTTGAGACCTACTGCTCAGAAAAAAAAAAAAAGATTCCTGTGAAAATATTACCTGCTCATTGACAATGCACCCAGTAACACAAAAGCTCTGACGGAGATATAAAAAGAGATTAACGGGTTTTTCATGCTTGCTAACACAGCATCTATTCAGCAAACCAGGGATCAAGGAAGAATTTTGACTTTCAAATCTTATTGTGTAAGAAATACATTTTTAAGACTATAGCTCCCATAGATAGGTTCCTGTGATGGATTTTTGCATAGTAATTTGAAAACTTTCTGGAAAGGATTAACCATTCTAGATGATACTAAGGACATTCATGATTCATGGGAGGAGTTCAAATTATCAGCGTTAACAGCAGTTTGAAAAAAGTTGATTCCAACACTCATGGATGACACTGCAGATGTGGTGGAAATAGCAAGAGAACTAGAGAACTAGAACTAGAAGTGGAGCCTGACGATGCGATTGAACTGTGCAATCTCATTATCAAACCTGAACGGATGAGGAGTTGCTTCCTATGGATGAACAAAGAAAGTGGTTTCTCCTGGTGAAGATGCTGTGAACATTGTTTACATGACAACAAGGCATTTTAATATTACATACACTTAGTTGATAAAGCAGTAGCAGAATTTGAAAGGTTTGGCTCTAATTTTGAAAGAAGTTCTATTGTGTATAAAAGGTTATCAAACATTATCATAATTTACAGAGAAATCTCTCATGAAAGAGTCAAACCATGTGGTGAACTTCATTGATGTCATATTTTAAGAAATTGCCAGCCGCCCCAACTTTCAGCAACCACCACGCTGACTAGTCAGTAGCCATAAACATCAAGGCAAGACAATCCACTAGCAAAAAGATTGTGACTTGCTGAGGGCTCAAGTGATTGTTAGCATTCTCAAATAATAAAATATTTTCAGTTAAGGGATGTATATTTTTTAGACATAATGCTATTGCACACTTGATGGGGTTACAGTATTGTATAAATGCAACTTTTATATCTACTGGGAAACTAAAAAATGTATATGTTAGTTACTTTATTGTGATATTCAATTTATTGTGTTGGTCTGGAACCAAAGCTGCAGTATCTCTAAGGTCTGTCTGTATTGTTTCTGATTGCAGTGGTTGGTGACACTAGAAATCAATAAAAGAAGGATCAAAATCACAATAAGGTATCATCTCACCCCATTTAGGATGGCAATTATAAAAATAAAGAAATAACACGTGCTGGTAAGGATGTGGATAAAAGGGTACTCTTAGGTGCTGTTGGTGGGAATGTAAACTAGTACAGCCACTGTAGGGAACAGTAGAGAGGTTCCTCAAAAAACTAGAAATAGAACTATCATATGATCTAGCAATCCTACTACCAGGCATTTATCCAAAGAAAAGAAAATTAGTATGTCAAAGGGACATCTGCACCCCCACATTTATTACAGCAGTATTCATAATTGTCAAGATATGGAATCACCTAGGTGCCCAACAACAGATAAATGGATAAAGAAAATGTGATATACATTATACATAATGGAATACTATTCAGACATTAAAAAGAATGAAATCCTGTCATTCACAGCAACATGGAAGGAACTGGAGGAGACTATATTAAGTTAAATAAGCCAAGAACAGAAAGTTAAATACCATATGTTCTCATTCATGTATGGAAGCTAAAAAAGAGTTGATCTCATAGAAATAAAAAGTAGACCAGAGGATACTAGAGACTGGGAAGGGTAGGAGAAAGGAGGGGAGATAGGGAGAGATTCAGTAAAGGATATAACTAGATGGGAGAAATATGTTTTAGAGACAAAGTTCTCACTATGTTACTCAGGCTGGTCTCAAACTCCTGGCCTCAAGTGTTCTTCCCTTCTTGGCCACCCAAAGTGCTGGGATTGCAGGCATGTGCCACAGAGACCAGCCTTGATTCTATTGCTTTGTACCACTGTAGGATAATTCTAATTAACAGTAATATATAGTTTCAAATAGCTATAAAAAGGATATTGAATTTTCCCAACACAAAGAAATAACAAATGTTTGAGATGATGAATAGGTTAATTACCCTGATCTGATCACTGTACCTTATACATATGGAAACCTCACTGTATTCCCGGTAATAAATATGCACAATTATTATATGTCAATAGAAAATAAATTTTAAAAGTATTAAAAACAAACAACAACAACAAATAACAAGAGGAATTTTCAGAAATTATACTAATACATGGAAATTAAACAACATGCTCCTGAACAACCAGTGGGACAAAAAGAAATTAAAAGTGAAATCAAAAAATTTCTAGGGACAAATGAAAATGGAAACAAAAGATATACAAACCTATGGGATACAGTAAAAGCAGTATTCAGAGGGAAGTTTATAGCAGTAAACACCTATGCCAAAAAATTAGAAAGATCTCAAATAAACAGCCTAACATTGTACCTTCAGGAAGTAGAAAAACAAGAACAAACTAGGAACAAAATTAGTAGAAGGAAAGCAGTAATAAATATCAGAGCAGAAACAAGTGAAATAGAGACTAAAAATATATACAAAATATTCAACAAAATGAAAAGTTGGTTTTTTGAAAAGATAAGCAGAAGCAATAAACCTTTAATTAAACTAAAAGGAGAAGACTCAAATAAATAAAACCAGAGATTCAAAAAGGAGACATTACAACTAATACCATAGAAATACAAAGGATCATATGAGACTATTCTGAATAACTGTTAGAAAACAAATTGGAAAACCGAGAATAAAATAATAAATTTCTGGATAAGTACAACTTACCATGATTAAATGATAAAAAAATTTTAAAACTGAACATACCAATAATGAATAATGAAATTGAATCAGTAATAAAAAGTCTACCATCAAAGAAAAATCAAGGACCTGTTGGCTTTATTGCTGAATTCTACCAAACATTGAAAGAAGAATTGATAACAATTCTACTCAAACTATTCCAGAAAATTGAGAAGGAGGGATTTCTTCCAGACCCATTCTACAAAGCTAGCGTTACCCTCATACCAAAGGCAGACGTTAACACAACTGAAAAAGAAAACTACAGGACAATACCCCTGATGCACATAGATGCAAAAACCCTCAACAAAATACTAGCAAACACAATTCAGCAGCACCTTAAAAAAAATCATTCACCATGCTCAAATGGATTCATCCCAGGGATGCAAAGATGGTTCAACATACGCAAATCAAAAAAAAAAAAAATGTGACTTGTTGCATTAACAAAATTAAGGGAAAAACATATAATTATTTCAATAGATGCAGAAAAAGCACTTGACAAAATTTAACATAACTTTATGATAAAAAAAAACAACTCTTCACCAATTAGGCATAGAAGGTATGCACCTTAACACTATAAAAGCTGCATTTGGCAAACTCACAGCTGACACCATATGAACAGAAAAAAGTTGAGCTGTTTTCTCTGAGATGGGGAATAAAACAAAGACTTTCTTTGTTTCTATTCAGTATAATATGTGAAATCCTAATCGGAGCAATTAGAGAAGAGAAAGAAATAAAAGATAAACAAATAGAGGAGAAAGAAGTCAAACTGTCTTGTTTGCACATGACAGGATTTTATATATAATAAACACTGAATACTCCATCAAAAAACTGTTAAAACTAATAAATAAATTTAGTAAAGCTACAGAATACAGAAATCAACATACAAAAATCAGTAGCATTTTTATGCTATGCTAATAACATACTATCCAAAAAAGAAATCAAGAAAACCATCTCATTTATAATAGCTACAAAAAGGTAAAATACCTAGGATAAGTTCTTCCAGGTAGCTGAAAAATCTCTACACTGAAAACTATAAAACACTGATGAAAAAAATTGAAGAGGGCACAAATAAATTAAATTATGTCTTGTGTTAGTGGATTGAAATAATTAAAATTGTTAAAATGTTTATATTAACCAAAATGATCTACAGATTCAATGTAATCTCTGTCAAAATATTATACTTCACAGAAGTAGAAATAAAATCAAAATTCTATATTTCACAGAAATAGAAATAAAAGTCCTAAAATTTGTATAGAACTACAAAAGACCCTGAGTAGCCAAAGCAATCTTGAGCAAAAAGAACAAAGCTGGAGGCATCACACTACCTAACTTCAAAATGTGCTACAAAGCTATAGTAACTACAGTAGCACAGGACTGACATAAAAATGAACACATAGACCAACGGAACAGAATAGAGAAATCAGAAATAAATCCACATATCTACAGCCAACTGATTTTTTACGAAGTGACCAAAAACACACATTGGGAAAAGGACAGTCTTTTCAATAAACGGTGCTGAGAAAATTGGATATCCTTATGCTGAAGAATGAAACTAGACTTCTCTCACCACACACAAAAAGCAACTCAAAATTGCTTAAATTCTTCAATGTAAGACCTGAAGCTATGAAACTACTATAAGAAAACATAGGAAAAATGCTTCATGACATTCTTGTGGGCAAAGATTTTTTTGGATACGACCTCAAAAGCACAGGCAACAAAAACAAAAGTAGAGAAGTGGGATTACATCAAACTGAGAAGCTTCTGCACAGCAAAGGAAACAATCAACAGTGGGGAAGAGAAAGCATACAGAATGGGAGAAAATATTTGCAAACTATGCATTTGCCAAGTAGCTAATGTTCAGAACATATAAGAAACTCAAAGAACTCAATAGCAAAAACAAACCCCAAATACTCCAATTTAAAAATGGACAAAATATCTGAAAAGATATTTATCAAAAGAAGACATACAAGCGGGCAACAGGTATGTAATAAAATCCCCAATATCACTAATTATCAGGGAAATGCAATTCAGAAGTACAGTGATATATCACCTCATCCCAGTTAGAATAGCTTTTGTCAGCCAGGCATAGTGGCTCGCATCTGTAATCCCAGCACTTTGGGGGATTGATGCAGGAGGATCACTTGAGCTCAGAAGTTTGAGACCACCCTTGGCAACATAGGGAACCCCATCTCTACAAAAAAATTTTAAAAAGAAAATTAGTCAGGGATAGTGGCACATGCCTGTGGTCCCAGCTATTTGGGAGGCTGAGGTGGGAGGATAAACTGGGCCTGGGAGTGGGGAGGTCAAGGTTTCAGTCAACTGTGAATTTGTGCAGCTGCACTCTAGCCTGGGTGACAGAATGAGACCCTGTCTGAAATCAATAAATAAATGAATGGCTATTATCAAAAAGACAAAAGAGAACAGGTGTTAGTGAGAATGCAGAGAAAAGGAAACTTTTGTACACTGTTAGTACAGCCATTATGGAAAATAGTGTAGAGGTTCCCCCCCAGATCAAAAATAGAACTACCATATTATCCAGCCAGTAATCCCACTACTGTGTATATATCCAAAGGAAATGAAATTAGTATGTTAAAAAAATACCTGCACTTTCATGTTCATTGCAGCATTATTCACAACAGCCAAGATATGCAAACGACCTATGGAATCAATGGAAGAATGGATAAAGAAAATGTAGTATAGATACATCGTTGGACTTGTAGAAGTAGTGAGAATAATGGTTGCTATTAGGGTCTGGAGTGGTGCACCTGCAGCAGAGATAGTCAGGGAGATGTTCGTCAAATGGTAAAAAAATTCAGTTAGATACAAGGAATATGTTCAAGGGATCTATTATACAACATGATGAAGACTATAGTTAATAACAATAGTCATGAATCACATAATGACAAAGATACATCCTGAGACATACATTGTTAGGTGATTTCATCATTGTGTGAACATCATAGAGTTTACTTACACAAACCTAGATGATATAGCCTCCTACATATCTAAGTTATCTGGCACTACCTTTTGATCCTAGGCTACAAACATGTGCAATATGTTACTGTATTAGATACTGCAGGCAATTACAACCCAATGGTATTTGTATATCTAAATATAATGTAGAAAAGCTACAGTAAAAATTGGTCTAAAATTTTTTTAAATGGTACACCTGTAAAGGGCACTCACAATGAATGCAACTTGCAGGTCTGGAAGTTGCTCTGGATGAGTAAGTGAGAGAATGAGTGGAGAATGAATGTGAAGACTTAGGGCATTACTATCCACTATAGCAGACTTTAAACAGTACACTAAGTCTACACTAAATTTATGAAAATATTTTTCTTTCTTCCATAAAAAATTAACTCTAGCTTATTCTAACTTTTTAATTTTATAAGTGTTTTAATATTTCTAACTTTTTGACTCTTTTATAATAATTAGCTTGAAACACCAACACATTGTACAGGTCTATAAAACTGTTTTCTTTCTTGATATCCTTATTCTATATACTTTTTTCTACTTTTACAATTTTTATATTTTCTTCACTTTTTAAACTTTTTTGTTAAAAACGAAGACACAAATACACACATTAGCCTAGTCCTGACTGGGCTAATGACTAATATCATTGACTTCCCCTTCCACATCCTGTCCTACTGGAAGGTCTTCAGGGGCAATAGCACACATGGAGCTGTCTTCTCATATGAAAACAGTGCCTTGATGCCTTTTGAAGCTCTTCTTGAAGAGGTGTCATTCTTTTCAGAAATATGACCATGGTGGTTTGCTTGTTTGTCTTTTTTAATCAGAGATTTGCTTGTAAGCAGGGAATGCACCATGAACATTTCTCTTTGTAATGAAAATCTTTCTGTGTTGGGCTCCATGTTTTCAAACCTTGTAAAGAGCTTGAGGTCTGCAAAAACTTCTGCTGAACACTTCACTGAATTTTCTTTGGGAGTTTTCTTCTGCAGTTTACTTTTCTTTTGAATTCTTCTTCAGCTATGCGTTCCTGTTTGATTTCAAGAATTCCTCATTAATCAATTCCTCAGGAACAACCTCTAGGAGCTCCTCGATGTCAACCTCATTCACACCCAGGTTAAAATTGTTTTCCATCTCAACCACAAATTTGTTGAGTGATGTGTTGCACTGCAATGTCACAATGGCTACATGGTCACTAGGTGATAGGAATATTTCAGCTTCATTAGAACTTTATGGGACTACTGTTGTATATGTGGTCCATCACCAGCCTAAAAGGTTGTTATGTGGTGTAGGACTGTATTGTATTCTTGAAAAACGCTAAGAGTAGATTTTAAGCATTCTCACCACAAAATGATAATGATGTGAGGTAATGCATATGTTAATTAACTACCTTTCGCCATTCCACTACGTGTATGTATATTTCATAACATTATGTTGTATCTGATAAATATATACAATTTTATCTGGCAACTTAAAAAGTAAAATAAATAAATAAATAGGCAAGTTAAACATATACTAACAAGGGTTGGCGAGGATGTGGAAGAAATGGAATCTTCAGTATTGCTGGTGGGGATGCAAAATGGTGCAGCTGCTTTGGAGAACAGCCTGGCAGTTCCTCAAAATGTTAAACATACACCTATTGAAATTTTATTGATAAAAACCTACATGCACAAAAACTTGCACACAGATGTTTACAGCAGCATTATGCAGAATAGCCAAATAGTGAAACAATGTACCCATCAACTGATGAAAGGATTTAAAAAAACTGTGACAGACTCACAGAATGAAATATTATTCAGCCATAAAAAAGAATGAAGTACTAATATGTGATACAACATCAAGAAAGCTTGAAAATATTGTGCTAAGGGAAAAAAACAGTTAGAAAAGACAACATATTGTATGATTCCACTTACATAGAATGTCCATAATGGGCAAATAAACAGAGACATGCAGTGGGGAAGACAGGAAACAAGCAAGAAACAACAAGAACACACCCCTGGTTCACAACTCCAGCTACATTAGCTAGCCCTCGGCAAACAACAAGCACATTTAAGGGGGTTAAAACCCAGCAACAATCCTAACAAATTATTCTAATACTATTGGCTCCTTTCTTTAATATTTTTACAATAATGACAATCCACTTCATTCATACATTCATCAAACGTCCTCTCTATAGGAGGCCACAAGAGGGAATACTCAAGGTTTCCAAGCTAGGAAAGGATTCCAAGAACATGAAATGTTTTATTGAAATGGAGTAAAAATTCGTTAAGAAATGATGAATACAAGGAAGCCCTTCCAGGCACAGGAGCAGCAAGGATAAAAGCGAGCATTCTGGAAACAGCATGTAATATGGCCACATGGAGGAGGGGAAGAAAGATGGGTATATGACACTCACAGGTAGTCTGGGCTGGGCAGTGAGAGGGTGTGCAGCCTGCCCAGTACTTAAATAGCATGTGTCATTTGATGGGCTCATCTGATTGTCTATGTGTTAAGTCCTGGAAATCCCGTCTCTGTGTATTCTCATATTTATCCTCACATAACTTCGACTGGGGAGGAAATCAGCATGTACATAACCTTAAAAGATAATTATTTATTACCTTATTATAATCTGCATAGAGTGGCTATTAGCAGTCACTCCTCTCAGTCATGAAAGATCATTAATAAGGTGAAAGATCTAGATGTATAGAGAGAGGGATTTGTTCAGGGTTTTATTTCCTGATGAAGAATACAATATAAATCATGTTTCCGTGATGAGAAAACGTGCAGTAGCAAATCTAAGTGTCATATATCATAAGAAGGATTTTGTCAAACATCATATTTCATTCGGCTGACACAAAGCTATCAAACATCTCAGATATAGTCTCAGCCTGGCTGCATAAATTAGGTGTCATTTTTATTGCCATTTTGTTAATTAAATATAAAAATTAAATGTATTGCAGTGAAACTGCGAAATAAAGAGTAGTCCACATGCCTTGGGCCTCAAAGAAAACTGGGTGGAATTAATGATCATCAGGTACTGAGCCCAAGTAAAAAAAAAAAAAAAGAAAGAAAAGGAGCAAAAGCCCATAAAAGAAATCTAATAGATATACCCTACCTTTCCTCACTTCAAATTTAGTTTTCCTTGGAATCTGTGTTGGGATAAGTCATATACTCCTATGAGCCAGGATTGATTGATTGATTTTTTAATTGGGTATAGTAAGCCAAAGCAAATACATTATAATTGATTGATTCCATGACAACACAGAGAAGAAAAAAAGAAGGTAAAATAGTACAGCCCTGCCCTATGAAATTTAACCAAGTTGCAGGCTAACTGAGACTCCAAAACAGTAGCAGACAGCCAACGACATTCAACAGGCAAGAGTTTATTTGTCTCCAATTCTGCGCCCGGCTCTGAGCTGGTAAAGAGCCTCCTGGTGAGGTCATTAGATTTGTGCTCAGGCCTTTAGCATCATTTCCACCTTCCCACAGCCCATTCTATCCAATCTAACCCAATCTTTGATGGACTGATATTAGGAAGGTGACCAATATGATAGACCCCAGGAGAAAGAAATATGACCTGGCAGAGCCCCAGCCCAGCTGGATTTCTGAGCTCACCGGGAATGTGTACCACATCAGAATGCCAGGATGTCAGTGCAAGCAGTCTCTGCGTGGATAAGTGATCAAAGTGGATGACTCCAGAAGATGTGTCCTTACCCACATGAGCATGGCTCAGATCCTCTGAGTCAGTAAAAACACATAAATGCAGAGGAATGTGAGCAAAAAAACCAGTGGCAGACATCTGGGCCTATGACAGGGCTTTAAGCAAATGCTGCAGCCAGGACTTCCTAATGACCAGTAAAATATGTAAGGCTGAAGACGGTGTTTTAAATAAATTGGATTTTGACTTAAAGAATACAGAAATATATGTAAATAGGGGATAAGTCCATTTAATACAGGATAAGGCTTGATTTTTCTTGAGCTCTGTCTATTCCAGCAATGGAGGAATCAGTTCTAAGCTTATCTAACCGTTGCAGGAGCAGTGAGATCAGCTCATCAGATTCTGGCCTAGAATTCTTCTTTAGAAAAGTGGAGAAAATTATGCCTACTAAGAATTCCACTTCAGTTCAATTTGCTCTCGGCTATATAGTGCATCTGAAGTGAGAACAATATAAAGAAATGAGGAGAGCTTTAAAAATAAGAGAATTGGCTGTGCTCGGGTGGGTGCACTGAAGTTTTTAGCACTAGTAGGATGCTTTTGCCATATTTAAAAAAAAACAGCAAACAAACAAATAACAATGTCATATCCTCTTGTATTTCAGTGAGTATTACTTATTATCTAACACCTTTCCCCACCACAAATATCATATATAATATATGTTTATTTATTTATTTAAATTTATATATGAGAGCAGGACTCAGAAACAACTCCCCTCACCCCTTTGAATGAAGTATTCTGCACCTGAGAGCTTGTGTCATTGAGAGAAGGTTTGGTGCCTGGCAAAGGGCTGGTCTCTCCCTATACTTTAAATACACAATAGTTAGAAGGACCCATTAATAATGAAATACATACACCCTTACTCTGATCATTATATAAACAAAAGAAAGCATTATAAATGCTTATTTAAATTTTTAGTTATTAAGTTGATGATAAAAAGCAAGAATGGGTTGATTTCCCCATGAGTAAGAAAATCACTTTTTATACATCTACATTGCTTTTCCTGCATCAATTTTGTTTGCTGGAGAAACTGGAAAAGCTGAGATGGGTATCAAGTCTCTCAACATCCCTAAAGTTTTGCTACTTATTATGTAGGTCTCAATATTTCACAGCCATTCCACCTGCGACATTAGACTCTACATAAATATTTGTAATCCACTTTCTTTCTTTCTGATGGAAGATCAAAGGATACTGTGATTTATGTCACCTTGGAAAATAACCAGTCAAATGTCTACCTGCAAAGGTGAACAACAATAATTTATTCTTATCTTTCTTCTGCTGCATGCTTGGAACAACAGTAGAATTCCAAAAGCTCATAATATTTATCAAGATGAGTTTACTGAGGAGGATGTATTATTAATGAACATTATTCTGTCATTTAGTCATCTTACAATTTATTTTATTTGTCAAAAGGACATAGCCAGGAATAAAACACAGGCTGCTTATTCAAAGCCACCACATCAATATCTTCATCTGAGTTCGTATTTTATCTGTAGTCAGGATCAAGCAGCTCCTATTCATGAGTAATATATGCACTGACTAATTACCACCATGCATCTCCTCTCAAAACCATTCCCTCCAATTGGAAGTGATTATTTTTCCAAATTTGTAGTAACACTGGAGTGAATGAGTTCCTTGGTTCTGCTGTGTTTTAAGCTCATTCTAAACTCCGCTTTCCCAGTGAAGCCTGGCATGGTGAACGCGTCCTCCGTGAATGCGCCAGAGCTTTTGTTCTTTTTTATCATCTACACACAGACACCAAGGGGTCTCTTTGCTGAAGTAGCCTCCTCAAGGCTGGGGTTTTTGTTGTGATAACCTCGCCATTCAAGGCCTTGCCCTATAGATGGGCCCTTCAGACTGTTTAATGAAGCAAAGAGCTGGAAAAGGACTTTGTTCTCTCAACGCCTTTTTCACCATTGAAAAATCTCATTGTTTTACAGCACACTGATGAAGCATTTTTATAAGATCCATCTAAAGTAAGTGCATTTTAGGAAATTCACATCATACTTGGGAGAACATGATAATCAAAGATGCAAGGGAAAATGTTTCGATTATTGAATCTCAAAAGCAGAGCATGTGATTGGATATTTACAAAGCAACCTTTCCATTTCCAAAAGCACTGGATTTTAATATTCGCATGAAAAAACTGCCAAGATAGATTTAACAGAAATATTTGGCTTTCAAATTAAGAATGTGAAGAAGCAAAATGCGGTCTGATAATGAGTAAGGGATTCATTTTCAGACATACCACCTAAAATTCTAGTACAGCAGGGAGGTTCTGAGGGTATCAGAGAGCATGTGGGCAAGTGCTGTGATCCCTGGTGAGGAAAAGCTCTTGATAAGCACAAAGTGTTGTTATTATTATCTCGACAGTTTGAGGTACTCTTAGCTGCAATCATTTAAAAGAATGTTCTCATAACCAAAATACTACAAAATTAACCTTTTGGAGAACTGCAAGGCAGTTATAAAGTATTTGGAATAGAGAATGATTTAAGAGAGCTATCAGAAAACTCTACGTTTTAATAAGAATGAAGTTGATGAAGATTATCCACCTAAGGTAGGAACAGAATATCAATTCCACCATCCTTAAAGTACTCCCCAGAAAGACAGACATTTCAGAGAATGGAGTCTGTTATTTGTCTTCTCCAGGGATGATATGTACATATCTCAGTGCACGCAGGGCGTGCCTTCACAGAGGGGGAAAAAGATAATTTCTTTTAATCTCCTTTTAGGGCAGGTATGACCCTATTTCGGAGGTATAGAATTTTTTAGGAGCCAGCTGCCAGTAGTAATTAACGTAACTTGTCAAATTATGGCTTCCTAAAAGACATTTCTTCTTCTGCCATCTTCCTTTTAAATCTTCCATTTAAAACGCTCTAAATTATCATGAAAATAGGTTATGAAGTTTAAATAAATAGGTTATAAAGTTTAAATAAATAACTCATACTAATGCAGATGACAAATTAATCTTACTTAAAGCCATTATCATATAATTCTTTTTTAAATAATTCCAGGAGATTTCTAGCTACTGATGTAGTTATATCAGTGGTTGTCAACTGGGATAATTTTTGTCCCCCAAGGGAAAGGTGGTATTTTTGGTTTTTACAGCTTGGCTGGGGAGTGCTTCCTGTATTTATTGAGTAGAAGACAGGGATGCTACAAAATATCCTTTAATGTCCAAACAGTCCCTCCCACTGTAAAGAAGTATCCGACTCAAAGTCAGTAGTGCCAAGGTTGAAAAATCCTGGCCTACATGACTGATTCCAGAATCCTCCATGGCATTCAAAGTTCTTCATTAAATGCTCATCTTCCACATACCATCAAAGTTCCTCCAAACTTATCTCTGATTTCCTCATTACACATTATCCCTTGCCAAATTTTAATTCTATATAGGACTTGAATTAAACATTATAGCAATTTATTAGAAATAAAGTCTTTCTTCTCCTTAATATTCATAAAGACTCAGGTCCAAGCTGTGGCTGAAGGTCTTTATAACTACACCATATCTAAACCGAGACATTGGACTTGCAGATCCAACGTAATTCCCTATAAGGAGGAATGTTTTATTCCTCATAGTGAAGAGGATAATGAAAGACCAGTTATCCCCAAGGTTAGAAAATCAGTTATTCTTTTCTCTTCCCAGGATGATTCACTGTGGAGAGGTAAACCAGCATACAGGTAGTTCATTCCTTTAAATCTCAATTTTCCAAATTTTAAAGTGAATGGGCTTGAACAATGTAAGGAATGGCCGCCATCTGAGAGGTATTTCAAGAAGCCTCTTTTTACACACATGACGAGCATGACTAATCAACAGGGCACTGTTACCAGAAGCTAGACAGAGCTTCAGATTTTTCTTAATGCAGAGCATCAGCTGGAGTGTTAGTGGGTACTACTGGTCATTTGGAAATGGCCTGGGTGTTGAAACTTGTCATTCCCTACAATAATCTCTGAGGTCCATAGCAGTTCTTCCATGTCCTAACTCCATGATCTCTGAGCAGTGAGGTTACAAAGCTGGCATACTCCCTGTCTCACTCAGTGTTAACTCCAAGAGGAATGCCGGGAGCACCTGGCCGGTGGGTGGTAAACAGTGGCTTCCTGCCACTGCTCTTCCTGCCATTGTAGTGGAAGCCACACATTCAGCCACTGACTCTGTGGATCTGCAGGGCCCAGGAAGTTCAGGGCTACCTCTCACTGCGACCTGCATTAGGCGGGAGACAGCAAAGAGCCTTAGGGTTGACTTGTCTAAAGGCTGCACACCAGAGAGCAGGCCCATGATACACTCCATGGAATCACTTTGAAAACCATCTTTCAAAGGTAGAGCAGTTCAAAGCTAATCCAAAGATACAACCATCACCAAGCAATTATTCATTGCCTACTGCATTCAGCCTCCTGCCAAAGGTCTTCAAATCTCAGAGGGAAAAAGAAGAGATGAAGAAGGGAGAGACTGGAAAGGAGGCACATCTATTTTCATTCATTCTGTTCAAGTTAACAGCTGCTGCCATTAAGCAATTATTTATTATTTCAATATATTGTTTCAACATCACTAAAACTCTAATGTGTCTCTAAATAACATGCCTTTCAGATGAACAAAGACTGTGTAGGCATCCCAGGTGCAACAGGCTAGATCCTTTTGGGGAAGCCAAGTCAAAATGAGACTGAGCGCTCAATACACTCAGATAACCCTCTGCGTATAAAAGACACACTTCAGAGAAAACCAGAATTTTACCTACTTGTAAATGGTACAGTTATGCTACTGAAGACAACTGAGTGAGTGCTTATAGTTTGTCATAAACCTTCATTTGAAAGGCAACACGAACCAAAAATCTGCAGAATGCAAATGAATTGTGTTAACTGCCCCAATTGGAGAGTTGTGCATTAGCTGTAACAGTGAAATGAGTTAGTATTAACTAAAGTGTATCCATCCTTTGGTTTGAAAATTTAAAAGTAGCATAGAATGACCTATTCCAGTTCTGTGACTTTCTGAAAGTCAATGCTGGTGGTGATAATTTTAGATAAATAAAACCTTCATTGGTCCTATGAACTTGGACATTATTCTTTCCTAAGAATTATTCACCCACTACAGCTAAAATGTTGATTTAGCATCTTCTTGTACAGGATCTCATCCCTCTTCTCCTTTTTTGACGGCATACTATTAAGTTTTATGCTTAAATCCTTCTGTAATTCAATGTGTATAATGAATGTCTTAAAACCTAACCATAATAAATAAAAATGTATTTGTACTCTTCTAATATAAATTGTATCTATGAGAAAAGAAAATGTGTTAAAGATCTTGAAATATTGTTTATAAGTGAAATGAAAAGTGACACATCTGATACTAGACACTTAAAAATTACTTCTTTTGATATTCATTCATGCCCTTGATTATTAGTATAGCTCCCTTTCATGTTGTTTTTTTCTTAGCAAAAAAATAAATATTTAATAAAGTTGATTGACATTGGGGCTGACTGGGATATCATGCCAATAAATTTTGAAAAACCAGCTAACAGCAGAGTCCTGAGAACTGCAATGCCACTTCATCACTGCAGAAATAAAAGTACATTTTCAATTTTTCATGACGTTTAACCATCCTTTCCTGAACTCAATGAATCTAAAATATGTGATTTGACAAAAGTAATTAAAGTGTGGACATTTTGAGTTATTTTGATATTTGAAATGCGAGCTTGTCTACCTTACCACTCCTCACCCATCAAACTTCTTTTTCTAACTTGAAATGACCTTAAAGTTACTCAGACATAGCAACCTTGAAGGCCAATTCTAAAATTTTGATAGGTTGCCCTTCTTTATTTCAGTAAGATTTTCCTAACAGGTAAAGTAAGATCATGGGCTTGCTCATTTTAACTGGAAATTGAAGACATGGGGAGAGATCTGGGCTCTTCACTACAAACAGACTTTCTGCAAATGCAATGCTTCTGAGGATGGCTCAGATATAACCAAGAATTTTCTCCATTGCAGAATTCTTCATTCCAGAAATGTTTCAAAAAAAAAAAAAAAATGGAGCAAAACCCTATGTCATTCTTGAAACAATGTACATGATCTTACCGATCATTCATGGACAACCTTGATTGAAAGTGGTATACCAAGGACCCTGTGTATTATTCCGGGTTCTCCAAAGAAGTGGAACCAATAGGATATGAATATAAAGTCAGCCTTTTGTACCCCTGGGTTCTACACATGGATTACACCAACTGCAGATTGAAAATATTCAGAAAAAAAAAGATGATTGGTTGCGTCTGTACTAAACATGTACAGACTTTTTTCCTCGTCATTATTCCCTAAACAATATAGCATAGCAACTATTTACAAAACATTTATATCATGTTAGGTGTTATAAGTAATCTAGAGATGATTTAAAGTATTTGGGAAGATGTTGTAGGTCCTATGCAGATACTACACCATTTTACATAAGGGACTTGAACATCCACAGGTTGTTGTATCCATGGGAGGTCCTAGAACCAATCCCCTGAGAGTACCAAGGGCGACTGTAAGTATATATATATAAAATTGACCCACACAATTATGAAGGCTGAGAAGTCCAAGATCTGCAAGCTGGAGGACCATAGAGGCAATGATGTAAGTTAAACTGCCCCCAACTGATTTATCCGGATTAATCCCATCCAGAAGCATCTTCACAGGTACACCCAGAAATAAAGTTTAACCCAATATCTGGGCATCCCGTGATTTTGATATGTAAAATCAACCAGCACAGACTGATAACTTGATAACCAGCACAGACTGATAACTTTATCAGCCACAGACCGATAACTTGAAAGAAAATAAGATGTTCACAGTGTATTTATAATATCCTATTTTCTGTCAAGTTATCAGTCTGTGGCAATAATACCACTCCAGTTATTTGATTACCAAATTATTGACTTACTGCCAAGTTTGTGCAAAATGCAATTCTAAATGGTAGCAAGATATAGGTCATGCTTACAATTGTGCAAATATAGATTGTAACTTACAAATAAGAGGTAGCTTGTATATTAAATAACTAAATTTACCTTCTGTGGAAGTGGCTCTTAAATTATGGTCTTCCGACCAACGGCATCAGGCATCACCTGGGAACTGTTAGATGGCACGTGCTTGGTCTCCACCTCAGAACTGCTGAGGCAGAAACCCTTGCGGCGGATCCAGCAATCTGCATTTTAATGGGTGGGTGATTTTGACGCACACTGAAGTTTGAGAACCACAGCTCTATTGCAGCAGTTCTCAACTTCTGGCTGCAGGCCCCTAGGGATCTCTGAGATCTTTTCACGATGAGGTTCAAGTACTTTTATAATAATACTAAGATGTTATTTGCCTTTGATATGGCAAATAGCATGTTCCCTCTGGGTATAAAAGTAAGGGTGAATGGCACTGCTGATGCCTTAACATGGATCAAGACAGTGGCTCCAAACTATATTAGTAGTCAATGTATTTTTTTACTAGCACTGGCATGCAATTTTTTTGAAATGCTAGTTTCACTTAAGTAAGTCCTTGATTACACAGAAAAAAAATTGATGTTATTGAAACTTGACTTTTTCGTGTGTACTTTCTATTATTCTATGCGATAAAATGAGAAATATTCATGAAGTGCTATCGTTGCCAACCAAAGTAAGATAATGGTCTGAATGAAAGGTACTGATGATATGTTGGAGCTGCAAGCTGAGCTAGTAGGTTTTTTTCCTATGGGACAATATTTTTACTTGAAAGGACAACTAACAGACAGTGTATGGTTATCCAGAATTGGGCATTTGGCAGACATTTTCTCAAAATGAGTAAAGCGAGGCTGTCATTGCAAGAAAAACAATTGACAGTATGCATTGCCAAATGTTGAGTTTCAAGCAAAAACTAGAATTTTGGACACATGATATTTGCTGCTGTGAGCCTGACAGTCTTCCAGCACTTAAAGAGTTTCCTAATTAGATCAGTGATGATAATGACAAATGTGGTTTAAAAAAAAAATCATACATGAATGTGTGTCAACTGCAAAATTTAACAAGTTATGCATAGGTAAAATATCCAAAGTGCCAGCTAGACCAATGGCTTTTAATATAACAGTAAATGGAAAGTTCCAGGATATGACTTCATGTTCCACATTTCACTTGACCTTTCAAAAACAGCCACTTTTTGGGTTTTGCTGAAGTATCAAAGAAGAACCTGTAAATTATCCGATAAGGCTAGTATATTCCTCTCTTTGTAAACCTGATATCTGTGTGTGGCCAGATTTTTTTCCCTCTCCTTAAGCCAAAACAATGTTTCACAATAAATTGAATGCAAAAGCAGATACGAGAATCCAGCTGTCTTCCATTAAGCCAGACATTTAAGGAGATTTGCAAAATATAAAACAATGTCATGCTTCTCACTTTTTTGTGTGTGTTGGAAAACTAATTTTTATCCATATATGTGGTTTATGTTAATATGTAATGGTGTTATTATTGTTATTTCTAAGAGATATAATAAATATATTCACAGTTTCTCCATTTTGAAGTCTAATATTACAGATATTCATAGTTATAGCCCACATACACAAGAACTCTCTGGCTCTTCAGTAAATTTTACCTTCTTTCTAAACGTGCTCTCCCATCAGTTATCCCGGTGGCTGTCAGTCACAGGATGGAGGCATTTCCTGCACCCCACCCTCAGCCTCAGTTCCCCACCTGGAAGGGTTCTGCACTATTTTGGGGATCCAGCCACACATTCACCTTCTCTGGGAAGACTCCCTTTTAAATTCCCCAAGTCAAGCTGCTCTAATCCTTCTTGGGACTTCTTTGCATTAGGTTCTTACCTTTTATTAGTAAAGAATGCTGTTATTATTTTTTTAAATGTTACTTTAAGGTCTGATACATTTGCAGAACGTGCAGTTTTGTTACATAGGTATACATGTACCATGGTGGTTTGCTGCACCTATCAAGCCATCATCTAGGTTTTAAGCCCCACTTGCATTAGGTATTTGCTCTGATGCTCTCCCTCCCCTAGCCCCCCAACCCCCAACAGGCCCCAGTGTGTGTTGTTTCCCTCACTGTGTCCATGTTTTCTCATTGTTCAACCCCCACTTACGAGTGAGAATATGCGGTGTTTGGTTTTCTGTTCCTGTATTACTTTGCTGAGAATGATGGTTTCTAGCTTCATCCATGTCCCTGCAAAGGACATGAACTCATCCTTTTTTATGGCTGCATGGTATTCCATGGTGTATATGTGCCACATTTTCTTTATACAGTCTGTCATTGATGGGCATTTAGGTTGGTTTCAAGTCTTTGCTGTTGTGAATAGTGCTGCAGTAAACATATGTGTGCATGTGTCTTTATAGTAGAATGTTTTATAATCCTTTGGGTATATACCCAGTAATGGGATTGCTGAGTCAAATGGTATTTCTGGTTCTAGATCCTTGAGGAATTGCCACACTGTCTTCCACAATGGTTGAACTAATTTACACTCCCACCAACAGTGTAAAAGTGTTCCTATTTCTCCACAGCCTCGCCAGCATCTGTTGTTTCCTGACTTTTTAATAATCGCCATTCTAACTGGTGTGAAATGGTTTCTCATTGTGGTTTTGATTTGCATTTCTCTAATGACCAGTGATGATGAGCTTTATGCAGCCTGCTGTTACTTTCAAGGAGTAGAAAGTTTCATTAATAATGGTCTAAACAAATAGAAGTAGATTTTTCTCCCATGAACAGGGGTACAGAGTCTGGGGTTGGGCAACTGCAAATAATGTCATCAATGGCCCAGCTCCTTTTCTCTTTGAGTGCCTCAGTTTTCTACATTCAGGATCTCAGGTTGACTTTCCAGGGGACAGGAGGGGAAAGGTGTGGACATTCTCCAGTAAGATGTGCCTTCTTACCTGGAAAGGGAATGCTGCTCTGAAAACCTCTGCTTGAATCCTGCTGGCCAGAACTGGGCCATATGACTACCTCAAGCCACGAGGAAAGCCGGAATATTAAGGATTTTTCCTTTCTAGTCATTACAGTAAGGAAGAGGGAAGGGAAAAGGGTTGAAATGGCTTTTGGAGAGCAAATCCATGGTGCCTGTCACAGGCATCTGTTAGAATCCTCTACTACACTGCTTCCTCACTGCACCGTGACCTCCTGCACAATGAAGAGCTGCCTAGCTTCTCATCCTCATCCCTGTACCCAGGCCAGTGCCTGGCTACACTGTCTTAGTCACTTCCCCCATGAATAACCTATTTTATTTTTTAAATTTATTTTTCATTTTAATAGGGTTTTGGAGAACAGGTGGTGTTTGGTTACGTGAATAAGTTCTTTAGTAGAATACCCTATTCTAAAGTTATAATATTATTCATTACTTTTACCTCTAGCCATTCCTTTCCCCTGTCTTGCTTTTTTAAAAAAAGTAGTTAATATCGAATATACTATAACTATATATCAAATACACACACATATATATATACATATGATCCATCTGTGTGTGCATGTGTGCATGTGTGTATGTAGAAAGAAATGAAGAAAGAGAAAAAAAAGACAAAGAAGAGAAGAGAGATTGAGAGAGAGAGTTTTCCATAAATACACCCACTGGAATACCACATCAATGATTGCAGGACTTCTCTTTGATTTAGTGCTATATTCCCAGAACCTCATTCAATGTATGACATGCAGCAGGTACTTAATAAATGTTTGTTTAATGAATAAATGGGCAGGTGAACAAATTAATAAAATGAATGTTTATAGAAGGCAAAGAAAGTATGAAAGTAATAAAGATGAGAATTAAACAAGGCAGCCTCGTAGAAATGAGTCACTTTTAAAAAAATTTATAGACAATTATTGATGGAAAATAGTTTCATAGGATATGGGAAGTGTGAATCTACCTTCAACTCATTGCTAACTTTTGAATTACTTAAGTATTTCTTTGTACTTCTGTCTTTCAGAATACCACATCCGTTCAAAGATTTTACAACAAAATAAGATTACATATGACTTTGTAGGTAGTCTTCAGAATAAATGTTATAAAAAGTTCAAAATGCTATCATTATAATTGTTTCATTTTGCTTAAATTACTTTGAATCATGCTATGCACACAACTGACACTTTGCAATGGCTCGTGACAAAGTAGGAAACTATCTTTTGAAATCAAAAAGACACGTTTTCTCAAAAATATATATTTCTGAAAACATATCCATAATATGAATATTTTATTTCTTTCTTTGGAAGATGCTATTTGAAATTCTGATAACTCACAGAGACCTTTACATGGGCTTGATTTGCTATTATCTGTAGAAAGAGTTTTCTGAGAATAAGACAGCTGCTCTCAGGATAAAGTAATTGTATTAATACTTCATGTTTACAACACAGAATTGCAGTTTTGTCATCTAGAAGTGCAACACTGACGCTCTACACAAAGCAATACATTCACTAATCATTTCTAAACTAATATTAATTGTGACCAACCATGCACTGAGAGATGAAACTATTTAAGAAATTCCAAGAAGTAATGTTTGCATTCTACATTCTTTTAAACAAATAAAATATGTAAAAGTGCTTAACTCCTAGATTGAGTCTTATGCAAGAAATTCCAAATGCCAAGAAAGAAATTTTTTTATTAATCTTTGGAACAGATGGCTGGCAGACAATGTTATTTCACTGTTCAAGATGAGGAAACAGAAACAAAGGCACCTGTAGATATGGAGTCCATTCTAGACTAGCAGTGATAGTCACTTGGGATTTACATGTCATACTCTATTTTGAAAATCTATTACACAATTTCATTAGAATGGTTCTGCCTTTTAAAATCATTATTATTAATATTTGTTTTCACAACCTTCTTAAGTTGTCGTCATTTTCTCATGCCTCCCAAAGATTTTGGCTCAAAGTAGTCCGAAAAGATTTTGGATTAAGTCTCAGAAACATAAGCTGATATGCTTTTAGTTTTATATGATTCTGTGAAAACTTAAAAATAAAATCCTGAATTGATATTTTATTCTACTTTTTATTTTTTAGAGTCAGAGTCTTGCTCTGTCCACCAGGCAACCCCACACTCCTGGCCTCAAGTGATCCTCCTGCCTCAGTCTGCCAAGTAGCTAGGACTGCAGGTGCACCACCATGCCTGGCTAACTTTTAAAATCTTTTTTGTAGAAACAGAGTCTTGCTATGTGGCCAAGTTGGTCTTGAACTCCTGGCCTTGAGTGATCCTCCCACCTCTACCTCCCGAAGCACTGTTATTATAGGTAAGAGCCACGGCACCTGGCTTCTGTCTTTACGAAAATCGGCCATTTGATTTGTCATTTCCACATCACCATTAATGTTTGGTTAAATGTGAGGTTGTAGGTAGTTTCTATTTAAACATCAGGACTTAGTTATGCCTGTTGTATCAATCAATGCATAAATGTGAAGCCAGAGGTGACAACATTTGAGTAGGAATTTAAGTTGTTTTAAATAATTTCTAGGGCATTGTGATGCAAATATTTGCATGTAATCCAATACAAATGTCAATAATATTTTTGAGGATAATGATACAGAGGACATTTTACTATAGGAATAAAATCAAGGAAAGAATTTTGACAAAAGAAAGAACTCATTTGAAACAATGCCCAAGCCTCTGCTTCAAGTCAACAGGGAAGGAGAACGGCACCTACCTCACATTAGAAGCCTGCTGCAGTCATGTAAAGAAGGTAACCATGGCAAGAAACTGCTTGTTTCCATGCATAATGTATTTAACTTAGAGACTGGCATGGGCCTTAGAGGAAGCCCTAATGATGCACTGTTCAAAACCAGAAAGATGTGAGAGGGATGTGCCGGTGCTGAGATTTCCTTCAAGGCTCTGAAAGCTGGAAGCGAGACAGAGATCTCCTGCAGAGCATCTCTCCTCACTGATACCTGAAACACGTGCTGGCCCTGATTCCTTTAAACATCAGAAATGTGGTGTCAAGGCTCTGGGTGTCCAAGTGGTGTGAGCAGGTCATGGGATCCTGGAGTCCAGCTAGAACATAGGAAAGAAGTCTGAGTTCCGCAGGTACTCTTGCCAGACCCCGGGTTTATTCTGCTCCGATCCTGATGCACGCAGGGCAACACACAAGGAGAGAGGCCTGCTGCTGTATTTTAATGGATCGTCTCAGCTGGCATCTCATTTCCAATACTGGTAAGTACTTAACACATATGAATGACAATGGGGGTATTTGCTATTAAAAGTAGACTTCTTTTAATTAGAATTTTTTATCCTCGAGTCTCCCCGTTTATGAACCCTTGTGATAGATGTAGCTTCTTTTAGATAATTGCTTGGGATGAATGAATACCCCAATATTTATTTAGCAAGGATGTCAATGAATTATGAATGGAAGCAAACAGTTCCATTGGGCGAGCACTCTAATTAATAAAGCCTGCTTTTGATGGCTTTGTGTATGCAAGAGTGGTACCAGGGCTCTGTAGCAATGTAACCAATGCAGGTAATAGATGTTAGAGGTATTCATGGAAATAGAACAAGACACAGGGGAGGAGAGAGCTGGCTGGACTCAGGAAAAACCCCCTTTAATTCTCTGAATGTCTTTTCTCCCTTCCTCACCATAAAATCCTGGACCGTATCAATGTATCTGTATAAAACAGCATTTCCCTTGTGATCTGGTGGTTTAATCTCCAGCATTCCCTGACAAGGGCTTAACGCATTATTTCTCCTGGGAACACTTTTTAGAAGTAAATATTCTTAAACTACAAACAGGGCCAATAGCCAGTGTGCACATGCTACACACCAGCTGAAAAAATATCCAAATATCTCCATACTTCTTGGTACCTAGCAGCTGCTTGTAGCCACTAAGTCCCCTACTTAGGATCATAGAACCTCACCACTAACAAGCAACTGGAGTGAGTATCTGGCCCCACAAGTGATCTTTAGGTCCAGCTCCAGATATCAGTCTGGACTCTCTTTTTATTGGAATTTCCTTGTAGTTTACTACTTGTTAAATATTTGGAATATGACTTCTGGTGCTCCTTTCCATCTTACCTCCTGCCAAATTTTAAATGCCTACATTTAACCTATGATAGTTTCAAATGACAGTTGGTGACTGCAAGTGTTCCATGGCACCTTTTTATTTTTTGTCCACCTGGGCAGTCCTGGGAAGAAGGGTGAAAGGCAAGATGGAATTGTGGCCGTGAAATATGTTAAACTGTGGTCCAGCAGGAATATGAAGCAATACTAGGTTTCTTGGTGGGTTGAACAGTGTCCTTTCTAATCAGTTACACTGAGCATGATCATGTTGCTGAGTGCTTTGGTAAATGCATGCTTTATGTTACTTAATCTGCACAACACTCATATGAGTTAAAGTATTATTATGTCCATTTTATAGATGAGTACAACAGTTTTGCCTTTTTTCAACGGAACAAGAGATGTTCTTCATATTCTAAGATGGCACCCAAGATTCTTCCCCACTCATATACATTCCTTGTTCAACCTGTTCCCTTTGAGCATGGGCAGGTCCTATAAATATGGTGAAATATTCTCATTATTAGTGTGTATTATCTGGCAATGGGGAAGGGATTGCAAATGTTATTAAGATTTCTAATTGTCAAATTTAAGCTAATGAAAGGGAGATTAATCTGCAAAAGTCTAGAGATCAGAATTTGAAAGTATTAGAGAGACTCAAAGCAGCAGCAAACATTCTCCTATGTTTGAAGAAGCAAATGCCTTGGTGTGGAGAGGGCTACATGGTAGGGAATGGCAGGCAGCCTTCAGGAGCTGGGAACTACAGTCATACAACCACAACAAACTGGATCCTGCCAGCAACCAGGGAGGACTCCAAGCCACTGATAGGAGCACAGGCTAACCCAACACCCTGATTCTCACCCTGATGAGAAGTTGAGAAGGAATCTAACTATCCTGATCCATACTTCAGACCCATGGAAACTGTGAGAAAATAAATTTGTGTTGTTTTGAGTGCTAAGTTTGTGATAATTTGTTATGCAGAAGTAGATATCTATTATATTAGACTTCTGGACATTTCTAAGGCTATATATGAATATAAGGAGACAGTTCATTGGAAATAGATCAAGTAGTTTTTAACCTGCATAATAGTAGGTAATTTTGCCGATGGAAATCTATATTAGCCCAATGTCCAATCCATACTAGACGTTAATTAGTTAATAGGCTAATTGATGCTAAGATTTTAACCTAAACATTAATCAACAGAAACTCAGGCTTAAATTCAATACAGCAAATGTTTGATGCCCACTGCTTGTCAATCAGTAAACTAAATGATGTTGGAATTTCAGTAGCCAGAAAAGAAATGGAATAGTCATGGGTTCCATGGGGTATTAAAAACAATTTAACTTTTTATTATAATTAATTTAGTACAAACTTAGTGAAAATTAATCTTGAGGAGCAATGTAGGCAGGAATATTTTCACCTTCCTTGTCTCATAAGTCAGTGAGTCTACGCTGGATTACACTGATATTTGTTCTGTGCAACCTGAAAGGAGGCAAAAGATAACTGAGTCTTTCCATTTTGATTCTACATGGCTGTACATCATCTATTTAGGATTGTTTAAATAATTATGTTCTTTTAAACTACCATAATGAACATAAAGGAGCATCCCAAATATGGGAACAAGAATCATCCAATGTTGATGATTCAACAGATCCATTATACTGGATCTGGCTTGAATCTTTAACATGTGATATTGGCCACTGTCTGTCGTGACAAGGAACCCATAGGTGAAGTTTGAACTTGCTGAATTCAGAAACTTGGAGAAGAACCTCTGACCTCCAAGGCAGCATTGTAAATCCAGCCACTCATAGCTCAAGCATGAGTCTTCTTTCAAGACTTACAGACAAATCCTTTCTCTCCATAGCAAATGTGGATGTGAGATTGTTCACCTTCAGCTCCAATATGACTTGTTTTGGGGTTCTGTCCACCAGAACCCATGTGGTACCTTGCCATGACCTTACCTAAGACAATTTGATGATGCACAAGTATCATCTTCTGTGAATGGTTTAGAAATAAATGGGGTGAGACACTTCTTCCCAACCTTGCTACCAAACCAGGTCCTGTTTGAGACTGAAGTGGAGACCTATTCATAATTACACCTAGAGAGCAGGAATAAACCATGACTGTGTAGAGCATATTTGATTATATTGTCATCCTAGTTATGACGATAATTGATCTCAGCAAAATTCTGTCATACTTGTGAATTTGAGAGCAAATAAATTGCACAAACAACCTGTTATGTGAGCTGTGAAGTCCCAGCTCTTCCCTCTTTGGTGATCTGAAAAACCTTGCACTGACACTTCATCTGGGGCAAACATAGTAGTGTTGTCAGGGAAGGCTTCATATGACCAACTGTGAGAGTCAGGTGACTGTGAATCCTCTGATTAGAGACAGAGCAGGGGATGGTTCCAGGTTTACTTCCTGGGATGTCATCCCCAAGGTTAAAGGGTGAAGGGTCTCCTAGATTCTTAGAACCTATTCATGAAAGTCTGGGAGTAACTTGGAAACACTTGAGGCAACCTACAGGGCTTGAGTACAAATTGAACTGTGTCCTCCAGGAAAGAAAGGTTGAAATTCTAACCCCAATACATGAGAATGTGGCCTTATTTGGAGTAGAATTTTTACAGAAGTAACTCAGTCAAAATGAGGTCATTGGGGTGGGCCATAATCCAATATGACTGGTATTCTTATTTAATAAGGGGAAATTTGGAGAACGAGAAAGACACACAAACACAAGGAGAATGCCATACAAACATAAAGGTAGAGACTGGGATGGAGCCTCTGCAACCCAAAAAATGCCAGAGATGCTCAGCGAGCCACCAAAGAAGCTAGGGAAAAGGCCTGGAGCAGATTCTTCCTCACTGCCTTCAGAAAAAACCAACCCCTTAGACACCTTAAAATAGTGGCTTCACATAACAGAAAATTATGTTTTCGCAGTTCTGGAGACCAGATATCTGAAATCAAGGTGTCTGTAGGGTCATGATGTCTCTGAAATTTCTAGGGAAACCCCTTCCTTGACTGATGCTAACTTCTGATTTTTAGCATGAGATCATTAATTGGAGATTGCTTCTTTAGATTTTGGTCTTATCATGACAGCTTTCGGCCTTATCATGACAGCTGCTGGATAGCACGGAAGGAGAGTCTACTCTATCTACTCTACTCTACTCTACTCTACTCTACTCTACTCTACTCTACTCTACTCTACTCTATCTATTTTGGCCTTTTCTTCTTTGTAAAGGATATTATCCACGCACAGGCTCCGAATGCCATCTATCTGAATAACAAATCACTTGTCCCACTTTCTATTGTTATATCTCACTGACTACAACACACACAGCTACTTACAGTCTTGTAGGACCAGAGTATAATTAATTTTTTTCATCTTAAATCATGTTCTGCCTTCTATATTCTAGATCTTAATTGATAACCTCATTGTCATTTAACCTTCCAAACTAGAAGATTTGCAACCTTCTATAACAACTACATTTCCTCAATTCTCCAGTGGGTTTTTAAATTGTAGCACTCCATCCCACTTATTCTAACATTGATATGGCCCTGTTATTTCTCCCATGAACTACTGAAACAGTCTCCTTCAAGTTTTTCTGACAGTATTTTTGTCCTGACTTCCAATCATTCACAACTCAACTCTTTTATTCAATATCATTGTTAAAATAATCTTTAAAAAATAATTGACCAAGTAACTCCTATGCTTATTATATTCTGTTGGCTTTCCAAAATACAAAATGCAAATAATTCTGTGCAACAAAGACCTTTAACTCAGCTCCTACCTACAGTTCCTTCTGGTACCTTTGTCCAACCTCATTTCTACTACATCCTCAGGCGTGTCAGCTTCTCTTACAACTTACGAATGCTCGCAGCAATTCAGATGGCCCTTCTAGCCCTTCCCATACCCTTCCTTGCCCTTCCCATACCCTTCCTTGCTGGGGAAATGCCTATGAAGACTCAGTACAAATTTTACTTCCCTCATGGAGCCTTCCCTGACGTCAAGGCAGAAGTATTTGGTTACTCTCTGCTTTCAA
This sequence comes from Homo sapiens, assembly GCF_000001405.40. Classification (NCBI taxonomy): domain Eukaryota; kingdom Metazoa; phylum Chordata; class Mammalia; order Primates; family Hominidae; genus Homo; species Homo sapiens. The sequence goes on along the minus strand of NC_000013.11, from coordinate 107,081,895 downwards.
TATCACTGTACATATTTACCCATATGAAATGACCATGCTATAGCCTAAGGTATTTCTCACACATATCTCTCCCATTTAATTTGAAGCTCCCCGAGATCATTTCACATTTTCCTCTGCACCTTTAACTATTAGCATGACACCTATCACACAGCAAGAACTTTGGAAATATTTGATAAATAGTTGGATAACTAAAATAATAAAATATTGCAGATATACCTGTAATTTGTATATGACAATATGTATAATGATAAAAATTTAAAAACATGTGTGTGTAACTAACCTCACTATTTCCATCTGAGTGATATCTGGGTTATATAATTGTATGGACATAGGGTTCAGGAGTAACCATAAACAAGAGGCACATCTCTACTTCCTCAAGAGCAGGTAACAGAGCAAAACTTTGCAGGAATAAGAGAAGGCTCAGGTTTCATAAGTACTCGAGAAGATTACTTGATATTTGATGCTCATGGCAGGATCTGAGATGCTCAGCAAGGCCTGCAGCCACTTATATTTAAAAATGAGGAAATGTCTAAACAGGATTAACCAATTTGTCATATGTCACAGCTTTCTTATAACTCGTTAATGATATTTTAACACACATGCAATTAATGCTTGTATTACCTCATTTAAAGTCTAATTTGAAGGCTTCTTTTACAATGAAACACTGACCAAGTAGATATATGATGAGGCCTCATTTGGGAGGAATGTTTATAGCCATGGCAATCATTTATTGATTGATGTTTTAGCCCTGTGGAGCATTTTCCAAGGTTAGGTGCTGTTGCAGGTGAAGGGGAACAGTGATACACAAGGCAGACAAGATTTCTGCCCTCATGGAGCTTTCATTCTGGTGTCAGACAGACAATAGAGAAGCAAAACATAAGTGATTTCAGAGAGGGCAAACCTATAAAGAGAGTAAACAGGGTGAGGAACCAGAGAGAGAGAGGGTGGGTGCTGGGCACACTGAACAGGCTGGGCAGTCTCCTTGAAGAGGAGCTACAGGGACAGAACTCTGGATGGCAAGATGGGGCCATCCAGGAAGAGATCTTAGAAAAGGGCATTCCAGGCAGGGAGAGCAGTAGGTCGAAAGTCTAGAAACAGCCCAGCATCCTCTGGACCAGAAAGAAGGCCAGTGTGGCTGCAGCAGCATGAGGGGACAAGGTTGTGCATGAGATGAGGTGGGAGAGTCAGCCACGTGCCAGACCACAGGGCTTGGAAACACAGCTGGTGGGGCTCTTGGCGCACATGGGGAAGACCAAAACTGCACTCTCTATTAACATGTTGACAGTGTGCCCCGGGAACGTTGGCTCTAGGAAGACAGAAACCCAGTCCAGTATTGAATAGTTGCTCTGCAAATGTTTGTTGAATGACTGATTGAGATTGGAGATGGCAGAAGCTCCAGAGTTCTGTTTAGGTGAGTTAAATCTCGGATGCCTTTTAGGAATTCAGTGGCAATGATAAGCTCTAAAATACACAGTGCTTACTATGGACCAAGCATGTTTTAAATGTATTACGTATATTAACTTATTTAATCTTCCTAACATAGCAGAGAAAATCATTACTATTGTGTCAATTAACAAATGAGGACACTGAGCCATGGCGAGTAATTTTGGCACCTTTAACCCCTCTGTTATGCTGACACATTTCGGAAGGCATTGGAGACAGTTGGGTATATGAGTGTAGAACAGACAGAGGTTGTCAGCATGAAGATGCAAGTCAGCCCAAGGGGTCTAAGGGAAAACCAGGGGTGCAGGTGTAGCTGGAGAAGTGCCTCAGGACCTGGCAGAAAGGGAGCCTCCAGTCCCACCAACTACACTGTGGAAGCATTTCACATGCATCTCATTTAATCTGCAAATGATTTGATGAGGTAGTTACTTTATCCAGGTTTTACAGATGAATAAAACTAACATTCAGGAGATTAAATACTTGACCAAAGCCAGATGGCTAGTGAACAGCAGGAGCTGAAATTCAAGCCCTGGGGAGTCTCACTCCTGGCAGAACTGAACAAAACCAGAATGGTTTATTATTCAGTGAAAATTGGAGACATGAGAAATGCTTTTTAGTTTTTTTTTTTTTTCAAGAATCTTGGACTAGACTAAGAATAGGAGTGTCCCGTGTTTTCCTGGGGTAACAATAACAGGATCTCTGGCTCAGACTCAAGCTGGAGCATTGAGGGATTTTCTCAAATCCCTGAAGTCCCTCTCAGGTTGGACTGAGATGTGGGTTTACTGTAGGGTTATATGAGGGGCCATCCAGGGCACCATGGTGAGGTTTCACTTCCCCTGAAAACCATGTGGCTCTCTGGCAGCTGTCCCTTTCCTGTATCTGCACCCCAGAAGTAGGTAGGGTCAGCTTTCTGCTGCTGGCATTGACTGCACTGTCCACAGTGCCCCCATTCCTGTTCCCCTACACTGCTGACCCTCATGGGAGGATTAGAGTAGGGGAGATACTGTCCTTCAGTTCTGCTTCATTCTGTCCACAGGGCACCAGGCATTGCTTTTCCGTGCTATGGAATCTTTGGGAGATTTTACCTGTGCATCTCTTCTCTCTTTACTCACTCTCTATCAAGCTTTTCTCATCCTAGGAGTCTAGTGTGGCTTCATCAGCCCTGGGCTGAAAATTGACCTGAATGATATTGAGTTTCTCAAAATCACCTCTCTACTTCTTTCTTTCACTCTAACCATGATGCACAGCTGTTGTGTGCAGGGAGTCTCATCAACCCCCTCTCCACTTTGGTGAGTGGTTTTCCATAAGATATGCAAATAGATCTGTGTAGGTTCTGGCCCTTCAGACTTATATGGATGTGTCTGAGTCACATGATATACAGAAACTAGACTCCCATGGAAACACCCGTATTTCCCAAATTCTTGGTTTCAGCTGACGACGTATTCCTTGAGTATATAATTGCCTATTTGTGTTGAGTTTCCCCTTTCTCGTTTGCTTACTCCTCTATCAAAGTGGTATTTTTGAACTTACAAAGACCCATCTGAACATGTGTTGCTAAGAGCGAGGGCACAAAAGACAAGAAAGAAAAATAAGTTCCCAATTTTGTAGACACTAAAATCTCTCTCACTTTCTTTAGGGAACACTAAAAAGGGGGCATGTATGGAGGGTCAAATTCACCAATCTGACATTTCCGAATCTCCAAGGAGTGAGTAGTTGGAAAGGCACACTCAATATTAGAATTTCTTTGTTTTGCAGCTTTCAATGTGTACATTTCAAAGGACATTAAAGAAGAATTTTCTATTTACCAGAGTAGTGGTAATGGTATTTTTTTCAAAGTAGAAACAAACATAAAACTCTGTCTGGTGTCTATGGTAACAGGAACGTGACTGCACTTGGAGAATCCACACTAAGATAGCACAGTTTCTGCAGGCTAAAGCATACAAAATACCAAGTACTTTTACATTTGAAGTAATTCAGATAGATCATCATGGTTACCAAAGGCATATATTTGCTCGACATTGAGTAAATCTAGGGTGTAATCTGGGATGTACACCGCTCTGTTCGCAAAACCCCTGCATAAGTCCATTCTCACACTGCTATAAAGATACTACCTGACACTGGGTAATTTACAAAGAAAAGAAGTTTAATTGACTCACAGTTCCACGTGGCTGTGGAGGCCTCAGCAAACTTACAATCATGGCAGAAGGGGAAAGGAGAAAGAAGCACCTTCTTCACAAGGTGGCAGGAGAGAGAGAGAGAAGGAGGAATTGCCACAAACTTTAAAACCATCAGATCTTGTTAGAACTCCCTCACTATTATGAGAACAGCCTGGGGAAAACTGCCTCTGTGATCCAATCACCTCCCACTAGGTCCCTCCCCTGACACATGGGGATCACAGTTGAAAATTAGATTTGGGTGGAGACACAGAGACAAAGCATATCATCCCTTTTCCCCCAAATAAATAATATATCTTTCTTTTCTTCATGTCTTCCTTGGAAATGACCACATAAGAATTTCCACTCAGAAGGCAATTCTTTCCTGTCAAGGAAAATATCTTTTTCCTCCATTTTCAGAACATCTTACTCCTTATTTTCATTAAGCTCGATACCCTCAAAGACTACAGTACAAAGTGAGACCATCTGATTGCCTGTCTTCCAAAGAACAGCTTGATAAAAATAACAGGTTTGGGCACTCCACACTGTTGCTCTGTCTACATGACACCAAACAACCTTATTGGTTGATCTATTTGCCGAATCAATTGGTCGTACCTGTTACAAAATGGCAGAGGCATCACAAACTGCCGTGAGGGAGGTGGTGTGGCAAGCCTGGTCTCCAGCTAACATAACTGGTAAACTAACTGGAATACCTCCTTCAGCCTACAACTCAAAGTGCAAGGAACTATTTTAACACAGCACTAGGTAAAACTAAGAACAACAGGTTCTCCATCCCTACATTGCCCCCTTCCCCAAATCTTCTTCACAATAAAAATCCGAAGTAATTATACCCCCTCCAGAAAATTTCCTCCAAATACGTTTTCATAGATCTCTTCCTTCATGTTTCTTATTTTATTTTAAAAATTGTTCCTAGTACCAATACTTAAACGCTGCCTCATATTATTATATAGCAGCTTTATGTACATTATTTCTTCTCAGTATTTTCTTCTGTATAGAAATATTGATTTTAATAGTCACCACAGGCCACTCCCCTACCTCCCTATGATGATATCTAGCCTCATGACAAAAAATGATCATTATTATTCAATAAATAATTGCATTAAATTATGACTGTTTAAATTTACAACTTGCCCTTTGTCCTTGAGCTGTATAATTACCAAAGCTTGTGTATTTTTCAATGAAATGTGCACGTGCTTCATTTTCTAGAATTCCTAAGAGTCTTGGCTAATGAATTATCCTCATCAAGATCCCACCTCTAAAGTGTTTCTGGTATTGCATCAAAGAGTAAACTCAGGAATTTTCGAGGTCCAGTGCACTCCATTTATTTTCTTTAACTCTATGCATTGCAACATCATTATATAATTCTGCTTTTCTTGAAATACACACATTCTACATGGATTATATTATTTTGACCTTTGGCTCACCTTTGATGGGACGGTTGTTTTAGAAACCTCATTTATATTTTAACCACACATGTATCCCATACTTTGGGTTCTATTGAAATAATAAAATTTACTGAGACTTTTTATTAACACCTTTTAATCTCATTTGTATGTTCTGCATATTTCCCATTAAGGTAATTATCATTAAGAGTCTCACAATTTTTTATTGGTGAAGCTCCATTATGTCAATTTGCAAGAGGTTTCTGTTATTTCAAATGTCTTTGGTCTGGTTAATGGCGTCTTCACTGAGCTCAGTCTCAGTTCCTTGTACAAGTCCTCCTGTATCTCTTTTTGTTCTTAGTATTGATTGGTTTACAATTAGTATTCCTTGACACTGAACTTAACAGCTCCTAGATCACTGGTAAAACAATAGAATTTGTTTGTTTATTTATTTATTTATTTATTTATTTTTTGAGGCGGAGTTTCGCTCTGTCGCCCAGGCTGAAGTGCAGTGGCACGATCTCGGCTCACTGCAACCTCTGCCTCCTGGGTTCAAGTGATTCTCCTGGCTCAGCCTCCTGAGTAGCTGGGATTACAGGCACGTGCCTTCACGCCCCGCTCATTTTTGTATTTTTTGTACAGAAAGGGTTTCACCATGTTGGTCAGGCTGGTCTCGACCTCCTGACCTTGTGATCCACCCACCTCGGCCTCCCAAAGTACTGAGATTACAGGCCTGAGCCACCGCGCCTGGCCTAGAATTTGTTTCTTATAGATAAATCATGTGATGGTTAATAATAGGTGCCAACTTGATTGGATTGAAGGATACCTAGATGCTGGCGAAGTAGTATTTTTGGGTGTGTCTGTGAGGGTGTTGGCAGAGGAGATGGGCATTTGAGTTGGTGGACTAGGAGAGGAAGACCCACCCTCAATATGGTCAGCACCATTCAATTGGCTACTAGTGGGTCCAGAAAGCAGGCGAAGGAAGGTGGGATAAGCTTGCTTGCTGGGTCTTCTGGCTTCCTTCTTTTTCTGTGCTAGATGCTTCTTCCCATTCCTCCTGCTCTTGGACATCAGACTTCAGGTTCTTCGGCCTTTGGACTCTGGGACTTTACACCAGTGGTTTGCCAAGGCTCTCAGGCCGTCAGCTGCACTGTTGGCTTCCCTCCTGTTGAGGGTTTCTGACTGGGACTAAGCCACTACTGGCTTCTTCTTTCCCCAGCTTGCAGATGACCTATCGTAAGACTTCACCTTGTGATCATGTGAGTCGATTCTCCTTTAGAAACTCGCTTTCATACATACATCTACCTATTAGTTCTGTCCCTCTGGAAAACCCTGACTTATAAAAGTCATAAGAGAGGTTCTTGGCCCTGGATTGTTATATTCCTTAGACATTGTAATCAGAATTTTGAGTCTGTGGATATGTTATTTTTCCAGTTGTAGACTGTGTCTTTAACAAATCCTCAAAAAATTTCCTGACCCTGGAAGAAGAATGAAAATTCTAGAAATAGCTACTGAACCAGGAAAAGAAACAAGGAAAGCTCTGAGATTTTTGAAATTTCTACAGATACAATATGATTTGGATTTGTGTCCCTGCCCAAATCTCACGTCAAATTGTAATCCCCAGTGTTGGAGAAGAGGCCTGGTAGGAGGTGACTGGACTGTGGGTGTGGATGTCCCCCTTGCTGTTCTCATGATAGTGAGTGAGTGCTCATGAGATCTGGCTGTTTAAAAGCATGTAGCACCTCCCCCTTCTCTCTCTTCCTCCTGCTCTGGCCATTAAGACATGCCTGTTTTCCCTTCCTTTTTGCCTTCCACCATGATTGAAAGTTTCCTGTGGCCTCCCCAGCCATGCTTCCTGTACAGCCCGTGGAACCTTGAGCCAACTAAACCTCTTTTCTTTGTAAATTAGCCAGTCTCAGGTAGTTCTTTATAGCAATGTGAGAATGAACTAATATGTGATATTTTTACATGCTATGTTGACAGATGTGGCCTGCCTTGGTAACAATGTAAAAAACATCTAATTTATAAATTAGCATAAATAGATAGTTGCTTCTGAGAGATTACAGAAACAATTGACTCTGATCCCTCCTGGCTTAATCTGACATATTCTAAATTGGGATGAAGAAAAATAGGGAGAAAGAAGATAGGACTTAAATATGAACAGAATTCAAAACAAGAAATTTGGACCTCTTCCAGTAAATTTACATTATGACATTAGGATAGTTGTAGTGCTATAACTTTGTTCTTTAACATAAAAATGCTGTGACTTCTTGACATCATACATTCATGTGTAAAGTCCAGAAATAAAGATATAAGTGATTTTCGTTTTATCTGTCTTTCCCACCCCAATAACAAGTGTAATTAAGAGTTCTAAAAGAAGGCACGGTACAGACCAAAATAAACAAAAACTATTGTTAGCCCTTGATAAAGAAAGCAAAGAAAAACATGAAATTATCCCTTCTAAAGTCTTTTAACCTCACTGGGACTCAGATTCACATTTTATCATAGACGAGGGAATTAAGCTAGATGTTCTCTACGGTTGCTTTCAACTCTAAAATCCTTGGATTTGTGTGATCTTATGGTTTCATTATTTTTATTTCCAGTTTCAATAAGCAATTTCATCTTCAGCCTGCTGAGAAATTCACAGCCTGTGTTCTCCTGCCACAACCCTGTGGGGCCCGTGTACTGTGCACACCCCAAGGGGCGCCTCCCTGTCCGCTAGCAGAGAACCACCAGCGGGCTGATTTCAGGGATGGGGTTTGCAAACAGACAGGCACACACGCACAAGGGAGCCTCCCTGTGACATGTCAAAGTGGCTGCAGGTGTGTTCCTGTCTCCCCCCTCCTCACTAGTTGAAACCCGAGGGAGCAAAGTGTGGGATTTAGTACCGTGATTGAAAATGGAAGTCATCACGTGCCCATCTTGGGAATAACGTGATACTGGAACAACTGAGAGTTGTGGAGCAGCCCGACATGACGAGACAGGAAAGTGCGGTCTGGAGATCCATGCTTACCAATTAAGCAGGCAATTACTGAAGTCGTTTTCTCCCGTCTGACTATGAAGTGATCACAGGAGACACAGGCAGGGCAAGAGTGGAAAAGCTTGCTCAGAGACACAGGATTTAATGTGGGGACATCAGACAAGTATTTTGGAAAGTATCCCTTTACCCTGTAGTGAAGCACAATAAATGAACAGCCAGCAAATGGCTCCCCTCCCCGACTGCTCAGGACACACAGAATACTTACGCCCGTATTTAAAAAGTAGTCCAAGCCTTTCTGGGGTTACTAGTGTTGCTGGGGAAACAGCAGTCGAGAAATGGGCTGCCTCAAGAAAAAAAAAAAGTAAGTGACTAAGTCCTAGTTACAGTGTTATAAGAGGAAACACACATATTTATGGGAGAAGCACTAGTTAATTTTCAGAAACTAGAGAGTGGTGGATGGGAAAGTGTAAGGGGAGACATAAACTAATTTGCGACAATAAATGGCGATGCGTTTTTCTCCCTCTGCCTGAACGAGTCTGCACCTAACCAAATCATTTAACTTCCTTCTGGCTCTGCCTCCTGGCGAGTAAAGTGCAAGTAATAGTGTTGACCACTCTGTAACTTCTTTACAGGAGTGTTATGAAAAAAATAGAATTAATTCAGTAACCACAAAGGTGTTTAAGATTCACAAGTGAATATTCCTTTTGGGTTATTAATAAGAGTGACTGCACTATCCCGTAGAGAATACAAATAAGGAATCACAGCCTACTGCAGTTTTTCCTAGAATCAGACACCGTGAACGTTAAGTACAGACTGAATAATCTTGTGCTACTTTTCTCCGCACAGAAAGAGGAGAAACTTCTCCCAGTCTTCCCTCCTCCAGCCTCAGCTTTCTAAACATGGTTAAAGTAGAATCTTTCTATAAAAATGGAGGCTAAGAAAGAGATGTGCTTGTAAGATGCAGGTTAAAGAAGCATTTTGGTCTGTTTATAGTTTAGATCTGTGATACTACCAAATATCTTCAGAGTTGGTCTTTGTAGGTTTACTGTGCCATTTGGCGTGATGAGAATAAATCTTGTTCCCCACGGTTGGTTGGTAGTAGCCTCCTGGAATTCAGCGTGGAGTAGGGTTCTGAGTCCGCATGGTGTCTGGCAGGATCCTCCTCTCTGCTGATATAGGCAAATTCTGGGGGCATTTTCACCTGGGTCGACTCAGGGAATCGGTTATAGGTGGTGAAGATCAATGAGACAAGCAGCCATAGAGAAATATTTCATTGCCCCCATGGATGGTCATGTCAGCTTTCAATCTGATATGTACAATTTGAAAACTCTTACAAACAATATTTTTAAAAAATTCAACATAGTGATTATTTTAAAGATTCCCCTCAAGTGTCATGAATGACTCATCATTCTTTTAGAAAGCCTTGAGCCTACTGGACCCAAATGACATTAACTTCCCACCTGGACTTACATTTAACACATATCTCCGGTTCTCGTTAGCATTGACAACCATGAAATAAATTTCAGTCATTTTTTTTCACACAAGAGTGCATAATTGAAAGGTTTGTTTTGCTACTAAAATCGTTATCTACCAATTACTAGTGGAGGATGCAGGAGTGGGCTCGAGGAGAAAGGATAAACCAAGCAGGGTGTTCCGTTTGCGACCTCCATCGGCACACGAGTCCTGCCAGCAGGAAGCCGTGTACCACATCAGGACACTCTTGTCCATTTCTCACGACCAGATCCCACACACTCAAAGAACAGATCCTTTAACAAAACAATATAACTTCAAGAAAGTTGTAAATATTAAAGATGCAGTCTTCAATTATGCCCAGAAGACTCAAAAGTAGGCAAGCCATACGTACTTTTTCGGCAGGTAATTTTCAAAAAGCAGAACCTGTGGGCAATATCAATAGATTATTTTTAGATGTAAAGTTTTTTATTTCTCTGCCAATGAGCTTTATTCAGAAGTCATTTAAGACACGTAGGTGGGGCCATGGTAGTCTTTCTCTCCACTGCTCTGACCACAGTGGCTCAGCTGTTATCTTTTGGGTAAGACTTACATTGCTTTCTTTTTGTACAAGTGTTTTTTAAAATTTATTTTAATAGACAAATACTAGTTGTGTATATTTGTAGGGCACAATATGATGTTTAGAGCTATGTACACATGGCAGAGAGATTCAATCAAGCTAATTAACGTATTCATCATATCACCAAATTTTCATTTTTTTGGTGGCAAAAACATTAAAAATCAATTATCTTAGCAATTTTTAAAACAACTTTATTGAAATATGGTTGACATACAATAAGCTCTGCTTATGTAAACTGTACAGGTTGATGAACTAACATCTATACACCTGTGAAATGATTACAATTAAGAAAATCAGCATATACATAACCACCCAAATTTCCTCATACCCCTTCTTAATGCATTGCTCCTGTCCCTCTTTGTGTTGGTTAATTCTGTGTTAACTTGGCTAGACCACTGTGCTCATATATTTGGTCAAGCATTATTCTGGTTGTTTCTGTGAAGCTGTCTTTTAGATGAGATGAACATTTAAATCGGTAGACTTTGAGTCAAGCAAATTGTCCTCTATAGCATGACTGGGCGTCATCCAAGTAGTTTAAGGCCTTAACAGAACAAAGATTGACTTCCCCGAAGCAAGTACTTCTGCCAGCAGACTGCCTTGGGACTCAGAATGCAAACCCTCCCTGGGCCACTAGTCAGCTGGCCTTACCCTGAGGATTTTGGCCTTACCCTGTGGATTTTGGACTTGCCTCTCCACAATCGCGTGAGCCAATTCCATAAAATAAATTCAACCTTTCCTGTGTGTATACATACATGCGTACATACATATACACAAACATACACCCTGTTGGTTCTGTTTCCCTGGAAAACTCTAATATACTCCCTGTCCCTGCCCTCTCCCCACACCTGTTCCCGAGGCAACAACTGATCTGCTTTCTGTCACAAATGATTACTTTGCATCTTTAAGAGCTTTATACATATGAAATAATGCAGTATGTATTTCACGTTTTTTTTTATTTGCTGGCTCCTTGCATTCAGCACAATAATGTTGAAATTCATGAATGCTTTTGCATGTATCAATAATTCCTTTTTTAATTGATGAATCATGTAGCATAGTATGTTTATATCACAATTTTTTCTTATTTATTTATTTTGAGACCAGGTCTTGTTCTGTCACCCAAGCTGGAGTGCAGTGGCTCGATCATAGCTCACTGCAGCCTCAACTTCCCAAGCTCAAGTGACCCTCCTGCCTCAACCTTCTGAGTAGTTGTGACCACAGGCATGTGTCACCATGCCTGGCTATTTTATTATTATTATTTTTTGTAGAGATGGTGCCTGACTGTGTTGCTCAGGCAGCTCTCAAACTCCTGGGCTCCAGCTATCTTCCTGCCTCTGCCTCTCAAAGTGCTGGGATTATAGGGGTGAGCCACCGCACCAGGCCAATACCACAGTTTTTAAAAAATCTATTCACCTGTTGGTAAGCATTTAAGTTTTTTCAAGTTTGGAACTATTACAAATAAATTTGTCCTGAACATTTGTGTGCAAGTTTTTCTACGGACCCATGCGTTTAATTTCTCTTGGGCAAATGCCCAGAAGTGGAATGGCCGTGGGGTCATATGGTAGATGTATGTTGCTAATACGGGCTTTTAACTCTGTGTGGTTTTCTATTATATAATAGAGCGGTCAGAAACTCAATTTATCATTCTCATAAATTCTAGCTGTGAATTATGATTTGTTTCATTATTAGAGTTGAACTCAACTTTTTGAATGACTATTTACAAGTGTGTCTTGGAAAGTCCAGGGGAAATAAATCTACACTTTCAAGTTCTGAAAAATAAACTCATTTCAGTTTAAAAAGAGTATTGTTTCATATTCTTTACACTTAACTGCAGTCAATGAAGAATAGAATTAAAATTCATAATCTGGCAAAAATAGAATTTAAAACTTTTTATAGGTGTGAAACATTTTAAATCTGTGCTTGTCTAAAAAGTAAACATAGCTGTTTTTTCCCATTACTGAGAAGTCTGTAGTTCGATGTAGGACTTGGTTTAGCAGAGCCAAACCAGTATTTATGGAGAAAAATGCCACATTTTTACCATTGAAATAGAAGTGCGTGGACAGGCAGCAAATTCCCTGGAAACTGACAATTAGGTAACTTGCTCACTAAAGGCACTATGCCCAAACTGTTTGCTTTTCTGTTTCTCTTAGATTCAGATTTGTTTGTCTTTATGTGTAATAAGGAGGTTGGCCACCAAGTGATGTTTTCATCATCAGCAAGCTTATCTTTCAGAATCTTCCTTGTTGGCAAATGTAGTGACTCAGAAGGAAAGCGTATTAAGTTCTGGGAGTCTAAGAGAAACATTATTTGAAGTGGTATTATCATTGCTCTATAAGTGAATTCCTGGATCATCTCTAGCATCAGAAAGATAATTTTAAAATAAATAAAATAAAACCAATGAGTTATTGAGCCCCAAGGCACCATCAGATAGGAATAGTAATAAATCAGGCTGATAGCCTTAAAACAGCCTCTGATTTTTCTTACTAATCAAATGAGAGCAGAACCCAGCTATCACTGCAGGAGAAAAGCCAAATTTAATTAGCTTATCCAACAATGTCATTTAGTAAATCAAAAGGCTTTGAAAGGTCAATGAATCTTGCCCTTATCCTCTCATTATCTTCTGTCACTAACGAGGTATCATTAACCAGCCCCACAGCAACAGTTATTTTAGTGCCTGGCAATAGCTCGCTATAGTTAGTGACATCCTGTGCTACTTCAAAAATGGTCGTGCTTGAAAAAGTCTATTCTTTTACTTGCAGTTCTGCTTTAAAACTTTAACATTAACCATAAAATTCATCAGTATTGGTGCCAACTCCAAACACAGTAACTTAAGTAAATCTTCACCACAGATTTATTTATTCACTGTCTATATTTATTAAGCACCTATGATGTGACTAACTCACTCTTTGGTAGTTACTTTGGCAACAGCGATGAGCTGCATTTGAATGAGTGTCTTCTCTGTGTGCTTAGGATTTGCTTATTCTATAAGACTGTTGGTGAGTAGAACATCAAGTCATACAGGCAAGGCCTTGCCTCCCATATTGCTTACCATTTTTTTTAAGAGGGAAGAGACACAATTGGGAATTTTGGTAGTAGCCCCAACAATGTGGGATTACAGTTGACTGGCTGAATAAACTGGCAATGAGATGGGAATTCAGAGGGAGAGCCAGGCTTCTGGAGGCCAGAGACTGTGAGGAAGGAAGACTGTTGGAGGAAGACGTGACCCTTAAAGATGGCTGCAAGTGGCTTATGAGAAGAGGAAACTTCAGGGGGAAATTCGTGCAGAGCAAAGAGGTAGATACAGGGTTATGTTTAGAGGACAGCAAGTTGAATCAACTTTGTTAGAGCGGCAAATGCCTCAGGGGCAGTAATTCCCAAACAGCTTTCAGCCACACACCGTTTCTGCATAGGATGAGATGATGATGATAACTAAAAACAACAGCAGTAATAGTAGTAATATAAATAGTAACACACACAATTTCAATGTGATATGCAGTGTTTTTACATAAGTGCTTTTCATATATTAATTAATTTAATCATCCTAACAGACCTATGAGGTCGTATAGTCACCATCTCCCTTTAACAGATGACAAAAGTTAAGTGCACATGGTTTAAATAAGACCATCCCAAGGTCACTCAGCAAGAAATGGGTTAGCTGGAATTTGGGCTCAGACACAATCCTGCCTCTCCAGGTCACTCAGCAAGAAATGGGTTAGCTGGAATTTGACTCAGACACAATCCTGCCTCTCCAAGCAATGGGGCCTTTTTCCATGAAAACATACTTTCTGGATTTCCCACACAATTTCAGAGGGTTTATTGACTTCACAGACTCCAATACCTTCAGGTTACATAGTTTTGATCTGTGGAGTAGTTGGTAAAAATTTCGCATTCACACTGGTACATGACAAAGTGAGATGTTTTCTGTAGAAAACGAGGAACAGTAAACATTGCTAAGCAGGAAAAGGACGGGTACTTACAAGAATGGAGAGAGAGTAACAATTGCTAATTGAATAACATGTTTCAGTTTCTGTGACAGGCACTTGCAGTATTATGTCACCTAATCTCCCAGCATCCAAAAAGCATTGTGTTTTTCCTGCCCCTCGCCCCTGAGCTTTTTACTTACAGGCCAGAAACCTGGTCTTCTGAGAGTGTAATTTCCCCAAGGGTGTGGTAGCAGGCAGGATCTGTGCCCACCGCTCCTTCCCCATCTGCAAGGAACATGGAATCTTTGCTTTTTATCAGTTATGTGCATCCATGCATCCAGCCCTCAGCTTCTGTTAACTGCCCGATAATGGCTCACACCAGTCAGCTTCAGATACTGCTCTTGGGCAATGAGTTGGCTGCTCAACTAGTAAAGAGGACTAGAGGGCCTGGAAGTTCAAATCACCCTGAGCACCACCACCGCCAGTGCCAGTACACCCAGTACTATGCTCTGAAGCTGGACAAGGCTCTAGAGCCCCCCTGCAGAGACCAGCTGATCCTAGGACTCCATCTGCAGTCTCACCCTTGCTAAGCTTTCCCTTCTCTGTCTTGCCTTCCTGACTCCTGAGAGCATTAACTAATAAATATCTTGCACTGGAAACCCTGCCTCGGAAACTGCTGGTGAGAGGATGCATACTTCCATGCTCAGGCCAGCTGGACAACCTAAAGGTCACCAAGCTCAGCTCTGATCTGCGTTTCCTGGCCTTAGTCACAGCGAAGGAACTAATGGCCACAGATGGGAGGGATAACAGCATCCATGAAGAATCAGTATCTAGAAATTATTTATATTTAGCTTCATTTTTGCTAAGTAATTCTATGAACTCTTACAAGTGAGAACTTGTAAAGTAAAAACATTTGAAGATTAAGTTAAACAGAGCATAAATTATATTATATTATACATTATTCTTCAATATGATCTCTAACGACTTGGTTTTCGAGTATGTGGATGGCAAATATGTGGATTACACAAACCATTACTAAAATGAGCTGCATAAATTCCAAAAGGCTTCTAATACTAGCCCAAAGGTGAGAACTCTTGAGTAAATTTAAATATTATGTATGAGGGTGACTCCAAAGGGAACAGGATAAGCAACTGTCCCAATAACACATGACACATTGACAGGCCCCACTAGTGTGCTCTGGCTTAGTGTGTTGTGGATGTTTGGAGCTGTATGTTACCTTGTCCTGTCTGTGAATCATGGATTGAAAGATCATTAGTGTATCCCTTTGCCACATATGGTAACGACTTGTGTTCAGTCTGAAGCTCCAACAAGTCGATGATAGATGAAGTGTGGATAGCCGCATATGTGAGCAGTGTGGTCACTAGTGGCAATACCAGGAAGAAGCTGCAGATATACAGTGAAATTCAATTCCAGACATGTGTTTATATTGACTGTGGTGTTTTGTGCTTAATTTTTCTTTAAGAAAAAAATACTTTAAGAAGAAAATACTTAGAAAGTTCTGTAACACATAGGATTTGACAAAAGCAAGCACATGGATAATCATAATTTATTATGTAGCTTTTTTCTTCAACAACTCACAGATGTGAATTTATTTTCATTATATATACTTTTTTCTCTGGAACACTCACTAAGACAAAGATGCTCAGATTTTTGAAGCAGTATTTTTTCTTTCCTTTAGGAAAACCTCAACATGATTTTTTTAAAGTATTACCGTTTGTGTTGGGGAAAGTTATTTCTTTTACTAAGAAGCAAGAACAAAATAAACATGACTTTAGTAGCACCTTTCATGTTTTTACATCAAAATATTTTATATCCTTCTAAATTATTCATTGTATTCCTTCACTAGGTACACATACAGGATTTTAAAAATTTTTTTATATTTGTGAAACAGAGAAATCTGCCACAAGAAAAATGCTGTGAAATGGAAAACAAAAACAAAAAACAAACAAACAAAAAAACATAAAGCAGAGAATCTCTAGAAGTGAGTGTGAAAGAAGTGTTGAGATGAAGAATGTTCCAGAGAAAGCTGCCTCCTTTCTTTATGAATGAAGTCGTGACTTTCAATTGCAGGCCTGTGTTCTGCAATGAGCTTATGGGTCCCAATCTGAAATGTCATGCTTTTGTCCAAACTACATAGGACTTATTTTTTACACAAATAATCAGATGAAGATTCCCCTATTGGGAAAAAGAACAATATTCTTGAAACATAAACATTAGCAGTAATATGAAGAAAGCTGTAAGAAAAATAAACTGCCCTTTAGAATGTCTTTTTGTAAATAGAAGCAATGTCTTCTGTTGAAACCACCTCTGCCTTTTACAAAGCTGCTGTCTATAATTCAATTATTTCTCTGCCACGCATTGAACACCGGTAGCTTCATCTTTTGATTTTCTAGGGTTTGTTTGATCAGAATCTCTGAAAATGCACTCATGTGAACTTCTGTCAAGTGCCTGAATGACAGCAAAAGAATGTTTGGAGATGGAAAAAATCAGTGCATATGGGACTGAGTGACAACTTCTTAATGGAAACCTAAAAAGGGAGATTTCTAGCCAAAATGTTTAATTACTGCTTATTTGAGAGAGGCCAAGCCATCTGTTGGCTGGGATCTTGTCCCCACCTTTGGGGATTGCCTGGTGATTGGTTGGCCATGTGTAAGAGAACCATCTCCAACTGACATCTGTCATCAGTCAAACACCCAACTGTAAAGATGAGCAAAGTTGCTATCGGCTGTCAATGGGCCATATGGAGCAATGAGTAAACGAACAGAAAGCAACCACATCACACTGACTCCGGGTGTTTAAACAGGCAAACCAACATGCCACTCACCAGCCCAGCCACCACATCTAGATTGCAGCCCTGGGACACACTCTGCAAAAGAGGGTGTGGGAAGCGGGGTCATGGCTATGGGTTAGAAGCCTTCTTGTCTTAATCTTTGCTGGAAAGTTGAATGGACTAAATAAGTAAGTAAATAAATAAGTTAATCCATCAGTCAAGAAGTGTATGTATGTTAGGGTGGAATAATAAGAAATCTACAAACAGAGATATGCTGATGTCAGAAACATTAGCCCCAGGAGTGCCATCAGTAGGGTAAAGTCTGTCCTTGTTGAGAACTAAGGCAAGAATACCCATGAACAGGCTTGAACAGTCTCGATTTGTCTTGGAGAGCCTTGTACAGACAAGCCATTGCTAAAGATGATTATTTTAATGCAAATACAAATAAAGTGTGTTTAAATACTTGACAAATATGGCTGTGATCTTAACATCATGTTCACATGTTCGCATGACAGTAGACTCTCCCAGTAGCTTTGTACAGGTGTTTTCTATTTGTTTAAGATTTTATCCAAGAGAACGTCTTACAGGGAATTACCTAACTTAAAGAGCTATCACATAGCCTTCAAACTGTGGAAAGCATTCATAGTGTCTAAGTGAAATTAGAACTTGATACTGAGTTATCGTTTCTAGAACTGGAGTCAGGAGCATGTGGTTGGTAGCACCTTTATGTGACTGAAGAATTAATTTGCAGCCCTAAGATTTTAACTTCATTTAGTTGTAGATATTAATGAATTTACTTCAGGGGTCTTCAGTCCTGACTATGCATTAGACTAATTGAATAAAAATCCCAGAGAGTGGGTTCCAGATATAAACATGTTTTTTAAAACTTTATCAATCATTCAAATGTACAGATAAGAGCCATTACTTATAAATTCAGTTCAGCGGAATTTTGAGTCAAATTTAATGAAGCCATTATGAAATGTGGACTTCAGGAGACCCAGCCTGCCCGCAAGCAGACAGAGGTCTAAAACAAACTGGCTTTGTCAAAATACATCCAGTTGCACCCATGCCTTGTGTGAACCCAGGAATCCTGGGGCTTCATCTTTCCCAGCAATTTCTGTGCACATCCATTTCATACCAATTATTTTCTGCATGAATATCTGGTCAGCACTTCAGTTCTATTGGGACCCAAGCTCTTCTGTGAACCCCCAACCATCTTTAAATTCCTCTGAGGTCACAATAGTGCCACCTGCCCAGACATGGCCAGCTACCTGAAACTTTTGCCAGGCTGGGTCTCCCTGATCTCCATGGCCACCAGAGGAATAGTGGTAGTATTAGGTTGGTGCAAAAGTAATGGCAGTTTTTGCAAATAATGGCAAAAACCACAATTACTTTTGCACCAACCTAATAGCTGCCATGCATGGAGTGCATGCTACATGCAAGCACTATGCCACCTGCTTTGCACAAATCCCTTTTGATCACATAGCAAGTTTGTAAGATAAGAATTCAGGTAAAGATTGTTGTTACTGTTTTGAAAATAAGAAAAAATAATTTGGTTGTATAACTGCAGTGCTAGATTTCATCCCAGGTCTCTTTGACTCCAAAGCCTGCATTTATCTGTTTTGGCCACTAACATTGGTCTACAGTTCCCTTTCCTCAAACTTGGACCTAATTACACTAGATCAGGGCCCAGGTCTGCAGCCCTGCTCCCAGCAAGCTCCACGCAATTCCACTGGCCTCCTCCTTCCCACTGGACCATGGTTCTGGATCCATCACATCCCAGCTGAGGTCTAACAGGCACAAATCCACAGACTATCTTCTCATTTACCACTGACCAATACAGGAGTCCAGGTTCCTCTGACCCTTCTCCATCCCGGATTTTGCTTCTCCTGATTGTCAGTACGCTTCACTATAGGTTGGTCTATGTTTAAGTGCTTTACGTTTAACCACTAAAATAAAAAGAGCCTAATACATGGATTGACTTCCCCATTGTCTTTGGAGCAAAATTGTTTCTTATTGAATCTATTAATAAATGATTTTCATTAAAAATCTTGAGGTTGGCTGGGTGCGGTGGCTCATGCCTGTAATCTCAGCACTTTGGGAAAACGAGGTAGGTGGATCACTTAAAATCCAGATTTCGAGACCAGCCTTGCCAAGATAGTGAAACCCTGTCTCTACTAAAAATACAAAAATTAGCCGGGCATGGTGGCATGTGCCTGTAGTCCCAGCTACTCTGGAGGCTGAGGCAAAAGAAACACTTGAAGACAGGAGGTAGAGGTTGCATTGAGCCAAGATCATGAAACTGCCCTCCAGCCTGGGTGACAGAGCAAAACTTCATCTCAAAACAAAAACAAAAACAATTTTGAGATTTATTCTCCTTAAAATAAAAGGTGAGTGGCCGGGCGCGGTGGCTCACGCCTGTAATCCCAGCACTTTGGGAGGCCGAGGCGGGCGGATCACGAGGTCAGGAGATCGAGACCATCCCGGCTAAAACGGTGAAACCCCGTCTCTACTAAAAATACAAAAAATTAGCCGGGCGTAGTGGCGGGCGCCTGTAGTCCCAGCTACTTGGGAGGCTGAGGCAGGAGAATGGCGTGAACCCGGGAGGCGGAGCTTGCAGTGAGCCGAGATCCCGCCACTGCACTCCAGCCTGGGCGACAGAGCGAGACTCCGTCTCAAAAAATAAATAAATAAATAAATAAAATAAAAGGTGAGTAATCTTGAATTACATACTCTAGTAATATTTATTTAATTTACTCAGAAGCAGTGAAATTCTACGTGCAATGTAAATAGGGCAATTTGTTGTTTTTTTTTTTTTTAAGGACAGGGTTTCAATATATTGTGCAGGCTTGTCTTAGACTTTTGTTTTTTTTTTTTCTTTTTTTTGAGACAGTCTTGCTCTGTTGCCATGGCTGGAATGCAGTGGCATCATCTCGGTTCACTACAACCTCCATCTCCTAGGTTCAAGAAATTTTCACGCCTCAGCCTTCTGAGCAGCTGAGACTGCAGGCATGCACCACCACGCCTGGCTCACTTTGGTATTTTTAGTAGATACGGTGATTTGTCATGTTGACCAGGCCAGTCTCAAACTCCTGGCCTCCAGCAATATGCCCACCTCAGCCTCCTGAAGTGCTGGGATTGTACTTGTGAGCCACCATGCTGGGCCTGGTCTTGAATTCTTGAGCTCAAGTGATCCTCCTGTCTCAGCCTCCCCAGTAGCTGAGACTAGAGGCTTGAACCACTGCACCCAACCAATTTGCTTTTTTATTTGGAAGTGCAACAAATAAACATCACAGTGGACTGAAAAACCACATCTCTATCTTAAATTCTAAGCTGTCTCTAGAGTTCAGCTACAATTCCTTAAATGAATGCATTCAGGGTAATTGTTTGGTACTTTCAATACATTTATGATATGGCTTGGCTGTGTCTCCACCCAAATCTCATCTTGAATTGTAGCTCCCGTAATCCCAGGTCATGGGAGGGACCTATTGGGAGGTAATTGAATCACAGGGGCAGGATTATCCCCTGCTCTTCTCATGAAAGTGAATGAATCTCATGCAATCTGATGGTTTTATAAAGGGCAGTTCCCCTGCCCATGCTCTCTTGCCTGCTGCCACATAAGACGTGCCTTTAGTCTTCCATTGCCTTCTGCCATGATTTTGAGGCCTCATCAACCATGCTGAATTGTGTGTCAATTAAACCTCTTTCCTTTATAAATTACCCAGTCTCAGGTATGTCTTTATTAGCAGCATAAGAATGGACTAATACAATTTATTTGCTTAAAATGATATGCTTTTGTTTTAAAAATGATACATACTTGCTGCTATGGTTTGGCTGTGTCTCCACCCAAATCTCATTTTAAACTGTAGTTCCCATAATCCCCACATGTCACGGGAGAGACCCGGTGGGAGGTAATTGAATCATGGGGTGATTTCCCCCATGCTATTCTCATGATAGTAAGTTCTGAGAAGATCTGATGGCTTTATAAAGGGCTTCCCCCTTCACTGGACATTCATTCTTCTCCTTCCCGCTGCCATGTGAAGAACGATGTGTTTGTTTCCCATTTCAGCGTAATTGTAAGTTTCCTGAGGCCTCCCCAGCCCTGCAGAACTGTGAGTCAGTTAAACCTCTTTCCTTTATAAATTATCCAGTCTCGAGCAGTTCTTTATAGCAGCGTAAGAATGGACTAATACACTAAATTGGTACCGCGTAGTGGGGCACTGCTGTAAAGGTACCTGAAAATGTGGAAGCGACTTTGGAAGTGGGTAACAGGCAGAGGTCGGAACAGTTTAGAGGGCTCAGAAGAAGATAAAAAAATGTGGGAAAGTTTGAAACTTCCTAGAGATCTGTTGAATGGCTTTGACCAAAACGCTGAGAGTGATATGGACAATGAAGTCCATGCTGAGGTGGTCTCAGATGGAGATGGGGAACTTGTTGGGAAGTGGAGTAAAGGTCACTCTTGCTATGCAAAGAGACTGGGGACATTTTGCCTCTGCCTTACAGATCCGTGGAAATTTGAACTTGAGAGAGATGATTTAGGGTATCTGGTGGAAGAAATTTCTAAGCGGCAAAACGTTCAAGAAGAAGCAGAGCATAAAAGTTTGGAAAATTTGCAGCCTGACAATGTGATAGAAAAGAAAGCCCCATTTTCCAGGGAGAAATTCAAGCAGGTTGCAAATGTTTGCATAAGTAATGAGAAGCCAAATGTTAAGCACCAATAAAATGGGAAAAATATCCCCAGAACATGTCAGAGACCTTCACGGCAGCCCTTCCCATCACAGGCTGGAGGCCTAGAAGGGAAAAATGGTTTCCTGGGCTCCCCTGCTGTGTTCAACCTTGAGGCTTTGTGACCTGCATTCTAGCCACTTCAGCTGTGGCTAAAAGGGGCCAACGTACAGCAGCTCAGGCCATTGCTTCAGAGGGTGCAATCCCCCAGCCTTGGTAGCTTACATGTGGTGTTGAGCCTGTGGGTACACAGAAGTTAAGAACTGAGGTTTGGGAACCTCCACCTAAATTTCAAAGGATGTATGGAAAAGCTTGGCTGTCTAGACAGAAGTTTGCTGCAGGGGCAGGGCTCTCATGGAGAATCTCTGCTAGGCCAGTGTGGAAGGGAAATGTGGGGTTGGGGTGCCCACACAGAGTCCCCACTGGGGCACTGCCTAGTGGAGCTGTGAGAAGAGGACCACCTTTCTCCAGACCCCAGAACGGTAGATCCACTGACAGCTTTCACCGTTCGCCTGGAAGAGCTGCAGACACTTAACTCCAGCCTGTGAAAGCAGCCAGAAGGGAGACTGTACCCTGCAGAGCCACAGGGATGGAGCTGCCCAAGGCCATGGTAGCCCACCTCTTGCATCAGCATGACCTGGATGTGAGATATGGAGCCAAAGGAGATCTTTCTGGAACATTAAGGTTTAATGACTCCCCTGTTGGATTTCAGGCTTTCATGGGACTTTTGTTTTGGCCAGTTTCTCCCATTGGAATGGATGTATTTACCCAAAGTACCCCCATTGTATCTAAGAAGTAACGAACTTGCTTTTGATTTTGCAGGATCATAGGCAGAAGGGATTTGCATTGTCTCAGGTAAGACTTTGGACTTGGACTTTTGAGTTAATGCTGGAATTAGTTAAGACGCTGGGGGACTATTGGAAGGGCATGATTGTGTTTTAAAATGTGAGGACATGAGATTTGGAAGGAGCCAGGGGCAGAATGATATGGTTTGGCTGTGTCCCCACCCAAATCTCATCTTGAATTGTAGTTCCCATAATCTCCATGTGTTACGGGAGGCACCCGGTGGGAGGTAATTGAATCATGGGGGTGGTTTCCCTCATGTTATTCTTGTGATAGTGAGTAAGTTCTCATGAGATCTGATGGTTTTATGAGGGGCTTTCCCCTTTACTAGGCTCTCATTCTCTCTCCTGCCACCCTGTGAAGAGGTGCCTTTGACCATGATTGTAGGTATCATGAGGCCTCCCCAGCCATGTGGAACGGTGAGCCAATTAAACCTCTTTCCTTTATAAATTACCTAGTCTCGAGTATGTCTTTATTAGCAGCATGAGAATGAACTAATACACTTGCAATCTAAAATTTGGAAAAAGTAGATAAAAGAATAATTATGAAAAAACTTAATATTTTAATTAAAGTGTTATATTTGATTTTACTCAAATGTATTGGAAAAAAGAAACTGAAATAAAATAAAGAACTTATTGAACTTAGAATAAAAACATTGTCTCAACATATATATTTCAATTATAATGTTCACAGCCACAGAACTAATTATATTTTATATTATATTTTATATATATATTCTTAAAAATCCCCATAAAGTTAACATTTTTCAAAAACTTTAGAAGGTGGGTCATTATAGAAAAAGTGATAAATCACTTTCTAGAAAAGAAAATCATGGTAAAGTCATTATATTTTCTGGCTATCATAAATCCAAAATGATTACACTTGAATTGAGAATATCAGTCAGCCTTCCTATGAATTAACTGAATACTGTTTGTTTGACTTTGTTATTTCAAAAGACACTGCTCTTTAAACTCCATCAATTGCTAACAAATTATGTCAAAATTTTATTTTGAGATCATGATTTATTTTCATGTTCTTCTTAACCTTCCTTTATAATTGCCTTACATTTTTCTTGACAGAATAAGCACTCATTTTGTATGATGCTATCTATTTTCTTCTTGAAGACACTTTCATGTAGCCCTCAGACTTTGTGTTCTAATTTGGAATGATTATTTCTATGCCAGCAGTAAAGAAGTTATTCTGAGATTTATTTTTTCTTCACAGTCATAAGTTAGTTCCATCTTCCTTGAAACTGATATCCTCTTTTTTCTCAGATTCCTTTTTGGCTTTGTTTCTTAGATTTTTGAGAAAATTGTTTATAGTTTTTAAAAAGGTGCATGTCCAAATAAACTTTTTGAGCCTCTTTATGTTTGAAAAGCACCTTAATTTTTCTCTTATGCATGATTTTCCTGTTCGCCGTTGTTCCTCCACTGTTGTCAATGATTAGATTTTGTTAGTGAGAAGTCTGATGCTTAATATTTGCTCTTATTTTAAAAAACAAATTTTAGAATTTTTCTTTATCTGCCGACTTCTGAAATGTTCTCCTGTGTGTGCGTGTACGTGTGTGTATATAGGTGTATATATATATACATATACACACACAATATATATACACAAATATATGTGTGTGTGTATATATATATATATATATGGGGTTTTTCCTGCTTTTTAGGTATTTCTACAAGTTTTGGTTTACTAACAATACCCTTCCTTTTCATTGGCAGTGCCATTTTTGTGATTATATTTATGAGTAATATAGTCAGTGCTCTGTCTTAAACTAGCATTTCATATTTGCTGTTATATTTGGCACTAACTGCTCTAGGAAATACAAATATTGGTAAGACAACCTTGCTATCCATAAGTAAATAAAACCTGCAAATAAATAATTGCAACACAGGGCTTTGGGGGTCCTTATCCTAAGTGTTTTGTATTGCAATTCTTAAGTGGTAGGTCTGAAGAAAAAAAAAGATCTTTTTCTATTGTAATAATCAAGAAAGGGTGCATAAAAGAAGTAGCATTTGAGTACAATGTGTAGGGACTACAGTGGTAGAAAAGAATGCAGTCTGGATGAGTGAGAAGGGAAGCACCAACCAAGAAGAGATGAAGGGCCAGATTGCAAAGCAGTCAGACAAGGCGTTTATGTGGGTCTTAGGAATTCTAATTTGGGAGACACAGATTCGGCTAGAAGCCAAATTGTGTTCCAAAGAGAGGAAGGGGAGTAGGAACTTTTTAAAGGAAGTGAAGTGTGATTGCACAAGTTGTTTTGAAAGACTGATCATTGGTGGAGGCTGCTAGCAATTTCCTCTGGAGGTGGATTAGGAGTTCTATGAGTTCATAGTTCACTGGGTGTCTCTGTTTGGAAGTTGCAGTGCTGGTGAAATCTAGCTATTTTCCTGGATGTTGTGGTTGTGATGGTTGGGCCTAGGTGAAGGCTCAAGGCAAATTTTTGTTTTGCAAGGGTGCAGGCTGTGCAGGTAGTGCTTCTTGGAGTGACTTTCCAACTCCGCTTCAGAAGTCTGAACCAGAGCAACACCATTTTGAATATCATATTTCAGAGAAAAAGCAAGAGATTGGTGGGGAAGTGTGTGTAAAGGAGGGACAGTACAATGTCTACTCTTGGGGCAGAGGCTAGACTGGTTCGGCTGGAATGGCTATGCTTGTGTAATGAATTGGTGGCACATAAAAAGAAGGGAGGGGGTTTCATTTACTTACTAAATGCCTGAGCACTGATAATGAAGCAGTCAAGAAGCTGAGAAGCCTGGGTGAGTCAGGGTAGGCATGTTCTCTGAGCGCAAAGCCTCTGGGGAGAGATCAGCATGCAAACCAATAATGGAATTCAGGGAAGTGTAATTTAATAAATGTATGTAAGTTTTCAAGGTGACACATATATATATGTGTGTGTGTGTGTGTGTATTTTGTGTGTCTACACATATGTATATTATATATAATATAATCCAGAAGCACTAAAGAAGCAATTTTCTCTGGAGGTGGGTTAGGGGTTGGGGGTGGTTTGTGGAGCACCATCCTTGAGTGCAGTAAAGAGGTTGAACCTCAGTCAGTAGAAAACTGGATGCCATTCGATCATTAAAAAGTCAGGAAACAACAGGTGCTGGAGAGGATGTGGAGAAATAGGAACACTTTTACACTGTTGGTGGGACTGTAAACTAGTTCAACCATTGTGGAAGTCAGTGTGGTGATTCCTCAGGGATCTAGAACTAGAAATACCATTTGACCCAGCCATCCCATTACTGGGTATATACCCAAAGGACTATAAATCATGCTGCTATAAAGACACATGCACATGTATGTTTATTGCAGCACTACTCACAATAGCAAAGGCTTGGAACCAACCCAAATGTCCAACAATGATAGACTGGATTAAGAAAATGTGGCACATATACACCATGAAATACTATGCAGCCATAAAAAATGATGAGTTAATGTCCTTTGTAGGGACATGGATGAAGCTGGAAACCATCATTCTCAGCAAACTATCACAAGGACAAAAAGCCAAACACTGCATGTTCTCACTCATAGGTGGGAATTGAATAATAAGAACACATGGATACAGGAAAGGGAACATCACACACCGGGGCCTGTTGTGGGGTGGGGGGAGGGGGGAGGGATAGCATTAGGAGACATACCTAATGTAAATGACTAGTTAATGGGTGCAGCACACCATGGCACATGTATACATATGTAACAAACCTGCATATTGTGCACATGTACCCTAGAACTTAAAGTTTTTATATATATATATGTATATATATATATACATATATATATGTATAAAAAACTGACAAATCTTTTAAAAAAAAAAGAAAAGAAAACTGGATGCCATTGAAGGCTTTTGATCCTGGGACAGTTGATTTAAATTGTGTTTTATGAATATAAATCTGAGGGTGGTTTATAACAAACAGGAAACAAAACATAAAAGCCTTCAAGGTAATGAAGATGCTCTTACAAAAGTCCACTTGAGAAATTTAAGAGTCAATGAAGAAGGAAAAAAGACAAATCCAAAAGTTAGATAAGCAGAAGAATGGGTGTAAATCAGCTCCTGAGAGTGAGGCAGCAAGGAGTTCAGTAGGAGGATACAAGAAGGAGTGCAGTCAGTGAGAAAACGTCTAAGGCTTTTGCTCTCAGCAACTGGGTGATAATGGTAGCACTCTAAGAAGTAGAAAATTCAAAATACATCATGGTGAGGTGGAAAGCACAAAAACTTTGCACTTGGCAGATCTAATATCAAGTTACGTTTCTGTCCCTAATGTTACAGAAACTTCAAGTCTCTACAATTCTTTGGGCCTCCTTTTTTTCATCTATTAAATGGGTTTGAAGTAGAATATATATTTTTCTAATTTTCAGATTAAAATTCTATCATTTTTTCTTGGTTTAGACATTAGTTTTGGTGTCATTTCTTTAGTATCTTTATTCCATATATTCATAGAACGCGATGCATAAATTCTACTTTATGCAGGCAATGATGTTAATCTCCTGCCTGTACAGTTTACCTTAGGAAGGGTTATTTCTTGAACATCCTTTGTTCTCCCCTACAAATTCCAGAGCAGAAGATCAAATAGGAAACTTTTAATGTGGATTTCAGTTTTATATATAAATCATCCTGTCATTTTGGCACTACAGCTGAGTTTCCTCATATTAACTGGAGAAGATTATGAATAAATTTGCAGCATGCTGCACAGGGGAATATGTGTACATGAAATCATTCTTATTGGCAATTGCTTTTACAATTCACTGCACAGAAAATTTAACACGAGGGCACTGAATCCCACTTCTCACACTTGGGTGAAAACTGAGAGCCACAAACACAGATGTTGAGGAATTGCTGCTACTCTGATTAACCTACCTTCCTTCCAACCCTGTTCAGTTAACCCAGTCCAACACCAAAGGCATCTCTGTTGGCCATGATCTTTAACCAATTTCCCTTAGCTCTCATGCAAAATTATAACCTTTCAGTCTGGTAATCAAGATCTGCCACGCACTGCCTCTACTTCATTCTAGAGCCGCATCCTGAATTTAGAATGGTCTTATGCAGGAGTGAGGAACATTGGATGCACACATTGACCTCTGTCCCATGCCTGTTTCAGGCACTGTCACTTGATTGTGGCATTATTTCCTTCCGAGTTGTAAAACGTGTTCTCAACTCTTCACAGTGTCATGTTCCAGGTTGCTGTTAGCAAGTGGTCAGAGTGAAGATGCAAGTTATGCATCTGCTGTTCTTTGGTGTCTTCTTCCCCCATTACCTTCTCATGGTTAGGACCCTTCAGCTTCTGTCTCTAATCCAGCTCTACTCCAGGCTCTGAGGCCAGTCTTCCCAGTAAGGTTAAAAAATGTAAGAAACCTCACATTAGTATTTTGAAAACTCAGAAATAAGCCAGTCTCCTTATTGGTGCCACTCTAATCTCATATTTTAGCTCTTTTTACTGGGCTTTGACATCTTCCTTGAGATTTTTTGCTTATGGTGTCAGATCTGAGGTCGTATCTTGGTTACTTATTAAGGATACATCCTTATTTTGAGATGTAGTTATTGCCTCACTCTTCCTAGTATCTCTGGGTAGCCAGAGTCCTGTCTCTTGAGGCCAACTGCATGCATAGCCTACCATCTCCTAGAAATGAGGGCTCTCTACTTCTGCTGAATCATACACTTTTTGTCTACAGTGGACCTGGTCATCACCTGGTACCAGGCTTCCTGACACTTCACTACCCAGTTCAAGTTTCTTACTAAAAATAGAATAACACTTAACACTTGTATACTTGTATAGTGTTTCTCAGGTGGCAAAATCTCTCTTTTCCTCCCTACCTTGTATCACATTGTACCTCACCGAGCCCAGTTTTTATACAATTCTACAAGAATTTTCACTTTACCAAATTGATCTCTGTATATGTTTGATAATTTTTACCCTCCTCTGAAGATTTCCTCAGAACGTCCTCAAAACCCTGATTCTTCTCCAAAATGCTTATCTCTCTTTTTCAGCCAGAGACACCTTAAAAGCTCTCACCTTTTAAAATTTTCCTTTTTATTTATTTTAGTTTTCTCAGAAACAAACACTCATATGGACTGACTTACAAGTGGAAACCATGTCTTTGTCTCAGGTGGCAGCAAGGCAAGAGAGTGGATCCTCGTGCCATTACCCACCAGACCCAGGGCTTATATGCCATAGGAAAAGGGCATCTGTGCTTCCAAAGGGATGTGTAGGACAATTGTTTAAGGGCAGGATTTATATGTGCTCTACACAAGGAACAAGGGATAAATTGGAAATCTTAGAGACTTTTTGAGAACTGAAGTTAACCAGAAGTCAACATGGTGGATTAGCATCCAAGATGGAGTTGCTTTAGGCCCACGCTCCACCCTGTAATCTGACTCTTACAATCTCACGTGCTCTCCTCTTCCCCAGTGGACCTTGAGCCTTTAGGGATGGTGCTTGATATTGTATAGCATCAGCAGCAGTGCATTAGCGATGGAAACAGTGGGATTCCAACTGAGGGAGATTCACGGGATCTGATGAATCCTCACTACAGAATACCGTGATTTCAGTTTTTTCACAAGAGGTACATAACATAATGAGATACATAACATTACTAACTTGAATAGTAGAAATATAATGCACACAAGTACAGAACAACAAAAACAAAAAAGAACCTATTCCATTAGGCAGCCAACTAAAAGCATCATGAAGAAAATTAAAACCTGATTCTTCTTTAGAGACTTAAGTGATTCAGAATTCAGCCCAAATTATAGGCAAATATAAAAACTCAAAAA
This sequence comes from Homo sapiens, assembly GCF_000001405.40. Classification (NCBI taxonomy): domain Eukaryota; kingdom Metazoa; phylum Chordata; class Mammalia; order Primates; family Hominidae; genus Homo; species Homo sapiens. Next base: position 107,052,773 of record NC_000013.11, on the reverse strand, counting down.
TAATGGTCAGGACTAGAATCTAAATTTTTCTTCCTTCAGTTTTCTCATTTCTACCAAGGATAAATCACAATAAGACTAATTTATTTGCAAGTAAATTTTAGTCTCATTATATTCAGCCTGATTATTTGTATAGAGTGCAGCAAGAATAGTGATTGGCCATATACGCTCCTTTTAAGTTGGCTTTGCTGGAAGTTTTATAAAGAATTTTGAATTTGGCTTTTCAAAAGCCTTGAGGTCAGAAGCCAGGCCAAGGATTTGCCAACAAACAGATTATAATATCTGTACAGTTTTCTTTCTTCTTGAGGACTCACAATATCTTGAGATTCCTGGGCCTGTTAGAAAGTGCCATTCTTTACTTGCCACAAGTCAAGATCCTTATAAGGGAACTATATAGGCAAGATACCAAACCAGTTTTTCCACAGAACATTTTATCAGCTGTATAAATTCAATCTCAATTCCTCAAAGCAGCCTGGTCATACCCGAAAATGTGCCATTCTATTCAAAGCCTTGGAAAAATAACCAATGTCTCCAAGTATGTCCCATTACAAAAGAAAACAGATTCTTACTGAATTTTATCCAAATAACTGTATTGCCATAAAATCAAGGTACTCATGAATACTTTCCAAATTTGGGGAAATCAGGTAAAGAGAAAGGTGAATTTTGCTCATAGAAGTCCACTTTCCCAATTTCTCTAAGCTGTACAGAGCTCAACAGAAAAAAAAATACATATTTTCTTTACTTTTCTTCCATCAGAGTAGCAGCCTCCAAACAGGATGCTGACCACTCACTCCAGAGCTGCTAGCCACAAGACAAGCAGCTCTTCTTCAGTCAGTCAGGAGTTTTCTGTTGGGCCCTATAGGATCCAGCTGCTTCTCATACAGCTCCAGAGTCAGTCCTAGGGAAAAAGAGGCACCCTGCTCATGAGTATCTCCTTCTAACTCCCCAGGCAGCAAGGTCCTACACAAACCAGCTTCACCTTATCACAGAACAATTCTGGGCACTGCCATCACCATCATAGTGCCTCTGTGACACCACCCCAGACAGCATGGATATCTCAGATGTCATGATCATTCTATGTCCTTCAGTCTCAGGGGTAGACTCAGTTAATGTCCCATCACAAGGCAGTAAATGTCCCTCAAGTGGAAATTCTCCAGCCCAGAGACCCAGTAGTCCTCATTGGGAGGTGCCCACAGATCTTTGGCATAGGCCCCAGTAAATGCTCCATAAAGGACTATCAAGTGGAGAACTTGTCCACACTTCCACTTCTCCTGTACACTCTGTGGGCTTGAACAATCCCACTAGTCCCCATTTAACATGTCCAATTAATATTGCAACATGGATGAATTTACATGCCCTCTGCTTTACAGTACTAGATAAGGGAAATAGTCCCCAGTCCTAGTATCCATTTTCATAAAACATTTAGGTACAGAAGACACAACTACTTTATAGAAAGCCATTTAAACAATCCGACTTTCATAATCCTATCAACATTCACATTTTATGTTCTGGTCCCAGGAATTTCTCCACTCTTAGACCATTTTACCCTCTCTGGTGAAAAAGGATTTGGGTTCCCAGAAACGGGTTGAGTCAAGGGACCTGGGCCTTTAATGCTGAAAGATCAGCAAGGGCTCCCTTTGGTCTACCCAACCTTCAATCATGTTGTTTTAAGACCTTTGTTTTAATCTCATCAATTTTCTTTTTATTCATTCCATGAAACTTACTTTTTAGAGCCAGTGACATAATTAGCTTTAAAGTTCAATAATTATTGGTACTCTGTCTCACAAAATCATAAAGACCCAGGTTTTGGAGGGATACTGAGGGTCAACTATTTCACATATCAACTTGGTATAATATAAAAGATTTTTCCACATTCTTCCCAAGTGTATACCCAGCCCATACATGAACATGACAGTAACAAGGAACTCACTGCGTTTCACCTTTGTAAATACCTAACCATTAAATAACCTCCTTCTCAGTTACCCTGAGTTTAATCTCTTGTAGCTCACATTCATCTCCTTAGCTTTACCCATGGTGGAAACATGTCTATATTGTCTAGTTACTCCACCAAGAAATGACAATTCTTTAAATATAGGTAAGTCTTGTATGTTCCCAAGTCTCTAGGCTTAATATCTTGAGACTTCAATCATTTCAGGTATTTATTCAAGTTATCTCATCATTCTAGGCCTTCCTCATATTGCTTTTGTTATCTTCAGGCTCTTTGGAGTCCATTCTTCTCTGTGTTCCTCCACAGTAATCATCCTCCTTGCTTGGGAGAAAGAAGATGCATATTGTAGAGTTGTTGATTAAAACTGACTTTTTAGTGAGGATGACAAAGTCATAAGCTAGTATCAATATAAGTGTCTGTTTGTATGTGCAGATTCTATAAGAATGTATTTAAATGAGACTTATTTTGGCTCTACTTGAACATCCTATAAAGGAACTTTGAAAAATACTTATGCATTTAAATAAAACATGAAGATAGGCAACTTATCATCACCCACTTGTTCTACATTGAATACTGAAAGTTACCAATTTAAATAAATAAATGGCATGATAGTCATGTGGTAACTTTTAAAAGCTTAAATTATAATGTACACATTAGATTAGATATGGATAACTTCACATTAGATTAGGAATGGGTAAAAAGACAAGAAATGCAAGATGAATTAATTCTCAGTACATACATATCTAATTGAAGAGCTAGTGTATAGGAAATTCTAAAACTAAATAGGCATTCTGTATTTGAGAAGAATGACTGACAGCGATATTAAATAAAATAGTATGGTTTAAAATAGCAAGTTTATGTATTATTAAGAAATTTTTGAATAAAGGTTATAAGAAAAATAATAATAATCTAAATGTGTTCACTTTGAATTATAAAATGGCCTGAAGCAAGCCTAAAAGTTATATACATAGAGGGTAAATTATAAAATTTCACACATAGTACCTAATTCTGAAATGCAAAGGTGCGTTTGGTTTCCTTGAAAAAGGTATCAAGGGACAAACTAACATCCTTAATTTATTGAGCTTCCAAATTGCAAAAACAAAAACAAACCTTTGTACATTAAGTTTTTGTGTACTATTGGAACTACACTGATATTAATTTGAATTGGAATATTTTAAAATAAGAATTGAATTCTAACACTAAGAAAATAGCAAAAAAAATGTAAAACAAATGACAAGGGAATTAAAAACGTGTATTGGAAAATGTGTATCTAACACAAATGAAGTCAGTAATAGAGAAATAAAGGAACAAAAATATATAAAGATATAAGGAATATAGACAATAAATAGCAAGAGGGCAAAGGTGAATTCTACTTTATCAGTCATTACACTAAAAGTAAATGTATTAAGCACTCCAATCCAAAAGCAGAGATTGACATAATGGAAGAATGAGGTGACCCAACCATATGATGTCTAAAAGAGATACATTTGAGATTCAAACAAACAGTAGATTCATGTTAAATGTATTGAAAAATGTATATCATTCAAACTGTAACCAAAATAGGGTTATGATAGCTACTCCAGAAAAAAAAAATGACTTTAGGATAAAACTTTTTTCCTGTAGACAAAGAAGAACATTTTTTAATGATAAAAGTGCCAACCCAACATAAAGACATAACAGTTGTAAACATATATTAATAGGTGCCTAACAACAGAGATTCAAAGTACATGAAAGAAAAGCTGTCAGAATTGAAGGGAGATAGAGGCAATTCAATAATTTTTTTTTTTTTTTCTCCTGGAAGTGGGTCTGGCTCTATCACCCAGGCTGGAGTGCAGTGACACAATCTTGGCTCACTGCAACCTCCACTTCCTGGGCTCAAGTTATCCTTTCACCTCGGCCTCCCAAGTAGCTGGGACCACAAGCATGCGCCAATACACTTAGCTAATTTTTTTGTATTTTTGGCTGAGACAGAGTTTCACCATGCTGCCAAGGCTGGTCTCGAACTCCTGAGCTCAAGCAATCTGCCTACCTCAGCTTTCCAAAGTAGCTGGGATTACAGGCGTGAGCAACCACTCCCAACCACAACAATAATTTTTGAAGACTTCAATACTTCATTTTCAACCACAAATAGAAGAACTAGTTAGAAGTTTCAGAAGGAAATAAAAGACTTGAACAACCCTATAACACCCACGAAATAGAAGAAAATATTTGCAAATCATATTTGCAAATTATGTGATAAGGATCCAGTGTCCAGAATAAATAATGAATTCTTACAATTCCAAAATAGAAAGGCAACATAGTTTTTAAAATGAGCAAAGGATTTGAATAGCCTTTTCTCCAAAAAGGGTATACAAATTGTCAATAAGCACATTAAAAGACTCAAAATTATTAGTCATTTGAGAAATGTAAACCAAAATCACAATGAGAAACTACTTCAACCCACTAAGATAGTTCTAATAAAAAGAAGAGTGGTAGCAAGTGTTGGTGAGAATGTGAAGAATTCATACATTGCTTATATAAATGCTACCATCACTTGAAAAACATTTTGGCAATTCTCAAAATGTTGAAGAGTTACTATATGACCCAAAAATTCTATTCCTATGTAGATACCCAAGAGAATTGAAAATATATGTCTATATAAAAATGTATACATGAATGTCTATATGACCATTATTTGAAATATCTAAAAATTTAAAACAACCAAAACTTCCATCAAATGATGAATGGATAAACAAAATTAGGAATATCTACACAAAGTAATATTATTCAATCATAAAAAGGAGTGAGAGACATATATGCTACAACATGAATGAGCCTTGAAAATATTATGCTAAGTGAAAGAAGCAAGACACCAAGCAAGACATATAGTTTTATTTATATGAATTGTCTATAATAGGTGCATTTATGGAAACAGAATGTACACTGGTGGTTGTGTAGCGTTTAAGGGATTATGAGCAAATGAAGCAGTGACAGCTAATGGACACAGAGTTTCTTGCAAGAGTGATAAAAATATTCTAAAATTGATTGTTGTAATGTTTGCATAACAATATTTTACAAATTATTTTATTGTACATTTTAAATGCGTGAATTGTGTGGTATATGATTTATACCTCAATAAAGCTGTTACATGAATATCTAAATAGATTGGCTTGGAAGACTGAGCAAAATATATATATACATTTGAAAAATTGGTCCCTGTTATTCATTTATTTGACTGGCAATTATGGGTGCCTCCTCCAAGTCTGGAAATATTCCGTGTGTATGGGGATGCACAGGCAACTAAGTTTCCTGCAAGAAACATGGCAAGACAGACATGCAGTCTTTATGGCAGTAGATCATGTGTGCCTGACATATGTCCTCCAGAGTTCCTGTTAAGGCATGCATATGCACAGAAGTACAAAATAAAGGAGCCACAGCGTGATGGAGTGAGGGGGCAAAAACAGGCTGGTCAAGGCACAAGTTCCAGGAAGGGCATTCTGGTGAGCTAGGATGGATTAACAGGCACATTGTGGATAAATACAACCAATGTTCTGACATTTAAGCAAAAAGGGACAGATACTTTGGATAAACGTTTTGGTTTTTTTATTAATTAAATTTTATAAAGGTGAGTAATATTAATCTTATAAGCAGAGAATATTGAGCCCTTATAACTCAGATATAAACCTTAAGTTGATATTTTCACTTGTGAAAATTCTCATGTAAGACTCTGACTACAGTTAATGCTATAGGATACTTGTTAGACAGGAAGAACCAAGACGTTGTATGTGTGATTTTATTTCGTTACAACAATGAAAATACTATAATTATACTACTTACCATTCTAAAACATTTATGCTAACAATTATAAACTTTCAGGTTTCCAATTGAGCCATTAATGAAATAGCTTAATAGAATAATACTCAAAGAGACAAAACAAAAGCTGTTTAGAAAGAGAAAGACAAAAATATCTTGCTGTTGCTCTGGATCTTCAAAATAGACTCATCAGAAGACAAATCAGTTCAGAAGATGGTTCTTTTCTGTCTCCAGTTTGTGTGGACAGAGAGTGATTCTAGTGGTTTGGTGCTGAGATATTTGTTGTTGCCAGTGGAGAGTAGTGCTGGGCTAGGGAAGACCCTTAGTGCAGAAGGTTCTTGGGGAGCTTCCTCCTTGCTTTCCAGAATAGGGAAAAACACAGAAGTTGCCTCTTGCGATTCCTCTACTGGGGTCATCTGACCCTTGTGATCAGATTCAACTCAATGTTTGTTTCCGAGACTCAGCTCCACTTGGTCCCTGCTATGGTTGGAATGTTTGTGTCTCCCCAAAATTCATATATTAAAATCCTCATGAATGGGATTCATGTTCTTATAAAAGAATCCAGAGGGAGTTTTTCACCCTTTTTGCCATTTGAAGTGACAGTGAAAAGACTTCTTTCTATAAACCAACCAGGAAGTGAACCCTAACCAGACACCAAATCCGCCAGCTCCTTGACTTTGGATTTCTCAGCCTCCAGAATTATGAGAAATAAATTTATGTTGGTTATAAGTCACCCAATTTATGGTATTCTATTACAGCAGGCTAGACAGACTAAGAGAGTCCCTTGGACAAGAGCTGATGTAGGTTTAGCCACCTATTTCCAGTTCATGGCTGGAAGCTTCTACTTTTGGGCCAGTTCCTGTTTTCTCAGATAGCTACCTTTGACAAAGTCTTCCTTTCTTTTTAACATTTTCTCTACATGCTTTTCTCTACCCTGAGGTTCCTGGTAACTACCTACAGGCCTTTCCCCTATTTACACCCAGTCTACTCTTCCCTGCAGGACCTATTGTTCTAAATTGCCTTCCTCTGGAGAGAAGAACTCACCCAAAGGGAAACTTTGAAAACTTGCGGACCTGTTTTTTTGCGGTTTTTGTTGTTGTTGTTGTTTGGTTGGTTGGTTGGTTGGTTGGTTGGTTTCCTTAGCAAAGAGGAACCTGGAAGGCTATCTTATGCAAAGCATGGAACTGCCCTGCACAATAAATAATAGTCTCAGTTTTCATGGCTTTCCGCATTTTGTAGGATGTTCGTGTAAAGAAAAGCTTATTGGTAATTTTTTGCTCCTAAAATTTAGTTGTTTAATTATAAATGCAAACTACTGTTATAAAATTCTAATATAGATTGTCTTTTTCAGGAATGCAGCTATGTCTAAAATGAGAAAAACTTTTTTTTTTATCATTATGAACTTTCCTGGGGATTATTTACCATTTAAAAAATATATGGTGTTGTCCATGGTATTTGCATCACCAGCATGAAACATCTGAATCAGTCTGAGTGTTTATCTATTGTATTCATGGAGATTTTACATACAGGAATTTCTTAGCCATTTATGCTGCTATAACAAAATGCTTGAGACTGGGTACGTTTTAAACAACGGAATGTATTGCTCACAACTCTGGAGGCTGGGAAGTCCCAGATCAAGGCACTGGCAGATTTGGTGTCTGGAGAGGGCCTGTTCCTCATAGATGGCCCCTTGTTGCTGAGTTCTCACGTGGCAGAGGGGCAAATGAGCTTCCTTAGGCCTCTTTTATAAGCTCACTCATCCCATTCACAAGGGCTTCATCCTCATGACCTAGTCATCTCCCAAAGGCCTTACCTCTTAATACCAACACACTGAGAATTAGATCTTAACATATGAATTTTGGAGGGACACAAACATTCAGACCATAACAAAGGGTGAGCATCTAATTTCTTCATTTCTTGTAGAGTAGTATGCCTTAATTGAGCCTTTACTTTCTGGAATATATATTACATATAATTATATATAGATTATATGTAATCTATATATATATTTAAGATAGCTATATATATAAACCAGGAGCATCTAATTTCGCCTATGCATTTTATTTCAAGATAATAAGCAAAACATTGCAAAACTATTTATGAATTTAAAAGGAGGGGATTGGGTTTGCAAGCATTGAGAACCACTTCTCGTCACATTTCTGTTTTTGTAGCTGAATTAATTGCACTAGAAATCCAAAAAGCAACGGATTAAACCGATCCAACTGAAGATTCAAATACCTTAGCCTTCTCATGTATGTTTTATTTTATTAATAGTAATCTCTATTCTTGAGCTTCTTCTATGTCTGGGCATTGAACTGCATTGTGTGCGTTGTTTCATTTAATTCCTGCCATAAATCCAGTGGCAGGTAGCATCATTTCTATTTCACAGAAGAGTTCTATAATAAGCACATATGTTAAATGGTGGAGTTAGGATTGGAACCAAGTTCACTTGATTCAAAGGCCTTGTCTTTCCACCACACAAGCTCTTCCTATTTCAAGGTGTAACATCTCAGTCCAAACAGATTTCTACTTGAAAAAGATTTGAACGTTTGCTAAAAATTCTTGCAGAAGCACTTGGGAGAAATGTCTGGGGGCAGTATGCATCACAGCACCACAGCAATCCTCCCCCCTCCACCCGAAAGTAAGAAGTGAATACCCTGAGAAAACCTTCCACCTAGTGATGATGTTATCATATGTCTACAGGAACCTCAAGTGACATTTCCAGCTACTGCCAACAGCTACATGGTAGTGGTTGGGGTGAAGCTGAAGCGATCTCTGTGGCCATCACATGGCAGCTGAGAGCCTCACCTTCTTTATTTAGGAGAGAATTAATTAGTTCAATTATTCTCTCAAAAATAAAAACTGCTCGTTATTTGAAAAAGAAAATTTGATTCAAATTATTATAATTGCTGGTTCACTGAACTCCAAACCTCTCATTAGGATCACAGAAATTTCCCATGCAAAAATTCTGTTTAGTCTTCATTTTTTTTTAGGGTAGCAGATGAATTCACAGAGAAAAGCTTTAGTGTATTTTGATGTCATTAGTATTAAGAAGTGGACAAATTGGTCCAGAAACATTCAACTCTTCCAAAGGCCAATAAAAGAAGACACCAAGAAACAAGACTCACTACAGAGTACTCTGTGCTTTTGCCAACACAGAGTGTGTGTTTCATTCAGCCAAAAATTCCTGCTCTGCTATGTAAATGAAATGTTTTCTAAAGTTCATGCCAAATTTATCTTGTTCGGCACTTTTTAACATTTTGTCTCCCATTTTTGGCTATCCTTTTAAAATAAGAATGTTTTTGAACATCAGTCATTTAAAATCTATTCATGTACTTGATTCATAACCTTGTTTTGGCATTGCAATTTACTGGGTATTCAGATGACTAACTAGTTTGCAAGACTATTTATATGGGTATTATATCATTTGTACAAATTTGATTTTAATTCAGCACTGGTTAATGGGCCATAAAAATAAAGAGTGAGCCAACAACAAAAGGAATATGGTTTATTGCCTGAAAGAATGCCTTGAGACTGTGGTTGCTTGATAAGTTAATAATAGCAAAACATTAACTTCCTCCAAGGCCTTTGTCATCTGTGAAAGCTAGATTGTGTGATACCCGTTTATAAAATCCACTTTAGAGCAATAGCAAGATGGCCACATAGGAACAGCTCTGGTCTGCAGCTCCCAGTGAGATCAATGCAAAAGGCGAGTGATTTCTACCTTTCCAATGAGGTACCCAGCTCATCTCATAGGGACTGGTTAGACAGTGAGTGCAGCCCATGGAGGGCAAGCCAAAGCAGGGTGGGGCGTCACCACATCTGGGAAGCACAAGGAGTCGGGAAACTCCCTCCCCTAGCCAAGGGAAGCTGTGAGAAACTGTGCTGTAAGGAATAATGCATTCCAGCCCAGATACTACACTTTTCCTGTGGTTTTCGCAGCCTGCAGACCAGGAGATTCCTTTGGGTGCGTATACCACCAGGGCCCTGGGTTTCAAGCACAAAACTAGGTGGCCGCTTGGGCAGACACTGAGCTAGCTGCAAGAGTTTTTTTTCATACCCCAGGGGCCGCTGGAATGCCAGCAAGACACAACCGTTCACTCCCCTGGAAAAGGGGCTGAAGCCAGGGAGCCAAGTGGTCTAGCTCAGCAGATTCCATCCCCTATGGAGCCCAGCAAGCTAAGATCCACTGGCTTGAAATTCTCTTTTTTTTTTTTTTTTTTTTTTTTGACAGAGTCTCGCTCTGTCGCCCAGGCTGGAGTGCAGTGGCGCTATCTCGTCTCACTGCAATCTCTGCCTCCCTGACTCATGCCATTCTCCTGCCTCAGCCTCCCTAGTAGCTGGGACTACAGGCACCCGCCACCATACCCAGCTAATTTTTGTATTTTTAGTAGAGATGGGGTTTCACCATGTTAGCCAGGATGGTCTCAATCTCCTGACCTCGTGATCCGCCTGCCTCAGCCTCCTGAAGTGCTGGGATTACAGGCGTGAGCCACTGCGCCTGGTGGCTTGAAATTCTTGTGCCAGCACAGCAGTCTGCAGTTGATCTGGGACACTTGAGCTTGGAGGGGGAAGGGGCTTTCACCATTACTGAGGCTTGAGTAGGCAGTTTTCCCCTGACAGAGTAAACAAAGGTGCTGGGAAGTTCAGACTGGGCAGAGCCCACCACAGCACTACAAAGCCATCGTAGCCAGACTTTCTCTCTAGATTCCTCCTCTCTGGGCAGGGCATCTCTGAAAGAAAGGCAGCAGCCCCAGTCAGGGGTTTATAGATAAAACTCCCATCTCCCTGGGACAGAGCACCTGAGGCAAGGGGTGGCTGTGGGCGCAGCTTCAGCAGACTTAAATTTTCCTGCCTGCTGGCTCTGAAGAGAGCAGCAGATCTCCCAACACAGTGCTCCAACTCTGATAAGGGACAGACTGCCTTCTCAAGTGGGTCCTGGACCCCCGTGCCTCCAGCCTGGAAGACATCTCCCATCAGGGGTCGACAGACAACTCATACAGGAGAGCTCTGACTGGCATTTGGCACATGCCTCTCTGGGATGAAGCTTCCCAGAGGAAGGAACAGGCAACAATCTTTGCTGTTCTGCAACCTCCGCTGGTGATACCCAGTGGAGTATTTTGCAAGCAATGCAAAGCAAAAAAAAAAAAAAAGCGGGGGATAAAATCCTCATCTCTGATAAAACAGACTTTAAACCAACAAAGTTCAAAAGAGACAAAGAAGGACATTACATAATGGTAAAGGGATCAATGCAACAAGAAGAGCTAACTATCCTAAATATATACGCAATTAATATCGGAGCATCCAGTTTCATAAAGCAAGTTCTCAGACACCTACAAAGAGACTTAGATTCTCACACAATAATAGTGGGAGACTTTAACACCCCACTGTCAATATTAGACAGATCAACGAGACAGAAAATTGACAAGGATATTCAGGACTTGAACTCAGCTCCGGACCAAGTGGACTGAATAGACATCCACAGAACTCTCCACTCCAAATCAACAGAATATACATTCTTCTCAGCACCACATTACAATTATTCTAAAATTGACCACATAAATGAAAGTAAAACACTCCTCAGCAAATGCGAAATAATGGAAATCATAACAAACAGTTTCTCAGAACACAGTGCAATCAAATTGGAACTCAGGATTAAGACACTCACTCAAAACCACACAACTACATGGAAACTGAACAACCGGCTCCTGAATGACTACTAGGTTGATAACAAAATGAAGGCAGAAATAAATAAGTTCTTTGAAACCAATGAGAACAAAGACACAACGTACCAGAATCTCTAGGATACAGCTAAAGCAGTGTTTAGAGGGAAATTTATAGCAGTATATGCCCACAGGAGAAAGCAGAAAAGATCTAAAATCAACACCCTAACATCACAGGTAAAAGAACTAGAGAAGCAAGAGCAAACAAATTTAAACGCTAGAAGAAGACAAGAAATAACTAAGATCAGAGCAGAACTGAAGGAGACAGAGACATTAAAAACCCTTCAAAAAATCAATGAATCCAGGAGCTGGTTTTTTGAAAAGATTAACAAAATAGATAGACAGCTAGCCAGACTAATAAAGAAGAAAATAGAGAAGAATCAAATAGACACAATAAAAAATGATAAAGGGGAGATCACTACTTATTCCACAGAAATATAAACTACCATCAGAGAATACTATAAACACCTCTATGCAAATAAACTAGAAAATCTAGAAAAATAAATAAATGCCTGGACACATACACCTTCCTAAGACTAAACCAGAAAGCAGTCGAATCCCTGAATAGACCAATAAGAGTTCTGAAATTGAGGCAGTAATTAATAGCCTACCAACCAAAGGAAACCCAGGACCAGACGGATTCACAGCCAAATTCTACCAGAGGTACAAAGAGGAGCTGGTACCATTCTTTCTGAAACTATTCCAAACAATAGAAAAAGAGGGACTTCTACCTAACTCATTTTATGAGGCCAGCATCACCTGATAACAAAATCTGGCAGAGACACAACAACAAAAAAAATTCAGGCCAATATCCTTGATGAACATCGATGTGAAAATCCTCAATAAAATACTGACAAACCAAATCCAGTGGCACATCAAAAAGCTTATCCACCACGATCAAGTTGGCTTCATCCCTGGGATGCAAGGCTGGTTCAACATATGCAAATCAATAAACATAATCCATCACATAAACAGAACCAATGACAAAAAACACATGCTTATCTCAATAGATGCAGAAAAGGCCTTTGATAAAATTCAACACCCCTTCATGCTAAAAACTCTCAATAAACTAGGTATTGATGGAATGTATCTGAAAATAATAAGAGCTATTTATGACAAACCCACAGCCAATATCGTACTTAATGGGCAAAAGCTGGAAGCATTCCCTTTGAAAACCAGCACAAGACAAGGATCCCCTCTCTCACCACTCCTATTCAATATAGTATTGGAATTTCTGGCCAGGGCAATCAGGCAACAGAAAGAAAGAAAGGCTATTCAAATAGGAAGAGAGGAAGTCAAATTGTCTCTGTTTGCAGATGACATGATTGTATATTTAGAAAACCCCATCATCTCAGCCCAAAATCTCCTTAAGCTGATAAGCAACTTCAGCAAAGTCTCAGCATACAAAATCAATGTGCAAAAATCACAAGCATTCCTATACATCAATAATAGACAGAGAGCCAAATCATGAGTGAACTCCCATTCGCAATTGCTACAAAGATAATAAAATACCTAGGAATATAACTTACAAGGGATGTGAAGGACCTCTTCAAGGAGAACTACAAACCACTGCTCAAGGACATAAGAGAGGACATAAACAAATGGAAAAACATTCCATGCTCATGGATAGGCAGAATCAATATTGTGAAAATGGCCATACTGTCCAAAGTAATTTATAGATTCAATGTTATCCCCATCAAGCTACCATTGACTTTCTTCACAGAATTAGAAAAAAACTTTAAATTTCATATGGAACCGAAAAAGAGCCTGCATTGCCAAGACAATCCTAAGCAAAAAGAACAAAGCTGGGGGCATCATGCTACCTGACTTCAAACTATACTATAAGGCTACAGTAACCAAAACAGCATGGTTCTGGCACCAAAACATATATAGAGACCAATGGAACATAACAGAGGCCTCAGAAATAACACCACACATCTACAACCATCTGATCTTTGACAAACCTGACAAAAGCAAGCAATGGGGAAAAGTTTCCCTATTTAATAAATGATGTTGAGAAAACTGTCTAGCCAAATGCAGAAAACTGAAACTAGACCCCTTCCTTTCACCTTATACAAAAATTAACTCCAGATGGATTAAAGACTTAAACATAAGACCTAAAACCATAAAAACTCTAGAAGAAAACCTAGGCAATATCATTCAGGACATAGGCATGGGCAAAGACTTCATAACTAAAACACAAAAAGCAATGGCAACAAAAGCCAAAATTGACAAATGGGATCTAATTAAACTAAAGAGCTTCTGCACAGCAAAAGAAACTATTATCAGACTGAATAGGCAACTTACAGAATGGGAGAAACGTTTTGAAATCTATCCATCCGACAAAGGGCTAATATCCAGAATCTACAAAGAACTTAAACAAATTTACAAGAAAAAAACAAACAACCCCATCAAAAAGTGGGCTAAGGATATGAACAGACACTTCTCAAAAGAAGGCATTTATGTGACCAACAAACATATGAAAAAAAGCTCATCATCACTGGTCATTAGAGAAATGCAAATCAAAACCACAGTGAGATACCATCTCACAGCAATTAGAATGATGATCATTAAAAAGTCAGGAAACAACAAATGCTGGAGAGGATGTGGAGAAATACGAATGCTTTTACACTGTTGGTGGGAGTGTAAATTAGTTCAACCATTGTGGAAGACAGTGTGGCAATTCCTCAAGGATCTAGAACCAGAAATACCATTTGACCCAGCAATCCCATTACTACGTATATACCCAAAGGATTATAAATCATTCTACTATAAAGACACATGTACATGTGTGTTTATTGTAGCACTATTCACAACAGCAAAGACTTGGAACCAACCCAAATGCCCATCAGTGATACCAGCTGGAGATGAACTTTTGATTAGATGTATTGGCCACAAAATAAAGAACATTATAACCACATTTGGAATGAAACCATTTAATTTTCTCTTTTAAAAAACAGGCCTTTTCCTCCCAAGGATTATGGTGACGAGGAAACATGCTCATGAAACATTGTTAAATTCCAGTTGGAGACCAAAATGGTAAGTGGAGTGAGAACCTCCCTCTTCCTCCTAAACAGACAACACTGAAAACTGCCCTCTGACTGGGGCTAGACAATTTTCCCTGCACATTTTATTCTTAGAAGCAAGAAATTTTAGGATATTGAGTGAAGAAACAAAATCAAAAATACTACCTTTTACATTTTCCTAGCAATGTTGTTTAAGTGGTACTTGACTAGGTTAGAAACAAAGAATCCTGTGGTCACAAGCAGAGAATTTGGTTGGAAGAATTTCTGAAGTACAGAGATTTTAGGACGTATTATTCCATGCGGCATTTAACACAAAGTTAAATATGTGGGTGAGTATAGTGAGTGCCTGCAATTTGATTATGAAAAAAAATGCTTCAAAAACTGAAAAATAATTTTGTTGACAGTAAAATTGTACTTTAAAAAATCTTTTGAGTGTAAAGTTTACTTTAAAATATTTACATTTCAAAAAAGTTTGATTTTTATACATAAGCCAGCAGAGATTTCCACGTGACTAGGTTATCTCCACCACCTGGTAACAGTCTTCCTAAACTGCAAATGGAAAACTAAAGAATAGAAATCCATATTTTAAAATGCTCAGATGCACATTGAAAGATGTAGAACAAATGGCCTCTACCACCATCATTAAACTGCAGATTTTTGTGATATATCTTTTTGGTTCCCAGTGATAGGGAATTATTTTTGATATGATATCATCTGTTAGAAAGCAAGAGCTCTTGAAGAATTTGCATGCCATGGTCCAATGTACCAAGCCTTTACTGCCCTGAATATTTTATGGTAATATTTAGCTTAACATTTACTTTTTATGTATTCTGAGTTCCCAGAGAATAGAGCAAAAGTCTTATAAAAAGCCAGCAAGGGCCATTAGCATGAGGGGGGCACCCTCTCAATGGTGGTGAAGGTAACAGCCCATTGGGGAGTTGGGAACCAGAGGTGGCAAGAAGGGTGTCTGGACAGAAGGCAGCCCAGTGCAGGCAGCTGGAGCCTGTGTGGAGCCAGGACAGTATTTCCATGAGGAGAGAACCCAGCCCAGGGTGAGTGCTGCAGCTCAGGCAAGGTGAGGTGGGTGTCCACATGGGGGTTGGTGCATCTGGGGTGTCACAGCCTGTGTGGGGAACAAACAGCAGTAGCAATTGAAGATGGCCTGCGAAAAGAGGACTTGATCATACAAACGAATAATTTCCGGGTTTTACGAGGCAGGTTTCTCACCATTGGAAGGGCATAAGAATATGAAAAGAGAGAAAGCTAGAAGAGAATCCTGTGCAGTTGGATTGGAAATAAGGTATCAGTGTGAACTCATGGTTTTCAATACATACAAATAGATATGGGAATTATTTAGACATAAAAGTGTGTATACATGTATAATTCCCTTCTCCCAGCAGTGAGAAAACCACCTCATATAACCCTTAATTTAGTTACTTGTCGATGGAGTCTTTAGCTGTGTCCACTAAGAGGGCCTGAGATTAGCAGCACCACAAAAACAATAAGCACGTCTTGTGCCTGGGACCTTGGCTTTTAATTCTATTCTCCACTACAAGGAGCTAGGGCTTCTGGAAGAAATGGTTGAGTCTAAGACTGGAGCAGAGATGTACACAATGAGCTCCAAACATCTTGTGCAAGAAAATTTTGAAAAGCTCTTTAAAAATCATGGGAACATGTCAAAAGGACACAGAAATCATCTTTAAAAGGCTCCCACTGGCCAAATATGGGGCAGCTTAGGCATTAAAATAAATAATGATAATAGTCGATTGTAATGCACTGAATAAAATAGGAACGTATGAGTGCATACTGATAGTATATGCTTATGCTCATGAATATGTTCACCGTTTGATGAGGAGTAAGATTTTTGTATGATCTCAAAGTACTCCATATACCTAAATAATTATCAATTACGAAGGGGGGAAAAAGACTTTTTAAAGTGGAGATGCCAGACAGACTCCACCTTAATCAAATGATCAAAGTTAATTTAATCAATAATGGGACAATTTAAAGTTTTGTTCCATCAGGTAAGATGTGATATGAAGAAGACAGTGTGGCTTCTGAGACATTCCAGCCAATTATATAACCTGAATTCATTCATGAGGAACCCTGACAAATCCAAATTGAGGGGTATTCTACAAAATGAATGGACTGTAATATTTAAAACCTTCAAAATCATGAAAGTAAAAGATAAATTGGGGAACATTTCCAGATTCAGTGAGCAAAAGGCTCATGACAACTAAATGCAATGTGTGATTCAGAACTGAAACATTTGGCTATAAAGGATATTTTTCTAACAATTGGAAGGAATTTGGATGGGCTCTGAGGGTTGGACGGTAGTTCAGCAAGAATGTGATTTTCCTGATGTTTGCAATGTGGTTATATATAAGAATGTCTTTGTTTATAAGAAATGTATACTAAAATATGAGTAGTAATGGGGCATCATGTTAACAACATATTCTTGAACAGTTCAGGGACGAAAATATTCTTTGTACTCTATTTGTGACTTTTCTATAAGAAAAGATAATTTCAAAATTTAAAAATTAAAAAGTCATGGAAGAGAAACTTGACTGTCTGGTGTTGTCTTCCTCAGCTCAGCTTGAAACATGGCAATTAGGAGAATTTGATTTTAAGAAGCAGAAAGGCAACCACTTCGGAGCTTGTGTTTATGTGATTCCTAAAGTAAGATTATATTGCTCTTAAAAATATATTATGCAATCTCCCTTACCTATCTTCAGGAACAAGGTGCTGCTTCTTACAATTCATGTCGGTCAAATCTTAGTATCAGCTGTGAGCTATTTTATCTTTCCGGGATTTCCAGTGGGAATTCAGATTACCATATGAATTGAACAATTCAACAATTTGGTTACCACATTTAGATTTGTTCACATCCCACAGTGCATTATGCAAACTTTGGGACTTTTTCAGCCTGCTCCTACTAGTGTTGTCTGAAAGCGAGCAGTCCTTTTCATGCCTGAAACTCCAGGCACGGAACGTTTGGGGAAACCAAGTATTTTAGGTTAAAATGTCTTGTTCCCAGGAGTCCCCCATTTGGTGTGTCCTGCTTACTTTCCATTTACCCCACCGCTGCCAAAATCATTACTCACCCTCTTCTCCTCTGCCCTGTGCCTATAGGGTCAGGAGACTGGCCACTAAAACATGAAGAACGGGTTCTAAGTTACCCAGACTCCCTCGTCCTCTGCCCTCTTGTGAGGTCAACCTAAAATCATGGGTCTTCCATGGTTTTAATTCTCACAGTGGCTGAATTATCATTTCTATTGAGAGTCCCTTTCCTCAGGGCTCCAATCTTTCTCTAGGTTCCAGAAATATGGTTCCAAACCCTTGCATCTCGGCCTGGGGGTGGAAACAGCTTCCTACCGTCGCCAGCTCGGGGAGACTTCATTCCCTTTCATGGATTCTCTTAACCCTGCCTCCACCTCACAAAGGGTTTCCTTATTAACCTGCGTCCGGTCGACTCTATGGGTAGTGTCGTCATCTGTCTCTTTCAGTGACTGAATCGCTATACGCAGTTCATCTTGGAGCATCAGCTAACAAAATGTGATAAAGCAGGCACTGAGGGAATGGATCGCAGAAAAGGAAGTGTTTTACAGAAGACAGCGTGGGGCCTGATCCGGAGCCGGGAACACATTCCAGGTGGCAGAGCGGGAGGAGCAGAACAATACAGAGTTCGTATAAATTGTCTCCGTGGGTGGAGGAACCGAGGGTGAGAGAACGAGAAAATACAAAAACTGAAAAGAAAAGCCACAGGTTGGCTGTACCAACCACAGAGGATGGAATGAATATGGAAGAGTAGCCAGTGGTTTTATTTCAGCATCAGCTTCGGCAGTAAACATGCGTCATTAACATATGTATCCACTCACTGTACATTTAAACCAGAGTTGTAAGAATCTTTAAGAATGTGTTTGCTGAAAACTGTTCACATTGTGTTGAAAATGCCCTCCAGGTGGGGAATTTTTTTTTTTTTTTTAAGCTAGAGAATAGAACATAACTTTGACCTCTTTCAAAAGATTTCATAGTCCTCCTCTTGGCTAAAATAAAAGTACTATGTATCAGGAGTGGAAAGTCTAAACTGTTTTGCTTTTAAGTTAATTTTTATATTGTGTCTATAGATGCTGGCCTCTATTTGAACTTTCTTGGGACAGACTTGTTGCTTTAGCTTATACCAAAAAAGCCTATACTGGCTTTTTTCTAAAACTGTATTTGAAGAGTGGTTTAAAAAAAAAAAAAAGTGAAGGACCTATATCACCTATTGAAGCAATCACTTTCTGAGCTGGAAATTAAGAGGATCTAAGCTTCAAAGAGCAAGCTCATGTCAAAATGCGCTGGAAAGTCAACAAGCTACCAGGGATTTGTCTTAGAAAACTGACCTTAAATTAAATTAAGGTGGGAAAAATGAAGACACATGAGTCAGTACTGATATTTCACATCTTCTATGATGCTGTGATATTTCAGAATTACTGACATTTAGTACTCAAAGTGAAGCCATTTAAATAAACATAATTTGTGATACATAATTACTGGATGACAGCTGTGGGGACGTTAGGCTTCTCAACCTCATCATAGCTTCTGAGTCCTATGGTAGGGCTCCCACAAATGCAGAAGCAGATCCTAAAATTGTAAAGTTTCTACTATTTCCTACATTTGAATATCATGCTTTCTCTCCATTATTTCTGCTAAAGCTTTGCTGTAGTGCATAATAGGGACCCAGGAAATAGGACTGGATTAACTAATTTCACATGGCATTTAGTAGAGCTGCACCTAGAGAAAGAGGTGTTCAATGGTTTGGTGATGCCAGCCGTGGTCACAAGGGCAATAAAGATGGCCTGTCATCAGTAGATCTCAATCTAGTCCATGAATGTCTTTTTTTTTTTTTTTTTTTTTTTTTTTTTTTTTGAGACAGAGTCTCGCTCTTTCGCCCAGGCTGGAGTGCAGTGGCGCGATCTCTGCTCACTGCAAGCTCCGCCTTCCGGGTTCATGCCATTCTCCTGCCTCAGCCTCCCAAGTAGCTGGGATTACAGGTGCCCGCCACCACGCCCGGCTAATTTTTTATATTTTCAGTAGAGACGGGGTTTCACCGTGTTAGCCAGGATGGTCTCGATCTCCTGACCTCGTGATCCGCCTGCCTCGGCCTCCCAAAGTGCTGGGATTACAGGCGTGAGCCACCGCGCCCGGCCCATGAATGTCTTAATATAAAGAAAATAATACCCAACTAGTCTTTCAAATGCTTAGAAATTTTATTATTTGTCACCTAGCATGATTAATTGAACATTTTCCCCCAAATATGCCTTTATTGTATCCCAGATAATCTGAACTAAATTATAAACCTCAATGTTAAGAATTTATTTTAGGTTATCGGAGATGTAATAAAAATATTTTGCAGTACAGTATATTAGATATTTCTCAAAAAATTTGTCAACATACAATAGATTTGCTTCTCTTTTATGCCTTCATTTTAGCTATTAATAAACCTCTTGAAAAAGATTGTTCTAAGGATGTCGAATTTCTGAACTTTTCCTATGGAATCCAGATGTCATAATTCTTTGTGATGTCCCAGTATCTTCTATTCCTTTAGCATTTCAACATTACAGTCACACTGCTATGAAGGTAACTGTCACTGGCATCTTGTACATAAGAAGAATGTGCCTTGAGATTCTAACAAAAAATTTTAAATTGGTCTGGTCAGACATGAGATATTCTTAGTAAATCTAGAATCACCAGATTGTTTTGTAATTACTCACAACCAATCCCCTGAAAAGAGTTCGTTATATTATTTTGGCGAAATTACTAGAAACTATAGACTGTTGTCTATAGTTTCATAACAGTCTATAGTTTCTAGAAATTCCAGAAGATTTGCAATAGTTGCCATTCTCCAGCCAAAAAATAATAAAATTTAAAAACCCATCATATCATTCATATATATTTATCTTTATTATTTTCTTTTTAAATTAGTATATAATAGTTGTGCATATTTTGGGGTATATGTGATATTTTGATACCCGTATACAAAGTGTAATGATTAAATCAGAGCAATTGGAATATTCATCACCTCATTTATCTTTTATTTGTGTTGAGAACACATTTTTAAAATTGTAAACAATTTTTTTGAGACTACAGAAACTTATTTAACACATTTGGATGTAATCTCATGGACACAGAGTTTTGAACTTATATTAACTGGGTGTCTTTTGATTCAAATATTCTTTGCAACTAACTTGAGTGGTGTTTTTTTCCATTAGATTTTTCCTACCCTTTACAGTTTGGGGCCAAATGGAACTGCAAAGTTTCCCTTTGGCCAACATTACATCATATTTCCCAAAGGCCTGTGCTTGCTTTGTTCTTGTTGCTTCAAATAAACAAATTTTAAAAAAAGACCTGTTATTTTTCATGAACTTCATTTGTCATGGGTTTGAGCCTTTCCTGACATTGTTGGAAGTTTGTTTTACCGTTTCCTCACATTTCATTTCATTTGAAATGTATCACATGCATACATCCCACATATGGAAGATAAACGTGTTTTGTGTGAATCATGAGAAGTCTAGTCATACATGAGTGAAATTTTAAAAAGTAAACAAACAAGAAGTGCACATTTTTACAAGATTGGCACATCTGAAGCCCAGCGTACTCCACTTCCAGAACTCCACTTGCCAGCCTTCCCATTTCTTTCTTCGTTGAGGAGTTTCTCTGCAGGAAAGGTTTCCTGGGAAAGCTGCTGGTAGCTGGTCTGCTCACTCTTGGATGGGAACCCCCTAGGATCCCCTGAATCACCTCCGCAATACCACCCTGCTATCTGTTCTAGGAAATGTCCTGTGCTTCCCAGAGGAAGCTATATAATCTGGGCCTTCATTCATACATTCATTCATTGAATGTCTGCTATGTGCCAGGCACTGTCCTAAGTGCTTGGGATCCATCAGTGAACAAACAGCCCTCCTGCAGCTTAACATTGTAGACATTCCAGTGGGTCTTGAACGATAAAAGATGGAGAAAAGAAACTTTAGGCAGAGCTACTGGCATGTGTTAATGCTGACAGTCAGAGAACAGCATGATAGGTTATTGGCAATTGCTGTGGATTCTCCAAAAATGCTGGAGCGTAATATCTAAGCTAAGGAGCAGCTGGGAGTTTAGGAGAGGTGGAAGGGGGTCCATAAAGATGGCGCTGACTCTTCCTGGGTCTGCCAAAATTCCTGGCGTGTCATAATCAAATATTTGTTGAAATGGAGTTAAAAAGCTAGGACAAGTAATTCAAAGGTTATTTTGGAAAGTTCTTATATGAACTGTGTGTATTTGGGAATATGGCAGGTTATGATGATTGAATAAATGAAGGAAGGAAGGAATGATGTAAGAAATCAGAACAGAGGAATGGTAGAGTCACATTTCTGCTTCTGAAAGATAGTTATTTTGTCAGTTTAGCAAGAAGGGGATTTTAAACAAAACAAAACATAAAAGAAGGGACCAGATAGAACAGTGACAAGAACCCAAGGAAGGGACAGTAAGGACAAGAATCAGGGCCGGGCTCCGCACACCCCATGCTCCCTTCACACAGACCCCATGAGAACCATTTGCTAGAACAAAGATGAACACAGCCCCCCGGGGTCAGGCGGTTGGCCAGCCTCAGCATGAACTGTGGCAGCGACCATGGGAATGAACAGTAGATGCCAGATGAAAGATACTTGGGTAAGAGTGATGAATTGGACTTGCTGGCTGATTGGATTTTTTAATTTTATGGTTTATGACAGAAGTAGTGAAGATTACTTATAGTTTTTCCATAAATTTTATTTGGGTGACCACAGTGTTCATTGTTAGGTTAACATTATCAAACCATAGAATACAGATTAACATTTCGAAAAGTTGAAGAGGCATCTTTTAAATCTACTTGCTATTTACGGACAAGCTAATAACCATGAAGTTTGCTGCTGTATCTGTACATGCCAGTCTAGTCAAATGCACACTTCATTTCCCTTAGGAAGATTTTTAATTTGTCATGATATCCCCCTGGCTGGTTCCAGTGTCCTCTCTGTCTAGACGTCTGCTATGTTTGGAGACTTTATCATACCACTTAATACTTGATCATATATTGCTTTCTAATTGTTTCTTGCTTGTTACTGTAAAGCACCCAATACTTCTAATATAATCTTCATGAGGGCAGTTCCTCTTCACAAGTTAGAGGAGGGTTAACAGTGGAATAATCCAATAACATAATTAATCTCATCATTCAAGTTCAGTACAGCAGTTAGCAAAACCAAAGCCTTCCTACTAAGTAAAACCGTTAATGTTTTAAATTTATATTTTCAGTCAAGTGATTTTTTTGAAACATCTTCAGATAAAAATTAATGTGTTAGAAAAAATAGTAAATGTCTTCCCAACTTAGCATTAGAATGATTAGAAGTCACTGATCTGTTCTTTGGGGGGCCATTTAATTTTTTCATTTCAAAAGTTTATTGCAAGTTTGTAAGATTTCATGTTTCTCAGTTTCTATTTCCAATGTGTGGATGTTATTTCTATATTTGTTAAAAATGTGTCTGCATTTTGCACATTTCTAAGATGATCTGCAGGTGTGAATTTTCTGTTCAGATTTTTAAGTAACTTGGTTTTTAAAATCTTATCTTTACATTAGAAACTCTAAGGTGCTGATGGCTGATTTATTTTTTCAGTACACTGGTCTGGTTTTTAATGGCTTATTCATTTTTAAAGTAAATTAAGAATGTGTATAAAAAGCTTTACTAATAAAATGTTGTTGTTCTTCAGGTCATGATTTGAGACCTTCAGCAAGATAAAGGGGCTGTAAAGCAGGTGGCACAATACATTTGGTTAGAAATAAAAGAGAATCTTTTTTTTTCAACCATTAATGAGATTTCCTGGAAGAATAATTTTGGAGCAGGCAAGGGTAGGGGAGCATATTAATCATATTTGCTGTAAATTGACTTTACACTTCACACGCAGTGTTACTCTCAGATTAGGTTTCTTCATGGGGTCCCAGACAACAAGCAAAACGCTTTTCACTGGAGGCACAACAGGTCAATGTTAGATCACGGATATGAATAACAACTGTCTGAGATGTTGGTCTCATCAGCTGTACCAGGGTTGGTAGAGTTGATCTCCTCTTAGCAATATCTTCTTCCCCACTAACCACGCCCCAGGTTCTCTGCCTGGAACTGAGCGGACAATGAAATCATACGGTCTAAAAGAGGAGGGTCCCTATTCGACCACTAAGTAGCTCTGCCGCTCCACTAGAAATCTAGGGCGGAGTTACACACAAATGTTGACTGCATGCCCAGAATCATTCATTTGAACCAACTGCACTGGACTCGCAAAACAGAGGCAGAAACTGAGACAGCAGGAAAAGGATGGGGAGGGAGATAACACTTCTCAGTTCACCCTCAGTCATACTGACTTATGGTACTGACCTTTGTGATCTCTGCTTCCTTATCCTGAAAAATGGCTAGCAGCTATAGCTCAGGAAAGGGTGAAGACCGAAAACCATTGGCAAATGTCCACAATCTATTTATAAGAGATCAAGAAAGCCACTGCATGAACTTTACCTTTAATACAACTTCTTCATGCGCATATCAATTGCCTTATTTGATAGTGAACTCTTTGAGGACACTTATGTGTCTCCTTTGGTTATAATCATCCACTCCAGCATTTCCCTTCATGTGTAGAACAATGAAATCATAGAACCTTGGAAAGACCCCCAAACCATCAATTACCAATCAGACTCTTGACATTTTACTACATTGTGATAATGAATTTTATGTGTCCAATTGGCTAGGCCATGGTACAGAATTTTGGGTTAAGCACCAATGTAGATGTTTCTGAAAAGATACGTTTTAGATGAGATTTACACTTAACTATGTAACCTTTGGGTAAAGTACGTTCCCCTCCATCATGTGAGTGGGCCTCATTCAATCAGTTGAAGGCCTTAAGAGAAAAGACAAACCTACCCTTGAGGAAGGAGGAATTCTGCCTCCAGATGGCAAACTTTCCCTGGGTCTTCAGCCTGCTCTATAGATTCTACGAGCCAATTTGTTAAACTATTCTCTCTCTAAACACACACACAATATATATATGTATATACACATACTATATATATATACACATACATACACACTATGTATATATATTATATACACACACAATACACACACACACACACACACACACACATCTCATATTCTGCTTCTGAAGAAAACCCTAACTATATAACCATCTAACCACTTAAATTTTGAGGTGTGATCAGGAGTGTTTGTGAGGTTGGCCTTTGTATCAATCCAGTCCTGGGACTAAATCCTACCTCGACAAGTCACTAGATGTGACAAAGATGTGATTTTGAGCGAGTTACTTATACCTTTCTGACCCTATCTGCCCATATATGAAGAAGGTGTAATACCAAGTGCTTTAATAAAATGTCTTGAAAATTCCAGACGATGTGTACACAACATCCATAACATAGATGTTTCTTGATAAATGGTTGTCATCATTTTGCCTTGATGAATTAAATGTGACTAAATCCTGCTATTTACTGTATCAGTAGCTAGGGGTATGTCTAGTTTGAACTTCTCAAATGAATTCATCTCTCTTGGTTAGAAATTGACCATGTGGTCTGCATTTTATGATTAACTTCTGTTGCCATGTTGCTATGAAGGCCACAAAGGGAGGCCTCCAGAACTAAGTCAGCTTCACGTTTTCCCTGAGGCAGTAAAGAAAGATTCCCCTCAGAGGATGAGCTTTCCACGGCTGGAAACCAGAGAGTTTTGGTAGCAGAATCACAAGTGATTGACTTTGGAATTGGGAGATAATGGCTTGAACTGCTGATTAGCCCATGGAACTCCACTATCTTTGAAAAAAGATAAGGTCAATTTCAAATGAGAAACTTTCTAAGGAGAAATTTGCTACCATTGGTCAAATTTCCCAAATGAATCAAATAGGAAAAACAATAGTAATCACTAACCTAATGTGTATAAGCAGTGTGCATCAATTACATGTGAGGACTCACTTTTTCTTTTTAATGACCATAGCTATTCAGGTGATTGTTTTCTAAACTCAGGTAGCAAGAATTTCATGTATCAGCATCATGACTGACATTTTAGCTATGAAGTGATAATTAACTATGAAAGATAATTTTTAAAAAATTATTATTATACTTTAAGTTCTAGGGTACATGTGCACAACGTGCAGGTTTGTTACATAGGTATACATGTGCCACGTTGGTTTGCTGCACCCATTAACTCGTCATTTATGTTAAGTATTTCTCCTAATGGTATCCCTCCCCCTGCCCCCCCACCCCATGACAGGCCCCTATGTGTGATATTCCCCGCCCTGTGTCCAAGTGTTCTCATTGTTCAATTCCCACCTATGAGTGAGAACATGCAGTGTTTGGTTTTCTGTCTTGTGATAGTTTGCTCAGGATGATGGTTTCCAGCTTCATCCATGTCCCTGCAAAGGACATGAACTCATCGTTTTTTGTGGCTGCATAGTATTCCATGGTGTATATGTGCCCAAAACTTAAGCTTTTGTGAAATTGAATTCTTACATTCCATATTTAATTTGATTTGATGATTGTTTTAGAAAGATGTTTCAATCAAATGTTACCTCGCTAATTTTACATTATAACAACTTTTACAACATTTCTTTCAGTTCTAGGTCCCAAACTACTTTAGAAAGGACATTGAGGGTTTTTATTTATTAGTCAGTATCTAAATTCAGTATTTCTAAGAAAAGACTCAAGAACAGCTTTCAAGAAAAATTTTGCCACCTCTTCTTAAAACACATGTCAAATTGATAACATGATATTGCATACAGCATAATGGGACTGTGTGTATAAGAATCAAAATAGACAGACAAGACTTTAAAATGAGAGTCAGGAAGTACAAAACATCTTATCTAAGGATAATTTGGTTACAAACTGTATGCAAAGCTGTAGAGTTATCTATTAAGCTGTATTGAAAATGGTGGCTGAGAACTCATAAGACAACTAGCTCTGAGTGAGGTGTCATTCCTGAAGCAGCAGGGGCAACTTGCCATGGCTTCGGGCCTTAGCCCATAGCAGTCTGAATAATCACACAAGAATAGAAGTCAACAGAGACTCTCAGTCCCAGCCTAGAATGTCAAAAGCATCAACTAGTGACTGGACATTTGGCTGAAATCCAAGGAACAAGCACAACTGGTTCAACCAGCACTTGTCTGGAATGTTCTGGAAGCAATAGATGGCAAAGGGTATTAAGTTGGGGAAATTTAATAGTTTTTCCTTTGGGAACAGAAATAATGCAAATGCTGATAAAGTACTATATTTAGCTACTAAGTACATTTTTTGACTCTGTCATTTCTGGGAGAAAATTATGACACACTGCACCAGTCTTTGAAAATAACTAGAAACTTTTTCCATAAATGACTTTTACACCCAACACGACAGAAGTTTCTTCAACTCCAGCATTTATCATTTTATCATCTTTCTGTTATTTTTTCATTTGGGTTACTTCTTTAGATACTTTTTTATTATTATTTGTCAACAACATGCGAAAGGCTCTTTTCTTTATGACCCTGTGGGAGAGTTCAGAGGATCGGAGTATGGATATGTGGCCACAAGCATAAAAATCTAGTTCCCTGGATTGACCTTGAGCAATTAGTCTAATATCATTTCTTTACATGACCTTAATGATTATTCAGTTACAAAATAATCTTTCCTTTGCTTAAGTTTGTAAGGCATTTTCATAAGTTAGTTTTTTGCTTTTTCTGACATTTAAAGTCTGGGTTATCTGCCTTTTCGTGGGAGCTGTCTCAGCTGTTAGCTGTCATTTTAGGGAAAAAAGAAATTTTGCAGTAATATTTCATTTTGTCATCACAGATGACAGATCATAAAAAATTGTGGCTTTATAATGTACTCAAAGTAAATATTTCCTAAGAATGCCCACGCAAAAATAATAGTGAAAAGAAAAAGGCAAGCTCTCTCAATTCTTTTGAGAATTGTCCTTGCTTCTGTGAGCTTAGAAAAACTGTATTTGATCAAATAAATACTTTTTTCTATCAATATTATAGTCTTCCAAGTTTATGAAAATTCAAATATATAAGAAGTTAGAGTCATTTTGTTTTTATTTTATTTCTGTAGTCTGTGCTATTTCATGATGCCATATCATGTACGTTCCTAAATTTGCATTTAACTCCTGGTTCTGGCATTCACTGTGTCAACACGCTGACTTCAAAAACCCCTCCTCATATTCCTTGTGCTCTAGTTTCTAGTTGGCAAAACAGGAAGATAAACAACATATTTACCCATAGGAGTTAGAATAAGATGAACAGAGATCACTTCTGAATGCTTCAAAATAAACCAACAAACAAAAAATAGCACAGATATTTGAGAGAGCAGTATGGTGCAACATTTAAAAACAAGGATTTTGAAATATAATTAGACCTGTGTTTTTGACTTGATTCTGCTAAATATGAGGTACATGACCTTGAGGAAATAATAAGTTAGTCTCTTTAAGACTAATTAGTTATTAATAAAATTAGGATAACAATCATGCCTACCACACAGGGTTGTTATGGGGATTATATGAGATAGGAGAGAGAAAATGTGCAGCATTATGTTCTCAGGACACAGTTGCCACTGATGACCATTATTCCTGGGTGAACAGTGGTGGATGAATCCATTTTCATCAAATTAGAGATGTCCACACACACCAACACACATGTGCATAAACCTATTTCCTTCGAGCTGAAAAGCAAGACTAACTCTAGTCTCAAACGTGTTCCTAAAAATAAGGTGGTGTGTCTAGGGAACAGCTGGAAATGCAGCTTGAGCTCTTGGGTCTTAGAGTCACCAGTCATTATGTAGTAATTGAAGCCACACAAATGGGTGAAATCATGCAGTCGTCTTTGAGCGTGTGTATGTGTGCACACACAGTGAGAAGACAAATCCACTGGGAACACTTACAGTATCGTGCAGGGAGAGGAAGAAAACAATAATGTCTCTTTCCTGAACCGGGAGGATGGTACTAGGGATTGGGTACAATACAGCAAAAATTTTACTTGAGATTAGGGAAAGGAATTGGCATGTTTAACGATCTCTGCTCTCTTTCATGCATATTTTAGGGTAATTAATAGAAAATAAGGAAAAAGTAGAAGTGTTACGGCTCCGATGGCTGGAGGAACACCAGGGTTCTTGGTCTTGCACTGATAGGATTAACATGGACACATGTGGAGGGGTTTTAAGGAGCGGAGCGACAAGTTTAACAGGCAAGAGAGCAGCAAGGAAGAAGAAAACAGCTCCCCTGTATAGAGACAGAGGGAGGGGTGACTCAAACAAAGAGAAAACCCTAGTGCGAGAGGAAATACAAACTTAAGCAAAGTTACAAACTTACAAACTTAAGCAAAGGAAAGATTATTTTGTAACTGAATAATCATTAAGGTCATGTAAAGAAATGATATTAGACTAATTGCTCAAGGTCAATCCAGGGAACTAGATTTTTATGCTTGTGGCCACATATCCATACTCTGATCCTCTGAACTCTCCCACAGGGTCATAAAGAAAAGAGCCTTTCGCATGTTGTTGACAAATAATAAGTGGCTGCTTATACGATGAAGCTGGAGGAGGTGGTGTCTGATTTGCATAGGGCTCAGGGGATTGGTTTGACCAGGCATGTCACTCATGTAGCCAGTGGAAAAACCTGGCCCTCCCACCCTATCCTTTTAATATGCAAATGCAGGGCGCCATGATGTTCTACACACATAGGGATATGTGGGGGCAGCCATGTTGCCAGGCACCTGTGGGGGCAAGGGCAAGAGGAGGATGAAGGGAGCCATGTTTGGGTGGACCCAGTTTCTAATGGCCTGCATTTGCATATCAAAGCTTTCCAGCCCAGCAACAGCTGGGGCTTTCCTGGTAGACAAGAAATGTTTCTGGAGCTTTCCAGCCCAGCAAGAGCTGGGGCTTTCCTGGTAGACAAGAAATGTTCCTGGAGCTGCTTTAAAATAAACAAAAACTTCCCAAGGACCCCTTTACCTCTTTATCTGCCTAAAATAATTTCTTAATAACTCCTATAACAGAAGCAGGGTCAGCCAATAGACCAGCTTTGGTGATGCATATAATCCATAGGTTAGATGAGAAGATGAGGGGAGAAAGGGAGATGGGGCATAGTCAAGCAGGATCTCCACTGGCAGAATAATATGTATCTTCCATAACTGAGGGAAACTATAGATGAGAACAAAGGCTTTGGGGTCTTAAAATCAGTTGTAGAGTGCAGAATACATTGTAGGGGAAGGAACTGCAGTGAAGGAAGCCAGTTAAAAGGCTATTACAATACAGCAGTAAGAGGCCTACTGGTTGGGTATGGTGTACTATAAAGGTGCTGGCCCTTCCCATTCTTCTGGTCTTCCTTCTACCAGTCTACCACTTTGAACCCCAGCCATTATCTCCTTCTTCACAGGACCAGTGATTTTTCATCCTTCAAACCTTAATTCAAGCATCATTTCCTCAGGGTGGCTTACCCTGACTCTGGGAATGATTTTGATATTCCTCCCCCATCTGTTAGGAAATCGATTGCACCACACTGTGATGGCTGGTCTGCCTGTCTTTCTCCTCTCCTAGACTGCAAACTTATTGAAGGCAGAAGCCATGTCTTGCTATTCCCTGGTGTCCAGCTCATAACCTGGGATATGATCAAAAGTCAATGAATGTGAATGAATGAATGAACAAATGCAGGTAAACAGGAGCTGACTAAATGCTATTAACATAAGTAACAGAATCGTAAGGGGAGCCTGGACATAGTGTATTTAATAGCAAGCTATATGAAAATGGGTTTTCTAAGAAAATGAAGGGTAATTATTGAGCATTTTTTGCAGTAAAGGTCAAGAAATTCTTGTTAGGCCATTCTAGCCATAATTTACATTCAAACAATGAGTGCTCACAATTGCTTCTAAGTTATTCTGTGAAGCACTTAGCAGATGCTCTAAGACTTTGCCTGTCAGCTGAGAGCCAAACGGGTGAGAAAATAATAAAAAGCGTTTCTTTTAATGTGTTTTTTAACAGGCTTTTCTGCTGTAGAACAGAATCAGTCTGACCTTCCCCACAACTAGTGTTGTTTTACAGTGTTTAAAAGAAAAAGAAAAGCCATATAAAAGCCAGGGCCTTTTATCTGGTGAGGCTACGCCTATATCACACCAAGTCAATGATTTCACGGAACTGGTCCGCTGGTATCTTGTCAGAGCGTAGATATGGCCTGCCAGAAATGGTAATGCAGAAAGTTCTTGTGCCTTTTATCAAGGCCTAGAAAAATAATTAAATTTCCTAACTATAAAAGCATAATTTACTTTAGCATTCCTCTACACCAGTGTCTCTTTCTTTCTTTCTCTTTATTTTCTTTCTTTCCTTTCTTTCTTTCTTTCTTTCTTTCTTTCTTTCTTTCTTTCTTTCTTTTTCTTCCCTTTCTTTCTTTCTTTCTTTCTTTCTTTCTTTCTTTCTTTCTTTCTTTCTTTCTCTCTCTCTCTCTCTTTCTTTCTCTTTCTTTCTGTCTCTTTCTTCCTTTCTTTTTTTTTTTTGACGGAGTTTCGCTCTTGTTGCCCAGGCTGGAGTGCAGTGGCGCAATCTCGGCTCACTGCAACCTCCACCTCCCGGGTTCAAGCAATTCTTCTGGCTCAGCCTCCTGAGATTCTGGGATTACAGGTGCCCACCACCACGCCCAGCTAATTTTTTGTATTTTTAGTAGAGACGGAGTTTCACCATGTTGGCCAGGCTGGTCTTGAACTCCTGACGTCAGGTGATCCGCCCGCCTCGGCCTCCCAAAGTGCTGGGATTGCAGGTGTGAGCCACCACGCCTGGCCCACCAGTGTTTTTCAGACCTTCTCACCACACCCATGTGATCATGGCCTAGGAACTTTAACATGTATAAGTGAATAAAAGTTTCATGAATTTTCTCCTTTCATCTCTTCACTTCACTTCACTGCTAAACACTGCTCCAACCCATGAATTGATTTCTTCAACCACTATGGGACTCAGTCATAGTTTAAGAAACAATACTTTGATAATCACCCTCTGCTACAACTACGCGCAAACAGTACAAGGCTAGTTTACAGAGTAAACCACTGTTTCACCATTATATCCATGTTTGCTATTTTGACTAATTTATATTATCATTCTGGGTGATGCCGTCAAATTTCAAACTCTTTTTATCTGTGCTTTAATACATTTTATATTTTATATTGCTTTTGTGTTGTTTTTTTGTGGAGTGAGGGTGATGGTGACAAAAGGACCACAGACCATGTGAGCGTTGTCTTAGGGTGAAAGATGAACTTCAAGAAATGTGGGAGGTAAAAGAGACTTTAATGTCATCTAGCTTCACATTCTTGGGCTTTTATCTTGGTTTTAGAGATCATAATTGCATATTATTTGTGATTCTAGAATCAGGCAACACCTCATTCTGTAAAATAGAATGAGTGTTCTGATGAGCTGAGCAGAGGAGGTTGGCTTTATAGACAGACAAGGGCTGTCTATAGAGGAAAGCAGAAACAGAAAACAAAAAGGGGATTGATAGTTGCAAAGCTACTTTTCTTGTAAAGCTTGAAGTAGAGGGGACTTCCTCGTGCCTGCTGAAACTGGCCTGTTGGGGAATTTGGCTATTGTCTCACCCTCTCCTGATTTCTCAGAAGGTAAGATAACGATCTTAATTTCAGCTTGGTGGTAAAGAACTTCAGCATGAGTAATTCCATTTCGCTTTGGTCCGTTGGGCCTAATGCAGGAGCTCCATCCAAACCAATGGCCTCCTATAAATTTTATCTAATGACACATTCATGCATTCATTCAAAAAATATCTTGTGGCACCTACCATCTGTCAAGTTCGGTGACAGGCATTTGGGGACTCAAAGAGAAAAATACGAATTTCTGCCGTAAGTATGTTAATAATCCTGGAATGAGAGAAATGTAGGAAAAATTATGAAGTAACTATTTTGAAAAATCAACCTATTATGTAAACCTTGGTTTCCCCATCTTAGTTAAGCTGATATCTCAGTGCAGTGCACTATTACAGGTGTGTAGTGTTAATTCCACATGATAGAAAAATAATCATCTAGACTCAATAGTTAATTGTGCAATCTTTGAGGCAAAGAGTTAATTTGAGCTTAATTCCTCTCACTTCTGAACTGGTCAAGCCTTCTGTAAACCACTCCTTCTTGATTTCAGCCTCCACATTTTTGGTTGCTCTTGATCCACAGTAATTAAAGATTCTTCCTAGTGATGCTCTGTGCATGTGAGAACTTAATACCTTAATAGGCCTATGCTGCTGTCTTAGTGTATCTACTTCTATACTGTCAGACTAGGATTTGTCTCATTATCTCATTGTTAAATAATAGTAATGAATAAAAGACTTAGCCAAGGTGTGGATAACTTTGAGTGTGATTCAGTGCATATTTGTTTTTCTTCTGTGAATTGCTGGAAAAGGAGAGTATATTGTGTCTGATACCATTTGCTAACAGTGATATAAAAATGCATGTCCGAAGAAAGAAATCTAAAAGCATGAATAGGCCCTTAATTGTTTTCAAGAAAAAATTACGAATAAGTCTCTTACTGGGAAAAAGATTTACATTTAACCTTATAAGTCATTTTAATGGTTCATGTTTAACTGAAATGTGAGATATCTAAACGAGCAACTAAAAATATGCAGAAAGTCCTTACTGGAACAGGAAAATTAGCAAAGAAAGGAACAAGCAATCAGAGCATGTATAAGAGCATGGTCTGGTTTTTATTTCGTTTTGAAATCAAAACCAGCCAAAGCAAACTACGTTTCAAGCTACTCAGTGATGATTGACTGTTGACTCCTTGTGTTCAGTTTCCAATAATCTATTCCTTGGGCCTCCAATAGGAAGCTCCTTTGCCCCGAGGACAGAGCGCTGTCCTTGGCCGTACTGTACACAAACTGTGACTCTCAACAAGGTTACCTTTCTCAACCTCAGGTTCCTCCTCCGCTATGTGTGAGGTTTTAATGTTCATCTCAAAGGATCATACTGATGATTACATGAGAGAATGTAAATACTGGCGTGTAGTATGAGCTTAAATGGCAACCATATTTAAATTTGAATCTGTATTTTCTCTTTCCATTCTCTCTTCCTCGAATATACCATTCAGTCTCAAGTCTTCCCCTATTGTCTTTGGGCAAAAGATGACCAGATCCTTCCTCTTCAATGCAATTCAATTCATTTCAAATTCGTTTTATTACATTGGCTGCTGAATATCTTCTCTTGGATAGAATACCTTCACTTCCAACTTGCATGTTTAAATCTAACTTCTTATATTTACTCTCAAAACAACTTCATGCCCTATAGCCTCTTTTCCTCTGAGTGATAGAATTATCCTTTTCAGATGCCTAAGGTCAACATTCTGGAGTTATCATCAATTTCATCCTTTCATTCATTCATCCAACAAATATTTATTTTCCACTCTGTGTCATGCCACGTGTTAGCACTGAGAGCATACACCGTCATAAATAGCCCATACATTCAGATAAGAGGATAGCACTCTGCTTATTCAAACCACATCCAACCACTAGGTCATCTTCATTTTTTAATTCCACTATATCTCTATCGGTTAAACTTTCTGTTCAGCTTCCTCTGTCATCACCATTATTCAAGCCCTAAACTACAGAAATAGTCAAAAATCAACCTTTCCAGAACTTCCGTGCATCTTATATACTCCTGCCAGGCATGTGCACCTAAGATAATCTTCACACAGGACTTTCTTCCTGTCGCCTTAGCAGTTAGCTCACACTCCCTACCCTCTACAATGCACCAAAATGACTTTTCCATTCTTATCTCCAACACAAATATGTGTAACGCTCCTGTCCCTGGGTCTTATCTAGGGATTTTTTTTTTATTCCGTTGGGTTGACTCAAATCTCTGCCTTCTGTCCCCAAAACACAAGGAATGTTGTTTTCTCCATTCTTGAAAACTTTGCCCATCAGTAAGACCAGATCTATTATCCTTCTTCCCTAAAGCCTAATACAGCACTCACAGCCAGGGACTGATACACTCACTCATTCTGACCTATGTTTTATATTATGGGAAAAAACAGTCTCAGAATTTTCTCACTTATCACTTAGAATGTTTAAAAACTGAAAATGTATTTCTTTTCTTTAGCTTCACTGCAAGTTTCTGAATAGACCGTTCAATGTTCCTCCTTACTGTTCAACCGTCTGTCTATCTAGTTATCATCCTGCTTGTATAAAAAGCACAATATAATTTGTAAGTTTGGATTATATACTATGTTTGTATGTTAATAATTACTTGTAAAATCTAAGTAAAAAGTATCTGCCTCTATAGACCTCAACAACACACTACCAAAAATAGCTGAGATTTGCAGATAAAGATAGGATGCTAAATAAATGTATAACCCTTGAATGAAGACGGTCTTAGATCCTTTCAGTAGTTGGTTCAATTCTTAAATTCACTGAAGTTTCAACAGAACTAATTTTTTTTCAGAAGCTAGGCTGTGATTGATTTTTTGAAAACACAAACAGCAGTAGATTAGGGAATTAATTAAGGAAAGCCTAAAATGTCTTCTCCTTCATTTCACTTCGCTTAAATGCCTGCTGAGCAGATGGAAGCAGCACTGGGAAGGAGGCTATTTCTCTGTACGGTGTGCAGAGTATCACAAATAGTGTGATTAACAAGCCTGAGGGATTTCTATTGAGAAAATGCTCTACTATGACCTAACAACTATAGGCTATTTAAAGAAATCAATGGTAGTTAACCCTTTCCACTGGTAAACAAATATGTGCAAATTGAAAAAAATA
This sequence comes from Homo sapiens, assembly GCF_000001405.40. NCBI lineage: Eukaryota > Metazoa > Chordata > Mammalia > Primates > Hominidae > Homo > Homo sapiens. The sequence goes on along the minus strand of NC_000013.11, from coordinate 107,017,501 downwards.
AAAAAACTAAAATTAAAAAAAGAAAATTACAGTAAAATATAGTCTGAAAACATGATGTCAGAATACTAACATATTTGGAGTTTCAAATGTATAATTTCCCATGAAGTAAATTACTCGTTAGTACTTTCATATATTTCTTTGAAGTAATTTATTCCCGAAACACTTGCATTGCAAATATCTGGAAATTGAGAAATTTTGGGAATGCACGAAGACACTCCTAGGGGGTGCTTTGAGGGATGAGATATTTTAAACACATCTCTTTTTTGCCATTTGTATACTACACCTTAAAATATGTGATATGTTAGCTTGTGGTCACTTGTTTATCGCCACTTAGAAACAAATAAAAAACTTTTATTTTAAAGGAATTTTTTAGGATGTAAGTTTTAAAAATCATTCTCGTAAATACATCTTCCCTTTCTCCTCAATCTTTCAATATGCTGACAGTCACTCATCTCTTGTTCCTCTCTAACTTAAGTCACGTGTGATCTCACTTCCTGACTTACTTTTTATGCAAAATAATTTATGGTTTGCTTTATATCCGTTTGTATCACGACGTAGTTATTTTAAGTGTGGGGATCATTTCACCTGACCTTAAGGTTAGAGCTCATGGCTTATGTTTCCAATCTCAGTCTTGGAAAGAGAGAAAGAGAGAGAGAGAAAAAGAGAGAGGGGGTAGGTAAATGCAAAGAAAAATTTCCCAGCACTTTGGGAGGCCGAGGCGGGCGGATCACGAGGTCAGGAGATGGAGACCACGGTGAAACCCCGTCTCTACTAAAAATACAAAAAATTAGCCGGGCGTGGTGGCGGGCGCCTGTAGTCCCAGCTACTCGGGAGGCTGAGGCAGGAGAATGGCGTGAACCCGGGAGGCGGAGCTTGCAGTGAGCCGAGATCGCAGCACTGCACTCCAGCCTGGGCGACAGAGCGAGACTCCGTCTCAAAAAAAAAAAAAAAAAAAAAAAAGAAAAATTATTTGCCTTTCCAATCAAAACATCCAAAAGTTCTTGCCTACAGTGCAACTGGATCATATTATTAGTTGAAATCTAATTAAAAGACCTATTTAGAAAACGGCAAAAGATCAAACTTTTTAAGAGGGTTTTAGTGACACTTTCTGCTTACTTTCCTCGGCTTCCTTTCTCACCACTGTTTCTCTAGAAAATTGTGCTTCACCCGGGCAGCTTCTTTCAGTTCTACATGTGAGACATGTTGTTCTCTCTCCATTTTGCTCTTTGTATGTTTTTCTAAGCTTTTCTTTCTTTCCTGTTTGTTTGTTTTTGAAACTGGGTCTCACTCTGTCACCCAGGCTGGAGTGCAGTGGTGTGATCGCAGTTCACTGCAGCCTCAACCTCCCTGGGCTCAAGCAATCCGCCCACCTCAGCCTCCCGAGTAGCTGGGACTGACTACATGGGTGTGCCACCATGCCCAGGTGTTTTTCGTATTTTTTGTAGAGATGGGGTTTCACCATGTTGCCCACGCTTGTCTCAAACTCCTAGGCTCAAGTAATACACCCGCCTCAGCCTCCCAAAGTGCTGGGATTACAGGCGTGAGCCACTGTGCCCGGATAGTGCATTTTTAATGCAAAAAAAGCACTGGGTTTTTGGTTTCCAAGACAGTTGGTGATAAACATGTAACTTGCATGAGTCAGATTTTTTTCAGTGTTGATCATCCTCAGAGGGCAGAGGAGCAGGCCCATGGGAAAGCCACTGATCCCCTGAACACCAGAAGAGACACCGTTTCTAAGGACGCATCAGCATCTCCTTCACAAGGTCATCGTCATTTTTGAGACTTGGCCCAAGTATTACTTAACAGCGTTAGAAGAGGTCCAGGGACTATCCCTCGGTGAAGGAAGCATGATGTACCAGATAGATTGTGGCTCTTGTTTAAATTAATTTCACTCATTTTTATATTACAGGTTTTCTTATGGATCTAAAGTAAGTGAAGCAATCCCTGTTCACGCATTGGCAGAAGAATTTGTCAAATGTTAAATAGTGCCAGTTTTATATCAGTGTCATCCGATTCTTTGAAGGAAAACTAAGCTAATTCCGATAACGGTTATACTTTTTCATCCAGTTCACAAAATCAAAGTAAGGTTTTGAGAAGTTAATTCTGCCAAAGGGAAAACATGATTGCAAATGCTGTTATAAAATCAAATGAAGAGTTCAACATTAAAGATAAGTTAATATGTACTGTTGTTTTGTTTGTTTGCTTCTATTGATAATACATAATATAAATTTGGGTCAAGTCAACATTATGATAAAACAATGTTTTTACTAAATTAATAAACCGAAGGACTTGGTTGAAATGTACACATAATTTATAATTGCATCCAAATAATAATTTAATATTGGATCAGTGTAGGATGATTATAAAAATTTTGATATATGCATACTTAGAAAAATTCAACTACACATTTATTGCCCAAAGCTGACATGTGATATAAAAAATCTTTAGTGTGGTAGTTCACTCTCTTTGCTAGTCATCCTGAATCAGGTTTTATCATGTTTCAGCCTTTGAAGAATCCCAATTAAATATCTAGAATGTTATTGAGCATTGGTAACATGATTTTTTACATTTTGGTTTACCATCTTGTTCAAAATCAGTGAAAATCTTTAATGAAATTATTTAATGAATGAAGTGCCAAAAAATGTTAAACTTATGAAGCTTCTAGCAAATTGCACTTATTTAAAACAAAACTTTTGAATTGAAAGGTATTGTAACTTGTTCTGAAAAAAGCAAGGGATGAACCAAACAAATTAATTCATATAGTTAAATGATGTTTGAGATTTAAATTTGATATTCTATAATTGCATTTTAGAATAAATTAACTTAGCATAATGTCATTTGTTAGAGTCCTATTTTTAATTGACTAACGTTATATTTTGTAACAAATTAAAGTGAACCAGAGAAGGGCTATGGATCTGTACCATCTAAATTTAATTCCCTTAAAAAAATTCAAAACAATCTTGTGAAAATGTTTGTTGAATAAAAATATCCTAAAACATTTAGTCTGAAATATGTAAATATTTTAATATAAAAACAAATCATAAATGAGAATATTATCCATTTAAAATAATTATTTTGAGCTTGCAAGCTATCTCAGCACCTATGAAAAATTATATTTAATTATTTAAAAGTATTGTGGTCATATATATATAATCCTTTGCTCTGTCAGCAAAGAGGACATGAAAGAAATGACACCTCAGGATCAGCAAGAACACCTAATGCCCAGACCTTGGTTTCTGGTATAATTCTTTAATAAAAAGAAGCAGGGCTCCTTGGAGAACTGGCTGAATCTCTGACTGGTACAGGAAACATACATGATGAGGCTGTAGCATCTGGTAGTGCCAGAAAATAATAAAGTGCCAAACAAAAACTAAAATAAAATCCTACACTTATGAAGGTATGTCAAAGGGATACACAGGCCCACTAAAGTAGCTCTCAGTGGCCAAAGTTAGAACAATTAAAGCAACAATATAAAGTGGTATTGGAATGTAACTCCAAGGGTAAAATGACCATCCAAACATCCATGGGCCTTTACTAGCATGAGTAAGTACATAAAAAGAGACAAATCTCCCATTCAGCAGCATTTCAAATCATTTATGTAGATTACCCTCAAGAGGATAAAGCATACTCCTCATCTGGTAAGTGTGGGCTGTGAATAGTGACTTCCTATGACAGAGTCACTATTCACAGTATGAAAAGTATTATAGTATGAAAAGGGGAAAAACTAACTTTGAGGTGAAGGTAACTGACAAACACCTCCGAAGCCAGTATGTCAGTCGCGGTTCTCCAGAGGGACAGAGATAATAGGATAGACGTATACATGAAAGGGAGTCTATTAAGGAGAATTGACTCACACGATCACAAGGTGAAGTCCCATGACAGGCCGTCTGCAAGTTGAGGAGCAAGGAAGCCAGTAGTGGCTCAGTCCGAGTCCCAAAACCTCAAAAGTAGGGAAGCTGACAGTGCAGGCTTCAGTCTGTGGCTGAAGGCCTGAGAACCACTGGTATAAGTCCAAGAGTCCAAAAGCTGAAGAATTTGGAGACTGATGTTCAAGGGCAGGAAGCATCCAACAAGAGAGAAAGATGAAGGCTGGAAGACTCAGCAAGTCTGCTCTTCCATCTTCTCCTGCCTGCTTTTTTCTAGCCTCACTGGCAGCTAATTAGGTGGTGCCCATCCAGATTGAGGGTGGGTAGGCCTCTCCCAGTCCACTGACTCAAATGTTAATCTCCTTTAGCCACAGCCTCACATACACACCCAGGAACAATATTTTGCATCCTTCAATCCAATCAAGTTGACACTCGATATTAACCATCACAGCCAGGTCATCAGAGTTAACACCAGCAGTGACGGTTCGTGTTGGTGGTACATACTCTTGATGTGATGTGATAAGAATGACATTTTACCTCTGTGATCTTCCTCCCCAAAACACATAACTGGAGTCTAATTGTGAACAAAATACCACACAAATTCCAGTAGAGAGCTACCCCACAAAATACCTGATCAGTCATCTTCAAACCTATCAAGTTCATCAAAAACAAGTGTCATAGCAAACAGGAGCCTCAGGGGACATAACCACCAAATGTACTGGGGCATTCTAGATAAGATGCTGAAACAGAAAAAGGACATTAGGTAAAAACTAGGGCAATCTGAACAAGCTATGCACTTTTAATAATAATGTATTACTATTGGTTCATTAATTGTAAAAATATATACCACACTAATGTCAGATAATGATAGAGAAAACTGGATAGGGAGGTATATGGGAACTTTTTATACTATATTTTTAATTTTTCTGTAATGCTAAAATTTTAAAACAATAAAGTCTATTGCTGGGCACAGTGGCTCATGCCTTTAATTCTAGCACTTTGGAAGGCCGAAGTGGGAGGATCGCTTGAGGCAAGGAGTTCAAAACCAGCCTGGAGAACATATTGAGATTCCATGTCTACAAAAAATTTAAAAAAATAAAAATAAAATAAATAAGTAAAGTCTATTTAAAAAAAATAATAAAAGCATGTATATGAAGGTGTTCATTGTTCCTTTTGTCTTGGGCCCCAGTATGGCTCAGCCAGGCCCTAGCTATTTCTCCAACTGATTCGACTGGAAGATATCAATATTTTGTATATTCATCTCAAGATGGCAGATGAATTTGTACTTAAGTCCTATCAGTATTTCTTCCCAGAAACAATTTTGAATCTGCAAAAATACTAGGGCATGCTATGATTTTCAGCGGTCAAAACCTCTCAATAAATAGTTTATTTTTAAAACTCGTGGTCTGCAAAAAGAACCAATTTTAAATTTAGTAGCAACAAAATAAAATTTTGAAAAATTGTAGGTAATTTTATTTTAAAAATTAAAAATAATGCTATGTTGAAAACAATGCCTTCTTCAAAAAATACAGTGTTACACATCCTTGCAGGGTTTTTTTCCCTCTCATGCAAATTACTTCTGTATTCACTCTAGATTTTAATGAAATGTATTCAGTGAGAGAGCAGGGTCTAATATAGACATTTATATATTTTAATACTGCAGGAAAAAGTATTTATTTTTGTATATTTAAAGTATCTAGTATCTAAAATAATGAACACTCAATATCATCACATTAATTTTGTTCCTTACTTAATCTTATTTGATGCCTCTTAACTCTTCACTCTCCAAGTGAGATATTTCCACTTCTGATTTTTTTCACATTGAAATATGTAAATATTTCAACCCAAGTACTTTTCACAGGCATTGCCTTCTGCCTTCATTCAGAGTAGGTTTCTTTAACAAATACTCTGTCATTGAATGCTGCCATTTCTTCCTTGTAAATATCGTATCGATACACATAACAACCCATTCTTCCAATTGTACTTTTCCTTGCCTCTCACTCAACGACTTCTGGATAATATTCTCTTGATTATCTAAAAAATTATCTTTTCACCTTTCCATAATTTGGTATCGTTCATCTTTGTAATTCAAAAAATGCATCACCCAGTGTAGCCAACTAAAAACTGACTCCAGGAGACCCAACAATTTGAACCAAAACCTCTTGGAGGAGCAGCCGCAACAGTAAAGCTGAGGTTAATAACAGGATCTTGCTGCAACATGGATGAATCTCAAAACCACTATGCTAAGTAATGGAAGTCTCACCCCAAAGGCCACATATTATATGATGTCACTTACATGAAATGTCTATAAGAATGAATATATAGAGAAGAAAGCACATTACTATGGGCTGGGACCAGAGGATGGCAACGGGATTGACTGGAAATGAATAGAGCAGTTCCTTTTGGACGGATGAAAATGTTCTAAATCTGGATTATGGTGATGTTTGCATAACTGTGAATTTACTACAGTTCATTGAATTATACACTTAAAAGAATTTTATGGTGTGCAAATTATATCTCAATAAAGCTGTTTTAAAAAATGATGTTTATCAAGATGGCAGCATAGGCAGATGAACTCAGCCACTTGGCATCATCAAGATAAATGTCTAAACTTGAGAACCAGTATAGTCGCTTTTCCTCTGAGTCTGCTGATCAGAGGCAGAAGGAAAATTGCAAATATGTGTGGGCCCCTAACACATAATAGAAACTGTGCTAGGTATTGTACAATAAAGAAGCTCAATAGAGAACTTCAGAAATTATCCCGGCTCTTCTAATTACTTTCTTTTGTATTCAGTCATTGCCCCTTTGCTCCTACCATTTCTGTTTGACAACTGAAAAAATAAGTAAATTCTTGTATTTCTTCTTTTCATAATTTAATGTCAGCTAGAGGCTTAGATACCCATTTTCATTAACACAAAGCTCTTTTCTTTTTGTTCGTGGGACTACTCAGTTCAGGCAATTAGTTGTAGAAAAAGCTATGAAAATTTTATATTTCCAACTGAACTGAAGCTCCTAACCTCTGAATAAATAAATGTCACTGATGGACTAAAATTTAATAAAAAACACAAGGAGTGACTTTGTTGCCAGTATGGGCGCTCTTTAGCAACCCTTAATTTCTGGATATTTATGGAACGTATTCATATGGGCATTGTTTCTTTGTACCATTAGGGGAGAGGACCAGAAATTAGCCAGTTAATAAAAAAAAAAAAGCATAAAAATATAGAAAGTCCACTGGTGATAAATTGGACATATCAACCATGAAATTGTGTTAATTTGATAATTAAAGTGTCTCAGTTCAAATGTAGATCCTGGGCACTTAACAAAACGGTGACAAAATAATTAGGAATGAAGGCATATTATACACACATTAATTGCTGAAACAGATAAAGTGTAAAGCTCCCTTCAAGAAAATGTGTTTTGCACAGCACAGAGCAATTATGCATAGACCTTAGATTAATCCATCATTCACAGTGGACCTGGGAAGAAAGACAAGGAAGGAGCCTTTCTAGTTCAGTTGAGTCCTGATGGGCACAGTCTGAAAGAGGGGAGGAGGGAGGATGAAAGGAGGAAAAGGAGAGATGGGGAAAATCAACAACGAAGAAAGATAATATGAAACTCTGCCTCCCAGCTCCCTTCTTCTCTCTTAATTTTCTCATTCTCTCCACTTTTACTCTCTCTCCATCACATTTCTTTTCTCTTTTCTTCTCTTAAAAGAGAAAATCTCTTTTAAGATTTTCTCCAGTCTATTCACATACTTCATTCTCACTCCTTCCCTTCCTTTCTTCTCATAAAAACATTCATTAAGGCAAGAAAACTGTTGAGAAGACTGAAAAGGAATGGTTGAATGTTTGTACTGAATTCTAGAGGTGGAGTTGAGGAAAGGAGACCCATGCGTCATTTCTTCACAGCTCAAATGAGATGGCAACCTTAGGAGAAGATAGCAAACCAGGGGATAGAAACACAGGGCTTTCGTGAAGAAAGGCAATCATTACAATACCTATTGTGCTGAAGCTGGGTGTGTGAGCTGATATTTGTACAGCTTCAGCTGGTAATTGGGTTCTCTTGCTTTGTCTCTTTCCCTTGAGGAGTTTAAATTTTTCTTTTTATGACTATAATACAAAGATGAGTCAGTGGCCCAGTTTTTTAAAAAGTAGATTCTTTTTAACATAGTTTACAATATAGTTAAGCCCCAATTCATGCCAGGAACTTCTCTGTGCATAAAGGATCCTGGAAATACATTTAGCTGCTAATTTTGAATTAATAGCAGAAAAAGGTAAATCTATGTTATGATATTATATAACATAGCAAGGCAACCCTGATCAAGTCATTTTATGTTACCAAAACAATCACTTCACTTATCACCACCCATTAATCCCTGGTGTAAGGTATGTTTATTATTTCTATTTTTAGTTTCAGTATGTGTGTAAGGCAATTAAGAATACATAATTTTTGCTGGGTCATGTGTGGGGTACATTTTTAGACATAAAAAAATGCCTTCATCTTGCAAAAGGGGAACGGAGATTCAGAGATATTAAGCCCCTTGCCCGAGTCTACACAACTAACTAGGGGAAGGATTGAAACCAAGGCTCACACCTGCTAGAGAGGGCTCTGCCCACCAGGCTAAGCCACCTTGTTATTTAGCACAGTGGTGATCCAACCAGCATGGAAATACAAATATTTGACACATATTTGAATTGTATGTAACTAAGTCACGAAGCAGAGAACTCTGGCACACAACCTATGTTGGACATTGTTGGGTAATACCAGAGATGTCATAAAATTATGAGGGTATGGTAGAGGTGACACCTCAAGGCCAGCCCTAGGTCATATAATGCACCCCCAGTAGTTCAGAACATTGGGAAAATGATTAGGACAGCAACTAGTAACAGATATTTGATAAGAAATATCAGAGTAGGTCCCATCACTCCCGTCTTTCTCACAGTGATTGCTGAATGCAATGAGGATTCCCTTCTTCATTTCACTTTCTTATTCCCTATTAGAATGAAGATTTACTTCAAAGAAGCGTGCGTTGATAATTATCCTTTATATTTTCTGAAAAGATCAGATGACATTCTCCTACCTTGTCTCAATGGCACCATGACATTGAGGCCGGCCGTGGGCTTTTGTCTCCTTCCTTTGTTATTGTCATGCTTGATTGTGGGTGGAAATCACAACTATGGCCCTCCCTACAAAAAGAGCAAATGCCTATTGATCTTCTCCATAATCCATCTTTATATTCAGAGTTGTTTTAGTCCCATGACACTTCTCAGATAAAGCTTATGAAATGGTGCATCATTAAAGGCTGGTTTTCTAGGAAAACAGTTCTTTATTACTTGCCTCTGGTGGCTTGAGGCAAGCGATCTCTCTGTGCCTCAGTTACCTCTTCTGTAAAATGAGGCTAATGACAGTGTCTAACTCAAAGGTCTGTTTTGAGGATTACATGAGTTAACATGTAAAGCCATTAGAGCAGACTCATAATACCTGTTTACTCTTTTTCCCTAAAAAATGCTTAACTCATAAATTAACCATCAGAAGCAGATTATCTTTTAGGATAAAAGGTAGCCATGGATAATGAACAGACAGTAGTGAGCAATCGGTGCTGATGATTAGAAAACAGACTGTCTTTTACACCGCCAGGTTTGCTACCCTCCTGGAAATGTTCAGTCCTTTGTGCACCGGGCCTCATCACAGAAACGGGGGTGTTTAAACTTGGATTTTGCTCCTTCAACCTCAGCACTCAATCTGAGAAGTTAGGGGATTTATGATGCCATTTAAAGGCAGTATTCCTTGGAAATAGTTAACAGTTGAGGAGTTATCTTTATTATGGAAATTAATACTCTCACTGTTTTATTCATTAATATTTTAATATGTTTATGATGAGACTCAACCCAAACCAATTTCCAAATCAAATCTGTCCCACAGTAATTTGATTTGTTGGAACAGAGAACAAAAGCATTACCAATGGGGTACTTTGAATGAAATTATAATTAATTAGGCATATGAATGCACTAACTAATTTTGGATAAGTAATTAGATGACTAATTATGTTGAAAACAGAACTGTGTGCTTAATGAGATGACCGTGGCCAATTCTACCCTCAGATCATTTTTTTGATTAGTTAAAATTATTATTGTTTTTTGATGATCAAGCGTCACCTGTTGCACAAGCAAGATATGTAGAGGTGTGGTTTGAGCCTCTTTGGACTTGCAATATTTGTTATACATCCACAATCAATGCCTCTTTTCCACAACATATGTTCTATGACTGTCCTTTGCAGATTCATTGATATTCCATCTTTTTTCTTTCATTTCCCCCCGACACACACCTTCCCACCACCACCCAAATCCTAATTATTTCCGCTTAAGTTTGGGAACTCCACAATGATAAATTAAGCAAGAAGAGAAATAACACATAGGTTGTGCTATAGATAAATCTTAATCCATCTTGGAGAAATATTTGAAGTGGCAGCTCCTCTTTGAAAAGGCACTGCCCAGGATCTGCTCAGATCATAGGCAACCTTGAAGCACTCAGCAGTTCCGCTTTGGGCAGCTGGTTCTAACTAGCACCTATTTCGCAGGAGGCTACACTCGGGATTTCTGGTTTTAAGTTTAAAACAATATTTCACAGCAATTGTGTTGTCAGAATTCAGGTCAGAAAGATGGCAGATGTTAATTTAAACCAAAGAAGCAAAGCCAAACTATTCCATTTTTCCTTTTTTATTGTCAAATTGGCAGCTCTACACAAATTCTGAACACAAAATAAACCACAAGTGAGTTAGAAACACCCAGAGTGGATGAGACATTCTTAGGGTATTTTGGTATCTGGTAGATACTGACTCGATTCTACTCAGACAGCTTAATGCTGGGAAAAGTAATGATCTCAATATGCCAGAAAATAACCTTTCATTTTGCTTTATCAAAAGAGAAAGCTGAAAATCATAATGATCCCAGCTTTTAAGAAAATGCTTTCCCTCATGGTCCACATTATCCAGTGACTGTAAGCACAGACCCCAGGAGAAAATATCCACCCAGGGCTCATCTTTTTTCCCATACTTCAAACAGAGTCCCCTTTCAGAAAGTGTTACATTGGCAAGAAATGAGTATTCATACCTGGAATCCAGGTAAAGTCAAATCTACCCCACAGTTGAAATTCAAGACTCCCAATCATTTTATGATCAATTCACACTTTAGGAAAGAGCCTATGCATTTACATTAATGTGCCTGTATATAGGCATTTGCATGCGTGTAACTGGTTTGACATCCGTCCTTCGCTTCCATCTGTTTTCACAGATGCATAAGCCAGGGGGGGCCCTGCCACTGGGCACCTTCCTGGTAAAGATTCAATCTTAAAAGAAAATTATACCTCTAACATAAAATCATCTTAAATTAGCAATTCACCATAAGCGCATTCTCCAGGGTACTGTATACTGAAATCGTATTTTTTTCCACACCAAAGCAACTATTTAAAACATTATCTGTTTTATTCTTCAAATCAGTCACCAATTATTTGGTCAGTGTTTGAAGATTATCAAGTGGAACTACCTACCTGATCAATATTTTGTTTCCATGAGACCAATACCCTCAGGAGCACCCCTGCTTCCTTTTAAGGTGCCTGTGTTCACCAAACATTTCCCGAGATTGACTATCGCTGCCAAGCAGTTCTTAGGTCTGTCATGAGATAGTCTTATCTGGTTTGCTGCTTTATTTTGGCTATTTTTGCTGACCCCTTTCTTGCCCAAGAAAGCTTTTAGGAATGTAGGCTCTCTACCTGAGGATACTGAAACATTATTTGCTTTAGATTAGGTGTCTAGGACAGTCTCGCTTAAGGAGCCATATCATGTGTCCACTTCCTGCCCGGAAAGCACCTCCACTTCAGACACCATGGGCTGCACCTTACTTGCTGCAAACGATGCAACACCAGGGAAAGTTAGTGAACCATTGCCTCTGTCAGTTTCACCCACAGGGAAATAATAGAAGCCCTCTTCATAGTTTATTCCTCAACGAGAAAATTTTTTTTTTAAAGCTTCAAAGAGAAATATAGGTTCTACAAAAGTCCTTATGTGAAAACGTAGACCAAATTTGAAAATACGCACAAGAAAATCCTAAGAAGGGTGTTTTCGTTTGTCCTCCTTTCATGTTAAGTCTTCTTCAGACTTGACAAAATGATGCACTCTCTTTTAGTTAGGAAAGTTAACGATTTCTCCCTCTTTCAGAAGGCTAGGCATTGCTTCCATTCTCAATTGCGGACTTGTTAGAAAACTGATATTGTCAGAGAAGCTGAAAGCATAAATAGGCAAATGAATTCAAAATAGTCATATGCTTTTGCTTTTTTTAATGGTATGTTAGGAACCACCAATTGGCATACTTAAAAATTTAGAATGATCTGTCCACTGTACCTGGGTGTATGCAAATGTTGAACATACTATGAAAGCAGAGTAGGAGAAATTGACATTAAAAATTTATTTAGTCCTGTCCTCCAACACCAATTTAAGTGACTTTCACAATTCAGGGATTCTGTGCACAGTCCTAAACTCATGCAGTTCAATTAAGCTAAAGTTAACAAATATTTATTGGGTGCCCCAAATGTGCTTGGTCCTGTGGAATAAAAAATATGGGCAATTCAGGAGAAAGAAAATAGTTTATAATGTACTGTTGATCAAGAGTTAATACTATTGGTATGTGAATATGTGTTGGTATGAAAATGTGTTCTATGTGTATATTTGCATGTGTGTATATATCTTTATATGTATGTGTTCTGTGTATGTATGTATACATATGTGTGTGTATATGTGTTCCATGGTTGCTAAAAGCATATATTCTCTGAGATATGTATAATTCAGGTATCTTTTCTCAAGTCTAAACCCCCAAATATTTTTGAATTTCATGCCTGGTTTTACTCTTTCTATATCTGATTTTATGTGTTGCTAATTATGGAATTCTACTTGGTAACATATTTATGTTGAGAAATCTATTTTCCTAGCTTTTTAGTTTGATACAGTGCACATTTTGCCAAAGTAAATGCATAAACACCTGGAGCAGGCTCTAAGTGAAGCCCTTAAACTAATTAACTGGGATAGCCCTATTTGTTTGACCTGTTAATATCTACTTGTTGGTCCTTTGTAGAAACAATATAAATTTATATTGACTATAGAAATGTGTGTTCCAATACAGCTACTTCTGTCCATAGTGTTTCATGATTTAGAATGCAATGTATTTACTGCAGTTTATTTATGTAGATATTCAATGAGTTCAGTATTCTAAATACAATGGAATGTATGAAGCATGTTATATTTCAATATGCATTTATTTTTTAAAAAGTAAGCTTCAAAAGAAACTGAAGATAAGGGTATCACACTTTGTCTTTTATCAGAGTGTTCAGACATAGTTGGCTAGTGGAGACTGTTGCTTCTAAAATTATTTAAACTAAGATTAGAATGACTTTGTTGTGTTTTATTGCTTTATAGTTTGTGAGGATATGATAAAAGACCATAAGACTATAAACGAGTAAATTCTTTCTGATAACTTATCCAGTCCCCAGTGAGGCTAACATAGAATACAAGAGGCTGTGAAGTAGAAAGCAGGTGTTGGATCGCTTCTATCCTGAACAAGATGAAGAATTGTGGGCTCAGGTCAGGCGCATGTCAAGTAGATGAATGATAGTCAGTAGTGGATGCTACTGAAAACAAGGCTGTCTTGATTTCTCAAAATAATAATAATAATCATAAGTAAATGGCTATACACTATTACTAATTCATGAATTAAAATGTCTGACGGTCAACTGTCAATGCTGAGCTAAATAGGGAGGATGCTAGCCATGGTTTCTGTTTTCCATTCCTGTTTCTATGCAGGCCTTCACAAGGCGTTCCTTTCCCGTCCTATCTATGCAGCAGAGGCCGACTGGCAGGATCACCACAGTGTTGCTTCTGCACATTCCATCACTGTCCACGCGTGAGAGCCATGACACAGGACTTGGTCCGAGGTCAAGTGTAAATCCCAGCTGTGGAGGCTCCTCCAAGAGGTAAAATTGTGGTAACTTCAAGGTGGCTTGAGTGCTTCATTCTCTTGGATTGAGAACATCTGCAGTTGGGACACAGGTAGAAAAGCACCTGGCTTCTCGCCTTTCTAGACCTAAGCCAGGCAGGCAGTTTGGGAGCTCCCTACTCTTCCTAGTGGGTGAGGCAAACAGGAAGCCTGGAAACAAATTTCAGACGCTGAACTTTTCCCTCCACACCAAAGAGGCTACATAACAAATACCGTTCTGGTGTAGATCTAAAGAACCCATTGATCAACTTAAATTCTTCAGTGGAGTGGTATGTAATGTGATTTCTGAAAGTGAGAAAACTTCCATATATTGTGAATATATTTAAAGTCAATAAACATGTTAATTCATAAAAGTGAACCCTTACCTGTAATTGTGGTCAATTGAAATGCAAATAATTAAATCATAGATTAAATAACAATTTTAATCATGTCTTTTAAAAACAGGAACAGAAAAAGTATATGAATAAAAGACTTGTTTATTATTCGATGGGCACATAGCCAAGAAATCTGAAAAGATGGGAAGTAACGGGGCCATAGCATGGAGTACACATGAGGCACTTAGATGGCATTCCTTGATTGTTCATCACCTTGGTCATTAAAGGAATTAAGCACATTAATTCCTTAATTAATTAATAATGAAAGAAAACAATCGAGGAAAAGTTTGAGATCAGTCTATTCCTGGACTGGAAATAGATGACTAGATGTACATTAGAATTGATGATTCCAGGAACACTTAGAATTGTGAAAAATATAGAGTACCTGCCCTCAAAGAAGCAAGCAACTTAGGATGGAAAAAATGAATGTACATAAGTCATATGAAGGAAAGAAGGGAATCAGCAGCCAGGGAAGTGTCCTTGGAGCTGCGTCTGATAATAGCTGTGCTACGATTAATTATATAAAAAATAATAATTCAAACTGGAACACTGTCATTGCTGCACTTATGTATTCAAAATGCAGCCATAGTACTGCCATTTACACTTGTGTCCTTTATTGAGTTGGTGTGAAAACTCTACCGCAAATCAACTGTGAGACAGCAGTGCAGCCATTATGTCCTTATTTTACAGATAAAGACGTTCAAGACCATAGGAGAATAGCACCTGTGTTAGATAATTCTAGAGAACACCATTCATATCGTAGCCACCAAGTGACTTACTTAAGATAGCAACTCTGGGTAATAATAGGGCTAAATCTTGGCAAAGCTTCAGTGTGAGAATATGGGCATTGGAGTCAGATGGGCATTTATAAGCTGAATAAACTTGGTCCTCATGTTTG
The DNA here is from genome assembly GCF_000001405.40 of Homo sapiens. NCBI lineage: Eukaryota > Metazoa > Chordata > Mammalia > Primates > Hominidae > Homo > Homo sapiens. Next base: position 107,002,323 of record NC_000013.11, on the reverse strand, counting down.
TCATCATTATCATCATTTATTTTCTTTGTGCCTCAGTTTCCTAATCAGCAAAATGGAATAACAGTAATTGTTTCACACATTTGTTGGGAGGATTAATGAGGTATGTATGCAAAGCACTTAGCACAAAGTATGTATTTAATAAATAGTTCCAGTTACATAAATAATATTATTTAGAACCCATGAATTTGGATTTCTAGATGAGAACTCCTGATACATTATGCTTCTCATGCTTTTAACATCTAATAATTCCATATAGACATATCTGTTAAACAGATATGTGTGAAAATAAGCAGACACACTCTTTCACACACACATACACACACACAAATAGTAAACTTAAATTCACATGTATATTACTTTTATAAAAAAATTAAGAGAGTTTGCTTAGTTGGTATTTGCATAGTAAATATTGTTGAAGATTTAAAATTTTGCTGTTGCAGTAGCTTAAATATAATTTCAGTTCTTGGAGTAGCTAATTGTAGGTTCTATAAGTCCCTATGATTAAATTGCATCAAAAATAAAATATGTAATGAATGCCTGAATTAGTATGTTGAGAACATTTCTTTTCAGGAATATGTGACAATAAGTTGTAGCTTTGATTAGAAAACTTCTTCAAATTTAATGTACCTAAACTAAAGATCGTTAATGATAATAAAATTAATGTTAAAAGTTAACTTCCAATAGGGGGAAAAAAAAGAATAATTCTGGGAGCAGGGGGAAAGAAGAAGTTTCATCTTTTAAATGTGGCTCTTAGCTTTGGTAATGTAATTTTTCAATGGATGATCTTTTTCAAAGGAAGTTCAATCAGATGAAAAAGCACCAAAGATGTATATGATTAAAAAGTATCAGCAGCCTAATCCATCAAAGTGTGTTTGGGATATTTCTAATACGCCCATAAATAAATTCTTTCCAGATTTTGCACACTCTTCCTATTCACTTGAAGGGCAGAACACGTGCCATTCATTTGATTTTCCTTTATGCATATCTTCCTTCGGTCAGCCAACATGTATTTATTGAGCAAACACTAATAACAACATGCACCCCTTGCTGAAAAAGCTATGTTCTTGCAGGCCAGGTGCGGTGCTCACAGCTGTAATACCAGCACTTTGGGAGGCAGATGTGGGAGGAGTTTGAGACCATCCTGGGTAGCACAGTGAGACCCTGTCTCTACAAAAAAATAAAATAAAATTTAAAAAAATAAAAAAATAAAAATAAAAAAATTAGCCAGGTGGGGTGTCACTTGATTGTAGTCCCAGCTACTTGGGAAGTTGAGGTGGGAGGATCACTTGTGTTGGGGGGTTGAGGTTGCAGTGAGGTGTGATCACACCACGGCACTCCAGCCTGGGTGACAGAGTGAAATCCTGTCTCAAAAAAAGATAAATAAAGAAAGAAAAAAAAAAAAAAGAAAGAAAGGGGAAAAGATACATTAAATTCTTTAGAGGAATTTAATGTACATATAAGTTAGGAAGTATAAATATCCAAGAGGCAGGGACAAGTCGCAAGTGTCAGGAAGTGTCAGGAAGAGGGGGCAGAAGCTGGGCCGGGACTTGCAAAGGCTGCAGCAGGGCCTTCTGGGCAGTGGGCGAGCTTAGGTAATGTGAAGGCAACCGTGCTGTGGGGAATAGAAAATAGGACTGCAGGAGTTTTTGATAACAGAGTTTAGACACATTTGTTATGGATCATTCATTTTGCCAATATGTTTTGGCTCCACGTATGTGCCAGGAACTACTCCACGCACTGGCAGTACAGCTCTGAGTGAAGCACACTGCTTCACTACATCCCTGCTTCACAGAATTCACATTCTACAGCGACAAAATAATACACAAAATGTGCCATATGTATACATGGTATGTTACATGAGGGCTGAGCATTTTAAATCAGGTGGTCATGGGAAGGCCTCACTGAAGTGATGTTTGAGTGGGGACCACCCAGAAAGAGGTGCAGATGCCCTGAGCAATGCTGACACAGGAAGGGTGAGCATTCCAGGTGGAGAGAATAGCAAATGCCAAGGCCCTGGGGTTGGGAGCAGGCTTGGCGTGTTGGAAGGGTGGTGAGGGCACCCTGCAGCTGGAAAGGCATCAGCAAGAGCTGGAGGAGAAGGGGAAGAGGTTGGAAAGAGGGAGCTGTCAGAACTAGAACTGGGACAGCTACATAAGCCATTTTAGAGGCTTCAGCTTTTACTTACATTGATTTGAGAAGTCTCAGAAGATTGAGAAGAGGGTGACCCGATCTGCTTCGATGATGAACGGGTTGTCAGGCTCATCTATTGAGCTTGTATTCTAGGGACAAGACGGGGAAGCCAGGGTAGGGCGGGGAGGTTACTGGAACGTCCAGCAAGGGACGATGGAGGCTGAGGCCAGCGTGGCATCCACAGAGATGGTGAGAAGTCATCGATTTCTGGATACTTTGAAAGCAACGTGGACAAGATTTGCTGATGAGGAATGAGAGCAACGGAGGCATCAAAGATGACTCCGGAGTTTTAGACCCAAGCAACTGAAAGGCAGGCTTTCCCACTAATTGGAATGAGAAGCTTTTAGGGGAAGCAGAAAGCAGGGCAGTTGCTGGAATATGGATATTTTGTTGCTTAGTTGGCTCTATTTAGTCATTCATTATTTACCTATTATTTGTTAATTATGTTTTTTATACTGGGACAAAGTCACGCAAACCTACAAAATACGTGTGCTTCGTAAACTGTTAAAAGCTTTACTTCTTTAAGTAAACCAATGTTACCAGTTTTAAATATTTTTTGTTGTTGCTGTCTGCTTTTTAGCATCGCGTAGAAGTAATAAAATAGATGGGCAATAGCGATGGCTGTATACAGAAAGACAAGCAATTTTGCAAAACGGGCTAAAGAACTCCGTAATGGCAAGGTGATAAGAATTTCCAAAAGTTCCAGTCAGATGTTAAAATAGACAAGTTTTGGGACCAGGCATGGTGGCTCACGCCTGTAATCCCAGAACTTTGGGATGCCACGGCGGGCGGATCACCTGAGGTCAGGGGTTCGAGACCAGACTGACCAACATGGTGAAACCCTGTCTTTACTGAAAATACAAAAATTAGCGAGGCATGGTGGCGGGTGCCTGTAATCCCAGCTACTTGGGAGGCTGAGGCAGGAGAATCGCTTGAAGCCAGGAGGCAGAGGTTGCAATGAGCCAAGACCATGCCATTGCACTCCAGCCTGGGCAACAAGAGTGAAACTCCATCTCAAAAAAAAAAAAAAAAAAAAAAAGAGAGAAGTTTTTATATATACAAAGCTATTTTAGCTGAAGAAAGAGGAAGAGGGAGGCCTTTAGATTAGAAGGGAAATGTCCTTTGCTCTCCATCTCACATCCAAGAATATCTCAAGTATGAATTCTGACTTCAATATTTCAAACTGTAGCAACATAAATTATGATGGGTGGCCCTGAGATTGAGTAAACTGCCATATTACAATAAAGAGTTGTCCCATCAATATCAATCACTAAGAATAAGTGAAGCCATCTGCCAAACATAGAGAGATCTAAAGAGTGAGATGTCCTCTCCTTCCTGTGCTAATGTACACTAAATGATTTTAAAGCCCTTTTTCCGTTTTCATAAATGGTCGAACATCCAATTATTGGCCTGTTATTTGGCCAGTGTCAGACTTACATTAAGACACGGGCACGTGTGTTATCGAGAGGAAATCTTTACAATATATGACGGTAACGTTTTATAAAGATGCAGCTTAGAGAGTTGAACGATCAGAGCTGTGGTAACTATTATCACCTGTCTCATGTAGCCACAGACTTGGTCTGTTAACCATGTGAAACAACACTGAATTATAAGAGTATCTGCCCTTATTTCTAATATGACATGCGGCATTCTTTTTGTTTCTTTAACTTTTATCATTTTAATGGAAAATAATTGACTAAATCACATTCAGTGTTCTGCACAGAGTGCTGTCTTCTAAATTAAAAATAGAAAATTACTAACAAAGTGTGGTCAGATGAAGGACTGCCTGAAGCTCATTTGCCATTAATGGCTTTGAACTTAGGGAAACAAAAACAAAAACAACTTTTAGTCCATTAATTACAAATAGTTGAATATAAATTAATTAGGCCATTAATTACAAATAGTTGATTACAAATTAATTAGGCCATTAATTACAAAAAGCAGCTTAACTTTACAGTTAATTTTTCCAAAAAAAAAAAAAAAAAGGAAGAAAGGAGGAAGAAAGAGAGGGAGGGAGAGAAGGAGGAAGGAAAAATAAAATCAGAGGAGAAGATGGAAATCAAAATCATCGAATTGTCTTTTCAAATCCAAAGGGAGTGAGGCTGTGGGTGACCAGATAGTCCCAAGCTCAGCAGCCCTTCCCCTTTTGCTTTTTCTTACTCCTCTTTTTGCCTTTCCCACTCCTCCAGGCTGCTGTCTCTGCCCCGCTCCCACATACCTTATCTAAAGCCTACTCCACTGGGCTCACTGTTTGCAGTGCTGTGTGTACAAAAGTAAACGGGGTTGCATCTTGACCTTAAGGTTTCTAGACCCGGGAACTAGGAGTGATGGATTTTATTCATTCTTGTGTCTACTTGCAGCATGGAGGAATATGCCCAAGTGAGGCATCATAAACAAGTCAAGAAGATTAAAAAAAAAAAAAAGCTTTCATCCAGCACCTTTCCTGCAAATATCAAATGATAGGTTGCTAGTTAACCAATCTTGAGGGTGGCCCCTGGAAACAAACCATAAAATGGACATTCTTCACATGCTGCCGTGTTACTTGGAAGATGTACCAATTTGTTTCTATCAATCAAAATTTGCCATTCAGTGTCTGGTTGTCACCGTGCATTCTAATCTATAGCCATGTTACTTTAAGGATTAACTTGCAAGGGCACTCAAAAAAATCCTTGTCATGTTTACTTTCTAGTAGTTTGCTGCCAATCTGGATGGCTTTAGTTTTGGATGTTTACATTTTAAACTGGTCACAATCCAAACATATTGCATGTATTAGGCTACATGCAGAGCAACAAAAGCAGACCAATCCTCTTGTGAAATGCTGAGTGATTGTCATTACCTTACCTGCATAATCTTGACACAATGACTAGTGATAGTTGGATTTACCTGGTAGTTAATATCTGAAGGATATGCTGGGGGTTTATACTACTTTACACATAACAGAGGTATGCTTAACAGTTTCCTTAAATATAAACAAATATATTCATCAGTCTCTTTCCACATGAGTAATGGTAAAGCTCTTGGGCTACTGCAGGCTGTGTAGAGCCCAGAGTTTAACAATTTTGCATACTTTCTTTAACAAAACTAATATAAAATGATGCATTCCAAATTTCTGTGGCTTTCCAGGGCCTTGAATGTGGTCTCATGCAAGACAGAACCTGAACCCTGATCATTAGCTGCAGTTATGAACACATCTCTGGTATAGATTGCAGTGAAGAAAATGTAGCTGGTGTGGCTGGCACTCATTTTTTCTGGGGTCACTGTTCTGATCCTGCTATCCACCGACACATCTCACATCAATAAGAGAGGCTGGTTGACTCCCAGCTTTAATACTGCACTCTGACTGCAGTTACCCAGTCTCTCTTTGCTGTGCTCAAGTTCAGCCTATGCATAGCTCACACACTCCTGTGGAATTTATTTTTTGATTCCTAATTGTGAACGTGTATAAGCTCTCCTATGGACACGCAGCAGTTTGCAGTCTCATTGGTCACTCTGTTGCACACAACACAGTTGATGACTTGCTCCTTGAGACCGTCTGCTCTTTCGTTTCCATTTCCCTGCACCCTTCTGAAATTCCCCCAATCTCTTCTGTCTCCTCTGCTGACTTCACTTCCTTAATTTGTATATTTCCAACAGACGTTCTGGTTTAATTCCATGACTTCTCATACAAAGTCCCTGAGCTACATTTCCACTGTGACATCTCTCTTGAGCTCTGGGTCCAACTATATAACTGGAACTTCTCACTTATAAGTCATACAGGTGTCTTAAGCTGAATATGTCCATATCTGAACTCCTGCTCTTCCCCTCAATATCCAGTGAATGGCAGTTCCATGAATGCCGTTGCTCAAGTGAGACCTAGAAGAATTTTCTGTCATTCCCTATTCTTGTGGTGCTCCTTTTTATTCAGTCACCAAGTGCTATGGAGGCTACCTCCTAATGTCTCAAAATTTAAAATTTGAAGGAAAGAACATTGCAATAAAAATGGGTATCACTTAGAAAAAGCAGACTCCACCAAGTTACTTTGCAAATCCATGAGGGCACTTTATTACTACATTGAACAATTAATTAATGTTTCCATAGAAACATACATTTCTACAGGCTCTTAAGCCTCACTGAAACTGAGAGAGAAGCCATACATTCTGAAATTTGAGATTGCATTGGCAAATGTATATATATTTTTAAAAGGATGTAAAAGAGCTTTGTACAAAGCTTTATCTTTCTGGAATTATAATCAGTGTTACCTACTAATAGGGTTACACCTTACATCAATCTGATAAATATAAATTCTGATACCTATAGCTCATAGTATAGAAACCAGTACTCATGATTCACAGAAGGACTCACATGGTTTTCTTCTGCATGTTGCAGTGCAAATCTAACTTAAGGAACTTACAATATCTAATCTCTCAGGAGAAATCACCACAGCTCTTCTTGCTAAATATGTCCATGTGAAACCATAGAAAACATGCTTGTATTGATTATTGTACTGTTTCTCAGTACATTGTACACTCCGTTGATTAGGAGTGGTTGTTTTAGAAGATAACCATCTTGAGGACAAGAGCTAAATCCAACACTTTATGTCCAGGGGTGCACACAGGAAGGCACTTAATATTACTGACGATAATAAATGATTGACATAAGCATTTTTAACTTTGGCATTATTAACATTTGGGGCTATGGAATTCCTTGTCACGGGCTGTCCTGTGCAATGTAGGATGCTTAGCAGTATCCCTGGACAATATCCTCTAGGTGCCAGTAACACCCCCTTCCAGATACGACAACCAAAAATGTCTTCAGACGTTGCCAAATGTCTCCTGTTGGGGAGAGTCATCCCTGACTGAGAACCACTGCTCTAGATACATGTAGGCACAGTAGCTGGTCATAAATGTGACCACAGCAGGGAAAGGGCATAGCCCTGTAGCGTATTCTTGGTGCACTGGGCCACATAATCTTGGTGCACTGGGCCTTTGTGGTTGGAATGGTGTGTATGCAGGGCACAGGCAGAGTGTGACATGCTAGAACATACTGAAATGTAAGTGGCAAAGTTGCCCGCTGGATTCACAATTATTAGACAGTCTTCCATTTTCAATACTTCCTCTATAAGGAGGCAATTGACAATTCATGCCTCAGTGGTCGCAGGCATAAAAGAGCCTTCTGGGGTCATAGGTAGATTAAGCTTTTTATAAATTAGCAGTGTAATGAAACTGACTGCCAAACCAAAGCTAATTTGTTATTCAACTGCATTAAGAATTGAATAATTTAGAAAATGATGAATTTAATACTCTGTGCCTTAAAATCATTCCTGGAATGTCCTGAGACTACATTTTAAGAATATCTAAGTACATACTGAGAAACACTCAAGGAATTGTAAGCTATCAGAAAAATCATTTACCTCCGTACAAAATAAACTGCTGTAGGAGGTTTGGGATGCTTGTAATACTGAATAATACTGAAATAATGCTGAAACTCAAGCACATACCTGCAGACTGTTGATAAGGATGTTATTGAGAAGTCTTAAGTTTTATGTGAGTAATTAAACTTGAAGACTGATGCTCCTTCCAATCCAGAGAGGATACAATTTCTTAAAATAATAATTCATTTTTTTTCCACCTGGCTTATTTAAGATCATTACAAGAAAGGTGAGAGAGATGAGCCTTCTGAGCCTTCAGTGGAGAATGAACTATGACTGCACTTTACATTTAGATTTCATGTATACATAAATAACTCAAAACTTCTTTGCAAAAATCTAGCCAGTCTTCTTATTGTCTTATTCTCTTAAGAATAGGATAAATATCAAACTCCCTGGTTTACCTTACTTAAATTCTGCAGGTATGCAGAGTGTGTTTCAGACCAAATAAATTATTGACTATTCTGCTCTAATACCACAGAATTTATCTTTTCTAAATAGCTTTAATCTTTCTTACCTAGTACATCATTATTTGTACAGCTTGGTTTTATCCATGAGAAGGTCACTGCTCAAAATGTGATTGGACAGAATGAATATTTCCCATCAAAAATGGTGTCCAAATTCAGCTGACTTGTGAAGACACCTTCAAAGACAAATTTCCAAAATTATCTCCTAGCACTTGCTATTCCTTGTTTCTTGAATCAACCTATTCATCACTAGGGTCTTCTTTTCCACTTATTTCTCAAGTACTAGGTTTGATTCACCTGTGATCCCAAAGTCACTCAATGCCACAGGCATTGGTGGGTCCCTACCACATGGTATACCTCTAGAATGTGACATGTCCTTACTTAGAAACGGAACATTTTGTTTTTTATTCAACGTAAAGATGGATAATATGTACTGTTAGTCTGAATATGTCTTACAGAAAACACAAAGCTCATTTATTTTTAAAATATAGCCTTATATCTCCAATTAGACAACTTTCCAAATCTTTGAAACCCTCTCTTTTGTTTAAACATCACTCTCATTCTTTTATGGAATCACAGCCTTTAAATTCTAAATCAGGTTAATTCTCTACTAGGTAAAATACCAAGTTTCCTCGCTCTCTAAAGTCAAACACAATTTGATGGCAAAAATATTCTACAAATATCTGATAAAAGTTTGCCACAAAGAGAACGCCAAAAACTTTTGGATTGCTCCATTAATTGGATAATTTTCACTTGTCCTTTATAGCAAGTTCCTTTACTGTGGCTTGTATGAAAGGATTTGTTTGCTTGGTAACATGAGAGTTAAAGGTTAAGAAACTATCTCCCTCATTACCACTGAGTGTGAACACTCTCACTTCTGCATGGATGTTTCTCATCTTTGATGTGAGTTCTCTGGTCCAAGAAAAGACAGGGTTAGCATCAGTACGTGAATATTTAAGAGTTTTCAAAGATACTAGACAAATTATAATACAGGTTTTTTAAATTTTAAGTTCTGGGATATATGTGCAGAACGTGCAGGTTTGTTACACACGTATACGTGTGCCATGATGGTTTGCTGTACCTATTAACCCGTTAGCAAGTTTCCCTCCCCTCACCCCTACCACCCAAAAGTCCCCAGTATGTGTTTTTCCCCTGTCTGTGTCCATGTGTTCTCATTGTTCAACTCCCACTTGTGAGTGAGAACATGTGGTGTTTGGTTTTCTGTTCCTGTTTTAGTTTGCTAAGGATGATGGCTTCCAGCTTCATCCATGTCCCTGCAAAGGACATGATCTCATTTCTTTTTATGGCTGCATAGTATTCCATGGTGTATATGTACCACATTTTATTTATCCAGTCTATCATTGATGGGTATTTGGGTTGGTTCTAAGTCTTTGCTATTGTGATAAGTGCCGCAATAAACATACATGTGCATCTGTCTTTGTAGTAGAATGATTTATTTTCCTTTGGGTGTATATCCAGTAATGGGATTGCTGGGTCAAATGGTATTTCTGGTTCTAGATCTTTGAGGAATTGCCACACTAGCCTCCACAATGGTTGAACTACTTTACATTCCCACAAACTGTGTAAAAGCATTCCTAATTCACAGCCTCACCAGCATCTATTGTTTCTTGAATTTTTAATAATCACCATTCTAACTGGCATGAGATGGTGTCTCACTGTGGTTTTGATTCGCATTTCTCTACTGATGAGTGATGTTGAGCTTTTTTTCCTATGTTTCTTGGCCACATAAATGTCTTTTTTTGAGAAGTGTCTGTTCATACCCTTGGCCCACATTTTGATGGGGTTGTTTTTTTCTTGTAAATTTGTTTAAGTTCTTTGTAGATTCTAGATATTAGACCTTCGTCAGATGGGTAGATTGCAAAAATTTTCTCCCATTCTGTAGGTTGCCTAATACAGGTTTTTAAAAATTACTTCTACAGCTTAACATGAGGCACCAGAGGTCTGAGGGTTATAAATGTGAACACTAAATAGACACACACCCATGAATATACAAAAACATGCAAGCATGCCCCTCTTTACTCCTTGAGGCAGCAAGAAAGACAGCTTGTTGATCCCCCTACTTCTTCAATGCACGCATATGCAGCTGCAAATTGGCTTTGTAGTTCTGCATTTTCTTATGCTATGACCCCTAGAGAAGTTACCTATCAGCTGGAGTGAAAGAAATCTAGCACTCTATGTGCACATCTGTTAATCAGACATGGTGAGTCCATCCACTCAACATTCACAAGACTTCTCATTCATTCCTCGGTCAGTTGTCAAATTGTTCAATAAATACTTCCTGGGGATTAAGTAGATACTATTTTACCCCACAGCCCACCTCAGCCTTTATCTGCAGCTGGGATAGGCAAGTCCTCACTTGCTGATAGCTTTAACCTCAAGCGGTCCTGTGTGACTGTCAGCGTTTTTGTCTCTTGCTGTCTCCAAAGTCTTGGGAGCTCATGCAGTCTGGGTAGCCAGGCAGTGATGGGGATTGTTCCCAGGCCAACCATTATTACAGATGGGTAGAGGGATGGATAGAGAAATGCCCCAGCCTCTCTTTAGGTGGAGGGGAATTCTGAGCTACATGCTATGCAGTTTTCAAGAAGGTTCTCACAGGGAATGCACCTCACTTGCTCAAGGTGATACCAGCTCAACCCACCCCTTACTGAGTTTTTACCATTTTTACATCACTTTCTCATGCCCTCACTTTTGGAATCATCTTCCAAATAAACCATAGGCATTCAAGACTTTATCTCAGGTTCCTTTTATAAATGAACCCAAACTAAGACAATTTCTGAGATCATTTCAGTTCAATAAACTTTCATTGGCTATTAATTCGACGCTAAAAAAAAATGTACCAGAGACTAAAGACAAGCAATGCAATAACACACTCTCCTGATCTCAAGAAGGAGTAGCTTTTTTTTGAAGAAGGGAGACAAACAGATACATCAGCACAATAAGATATTATAATTGCTATAATAGCAGCTGCCCCAGAGGCTTATGGGAGCTCAGAGGAAGGAACAACAAATTCTTTGTGGGGTAGGGGCAGGGGAAGCAGGGGACTTACTCTGAAATTATTCCAGAAAGGGGGTTTACCTGATGAGAGATGTATCAAATAACAGCATGCCGCATGAAAAACAAAGAGTAAGAAATAATTTAAACAACGAGTAAGGGCATGGGATATTTCCTTCAGTGCAAACTACAGTGCACTTACTGCATCCCAAGTTTTGTACTAGATATTGGGAACACGTCAATAAAACAGAATTTTGTATGAAATTTTGTCAGGACTCACTATACTAGACTGCACATACTTCATTGATTTTCTAACATATTGTAAATATTTTTAACATTGAGGACTACAATTAAAAAAAAAAAATTCATGCAGAATTTGCCAGAACCTTCCATTTCTAAAGCGGCACTAATTCATGCATCATTATTCAGCAGTCTTATTTCTTGAGTCATTCTTGAGGGTGACTTCATGAGACAGAGATGAAGAAACTACAGTGATATGTTGTCTGAGAAGCTTTAAAATGTTTAGTCTTCTTGGACAAGCATTTCTAAAACAAACTAAAAATGTTTTGGTCCAAAACTTCTCCTCAACTTCTCAACCCATGCTACTCTCCTCTCACCCTTGAAATAAAAGAGAGTGTTAAACATGAGGCTGAATGGGGACTTTACGCGCCATAATCACTCAGGAAATGTTGGTCTATAAACCTGACCTAAAGTCATCCAGAAACCTGGCTATGAGACCTTCGTCTGGAAAAGTCTGTCCATGTGATGGCATCTAAAGTGGAAACAAAGGTGAAAAGGGGTACAACTGGCTCCCAACTTAATGAAATACACAGCCATCTATGTCTGTAGGGACAGATTTATTTCTTGCTAAAACATGTATTTCCTGTCTCATAAACACAACTTTAGCACACCTTTTCAAACACCCAAGGAGAGACTAAGGCAGGGGGCAGTGGAGCATGATAAATGGGACTAACCCACACTGGGCTTATTTTTCTCTATGGAAGGTCACGTTTCTCACTCTAAATTTAGTGTCTGCCTACCTCACCCCCAGCCCAGCACCAGGTCTCTATTTTTAAATGATGATCACAGTTTCTTAACTCAGTAAACTGCCTTGTTAAAATATTCTTCTCATCTGTTTTTTTTTTTCTTCCTCTGGGGAGCAAAGTATTTCCTGACATCTGTTTTGAATTTGTTTTTCTTTTAATTTCTGTGTATGCCTCTTTTTCCTATCATCTGCATTAAATTGAAAATAGCATGTGAGGTTGAAGAGTTCTTTGCCATTTCTAGATTAATATTGCCTTTCACCCCAGGGGACTCTGAACAGACATTTGTGCTACCTCGACATCGATCTTGTTGCCCAATTCAGCCATCTTAGAGTTAGGAACAGAAACAAAGCTGGGTGTCCATGAAAACCTCCCACCAAGATATTTCAGATGCCTAGAAGAGTTACCTAGAAACAAAACCATGGATGGCCTCTGTTACAGACTGTTTGTGCTCCTCTTTCCAGCCCAACTCATATGTTGAAGTCCTTACCCCCAAAGTGATGGTATATGAAGCTGGGGTCTCTGAGAGATAATTATCTCATCCTAAGTGTATTGCTACAATGACTTCCAGTAGTTGTTTGTTGTTGTTGTTGTTGTGGATTTTTTGTTTGCTTGATTGGTTGTTTTGTTGTTGTTCTTTTGTTTTGAGACAGTGTCTTGCTCAGTCTCCCAGTCTGGAGTGCCATGGTACAAATAAAGCACACTGCAGCCTCAAACTCCTGGGTTCACACGATCCTCCCACCTCAGCCTCCTGAGTAGCTAAGACTACAGGCATGCACTACAACCGTGTCTGGCTAATTTTTGTAGTTTTTTAGAGACAGGGTCTCACTATATTGCCCTAGCTTGTCTCAAACTGGCCTCAAGTGATCCTCCCTCCTGGGACCCCTAAAATATTGGTATTACAGGTGTGAGCCACTGTCCCCAGCCTGAGTAGTTTTTATATGAATATCTATGCTTAAACTGAAACACGTATATGCATGTGTGTGTATATATATATGCATGCATTGTGTAGTCATTTGTATTAATATGTGTGTATGTGATATATATGTGTATATGTATATATTACACATATCTGCATGTGTATCATACATAGCATACATATTCATGTAAGCACACACGTATTGCATCTGTGATGTCAACAAAAGATTTTGCTAGCCTGTTTCAGTCTCTGAATTGCTTGTGATTTATAATATGGAGAATGACTACACAGTTGGATAGTGGAGAAAGGGAGCTCTTAAAAAGTGTTACTGAAAATTAGAAAATGGCTTCTCTTCAATGTTCTCTGAAAAATGAAATCCCTTTTTATCTACCGCTTGGCAGCTGAACTCCTTTTTTGAATTCCAATACATGCAAAGACTATGCCACGTGGCTGCTTGGCTCTTATTTAGGATAATATAGAAATATGTCACCAAATAGTGTTGGCCTGGTCAGGTCCGTTCCCATATGTACCGCTTTCCAAATGACATGGTTTCCTGCATTGAGTGTGACTTTCAAGAAAATATTTTATAAATAGGAATTATTTAAACTGTGAAGTAGTTTGTAATACAAAACTAGGTATTGTTTTGTATTGTCTCTGTATCAAAGGTAGATACAGAGAAAAAAGTACAATGAAGATATTGTATTCCCATCACCACCACTACCAGAACGACAATAAGAGCCATGCCAAGTAAAGTCAACAGAATGGCAATGGGTTTTCACAAAAGACTCACCCCAGCTCCAAACATGGACTGGAATCTGCATCAGAGGTCAGTGCTGCCATCTCTGAGTGACCACAGAGTGCCATTCCATCTTCCCATGGCCACTGGAGCCTTGCCATCTATATTTTGAGATGTTCACAAAAGAGTGGGAAAATATTTTCTTCTCATTTCCAGCAGGAAGTAATTTCTGTAAGTGATTGACTATCTTAAACAACCCTCATTCTAGAATTCACATTTACATAAATGCGTATCTCTTTATAAAATGGAATATCTGGTCAGACTGTTTTACAAGTTCAATTCTCATGATCTTCAATGACCTTGGAAAGGAAAGCATAAGACTAGAGGGTCTTTTTGGGATATAGTGTTCCTTAACTGTGGCTTATTAACTTCTAAAATTACTAAGATGAAGAAAATCTTGGAATATTTCCCAAAGGTACTCATTCTGTGCTTTTCAAAGTTCAAAATGTGGCTACATGATGAAATCTAAGACATAACAAATGATTTGCAAACTTCATGAAAGGTTTTTCCAAATTAAATTATTACATGGTTCTTTTTGTAAAAAATAGATGCAGGTGGTAGGTTTCTTTACAAGTTACCTGAGAAACGGTTTCCTGAAGCCGACCAAGCAAACCACTCCCCTACTATTTTGCACCAATTCTAAATCATGTGGGCGTCCAGACTGGGTGAGGGCGAGAGGAGCAGGAGAATACGAGATCAAAGCCTGTGCATTATAGGAGAAAATGCTTTTTCTCTGTGGCTTTGAAAATCTCTTTTTAAAGGGATCCCCTCCCCACTTACTTTGGGGTTTGGCATATGGTGTGTGCTACAGATGGATGAGCAGTGATGCAGCTGTTGGGGATCTGGCACCCTGGCTCTGGAGCGCTCCTGCCAGCTGGCCGGCACACCCCGGGCTTATAGCATGAACCGATTCCTCCCAGCTGTTATGCAAAAGAAAGTGGAGAAATGTTGTTGTTCACCAATTTTCCGTCTAAGCCATCTTAGTTTAAGCTCAAGCCCAACAACAACAAATTCCCCAGAAGGCAACTTTTTATGGTACAGCATGCTTCTTCCAAGTTATGTATAATTGTGAATGCGAGGTTACATTTGGATAAGGTTAAAAGACTGCGGAAGTACTCATTGCTGCAAGCTGTGAATAATGTATGAAAGGAGAAATCTCAGTCCCAGCTATGGGGATGTGTGAGTGTGCCACAAGCACCCAACGTGAGCCCATGAGGGCTGGTAGCCAGGAAATGCATTGCGCTGGCATGCCCTGAAGACAATACGAGAAGATCTACCTTACTCAGCCAGCTTGTTCCAGATGAAAGATAGCAACAAACAGTATTTATGGTAATATTTAAAAAAAAAAGAGCGT
This sequence comes from Homo sapiens, assembly GCF_000001405.40. Taxonomy (NCBI): domain Eukaryota; kingdom Metazoa; phylum Chordata; class Mammalia; order Primates; family Hominidae; genus Homo; species Homo sapiens. The sequence goes on along the minus strand of NC_000013.11, from coordinate 106,987,138 downwards.
TGATAGGTGCAGCAAACCACCATGGCACATGTTTACCTATGGAACAAACCTGCACATTCTGCACATGTATCCCAGAACTTAAAGTAAAATATATTTTTTTTTAAAAAAAAAGAGGTCTGAAGCAAGACTCCATCTCAAAAACCAAAGTCTGAATTTGACCTGAAATCCAGACAGGAGTCTGCACATTTCAAAAGACCAGAGGTGTTGCAAGAACAAATTTTATCTGAAGGCTAGTGATGCGGGGAACAGGAGATGAGATGGCAGAGGCTTCCGGGAACATCATCAGCCGGTTATCTCAGAAAGTGCAAAGGTCATATTGCCTTTTAAAAATGTGGAGTAACCATCAGAGCATTTTGTATTTTTTGATGAAGATGATTTTTTTTAATGAAGACGTTTTGTTTGTATTTTTTTATGTTTTGAACTTCTATCTTTCTTTTGAAGGGCCACTGGCTAGCTAACTTTGAGCGACACTGGAGGAGAAAATGGTCTGCTTTGTGACCCCTGCTAGTTCCATAAAGGAACTTACCAGGCACCCTCACCCACACCAGCCTAAGCTTACTCATTACAGAACATTTGTTCTATGTGCCTGGTAGATCTATGGGGCTGGGAGAAAAAAAAAAGAGAAGGAGAATATTTGACTGAAATATGGGATGTTTGTAAGAGTCTCAGAAACAGGACTGAGACACTGCCAGGGCATGTGTAGAGGAACTCAGATCTTGGCTTCCGGACAGGAGTGAAGAAGCGAGCCCGCAGGACATGTGGAGGTGTGGCTTTGCCACAGAGGCACAGGCCACCAAGCAAACCTCCCATTAGCTCCGCATTGTTGTTGGCTGAGATAGTTGCTAATTGAGCTCTCAAATCCAACATCCATGACAAAGCCTAGAAATCACTGGGTCCTCCAACAGGTCCACCAGAGCAAATGGAAGGGAATGCGAAAGAGAACCCTGCATGTTTCACAGAGGACAGCATGCTTCCAGCCTGCTGCAGAGCTATTTGTGATTCATTAGCCGGCAATCTCTTGAGATTTGACAGGCCTTTTTATCTTTCCCCAAGCTGCAACAAAAAGCAATCATAAAACCGAGATGCACACTGTCCATGACTAGGGAGAAGGCAGTGTTACCAGTTGCATAATTATCATACAACGTAAAATGGAAAACAGATAAGAAACCGTTTTATAATTTGCAAACACCAGGAGCTAGTTGTTGAAAGGAGGAAGGAAAATAAATGAATGAATGTTGATTTTCCTCTGAATATCATAATTGTGAAATGCTTTAATTAAACAGAGTTATAGAGAAAATAAATAATATTTTTAAAATGGTATTTTTCTGAAGAAATAAGGAAACATTAAAGAACAAAAATTTTCATGTAATACGCACTGTATTTTCGCAATTCATCTAGGACCCTTGGATATAACACTTTCAAACACTCTCTTTATCTCCCCGGCTGCCAATTTTATCACAAGTAGAAGTAGTGCTTTAGGAAATAACAGCACATTGGCTAATAAACACTGTCTGATTCAGTGATTTATTTTCTTCAGAAGTTATAGCTGTGTTCAAAGTGATATCCAGTGAAGTGTCACACATTAATTTAGAAATATATCAACAGGAAAATTTATCTGTGAACTCTGGAATATCACTAGTTACTGTAAAAACACTCTTTTTTCCCTCTATCGACAGCAACAATAGCAGCAACATACCTCACAAATGTTACTAAATACTCAATAAAAAGCATATGTTAATCACCTTCTATGTGCAGAGTACTGTGCAAAGCAATAAGGCAGGGTAGGGGGTGGTGGTGGGAAGAAGGAGAGGAAGAAAAAGAAAAGCCAGCTGTAAGGAGTTGTCTTTCTGTTACCAATAATCTTATTCCATCAATGCTTAACAAACTTGACTGTTGATTGAAGTCAAGGGTTTCTTTGTGGGGGCAGAGCAGAGGGTAAACCCATTAACTTTTTCAGATCTGATTGGTGTAGATGAAGAGGAGTAAAGATGCTGAAAGGATAGGTGGAAGTAAGTTTTGCCTGTTATGGCTCATGGTTAGTAAATGTATGAAAACATTGAAAGAAATAGGCCAAGTATATTATTATTTTAGTTGTAAGAAAAAAAAATTTCTAAAGAGCTATTCCAAAAAGTGAGCTACCTGGTCTTAAGATTTTGTTTCTCATACAATGGTCAAATGCATGCAAGTAATTGGACCATGCATTAGTCCATTCTTACACTGGGTAATTTATAAAGAAAAGAGGTTTAATTGACTCACAGCTCCACATGGGTGGGGAGGCCTCAGGAAACTTACAGTCATGGCAGAAGGGGAATCAGGCATGTCTTACATGGCTGCAGGTGAGAAAGCACGTGTAGGAAGCCAAGGGGGAAGAGCCCCTTATAAAATCATCAGATCTCATGAGAACTCACTCACTATCATGAGAACCGGATGAGGAAAACCACCCCCATCATCCAATCACTTCCCACCAGATCTTTCCCTCAACACCTGGGGATTACAATTCAACATGAAGAGTTGAGTGGGGACACAAAGCCTAACCATATCAGACCATGTTGTATAATTTTGGTTGCATTGACCACTTTGAAAATTATGACCAAAAAAATCATAGCTCATCAATTAATCTCCTACCTTCAAAGAGACAATGCTCCCTCACCTAGGTTTCTTTTGGCAGTTTCCCTTTCTCTACTGCTGAAACCCAGGAGCAGTTTGCCATGCCCTTATTCAAGAACAATTGTTCTGGAAATCAACATTATATTGTTAAGAGAACCCGAAAATATAAGTAAAATAGAGGCCGAAATAATTCTCAAGGCAGCAGAGGGCTATGAGTTATAGACCGTGTCTGTTACCATGGCAAATCCATTTTCCTCTACAAATGTAATCCCTTTTATTTTGAGAAACAGATTCTCAGGGCTAACTAAAGCTAACCACTGTTTGCCAAACTCATTGCAAGTATCTCTCCCTTCATACTCTTACCATGGCAATTCCCTACAGTGTCTGTGCTAGGGTTGTCGCGCGCATTAAATGAGATTGTTTAGGTGCATTCAATGAGGCTGGGTGCAGTGGCTCACACCTGAAATCTTAGCACTTCGGGAAGCTAAGGCATGCTTGAGCTCAGGGGTTTGAGACCAGCCTGGGCAACACAGAGAGATAATGTCTTTACGGAAAGTAAAAAAATTAGTTGGGTATGATGGCACTTGCCTGTAGTCCCAGCTACTTGGTGGGGCGGGGGTGAGAGGATCACTTGAGCCTGGGAGGTAGAAGCTGCAATGAGCTGTGGGTGACAGACCAAGACTCTGTCTCAAAATAAAGAAATAAATAAAAAACAAGATCACACACATGGCCATGGCCACAAGGACTGGTACATAGCTAGCTATCAATTAAGATTAGCATTTGGCAATAAATATCTTGTGTCCCAATTCTTGTCCCAACTTTTCCATGTGTCTTCTCTGAACATTCTAAACCATTGTGATCGATTCTTATGAAAAGGAGGCAGACCTTCCAAATAAATCTTATTTGGTTGCCATTCTGTAAAAAAGTGATTGTTTCATTCTTTCCTAAGTGTGGATACCAGAATAGTAGCTATACACCCAGTTCAAAGTACAGCTCTCTGATAATAACGGAAGTACTGTTTTGAGCTGAGCATCATACATGACAAGAAAGTTGAGAATACTGGAACAGTATGTGAAGCATATTAAGCAATATACTAAAGGATAAATACATGTCCAGCCACTGATGAAATCCTCAGCCTTAAGAATGTCTTTCTTCTAGCCTTGGTTCTACTATTAGTTCTCAGTGATCTTGTGACTTGGTCAAATTCCTAATTCAAGGTGGATGTGTTCACTGTAGAGCAGTGGTCCCCAACCACTTTGGCACCAAAGACTGGTTTCATGGGAGACAATTTTTCCACAAACTGGGGCTGGGGGGATGGTTTCAGCATGATTCAAGTGCATTACATTAAGTGTGCACTTTATTTCTAATTATTACATTATAATATATAATGAAATAATTAAACAACTCACTACCATGTAGAATCAATGAGAGCCCTGAGCTTGTTTTCCTGCAACAAGATGGTCCCATCTGGGGGTGATGGGAGACAGCGACAGATCATCAAGCCTTAAATTCTTGCAAGGAGCATGCAACCTAGATCCCTTGAAAGCACAGTTCACAATAGGGTTCGCACTCCTATGAAAATCTAATGCTGCCACTGATCTGACAGGAGGCGGAGCTCAGGTGGTCATGCAAGCAATGGGGAGTGGCTGTAAAAACAGATGAAGCTTCATTCACTCACTTGCCTGTTGCTCACCTCCTGCTGTCTGGCCCTGTTCTAACAGGCCACAGACCAGTACTCGTCCATGGCCCAGGGGTTGAGGACCCCTGTTTTAGAGGATACTCAGTCTGCCTACCCTCTCAAAGTTGTCTCCAAAGTAGACAAATCTCAATCTCACCTCCCGTATTTCCATGGTTTCAGCACTTTTTCTTCCTAATTTCTGTTTGATATATTATTGAAGTTCCAGATAAATTACTTCTAATATTAGGGCCCTCTGTAAAAATATCTGCTACAAAGAGACAAAATAGTTGGGCACATTTTTACAGAATTTTCTAGTTTGGGCAGAGACAGAATCACTCCGGGGTGTAGTGTTAACTGGGAAGTTTCCCTGGTTCCCTTGAAGTCTTTCATTGTGTGAGTGTCATAATTCTTTCCTGCCTCCCCTCCAACTTAAGCAATCCACTTCTCCCACTGCAGAGTCAGAAGTTAAAAGCTATCATTTTGCTACTTGACTGACATTTGTCTATTTTAAGTGCTTTAATCTCACTCAAATTTAGTAAAGTCTATCTACCATGTAGTTTATTATTCATTCATTTGTTTATTCAACAAGCACTACTTCTATAACTACTCCGCATCAGGCAGTGTTCCTGGTCTAGGGACACAATAGTAAACAAAAAAAAACAAAAATCTCAGCTCGTGGAAACTCAGTTGACTGAAGAGCAACAGGCAAGAAGATAAAAAGTAAATGTATAGTGTGTTGGGTAACCCTAAATGCTAAGAAGAAAAAATGGATATGAAATACCTGGGTGGGGTTTGAGATGACATTTTAGATAGGGTGGCCAGGAAACAAGCAAAGGGAAAGCAGCAGGCAAGGATGGCTCCATGGATCGGCCTGAGCATCTGGCAGAACATAGAGCATATTGCCTGAGAGGAGGTGGGCTGTGAGTGGACCAAAAGTCAAGTAGGAATGTCAAGAAGCCAGTGGATATTGGACACAAGGGGAGAAGTCTGGATTAAAGACACAAATCTAGAAAATGTCCTATAGGTAAAAAAAAGTCATGAGTCTGGATATGATCACCCAGAGGGTCAACAGGAAAGGAAAGGGCATAAATTGTGAGCCTGGGAGAGGCCAGGGAGACAGGGAAGCCTGGGAAGGAACAGTGGGAAATTTTGAGGGAGCCCAGGCAATATGGCAGCCTGGAAACCAGGAACAGAATGCGTTTTAAGGCAAATTATCATCTCTATCAAATGCTGCCGAGAGAGAGAAGCCACATGAGCACTAAGAGGTGGCCACCGTGCTTAGCAACATGGAAGTCAGTGAGGACTTTAAGATGGTCACGGAGGCGAAGGTGGTGGCAGGAAACCAAATTGCAGTGGGCTCAGGGGGAGAGGGGAGAAGAAATTGGCTTCTTAAATGTCAGGAGTTTTCCTTTTCCTTGAAACCCTTCTTTATTGAGTGGCTCAGCAATAAAAGCTTTTCTTTACCAAGAGAAATAAATGGTTTTTTTTTTTTTTGAAAAATGTTTGAAAGACACAGGGACACTTGTTTAGCTGAGGTGTGACTTGAGCAGCTTGACAAACGCTGTCTCATTTCCAGCAATTCTAGTGGCCAAGTTCCCTCAACAGGGATGTTCCAAAACAGCACTCCAGTTGCTTTGCATCCAAAAAAAGCTGGAGGCAGTTTTTTCTTGTAAATTGTAGGCTAGAGTATGATTACTGAGAAATCTTGGAAAGCTGGCACCTTTTTTTTTTTTTTTTAAGAATAGTCTCCTAAAAGCTTTTTCTCGTGTATAAGTACCAAGGTACTGAAGTCACCATCATTTTTCTTTCAGTTTCCACAGCCCCTTACAGAAAGCATTTCCTAACCTGGGGCCACACGAGTTCTCACTCTGAAGAAAAAACATAGAACAACCTTCCCAACTATAGAAAAACAAGTCAGGAGCCTTTTTTTTTTTTTTTTTTTTTTTTTTTGAGATGGAGTTTCACTCTCATTGCCCGGGCTGGAGTGCAATGGCGGGATCTCAGCTCATTGCAACCTCTGCTTCCCAGTTTCAAGCGATTCTCCTGCCTCAGCCTCCCGAGTAGCTGGGATTACAGGTGCCTGCCACCACGCCTGGCTAATTTTTTTTGTATTTTTAATAGAGACGGGGTTTCACCATGTTGGTCCAGCTGGTCTCAAACTCCTGACCTCAGGTGATCTACCGGCCTCAGCCTCCCACAGTGCTGGGATTACAGGCATGAGCCACCATGCCTGGCCCAGGAGACATTTTTTAAAATAGTAGATACGGGGCTTAATTCCTAGCATTTGTCCCAAAAATAACATTACAAATTGTGGACTCTGTACCCGGAAAGATGGAAATACAAGGGAAATCTCATCTTTGCCGTGTGAGGCAATCAAAGGAGTCCTATTGTTAGACAATTAAAGGGAATCATTTATCACTTAATTATATATTAAATAAATCTAAAATATATATTAATGAAATCTCATTGATGATAGCTGCCATTTGACTTTCTAATAATAACTCATCATCGTTCTGATGAATAACAAGCACATGGATGTGTGCCAAAGTAGTCTGCCATCTCCTAGAAAGGTTCCTTTTGCATGAGAGGGAAGATGAAAACACGAGCTTTGTAGTAGAATTTTGATTCATTTAAGAATTCATAGACCTGATGCTGGTTAACTCCCGAAACTCCAACCAACATTTCTAGGAGTTATATACATCAACACGAAACAGGGCCAGTCAGTCATCCTTTGAAATCCACATGGGCAACACCTTTGTAATACGGATTGTCGCCCATCAGCTCAACTGTGATCAAGGAGCTCCAATTTGACGTTGAGTTTCTGAAGTCTAATATTTACCAAATGTGCAGCCTTGTGCCAGTGCAATCCTCTTTCCGAGTTAGAAAATGGAGGCAATCAGCTCTCTCCAAGTCCCACAGTGACTTGTGATCACCAACCATATGCACCTCCAGTTCTCCACAGTGGCCATTATTTTTCTCATTGCACAAAGCTACATTGTCTTCTAAGCCTCTTTAAACAAAGGTAAATCAGTTGCTCATTGAACACTGTAGCACTCACCTTAATTAAGGGGGAATCATTTTTTTAAACATTTAAGGAATCAAATTACACCTTATAATTAAATAAAAGTGACCTTTTCAAACTTGCAGTATAATTATATAAATTTTTAAACTACAACAAATTTGATGTACCTGTACAGAAATCTTGGGAACTTTAGCCATAGACTGTACTTATGTGTCTATATATTTTTATTAAAATGACACTTTGCTTCATTAAAGAGATTACACTTCAGGACAAAACAAATAGGGTAGGAATTAACTTTACATGATTTAAATGTACGGTTTCCAAATTTAGCAAGTTTATCCATGGGATACTTATACTGAAAAACTAGTTGCTGTTTCTCTGAAAGTCGAATTTAACTGTGTGTCCTGTATCTTATGTGGCAGCCTAGACCGGTGTGAAGAAGTACCCCAATAGCTAAGCAGCATTTATGTGATTCCTCTATGGGCATTGCAGAAGAATAAACTTCCTTTCAGAGGGCACTACTGTTTTCATAACATTATACAAAAGTGTTTCCAAGTAGATCCCAGGAAAAAAAGGTACATAACCCAGGGGTTCTCAAAATATTCTCCAAGGATCAGCTGCACTGACATCACCTGAATCTTGTTAGACATGCAGATTCCCATTTCCCAGCCAGACCTACTGAATCAGAAGTTCTGATGGGGGTTTCCAGAAACCTGTGTTTCAACACCAGTCTCTTTGCCCCCCAATTCTGATACATGTGTAAGTTTCACATCCACTGACTAGGGGACTGTTTTATATGCATTGGTGTCTAAACCCAACCAGAGAATGCTTATAAACAAAAGAAAATCAGTTTTGACTGTGTTGGTTTGTTTGTTGTTGTTTATTATAGATGCACAGAACTTGAGTCCACTTTTAGTGAATGAGGGTATGGGTGTGGGGAGGAGGTAGTGGCAGAGAAAAAGTAGAGTGTTGACATCTTAGTTTGTGTAGCTCTTTATCTAAGGACTGGCCTTAGATAGTTTCCTTAGCACCAAGATTATTTATTGACTAAAACTTAAAGTCATTTAATGAAACCAGCTCCAATGTAAGGTCAGTTTTGCAGACAGCAGGGCCACCTAATCTAAACAATGTTTTATAATGGTTCCTAAGTGATATCAGGTAGTCAACATTTGAAGCTACTGGGTGAAATACTGAATATAATGCTTTTGCTTTTTACACAAACATCTGGATCCAAGATATAAACAAAGAGAAGTTATAACAAAGAACTTCTAAAATGTCAAATGATCCATGAATTACAGTCCTATGCTTGTGTACATCATTTTGGGAAAGTTGGTTGGATACCATACTATTTTAATTAAGTTAATGGGAAATTACATATTCATGGACTCAACCTTTATATTTCATGTATTCTAATGATATTAACTTAGAATTTTACCAACTGATAACCAAATACTGTCATGTAGCTGGGATAAATGATTTTTGTGACTTTTTCTTTACTCAAAATTTTGGCATCATTTAAGGTTTTTGATCAAATAAGCATATGTTATTTTTTTACATAAAGGAATAAATATAGCTTTGATGCTATTAATCTTCGTCATTTGTTCCTTTTTGAGTTTTCTCTCTTAGGTTCTAAAAGTAAAAAATATAACTACTGTTGACTACAGTTGTCACTCTTTCTAACGTAAGAGTCTATCTTCTTTCAAAGGGATCTGATTAAATGTTTCAGTAAGTATTTATAATTTTAAGAAGGCATTAGACATATAAAGACATAAATACAGATGTGTATATCTGTATTTACAATACATATGTATAAATATACATTATATATATGACATCTGTCAACATTAAAACAAGATTACAGTCATCTAAATGATTACAGTCATGTAAATGAGGTCCCTACCCTAAGTATATACAATGGCCGTACAAAGTTGTTCAGTAAATGCACTGACTAGCAACTGAGAAAAGCTCCCAAAGATGGATACTGTTCTGTTAGAAAAGATCCTCTATGTGACAATGGTAGCAAACATTCAAAGGGATTATAAATGGAGAATGACTAATTCACATTCAATAAAAACTTTTCATAAAACAGAGGGTAACAAACATAACCCCCTGCAATTTGAGTCAGTAAACCCATTTCCAGAATAAACCATTGAACTAAAACCTGAAAGATATGGCATTCATCCTTGACAGGTGGGTAAGTGTATGAATTAGAAAATGATGAGTTCTTCCAGGATTTGTTAATTTTTCTAGGATAAACTCAGTTTAAACCAAAATTCTGCAAATCGTATCTGGTCTTTAAGAATGTGGATACAGAGTAAAATTTTGTTAGTGGAGTTAATGACCAAGAAGAAGACAGTCAATCACAGAGTCCTCAAATAAGCTAACCAGGTGCTGACACAGCTGCAACAAGAGATAGGGGTTAAACTTGTTGTAAAATTTGAAAGTTTTAAAAAGGAACAGTTGCTACTATGCATAAACCTGTTGTCTTTGCTCAGAAAAAAAAAGAAACAAAACGCTTCACTTTAGTTATATGCCAATGTTTCCTTAATGAGGAAAGTAATAAACTGTATATTTTTGAAAACACAATTCCTTCCTTTTATCATTCTCTAAGGCAGCAATGGCTATGACAAATAATCATCTTTGTGCTAGTAATACATGAATACCTGAACCTTGTTCTGAAATACAATTCTAGGCAAGCTCAGGGAGATGTTTCTAAATTCTCTTGATTATGAATGCATTACACTGCCTTCTAAAGCAGAGGAGGAGGATTTCAAAAGGTTCAAGTCATACATGTTCTAACTCATGTCTTCACATCCAAAGGATTTTATGTGCCCAACAAATCATAAACTCATTAAGATTTTTGTCACCCAACAAGTCAAGACATGCTTTTGTAGGTAACATGAAAGCAAAGGGACCTGTTCTGTTTTATGAAGTAAATGCTCTAATATCTGCAAAAATATATATATTACACCTAAAAATACTGCCGCTGAACAAACAAAACTACCATAAAACCAGAGAAAGAATCATAAAAACGGGTTCATTCTAGTATTAATTTTAATGTTTGATTCATGTTTAAGAAGTTCTTAAGTTGAAATATTCAGATGGTACGAACTGCTATTTCTTACCCAAGTGAACTGAAACTCACACAATGCATTTCTTTGATAATACAGAGTTTATACAAGTTTTCCTGTAGCCTTATTTTTGCAACCAGTGTTCACAGATCACTGAGATAGTTTTATTAAAAATGCTTACATGGGAGGCCGACGTGGGTGGATCATGAGGTCAGGAGATCGAGACCCTCATGGCGAACACAGTGATACCCTGTCTCCACTAAAAATACAAAAAACTTTAGCCAGGCGTGGTGGTCGGCGCCTGTAGTCCCAGCTACTCGGGAGGCTGAGGCAGGAGAATGGTGCGAACCCGGGAGGCGGAGCTTGCAGTGAGCCGAGATCGCGCCACTGCACTCCAGCCTGGGTGACAGAGCGAGATTCCATCTCAAAAAAAAAAAAAAAAAAAAAAGTTTACATGACTAAATTCTCCTTTTTACATGCCTTAATATATTCTGGATGGTGAGTCTTTTTTTTTTTTTTCAAGAGAGAATAGTTTGAATATGAAGACCGAACAAAAACTTTGAATGTCGAGTTGTAAAAGGTGGCATGAAATGCTGAAATGAAGATGTGCAATCATCCCATCACTGGCTTTCAAAGAAATAGGTAGAAAAAAAAATCTCAGCTGGGCCAGCTCCTCCCTTGTTAACGTGTGTATGCCAGTGTCTGGAGAAGATATCGCAGCACCCCACCTGTGTATAGGAGGGATAGGAATGTTAGGGGTGAAGAGGAGATCTAGGCACCGAAGGCAACGGACCTGAGCATTCCCAGAACCTCAGCTTTCCTGACTTGAGCCTTTGAGCCAAATGTACATTTCTGAGAACCCTGGTTCCATTTAATTCACTAAATCTACTTTTAAGTAATCACTCTGGGTGGGTAAATGTCCCAGGTATAACCAGGTTTACAAAGAGGAGGAAAAAAGCTCTTAGATTTGGCAGCATATTAAGGGTCATAAACTTACACCTATAATACAGGCTGAAAGTGTTAGAAGAGAGTTACTAAGAGGCCTGTGTAGTCAAGTGAAAAGGACATAATATCCAGTGATAGGAAATCAAGACACGGTGTAAAGACAGTAGCTGGTGAGATGAGCTCTAAAGTAAGACTTTGGGAATGAGAACTTCCATTAAGGCAAAGAGTAGGAAGTTTGAGCAGTGCTCTGTAGCATGGGATGTGTGTTTAAAAAGGGGGAGAAATTAACTAGAGAATGTCATTTGGGGTCCCAGAGTGCCTGACAATAAAAACTAATCAGAGGAATTTGTGTTCACTTGGTTTGATAGTCACTGACGAGGAAAGTGTGTCAATGGAGTGGTAGTTTGAAGAGAGCCAAGAAGCTGGAGGAACAAGGATTTGGAAGGCCAGTGGAATGTATTAGTAAAGGAATTATTGATGTCTCATGCATTTGTGTAAATTACAAGTTCCAACTTTCTCCGATTTTCACTCCTTTTTATAAGGAGCTTACAAAATGACAACTTGGGCATCTGGTGAAGAGCCAGCTGCCATCCATCTGTAAGGAAGTAGATATCTTTACACATTGTATGTGGATTCTAAACTAGAAGTTTTTCAGAGAGTAAAGTGGGGGATCAGGTGATTAAGTAAATCTAATTGCAATCCTAATACATGTCCCCGCCCCTCTGTGCTGTCGCCTTAGGTACGAATAGTAGCCTCTCCTCTTCAACCTATGCTTCTCAAATGTAAGAATCACCTGGAGATATCATTAAAATGTGCACATCCAAACTGGAGTCTGGTCTGAGATTCTGCATTTCTAACAAGTTTCCGGGTATTGACAATACTGATAGTTCATAGACCACACCTTCAGGCTGAGTCTTAAAATACTTTCTTTTTGCATTACGTATTGCAGAGAAAGTGGCTGAAAATAGAAATAGGGCAGAAATAGATCCAGTATGCATACAAGGAGAAATGTCATTAAAAATAATAATGAGAATATAATGCCTTGCACTTATTTAGTGTTAGAGTATGCAAAGCTTTTTTTGGAATATTATCTCATTTGACTCTATTCAAATTATCTGTCTACATTCAGCCACTATCATCTAGTACATACATACACACACATAGATACACACACACACAGACACACACACACACACACACAATGCAGTCATGCATTGCTTAACAACAAGGATACATTCTGAAAAATGTGTTGTTAGGCAAATCTGTCATTGTGAGAACTTCACAGAGGTACCATATATGTTTGTACTTACACAGCCTACTACACACCTAGGTTGTACGATATAGCCTATTACTCCTAGGCTACAAACCTTTACAGCATGCTGCAGTACTCAGTAGTGTAGGCAATTGTAACACAATAGTAAAATGGGGGATCAGGTGATTTGTATGTCTCTGAACATAGAAAAGATACAGTAAAAACATGGTTTGAAGGCATAAAATTGGTACACACAGCTGTATAGGGCAGTTACCACGAGCAAAGCTTGCGGGCCTGGAAGTTGCCCTGGGTCTGTCAGGGAGTGAGTGGAGAGTGGGTGAGAAGGTCTAGGACATTCCCATACATGACTGTAGACTTCATATATAAACACTCTACACTTAGGCTACACTAAAGCCATAAAAAATATTTTTATTTCTTCAATAATTAACCTTAACTTAATGTAGTAACAGCTTAAAACACAAACACAGATAGCTGTAAAAAATACTTTTATGTATTTATATATTTATTCTATAAGCTTTTTTCTATTAAAAAATTTTTTTTTGCTTTTTAAACTTTCTGTTTGTTAAAAAACTAAGACACAAACACACGTATTAGCCTAGGACTACACAGGGCCAGGATCACCAGCATCACTGTCTTCCACCTCCACATCTTGTCCCACTGGAAGGTCTTCAGGGGCAGTAACACACGTGGAGCTGTCCTCTTCTATGGTAAGGATGTCTTCTGGAATCCCTCCTGAAGGATCTGCCTGAGGCTGTTTTACGGTTAGCATTTTTTACAAGTAGAAGGAGTACACATCTAAAATAACAGTAAATTCGGAGGCCGTGTTGGGCAGATTGCCTGAGGTGAGGAGTTCGAGACCAGCCTGGCTAACGTGGTGAAACTCCATCTCTACTAAAAATACAGAAATTAACCAGGCTTGGTTGTGCACACCTGTAATCCCAGGTACTCAAGAGGCTGACATAGGAGAATCGCTTCAGCCCAGGAGGCGGAGGTTGCAGTGAGCCGAGATCATGCCACTGCACTCCAGCCTGCGAGACAGAATGAGACTGTATCTCAAAAATAAAAATAAAAAAATAACAATAAAAAGTATATAAATACAGAAACCAGTAACAGCCATTTATTATCAAGTATTATGTACTGTACCTAATTGTATATGCTAGACTTCCATATGACTGGTAGCACAGTCAGTTTACATGAACATCACCACGAAGTGATAGTAATTTTTCAGCTTCATGATAATATTATGGCACTACTGTAATGTAGTCTATCATTGACCAAAATATCATTATTTGGCACATAGCTGTACATTCATATTACATTAAGATCATTTAAATATTTATTTGTCTTATAAATTGTCATTCAGGATAACATCTACTAATAACTGAACAATTCAAAGAAATGACTATCTGTAGATGAAAATGTTCATGACCTTTTGAATTATTCAGATAATTAGGTAGAAGTGCACCCTAATTGCCCATGTTACCTTATCAGGACTCCAACCAAAAGATGTGAATTCAAAACCCTTTGACTATGTACCTTAGCAAAAGTATATTAATTTTTCCACAGACAAATCTCTCAGAAAAGTCAGTTGCAATAATAGATACTGCCATTTATGCGTTTTTCTCCCTGAAAGCATATGAATGTCAATTTATTTCCAGCCAGATTTTTTCAAGAGTCATGTCAAGATATAAAAGTATTGAAGAAAAGAATTGGAAGTTTGGTTTACAATGGTATTCTAGATCTATCTCCTTCACAGTGAATCAAGAAATATGTAGTAAGATGCCAATTTTCCTAACAGGAAAATTTAGCATGCATTCTATTCTTTCCTTTAAAAAGTTAAAGTCCACCTGTGGAATGAGGAAGCATAAAGAAGGACCGATGTTTCTAGCCCTTTTTCCTGAACAACAAGTGATAGATTGCTATCTTTCACCACTGTCACTTATTCCATGAAATTTGGGCAGCATAGGGTGGGGAGAGATGAAGGGTTGCGAGGTAGATGCTGTGATCCTGAGCATGCAGACTTTGCAAGGCCAGGACACTTTCATGGAGCATGAAGCACATGTCTAGAACAGGCCTGGAATGAATCCATGGTGATGAGGGTTTCGGGCTATTCTGACTTTCATCTGCTTCCTTTCTTCTCTGACCATAGTAAATACGATTTCAATTCCCAATGCAGAGACACTCATCATTTGTTATTCAAAACATCATAAATTGAAACTTTAACCTCTTTCCTCCCTAACTGGGCCAGCTTCAACTCTACTAAAGATTAAATACAAAGTGGTAAGAATTAACTAAGGTAGTAGTACAAAATTTAGGAGAGCAGATAAATAAAAACCTCTACAAGGAGCACACAGTTTATTGAAAATTATGCTGATATCCATAGGACATAGATAATTCTATTCCAAAAATCTGTTTGTAAATCAAAACACATTTTTCCATAAGACAGTGTTATTCATGATGGAACCCTGAGATGTCTAATTAATTATAAATGTAACTGGATCAGAGAGAGTGGTCTGACTTAGTACCGTATTACCTAACTAAGATGAAACAGAAAACACACTCAGATTTCAAACTTGGAATTCCAGGAGCAGGAGAGCCTGCAATGTTGGGCCAACCTAGCCTCTTTCAGTTCTGAGCTACTTACAGTGGCCCATAGGCAGAAACTGACTTTAGGGAGTGATCAACATTTGAGGGCAGCAACAGGGAATTCAGAATCAGGGATGAGAATGTTTGCATGTGAGGTAGAGGCAGAGGCATCTCCAGCTGGTAACCACATCTCAGTTTTGCTCTTACGGAGATTCTGTTACTATTTCCCCACTTCCTTTTCTGCCTTTGCAAATTATCAAATCTATTGCAAGAATTCTGCACTGTCTCCATTTCCTCTCCTTCCTTTTACTCCTCACCTCTCTAACAATCTGACTCGCCTTCCCTGTTTTGCTCAATTTTCATAAAGGGCACCCACGCCTACTTTATTGTTGAATTTATTTGCGTCTTAATGACCCTCACTGTTTTGGTCTTCTTTCTGGAAATTCTGCACTGGCCAGCTAAATAATATCGCCTTCATCTCCTCCTGTATCTCTGTCTGCACCTTCCAGTTACTTTTATTCATCCATCTTCCATCTGTGGCCCATTAAATTTTGGTTTTCTTAAGTTCTCTCTCCTCTTTCCTCTTCTTATCCTACACTCTTTTAGTTTCCATCCTTGTGGCTTCAATTGTGAGATCCATGCTGACTCTCCATGTATTTCTTCAGCCACCAACTCTCTCTTGACCTCCAAATATCATATTTTTAAGTTGCAATTAGACTTATTTTCAGAGATGTGATACAGACATCTCAAACTCCATGTCAAATGAACTTATTGCCTTTCCCACAAAAATTACTCGTATTCCAGAGGCTCGTGTCCAAGTTACCACAAACTTGGTCACCCAAACTAGAAATCTCAGAGCCATCCTCAATGCTTCTGTCTGCACAGAAACCCAAAAAGGTACATCTAAGTCTTCCAGATGCTGTAGAACTTTAAGTTGGATAATTTGCACCTATTTCCACCTGGCACTGCTTAAGTTCTGGGACCCATATTATTTGTCCTAGGTCAATACAGTAGCAAACTCCTAATTTTATCTTCTTGTCCTCAATTTTTTCTTCCTCTGATCTGCTATTTACCTCTTTTTGATATTAGTGTTATCTCTATAAAATACAGCCAAGATAAGATTACCCATGTCTACAAAAATGATTTTCCTTATTGCCATCTTACAGGTTAAAGACAAAACTCCAAAAATGGCATTCTTTTTACAACTGAGTTCCAAACTTACATTTCTGGCCAATGCTCTAGCAGCACAAGTCAACTGGTCATTAGCAATTTTGCTACAAATGCAAATTCCAATTCCTTCTAAGAACTTTTTGACTGTCTGCAGAATACTTATTCATCCTTCACCCCCTCATGAAGCTAAAGTTCATTGTTTCACAGTCCTGGTCTGGCCTCCAAAATCAAAGCTAAGGATGTACCATTTGGAGGTGCAAAAGAGAAGACCCCTGAGGGGTACCTTCCTGATGGTCTTTCTAGACAATACACATACCCACCATTATCATGAAAAAAAAGGGAAGAGTAGAGGTGTGTGTGTGTGTGTGTGTGTGTGTGTGTATGTGTAGGAAATTTGTAAAAGTCCCAGACAGCGATGGAATCTCTAAGCTAGAGAAGGTAAAAAGGATAAAAATTAAAAAGAAAAATTATAAGGTTGGTATATGTAATTTAGGGAATCCTTAATCATAAACATGATGCTGACACATGACTAAATTGATACAAGTAAATTTAGTAGGTATCTTAATACAAGTAAGAGCAAGGTATTTTAAAAATTGATGTAAGAGTCTATAAATTCATTTCACAAATATTTTGAATACTTACAATATTCTAGACACACGTAGAAAGAGAAATAGGGGATAACTGTAGCCATAGACATGGGTTAGTAGGCGTTCTATCACCTTCCTGCAGTTCTCTTGCCTCTAATCAAGGCAGCAAACCTTTAGAACATATATGTAAGGACATAGCTGCAGAGGTTGTTTGTCTGTAAGCACTACAAGAGCTCCCCCACCATGGAACATTCAAATGACTTTGTAAAAACAGCAAGTGATGTAAGTTGCTACTTTCTTTTCTCTGACAGAGTGGCAGATTGTGCCAGCAAAATGGGAAAAAGTAAAAAGTCTGGACTTTGACAAGGCTTTGTATTCTGTCCTCTGTAACATGGTGGCCACCAGATTTCTTAGTTGAGAATTTGTGGTATGGTCTCCATGGGCTATGAAAATGTAGTGTGCATTTACCTACGTGTCCACTTCCAAAGATGCCAGTTAATAGTTCAGTGTCGGTTTAGAGTGTACCATAAGGATGCTTTTGTAACCATGATATTCAGCTTACATATCAATGATCTACAAGAAGCCATGGAGAATCTGACAATCAAGGGTTAACAAATATTTTGAAGCTAATGCAATATTATGCTGACTATTGCAAAGGGTTATTTCTTATGATTCCTTACATACTACATTAGGTAGAATCCCTAACATTTACTGTATGAAATATAAAGTAAAAAATTACCATATGAATTTGAAATGTGACTCTGTAAAACCACAAGGAAATAGAATGTGGATAAACGCAACGCTGAATAATAAAGGAAAATAATAAGTACCTGTGATTGAAATGGAAAATCAGCTGATCAAGGAAATCAGGAATCCAAGAAAAAGACCCAGTAGCAGTTACAACTGACATCAAGCTAAAGGAGTAACCGGTAAAGTTAGCTAAAAACAAACAAAAATCAGAAGAAACACTTCTGGAAGGGCAGCGTGAAGAGCTCAATAAACACTTTTCCCAGTGAAACAACCATAACTGGCAAAAATCACTTTAAAAATAAACCCACAGGCTGGGCGCAGTGGCTCAAGCCTGTAATCCCAGAGCTTTGGGAGACTGAGGCGGGCAGATCACAAGGTCAGAAGATCGAGACCATCCTGGCTAACACGGTGAAACCCCATCTCTACTAAAAACACAAAAAATTAGGTGGGCGTGGTGGCAGGCGCCTGTAGTCCCAGCTACTCAGGAGGCTGAGGCAGGAGAATGGCGTGAACCCGGGAGGTGGAGATTGCAGTGAGCCAAGATCGTGCCACTGTACTCCAGCCTGAGCGACACAGCGAGACTCTGTCTCAAAAAAAAATAAAAATAAAAATAAATAAATAAATAAACCCACACACATATAACCATTTAAATCAGTCTCTGAAAAGTATTTTAAAGAACTGCAGCAAATGGAGAAACATTTATTCAAGACTATACTACTAAATCTCAATAAGAATACCTAGAGTTTGTGGTATTTGACCCATTTGCTCCATAATCTCCTGCTCACCATGATGGAAGCTCCACTCCAGTGGGGTGTATACAAGGGATATCATCCAGCCCTTACGTGTAGGTTAGAAGCTTTACTTAGAATGCAGAAAAGCTTCGACACTGTTTTGGGCAATGGTTTCTTTGAAAAAGACACCAAAACACAGGCAACACAAACAAAAATAGACAAATGGGTCTATATCAAACTAAAATGCTTCTGCACAGCTGAGGGAAAAATCAACAGCACAAAGAAAAGTCAATCTAAAGAATGGGAGAAAATATTTGCAAATTATATATCAAATAAGGGGTTAATATGCAAAATATATGAGACTCATACCACTTAATGATCAGGAAAACAAATAATCCAATTTAAAAATGGGCAAATAAACTGAATAGACATGTCTAAAAAGAAGACACATCAATGGTCAGCAAGTATGTGAAATGGGGTTAGCTTATACTAATCATCAGAAAAATGCTAGTCAAAACTTTCATGAGATATCACCTCACTCCAGTTAGGAGGACTACAATAAAAAACATTAAGTAAATAAGAAGTATTAGCAAAGATGTAGAGAAACTGGACACTGCTGGATTTTAAGATGGTACGGCCGCTGTGGAAAACAACATGAAGATTCCTCAAAAAATTATAAATAAATCTACCTTATAATCCAGTAATTCTACTTCTGAGTATATATCCAAAAGTATTGAAAACAGGATCTTCTTGAAGGGATAAGTGCACTCCCATGTTTATTGCAGCGCTATTGACAATAGCCAAATATGCGATCAACTTAAATGTCCATCAATAAATAAATAAAGAAAAGGTGAGATATATATATATATAGATAGATAGATAGATAGATAGATAGATAGATAGATAGATATATACACAATGGAATATCATGCAACCTTAAAAAAGAAGGAAATCTTGCCATATACTACCACACAGATTAACCTTGAGGACATTATGGTAAGTAAAAAAAGCCAATCACAAAACACAAAAGGACTAGTACTGTCTCATTCCACTTATATGAAACATTTAAACTAATCAAACTCATACAAATAGAAAGTAGAATGTGCTGGTTTCCTGGAGGCTGGGAAAAAGGGAAATGGGGATTTTCCAATGGATATAAAGTTTCAGTCATGCGAGATAAAAAAGTTCTGGAGATCTATTGTGTAACAATACACACATAATTAATAATACTGTACTGTACACTTAAAAATTGTTGAAGAAAAATTTATACTACCTGGTTTTCCAAAATAAAAAAAAGGAAAGTATCACAAAAAATTTCTCAATTAATAGAAAATATCAATAAAAAGAAGTTGTAATTAAATAACCAAAGGCCAATTCTGGAAGTGAAAAACGAATAACCAAAATAAAAAAATGTACTAGAGGATTTCATAGCTAATTTGAGCCAGCAGAAGAATCATCAAAATTGAAGATCTATTGGTAAAGATTACATAATCTAAAGAACAGAGAAGAAAAATGAAGAACAGAGCCTCCAAGAAATGTGGACCATGATTAAGCACCACGACATATGTATAATGGAAGAACCAAAGAAAGACAGAAAGAAACAGAATTAATAGTCACAGAAATAATGACTTGTGATTTCCCAAATTCAATGAATATTAATCTATACATCGAAAACTTCAGTAAATTCCAGTAGGATAAGTGCAAGAAGATACATACCTACAAAAAATGACCAATAGATTTGAACAGACATTTCTCCAAGAAGATCTGTAAATGGTCAATAAGCTCATAAAACGATGTTCAACATCATAAGCCATTATAGAAATACAATCAAAACCATAATGAAATGCAATCAAAACCACATTATAGAAATGCAATCAAAACCACAATGAAATACCACTTCACATGCACTATGTGACAATTTCACATGCAATATTTGGCTACAACCAAAAAGACAGTCAATGGGGAGGATGCAGATAAATTGGGACCCTCACTGATTCCTTCTGGGAATAAAAAGTGGTGAAGCCACTGTGGAAACAATTTGGCAATTCATCAAAATGTTAAACATGGAGTTATCCTGTTAACAAGTACTTCCACTCCTAAGTATATACCCAAGAAAAATAAAAACTTGTGTCCACACAAAAGCTTCTACACATATTCATAGCGTCATCATTTGTATTAGCCAATAAGTGGAAACAATGCAAATGTACATTAATTGATGGATGGATAAGTAAGATGAGGTATAGCTTTACAATATCACATTATTAGACAATAGAAAGGAATAAGGTACTGATACATGATACTCCACAGCTGAACTTTGAAAACCTCCAGAATTAGCCTTTGATTGTTTATTATTACAATTTATCTTTATTGATATTTTCTATTAATTGGGACATTTCTATACTTTCCTTAGATTTTTCTTAGTGTTGTAAAGTGAAAGAAGTCAGTCACAAAATACCACATATTAGACGATTAATTCATGTGAAATATCCAGAATGGACAAATTTCAGTAGAGCTTAGAAAGAAAAAAAACAGCATAAAAGTGGAGTTTATTCAAGGGAGCCAACATAAACCAGTCCATGAATATGTAATTGAGTGTTTAAGAAATGGTCTTTGTAAGCAAACTGACCTGGGTTCCAGTCTTTGTCATTATTTGCTGGGTGACTGCGATGGTTAATCTTACGTACCCACTTGACTAGGCCAAGGGATACCCATATGACTGGTTCAAGATTATTTCTGGGTATGTATGTAAGTGTGTTTCTGGAAGAGATTAGTATTTATAATAAATTGGTGACTTTAGTAAAGTAGATGGCCCTGCCAAATGTGAGTGGCACAATCCAATTCACTGAGAGCCTGAAGAGAACAGAAAGGAGGAGAAAGGTTGAATGAATGAACTCTGCCTGACCACTTGAGCTGGAACACCCATCTTCTCCTCCCCTCAGTGCTCCTGGCTCTTAGGCCCTGAGACCTGGGCTAAAACCTACACCCTTGGCTCTCTGGCTCTCAGGCCTTCAAACTACAACCCCAGCCTTCCTGGTCTCCAGCTGGTGAATGGAAGATAGTAGGACTTCTCAGCCTCCATAACCATGTAAGCCAGTATCTTACAATAAATATCTTCATGTATACATCTCCTGTTGGTTCTCTTTCTCTAGAGAACCTTCACTAATACAGCAAGCATATGTAAGTAGGCCTCCATATTTGATTATTGATTTATAAATTGAAATAGTGATGGATACTTCTCAAGATAGTCATAAGAATGATGTTAGTGACTACAAAATGGGAAGCACTGTACAAAGACAAAAATTTTTCAAGAAATAGTAGTTTTTATAAACACTGATTTTTAAATTTGTAAATGGTTCTTTCCTCTATTCTGTAATTTTAGGCATCACTCCCATTCTTTAAATTTAAAAAATAGAATAAAACATTTTTCCAAACTGAATCAGTTTAACCTTCCAATGGTCTTAACTTGGAGAAAATGCAGGCCTGCTAAATCCAGCTATGTCATCCAGTCATGACAGGTGTCCAGCTGAGTGTTTCTCATATTCTCCCTGACCCCTAAGCTAACATTCCAGTACTTTCACCTAGCAGTTTCTAGTTCCTGTTTCCTCAGTCATCTCAGCAGCTCTTTTCCTGCAGATATAGAGGTAGCTCTGTAAAACTACAATTATTCATATATTTACATACATGTTAGTTGTGTTAAATTAATTTTATTCTTGTATATTTACTCTGCCTCTCTCAGGAAAGCACTGGATCTTCAGGGGCAGAGGGGATACTTTCTGACACCATAATTCTTTTTACAGTCATAGTGCAGACCTTTTTTTTTTTTCTTTTAGAGATGGAGTCTTGCTCTGCAGCCCAGGCTGGAGTGCAGTGGTGCAATCTCAGCTCACTGCAACCTCCACCTCCTGGGTTCAAGCAATTCTTGTGCCTCAGCCTCCCAAGCAGCTGAGACTACAGGTGTGTGCCACCATGCCCAGCTAATTGTTTGTATTTTTAGTAGAAACGGGGTTTCACCATGTTGGCCAGGCTGGTCTCGAACTCCTGACCTCAAGGTGCAGACCTTTTTATATGAAGATGTCCTGCTGCTCAACTGGATGTTTTGGCGACCACCAAGCAAGGTCCCCAAACCTACTAGCAGGCTTTGGTCAGGCATAAGTCAACGTACAGCTCCTGCTGAAATAAGAGAAACTGTTGGACTCTGCTCTAGACCAATACAACTTCTTGCTCTAGTCATGTTGATGTGTCTTGGCATTTTTTACTTTTTCCTTACTTCACATAATTATTCACAGAGATAATGCTTTTATTTGTTCACACTTTTCTTGACCCAAGAGCATGTTAATGTACAACGATGCATACAATATAAGAAAATAAAGCAAATTAATACATTGATGAAAATAATGTAAAGATAACATGAAGGATTGCAAAGTAAAATTGGATCTAGAGTGGTTAGATTGCAAAGTGTTTACCATCATTCTTCTACATCTCACTGCAGCTAGGCCACAAAGCGAGACTGAAGTGTTCTAGCAGACAGACAGATGGGAGGAATTGACCAGTTGCGGGAGTTGAAGTGATCCTAAGTTATGAGCAAAGCAATTGCTAAAAACAATCAACTATTTCTAATACTATAAACAGAAAGAAATCCCTTCTGTGGGTTTGCTGTGATGAACATGATTCTATAGGTAACAATGAATTAAATGACAGCATCCTTTCAAAACTGGTCCTCATAGACTCCCTTGAAAAATATATTAGCATGTTACAATGAAGGTGATGTTCTGAAGAAAAACAAACTGAAGAAAAAAATCGTCTTCTGCTTTTCTGGAATAGAATGATACGTCATTCACCTCTTTAAAATTGCATATTATATAAATACTTTATGATATACAAATGGAAAACATTTTAAATGCAAAAACAAATGCAACTGGATATTTTCCACATGCTACCATTCTTGCATTCTCATTTTTATTATCCAAAACAGTGGTTTTTAAAGCACTTAATCTTAAGTTTGGTTTTCCTTAGAAATGTTTTATCCATTAAAAAAATATGATTGTAAAATGTCTTCCATTAATAGAAAGATTGCATTGATTTTTCCCCTTAAACATACAAAGATATTTATAATAGATACCACTATGTTGGCCTCATGCTTGCTTTAGTGGATTCATGGCAGTACAATAAGAAAAGAATTCAGGGAGCAGATTCTAAATTAATTGGCAATTTGAACTTTGAATGATCATTGCTTTGTGCCTATTTGGGAAACATGATTGCTGGATTTAGAGATGGATAAAGACAAACTGCTCTACTCTGACAAACCATTCTTCTGAGAAAATTGAACTGTTCTTTTTCCAACAGGGTAATGATACCTAATCCATCGAGATGTAAAAACTCTATAAAAAGACCTCTTTACAGAGCACTCTGGTCAGCCTGTTAAAGAAAGTGAGCAGTGTTCTTAATGGAAGATAAACGGTTGCCCTATAGGGTTTTATCTGTCATACTAATCTCAAAAAGCATCTCATATAAAACTGGAGTTAAAAAGACTGTCAAGGCAGGCTGCACCACTCTGTAAACTAATACCTGGGGCTTAGCACCCGAGTCCCGTACATGTGAAATGTTTAAAATGTTTGGAAGAAAGCTTTTCCCTTCACATTAGTCTAGGCATACTCAGTGAACCCAATGTGAGATAATCCAAAACAATTCAGGTTCAACAAAGGTTGGGAAAATATTGTAGTAGACACAAAGCTTTGATGGAGAGCTTCTTTGATCTAAAGATTATAAAATACACAGTTTCTAATCTGACAAATTTTGAGCTGCAAAGCACAATATCTAAACATTCTTCTTTTGTCATAACAGTGTAATCCCTTAAGAATGTGATTTAAACCACTAGGGAGCAAAGGTTACCATGAGATTTGTATGAAAGAGGAAAACTGCCTCAGACACCTTGATAGAAGTCTGTGAGGGTCATTAAATGATATAACAAAATGTTGCTTACCATTGGCTCTGCCAGGTCAGCTTCAGTTCAAGACATGTCAAATGCCCAGTTCTTTTCAGTGCGATTGGACAAAAGATGAAACAAGTCTCCCTCTTTTGCTCTCTCCCCCTCCCCACCCCTGTCTCTCCTTTATCTTTAGCCTTCCATTTCTTTTTTTCCTTTAGTTGAAGATCAAATTCCATTGGTGACACAAAACTAAGGTCTCTGCATTCTCCAGTTGCTACACCTATACTCTTCATAAAAATGCTACCGAGTTTTAATTATATGCTTTCTAAACATATAAGTTTTACAAAATGAATATATAGTATGTTAACCAGCAATGCCCAGAATTCAACACGGGAATGGCCATCAGCCTTGACAGAGTGAATGTATCTGTTTTTCATATGGGCCAAATGAAACTGAAAATGCATGGTATGACCAAATGGACTTCCCATTCCCTCTGATGGAAGGACGTGAATATATGAAGGCAATGGCATCTAAACCTTCGTTATCTTAATCTCAAAGTACTAAGATAGAGTAGTAGTCCAAGCATGCTAAACACATGGCTGGTCTGTTCATTGATCATTAGGTCCTTGAGTATAATTGATGCATCTCATGTGTCAAATGTTCCTCATTGGGATTTGAATAAAAATGGATTATCAATGATGCACTCCCTTGGGCAACTGGAGAATTGTAGAAGTGATGTTTCATATTTAATGCTGAAGAGGTTCATGAATTACACCTCTGGTCTACCTGTCAACGTTTTGCTATGAGAAGGGCTGGGTAAATAGGGGAGGAAGGTTGGCTTTAGCAGGGAGACTTAGAGCTTCATTCAGTAAATGCAGTTTTCTCACCCCCACAACTCCAGATGGTTGTGAAAGCCTAGAAAACATGCATTCTATTTCTCCCAGAATTGTAGATTTAGGAAGAATCTTGCAAAATTATCTGCTCCAAGTAGCCAGATTTATGTATGTAAATGTCTATGTGCTTCAGGAAACAGATATTCTTTCCTTAAATATTTTATAAGCAAATTAACCCGTAAACTGAGCTTGCCAGATGACTAGTTCAACAACCATTTTTCAGGAGTAGGTACCAGAAGACACAGACACATAAAACTGAATCTGAGGCCCCTGTACCTCTGGTTCTTATTGCTGCAGTGGTGGCAAACCACTTTGAAATCAGATGTAAATACACAGGACTTCCTGAAAGTTTAAGACCTTCATTAGGTTGGTCCTGACAGGTTAATGGAAATCTAAAAAGAGTTCTGTCCTAAATTCCATTCCCATGAGTGAGTGAGGACATAGAGGTGGTTTCTGGGAAGGGCATCAGAGAGCATCCTAATAAATGAAAAGAACCTGCACCTCCCAGGGGTTGAAGTCAGGCCACATGGTCACCTGGGCCAAATCTCCAAGCAGAGCTGACCCCCAGAGCTGTGCAGTCATTCACTCAGTGCTTAATCAATGTCCTGGAGTTCTCCCGGAAACACAGTCTCTGCCTTCAGGGAATTCATGGTCCCTTTCCCTAGCATGTAAGTATCAGGTTTTGTTCTGATGCACTGAGACAGCTTTTGTCAAGGGCCTGGACTTCTAGAATATGGGCTGTATAGATTTGCAATTGGAGTTGAAGTCTTGGTAAGAGCGACAAGTGCTGTTGATATTATACGTTCATTGTGGGAGAGGGGCACAAAAATGTACAAACCACTATTTGAGTATCATGTTCTGTTTTTACAAGAAAAAATATTGCATTGTCATGGACCCTTTCTATGAAAACCTGGTTGGTGATCCTCTCTCAGAAGCAGATAGGCTTCTGTAATTTAATGACTTTCTTTCTTTATCCTCTTCATTATGCTGTTTCCTGCTTCCTTCTACTTTAAAAAGCATTGGAAAAGGGAACATTTGTTCAAATTCAGGGGACTAACAACTGCATACTTCAGAGCACTTTGAGACCTTGTCTGAAATATTCATAAGGCCACCAGTGATTATTTTTAAGAACACATGGAGGACACTGGAGAGATACCAGAGGACTTGAAGAGGTCAAATGTAGTGTCTAGATTTAAAAATGGGATGAACGATAACCCTGGAACTACAGACGTCGGCTTATTTTCCTTACCTGAAAAAACTGGAACAAATCATCCAAAAATCAATTTGCAAGCACTGAGGAGAGCTCATCATGCGAGATAATAATTCACTGACTGTTGGGAAGCAAAAGACTGTCAAAGTTTTATAATTTCTTCTTATGATAGTGATAGCCTGGCAAATTAGAGGGCAGAAATGGCAACATATTTCTTCACTATTAAAGTTTATTGTCTCTTTAACATTCCTATATAATCTGAGTAAATATGAACTAGGACAAGAGGTCATAATAAAGTTACATGGGCACAGACATAATTGTGGTGCTTTACTCAAATATTAACCAATTTATTATAATTACATTTCAATTTTACAGCTTAATAAAATAGGATTTTCTAAGAGGTCAGTTTGGGATCTAGTACTATTTAATATGTTCAATTTTACCACATAGGAAATAGACTATTCACTTCTTAAATGAACCGACAATAATCTAAGAGGCAAAATTATCCCCTTTAGCAACAGTGTTAGAACTCATACTGTAACGCTGAAATAATAAACAGAATGGAATTTAGCAGCATAGGGAAAGACACAAAGATATTTTTCTTGTTGAGCAACAAGAAATATATAAAGTAAGGATAATGAGAGAATTCCCAAGGATAAATTTTTTTGAAAAATCCAGGATTGAAACTGGAATACATGTTGAAAATTATTCAGCAATAAATGGTTGTGGGAAATAAAAAAGCATTTGCAAACTATCAAATTCATTACTGCACATTTAAAAATAATAACTTTAGGCTGGGCACAATGGCGCATACCTGTAATCCCAGGACTTTGAGAAGCTGAGATGAATGGATTGTTTGAACCCAAACGTTCAAGACCAGCCTGGGCAACATGGGGAGAACTCATCTCCACAAAAACAATAAAAATAGTAATTTAATAAAAGAGGCTTCAAACCAAATTAAGGAGAAGTAGAGTTAGCTGGCACCCAATTCACCAGAAATTTAGCCTCAAATTGTGAGCCCTGTTAGGATGAGCTCTTAGAGGGCTCACTGCTGGAAAGCAAGCTGTTCTTCCCTGACAAGCACTTGGTGGTCACCAGAGGCTGGACTGAAGACTTCTTTGCTGGGAGAGCTTAAAATATAGACCTGCTTCTCAGTGCTATGACATCGGTCCAAAGCAATTACCTTCCTGCAGTAGACAGGCACTGCAATTGAGAGGAAGCATTTAGAACAGTTTGACAGAGTGATTTTAGGTCTGTCGAATCCAGTAATAAAAAAATTAACACTTGTATTTTGTACACCTTTTTAAACTTTCATTTTCCTAGTGCTTCATTTCTTTTGCACGGTTTCACAATGAATTGGGAATTTAGAAACCTGTCTTCTCACTAGAGATAGTTTAGTAAAAAATTGATACGGAGCACCTAGAAAATGGGAAAAAATCAATTCTGTCATTATATTACCATGGACTTTTTTTATTTAAGACCATTTCTAAAAAAAAATTTCAATGTTGAAAAACTATCAAAAAGATTTACAGTCATGAATGTGGTTCAAAGGTAAGAAATAAAACCAATCAGTGCATTATAAATCTATTGCCATAAAATGATCTCTTTGACTGTCCTTCTATTTCGTGATGTAATTTTTCGAATTCTTCAGGGTTATTTTAAAGTCCATTCCTTCTTCCCTTCCCAAACACAACAAGCGTATCTATTTTAGTGTGGATGGTCACAACAAATGCCTTCCAAGTTCTTTAGTTTAATAGATTATTTATTAAACTATTAAGCAATTCTGGTCCTGGCATTATTTACTTTTAACATTGGTGCAGAGTCAGTTGCTAGGTGCTATCCATGATCAAAAGCCTTAAGTCCACACAGATTGTCTATGTATTCTCCTTATCTATATTCCTATCACTCCGTCACAGAGCACAATTAAAGTGGTCTGACAGGAGGAACTGGAGTGATCCTTGACACCTTATTGCTCTGGGCTTAGGTAATTGGCATCCTCTTTTATCTATCAAGGGGGCACTTTTCATCAAAAGCCACATCTTCTATACATCGCTTTACAATAATACATAATGGAAAGTTTTCCACATGCTAAAGATAATGAAAATAAAAGAAAGCCACAGGTTAATAGCCTGGTGGGTAAAAGTTCAACTCATCTTTCCTATCTACCACTTTTATAGCACTCTTAGCCTTTGACATTCTCAGAGGATAGCAAGAGGATGCATTCAAAACCGTGAGCTGAAAATGGAAAGTGTACTGGTGTGGCTAATTGAAATATACTGACCTAAACGAACCAAGTGAATGCCTGGGCATGAGATAGTAGGACTCTGTTGATAACACTGAGCCTTACAGACTCTATCAAGGTTGGCCCCTTCTCCGTTAGGAGCCATGTTGAGTTTCTCAGTGACTGCCCACAGAGCCATGATGTAGGTTCTGCCAGCCAAAGAGCAGAGCAATCTCCTCAGCGAGGTGCCAGGACCTCATGAGTATTTGACTCCTGCCCAGGTTGCTTCAGGGGAGTCATCTGTTTCCTCCTGAGACTCTCAGGACCGAAGACTAGTCCGAACACTGCAACCATCGCTCCTTGCAGTGCCGAGATCTAGGCATGTCAGCATCCTCCAGTTATGGAAGCCTTCTTCATAAGGTGTCGATGGCAATCTACATCCCAACTGCCACCAACATCATGAAATTCTTGACTATCCACATGGAGTCTCCCACACGGTCACCTATGATGACCTTCATCTCCTTTTCATTCCTTCCTCATCCCCTACACCAGAGTTTAAAACTCACTATCCAGATTCGCTTCTCTCCATCATATCTGCAACTTAGGGGCCTCAGTGTCTGGCCAACAATCTCCTCACCTGTCAGCTTTCATTCCTTGTGCCCACTGTGTCTTCCCCAGCGCTCCCCAGCTGCTCATTCCCCATTTTCTCCTCCTCCATAGGGCCTCTGGGCTTCAGCCCTCCTCCACTCTGTTCAGTCTCTCTGTGTGATCTCCTAAGCTACCTTCTCTCTTTTACCCACACCCCTGCAACAAAATTCCAACCCTAGTTCTTCTCCAAAATTCTGATACAAAGATCATAAAGCCAAGTGGCCCACACTTCAAGAAAAAAACAGCAAGAAGTAAGAAGTCCTCGCTAATCTGCATCAGACGTCCAGCAAGTGTAGGTGAACCCTCTGCTGGTGGAGGACTCTGGGCAGGGTGGGATGCACTCACTGCTCCCTTTAATTACCCTCTCTGGGCCTATATTTCCTAAGCAATAAAGCAAAGGGATTAAAATTGATGAATCCTTTTTAATCTAGTCTTTCTATCATATTCTACTCCACCCATTTTCTTCAATAAAACTCCTATTTTAAATAAAATTCTATTAAAGAATTTCCAAATATTAAATAAATACAGAAATAAAAGTGGTAGAAAGGGACTTTCAGGTAGTATATATTTAAATTGTTTGGCAAAAATAAATGTTTAACTTTCATTGCCCCAGAAACACCTGTGGAGAGCCCAGGGCTGTACAAAGCTCATTTTGAAAATTGGTGTGCTATACACTTGGACTGCAAGTCTTAGAAAATAAAAAAGATAAATTGTACAAGAATGTATTCAGTATAACTCCATTTATACACACACATATGTATGTATACACATGTCTGTATGTGTATACATGGGCATGCATATATACGTACATGGATATATGCATATATATTCTTAAATAAACAGAATATTTCAGGAAAAATCATTATGAAAATCAACACTGATACTTTCCTAAGAACAAGAAGAGAGTATGAGCAGAGAATTCTATTCTTCCATACAAATGGATTTTTTTTATCATGAGCATGTGTTATTTTTATCCTTTTAAATAGAAAAGAAAATGACCAGACTTCAGGTTTTCTGAGTTCCCTTCCAGCCCTAAGATTCTGTGATTTTGTTTTTTAAAACCTGTGAGTAAATTTTCCTTCTCTTCCAGTAGCTGCAAATATCAAAAATTACTTGTGAAAAATGCTGCTCTAAATATCAACAGCAGTATTTCTGGAAAGAAATTCTTCATCAGAAGCTCTTAGGGGTTGAATTGTGTTCCCCCAAAAGGCATGTTTGAAGTGCTAACCCCCTGTACCTCAGAATGTGACCTAATTTGAAAATTGGGTCATTGCAGGTGTATTTAGCTCCACTGAGATGAAGCCATACTGCATAGGAAGGGCCCTTGATCCAATGTGAAGACACAGGGACTTGGAGAGGACGCCAGGGAATGACAGAGGCAGAGACAGCACTGATGCACCTGCAAGCCAAGGAGTGCAAAGGATCCATGGCCATCACCAGAAGCTAGGAAGAGGATTCTTCCCAGAGCCCTTGGAAAAACTGGCTCTGCTGACACTTGATTCAAACTTCGAGCCTGAAGAACTATAAGAAAATTATTTCTGTTGTTTTAATCCATTGGGTTTATGGTACTTTATTACATCAGCCATGGGAAAGTAGTATCTAAGCCGACTCTCTTCGTAAGCTTTCCTGTTTCCAATTTGGGTCCTTCCTATTTCCCACTTGGATCTTTCCTATTCCCCACTTGAGTGCCCAGCCTGCCCACATACTGAACAGTTGTCATAGACCCTATGAAGAAGACTTATTAAGTGGTCTTTTGTATTCAGTGCCCTTGGATTCAAATTCATGAAGAAGAGTTAAACTCAAGGATCAAATCATTCTGTATCTGGTTTGAAGCATGTGAGGTAGGATATTATCACAACCACAAATGGAACTATATTCATCACATTGCTTATACTGTGTTACTGATTAGCTTCACCCTCAATGGTCACTAAAGAAATTGAACTGACCATGAATATTTTATATCAAGAGACCATCAACCTGAAAAGAGCTTCCAAAAGTAAACGCATAACTGAGATCTGGAGTTAGTCTTCCAAGACAAAGTGGCTTGGATTTATTTTAAATTTAAAATGTAGTCCATGTAATTCTCGGGCAGCATTATTTTTCCTCTATAATAAATTTCTAGTATTGGACCATATCCTAGTCTAACTCAAAAATAATCTCTGAGAATAAAGCACGACACAACACATGAGGAGAATTTCCAGGGTGCAGTAGAGACACCCACACAACTGACCTAAAACATCTCTCGAGTTGTTACAATAGTTATCTTCGAACTTAGCCAAAAATCTTATAATCTCCAGCTTGGGCTCTGAATCTCTAGTAAGTTTTCAGATTAAACCTTTTTTTTCTTAAAGCTTCTTTTTCTAGGAAAATTTCAGTCCTCTGGTGGAAATCATTATATGTGTGAAATGGTATCTGACCCAAAGGAAGGTGTTCACAATCAGCATATTTAAGGAGTTCCTACTGTGTGCAAAGCAGTTTAGTCTTCATGACTCTTGATACAAAGGCGAAATGAATATGATCCCTTATCTTATCAAATTTTACCAGGTAAGAATTCAATGATTATCCAGGTAGAAGAGACAAACATACCAATAAATCCAAAAATAAGTCAATGTGAGCTTCTGCACCAGCCACAGACCCATCCCTGAGACCCCTTTGAGATGTTCATACTCAGAATTCAACTCTTCCTCTAGAATCATTACAAGATTAGCTACCAGTTGTACATCAGCCACTCCTAATACCTAGTGGGGTTTCAATGTTGTCTTGCATCAATGAAGGTGCTAATCACGTCTATGGTGACATTTAACACCACCTCCGACTCCCTCATCTCAAACCTCTGCTTCTGCTGGCCACCTCCTCTGCCACACCACCCCCCTTAACTGAATGGGTTTGGTAAACTTTGGTTTGAGCTAGATTTCTGACAATTATCCCCCACTATTTTTACCTGCATGGTGCCACCAATGTCTGCATGAAGAGGGGAGAGATAAAGAAGAAAGAGAAAAAAATGGAGAAGTGCGTTAAAATAAATAAATAAATAAAATTATAAAGGCAGCTGAGAGCTAGGTTGTCAAAGTCATTAAATGCCAACTGAGAAGGAATGATGTGATTCCATCTTTCTTTTAGAACAAGTACTAATATCCAAGATATTGCTAACGCTGTGATGTGTGTCACTGACTTTGTGATAGAATGTAACAAGTACCAAATTTTCTAAATGCTTTGCCATAAAATTAAAGTACAATCAATATTATTACCATAATAATGGAGTTTCTCAAAGTTGTGTGATAATGAACCCTAAAACAAATCAAAAAAGCAAAGCAAACTTTATATGGATCTCCAATATTGGCCAATCATCTTCATTGTAAGTTTTTATGATTGGCTGAAAAATGTATCTCCACCCTCAAGGATATCCATGTCCTGTTCTCTGGAACCTGTACATGTTATTTTCAATTGCAAAAAAGTGGGGAAGGGGTGTGGGGATGTGATTAAGTTGAGAAATTTGAGATGTGAGACTATTCTGGATTTTCCAGAGGAAGGCAAAGGACAAATTGACACACAAAGAGGACAAAGCAAGTGAAGTTGGAGAAGACAAAGATTTGAGGATGTGGCCACAAGCCAAGGAACCCTGGCAGCCACCACAAGCCAGAAGAGGCAAGGAACAGATTCTACCGAAGTCTCCCAAGGGAGACTCCCAAGGGAGTGTGGCCCTGCTCATGCCTTGATTTCAGCCGAGTGATAGTAATTTGAGACTTCGGGTCTGCACAACTGTGAAATAATACATTTATTTTATTTTAAAACACCAAGGTGGTGGAAATTTGTTTCAGCAGCCATAAGAAACTGATCATTTTTATTACAAATCTGATGTGCAAACATCAAACAATGGATAAATTCCTTATGCTTACACCTATAAAACATCTCTAAAATCCCATCTCACCTATAAATTAAATAAAAAGGAAGCTTTTTATTTAAGCCAATAAAACTCAATAACAGAAATATAATATGATTGATGATTGCAAAAAGAGGCCACTGTTTGCAATATGAATATAGCTCTTATAGTCACATTGCAAGTTCTCTTAAGTGTCATCTGCCTAAAATGCAGGGTGCCATGTGCTAACTTCAATCTCCCACCATTTCTCTCTCGTTGAACTAGTAAAAGGATTCATGGAGATTCACTAGGTTAAATATTTAATTTTAGTGTATATAGTCTGCCTTTCTCCTTTTCTTGTTAGCCTCTGCCATTCAAATAGAACTACTGCAAGGAAAGAGTAAACATAGAAGCCAACTGAACACTGAAGTTGAGAGTCATCACTGTTTACAGGTGACCATCTAAATCAATGATTCTTCACCTTAAATCTGCATGCACAGATCACCAAGTGTCCTGTTAAAATGCAAATTCATAGGTCTGGGCAGGACCTGATCTTCTAGTGAGTTCCCATCAAGATGATGCCAATGTTGCTGGACCACAGTTTAAAAAGCAGGGCTCTAAGAAACCCATCCAGAGTGCACTTCTTTGTTTGTTTGTTTGTGTGTTTTTGAGATGGAGTCTTCGCCACCCAGGCTGGAGTGCAGTGGTGCAATCTTGGCTTATTACAACCTCCACCTCCCGGATTCAAGTGATTCTCCTGCCTCGGCCTCCCAAGTACCTGGGATTACAGGTGCCCACCACCGCGCCCAGCTAATTTTTGTATTTTTAGTAGAGAGGGGGTTTCACCATGTTGGCCAAGCTGATCTTGAACTCCTGAACTCAAGTGATCCGCCTGCCTCAGCCTCCGAAAGTACTGGGATTACAGGAGTGAGCCACTGTGCCTGGCCTCCAGAGTGCACTTCTTTTAATTTTATTTTCCTCTTTTTTTTTTTTTTTTTTTTTTTTTTTTTGACAAGGTCTCACTCTGTTGCCCAGGCTGGAGTGCAGCAGCTCAATCTCAGCTCACTGCAGACTTGACCTCCTGGGCTCAAGCCGTCCTCCCACCTCAGCCTTGAGTAGCTGGGACTACAGGTGCACGCCACCACACCCAGCCAATTTATTTTTTGTAGAGATGGGGGTTTCACTATGTTGCCCAGGCTGATCTTGAACTCCTAGACTCAGGCAATCCTCCCAACTCAGCCTTTCAAAGTGCTGAACTTACAGGAGTGAGCCACCATGTCCGGCCCGAATTTTCTTTGTATTATGACAGAAATCTTTTTTAATCTTTTAGTGATTTTACAGAGCTCCCACCCCCCCACCTCAAGAAATGTGTCAATCTGGGTAATACCTGCATCGATTGGTTGGATGGGTATGTTATGCTGTGGAACATCAGTACAAACAATCCCTAGAGTATCAGTGCTAACAAATAGAAAGTGATGTTTTATATACAAGACCACTGCCTTATGAAACTAAACTGCATTCAATGGTATCCTTGCAATAACAGTTCAGAGATTGGGGCTTTTATATCTCACAACGGTACCATCTGCAATGCACGGTTTAACATTTGCTGCACTGGAGGAAAACAGCACAGAAGCGTTAGGCACCAGCTCTCAGATGCCTTGGCTCAAGAGGGAATATATTTCACTTCCACTCGTGGCTCATTCCCTAGAAGTGGTTGCGTGGCCTCACGTAACTGCAGGAGGGTTGGCAAGTGTGGGGAAGCTCATGGGTATTCTGAAAGCAGTAAATATCTCTGCCAAAATATGAACCTACAATGACGTACCTTCCAATCACTTGCATTCAAGTTATTTTGTGTAAGAGGGGCAAAATTATAAGCAGCCCCTGCTTATGTGATTGTTATTGCCCTTGGACTGCCTATCTGTAATGCAGCACTAGTTAAAAGCCTCCATCACCATTCTACTAGTACTAATACTAACATCAATTTATTATAGTCATAAAAACTTCTCATCTTAAACTATAGAGAATTTAGAAAGGCAAAAAAGGATTTAAAATGCCTAATCAACTTTCATTCACTTATGCATTGCACCTAGGTTAGAATAATTCCAGAAATATTTCATTCAGGTGAAGAAAAGCAAAGGCCAAGTAATTATTAAAGTGAAATTGACTTACTGTAGTCATATTGAATGGTAAGTTGAAATGATGTAAGTTCAATTACTATAAATCTTTTAAAGTAAAGGTTTGTGTAGTTATTCTTTAATAGTATGTAACTGCTTTTTAAAAAGTGATATATGTTATTGAGATCTGAAAAAAGCTCAAAATTATTAAAACTTTTTTATTAGAAAATGTAAAACATATATACAGAAAAACACATAAAGTGTAAGTAGATATTTCACTTTTTTACATAAGATTATTTTGTTAAAATATACTTTTGATCAAAAACCAGGCCCACATATATATGGAAACATATATGATAGATATATCATTACAAATCAGTAAAAGTATAATGGGCTACTCAATAAATATGTTGAGATCATAGACCATACAAATACTAATGATAAAATTAGGTTTTTATCTGAACCATGTGTGCTGACACACACACACACACACACACACACACACACAGACACACATATATTTTTATTTGAGTTAAAAATGTTAATACAAAATAATTTTAAAACATTTAAGAGAAAATCTATGTTATCAGTGTTGAACAGCTTTTCTTATGTAAAGAAATATTAAGTACTAGAGATTGATAAGACTGACTCAATTAAAATTTAAAATAACTAATCTTAACAAACAACTCCTTAAATAATGTAAAAAACAAACTGTAGACTAGAAGAAAATATTTTTAATGTATACATCCCATTTTACTGTAAGAAATTAGAATATAGGCCGGGCGTGGTAGCTTGCACCTGTAATCCTAGGAGGCCAAGGCAGAAGGATCGCTTGAGGTCAGAAGTTCGAGACCAGTCTGGCCAACATGGTGAAAACCTGTCCCTACTAAAAATACAAAAATTAGCTGGAGTGGTAGTGCACTCTTGTAATCCCAGCTACTTGGGTAGCTGAGGCAGGAGAATTGCCTGAACCCAGGGATTGGAGGTTGCAGTGAGGCAAGATTGCACCACTGCACTCCAGCCTGGGTGACAGAGCGAGACTCCATCTCAAAAAAAAAAAAAAAGAAAAAGAAAAAAGAAAAAAAAGAAAGAAATTAGAATATAGAATATGTTACAAATTAATGAAAAAAGAAAAAGAAAAACAGCCCAATAGAAGAAAAGTGGTCAAAAATTGTGAATATGCTGCTATTCATGGAAAAGAAAAAAGAAGATGAGAATAGCTAATAAACATATGAATATATTTCTGAAACATCAGTAGGAATCAGAGAGATGCAAATTAAACCAATGATGACATTCCATTTCAACTCATCAGACTGGAAAACCATCAACCATTCAGTGTGCCTGGCAATGAGGGAAAGATCAAATGCCATTGGCTATTTGATACAACCATATGGAAAGCAAGTCTGTAATACCTAGTAAACCTGAAGATGAAATACTCTAAATTTAGAGGTTTACTTCTAGAGATCTACTCTACAGTGTGAAGAGTCTTTCTTTCTTAAGTAGACTTCCTCTACTCTAGACAAGAAAGTCTCCCATAAGTGAGCAAGGATGTTTGTTGCAGCAGTATTTGTTACAGTGAATGTGAGAACTGAAAGAAAACTACTATACCTCAGTAGGTCAATGTATAGATAAGCTGGCTTATTTGGCTATTAGAATCTCATAAGACCATGGATTAAATAAACTATGTCAACCTGTATCAAAATATGTTGACTACAAAAAGCAAGGTGCAAAAGGGAAAATGCAGTGTGATACAATTTAAGAAAAATTGTCAGCAAACAATATAAATTGCTTATGAATGTAAACATACAAAAAGTACAAACTTATGTATAGCAATTATGTACAAAATTCAAGCCTCCAGGGAGAAAAAGAAGGGGAATAACTGTATTGCTATTTTTTCTTTTAAAACATAAAGGGCAACTTTGAAACCAATATGGAAAAATGTAAACATCTGTTAGTCTGAGTGGTGGGTACAGGCTGCCTGTATATTGTTTTCATTGCTTGCCGCATATTTGAAATATTTCATATAAAAATGTTTAACATCAAAATTGTCATATTTATTTATTTGTTCAGTTAAATGACACTTTTTGATATTTTCAAATGGCTGATTTCATTACATGCATGATTTTAAAAGATTTTAATGAATATTGCACTGAAAAACTGCAATATTTGTTTTATTTATACATACAATGTGTCAACATCTGGCTATGTTCATGGGAGTATGTTGCTGATGTGAAAGTAATCTATCTTGAGTGTCACAGCACATAAAAGATGGAGAACTTTTGGCATAGAAAGAAAATTCTGATAGCAGAATCCAGGACAGAAAGAAAAAGATACTGGAAGTTGGAAGCTCAGTTGTAACAGACACCAGGGGGGAGGCAAAATTGAACATTTTTTCCAATGCCATTTTAATAGCAAATTCAACAAGATTTGACAATTAAGTGAATACAGAGGAAGGTGCAAAAGCATCACTCTGAGATTTTATGTCTCAAAGAAGGTGACATTGAGACATGGGGAAACATGGTGCTTTTGAATGGAGAAGATAGTAAGCTGTAGTTTGGACGTGCTGGATTGGGTATGGCATCTCCCGTGTGAAGCTGAAGATGGGAGTCCACTAACAAAGAGGAGGTCCAGAATAGCAAGAGAATGTGACTCCCGTGTGAGGCTCTTTCACTAAATTTCCATCTCCTTCTACCCTTTTCTTTTCTCTTTCCCCAGGTTGCTTCCCCTACCATCTACTGAATTACCTAATATGCTTTTTGAATATTGTGTATTTCATGAATGTCCAAGAATCCTTATTTCTTAAGTGAATCTAACTATATTCCTTACTTTAAAATGCACTAATGAGCAGTATTAAATTACATTTCTGGGGTTTGTTTAGCTTGCTTGGGGGTCATGGTTTATCTTTTTTCTAGGGTTTATTGCTCACCAAACTTTCCTAAGTGTTTCTAGACCTTTGGAACTTAAGAGTCAATATCTATCATGAGAATGTAGACAACGGTTCTGGAAATATAACAGCCACTGAAAAGAACACGACATCCTTCTAAGGCCCGTTTTAGCGTGCTATCACAGGCAACCTCGCACCCATCATGACAGGCTAGACTTGAGACAAAATGCGACTCCCATAACATCTAACAATTAGTAAATCAGATATCTATGTATTGATCCCTGGAGGTGACTGAAGCTAGCAAGACAATCTAAAAAAATGAGTGAATGAATGAAGTGGCACTAATCATCTCTAATATTACAACAGCCCAGCTGGGAAGCCAGAGAGGCTTATTTTTAGCTCTGATTCTATGAAATAGTCATGGTGCTTTTGCCTTTTTATTTGTTGGTTTATTTGCTTGTGTATTTGTAATTGAGATACACCCATAACTTATATACTATGAAATGATCCTGAAAGCAATACAATCACTAAGCAAGCAGAGTGAAATGGATTCTGAATATAAATAGAAGCACAAGCACATTTACTATAAGGACACCATCAGTAAGGTGTTGCCTATCCCTGAGGCTGAGGAGAGCGGAGTATGTGGTCATGGGCCTGGTCTAGGATGGAAGTGTCAACATCCCAAAATGCACAACTTCCACTGCCTCATGACATTCTGTTCTTTGTCAGGAATGTCCAGAACATTCACATGAACCTCTTTCGTAACACATCACCCACGCTAAAATGACGGAAGTTTTCTATTTCTTTTATCCTCTAGCCTACAGCTGCCCCAACCCTAATATATGACTCTTTAAATTTGGAGGACAGGCATGGTGGCTCACGCTATTCAGGAGGCTGAAGCAGGAGAATCGCTTGAACCCAGGAAGTGGAGGTTTTAGTGAGCCGAGATCATGCCACTGCACTTCAGCTGGGAGACAAAACGAGACTCCGTCTCAAAAAAAGAACATGGAAACATTCTTTTTGCACAGAATTTTTTATCTATTCAGCAAATATTTATTAGCTTCAAGCAAAAATCTAGACACTAGTATAAAATCATAAAATTTAAAAGATAAAAATGTGTGCCCTTTTAGGGTTTATATTGTTTTAGAGTATAGTATATGGAAAATATAAAAGCAAGATATTGAGCAAATCATTAAACTAAGGCAGGTAAAGTAAATTGATAGTCAAGAGGGCTCAGAGTTTTAAAAGGAGCTCGTCAGAAAAGGGCTCATTTAGGAGACATAACTGAGCCAAGACCTGTGAGATGTAGGAGTCTTCCTTGCAGCAGGTGGGAGCTGAGTGCCACAGGCAGGAGGCACAGCAAGTGCAAAGGCCCTGCAATGGGGCTGTCTGGAAGTCAGAGGAACAGTACCAAGGCAGAGGGACCTGGAAACAGCCGATGAAAGAGAGGGATCCTGAGCAGGACTTCATTCTCAGGTGGGGACAGACCCACACTGTGAAGTCTTGCCTTTCACTCTGAATGAAACAAGAAGACGCTGAAGCACTTGATGAGAGTGGTATGACTCATGCTGCTGGGTTAGGAACACGATGCAGGGGCTAAGACAGAAGCAGAGACCCCCTGAAAAGTCTCTGAAATCGTATCTGGAAGAGATGGCAGGAAATGAGTCCCTGAAGTTAGCCACGGCGTAGCAGTATTTTGAAGGTAGATTCTGGTTTTGCTGATGGATTGAATGCAGATTGTGCATGAAAGAGAAAAGCTAAAGAAGAATCCAAGGTTTTTGTGACCTGAGCAGCCTCAGAAGATAAACGTACCTTACGCTGTGATGTGGAAGAATGCAGGAGGCGTTGGTTTGAAAGTAATTAAGAGTTTATGTTTGAGATTAGACACCCAAGTGAAGGTGTGACCGCGTTTATCGGTGTTTATCTGTTTCTGGTGCTCAGTGGATTATTTCCCAAGTGTGAGTTACTCAGTGTGGGATAAGGCCACATAGCTGTCCAGCAGGACGACCTAGGGTGGGCTTCAGGGCTCTGTCTGGGAAGAATGGCCTCCTCCTTCTTTCCTGCTCTTGTTTGGTAACTCTCCTGATCTCCAATGCATCTCTCCTGGACAGAAAGCACATGTATGCACACACACACAAACACACACACAGACACAGACACACACAGACACACACACACGCACACACACCTGATAGAAACAGTCATTCTCCTTTTGATCAGGAGCAGCTATAGCATTTCTGGAGCATTTTAGCGTCTCAGGGGCTCTCTCATGTGCTTTACATGGATTTCATCACACAATCCTAATGACAACCCTCTGAAGCAGACGCTATTATGCCT
This sequence comes from Homo sapiens, assembly GCF_000001405.40. Classification (NCBI taxonomy): domain Eukaryota; kingdom Metazoa; phylum Chordata; class Mammalia; order Primates; family Hominidae; genus Homo; species Homo sapiens. The sequence continues at coordinate 106,946,626 of NC_000013.11, read as the reverse complement.
TTCTTTTACAGTTGTGTAGACTAAGCCTTAGAGCATTATTACTCAGTTCGGTAACTTGCCAGTATTTCGTCTACTGAAAGTGATGGAAAAGAGATTAAAATCCAGGCAGTCTGACTGCACAGATCCATGCTGTTAAATTCTTCCCTAAATGACCTCCCTCAGTAAGTATAAGACATGTTTTCTTACACTTGGAATAATAAACGAATATCTTCTCATTGCATTTTTTCATTGCTATGTAATATTTATTTCTACAGATGTAATTTGCCAAAGTAATTCTCTATTATTGAAAATTTAAGTTGTTTCTATATTTTCATAGCTATGAAACATATGCTGCCATTCAATTTGCGTTATTTATCCCATTATAATTCTAATTTGCCTCTAATAAAACAGCCTATAAATACTATATCAATTTACACAGCAATGTATTCAATTGTTGTTTCCTGAACTTATTGTCAATACTGTACATTCCTCTATTTTATAATGTTTAAAGTGCTTTTTCCCCACTGTTTATTTTGTATTTCTTTGATTATTAGTGAAGTTGTACTTGTACGGTTTTTGTTTTTTTGTTTGTTTGTTTGTTTGTTTTTTTTGTGATGGAGTCTCATTCTGTCTCCCAGGCTGGAGTGCAGTGGCATAATCTCAGCTCACTGCAACCTCCGCCTCCCGGATTCAATCGATTCTCTGGCCTCAGACTCCCAACTAGCTGGGATTAAAGGTACGTGCCACCACACTCTGCTAATTTAGTAGAGATGGAGTTTCACCACGTTGGCCAGGATGGTCTTGAACTCCTGACCTCAAGTGATCATCCCAGCCTCTGGCTCACTAGTGCATCCTCAGCTCTCCACTATGACAAGCTCAGGAGGCACAGTGATGTCACTTCCTGCATATGTAAGTTGCATAACTGACAAATAAAAATTGCATATATAAATGTATATGCGTGTATTTATTTATATATTATAAATATATATGCATGTATTTATATACTATAAATATATATATTTGTATATAATATATACTTTATAAATATTTATATTTATAAAGTATTCTATTTATATATTTATTTCATATACTATAAAATATATTTTTATTTTATAAAATATATATAAATAAATATATCAGATGGCAGAGCTGTATATTTATATATTTTTTAAAGGTAAAAAATATATATTTTTACATATAAATATATAATTAAAATCTACTTTCTGATCAGTTTTCAAGATTGCAATACATTATTATTAACTATAGTAACCGTGCAGTACAATAGATTTCTGGAACATATTCCTCCTGCCTAACTAAACTTTTGTTTCCTTTGAGCAATATCTCCCCATCTCTTTTCCAAAGACAATGTAGTCCAACTTCATTTGTAAGAAAACTAACATTCTTCTAAATACAGGAGGTGGTTACCACTGTACTAGCCAATTTTTATTTTAGAAAAGAGAACACTTAGAGAATGGGTGGAGAGTTTCCCCAATAACTCTGTGTAGGTCTGTGTTTCCTATCTGCAAGATCCCAAAGCTCACAAAGTGCATCTTCACAGAATAAGGGGAGAGTGCTCATTTACAGGCCCACATTTTTGCACATATTCCTAATGCAGAAAGTGTTTACCTTTACACCAATTAAGAGGAGAGTTTCCCGCCTTAATCCATTTAAAACTTCATTCTTCATGAAATACTCTTTATATTGACAACTGTGAAAAACACTTTTCAAAACACAGGGTAATTATTTTATTTAGTATAATAATTTAAAGCTAAGACTAATTGAGCCTCAGAATAAGTAGACACTGAAAATGCATTTGGATACTGAAGATAGCTATCCTGGAATTCAAATAGTGAAGTGGATCTGAAGCTTGTTACTCCAAACTTTGTCTATAAGAGAGATTTAAAAAGAGTTTTAGACTCAATACTTCCTGCTTCCTTGAAATTCCTACCAAATTCTTGATGTTGGTCATGACCAGGGCAGTCCCTCTGTGATGCTTCCTTCTGTCCCTTCTCACTCTGAGGCCCTTTCCTTCTTTTTGAGATAGAATAGATTAGACCCCGTGCTTCCTCATTCTGAATGATATTATTTACTCTCCTCTATTTCTAACTCCTTCTAAAAAAGAAGTGAGTATAAAAGCTTTCAACTTTCTCCCAAATGGAGATGAGAATAAAGGCTTTATGCATAACGAGGAACCCTGTTATTTGTGCACATGCTTTTGTTTTCATTTTGTTTGGTATTTCTGCTTAAAAGGCTTCATTTTTTCACTCATGTGAGTGGGAGCTATTTGAAAGTTCGAAAGGCACTACTTATTAATACTCTCTTATCAAGTTAATCCTATCAGAACTGTGCATGCGTTCCTTTCTGACCTTTAAAAGAGTGCTTACTGTGCCGGGCAACTTGGCTCACGCCTGTAATCCCAGCACCTTGCGGGGCCAAGGCGGGTGGATCACTTGAGGTGGGAGTTCCAGACCAGCTTGACCAACATGGAGAAATCCTGTCTCTACTAAAAACACAAAATTATCTGGGCGTGGTGGTGCATGCCTGTAATCCCAGCTATTTGGGAGGCTGAGGCAGGAGAATCGCTTGAACCCAGGAAGCAGAGGTTGTGGTGAGCCGAGATCACGCCATTGCACTCCAGCTTGGGCAACAAGAGCAAGACTCTGTCTCAAAAAAAAAAAAAAAGAGTGCTTACTGGGCCGGGCAACATGGCTCACACCTGTAATCTCAGCACTTTGGGAGGCTGAGGTGGATGAATCGCTTGAGGCCAAGAGTTTGAGACCAGGCTGGGCACCATAGCAAGGCCTCTTCTCTACAAAAAATACAAAAATTCGCTAGGTGTGGTGGTACACCTGTAGTCCCAGCTACTTGGCAAGTGGGAGGATCATCTGAGCCACGGAGTTCAAGACTGCAGTGAGTCATGACCACATCTTTGCACTCCAGCAAGGGTGACAGAGTGAGACCTTGTCTCTGAAAATAATAATAATAATTACTAATTGTCAGGTATTGCTGTGTGCAAGGTGTGCAACAATATGTAAGGAATGGGCACCTCCTTGAAAAGGGATTCAGAATCTATTGGTGGAGAGATAGGCATGTACCTAATACACCTTGGTTAAAATATTTTAGTAAAAATATGCAATACAGAATTAGAGAAAAATCTAATATTGCTTCCAGAGATCTGGAGCAGCACATGGAATGTGTGAGCTGAGATGACTCGGGTAAGCGGAGGCTCCGAGGGAAAGGCATTCCAGATAAATGGAAGCGTGGCTGCAAAAGAGAGGAGTGAGCTCACAGGCCCTTCTGGAGGAGTTCCATGGCCTTCCTGTGACTGAAATAGGATGGATTGCAGAGGATGAAGGAAACAGAGAGTGGTCTCTAAATCAGATGATGGAGAAACCCTGGAGTTTATCCACCTCATAAAAGAGAACCAATGAACAATGTTTAAACAAGCAAGTATTACTCTGGTTGGGTTGCAGTCAACAAGAGAAGGGGGCTATAGGGCAGCCACACTGTGTCTAAAATTCAGGGAAGTTTGCTACTTTTCCCCCAGGCTGTGCACCTCTCAAAGTTGGCCTTGATTTTTAAAAATTCTATTGTCGCCTCATGGTATAGTTTGTGTAGAACTGCTTTTTATAAAAACTAAGACAAAATAAAACAGAAATGAGCACATACGCTCTTCTATCTAAATATCCTTTGGAAATTAACAATCGGCATATACATGTTTCATGTCTCACAAACATCTCAAGATTTGATTTTAGTGTTAATCAGTGACACATTTCATTTTTGTGATCAGCTCCAGGTTTTCACTTTTCCTTTTAAGGGCTATTTTGACCTGACAGAGTCTCGCTTCACCAAACCCTGTGGTTAAGTGGGATGCATTTGTGGGTGCAACAGAGGAGTACATTAGTCAGATTTCTCCAGAGAAACATAACTAACAGCATGCATGTGCACGTTTGTGTGTGTATGTGTGAGAGAGAGAGAAAAAAACAAAAAGAAAAAAAGAGAGATTTGAAGGAACTGGCTCATGCAATTGTGGAGGCTGCCATGTCCAAAATCTGTACTCTGGGCCATGAGGATAGAGACCAAGGGAAGAGCCAATGTTGCAATTCACACCCAAGGGCCATCAGCCTTGGAAGTTCTCTCTTGCTTGGGGAAGGTCAGGATTTGTACTACTCAGATCTTTAACTGATTGGTTCAGGCATGGCCACATAATGGAGGGCCATCTGCTTGATTCAAAGTCCACTGACTTAAATGTTAGTCTCACTCAAAAACACCCTCATAGAAACATCCAGAATAATGTTGCCCAAATATCTGGGCACCCTGGCCCAATCGAGTTGTCACAGAGGAATAACCACCCCAAGGGGCAAAGGTGAATGTGAAGCAGGAGAAGTTGTGGGACGTGTCTGTGTGTGGAAGTTTTATCCGGTCCTTCACTGAGTGTGGGCCAGGCCTGGCAGTGCTGAGCACAAAGAAGGATGATCAACTTCCCAAAATAGGTTGTGTCTCAGGAAAGCATAACATTGCTTTAGGTTTTAAGATAGCTTGAAGATCGAGGTAAAAATCAAACTTTGTCCCTACTTTATTCTCTCTAGATCAGGGGCCCCCAACCGCCAGGTCACGGACTGGTACCGGTCCATGGTCTGTTAGGAACCTGCATAGCAGGAAGTGAGCGGCCGGAAGCAAGCATGACCGCCTGAGCTTCCCTCCTGTCAGATCAGCAGCAGCATTAGATTCTCATAAGAGCACAAACTCTACTGTGAACTACACATGCAAGGGATCCAGGCTATGTGCTCCTTATGAGAGTCTAAGTAATGCCTGATGATCTGAGGTGGAACAATTTCATCGTCAAACCATCCCCACATCCCCTTCTCCATGGAAAAATTGTCTTCCACAAAACTGGTCTCTGGTGCCAAAAAGGTCAAGGACCTCGGCTCTACATGCCATAGCAATGCACTATTGCTATCTGAATTTTCCACAGCTTCTAGAGAAATACTTTGGTTGTGGCTTTGCAAAACACAAATACTTCCTATGCTTCATCTATGCAAAATAAAATGGCTTTGTTATCTTAACAGGTCATGAGAACAGCCATGTGATGATTGAGCTCTGATATCCACCCAGGCCTTGCTCCAGCACCTTGTCATATGTTGGCACAGCCCGTATGACTATAAAACCCTCTTTAAACTCTATTTAGAGAGTTTCTCTGGATATAGAAACTGGAGTACACATTCCTTTATTTTTATGCTCAATTTTTCACTTCATCCCCTCTCACTTACTTTCCACTTCACGCGATGCCTCCTCCTGTCAGAAGTCGCCCACTTTTAAGCTTTCTTTCCAGCCCTCCTCCACAGTGTGGGATTTCTCCTGTCTAAAATTCACCTTAAACTCTTCTCCTTTTTTCACATCAGGTCGAGTGACCCATAAGGACCCCAGTTCTTGCAGAAGTCCAAGCCTTCATTTTGTTATTTCTGCTCTCTAGTGGCTTCCTGGAATCAAGGGACGTTACTGAAAGAGGAACCAAGGCCCCTGTTTTCACAGAGCCAAGGGAGCAATTTTGAAAATTTTTCACAAGAAAATTGGGAAAGTAACCATTTATGTGGGAAAGTTTCTTCTCCCAAGATTGACACTTTATTAGGATGAGATGTAGCGCATGTGGGAGGTAAAAGAAGCCCTTGGAAACAGGAAATTCTTTGTGATAAGAACGTACATGAGGGTACTTTCTGTAGCCCTGGTCATAACGTATTTATCAGCTCAACTAGGATGATATTCAGCCTCCTCAAAGATCAACAGGCCAGCATCCTGAACTTGCTTTTTTTAAAACAAAAACAAAAACAAAAACAAAAAAAACCTCAGGAATGGATTTCAACATTCCTTGATGCAAGATAGTCAATTAGCAGGAAAGATGAAAGTGAAATTAAAGCTGTGTAAAGACGTTTTCACAATGGCCTAAGAAAAGAGAGCCTGGGAGAATATAGATAACTCTTCCACAGATGAAGAACGAAACAGATTCAATTACTTAAGTCACATCTTTCCTAACTGATGAGAAAGGGCATTCTGCCAATTTCCACTTGAGACTTTAGAAGAAAAAAATCACTCTTATTCAATATAATCGTTTTCAAGATTCCTTGAGGATGAGAAAAAGTTTTTGAATGATTAAAACAAAAAATAGACCCCTTTTAAAAATATGAAAAAGGTGAGTTAACAGCTGAGTCAGTGCTGATCTCTGCCCTCATCGTTTCCTGAAAAGCAGCGCTATGACAGAATGTGAATGAATTTGTCTATTGCAAAAAAATGCCAAGACATTGTCATCAAAACCCTGGAATTTTAATTAAAAGGATTAGGGGACTTTAAACTATGTACGTTTTCCTATCTTTCATCTCTTCTCATTCTTTAGCTAGACTTCCTTAAGTGGAATTATATGTAAATTACTGATATTAAGAACATTTTTGCTAAATTCACAAAAATTAGATAGAATTATCAAAATTCTTGACACATGACCCCATGGTAATTACGGAACTAATATTACATGTTCCTCAGGTAAAGAAGTTAAAGAAAGGAGTGAACATGAATGATAACGCATCTTTTGCTAGATTGGTGCCCTTCCCTCCTCCTGTGCTGTGTATATGCAGAGGACAGAGATGGGGCTGTGTTTGGAAGAATGCCGTGGGTTTTTCTCCATCACTTGGTTCAGGCAGCCAAGGCTAGTCATAGTTCACTTTGCATTTATTCTGTGGCTACTTTCGTGGCTGACATGAATAGCTGCATCATCTTTATCTTCATTTATTTTTAAATTGTTCAACTGAAGGAAATGAATTTCTATCCATTGCATCAAAAGTTACAACCAGTCCTGCTGGCAAAAGGTAATAAGACATGTGGAAGAGATAATTTCTGCAAACTTCAATAGCTCCTTACCCACTAATGATTAGAGCAACAAAACGTATTCATTTTCTTTTCCTTTCTTTCTCTCTCCCCCACCCCACCTTCCTCATGTTTCTGAGTGAATAGATGGCCCAGTCTTTGACCTGAAGCAAGAAAAGAAATTACTACACAGCTAATAAATAGCAATTGGGAGCAATTTTCCTTCATAAGAGGAAAAGTTCTCTTAAACTGAGAGCAAAGGGGAAAATATAACCTAGCGTTGCAATTCCCTGACTTCCTCTGATGGTCTCTTTTTGGCATATATCCACATATTACAAATTCTCTTTCTAAATTCATAGCTCAGTTCCCATTTTCTCATTTTATGTAGCTAATATCCTTACAATATTTCAAGGACCCTTCACTACCTCAAACACTTCCAGGAAGAAAAGAAAATTATGGTAAAAGGAGAGTATTCTTTAAGGAAACTAATCAGATAGTGAAGATATTTAAAAGCAAATAATCCCCAGACTTAGAAAGTACTGAGGAAGAAATCTTTAAAAATAGGTATTGCATCTGCAATATTTTAAGGTGCTAAAATCAAGTAAAGGGAATGGATTAATCAGAAGAGTGCGTGAAACACAACCAACCAACATGACTTCTAGTCTGGGGATAAATTTTATTTTAAGAAAAAGCAGCAAGGCCAATCTTTATTTATTTGAAGAATTTCGAACTAAGGGGAGACAACAGCAAAAATACCTGCAGTCAGCTGGAAGTACATTTCCATCACCACAGGGCAGCTGAGATTCATCCAACCATCTCTTCTAGGACATCAAAAAAAGATGAGCCTAATTGCTTTAGCCTTGGCTGGTTAAATAGTTAAGTGCAGAGCTATTTCTTACAGTGTGCAATGGAAAATCAATAATCTTGTGATGGAACTGAAGAATAGCATCTTAACAAAACCTCCTTTCCAAGCCTTCCTGGGTATACAACACGAAAGAAGGCCAGCACAGGATTCCAACTTCCACTCTTCAGCTTTATGGCACAAGTAGGAAATTCTTTTCGGTCAGACGATTTTGTGAATTACGCTTAAGAAACTTATTTTTCTATATGAGAAGCCTAAACCTTTTGGAAAAAAGTAGAGCTTCTAGACTGAAGCCAGTGGTATTCTTTTGAATTAAATCAAGTACTGTCTCATGAAGAAAGTACTGCTCATAAGACAAATTAGCCCCATTATAAATGTAAAATTTATTGAACTTACTTCTTTTGCTAGAAAGTAGTCACTATTACCTCATTGGCCTTTGCTATTCTATCTTTCTTCCTTGATGCTTTCTCAGTTGTAATTATAGCTTTGGTTGTACAGCGCATGCATCCTTTACCATTTATTTCTCTTTGCTTTCTAATATGATGCCTCTCCACAATTCCTCTTCTGATACAATGGCCTATTCTGAACAGGTACTACATGAATACATACCAGGAATTCAGAGCCATCACCACTGCAGTTCTATAGAGAGAAAACACGTTATCTGATGTCATTCATTTCTCACACTTGTTACCTGTCCCTTCAAAGGTATAGTTACATTTTTATAATGCTGTTAAACACTTCCTTTATAAGATGCAATATCTTATTTACTGTCTGTGATTTCGAACATTCTATGTTATTATTACTATATCATATGAATGCTTTCTTCTTGTTTTTTTTCTGACTGCAGTTATTTATTTCCACTATTCCACCCTACCAATGTTCCTCAAAAAAGGCAGAAAAGAAAGAAAATTTTTATCTATCATTTGTTTATTTTAGATAAATATGCTTCTATCAAAGACAAAATGGAATATAAGTACTTAACTAAAATGTTTGGCTACAAAGATAAAGTTCATTGTGAAGAATTCTGAATGAATCCAGATGATAAATCGAGGAAAGATTTTGTTTTTTTCATTCTCCACTAATAGGAGACAAGGCATTTATGTAAATAACATATCTAAAGCAGAAACTTGGAGCCGTGGATATCAGAATCTTTGAAACCACTAAATGGAAGGTAAAATCCTCTATCCATGTAGAATTTTCTACTAAAAGTTGTATCAGATTCTCAATGATCCAGAAAGATTAAAAGCCACTATAGAGAGAAACTGATTCAGTCTATTATTTCAAATAACTACATTTTAACCCTGAGCAGAATCGGAGAGGAGATGATTGCATGAGGATATCCTGTGATCATTGTCTGTGACACCCAGTTGTGCAGTCAGGGCAGGCAAAGGCGCTGGGGCGCAAGGCTCCTGATGTGAAACACCCGTTAAAAAGCTGCCCAAGTCCTAGATGCTTGCTCATCCCAATGGCTTCGTGAAAGAAACACAGAAGAAACTTTGAAAATGACATATCTTAGAACTGTGGAAGTTAGAATCCTAGACTCATGGACCGAGAAAGAGTAGGGCAAAGCTATCATAAAATTCTACAGGAGACCAGAGAAGGGTGGACATGTGGATTGCCCTCACACAGACAGTGAGCTACAGGATCCCTTAGATGGCTAGATCCTGTCCTTGGATATGAATTCTATATGTGCAACAAACACTGGAGTGGCCAAGTTAACCATTTGATATGCTGATAATATATGCTTTAATATAAAAAATGTTGGAGTAAATCTTTCCTCTCTTGCCAATAATATGTGAGAAGAAGAAGGATGAGGAGGAGGAGAAAGGATAGGGGAAAAAATGTAGTGTACTCCCTTTCTGTGTCTGGAATATCTGAGAGTAAAACAAGTTACACTGAGACCCCAGATGGGAGAGTAAATGCGACATCTCCACAGTAAAATCATTTGCAAGAAATGTATAAGAGCAAAAGCATGAAAGGACAAGGGCCAAAATATACTCGTGGTTTCAGAGCGGACACAGTTAAGACTCACAGTCTTCCTATTACATGTACTGAGACGTGGGCAAACAAAGACGACAGACAGAGGTAGAGAAAGGAATAAATGCATGGACAGACAGACAGATGGACGAGAGCAAAGATAGATCATCTTAGTAGGTAAAACACACACCTATAGGTATTCATATTTTAATATATTTAAATGTACATAAACAGTTAATACATAAGCAATCACATTTATGATTAGGCCTATTTCAAAGACACATTTGTGGGACATACGTTGTGAATGAAGGAATTAGTTGCTGGTAACTGGAGAGGAATGATAGATTTACATCTCTTTTCCATAAAGAAATGTGTCTTGCCTTCATGTGCAAAAATCAGAAGATACCCTAGAGGAAGGCTTTTGAACACACACACACACACACTGGATGTAATCAAGGTAAAAGAAGGATGAGAAAGAGTGAAAGTAAATAAAGCTTGTTATTATCTTCACAGATTTATCTATGCTAATGAAGAATATTATTTTTCTCATCTGTCAAGTTCACAAAGGTTTTTTTAACTTTTAGGTTTGTGGGTACATGTGAAGGCTTGTTAAATAGGTAAACTCATGTCATAGAGGTTTGTTGTAGAGATTGTTTCATCACCCAGGTGTTAAGCCCAGTAATCCCATAGTTGCCTTTTCTCCTCCTCTCCCTCCTCCCACCCTCCCTGCCTCAAGTAGGCCCCAATGTCGTTGTTCCCTTCTTTGTGTTCCTGAGTTCTCATCATTCAGCTCCCACTCATAAGTGAGAACAGGAGACATTTGTTTTTTTGTTTCTGCGTTACTTTGCCAAGGAAAATGGCCTCCAGTTCCATCTTCCATCCATGTTCCAACAAAAGACATGATCTTGTTCTTTTTTAAGGTTTCACAGTATTCCATGGTGTATATCTACCACATTATCTTTATCCAGTCTGTCACTGATGGGCATTTAGGTAGATTCCATGTCTTCGCTATTGTGAACAGTGCTGCAATGAACATTCACATGCATGTGTCTTTACAGTAGAATGATTTATAGTCCTCTGGGTACATCCCCAGTAATGAGATTGCTGGGTCAAATGATAGTTCTGCTTATAGTTTTTTGAGGAATCACCATACTGCTTTCCACAACGATTGAACTAATTTACACTCCCACGAACAGAGTATAAGTGTTCCCTTTTCTCCACAACCTCGTCAATATCTGTTATTTTTTGACTGTTTAATCGTAGCCATTCTGACTGGTGTAAGATGGTATCTCATTGTGGTAAGAATATTATTATGAGCAGTGGTTTCCACAGGTACTGCATAGATCTGTTGACAGACCATTGTAGAGCATCTGTCATTGGATAAATTCAGTTTTAACACAGCCTTGACATTTTCATGTTATAACTATGCAATTAATACTATGACTGTTTTCCTAGGCAGAGCCAGGTCTTCAGGTAGAACCAGGCCTCAGAGGCACACAGTGATACCACATTTCAAAAGTTAGAGTATTTTCGATTCTGTCTCAAAATGGGTCTCAAATATACTTACATATATTTGAAAGAGAAAATAATGGGGAGAGAGGAGCCAAGATGGCCGAATAGGAACAGCTCCAGTCTACAGCTCCCAGCGTGAGCGACGCAGAAGACGGGTGATTTCTGCATTTCCATCTGAGGTACCAGGTTCATCTCACTAGGGAGTGCCAGACAGTGGGCGCAGGTCAGTGGGTGTGCGCACCATGCGCGAGCCGAAGCAGGGCAAGGCATTGCCTCACTTGGGAAGCGCAAGGGGTCAGGGAGTTCCCTTTCCGAGACAAAGAAAGGGGTGACAGACGCACCTGGAAAATCGGGTCACTCCCACCCGAATATTGCGCTTTTCGGACCGGCTTAAAAAACCGTGCACCACGAGATTATATCCCGCACCTGGCTCGGAGGGTCCTACGCCCACGGAGTCTCGCTGATTGCTAGCACAGCAGTCTGAGATCAAACTGCAAGGCGGCAGCAAGGCTGGGGGAGGGGCGCCCGCCATTGCCCAGGCTTGCTTAGGTAAACAAAGCAGCTGGGAAGCTCGAACTGGGTGGAGCCCACCACAGCTCAAGGAGGCCTGCCTGCCTCTGTAGGCTCCACCTCTGAGGGCAGGGCACAGACAAACAAAAAGACAGCAGTAACCTCTGCAGACTTAAATGTCCCTGTCTGACAGCTTTGAAGAGAGCACTGGTTCTCCCAGCACGCAGCTGGAGATCTGAGAACGGGCAGACTGCCTCTTCAAGTGGGTCCCTGACCCCTGACCCCTGAGCAGCCTAACTGGGAGGCACCCCCCAGCAGGGGCACACTGACACCTCACACGGCAGGGTATTCCAACAGACCTGCAGCTGAGGGTCCTGTCTGTTAGAAGGAAAACTAACAAACAGAAAGGACATCCACACCAAAAACCCATCTGTACATCACCATTGTCAAAGACCAAAAGTAGATAAAACCACAAAGATGGGGAAAAAACAGAGCAGAAAAACTGGAAACTCTAAAACGCAGAGCACCTCTCCTCCTCCAAAGGAACGCAGTTCCTCACTAGCAGTGGAACAAAGCTGGATGGAGAATGACTTTGACGAGCTGAGAGAAAAAGGCTTCAGACGATCAAATTACTCTGAGCTATGGGAGGACATTCAAACCAAAGGCAAAGAAGTTGAAAACTTTGAAAAAAATTTAGAAGAATGTATAACTAGAATAACCAATAAAGAGAAGTGCTTAAAGGAGCTGATGGAGCTGAAAACCAAGGCTTGAGAACTACGTGAAGAATGCAGAAGCCTCAGGAGCCGATGTGATCAACTGGAAGAAAGGGTATCAGCAATGGAAGATGAAATGAATGAAATGAAGCGAGAAGGGAAGTTTAGAGAAAAAAGAATAAAAAAAAATGAGCAAAGCCTCCAAGAAATATGGGACCATGTGAAAAGACCAAATCTACGTCTGATTGGTGTACCTGAAAGTGATGGGGAGAATGGAACCAAGTTGGAAAACACTCTGCAGGATATTATCCAGGAGAACTTCCCCAATCTAGCAAGGCAGGCCAACGTTCAGATTCTGGAAATACAGAGAACGCCACAAAGATACTCCTTGAGAAGAGCAACTCCAAGACACATAATTGTCAGATTCACCAAAGTTGAAATGAAGGAAAAAATGTTAAGGGCAGCCAGAGAGAAAGGTCGGGTTACCCTCAAAGGGAAGCCCATCAGACTAACAGTGGATCTCTCGGCAGAAACCCTACAAGTCAGAAGAGAGTGGGGGCCAATATTCAAATTCTTAAAGAAAAGAATTTTCAACCCAGAATTTCATATCCAGCCAAACTAAGCTTCATAAGTGAAGGAGAAATAAAATACTTTACAGAGAAGCAAATGCTGAGAGATTTTGTCACCACCAGGCCTGCCCTAAAAGAGCTCCTGAAGGAAGCGCTAAACATGGAAAGGAACAACCGGTACCAGCCACCGCAAAACCATGCCAAAATATAAAGACCATCGAGACTAGGAAGAAACTGCATCAACTAACGAGCAAAATCACCAGCTAACATCATAATGACAGGATCAAATTCACACATAACAATTTTAACTTTAAATGTAAATGGACTAAATGCTCCAATTAAAAGACACAGACTGGCAAATTGGATAAAGAGTCAAGACCCATCAGTGTGCTGTATTCAGGAAACCCATCTCACGTGCAGAGACACACATAGGCTCAAAATAAAAGGATGGAGGAAGATCTACCAAGCAAATGGAAAACAAAAAAAGGCAGGGGTTGCAATCCTAGTCTCTGATAAAACAGACTTTAAACCAACAAACATCAAAAGAGACAAAGAAGGCCATTACATAATGGTAAAGGGATCAATTCAACAAGAAGAGCTAACTATCCTAAATATATATGCACCCAATACAGGAGCACCCAGATTCATAAAGCAAGTCCTGAGTGACCTACAAAGAGACTTAGACTCCCACAAATTAATAATGGGAGACTTTAACACCCCACTGTCAACATTAGACAGATCAACGAGACAGAACGTCAACAAGGATACCCAGGAATTGAACTCAGCTCTGCACCAAGTGGACCTAATAGACATCTACAGAACTCTCCACCCCAAATCAACAGAATATACATTTTTTTCAGCACCACACTACACCTATTCCAAAATTGACCACATACTTGGAAGTAAAGCTCTCCTCAGCAAATGTAAAAGAATAGAGATTATAACAAACTATCTCTCAGACCACAGTGAAATCAAACTAGAACTCAGGATTAAGAATCTCACTCAAAACCACTCAACTACATGGAAACTGAACAACCTGCTTCTGAATGACTACTGGATACATAACGAAATGAAGGCAGAAATAAAGATGTTCTTTGAAACCAACGAGAACAAAGACACAACATACCAGAATCTCTGGGATGCATTCAAAGCAGTGTGTAGAGGGAAATTTATAGCACTAAATGCCCACAACAGAAAGCAGAAAAGATCCAAAATTGACACCCTAACATCACAATTAAAAGAACTAGAAAAGCAAGAGCAAACACATTCAAAAGCTAGCAGAAGGCAAGAAATAACTAAAATCAGAGCAGAACTGAAGGAAATAGTGACACAAAAAACCCTTCAAAAAATTAATGAATCCAGGAGCTGGTTTTTTGAAAGGATCAACAAAATTGATAGACCGCTAGCAAGACTAATAAAGAAAAAAAGAGAGAAGAATCAAATAGACACAATAAAAAACGATAAAGGGGATATCACCACTGATCCCACAGAAATACAAACTACTGTCAGAGAATACTACAAACACCTCTACGCAAATAAACTAGAAAATCTAGAAGAAATGGATACATTCCTCGACACATACACCCTCCCAAGACTAAACCAGGAAGAAGTTGAATCTCTGAATAGACCAATAACAGGAGCTGAAATTGTGGCAATAATCAATAGTTTACCAACCAAAAAGAGTCCAGGACCAGATGGATTCACAACCGAATTCTACCAGAGGTACAAGGAGGAACTGGTACCATTCCTTCTGAAACTATTCCAATCAATAGAAAAAGAAGGAATCCTCCCTAACTCATTTTATGAGGCCAGCATCATTGTGATACCAAAGTCTGGCAGAGACACAACCAAAAAAGAGAATTTTAGACCAATATCCTTGATGAACATTGATGCAAAAATCCTCAATAAAATTCTGGCAAAATGAATCCAGCAGCACATCAAAAAGCTTATCCACCATGATCAAGTGGGCTTCATCCCTGGGATGCAAAGCTGGTTCAATATACGCAAATCAATAAATGTAATCCAGCATATAAACAGAGCCAAAGACAAAAACCACATGATTATCTCAATAGACGCAGAAGAAGCCTTTGACAAAATTCAACAACCCTTCATGCTAAAACCTCTCAATAAATTATGTATTGATGGGACGTATTTCAAAATAATAAGAGCTATCTATGACAAACCCACAGCCAATATCATACTGAATGGGCAAAAACTGGAAGTGTTCCCTTTGAAAACTGGCACAAGACAGGGATGCCCTCTCTCACCACTCCTATTCAACATAGTGTTGGAAGTTCTGGCCAGGGCAATTAGGCAGGAGAAGGAAATAAAGGGTATTCAGTTAGGAAAAGAGGAAGTCAAATTGTCCCTGTTTGCAGACGACATGATTGTATATCTAGAAAACCCCATTGTCTCAGCCCAAAATCTCCTTAAGCTGATAAGCAACTTCAGCAAAGTCTCAGGATACAAAATCAATGTACAAAAATCACAAGCATTCTTATACACCAACAACAGACAAACAGAGAGCCAAATCATGAGTGAACTCTCATTCACAATTGCTTCAAAGAGAATAAAATACCTAGGAATCCAACTTACAAGGGATGTGAAGGACCTCTTCAAGGAGAACTACAAACCACTGCTCAAGGAAATAAAAGAGGATACAAACAAATGGAAGAACATTTCATGCTCATGGTTAGGAAGAATCAATATCGTGAAAATGGCCATACTGCCCAAGGTAATTTACAGATTCAATGCCATCCCCATCAAGCTACCAATGACTTTCTTCACAGAATTGGAAAAAGCTACTTTAAAGTTCATATGGAACCAAAAGAGAGCCCGCATCGCCAAGGCAATCCTAAGCCAAAAGAACAAAGCTGGAGGCATCACACTACCTAACTTCAAACTATACTACAAGGCTACAGTAACCAAAACAGCATGGTACTGGTACCAAAACAGAGATATAGATCAATGGAACAGAACAGAGCCCTCAGAAATAACGCCGCATATCTACAACTATCTGATCTTTGACAAACCTGAGAAAAGCAAGCAATGGGGAAAGGATTCCCTATTTAATAAATGGTGCTGGGAAAACTGGCTAGCCATATGTAGAAAGCTGAAACTGGATCCCTTCCTTATACCTTATACAAAAATCAATTTAAGATGGATTAAAGACTTAAACATTAGACCTAAAACCATAAAAACCCTAGAAGAAAACCTAGGCATTACCATTCAGGACACAGGCATCGGCAAGGACTTCATGTCCAAAACACCAAAAGCAATGGCAACAAAAGACAAAATTGACAAATGGGATCTAATTAAACTAAAGAGCTTCTGCACAGCAAAAGAAACTACCATCAGAGTGAACAGGCAACTTACAAAATGGGAGAAAATTTTCGCAACCTATTCATCTGACAAAGGGCTAATATCCAGAATCTACAATGAACTCAAACAAATTTACAAGGAAAAAACAAACAACCCCATCAAAAAGTGGGCGAAGGACATGAACAGACACTTCTCAAAAGAAGACATTTATGCAGCCAAAAAACACATGAAAAAATGCTCATCATCACTGGCCATCAGAGAAATGCAAATCAAAATCACAATGAGATACCATCTCACACCAGTTAGAATGGCAATCATTAAAAAGTCAGGAAACAACAGGTGCTGGAGAGGATGTGGAGAAATAGGAACACTTTTTACACTGTTGGTGGGACTGTAAACTAGTTCAACCATTGTGGAAGTCAGTGTGGCGATTCCTCAGGGATCTAGAACTAGAAATACCATTTGACCCAGCCATCCCATTATTGGGTATATACCCAAAGGACTATAAATCATGCTGCTATAAAGACACATGCACACTTATGTTTATTGCGGCATTACTCACAATAGCAAAGACTTGGAACCAACCCAAATGTCCAACAATGATAGACTGGATTAAGAAAATGTGGCACATATACACCATGGAATACTACATAGCCATAAAAAATGATGAGTTCATGTCCTTTGTAGGGACATGGATGAAATTGGAAATCATCATTCTCAGTAAACTATCGCAAGAACAAAAAACCAAACACCGCATATTCTCACTCATAGGTGGGAATTAAACAATGAGATCACATGGACACAGGAAGGGGAATATCACACTCTCGGGACTGTGGTGGGGTGGGGGTAGGGGGGAGGGATAGCATTGGGAGATATACCTAATTGTAGATGACGAGTTAGTGGGTGCAGCGCACCAGCATGGCACATGTATACATATGTAACTAACCTGCACAATGTGCACATGTACCCTAAAACTTAAAGTATAATTAAAAAAAAAAAAAGAAAGAGAAAATATTAATACATTGCTGGTAACAGTTTGAGAGATAACCCAGTTAACCAAAAAGACAGGCTAACAAACTCAGATTTTTTTAACCTCATTAAAGTTACCTGTATTTTTTCAAAGAAAATTCCTAAAATAATAGTAATAGTATTAATAATAATGAAAAAGATTACTTACAGTACCACTAGTGATAACCAAATAAAAATCATAAGGGTCTATTGATTTAAAATGTTGCACAATTTTCATGGGATCAGAGTTGGACATAGAAAGAAAGCTGTCTAGAAATCTACATTGGACCAGTCTCAGAGAGCTATCTAGCCAGTAGATGATGACAGTTGGCCTGGTGACCACAGGGGAGGCTAGCTATGTCTCCAGGTGGAAAAGGAGACAGGAAGATTCTGGGTTCTGATAAAACTGATGAGAACCTTCGCAACAAATTGGGAGAAGTTTGCATCGCTCCTGGAAAGGGGATCTTATCACAGCCTGAGATAACTCACTGGCATCACACCGTAACATCAAATACAACATAAGCATTGAGAGTTTCATGTAAATGTCTTTAAAGTTTTAATGTCTTCAAAGTTATACTTTGGTCTACTTATAGTTTCTTATTATTCTCAAGTGAGAGCTATCACATTTCTATGCATTACTTTAAAGCACAATATGGATGCTTTGTGACCTCACAAACTCTAACTTTGTGAAAAATACCACTAAAGGCACAAATATCCAGCTATGCTTGGCATCTTCCTCAAAGGTTTGCTGTTCATTATCATCCACGCTCAAAATATCACTTTTGAACATCAAATAGCGAAGGTAAAATCTGAATATTTGGGAGTGAGAAAAATGAGTCAGTAATGTTGGAATATTTGAATAAAACTGACAGAGTCAGATCAGCTTGTTAAAAAGGTGAGAGGTTAATGAAATAAGCAAAGTATAAATTATTATAAGTCAGTATAAGGGACTGACTGTGTCAATCTAAGTTAGACAGTGACAGAAACTCCTAAATATAATTTCATGTTTTAAATATTCTACACATACCGGATGAGAAACTTTAACTTTACAGAATTTAAGTAAAGACTGAAACTTGAGCTCCTGATTCTAATTTTTTTTCCCTTGGCAAGCATGCTATTGGTTTTTAGGATTCACTATGGTTTTTGCTTTGTGGTGGTTCCATCAGTGGGCCTACAATTCCACTTTAAACATTGCTGGCCAGGTGTGGTGGCTCATGCCTGTAATCCCAGCACTTTGGGAGGCCAAGGTGGGTGGATGTCCTGAGCTCAGAAGTTCGAGACCAGCCTGGGCAACATGGCAAAACCACATCTCTACAAAAAATACAAAAATTAGCCAGGCATGGTGGCACATGCCTGTGATCCAAGCTGCTTGGGAGGCTGAGGTGGGAGGATTGTTTGGTTCTGGGAGGCAGAGGTTGCAGTGAGCTGAGATCTTGCCACTGCACTCCAATCTGGATGACAGAGTAAAACCCCGTCTCAAAAAATGAACAAACAAACAAACAAAAAATATTGCTATAGAGGCCACATGGAACCAGGACTTTTTGTTAATCTTATTTCTCTTTTATATAGTCATATATCTGATTTGTCTAAGTAATACTTTATGAAACACAGACACATTAACTGTTGAAGGATATTATTTGTATTTTACTAAGTTTAATGAGAAGATAACATTTTTATGAAGTGCTAGAAGTACAAATGTGAACACAGCATGGCCTTTGCTGTTGAAGGTTTTATAATACACTGGAAGAGACAGACATGTCAACAAATAATTTCCACTGATGCCAAAGGGCTGCCAGGGATAACTGTACACACAAAAACACCCCTGGAAAAGGCAGGAAACCAGTGTGGATGAGGCTAATGGCTTGAGGACATTCAGGAGAGATAGAAGAGTTCGCATTTTGACTGAATCCTAAGACAGGAATTTGACCAACTCGAAGAAATGTGGGAGAATAGCCCAAGAGACAAGAGCTAATATGAGAACGAACTGAAGACATGTAATCACAATAATAGCATTGATAATAATGATAGATAAAATTCGAACAATTATTCTGCCCTAGACTCTGTTCCAAGGACTTTAAAGTATCGCCATATTAAATATTCTCAACAACGCAGTGAAGTAGGTGCTGTTTACCTCACTTTACACATAAGAAAACTTGGACAAATGTTAAGTAACCTGCCCAAGTTGACAAGATGCATAGGTGGTGGACGAGAAATGTGACACCAGCTGACACTCTCCAAGGCCCACACAATGTGTTTAATGAGCTGCAAGTGTGAAGTTTGGCATGACCACAAATTCAATGTGTATGAAGAAAGGGCACAACCAGATTGACAGACAGACTTGTATGATATACCTCGTCTCATCTTCCAAGATAAGGAGGTTGAGATTTATCCAAACATAATTGATGGGGAACCACCAAGCAATTTTAAATCAAGAGAATCAAATGTGATTTAGGAAAACTGGCCCAGCAACATACATAAATCTCTCTTTTTTTTTTTTTTTTTTTTTTTTGAGACAGTCTCACTCTGTCTCCCAGGCTGGAGTGCAGTGGTATGATCTCAGCTCACCGCAACCTCTGCCTCCCAGGTTCAAGTGATTTTCCTGCCTCAGCCTCCCAAGTAGCTGGGACTACAGACGCACGCCACCACACCCAGCTAATTTTTGTATTTTTAGTAGAGGCGGGGTTTCACCTTGTTGCCCAGGATGGTCTCAAACTCCTGACCTCAGGATCTACCTGCCTCAGCTTCCCAAAGTGCTGAGATTACAGGCGTGAGCCACCGTGCCCAGCCCCAGCAACATACATAAATCTTTAGATCAAAAGGGGGTGAGAAATTAGAAGGCAATTGGTATGGAGAAGTCAAGAAGACAGGAGTCTAATGCAAGCTACTAGAATTCATCAAACCTAATGTGTTCTCTCTTTGTGTTGTTAATGAGGACTTGGGAGACAGAGTTTTAGGAGGGAACATCCTGGTGGCTGTGAATCAGTCTAGATGAGAAACCCGGGCTGGAGATCCGACAGTCATGGGGGGTTAGTGCTTGTGCTTATTAAGATCACTTAGGAGTGATAAGAAAAAAGACTCATTCTTGCTCTCATTCCCCTGCTCAAATATTTTTATGCTTTTGCTATAGACTGAATATTTGTGTCCTGCCCCCCAAATTCATATGTTGAAATCCTAACCTCCATTGTGATGGTATTTGGAGATGGACCCATTGGTAGGTGATTAGGTAGTTAGGAATGGGATTAGTGACTTTAACAGAGACTCTGGAGAGCTCTCTTACCCCTCCCACGTACCATCTACAAACCAGGAAGTAGACCTTCACCAGATGCCAAGTCTTCCACTGCCTTGATCTTGGATTTCCCAGCCTCCAGAAATGTGAGAAATAAATTTCTATTGTTTATAAGCCACCCAGTCTATTGTATTTTTGTTACGTGCCTAAACAGACTAAGACAGAAATTGGTACTAAGAAGTGGGGGTGCTGCTCTAACAAATATCTAAAAATGTTCCAAATGTCTTTGGAGCTGGGTAATGAGCAGAGGCTGGGAGATTTTTGAGGTGCATGCTAGAAAAAGTTACATTGCCATGAACAAACCATTAATGGCAATTCTGATAAGGGCTCAGAAAGAAAAGAAGAGAGCTGTAGAGAAAGCTTCAGTCTTCTTAGAGAACACCTGAAATAATCCTGAACGGAATGTTGGTAGAAATAGGGATGGTGGAGTTCATTCTGATGAGGTCAGACAGAAATGAGGAACATACTGGACAATGAAGAAAGGTGACCTTTCATATACAGTGGCAAAGATCTCGGTCAAATTCTGTTCATGTTCTAGTGTTTTGTGAAAGGCAGAACTAGAAAGCAATGAAATGGGACGTTTAGCTCAAGTAATTTCTAAGCAAAGTGCTAAAGGTGCAGCTTAGTTCCGCCTGACCGCTTATAGTAAAATGCAAGAAAAGAGACATGACGTAAAGACAGAATTGGTAAGGAGAAAAAAAAGCAAAACTTAAAAGATTTGGAAATTTCTCAGCCTATCCATTCTGTAAAACATGAGAACATTCAATGTAAAATATGAGAACATTCTGTAAAATATGAGAAATAAATCTCAGATAAAGAGATTAGTATGGATCAGCCATTAGGTGCTATTCTCTAAAACAATGGAAGAATTACCTGCAAAGTGATTCAGAGATCCTCAGATCCTCAGAGCTGTCTTTCTCATCATAGGTCCAGAGTATGGGGCTTGCGGGGTGGGAGAGTGGTTTGGAAAGCAGTTTTAAAAGAAGGAGAGAGCAGTTTCTGGTGCCTACAGGACCCTGACACCCCACCCGGTGCCTCCTCACATCATGGGCTCTGCTCCCCACACTCTGGTGCTGCAGTCCTTGGCCACCCCAGGTATGGCTCCAGCAGGTCTCAGTGAGGGAGGGGCCACAACAGCCACCCTTCTGGAGGGCCCAAGTTGCAAAAACTTGATGGCACCCTCATGGTGCCATCTTCACTGGCTTTCATAGTACACGGGTCCCGGGGACGTGCTGCCTACACCAAGATGTCAAGCGATGGAGATTTCCTGAACCACAGGGGCAGGACCCAGGCAGTGAGCTGCCCCAGGGCCATTCCACCATGCCATGGGGTGGCATTGCCACTTCAGTGGACCTGGAGGGCAGAACATTGAGCCAAAGAGGATTATTCTCCAGCCTTAGGATCTCGGGGAGTGTGCCTGTAGCTTAAACTCATGTGGGCCTGTTACCTCCTTCTTCCTAGTTCTCCCTTTTGGAATGGAAATGTCTGTCCTACACCAGTCCCACTGTTGTATTTCGGAAGCACATAACATGTGTGGTTTCACAGATTCACAACTGGAGAGAAATTTACCTGAGGATGAATTGTACCTTGAGTCTCAGCCATATTCGGTTGAGAAGATATTTAGATAAGACTTTGGATTTTAGACTTCAGTGTTGGTGCTATAACAAAGTTAAGACTTTGAGGGCTCTTTGTATGTAATGAATATATCTGCATATGAGAAGGATGTTAATTTGTGGTGGAGGGAGGGGTAGAATGGTATAGACTGAATGTTTGTACTATCCCCCGCACCACAAATTCACGTGTTAAAATTCTAACCCCCAGTGTGATGGTATTTGAAGGTGGGGCCTCTGGTAGGTGATTAGGTCAGGAAGATTCCACCTTCATAAAAGGGACTATAAAATCCCTTATAAAATAGGATTATAAAACCCCTTATGAAAGAGAGCCCAAGAGCCAGAGAGCTGCCTCATCCTCTGTGCCAGGTGAGAACACAGGGAGAAGACAGCCATCTAGGAACCAGAAAGCAGCCCTCATCAGACCTACAGTCAGCCGGCACCTTGATCTTAATCTTAGAGCCTCCAGAACTGTGAGAGATCAATTTCTGTGGCTCATGACCCACCCAGGCTATGACATTTTTGTGACAGCAGCCTAAGCAGACAGAGGCCTCTCCTCTTATTTCTGTCTCGCACACAATTATCCACCGCTTCTAAACAGCCTCAGTTATTTCCTAAAGTAAAACAAAGAAACAAAAATTACTCTGACTCCGTATCCCTTTCTAGCCTTCACCTTTCTAGCTTTCTTTCCCTTCTCAGCCAAGCTGCTTCCATGTGCTAGAAGTGATCTCTCCATCCCCTTCCTCTCCCTCCTCACCTCCCATGCATTCTTCCTACAGGCTGCCATCTGCTTTCTGCCCCCAGGACTCCCCAGAAAGACTCTGACAAACAGCACCAAATACGTCTTTATCATCGGAGCTTGTAAACACTGCTCAGCCTTTATCTTCCTGGACCCCTCTCATCACTCAGTATTTTAGAACACTACTTGGCCAAATATCAAGGGACAGTCCCTTCTCCTTTCCAAAGTACGAATGTATTAATTAGCCTGTTTTTTTTAAGGCAGTGACAGGTAGATTCTAAAGCTCCAAAGAGAGCCCTCAATCAGAAGAGTTTTGTTTGTTTGTTTTTAACAAACAACGGAAATAAACTCATGTATTTCCTGGTCAAGAGAAAACATAATTTTCTCTGTCCTTTGGTAGTGATGTCCCTTTCCTTGAACTATTTCATAATTTAGGCAGAGAAAAAGCTACCTAAGAAAAGGAATTCATCCGCCATCAGGCACCGTGGCCCTGGCTGATAAATGCTCTTGCCTCATGAGGTGACCAGCTTCCCTCCTTCATTTTTGAGATGACTCATAAGGACAATATGGTGTGATAACCACTTTTATGTTCTTTGGGGCTCTGAGAGGTGAGTGTCCTCTATGCTGTACTTTAGCAAAAATATTATGAAGAAACAAGCATGCAAAACATTCTCAAGACCCAGAGCAATAGGTAAGGTGACGAACATGCCTATGTTTGCAGCTTCTCACTGTGCAATTTATATATATAATCTATTAAAAATGCAATGGATTGAACCTCACAACCCTACAATCCCCTAGCAAAAGTGTATCAACACTAGATGAAGTTTTCATGTAAAAGAGACTTTGTTACATGACAAACAGCTTCCTGAGTAAAGATTTTACAAGGATTCACTGACACAATTTCTGTGACTGTTCTCTAATGATTCTTTCTCTACATGGTTTGTTTTTTTTTTTGTTTATTTTTTATTTTTTATTTTTATTTTGAGGTGCTCCTCTCCTTACCCTTAAAATGGGTGTTCACTGTGGGTTTCTTCCTTGGCCTCCTGGAATCCTTTTTTACGTTCTGCTGTGGGATCTCAGGTATTCTCGAGGTTCTGATGACATCTACAGACCAGAAATTCATCACCCTTCCCAGTCCCCTGTGCACGGAGCAACTGCCCTCTGGACATAGACATCTGCATGTGCCTCCTGCTCACTATCACAACTCAGCACCACAACTCAATACCGCAACTCGACACCGCAACTCAACACATCCTCAACTGAACTTGTGACCCTACTTAATTCCCCAACCAAAACTGTTGCCTCTTAATATTTTCCCAACCTTAGACATGAGTGCTATCAAGAAGCCAGTCACTCAAGCCAGAGGCTTAAGGGTATCCCTAGATTACTCCTCCAGGTGAACACATAGTTTCACGCATACAATCCTTGCCCCACTCCCCAGTCGCCTACTTTGCTCACAAATTTAAATTCCCCATTCCTCCCCAGATCAACTTTTGTTGTTGTTGTTGTTGTTTTGAGATGGAGTCTCGCTCTGTTGCCAGGCTGGAGTGCAGTGGCACGATCTTGGCTCACTGCAACCTCCACCTCCCGGGTTCAAGTGATTCTCCTGCCTCAGCTTCTACAGGTGCACACCACCGTGCCCTTCTAATTTTTGTATTTTTAGTAGGGGCGGGGTTTCACCATGTTGGCCAGGATGGTCTCGATCTCTTGACCTTGTGATCCACCCTCCTCGGCCTCCCCAAGTGCTGGGATTACAGGAGTGAGCTACTGCGCACGGCCTCAACTTTTGACTCTAAAATCAGAGAGCCAGGAAAGGCACCTAAGATCCCTATCCTATGCACTCTCCCAAGAGAACAAGAACCATGTTCTCAAAAATATTCAAGACAACGTTTTCGTAGCCTTTCATCTGGAATCACTGTATAAAGAAAGTTGTGAACAAAAATCCTTGGATCCAGTTCAAATAATCTGTTGATATCGACCAAGGTTTATAAAAGATTGAAACTATGGCCTAAGAAAAAAGTAAGTGAGAAATATGAAACCATGAATATCCATTAGAGAATAAATGTTGACATTCATAATTAACATAGTAGCATGCCTTCCACATGGCCCACCTGCCTCTATTAATAATCTCATCAAATCTGTACACTGCAGTATCAGTCACTTCATCAAGTGGGTGACAGGGAATAAACTTCTCCCAGGATGCACCGCATTTCCCCATATTCATCCTGAAGCAGAACCTACCTGGGACATGTACGAATATCTATTCATGTCAAATTAAATGATCTGCTCATCCATTTTAATTCCTAATACGTATTCACTAGAAGATAAGTTCCCCTCCCCGCCACACACACACACACACACACACACACACACACACACTCACAAACAAAAAACGGATAACAGTGGAACTGAAGCCTGCCTCCCATCCAGGCTGCTTGCTGGGAAGATACAATTGCATATGCAATACCTGCGGCCTTCTGTTTCCAAATTAGTAAAATAGAAATGCATATGTCTGTAACTTCCTCTATCTGAGAGCCTTGTTGTGATTTAATTAATTAATTGATTCAATTAATTCTAAACTATGGAAATGATTTAATGAAGCTCAAACTCTAAAAGGACTGCCCACTGCAGATGCAAATGAACAAGATTGCGTTTTTCATTGATCCAAATCATTCATTCACTCAGATCTATAAATTGGTCATCGATTTCCACAGGTGGAAATGATTCTTACTGACACGTACAGCTCTGCAGTAGAAATTGAGTTTCTTCTCTGTAGATTCCTCTGTTTTGATATCCCTGGATAAAGTCTCCTTAAAATTTACATCATTCTCTGTATGACCTCTGAAATCTTCCGGAAAATAAAAAAAAAAAAAAAAAAAAGAAAAGAAAACGAACACCCCGCCCCGCCCCAAAAATCTAAAGCGTCTTTTACGTATAGATTCCTCCGTGGGTTTGTAGCTGTGGTTGTGGAACTGGCTTCATCTGTCAACTATTTACTGCAGGAGCTTTTCTAATTGATAATGAGCTCCTTGGGGGAACATGATTTCAGAGTGTAAATTAATAATCATTTTCAAAGGATGGTGCCTCATTTTTAACAACGTTATCCAGCACATTTTGTATTATATTTTGCAATAAACTAGTCCCAGGAAGACAAATTTACAATAAGAAAAAAATAATTTTGAGTCTGATGGTACATATCTAAACAAATCAATAATTGTAGCGGCCTACTTTTTACAAATATAAAACACCCACATGTGCTGTCTCAGTCAGTTTGTTGAGTTTAAATTATTTCAAACTGAGTGTTGGCTATAGGTAGGACAGGTGTCTCTTAAATCCCAGCTCACTGGGGCACATGCTGACGTTTGCCAAAAAGCTTACGGGTGTTCAGTACAACTCAAAATAGTAACATAAACATGGACTACTTTTTAGAAAGAGCCCTTTCATTCTTCCGGTTCATCCCGAATGGGTTCTCAGTTTTTCTTGTAACCTACTTTTAGGGTGTTAGGTAACGCAGTGGTGATAAAGCTTTTTATTAATAAATAATTCAGTAGCCAGGGAGTGTAAAAACATCATTTGTATTGTAGCTGAGTGTTTTGTTTTCTAATTATGAAGCAACTGGAAGGCCTGGCGCTCCAGGGCTGTGTGATTTCACCGGTGTTGTTCCCCGGTTCCCCATTGTCGCCCTTGAAAAGAACATTCCCACAGAGCAGGCTCTAAAGACAATAAACATCGTGAGTAAAAAGAAATGACATAACATTCAGCGCTGATAAGGGGAGCTTTTCCCAGGGGCTGCGTGGGACTGCAGTGGGAGGGCCTGGGGAGACTGCTGTCTGCACTGGGGGCCTGGAAGGAAGCGTCCACACAGGCGGGTTGCTGGGGCCCCTGTGTAGTCTCAGCACAAAGGGCCCAGAAGTGGGCAGGTCCCTCCCTGCCTCTGTGAAAATCAATCTAAGGAAGTCTGATGCCATGGAACGGTTTCCTGTCCGCTGTGTGGGAAATCTAACTGAGCGCAAACGGCCGGCAACAATGGGACAATATATTATAATAAACAGGAAAAATAGCATTGGCCACGGAAATCAATAGCTGGGGTTCATGAGGCATTCATAAGATTGACAAGTGAATAAATTAAAACCCAAAGGTTAGGACGCTGAAAGAGAAGTTAATTTTATGTCTGCCCTGGAGCTCCCCTTTTCAGACTCAAATTAAGACTGTGTATAATAAAATGAACATAAAGTCTTAGATTTACCAAAAAGGCTCCACTAAGACCTACATCGTCAGAAAACCAGAGATTCTTTTATCAACTTCCCCATGCATGGATGGTCGCTGCTCACACTGCATTAACAGCCCCCTCAACAGCGTGACCAAAGACTTATTTAAACGAGTTTCTGGCTTTAAATAAACCTGCTCTCGGCAACCAACTGTTCATCCAGGAAGTGATGTGACACCCCACTACACTGAAGTTTACTCAACCAGAACCCAACGAAGATGTGTGCAATCCAGCTATTTAATTTGAAGAACCGGAGGAAAAGCCACCTCAGTTCCTCCAAACCCCAAAATAATTATACTCAGCAAAACACAACTAACTCTAACAGAGACATCCCTTCAATAAACAATGATCCATCCATTTCCATGCCACAGTTGCCACCCTTTGAAAAAATGTTTTAAAGTTTGGGGTTTTTTAATAATAAAATTAATTAGAATTCACTGCTGAACCTCGGATTTGCAATAAAGTGTTTGACACAACAACTTCTTTCTCCTACTTACTAATAAAGGCAGAGCATTGTTCTGTAGTTGAAGCAGTAGGCTAAGGATTTTGAGACAATTAATTCCAATCCAGGCTTTGCAAGTGACTTTGACTTTAGCACAGTTCCTTTGACGATTACGCATTAATCTACTCTACAATTTAGGGACATTTAAGTTATTAGAAAACATAAAATGATCAGGTGATGGTTGCTTGTGAGCAATTTATGTAACCTAGTAATTTGGACGCTATAACTCAAGTATGTCTGGTAACATTCTGTTTGAACTTTAAAGATATTTCACTGCATTATTTGTTTTGCTCTTGGAGGTGGACTAAGATGGTTTCTTTGCATATCAAGGATTGCTGATAGAGCCTAATATTTTGGAAAGTAGTATGATTTAGTCTTTAATAAATATGCATTAACCAAAGAATTTCTAGTCTCATAAGAATAGTCTCAAAGCACATTAAAGCAGAAGGGATACCAGAGAGCCAAACTCTGATTTTACTCACAATAAAATTTTCACTCTTTTAGGAGGCTGTATAAAGGTTAAGAAATAATATCCTTCAGTCTGTTTATTATTTTAAGTTTGGTACTCTCCCTAGTTTTTTTTTTAAATTTAGATTCGCCCGGGAGGGAAAAAAGCCAAATCTACGGCTGTATTTAAATTAATCCGAGTTCACTGAACCACCCGCTCGAGCAGCTGGGAACGCGGCGCAGCGGCCAGTAGGGGGCAGTGCGTCCCAGCGCAACCCTCGCCGCCCGGCCCAGCCTCGGCTCCCCACCGGCTGAGGAATGAAGTTTCACCGTGAACCGATTCCTCACCAAAGAAACAAAAACTGGTGGCATCGAGACGCACGGGAGGACTTCAAGTCCTCCGGGGACACCCGCAGCTTCTGGGGATGCGCCCGAGGGAGCCCAGGCTGCATCCGCGGGGCTCCATTTTGTCTCCGAGCCAAAAAGCCGCCGACTTCTTCCTCTAGGGTTTTGCTTCCTGTAGGTTCGGTCCCAGCGCGCAGCAGAAACGTCAGGGGCGGCGCTCTCAGAAGCACGCGGGCCTCTCTCGGCGATGTGCGGGGCTGGGTGGCGCCGCCGATTCCCGCACGGAGCCCCCCTCAGGCGCCTCCGGCCCCGTCTTCGTCCCCTTCTCTGCGCCCCTGCGCTCTGTGCTCTGCCCTGCGCCCTGTCCCCGTTTCCGTCCCGGCCCTCTGCCCTGCGCCCTGTCCCCGTTCCCGTTCCCTTTCCCGTCCCCGCCTGGAGGCCTCGCCCAAGGTCTCCCCGGGCTGCGCCACGAACCTGCCCCGCGTCCCCGACCCCGGCCCCGGCCCCGGCCCCGGCCCCGGCCCCGGCCCCGGCCCCGGCCCCGCGCGTCCTCCTCCGCCCTTCGCCCGCTTCCTTCTACGGGCCTCGGCCACTGCATCTTCCTGTGTGCTGAGATTTCTAGAACATTCTGAGGGATGGGAAACGGGGAGGGTAGGAAAGCCCTGACCGCCCCCCCCCCCACCCCCCCGCAATCCAAGCGTTCCCAGGGAGTCCCTGGGGCCCTCTCGTCTTTCAATGAATTCACGAATTAAAACAGCGGCTCAGGCGACTCCTTCCGCACTCTGGGCCAGGTCTGCGGGGACCCCATGGCCGCTGCGGCCACTGTCTCCCGGTCCCCTCAAACCCCCTGGACCGGGACTTGAACCCAGCGCCGTGGCATCCACGGCCGCCTCTTTCAGCGCTGCCTCCCGCCCGCTCGCATTCAAGTCTCATTTCTTATTGTACACCGTTTTTTTTTTTTTTTTTTTTTAACATTTCCTTAAGAAAACAAAGCAAAAGACAAAGGCACAGGCTATTAAGTAATTACAAGAAAAGGGATGGCAGTGCTCGGGGCGCACCCAGCCCGCGGAGGCCTCCTGCGTTTTCCAGAACTCCAGGGGCACCTTCGCTTGGGTCAGACTTGGGTAATTTGAGTCATGAGTGGGCTCACTTTTTAAAATTCATTGTATTGTGGAAACAACAAACAAACAAACAACCATTGAATTTCTCAGCAGCTTCATCTCCCACTGAAAACGACATGAACTGTAAGTGCTTCACTTAAAAGTGTTTCCCTTCCCTCTCAAAAAACACAGCGCTTTTCCCCTTTCAATAAGGAATGTGAGTTTGCTGCATGGCATGTTGGTTTGTACTGAAAGACGAACTAGAGTCGGCACTTTCAAATATTTCAAATTAGAAAAGAATTAAATTCAGAATGCACATTTTGAAAAGAAGTGATGGAACTGCTATTCGGGTTATGCATGTGTAATTTTAAAGGAAAGATTTTTTTTTTAAGTTAAATAAGGATCATACGATTGCTAAGAGTAACACACAAGTAACACGTTTCCCCACGGCCCACTCTCCTCCCATTCCGCTGAACTTGACTCAGCCATTGCAGAAAGATTTCGTCTGCAAAAGGAGATTCCACAGTTTGCCCCAAGAACAACCCTGCCTTTTTTTGGGGCGGGGCGGGGTGGGGCGGGGGGGCCGGGGGGGGAATCATCTGTTGACAATGCATTTCCTGTCTTCATCTTCAAAATGAGGAGCTTAAGTTCTTTCTCAACTGTATCCAACGTGATTCTGAAAACCATCAGGTCACTCTCAGCATTTTCTATGCCAGACAAAATCCAGAGGCCTGGTTATTTCATTTGAGTTTTTAAAAATTTCAACACTGAAATTATTTTCATTGATCTCTGAAAACATGCTGGTTCTCAATATTGAAACGGAGATTTTTATAGGCAAAGGCCTTAGGAAGTGTCTGGTACTGGTGCACAAAATTGACCTGAAGCCAGCCTCCCAGAGATTCATAGCAGCAGAATATCCGGCAAGACTTCCCCCTTCCTTTCTGAAACACCCCCCATTGATAGAGAAGTCACCATCTCCGAAGGAGGTTCATTCTATTTTTAGGTAGGATACGGGTTATATTAAACCCAACTTTGTTCATAATTTGTTTTCATCGGTTTTAATTCTAACTTCTGGGGACACAATGAAAAAAAAAATTCAAACATTCTTCCACAATTGTATTTTGAAGAAAGCGCTCATGTCTTCTTGAAAATTCTCTAGGCTAAACAGCGCAGGGGGGCTCTTTGTTATTTTGCGTGTCACAGCGTGGCAGATGTCCACCATCCTGGTCTCATCGCTCAGGACCTGTGTTTCCAACAGCACTGGAACCTGAGCCCGACCTACTGGGTGTAGCTTGGCCCCAGCAGTGCCCAGTGAGACAGCCTCGATTTTTGTTTTCAGCAATTCTCAAAACTTTTACCTGTAGGAGAATTACTTGGGGAAATTGTTTAAAAATGGACATTTCTGAGCCCTCGTCTTAAATATTTACATTTCTAGAGCCCAGAAAGCTGCGTTTTACAAAACAGCCCAAGTACTTGAACAAGTATTCCTCAACCCGTATTTTGAGAAACATTTCCTTAGGGGCTCTATTTGTTTTAACGTGACCTCAGCTCTCACTTACCTTTTTCCCTCCACATTGTAAGACTTACACTGATACTACGGTTAACCTAAACAAATAAGCCTTGTCACATGAACTCCTAGGCATCCCTTTCTGACTCTACAGTTGCATAATTGAGTTTTAAGGCTGGAATGCAAAAGAATGCATTTACCTCTGTGTAGCATTGACTAAGTGCAATAAGCAGTTACATTTAAAGTTCAGACAAACAATTTTTAGTGGGACATATTTATACCAAAACATTAATCATTATCTGTCTGAAATTCACATTTAATTAAGTGTTCCTTAATTTGTTAAATCTGATAATCCTGTCCCTATGAAATTACTTCGATTAGATTTAATTTTTCCAGTCATACCTGGTTGTTTGTTTTCCAGACAGGGTCTCGCTCTGTCACCCAGGCTGGAGTGCAGTGATGCAATCATGGTTTGCTGCAACCTTGACCTCCTGAGCTCAAGCTATCCTCCCACCTCAGCCTCCTGAGTAGGTGGGACAACAGGTGTGCACCACCACCCCCGGCTTATTCTTTGTGTTTTTGTGGAGACAGGGTTTCTGCCATGTTGCCCAGGTTGGTCTCTAACTTCTGGACTCAAGCGATCAGCCCCCCTCAGCCTCCCACAGTGCTGGAATTACAGGCATGAGCCACTGCACCTGGCCAGTCATGCCTGTTATGACCATTTAGATCCTAATTCTGTCCTCAGATAATTTTAGGACTCACAAATACTGCTCTTATTTCTGACTGTCAAGTTATTATCCTGTTAATGTAAATTCCGAAGAACAAGCTCATTGTTGATGTTTGTTCGCCCATTGTACAAAAAGATCCAGGTGCTATATCTCACACAGGTGATCATATACACAATTTCTGTCTTCATTATATTCAGCCTTCCTCAAAGTCTAGGATAGCTACTTTGTTTTCAGATGTGAAATAAATAAAGCAAACAGCTTAGAATTGGAGGACCTGGGTTCGAATACTGGTTCAGCCATTTATGAGCTCTGCATCCTCAAGCAAATTAATAGACTTCTCCAAACCTCAGTTTCCTCACTTGTGAACTGGGGATACTTAGGGTCATTATGAGAAGTTGATGACATGACACAGATGAAAGTCTCAAGCCTTATGCTTAGTGATCATTCTATACCAAAAAAATAATTCTTCGTTCATGAATTTGTTAACTAGTTATGAGAGCCTCAAATTTAAATTGGTAGAAATGAATGCATGGATTGCTTCTCAACTCTCTTGAAGTCCATCAGACTTCTTATACTAATAGCAAACACTTTTATAAAAAGAAATAAATCCATAGCTCTAAAAAAGAGGTCATTGACAGATAGGAGTTTTCGGTGAATTATTGGGAAAGGGAAAGCAAAGGCAAGCCTATAGGCTTGTGAAGCACAGACAAGGAACACAGCCCAGAGCATACAGCTCTGGGAAGGGGCTTCAGGAAGGGGGCAGCAGTCCTGTGTGTCTCCACCGAGAGGCTGTGGGGCAGCAGAGAAAACCAGGTCCAGGAGAGAATGAGAGAAAACAAGACGGCCAGCAACAGAGCAAGTCCATGAACATTCATCTCCCCGAAGGTCTTTAGTGCATAATAACTGGGGATTTATTTCCAGTGGAACAATAAAATAGGAAAAACAGTGGGGGTGCTGGCAGTCCAGGGTCAAGCTCTTTTTGTTCTCACCTTTTCTCTTGGATGGTGGGGGAGGAGCTTGCAGCTAATAGTAGGCACTCTGCCCATTCACCCTGACCAGAAGCCAGCTAGGAAATAGGCTATGCCCACATTTAAGAGGCTCCATGAGTCTACCCCAGGAAAAAGAGAAGCAGGAAAGGATTGTGTGTGGTGAGGGGCAGGCAGCCGGTGGTGCTCTCTCACACTCCAGAGAGATGGTCCCCACCAGCTTCCCTGTCCTTCAGTAAATGAGCCAATTTCAAAGAAGGGCCTTGTCAAGGTAAAAAAGCAAGACCAAGGAAAAAGAAAGAAAAAAAATGAGCCTAGAAAGAAACAGGCATTTGGAGAATAAAGAGACTTTGAAAAAGAAAACTTCTCATTGATAGATTTGAGAAAATGGTATATTTATAAAATAGAATGTAATGAAAAAATCATAATCACAAAATAAGTGAGGTGTTATATATGATTAATGAAATTGAAAAAACATACATCAATGAAAAGGGAAAGAAGTAAAGTCTAGGAAATCTTCAAGGACATGGAATAAAATAACAGAAAGAAAAAATAGAAAATATGAAGGATAGACAAATGCAGGAGGTCTAATATTCCAATAAGAGGAGTGTCATAAACCAGGAAAAGGAAGAAAAGAGAAGAGATTCCAAAAACACAATGGAAAAATAATTTCCCAAACCTGAAAAATATCACCTGTCCTCAGATCAAAAGAGACTTGCCAAAGTCACAAAGCTGAAGAATAACCAAGCTGGGACTTGCCCCCAGGCAATTTGGCTCTAGAGTCTGTACTCTTAAGCACTGTGTTCTATTCCCCTTCTACAGTGAATTCTGCTTCGAGTTTTTTTGAAAGATTTCTGTGGAATGGGAATATATTTAGAAGCTATTTTAAATGATTCTGGAGAAAAAGGAATTAAATGCATTCTAGAGAAAAAGAATAGGATGGCGAAGGTAGAGTCCAGAGAATAAATGGAGGAGTTTCCCTAATTACATAAGGAGGAAGCACAAAGAGAGTAAACAGTACTGAAAGTTGATTTCTTTGTGTGTTTTTCAGAAGATGACAGAACTCCTATCCAATGCCTACCTCTTTTTTTGTAAAATGGGAAATGAGGACATCAACCAAGTGTCCCTAACTGTGCCCAGGAAAATGCTCAGAGATTTATGGAAACTGGAAAGTGTTTGAAATCATTCTTGTGCAGAGTGGAGTAATAGTTAACTAAAGAAATCTCTAGTAGGATTGAAGCAGCATTGCTTGTAGTGATTAATTTTTTTTTTTTAGAAATGGAGTCTCGCTCTGTCGCCCAGGTTGGAGTGCAATGGCGCAGTCTTGGCTCACTGCAACCTCTGCCTCCTGGGTTCAAGCGATTCTCCTGCCTCAGCCTCTTGAGTAGCTGGGACTACAGTAGCCTACCACCACACCCGGCTAATTTTTGTATTTTTAGTAGAGACGGGGTTTCGCCATGTTGGCCAGGCTGGTCTCAAACTCCTGACCTCATGATCTGCCCACCTCGACCTCCCAAAGTGCTGGGATTACAGGCGTGAGCCACTGCGCCCAGCCGTTTAGTGATGAATTTAAGGTAGATCCTTTCTCTCCTGATATGTGGCGTCCTCCAGAAGAACTCAGCTAATTAGGGGCAGTCAAAGAAGAATGATAGTTGGGTCCTTCTAAGGTGGATTTTTTTGTCAGACCAGTTTGGGGGAAAGAAACCACACACAAACCAAGGGGCAAGAGGGTTTTGGGTATTGACAAGATTTGATAAAAAGATGAATCATTAAGTCCAAGCTCCATGAGGAGGGAAGTGAAGAAAGGAGAAGGCTGATAGAGAAAAAAAAATAGATATGGGTAGAAGGCTAGGCAAGACGGAAGAACTGTCATGGTGGAAATAGTTTCACAAGTTAGCAGGAGATAGAGAAAATTCGTGGTCGAAAGTCACTGCTCTAATCATGACTTTGGAAGTGTTTCTAGTTATGACTCATAACAAGCTTGTCAGCGTGACTGTAGGAGTGACAAGCTGAAGCAGAGTAGAAGTCCACAGAGGGAAGGGCAGGGATAGACCTACCCACAGGGGTTAGAAGTCACCTGCACTGATGAGATGACTTGGGGAAAAGAAAAAGACTGTTGTGTGCAAAATTCATGATATTTTGATGGTCAGAAGGTAGATGATAGCAATGGAGACAGAGATGGTTATTAGTGTGAAATGTCTTGAGCATCAGAAGACTAGGGTTTTTGTGGCTCAATTTTCTTTTTACAAAAGGAGAAGTGGAGGGGTTATGTTCTGAAGCAGCAATGAGGATCCAGGAAGAAACCAATGCCATTCTCTGTCCCTGAAGTAGGTGAAGTGCAGGAAAATATACAGCAGCTATTGATGGGCATCTGGGAAAGTTGTGGTTCCAGCAGATAGCCAGGCAACAATGCAAGAAACTGGAGAGAACACTAGGAGAAGAGATTGATGGCACAAAGGCATTTGCGATAGAGAATGCTTTTGATGATCAGTAGAGGTGGAGGGCTGGGGACTACGGAAGTGATGTTGACTAATGAAAGAGGCACAGCCATGAGTAGACGGCCAGGGCTTCACTGCAGGTACTGAGTGATGAAGACAAGGAAATGATGTACAGTAGGTTTCACTTTCAACCTACTCTGACTGGAGTGGATTCTTGAGTTGGGTATGTCTTTTAGTTGCAAAGCAAAGGCATGCTTCCGTGATATGGTTTGGCTCTGTGTCCCCACCCAAATCTCACCTTGAATTATAATCCCCACGTGTCAAGGGAGGGACCTAGTGGGAGGTGATTGGATCATGGAGGCAGTTTCCCTCATGTTGTTCTCATGATAGTGAGGAAGTTCTCACGAGAGCTGATGGTTTAAAAGTGGCAGTTTCCTCTGCGCTCTCTCTCCCTTCTGGTACCACGTAAGATGTGCCTGGCTTCCCCTTTGCCTTCTGCTATGATTAAGTTTCCTGAGGCCTCCCAGCCATGTGGAACTGTTAGCCAATTAAACTTCTTTTGTTTATAAATTACCCAGTGTCAGGTAGTATCTTTATAGCACTGTGAGAACAAACTAATTCATCCCATCTATAATGCATTGAATTAATACAACTCCCAAATTTGTGGAGTGTTATATAATGGAATTCTATTTTATTCCAAAGTAAATAAAATAATAATGGTGAGGGGGAGAAAGGACTTGAAAAAGCCTCACACGGAGAAATAGAAAGTCAGTTGAAGAAATCAATGATTTGGATTGTCCAAGTAAAAGGAAAGTAATTATACCAAAACAACTGTGTTCAGGAGAAGTCTGGAACTGTCTATTAAACTGACAAAGAGCAGAAAATATGTCAGGTATTTTAAATGATGACAGCAAACTAATGGGAAAGTCAAAGGCAATGATCAACATAACTGTCCACCTTTTGATTTAGAGATGTGAGAGATGGTAATGTATGCCCATGGTATTTTTGTTTCATTGGAAGTCTCATCCAATGGAATCAGTGATTTAAATTTAAGACATTGACATAGATAATCATGAAAATAATGATTTGTTTCAAATATGTCTCACAAGGAAATTCAAGGTCAAAAGTGATTCAAAGATTAGGAAGTCTGAAAAAAAAGGCAGACTGAAGAAACCATGCAGGATGAAGGAGTCAATAGATATCTCTGTGGAGAGGACTTTTCTATAATAGCCCTATTTTATCAGCATTATGCTTAAGAAAATTAGCCAACATCCAAACATTAGTATCAGAAAAACAATCAGGCGATGCAGCAGAAGCCATTGTGGTATTTACAAGGACCTATAAATATCCCCAAGTGCTATTAGTATGACAGCATAGGTGATGAGCACAGGTTATTCTGACAAAGAGACGCACATTCCAGATACGCAGAGTTGGTTCCAGAATATATCATCAAGGGATACCAGATGACATTGGAGACATGGGTCTCAAAACAATAGAGAGCAAGTCATAAGGAAGATGAAGTACAATTAAAGCGAATGGCCAAAGGTGCCAGAGGGCACAGAGGGGCTCACCAGGGCTAGGGGAAGAAAGGAAGACAACATTGCTTTAGAGATGTGCGTAGGTCACTGCAGACAATGCAAGGACACAGAGAGGAACCAGACAAATTATGATGCATAGTAAATCAATTCCGAGTTATGCAATAATGGAGACAAAGTGCCTGAAACAAGATTTATAATTGTCAGCAATGCTAACAACAAACTGTAGCAACTGTCAGGGCTTTGTCCTAAGGGAAACAAGAATTTACAAATATAGGTTAAACCAAGTCAGAATAAAAAAACAGCAACCACAGTTACATTTACTTCAATAAATTATACCAAATGCCAACTAGGTACCAGGAACTGGGCTGGGAATTAGAGTTACATAGGAGACCCTGAGAAGCATGCATGTAGTCAGGGAGAGGGATTGTGAAAATATCTAATTGTTATCCAATAACAATTTACAAGCAATTGTGTGCAGTAGGTACAGAGCACAGTCATGTTATCATGGAAGGTTACAGCCAGGGAATTTTTCCATAAATGCCTGATGTATTAAAAGATGTTTACAGAAAGTCAAGGTGAAGCGGCATGCCAAGGGAAGATGAAGCACAGAGGAAGAGGGCTGCGCTGTGTTCAGTGTCCCGGCCTTGCTTAGTTGGTGAAGGAAAAAGTCCTAAGAGGTAGGAGGGAGGTAGGAGACAAGATGGGGGAAATAGATCCCATCAAACTTGGGTGACCTTGTGTATCAAGCAGGAAAGAGGGACTTCATTTTTAGGCAATAGACTCACTGAAGGGTTGAAATAGGGAAGCATTTCAGCTCTGGGTTTCAGACGGATCATGCTGATGGCAATGCACAGGGGAGGCTGGGAGGAAGCACATCTCTGAAGTTAGCAAGACACATCGGGAGCCTTTCTGTCTCCAGATGGAGATGTTCGGGCTCTGAAGTAAAAGATATTTCTGGAGTTCCACTCTTGACATTATAATAAGAAGAGCTACAAATTATTAATCCCTTTCTAGATGCCAACTGCTTTACCCAAATCATCTCATTGCTTCCTCATAATGTCAGATGAGTTGGATACCATCGTGTCTGTATAACAGATGTGAACTTCTGTCTGCAGCTCAGAAGGTAAACAACTTGCCAGCTCCAGGTGGGTCTTAGTCCTGAGCGTGGACTGAAACCTAAGTTTTTGTGTCTCTAAAACTCACCTTCTTTACACACACATGGGCTTGAGAGGATTTTTTCCTGAAAACCTATACAACTGTAAAGTAATCTGAAAATCTGTACCTAAATTTACTTTGGTGAGGATAGCAGCCCATGTCTCTTCCCATAACTTCCATCTTTGTCTCAGGCCAGACCACAAACCATTTATTTCTAAAATAGTATCTGGAGTTGACCCTTTCTACAGCACTTCAAGTTTAGATTTCTCTCCTAGACTGGAGCTTCCAAAGGGCAGAATGTTCTGTATGTCTTAAACTTCAGTTCTTTGCAAGTGCCTGGCACACAGGACACTCAATTATTGGTTCAGTGAATAAAAGGCTTTGTAACCCTGCAAGAGGACATTTGGAATGGCCACATTACAGCTAAAGTCATGGTTTTAACTCCGAAGAGTTAGCAGGTCCTCACCAAAGAACAGACTTTCCCGGGAGGATCACAGGTAGACGCTTCATTTGAGTGACCTGAACTACCAAGTTTTAACTAGTTGGTGAGAAATAAACAAACAAGCACAGCTCTTTACTCACTAATCTTTTGCACATAATATAATAAATAGGATATAAATAAAAGAAGCCTCCATAAAAATTCATTTAAAGACTATAATTGTTTAAATGCTTTTTTCAGCCTTGGCATATAACTAGAGTATAACTCTAGCATGTAGCTTCATGAAATCATCACCATTTTCCCTATCCTTTCCTAGAAAGCAACTTCCTAACCTGTTGTGAAGTCGGATTTAAAGGTTCCATCCCTTCCAGGGCTCACTGCGTCTCAGGACCTTCAGCCATGGGACAATGGGCCACCTTGTCACCGTAGGCCTTCTAGGGTCTCATATCTGCCAAGGTTTTCTCCTCCATATCAGCCACCCTAGGTCCACTCAGCTATTGAGGCCGCTTGCACTAATTAAATGGTAGACCTTGCAGTGTTCCTCTCCTTATCGTTCTAGAATGTTTTTTCTCTTCTCTCTGATCTCTTGGCTTCCACTCTCTACCAGGGACCCAAACAGGCAGGAAGCAATTACAGTAATAAGAAACCAGCCTGTCTTTTATCTCCCAGTCTGGAAAGACCCTCCACTCTTGCTGCATCAAGGCGTTTTCTTCACTTGCTGTTGTTTTTTTTTTCTTTCTTTCTTTTTTCTTTTTGAGACAACTCCTTCCAAGTTTCACTCTCTTTCCTGATCAAATCTTTGTTTTACAAACAATGGCTTATTAACTCCCTTAATCTTCAGATTTTTCCATCCTCAGTGACAGAAGCGCTATCATTTTACACAAAACATACGTTTTTAAAACCAAAGCTGACAAGAATTTAACGCACATATTTTAATGATTTTCTCCCCTAATCATTTGACGTAGCTCTTGTGTAAATAAGATTTCCACCCTCCACCCAATAAAGCAGGTGCATTTAAAACGACTTCAACTGCATTTTCAAATATATTTTCCAACTGACTGATAGAGGGGAATCAGTATCACCCAAATAAAACTCCTAGAGCCCTCAGTAGGAAGACTGTCCTTTCCAGAAGGCTGCCTGCTCACCTTAGTCCTCCCCAAGAAGCTACATTGTAAACTGAGCAGCAAGAGCACAGCAAGAAGTCACAGCTTTTCTCTGTGTCTGTCCCCACAGACAAAATAGATGCAAGAGGGAAAAAGGTGATGTAAATAATGACTGATGATGACAAAGAAAGAAAACCCATTGGAGAAAGAAACCCCAAATCTTGCTGTCCTCCTAAGAACATGATTCATCACGTCTGGGGCACACTCTTGCCAGTTCCCTACACAAAAGCATGATTGTTGAGCCCTTTACCTGCTACCCAGGCCACATTTCAAACACTGTGGGGTCTGGTGAGTAGGGTTTATGCCGAGGGACTGTAAATTCCCTGCAGCTCATGATATCATCCATTTAGGAACACTTCTGACTGCAGTATCTGCACTGAGTCAAGAGAAACTGCATCTGCAGGACCTAGAGAAGCACCCGCGCTCTGTGCCCCGCCGCCTGCTCCCTGCTGCCGCGC
Source organism: Homo sapiens (assembly GCF_000001405.40). Taxonomy (NCBI): domain Eukaryota; kingdom Metazoa; phylum Chordata; class Mammalia; order Primates; family Hominidae; genus Homo; species Homo sapiens. The sequence goes on along the minus strand of NC_000013.11, from coordinate 106,906,615 downwards.
TGCTTTCGGAGAATCCCTTCCCTGAATGGCGGCGGACTCCCAGAAATGCCTGGAGAAACCATTTTCCGTCTACCTCACAGAGCAGCAAGAATTAATGTCCTTATTAACCACATGCCAGTGATTACTGCGATACCATGTTAAAAGCATGGCACTGGAAATCAGAAAAGCAGTGTTTTCAGTTCTGTTACTCATTCCTGCTTGCATGTTAAAATCCTTTAGAAAACTCTAAAAAGAAATAGCCCTGGGCCACCTCTAGAGACTAATTCAGTTCATCTAAGGTGAGTCCTGAGCATGGCCATCATTTAAATATGTATACATGAAAGCATTTTGTAAAGTATATATCACTAAATAAGTATTTTATTATTATAATTACTAATTCAAAATACGTATTGAAAGATAATGTGTTGACTTATCAACTCCTGTTTCTTTCTTTAACCTATTGCCATTTTCCTCTCCACTGCAACAAATTAGTAAGGACGTGTGTCTCCTTGCTCTGTGTGTGTGTGTGTGCGTGCAGGCGTGCGCACACACACCCTTACGCATGGCACGAAACAGAAGTTTCCAGGAATTCAGAAGCCTCTCCCATCCAGGCTACTTGGAAAAGGCTCAACTCATAGGGGAGGAGGAAGATAGAACTATGTTGTGGAGGCTTTGAAGTCAGGTGTCCGGATTCAGGAAGAAGGGAGTTGTGCTTAGAGGGGGCAAAGTGGAGAAGCAATTCCTCCCGCGTCTGTCTGTTATTGTCTGGGAGCTGCAGTGCTGGTCTGCTCCTGGTCCGCTGCTGCCCGCCTGTAAGGAAGAGGCCCAGCCTGTGGGCTGGAGGCTGCAAGAATCCAAGTCTGAGAATTACAGTCGTGGGTGCTTGCTCAGCTGGTCAGTGGGGCAACAGAATGCACTGCCTCAAGGTCCGTGCCCACTTAATTGTGATTTTAGGATTCAATATTCTATGAGTTGAGGGGCTCTTGGAGATTTATCTGAATTGGAGAAATGAATGATAGGATTTTTTAAACTACACAACTCTGATATTGCACAATAACAATTCAGAGCTGATACTCATTTAGCAAGTTTACACAGACCTGTTATGTATCAAGTAGCTACTATATTAGTTTCTAGGGATATCCTTCAAACTCAACAGTTAGGGACAATCGTGACAAAAATAGTCATAACATGAATATATTTGTCCTCCCCATCAGCAAGGGTAGGGCTCAAATGAAATAGTATGTTTGAAGGAAAAATGCATAATGTCATCAGAGTGAATAAGTAGCCATGGTTGTGACAGTCAGATGGAGACACAAGAGCTGGGCAGAATCCAATTCAATAACTTAATAGCTGTAAGATGAGTATGAAAAAAAAATCAGAATGAAACTAAACAGCAATTGCCTTCATTGATTCTAAACGAGGGGTAAAATAGCCCAAGTGGAAGTTGCAGGCTCAAATTAGAGCTCTGAATCAGGGGAGCTGAAGACAAATCAAAGTGCAATCCAACCCACTTGTAGTGTTTGGACTTGGGGCCCAGTTTGACCTAGAGACAATCAACGAAATTCAGTCTGTCTTTCATGGTTTTGAGAAAAACTGCCCTGGATTTCCACTCCGGATCTCATACCCCCGCCAAAATTTCTGAATGCACAAACTCAGCTCATTAATGATGCAACCTGAATTACTTGGGATAAAAAAATTGTTTCCGTAAAGGATAAATAGGTGACTATAAATAACCCAGGAGGCTTAAAATTAGGTATATTGATGGCATAAATAGTATGAAGACTTTCGTGTTGAGAATAATAATCTGTAGATATATATATTTTTTGGAGATGGAGTCTTATTCTGTCACCCAGGCTGGAGTGCAGTGGTGCGATGTCAGCTCACTGCAACCTCCACCTCCTGAGTTTAAGCAATTCTTGAGTCTCAGCCTCTCAAGTAGCTGGGACTACAGGCACGAGCCACCACACCTGGCTAATTTTTTGTATTTTTAGTAGAGACAAGGTTTTGCCATGTTGACCAGGCCAGCCTCGAACTCCCGACCTCAAGTGATCTGCCCGCCTTGGCCTCCCAAAGTGCTAGGATTACAGGTGTGAGCCACCTCGCCCGGCCTTATTTGGTATTTTAAATAATGATAATGTTTAAAAGGATTTTGCATCCTAGAGAATCTAAAAGATTCGCCTTGGGATTACACTTTTAAAAGTGTAAATGAGGAATTGGCTTAGATTTGTAATTTTAGGTTGAAAGTTAAAAGAAATTTTACGAAGTTTGTAAATAACATTCAAATATTTAAAACCAGCTAAAATCACCGTATTTTCTGAAATAATTATTGAATTTGTCTATTTTTATTGTAGTATCTTTGATGTCTTTAGCCCATAATGTATAAAAAATATTTGGCATTAAGGGGGAAAAAAAAACAAAACATTTCCAAAATCAGATGGGAATAGCCATATCCCTTCTCTAAGTAATTTTTACTGCTCTTTTCTAAACTCTTCTAAAGTTTTAGGCCCAAAATGGAACTTAAGAAATGCCATTTAGACTAATTATCTAACCATATACGTGAAGAAACAGAGACTCAGAGAAGCTGAGATATTGCTTAAACCACAGCACTATTTAGGGCAAAACCAACAAGAAGTTTCATGACCCCCCAGTCCATTGTCGTCTGAACTGGATTATCGGCTTTACTTATTGCTTAGTGATGATATATGTTCCGGGGGAGCTTATGATCTGACCTTCATCTGAACACAATAGACTGCTTCTGATTTTTCCAGCCAAAGAGAAAGTATTTGGGTTTTGAGCATCTTTTTAACTGAGAACATTCCTCTTCCTGGCTATGAAAACCTTCCCCTGTGTATGTAGTAGGAAGACTGCTACACTAACCAGACTTCACCCATTGCTTTCCAAAAACCAATGTGAAAAGGCTATTGAACTGAGCAGTGTATTGTTTTGTCTGCAGCTTACCCAACATGCAAAAATACAGACTTTCTCAGTGTGCATTGTTCTGTGTTCAGTTTCACAACTGTAAAGAATAACTTATTCCATGTAAGATTTTGTGTTGTGCCTAAAACACGAAATAATCCCCCTAGGATCTACTAGAAAAGTATCTTATGCTATAAGAACACTGATCATTTCTGCTACAAGCAAACATAGAGGTTGTGTTCTAAAGTGTTAATCTTCCTCTGGGGGTGGCTAGAGAACAGCTTACCAAGGGGGAGAAATCTGGCTCATGTCGACAAAGCTCTCACAGCTCTTCAGAAGAGAAGTATTGTGTAAGTGCAAAGCTATTATTATATAAAAGCATTCAGAGGATAATATTAGCCATAATTGTATTAAATATTAATATTAATGCAAATGGTGGCTAAGAGCTTAAAGAAGAGCTTATAAACTGTAACAGTCAATAACAATGGAGTAAAGGTATATAAAATTTGTATATTGTCAACCATGCACACCAGACAAACCCAATAAACTGAAAACTAATAAGTTGCTAAAAGTCGTGCTGTCCATTTTCATTAATTTTTTCAGCTAGAAAAACAAAAAAAAAGATTGTCAAACTTCTTTCAATCAGCATTGAAAATAGGACTTGAAACTCAATTTACTTAATTTCCACGTGATGATTTTTTTTAATGTGGCAGCTTGGCTGTGCTAAACTACGGTTTTCCATCAAACTCAGGTGTTCCATCAAATGTGAATCTGTATGTGGCTGTGAAGAGATTCTGTTGATATCTAATCTGTTGACTTTAAGGAATCAAAAGAGAGTATTCTAGATGGGCCTGACCTTATCAGATGAACCCCTTAAAAGAGGGCTGAGGCCTTCACAGAGCCCAAAGACTCGAGGTTTTAGCTCCCAGAGTTGCAACTTGCCTGTGATCTTTCCCTTCCTGCCTGTTTTATATACTTCAGACTTGCATACACACCTTGCCACATTATGTAAGCCAATTCTTTGTAATAAACCTAAATATTAATCTGTCTATCTATATACCTATCATCTATCTACCTACCTACTTTTCTACCTGTCTTCTACTGGTTCTGCTTTTCTGGTTGAACCCTGATTGATACACCATCGTTTTCAAGAAACATATATGTGGGTAGTTAGATTTTTTCATGGGTAGAAGCATAAATATTCTAAAAAATATAGTTTTATTTTGCACTCCTCACACATTAAAGAAAAGCTGCTGTTTAATTTCACTCCTATCTTAAGTAACATAATCCATCATTGATTTAAAAAGATAGAACAACTCAAGACCAATGAGCTTTTCAAAGATTTTTAATTGGATTTCAAATGAAAATTATAAACACAATGAATCACTGGGCCCTAAAAATGAAGACTTAAATACTTTGACTTAAAGCAAATTTTTGGAAACAGCCAAGGACATTTGGTGTGGATAAAAACGGGTTCCCGACACCTTCTATTCTGAATGCCTTACTTCCTCCATGCAGTTCACGAAAATTACATGAGCACATACACATAAATACAACCCTAGCAGAGGGAAGCAAAATGTAAGAACACAGCCATCTGTCAGTGAGTCTCAGGAATATTGAAAGCTTAACAAAAACTATAATTTAATTCAATGTTAAAAACAAAATAATTGAAGGAATTTCACCTGGTCGTAATAATTATGTTCTCCACCTTTAATGAGCAGCTTTTTGTGTCTTAGCAGATGTCATATGGGTGTTTACTGCCTCCTTTAAGAAGTGAGAAACCAAAATACTTTAAATCATATATCGAAAATCAGTTAAACTAACCATACCTTGTAATTCCATTCCTCATTAAAAATTCTTAATCAATAATGTCTCAAGATTTAAAAGCATTGTGAAAAGTAAATTAGAAGACATTCACAACATGGAATATTATACAGCCATTAAAAATGTGAAGTAACTAGGGGACAGGAAAAAATTATATATGATTATATGATTGATAAACTCAGAATAGACAGTTCTGTATGTGTGTGTGTGCATGTGTGTGTGATTTAGAAATCAGAGAGTAAAATATTCAGAAAAATGCCCACAATTTTTTTTTTTTTTAAGATGGAGTCTTGCTCTGTCACCCAGGCTACAGTTCAGTGGCATAATCTCAGCTCACTGCAAACTCCAACTCCTGGGTTCAAGTGATTATCTTGCCTCAGCCTCCTGAATAGCTGGGACTACAGGTGTGCGCCACCTTGCCCAGCTAATTTTTGTATTTCTAGTAGAGACGAGGTTTCGCCATGTTGGCCAGGCTGATCTCGAACTCCTGACCTCAGGTGATCTGCCCACCTCAGCCCCGCAAAGTGCTGGGATACAGGTGTGAGCTGCTGCGCCCACCCACACAAGTTCTAAATAATATTTATTTGGGGATTGTGGCGTTATAGAGAATGTTTTCCTAGATTTCTATAGTTATTCTAAATTATTTGTGTACTTAAAATTATTTACAAAAAAAGAAATTGATTGCTTTAATTATTCCTTGTCTATTAAATACTGACAATGTTTGATATACAAATAGTGAAAAACTCATCCTGGAGAAATACATTTCCTTTGGGGTGGGAACTACATGTATTCTGTAAATAAACCGTGCCTGGTGCCTGTTTTGACTCATCCTAGCAGGTGCTTGACTCTAGAGTGTGCTTGGCCACACAGATGCTTCTGGATTGCCTGCCTATGCCCTCAGTCTTCACGGGATCAGCTTGATCAATACCAAATGATTGAGTTTTAAAAAGTCAAGACTATATTAGGCTGGGTGGTGGCTCATGCCTGTAATCCCAGCACTTTGGGAGGCTGAGGTGGGCCAATCACTTGAGGTCAGGAGTTCAAGACCAGCCTGACCAACATGGTGAAACCCTGTCTCTACTAAAAATACAAAAATTTAGCTGGGCGTGGTGGCGGGTGCCTGGAATATCCGCTACTCAGGAGGCTGAGGCACAAGAATCATTTGAACCTGGGAGGCGGAGGTTGCAGTGAGCCAAGATCACACCACTGTACTTCAGCCTGGGCAACAAATCTCGATAAACACACAGACATGCATGCAAATTTAAAAAGTGCGACGATGTAACAGAGAAAAGAATTTTGCTTAATTTATGCAGAGAACCAGTTTAAATTCACCATTTTAGTCTGTCTGCTTCACAGGCACCCCTGTTCTTATAATTGGATTTTCCATATGTTCACAAACAGATGTTTTAGTATCAGTAGTCTTCCCGCTGTGTTTCTCTTTTGGGTACTATGGATGCCTCTGGTCAGGGTGCATCTTTCATCTTAAGTTCTCTTTTGTCAGAATCCTCTTTCTCATTTGAGATGGCCAGATGGACAGACAGCAAGTGTAAGAAAGAGAGTTCAAAATAAAGAATACTTAAATCCAAATTTCAAAAGCTAGCGACTACCCCCAATAATTTATACATAAAAATAGTGTTCTCTGTTTTTCTCTTACACCTGTGTTCCCTTGTAAGGAGGGTAGAAGACCCACTGGTAGTAGATATCTTCTACTGTATGCTGGATGTCAGACCAGATTCTCTCTTCAGGCCTCAGTTTTAGGAAACATTTAGCCCTGTCACCACTTAGAAAAAAAGATCATGAAGCACATTTCCAGCCATTGATTTGCCAGGAGAAAATATTTGGGAGTGCATGCATAGCTTCAAGAAGAATCGTTCAGACCTGGCTGAAGAGGAAATAAATTTTTCTTTCACCAAAACCAATGAAAGGTTTTCCTCTGCTTGTTGATGACAAATCAAGAATATACATCCAGATTAGACGACAAAAGGTATTTTTTTCAAAGTTTCATCAAACATATTGAACATAGCTTGTTATTTAGCAAAAATGATAAAGAAAACAGCCAAACTGAAGAAAAATATTTTAATAATATTTATGATATCTGTGTTACAAATATGTAATTATCCTGTATCAAGGAAATGGATGTAGGTTTTAGAATATTGAAAGAATCAAATAATAGTGTTAAAACAACAAAAAGCAACTCAGAAGTTACATAACTTTGGTTTAAAGCCACATGTACACACTGGACTGTTTGCTTAAGGTTTAAGTGAAATTGGTGCTGTTCCAGCTCCTGTCAGGATGATAAACTCATAGGCACTGCCAGCTCTTTCCCCAGTCCCCAGCTCTGGAGATTCTGTGGAAGTGAGAATTTGAAGGATGTGAGAAAATGACATTAAAGCTATTTGACAGCTCCAGGAAGAGAGAAGGTGGTTGTTTCCTGGAGGATGCAGAAAGATGGCAGACTCAAAAAAAAGTGAGCCGGGAGCATGCATGGGGGACAGGTTGAGGAGAGCATTTTGTTTCTGATTGTTTTCCTTAGTCATAATCCAAGGCAGATTATTGCTGCCATCAAGTTAAAAATTTTTAGAAAGATAAAACAGATCACCTACAATGGAAGAAGAATCAGATAAACATCAGACTTCTCATCAGCAGCAAAATAAGCCAGATGATGGAGTTATTTTCAGTATTGATATAACATTGAAACTAGACTTTTTCTACTTAATAGTCTCAATCATATATATCCTAGGAAGTTTTACAAGACAAAATCCTCTTTAAGAAATAACAGGCCAGGCACTGTGGCTCATGCCTGTAATCCCAACATTTTGGGAGGCCAAGGTAGGAGGATCACTTGACTCCAGGAGTTCAAGGCCAGACTGAGCAACATAGTGAGACCCTGCCCCTACCAAAAATTTAAAAATTAGCCAGGTGTGGTATCATGCACCTGTAGTCTCAGCTACTCAGGAGGTTAAGGTGGGAGGATAGCTTGAGCCTGGGAAGTCAATGCTGTGCTGAGCCATGATTGGCACCACTGCACTCCAGCCTGGGTGACTCTGTCTCACAAGAAAAAAAAAAGAACTAAGAATTAAGAAAAATACATTTAGCTTTTATAAGCTATATTTCATGGATTACACATGAATAAATAATTTACTATTGGTTTTTCAGGAAAAGGCAAAGCCAGCACCATGGGAAACAGTGAAAAATACTGACATGTTTTTTAAAAACATAAAATATGTGTTGATGGTTTAAAAACATAAAATAGATGGAAGAATAAATCTAACTATAAGACTCATTGAAATATGTAAATGGTCACACTTAGTGATCGAGACATTCTCAGATTTGTAATCTACAGATCAAACAGAGTGAGCAATATGTTGTTTACAAGAGGCATACTTAAAACCAAAAGATCCAAGAAGTTTGTAAATGAAAAGATTGAGCAAGATATACTAGACACATGTAAGCCAAAAGAAAGCCAAGACACCCAAACACAGAACAAAAATTCAAGGCAAAAATTTCACAGCTGACATTATGTAATAAAATAAGAGTAGATATTAGGATTTTGTGATTATAAACACTTACTGACCCAACAATATTGCCTCACAGTATATCAGGAAACGACCAGCAAAACTACAAGGAAAAAGGGATAATTCAAAAAAGTTAGTCTTGCTCATGGGGAAAAGAAAGTGTATTAAACTTCATTGAGATGCCATGTAGTATTTATGAGCTCAGTAAAAATCCAAATATTTGACAACGTATTCTATTGGTGAGACCATGGGGAAATGTGAGTGCTCATTGTTGGTAAGAATGCAAAATCATGCAACACTTGAGGAGAGGAATTCAGCTGTACAGAGAAAAGTTGCATATGAATTAACTCATTGAGGCTTTTATATCTACCTCAAAGACAAAAACATAAAATGATATTTGCATATTTTTTAGCCTTTATTTCTGCAAGCAAAAGACTGGAAATAACCCAAATGACCATCAACAGAAGTCTGGATGAAAAACTTTGGTGAATCCACAAGATGGAATACATGTAATTAACTATAAAAAGCAGTAGAGAGGAACTCTACATAGTAATATGGCTTTCTAGGCTGTATTATAAAATAAAAGAAGGAAAGCGGAGAATAGTATACTAGTATACTATATTATATATGTGTGTGTGTGTGTGTGTGTATATATATATATATATATATATATATATATATATATACTGTATTATAATAGTATAATAGAATAGTATTGGCTGTATGTCAACTCCAAAGTAACTAAGGGGAAGGGCAACTTTTTAAAAAAAGAAACAATATAAGGATGAACAATAAAATGGTGATGTATGCCAGGACAGAAGTAGATTTGCTGAGCAAATGAAACAAAATAGGTAATTTTAAAATGTTGTAATATTAAATTTTAATTGGAAATGTCAGCACAATTTTATATGTTGCTTTAAATATATATATGTATTTTCCAGACTAGAAACATTGAGCTTAGAAACATAAGGACCACTAGCACCCAAACTGTGGCCTCTAAATAACAACTTCCACTAAAAGTACCCTGAACACCTCGGAGCTATTTCCAATGCTATGTCTAGGGCAGCAAATTTATAAATTAAATCTTTCTGGCATTAACTTTTTGTTATGCTGGAAATTAAGGCAGTCATTAAAGATTAACAGAGTCTTATCAAAGGGACACAGGAACTCATCTAAAGGTGCTTCTGTTGGCCTAATAGGGGAATATTTTAGTATAAAAAAGAATAATGATGACAATGAATAGCAACGCTTCAAGAAACTGAAAGCTTATGGCGCCTTAGTGATATCAAAGCACGCGCAGTGGCCACCACCAGAGGTTGCTAATACAGCAGCCTGTGATTCTGAAAATTTATGAGGGCAAGAAATCAAAAATTCATCCTGAATTCCTTTTACCAACTCTAACTCAAGTTAAGAAAATGGTTGGTAAGAGATATTTCTTCTTTAAAGAAGAATTCCAGCTAATAAATACAGAAGCAATAACTAAAATCAAGTCACCATTTTGCCATTTCTAGTGAAATAATAAATTTAGGCCACAATGACCCAAACTAAGTTTATTAATATTATAAATCAGTAACAAAGAAGAACTAAAGAGAATTCCAGATATCTGAAACCTAAGAAGATGATTACTAAATGAATTTTGGTTAAAGAGCAAATTATATGGGGATTATGAAATATTTAAGCTAAATGATAAAATATTCCACATCCACATGTGTATAACTTAGCTAAAACAGCATGCGGCTTCTAATGAATTATTTGGTGAATGAGACAACTGGAAAATAGTGAGGTAAGTATTCGACTTAAGAAGTTGAAAAAGAGGCCAGGCATGGTGGCCCACGCCTCTAATCCCAGCACTTTGGGAGGCCGAGGCAGGCAGATCACGAGGTCAGGAGATCGAAACCATCCTGGCTAAGACAGTGAAACCCCATCTCTACTGAAAATACAAAAATTGGCTGGGCGTGGTGGTGGGTGCCTGTCGTCCCAGCTACTCAGGAGGCTGAGGCAGGAGAATCGCTTGAACCTGGGAGGCAGAGGTTGGAGTGAGCCGAGATCGCACCACTACACTCCAGCCTGGGCAGCAGAGCGAGACTCCATCTCAACAACAACAACAAAAAAGTTGAAAAAGAACAAGAAGGAAATAAATAATATAGATATGGGAGTAAATCAAATAAATAGAGAATTATATAGAACTATAAAAAAACTAAAGGCTAAGGCCAGGTGTGGTAGCTCCTGCCTGTAATCCCAGCCCTGTAATCCCAGCACTTTGGGAGGCTGAGGCAGGCGAATGACCTGAAGTCAGGAGTTTGAGACCAGCCTGGTTAACGTGGTGAAAGCCTGTCTCTAGTAAAAATACAAAAATTAGCCAGGTGTGGTGGTGGGCACCTGTAATCCCAGCTACTCGAGAGAATGAGGCAGGGGAATCACTTGAACCTGGGAGGAGAAGGTTGCAGTGAGCAGAGATTGCACCATTGCACTCCAGCCTAGGCGACAAGAGCAAGACTCCGTCTCAAAAAAAAAAAAACAAACAAACAAACAAAAAAAACTAAAGCCTAGTTCACTGTAGACTAAAAACAGGGACAAATCTCTGACAAAACTAATGAAAGAGAAAGAAGTTATAAATAAATAAAACACAGAAAGTAAAAGAGAAACAGACAGAATGAACATTTGAAAAAATAGCAAAATAATGTTAGGAATATCTATATGCCAATAAATTTGAAAATCTAGGTAAAATAATTACATTTCTGGGAAAATATATGATGCCAATATTTGTGCTGGGAAGATAAAAATGCAAATATATCAAATAAGAATAAAAAATAGAAACAAAAGGTATCACACAGGCTCACACTCAATTTTTTAGGTGAATTCTACCAAACATTAAAAGAACAGTTTTTTCCTATCTTAAAAATACTTTTTCTCAAAATTAAATAGAAGCAATGTTACTCAGCTCATTTTCTTAGCTAATGTAACACTGATTACAGACTGTATTTATAAAAATAATGTAAAAAAAAACGGCATGATAGGCCTTTTTTACTTGTGATTACTGAAGTAAACAGAAATCCCAAATAAAATATTAGTAATAAAAAACCAAATCATAGGGGACCAGGAATAGAAAGAAATATTATAACTTGATAAAGACTATATCCCAAAACCAATAGCAGGCATAGTACTCAGTGGAGACCTATTAAACCCACTTAAGAACACAGAGAGTGGTTACTGTCACCTCCAGTATGGAAGGTAATGGAGGGAAGATACAGCCAAAGAAATAAGATGAGCCAAAGAATTAAGAAGCATATCAATAGAAAGGGAAGAGACAAAATTATTATTAACTTCAGAATATGATTTTTGGCTGCACGTTGTGGCTCACGCCTGTAATCCTAGCACTTTGGGAGGCTGAAGCGGGAGGATTACTTGAGTTCAAGAGTTCAAGACCTGAATAGGATTTTCTACAGCAAAAAGCTATAAACAAATAAAAATCAAATGGTACAATCTTTGTTGTAAATCCAATCTAAATTACAAGATAATTTTAAACAAAATACTACAAGCTTATTTTGAAATTTAAATTAAGGCCAGGTATGGTGGCTCATGGCTATAATCCCAGCACTTTCAGAGGCTGAGGCAGGAGGATCACTTGAGGCCAGGAGTTCAAGACCACCCTCAGCAATATTGTGAGACCTCATGCATGCCTGTAGTCCCAGCTACTTGGGATGCTGAGGTGGGAGGATCTCTTGAGCCCAACAGGTCAAGGCTGCAGTGAGCAGTGATCTCACCACTGCACTCCAGCACTTTCAACCTGGGAGACAGACTGAGACCCTGTCTCTGTTTAAAAAAAAAAAAAAATTTAAGAAAAAAATTAAAAACTAAAAGACCAGAAGAGAAGCAAAGTGTGGATTTTCACCATATTACATACTAAGAATTACTGAAAGTCATATTAATACAAATATGGCACAGAAACAAAAAGTATGAAGAAAATAGAAAAATCACTAAAAGCCTCAAGTGTTTACATGACCCATTGAGGGAACCTGGTGTATATTATCAAAGAGCATCATAGTCAGTGGTTGAGATTAGATTGTTTAATAATAAATGATGCAGGAAAACTGACTCAAAAATAAAGTTAAATATTTACCACCACTATTTAAAGACTTAACAGTAGAAGATAAAACTATAAAGACAATAGAGAATACCTCAGTGACTCTGAGTTGGAAATGGTTTCTTACACATGACCCCAGGAAGACAAATCGTAAGGAAAGGCACTGATGGATTTAACGATTCAAAATCGAGAATGTCTGTTAAATGAAAGATGCCGTATACAAATTTTATAGACTAGAGGCAGATTCAGACAAGATATTTGCAATAGTGAAACCTGTTTATAATACAAGGAACTCCTACAATTCAACAACAAAAAGATAAAAAAAAATTCAATGGAAAATTGGGCTAAGGTTATGAACTAGTTATTCAGAGGGGAAATTAATCAGTTAAGTGAAAATTAAAAAGTAGGATAGTACCAAATTAGCAAGAGTGTGGCAGTCTAAGAATCTTCATGCACTGTTGGTGTAAATTGTTACAACTCCTGCAAAGTCCTTGGTGAAATTAAGTATACATGGCCACTGTGTCCCAGATCCCACTCCTGGTTGTGTGTCTCAGAGTAACCCTTACCCAGGCCCATAAAAAGGCACGGACAGCAATGTTCATCCTGATGTCATATGATGTAGTGGATAATTTGAGACAACTCACATGTTGAACACTAGAGCAATGATAAGCAAATGTGATGAATGCATTCGTGGAGGGCTTTGCAGGCATGCCAAAAGTGAATTACATATAACACAAGAACCGGAACCCATCTGAATACATAGTACTGAATGAACTCATCATAAACAAGGTTCTATAATGCCATATTGTTTATGTGAAATAAAAACTCATGAACCTCAATCAATGCTATGTGATGTATACGTCCAAGAATACATGCGTACACAAGAACATACAACACGCTGAAATGAGAATGTCAACCTGGGATAAAGAGTAACAAAACAAAACAAAATCAAGGCACAATTTTTTGCAGGGACCAAAAATGATAATGTTCCATAAATTAAGGAATATGGATCACCCAGCTTTCCGCACTTCAGGTTTAAATATAAAACAAATGCATAAGCAAATAGATAAAATAGATCAAAAAAATAAAGTTTAGACATGGAAAGAAACTTTTGATGTCATATGGCCTGCAATACCTTTCAAACTTTTGGGTTTTTAATTTTTAAAAAATGTATTTGTTTAGTAGAGACAGGGTCTTGCTATGTTGCCCAGGCAATAGGCTGGTCTCAAACTCCTGGGCTTAAGCGATTTTTCTGCCTCTGCCTCAAAGTGCTGGGATTACAGGTGTGAGCCACTGTGCCTGGCAAACTTTTATTAACAATCTCCAGCTTCTTTAAAATACACAGGCTACAATGGGTGAGGCAAACAAAAATCTAAGGAAACAATCCCTTTAAGATTGCCCTCCCTGCACACATGAGCCAGAAGTCTGGGGACCATCCTCACTTGAGACCAGTTGACTACAAATTCGACGGTCTCCGCATCTGCTCTTAAGTTTGATAATTCACTGGACTCACAGAACTCTGTGAAAGCTATTGTCCTCACAGTAAGGTTTGCTACAGATGAAGGATATAAATTAGAATTAGAGACAGCCGCAGAAAGAGGCGCATGCCCTCCCGGCATCTGTGAGGGGGCACCACAGGGTACGGCCAGCCAAGGAAGTGGGCTCCCGCCCCTGTGACCTGGCTCCCTCACACACTGCCTGTGTGGCTAACTTTCATTCTTCCTCCCCTTCTGGAGGTCTGGGCTAAATACCTTTTGTTGCCAGTTTCTCCAAAAGTTGAAAATAATATTGTGTGCCTGAAAGTCCCTATCGTAAGTCACTTTGCCAAAGCTCCAAACAAAGACACTTCTATCATGCAGGACATCCTAGTGGCCAACATGTCACTTCCCAGTAGCTGATGATAAAGGCCAGACCTCCTTTAGGTAGGGTGAGTTCTTCACTACACCCTGAATAAGAATTTCAGAGAATCAGAGAATCCATGTTTCCTAAAAGCTTGCTGAGTGACTCTGATAAGCCAGGTTTGGAAGCCATCGATGTAACTAATTCCTGCATTTACAGCTGAAAAAAATCCGACGTCAGAAGAAATTAAATGGCTCGTGTATGCGGTAACGATCCCACAGATAGCAAGAGAGAAGCCAAGGCTGGAAGCTGGGGAGCCTGGCTTCACCGTGCAGGGCCTGAGAACCTCCAGGCACTCTCCTTCACACCTCTCATGCTTTGCCTATGGACCGGGCAATAACCTGCTCTGCCCATATCTGTAAATCTATTCACATGTTGTCACAATAAACAAAATAGGAATTCATGTAAAGGCACCACTGAATTATTTATGGCCTTATAATTCAGAAGGTGGTAAAGGAGATTTTGAAAGTATGCTCTGTATGGAAAACGGAGGAATAATTAAATCAGCATCATTTATCTATTACACAAATCTACCTTAACCCTGCCCTTATCAATTCCTGTGAGTCAAATTCATTAACCCAAACTCAAGCATTAGCAAATGTGGTGGGCTGTTGCCAGTGAGATAAAACACAATGAAAGAAATTCCTGTGATGTAATTGCTTTTTAACCAACTTACCATTCAACTTCATCGGTGCGGTGCTTAAATTATACAGGAATCTTACGTGGTATCTTCATTGCAGAGACATCACCATTCCTACTAAACTGTCAGCTTTTGTCATAGTAGCACTCAGCGTAGCTGAAATATAAGAATCAGGTAAGACTCTATTTCTTATTCTGAGACTTTCATATTATTAAGCTTTCTCCATAAATTATTATTTCTTGTTCCATAAATTATGTTTTCTTCAGTAATTGAAGTAAATCACTCTACTCACAATTGATTACTAATTCTTGAAATTTGTGTGATTGTTGATGTGAAATTAATGATATGGATATAATGTAGAAAAAATTGTTTCAAGAAAGTTGGTAAACAAAATCCACATTATACTCAGCTGATAAATATTTGTTTAGCAGGGAACAATTTTGAGTTTATTAAATCTAACCTCTAATCTTACTCACCAAGGTGATGATGCTCCAACAATATCCGTGCATGTTAATCCCCAATTCATGTGCAGATTCAAGGGCTTGTGCCAGCTAAACAGAGGAACAGGACCTCTGGTCATCTGTTTAAGTCACTGGTGATGGGCTCCTTGTCCAGTAAAGCAGAATTTGTGGCTGCTGCAGTGGGGCCCAGGTTGGATTCTGGGATTTTGTTCAAGCCTTAGTGGTACAGTCATTCTCTTGAGATCCATTCTCTTCCAGGCCTTTCCCTTCATCCTGCAAAAAAGAAGAGATGGTGGTCCAAGTGGACTCACCCTTGCAGTCCTGCAAATCTCCCATTTCCCCTTGCCTTGGTTTCTTCTTCCGTGCAAGGGAAGTAGCTGCTTTCCTCGCCTGTCTGGTAAAGATCAACATCAACTTTCAATAAACATGGGCTTTAGGATCTAAGGTTAGAATTAAGGTGTCCACAAGGTAGCATCTGCTTCAGGCTCTGTAATAGAAATATCAATGAGGCTTTCTCATTGGAGGTAGGAAAACCACAGGGAAACAGCACAAATTAGTGTCTCATCCTGTAACACATGCATTCACAAAAGAAGGATAATTTGTTATAATCTTTTGAAGTTATAATAGCAGGAAGGAGGCTGGGTGTGGTGGCTCACGCCTGTAATCCCAGCACTTCGGGAGGCCGAGGTGGGTGGATCACCTGAGGTCAGGAGGTCGAGAGAAGCCTGGCCAACATGGTGTAACCCTGTCTCTACTAAAAATACAAAAATTAGCCAGGCATGGTGGCGCATGCCTGTAATTGTGGCTACTCAGGAGGCTGAGGCAGGAGAATCGCTTGAACCCAGGAGACAGAGGTTGCAGTGAGCCGAGATCACATCAGTACACTCCAGCCTGAGTGAGAGCATAAGAATCTGTCTCAAAAATAAATAGCAGGAAGGATTTGAAAACGAATTGAGGAGAGAAAGTTGTTGGCCTGAATTGATGTTTTCTCACTACTGTTCCTCGGACTACACAACGGATGGATTGATCCAGGTCATCGGTCCACAAATCATCTTATCATCATATATTATTACTCTCTTTTCTTCTCTGCCAGTAAAAGGTTTACAGCATAAGTTTGTAGCTACTTATTTTGATTTGCTTGATGTATGGGTTGAGAAAATATTGGTATTCATTCATAATAACAGCAAGAATTAGACATGTAAAAATTCTTAGTTGAAGTTGTTAATCTTTTGGCAAACATGTAACATGACAACATAGAAAGAACTAGTGTGTTTTTCTGGTTGAAGTAACATTAAACCATAACAATCTTTTGCTCTGGACAAATATTTATAAATGCCTATCATTTATATTGTTTGCCATCAGTCCAGCTAAATTATCCTCAGATTTTCAGGGTCGGCAAACTGTAGCTTGGAGACCAAATCTGTCCCGCCACGAAAGATAAGAATAGTTTAACATTTTTAAACTATTTTTTAATTGTCAAAAGATAATATTTAATAATGTGAATATTTATGAAACTGAAATTCCAGTGCACCTGAATAAAGTTTTATAGAAATGTAACCATGCACAATCATTTCTATAGTATCTATAACTGCTTTTGTGCTACGATGACAGAACTGAATAATTGCAGCAGAGAAAGTATGGTCCAGAAGGCCTAAGACATTTACTATCTTGTTCTTTACAGAAGATGATTGACAATCTCTGCATTAGAATGTGTGGGCATAGGGTTAGGGGTGGGAATTTGTTTAAAAAGACATGTTCCCTGGTTCTACCCAGAGGTTCTGATTTTGTAGATCAGTGTAGAAGTCTAACAGTCTGCATGTTTAATAAGCATCCCAGGTGATATTGTAGCAACAGTTCCTGGCGTTGCTCTATGAAAAACATTTTTAAATCTAATGTGATTATGTGTGTGTGTGTGTATAATTATGCATATATGTAATACATATTGATACATACTTATGTGTGCATTTCACCTATAGATATTTTCTTCATGGTAAATAAATATTCCTTATCTAAGACAGTGGTCCCCAACCCTGGGCCACAGACTGGTAGTGGTCCGTGGCCTGGTAGGAACCAGGCTGCACAGTGGGAGGTGAGTGGTGGGTGACACCATTACCACCTGAGCTCCACCTCCTGTCAGATCAGCTGTGGCATTAGGTTCTCATAGGAGCGAAACTCTATTGTGAACTGCGCATGGGAGGGATCTAGGTTGCATGCTCCTTATGAAAATCTAATGCCCGATGATCTGTCACTGTTTCCCATCACCCCCAGATAGGACCACCTACTTGCCAGAAAACAAGCTCAGGACTCCCCCTAATTCCATGTCAACTACCTTATGGTAAGTTGTATAATTATTTCATTATATATTACAATGTAATATCAATAAAAGTGCACAATAAATGTAATGCACTTGAATCATCCTGAAACCATCCCCTCTCAACTGCCCTAGTCAGTGGAAAAATTCTCTTCCATGAAATTGGTCCCTGGTGCAAAAGGTTGGGGACTCTAAGATATCAAGAGGAATAAGTAAATTTAAGTAATAAATTATAAATAGGTGTTTAAATACTTAAATATTCTTATTTGCTAAGCCTAGGGATGTGTTTGTCCCATTTTAAAAAATAAATTTGCTTCTTACACTTAGGAAAAAACAAATCATTCTTTTCAAGTAACATGTGTCAGAAATAATAATCCTCTTCTCCAATCTAGCTCAAATTTAAATGTTTGAACAAAAAGAACAAAACTAAGAATAAGATGTGAGGGAAGAGAAACATTTCCATAACAATGCATAGACTGACTCTACCCAGGAGGCCCATATGACAGCAAATGCCATATTTAAGTGTACAAAACTCTCTGCTTCAAGTCTCAATTTTAAGACACTTGTGCGTTGTCACACATTTTCTTTGTGGATAAAATTTCATGAATGTCAGAGAGAGACATCACCAGGAGATGGCTCTTTAACAGTTTCTTAATAGATTATGGGTAATGTATGTAGCGTTATGTATTCACAAACTACAAAGGAAAAAGGAGCTGCAATGTCAAGTCTAAGACTTTCAAATTCAGCCTAGAAGTGTCAGTACATTAATGACAAATTTGAAAAAGATCTAATAAACATGGTACATTTAAATCATATTATGAATTTTGATTCAGCCAATTGTATTGGGTTTCCCTATTTGTAGCCAATCTGAGTTATTGATGCTTCCACTCTAATTCCCTTGGGACATTTTAATTTCTTGGTTCTCAGTGCACAGAAAGTTGTTCATTCTGGAATCTTTTCCAGTCCAGCTCCTTCTAAGGAAACAACCCTCCCCAGGCACAGGGTCTGTACAAGAGCTTCTAGCCACGTGAAAATGTGCTTGCTGACCCTTTTTTCAACTTTGTTGCCCAACCACGCCTGCTGCCTGCCTAGCATTTTGGCTCTGCCTTTCTCCTTCAACACCACACAGATCAATCTTCCCTGGCACCATCCTTTGCTTTCCTTCTTGGCTCTATTCTACTTCTGTCTGCATATTCAGAAGGAATTCTTATAATAACATCAATCTTGACTGTACCAAGGCTCTAGATGGCTTTCTCATTAGTCTTGGTCTCAAGATGAGGACCCATGAAGAGAGACCAGCAGTGCTTTCCAGCCTTTCAACTCATGCACACTGAATGCAGGGAGAGTAAACTCACACCCACGGGTGGTGCAGAGATGAAGCCTCAATAGCCTGCAAGAGTCTTTCACACTCATATAGGGTTAGTGCAGATTGGCCGTGGGACTATGTCTATGCAGATTCCTTTGCAGTGGAAAACCTGAACATCTCTATGAAGCAGTCCTGAGTCCAATCCAATGCAATCATTGAAACAGTCCCTTTATATACTTCGAAACCCTTAAGTTTTCTCAGTGGCATTTTCATGGACAGGAAAAAGAAGGTTGGAGTGCGTATGACCTTTTGGTGAAGAGTAAGAGTCAGAGTCATTGGGACTGGTATCCTTTGCCATCTCTGCCCTCTGGAGTGAAGTCTCATGTCTATCTAGCAGTCAAGGTTGCAGTGGTTTTGCTTGAGATCTGACACCTCTTATCCCCAGAATCTATACCTACCTTCTCGGGGTAACTGGATCTGACTTTGACTCTCACTGGTGCCATGGATGTCTTGTCTCTACTGTATCTTGCTCAAGACGTTCTCCCAGAGTTTGTGCCAAAAGGTGACCTCATCTCTTAACATAGATGGCCCCTGACAGGGTTGAGTATCTTCTCAGTACTTCATTAGGGAATTTGGGTGTTTTTTTTTCTTTCTTTTTTTTTTTTTTTATACCTCATCTCTGCCACATAGAAACACAATTGACACAGCATGCATCACCTTCAAGATCTCTGTCATGGGCCGGGTGCGGTGGCTGACGCCTGTCATCCCAGCACTTTGGGAGGCTGAGGCAGGCGGATCAGCTGAGGTCAGGGGTTTGAGACCAGCCTGGCTAACATGGTGAAACCCCGTCTCTACTAAAAAAAAAAATACAAAAAATTAGCTGGGCATGGTGGTGGGTACCTGTAATTCCAGCTACTCAGGAGGCTGAGGCAGGAGAATCACTTGAACCCAAGAGGCAGAGGTTGCAGTGAGCTGAGATCGTGCCATTGCACTCCAGGCTAGGCTACAGAGTGAGACTCCATCTCAAAACAAAACAAAAATCTCTGTCTTGAGTTGAATTGTGTCTCCCCAAAAATGAGATGTTGAAGTCCTAAGCCCCGTTACCTGTGAAAGTGAATTTATTTAGACATAGGAGCTTTGCGGATGTGATCAAGTTAAGATGAATCATTAGGTGGATCCTCATCCAATATAATTGGTGTCCCTATTAAAGAAAAAGAGAGAAATCCCATGGGATAAAAGCGGCAGAGATGGGAGTGCTGCAGCTGAATGCTGGGGAACACCGGGAATTTGTGGCCACCACCAGGAGCTAAGACGAGGCTGAGGAGTGGAGCCTCAGCAGGAGTGTGGCCCTGCTGAAATCTTGATTTCCGGCTTCTGGCCTCCAGAACTGTGAGAATAAACTTCTTTTGTTTTAAGCCAGTGAGTTTATGGCACTATCTCATGGCATCATGGGAAACTAACATGGGGCCTTCAAGTATTTTAATCCTTCAGAAACAGGGGGAACTAGGCATTTGACAGTGCTACATCATCTTACATTTTCTCTTCTGTACCCTTAGCTCTTCTGTTTCTTCCCAGCGACCCCAACCCCTCTGCCAAGGAGCATGTGCAAATAAAATTCCAGAACATTCCTGGGGAATCACTCAGTTCTCTACAGCATGAGAATCTCCATAGTCACTGTGGCTTTCCTTTTCTTTTTTACTCCTCATGTTGGGGACACAGTGTAAAGCCATACATGTAACTTCATTATTAATCAAGATATTGGCCAATACTTATTGAACACAGAATCTCACAGTATCTAATTTAAGTGAGAGGGAGATTTAGGGGAAAAAATATGTATTTCTTGGCTTCAAACTTA
Organism: Homo sapiens; assembly: GCF_000001405.40. Taxonomy (NCBI): domain Eukaryota; kingdom Metazoa; phylum Chordata; class Mammalia; order Primates; family Hominidae; genus Homo; species Homo sapiens. Next base: position 106,885,825 of record NC_000013.11, on the reverse strand, counting down.
GAATGCAGGACTGACGCACACGAGAGAATGGATAGCGGTGCAAGCACGGGGTTGAACCAAGGCCGATGACAGGTTCTGACTGGAGTGCTCCAGAGTCTCGAGGGCCAGGAGTGCATGCAAGAAGAGGGGGACATCTGAAGACAGCAGGACAAAACAAGCCATCAAGCAACACAGTCCTCTGGGGCGAAATGAGGCGGACAACAAGAGTCAGGGAGAGACCAGTTAGTCAAAGGGAAGGACTTCAGTTTAGATTCGAAGTAGTCAAAGAAGAAGAAAATAAAATCCTGTCTAGAGACAGGCTCCAGGAGTGAAGTTGACCCATTTTGCAATGCTCTGCAGTCACAGTCTCAAAATTCTTAATCACTTTAGCTTTGGAATTGTGTTGAAATGAAGTCCATGGGGACAGTGGAGCACGCACTGGGGTGTGGAGCCTTCCACCCCTCCCCACCTTCCACTCCTCCCCACCTTCCACCCCTCCCCACCTTCCACTCCTCCCCATCTTCCACTCTTCCCCCACCTTCCACCCCTCCCCACCTTCCGGTGTTCCTGGATGGGTCTGCCCGGTGCTCCCTGGTGCCTCATCCCTGCCCAGCTTCTCCCTCCCCACCTGTATCCTGGGACCCCTGCCACTCCTGCCTGGACAGCAACTGCGTCACATTGATGTGCAGAGGCTCAGTTTCCCCCATGGCTGTCTGCTCCGGGCAGGACTCTGGGCGTGGTGTGGGGAAGTTGGGATCAGGCAGAGTTCCCAGAGAGCCTCAGGTGGGCAGAGGACTGGCTGTCCATGGCTTATTCAGCAGGTGACTCAGGGGGTCCCGCCCTGATCCAGGTGCTGAGAGTGTCTTGGGGTAGATTGTCAGCATGGATTGTGGTGGGCCATGGAAAGGGGGGATTGGCTTCACCCACTGGGGCCCTGAACATGATGAGAAGAGCAGGTTGAGCTCCAGATTCCACAGGGGCCCAGTAAAGATATAGCTGGTCCTGTTCGGAGTAGAGTTAAAGCCTATTTTTTTCACTGTTTACTTCCAAAAATAATGAGATGGGTAATGAGAGTGAAGTCGGCTTGGGGATTGGAGTAGGAGGAGCTCAGAACAGCCTGGACACCCAGAGTGGAGGAGGCCATAGAAAGGGTGGTGATGGGAGGGTCAGTGAAGAGGGCGGACAGGCTCCCAGCGCTGCAGAAATCCTCTTGAACGCATCCTGTGTGAAATCAATTTTGGGTAATAATAGTAATATTTTCGGTTTTTAGACATGAGTTACTATTGCTATTATTGATTAGGTACTCAGATTACTTAAAGCACCGCAGGTAGGTAAAGTTGCGATTGCTCTTTCAGACTATTTTCACCACAAACTTCCAACAGTCGATATTCACGTACTCAAAGAAGACCTAAGAAATGCATGGATGCTCTCCAGTGTCTCTAGTGAGAACCCACTATTGTTTTCCCTAATTTTTTTATTTGCTTTTGCTTTCTTTTAATAATGAATATTTATTTTTAAAAAACTTTTATTATTTGGAAACCTATAAGCAGATCAGAAAATGCCAAAATTAACCTTCCCATTTCAATGTTAAGTCACCAACATGCATATGCTTTATTGTTATAGAGGTGTGTGTGTGTGTGTGTGTGTGTGGATGTGTTTAACACAGAGATAGTCCCTGCAGTTGTAGACCACATCCTGAGCCTAATCTTCTGAAATTTGTTAGAGAGCACATTTGAAAGTATTACTTAGCTGGGAGAAAAGGACAGGCCAAGTTATGAACCAATTCAAATAGAGTAACAACACAAATGTTTTCCTTTCCCTGCTGTCTACCTGGCTACAGGGAACATCTGGCTCTTTCCTGTGAAACTGGAATGATAAAAGTACCTCAGAGAGAAAATGACCTACCCCTGGGTCCTCACTTTGGGAATTTTTTTTTCCTGAGGGACATAATTTCTAAATGATTTATGGGGCATTGATTTGGACAAGAATCAAGTATACTCAATTTTCTGGGAAAATAAAACCACCCCTGGAAAAGTATAAAGCAGGAGAAATTCTTTCATGACGTTACATTAGCAGAAACTAATATCTCTTACTAAATCACTTTGCTCCAGCAGCTTCAAGCATTGATATGAACATGGAATTTGTGAGTACTGCCTACATTCAGAAGTGAGAAAATGTTATCCTCTATGATACCACGACAAAGATGAAAATGTATCCAACTTACATTATACTAATAATCACCTGTGTTGTATGTACTTGTTCTATGCTTGTCTCATATCCCATATGTGTATATGTGTGCTGCATTTGTTGATGTATTTTATTATCAAATAATTTAAAAATGTATTGCAAGCATACTATGTGCTAATTCCTTTACACTGATCCTCCATTTAATTCTTACGGCAACCCTGTATGTAGGCGCTATTGTTAGATGCATTTTACACAAAGGGAGAGTGAAATTACAGAGCCAAGGGGAAGAGTCAGTGTTTAAACCCAAGTTTATTTGTCCTCAAAGTGCATACATTTAAGTAGGTTTATGATCTAAGTACAGCTAAAGATTATTACAGTGCTTTAAATAGAAAATAAAACTTGAAAAACATATATTCCAACAATTCTATTACACTGTATTCTGAATTCCCCATATAGAAGTAAAAAGGAAAAAACAAAACAAAACAAAACAAAAAAACAAAAAACCTTAAGCCAAAAGCCCAGTACCTCCCATTCTTTCCTATCACACACTCCTGGTTCTCCTTCCTTCAAATACTGCTTTGCTGCAAAATGTATTACAACAGAGTGCTTTTGACATGTCTTTTTTTTTTTCCCTAGGGTCCAGATACTAAACATTTACTAATGGAGAAAATACCTTAATTTGGACATTTAAATTATGGGTAAAATTTATGTTATACTTAGAGAATAGAATGAGTCCTGTGGAAAAATTTTTATAAACAGAAAACAATGTTTTAACTTAAATGGGTTTGTTTTTAGTGAAAGTAATACACAAAATGTTTGTAATAACAAAAACAAACAAACAGAAAGCAGGTTATTCAAAGGCTTACAAAGAAAAACCATCTTTCCCTGATACCACCACTCCAGCCCTCCCAGCAGCGCGGCTTCCCACAGGCAACAGCTTGTGAACAGTTGATCTCTTTGATTTTTCTCTTGGTTATCTTTATGTCACTAAATAATATACCAATATTGCTGCCTTGAATAATCAGATTTAAGCCTAATTGATTGATTTCCACCTGAATATGGGTGAGGTTTAGCACATTGAAAAACAAAAGCAAACATTTTAGAGGATCAGGAAAGCCCAAGGGGGCTGTTGCAGACGTCAAGTCGGGTCCAAGTCATGCCCTGTCACACGCGCATGCAGCACCATCAGCCACAAACCAGTTGGAAATCAAAGTCGGTTTTGAAACTGGAGGGAAGGTAACGTCCTCAGTAATCAACTGCTATTGGTACTGCCTTAAAAACCAGGAATGTGACCTCTGGCCTCTCCCAATAATGAAGTCCATCTAGCAGTCCTTCAGGGAAGGCTGAGGCACAGAAAACCAAAAGGATCCTCATTGAAATCCTTTTTCTTTCTACTTTGTTTTAACCCATACACTTTTGCTTGGCTGACTGGATAATCCAGGACTTTTTAAATTCCAGGGCATTGTATGTGCTGGCCAAGAAACCCTACACCAATGCGAAGGCTCCAGGAAGTCGTCTTCAGGAACCAAGTCTATTTTGTAAACAGACAGCCAGCTTTGGATTTAATACAAATACACATAAGCCACCACTTGTTCGTGTTTGCTAATGGTCTTCAGGATTTGGGCCAGAGCTTTAGTTAAAACCTCAATTTAGCCAAAATTAGTATATGCTAACAACAATCACATTATTCTCTGCACTTACAAAGTGATAATTTTTTTTTTAAATACAGTGTTTTATCTTAGGGAACCTATTAAGAAGTCATGCAAGCCATCTTTAAGAAAGAGAGGGTAAAAAATGAGCATGGTTTTGGAAATAGAAATAGAAAAGTGTAGATGGATGAGACCCGAAATAGCTGGGTTTGCTGAGTGGTTCCCAGGACTTATTCTTAGAAACCTTGGGATTATTTGTATGATCTTAAAATAGTTTCAGCAGTCCTGAGATATGGCAAAGCCCAAACAGTTTTGATATGAGAACCAACATAACAATCAAATATTTTTCTGGCATGTTTTATAATACTATTTAAGCAGGGAAAAACAATAACAAATATATAACTGACCTGTCTGCCCACATCCAAGCAGATGTAGGTTGAGTGCCTCAGGCTTGGTTATAGAGATGATAGAGACAGAGACAGAAACAGAGACAGAGAGACATATAGAGATATGTATGATCTCTAACTCCTGGCAAAAAGAAAATGACAAGAAACCTTTGCATCTGTTTCCATCCACGTTGTATTTCATATTAAGAGGACCTTGAACTCCTGGCACTTCAGACAAGTCAGGGCGTGAGAGTCTTGGAGGAGACTTGGACTCTGTTCACTGCCATTTTTCTGACCTTGTCTGCAATAAAATCTACATTATCTGTTCCAAATCTGTTATGCATAAATGTCATTATCACAAAATCAGGAAAATCGGGCTTTTTAAAAAATAGCTTTCTTGAATGCTGATTTATGATACATTTACCCATCAAAGCAGAGACATCAACAAATTTCTATTTCTGAACAATTGTGACTACATGTACACAACTCTGTGATACAGTAGCCAACCAAGCTATCGTAGAGACAAGAACCGGGGGTGAAAGGAGTTCAAATACAATAACAAAGTCACAATCCGGCAATGAGGACCCTCTTCAGCAGAAGAAATAATGTTCAATTAGGTCATTGAAAGCCACACAAAGGCAACCCTGTTTTTCTCAATTGGAAAAAAGTCTTCAACCATAACACAGATGTTATCACTAGACACATTTATATATTTCCTTCTGTGATTTTTCAAACCATGGCATTGTGTGGGGGAAATGATATTGTAATCATCATATGCCATACATTGATTTCTACTTGCTTAACAATGAGTTTATTTATAGGAAAATTTCTTTATATATTATGAATATATGACATATTGGTGGTATCTTATAATGCCGATTATAAACTTCACCTGGATTTGGTTTAAGGTGGAATTTGCTTAGCTAAGATTCATTTATTTTTGTTCTTTTCAATATTTTTCCAGTGGGAGGAAGAAAAAAAATTAAGAGGAAGTGTTAGCACAGGTTTAAACAGTGTGGACATCTGTTGCACATGATGAGCTGAACCGACTTAGAAAATGAGGTCCTCCCAGAGTTTCACATAAAAAGGAGCTCGTCAGAAGCTTTGAAGGTTGATCCCAGCTCCATCACAGAGTTGTGTCTCTTTAGGTGTGTCTCCATTCTAGGACCTCCATTTTCTCTTTAAGTTAACAGTAGCCAATTTCAGAAAGGAGTCAGTGGACTCTCTGACATAAACGACAGACCAAAAAATGCTCTTTCTGGCCGGGTGTGGTGGCTCACGCCTGTAATCCCAGCACTTTGGGAGGCCGAGGTGGGCGGATCACCTGAGGTCTGAAGTTTGAGACCAGCCTGGCCAACATGGTGAAACCCCATCTCTACTAAAAATACAAAAACTTAGCCAGGTGTGGTGGTGGGCACCTGTATTCCCAGCTACTTGGGAGGGTGAGGCAGGAGAATCACTTGAACCCCCGAGGCAGAGGTTGCAGTGAGCCCAGATCATGCCACTGCACTCCAGCCTGGATGACAAGAGAGAAACTCTGTCTCAAAAAAAAAAAAAAGGTCTTTCCTCTTCTGTTGCAGACTTCCCACCACAGGCTGAGCGTATCCTTATCAGTTACAGCACTGCATATTTTTAGAGGCAATTTATGCTCCTTGAGTATAAACACAAGGCATTTGTCCTAGTAGTTAACCAGTTGCCATCATGGTAACAATTTGCCTCTTATGCTATGAAGTCACCAACAACTAAAACTAACAAGATAATACCAGAATTGGACTGTGATTTAGAAACTGTTTACCTAAGGCCGGGCATGGTGGCTCATGCCTGTAATCCCAGTACTTTGGGAGGCCGAGGCAGGTGGATCACGAGGTTAGGAGATCGAGACCATCCTGTTTAACACGGTGAAACCCCATCTCTACTAAAAATACAAAAAATTAACCGGGCATGGTGGCAGGCGCCTGTAGTCGCAGCTACTTGGGAGGCTGACACAGGAGAACGGCGTGAACCTGGGAGGCAGAGCTTGTAATGAACAGAGATCGCGCCACTGCACTCCAGCCTGGGCGACAGAGTGAGACTCAGTCTCAAAAAAAAAAAAAAAAAAAAAAAAAAAGAAAGTGTTTACCTAGATGAATCTGATAGAGTAAAGAAAGTTAGATTTCTCCTCGAAAACTTTGTTCAAAATATTTTCTGTATCCCTGAGGGCTACATAACCTGGAGAGTCACCTCAACATTTGGAAACCTGGCCTGTCTTCCTCATAGTGCAAATAATAACATCTATTGAACCTCTCAAATTCTGAGATTCTCACTTTCATTTAGAATGTGTCTAAACTCTAAAAATATTTGAATGATTCCACAAGAGAAAGAAAATAGAATGGGTATATTAGTCTGTTTTCACACTGCTGTAAAGAAATACCTGAGACTGGGTAATCTATAAAGGAAAGAGATTTAACTGAATCACAGTTCCTCATGTCTGGGGAGGCCTCAGGAAACTTACAATCATGGTGGAAGGCGAAGGGGAAGCAAGGCCCTTCTCCACATGGAGGCAGAGACCTTCTTTCTCGCACTATGAGAGAGAAGAATGAAGGAGGAACTTCCAAACACTTATAAAACCCTCCGATCTTGTGAGAACTCACTAACTACCATGAGAACAGCATGGAGGAAACCACCCACGTGATCCAGTCACCTCCCTCCCTCAACACGTGGCGATCACAGGTCCCTCCCTCCACATGTGGAGATTGTGGGGATGTGGGGATTACAATTTGAGATGAGATTTGGGTGGGGACACAGAGCCAAACCCTATCAATGGGATTCAGTTGCTTCACCAGGTTCAATTTTCCACAAACTAAATAACCGGTTCATTGGTTACGTGACTTCCTAGCTAATTATTTCTGCATTGTTTAGGCACAATCCTGAAGGATCTAAAAAATAGCAGATGCAAGGCCCGCTGCTCATGCCTATAATCTCAACACTTTGGGAGGCCAAGATGGGCAGATTGCTTGAGTGCAGGAGTTCAAGACCAGCCTCAGCAACATGCTAAAACCCCATCTCTACTAAAAATACAAAAATTAGCCAGGCATGGTGGCGTGTGCCTGTAGACACAGCTACTTGGGAGGCTGAGGTGGAAGAATCGCTTGAACCCAGGAGGCAGAGGTTGCAGTGAGCCAAGGTCGTGCCACTGCACTCCATCCTGGGCAACAGAGGAGATCCTGTCTCAAAATAAATAAATAAATAAAAATACAAAATAACAGATGTTTGCCTTTAAATGTCAAAAATGTTCTCCAACAATATTCTTCTTTTCAACATACTCTTAAACCTTTCCTTTCTGAGAAAAAGTCTGACCTTGGGGAAGAATTTCCGTGGATTTCATTTCCATGGTAGCGTGCACATTTTATTGAGTGGTTGGATTTTGTTCTTAGGGATTCCGCTGCTCCTACAGGCATGTTCACACAGGCTGGAGAACTGAGACAACTTGAGAGATAATTCAATATTGAAAATAATTCTTCTTCCCTTCCACTCCCCTTAGATGATACTTTTCTCTTAATTATGTAATTAATTGCCTCAGTTCTTCATTTCTTTCTGATTATAAACACCACAGCCTCAGAGAACAAAAATACTATGATTTTTATATCCACCAAAAATCTGGGCGGTAAACAAAATAAAAAACCTATGACAAAATAAACGCATTGCCAAGGTCCTCAATTATGATGTTTTTGCAGGTAAACAAATATTCATGTATGTGAGATTAATACATCAGTGATGATGGTGGCGAGTGTTTTGAACGGACCGAGTGGCTGGCTGTGCTTTTGTGCTTTATGCTGTGGAACAGGTATCTAAATAGCGCTCTCCCAGCTAGAGGAGATTAAAGGACCCCACAATCGTGGATATGGTCATCTGATCACTGTGATATATGTGGGTGATCCCATGCGCATCCAAGATTCAAATTTTACCGATTAGCCAATGACTCCCACATCTTCATCCCTACACAAGATCTCTATTCTGAGTTTTAACCAATAAATCTGACTCTCTGAAAGACATTTCCTTTGGATATGGGCAGGTACCTTAAGTTATGTTTCAAAAATTGTAATATAATAAAGTCTTTAAAAGTATGGGCTCTAGAGCCAGAAGGTCTGTGTTCAAATACTGACTCTTCCACATTATGAGCTGTGTGACCTTGGTCAAATGACCTACTCTCTCTGTGCCTTAGTTTCTTCATCCATAAGATGGGGGATAATATGGTTTGGATCTGTGTCCCCACCCAAATCTGATGCTGAACTGTGATCCCCAGTGTTGGCGGTGGGGCCTGGTGGGAGGTGATTGGATCATGGGGGTGGCTTCTCGTGGTTTAACACCATCTCCTTTGGTGTTGTCATGGTGAGAGTGAGTTGTCACGAGATCTGATTGTCTATAAGTGTGCAGTGCCTCTCCCCGCTTCCTCCTGCTCCAGTCAGGTAAGAGGTGCCTGCTTCCCCTTCATCTTCCACCGTGATTGTAAGTTTCCTGAGGCCTCCCCAGCTATGCTTCCTGCACAGCCTGTGGAACTTGAGCCAATTAAAACATTTTTCTTTATAAATTACCCAGTCTCAGGTTTTTTTTTTTTTTTTTTTCGAGATGGAGTTTCGCTCTTGTTGCCCAGGCTGGAGTGCAGTGGTGCGATCTCAGCTCACTGCAACCTCCGCCTCCCAGGTTCAAGTGGTTCTCTTGCCTCAGCCTCCCAAGTGGCTGGGATTACAGGTGCCAGCCACCACACTCAGCTAATTTTTTGTATTTTAGTAGAGATGGGGGTTTCACCATGTTGTCCAGGCTGGTCTTGAACTCCTGACCTCAGATGATCCACCCACCTCGGCCTCCCAAAGTGCAGGGATTACATGCGTGATCCACTGCACCTGGTCTCAGGTATTTCTTTATAGCAGTGCAAGAACAGACGAATACAGGGGAACACATAGCACCCTGTTGTAGAGTTGTTTGAGGATTAAATCAGTTAAATTCTACAACAGGCCTAGAGTAAGCCTAGGCATGACACATCATAAACACAATAAATGTCACAGTCTCTTGTTATGAAGATGATGATGATGATGATGATGATGATGATGATTCTCTGTTTCAATGAATAGCAACAAGATTTGACCAGTCATGTAAGTGTACACCTGAATCCACATCTTGGACCAATCACCTATAAGCTCTGTGACCCTGGGCAAGTCACATAACCTCTGTGACAGCCTTAATGTTCTCATTTGGGAAATGAGCCTTATATAGATCGGTAATGCGGATTTAGTAAAACAGTCCATGGACAGTGCTCAGGGCAGTGCCTGGCACGTAGGGAGCGCTCAGTAAAGATCGGCAGTCACCATAAGGACCATTGCTCTTCCTCCTCCTCAGCTCTCACCACTCATTACTTTCCAAGTCTTCTTGCTGTAGCCCTTAAAAACTCCAAAATCACCCTTCTCTTCTTTACCATGTCTCTCACTGTTTAGCACCTTTCATGTCCTAAAAGTTCTTTGTTTCTTTTTTTTTTTTTTTTTTGAGATGGAGTCTCACTCTGTCGCCCAGGCTGGAGTGCAGTGGTGCAATCCCGGCTCACTGCAACCACTCCCCCGGGTTCAAGTGATTCTCCTGCCTCCACCTCCTGAGTAGCTGGGACTACAGGTGCATGCCACCACACCTGGCTAACTTTTGTATTTTTAGTAGAGATGGGGTTTCACCATGTTGGCCAGGCTGGTCTCAAACTCCTGACCTCAAGTGATCTTTATCCCAGCCTCTGGCTCTCCAGAGCATCCTCAGCTCCCCACTAGGATGAGCTCAGGAAGCACAGTCATGCCACTTCCTGCTCCCAGCCCTCCACAGGCTTCCTCTCACTTGCACTGATGGAACATTTCAGGAGAAGCTTGCACCCACCGCAGTCCACCTGACAGCCCACCTCTCCAACTGAGCCATTCCAAACAGTCGCAGCTCCCCATTTGTCCCAAAGGTCTTCTGCGTTTTGCCACATGCCTGTCCCCAAGACAGCAGTGGGCACATGAAAGGATAGAGTGAAATACAACTGGCAACTCCTGCAAGGCATTCTTTTCAGATGTCTGCACTCCGTGCAATTACCATTATTTAAACGTTTAGGCCTTCAAAATCAGCAGTTCTGTAAGGAGCAATCTAATATGACAGAATAGGATACAAATGTCCCACTAATTTTCAAGCTAAAATATAAGACCTCACAAATCCTTTTTGCTTACCAAAGGTTGCTGTGGGCAGTGACTGAAAAACTTAGGGTTTTGTGTTCACTCCTCACTGCCACTAAGGTTATTTCAGGGGAAAACATCGTTCCCAACCATATCATCTGTTTCATGTCCTCTTCTCTGGCCAGCTTGACAGACAGGACACAGCCCACCCCCTGCCCTCGTGTTAGTTGAGCGAGACATCCCTCCGTGTTGGCAGAGAGCACGTTGTGGTCCCTGTCCATCAACACAGGTCTCCCTACCCATCCCTTGTTTGCCTGTCTTTCCTCTATAAACTCCAGAGGTGGGGGTGGTGTCTTATTCGCTTTTGTATTGTCAGAGCTCAGCACGGCCCCTGACGTGATAAAAGACTAAATTAATATTAATCAAAGTTAATGAGTTTCCAAAATACAGCATGTTTCATAAGAAAAGCTACTGGATATCTCACTAAGCTTTTTCTAGACTCTACTTCCCATTCTACTCAATATGCCTCTATCTGCAACAAAGACTCCAAGACACTGCCCACATATATTGTATAGGATGTGAGGCCATGCTTGCTAATGCCACTTTGTAACTTATGGGTAGATGGCAAGAAAGATATTTAAAAATGTTTGAAATAAAAGTTTTAAGTAGTGAGGCTGTGAGTAAACAACCCACCCTTCCAGGGCATAAGGACCTCAGGGTAGAGTGGTTCCTTGGAAAACATTTTGGGTTATGTTCATGTTGTTTATTTTCCAAGAAAAATTAAAGTCAGCACCTTGATTTCTGTCTCCGTTTAGACTCCAGAGACTTGCTGCACTCTCTGTTACCCGGAACTACACCCTTTTGAAGGCAAATTGCCAAAAAAAAAAAAAAAAAAAAAAAAAAAAACTTTTTAAATTTGTTTTTGTGGTTTTGTTTTGGAGAGTGGTATTCTTTCCCCCTTTGTCCACATTTGAGTTACAATAGCTGCAACAGTGGCCAAGCTGATAAGAAGAGAAAACCTTGTAAAGGAACAAACCTTGAGCAAGAAAGGAAATTACCAAATAGGGAATTTTCATTCTTCTAAAATTAAAAACAGCCTAAATTAAAGCAGCATGCTGGGAAACCTCCTCAGATTGTTTTTAATAAGCTTTTAAAGACAGTAGAGAGATGATCCTGTAAATAGAGCAAAACAATCACGCTTCTTCACCCAATTCATCACCAAGAGGAGCTCCTTCCTTTCAAGAACTGCCCTTCACCAGCAGGCTCAAGCCCAGATTGTTCTCCAGTTCTCTGGTCCTTTTAAGAGAGACATCAACAAAGTTGGGCATGAAATTACAGTGCCTGATAACAAAGCAGTTCAAAGAAGACTTTGATAAGGAATTTTGGCTTCTGTTGAATGGAAGGTCTACAGGCTAGTTTGTTCTTATTTGGAGCTGGTGTGGGTAAGGACAGAGAATACAGCAGGGAGGGGAAGCAGATGCAGAAAATTCAGCCAATGAGCAGTACCTTCCTGGGACTCTTGGCATGCTGGGTGTCCACGTGGGGAATTCTAGAGACAGTGTCCAGGAGTAGGCAGCCCTGTGGGATCTGGAGGGCTCAGCATGGTTCCCTTAATTCAAAGACTCTCCCTTCTTTCCATCTTCCCTTTCTATTTTATTTTATTTATTTTTCGAGACAAAGTCTCACTCTGTCGCCTAGGCTGGGGTGTGGAATGCAGTGGCACCATCTCGGCTCACTGCAGCCTCCACCTCCCGGGTTCCAGTGATTCTCCTGCATCAGCCTCCTGGGTAACTGGGATTACAGGCATGTGCCATCACGCCTGGCTAATTTTCATATTTTTAGTAGAGATGGGCTTTCACCATGTTGGCCAGGCTGGTCTCGAACTCCTAACCTCAGGTGATCTGCCCACCTCGGCCTGCCAAAGTGCTGGGATTACAGGCGTGAGCCACCGCGCCCAGCTCATCTTCCCTTTCCTGTTTAGATTACTTGACAATAAGATCAAAATGCTAAGAAAGACTTATTTCTGTAAAAATCAGTTGACTTGAGCAATTCAGAAGATGTACATATCAAATTTCGCTTTTCTCTACTTATCCACTTCCTTCAAACCCAAATGACAATGAAGTCATTGCCAAAGACGTCAGCTGAGATGCTATAGTCATATTGTCTCATTGCACCTCAGACTGTCTAAGCATTTCATAAAAACATGCATTTTTAAATTTTCTGTTATTGCAGTTGCTTTATCCTTACTCAGCTTACATCACAACAGGAGGAGGATGCAAAGGGATGGGACTCAGTTCCACATAAGGCATCAGGTCCAGCTTAAAAACCCTGAAATTCTGCAGTTCTTACATCTCTTTTCAATTTGATAAAACTGAGAAACCATAATTAGTTTACCTAAATCCTTTTGAAATTAAATATTAGTTTAAAAACATGGCTAAATGGACCCATTTCCATGAAGACAGCACCTAAGGTTGTATGTCAACAAGCCTCCTAATTTTGGTTCCTCAAGAACCTTAAAGACAAGTGTCGAAACCTTGCAGCTAAGTTTCTTATTTTTTTTTTTTTTTGAGATGGAGTCTTGCTGTCTTACCCGGGCTGGAGCACAATGGCATGATCTTGGCTCACTGCAACCTCCGCCTCCTGGGTCCAAGTGATTCTCTTGCCTCAGCCTCCCAAGTAGCTTGGACTACAGGTGCATGCCACCACGCCAGGCTAATTTTTGTATTTTTAGTAGACACGAGGTTTTACCATGTTGGCCAGGCTGGTCTCGAACTCCTGACCTCAGGTGATCCACCCGCCTCAGCCTCCCAAAGTGCTAGGATTACAGGCAAGAGCCACCACCCCGTCAAACCTTGCAGCTAAATTTCAATAGGAGCTTTCTTGTTTGTTTGTTGTTTTTGTTTTACTAATAGGGCTCTCTGAAAGTAGACTTAATTGTACCTTTGTAGGTCACTCCTCCTTACGAAAGACAGGGTTGTCTGGAAGCCAAAATTCCTTAGCTTCTACTTCATTGGTAATCACAAACTGCAGCCTCATGAAAAGAAAATAGCTCTATCTTTTCAGACAAAAAAAAAAAAAAAAAAAAAAAAACTGGCCAGGAATAAGTTTCCAATGACTAGGCTGTCCTCCGAATCATGTGATGAGGAGATTATAATTTTCTATACTTTCCGATGTACTAAATTATTTGCCAGAATAATATCTGTATTGGATGTGAATAATTCAAGGTGTTATAACCTTTTTTTTTTTTTCTGGTGGCCATACACTAGAGCTATTCAGCAAAAGTGCTACTCTTCAACCACCTGATCAAAATATGAAAGGTGGAATCTTAGCAGAGTGATTCTGTCCAGTCTTGCTAATTGGGGTTGGGGTGGTGGGGAATCTGTTTTGGAGGATCGTGGCATGCACATGACCCTGTATCAACATTCCCTGCAGTGTTCTCCCCAGTGACGAGAAAAGACAGGACAGGAAGGATTTTGCCAGGTCCTAGGAAGGGCTTAAAGGTCCCTAAAACTAGCCAAAATATGTTCTATGGAGTAATTAGGGTAAACATCCAAATAAAGCATTTCTTGCCAGAAGTAAGGGAGTGCTTTTTCTCAGTTTCAGTGTGTCACCAAAGCAGGACATGAATCCAAAACATAATCCCAGAAAACAGTGGATTGCGTTCTTACAAAGTTTAAAGAAACAGTAATAGAGAAGTCTGTTCCAATAATGGCTGAGTCTAGAGCAAGAAAGTCCTTATATCTGTCCAGGTAATTTTTTTGTTTTAAACATTTACCTTTGTATAGTAAAACATCACACTGTTAAAAAACTGATTCTTCACAAATGGTACAATTAGTAAGCATTTTTAAATATTTTTTTAAAGTAACATTAAAATAATCAGCTAATAATTGTTCTAAATTATCCATGGCTGGCAATTCACCTTAACTGAAACTTCTGAGTTATTTTAATATATACAACTAAGTGGCAGCTATTATCAATATAGCGCCAAAAAAGAAACACCTTCTAGAAGGTATGCCTTGCAAATTTAATCTTATTATATTAACTGACAAAATCATAAGTAATAAGTAGAGCAAAGCAAGAATAAATGTTGAATGGTTACATTCATGAGTGAATTTAAGGCACTCACAATCCAGTATTTGTATGAAAGAACATGATAATAAAGAAAACCATGTTCCTTAATGAAACTGGTATTCTTTGAACATGTTACTGAGAAGATTTAAACAGAAACTCATATTTTAAATATACTTGTAAAGTGATCTATAATTACACAGGAGAACAAAGCGCTGTAAAAGCCAGCATCCTGTCCTAGAAACAAAATGTCTGCTACATCATTGCTTAGAACTTAACATAATTAATACCTATGACCTCAATTCTGCAAAGTATTATTATTTCTATTTTGCCTATAGGGGAGTGCTTTGTAAAAACTCATTTATAACACCAGGAGTGGCTATGTATTATTGAAAACTGAGTCAAAAGTAGCTTGCCTAAGGCCACTCATAATAACTGGTCCAGAAAGAAGAAAAATCCAGGAGTGCCACACTATTCATGTTCTCTTTTAGCTTATTTGAATAATATTTATAATACATTTAAATATATATTCTTCTGTGATTTAGTTAAGATTACCTACCAGTCAAGCCTTTGCTATCAAATTTGAACTTCTCTCCAACCATAAAAATATGGACTATGGGTTGATTAGAAAAGAATATCATGAGAAAAAATTATGATATCAGCGATATTCTTCAGAGTCTATAATTTTAGATGCCATGCTAATGGGGAAGACAAAGACCCATCATGAATGGTCTTGAACTGGAAACTAAAGATTATGGGTCTTTATTAAGAATAAGATCATTGTAAATGTTTCTTACGACTCTTGTGATTATATTTAACAAATTTAAATTTATTAATTTGATTATATTCATCATTGAAGTTCCTCCCAAGCCTTTATTCTCTATCTCATTTTGTGGTACAACTATCTCTTCATAATCCCAAGTCATAAACCTAGACCTTAGGATCCTTGACTTTTCTCCCTCAGCTTCTGTAACTCACTTCCAAAGTATTTTTCAAATTCTTCCTCTCCTTTGTATCCTCATCCCATCGATCCCTTCATTGGCATCCCAGCTGCTCCTCGGCGTCCAGTTTTGCACCCCCTAATTCCACCTTCCTCCATTTCACATTACACCGAATGGAGTGAGGGGAGCTGGTTGGGTGACCACAAAGAATTCAAGCTGAATGTGCCCGCTGGGATACAGTGCTGAAGAGTTTGAGACTTTCAATGTCTTCCAATAACCTGTAATAGAAGATCCCGACTCCGGGACACCCTGTATGAAGGTCTCCATGACCTGGCCATGAATATCTTCCTTTCTTCCATCCAAAGGTTGATCCATGCACATTATTCCAGCAGACTCCCTGCTTCCAGTTGGGTTCTGCTGATAGGGAGTACAGGGCAATTGGCGAAAGGAAAGAGAATGCTGTCAGAGTACCTCTCCCCTAACCTCTCCCTGCGGGCTCCCATAGATCTGGCTTCCCCTCCCCAGCTGAAGCCTACACCCCTTTCTCATCAGGCAACCCTTTTCATAGAGTACTCTGTCTCCAGAATCTGGGAGAGCTTCATGCCTAGCAGCAGCAGCACTGCCCTCCTACCTGTGGGTCTGTGCTACCTCTGCATTTTCCCTGCACTCTTCCCACATCTCCGCACACAGTCCCTTTATTACCCGTCTCACCTGGTATCCTGGTCCATTGCTAAAGGCTCACTGCTAAAGTTAGCCTTCTGGTCACTCTCTTCTGTTTCCAATATCCACTGATCCTTTCTCCTGCCTCTTGCCAATACCTCTTTCTTAATATTGAAGAGTGCTCTAATTAACTGTGTGTATACTGCATAAATGAGTTTTCATAAAACAATATTATTTCTCCAAGTATTTGATTGTGCATTGCTAATGTATACATGTAATGTCTCTTTCCTGTACAATTCCAGAAAGTCTCTTATTTGTGAAATCTTGGGATCTACCAACACTCTGAAAATTGAAGTTTTTTTTTTTTTTTTTTTTTTTTTTAAGATGGAGTCCCACTCTGTCACCCAGGCTGGAGTGCAATGGTGGGATCTCGGCTCACTGCAACCTCCGCCTCCAGAGTTCAAGTGATTCTCCTGCCTCAGCCTCTTGAGTAGCTGGGATTACAGGCTCACACCACCATGCCGGGCTAATTTTTGTATTTTTAGTATAGATGGGGTTTCACTATGTTGGCCACGCTGGTCTCATACTCCTGACCTCAGGTGATCCACCCACCTCAGCCTCCCACAGTGATGGGATTACAGGTGTGAGGCACCTTGCCTGGCCTAGAAAATTGAAGTTCTTGGCCGGGCATGGTGGCTCATGCCTGTAATCCCAGCACTTTGGGAGACTGAGGTGGGAGGATCACGAGGTCAGGAGATCGAGACCATCCTGGCTAACACGGTGAAACCCCGTCTTTACTAAAAATACACACACACACACACAAAAGAAAATTGAAGTTCTAACTCTAGAGTTCCTCCACTTTCCCACTGGTGTGTCATGTTGGATAATCCATCTGATTAACTCAGTGTTTTCTTTGGCAAAATGACTTAATATGAGGATTAATGGGAAGATTTATGTTAATTTATTATCCCAAGTTCTATTAATGTTAAACTTTTTAAATAAAATTTACTCCCTTTTACATTTAGGTTATCAATATTCTTATTAAATATTATTTTCTTTATTCTATTATAGGCGAAAAAGGAATTCGTATTACTTTTTTTTTGGAGATGGAGTCTGGCTCTGTCGCCTAGGCTGGAGTGCAGTGGCACGATCTCAGCTCACTGCAACCTCTGCTTCCTGGGTTCAAGAGATTCTCCTGATTCTCCTGCCTCACCCTCCTGAGTAGCTGGGGTGACAGGTGCGTGTCACCACGCCTGGCTAATTTTTTTGTATTTTTAGTAGAGACAGTGTTTCACCATGTTGGCCAGGCTGATCTCGAACTTCTGACCTTATGATCCGCCCGCCTTGGCCTCCCAAAGTGCTAGGATTACAGGCGTAAGCCAATCTGCCTAGCCTTCATATTACTTTTAATAGTGCCTAGTCATATTCTATTCATTGATACACGATTATAGATATAAGTGTCTGATACAAGACCGTGAAAACCTGGACTACAGAGCGTTAAGGAAAAGCCCAGCTCAATGCCCTCACCAAAACAACGCCGAACTATGAAATTGTTGCTGTGTGTTGGACACCCTGCTTGGTGGGTCATACCACTAAATCCTCATCACATCACTGTAAGGGAGGCACATTCTCCTATTTATAGAAAGAAACCAAGTATTAGAGAGGTTAGGTGACTTATCCAAGGTCATAAACTGCTAGGAAGCTGAGCTGAAATCTTAACTTTTTCTGGTCCCAAAGACATCTTCCTACGACATGGTTTCCTAATTGAGCATCTACAACTTCCGAGGCATTATCTTTCATGAAAACTGCAAGGGTTGCACAGATAAGAGTTTAGACTGCTGCCCTAAATGACCATAAAACGTTAAGGATTAGCTCTGCCAAGATGCAATCCAAATAAAAATAAGAGCTGTGTTTAAGAATTCTAAATATTAGAATTGTCACGTCAATGATTTGTAGTTGTGCCAAGTGTTGGGAATGGAGGAGGTAAAATACTATCACCTCCGCATTAACGGATCTGTCTGCTTGGAGCCTCCTAAATTAAAAATGCAATAAACACCTCCTTTGACTTAACGTTAGTCTAAGATTTTTTTCTGGTTGTGTTTAGAAACTTCACAAGGGAGATCTTTGCTCTCCCACGCAGAGTTACAGTTTTGCTGAAGCTTCTTCAATATAAAAGAACGCAAGCCCTTGCCTTTGCAGCTCCTCCCGGCTTCCTCATCATCTTTGATGACTGCCTGTTCACAGCAGGCCAGCAGGGTACGTTTCTGCATGCGTCTGCTCAGATAATTTAATTTACTAACATGAAGGTTACCTAAGGAACACTTACTCCCTTTCACCGCATGAAGCGAAAGGATTTTGTGTCATTCTGCCAGGAGGGAGAAAACAAAAGACAGAAAAATTGCCAGACCCGTCCTGGTACGGCAGGAACGTAAGCAGAGAGAAGGAAACGCCACTGGACAGTCACAGCAAACGTGCCCTGGTGGCTACAGGCTTCAAAGGGCAGCGGCTCCAGGGACTCCGGGCCCCCCTTTCTGTTTAATTCTCTCACTTTTGTTTCTAATTTAAGCTTTCTTCTTTTCACTCTGGCTTCCTCATTCTTTCAGCGTCCCCCTGTCATTGTCTCTCTTGTTTTTTTCACATTTTTCACTTTATTTTTTTTAACACAAATAATGTTAAAAAGAAATTTAAAGGATACTTTTTAAAAAGTTAAAAGAAATTACCCTTTTATGCTTTCTTCTCATTTTTCTTTTCTTTCTTTTTCTTTTTTTTTTTTTTTGAGACGGGGTCTCGCTCTGTCGCCCAGGCTGGAGTGCAGTGGCGCGATCTCTGCTCACTGCAAGCTCCGCTTCCCGGGTTCACACCATTCTCCTGCCTCAGCCTCCCGAGTAGCTGGGACTACAGGCGCCCACCACCACGCCTGGCTATTTTTTTTGTGTTTTTAGTAGAGACGGGGTTTCACCGTGTTAGCCAGGATGATCTTGATCTCCTGACCTCGTGATCCACCCGCCTCGGCCTCCCAAAGTGCTGGGATTACAGGCGTGAGCCACCGTGCCCGGCCACTTTCTTCTCATTCTTAATCCATAGAAATATATCAGTGGCCGTAGTACCTATAAAGTGTCGATAAACTTGTGATCTGCTTTCACACTCAGCGTTCTTTTGTGGACACTTTTCCTTTCCTGTAACATGATTCTCTTGTGTTATTATGTCATACCTATTGCACTCACATCCCTCTTTCTTTTTCTTGCCCCCTTCCTTTGTACATGCTCAAAACTCTCTGCTTTAGTTTAATCTCTGCTACAGCTGGGTGTTCCATTTGCCCTGCTGGCAGGTGGTGGAAAATTCTAGTGTAACTTTGCTCTAGCTGTGTTTGAAAGCTGATTTTAACTACCCGTGAATGAAGTACACCTATTTCTATTCACAAGCTATTGGGGCACATTTTGAAAAGTATCAGTGGTATGGTAATGTGGCAAACATAAAACCATGACAATCTTCACCTTAAACACTACTTGACTGCTCACAGACAGTTCCTATTTCTTGCCCACAAAATGATTCTAGGCAGAGGCTGATAAGGGTTATGGTTCATTTTGTCTGGTCGGATATATAAAATGTGGGCTGTGTATGTGTTATGTCAGTTATTTTAAAAGCTTTTGCCATTTCTCAAACTTTCCCTCTGCTTTCAGGATGCTCATGACATAATTCAACTCTAGTTTTTCTTGATCTGCGGAAATGTTTCTGGTTTCAATTCTTGAATAATTTTCTTCATTAAATGAAACTGTATATTTATTTGTACAACTTGCCTGGAAACAGAAGGCCAAACAAGAATAAACTGGACCTTGTGATAAGCATTTTATCTCCTCCTGTCATCATGAACCAGTATTTCCTGTGTTTCTGTGTGCCATGCCATGCTATCTAATAATGCTCTCACATTTCACCTGATATTGTGAGTAAACCCAAGACACAAGTTGCTCTATTCTTATGGCAATGAAATATAAGCCAACAAAATGAGCAGTGACATTGTAGTTAAAGCTCTGCAATCTCTAACCCATGAAGACAGGTTTCTAGAGGGGAAAAAAATGGCCAACTCATGCACCAGGCATATCATTTATTTCTTATTGTATTTTATTTCCCAGGACTAACCCTCAACCCTTTAATAAACACATTATGTAATTTCCCACAACCCCTACACCCAAGTGAAAAGTAGATACAGTAATATAACCAGAAACAGAAACACAAGTTGCATTGAAAAACTTTCCCATTGCCCCACTTAACTGTTCCAAAACGAAAGTATTATTAGAAAATAAGAGTGTGATACTATTTGATTTTTCTTTTTTTTTTTTTTGAGATGGAGTCTTGCTTTGTCGCCCAGGCTGGAGTGCAACGGCATGATCTCAGCTCACTGTGACCTCCGCCTACTTGGTTCAAAGGATCCTCCAGCCTCAGCCTCCCGAGTAGCTGGGATTCCAGGCGTGTGTCACCACACCCAGCTAATTTTTGTATTTTTAGTAGAGACAGGGTTTCGCCATGTTACTAGTTTTTATATTTTTAGTAGAGACAGGGTTTTGTCATGTTACTCCTGAGCTCAAAGTGATCTGCCCACCTTCACCTCCCAAAGTTCTGGGATTACAGGCGTGAGCCACCACGCCCTACCTACTTGATTTTTCAAGGTAAAATCATCACTTTCGTGTAAGCATAAAATGAACACAGTAAGGATTTTATTTAACTCAATAATATAGGAGGGAAGCAGTAAGATGTTAAAGCCAGTTCAAAAAGAACTTAAAGAATATATATGTAGGCAACCAGTAATGCCAACATAAATTTACCAATAGACACAAGATGAATTAATGTACAATAGGGAAATGAAATGCAGTATTTGGATCATTTTATCTATAAGGTAGGAATCAGCTACATTTCTACTGAACAAAGTTCACTTGCTTTGCTACCAACAAGAATCATTGGCACTAATATCTTAACTTCCACCTCTGAAGACTTTTAAAATGGCCTAGTCCATAGAAAGGCAAGGAAATGTTCACAGTCCTATAAAATCAGTGCCCAGAGAGTTAGCTAGACCTACACTGTTTAATACTATAGCCACTAGTTACATATGGCTATTTCAATTAATTAGGCTGTGCACGGTGGCTCACGCCTGTAATCCCAATACTTTGGAAGGCTGAGGCGGGTGGATTACCTGAGGTCAGGAGTTTGGGACCAGCCTGGCCAACATAGTGAAACCCTGTCTCTACTAAAAATAAGCAAAATTAGCCGGTTATGGTGGCATGTGCCTGTAATCCCAGCTACTCAGGAGGCTGAGGCAGAAGAATTGTTGAACCTGGGAGGCAGAGGTTGCAGTGAGCCGAGATCATGCCACTGCACTCCAGCCTGGGCGACAGAGTGAGACTCTCTCAAAAAAAGTAAAATAAAATAAAGTTAAATTAATTAAAATCAAATAAAATTAAAACTTTAGGCTTTGCAGACACTGCCACCACTGGGCGCCTCATACTGCCAGCCATGGTCAACCCTACTGTGTTCTTCGACATCACCGTCGATGGCGAGCCCTTGGGCAGCGTCTCCTTCGAGCTGTTTGCAGAGAAGTTTCCAAAGACAGAAGAAAACTTTCATCTTCTGAGCACTGGAGAGAAAGGATTTGGTTATAAAAGTTCCTGCTTTCACAGAATTATTCCAGGGTTTATGTGTCGGGGTGATGACTTCACATGCCATAACAGCACTGGTGGCAAGTCCGTCTATGGGGAGAAGTTTGTTGACGAGAACTTCGTCCTGAAGCATACAGATCCTGGCATCTTGTCCAGGGCAAATGCTGGACCCAGTACAAATGGTTCCCAGTTTTTTACCTGCACTGCTAAGACCGAGTGGTTCGGCAAGGTGAAAGAACGCATGATTATTGTGGAGGCCATGGGGCGCTTTGCGGGGAATGGGAAGACCAGCAAGAAGATCGCTGTTGCTGACTGTGGGCTACTCTAATATGTTTGACTTGGGTTTATCTTAACCAGCAGACCATTCTTTCTGTAGCTCCAGAGAGCACCCCTCTACCCCATTTGCTCGCAGTATCCTAGAATCTTCGTACTCTTACTGCAGTTCCCTTTGGGTTCCATGTTGTCCTTATTCCCTTTCATGCCTAGCTGGATTGCAGAGTTAAGTTTATAATTATGAAATACAAACGAAATAACAATTTGTCAAAAAAGAAAATCAGTTCCTCAGTGACAGTAGCCACATTTCAAATGCTCAAAAGCCACTTGTGGCTAGTGGCTACCGTACCTTTCTGAGATTACAGAAAGTTCTACTGAACAGCACTGCATAAATCAATAGCCACTACTCCATTAAAAGGATACCCAGTAACCCCCTCTGCTAATTTCCAAGTCTTTGATTATTTTTCCTGACGAAACAAAATAAGCAATGGCAATAATGATATGGAGTAGGGACTCTGAAGGAATAATAGCTGGTATTTATTGAGTACCAATGATATGTCCGGCATTGTATCAGACAGTTTACCTAAATTACCTAAGTGGGCTTTCACAATTTATGTATATTATCTAATTGAGTCCTCACAATAACTTGGCCCCATTTATTAGTTTAGGAGAGGCTCAAAGGGATTAAAGTAATTTGAGGCTTCATAATCTAGACATTATTTAATGAAGCCTCACAGTAACTATACTTATTAGTTGGTGACTCAGATACTCAAAGAGATTTAAATACTTTGCTCAAAACCATACAACTATTAAGGGGCTGAACTAGTATTTGATCTCACATAGGGTGCAGATAACAAGTATAACTAATAAAAATACACCTAAGGAAACTGACCTACCCAGGTGGACTTAAGCCACTTTTTATAGAGTATAGCATGGTGGCCTGGCTACTGCAGGAGAATGTGAGAAGTGTTATCCCAGCCTTCTCTCGCTCTTTTTTAAAAAAAATTATTATTTCCATAGGTTATGGGGGAACAGGTGGTGTTTGGTTGCATGAGTAGGTTCTTTAGTGATTTGCAAGAGTTTGTTGCATCCATCACCCAAGTAGTATACACTGCATCCAATTTGTAGTCTTTTATCCCTCACCCCCTTCCCGCCCTTTCCCCTTGAGTCCCCAAAGTCCACTGTCTCATTCTTATGCCTTTGCATCCTCATAGCTTAGCTCCCACTTATGAGTGAGAACATACAATATTCTGTTTTTCATTTCTGAGTTACTTCACTTAGAATGATAGTCTCCAATCTCATCCAAGTTGCTGCAAATGCCATTAATTCATTCCTTTTTATGGCTGAGTAGTGTTCCATTGGTTGTATATATCACAGTTTGTGTATCTACTCATTGATAGATGGGCATTTGGGTTGATTCCACATTTTTGCAATTATAAATTGTCCAGCCTTATGTCCAAGGCTGTTGCTGAACCAACCCCAGGGTATACTGTGTTCAACTGACTGTATTGTAGCACTTACACCATTGTGGTATATTTCTCATGAAATGTCTCTCTCTCCAATTAGACCTTGAATTACTCCAAGATAGAATCAGAGAAAAATCCCACTGACTTATATCACACTGACTAGTACATAGCTTTTCAGTAATGTACGTGATGGGTTCTGGACACACTACCTGCGTATGGGACCCTAGCACACTGAGTATCTTAAGCTGAAGAAAGCTGAGAAAACTGCAGAAGCTGGAAGATTCTCTGACCTTCTCTTGTCCCTACTGTCCTGAAGCAGGTCATAAAACTAGCTGACCTATCCTTGAAGTAGGTCATTTTCCTCCTCCCTATACCCAGAGGAAAAGAATGTTCTTATTCTCAAAGACTCAATGACACCCAGACGAATCTGAACAAACAGGGCTAAGTTCCCCCAAGTTTATTACCAGTAGGACACTCCTTTTGTCCTCCAATCATACTTCTGCAAGACTGTCCATAAAAATACACTTCTCCTCTTTCCTTTGGGTCTTCATTTTTAAGGAATCCTGTGTGATTAAAACCATAAAGTTGTACACTTTTCTCTTTTAATCTTTCTTTTGTTATCGGGAATCTCAGCTATGATTCTTGTAATGGGTGAGAAATCTTTTTCTCTGCTACATTTGCTAATAATATAATCTCTTCTATTTTTATATGCCTGCCCCCTGACATCATCCCATCTTCTCCCAAGTTGCCCCACACTAATATTAAAGAGTCACAGATGGCTGGTGTAAGAGTTAAAAATAAATATCTTTTCTTTGCAACCATAGGTTCATGGCTGAGGCCCCTATAACAAAAGGCAGATTAACAAGAAAAAGCATACAGATTGATTTAAGTACTACATGATATGGGAGTCTCTGCATAAAGGAAGACCCAAAATAAACAGGTAAACGTGCATTTTTGTGCTTACGTTTGATAAAGAGTAGACAGTTGTGGAGAAATATGATCGGACCAAAAGTGTGTGACCTAATGGTAATAAACTGGGAGAAAGTTAGCGAGACCTGTTTGTTCAGATTTTTCTCTATGTCATTGTGTTTTCAGAGATAAAGACACCAGTGCGCTGGCTCAAGCCTGTAATCCGAGCACTTTGGGAGGTCAAGACAGGCAGATCACCAGGTCAGAAGTGCAAGATCAGCCTGGCAAATATGGTGAAACCCCATCTCTACTAAAAATACAAAACTTAGCCAGGCGTGTTGTTGCATGCCTGTAGTCCCAGCTACTTGGGAGGCTGAGGCAGGAGAATCACATGAACCTGGGAGGAAGAGGTTGCAGTGAGCTGAGATCGCACCACTGACTCCAGCCTGGGTGACAGAACAAGGCTGTCTCAGAAAAAAAAAAAAAAAAAGAGAGAGATAAAGACATTTCTTTCCTCCAGGTGTAGATGGGCACCTCTGGCATGAAGATCTTATGACTTGCTTCAGGGGTGAGGGGCGGGAGAAAAGTCAGAATGACTTTCCTAGGTTTTATAGTTTGCTTCAGGTAATAAGGGTGAGGGGAAGGTGAGAGAGGCCCTTCTGCTACTGCTGTTTTCTCAAATGCCAAGGTGCTATGTTTTGAGGTGGCACGTCCTGAACTTTATCAGTGGACAATTTGCTAGGTGTATAATCCTTGCTTCTACTACTGTTTTACTTCTGCAACTATTGGACAATATGGTAGCATCAAATGATGGACAGGCATCAAATAGACTATCTCCATCATCACAGGTCACAAAGCTGTGAGATTTGGAGGAAATTATTTAAATTCTTAGGGCTTAGTTTTTGTTTGTAAGCTATGGACAAAAATCAAACCTATATTATAAAGTTTATTGAATAATTTAATGAGATAATATATCTAAAAAGCTTAATACAATGTCAGTTATATAGATCCAAGAAACATTGTCTATTAATATTGTTATTCTGGGTCAAATAATTATAATTTCATAATTTTTTTCCATGTTGGCATTCATATAACTTTTAAGAATACAGATTGACATGAAAAACTTATTTTCAAGAGTTTTAAAGAATAGAAAATGTAATAAAGGATTGATGAGACAGTACCATTGTGACTATCCACCTTAATACATTTTCTCGGATAAAAACGTACACGTCTAAAACTGTCCCACACTGGCTATCTCAGTGAAAAAACAAGACTGACCGATATATGTGAAATACCAGAAGCAACGTGATTACATGAGAATTCTGCTGGAAAACTGAGCTGAGTGATTTGTGGCTTAAAAATACCTGACTTTTTGAGCATTTTAATTTATGTTTTAACTTCTTTTTTTAATGAGGACAATGTGGAGGTTTGCTTTAACCAGAATGGAAATGACTTATTATTTTTTTTCCCTAGATGTCGTGGTGCTGTTGCTTAGATTGAAATGAGGAGGAAGAAAACAGGGAAGCAGGTGAAATGAGAAGGCAATCAAATCAGCAGCTGAGCTTTAGGAAACCATTTCAAGTATTGAGCAAAGCAGTGGAAGAGATGGGAGGGGAGAAACATTCTTGGAAATTTGATAAGAGGGGGACGATTGCCTCAGGAGGTAAATACAAGAGCGAGTGTACAGTACTCTGCTTTCTCATACACGCACGTGGTTAGGCTGAGGATTTCCAGGGCCTTTTCTAAAATGAAGGAATCTCCTGAAGCAGTTGGGCTGAAGCACAGATCCCCAACCCTTGAAACCTGAGCAGGCCTAGAAGCAGAGCCCAAGGATGAAATCCTAGCATGCTTATCAGCTGCACAATCTCACCCTTAGCAAATTCTGTGTTTGCCAAACACCTTGTTCCTGTATATACAGCTCTGAAAGGGAATGCCCTCTCATTTTCAACATTCTGGGGCTAATGTTCTGCATCAGTCAGGGCTGCCATCATGGATCCGACATTCTTCCTTTTCAATCCACGTGAGTTTCCTTTTTTCATGATGTGAGCAAATTGAAACCTGTGTGCTAGTACCTTGCAAAACATACCCCACCACAGAGAAGGTTTCTGATTAGCCTAGTCCTGTTATAATCATTGGTTTTGCAAGAGTAATTCCGGAAATGTTCTCAATACAACCTAATTCCCACACGCGCAATGAAACACAGGAGGATTTTGCAGGTAGATATTTAATATACAAATAGTCCAAAGAGCTGTTCAAACGCATTTTGAGGATCCAGCTACTTAAATACGTGAGGATCGTTGCCAAGAAACATTGTAGTATTCTTTTTCTCTCCAGAAATGCCGAAGATAATTGTCTTTTAAAGGTAAGAAGATACTTGAAACCAGATCTGCCTGCATTCCAAGCCCTACAGGTAGTCTGAGACGTTTATGATAATGAAACCCTCCTTTAGTCATTTACATTTCTTTAGTGGTTATTTATGCAAATGCACAGATTTTTCACTACCTAGAAACAGATTCACGGATGAGTGAATCTCCTCCTCCTAAAGAAAACATTCCAGCCCTTCTAGCCAGGAAGTCTCGAAAAGAATATTTGTTGGGTTGATTATAAGCTACTTTGATATCCTACTACACTGAGTTTTGGAAAATAAATAACTATATTTGTGACTGTAGCAGAACTGAGCCTTCAGAGGAATCACATTTTCACATAAAGAAGCAATTCTAGTATTTTAAAAATCGTTGTAAGAACCTCATATTACTCAGTGGATATAAAAATTAAAAGTCCTCAGTGTCTCTTCCACACACATCTCCAACATAAGGAGAGACATCTCAAAGGAAAAAACAAGCAAATAAAACGTGTACGCAGTTGTCTTTTGCTTGAAATGTTAGCAGAGAAAGGCCTGGTAAGGTTTCTGCTCAGAGAAAATGTGGTGGCCCCCTGGGATGGATCCCGGATTGTGGAAGGTTACTGATACAAGTTGGGTGGGGATGATATTGGAATCACCCATCCAACACAGAGAAAACCATACTCATATGCACTAGAAAACCAGTGAAGAAACAAAAATTATAATGAGTTCTGGCTTATTCTCAACCATGCCAGAAATAATGGTTTCTAATTTGATACACTGTCGGAATCATATGAATGTATCACTTAGGAATCAAGTTGTTTCATGCCATTTCACTCACTGATGAAATAATCATTTAAATAGATATGAATGATGGTTAAAAGAATTTTACTTCTGCCTTTTTATTGTGATAGATGGCTCCAGGTAAGCCTGGTTTGCTTGATTTTCAAACTCTGATTTCTTTTATTTAACAATCTGAAAATGCCCCAAGGCTTTTGCACTTTCTAAGTTCATGTTGGCTTTGTAAAAAATTTCAACTTAGCACTGATTTTTTTTTTTTTTTTTTTGGAGGCAGGGTCTTGCTCTGTCACCCAGGCTGGAGTGCAGTGGTGCCATCTTGGCTCACTGCATCTTCAATCTCCTGGGCTCAAGCAATTCTCCTGCCTCAGCCTCCCAGGTAGCTGGGACCACAGGTGCACATGACCTTGCCTGGCTAATGTTTTTTTTTTTTTTTTGGAGAGGCAGGGTCTCACTATGTTTCCTGGACTGGTCTTGAACTCCTGGGCTCAGGTAATCCTCCCACCTCAGCTTCCCAAAATGCCGAGATTACAAAAGCATGAGCCACTGCCACCAGCCTGCACTAAATTTTTAAAGGATAGCACAAAAGTTGCATTACATTCAAATTCATTACAAATGTTATATTTTGGTTTGGAAAAGATGGTTCTGAGTTCTGTCATCCAAAATATCACCAAAATGGCTAAATAGTAGAAAGAGAAGCCTTATTTGCAAGCTGGAAAGAGAAAGTCTCTAGCATGGAACAAAGGTGCTCTCTTGCAAGAGGGGAAGGGACAGGTTGGGTTTTAGTCTCACAGGGCCTGTATCATATTCGACAGGTTTTGGGGGAAAGCTATACATATTTTTGAGGTGAGCTGAGTACACGTGTGATGGATAAACATATGTGTAACATACATCCATATTCACTTTGGGTTTTAGCATTAAAATGAGGTGGAATTTGGCTTTTTACACCAAAAAGTGAACTATGGGACAAAAAGATGGTTTGTGCACAGCCTCTGTGAGCTGCTGAAACCTGAGGTCTGTAACAGCTTATCAGAAGAGGATGTTAGGATAAGGCCCGGCCTCTGTCCAATCAGAGTTACAGTGGTCTAGGTTGGAAATCAGAGCTGACAGATCCTATGGTTAGGGAGTTTAGCCCTAGGAATTTAGAAATTACCCAAGTCAGCTGGGCCCTGAACCCTCCACCCATAGGTGACTTTGTCTCCTTAATCTTTGGGTCCATCTCAGTGGATAAAGTGGTGTCTATTTTAGCATCTCAGATCACAGTTCCTATGCACATCACAAGGTGCACATGCAAACAATACATGAACCCAGTGTTTGAGTTTGAACATGGCTACCAGCACAAACCATGGAGAAAGAGGGATCTTGGTGTGAATCCAGCTCTGCCATTTTCTACGCATGTCACCTTGGGCATGGTGTTTAGCTTCTGCTCAGTTCTTTCCTATACAGAGCTGGATTGATAAAGCCTAACTCGAGTGAGAATTAAATGAGGTAATCATTCAATAAGACAATCAGTCAAACAAATGCTATTGAGTATTTACCAATTACCAAAGACCAAGTCTGAAACATAACTCTCAAAAAATAACAGTA
Source organism: Homo sapiens (assembly GCF_000001405.40). Lineage (NCBI taxonomy): Eukaryota > Metazoa > Chordata > Mammalia > Primates > Hominidae > Homo > Homo sapiens. Next base: position 106,856,769 of record NC_000013.11, on the reverse strand, counting down.
GTTATTATTAGAAAGATATATTAATTTCCGCCATCTCCTTTTGGATCAATTTACAGGGCCATCCACCACGAATAAACAACTTAGCCCAGAAGATAATCAGATTTCACTAATTTGGGTATATTAACTCATCTTTAATTTTTAAAGGAGAAATATGGCAAGATTTTTTTTTTTCTAATTTTACTGATGAAAACAGTGATGTTTAAAAGTTTGTGAACCTTTTACAATGCCACAAAACTATCTAAGATCAGGTCTATAACTTATAGGCACAACTTACGATCTCCATTTTGGAAAAAGTTTAATTTACTTTTGTTTTGCCATCTGCAAACTAGCACATAGGGATAATGTAATGGTTATGAGAACAAGCAAAAATTACATGTAAGAATGATGTTTGTTCAAGCAAACTAAATATGGCCTGTACTTCTATATTTGAGTCCTTGTGGATGAACTGTAACCTAGCTTAATAGTCAGACAAAATTGAAAACCCAATAGAATGCACCTGTAACAATGGCTGAGTGTTGGCCAATCCCAGTGGCCATACTTCAACCACTCACAGACTGCTAAGTATTCAAACTGTGTTCAAATAAGGCAAACACCAAACTGTAACCAATCTCGCTGTTTCTGTACCTCACTTCTGATTCCTGTACGTCATTTTACCTTTTGTCTATAAATTTGTTCTGACCATGAGACACCCCTGGAGATTCTGTGAATCTGCTATGATTCTGGGGGCTGACCAATTCTCAAATTGTTCATTGCTCAATTAAACTCCTTTAATATGGCTGAAGTTCTTCTTTTATCATATTTAACTCCAATAATTACTAAAGTAATATTCCTCTATCTATATGACTTATAAATGAAAACTCAGTTTCAATTTACACTTCCACCAACAGAGTTTAAGAGTGCCAAAGTATCAACCTTTGGCAATATTGACATTTTAACAATGCAATTATTAAAAATTTGTGTTTTTTTTTTTTGAGACAGTCTTGCTCTGTGACCCAGGCTGGAGTGCAGTAGTGCGATCTCTGCTAACTGCAACTTCCTCCTCCCGGGTTCAAGCCATTCTCCTTCCTCAGCCTCCCAAGTAGCTGGGACTACAGGTGTCTGCCACCACGCCTGGCTAATTTTTGTATTTTTAGTAGAGACAGGGTTTCACCATATTGGTCAGGCTGGTGTCGAACTCTTGACCTCAGGTGATACGCCTGCCTTGGCCTCCCAGAGTGCTGGGATTACAGATGTGAGCCACCGGGCCCGTCCTAGTCTCATTATCATTTTAATTACTATTTCTCTTTTCCCATGTTAATTGCCAATTTGTGTTTCTCCTCCATCATATTGCCTCTGCATTTCCCTTAATTTTTTTTCTAGTGTTGATACTCTTTAGAAAAACTGATTTGTGGGAGTTACATAAGACTACCAAAGATACTGATCTTATGGATATAGTTGCATATATTGTCAAATTTGAAATTTGTCTTTTACCTTTTTTTGATGCTGTCATATATATGTCATATAGATGCTTTAAATTTTCTATGTAGCAATACTGTTGATCCTCTTCAATATAAATTCTAAGATATATATCTTTCTAAAGAAAGTCTTTTTGGCCAGGCACAGTGGCTCACGCCTATAATCCTAACACTTTGGGAGGCTAAGGTGGGCGGATCACTTGAGTTCAGAAGTTCGAAACCAGCCTGGCCAACACAGTAAAGCCCCATCTCTACTAAAAATACAAAAATTAGCCAGGTATGGTGGTGTGCACCTGTACTCCCAGCTATTTGCGAGGCTGAGGCAGGAGAATCTCTTGAACCCAGGAGGCGGAGGTTGCAGTGAGTCAGAATCATGCCACTGCACTCCAGCTTGGGCAACAGAGCAAGACTCTATTTCAAAAAATAAATAATGCAAGCCTTTTCAACCTCAAGTTTATAAAGATAATATCTCACTTTTTTCTATTACACTCGTAGTTTTATTAATTGGCTAATTGGGGTTTAGACGTTCAGTTGTTTTCCTCCACTGTGTACACAGTTCCCTCTATGCTGATTTGAAACCCCCATTTGAGTGTCAGTGCTGTGGCAGCACCATTCTGCTGTTGCCCCAATTCACGGTCCCCTGAGTCCATCAGGAGCTGACCTTCACTTCTCCACCTTTAATTTGGGCTGGCCTTGCTACTTTGGCCACAAGAATGCAGCAGAAGTGACAATGTGCCAGTCTCAAAAGGCCATGACTGTTGCTGCTCTTTCTCAACAAACCTACACTAGCCTAGGATGAGAGGACATCTGGAGGCAGACTGCATTCCCCAGCCTAGAACAATTTACAGCTGGCCCACCCTCAAACACGCAAGAGAGCCCAGCCAAGATCAGAACTGCCCAACTGGCTTGTACATTCATGAAAAATAGCAAATGCTTATTATTTTAAACCACTGAGGTTTTATTAAACATCAGAGCCTAGCTGATATACACGAAAGTTTCATACACGCACTCTTTCCAGACGTTGTTCTGCTCTATCGGTTCTAGGCATGTTCCTGCAGCATGTGTGTCCCTATTGCCATTCTGCTGGGCATTTTCTGCCCAGTCCTTAGAGGTGTGCAGCATGAGGTGTAGTGAGTGACAGTCCTCTGCTTGGCATGTCACAGATTCTCCCACATCCTCTAAATGCTTCTGGCAAGGGCTTGCTGTTTCCCTTCATAAATGTCTGTTCGACACCTTCTACGTTCACAGTGTCATGCTAAGTTCTCCAGGAGGTAAGAGGATGAGTGTGAAACAGCATGCTGGATTGCACTAGGTGTCACCGCACTTAGGTACTGAATAACTGTGTGCTGAAGAAAGTAAAAATAATTTATATGTCATTCTCTCCTAGAGTAAAGCATAGATCCCTCTTTTCACCAAAGGCAGGTGATCACTCCCTCCTGCTCAATGTGTGGTTGGAAATACATGTAGGACAAGAAGAGAAAGGCATGGACAAATAAGGTCTTATGGTATATAATCCACACAATGACTCTATAAGATAAAGCTACTTTATTTTATGAAGTTGAAAACTGAGTATCTATATGAAGAGACTTTCCTGTTTTGCCAAAATTTTCTAATGAACAGAAATGTGTGTCTGGCAGCAGTCTGGATGGTTCAGTGGCTGAAGTGTGTTCAATCTCAAATTTATACTCTCATCCCTTTTCTCATTGTATACGATAAAGCCAGACACTAACTGTACTGTATCTCATTTTATGTATTAATAAAATTGCAGCATGTTGTGAGGTTTAATTAGATAATAAAGCACTTGAAGACCCCTCCTTGATAAGACTGTAAGTGAATCATATTGCTAATTTAGTAATCATCATATACAGTGACAAATTTCCCCTAATATGTTCAGAGACACTTTTAAAACCCCAGACAATCACATCAGCTTTGGGTATGTTAAAAAACAAGAACTGTTGAGGACCTTCATCTTGGGATGGATGAACTATGTCGTGCTCACTCTCCTTTTTAAATTTCTATTTATACCTCCTCTTCATTTAAATGTTTAATTAGTAAGAAACACTTCCATGCATTATAATTAAATGCAAGCACAGATTCTTCACCACAAGAGAGTCATTTTCCATTCAGTTTATACAAAGTTTTGTTTTGTCCCTGAATGAATCAATATGAAAATTAAGCTCGTTGTCTGAAAGCCTTAAAAAGAAGTATCACTGTCATAATACAAGGAAGATTCAAATGAATTAAAAGTCTCAAAGCATATCCTTTTAGAATAATTGCATGCTATATTCTTGCAGCCCTTAAAGGTAGCTTTCCCAGAGAAAAGAAAAGTGAACAAAGGAGGCCTTTCGTTCCAGTTCATCTTCTTTAGGAGCTGGAACCTTTTCACAGTTGAAGCACAATTTTTCACTTTTAATTGGTTAGCTTGTAATGGGAAGATTGTGGGACAAAAAGCAATCCTTGTTCTGATTAGTGATGGAGGGGACCTGTGAGCGTTGGGAGGTTTGGAGGTAATGAACAGAATAAAAGACCTCACGTTGACGTGTTTATTGGGATCTTCTCCAAACATTCTGACCCTTTCGGAGCTGCAGAATTTGGCTAGAAATCCTCTACATAAGAATGTGCTGAATCTAGGAAATTCTCATTTTATCTCTTCAGTCCTCATTCTGGTCTTCGTGTTCCAAAGTTCCTGTGAAATGTATACATGTCTGTGCATGTGTCAATGTCTGCTTGCATCTGTGGTAAAGAGAATGACAATTATCCCTTAAATTCCTTTTATGTTGAAAATCGTGCTTGATGTAACATCTACCGAATTTTTTTTATCTTAGTACTGGCTTGAGAGCCAAGGCTAGAAATACAACGAGATGTAGAAGCTTTTCTCCTGATACCTCTGTTCTTGTGTTAGCACCTCACTGTTTCCACTTTAGCCAGTACCCTAAGTTAAAGATATTCCAGCATTAGTAGGGTAACTATAGTTTATAATAATCTGTTTTGTATGTTTCACAATAGCCAGAATAATTCTAATGGTTCTAGCATAAAGAAAAATGTTTGCAATGATGAATATCTGAAGTACATTGATTTGATCTTTACAAATTATATGAATGTATTAAAATATCACATGTACTCCATAACTACGTACATCTATTATGCATGGATTAAAAAAAAAAAAAAAGAAGATATCCAACATTAAATAGGCTCCTTTCCCCTACCTTAAAATATATAATGGGCATGAGTTGAAACTGCACTGGATATAGGACGGCTCATATTTGCCCAAAATGCTTGTTCATTTTGTTTTGGCATGATTGTGTGCTACCCACTCTTTTTGTTCAAAGAAGAACAGATAATTCCAGGGTTTTCTGTGTACAAACTGCACCATATTTAAACAGAGACAGATGGTGTCTTAATTATTGTGGTGTCCAGAAGCTAATATGTATGAATCTGTCCACCAGCATTTAAATGGGAGTGGTCCTTCTCTAATGACAGGGGGAAAGACAATGGAAATCACCATACCGTTAGAAAAGGGAACCACAAGCCCACCAACTGCATTGATGCCATATCGGTTTATGTTCACGTGAACTAGGAAGTTGAAGTAGAGTCCATGGATATGGGTTATGTTGAAAAGAAATTTATAAATAGATATATAGATAGATACTTTTTTCTCCAATAATTTGTTACACTCTATTGCCCCAAATGCTCACACCATGATCCGATAGAGACAGTCAAATAATTTTCTAAAACGCTCACTTAACATTTTATTGGTGACTTTAACTCTGCCATTTGTGTCTGAAGCATCAACGGGTTTACTTAACAAGAAGATCTGCATAGCCATGAGATACCCAGGAGAGCTGACTCATCTGCTGATGTGGCAGCAATGAATCAAATGCACTTCCGTAAGGAAGGCAGGATAAAAACCCTTTCCTTCACTCCCAGATGGTGACATCTGATTGAAGAATCTTTTGCTGACAACTGTGGCCAGCAAAGTGCTCTTCTCTTGACTACTTCTGAAGTATAGTGCAGCTCAACTACGATTTCCAGGCATCAATGTCCCTAACCCCAGCTCTGATCAGCTGCTCAGCACAATAATAGACATTTGTGAACATGTGTTCTCAGGCCAGAAGACATTCACCTTTGCACTCCCAGGAGAGGTCCTCTGCCCTTCCCTGCCTTGTGTCTAACTCAGCTCACACACTGCCTCTTGGTGAAGTCAGAGAGTTGGCGCTTCTCTAACCCTTGGAGTCTAAGCATAGTTAGACTCCTCTCTCTGGGGTATAATTACTTGTTTGAGAGAGGGACTTTTTAAAGTCATGTTTAAAAATTACTATGATACACATAAGCGTCAACTGGCATAGTCAATTGTGAAATACATGTTTCAGAAAAGGATGAGGAAACAAGAAATAAAAAGTTATTAATAGTAAAATTAGTTTGTGAAAAAAAATATGGAAAACAGAATGTATGCATTCTCTCCAACACATGAGACACTTTTTCATTTCAGACAGAAAAAAATGGCACTGTTAGGGTGGAGAAAGATGGCAGATGGGTTGTATATTAGGTCGCTCTAGCATTGCTATGAAGAAATGCCTGAGGCTGGCGATTTATTTTTATTTATTTATTTTTGAGATGGAGTCTTACTCTGTTGCCCAGGCTGGAGTGCAATGGCACGATCTTGGCTCAATACAACCTCCGCCTCCCAGGTTCAAGTGATTCTCCTGCCTCAGCCTCCCCAGTAGCTGGGATTATAGGTGCGCACAACCATGTCCAGCTAATTTTTGTATTTTTAGTAGAGACAGGGTTTCATCATGTTGGCCAGGTTGGTATGGAACTCCTGACTTTGTGATCCACCTGCTTCATCCTCTCAAAGTACTGGGATTACAGGCATGAGCCACTGCTCCCGGCCTAGGCTGGTAATTTATAAGAAAAGAGATTTAATTGGTTCATGGTTCTATAGGTTGTACAGGAAGCAAAGTGGCATCTGCTTCTGGGGAGGCCTCAGTAAGCTTCCAATCACGCAGGTGAAGCAGGAGTAGGCACATCACATGGCGAAAGCAGGAGCAAGAGACAGTGAGTGTGGGGAGGGAGGTGTCACCCTTGTAAATGACCAGATCTTGCAAAAACTATCGTGAAGACAGCAGTGTGGGGTAGGAGGTGTCACACTTTTAAATGACCAGCTCTCGCAAGAACTCACTATCGTGAAGTTGGCACCAAGCCACGAGGGATCATCTCCCAATATCCAAACCAGGCCCCTACCAGGCCCTACCTCTGGCAGTGGGGATAAGAGTTCAAAATGAAACTTGGGTGGGACAAACATCCAAACTCAATCAGATTGTAACCCCTTATTAAGGTCACATCCCCAGTAGAGTGACACAATCTCAGCATACTATGAGCTCCATGACACGACGCATTCAGAAGGACATACTCATGCTTCTGCGGTTGTCTTTCCAAAAATGTACAACCTCAATCTAATCATGAAAACTCACACAAACTCAAATCGAGAGACTTTCTACAAATATAACTGACTTTCAAGTGTCTAGGTCATAAAAGAAAGGCAGACTAAGGAACCCTAATTGACCAGAGGTGAGCAAGGTATGACAACTAAGTGCAAAGAGGGATTGTAGAGTGAAGAGAGACCCTTTCAGAGGAAGCTGCCAAAGTCTGAGTAAAGCCTGTAGGTTACTTAATAGCAACAGAGCAGTGTTGCTAGCATTAGAAAAACTGAGTGAAAGATATGCAGGGACTCTGTACTGTTTTTACAATTTTTCTGTAGGTCTAGAGTTATTTCAAAAGAAAAAAAATAGAATAATACAAATGCTCCTTGACTTACAATACTGTTATATCCCAGTAAACCCATCCTAAGTTGAAAATATGATCAATCCAAGATGCATTTAATACACCTAACCGACCAAACATCACAGTTTAGTCTAGCCTACCTTAAATGTGCTCAGAACACTTACCTTAGCCTACAGTTCAGCAAAATTATCTAACACAAAGCCTGTTAGAGTGTTGAATATCTCATGTAATGTATTAATTACTATGCTGAAAGTAAAAGATGAAATGGTCATATGGTAATTCAAAGTATGGTTTCTACTGGATGTATATTGCTTTCCCACCACCCTAAGTCAAACCATTGTTAAGTTAGAGACCATTAGTAATTAAGTTTTATTGATCACTGTGTGCTAAACACTATTCTAACTCATATATATGTAATCTCATATAAATGCTTTCATTTACTCTTTGGAAAGTCCGAAAAGGTAGGGAATACTATTACCCTCATTTTAGAAATGCAGAAACTGTGGCATGAAGAGATTAGGTAACTTGCTCCAGTGAAGAGATTAGGCAAGGCCAGAGCCAGGATTGGGACCCAAGGCATCTAGATCTGAAGATCATCTGACTTCCCCCAGGTTTCTTTACTGACTTTTAATATGAATCAAGTTAACTGTAATCCCTTAAGAAGCATGTTCAAGAAATAATTTAGGTTCCCACATAGCCAGAAATGGAAAGATATGGTTGAAATGAAAGCTTACCTAGAAGAGCATAAGAAACTCTGCAGGTACTGATGTGGCTTCTTCAGCCTCTGGTACAGAAGAACGTGTGCATTGCTGAAGAGGGGAATATTTTCCTATACCACTCAGTGGTGCTTGTGAAAGCTTGGCCACTGCCTTTCTGCAGAGGGTGGGGGGGCGGGGCGGGGGGCGTCCCGCAGCATTCACCTGTTCTCTTGGTGAAATGTTCCTACCTTGGACAATTTCAAGCAACCAACATGATTGGTTGACATCGGCCTCAAAATTCATTAAAAAATTTACAGTTAGCTTTTGAGCAGGCTCTAGCACATTACTTAATTAACATTACAATGGCCATGGCATCTTATTTATTTTTAAAGTACAGAGAGAATGAAAAGTAGGTGGAAAAATGCAAAATATGTCTTCCATTAATACATCTAATTCTTGTGCAAACATCAAGAAGAACATGCAAAAAAAGCAGCTCTGTTTCTGTGGGGCTGGTCTGTGTTACGAGTCAATTCTTTCTGTAAGACTAAGTCATTTATAATAGTTTTGAAATTTCATTTTTCTTGCTTACTTTGTGACCTGTTCACATTTACACAGCAAGCGGTCTGCTCGTGCCACAGTGACTCAGGGCATAGACAGGAGGAACCCAATCAGAAGCACCTTCCAGACAGCTTCTACAGAGTTTGAAGGCTTTTTAAAGAAGTCACAAATTTAAAAATAAAGTGTATAAATATGTAACTCATACTGAAAAATATGATATATCCATGGAAAACACAGAAGCAAAGCTGTTGGTGGGGGAAATAACAACCTTACATTGTTTATTTTTATTTTTGTGTGTTTGTGCATTTTGTGTATTCCAATGCAAATCTTCTTGGACAGGAAAGTGAGTGAGTGGCTATGGAGAAAAAAGGATTTCTTGGTGAACCAGATAGAATGCCTGGTGGCACACTGAATTATCCCACACTCAACTCCTTCACTCTCCTCCGCAACATACACACAACCACTTTGATGACCTAGATTACTCTCATTCATTCAAAACCACAAATTTAATGATTTTCTACTACCTGCTAGGCATTTTTTTCTAGACTGAAGACAGAAGATTGAATGTTTTCTGCTCTCATAAAGCTGGTATTCAAAAAGTGATTTTTTTTTTTTTTACATTTTTGATACATGTTATGGAATTAAAGGAAGATATACGACTGTATTAATCCATTGTCATGCTGCTATAAAGAACTGCCCAAGACTGGGTAATTTACAAAGGAAAGAGGTTTAATTGACTCACAGTTCAGCCTGGCTGGGGAGGCCTCAGGAAACTTGCAATCATGGCGGATGGCGCAGGAGAGGCAAGACACCTCCTTCACAAGGCAGCAGGAAGAAGAACGAATGCAGGCAGAACTACCAAACACTTATAAAACCATCAGATCTCGTGAGAACTCACTCACTATCCTGAGAACAGCATGGGGGAAATGGCCCCCATGATTCAATTACCTCCACCTGCTCACTCCCTTGACAGGTGGGGATTATAAGGATGACAATTTAAAATGAGATTTTGGGTGGGGCACAGCCAAACCACATCAGTGACTGAGTAATGAGCAATCTAATGTAGCCTGGAGGCATCTGGCAAGGTTTCCCTGAAGGAGTTTCCAGAGAAAGATCCCTAAGAAGCAAAGTATGCTTAGGAGTTATCTACATGAAGCCCACCACTGAGCAGAAAGCTACCCCAAGTATAGGGAACCACATGCTCAAAGGTTTTGAGGCAGAAGGAGTCAAGAACTGAAAGGTCATTGGGTTGGGAGCTTTGAAAGCCAAAAGCACAAGCAGGAACCCCCTCATTAAGGCTCTTGCAGGTCATGTTCTCGTACTCGTACTTTAGCCTAAGAGCAGAGGAGGCCATTAAAGAGTGAAGCAGAGTATGACATAATCAAAGCTGCAATTAAAGTAAATGCAGAACTTGCTTAGCTTAGGCTATAAACCCTTCGACTATGAACTGCAGAGTGGTTCAGTTAGTTCATATTGAAAGCAGGTGACACCAGCATTCTGCTAGGCAGTTAACTACTTTTAGTAGAAGTGAGGGGGTGGACAGGGAGCTAGCATACTTTGTGCAAAACAAACTATTATTTTAAGTTCTAACTGGGAGCTCATATTTCCTAACTGAAAACCTGTAATATTGCTGTAATCAGAATTCTTCAGTGTTTGCTTTTTAAGTTTATGTTTTGTTTTTAAAGAAGAGTCTAGATTTATAAGGCCTTACTAAGCATTCCAAAACTACAAATAGAAGGAGATGAATGTATTTAATTCCTTTGGAACATATAAAGTCTACCACTCCCATATGGGTTTATTTTCCTCATCAATGGATTTTCTAGTATCTATTATTTAATGAGCACTGGCTTCTGTTTGCCAGATGGCAAATTGAGCCCATGGTAAGCCCCAAACCTCACCCCAAATTCCATGGCAATGACAGAAGACATATAAAAATAAGGGGGAAAAGTCTGTGACACCCTGGAAATCAGAGGTTAGGCCCATCAATGTACAAGGAACTTTGGGGAGTTTCTAATGCAAGGCACCTGGGATTAAAAAGGAGGACTAATCAGTGAAGAAAATCCCAGGAGTCAAGACAAGCCAGGGCAAGCTGGGCCTGAAGGGGTGCTGGATGTCTTTGCCAACAAAACCCCTCAAAATGTCCTAAAAATCAGTAGTGAGAGAGGTCTTATAATCTTCGGGAAAGGACCAACATATTCAACTTTACAAAAAGTAAAAACTTTTGTGAGGCAAAAATGAAGTTATTGAGAACTACAAATACAAACAGTAACAGCAAATGGAAAATATTTCTGCAACATAGAGACAGATAAAGGCTTAATACTTTTATTATATAAAAAGTGTTTTAAGAAACATGAAGAAAAATACGAATACCACGATAGAATAATGGCCAATAACCAAAATGGTAAGTTGTAAAAGAATACAAGTGACCATAAATTTGTTTTGTTTTGTTTTAATGCTCAAATTATCAATAATCAAAAGAACTTAAAGGAAAACAATAAACTCTCTTTTTAAACCCAGCAGCTTAGCAAACATGGCGCTACCCAGTGCTGACAAGTGTGGTACAGTACTCCTGTGGGAGTGCCAGCATTTAGGAGGAAAACCTGGAAATCAGTATTACAAGGCTTGGAAATGTGACAGACTTTAATCTACCAATTTCTTTTTTAGGGCCAGGCCCAGTGGCTCACGCCTCTAATCCCAGCACTTTGGGAGGCCAAGGGGGGTAGATCACTTGAGGTCAGGAATGCAAGACCAGCCTGGCCAACATGGTGAAACCCTGTACTTACTAAAAATACAAAAATTAACCAGGTGTGGTGATGGGCGCCTGTAATCCCAGCTACTCAGGAGGCGGAGTTTGCAGTGAGCCAAGTTTGTGCCACTGCACTCCAGCCCGGGCCACAGAGTGAGACTCTGTCTCAAAAGAAAAAAAAAAATTCCTTTCCAGGTAACATTCAGACAAATTTGCAGATTATCTGTTTGTTGGATCTTTATTTTTGGTAATTTTAGTCAGTTGGATACCCTCCCCGCAACTTCCTGACCCCATTCATGTCCCTCCCAGAATCTCAGAAGGTGAATTTATCTGGAAATAGGGTCATTCAGGTGCAATTAGTTAAAATGAGTTTTACTGGAGCAGTGTGGGACCTTAATCCGACATTATGGGTGTTCCTATAAGAAGAGAAGAGACACAGAGACACAAACATATGGGCAAAGGTCATGGAAAGACACAGATTGGAGTAATGCATCGAAAAGGAATGCCAAGAACTGCTGGCAACTTCCAGGAAGGAATAAGCAAAGAAGATTCCTCCCCTAGCACCTTCAGAGGGAGCGTGATCCTGCCAACACCTTGATTTTGGTCTTCTGGCCTCCAGATAGAATAAGAATAAATTTCTGTTTTTAAGTTCCCAGTTTTGATACTTTGTTATCACAGCTCTAGGCAACTGGTGCAAGACTAACATCAAGAAATTACTCAAATGACCACCAATGCGAATTGATTAAATAATGATAAAAACTCTGCATAGCGGCACCCTATGAAGCCAGTAGAAACAATGAGATATATCTGTGTGGATGGATATAGAAAGCTGCTGCAGGTGAAAATGCCTGGTTCTATAACAACATGTATGTGATTTTATTACAACAATAAATATGCATGTGAAAAAAGAAAAAGACATAACTTGAGTTGTTAGCCATGTCTTATATTTTCTATTTTATAGGTTTCTGTATTGTTTATATAGTTTTCTTTTTTTTTTACAGGCAGAATTGAATATGTTTCCCATGCTGGGCTTGAACTCCTGGTCTCATGGTAAGCCTCCCACCTTGGCCTCCTCAGTAGCTAAGACTACAAATGCATGCCACCACACTCAGCTCTTGCTTATTTATTTATTTTATTTATTTTTATTTTTATTTTTGAGATCAGGTCTCGCTCTGTCATCCAGACTGGAGCACAGTGGGAAGATCTTGGCTCACTGCAGTCTCAGACCTTCTGGGCTCAAATAATCATCCCACTTCAGCCTCCCAGATAGCTGAAACTACAGGCATGTGACACCACGACAAGCTATTTTTTTTTTTTTTTTTTTTTTTTTTAGAGATGGGGTTTCACCATGTTGCCCAGGCTGGTCTCGAACTCCTGAGCTCATGGGATCCACATACTTCAGGCTCCCAAAGTGCTGGAATTACAGGCATGAGCCATTACACCTGGACACAGTTCTTGTTTATAGTTTTTAAAATGAGAATATATTACTTACAAAATCAACAAAATTCTTTAAGATATTTCCATTTTGGAAGAAAAAATAACTTTTTTTTTTTTAAAGTAATAAAGCACTATCCTGAGAAATACTGGTCAGTATCAAAATAATGTCATTAATATTTCTTCTCTGAATGAGTTACCTCTCACTCTCAGAATGATATTTTATTTGTAGACTTTTTTATCCTAAAATTGAATCAAATTAAAGAAGTTGGTGGCAGTTGTCTTTTCATATAGATGTTGCTGGAAGGAAAATCTTGAGATAAAAATAAAAGCTATAAAAATACATCTCCTAAAGAACCTCTTCATTAAAAGATTTTCACTTGCCATTTCTGTCTCTCTCAATGCATCAGCCAATATAGATACCTTCATATTTTTATGTGATTTATCTCATTGTGAGTTTCATTGTTATTATTCTTTCATTTTCCTTCTTTTTATTCTTCTCCTCTTTTGGTAAATAGACCTTTTTCTGAAAAATAAATTACTTTTAATGCCTCCAGTTGAAAATAATCAAGTTAAGAAGTTGCTAGATTAGAAGCAATGCCCCCAAATCAACCAATGTGTTTTCGGTACTCTTAGGATATAGTCCTAGAAAAATCTAATTTTTTAAGCTATCCTTAACAAAAGCTTTGAAAATGATATTTGTCATGTCTCTATACTGGATTTAATATGCTGTCTGAGTTTCCTCTCTTCAAGGGATACGTGCCATTCACTATGTTTCTACTACACTCCATGCATTTTATATATAACACATCGTTTAATCCTCATAATAAATCTAAAAAGTAGCCAGTGCCATCCTTCCTTAGAAGTGAAGAAACTGAAAATCAGAGGAGTTAGTAAACACCTCAGACCACACAGCCAGGAAATGAACAAGACAAGCCTGAAATCAAATTTTTTTTATTTCCAAGTCTATGCACTTTCTATTATATACTGAAATCCCTCAGTATTATCTACATAATAAATGTGTCCCACTACATTACATAAGTTATGTGGTCTTTTTGCTTTGTTTTGGAAGTGCCCACTGCTTTATTAACTGGAAATGGAGGAATGTGAGGGCAGGTCTGGAAGTTCATGCTAAAGCAAAACACCATCTATAGAACAAAAGTTAAAAACAAATAGAAAATATGATTGTAAAAACCTGATGTGAATAAAACATAGCTTAAGCCACTTTAAAGAGTGAATCTTAGCACATGAAATAATACACACTATGCATTATAAATATCTTTGTTTAAGTATATGAAGCTTATCCTGTCTATAATAATATATAAATTGTAGAAGAAACACAATATTTTTAAATGACATCCTTTCTGTTCCAATCAGAATATAAAATGTCAAAGAACAGACATTTCAATGTCATAAAGATCAAATATAACTTCTCTTACATCTCTTGTTAATATGGTAAGTTTGTTACGTATCTGAGTGGGGTTTGGAGCAGAGTTTGTTAATATTGTAAGTTTGTTACACATCTGAGCAGAGTTTGGAGTAATGCATAGGTTCTCCTACAGGGCACTTGTGTGTGTCAGCTGTGCCTTTTGCTTTTTTGTTTGTTAAAATGATGACCATACCCTCAGGTGGAGGCCCCCACACATTTGGAGGCAGAAATAAATGTCCTCATTTTGTAAAGGTCAGTTTAGTCAGGGCTTCCACTAACACGTGCACCCTAAACATCCAGTCTGCGGATCAGAGAGCCTGAAAGGATCTCGAGAAAACACAAATGCTGGGAAGACTTGACCATGCTCTCGAACCTAACCTAGCGGTAACTGAGCAGCTTGTTATCCAACAAGCCAGCAAGGGAGGGGTTGTATTTACTTGTTTATGTGGCTGCTTTCCTCTTTCGGACTCTGAGCTCCCTGAAAGCAGGAGGCTCATCTTTTTCATTTCTGCTTTATCCTCTGTGCCCAGCGAAGTGCCTGTCAATGATGGAATGAATGAATGGGACTGACATCAAATTAGGGCAAATGACTTGAAAGCGAAGGTGAATATAGGACCTCAAAGTTTTCATAACTATTGTTGGTTCATCATTATCCAACCAAAGCACATGAGACATGAAAATAGTGGACAAATGCATCCAGAACTGCCCTGAGTCCTAGAGGTAGGAAATATAGCAAGATGCCAGGAGCTAGAAAGGGTGATTTGGGGAATGACTTAGGTTGGAGGCTGATACAAGCACTTTTCATCGCTCTGATGCCTTTGATTCCAGCTTTCATGTGAACAACACTATAAATGATGGAGAGGTAATTCAATCTTTTTGATTAAATATATTTATATAACAGAGTGACAATGGGGTAGTGATTGATCTATGAGGTAAAATGCAATAGGAGGAAGTTGTCAATGTATTAATTAAACAGTGAAGGGAATCATCCTTCTGGAAGTTAGAAGAAAATAAATCTGTCTTGGGGGAAGGCATGTCAGGGAGGGCTGTTGAGTGGCCACGAGCCTGGACGCGAGTGAGAAGCACTGTGAAATTTGGATCTAACCACCAATTCAGATAGTGTGCAAAGAAAGATGGGGCTTTAACCAGAACATTAAAAAAATCCCAGCACTTTGGGAGGCTGAGGCAGTCATATCACCTGACGTCAGGGTTTCAAAACCAGCCTGGAAAATAAGGTGAAACCCCGTCTCTGTTAAAAATACAAAAATTAGCCAGGCGTGGTGGCATACACCTATAGCCCCAGCTACTTGGGAGGCTGGGGAAGGAGAATCCCTTGAACCCAGGAGGTGGAGGTCACAGTGAGCCGAGATTGCACCATTGCACTTCAGCCTGGGCATTGCAGTGAGACTCTCTCTCAAAAAAAAAAAAGGAATTGAACTTTTGAACTTGTTATCCTAAAATTGATGGTTCATTGTTCATTTGGATGCTTAATTTTTAAAACAAAGGCCAAGATATTCTTACACAGAGGGTGAATTTCTGCAGAGTAGGAGAGGGGATGAGGGGTTGTTGCTGAAGATGCTAGCTTTGTCTCAAGAGTAATTGAAACAATGCCCATTAAAGTCTCAGGTCTCAGAGGAAATGAGGGATCATGTGATCTAACCTACAAATCCCTGCCTGGTGGCTGGAGTGGTTCCTCTGTGTCCGAGGAGAAATTGGACACAAATAGTTATGGGTTGCTGCCATGACACATCAGCATATTAGCACCCTCACTCTAGCCCACTCACCGTTTCCACTCATTTCGGCTGGCTCAAGTGAAATATCACAGCAATTATAAAAGTCAAGGTACCAGGTGGGAGAGCTTTAGGAATGGCTCCAGCAAATTGCTTCCATTTTTCAGCTCACAGTGAGAAGAAAGGCAGAAACAGAGAAACAGAGAGAGGTGAAAAAGAAAGCCAATGAGCATGCCTAATACAGCCTGTATATCCTGCATATTACATATATAAATATATTAATCTTCCCTTTTGTGCCTTGGAGAGAAAAGAGCAGCAATCAGCAATTCAGGGACAATCAAATAGATTAAAGTGAACATCATATATGTCTCAGAGGAGCCAGCGATAACATCTTTTTTCTTGCTTAGCTACCTTCTTCTCCACACTGTGAGGGAATATATTTTATTAAAAACATTTCTTTTACCTGGAGGTCCTGTCAACTAACTAACAGAATGAAAAGAAAAGAAACTGAGAGTCTTCTTTCTGTGCCAAAAAATAAGCTAGTTGTGAAAATGTTATTTAAAAAAAATATATATCAGGAGAGAGCAAAGAAATGGCTTGAATTTTTCCCCTTCTGAAGTTGAACAGCATTTCTGCTTCCTTGTCGGCCTTCCTTTAGTATTCAGGAGATGTTTCCTCACTAAAAATAAACTCCCCACTGAAAATGGGCAATTTGCTTTTTAAAATCTCTTTTCAAAGATACATGAAGCCTTTTATTTGAAAACTTTGTCGTCACTACAACATTGGAATTCCTTGATCTTATTTTTACTAGATAGCACAGATTTTGGAATGCATTTTATTGACAAGAGTCGGATAATGCAACTTAATCTAATTTGACCCAATATATTCTGATGTTTTCACTACAGCTGTCATGTTTTAAAATGTTAGCCAGGTTTCCTGTAGATCCATTTAAGTCTAAATTTTAAAGATAAAGACATATATGCCTCAAAAATATCTAAGTTGATTCTGCTTTAGAGCTGAGATCTCCTCAATATCAATAGGGAACAGGGCAATAAAAGACCTTGATTTATCCTTCTAAAACTTTCTTTCAATTTCTGGATGTTAGAATATGGCAATAAACCGTAATTGCAAATTTCATTATTTTAGCTAGTCTTTACTGTTAGCTGTCAAAAGGATAAACACATAAACATCAAATTCCATTTTATAAAGATCACAAAACTCTTTAAAAGAGAGAGTGTTACTTTATAAATAGAAAATTTGTGTTGTTTTCCTCCAGTTCTCTTAACCGAAATTGAGTCCCTCAAAGACAAACATCTAGCCTGGGATTTTCATAAATGTTGTTTTTGATGCAAAGTCAGTGTGGCATTACTAGAGGAAGGCTTATCACACATCACACACTTGTGCCTTTCAAGCAATCAGTTTAAAAACAGTTTTTGAACAGATTGCCACCCAATTTTATAACAATTGTTTTCCCCTGATTTATTTTCCTTACTCACAAAATGGGGGCTCGTACAGGAGGTAGTAGCTCTAACATCCTTGCCACGTGAATGCCCATCACGTGCCAGGTCAGACAGGAAGCCAATAAAGTACGCTTTTCCGTCCATGTGAAACCAAGGCGTAACGATTTCACGTCATCTGCCAAAAGTGAAGAAGATGTAGGCAGAAGATTTGAATCCAGCTCTGTCTGCCTCCAAAGCCCATGAGTTCCGTGCTCCAAAGCACACAGGCGGCTGCTGCCTCTTCCTCAATGCTGGGTCCGACATTGCTGTATTCTTCTACAATCCTTCCTTCTTTATTTTTGCGTCTTCTCCATTGTACACTGGCTAACTTTGTTTGGTCAGTCTTCTGTCCATTCCACAATCAGATGACTTCAAGTGATCATCTTTTTGCTTTTGAGACAAAATGTCCCAAGGTGTTAGGACTCAGTGAATTAGATTTCCAACTCATGTTCTGCTGGACCAGAGCGCATCTCACAGGGCTTGTTGATTATCTGCTCCTCACCTGTGTTAGTGAATCCACTGAACTAGAGAAGTCAGAGATGATGGCTTCCCAGCATGTTCCCTATCATATCTACAACGCAAACGTATTTGCCCTACAATGACAATTGGCAGATGTTAGCACAATCTCCAAAAATAACCAGGACATCCTACATGTTTAGAAGATGTTTCCATATTTCTTCATGCTTAAAAAAAGAATTCTGTCCCTCCCCTGTGCAGCATACTGCACTGTACACTGGTCCTGCAGATGGATTTGCCAAAATACGATTATACTAGCCTGATCAAGAATGTAGGGAATCAACGTCTTGGGAATATGATTTCTACTAATAGATACATACATACTATATTAGATTCCTAGGGCGCTGTAACAAATGGCCACAAACTGAGTGGTTTAAAATAATAGAAACTTATTCCTTCACAGTGAAGGGGGCCAGAAGTCGGGAATGAGGCAGGGCTGGTTTCTCCTGGAGGCTAGAGGAGAGAATTTACGCCATGAGCTTCTGGTGGTTGCTGGCAACACGTGGAATTTCTTGGCTTGTAGACGCTTCACTTCAATCTCTGCCTCCATCTGCACATGGCCTTCTTCATGTGCTTCTCTGTATCCTCTCTTCTTTTTTGTTTTTTTTTTTTTTTTTTTTTTTTGAGATGCAATCTTGCTCTGTCTCGGAGGCTGAAGTGCAATGGCGTTATCTCAGCTCACTGCAACCTCCGCCTCCAAGGTTCAAGCGGTTCTGCTGCCTCAGCCTACCGAGTGGCTGGGATTACAGGTGCATGCCAACATGCCGGTCTAATTTTTATATTTTTAGTAATTTTTAGTAGAGACAGGATTTCCCCATTTTGGCCAGGCTGGTTTCAAACTCCTGACCTCAGGTAATCCACCTGCTTCGGGCTCCCAAATTGCTGGGATTACAGATGTGAGCCACCATTCCAGGCCCATCTCTTCTTTTTAAAAGGACACCAGTAATTGGATTTAGGACCCAGCCTAAATCTAGGATGATCTCATCTTTCGATCTATAATTTAATTACATCTGCAATGATCTTATTTTCATATAGGTCACATTCTAGGGTTCCAAGTGGACATAAATTTTGGGGGACACTATTGAACCCACTGCATATTGTAAGTGCATACATATACATTATGTATTCCTGTGATCATAGACATGTAAAGAATAAAAATCCTATTTTTTTTCCTTTGTTGCTTTTTTAAGGGACCCTGCTAGCATGGCAAAAGTAAACTTCTCAGATACATAAAATTTAAGAAAAAATTTTAGCGATTACATTTTAATGTATTTGATTTTATGTAGTGTTACTTTGTTTCTTGCTACACTATTTTCAGAATCTTATTTGGAATAAAACAAATTAAAAAAGGGTAAAGAATAAATGGATCGCTCTGCTCATTGACTAAATTCTAAAATAGTCTTAATAAGGTAACACTCATCAATTTGAATAACACTTTTTACTATTTGAAGCATACACAAATTTGAAAATTTGTTTAAAAATAGTTCAACGTGCTACCGACCATTTACTAGTATAGAATTTGCGTATGAAATATGCGCTGTGCCAATTGCTATACACGTACACTGGCAGTTACTAATAACCCATGCTTTTGTGAGATGTTTTCAGAACAATTGTTCTCAAATGGGAGCAATTTTGTACCCCAGGAAACATTCAGCAATGTCTAAAAACATTTTTTGGTTGTCAAAACCTGGTGGGGGGAAAGGTATGTGCTAGGGCCACGTAGTGTGTAGAGGCCAGGGATGCTGTTCAACCTTCTACACTGAACAAGACAGCCCCACCACGAAGAGCTGTATGACCCAGAATGTCAAGAGCTCTGAGGGTGAGAAATCGTATCTTAGATCTGTACTGAAGGATTTTCACTGCTCCAACCTTCTTCTCATTCCTCTTATGACCAGTGATATCCACAGTTCAATCACTAGCTTGAATCAAAGTTTGAATTTCTCCGAATGACTGCACCTAACACTTAAGCTTTATTTCCACCATGACTTTAGCTGTTTTTTATTCAAAACCAAAATGCAAATGCACAGGACATACAGTAATCATTATTTTTAAATGACCAGAACCCCTGGTATGTACACTAGGCAAGCTTTTGCTTGTCTCCCATGTCTCCTAGGAATTCTAAGGAAAATCATATTATATGCATGCTCAGGTATTAAAGAGATCCTTATGCCTCATATGTCTACCCTCACTCCCTTCTTCCATCCCATGTTTTAAAATGGTGATTAACAGCTTGCTCTTTGGAGTCCCAAAATCTAATTAGACTCGGATCCACTCCTTTCTACCTGTTTGTCCGTTGACAAATGACATCATTTGACATAATGACATCATTTGACTCATAAGGACAATTATACTACTTACTGTAAACATTAGAATTTATTATGTTTATTTTCATTTTGCTCATAGACAATATGCTGAATCTTGCTCTTTAAGAATGCTAAAGTGCTTTCGTGTGTGTGTGTGTGTGTAATTACATTTGATACCTTCCCAACAACCTTGTTAATCAGGCAGGTAAAGAACTGAGACTTGTACTGTGTCAATAAGGAAACTGGGGCTCATGGAATTAAATGGACCTGTCCTAAATTTCTCAGGCAACCCAGAACCTCTGCTTTCCAACTCCTGCTCCAGAACTTGCCCTTGACCCAGATGCTCTTGAGTATTGCTGGGTTGGAAAACTACGTGATGTAAGGCAGTGATTTATTCAATTCATATCTGAAATCCTATGTCTGGCCAAAAAACTCAGAAGCATCAGGCTCAAGTGAATTCATGTCCATTTGGAAACTGCTTACCCAACAGAGCTAGAAGTTTAAAAATACTGGAAGATAGACTATCTTTCTGTCATCTCATCACTGTTTGTTTAAAACTTCATGATGCATGTGAGTAATGAGTTGGAGGACTTCAGCTGCTTCTTTGAGCATTTGTTCTTTTGTGGCTTCCACCTTATAATAAGCCTGCCTCTGAGACAGGTATTACTAATTGCATATTGTTTTGTGTTTCTAATGTTTCATTTCACTGACTCCTCTTTCTCTTCCCCTCTTAGTTGTAAGATCCCTGCTGTTTTAATATTTAACCATTTCTTCACAGGCATCTTTTTAATCCAGCTTAACTTTGGACATGAATTGAAGTTGACCAAATTGCTTGCTACAGTCCTGTCAGCATTTCTGCATTCAGAACTGTTTGTTGACCCAGTTGCAGTGATATAGATTTTCCCACACAGTCTATTTGACATTTGCAAATCCAGTCTGCACCAACTTCTATTGTATTAAGCAAATAACCATACTGCACTGAAATTCCACTCATTGTTAACTCCAAAGCAACGGGATTTTCTCCAGTTCACAAACAGTCAAACCTATTGTTATCAGAAAACCCTCTCCAGATGAAAACTGAAAAGAATCATATGACCCAGAAAAAAGATTAGCCTTCAGGAAGTCTTTGGGTTTTGCCATTTTGGTCAAAATATCCCCAGAGGCAGTGGAAAATAATAAAGTAAAACCTATTTTTGGAATAAAGCCCATTTCAAAATAGAGTCTACAAACTTTCAAATTTGCAAGACAGGGCTTCTCAAAATAAAAGGCACAAAACTGGGCTATGGCAAACCCAAAGGGACCAGAAGCAATTCAAAACAAGGGATTTAGTAAATTTTAATTGCCTCATTTTCAATTCAAAAGGGAGTGTAAGTATTGATATTATGCTATAGCTCAATTGCACAGACCAATCAGCTAGTTTGCTGTGACACAGGAATCCTCAGAGATTCATCATTACCCAGGATTTCTGTCATTTCAGATGAATTTTCCACCTTGTTGGAAACAACACGCTGTACTTCCCCAATCTTCTTTTTCTGTGCTTCTATCTGGGGAGACTGATTTAAATTATAGTGTTCCAAATAAAGTCTGAATAGGAAACAAACCCAGTATTTTTCATATATGAAAAGGCAGGGTATAAAGAGCTTGTTCTAAGGACACATGGCATTTGTTTACCAGAAGGAACACAAAGGTTTACGTCTCAAGATTGGAACGTAGACAAAACTATAAAACCTGACTTATAAAAAAGTCGAAAATAGTGAATAAAAATAGCTAATGAATTGCCAAGATTTATGTCCCAGTACCAGCTGCTGGGATTCCAAACCAGTTCCAGAGATGCTGGGGTTCCTAGGACACTACTTCAATTAGAGAGCTTTATGGAAACAGGATTGAGTGTGCACCCTTCTGGTCCACAACATCTCCTGGTGCTTCATGGATAGAGAAGGCAGGCAGCACTAACATTCTTCACTTCGAATCATTAGGAACAACCAAATATTCCATATTGGTCTCTTTGTATATTAGCTATCTATCATTGCATAATAAATTACCACAAAACTTAGTGGCATAAATCAATAACAACCATTCATTACCCCACTGTGATATCCAGCTTCCAGGATGGCTTACAGAGATTCCCACTTCCTAGTTTTCACACCCTTCTGCAGTCCACACCTACACTGACTATGACTGACATGTGCAGCCAGTTAGATCATATGGAAAAGACAACATGTGACTCCCAATGTTAGGTCATAGAAGACGTTATTATTTCCATATTTCCCCCTCTCTTGGATTCCTTCTCCTGGGAGAAGCCGGCTACCATATTGTGAGGACACTCAAGCAGCCTGAAGAGGCATCCATAGGGAGAAATCAAGTTTTCCTGCCAATAGTCAGTGAGGAGCTGAGGTCTCCTTAACATCCACATGAGGGAGCCATCTTGGAAGCAGATCACCCAGCTCTAGTCAAGCCTTCAGATGACCACAGCCCCAACCAATATCTTAACTGCGATATTAGACACCTTGAGCCAGTAACACCCAGTTAACCCCCTCATAAATTCCTGTTTCACAGACACTGGGGGGATAGTGTTTATTTCTTTAAGCCACTACATTTTGGAAAAATTGGTTATGCATCAATGAATAACTACAATAGTAACCTGCATATTTGGGAGTGGCTTATCTGAGTGGTTCTGATCCAGGGTTTTTTTGCAAGGTTGGCAAAGCTGCAGTTTTTTGAAGGCCTAACCATCTGATGGATCTGTTTTTATTATGTCTCACTTATATGGCTGGCAAGTTGGTGCTGGCTGTTGATGGGAAGCCTCAGTTTCTCTTCCTGTCATCTCTGTGCAGTCAGCTTTGGTGCCTTCACAACATGCAGGCTGGCTTCTCCCAGGGTGACTGAGCTGAGAAAGAGATCAAGGAGGAATTAATACAGCCTCTTATGACTGTGATGGTTAATTTTGTGTCAACTTGACTGGGCTAAAGAATGCCCAGATAGCTGGAAAGACATGATTTCTGGGTGGGTGTATGAGGGTGCTTCCAGAAAAGATTAGCATTTAAATTAGTAGACTAAATAAGAAAGACCCATCCTCACCAATGTGATGGGCAGGCATCAGCCAATCCATCTGTGGCCCAAATAGGAAAAACAACAGGAGAAATGGTGAATTTGTTCTATTTGAACTGGGACATGCATGTTCTTCTGCCTTCAAACATCAGCAGTCCTGGTCCTCAGACCTTTGGACCTGACCTCAATTGCCACTGGATTTCCTGATTCTTCAGCCAGAATACTGCAAATCATGGAACTCCTTTGCTTCCATAATTACATGAACTGGTTTTCATAATGATATTTCCTCTCTCTCCAGATAGATAGATAAAGAGATAGAAAGATATAGATAGATATACATATAGATCTGTCTCTCCAAATATATGTATCTGAGTGCTTATATATACATGTATGTTATATAGACACATATACATAAAAATATACATACACACATATATATAACACATTTATTTGTTCTGTTTCTCTAGAGATCCTTGACTTATACAGATTTTGGTACTGAGAGTAGTTCTAGAGATGAGTTTTAAGGATGAGTTCTATGAAATGGTTTTGTGGTCTCTAATTGGCTCTTGTAATCTGACTTGATTTCAAATTGCTAAGCACTCTTTAAAGTAGTAAAGAGAGCATAATAGTTCGTGGTGTAAACTTTATAAAAATATCCAAAGTATCTGCATTGGATATCACTAATCAACCACTTAGAAAAAGCAAAGAGTGAAGTGACTCTGTATATAACAATTTTGCACATTTTTTTTGAAATTGACACAATTCAATGTCATTGTTTGCTTATTCCTAATATCACTGAGCAAATGGCAAAAAAAAAAAAAGTATGAGCTCAGGAATTCAAATTTCCACCTCAAGCACCACGTAAATGACCTAAGAACTTCTAGATGTTCCTTGAAGGAGAGCCTTATCTTCTGTCACTACAGGGTTGAAATTACTGAAAATCAAACTCAGAATCTTATCCTGTGATTGGCTGGATTACAACACAAGTTGAACTCCCAGCCTTAAAGTAGGGTGTCTACTGTTAAAGTGAGAACATTAATTAGGAAAGAATGAAAGAATGAGATCCCATAAGTTGAGTGAAGATGTGTAGGGAGAACATAATTAAGCTGAGAACATTGAGCCCCTAAATTCTTTTTTTTTTTTTTTTTTTTTGGTACAGTCTCACTCTGTCACCCAGGCTGGAGTGAAATGGCACAGTCTCAGCTCACTGCAGCCTCTGCCTCTCGGGTTCAAGCAATTCTCCCACCTCAGCCTCCCAAACAGCTGGAACTACAGGTGTGCACCACCACACCAGGCTAATTTTTGTACTTTCAGTAGAGATGGGATTTTGCCATGTTGGCCAGGCTGGTCTCGAACTCCTGACCTCAAGTGATCTGCCTGCCTCAGCCTCCCAAAGTGCTGGGATTACAGGCATGAGCTATGGTGCACTGCCTGAGCCCCTAAATTCTGATGAGTCTTCTTTGCCAGTGGAAGAGGTCTCCCTGCTCACAGTGGTAGAGCCTTCTCCATTCACAAAGGACTGGCCTTTCCACCTCCCTTTGAGGATATTAATTTTGTATTGCTTGAGGAAATGGTAATGTCCTCCCCTGAGGCAGTTGCCCTGCAAGACAGTACTGATGCTCTTCACGACCTACCCTCATCACCCCTCTTTTCTTCTAGACATATAACCAGGCTCAAGTCCCAGAAGACCCCTAAAGGTGAGGCGAAAAGTGTGATGCATGGGAAGGTGTACTACACTCCAAAAGAACTTACTTGAATTTTCTAATTTTTATAAGTAGAAATTTATGGGACGTGTATGAAAATGGATATTAATAGAGTGGAATAGTATTGGGAGGAACATACATTTGGATCAGGTCAAATTTATTAATATGTATCCACTAAGCAGACATTTTGCATTAAATGTTGCAAATCAAGGAGTTAGAAAGAGCTCTTAGAGTTTGGCTGGTTGGAACATGGAATAAAATATAACCCACAATGAACACATTGCAAACATGCAACCTCTCTTGGTTTAATATAGATGAAGGGATTCAAAGATCTAGGGATATTGGAATGTAGAGTGGATTTGTCATTTGAGAGTTACCCCCCCAGGGAGGGTCCAGAGAACCATACTTTCACCAATTCTTTGAGAATTAAATTTGTGAGGGGAGCCCCAGCATGTTCTCTATAGGCCAAACCTGACAGTGGGAGCTACAGCCCTTGATTAGAAAATGTAAATGCAATGGGAGTAATTGGAACCTAGGAGGGCAGAGGCTAAGGGGAAGACTCAATTGCCAGTGCCAAGGTGGGCAGTGGCTACCATAATGGACATCAAAGTTAAAGCAGCAAACAGAGCAGTCAGACCTGTGCAAATGTGTGGTGTTGGTTAGTTCATCATGGTGATGCTAGAGGTGAAATAGACGGAAATCATACCCAAATTTTAGTTGACCTGTATAAGGAGAAAAATTCTAGATCAACTGAACAAAAGCCTAACTCAAATCACAAAAACAGAGTCACAGCCCCTCCATCAATTCTCAGAATTGAGCCAGTTTGCAGACCCAGAACCACTTTAATAAAGCGAAGGCTAGGTCCCTTGAGGAAGAGCCCTAGTGCCGTATCAAATATTTATACTGTAAATCTTTATCCCAGCCTTCCCCACAGAAACCTCCAGCCTTTTGAAAAGGTAACTGTGTGTGGGAAAAAGGAAAAAGTCAGAACTCTGGGGGACTTCTAGACACTGGCTCTGAACAGCTACTGATTTCAGAAGAGCCCAAAACATCACTGTGGCCCTCCAGTCAGAGTAGGGGCTGATGGTGATCAGTTACTTTTAGCTCAGATTCATTTCATGGTGGGTCTAGTGGATCCCTGAGCCCATCGAATCATTATTTCCCCAGTTCCAGAATTGATCATTGGAATAGACATAATCAGAAGCTGGCAGAATCCCCACATTGATTCTCTGACCTGTTGACTTAGGGATATTATGGTGGGAATGGCCAAGTGAAAGTTATTATGACTGCCTCTACCTAGAAAAAGAGCAAATAAAAAACAGTACCCTGGAGGGATTGCAGAGATTAGTGCCACCATCAAGGACTTAGACTTAAAAAATGCAAGGGTGGTGATTCCCATCTCGTCTCCATGTAGCTCTCCTATTTGTCCTATGCAGAAGACAGTGAATTTCTACATGCTTACCCAAGTGGTGACTCCTATAACAACTGTTGTATCGGATGTGATTTCATTGCATGAGCAAATTAACATATCCTCTGGTATCTGGTATGTAGCTATTGATTTGGCAAATGCCTTTTTTCCCATCTTTGTCCATAAGGTCCATCAGAACAGTTTACTTTCAGCTGACAAGGCCAGCAATACTCCTTCATGATCCTACCTTAGGAATGCATCACCTTTCCAGTCCTAGGTCATAATTGAATTCAGAGATCTTGACTGCCTATCCCTTCCACAAGCATTCACGCTGGTCTATTACATTGATAACATTATGCCTATTGCACCTTGTGAGTGAGAAGTAGCAACTACTTTAGACTTATAGGTAAGACATTTGAGTATCAGAAAGTGGGGAAAAAGCCAATGATAATTCAGGAATGTTTTACCTCAGTAAAATTTTTAGGCGTCCTGTGGTATGCGGCATGTCAAAATACCCTTCTAAAGTGAAGGATAAGTTGTTGAATCTGGCCCCTCCTACAACCCAGAAAGAAGCACAATGTCTAAAAGGCTTATTTGGACTTTAGAGGTAATGTATTACTCATTTGGGTGTGTCTCTCATCCATTTACCAAGTGACCCAAAAAGCTGCTAGTTTTGAGCAGAGCCCAGAACAAAAGAAGGCTCTGTGATGAGTCCAGGCTGCTGTGCAAGCTGCTCTGCCATTTGGATCCCATGATCCAGCAGATCCAATGGTGCTTGAAATGTCAGTGGCAGATAGGGATGCTGTTTGGAGCAGTGCAGGACTTAAGCATTTTGGAGGAAGGCCTTGCCATCATCAGCAGATAACTACTTTCTTTTCCAGAGAGAGCTTTTGGCCTGCTACTTGGCCATAGTAGAATTGGAACACTTGACCACAGTCCATCAAGTTAACATGTAACATGAGCTGCTTTCCATGAACTAGATGTTATCTGACCTATCAAACCATAAAGTTGGACATGCATAGCAACATTATATCATCAGATGGAAGTGGTGTACACATGATCAGACCCAAACATAACTTGAAGGCACAAGCAATTTACATGAATAAGTAGTTCGAATGCCCATGGTCCCACTCTTGCTACACTGCCCTTTCTCTCCCAGTCTGCATATATGGCCTCATGGGGAGTTCCCTACAATCAGTTGAAAGAGGAAGGCAAATTCAGACCTGGTTGACAGACAGTCAATATGCAGGCACCACCCAGAAGTGGATAACTGTAGCACTCAGCCACTCTCCAGGACATCCCTGAAAGACAGCAGTGAGGAAAATCCTCCCAGCGGGCACAACTTTGGCAAGTGTGCTTGGTTGTGAACTTCGCTTGGGAGGATAAATGGCCAGATGTGAAAAATGACCAGTGGATCCTAGATGCAATGGCTACAGCCTGTGAAGTGGGTATTAATGGGCTGTGGCTGGTGTTTTGACAGAATGGTCAGAGACTTCAAAGAAGGATGATTGGAAAACTGATGTCAAGTAAATATGGGGAAGAGGTGTATGGAGACATCTCTCTTAAAAGGCAAAAAATGTGAAACTATTTGTGTCCCACGTGAATGTTCATCAAACAGTAACCTCACTAGAGAAGGATTTTAATAAAGTGGATAGGATGACCTTTTCTGTGTATATCAGTCAGCCCCTTTCCCACCTCTGTTATTGCCTGATAGGTTCATGAGGAAAATGGCCGTGGCAGTGGAGATGAGCTATGCCAGGGCTCAGCACTGTGTACTTCCACTCTCCAAGGCTGACCCAACTGTGGCCACTGCTGGGTGATCTTTGCTAGCAGAAGAGACCAACACTGAGCCCCCAAACAGCACCTTTCCTCAGGGTAATCAGCCAGCTACCTGGTGGCCGGCTGATTACATTGGAGCACTTCCATCATGGAAGAAGCAGCATTTTGTCCTTACTAGAAAAGATGTTCACTGTAGATATAAATTTGCCTTTACCGTATGTGATGTTTCTGCTAAAACTACCATCCATGGATTTACAGAATGCCTTATTATTCAGCATTGTGGCATTACACACAACATGGCTTCTAATCAAGGAACTCACTTCATAGCAAAGAAGTGCAGCAATGGGCCCATGCTCACGGAATTCGCTGGTTATAGTACGTTTCTCACTATCTTGAAGTCGCTGGCTTGATAGAATGGCAGAATGGCCTTCCGAAGAATCAGTTACAGTGCCAGCCAGGTGGTAATATCTTTTAGGGCTGGGACAATGTTCTCCAGAGGCTATATATACTCTGAGCCAGTGTTTAATATGTGGTGCCGTTTCTCTGATAGCTAGGATTCACGGGTCCAGGAATCAAGGGATGGAAGTGGGTGTGGTTCCACTCACTGTTCCCCACTAGTGACCCACTAGCAAATTTTTGCCCCAGTTCCTGTGAATTTATGCCTTGTTGGCCTAGACGTCTTTTTTTTTTTTTTCTTCTGAGATAGTGTCTTGCTCTGTCACCCAGGCTGGGTTGCAGTGGTGCGATCTCTGCTCACTGCAACCTTTGCCTCCCAGGCTCAAGCAATTCTCATGCCTCAGCCTCCCAAGTAGCTGGGATTACAGGCACATATCACCATGTCTGGCTAATTTTTGTATCTTTAGTATAGATGGCGTTTCACTGTGTTGGCCAGTATGGTCTCAAACTCCTGACCTCAGGTGATCCACCCGCCTCGGCCTCCCAAAGTGCTGGGATTACAGGCATGAGCCACTGGCACCTGGCTAGACATCTGAATTCCACAGGGAGGAACGCTTCCACCAGGAGGCAAACAATGATGCTATTGGATTAGAAGAGCCCAGGCCACGCTGGGATCCTTATGCTTCTGAGTCAACAGGCCAAGGAGGAAGTTATAATGCTGGTTGGGGTGATTGATCCAGACTGCCAAAGGGAAAGGTGACTGCTGTTCCACAATTGAGGTAAAGAAGAGTGTGTCTGGGATACAGGAGATTCCTTAGGAAATCTCTTAGTACTACCACGTCTTCTGATTAAGGTCGATGGAAAATTAAAACAACCCAATCAGGCATACCAACTAATAGCCCAGATGCCCTGGGAATAACAACTGGAGTCACCCCATCAGGTAAAAACCAGCCGAGGTGCTTGCTGAAAGCAAAGAGAATATAGACTGGGTAGTATTAAATAGAAGAAGGTAGTTATCAACATGAGCTGTGAGCACATGACCAGTTACAGACTTAAGAACTGTAATTTTCATGAGAATTTCTTCCTTTATTGTTATAAATATGCCTATGTATATATATATATATGCATATATTAAGCAAATATCTTTGTTTTTTATCTCTTATGCCCTTATATAATGTTAGATATATTGACTTTATAACAATATTTAAGTATCGTTAATTCTACATCGTAGTATTTAAGTTACAGAATATCACGAGAAGAGTACACATCTCTCAAGGACTTTACTTTCTCTTTTAAGGGAGGGATAATTGTGTATTTTCAGTTATACACAGGGTAATTGCATCGTGTTAGGTAGAATTGTGACATTATTGTCTTTATTTGGAGGTTGAGTTTATTATTTGATAAACTAAGGCGACGTGTTTGGGTGCAAAGTTGGCAAGGGGTGGATATGTGATGGTTAATTTTATGTGTCAGCTTGACTGGGTTAAGGGATGCTCAGGTAGCTGGCAAAACATTACTTCTGGGTCTATCTGCGACCGTGTTTCCAGAAGAGATTTTTTATATATACATACATATGATATAATTCTATATATAGGCACCTATGTCTATGAACACACGCACATATATATCTCCTATTGGTCCTGTTTTTCTGGAGAAGCCTAATACGATAACCTAGTGTCAAAAGATACACATTGTTACTTCTATGAAATTCTATTCATTAAAAATAAGTTTCTAAGTCTGAGACATATTTTAGCTGAGGGGATTTAGGCTCTACCTTTTGAAAAGAAGAACATCAAAGAATTTTTGGACCTACTGTAAGACCACCAGAGTTCACCCTCTGGCTACAAATTATTAACCTTCCTCTTGCATGCCAAATATACATATTTCCTTCAAAACTCCCCCCCAAATCTTACTTATTACAGCTCAGACTCAAGTTCAAGGATTTGGGTATCTAAATCAAATCCTGCTTTAAGTGAAAGTCCTTAAATGTGGTTTCTTGAGTACAGCTCCTTCCTAACTGAAGACTTGTCAACTAGAGAGAAATTGTCTGTCTTATACACCTGTATGTAATGGTGAGACAAGCCTGAGATAACCCATGTAAATACTTTCAAAAATGGGTAGAGCAGGAGACACTCAGGAATCAGTGGTCCATAGCAATTATGAAATCTAGCAAGGCACATATTAGCATTTCTTTGATCAGGAGTCAAGGCCTGAGAATAATTCTTCATAACTTTTGGCTCTGTCCTCTAAGTTCTTGGTTTTCCCCTGAGTCATTTCTTCTTTTCCATGGAATACAGCTTGTGTTTTTAGCAGAATAGTATTCTTAGCCTGCTTCTTACCTTTAGAAATTTTGGATTTCAAAGCCTTCTTTTTAAATTGTACTGTTTCTGTCCCTTGCAGTTCAAGCAAATAATGTTTTTCTTAATAAAATTATCTTAAAAACTTTGTGAGTCTCCTATGATTCCTGTTGGTATTCACTCCCTTAGAAAAAGCCACACACACAAATGTGGAATTAGCCCTTCTCTATCGTGGGCTTCTACTGCAAGTGGTGAGGGACAGCACTTTTTTCTTTTAATTTTTATTTATTTATTTATTTATTTTTTATTATACTTTAAGTTCTAGGGTACATGTGCACAACGTGCAGGTTTGTTACGTATGTATACATGTGCCATGTTGGTGTGCTGCACCCGTTAATTTGTCATTTTCATTAGGTATTTCTCCTAATGCTATCCCTCCCCCCTCCCCCCACCCCACAATAGGCCCCAGTATGTGATGTCCTAGCCCTGTGTCCAAGTGTTCTCATTGTTCAATTCCTACTTATGAGTGAGAACATGCGGTGTTTGGTTTTCTGTCCTTGCGATAGTTTGCTCAGAATGGTTTCCAGCTTCATCCATGTCCCTACAAAGGACATGAACTCATCCTTTTTCATGGCTGCATAGTATTCCATGGTGTATATGTGCCACATTTTCTTAATCCAGTCTATCATTGATGGACATTTGGGTTAGTTCCAAGTCTTTGCTATTGTGAATGGTGCCTCAATAAACATATGTGTGCATGTGTCTTTATAGTAGCATGATTTATAATCCTTTGGGTATATAACTTGTAATGGGATCGCTGGGTCAAATGGTATTTCTAGTTCTAGATCCTTGAGGAATTGCCACACTGTCTTCCACAATGGTTGAACTAGTTTACAGTCCCACCAACAGTGTAAAAGTGTTCCTATTTCTCCACATCCTCTCCAGCACCTGTTGTTTCCTGACTTTTTAATGATAGGAGGGACAACACTTTTTAAGCTTCTCAGAAGCGTCACTGTTTGAATGGTTGTCTGAGGTACACGATAGATATTTCCAAGATCTTAACAAAAGGTTTACAGCCACACCCTCAACTGCTTCTTCTTAGCATGTTTTGTTGACAGCAGTCTAGATTTGATCTTTGTCCTGGAGCCATTTTTAACTTTAGCATCATTTTACTATCTAGGAGGTCTAGTATTTTTTAAAGTAGCAATTTTCATCTCTCTTATGCTTCATAGACCTTCCTTTAGTTTGTATCTCTTCTTTTCCATCTTACTATAAGCAGCAAGTAAAAACTATGTGATGCCTTCAGCAGTCTGTTTGGAAATGTTATTAGCTAGATCTGACAGTTCCTTGGGTACATTTTGTACTTCAACAACACTTTCACCAGCTGGCCAACTGGAGCAGGTATCCAGGAAAAGTCAAGTGCCTGTTTACCTGGCCAGTGACCTGGTCTCACAAGCACTAAGAAAGTATGCTTATCCATAAAAGAAGATAAATGGCCAGTAAAAATGCATGAAATAAAGTGATTTCCATAGCTGGAGAAGTGGGTGAGGTGGGTATGGTTTTTGAGGTCAATACTTAAAATTCTCTGTAATACCAACTAATTTAAATATTGTGCTTTACAATTTCCAAAGCACTTTCACACACATTTTTATGTGACTGTGCAGTATTTCTTTTGAGACAGTCATTGTGGATTACTGAATAATTGGATATTTTGGTAGGTACTTGTTTGCATGAGTCAGAAGCAAAGTTAGAGCTGATTAACATTCTATGAAATATTCTCAATAAACATGAACACTGGAAAACATAAAAGTTGAGCAATATGCATTTACATTTAATAAATGATACCTATTTCAATTCAATACATTGGTATTAGATTCATTCAGTGTGGTTTTAAAGCTCTGACCTCTCACAGAGAAGCTGGCAGCATATGCAGCTCTCTACAATACAAAGCAAAATATCTTCATACACACAACAGAGAAACTAACTAGTTTTACTGAAGTTCACTTAAAACATGAAGAAGAGGCCGGGCGCGGTGGCTCACACCTGTAATCCCAGCATTTTGGGAGGCCGAGGCTGGTGGATCACGAGGTCAGGAGATCGAGACCACCCTGGGCAACACGGTGAAACCCCTTCTCTACTAAAAAAAAAAAAAAAAAAAAAAAAAGCAAAAAAATTAGCCAGGCGTGGTGGCAGGCACCGGTAGTCCCAGCTACTTGGGAGGCTGAGGCAGGAGAATAGCGTGAACCTGGGAGGCGGAGGTTGCCGTGAGCCGAGATCCGCCACTGCACTCCAGCCTGGGCGACAGAGCGAGACTCTGTCCTAAAAAAAAAAAGGAAAAGAAAAGAAAAGAAAAAAGAAACATGAAGAAGACAACTCCAGAACTAAATTCATTTTCCCACCATTTATTCTAGTTTTTCCCCAAGGTATTTGTTTAATGATTAATGGCAGAGGAGTGGGACGTTATACCCCATGTGTGCTGAGGAAAAGAGCAATGAGGCTAAAATAAGCAGATGAATGAAAAGGAAAGAATCAGATCAGCCTACAAGGCAGGCTACAGTTTCAGGGGGAAAAAAAAATCTAAAAAATGAGGGGAAAAAAAGATGAGTTTAAAGAATGTAACTAAACACAGGATATGATATAGCCTACTGTATAGTGATTACAAATAAGATGTTAAATGGGAGAACTGCCCATTTATTTTTTCAATGACTGTTTTAATACACTCTAGTCAAAATGTAGAGTGGTAAATAAAATATAAAATCTAGGAATAAAAAAGGAAGGGACATAAATTATTCTTATTTCTAAACATTGTCATTAGTTTTTTAATTGAAATTAAATTCATGTGGTGTTTAAAATGTCAGAAAAAAAGATCTTCTCTGCATCCACATCACGTTCAAGTCTACTATGTTGACATCAGAAATAAGACCTTGCAATGGGTGAAATTCAAACTTTTAAATCTCTAGAAAAATTAAAATTTAGACTTTGAAGTTAATTTCTTTCATTTCATAAGATGGAATTTTTGTGTTTTTTTTCACATAAATGCAAGAGTTCTATGGAAAGAAAAATAGTGTACAAGAAACTAGATGGTGTTCACCTTGCTTCTCATGTAACTAGTGCCCTGCAGTAATCTGGGTGAGCTATGTCTGCACAAGCACATATTTCTCCCTGAAAACAGGAAGAAAATTAGCAAGAAAATTAAACACATATTATTTCCTGACCTCTGCTCTGTGTTGATTACTGAAAAAAAGGGGACTTTAAAAACATAGGATACGGCGGGGCGCGGTGGCTCACGCCTGTAATCCAGCACTTTGGGAGGCTGAGGCGGATGGATCACCTGAGGTCAGGAGTTCGAGATCAGCCTGGCCAACATGGTGAAACTCTGTCTCTACTAAAAATATAAAAATTAGCCGGACGTGGTGGTGGGCGCCTGTAGCCCCAGCTACTCGGGAGGCTGAGGCAGGAGAATCGCTTGAACCCGGGAGGCTGAGCTTGCAGTGAGCCACAATTGCGCTGCTGCTCTCCAGCCTGGGTGACAGAGCGAGACTCCATCTCAAAAAACAAACAAACAAACAAGGTAAAAATAAAAATATAGGATCTTTTTTTCTTCCCTTACAGAACTTCCTAGAGAGGGGAAAAGGAGACAAAGGGCACAGCTGCCCTGGAAGCTGCGGACGGCTTCCTCTTCTCCATCCTGGGGGACTATTTACTTCTCTCTGATAGAGCTGTTTCTTTGTGGATCATGTCAACATTTTATGTTCCGTCTCAGTAGTTTCCTCGGGCAGCACAGAGAGATGCTGAGTTATTGCGCTCACTAAATCATGACCCTCATACCCTGGACATTCCGTGTGAAGGCAAAAGGCACCCTGGGAGACAGTGCAGCAGTTAGCTAACTTCTCTGGGGGTAGTCACAGCTTTCCAGAAGAGAATGGAAGAAAAAACATCTGACAGCCACTGATTCGCCTCTTCTCCACCCCTAACCTACTGCTGGAGTGACACTTTTCGAGGACAACAGTCTGCCACACTCCACGGTCCTGCACCTGGGAATGTATCCATGCGTCTAGGCTGCAAGAGTGTCTGAGCCTCAGCATCGTTGCCTCATACACCTGAGATGTGCGTTCTTTCACTGACAAAAACAGATGGCGGTGTTTCAAGCCATCGCCTCCAGTGGAAAGGTAGATGTCAACGCAGATGAGAAAAAGAGCTTGAGGAAAACTGCAGGAGTGCGAGGAATCATTTGAGCTCAAAATGAAATATGAGTGAAAACAGGTTTCCAGTGGAAATGTTCTGTAGATCAGTTAGTATGAAGAAGCAATAATTACAGAAGATGTATTGCAAATATTTTCAGTGCAAAAAACAGAGAACAACAATACTGTTTCCTTTCTGAAACGAGTCACACCGAAAGCGACTACATATCGGGATCACCTCACTCAACCATAGACTGACAGGATTCAACTGTTTAATCTGGACTCTAGTTTTCCCCCGAAATTCTTTTCACCATCTAGCTGCGCAGTACAGAGCACATGAAAACATTAAACCTACAATTACATTGATAAACTGACCCTCAGGAGGCATCCCCTATACCTTAGCTATGGAGACTAGAATATTTTTTATTTTATTAGATTTTAAAATCTAATAACTTAGAGAACAGAAATCACGCCTAAAGTTTACTTCAATAGAAAAAGCGGAACGTGGAATTGCTGGATTAGATGTTAGCACCAGTGTATACATATGTCCAAACTCCCCAAATTGTATACATTATGTGCAGTTTTTAATAGCAATTATACCTCCATAAAATCAGAGAAAAAAGAAAAAAGGCAGAATGTGAAGAAAAAGGGGGGAAATGAAATGACTTAAATATATTTCCTGTAAAAATTGCAATATCGTATGATATAACCAAATATTTGCTCTGACTTAGTCTGAGGCTTTGAAATGGATAAAGGCATGGTTAGTGCTATTCTGGTGCTAGGGTATGTTTCCTTTGAAAGGATCACCTTTCTCGGTGTGCTATCTTCTCCTGAAATGTGCTCCTGACGTTAGATCACAGGATGAGTTGCAGTATATCAAAGTGAATAGCGTAGTTAATCTCCAAAATAAAAACCCTTGTAAATATCAACCTGAAGATTGCTCCCAGAAAGTTCTTTCCAGGATATAATGTCACAAGACAAAGTCGATGCACATACTGAAGAGAGATTTGATAAGACAGAGGACCTGAAAAGACCAGTTCCTGGTGAGGATTTTTTCTCCATTTATTCAAGAAGTACATGTAGTTATGTTTGTAACCAGAAATGAAGAAGGTGAAGCACCCAACCAACCCACGAGCCAACAAATGTGTGTTTGCAATTGTAAGTACCGCACTGGAAAAACATGCCAAAATGGTCAGCATGA
This sequence comes from Homo sapiens, assembly GCF_000001405.40. Taxonomy (NCBI): domain Eukaryota; kingdom Metazoa; phylum Chordata; class Mammalia; order Primates; family Hominidae; genus Homo; species Homo sapiens. The sequence goes on along the minus strand of NC_000013.11, from coordinate 106,820,608 downwards.
GGGGGCTTTATTTCAGTAGATTAGTCCTGGAAGCACAGACTGCCCTCAAAAAGAGCAAAGAACTAAGACTATACCTGGAATATGATATATTGCTAATAAATGATAGGAAATTCATAAATACATAGATACCATCATGTACTGTGTAAGGATGCTTCAGTCAATGATGAACCGCCTATAAGACAGCAATGTTTCAACAAGATTACAAAAACATATCTTTTCTATGTTTAGATATACAAATACTTACCACTGTGTTACAATTACCTACAGTATTTCTTTCTTTTTTTATTATTATTATACTTTAAGTTCTAGGGTACATGTGTACAAAGTGCAGGTTTGTTACATATGTATACATGTGCCATGTTGGTTTGCTGCATCCATTAACTCATCATTTACATTAAGTATATCTCCTAATGCTATCCTTCCCCTTGACAGACCCTGGTGTGTGATGTTCCCCACCTACAATATTTCTTACAGTAACATGCTGTACAGGTTTGAAGCCTAGGAGCAATAGGCCATACCATATAGCCTATGTGAGCAGTAGGCTATATCACTAGGTTTGCGTAAGTACTCTATCATGTTCATACAATGACTAAATCACCTAATGATGCATTCCTCAGAATGTATCCGTGTCATTAAGTGATGCATGACTGTATTTTGCAAGTCATATGCTCTCTGTTACTTTCGCCACTCACCGTTTCATCTTAACAACACCAGAGGGAGAGGGGGAAGCCACATTCACACCAACATAACTATCCAGGCATCTTTTCTTACTCTCCCCAAACAGTAGCCCCATGATAGATAAAACTGTTAAAACCACCCATGGTTGTTAACAACAACTATTCTACAATGGAACATGTTTTTGTGTTAATGGTCATATTGAGAGTGACTTCATCTCCTCCCCTCCCTTCCTCACTCTGATCCTTGAATGCCAAGCCCATCTCCCCCAGGACCAGTGCACATGCTATTTCCTCTTTCACAGGAGCACTCTCCAGGCATCTGCGTAACTCCCTCCTTCAGTCCCCAGGTGCTGCACAAATCTCTCCTACTAGAGGCTTTCCCCAGTCACTCAATAAAATCATAACCGCTCCTGTCCCTTGCAACACTTCCTCTTTCTCTTCACCTATTTCACTGTTCTCCAAATATGTGTTACCACTTGGCAGGCTATATATATTTTGTTTGCTTGTTTACTATTTTTCTTACCCCCTAAAATGCAAGCTCCATGACGGATGTCTTTTTGTTCAGTGCTGGATTTCCAGTTCCTGGAGCATTTTCTTCCACATAGCAGGTTCTCAGTAATTATGTGCTGAATAACTGAATAAATTATTCAATTATAATGTAATTAAAACTCCACTAAGCTTCATGTTTTCTATCCTTCTCCACAAACTAGGAATGCGGTCATCTTTCTAAAGCACAGATATGATCAGGTTTCTCAATCCCTTGCACTGATAACGTCAAAAGCAAACAGGAACATGAGTAACTTAGGAGGCTCCCCTAGGAAGACAGTCTAAATTCCTTAACCTAATTTACAAGATTTTTAATGATCTGCCTTTTGGATGTATCTCTAGATTGATTTTCCACTACTTGGCTATCACGTGTTAAAAGCATGGATTTTGGAACTTAATTTATTGGGTTGAAACTTTGGCCTCATCACTTATTACCTGTGTGTTTATAAAATTTCTACAGTTTTGTTTTCTCAATGGTAAAATGAAGATGATAATAGTATCCATCTTGCAAATTGTATTTTGAGAAACAAGTATGTTAAAATCTGCAAAGTACTTAAGGAAAGAAAAACTACTAAATACATACCTAGACAGTGATCTAGCAGGTCAATTCCTAGGGATTTACCAAAGAGAAATGAAAATACCAGTTTATGAAGACAGTTGAACAAATTTTCATAGCAGCTTTATTCATGATAGCCCCCAAATTGGAAACAGCCCACATGTCCATGAATGGGAGAACAGATTTAAAAATCTGTAGTGATGCTGGTGAGGCTGTGGAGAAATAGGAACGCTTCTACACTGTTGCTAGGAATGTAAATTAGTTCAACCATTGTGGAAGACAGTGTGGTGATTCCTCAAAGACCTAGAGGCAGAAATACCATTTGACCCAGCAATCCCATTACTGGGGTATATGCCCAAAGGAATATAAATCATTCTATCATAAAGATACATGCACGCGTATGTTCATTGTGGCACTATTCACAATAGCAGAGACATGGAATCAACCCAAATGCCCATCAATGATAGAATGGATAAAGAAAATGTGGTACATATACACCATGTAATACTATGCACCCACAGAAAGCAATGAGATCATGTTCCTTGCAGGGACATGGATGGAGCTGGAAGCCATGGTCCTCAGCAAACTAACACAAGAACAGAAAACCAAATAACACACGTTCTCACTTATAAGTGGGAGCTGAACAAGGAGAACAGGTGGACACAGGGAGGGGAACAACACACACTGGGGCCTATTCAGGGTTGGAGGGAGGGAGAGCATCACGATCAACAGCTAATGCATGCTGGGCTTAATACCTAGGTGTTGGGTTGATATGTGCATCAAACCACCACGGCACATGTTTACCTATGTAACAAACCTGCACATTCTGCACTTGTATCCCAGAACTTAAAATTAAATTAAATTAAATTTTAAAAATAATAATAAAAATAAAAATCTGTAGTATATTCATTCAATGGAATACTACAGAGCAATAAAAAGGAATGAACTATTGATACAGGCAATGACAGGGATGAATCTCAAAGACCTCATGCCCAGTGAAAGAAGCACCGCACAAAAGCAAGCAGTGTATTGATAGAAGATTCTGGAAGAGAAAAAAATAATCATGGGGGAGGGAGAAAATCACAGGAGTGCTTGCCCCTTAGAAAGTGGATTGAAGACTCACTGGGAAAGGCTTGAGGAACTTTCTGGGGTGATGTTAAGTTTCTGTATCCTGGTAGAACATTGGGTTAGAAAGGTGAGATTGTGCTGAAATTCAGAGAACGTACACTTTCAATTTTTGCAATTCATTTCACATAAATTTTACAGGAAAAGAATATAAGTAAATGCTAAATTTTAATTTGTGATAGGCATATTTCAATATTTAGTAGAAATTTTACCAATGTCTGCAATTTACTTTCAAATGCACTGAAAGCAAATGATAATTAATTGCTAGATAGAAGGTTGGAAGAATGGATAGACATGATAAAGAAAGTTTAGTTAAATGTTAATGGTAGCATGGAAGTGGTGAGTATATGGATTCTCACCTAAAAATTCCTTTAACTTTGCTGTATCTGAAAATTTTCATAATCAAAATTGGGAAAAAATACAAAAGAAGTATAGCAAAAATATTAATTTAAGTTATCATCATGTAAAATGATTCCACATTTACAATTGCCCATAAAAGTAAACCCAAGCCTCTTTCTTTTAGATCTTTGAAACTCAGTATTACTTATTGCCTGACAATTATTGACATACTCATTCTGCACTAGCATTAACCATATTTTTCTTCATTGACTATTTTTATAGAACAAAAGTTAAATGAGCCCAGTCTTTTGCAATTAATTTTTATAGCATCATTGATTAGATTTCCCCAAATAATTTATTTCTCACTTCATACCCTAGAAGGTAATTCCATTTAATATTGTGGTGTAACATTTTAAACCAGACTGCCTCAGCATACCATTGAAAGATTTACGTAGGTCTGAAACAAGAGCTATTTCTGCCTAATGACCTGTATGTAAAAGCAACAGAAATATAGAAGGTAGGAATAATCAATCCATAAAATGTTATATATCTCCTAAGAGTTGTCTAAGTAATCAAAGATTTCCTGGTGTGGGTCATTATACATTGCAATGACTTCAGTTAACTAAACACTTAAAATATATGTTTCTCTTGCATTTAACATTACCTCTGCAGAGCTGGGATAGTAAACCATTTTGTGTGGCCCATTCAAATATACAACCTAATTATCTAATTCAGTCAGTAAATAAAATAAAGCATTTTTTTATTTTGCAGGCTGCGGGGCACCAGCTAAACTCTCTGGGAAGTTTGCAGGAGGCACAGATACAGCCTTAACCTTGACGAGTCTTCCATCAGAGACATTTCAAGATGCAGTATGAAAACTAAAAGGCTCTGCTCTAACAGAACTTTCTGCCCAGCCATAACACAAAGATATCAAGAAGAAAATAACAAAATACTGTCATAAGAAAATGTAACACAAATAAAGATACAGTACTCCAAAGTACCGAGGATGCCAATTATAACTTACCAATATAACTTCAGGTTGTTAATAAATACTTCATAGGTCTATAATTTCAGAGTAATAGTTTAATACTGAATTTAGATGAAAAAAGAAAATATATATATTTTAATCCTATACTCAGTAATGGCTAACATTTATTGATCAATTTTTTTATTTTATAACATTTTATATAACTCATAAAACAATGCTTATATAAAAATTCACACAAAGTGGCTAGAAAGCACACGATTTCCAAAAATGTCCTGGGTTTTTGTTACATTCAGTTTTCCAAAGATGCACTCAAATTAATGGTAAAATGCAGACATTATATGATATTTCATTCTTTGGTAAAACTATTCTTATTATTTTGTCTCCTCACAGGATAAACTCTGACATCTCCTTTGTGCAGGAGCTGCTATTAACATCACCAGGAGAAAATTGTTAAGGCTGGATCTGGGAGAGGCAAGTATTTCCACATAGCAGTAATAGCTCCTTAGTCCCCACCCCCACTTCAGTACCTCCACCTGGTCCATCTACACAGCCAGGCGGGGTGAGAGCTCAATGACCTCCAAGCAGGAAGCTGGAGACCCCCTCTCCATTGAGCAAGATGCAAATGTTTAGGGGAAAGGTGAGAAAGGAGGATGTCTCTGCAGGAACCCAAGTCACCATGCTGTGGTGTGGTCAAACCAGTGACTCTCACCATGTAGGCAGCCAGTGGCTGGGGGATGGCTGCTGCTGGTGTGATGACCCCTCCTCATAAATTTAAACTTAGAAGACCATCTTTGATGGTCACAAGCTGTGTGATCTCTGCTCAGCCACCTTGTTCTGATCATTTCCCAAGTGAGAGCCACGAATAATATTTCAACTCCTATGATCTTTATATCCACCACCAAGGATCCTCCTACCACCCTTACATTATGAAAACTGGGCTAGAATCCCTCTTGATTCCAACTTAAAAGCTTTATATGCTGTCTATGACACAACTCTATGTACTAAATAAATAAATAGATTTCAAAACAATCTGTGCTATAGCATTGTGTAACCATCTAAGCCATAAAGTTCTATATTCAATAATTTAACAAAAATAGCTCAATTTTATCTTCAAAAATTCTCTGAATAAAGAGACACAAAGCAAATATATCTTAAAAACCTTTGGAAAAGAATCACATAAAAATAATTATAATCTATAATTCAGAGCTTTGTTTTTCACAAAGGTAATAAATTAAACATTCTCCTTTGAGATTTCTTTACTGTGCAAAATGAGACCAATTAGGTCAAACTGTTCTTTTTACCACTTTTTGACATGCTAGTCAGAGATATTAACATTTCCAAACAGAATTGGAAAACATACCAGGGTTTGAAGAAGAATTTGGGATAATCAACCTAAAAGTAGTTGTTGATTATATTCTTTCCCTTTCCTTGATTATATTGTTTATCCTTCCCTGATTCCTGTGAAATTTTCTCCTGTAAAGCAATGGGGAGTTGAAAGAAAGGACAGCAATATATATTCACAAATATTTTCTTTAAAATCAGTCTAATCATCATACCAAAGAAAGAAATGGCAGGCTAGCACAAAGCCAACATGCTCTCAGGAATGGGGCCTCCATGTGTTTCCTCTCCTCTACATCTCAGACTCTCTGCAACATGACTTCAGCCTTTGTACTAAGCATAAACCTCTCCGATTTCATCCTAGATCCTTCTGTGGTCACAGAGGAGTCAGAACTGGGCAGACTCTTCCTTTTATGCCTGAATCCTCCTGGCCTTTCCAACTGTCTTTCCACTAGTAGCATGCCTGCCTAATTTCAGTCCTTCAACTTTCTTTCTCTCTCTCTCTTTCTTTTTCTTCTTTCTTTCTTTTCATTCTTTCCTTCCTTCCTCTCTCTCTTTTTCTTTTTCCTTCCTTCCTTCCTTCCCTCCTTTCTCTCTCTTTCCCTCCCTCCCTCCCTTTTTCTTTCTTTCTTTCTTTCTTTCTTTCTCTTTCTTTCCTTCCTTCCTTCTTTCTCTTTCTTTCTTCTCCTTCCTTCCTTCCTCCCTTCCCTTCTTCCTTCCTTTCTTTCTTCCCTTCCCCTTCTCCTGCTCCTTCCTTCCTTCCTCCATCCCTCCCTCCCTCCCTCCCTCCCTCCCTCCTTCCTTCCTCCCTCCCTCCCTCCCTCTTTTCTTTCTGTCTTTCCTTTCTTTCTTTCTTTCTTTCTTTCTTTCTTTCTTTCTTTCTTTCTTTCTTTCTTTCTTTCCTTTCTCTCTCTCTCTCTTTCTGTCTTTCTTTCTTTCTTTTTTTCTTTCCTTCTTTCTTTCTTTCTTGACAGAGTCTTGCTTCATCACCCAGGCTGGAGTGCAGTGGCCTGATCTCAGCTCATTGCAACTTCCACCTCCTGGGTTCAAGCAATCCTCATGCCTCAGCCTCCCAAGTAGCTGGAATTACAGGCGCCCACAACCATGCCTGGATAATTTTTGTATTTGTAGTAGAGACAGGGTCTTGCTCTGTTGCCCAGGCTGGAGTGCAGTGGCATGATCATAGCTTACTGTCACCTCAACTTCCCAGGCTCAAGCGACTCTCCCATCTCAGCCTCCCAAGTAGCATGGTGCTTTGCCATGCTTATTAACCCATTACCTAGCTATTAAGTCTTGCATGCATTAGCTATCTGTCTTGATGCTCTCCCTCCCCTCACCCTCCAGCAGGCCCCGGTGTGTGATGTTCCCCTCCCTGTGTCCATGTGTTCTCATTGTTCAATTCCCACTTATGAATGAGAACATGTGGTGTTTGGTTTTCTATTCTTGTTTTAGTTTGTTGAGGATGATGGCTTCCAGCTTCATCTATGTCCCTGAAAAGGACGTGATTTCATTCCTTTTTATGGCTTCATGGTATTCCATGGTGTATATGTACCACATTTTCTTTATCCAGTCTATCATTGATGGGCATTTGTGTTGGTTCCATGTCTTTGCTATTGTGAATAGTGCCGCAATAAACTTACATGTGCATGTAGAAAAGACCATTTTCACCTAACAAACTGGCAAAAACTGAAAAAGAATAACCACACCCAGTGCCACCCAGAGCAGCACTTTCCAACCCTGCCAGAGCAGCACTTTCCAACCCTGCCAGAGCAGCACTTTCTAACCCTGCCAGAGCAGCACTGTCTAACCTGCCAGGACGGCACTGTCTAACCCTGCTACGGCAGCACTGTCTAACCTGCCAGAGTGGCACTGTCTAACCCTGCCAGGGCGGCACTGTCTAACCCTGCCAGGGCGGCACTCTCTAACCCTGCCAGTAGAACTTGCAGATCGTGACGCTTCTTCCTAATGTATGGAAAGTCCATAATATACACATAACCTTTGATGCAAGAATCTCATTTTTAGGAATCTAATTAATAAAAATAACCAGAAATGTTGCAAAATTGTGTAGACAAGATATTTAGCTGAGTCACTTGTAATAACTAAAGTAAACAAACAGCATAAATATTCAGAAATAAAGATTAAAGAAATGTCTATGAAGAAACACTAGGTAGCCATTTAAAATAAAGATGTAGACTGGGTGCAGTGTGGCTCACCCACCTGTAATCCCAGCACTTTGGGAGGTCGAGGCAGGTGAATCATTTCAGGTCAGCAGTTCAAGTCCATACTGGCCAACATGGTGAAACCCCATTTCTACTGAAAATACAAAAAAAAAAAAAATTAGCCAGGCATGGTTGTGCATGCCTGTGTCCCAGCTACTCAGGAGGCTGAGGCAGGTGAATCGCTTGAACCCAGGAGGCAGAGGTTGCAGTGATCAATATCATGCTACTGCACTCCCACCTGGGCGATGGAGCCAGACTCTATCTCAAAAAAACAAATAAATAAATAAAAATAAGTTAAAATAAAATAAAGACATAGATAAATATTAGTTGGCATGGAAAGACATCTATACTGTATTGTTAAGCCAAAGGAACAGAGTACACGTAATATAATCTCAACTTTTATTATCTGGCTCGTAAGGCAACAGGAGATATAACTTGATTTTTCTTTTTAAAAAAATTCTAATATATTTTCTTCAGAGAACACGAGTTATTTTTTATAGTTAAGATATCCTTTAATTGGAAAAATGTTTCGCAGAAATTATTGACTTTCTGCCCCATTATCTCCCCCAGCCCCACCCTGTACAGAAGGATTAGCGAGTTCAAGTGGTCACTCACACTCCGTGACCCGTCACATTAGGAGTGAGGCTGCTGTGTGTGCAGACATCACGCTTATAGATATGATGTCCTTTTTTCTTCTTCTTGCTTCTTTTCGACCAGGGATGCTTCCCAAGCCTGAGGTCTGCCCGCGCGCTCCCTATGCTCTTTCTGCTGTCTGGACCCTTTCATCCTCTCCACCCTCATGGTAGGTCAGCCTGAAGCAGAGCCAGGAGACCCAAACTGAGTTTGGGCTCAGTGTGGTGAAGAGGATATTTGTGGCTTTAGGTCGGGCACCATTCTCCAGCCATGCTTGCTAAAGTGCTCTGCAGATTTTGCTCACAAGTACAGCTAATAATTGAATAGTATACCCAATTTCTTTCTCTCCCATTGTCTCCTTATGTCTGTAACTCCCTCAGGAGCCCCCTAAGGAGAATTCGCGGGGATTTGTGGTAGGATCAGGCATTCATCAACCCCCTAAGCAAATACCACTGAATAACACTAGGATTTTGCCCCTGCCAGGGCTAGCTTCATGAGCCCTTGATCTGGTTTGTCACAAAGAGTTCCACCTTTAGAAGGGCTCTGTGCTTGGTTCTGCTGTTGCTATCTTGAAATCCTTAAATTTTTTTGAGCAAATGGCACTGGGCCCCACAAATTATGTAGCTGGTTCTAACCCTAGCCCCAAACACTGAATTCCTTTGAAATAAAAGTGACAAAGTCAAAATTTACATATTGGGGAAAAGAACATAGGAACATCCCTTTCCTTTTGGATGACCAATTAGTACAAATAATAGTGAGAAGAACAACTCTCTTTCCTTCCTAGAAAACCACCCGAGTCCTTACCTTTTGAACTTGACTATAGATTTGCATTTGAGAATGATTTTCAGAGAGGTGAAGTAAAAGCTCTAAGTGGTCTGCACTGTTATCGGAAGAATGGAACAGAAGAAGTTCCTAAAAAATGAAAAATTGTTGATAACCCATGATCTCAAGATTCCAGTTTTGTAAATATTTTTACTTAGTCAGACAGAGTGACTAGTCTTTGGGGGTTCTAAACTCATGCCAGGATGAAATTCACATTGTAAATAGAAGAGCAAAGCTTGTGTGATGAAGCCAATGAAGTGTTCTTGGATTTTAAACAGCCATAGATTGGCCAACAGGTCAGCTAGTAAATCAAATTATGACACCATCAAATGCTACCACCATCGATTTTTTTCATGCCATTTAAGAGAAAAATAATATCACTCATCCTTCCCCAGAATTTAGTTCAGAGGTTTATGGTCATGGCCTTTCTAATCAATGTCAAATTTCTATCAAGATAAGGCCAAAAAGAGCTGTCTTAATTGAAACAATAACTGGAGATCAGAATAACATTTTTTTCTAGCCACAGTCAGCATACAGTTCTGTTTGTCTCTTTTAGTCCATTTCCCTGCCAACAAATTTATGTTAAATGCATGTAATATTCCAATCTGCTAAAAAGATTTGGTATAAAGTGAAAGAATAGTGTATTATGCATAACTCTGTTGTTGACAAGCTCTAGGGACATACCGTTCTAGTTTTAATTATATTAAAATGGATATGGTTCTCAGATGCTAATACTCTTTCTTATTTGTTTACAGTAAAATGGGTCAAAAGACCATTAATTCAGATCCAGAACTGTCATCTCTGGTCCTAGGTTCCGTACAACTAATGAGACTTCACTGGTATTTGCTCACACAGCCTGCTCAGCCCTTAGCATTCACAATTTCCATTGACAAGGTTATTGGATTCAAAATGAATGTTTACATTGAAAGGGGAAACAAGTGTCAAATATGAAGCTCAAATAGATACTCCAAGCTGGAGAAGCTTATCATGGCTTAAACCGTCTACTGTTTATTTCCCCTAATGAAAAGCAAAGACAATAGGGGACATGGGGATAAGTGTAATGAAGAGAAACAATACCAGGATTCTTAGGGGTTAATCCAGGCACAACAGAGTTAATCTGGAAGAGGGTAGGGGAGGTTTTAGGCTAAAGACACAGACAAAAACTTGTTACTTTTGATCCAGTTGTACCCAATGAATGGCTCTATTTGCAAAGAAGATTTTGGATTTTCAAACCAGCGGGACAAAAGTTACATCCTTGATTTTTCTTGTTAAACGCACTTGTGCTTGTTTCCAGAATAAATGATGTCACAGATCTTCATTTTCCTCTCAAACAACAAAACAAAAGGAGCATAACAATACAGATACTTAAGAAAGCACAGAATTTGTCCTAAGACTGAAAAGTCCCCGAGAGCCAACATGTATTTCAACAGATGCTACAATAATTACTTTGTGAAGCAGAGAAAAAATGCTATTTTATTTTAATATCCCAAAAGTTAAAAGATAAAAGCAACACAGTGGATTTGTCATCACATGTAAATATAGTGCTTCAAAATAATAATTTGTTTTAAAATTGCATATTCTGCATTATTATAACTGAAATATAAAGTCAGATCAATGAGGTTATAGGAAAATGATTAAATTTAAGTGTACAGCCCTGCTTCTCATGTTTGCAAAATCTCTGCCTTGCAAACCTAAATGTACAAACTTTCAAAATATGAGTTAATTAAATTCACTTAGGATTTTCCTAAGGTAAGAAACCAACCATAACCTGGGTGGTGAGGAAGGATGTTAAAATCAAATTAATATTTCTGAGAACTAAGTGTGTTATTTGAATTCAATAGCATAACTTCAAACATGTCACTGAGCACACCTTATATGAAAATCCCCATGGATTAAATCTGAGCCTCTATCACATAAATCATAAATTATGCCATGCATTACATCTGAATGAATGGAAAAATCCCCAAACAAAGTAACTAAGACCAAATAAAAGTAATATCACAGCCTTTTGGTGAATAGGTAGGTATGAAAGGGGAGGGAATGTTACTGCCAAAATGTTAAACCAGAATTGTCCTAAACACAACTAAGGGTTTTTATGAGATTTTCATATTTCTAAAAGAAAGATTTTATTTCTAATGGCAGTTTTTTAATTTTCCTTTTCTAATTTGAAATGTTAATATGAAAATGTATTATATGGAATATGAAAACAATCTTCTTACAAAAGATTATTAAATGTATCTGCCAGTTAAAAAAGTATATCTTAATCTAAAGAGGTCATATAAAAATTATAATAAAGCTTAAGTGTTATTACGTATCTATCATTGTTATTCCTATTGTTTGAAAAACTAGTTTGAAAGCAAACAAGTGCATTCGAAAAGGAAATATGTTTGTAAGAGATTCCTCTTGAATCCTATTCGTGAAGTCATATTTGATCTTATTATTTAAACTATTGTCATGTTCTAGGGTATCATCTTTATACCAACTAAGTTGAAATAAACACAATTTATAAAGCAATAGTTAAAAATACATTTCTCATGCATATGTTTTGTTTTATTCTTAGCTGTTATGGGGTAGTTCTATGTTTAAAAGTAATTTGTAGTATCATATGCTCAATTTTCTTAGATTATTCAAAAGTTTCTTGGCAACAGCATTCTTAAAATAAACAAATAGATTAATACGTAAACATAAGTGTTTAGGTAACATACGTAGAAGAGCTTGCCCACTGGAATATAAATAAGACCGTCAACAACTGACATTATTTCATCCAAAGAACAAAGGGAAACCATGAAGTTGTCTGAGTTTACAAGAAAAACATGTTTGCTTGTTTTTATGTCTCTCTCCCTGCAGAGGACAGAACAAAGGTCAACAGACTTAGGTCAATGTAAGTCAAGACTTTTAGAATTATAGCTATACAACAATCAAAATGGCTGTATTGAGGCATGGTGAGCTTCACATCACTGCAATTATTTAAGAGAAAATGGATAAACTAGATAAATTGCCTTTCTGCTAAAAGGGAAGTCTTTATGAGTTTGAAGTTGAACTAAATGACCCCAAAGGTCTCTCAGTATATTACATTCAACAAACATTATGAGTAAGCCAAAGGGGTATCATTTCAGATGTGTATACATACATTTACTCAGAATTCATATAACTTTAGGAACCATACTCAGATTCAGCTGCTTTTGGAAAAAAATCATGAGACCTATCCAGGCTACTACTAGAGATAACTAATTAAACATCATCTTGTAAAATGTGAAATTCTGAATGTTCCTGAAAACATTTAATCCTTTTCCCCTTCAATCATCTGTTCCTCAGCTTATAGCACGTGGGTGTAACTCAACTAACCTCTCTTGTGGTGCTTCCCCACCCACCAGTGTTTGTGGGATGCATAGACATGATTGGGTTGCCGGGGTACATCCTGTTTCCCCAAGAATTCTGAAAGAGGTGAAGGGCAGAGAGTAGGTGAAGGGAATGGAGGAAGGGGAAGCAAAACAGGTCCTGTGGAGGGAAATAAACCCTTGAGATCTTCGCAGGAAAAGGAACAGACTTTAATTGGCTTTAATACAAATAATATTCCCTCTGAGAAGCCTTTCCTCTCCCCCAGTTCTGACTGGGGACCCTGACATGTGGTCTCTAGCCTCCAGGACTTCTTCCTCTCCTATCACCTTTGTCTCTGCACTGAAAGTGACTGTCTGAGCATCTGTATTCCCTATGGAAGGTAAGATCAGTGAGCCGGGGGGCTATGTTTCCTGTCACAGAGCTAACACGCATCAAAGGCTCACGGGAATCTTGCATATGGTGTTTCACTTGATCTCACATCAACTCCCTGAGGTGGCTACTATTTATCCTGCCTGGGAGACACCTTAATACTGTGGTTAGGAGCATGGACTTCAGAGCCAGAGGGCCTGGATTCTAATCCTTAGGCAAGGCAATTACTTCTTCATGCCTCCATTTCGTTGTCTGTAAATGGGTCTAAAAATGGTGCTTACTTAAAGAGTTAATGAATACTAAATAATTTAAAATGTATATGACACTTCGAGCAGTGCCAGGCACAAAATAGATGGTACAGAAATGTTAGCTGGTATTACCTCCCATTTTGCTGATGAGTAAACTGTGGCTTAGGGAAACTAAGTCACAGGTGGTGAATGGGGAAGTGATCTTACTCTTATCTATCTCTACAATACTGTCTTAAAATATAAAGTATAAAAGTGTGTATTCCAAGAACAGAGAACAACCATAGGTAATCAGTAAGTGTTATTAGAGGGAATGAATAGCAGAAATACATCTCCCTCAGTACAGCCGCCAAGGCAAGCTGGCCAGGGAGGGACACGTGGAAGCTGTGCTGGAGGGCAGCAATGTGGCAGGGCAGGGATCCACAGATCTCAGGTGTCATTACTTTGAGAAGCTTGTCTCACTTGGAAGCAGCCTGTGAGACTTTGATGGTAGGCATTAATTCCTAGCAACTGACCACTACTTAGAATGTTAGTTTTTTCTTTTCTAACTAAGCATAATCATTGTGTTCCTTTGATTTATAGCTCCATCTCCAAAAGAAATAATTGCACATACTTATCAACTAGTTAGCTATGACACAGGAATCCTCAGAGATTCATCATTACCCAAGATTTCTGTCATTTCAGATGAATTTTCCACCATGTTGGATGCCAGGGACAGGCAACAGGTTCAATAAGTATTCATTTACTCAACAAATGTTTAATTGAGCAACTACTATAGATCAGACACAATGTTAGGTGTAGGCATTTATGATGCAAAGGTAGGCAAGACAAGTTACTTTTTCTCTTTGAAACTAAAATCTTTCTTCAACGGTCTGTGCAGGGGAGTGATTAATTACCTAAGGATAAAGAATATATCTAGATTCTCACCTTGTACCATATATTAAAATTAAATTTCAGATGACTAAAATAATTAAGTGTAGAAAAAAACTAATGTAAACTATGAATGAATGACTTGACTTATTGGTAGAGTAGATCTTTCCAAACCAATAAGCTCAGAAAAAAAATTGAACATTGTACAATGAGATTAATTCAAAATTGATATGTTTGTGAATCAAAATATCAAGATAATAAGAAACCGGGAAAATATTTACAATAAATATGAAAAAGTCAGCAATCTGGAATCTGTCTTGCTGCTCTATACTGCACAGAGGCGTCTGGGAAGCCCAGCGTGTGGTCAGTTTATAACCAATCCCACCATTGACTGCTTTCCTCCAGGATCTGGATTAGTGCTGAAGTGTTCTGATGTGTGCTTAAGTTCTAATACTGATTTTAGAATTTTTCCCCAAATCCCTACTGCTTGGTATTGGTTTTTATACCCAGTGGAATTCTTGCAATGCTCCTTCCCCAGCCTGGACCCTATCACATGCCTGCAGAGAACAGCACAAATTGGTCAGTCCAACACAAATATCTGGTGGATCACCTAGAACCGTCTCTGAATTAGGGCTGACCTGGTCCCATTTTCTTGGTGACAACAGAAATTATGTGATTGACACACTCCTTTGGGAATGAGCTCTACTAGTTTTCTATCCATCCCCAGATTCCTCTCCACGGGCATCCTGCTAAGATGCAACCAGGTCTCAGATACTAGCCTATCTGGGTAATGATAAGAGAAAGAAATCACCCATGTTTATTTTATGTTAAACAACAAAAAAATCATTTTTTCTCTCTCAGCTCAAAGGGTTGTCCTAGATTTCAGTTATAAAATGTGGAGTATTCAAAGGATGTGAGAAACCCACGGAGCAGAAACAGGAGTTTACCAGGAGAAACAGTCTCTCCTGGTAAAGGGTAGGCATATGAACACCTGAACTCAGCATTTATGAAGTGCTTGCAAAAACTAGGCAGTGAGCAAAAAAACTAGTTTTTGCAAGCACTTTATATGTGACTTGGACCTCTTAGTACGTTTCAAGTTTTATAAAAAGTTTCCTTCCTAATAATGTGATAATATTTGCTATTTTTAAAGTTGCACCATCTTTTAAAAGTTGCCATATTAAAGAAGAAAAAAATTAGATATTTGTTCCCGGTTGTGTACATTGCGTTCACTCCTGAAATTCATGTCAAATCAGAAAGTTGGGAGGCTAACTGAAGTGGAAACAGGAAATAACACCAATACACTTCTAACCCACAGGTTTCCCAGCCCCATTAAAATTCAAAATGTGGAGGAGGTGCTGGAGGGAACTAACAAGAGCGTCCTGTAACCCAGGAGGCCAAAGATCAGGCTCCTGCATGGATGGAACTTCCATTAAATGATGTTTATTTGTACCTAGGGGTGAGGTTACTAATGGAAAGGCCTGCAGCCTGCAGTATTTAGTGTCATTTTGCATTTTTGTCAATGAATTACAAGATACATAACATCATCCTGAGTCGAGGCCGGGGGATTTTGTTATGTTTGAGGGTATGATTTTTTTTTTTTTGAAGGGCAGGATGTGAGAAGGATTGTTTTGAATATATTGTTGAAGCCCCAGTCCAATCATGAGAAAAACATCAGACAATTTTTAATACAGGGACATTCTACAAAATACTTGGCCAGTCCTCCTCAAACTGTCAAGGGGATCAAAACAAGGGAAGTCTGAGAAACTGTCACAGCCAAGAAGAGTCCACGGAGACGTGATGGCCAAATGTAATGTAGAATCCTGGATGGGATTCCAAAACAGAGAAAGGACATTAGGTGACAGCTAAGGAAATCTAAAGAGACTATGGAATTTTGATTAAAACAGTCTATCAATATTGGTTCATTAATTGTAACAAATGTACCGTGTTAATGTAAAGTGTTAGTAATAGGGAAAAATGGGAGAGGCTGCATGAGAACTCTCTATACTATCTTCTCAATTTTTCTGTATATCTGCAGGTGCTCTAAAAAATACTCTTTACAAATTAAAAAAGTATTATTGAGATTAAAGTCTGTTACTAAATCTTAAGCAAAATAAAGATAACTTCGACTGATACATGATAATCACTATCCTTTTTAATATATTTTTTCTTTTTATTGAACAAAAAGAAATGTGACAACCTATATTCACATTTTTCTTTTTAAAATTTAGTCTTACATATTTTATTAATTTTTTTTCTTATTTTAGTAGTAATGATTTGCCATTGAGGAAAATTAAGAAAATACATGTAAAAAAGGAGAAAATTAAAATCCCATAAACACACACAAGCCAGATAGATTGGGTAGAGAAAGGATATCTCATCTGTTTGAATACCTGAGTTTATCTTAAGAATATACAACAAACACATAATTTATACAAACGTAATTTATAATGGCTGAATGCATTTCATTATATAATGGGCCATTCTTATTTGGCCGGGGTCTTATTTTGAGATATTAGAGTTCTTTCTAATTTTAAAATTTTTTTCTAAACCCCACTCAGCTGAGCATTCTGTTCATTGTTGCATATATCTGTAATTATTTCCTTAGCACAAATACCTAGAAATGGGACTTCAGGATCAAAAGCTATGAATAATTTTAAGCTGCTTGTTAATGTTGTGAAGTCACCTTCCCAAATTTGTGCCACTGTATACTCCAATAAACTGCAAGTTCCCTTCATTAATCAAATCAGCCATCCAACAAAAATACTTAAAGAGATCTTTCTGCGTATCATGTTCTTGTCATAAAAAGCTCAAAATATAAAATAGACTACAAAATAACTTTCAAAAGAAACTCTTACATCTTAAAATTATAACATTCTGCACTAAAAAAAAAATTGGTTTCTTTCCCTTGTTGCTCTGTTACGAAATATTAACATTATTAAATATGAAATATATTAAATAATGAAGGAACAGAAGTTTGTTGGAAGCTATAGGTATTTTTCCCACTTCCCCCAATAACTAGGCTTAAATTAAATCCATTTATAAGCATGTTTATTTTGATAAATTGATAAATTGAAAATTGATCAGTTGAACTCATTGTGTTTTATGTAAAACAGTAAATATAACATAATTATTGTAGAAGGAATTACTTTCAGCCAACAGAAGGAAGTGGGGAAGAAATGTTACTTTATTCTCTGTAAACTGGCTTCCCTGGCTTTGACCCCCACCCCAGGGCACCAGCATTTTGGGGAATGCAATCTTAGATACTACTGTGTCATCCTCTGTCCCCAGGGCTTGTGGAGATCTTTCCAGGTCTCATGTGGTCCTTGCAGGTCTGGAGGCTCAGCCACCTCCACGTAGCCAGGGCGCAGGTTCCTGCAAGTCGAGGACCAAAGAACTCCTTCCTCCCCTGACTCTGGGAACAGCTTTTTCCTTCAGCTGGGCTCTCTGCCTGCTCTCCGAAGCCCACCAGGTGCAATCGGGGCAGTCTCGCTCTGCACATACTTACACTTCTGCAAATGAAAATCAGAGCTTTAAGAAGCAGCTTCTATTTTCTAGCCTTGCACAGCTTCCTCAGGCAAAGGCTCCCAGAGCAATAGCTGCCTGCTGGAATCCTGGGTAGGGAAAAATATAGAGGAAAAAGAAGACAAAAAATAGTGTTCCAGCCTGCCTCCCGCAACCCCGCCTCCACCCCCCAACACACAAAAGTGCTTGCTGGTTCTTAGTGTGGATAGAGTTATCAGCTCTCCTGAGAGGACTTTTCTGGGAATCTCAACACCAGAGGAATTGAGGAATTAGCAGATTAGGGGGAAAAGAAGTCTTTGAACAATTTAAATACAAGGCAGCTGTGTAGACAGCATGCTGGACTTGCAGGATCTTCACATTCCAATATGGTTGTGCTCAGGCCTTGCTGCAGGCACAGTTTTACGGCAAGGAGGTCTGCTGTGCTTTCACCTTTCTCGAGTGTCACCATGCACCTGACCTACCTCCTGGCCTTAGCTCTGCGAGCTGCTCCTATTTGTGCCTTCTGTTAGCTCCGGAAGAGTCTCCTGGACAGACATCGCTCCATCATGAGTGTGACATTACTTTGTTTACTTGAAAGCGTGGCTATGAACACTTGCAGAGCTGTGCTGAGAGTGGGAAATACAGTTTCGAGGGTTTCTGGAGTAATTAGTTAACTGGGAAAGCATCATTTTCTACATAAAAGGGTCCCCCGTCCCCCCACTTAAACCGCCCCCGTCCCCCCACTTAAACTGAATCCCCTTCCCCGCCTACATCCAGCCCACTCCTGGAGCCAGAATTAGCTCACCCATCTCTAGACCGTGTGTGCACGTGTTTCTGTGTCTGAGTGTGCTCAGTTTGATGCTGTCATAGTTGTGTCCACACTCATCTTCTTTATCGGACTGGACTCTTACAAAGCCAGGCCTTCCTCTAATATTCACTTTCATTCAAATGATGTCATGTTTCCTACTCTAAGGGAGATCCTAGGTAAGAAAGTGAACTAGACATAGGTGGCAAATATAGGCCATACCAGGCACATAAATACATGCAGAGGATACTGATCCTCAAATCCCAAAACGTAGCACAGTGCTTGGCACATATTGAATTCTGTTTGCTGAGCTAAGTTAAATAGTGGTTGTGTCTAAAATTGAATTTGGATTCTGATTCTTGTCCACATCCTGCTCATCATATACTAGGCAGCCCTTGCCCTAACATGCCAGTTTATTAATATTGTAAACAGATGATTCAGTGTAAAAAATGAGCTTTGTCCTAAAAAATAACACTGTACTAAAGGCATGTGACCAAACTGCGCTTTTCTTTTCTTTCTTTTCTTTTTCTTTCCTTCTTTCTTTCTTTCTTTCTTTCTTTCTTTCTTTCTTTCCTTCCTTCCTTCCTTCCTTCCTTCCTTCCTTCCTTCCTTCCTTCTTTCTTTCTTTCTTTCTTTCTTTCTTTCTTTCTTTCTTTCTTTCTTTCTTTTTTTTTTGACCAAGTCTCACTATGTCACCCAGGCTGGAGTGCAGTGGTGCGATCTCAGCTGACTGCAACCTCCACCTCCCGGTTTCAGGCCATTTTCCTGCCTCAGCCTCCTGAGTAGCTGGGATTACGGGTGCTCGCCATGACGCCTGGCTAATTTTTGTATTTTTAGTAGTGACAGGGTTTCACCATGTTGTCCAGGCTAGTCTTGAACTCCCGACCTCAAGTAATCTGCTTGCCTCAGCCTCCCAAAGTGTTGGGATTACAGGTATGAGCCAGCACACCTGGCCTCTTTATTTTCTATATGAGAAATTGTTCTCATGCTCCAAACAATAATCATGAGATAATAGTAGTAAAAGGAGATAATGGCTGTAAAGAGATTATCTAGAAGTTAAATCTTATTTTGTGGGTGGGGACACAAAGCCCGGATAAATGAGAAGGGCCAATGATATAAAACATCAGATGTTGTCACCTCTGTGTAACGATCATGAAGGAAATGCATCTGTCTCAAGTTCTTGGACATTTTATGTATACTTTCATCATCTCAGCAATTACTATGTACAGATTATAAGATTTTCACATCTGTCTTGAAGTGTATTTAGGTTGCTTTAATCTGATATTCACATCTTTTCCAAGACTGTAGAGATTTTGGTGCAGGGACTTAATCTTTTACATCTCTTATATTAATAACTTCATTGAATGTTATATCAATTAATGGAGTGAATGAATACCTTTGACCCAGATTGAGTGCTACTTCTATTTGAATTTCTTAGCTACTGAACCCTGTCAGCTGGATCCCTTTTACTATCAAGAATTAACTTTTTTTTGGACCTCAACAGAATTTTGTTAGCAACGATCTGAGCAAAGACCTATCACATATAAATTTAGCAAATAGATATGGATGCCTATAAACAATTAGCTTGTTTTTATTTTATAAATCAAAGTTCTAAATATTTTATTAAATACTTTGTCCTTACACCATAAGCAGAATCATTAACTTGACACACTTCAAAGAAAGTCGTGTGAGATTGTATAAGTAATCCTTATACAATCGCTGAAAACTGATCATAAACACTCTTCATTTATAAAAATTCACCCTGCAATATTTTGGGGAAGTTACCTCTTCATTTTGTTAGAAACAGAAATAATTTCAAATACTTCAAAGAAATCTTAAAGATAAAAGTTTTAAGAAATCACAAATGACCATTCATAAAACAGAGTCATTTTGTCTCGATGAGAAGCCAATCACGTTTGGACAAATTTAGGAGATGACACGCTAGACCTAGCAACACCCAGAAGATCTTTTCACACATCATTTGGGATTTTTTTTTCTTTTCTTTTTGATGGATGGATGAGCACACTTAAGGAGTTAATGGGCAGATAAAAGTTGAAATGGGAAAGGACAGTAACGGTCAGGCCAGTTAAAAGCTCTTTCCGACACCAACTCCCAGCTCTGCCTCCCCAGCCGATCCCCTTGTGAACTTTTTGTGTTTCATTCATTTTGCTGGAATTGGAAATGGAGAGGCCAAGAAAAGGCCATATCCTGCTTCATTGACTAAAGCTATCCTGTAAGCGAGTTTAATGGGTTAGAAGTTAATACCAGTGACAGTTGTAAGAAAAGTTTCCAAGTGTTTCCCGGGTCTGGAGGGACTCCCTGTGGCTCAGACTTCTTTACGCTTCCTTCCACTCTCCTTTTCTCTTATCTGTGGAAGCTTCCATGACAAACAGGGGGCATCTGCTAGGAAACAAAGTCGGGGGCTGCTAGAAGTGAGCAAATCCCCCCAACCGCAGGGCCTGGCAAAGAACGAGTTCCAATTACAGCTGACACAACAGTGGTGATCAGGTGAACAGATAAGCACAAGGAAAGAGAAATCAAATTTCCTTCCCATTTACAAACCATTGTTTCCCTTTATTTGTCCTCTAAGAGAGGGCCATCGTTCTCCGTGAGATGTGAGCCCTCTCAGTTACACTCACTTTCTCTGCATGGCTTCTATTGTGACCGTTTCTGAACATCGTGTTTTCACATGGTTCCCCTCAAAGTACCTTCCAAAGCACAGGAAGGTAGTGACCACAGAAGAGTGGAATTCATTCTGCCAGCTAAGTGCAAGAAAGGGCTTTTTCCAACACTTCCTCCAAGCATCTGCTTTGTGACATATATTTTTTGATTCCTTTGTTCAAGTGTTGTATACAAGAAAAACATGCACAATTGGTAAGTCCACATCTCACTGAATTTTCACAAGCTCTCGTGTAACCAGCATTCAGTCCAGGAGACAGAACGTGACCTGTGCGTTCAATTCCTAGGGCTGCTGAAACAGAGTCTCACCAACTGGGGGGCTGCAAACAGGACTTTATTGTCTCACAGTTCTGAGGCTAGAAGTTTGACATCAAGGTGTTGGCTGGACTGGTTCCTTCTGGTGGGCATGGGGGAGAATCTGTCCCGTGCCTCTCTCCGAGCTCTGGTGATGGCTGGCAGTGCATGCTGTTCCTTGTCTCATTGATGCATATCCCAATCTCGGCCTCCAGCTTCACACGGCCTTTCTGTGTGTATGCATCTCGGGGTATCCTCTCCACTGGTCATATTGAATTAAACTTGATGACATCTGCCAAGATCCTATGTCCAAATAAGATCACATTTGCAGGTACTGGGGATCACACTTCAACATATTTTTGGCAGGGGAAAGGAGGTGGAAAATAATTCAATTCATAATAATGACTTTTCCAGATACTCCCCCATCCTCCCTTCCAGTAAACACCCCCACCCCTAAGGGCAGCCACTCTTCTGACTTCTGATAGCATACATTTCTTTTACGCTTTATTTAAATCATACATATCAAGTCTTTGCGATGTAATGTGATTTTTAAGGGGGGCTTTCCAAACTTTAGCAGTCACTCAGATGCCCTGAATGGTTCCCACCATTGATATTCCTGAATAGCAATCTACTACATAAAGAGCAGATAGTTTTAAAAGTCAGATAACCTATCATAAAATCAATTATTTCAAAAGAGAAGAAAACAAAGTTTCTTCACAGCAGTACAGCAATAATTCTATAGAAGTGGTAAAGCTTCAAATGAATGCATCAGATACATTCACGTCAGCCTCCTGACATGCATAGCATGAAGCCATGGACAAGAAATGCAACTGTCTATATTTCTCAACAAGGCATCCACTTTCTTATTTTAAGCCATTACTCCATGAGGACAGGAGAACCTTAATCTCAGTCAATTTTGTGTTTCTTTCAACTTTTCTTGGGGATTGTCTTAGCATGGGAAGGGGACGGGGACCCCAGGGAGGGTTTGTGGCTCTCTCAGGTCACCTGGCTCTGCAGGTATCTGCTGGGATGTCTATGGGCCTCTGTGATTTTAGGCTGGAGATAGAACCTGTGCGCCGTGAAATGGTGCTGGTTTCTGTCCTTCGGCCTCTCAGGTCTCGTAGCTCTACTTCTGAAGACCCTGAGAATCCTCCTGTGACTTCTATACCATTAAGAGTCCTGGAATCACTGGGGCCATTTCTTTTTTGACATCTTCCTTGGGTTTTCACCAAAAAAGCCTTTCTTGGGCTTTGCCACCTGCCCAGAACTCGCTGGGAGGCACCTTGTGGAGTCCCCTGCCTGGGCCTCTTTGACACGTCTGCTCTTATTCCAGCGCCTTGCTCTCAGGCAGTCCACCCAGCCAGGGAAATCTTTTTCTAGCAGAGAGGGAGGACATCTCTGTCTTACTCTATCTCAATCATTCTCCCAATCATTTTGTCTAAGCCTCAGATCTTCTAAGTTCCTTTGAAGACTTTTTTAACACATGACCCTATTTTAAGCGAATAAACACACCTGGTTCAGTAACTTCGGACAAGTTAATTATTCTAATTAAAGACTATCCTCTTCAGTAAGGAAGAATTAAAAACAGTATCCACCTCACAGGATTTTTTTTTTTTTTTTTTTTTTACTGTAGAGGGGCATATAAATTAACTGAGTTTATCTGTATAAACACATAGAACTGTGCCTGGCACATACAGAGACTCTATAGTGAAAGTTATTATTATTATTGTTATTTTGAGATGGAGTCTTGCTCTGTTGCCCAGGCTGGAGTGCGGTGGCGCAAGCTCGGCTCACTGCAACCTGTGCCTCCCAGGTTCAAGCAGATTCTCCTGCTTCAGCCTCCCGAGTAGCTGGGATTATGGGCACCCACCACCATGCCTGGCTTTTTTTTTTTTTTTTTGTATTTTTCTAGAGATGTGGTTTCAACATTTTGGCCAGCCTGGTCTCGAACTCCTGACCTTAGGTGATCCGCCTGCCTCGGCCTCTGAAAGTGCTGGGGTTACAGGCGTGAGCCATCACACCTGGCCAGTGAAAGTTGTTATTAATTTATTTATTAACAGCTTAAATGGACAGGGAGAGAGAAAACAACAGGAGGGGAAAAAAATCACTGCATTTTCAAATTAACATAACAAATCATTATTTTGTAAATTTACAAACTCATTGTAAATCTAAAAACAGAACGATAGAAATGAAGAACTGCAGGGAGACATCAAGAGAGGAAATGTTAATTAGGCGGCATCTGCTCCTTCAAGGTAGCTAATGGTATTGTGAGAGATTGGGGGAAACCCACACATGTGTCCCAGACAGAAGATTCCCCGCTAAGAGGTAAAAGATCAATTCATTTCAGTCAGGTTAGCTCATTAAAAAAAGATAAAGTTAAGGTACCCCGTTTCATCTAAAACTGTGGAAGGAGAAACAATGACATCACGGAAACTGTAATTAACATTTCAAAAGATCACAGAATTAGCCAAGTAGAAGCCCTGGGTTGTCAACACAACAATTAGCCCTCACTGGCTGAGTAAACACAGAGGGGAAGTAGCTACTTCTAAATGTTTTTTCATTTTATCACTTTCAACGTTGTCAAATATTCTACAATGGTGACTTAAGTAGCACGTTCAGTGACACCGGTTTCACTGAATCTCAAGATCGCTTTCACGGTAAACACTTTGTTTAGAGTGCCATACACCCAGCGGGTGAAAATAAATATGAAATGGAAATGACACCACTCCGTAAGGTATCGTGTGTCTGATCTGTTGACGGTCATCTCAGCTGGAATGCCTGGCAGCCCACCTGCAGGTCTATTCTACTCCGCAAGTTACTCATCAACACATTGGAAAGCATCTTTGAAAGAAAGAATTAGCAACCAGATGTTCTTCCTCTACAGTGAAATGAACAGAGGAGGCGGCAGCAGGGAGGTAGCCAAAACGCAGTGGGAGAGATTTAAGTTATATGGGAGATGCAATGAATTCATGTGTTAACAGAAAGGGGTCCTGATTCAGACACCAAAAGAGGGTTCTTGAATCTCATGCCAGAAAGATTTCGGGGTGAGTCCATAAAGTGAAAGCGAGTTTATTAGGAAAGTAAAGGAAGAAAGAATGGCTACGCCACTGGCTACGCAACCAAAGATACTTATTGTTACTTCTTGATTATTTGCTAAACAAGGGGTGGATTATTCACAAGGTTTCTGGGACAAGGGTGGGCAGTTCTAGGAACTGAGGGCTCCTCCCCTTTTAAGACCATATAGGATAACTTCCTGACATTGCTATGGCATTTGTAAACTGTCACGGCGCTGGTGGGAGTGTCTTTCAGCACGCTAATGCTTTATAACTAGCATATAATAAGCTGTGAGGACGACTGTAGGTCACTCTCTTCACCGTCTAGGTTGTGGTGGGTTTTGGCTGGCTTCTTTACTGCAAACTGTCTTAATAGCAAGGTCTTTATGACCAGTATCTGGTAGCGACCTCCTATCTCATTCTATGACTTAGAATGCCTAACCTCCTGGAAATGCAATCCAGTAGGTCTCAGCCTTCTTTTACCCAGCCCCTGTGCAAGATGGAGTTGCTCTGGGTCAAACGCTTTTGAGGCATGGACAGTAGACATTATTAAACACAGGCAGGTGCTAGTAAAGGCAATTGTAGAATTTTATTCATAGATGTTAAAAAAAATCAGAGACAAAATCTGTGAAGATTTCTGTATAGTGATGTTTCAAATTAAGATATGCAAATTAAACAGATTATGGTGAAATGGGTGAACTAGGTCCTCTCTTGAGATCTCTTTCATCTCTCAGTACTACATTGATTTTACAGATGCAAATATTAAGAAAGTTATATGGTACATGGACTTATTTTAAACTTTCTGCAAATCTTAGCTACTTGATTTCAAGTTCAATTATTGCAGCTCCTTTCTCTGTAGGAAGTCACTATCATAAAATAATTTGATGAATCATTATGACCGCTAAATTTATTGCATGCCTTGTGCTATAAATCATGAATTACCTAGAAAGTGCTCTCCCAAGCAATGATTTAAACAAGAAAGTGCTAGTGCACTTTGTTTTCCTTTGTTAATGTAAAATGTTTATTAAAACATAATTTAATGCAGCCATTAATATTATGTAGAATAATATTTAGTGGATTGGAGGAAAGTTTATGATATACTGGTTTTTAAAAAGCAGGTTACCCAGTAATAAGTACATTATCTTTCTTTCTTTCTTTCTTTCTTTTTTTTTTTTTCAACAGATTCTCACCCTGTTGCCTAGGCTGGAGTGCAGTGACGCGATTTTGGCCTAATGCAGCCTCTGCCTCCCAGGTTCAAGCGATTCTTCCGCCTCAGCCTCCCTAGTAACTGGGATTACAGGTATGTGCCACTATGCCCAGCTAATTTTTGTAGTTTTAGTAGAGACGGAGTTTCACCACGTCGGCCAGGCTGGTCTCAACTCCTGACCTCAGGTGATCCGCCTGCCTTGGCCTCCCAAAGTGCTGGGGTTACAGGCGTGAGCCACCACGCCTGGCCCTACATTATCATTTTTAAAAGATATTTTTATAAGCACAAGAAAAATAAAGGACTAGAAGAATATAAACTAATACATTCGCAATATCTCTGAACCATGGAATCAGAGGTGACTTTTCTTTCACTTTGTGTTTTCTAAACTTACTATGATGGATATGTACTATTTTTATAATGAGAAGCAAAACCTATTATGAAAGTAAAGAACGCTGTGTCTTAATGGTGAAGACTAGATTAATATTTTGAAAAAGAAATGCTATCGTAGAGTAGAATATTTCATTTGGTAAAATCTATGAGTCTAATGTGCACACATATTATCCCTTAAACTTCTAGCCTAGGTGGAGACAGATATGTTTGTTTAGCCTTAGAGGAGAGGTGATAACATCTACTTAAAAATATCAGCTGGCTTAACCAAATGTTTCAGAAATAGCATGGCATTTCAGGGTATGATGAATCAGCTGGGTGGGAACTTATTCTGACAAAATAGCTCTACTTTCAGGAAAACTGTCCCTATACATCCCAACTCAAATGTATCCAATGCGATTTGTAAATAGAGCTGAACTATACTAATGTGACTCCAATAATACGGGATTTCTTAAAGTTTGAACCAGGAATGAGCCAAATTTCGACCTTAGCAAAATTTTTCCCTATATTACAAATGAATGCCAGGGCTAATGTTTAAAATTCATGAAAATCTCTTTAAACAACATCATTTTTATATTTATTAAAGCAAGTTCCTTACAGAATACTTTATTGACTAAACTTAATTATATGTTCTTAGCAGTAATCGATCGTGTTTTTCCTTTCACATATAGTAGTTTTTTAAACCGTCATTCATTTACATAGAACCTTCACATTAGACTTATAGGATGAGCCTACAAAGGCTTGAAAGTTGTTAGTTGCTAGCTAGTTAAACCTCTTCAAAGAGTCCCAGCAAAGAGGCTGGAGCCACTGCATGTGTACTTTGCATGATAGAAACTGTTAACATTTATTTATTAAATAAAAACTTATTGAAAAAGAAGACTGGACATGGGTAAGGTCTATTGCCTGAACTTCAAGAGCGACCAGCACTTTACCCCCAAGCATGAGCTTGTGGTAGAACAGCAGTACAATAACATAAGCTCTAAGAGAAATGCCAGATTTCTTTAAGGGAATGCAGCAATACATGCTTTAATTTCCAGAGTGAGTCTCCAGAGGCAGCAAGCTTCTTAGAGAAGCCTCACAAACCAACAGCTTCTGAGCTGTAGAGTAGCAGCTCTCTCCACCAACAGCATCGCCTTCACCTGTGAGATGCAGATTCCTGGACCCACCTCACACCTATTCTGAATGAGGCTCAGCAATTTGTGTTTTAACAAGCCCTCCTGGTGATTCTGACACACACACACACACACACACACACACACACACACTCAAGTTTAAGACCAAAAATGGTGTCAATCAGGATGACTGCAGGGATCATGAGTAATTAGCGCTCTTTACCAAATAGTTCCTGAGCCTGCAGTGGAAGTATATTGCCTTAACCTGAAAGTTAGGCATGCTGTGTGATTTGCTTCGGCCGATAAAATGTGAGTGAAAATGGCATGTTTCATGTTCAAGATGACAACTGCCACATCCAATGGTCCTTGGAGTGATGCAGAGCAAAGCCCCAGATGAAGTTGAAGGACATGTAACATAAGCATGAAATAAACTATTGGTTTTTGAGCCACTGATTTTTGGGAGGTGCTTGTTACCACAATGTAACCTAGTCCATCCTGACTGATACAATAGGGAGGAGGAGTGTGCACTGCCCCCCAGAGCATAACCACCAATGTAGTTGACGATGCTACATACATCCTAGGCACAATTTTCATCATCAATGTAGCATTAGAGCATTCCTGGGTGCTATGGTTTGGATATGGTTTATCCCCACTAGAACTTATGTTAAAATTTGTTCATCTATGTGGTGGTGTTGAGAGGTGGGGCCTAGTGGGAAATGTTTGGGGAATGGGCGTGGATCCCTCATGAATAGATGAATACTCTCCTGAGGGTAAGCTTTTTCTCTCTTGGAATGGATTAGTTCCCTCAGAAGTGGGTTGTTAAAAAGAGCCTTGTTTCCTCGGTTTCTCTCTTGCTTCCTCTGTCGCCATGCAATCTCTTTGCACACACCCACTCTCCTTCCACTTTCTGCTGTGAATTGAGGCAAGCTGAGGGCCTCACTACATGCAGCTACCCAGCCTTGGGCTCTTCAGCCACTAAATTATGTGCCAACTCAACCTCTTTTCTTTATAAATTACCAAATCTCAGGTATTCTGTTACAGCAACACAAAATGGACTAAGACACTGGGCTTCCCAAGAAAGGAGGGGCAGCAGCAGAACAGGGAAGATAAGTAAATGGAGAGGCAAACTATTTTCAAAGATTTTTAAAAATGTGGGTGTCATGACCATAGGTTACAGCAGGCACAACAAGTAACTGCAGCCAATGTGTACATATGAAGCTCAATAACCAAGCAGCACAGAACCGCTCAGCAAAAGATCAATGAGAGGCCTTTCCATTGATGCCATAAAGCGGTGAGCCCCAGCTGCCATCTCAGGACAGAGAATGAAGATGGCAGGAAAAACTGAGCATTCATCTCAAAAACAGAATGGATGGAATGAAATTATGATTGACTATATTACCTCCAATCAGACTTTTTTTGCTGTTATCTACTATAGAAGCCAAATGAATGCTCAGCATGTTAATGATAAATGTAGAAAGCTACCTGTGTATACATTCAATTTGTGCCTATAATTTTAAAATCTAGATAAGGGCATCAAAGATATATATATATATAAATAAATATAAATATATAAATAAATACATATATAATAAGAGATGATAAGGAGAAAGTAACAGGGTTATAGGATAGTGGCAGCTTGGGAGGTGAAGCTACCTTAGAAATGGGGGTTTTGGCCGGGTGCGGTGGCTCACGCCTGTAATCCCAGCACTTTGGGAGGCCAAGGCGGGTGGATCACGAGGTCAGGAGATCGAGACCATCCTGGCTAACACGGTGAAACCCCGTCTCTACTAAAAATACAAAAAATTAGCCGGGCGTGGTGACAGGCGCCTGTAGTCCCAGCTACTCGGGAGGCTGAGGCAGGAGAACGGCGTGAACCCGGGAGGCGGAGCTTGCAGTGAGCTGAGATCGTGCCACTGCACTCCAGCCTGGGCGACTAGAGCCAGACTCCGTCTCAAAAAAAAAGGAAAGAAAAAAAAGAAAAAGAAATAGGGGTTTTGAAAAGCCTCTATGGGAACAGACACTTTCATTAAACTTTTTTTTTTTTGAGACAGAGTCTAGCTCTGTCACCCAGGGTGGAGTGCAGTGGCGCGATCTCGGCTCACTGCAAGCTCCGCCTCCCAAGTTCACGCCATTCTCCTGCCTCAGCCTCCGGAGTAGCTGGGACTACAGGCGCCCGCCACCTCGCCCGGCTAATTTTTTGTATTTTTAATAGAGACGGGGTTTCACCGTGTTAGCCAGGATGGTCTTGATCTCCTGACCTCGTGATCCACCCACCTCGGCCTCCCAAAGTGCTGGGATTATAAGCGTGAGCCACCACGCCCTGCCTTTCATTAAACTTTTGTGCTAAGTCCTGAGTGTTGGAAAGAGCCAACTCTGTGAGGTTCTGGGGAAATTGCAATCCTTATGAAGAAAAGCACAAGTGCAAAGGTCTAGGGACCAGGATTCATGTTCAAGTGACAAAAAAGAATATCTATGTCCACGTGTGCAGCAGTCTTATCCACCAGGGTTCCTAAGAGAATGAAATCCTATAGGAAATGACCTGCAAGACTATTTCCCAAATTCTCTCAAGTTTGGGCCATTCTAGAGGAACAAGAGAGAAGCCACTATATGTAACACATGCTTTATGGCACTCTGGTTTCATTCTCTAAAAGAACCCCAGCTGAGAAGGGCTGACTGCAGGGTGGCAGGTTGGAAAGGGATTCCAATGAAGTCAGAGAGGCGAGTAGGGGCCAATAAAGATTTGGGGTTTGATTCTATGTGCAGTGGCAGGCACCGGAAGGTTTCAAACAGTGGAATGGCACATTCTGACAGGTTTGTGAAGGATCACTGGCTGCTGTTTGGAGAATGGACTGCAGAAAGACAAAGGAAAGGCAGCCAGTCAGGAGGTGTTTGCATTACTGCAGAGAAAAGAAGATAAGGCTAGCATGGCTGGGGTGGAAGAAGAGACAAATTTAGAATATGGTTTGAATGTAGAGTTGGGCTTGGTTATGGGCTCAGTATGAAACCAGGTGAGGGAAGATGAGAGAAAGGTATGAATCTGACAGGATTCCTGAGCAATTCCTGATTGGTGATGCCATTGAAGAACGTGAGAAAGATTAGGGAAAGAGTGGAATTGAGGATGGGACAATTATGAGATGCTGAGTCAACAGTGGAATATATGAGCCTGGATCTCAAAGGAGAGGCAAGGATCTCAAAGGAGATACATAAACAAGGGAGTCATCAGTGTATAAAAGTGTTTAAATCATACAATAGGATGAGATCACTGAACTCTGTCAATTTCTCTTCCAATGTCCCTCAAATTTATTTCTTCCTCTTATTCCTGCTGCCATTAGTCTTTGTTTCCCCAAAGAGCTACTGCAGTACTTCTGTACCAGGCCTGTGGTCTCTCTCCTCAGCAATCTCTCCTGTGCATAACCACATCTACCATTCATCTTCCTGTTTCACAAATTAGACCATTTTTTTAATTCAATAAAAAACTGAGTACTCATGTACAAATCTCTCTGTTCAGTTCTTTGAGTGATTCAAAGATGAACAAAAAATAGATTCTGACATTGAAAGCTTTTAGTCTATAGAAAGGATGTGTTTGTAAACAACTATATTTCTGGTCAGGCGCGGTGGCTCATGCCTGTAATCCCAGCACTTTGGGAGGCCGAGGCGGGTGGATCATCTCAGGTCAGGAGTTCGAGACCAGCCTGGCCAACATGGCAAAACCCTGTCTCTACTAAAAATGCAAAAATTCACCGGGCGTGGTGGTGCGCGCTTGTAATCCAAGCTACTCAGAAGGTTGATGCAGGAGAATTGCTTGAACTTGGGAGGTGGAGGTTGAGGTGAGCTGAGATTGTACCACTGCACTCCAGCCCGGGCAACAGAATGAGATTCTGTCTTAAAAATAAATAAATAGATAAATAAATATGTTTCAGGGTAGAGAGTGACAGGAAGGAAAAGAAAAATAAATATTATGGCCGTTTTTGGGGATGAAGAAGTGACTGTTTGCTCCATGGATTTGGAAAATTTTTGTTAGGATGGTTGTCTTAGAGTTGGACCAAGAGGTCAAAATCACTTCTTGACTTGTTGATTAAAGTGTGTGGTCCTTATGATCCCTAGTCTCTCAGAATCTTCTTAATTAGCTTCTCTCCCACTCTCTGATGTTCTAATGCTGGCATTTTTAATGGTTCAATGTTAGGTGATCTTTCCTTGGTGCCACACTCGTTCTCTAGGCAAGCTCATCTACTTGGATGGCAAATCCATCATGTCCCTTCAATTCATTGCCTTTCATTTACAAATGCAAATCTGCCCCTGTCAGTGTGTGCTCAAAGCCTGGCAATTCTATTGCTGTCAGGATTAACCTGAAACGTCAGACCTCCCTCCCCCATCTCTTGCTTGTCTCTTCCTTACTCTCTGAACTCTAACCACTCCAAGTTCCTCCAATAATATACACCCCATCCTGCCTCTGGGGCTTTATCCATGTGATTCCTGGTGTTTGTAAAGTTTCTTAATTTCCAGCTTTCCATATTACCCAGGGAACTTCTACTTCTACTTCCCAGCTTAAATGTCAATCCCAGAAAGCCATCTCTGAACTCACAGGGACTTATTGTTATATATTCTCACCACATTTTGTATCTTTCCTTTATTGAAATATCAGAATTATAATTGTTTCATTTATTTGTGTTATTTGCTTTCTATTTCTCTGTCCCAACAATCTATAAACACCATCAGGCCTGAAATGACTTGTCCATGTTCAACACTGCAAGATCTGGATTGCGCAGGTGCACTTTAATTTTTATTGCTGAATGGAAGCCTGCTGTTCCACTGCTTCCTGATTTCACTTTGTGCTCCCTCACTTCTTGTACATACCCCCCCCAGCACTTCAGTGCAATTTCTCCTGTAATGTTATACTTGACATTTCTACCTCTTAAAACTCTAGCCATTCTGAAGGGCCATTCTGTCTTCCCGCTTGACCATGAAGTCCTCCCCACTCGCTCCTGACCACACCTGATCCTCACTCTTGGCCACACCTGATCCCCACTCCCGACCACACCTGATCCTCACTCCTGATCACACCTGATCTTCACTCCTGACCACACCTGATGGAGGTGATCTCCCCCACCTCTAAACTTGCAGCGCATTCTCAGAGTTATTCTAATTGACATGGTTCACTACTGCCAAGCTCTACAGTGATTTGTAGGCATGCGTTACCTCTGACTTTCCAAATTTTAAACTGTCAAGTTTGGGATTCACTGTATATTCTATAACTTTGTATGCACTGACAAAATCTACCATAAGATTGTAGAATTGGGGAAGTATCACACTTGCTACCCCCCAAAAATTTGGTGCTTAAAGGGTTAATATTATTTGGAAAACTCTCAACTGTAGAGCACCTGATTTCTATGTGACATTGGATAAAAGGAGAATTACCATGCTTGCATGTGGACTATAATTTCCAAAGAGCTAAAGGATGCTTCTAGTCTGATTTTAAGAAACATAGTTGTCCCTAATCCATTTGTTGTCAGGATAACAGGATCTTGCTGCAGTTGTGATAGCTTACATGACCTCCCATGCCCAGATGGTAAAGGGACTTAAACCATATTGTAAGAGGACCAATTAGAGATACCTGACTGTTCAGCTCATGAGGAAATGCAATATGAAAAAGAAACAGGCATGCTGACTATGCTCAAATATTAAAAGGACTCTCAAATAAAAGTAAAATTAGATTTATTTTAAATGGCCCCAAGAAACCTTTCTAGGAATAATAAATAGATATTTCAGGGGGATAGATATTTACTTGAGGTAAAGGAGAACATTATAATAGCCAGACTTCTCCAATGAAAGAATGAATTACCTTAGAAGGTATCGAGTCTCCTTTTACTTGAGGCATTCAAGGAGAAGTTGTATAAATATTTTACAGGAATGTTAAAGGCAGTTTCAAACACTGCAAGGTTGTACCTACCATCTTTCCACACCTGAGATGCTTTGATTCTATCGTAATAACAGCTAAAATGCACAGGGCACGAATCCCATGCCAGGTCCTGTGCATTTTCTAAGCATTTTCTATGCATTACCTCATTTAATTGTCACAACAACTGTTATTACACTCATGACTAAAGATAAGAAAACTGAAGCACGGAGACATTAAATGATTTGTCTTACTTCCCATAATTAGGTAAGAATTTTGACACCAGGAAATCTTTTTCCAGCACCCAGCCTGTTATTCCGCCTTTCATATTCATACGGCAGATGTAAGTCCAAAACAGAAAGGCCTTGCCTAGGAAAGTGAATGATAAGGTAAGAGCAGTGGGATGATCTTAGGAAGAGTGTGTTAAGAAAATGTCATCTTATAAACTGAATGGTAGAGGCATTACGGAATGATGAGTTTAGAGAATGGCTCAAGACACTTGCTCACACTTCCATGTGATGAGCACAAGGCAGAAGCCACTAAACACAGCACTTTATAGTGCAACCCAGAGTATATTTTGAAAACATAAAAACAATTTATTTTTATTTATTTATTTATTTTTTTGAGACCAAGTCTCGCTTTGTCGCCCAGGCTGGAGTGCAGTGGTGCGATCTCCGCTTACCACAACCTCCACCTCCTGGGTTCAAGCGATTCCTGTGCCTCAGCCTCCCAAGTAGCTGGGATTACAGGCACCCACCACCATGCTCAGCTAATTTTTGTATTTTTAGTGGAGACAAGGTTTCACCATGTTGGCCAGGCTGTTTTCAAATTCCTGACCTCAGGTGATCCACCCACCTCAGCCTCCCAAAGTGCTGGGATTACAGGCGTGAGCCACTGTGCCCGGCCGTATTTTCATTATAAATTAAATTGCCTGTACCTCATTCACCATTAAGACTAAGCTTGAAGTTTAGTGCTCCTGCAAAGAAAAAAAGGAGGTACTATCTAAAACCCAGAAAGTATACAGGGTAAGGAGAAGGGGGACATGATATAGGAGTGTTTCTACCAGACAGGAAAGGGAAAGAGGATCTTATGAAATAGTGAGGGAAATCAAAGAAGAAAGCAAGGCACCCAATAGTAGGGGCCTCAAACAGAGCTAAAACTTGAAGGAGTAAGGTAGAGACATCCCAGCTATGTTGAGACTGATGCTGAACACAGAGGTCTCCTGTCCCGCTTCCTGTTTTGGTCTCTGAACGGAAGTGTCTTGCACGATGTCCCTTCCCTGCACCAGCACAAGGGACGTGAGGAGAGAACCTACTGGGATCTAGAAGTTACTGAGCATTCTTAATGGGGGATGTGAAAAGTAACAAGTGACCCAGAAGGGCTGTAAGAAGATTCCTTTATGAGGGGTGACATTGCCCCCTAGAAGCCAAAGGGTAGAATACTCAAGCCAGGGGCCAGGTACAGGGGTCCACGGAGCCCCATAGATGTTGCTATTGTTGTTGTCTTGTTTTTTTGTTTCTGAAACATAGTTTTGCTCTTGTTGCACTGCAACCTCTGCCTCCCTGGTTCAAATGATTCTCCTGCCTCAGTCTCCCAAGTAGTTGGGATTACAGGCATGCGCCACCACCCCTGGCTAATTTTGTATTTTTAGTAGAGACTGGGTTTCACCGTGTTAATCAGGCTGGTCTCAAACTCCTGACCTCAGGTGATGCACTCGCCTTGGCCTCCCAAAGTGCTGGGATTACAGGCATGAGCCACCGCACCCAGCCCCATAGATGTTATACTCCAGCAAGAGCAAAGTGACACTCGTTGGCTGGGGAGATTGAAAACATTGCTCATGGCCGATGTTGAGAGAAACAAGTTTACCAGAAGTGGCTCCATCAGTTGATGCCAGAAGGTTTATGAGAGATCAAGTGTGGTAAGGGATAGTCCAGGCATGGCGTGGATGATTAAAGGGTGCAGGAAACAGCAAAAAACTTAAGCCTGGACTTGAGACTCAGTCATTAACAGAGCACACATTGTTTTTCTTTGTACTCAAATGCTATCTTGAGAGGAATGATTGTGTAGATACACTAAAATAATAATTTTTTTCAATTAAAAAGACAAACCTGAGCATTTAGACAAAAGAGACTGAATTGACCAAGAAGAAGCTAATTTAAAACAAAGACACTGTTTAATTTAATTGAGGGTTTAAAATACTTCTTGACCATCCAAAAGGGATCCACAAAGAAGTTTGAACCAGAAACATATATAGCAGACTATTATATGTGAAATTATGTGTGTATGTGTGTACATACATATTTGGCAGATCTTAATTTGCTGAGAGTTAAGTTGCTCCCTCTAAACATTCAATTAAATAAATGAAGTTGAGACCAGTGTAGAGACTCACATCTATAATCACCTTGGAAGCCTGAGGCAGGTGAATCACTTGAAGTCAGGAATTCAAGATTAGCCTGAGCAACATGGTGAAACCCCATCTCTACAAAAAATAGAAAACATTAGCCAGGCGTACTGCACCTACCTATAGTCCTAACTACACAGGAGGCTGAGGTGGGAGGATCACCTGAATCCAAGAGGTCAAGACTGAAGTGAGCTGTGATCGCACTGCTGTACTCCAGTCTGGGCAACAGAGCAACACCTTGTCTCAAAAATAAAAAATAAAAAAATAAAAGAAATACAGTTGAGTTTCTTGAACTACTTATACATGAGGTTTTAATTTATAAAAGCATTCAGTTTATTCGAGAAACATTTCCTGTTCTTCTATTGAAGCAAATCTAATTGAGAAAAAAACCAACCAGAGTCAGTGTCCAGTAATGGCTCTGCAATGCGCAGCCTCCGAATGTGACGACCACAGGCTCTGCTTGCCTTTTACCTGACTGCCAGCACCCTGCAGAGCAGCATCAAAGGTAAATTTCAATTCTTCATGGTTTTCTAACTTTGAACACTTACTAAATGCATTTTCCACCGGAACCTTCAGAGTTGCCCAGCAATTTCATTTGGGATTTATCACTAAATGTCTTTGAGCTCACACATGGTATTAAAAGTGTGCAACTGTAATAAGGATTACATTATTTTAATCCTGTAACTAGTGCTTACAGATTGCTGCTTCATTTCAAATTATTGTACTTGCTGGAAAATTATACATACAACAATATAAAAAAATTTAAAATATAAATGGGTTATACATGTGTTTTAAGCATGTAAAAAGGGGCTGGAGCCAAGATGGCCAAATAGGAACAGCTCCGGTCTACAGCTCCCAGCGTGAGCGACGCAGAAGACGGGTGATTTCTGCATTTCCATCTGAGGTTCCGGGTTCATCTCACTAGGGAGTGCCAGACAGAGGGCGCAGGACAGTGGGTGCAGCGCACCATGCATGAGCTGAAGCAGGGTGAGGCATTGCCTCACTCGGGAAGCGCAAGGGGTCAGGGAGTTCCCTTTCCTAGTCAAAGAAAGGGGTGACAGACAGCACCTGGAAAATCGGGTCACTCCCACCCGAATACTGTGCTTTTCCAATGGGCTTAAAGAACGGCACACCACGAGATTATATCCCGCACCTGGCTCAGAGGGTCCTACGCCCAAGGAGTCTTGCTGATTGCTAGCACAGCAGTCTGAGATCAAACTGCAAGGCGGCAGCGAGGCTGGGGGAGGGGCACCTGCCATTGCCCAGGCTTGCTTAGGTAAACAAAGCAGCCAGGAAGCTCCAACTGGGTGGAGCCCACCACAGCTCAAGAAGGCCTGCCTGCCTCTGTAGGCTCCACCTCTGAGGGCAGGGCACAGACAAACAAAAAGACAACAGTAACCTCTGCAGACTTAAATGTCCCTGTCTGACAGCTTTGAAGAGAGCAGTGGTTCTCTCACCACGCAGCTGGAGATCTGAGAATGGGCAGACTGCCTCCTCAAGTGGGTCCCTGACCCCTGACCCCCAAGCAGCCTAACTGGGAGGCACCCCCCAGTAGGGGCAGACTGACACCTCACACGGCTGGGTACTCCTCTGAGACAAAACTTCCAGAGGAATGATCAGACAGCAGCATTCGTGGTTCATGAAAATCCGCTGTTCTGCAGCCACCGCTGCTGGTACCCAGGCAAACAGGGTCTGGAGTGGACCTCTAGCAAACTCCAACAGACCTGCAGCTGAGGGTCCTGTCTGTTAGAAGGAAAACTAACAAACAGAAAGGACATCCACACCAAAAACCCATCTGTACATCACCATCATCAAAGACCAAAAGTAGATAAAACCACAAAGATGGGGAAAAAACAGAGTAGAAAAACTGGAAACTCTAAAAACCAGAGCGCCTCTCCTCCTCCAAAGGAACACAGCTCCTCACCAGCAACGGAACAAAACTGGACGGAGAATGACTTTGACGAGCTGAGAGAAGAAGGCTTCAGAGGATCAAAGTACTCCGAGCTACAGGAGGAAATTCAAACCAAAGGCAAAGAAGTTGAAAACTTTGAAAAAAATTTAGACGAATGTATAACTGGAATAACCAATACAGAGAAGTGCTTAAAGGAGCTAATGGAGCTGAAAGCCAAGACTCGAGAACTACGTGAAGAATGCAGAAGCCTCAGGAGCTGATGCGATCAACTGGAAGAAAGGGTATCAGTGATGGAAGATGAAATGAATGAAATGAAGCGAGAAGGGAAGCTTAGAGAAAAAAGAATAAAAAGAAATGAACAAAGCCTCCAAGAAATATGGGACTATGTGAAAAGACCAAATCTACGGCTGATTGGTGTACCTGAAAGGGACGGGGAGAATGGAACCAAGTTGGAAAACACTCTGCAGGATATTATCCAGGAGAACTTCCCCAATCTAGCAAGGCAGGCCAACATTCAGATTCAGGAAATACAGAGAATGCCACAAAGATACTCCTCGAGAAGAGCAACTCCAAGACACATAATTGTCAGATTCACCAAAGTTGAAGTGAAGGAAAAAATGTTAAGGGCAGCCAGAGAGAAAGGTCAGGTTACCCACAAAGGGAAGCCCATCAGACTAACAGCGGATCTCTCAGC
Organism: Homo sapiens; assembly: GCF_000001405.40. Taxonomy (NCBI): domain Eukaryota; kingdom Metazoa; phylum Chordata; class Mammalia; order Primates; family Hominidae; genus Homo; species Homo sapiens. Next base: position 106,782,604 of record NC_000013.11, on the reverse strand, counting down.
AGAAATTCTACAAGCCAGAAGAGAGTGGGGGCCAATATCCAACATTCTTAAAGAAAATAATTTTCAACCCAGAATTTCATATCCAGTCAAACTAAGCTTCATAAGTGAAGGAGAAATAAAATACTTTTCAGACAAGCAAATGCTGAGAGATTTTGTCACCACCAGGCCTGCCCTAAAAGAGCTCCTGAAGGAAGCACTAAACATGGAAAGGAACAACCGGTACCAGCCACCGCAAAATCATGCCAAATTGTAAAGACCATCAAGGCTAGGAAGAAACTGCATCAACTAACGAGCAAAATCACCAGCTAACATCATAATGACAGGATCAAATTCACACATAACAATATTAACTTTAAAGGTAAATGGACTAAATGCTCCAATTAAAAGACACAGACTGGCAAACTGGATAAAGAGTCAAGACCCATCAGTGTGCTGTATTCAGGAAACCCATCTCACGTGCAGAGACACACATAGGCTCAAAATAAAAGGATGGAGGAAGATCTACCAAGCAAATGGAAAACAAAAAAAGGCAGGGGTTGCAATCCTAATCTCTGATAAAACAGACTTTAAACAAACAAAGATCAAAAGAGACAAAGAAGGCCATTACATAATGATAAAGGGATCAATTCAACAAGAAGAGCTAACTATCCTAAATATATATGCACCCAATACAGGAGCACCCAGATTCATAAAGCAAGTCCTGAGTGACCTACAAAGAGACTTACACTCCCACACAATAATAATGGGAGACTTTAACACTCCACTGTCAACATTAGACAGATCAATGAGACAGAAAGTTAACAAGGATACCCAGGAATTGAACTCAGCTCTGCCCCAAGCAGACCTAATAGATATCTACAGAACTCTCCACCCCAAATCAACAGAATATACATTTTCTTCAGCACCACACCACACCTATTCCAAAATTGACCACATAGTTGGAAGTAAAGCTCTCCTCAGCAAATGTAAAAGAACAGAAATTATAACAAACTGTCTCTCAGACCACAGTGCAATCAAACTAGAACTCAGGATTAAGAAACTCACTCAAAACTGCTCAACTACATGGAAACTGAGCAACCTGCTCCTGAATGACTACTGGGTACATAACGAAATGAAGGCAGAAATAAAGATGTTCTTTGAAACCAAGGAGAACAAAGACACAACATACCAGAATCTCTGGGACACATTCAAAGCAGTGTGTAGAGGGAAATTTATAGCACTAAATGCCCACAAGAGAAAGCAGGAAAGATCCAAAATTGACACCCTAACATCACAATTAAAAGAACTAGAAAAGCAAGAGAAAACACATTCAAAAGCTAGCAGAAGGCAGGAAATAACTAAAATCAGAGCAGAACTGAAGGAAATAGAGACACAAAAAACCCTTCAAAAAATTAATGAATCCAGGAGCTGGTTTTTTGAAAGGATCAACAAAATTGATAGACTGCTAGCAAAACTAATAAAGAAGAAAAGAGAGAAGAATCAAATAGGTGCAATAAAAAATGATAAAGGGGATATCACCACCAATCCCACAGAAATACAAACTACCATCAGAGAATACTACAAACACCTCTACGCAAATAAACTAGAAAATCTAGAAGAAATGTATAAATTCCTTGACACATACACCCTCCCAAGACTAAACCAGGAAGAAATTGAATCTCTGAATAAACCAATAACAGGCTCTGAAATTGTGGCAATAATCAATAGTTTACCAACCAAAAAGAGTCCAGGACCAGATGGATTCACAGCCAAATTCTACCAGAGGTACAAGGAGGAACTGTTACCCTTCCTTCTGAAACTATTCCAATCAATAGAAAAAGAGGGAATCCTCCCTAACTCATTTTATGAGGCCAGCATCATCCTGATACCAAAGCTGGGCAGAGACACAACAAAAAAAGAGAATTTTAGACCAATATCCTTGATGAACATTGATGCAAAAATCCTCAATAAAATACTGGCAAACTGAATCCAGCAGCACATCAAAAAGCTTATCCAGCATGATCAAGTGGGCTTCATCCCTGGGATGCAAGGCTGGTTCAATATATGCAAATCAATAAATGTAATCCAGCATATAAACAGAACCAAAGACAAAAACCACCTGATTATCTCAGCAGATGCAGAAAAGGCCTTTGACAAAATTCAACAACCCTTCATGCTAAAAACTCTCAATAAATTAGGTATTGATGGGATGTATCTCAAAATAATAAGAGCTATCTATGACAAACCCACAGCCAATATCATACTGAATGGGCAAAAACTGGAAGCATTCCCTTTGAAAACTGGCACAAGACAGGGATGCCCTCTCTCACCACTCCTATTCAACATAGTGTTGGAAGTTCTGGCCAGGGCAATCAGGCAGGAGAAGGAAATAAAGGGTATTCAATTAGGAAAAGAGGAAGTCAAATTGTCCCTGTTTGCAGACGACATGATTGTATATCTAGAAAACCCCATTGTCTCAGCCCAAAATCTCCTTAAGCTGATAAGCAACTTCAGCAAAGTCTCAGGATACAAAATCAATGTACAAAAATCACAAGCATTCTTATACACCAATAACAGACAAACAGAGAGCCAAATCATGAGTGAACTCCCATTCACAATTGCTTCAAAGAGAATAAAATACCTAGGAATCCAACTTACAAGGGATGTGAAGGACCTCTTCAAGGAGAACTACAAACCACTGCTCAGTGAAATAAAAGAGGATACAAACAAATGGAAGAACATTCCATGCTCATGGATAGGAAGAATCAATACCGTGAAAATGGCCATACTGCCCAAGGTAATTTATAGATTCAATGCCATCCCCATCAAGCTACCAATGACTTTCTTCACAGAATTGGAAAAAACTCCTTTAAAGTTCATGTGGAACCAAAAAAGAGCCCACATCGCCTAGTCAATCCTAAGCCAAAAGAACAAAGCTGGAGGCATCACGCTACCTGACTTCAAACTATACTACAAGGCTACAGTAACCAAAACAGCATGGTACTGGTACCAAAACAGAGATATAGATCAATGGAACAGAACACAGCCCTCAGAAATAAGGCCACATATCGACAACTATCTGATCTTTGACAAACCTGAGAAAAACAAGCAATGGGGAAAGGATTCCCTATTTAATAAATGGTGCTGGGAAAACTGGCTAGTCATATGTAGAAAGCTGAAACTGGATCCCTTCCTTACATCTTATACAAAAATTAATTCGAGATGGATTAAAGACTTAAATGTTAGACCTAAAACCATAAAAACCCTAGAAGAAAACCTAGGCTTTGCCATTCAGGACATAGGCATGGGCAAGGACTTCATGTCTAAAACACCAAAAGCAATGGCAACAAAAGCCAAAATAGACAAATGGGATCTAATTAAACTAAAGAGCTTCTGCACAGCAAAAGAAACTACCATCAGAGTGAACAGGCAACTTACAAAATGGGAGAAAATTGTCTCAACCTACTCATCTGACAAACGGCTAATATCCAGAATCTACAATGAACTCAAACAAATTTACAGGAAAAAAACAAACAACCCCATCAAAAAGTGGGCAAAGGACATGAACAGACACTTTGCAAAAGAAGACATTTATGCAGCCAAAAAACACATGAAAAAATGCTCACCATCACTGGCCATCAGAGAAATGCAAATCAAAACCACAATGAGATACCATCTCACACCAGTTAGAATGGCGATCATTAAAAAGTCGGGAAACAACAGGTGCTGGAGAGGATGTGGAGAAATAGGAACACTTTTACACTGTTGGTGGGACTGTAAACTAGTTCAACCCTTTTGGAAGTCAGTGTGGCGGTTCCTCAGGGATCTAGAACTAGAAATACCATTTGACCCAGCCATCCCATTACTGGGTATATACCCAATGGACTATAAATCATGCTGCTATAAAGACACATGCACACGCATGTTTATTGCGGCACTATTCACAATAGCAAAGACTTGGAACCAACCCAAATGTCCAACAATTATAGACTGGATTAAGAAAATTTGGCACATATACACCATGGAATACTATGCAGCCATAAAAAATGATGAGTTCATGTCCTTTGTAGGGACATGGATGAAATTGGAAATCATCATTCTCAGTAAACTATCGCAAGAACAAAAAACCAAACACCGCATATTCTCACTCATAGGTGGGAATTGAATAATGAGAACACATGGACACAGGAAGGGGAACATCACACTCTGGGGACTGTTGTGGGGTGGGGGGAGGGGGGAGGGATAGCTTTAGGAGATATACCTAATGCTAAATGACGAGTTAATGGGTGCAGCACACCAGCATGGCACATGTATACATGTGTAACTAACCTGCACATTGTGCACAAGTACCCTAAAACTTAAAGTATAATAATAATAAAATAAAATAAAATAAAGAGATTTACATGCAAGAAAAGAAAAGCACGTAAAAAGGTGTGTTTTAATGTCATAGTGAGAGATATTATAATTTATATAGTTTATAAAATGTGGAGATAACTAATACAATGTAAAGTGATAAATGAAACATAGATTAAATTCACACAGTGCTAGGTTTTTGAAAACATTTTATTTTAACTCAACTTGTGTCTAAAGTATAATATGGTTGCATGAAAAAAGAAATCTAATGCAGGAAGCATCTTGTCCCCTGATATTTTAGTAGTCACTTGCTGAATTACAGTCTTGTTACTTTGGGAAACACTAATATATAAAATTAAATTATTAACCAACTAAAATATGAATAAATGAAGGAAAATTGTAGAAAGCCAAATGGAGATTACCTATATGATAAAACTTTATTTATTATGTTTGAAAAAAGTAGAAATAAGAAATGCATAGATTTTAGACTTGGTGTATAGATCAGTAGCATGAACTGTGAAGGATGAGGGTCTCAAATTCTGTTTTGACTCTCTTGGTGAGACTAGATTCACAATGTAAAAGGTAGAACAAATGTTAGTGAGAGGAAACCTCAAGCAGATGAAGGCATTGTAATGTGGTATCCAGATACTCCAAATGAATATGTATATTTATGATCAATTAGTTAAAAATTAAATCTCTGAATTATTTTTGTAATCTTTGAGAAACTATGGCTACTGGAGGAAGAAGAGGGAGAAGGTGAACTCCATAAACTATAAATAGGTAAGCTATATATCAAATCTCAAAATAGATTATGAAAATAATTGTAAGTATTTAGAAAAACATACTAATTTGTTAGATAGTTTTCTTTATGTTCCTCAGAGAAAAGCCCATCAACAGAATGTGATAAACACGACATAAGTACTTTGTTAGCAAAAATTCTGTAAAGATCTACTATGGTATCATTATAAACAAAAAAGAGGGGTAAATTCTCAGCTAATGAAATGACAATTCTTAAACTATGTGGAATAATTGATTGCTCTCAATCTAAAGTGATATTTGCACTGAAAAGCTGAAGCCATTTTTTGTCACTGTCTGATGGGCACATTTGTGTTTCTGATTTTTATTTTTCTAATGAAAAGAAGTTAAGATCTTTTGACAAATATATTGGATGAAATAATTTTTTTTGAGACAGAGTGTTGCTCCAAACATCACAATTTAGCCTAGCCTACCTTATATGTGTTCAGAATACTTACATTAGCCTACAGTTCAGCAAAATTATCTAACACAAAGCCTATGTTATAATAGTGTTGAATATCTCATGTAATTTATTAAATACTCTGCTGAAAGTGAAAGATGAAATAGTCATATGGGAGCTCAAAGCACGGTTTCTACTGAATGTGTATTGCTTTCCTACTATCATAAGTCAAACCTTTGTTAAGTTGGGGACCATCTGTAATTAGTTTTTAATTGATCGGTAACTATGTGCTAAACACTATTCTAACTCATATATATATATATATATATATATATATATATATGTATTATTATTATTTTTTGAGACGGAGTCTTGCTCTATCTCTCAAGCTGGAGTGTAATGGCACAATCTCCACTCACTGCAACCTCTGCCTCCCTGGTTCAAGCGATTCTCCTGTCTCAGCCTTCACTCACTGCAACCTCTACCTCCCAGGTTCAAGTGATTCTCCTGCCTCAGCCTCCTGAGTAGCTGGGATTACAGGCATACACCACGATGCCCAGCTAATTTTTGTACTTTTACCAGAGACGGGGTTTCACCATGTTGGCCTTGAACTCCTGACCTCAAGTGATCCGCCCTCCTCGGCCTCCCAAAGTGCTAGGATTACCGGAGTGAGTCACCACACTGGGTGGATGATAGAATTTTAAAGAAGCAATTTAGAAGGTGTTTAGTCAAATTTCTTTCAATTGTACATTTTAGAAACTCAGTCTAAAAGAACTTAAATAAGAAATGAAATTTATTGGCTTATGTAAATTGGAAGATACAGGGGTGGAAGGCTGGCTCATAGGGTTTGAATTATATTATTGGGGTTCTATGTTTCTCTCCATCTTTCAGCTTTGCTTTTTCTCTTACAGGCTTAGCGTGAAAGACTGCCACTGGCTATCTTAGTCTTGTATTTCCTTTACCATCCATGGTACCAGAGAAGGAAGAGTGTTTCTCTTTATGGCCTCAGCAAAAATTCTGTGGAAGGTGTTGATTGACCCGATTTGGGCCATGTCCTACAATCATGGAGGCCAGAGCCATTGGATATTTCAATTGGCCGGGCTGAGAGCTACAGAACATCCCTGTAGTGAACAATGAAGAGAGTAAGAGAGAAATCAGATCCCAACTAAACTACATGGCATGTTTACACATAAGAAAGGAGGGCTTGGTTGACAGGTGCATGGAGGAGCACAAGTGAAAAGGCAGATTGAAAACCATAGATGCCTCACTGTGCTTCACCGTCTACACTGTTAGTAAGGTTCAATGTGAAGCCCTATGCTAGGATCCAAAATTAAAGTTAAAAACAAGAAAATGAAAGAAATATGCCTTTACAGTGAAACACATACAAAAGAAGAAGAAAAGTTTAGCGGCTGTAAACTGGATGCATGAAGCCTGCAGTATGTCGCAGCTAGGAAAAAACAAACAAGCAAACAGGAACAATAGCAGGCAATGCCTACATTAAAGAGGAAAATATTTAGACACAGGACACCATGGGGGAAGCACGAAACTCTTATTTCTTCAGCTCACCACAAACAGTAGATGTGGTGGCAGGATCTCTAGGAAAGAGCTAAAATTCAGACAGAACTTACTATTCAAAGAGGAATGGCCAAGATGGCAAAAAGACTGGACACGAGGTCCTAAGAGTGAACAATGGGTGGGTGGCTGAGTAGTCGAACTGGACATGAGGTCCTAAGAGTGAACGATGGGTGGGTGGGTGAGTAGTCGACTGACGCTGGAGACCATGACTTTTGGGTGGTATGAAGGAAGAATCTGATCCAAGGTTGGGAATTTTCACCCCAAGTGCTGTTGGGGGACAAGCGGGCAAGAGAATTGAGGGACTCACAGAAGAATGCCAAGAGTGCTTCTCCTTGGGGTTCATCTGTGGAGGAACTGAAGCTAGGAGGGGAGGACAGGGAAGAAATGAGGCAAGGAATTGCTGAATGAAGTCCACAGTTCTGGAGTCCTGGGAGGAAGAGAGTGGGAGGTAGAGGAAAAGGCAGGGCAAGCCAGAGATTTTTGGGTTTCAGCTGAATATTCCAAATGTATAATAATTTTAAGAGTGGTACCAAGGCCAAGAATGCAGTCATGGAAGTGGATTTCTGAAACACAGTAAAGCGAAGACCAGGTTTGTTGGAATCTTGTTAGTCAAGGAACTTGGATAGAAGGTCTTAACTGGGTGGACTTCCTCTTTGGTGTTAAAGTCACAAGACAATGACTGGATTTAGGGTGGAAAAACATGACTCAGAAGCTGAAGTCCACAGTGACTTGAAGCCATGTCCAAGAGTTTGGTCCCTGACAATGCAAAGAAAAAGTACATGAGGGTGTAAACTGTGAGCAGCACCTCAAAGGAGAAAGATCAATATGATGTTCTAACTAGTACTTGAGCAACTGAATTTCTTTTTTCTACACTGATAGACTTTTAAAACTTTATTTTCATTTAATATGAACATCATATAGGGTATATAAAAATTAAAACTAAGAGACACATTGGCTTTGTAAATCTATGTTTTTACATAATGGTTTTGTTAGATTTATTCTTCCATCAGTGAAAACATTTCTTAAACATGAATTCCATTTCCATTTAAACAATTTGTAAGCAAAGTCCAGGTCCGATTAGTTTTTGGATATATTTAATATTTGTCTCCTGAAGTTTGTCTTCATGTACTTTAAGATATTGGTTTGTCTTTCCATGTTTTAAATGCACGATTGTATATCACATATTTTGTTCATTGTTTAATAAGAGATAATGTCCATCTAGGAAATAAATAGATTTTATAAAATTTTTTTAAAAAGTGAGACAATAGTCATGAGTAACAAGGGGGTAAGTTTCCTAGAGCCACAAATTTCATGGCTTAAAACAACATCAATTTATTCTCTTACAGTTCTGGAGGCCAGAAATTTGAAATGAGTCTTATGGAGCTGAAATCAAGCACAAACCAAAGCTGGGCTTCATCTGGATGCTCTATGAAAGATTCCTTTGCTCGCCTCTTCCAATTCCTGGTGGTTGCTGGCATTCCTTGCATTGTAGACTCGTCATCCCAACGTCTTCCTCCTTGGCCCCATTGCCTTCTCCTCTCCTGTGTGGGCATCATCAACTCTCCCTTTCCCTCCCTCTTAAAAGGATATGAATGTGACTGCTTTAGGACCTACCTGGATAATTCAGAATAATCTCCCCATCTCAAGACCCTTAACATAATCACATATGCAAAGAACTTCTCTTTTCTTTAATCATATGAGTTAACATGTACAAATTTCAGAGATGAGAACATGGATATCTTTAGGGTGCCATTTTTTCAGTCCATTGGAAATGGTAGATGTGGAAGAAGAGGAGCTAAAATTCAATCAGACTAGGGGTCTGCAATCTGTAGCCTGCAAGTCAGTGCCTGTTTTTGTAAATAAAGTTTTATTGGAGCACAGCCATGCCAGTTTTTTTGCATGTTGTTTATGGCTGCTTTCCTGCTACCTGGAAGAGTTGAGTGGTTGTAACAGTAACCATATGGTCCTCAAAGCTGAAAATGTTTACTGTCTGGCCCTTTACAGAAAAAGCTTGCCAGTCCCTGGGTTAGATCAAGAATGTGGCAAATCATACTGGGGAGATTATAAGGTTTTAATTTAAAGTTCAGCAGCAGACAAGTGAGGGTAAGAACTTCAGTGGATGAAAAACCTACAAAATACCAGTAGATTTTACAGTTAGACTTTGGTAGTTTTGGGTAGACATATTTCATTGAAATGGTGAAAGTGGAAAATAGATATTAAGAAAATCCTAAGGAAATGGATATTAGTAAAATATTTTGCAATTTACTTAAGATTTTTAGTTTTATTATATCTTTATATATATACAAATATGTATTTACCAACTACATATGAGTTGATAAAATGCATATGCTTGGAAATATTTTTCAATAAGTTTGTGTATGGAGTTGAAGGAAAAGCTAGAATGGAAGCATAATAGCATCACAGGGTAAAAATAAAGCTAAAGGCGAGAGAAAATAATACTATTAGTGCTTTATGATTTCTATTGAGAAAATCAATGTTCTATGAATGCATAGCTCATTCCAGAATAATCAATACAAACCATGTCTAACATATGTGCACTTTTGTTTTCTGGGCCAGTAAAGAGATGCAATTGCTTTTTGCGTGTGTGTGTGTGTGTGTGTGTGTGTGTGTGTGTGTGTGGAGGGAGAGGGGCTGAAGGAACAAGGCATAGAGGAGAGGCTGTGAGTGAGGTGCCACCTCAACGAGAATGAAGAGGGTGGGAGTGGAGGGCTCCTGGAACCCCAGGTAGGATGATTTGCCCGGTAGGAAAGAGGGAGCCTCTTTCTCTCCAGGGAGGAGGAAATGCATGGAGACACCAAGAGACGCTGATGTGCAGGGGAGAACAGAGAGGGGTTCTGAAGCTATAACAAATGGAATGTGTCTAATCACAGATGTTAGAAGCATGGGGTCTATAAATGGTCCTGAGAAAACTGAGACCCTAGAGGATTTAGTGAGAAATTTTATCAGAAACCGGAAGAGTAGGGTCATCTGCCAGTGGGAGAAAGTCAGGGTGAGGCTGGGGAACTGGCTGTGGAAAATATGTGTAACAGCTGTGGGGGATGCATGCAGGAATTTAACTGGGGATGACCAAGGCTGTGAGCAGACTGGGGGCAGTGGTGTGAGCATATGTATGTGTATTACAGAGAGAGAGAAAGACAGAGACAGAGCTTCTCCGACGGTGCTCTGCAATATTCGAGTAGGAGCTGCTGGAGTATGTCGAAGAGGTCATCCTTCAGCACAGGCTTTCTACAACAGGTTCAGCCACGGTTGAAGAGCAACAGGGATTTTCACAGATAGGCAATGACTGCTTCCATGTGAGCCAAGTACAAAGGGCAGGTGCCTGAGAAAACAGGAAGCTGTCTGGAAAGGAATCATATCACTCCTTATATCCTCAGTGACTGGAATATTTGCTGGCTGAATAATGAAAAATGACATCTTTTTGAGAGCTGACAACACTCATCATCACATACTCCCCAAGTGGTGTGACTATAGCACCTACGCCCCTCCCTTACCATGAACCCGTAAGAAAGCTGGGTGCAGGGATGGTGAAGGATTTGCCAGAAGAGACAGCTAGTAAGGAGGAGAAGTGGGATTCAGTCCTGGGTCCATCTGACCCTGAATTTATTCCCTGCTGTGAAGCTTCCTCTGATAAACGAGCAGAGGCCACACGCAACAGTGACGGGAGGAGGGTGAATGAAGTTGGCCTTGGTTCCATATGATCCCTTGAAGCCCGGCGTTCACAACGTTTGTGCAAAGCAGTGCCGTTAATATAAGTCCTTCCACATTTTACTGCCTGTTGTAGAGTCTGCTTGTCATTCTGACAAAGGCAAAACTTTCTGGCAAGCAGAAGCCCCAAGGTGCTACACCAGGGCTGTCCTGTGGGGATGGGGCTTAGAACAAAGGCAGGACTGGAGAACACAGGCAGACGGAAGAATTAGGAAGCCCCGAACAGTTCAGACAAAGACTCAATGCACGGTGGGCTGGGCAGAAATGCGAGATGCTCACAGATGCTGAGGAAGGGGGTCTCGGGCCAGAGAAACCAGCCAATGTTGGGGTGTGGTGTGAACAAGAGGCATATCAAGAATACCAAAGGCCCTGATCCCCAGAACCAGGCCTTTTGTATGGGGTTTTGTTTTACCATGGGAGTGGAAGAGGGACCATGAAGTTGACAAAGCCAATTTGGACAATACTAAAAGTAATTTATCTTAGTGAGGTGTCCCCAGTTATCTGCCTGTGCTATAATCCACTCTTCCTCTGGGTCGTTTATAACTCATGACTATTTCTCCTACTGTAACCTACACCCGTGTCTGAATGGTGGTCTCATGCCACCCATCTCTTCTCCCTGCTGTGCGCTTGCTCTCATATCTTGTTATCTATTGTTTTGACAAAAATGATCCATGGTTGCAGGGTAATTTCCCTTTGTGATGAAGTGCAATTGATTTGGTGACAGTGATTGTTCATGCTCCTTAGGGCTCGATTAGGGAAGGCCCATAGCTTTTGCAGAAAGTTGAGTTTTCCAGATGTGTAATTTCCTCCCAAATAGGACCTTTCCCAGTTGGTCCAAAACATCGATATCACACAGCTCAGGCTGAGCAACTCAGCCTTCCCCAGCCTCTCGCCTTCAGTTCTAACAACAAATATGTGGCATAGTAGCCCTAGAGTCTTGCGCCTCTGTCCACTGCACCTCTCACCCCAAATTTGGCTGGTCCCCACTTTTAGAATTAGTCCACTTTTGATCCAGGAGAATTTGGAGGCAATTCAGTAAAGCAGTTTTATTTTTTGTGGATTCCACTTATGCATGCTGTTCCTGTTCCCTGTGGCCATCGAAAATTGCAAGCCTGCTACACTTTGAAGGAAAAGGTGGTGGAACAAACCAATTAGCATCCCCATCATAATCACTCACCTGTGAGAAGGCTGCTGACTGTCTGAAGTGCATGACAAGCACAGACTTCAGAGTCCCAAGCTGGAGAAGTGGTATCCAAATCACAAATCAATCCACCGGGAGGGTTTTCAAGCGAATAAAAAAGGCAATCAGCACCCGGACTCCAGGGTTGTTTTCTTCTTCATGTCTCCCTGTTCCCCCTTTCATGTGTACCCCAGTGTTTCTACAAACAGAAATAATAAGGACACTCAGGGCCTTCAAACAAAGCAAAATGCAATCTCTTTGTGGCTGACGCATCACTAAATGAATGGTGCTCCCTAGACTCTGGAAGAGAGATATCAGATGTGCTTGGGGATCTTAATAATACTGTTATTAGGGAATAGACCAGTTGAGAAATGTGCTTTTTCTGTAACACCTGGAGCAACAAAAGCCCAGAAGTAGAAGAAAAAAAAAATGTTTTTTTTAGGTCTGCTTTGAAATTCATTTTTCCTCCTTAGTAGGGACCTGCCAATCAAACTCCTGAAGTAAGAAAAAGGTCATTCTTACAAAAAAACAACCAAGGGAAGACTTTCCCTTACCTTGGCGTGTGCAAACACTGGGAGGGAAAATAATGCTATTGGTGCTTTATGATTTCTCTTGAGAAAATCAACGTTCTATGAATGCATAGCTCATTCCAGAATAATCAGTACAAACCATGTCTAACATATGTGCACTTTTGGTTTCTGGGCCAGTAAAGAGACGCTATTTTGTTTTTAACTGAAATTTTACTGAAACTCTGCCCCTAAAAGTTCTTTTTTCAGACATATCAGGAGAAAGGGCTTCATTCCATTCCTTTTGTCTATAAGGAAAAACTAATTCCTTTCCTTAGTCCCTTGTCCCTAATCCTTCTTCTCTCCCTTTTCTTTTTATAAGGGAGTTATAGAATTTTATTAAAATGCTGTATGTTTTAGAGAATCATGGAATATTAAAGTTGGAAGTGATTCTTAGACACCATCAAGCCAAGCTCCCTCCTTTTATAGACAAAAAAATCGAGGCTCAGATACGTTGAAACTTATCCAAATTCTACACCTACTTAGCAGCAAAGCCGGAAACAAAATACAGGTCTCTTCCCTTCCAGCGTAGTGCTCTATCTCCTAGGCTAGGGATTTCCAAAATTACCTGATTACCCAAATTACTCTGGGCCTTTGTGAAAGATACAAATCCCAGGTCTTCTCTGGAGATCCTGTGTCCATCGTGATTATCTTTCCAGGTGATTCTTAGGGCCAAGCATTGACTGGGAAACTTCATGAAAACATGTTGCTCTACCTTTTTCTCTCAAAGGGGGATTCTCTTTCACCATCTGCAGTAGCTGCTGCCTTGGACAGAAAGGCAGGGACTGGAGGTAGAAAGAGTCAGGCTTGTTCTGACTTCTGGCAGCCTCCTCCAGGGCAGTGAAGCAGGAAATGGAGAGTAACTTTCATGCGTGACCACGGCAGACCTCAGCCACTTTTCCCTGGTCCAAATTCCCAAACTCTTATTGTCCCTTTAGGTAGCACTCATATGTTGCCTATTACTGGGTTAGTTTTCCATTGATATTTGCATTTCTTGGCCACTTTAATAAATTGTAAGATTACTAAGACAAGAAAGAATGTCTAGCTCACCCTTACTTACCTCTGAGTACGTAACATTACACCTTGTTAATTAATTGATTTAAGCTCCATTTTTACTTCCAATTTATAAGACAGAAGACAGGACAGTATATGCCTCTTCTCCTGGCATGATCACCCAAAAGCAACTAGGAGGATTTTTTAAAAAAATGCACATCCCATTCCTATAGAAAATAGTAATACCTGGAAAATCAATAATACCTGAGAAAAGACTGCCAAATACAGTGAAGGTCAAATAGGGGTGTTGGAAGATATATAGAGGGAATGCCTGTAGCTGCAAATTTCAGACTCAGACAGGATAACACTATTCTTTCAAAGTAACCCTCACATCGCACACTCTTATTTATAGCCACAGGAAGGGGCTGATGGCAGGAGTTGCTTCAGTTCTGGTTGGCTATAAAGAGGAGCAAGGCAGGGCCGTGTGTGGTGGCTGATGCCTGTAATACCAGCACTTTGGGAGGCTGAGGCAGATGGATCATTTGAGTTCCGGAGTTCAAGACCAGCTTGGCAAACATGGTGAAACCCTGCCTCTACTAAAAATACAAAAATTAGCTGAGCATGGTGGTACACTCCTGTAGTCCCAGCTACTCGGGAGGCCAAGGCAGGAGAATCGTTCAAACCCAGGAGGTGGAGGTTGCAGTGAGCTGAGATCTTGCCAGTGCTCTCCAGCCTGGGCAACAGGGCAAGACTCCATCACAAAAAAGGAAAAAAGAGAAATGAGGAGAGAGGCAGAAGGCTGAGTGGGGAGTTGGAGATGCGTGCCAGGGGAGAAGAGACTCTCTGTATTGTGGACAGCACTTTAGCTGCTGCCTCTGACAAATGAGAACATGTAGAGGCTAATAACTAAATTATACAAACAATTCTCTTTTGTAAGGAGAATTTCTCCTAGCCTGAACTCACCTGGTTCAAAAACGAAAAATAAGGAGGAGGAGGAGGAGAAGGAGGAGGAGGAGGAAGTACTGCTCTGTATAACTAAAAGAAAAAAAGAATGAAGCAAATAAACACTCATTGGGAAACAATGCAAGAAAATTAAAAGAAAAATAAAAGAATGACTATATATAGCCACACACATTAAGAAATCTTACCATGACACTGCTTCTATTTAAAAAAATTTCCACATAATTAACAAAAAAGTACAGGGAAATGTGACAGGGAAATGTGTCAGGAAAACAGGGAAAGCTGAAACCTAAGCTAGCAGAGATCAAGAAATAAGTGAAAAATATTAAAACACTGTCTCAGAAATGAAGTCCACATTAGAGGTAGCAAAATAGAAAATAGACATTTACACATACCTTATAAAGGCCATGGAAAATACTATTTAAAAAGTAATAAAAATGAAATGAACAAAGAACTGAAAGGGATAACAGAGAAAATAATCGGTAATGATAGATAATGAAAGACTGACAAAGAAAATCCAACACATAAATAATTGGTACCCCTGTCCCAAAAGGAGAGGCTCCGTAAACTTTCTATAATTCATCTAAGAAGTGGTGTACTATGTCTTAGAAGCAAAAAGATGAAGAACTGTCACAAATAGGACATACCCAGATAACAATACTGGATTTCAAAGATCAACAAAGGAAGGAGATTGAATGCTGAAATAAAAATTTTAAATTTCAAAATGTGAGAATCACATTATTATTGTAAGATCAATGAAAAACTATATTTGTGTCTGCATTGTCACAAAGAGAGTAAACTTATAATGTTACAGAATTTGCCATATGCTGAACCAAGAAAATCTTAAAGGATCATGAGGTGGTTCCTTTCTAGCCCTTTGCTCTATAGACAATAAAAACACAAGCTCACTCCGGTGGAAAATTAGAGTTGGAACAAGGGCTGGAGCCAACTGTTGGTCACTAGTCATGTTATGTTCAAATATCTGAAATCCTAAGGTCCCTCACCAGAGGATTTACTCAGAGAAAGCAATGTTTTGTACCCATAACATGATAAAATTTATTTTGAAAAGGATAAAATAAAAAAATCTATCCACTTAAAATTTTAAAGGTGTTTCTTAAACAACTATTGATAACAGAAGTTATTAAACTGTATAGGCTCTTGAAAATGGTGATAATGGAGACATGGTTTGCTAAAATGGTTTTCAGGGAAAAAAGTCCTGCCTTGGGTATTTTCTTCTTTCTTTGCCACAAAGATAGAATAAAAATACATGAGATAAGAACTGAACTCAAGAAGTTAGAACAGTAGGGAAAAGGCCAAAGAAAAGAATTTTTAAAGATAAAAATTCTGTTAAACTTGTGTTTTCTACTAGCACCTTTATTTCTGCCTCTCCTCTGAATGTCACTACATTTATAATGAAATTCATACACGCGCATGTGTGTGCACGTGCACACACACACACGCACACACACACACACACAAACACACCTGAACAGGCAAAAAGAACCAAAGAGGAGGCAACAGAAATTAAGAGATGCAACCACAAATGCTGCACCCAGACTGAGTGGTGAATGATTTTCCAGCCTGGAAGAAAGCTGGAACCTCACCCAGCAGGGACAAAGCCAGCACTCACTTTTCACCATAGTTCCTTTTGTACTATTTAGATATTCCTCCATGTGCATGTATTATTTAAAAAAAATAAACAGTTAAGAAAAAGTGCTTCCTCCCACCCACATTTAATATTATAGGTTATGATTCTATGTCTTGAAAATTAAACCCCACATCAGGAAGAAAGGAATGCTAGAGGAATGAGATTGTAGATTTTAGCTCACTTCGGTCTCCCTCTGTTCCTAAATGTCTCAATCCTTTCACAGGAGACAAAACAGTCCCCCTGGAGGGTAATAGTTCTGAGGTCCCCAGGTCCCCTTCTATGCCATAAAATGTGGCATAGAAATCACAGTCTGAACTTTGTCTCCAAATCCTATCTTAGCTATGTTAAATCTCACAGCCTTTCACTGACCCAGTGAGAAGGTTATGAGAAATTAGCTTGGCTTAATTAAGACTCATAGGGTAAAGGTTCAAGGAAAGGCAGGAAAAAAAAACCTCAATCTATCCCTGAAAGAGCAAGAGGCAATTCTGGAGTGAAACTCAGCTACAGTCCTTACAAACTATGTGATCCCAAGCAACACACTTAGTCTTGATTTTTTTCATCTATAAAACTGGGGAAAATATCCACTTTACACGTAGTTATAGGAGCTAAGTGAGTTAATGAACATAAAGAATCTGGCACAATATGAGCACTTAACTAACAGCTGCTTCTTTTTCACTCCCTAACCTCCTCTCCTTCATTCTAAGCAAACCTCCTCATCTGTTGACACCGTCAGATCACCAGAAGTGGTGAGGCCAGCTTTCATAAAATTTGTGAGGCTGGTCCATACCCAAAGAGAATAAAATTTAAAAAGCTGAGATCAGCAATATGAAAATAAATTCTTCCATATCCTGGTTCCACTTATTGAATTAGAAACTAAAAAGTGAAGGAAAAATAAAATATAAATTTTAAATAGATTTGTTACCTGAGGTCAGCCTGAGCTAGGGAATATAACTCAGGAACATGGGTTAAAACAACATCATCTGTAGGGCCAGCACCAAGACTGCTGGACTCCCAGCTCCTGGAATATTGGTGTCCCCAGGAGTCTGCACACAGCCCTCTTATCTTCTTAAGCTACATATGAATGCACACAGGTCCTGTTTCAATCACCTATGTGCTGATGACTTTTAAAGCTTCATCTCCACTAAGATGTCTCTTCTAAGTTCCAGACCAATACATAATGTTGCCTTCTAGACATCGCCAGCTTGACCCATCAAACTTGACATGACCCACACTGAACTCATGACTGCCCCATGTTGGCCCTAGGCAGGTAAGCCTGCTCCTTCTCTGTTTCTTGTCTCACCACACACAACAGCCAATGACCAAAGGGCTGAGTCACCCTAGATTCTGCCTTTTCCTATAACCATCACTACAGGAAGACACCTGTCTATTCTACTTCACAAATACACTGGAAGTCTGACTCCTCCTGTCCTTCCTAATAGCCACTTTGCCAGTTCCAATCATCTCATTTCCTTCCAGGAGTTATATAACATTAGTTTCCTAACAGTATCATCGTGGCACCCCATCCAAGTCACCATTCATACCAACACCACATCGATCATTTTGGAACTCAGAAAAAGTCAGCTCACTCTTGGACTAAACTATTTTCCGTGCCTCCTTATCACTTGTAAACTAAAATCTAAAATTCTTTGTACAGCACACAAACTTCTGCTCATTTTTAGCCTCTTATCCCATGACCTAGCCACTGTATTTGTGAATTAGTTTGTCAAATGCTATGAGCAATTGATAATTATAAAATCAACAAGTTGTTTCTTTCCTTTAGTCTTTACATCTACCATTCGTTCCTCTTAAAAAGTGCTTTTTTCTCTTACCTTTCCAGAGAAATACTAAAACCCAATTTCTGGATGCCTCCATGGTGAGACCTTCCCTCAAATGTCCTACTTAAAAAACACTCACACAGGCACTTCTTCTCTCTACAGAACTTGCTATAAAAGGGCTTGCCACATGATTACAACTGGTACAACTCATGTCATTTTCTCTCATGATGATCCATTTAAGAGAAGGAATTTGTATTCGCCAATACCCAGTACCATGATTAGCACGTTGTTGGAACTTAATGAAAGCTCGCTGAATGAGGAAAGATTCTTCTTTGTTTCTCAAAAGCTCTCAGAGCCTTTCCATATGTCCCCAGCTAACTGGTACTGTCCTTTCCTTCAAAATGCCATGACATCTCTAACTTTGCTATCAATATTTGCTGCTCTTAAGGGAATGAATACAGGACATCAAAACTGGTATATCAAGATTAATTTGGACATAGCTGAATTTGCCACCTTTCAACCAATGAAGCTTCCAGCTCTGCTGTTTTTATGTTTGTCAGTAGCATTCACAAACAATGGAGAGGTTTAACATCTTGGGATTCATCAGATTTATCCCTCCTGTTTGATACCTTCCCCAACATTTATTATTGGACAATATTTATTACATTCTCTGTTTTTTTTCTATTTCCAGTGCCCCTCCTACTTGCTCCATTATTTCAAAAGCTTTCAAAGTGATCTCTTTGCCTAATGTCTATTATGTGACTGATCCAGGAAAAATATACTGAAAGTTTGCTTTCATCCAGTCATTCCTTAATTCTCAACTTAAACATTTCTGTGTTCCTGAAATTAGGTTTACATTCCTCATCTGACATTAAAAATCCTGGGAACTTTATAGCTTGGCTTCAAATTTATAAACCTAACATTGTCCAACATAAACCCTCTATGAAATCTTTCTATTTTTGAATTGGTCTTATACTTTCCAACAAGAACCATATTCCTCTCTGTGCTCATGCTGCTTCTCACCAAAATACTTCACTGCTGCTTTTTTTTTTTCACACAAATCCTACTTATTCTTCAAGAACAAACACAAATTCTATATTCCCCATGAGGTGTCCCTGAATATTCCAGATCACATTGAGCCTGCCCTTCTCTGAATTTCTTTATCACACTTCAGCACATACACTGTATTTCATCACTTCCTATGTACGGTTCTTGTATTAGTTCGTTTTCATGCTGTGGATAAAGATATACCCAAGACTGGACACTTTACAAAAGAAAGAGGTTTAATGGACTTACAGTTCCATGTGGCTGGGGAGGCTTCACAATCATGGTGGAAGGTGAAAAGCACGTCTCACGTGGCGGCAGACAAGAGAAGTGGGCTTGTGCAGGGAAACTTCCCTTTTTAAAACCATCAGATCTCGTGAGACTTATTTGCTATCACAAGAAGAGCATGGAAAAGATCTGTCCCCATGATTCAGTTACCACCTACCAGGTCCCTCCCACAACACGTGGGAATTCAAGATGAGATTTGGGTGGGGACACAGCCAAACCATATCATTTCTGGTGTGCGTCTTAGGGCTCACTGAGAGAGAGAGAGAGAGAGAGGGTGTGTGTGTGTGTGTGTGTGTGTGTGTGTAGTAATAAATGCTCCATTGATCAGGAAAAAAAATCAACTGGAGCTCTGTTTATTTCTCTGACTCTAGCATGCTCCCTTTAAATCTGAAAATCTGAATCTTTACCAGATGAGTCAGAGCCACCGGAGTAATTACCTCTCAGCTTGTTGGGTATTCATCCTCAGTAAGTGGCTTAGCTAATGTACGTTTCACACATTTAGTTGAAATGGGTATTGTGCATACACAGAAAGTTTTGTGCAGACTTAGCTTCCTATTATTTCTCATTTTCTTTGACATCTTTGGGGAATGATTGGGGCCTCCACCCTCACCTTCAACACACATAAATTATTTTGTGTGTTGCTTCTCCCAGTAATTCAGATATTAAATAAGAAAGATAATAGAAGGCAAAAACTAGTCAGTGAGTTATTCAAGGTGGTTAAAAGAATTATTTCCTAAATATAATATTCCTTGTACTTATGAGACCTTGAACTCCAAGGTGAATTGGAAGGTGTTTAGCAGCTCTATAATAAGAATATGATAATGATACTTAACCAGTGCTGTTCTAGGTACCATCTCACACGTGTTATCTTCCTTAATCATCATGACACAGCCTTCATAGGAAGAAAATTGTTTCATTGGAAGAAAATTGTTTGAGGAGCAAGGCACGCACTTGAAATTTTTATGTCTGATCATGAAAATGGACACAGATCCCTTAATGGTTATCTAGTAGCCATAGTGTTTCAGTTTAGATGGGAAAGATTTCCAGGTCCAGGAAGAGGTTCAGTTCAGGGGGTGGGGGAGAGGTGAGGATGTGTAAGTCTGACTTTCACGAGAAATGAAGACAAGCTCACAAGTGAAGTGGACGTGGGTGATAATGGTTGGATTATACATCAGAAAGAGACAGCCTTAGCACCTTGTCTTGGCACTACCCAGCACACCCACCAGAAACCCTGCCTCGCATAAGCCTCTACACATAAGCTCTGTCAGCTCGACAGGTACATCCACTCATCCCCAGACTTCTGGGATGCTTTCTTGGGGTAATTTCTGACCATAATTGCCTAATTTCCAAGGGTATTCCTGATGCTAAATACAGCCTGGATCCTTAGTTATTAACTCAGTTCTTCTAGTTCTAGAACTCTTATCTACTGGACCTTATCAGGAATATTAATGGGTACACATATGATTCAGCAAATAACTAGTTTCTGCATGTCTAGGTATTAATGCTAGGATAAAAAGCTAAATAATTTGTATTTCAACTTTCATTGAATATTCGGTACTTTTCACTCTTCAGTCATATGGTTTTTATCTATTTTTAAGTGACATGGAAAAGAAAAAATGTATATATCACAGTGCTCAGGAGTACAAGCTGCAGGTTAAAATCTGGGATGCTCCAGTTACCTAGCTCCGCGACCTTGGGTGAATTATTTAATGACTCTGCTTTTGTTACTTCCCCTGTGAAATAGGGCGGATATTAGTGCTTGCCTGTGAAGGCTGTGTCATAATGATTAAGGAAGATAACACGTGTGAGATGGTACCTAGAACAGCACTGGTTAAGTATCATTATCATATTCTTATTATAGAGCTGCTAAACACCTTCCAATTCACCTTGGAGTTCAAGGTCTCATAAGTACAAGGAATATTATATTTAGGAAATAATTCTTTTAACCACCTTGAATAACTCACTGACTAGTTTTTACTTTCTATTATCTTTCTTGTTTAATATCTGAATTACTGGGAGAAGCAGGGTAGCTCAACTGGCCTCTGCAATCAGCTGACTAATTTGATTTCAGGCCTGCCGCTCACCAGCTCCATGAACTTGAGCAAGAAACTAACTTTTCCCGAGCCTTCTTTTCTCTTTGAGTTAAAAAAAATGTAATTAATTGTCATAGAAATTGTACATTAAAGAGTTCAATAATAACATGTAACAAGCTCTCAGGGCTCAAAACAAATGATGGGAAAAATAATAGAAGTCAGGATTGTGGGTGTGTTGATGGGCAGATATTGGCAGGGAGGAGACAGATGGAGGCTTGTTAGACTCCAGGTTTATCTCCATCTGCGGTTTGGTCACGTAAGTATGTATATTTATAAAAATCCATCAAGGTGTACACTTAAAACTTGCATTCTTTACCACATCAGTGTTATCCTTCAATAAAAGAGCTCACAGAGGTAAGCTAAATATCTGAGAAGATCACACAGGCCTTATACTATTTTTGAATAAATAAATATTTTCAGTTTTCCTGCTACTGAATATAGACTAGCCGACCATTGGGAACTTAGACTATACCAAACTTACATATAGTAAAGAGGAGATTTGGCCATCATTCATTTAAATTAATTAATATAGGAGCCAGGGAGGGGCTAGAATATGAAAGACTGGCCCTGTGTAGATTAAACATAGTCACCTGAGTCCCAGTGTTGGAGACACACCCCCGCCCAGGTGGGCAGAGTAACTGGCAGCCTTTCTGCTTCCTGATGCTCCCCCCAGGGCCATCGTTACTTCAGGACTATAGAACTTGGCCCCCAGCTTTCCCGGCAGCCGCCTAGCCGCAGAGGAGACCCTGGTGCCAGAGGGTATCACACTTCCAAAAAGACAAACCTCTTGGTCTCAAAACAAGCCCCGAGGGATATGAGCACGGCGGTTCATATATCCTGTGTGTCCAGGTCAGCACACTGATAAAACTCTCCTGCAGGCAGAGACCAGAGAGAATCCTTCTTGAGATCAAAAGAGAAAAAAGTGAGTTCATTGCCTCCCACTCCACATCCTGCAGGAGAACTTAACTAGGATTTGGAGACTACTGCCTGAACCGGCCCTGCATCTCAGCTCAGCTTTCCCCAACAGTCCATCATCACAGACGCTCAGGAGCCACTGGAGGCAGGGGTGCAAAGGAACAACAATAATCACTCTTTTCTGAGTACTGCCTACATGCCAGGCTCTGAGCTGAGGATTTCCCTGTGTGGTCCTTTGAATTCTCAACCCAACATCACGTGTCGGGTTGCATTATCTTTATTTCACAGAGAAGGGGTAGAAGCCTAGAAAGGCTACAAAAGACCAAGCCATGAGTGAACCCAGGTCAGATGGACCCCAAGATCTGGGTTTTTCATCCTTAGAAAAAAATTTACTTTGGGGAGCTTCTTAAACCTACCGATAAAAGGATGATAGATAGAGGGTCTTTGAAACTCTCATGTGTAAATGAGTACGTATGGTTTTCTGAAGAAGTAGAAACGATTGCAATATTAACTTTTAATGATATAACTGTCGTCAATTTGCACAGGTCGTATATCTTCTTGGCTGAATTCAACAAGATGATATAGAAGAATAAATGACATTTCCAACAAATTTCTGGACTTAATAAATTGCTACATGCCTTAGGTCAAGTTCAGCAGCAAACAGCCTGTGAAACGGATGGAGAGGGTCTCCTATGGACTGCTCCCCAAGAGTCAGCACAGAGGGCAGCTGAGTGATGGAGTCCCAGAGGACCCTCATCCTCTCCCATGAGGCCTCTGAGCTGAGTGATGGAGCACAGTGGACCCTCAGCCTATCCCATGGGATCTCTCAGCTGAGTGATGGAGCAGAGTGGACCCTCAGCCTGTCCAGAGGGCTCTCAGCTGAGTGATGGAGCACAGTGGACCCTCAGCCTGTCCCAGAGGGCTCTCAGCTGAGTGATGGAGCACAGTGGACCCTCAGCCTATCCCACAGGGCCTCTGAGCTGAGTGATGGAGCACAGTGGACCCTCAGCCTATCCCACAGGGCCTCTGAGCTGATTGATGGTGCACAGTGGACCCTCAGCCTATCCCACGGGATCTCTCAGCTAAGTGATGGAGCACAGTGGACCCTCAGCCTGTCCCACAGGGCCTCTGAGCTGAGTGATGGAGCACAGTGGACCCTCAGCCTGTCCCAGAGGGCTCTGAGCTGAGTGATGGAGCACAGTGGACCCTCAGCCTGTCCCACAAAGGCTCTGAGCTGAGTGATGGAGCACAGTGGACCCTCAGCCTATGCCACGGGGGCTCTGAGCTGAGTAATAGAGTGCAGTGGATTCCCAGCTTATCCCATGGGGGTCTGGGGTGAGATGACCCTTCAGAGTTGTCACCAGTTGAGGCAAAGGGGCTAGACTTCATATGCCGCAGCCATCGGCTGGTCGCTGGCTACGGTCTGCACACAGAAGTGGGGCATAGGCTTGCACTTGGCAGCTCCCTTTCTCAGGGAAATACCTGGGCATAATTTTCTAGAACTGCCATAGGAAAGTGCCATAAACTTCATGACACCCTTGTCCAAAAGACATGTCCACATCCTCAACCCTGGAAACTGACCTGATTTGAAAGAAGAGTCCTGTGGATGTAATTAAGAATCTTGAGATGAGATTATCCTATATTATCAGGGTGGGTCCTAAATCCAATAACAAGTGTCCTTATAAGAGACACATGGAGGAGAAATGTGGAGTAAAGAGGCTGTGAAGGCAGAAGCAGAGAGTGGAGTGACAGCCACAAATCAAGATACGCTTGGAGCCACCAGAAGCTGGAAGAGGGAAGGCAGGACCCTCTCCTGAAGCCTGCAGAGGGAGCACTGCCCTGCCACACCTTGATCGTGGACCCCTGCCATCCAGAGTGATGAAAGAATACATTTCTGTGGTTTATTTGTCTGATGTAAATGTTATAACTTCCCTAGGAAACTAAGGCCTGCGGAGCACTGAGCCCTGCAGGCCCCTTGCCAGAGGCTGGAGCAGGCGCTGTGGTTCTGAAAGGAGAGACCTGAGGGGTGACTGTCAGTGTCCTCCAGCCCACGGTTGCAAGCCTTCTTCAACAGGGCTCCTTTACGAAGTAGGCTCTGTCCTTTTGTGAATCCCCATTCATACATACCTTTCATTCAACACATGTTTATGCAGCACCTGCTATTGCCAGGGACCAGGGGAGGCTTCGGCATGCCACAGAGGACAGAAACAGTCACTGCCCTCAAGTAACTCACAGAATGACAGACAAAAAAGAAACTTTCAAAAGGCCCGAAGTGTTTGGTGGAGACAAGTCCTAAGGAGCATAATCTAACAGAAGGAAGGGATACAGACCGAAGGTCAGGAAGAGGAGAGTGGCTCTCTACTGCGTCCCAGGTGAGAAGAGCTGGCTGGGAAAGGGTGAGGAGTTTGGAAGACAGTTGGTCTGGGCAGCAGGAAGGACGTGTACATTAAAGACTCAGTGAGGAAGGAATTGGCTGAGAACTCCCTTCCCCACCCACCCTCACCTCCCTCCCCACTTTACCCCCGACCCTTACCCCACACCCCACCCCTCCCGGAGCTGAGGCTAGAAACTCTCCTGCAGGGCTTCTCTCTCCAAGTGTGGTCCTCAGCTCTGCATCACAGTCACAGGCACCTGACCAAACGTGGAGCTCCTGGCCTGACACAAGGTCCCTGTGGCTGAGAGAATTCACATCTTTCACGAACCTGTCCTATGAGTCTCCTATGTACAAAGTTCCAAAACCACTGCTCCCAAGACCCTGATAAAGTAACAGAACCATGTACTCTTTCTTTCCTTCCTTTCTTTCTCTTTCTTTCCTTTCTTTCTTTTTTCTCTCTCTTTCTTTCTTTTCTTTCTTTCTTTCGTTTTCTTCTCTCTCCCTTCCTTCCTTTCTCTCTTTTCTTTTCATTTTTCTTTTCTTTCTTTCTTTCTTTCTTTCTTTCTTTCTTTCTTTCTTTCTTTCTTTCCTTCTTTCTTTTTCTTTCTTTCCTTCCTTCCTTCCTTCCTTCCTTCCTTCCTTCCTTCCTTCCTTCTTTCCTTCCTTCCTTCCTTCCCTCCTTCTTTCTTTCCTTCTTACTTTCTTCTTTTCCTTCTCCACAGGACAAGTTCCATAATGCACCTTTTTTATTTGTAAAAATAAATCATTTCAAACTCCCCCTATTGGTAATGTAAGTACTATATAAAGAGGTGAGTAATGGATTTCAAAACCAATCTCATTTTTAAAACTTTTCTTTCACGGATATACTATATACATATATATGGATGTATAGATATATATAATCATTTAACATTAGCCTATCTGTGAGTCTGTGTAGGTGTCCTAATTAGTTTTCACAATGAACAGATAACATCTGATGGAAATATTCTTTCTTTTTGTTTCTTTGTTGCTAGCATTCATAGTTCAATCGCTTAGCACAAAAGTTAAAACTGGATAAACACAGGCAGGATTTGTCTGCCTCTGGCATTCCAAACCCAGCGCCATCTGTGTTGACAATAGCTTGAAGTAAAGACCATCAATTGGTGCTGAAGATCTAAAAGGATTACCAGCAATAAAAGTCTCCTTGGATGGACCACCATCCTAAAAGCCGGCCACCACTCAAAGTTCATCTCATGCTTGCCTCTGAAGGTAATTGCCGCATCTGCTTCTGGAAGTAGCTGAAACCAACACACGCCTGGCTTCTGTTTTGTGAATAGCAAGCCGCTTGGAGGGGGGAGAGTGAAAGACCTTTGAGCACAGCCAGCCCAGAGTGCGGCCACGGGTCAGAAGTGAAGACACAAACAGCTGCTTCTTCAATAGAACCATCAGCGCTTCTCCAAGCTCCTTGCACTTGTCCACAAGCTGCCAAGCAGGGGCTATTGTGCTATTTTTATGCTGTGGGAACTTTGGCTTTAAAAACAAATGGACTAGCTTAACTATGAAATGTCAATCAAAGCTGCTAGGGTTAAGGGTGGGGGTGGGGAGAGTGTTAAAATTTTAATTAGTTTGGGTAGCTTTTTGTTTGTTGTTTTTTCACTCTGTGATCACTGTGGTTGACTTTCTTTAATTTACTGCATTCAGGTGAACAATATTCCACATGTCTTTTATCACTGGGCTTCTTTTTTTCTATTTTCTTGTGCACTGGCAGCAATCTCAGATCTTGGGTGTAGATTCACTGTCTTCTGGCAAGGATGCGCTGGCCCAGACCGATACCTGTGAGAATCCACCCAGTGCATTCACAGATTTCCCATAAGGAATACTTGTCAGAGCCTAAACCAAGCCAGGTACTTTGTTTTTTCCCCGTGTTCTGTAACTTGTTCATTAACGAGTTTGGCTCTGAAGCAAAAGAAACATGGGGAAGCAACTAAGAGTAGTAAGTGATGTCTCATTTTCTCTTTCTCAAAAAAAAAAAGGTGACAAAACAATAAAGTATACCTATGGAGGATGATGACATTGAGACTGCTGCTATGTTGGCCTAAGTTGTGATGCAGGGGACAACAGAATAACCTCCAGAATTTCTTGCTCACCATGGAACCTGTTTCACGTTTCACTGGTTATGTGCATGAACTGCGGTCGGAAGTATCAGAACAAAGATTCATACATGCAGGAGTGATCTCACCACCGGAAAGTTTCCCTGGAGAGCACATTCCAGGAGGACACGGAGCAAACCTTCCTCGCATGTTCACAGGAAAATAGTCCCAGTCCTCAACCAGCGCGGCTTCTCAGACCCTGGCATGAAACAGCCACCTTCTGTTTATAAAAAACAAACAAACAAATAAACAACAACAACGACAACACCACCATATAAAGACAAAAACGAGAGAAAGAACAGGAAAGAAAACTTTCTTAACCCTGGCAGATAAGTGCAAAATTGGCCTTTACAAATTAGAAGGAAGCTGCTTTCAGGTTGTCTGAGGAAATTTGCACAAGCATAATCTATTATAATATTTAGGTATTGACGTGATGCACCTAAAAATGAATGAAAATACATCTCGGTTCTAAAAAGCCCACATGAGCCAAATAAGAGTACCTAAGAAAACTGTCTAATTTTTTTCCACATGAGCCAAATAACAGTACCTAAGACAACCATTTAATTTTTCTCCAAAGTATAAACTCCAAAATAAATTTAGCAGTTTGATGTTAGCTAATAGAAGAGAACAGTGAGAGAATTTTAAATGGGGAAATCTAGAGTGTGGAGCTCTAGGTACAAACAATGGGAGGAAAGACTAAAGGAGTTTATTCCAAAAAAGGTCTAAAAATGTCTTCAATATCCAACTGCCCCTCAAACACAGCTACATTGTCAGGAGCCCACAGTGGTTAGCGTGAAGATAAATTCCCACTTAAAGTACCTGCTATGAAAAAAATTATAAAACTAAATGGCCAACAATAAAAAGCTGATGAAGTACACAATAATGTAAATTGTGGAAGAACAACGCAATTAGAAAATATTCCCATTATAGTATGTAAAAAGAAATGATGGAACAGAATCCCGTTTTGAAAGCTACTGGCATTGGCAGATTTGTATAGAGCTACTTAAAGAGCTCTGTGTGCATAGAAAAGGAGCTGAAATTAGCCAAACCCAAATGTTCACAGTAGTTATTACCGGATGATGAGATCATGGATAACTGTTATTTTCTTCTTTGCATTTTTCTTTGTTTTTCTTCAAATTTTCTAAAAAGAATATATATCTGCTTTTAAATCAAATCGTATTTTTAAAATTTGAACGAATTTCATTTTTCCAAATCAAAACATTAGGCCGTTATGATATTCCTTTAGAAATGATCTATTTTATTAATGCCAAACTTTTTATCCTCTAGTTTTCAGATGAACATTAGATTAATGTACATAATTACTGTTATGTATTAATAAGCAGTTGCTTTATTGATAACTCAGCAATTGTTTAACTGAATTATTAAATTAATGAAATTATTTCCTATAAGAAGGATTATGTTACTATTTCTATGACTGAATTCGTGACTTATTGAAGGTTAACAGAGGATTAGAAGGAATCAAAAATTTAAAACGTTCCTCATGGACAATGTTGGAACAGCTTCATTTCCACGTTGAAGTGAATACTCCAATGTGCACGCGTACAGACACATCCAAAGTTCCAAAAATTTCAGTCATCTCTCAAGACTTATATATATTCAAACTTAGGAGTCTTAAAACTATCATAGAACATGCATAGGAAATAAATATGAATTTTCTGTTGTTATTAACAATGACTCATTGTGAAAAGCCAAAAGAATTTTTTTTCAAATTTAATTTAATCATACATAACGCCTTATTACCTTACCTTGACAAACAGTAAATGCAAAAATATAAACCCAAGGGGCATGTTTATCAAATGCAGAACCACAGGTCACCCACCAGGCTGGTGTGAAGAAATGACATTTTCAAAACGCGTTGCATTTAGACAATTGTAGGATACGTCACAGCATCAAGTACAACTGAAAAACAAACAAAGAAAACAGCCTCTCTCTCCTGCACATTCCTTTGGAAAAAGAGTGCTTTGAAAAAGGCAGCCGGAGTAAGTAAGATGAAATCCTTTATATGGCCTACCTGTTAATATCCTAATATCTACGTTTTTTATCAATTTTGTTTTAATTACATATGCAATGACAATTCCGCTTCCACACAGAAATACTCTTATTTCCAATACTCCAAACAATAACCAAGCTGGTTTCTTCTCTCCACTACTCCACCTTGATTCCTTCCTATTTTTCATTGTGACACACACCAAAGACCGTTAATATCCTTTCTACAAATTGACTTCTAGTTACATTTCTCTTCAGTTAATAGCTTGGAGTAGGCAGGCATGAGACCATAAAAATATAATCTTTAATCTTAAGGACTTCCTGTCCAGGAAGGCTCAGGGCAGACCAAATGGCACCAAGTGAGCAGCGTGACCTGCCGTGCTCCCGGCGTGAATAAACAACCCTGATTAAGAGTTACATTCTGCTAAGGGATATTCTCAATGTTTCTGCGACAGAAACAGCCATCTTGCCTACACTGAAATTTCAGTTTGTTTCCCCTGGAATAAAATAAAGCTTGTTCACAGGGTGAATGCACCAGAGTGTTGAATTTCCTTTCCTGGGTTAGAGAAACACAATAATTCTGTTATGGTCCTTCCCACTTGCACCTAGAAATGACCAAAAAAAAAAAAAAAAAAAAAAAAAAAAAGAAGAAAAGAAAAGAAAAAAAGAAGGGGAGGTGCAAAGCAGTTTGACTTAGACCCAGCTGTTAGTTTTTCTTGCAGCTCCAGTGTCCTGAACAATCGCCTGGTTGAATCCCCTTTGCTTTTTAAAGCTCTTACAATGTCCCTCTGTGTCACAATGGAAGCCACTCAGCCTCAGCCACAGCTGATGAGCTCCTGCATCTTATCATACGTTTTGAAATCACGCCAATCTAGGACTTCCCACTTTCTTCAGCTTCTCACTCTGGATTCTCTCCTTTGCCCATGAGAAACACATACTCTTCTGAAAACAATGGGCTGTAAAATGAGAAAAGTTAAGAATCAGCATCAATTTCTCATAAATCTAATTTCCATTTTCCCACCAGTCTGAGTTCTGGGTACAAACTCTCACACACACATCCTGTGGGAAATGCTTGTTCATGTCCGTAGAACTAACCTAACACTCAGTTGGTTTTTTCTCCTTGGTGGAAAGAAATACGATAATTCAGCGGAAGAATTGCCCAAGGAGGTTGTTAGAAATGAGTAGATTTATTATAATTTCTTTTTTTGTCCTGACTGGGTGCGGGAAGGCAGATATACGTATCTATAGAAAATGCATATGAATATTTTTCCTTTTTTTGAATATTTTTTTCATGTTAACTTGCAGTAGCCTGGGAAGAACGTATTAAAACTATATTTTTACCATTCTGCAGAAAGATATAGTAAAGACATTTAAAAGAAAGCATGATAATATGAAATAGTTGTTCATGAGAGATCATCTGAAAGTATTTTACTCATTTTGATACAGCAGAGAAAAATAAGATTTTATAGATACTGATAAAAACATCATATAAATATTGAAGGGAAAGTATTCTAATCTGTTAACTAAAAACAGCCTAGAAAGAAGTTGCTGTCATTGGAGGATCAGATTCAGTATGAACCCCTTATTTTAGACTTCTTAGTCTCAAAGTCACGTTAAGGAGACATTTTACTCATCATAGTAGTATATGCTATTTCTATTAGTTTGAACATTTTTCCTTACTTTTATGATGAAAAAATAAATGGGTAATGCTGAAATCTAAGAAATAAAAATATCTTCTTTTAAAATGTGATTCCTTTAATATTTCTGTCTTCCCATCTTTTCAAGTCATATGGTATGAGTAACATTTCTTAATCAGATGTCATTGTTTAGATCTATGAGTGTAAGTATGCTTTCTTCTATAATATCTCTACTAGGACAGCTCAGGTATACCATGTATAATGTTTCTGGTATCACATCACATTCAATAAGCACAGATTCTATAACTGATCATAAAAAATGGATAGCAACTTTGATGGTGCAACGTAAACCTGTAGTTGGAAAATAAAAGACATAAAGTGATTTTTTTTTAAATAAATACAATCTTGCTAATGTATATATGTCCTAGAACAAAAAAAAACCCCATTAAAAACTAGTTTATGTTCTTTGTATTAATAGTAACATAAGTTAAAAACAAGTAGTGAGAGTAGAGAGAACCTAGGACAGTAACTGGGAGCCCTGGGTTTCCATCTCAACGAGGCCAGCATGACTGAAACAACTCATGCTGCTTCTCTGGGTCTTAATTTCCTCCTCTGTGAATCTTTTCTAGGGTGTATAAGACCCATGCTAGACCCCAAGGCCAACTCTCCTATGGTACACCTGGCGCTGTTTCAACCACTTTTGTTGTACTCCCTCAGTTAATCCTCCCAAAAACTCACGAGGCAGGCACAATCGGATGAGGAAATTGTGGCACAGAGGGGCCAAGGCAGGCTCTGATGTAGCAGAGCTTTGATTCAAACCCAAGCCAGCTGGAATGTCTAAGGTGCTGGCTGCCGTACTGCATCGCCTTTTATTCTACAGCTCTAGCTCGCATTGGAAAGAGATTAAGAAAAGGCATCATTGGCCAGAAGAGACCATAAGGCTCTATTACAAATCAGGGAGACTCACTCTGCAAGCTGTACACACATTTGACGATAGTGAGTGTGGTCAAATGTGTGAGTTTGGTCCTGTTATTGTGTCTGAAGGCGCCTGGGTGCAGGTAGAGTCTCTCAGGGGCAACCAGAAGGTTGAGTGACCAGGTGCCACTATCTCATCCTCAGTCTTTTCATTTCAGAAATTGATTAAACAATAAAAATATATAGGATGCCCAGGGTGATTAGACTTATAATAGCAGGTTCACACTTGGAAGATTGACAGTGAATTGTTCCACAAACCCTAGAAACAGTTATCATCTATAAGGGAGCTATGTTTTCCTAGCACCCACAAGATCCTATCCCCTTATCTAAGACATGGCCATCCCCCTTTCAGTGGCACTTAAGAAGTCAAACTATTTCTCCATAGCTTATTTAATACATTTAATCTAAACAGGAATAAGAGAAATGTTTGGAAGTTGGTGTTTGATCTAAGCTTTGGAAGGGCCCGGTGAATATCCCAACTCTCTGGAGACTGGAGGGTCATGAAACTGCCTTTCAAAAATCTTGATGGTGAAACATATCTGACCTGACCAACTCCATCTTGCTTCAAACCTCTAAGTAGCCTTTGTTCTTTCATGGGCTTAAGCCGTGAAAGTTATAGTTTAACTTTGAAACAAAGATGATAACAGCCCCTTCCCAAAACAAACACCCTCCTTGCTTGGGAATTCGACTTTTGTAGAACAAATTAATCATAAGATTAGAAATTATGGCTCAGAAGTCATGCAGCCAGAGGCCATAATATTGCTAACCTCCCCAATTGCTCCTGTGGATAAAATTACTATTGTAAAACCTAGGATTGGTGTTCAAGGTATTTTTTAGACTCTGCCTTCTGATAGACCAGCTGATGCCACCCAGATGGGTAAACTGGCTCATCGGGTCTTGTGGCTCCCACCCAGGGACTGACAGTGCAAAAAGACAGCTTTGATTCCTTATGCTTTTAACTTTACCCCAGCCAATCAGCACTCCCCATTCCCTACCTCCCTGCCCACCAAACTATCCTTAAAAAACTCTAGCCTCTGAATTTTCAGGGAGACTTACTTGACTAATAATAAAACTTTGGTCTTCCATTTAAAAGGCTCTGTGTTTATTAAATGTTTTTCTATTGCAATAACGCTGTGTCAATAAACTGGCTTTTCTGGACAGCGGGCAAGATGAACCCATTGGGTGATAACAATCTTGTTCCTCCAAGGCTGAGGTTATGCTTTAACCTAGGGCAGGAGGGGCATAAATGATCTTTGCTCCCCTAGCCCTCTCCTTCTATGCTGATCATCCTCTTTTTACCCATGGATTCCTTCTGGTTTTGTTTGCAGATCCTCAGTGACCTTAATTAAGCTGGCACTAAGTTGCTGAGTGTGGAGACCACCTTCCCCTGTGAGACGTTTTTTTATTGGTGGATTCAGCTCTAGGTCTAGGACCACCCAAGGTCACAGTCCCCAGTAACCTGTAACACAGTGGAGGTACAATAAGTACACAGGACATCCCTGTTATTTTCTCTTGCCACTCAAATTTTCTGTTTCTGCAGTGGAATTCACTATCTTCTAGAAGACTTAAACAACAGATATTTAAAAAAAAATTAGTAACTTAATGCATCTCATATTTTATCAGAATTAATAAGCAAATGGTAACAATCACAGCTGTGAAGCACTGCAGGATCCCCAGGCGAATCTCAAAACACTTGATGTTTCTCAGCGTGGACTCCTGCCTATTCTTCTTAAAGGTACAAAGTCACAGACTTTAAGAGAGGCCTACTTGTGGTCTATCATTTGCGTGTGTGTGGCGGGGAGGGGGGGTTGTAGAGTGAGTGTCTAGAACCCAAACTTCTTATTTTCATCAATCCATGTTTCTTTTCAAACATTTCAAAATAGTGAGACAGATGCCCATTTTGCTTTCAAATACCTTTTATACAAAATATTGTCTATCCTAAGCTTGGATATATCATTTGTTTGTGATCCTTTTAGATAATTTGGTTAATTGCTTGAAGATTTAGGAATTGATATAGCAGTGTAATTGCATTATTTTATATGTTTAGCTGTATCTCTTTCTAAAATAGTCACACTGCTTCTGAGATCTATTGGGAGTACATGCCCCTTCTTTCTGTATCACATGGTAGCTCTCCAAACTACTAAAATGGCCTGCTCTTAGTGACAAAGGACCCGATGACTTTTTCAGAAGAGAGTGGACTCTAGATATGCCGTTCCTGCCCAATGATGCTGACCTGACATCATCCTGTCATAATGATAAATTGTATGTACAATTTATAGTTGGAGCAGATGGGAGAGTGTAGGTTATTAAAATCTAAATCTGTCTCCCAAACAAAAAGAGAATTGTTTATCTTTCAGTGAAACATAGATTTCTTACAGAGGAAATTGTGACTATTCCAGTTTTCATAAATAAAGCAATTATGCAAGTTAGAGACACCTAGGCTAAAATAAAATAAAGATTGTTTCTAAATGATGTTATTTACTAAGTTCATTGAATGTCTGTTAGCATCCAGTAATACAAAAATTTACCAGAAAATATGCTGTAATAATAATCAATATTTATCTTTCCATTTAATACCTAATTTCTGGGCAAAAGCCTTATGTCATGTTACCTAAACTCAAGCACATAGAGAGGCTGTTTTTAGATGTGGTGTACAATGTAAAGAAAGAGATGGAATACATTTTGGCTTGAAAAAAACTAATTATAATCAGAAATTTTCTAATTTTCAAGGGTATTCAAAAACTCAGATTTTAAAAGGTAAGCCCATAGAAGGGGAAATGTAAAAGCTCAAATAAACTCCAATGTCAATTGGCCTTAGGGTTTTATTTCGGCTACAACTTAACCAAAATCAAGGGCTTTCAGATCCAAATTTATTGACTTATTCACTTACTCTTAATTCAGTGACTAGTGATTGAGATCTAGGCATATTATGGAAACTTCTGGAAAACTATCACTAACATGTTATTGACCTCAAAAGTCACCTCCAGTTACAGAATTCCCTCTAGGGAATTAGGTGTACTTTTGGTGAAGCTGAATGGCATTATTCACCTCCATTGAGCAGACAGCCTGAGGAAGGCATCCATTAAAAATGTATATCTATGTATTACACTACTACGTGTTGGACATTTTTCATTCATTGTGAATTTGCCTCCATAATTCTGAGAAGTAGCAGGTGTCATTGCCACACTTCACAATGCATCAACTTGCAGCTTAAGCAAAGAATACTTGCCCAGTGTCACAGTGATATCAAGAGGCAGGACTGGGACTTCAACTCAAGCTTGGCTGGCCCCCAAGTCCCCTTCTCATCTCTTGACATCACTGTCTTCGAGGGAAAAGGATGAAGCTCTCCACCTAGGCCATAACACAACACAAACCTCTGAATTTTTACAGAAGAATGTATACTGTTCCACTTAATGTTGGTGTACAGTTTTCTTTAACATTAGAGTAAGTAGTGGATGCATTTTGTTTCTAGAAAATTTAACTGCAAATTCCTGTAAGTTCAGCTCTTGCCAGAACTTACCATCCAATACTAGAAGGGACAATCT
Source organism: Homo sapiens (assembly GCF_000001405.40). Classification (NCBI taxonomy): domain Eukaryota; kingdom Metazoa; phylum Chordata; class Mammalia; order Primates; family Hominidae; genus Homo; species Homo sapiens. The sequence continues at coordinate 106,747,647 of NC_000013.11, read as the reverse complement.
AAGGGGCATTTGATTCACACATTCCTCTAGATTTTCCAAGCTGTATTACTCAATAATCATATGCAAAAACCAAGCAATTAGATTACATTATTTTCACTTTTTTTCATAAAATTTATCACACAGGTTGAAATTTAACATAATGTCCTGGGATTTGAGGGGATGGTATGAAAGGCATTCGTTAGAATAATTCATTCATGTAACAGATTTTTAGCAAGTGCTTCCCTATGCCAGCCCTGCACCTGAAATATAAAGTTGAGCAAAAGTAGATTTGGTCTCTACTCTCATAAAACTTACATTCCCTTAGTTCAAAACACAGATAATAATCACACACACATTACTATTATAATAACTACTTGGAGAGAAACATGATGTTCTGATGATGAATAATAATAGCATTTGATTTAAGCAGGAAATTCTGCAAAACCATGGTTGAAATGACCCAGCAGAATATATTTTTGTTAGGATCCACATATGAAGCATACTTTGTAGAATTAAGTCAATTAAAAATAGGTTTCATTACTTTGCTTTGTCCTTTTTTCTTTTCATCTGACACCAAGGACCAAATCTAATCTAATCCAATCTAATCCTTTTTTTTAAAAACATATTTCCAGAGGCTTAAAGCTAAATTTGTGCCTGGACATTATTAAGATACAACTCATTCTTTCTTCATTATTTTAACGTAACTGTGCTCTCTTTGTATTTTAATTACTTCACTTTAGGCATGCTTTAACATTTAATATGGCTCAAACATTTTTAGTAAATTGATAAGTATAAGTAAAAAGTAAATAATTAGTAAATTATTTGTTTTTAGTTGTCACTTTTTTTTTTTTTAACTGTAACCCTGGTTACCCTCAATTAAAAGCTGCAAATTCTTTTAGGTTTTTGAAAAGATTTCAAAGAGGCATGAATGAGTGACTTCCTAGTAAACTCCAGGGCTGTAGACATTTTGGAACTACCAAGACCAAAGGGCTTAAATATTCTTCATGAGGAGAAAAAAAAGCAAAACCTTACAATAACTTACCTTTCACTTTTCAACTCTTACTCTTTATACTGTAAGGGATAGAACTTGGAACAAAAAAGCCTATCCTTTTCATCACCGTTCCACTTTACACTAGAACAGTGCAATCTCATCAGAGTAAATTACTTAGTTCTACCCTGTACACCCAGACTTAGGTAAACAAGGAGGGAAACCAAGTTTCCAGACATCCATGAAGCCCAGGGCAGCCTCTACTGGTGGATGAGGAGGGCACTAAGAAAGGAACATCGACATCTTCCAAACAGAGACAACCAGATGGACAGCCAGCGCCAAGAGGCACACGCACACACCTTCAGTCGCTCATACTTAGAAAAGTGTCCTCTTAGGAGATGCTTAATACATATTCTTTGAGAGTTACATTAATCACACTTGGGGGAAGTATGAGATTTGGTGACCTCCTGTTCACTAGCTACCTTTACCAGGGAAATATTTTATTTACCATATTAATTACCTTTTTTATTTTTCTCCTCACCAGTTTATTTTTAATTTTTTTATACCTTGGCCTTAAATAATCTGATGTCCTTAGGCAGTGACCTTTTGCTGACTTTATGGGATATGCTGATTAAAGAAAAATTTCTTTTCCTTACATGACAAAAATACTTAAAAAACATTTGCTGTGCTTGGGAGAGACTATTTTAAAATTCAACATTCAGTTAGATCCGATTTTTCAATTTTTGCTTTTGTTGCTATTGCTTTTGGCAATTTAATGCGTGCTGGGTTTCACACCTAGGTAAAGGGTTGATAGGTGCAGCCAACCACCATGGCACACGTTTACCTATGGAACAAACCTGTACGTCCTGCTCATGTACCCTAGAACTAAAAATAAAAGGTAAAAAAAAATTCAAATACACAAAACTACAAGGGATTTTTTTCAATCTTTCTGGAAATTAAAGGTATGCCTATAAAAGTTCAAGGTCCCTTCAATAAGGCCAGGAATGTTTTGACAGCTGCAAACTGTCTAATTCCTACATTCTCCTACCTTGTTAAAATTATGTTTTGGTCACTGAGTTGGACCATTGAGAATGTGCTCCCATTAATCTAGGGGAGCATGAATGATGCTCTATCAATGAATAATTTAGACACAGGTATGGCTTGAATGTTTACATGGAACTGTAATGGAAACATTTTATTTAAGTAAACTACTTCCATTAAACCATATTTTATTGTGTCACAAAACAGATGATTATCCCTCTAATTTCATTTCTGTATTGGATGTATATGGGGGCTATTTTGAAAAATGAACTGGTCATAATGTGAACCCAGTTACAATAATATGAACTTGGTCACATTGATAACTTACTCAAGTAGTCTTTTTTGTATAATTATTTTATGTTGTACATATATTTTTCTTGGTTGTGAAAGTTTGAAAACTGCAAAGGGAAATTCTTATTGTCCATTTTTCTGTTAAACATTAGAATAAGGAATTAAAACTAAAGTATATTCAGGTTGGGAGCAATTAATAAGTAGCAATGCTTTCATTAGTCCAATTTTAGTACAACTTTTCTAAACAAAATTAAACAAACAAAGAAACCAATTTACACCAACCCTAGCCTGGGAGCTTAGTTTCAGCAGCACTGGGCAGCCCTCCACTTTTCTAATATTAGTTGGCCATAGCTACTTACAGGTAGGTTATCATATCAGTGAATTCACCAGGGAAGTGAGACATAGTCCCTTATATACTATCTAACTTTACTTCCTTTCTTTCAGGTTATGTGAGTTTCTCCCCCTCAAATGTCACTTTTGCTTCCAACTGTAGCCATACTTTATAATCAGTTATATACTTTAACAGATACAAAGAAGTAGTCGTGTGATTTTCAGGGGTTAAAATTTCCATTCCACCCCAAAACACCAGGACACCAATATTCACCAAACCGGTCTTCCATGTCTATGTTCATGGTGACGTGAAATCAGGTGAAAGGTTTCAGAGGCCTGTCGACCAAGGCCCAGGACCAGTGCTTGGGATAATGTTAGTAAAAATGCTCCCAGGTAAACAGCTCTTCAGGTTTTAACTTCTCTGTAAGAAAGGCGTATGGTACCTGAAAGTTTTCTACTTGTGAGTTTCTATCTGGTGCATTTGAGTTGCTTGTCGTGTTCCAGGAAAGTCAAGCTAATTTGATGAACAATTTTCTTTCTCAACTCTTCAGTCTTCATTAATGTGATTCTAGCATCAGACACATTGCTAGGTGACATCAGAGAAATGAAATAAGAATTCTAGGCAACGCTTGCACTAGCAGAGTCATGGAGTTGCTTACACATGGATCAACTTTTAAAAAATGGATCCTAGAGAAAATAAGTAGAGAGAAATAATAATGGTAGGAAAAGATAGAGAAAAGGTGCATGTGAGAATAATGTGAGAAACTCATCTATGATAATTCAAAGTTTCCTCGTGTTTATCTTCAATATGAAGGTCTTACAAAGTCAATCTAAGAAAATGAAAATTATTTTAAATGAATGAAAGATAATACATTAGGAAAAGAATAATATCAAAAGGTAAATGGCAAAAATAAAATCAAACAAGTGTAAAGACAAAATAAAAGGAGTTATGATGAATAACAAACAGTTTAGAAAGCATCATGGTGACAAAATGGTAAGAGCAGAGGAGTGCCCAGGAAACCATCCTGCCACATGCCCCAACTTTGCCAGGTGAGAGTTCCACTTTTTCTCAAGGATATTAACAGAGTTTCAAAGAGGCATCAGTAGCAGTTCATTGGTGACCTGTTTTGGAATAGTCTTTCCAATATGTGACTGTTCATGTCTACTTGTCAGACTGTCTCACTTTTAATAATTTCTAACCTCTTTTGTTTAAATGCATACTTTGGCATCAACTTTTTAAAATTGTGACACCATAAATATTTTTTAAATATCAAACCTTTCCAAAATGAGATTTCCAAGGGGAGGCACTGATTACTCTAGTTTGGCAAATCCTCCTTTTAAAAAATACCTGTTTTCAAATAAGGTATGTCCTGATTGAAAAGTACCATTACCAGAACTGAAATGGTCATATTTCTGTAAAAACCCAAAGAGCAAATGAAGATATATTTGTGGGGAAGAAAGGCTTTTACTCAAAGAATGTTTCCTAGTTTATTGTAAGTGGTTATAAATACTTGCTTAAAGTTCACTTAGAGCTACCTAAGAACAACTCTAAGCTTCGATTAAGCACAGTGAGTATTGTTCACTAATAACAGTAAAAAATTTATATTCTGGCTGTGCCTAGTATTTGTTAGTTGTTGAAGTTAAACAAGAAGGCATCAGCCCTTAGGGACCATAGAATGTAAACAAATGGACTGAGAAAAATGCTCTATTTTTATTAAAACACTGGAGAGATTGGAAATTCATGCAAAGATCAGGGGCTCCTTTTTCCTTCTTTAGTGAGTTAATAAGCATTTATTAAACACAACACTAAAGAAAGCCACAAGTACACTGCATTCCATGTGTTTAGGAAGTGGATGGTGGTCATACCTTAGGAATGGATGCGAAGGTATGTAGACTTGTTTTCACAAGAAAATTAAAAAGAGGGACTAAAGAATAAGCAATACAACCAGTGTAAGGTAAAACATCACATTTTCTGATTTGAAGACTCTATTTGAAGAAAGCAAACTGAAGACTGAGGTAATTTTATAGATTTTTCATGCGTGACAACTGTGCCTTTCTGTGACATATTTTAGTCACTGGCTTGGCCTTGTGTAGGTAGTGCAATGCCAATATGCCTCTTAGGCTCTCAAGTTTTTACTCCCACAGGCCATCCTATTTCTTTGGCCACTTTTTTTTTTTTGACAGAGTTTTGCTCTTGTTGCCCAGGCTGGGGTGCAATGGCACAATCTCGGCTCACTACAACCTCTGCCTCCCAGGTTCCAGTGATTCTCCTGCCTCAGGCTCCCTAGTAGCTGGGATTATAGGCACTCACCACCACACTTGGCTAATTTTTGTGTTTTTAGTAGAGTCAGGGTTTCACCATGTCAGCCAGGCTGGACTTGAACTCCTGACCTCAGGTGATCCGCCCACCTCAGCCTTCCAAAGTGCTGGGATTACAGGCCTGAGCCACTGTGCCTGACCTCTTTGGCCGCTTTTATGGTGCTTCTCTAAAATGGCATTTAAAAAAAGGAAAACAAATCGGCACTTGCAATTGTTGTTGAAGACATGTAATCATCTTACAAATGTGAAGTTTTAATTCTGGCTGATAAATCAGAAGATTCAGAGCTATAAGAAGTTGAGAATCATTGAGGCTTTTGAGAGTTGGGAGAAACAACATAGAAATAAACTTGTGGCTTTATTTAAATAAAAAGTGCTATTGAGCAGAGCCTTGACCTTTGCAAAAGTCCTAGAGCAAGAGAATTGAGTCCAATGGAAATGGATGGCTTAGTTACATTAAGGAAAGGCTGACAGAAATGGCTTTAATTATTCTTCTTAGGTAATATTCTGCAGGCATTTTGCCAAGTATATTTTCAAAGAGAAAATGCAAACACAAAAATAAGATGCAAATGGCTCCCAAGTGTACTAGTATGTCTTAAAGAAATTTTATGGGGTTTTATTCTGCTTTTAAATTTGCTACTTGTCCTTAAAGCCATCATGTTTTACAAAACTCTCTTAAGGTTGAACAGTTAAAATTCCTTCAGCTTTAAACCAGGCTGTCTGCATTTGGCTAAGTAATTTTTTTTCCCTTATTTTGTGATTTTACCATCAACTTAAACTCTAAAGTTCAATGTCAAATGGAATAACAGGACTCTCATCATAGGATTTGTGAAAATTGAAGTGCAAACATGAACTATAGATATGATTTCTAATTGGGTTATAAAGAAAAGATAGGTAATGTAACATACTTCAGTGTCAAGAGTGTCTATTTAGGAAAGCCCTTTTTATTTTTTAAGCTTTTTTAAATGCCAAAAATGCTGTGGGTTTGTAGAGTGTTATTATTGCCAGCTGTTTTTGTTTTTGATAATGTGTCAGGATTTGGTTCCTGTTTACCTAAATCAAAGAAGATAAGGTTTCTTGTGAAGGCTGCCATGGATGTTTACATAACATACCTCATGATTCTGGAAATGAGTACTGCTTCCTGCTCAAGACTGAAAAGAAGAAATGGGATACGTAGTGTTCATACGCACTAAAATAACTGCAACAGGTATGATGGACAAGGCCTTAAGCTAAAGAGCAAATATCACCTCTACCTTCCCACCCGCCTTCAAGCAGTACCAAGTTATTTACTGTTTTGTTAACTCATCATGTGTTTTGCCTCTTCCTCTTGTCTAGAATATCATTCTTTTTTTCTCTTTTCTCTCCAAATGATGAGCATCCATTCATCTTCAAAGTCCTAATTTCAATGCCACTTCTGAAAGATTTTCCCCAACTGTGCCAAGCAGAAAACATGATCTCCTCCTCTGCATTTCTATAGCATTTTATAAACACTCACTTTTTAGCAAGCATTATGTGTAGCAGAATTAAATGTTTATGTGTGAGATTCCAGTCCTAGCCCCTGCATTCTCCAAGGATGCAGCCCTTGACTTCTTCTTCGTTACCTTCCTGGAAACCAATGGTACCGAAACTGACACACAGGGGTCATTCAACACTTCTTTGTTGAATGAATGAGTGGATGAGTGAATAAATGAATGAGTCCGTTAGTCAGGACCAGTGCTATTTAGTTCACCTTGTATCAGAATTAAGTCACAACCCAACGATGATTTTAGGGGATTCTTATGCAGGAGGCAAGATTTGATAATCCCCCTCAAGAACAACCTGACCTAAAGAATTTCTAAAATCTTTTCCAACTCTGATATTCTATGAATTTATGAATTTTAGGGATCTAAGTGGTAAACCATCTCCATCATTTCTTTGTCCATGCATGATATAGGATATGTGAAGGATAACGGAGTCGTGGAATATCTGAGCATATTTCTCTCTTTACTGCATTTTCCAAATGTATCCTAGATGTTAGTGAAATAAATTGATCTCTCTGTGCTGCAAAACTATGTTGTACTGCCAGATGTTGAGTCCTTTCCTCTCTACTTCATACACCAAGCATCAAAATGTAGCCATTCTTCTCTGCTTATCTCTCCCTCTCTACCCCACACACTGAATGGCAAATGATTCATAACAGCTTTTACCTCCGCTCTGGGAGATTCAACTTTATGTTGACTTTGGTTGTATGATGAACTGTGTTCTTCAAGATCATCTGTAGTTTTCAAGTGAAGCACTTCATTGCTGTTTCCTTACTAAGCAGATTTTGACATTTGTACAGGAAAAGAGGATCATTACAAAAATAGCATCTCTATGGAGAAAGGAAATTCACTTGGAGGTAAATATAGTAACTGTTTAAAGATAAGGAAGATGATCATCAACACATTATTGAGAATAATAGAAATCTTAGCAGAGCGCTGCCATTCCACCAGTTCTCCCAAATTGTATTTTCTCTTCAAGCAGTGGAGATTAGTATTGCTATGAAAGCATATTTATCAAGAAATTACTCTACAAGCAGTAGAAACTGCACTCTCATAGATGCAACCTGACTGGCCAAAGACAGAAAACATTTTTCTCTATTGTAAGAAAGTGTAGTCTCTCTACGTAAGGATTATCTTTTCATTCAATCTTTTATTTATTTAATAAACTTTGTTCTGTGCTAGTCTCTCCATACAAAGTGTTGCAGCTTCTGAAGAATTCTTCTCAGATGTGGAGTGAAGATCTTATAAAAAGCATATTGGGAATGTTCAGAACAGGACCAAGCATAAAAACAGTTTCTACATTTCCTACCACACATGGGCCATGTCAACTGTGGTAAGAGTAAGTGTTGGTCCCAGCATATAAGCCCCCTTTCTTCTTCTTAAAAAAAATAGTGAAGTCATCTTTTGTACATTGTGCCAACTGCTAGGAAGTTTTCATTAGAAACATTACTTTAGTTTTTGCTCTCAAAGAACTGCAACATTAACAAATTGCAAGAGTAATATAAAAATATTTAAATAATGATCAAGATGAAAGCAAAGGGTAGGTTAATTACCTATAGGGTAGGAGGAAACTGGTTTTTCACAAGACATGCATTAACTCAGCATTCATGAGTTTGAATTCTAACTCTGACATTCACTAGCAATTTATTTTTCTAACTCTCAGCTCTTTTTATCTTTAAAGTATTCACAGAGTTGCTCTAAGGATGACAACTAAAATGCTTAGCAGCAAGTCATAACTACTTTTATAAGCAGAAAAGACTTCACAAAGGAGACACCATTTGAGTTCATCCTTAAACGATGTTAGAAGCCAGATAAATATAAAGAAATGGGGAATGTTTCTACGTGAATCACATCATGAAGACTCAGAGGCCACTCTGCTTATCTTGTTCAAAATGCAGTCTCAAAGTTGTACCTTAATTGGGCTTAAAATCCTCAAAATTTATTTTCCCCTAAATGAAGCATCACTTGAAATCTATCAACCAAGTACAATATAAGAAATTCCCTCTCTGCTTTCTTTGCTTTAGTGGACTAATTACTCTGGCTGAGTTCTAATCCCAGTTTAGTTGAAGCCTCTGTGGGGCTTCTCTCTGTAGTTCCACACTCCAGATGCCATGAGGATTAACCAATCAATTTGAAACACCTTGTAAAAACACATCAGGCCTACCAATTCCTTTCTGGATTCGTTCCTGTTCAATCCACATTTTTACTGGGACAGGTTTTCACTGCCTATACGATGGTGGCATGCCTGACCCAGAACTCTGAGATGTGTCCACCTGCTTGTCTTGCCTCATTTTAATACTGCAAAAGCAGCAAAAAACAACAACAACAAAAAAAAACAAAACAAAAAAAAACACCCAGTACTTCCAAATTCTACTCAAGCAAGAGACTTCCTGGGGTAAGGTTGCTGTGAGGCTCTGTGTGGACCAATTTAGTATTGCCTTGCTTCCAATTAGTCCCACTTACTGAGATGTTGCCAAATTCTCTAAGCCATACAAAAAACACTAAAATTGCAGTGAGAATTAGACTTTGTTGCTTTACTAATCATCACGTCCAGAAAAGCCCAGGGTTCTCTTTCTAATTTTTTTTTTTTTCACGAGAAGAAAGTGTAAGCAATCACGTCTATCTATCTTACAGGATTCCCAGCTATGGCACCAGAGAAGGCTGAGCTCATTAGAGCTGCGGCTTGGCCTAAGCCAGCTTCCTCTGTCAGCTCTCTGAGAACCCCATGGGCCACACTGTAAGAAACACCATCCCAGGGCTCTGCAATATGAGCTTTTCCCAACTGGGAATCAGCCGCACACACTTTTCCGCAGATCCTTCAACTCAAAATAAGACTGAATGTGACACACGAGTACATGCAGCAGGCCAGTCAGGGGGAGGGGAGTCGCCAAAATGGATCCTTTTGTCAAATACGTTTTCCCGGCCCAAATGTGTGTACTTCCAGTTACCAAGTAACAAGATGCAATCACATTTGCATTTCTTTTCTAATGTTGGCTGCTAATAGGAATAAAGTTGGCCATCTTCTAGAAATACTTTCCTTGCAGAAAAACTTTTCTGTGGTAAGAGCTGAAAAGAATGAATAGATTCAACCTTAAAGAACCATTCCATATTTACCGAAGAAACTGCATTTCCAAGATGTAGCAGAGTAGTGATCATTTGTGATATAACCTGCAAATGCTATCACAGATAGCCAGTCAACCTACTTTTTCTCACTGTCCCTTAGCTGTGCTATACAATATAGCTAAATAAGTCAATGCTGACAATATGTTAGGATTTTATCCTCTAAAAATATTTCTTTCAAGATCTACTTCCAATAAACATAAACTGTAACTTTTAGTAAAACACACGAGAGTTACCATTCCCATGATAACACCCTATTTACTGATACTGACACACAATTATAAAATAACTATTCACAAAACTTTGTGCGTGGACACCATAGATACAGCTTTTGAGATAAAGTTTTGTTTTTGTTTTTGTTTTTGTTTTTTTTTGAGACGGAGTCTCGCTCTGTCTCCCAGGCTGGTGTGCAGTGGTGCGATCTCGGCTCACTGCAAGCTCCGCCTCCCGGGTTCACGCCCTTCTCCTGCCTCAGCCTCCCGAGTAGCTGGGATTACAGGCGCCCGCCACCACGCCCGGCTAATTTTTTGTATTTTTAGTAGAAACGAGGTTTCACCATGTTAGTCAGGATGGTCTCGATCTCCTGACCTCGTGATCCACCCGCCTCGGCCTCCCAAAGTGCTGGGATTGCAGGCGTGAGCCAGCACACCCGGCGGAGATAAAGTTTTAAAATCAAAACACAGTCAACAAATTTCAAAGAGCCAGCCCTGATTGAAGAAAAAAAAAGTTGCCTCAAAGCTGCTGATGAGGAATTACACCTCAAAAATCCAGAAGAGACTCAAAGTGGTGACACTGACCGGTTGTTTGTTTGTTTTTAAAGAACAGGCTGTGCCGGCAAAGCCGCTAGCTTGGAGTCCAGCTCACGCCGCCCTGAGCCCGCACTCTCTCACAACTCACAACTCCGCGCCGTGAAGCAGGACTTATCTCACATCTCCACCACCCGCCTGGGTCAGAGCTCCCCTTTGAAGAGGTTTCAAAGGAAAACAAGATAAGAAGCACCTTTTCAGAAAAAAATCCTTCCGACAGAGCGCTGTGATGTGAGAGTGAAGTGCCAGGCTGCTGGGATCTTCTGGAAAGTGCTCTCTTGTCTTCTTAATAGATGAGATGAGTAAACCTGCTCCTTACAGAGGACTCAGGGCTCCTGGGGAGGAGAGCACCCCTAGATTAGAAACTGAGGGTGTCTGTTCTGCCCTGGATGGGGATCATTCCATGGGTCGGCAGGCGGAGGGGTGCCGTGTTAACTCTTAGGCCCTTAGGTATCCAGGAAAGATGCTGAAAAGAAGTGAGGCGGTCCCTGAATCTATGATTCATAACCAGTTAGTAATTTACAAACTAGAGAGGACCTGGCCCAAACAGTTTAAGCTAATAATTATTCTAGTTAATTAATATTTAATGTAAGAAGTGTTAGGAAATACATGTATCAACTGGCTTATGGGAAACATATTAATTTTCAATACAAAATTTTGTTTCTGTGTCCCTCGCCTCCTAAACTAGACGTTGGTCCTTAATCATTGCTGTTTGAATTTTGCTCTTCTTTAACTGGATGCATTTTTAAAGGAAAAAGTCAGGTGGAATGAAAAGGACCCTGCCTGAAAGGGAAATCCCTCTCTTTGACTTGCAACGATTTTTGCAAATCCTTTTTCCTCTTGGTTCTGGAGGGCTAGAAGCACTCTACCCATTCTAACCATCAGGAGCAGAGAGGTCCAGTACCTTAGATCCTTCATCCCCCAGATCTCGGAGCCTGGTTCTTCCTGACTATCCTAGGTGTAAGAGAGATATTTTTGCCTCTGAGCCATAATAACAACTTACATCAGTGCTATTAATTTGGCAACTAATCAAGGACTCCCTATGACATCTCTTTTGTGGTCAGCCCTGGCTCACGCATTGGCTGATTTCTGGAAAGTGTATTTGTTTTATTATTTATCTATTTATTTATTTATTTTTTTAGCTGGAGTCTCGCTCCGTCACCCAGGCAGGAGTGCAGTGGCGCGATCTCGGCTCACTGCAAGCTCCGCCTCCTGGGTTCACGCCATTCTTCTACGTCAGCCTCCTAAGTAGGTGGGACTACAGGCGCCCGCCAACACGCCCCGCTAATTTTTTGTATTTTTTAGTAGAGACAGGGTTTCACTGTGTTAGCCAGGATGGTCTCGATCTCCTGACCTCATGATCCACCCGCCTCGGCCTCCCGAAGTGCTGGGATGGAAAGTGTATTTGTAAAGAAGTCAGGTATATGGTACTTTGAACACATTTTTAAACAAAATTAGCATCAAAAATGTTCTACTCTTGCAAATATCTATTTAGCACAAATTGTGATTTAATTGCAACCTAACACTGTCACCTATTATTTACCTGGTCACCTATTTTTATGTTGTTTCTATATGAACGTGTTCTCTGAGTTTCAATTTGGGATACCAGAAACACATTGTCCCCAACAGAGGCCAAAACTTCCTTCCCTAAGCTTTTGCAGGACTCCAAAAGCTTCTTCCAGGACCCCAGGATTTTGTCAAGGGAGTTTGGGGGGCCTCCGTGGAGCACCTTGGGCTCTCCAAGAATTTCTGGGGCAGATAATTGTTTCTACAGTAAGATGAAGGGTTTATGCACCAAGAAATCTGTTAGATGTTCCTGTTAGACAGTTCCTAAATCAGGGACTGTGTAAACATACTTTTAAAATGTCACTAAGCATTTAGTGTTATTTTCATCAAGATTTTTATGTATTTAGGTCCTACCTCTGCCACTAAACTGTAAGCTTCTTGAAGGCAGAATCAATATCTCCATCATCTTTTCATTACTCCCAGTAACCAGGTACATTATTGGCCTCAATAGATCCTGATTGATTTGATTTTCATTTGAATGTCATTGTTGTCTTGGAAATGGTGATTTGACCTATTATATTTTAACAAGCAATTAAATAACAAACGTGTATATTAAGGAGCCCCTTTCCCCTCTGTGTTTCTTTTGCATACTAACAAAACAGACTGTCGCTGTGGTGCAAAACCACCCACAGAATCAGAGCACAGGTCAGGGCAGCCTCTGTATGCCCTCTGCCCCAACACTGGCTGATGTGGTTTGGCTCTGTGTTCCTGCCCAAATCTCATCTTGAATTGTACTCCCATAATTACCACGTGTTGTGCGAGGGATCTGGTAGGAGATAATTTGAATGGGGGCAGTTTCCCCCATAATGTTTTCATGGTAGTGAATAAGTCTCATGAGATCTGATGGGTTTATCATGGGTTTCCGCTTTTGTATCTTCCTCATTTTCTCTTGCCTCCACCGTGTAAGAAGTGCCTCTCACCTCCTGCCATGATTCTGAAGCCTCCCCAGCCACGTGGAACTGTAAATTCAATTAAACCTCTTTTTCTTCCCAGTCTCAGGTATGTCTTTATCAGCAGCATGAAAACGGACTAATACACTGGCCCAGGGCTGGCCTCATTCACCTGCCAAGGGTGCAGGGAGGCGGTGCAGGAGTCATGAATGTGCATTTTGCACCTGCAGCTGTGCAGCAGATGGATCCTCTGACCCAGGCTACCATGTTTATTCCCAGTGCATGTCAGCTGCCCTTTGTCAGCCTGGCCTGTCTTGGCTCCAATTCTAGCTGCCCAGCCGCTGTCATCCTCTTCCCTCCAGCCAAGCATGCACTTCTCTTTTTAAAAGTACATTCATCAAAGTCTTGGTGTATGATGAGTGTTCTGGAGAGGAGCTGGGGCAGCATACGGGTGGAGCTGACCTTCAGCTGGGAGCAGACTAGAACTGCTGATGTAACGCATACTTCTATTTTCATGGGAAGGCTAACGAATCTCGTCTTCACGTTGCAAAACCTAAGAATTCAACAAAGTCAACTCTGCCTTACAAACTCTGTTAAATTACTGAGAGTAGTTTTTTAAAATATTTCTAGATCTTGAATTCTAAATGTATTTTTAATTATTATTTTTCTTCAATAATAAATGTTTTAAATTTTAACATAAAAAAGACAATCTGACACAATTTTAACATTTTCTGAAGATTATCATAAGGATAGTGTGCAATGTAGAGAGATAAAGCCCTTTTGGTAGAATTAATACAATCATGATACAAAGATTTTCCATGTTTAGTATTGCTCAGTTTAGTGTAAACACTGGCAAGTGGAATGCTATTTACATGAAGCTGAATAACCAGCCTTGATTCTTGGGCATAACTGTGCACAGAAAACAATGAAGTAGTTACAGTTGTTGTGGGTAAAGTTCCCAGTTTCACCAGAATTGCTCCAGGTTTTTGTTCCCTGTACTCTCCGTTTGGCTTGCTCCAATTCCGTACTTCAGTACTATTCATTTACCTTAAACCCCTGTCCCCTTTTTACAAACATAAAAATCTCATGCATTTTAAAATGTTGTTTAATATATCAAAATAAATTACATATCAAGACTAAAAGCCAGTTGAAACAATGGGCTATGCACAGCCTTGACATCAGTCTATATCCCCCAACTCCAGACACCACCCTCTGCCCCCAACAGATCTTCCTGGGGAGGTGGAGAGGCAATGGCCCATTCCTACAATCAGGAGCTACTACCATATAGGATCAGGGCAGGAGCACGCTACAGGGAGTCAAAAAGCAAAACATAATTGCTGAGTAATTAGTTGATTAGTTAATTGATTTTTTTAAATAGGGCAGTTGACAGGAAGGTAAGCCAAGCTAAAAAAAAAAAAAAAGAAAAGAAAAGAAAGAAAGAAGAAGGCGGGGATAGGAGATTGATTTCTGTAGCTGGGAGAGCATTTGCTGGGGAGTGGCATGGCCCAGGAGTTCACTGAAGGGAGTGGGAAGGAAGCAGAGAGTGGAGACACCCATTTTTATCAGATTTTCAAACAAGCAGCCCACCCGGAGATGCACTTAGTATTTGTCCCCACCCCTATGTCCACCATCAGATGAAGAGCAGGTTTTTCTCTCCTCTCTCCTTTCTCTTTTTCTTCTTTCCCTCCTGTTTGTTTTCTTATTTTTTAAAAACAGATTTGTTGGGATATAATCCACATATCATACAGTTCACCCATTTAAAGTGTACAGTTTAATGGCTTTTCATGTATTCAGAGTTGGGCAACCATCATCACAATTTTTTCCATTTCCTTTGTTTTTTATTCATATATAATAACTATACACCTTTGGGGCACAAGTGATATTTTGATACATGTGTGCAATGTGTAATCATCAATCCAGGGTAGTTGGTATATCCCTCATCTCAAACATTGACAATTCTTTGTGTTGGAGACATTACAATTCTTCTCTTCTAGCTATTTTGAAACCTACCCTAAGTTATTGATAACCACAGTCTTCCTATTGTAGTATTGAATACTAGACCTGATTCTTCCTGTGTTCTGCCTGCCCCAAAAGCTCTCCCTTCAGTGCCCCTTTCTCCTGCCTCCTGTCCCAGTTAACTCTGGGGTTTTGCCTGAAGGTGCTGCTCACAAACAACCCCTCCCCACAAGCTTCATCCATCCATCCAGTGCAGCTGAGGAAGATGGTGGCACAACCAGATGCCCACGACACAAAGGGGAGAGACAGGAATAGTTGAGCCACATAAGTTGCTACAAATGCCATAGATCCTGAGTGAAATGCCACATTCCAGACATGTGCCAAGCCTGTGCCATGCTGTGTGAACACCAGCAATGAAGAGTGAGGACAATATCGCTTTGCCCAGTACACACATGTGGGGTTTGTACACAGCTCTGCTGCGGGAAGAACATCTTCAGATTTGCAATATAACAATTATTGTTACCTTGAGTCTTTCTATGCCCCCTTTTCCCACCAAAAATTTCCTTGGAACAGTGGCAGCTGGTGATGACAGGCCTGGTGTCAGAGGGAGGGCCGGGTGGGAAAGGGAAAATGGGCCTGCCCTTGGCTGAATCGACCTAATGAAACATGATGGAACGTTCACAAGACGTTTTCTTCTGAGATTGACAAGGTAAGGCCCGCTTTTCCGCCTTCTCTGGGTCTCTAATTGAGTGTGAGTAATGAATATACATGGGGAGCAGCCCTGTCAATGTGCAAGGGTTTTGCATTTTGCATTTGGAGGCTGCAGCGCCATTCTCTGCCTCTGTAGTTTGGGAGAGGAAAGGGTGGCTGACCAGATGCTCCCAGCTACCCACAAAATCCTGTCAAGGTCATAAATCAGTGAGGATTTGATAAAGATTTGAGAAAGAATTGGACGTAGCTAACAGGAGACATTTGAGTAAAGGAGGTATGATTTCAGACGATGAATAGCCACTTGCTACTTTGAGGAAATTAACCAGGTGCTCAGGGCTCGTGGTTACTTATTTGGACACCAGGTTTATTGACTTAGGACAGTGAGTGCCAGAAGTGGACTTATTAAAATCTCTGCATTTTTTATTATGTTGCATGTGGTTTTTAAGAACAAGAATTAATTTACTTCATAGAAAGTTGTTTTTTTGCTTTTTTTCTGTTTCTAATTTAAATATTTTTAAAATAACCAGGCACAGTAGCTCGTGTCTATAGTCTCCGCTACTTGGGAGGCTGAGGCAGGAGAATTGCCTGAGCCTAGGAGTTGGAGGCTGCAGTGAGCCGTGATCATACCATTACACTCCAGCCTAGGCAATAGAGCAAGTCCCCATCAGTAAATAAAATAAAATAAAATAAAATAATCGATGTTACCTCACATTTAAAAAAAAATATGTTTACTTTATTTTGCGTTTTTATTTTTTTAAGTAGAAGAACCAGTCATATAAGATTTTCAGATCCATTTGTAAAATTGGAATCAGTGAGAATTTCTTTAGATTCTTTGGAATTTGGCTAGTCAGCTTCTTCTCTTTCTACAATAAAATAATCATTTTTTGAATAAAGAAAAGTGTTTTTAATTACAAAGTTAACTGTATGGTTTCATGGTGTATTATTTTAATTCTCTGAAAGTCAGTCTAAACCAACAACTGTTCTTAATTATTCCACTGCAACTTTGAACCTGGGTATATTTCTTATTTCTTCTATACTTATTTAAAAATAATTCTGTAAGATGCTTTATAAAAGATTAAATAATATCTTTTTTTTTTTTTGAGACAGGGTCTCACTCTGTCACCCAGACTAGAGTGCAGTGGCACAATCTCAGCTCACTGCAACCTCCACCTCCCAGGCTTAAGTGATTCTCTGGCCTCAGCCTCCCGAGTAGCCAGGATTACAGGCACGTGCCACTACCGCCTGGCTAATTTTTGTATTTTTAGTAGAGACAGGGTTTCGCCATGTTGGCCAGACTGGTCTTGAACTCCTGACCTCAAATGACCTACCCACCTCGGCCTCCCAAAGTGCTGGAGTTACAGGCATGAGCCAACGCACCTGGCCAATCATACTATTAAAACATATATTTCAGTTGTCAGAAAATGTGAAGGTATGTAATATGTATTACTATTTGGAAAATAAGAACATTGATGTAATAAAAAAGTAAAAACATTGTAGATGGATACTTGAAGATATCCTGGCCATACCTCTCTGAACTTGATATTCCATATCAAAAATTGGGATTCTGTTTTTGACACATAATAGACAGAGGCTGAAATACACAATTGAAATAAAAAGAAGTTAAAAACCCAATTTATCTTATATCATTGATAAAGTTGCTTTCTTAAAAAAGCAACTGTTTTAACAAAGCATCAATTCAGCTTACATTTATTACTTAAACAGAAAATGTAGCATGCATTTATGGAAATCGTTTTTTTACTAGCATCAACTGTTTCTAGCAAAACCAAGAGCCCAGAAATAAGTCAGAATCCTTCTGAACACCCAGAAATGCTATCATAAATTCAAGAGCCTGAAGCTGGTTCTCTCAATCCTAGAAAAACATCCTTTAGAAAGTTTATAGAAAACATGGTTAAAACTTACATATAAAAAGCTATTATAGGTTTTAAAATGATAAAAAGAACAACAAGTACAGACAAGTCATGCAAAAGGAAAAACTAATTGTTAAGTAATATAAAGGAAAAAATACAAACTACAGAAGTAATCAAAGAACTACAAAAGACAGATTATTTAAATAAGCAAATATTTAATTTTATGAGAATATTCAGTGTGTATAAGTCAGCTCTTTCATATACTAGTGATGGACATAGACGTTGTGTAGCAGTTCTGAAATGTAATGTAAGAAATAATTATTTACTTCCTTAAGGAATGTTGTCCTCTTTAACAAAGTAACTTCCTTTCCAGAGCTCTATTTTAAAATACAATTCAAACTGTGGACATAAATTTATACACAAAGATATTTCTCCCTGCACTATTTAACAATTTATAATAGCTAAAAAAAGGAAACAAGATGTGTTCAAAAGTAGGTCCCAATTTATGCAAATTTAAAACATGGCCATGATTGAAAATTATGCCTGCAATTTTAATGAAAAATATTTTCAAAAATATTTCATATCCTAGGAAAATGTCCACAGAATAGTACTAAGTGAGGAATGAATAATGCAAAGTGTTATATACGGTATGACCCCCATTATGTAAAACAATGTAATACAGATTATACCATTAAATGTATAAATAATGCCCTCATATTTACATATAAACACACAAATCTGTATTGGCATGTTTATGTTTAAATATATAGAAACTATTTTAAAGAGATTTCGATGTCAGTAGTATTCTCTCTGACCAGTTTGCAAATTATATTTTCTATGATACTTCCCAGTTTCTCCAGATCTTCCACAATGAGCCCATGTTAATATCATGCTTAGAAAAATGACTCATTAAATAGGATGATTTTTAAATGCCGCTGAAAGTCTAGTTGCTTATGTGATGGAGCCACTTCTTTCGCAGATGGTGATTGGGTTTCCTGATGCATAATTGATTGGGATCAATAGCTGAGGAAGTGAAAGGAGGGCGAGTGAGTTTTCTAGCAGCAGGAGTTCTTCCAGCCCCTCAGACCCGGGTGAATCCATCATGCCTAACTGATACCACACACTCCCATTAGAAAACGTAACCCTTAACACACACTCAGAGAATCTGGCACGGAGAATAGAAGCAACAAATCTATAAAACATTGAGAAATGTTTATCTCTGGACATCTAAGTTGTGCAGTATAACAGTATGGTTAAGCCATGGAGTCAGGCAGGCTGCATTTGAACTCAGGCCAATTCATCACATAGTGACCAGGTGACCCAGGTGAGACATTGAAATCATTCTGGCTCCAAGTTTCAAATCAGAAAACAGGGAGTGAAAAGAGTACCTACCGGTTGGGCGGTGGTGGCTCACACCTGTAATCCCAGCACTTTGAGAGGCCGAGGCGGGTGGATCACCAGAGGTCAGGAGTTCAAGACCAGCCTGACCAACATGGAGAAACCCCGTCTCTACTAAAAATACAAAATTAGCTGGGCGTGGTGGTGCATGCCTATAATTCCAGCTACTTGGGAGGCTGAGGGAGGAGAATCGCTTGAACCTGGGAGGTGGAGGTTGCTGTGAGAGCCGAGATCGTGCCTTTGCACTCCAGCCTGGGCAACAAGAGTGAAACGCCATCTCAAAAAAAAAAAAAAAAAAAAAAGAAAGAAAGAAAGAAAAGAGTACCTACCGCTGTGAAGTGTTGAATAAACTAATTTATAGAAGGATGGAGAACAGTGCCTGACAATGAGAGATCGGGTTGTTATGATTATTGTCATTTTTGAAATAATGTTCGGAAAGTCAAGGTTTCTTAAAGTGTGACTCTGATGACCACTTGGAAGATAATCAGGTAGAAAGCTTGTTACAGATGGAGAGTTTTGAAACTCACCCAACTCTACCGAATAAGAGTTTCTGATGGGTCCCAAGAATACATATTTTTGACAATCTCCAAGTTTGTTCTTATGTGCCTCTAAGATACACTGTACTAAAAGCATTAGAATTTTCTATAAATATTCCTAACTCATCAAGGTAAAGTTTAAAAATGTTGAGCATTTCTGCTTAAGTAGCTGAGAAGTGCATTTACCTTCATAAATTGATATCTAACAAAAATAAAGAAATGAAACATTTTTCTCAGATTATTTTGTTTCAAAGAGAAAACCTTTCATTTTAAGAAAATTCATTTATGTGGAACACTTTGTTCTTTGAAGAGTTTGGTTAAAGGATGTGTTATTGTATCCATGTCTATTTTGTGTATAAAGCATAATTTTACCCATTGTCTCATGAAACTCAAGATTATATTTGCTTCAATAAAGATTCCAAAGTGTCCTAATTTTCTAAGTTATGAAGTGCTTATGTCTATCCATCATCAAGTAAAATTTTGTGCTTCTAAATAAAAAGAAATGCAGTGAGAATTTGCTTGCTCAATATGGTATAGA
Organism: Homo sapiens; assembly: GCF_000001405.40. NCBI lineage: Eukaryota > Metazoa > Chordata > Mammalia > Primates > Hominidae > Homo > Homo sapiens. The sequence goes on along the minus strand of NC_000013.11, from coordinate 106,727,793 downwards.
AGACAATGTCTTGTTTTAGATTTCTTTTTCATGCAGGCTTTCTTACTCTCTGTCCCTCATAAATACAACATTAAAAAAAAAAACAGCATTAAGAACACACACTGTAATAACAGAGATGGCATCATTTTATCTCTGTATGTTTATAAGGTGCATTCTGGCTCACAAAACCTGAAGCCTTCTGCCCAACCCTGGGGGCTGGCTCTTTCAAAACACATCCACGTGGGCTGAAGGCGAATCCAGCAGCTGGCCTGCTACTCTGGCTCCTGGCCTCATCTGAGGAGTCAGGCTGGGGCAGAATGGAAAATTCATCAAAACCACACACAATTCAGATATAAGAGAAGCAAATCCTACGTGGCAAAAATGCACATTTATCTCAATACGTATAGACCATAATTGCAATTAGGCATGCATATTTCCACTAAAAATTCAAGCATTCATAATTGTAAAAGTTTCTCTGTAAAACAGTTTTACTTTGGTAAGCATTAACAAGGATGATTTTCCTGTCAATTTTAAATTTAGAATTTTTATCATTCTAAAACCATATTAGCAAATTAATTCAATCTATAGGCTCTACCTTACTTAAGTAGATGATTTTGTCTAGGTTTCCTTGAAATAAATGAGGATTTTGGATGACACTGATCTCTTTAATTATACTAAAGAGACAACCATTTATTTTAAGTGCATGCCATTCAGTTATTTTTAGCTCATGGTAGAAATCAAAATACTCATTTAAAAGGTTGAAGAAATGTGTGCTTGTTTAATGGGGGAGGATAAAGGAGCATACTGAGGAAGCTGTGAAAGTTGTCAGAATCAAAATAGAGTTACTTGTGTTAAATTGAAAAAAAAAAAAAGACAAATAGAGCCAGAGAAGGCTATGAACGAGAGGGTTCTCATGCTTGCATGCCCAATAACAAAACTATTATCAAAGACTCTGCAAAAACAACTGTAATCTTGCACATAAGCCACCACAACCTTACACAAAAAGTTCTTCTTTAAGGACATCAGCCCAGCCACTGCCTGTGCAATCTTGGACTGGCACCACCCTTATTATTGATACATGTAACCAAGGACAATAATTTCAAAACAATTACGTAACACTCTTCACTTTTTCTTTACAATCTTTTGTGTTCCTTTACCTCCCTGAATATGCAGTTTACTATGAAACATGTATTCCCACTGCTGTGACCTATTGCCAAATAAACATCATTTTTCTTTTAGAGAGCCTCTGTTTGTTATTTAGGTTGATAAAACTTATGAAGATTATGGCTACTAGCAAAAATTACTCATGTCAGCCTCCCAATATGTGTCAAATTTTCATTAAAAGCACCTCCTATTCTCATCAATGGTCATTTAGGGACGATTAGAGTAGATTTTAACACATCAGTGGTCAAGATGACTTACACATTTTGGGGGTATGCAACCCTGCTCCCAAATGAAACACTCAACTTCAACCAGCCAAGGGCTCCACAATGCTGAAAATCATACTACTTTTCTTTAGTCTATATTAGAGTCTCTTCAAAACTCATTCCCATCTGCCTTATCAAAATACTGTCTTAGAAAGCTGAACCAGTGTGTCAGTGAAGCTTGGAAAATGGTAAAGTTTGGAAAAAATGTGATTCAAGAGCAGGTTGGTCCCTCTGAAGGGGCTCATCATATGGCCTCCTATGGGGACATACCCTGGGGGGGACAGAGTGATGACATGACCCCAATGGTAGATGTCATTTGTCTTGGGTTTGTTTGCAGATGTATCTGTCTGTGAAACGGTGATGTTTTCTTTCTAATTGCAAAATTCCCAAAGCTAAATAAATAAATGAACATGACCCTGCAATAATCTTACAGTCCTTTTTAAAAAATTTGACTGGCTTTATATAAGGTAGTTCATTTCAAACAGGTAAAACTTGTTTAAAATGGAGTGTCTTGCCACTAATTGTTTTCATTTCAATTGTGATGAAAACTTAATGTTTTAATCAAACTGAAAAATAAGTTAAGCCAAAAAGATTTATTTTTAGCCAATAATATTGTACTTACTCCATTGTTCTTTTCCTCTCCCTCCAGAAAAAAAAATAAGGAGAGCAATACCTTATAAGTTGAATAGAATCAACTTTTTCACTGTAGGAAAGACAAATAAGCCTAATTCCATTATTTCATTAGTCTAATCATATCCTTCCCCAGAAAAGACTCCCAACCCAAATGTGGCTTCCTCCATCTCTTAAAGCTCTGTAACCAAGGATGGGTGAGAGATTGGGTCCTACTTGCTCCCCAAGGAGGCCAGCAAGCTGGATTCCAATCACCCCTCTTGAAGGCAGCTGCCCAAACCCCAACACCCTACCCAGGGTCATTTGCCTCTGCTCTAGCTCTGAGCCTGAACAACTGTCACACACTCTTGCATACTTCTGCAGACTTTTATTTTTGAAAAAGAAAATTCATCCAGACTCTTGAGTTAGATACTTTCCAGGGCCATCATTATGCTCTGTGGGTAAATGAGGCCAAGTAAAGCACTTCGCTCCTTTAGTCTATGATTACCACATTTCCAAGCTTTTAACAGTAAATAGAGGCACCCCTTGTTATCTGAACTCTTCCTCTTCTCTGTCTTTCTCTTTCTCTCTCTCTCTCTTTCTCTCTTTCCAAACTCAATACTTAAGTAGATTTGGAAACATTTTCAGAAAATCCCCTGTGATCCAAATTTTTGAAATTTATTTTCTGAAACTCAAGCACTAAACACTCTTCTAAGGTTTCATGAGTTGGTAAGAGGTCTGGGTTCTAGTTTATCCTCATTACTTTTTATTATTTGGAGGATGCTGACCCTGTCACTTAGCCTCTATAGGTCTCAGCTGCTTCATTGAATCTAATTCAGCAAACATTATACTGTCTGCCCAGTGTCAGCCAGGCATGTCACCAATGCATGGCAGTGACCTATGCAGGTTGTTCTCCAGACCTGAGCTGTCCAGTTAGAGTACTCAAGAGTGTCCCTGGTGAGAATGTGTGAACTGTATGAATGAGAAACTGAATTTCAAGTTTTATTTAATTTTCATTCACTTAAATTTAAAAACCGATGATACTTCATCCAGTTATTGGAAAACTTGAAATGTTTGAAACAACTAGAGCAAGTGAATATAACTTGCAATGGTTAGTTTTATAAAGTCTAAACATAGACCAATTATTTCCAATAAGAATTAAGTGTAAGGGTTGAGATGTGTTGTAAGAATACCTATTTTGAGAACATCCATAAAAAAGTGTAAAATACCGATTAATAATTTTTTACATTAATTGTATGATGAAATGGTAACAGTTTGGATGTACTGGGCTAAATAAAACATATTTTTACCATCATCTCACTAGTTTCATTTCTACTTTTAAAAAATACAATGACTGGGGCTCACATGGGGCTCACATTATATTTCTGTTGGGCAGTGCAGCTTCAGAACTCCAAAATAAATTATTCCATGGAACATGCCTGCTCCATCTCTGCCTAATTTCCCATGTCCCATGGAACTGTCTAGGTTTTTAGGTGTTTTCCTGTAGAAAACCCTGCTGTATTTTCTTCTCATCCCTTTGTACCCTGCTTACTTCTGGGTCTTTCCAAAACAATAGCCCTCAGAGAGCACAGCCTGTTGCAATATACTTTTTTGCCCTGCTGCTTCTTCCTATATGTTAAAATTCCATGAGGAAACCAACAGTTTGGCTTGCTATTGCACTCTCAGTGCCTGGAATAGCAAGGTGCCACACACAGAGCAGGTGCTCCCAGTAGGTGGTGTAGAAAAGAGTGCATATTCATGTTCTTGAAAAGTATCTAAATTGAAAGCTGGAAGGTACTGGCAAGGTGTTTTCATTGTTGCTGTTTTTAATATGACAGTTCACCTTAAATTAGAAAGACACATAAATTACTTTAGAAAAATGTTTTCCAGGTTTTAAAGAACCACAGGGCAAAAGTCATTTTATCAAAACCATAAATGATGGTACATAAAACTTAGTTTTTAATATTTTTACTCCAGTATTTTGAATTAAAATTGGCATATCTCTGGTAACATGCAACTATTTTCTCCACACATACAGATAAAAATAGTAAATAAGCAAATTAATTTCTCCCATTGTAAGTACGTCTCAAGATATAAAAGGCTAATACTCAACTCCTCAATAAATCATATATTAGAAAAGCAATTTGGAAACAGATATATCAGTTCATTCTTTTGTTTTTTCTCATTATATGCTTTAACTTGTGCAAAAGGGACAGGGAATGGCTTTCCTGGCACCTCTGATTGTCATTTACGGCTTACATAACACACAACATGAGGATTGCTCTTTACAATTTAATTAGATTCAATCCCCATGCATAACACTATATGGGTTTGCATATTATTGCTAAAATGTAGAAATAATAGAGCAGTATTCTTTGAAAATTTCTTTTGCCATCTACTCCCATTATTAAATAGCTTTTGCCTTCATTTGTCTTTTGATTATTATGATAACAATATCGTCATTTAACACGAATGAGCTCCATTCTCCCTGTGTACGCACATGTGGAAGAACTCTCCGGAGTCTGATGGCGGGGTGCTGAAACAGCAAACAGAGCTTACAGCTGTGTCAGGAAGAATACGGTCTGTCTGTCACATTATCCACAAGGCTTCTGCCCAAAGTTAATAACTGATCAGGTACCAAAACTGTGAGTTCCAGAGCTGAAGCCAAGGACAAAACCTGCTTGCACTCCAGTGGGCTTCTGCTTTCCTTCCTTAACTCTTTGCCAAAGAAGCTCTACCAAGGAGATTTATACCCCAAGTCCCAACAGTATAGACTCAAAACACAAAAGATCCACTATTGCTGCTTTGGCATTTAGAAAAGATAAAAAGCACTGGACTAATGTATGGGGTGAGTTAGTAGAAACAAGCTAATGTGAACACATTGAATATGACAAAGGAGAGTCACTTCAGGAATACTGAATAAGGACCTCTGAAAATCCCCTCCTCTATAAAAGCAAAGAGAACACTGACCAAATGATCCACGTCAGCGTTTTAGAACTGTAGAAGTTGTCCAAAGACTTGCAACAATCTGAGAAATGTTTATTTAATAACGACAGCTGAATCTTGAACAGTGAGCTAAACAGTGTGCTTTGTGACATTTTTACTTTCTCTCTTTCTATCTATCCTTTACTCTCCAACTCTGCAGTAGCCTTGAAAACTAACAGCCTTGCAATCATGGTAGACACAAAAATCAGCAGCAAACAAGCCGCTAGATAGTGCAGAAAGGGTTTGAGGTTAATCCCCAAAGCCCCATTTCTAGAGCATTGTCCATGTTTAATCTATTTACAAGTTCCATGGGAACACTGGCTTGCAAGGCTCGTCTTTATTTGACAGTAAGAACAAGCTCACTGCAAGCAGTCTCTTCCCCAGAACATTTCCTGAAAATAGTTACTGGAAATTGCCTTACATTATGGCTGCCTAAGCAGTGATATGGTTGGGGCAAATGAGGAAGAATCTTTTTTTTTTTTAATTATACTTTAAGTTCTAGGGTACATGTGCACAACGTGCATTGTTTGTTACATAGGTATACATGTGCCATGTTGGTTTGCTGCACCCATTAACTCGTCATTTACATTAGGTATATCTCCTAATGCTGTCCCTCCCTGCTCCCCCTTTCCACCAGCCCACCACAGGCCCCGGGGTGTGATGTTCCCCGCCCTACGTCCAAGTGTTCTCATTGTTAAACTCCCACCTATGAATGAGAACATGTGGTGTTTGGTTTTCTGTCCTTGTGATAGTTTGCTGCCAGGGGAGATACCATGATCATTCTGAGGAAGAATCTTAAAGGAAAACCTGGTGAGTGAGATGTATGTAGATTTTGAGAAACTCTGGCATATTCCTGGGAAGGAAGAAGGCCATGTGCGTGTGCAGAACAGTGGGCAGGCTTGGGAAAGATCTGAGAAGGCCCTAATATCTCACCTCTGGAGGACCTCGAGAGCCTGCACAAACAGAAAGTAAAATCTTTCAAAGAGTGGTGACCTTCTTCCTGGAGTGCTGAAGCCATGCCCCGACATGCACAGAGAGTCCCATGGCAAAGGCTGGGATCGTTATTGGCTCAAAGCATTTTAGGAAATCTCAATCCAATCATTGGCTGACACTAACCTAACTAACCAAAGACTTCAGTGGCCGTAAATGACAAAGGATACGGACTTTAAAGAATTAGCCCAGGAAAGTTACTAAACAAATAGCAACAAGAACAAACCCTGGGGTGGGGGGGTTCCAATTTCCAGATTGGCAACATTATATTATTTTAAATATCAAGTCTTCAACACAAATATAGAAGGCACACAAAGAAACAGGAAATATGGCCCATACACATTTTTTAAAAAGCAATCATTAGAAACCTTCCCTGGGGAAGCCCAGATGTTGGACTTACTAGACAAAAATTTGAAGTCAACTTATAAGTATGAGCAAATAACTGAATAAAAACATGTCTAACAAAACTAAAGAAAACTGGGCATGAAGGCTCTTGCCTGTAATCCCAGCATTTTGGGATGCCAAGGCAAGAGAATCACTTGAGCCCAGGAGTTCAAGACCAGCCTGGGCAGCATGGCAAAACCCCATCTCTACCACAAAATACAAAAATTAGCTGGACATGATGACACACACCTGTACTCCCAGCTACTCAGGAAGCTGAGGTGGGAAGATTGCATGAGCCCGGGAGGTCTAGGCTGAAGTGAGCTGTCATCATCACTGTACTCCAGCCTGGGTGGCAGAGTGAGACCCTGTCTCAAAACAAATAAACAACAACAACAACAAAACTGAAGAAAATTATGGTAATGATGTCTCACCAAATAAAAAATATGAACCAAGTAGATAGTCTGAAGCTGGGAAGTACAATACTATAATGAAAAACGTATTAAAGTGCTCAATAGTGGATTTCTGGCAGAAGAAAGAATCAGCAAACTTGAAGATAGGTCAATAAGACTATCCAGTCTGAAGAGCAAGAACAGAGAGAAAAAAATAATAAAAAAATGAGCAGGGCCTCACAGACCTGTGCAACATCACAAAGCTTACCAACATATGCATAATGGCAGTTCCAGAATAATGAAAGAATAAGAAATGGGCAGGAAAAAATAATTTGAAGAAATAATGTCTAAAAATTTCCCATATTTGATGAAAAACATTAATACACACATCCAGGAAGCAAACAAACTTCAATAGAATAAATTTAAAGACATCCACACACGAACACATCATTTCAACAATCCAACTCTTGAAAGCCAAAGACAAAAAAAGACTTGAAAGCAGCAAAAGAGAAATGACTCATCAAATATAAAAGATTCTCAATAAGATTAACAGGGTTTATTATCAGAATCTATGGAAGCCAGAGCAGTGGTAATAAATATTCAGAGTGGTAAAAAGAAAATAATTTTGACCAAGAATTTTGTATCCAATAAAACTCTCTTTCAAAAATGAAGGAGAAACCTGCTCTACAAGAAATAATAAAAGGAATCCTTCAAGATAAAATTAAAGGGCACTATACAGTAACTCAAAACCACATTAGGAATAAAGACCACCAGCATCAATAACGGTAACTCATAGGTAAACATAAAAGACAATATAAATCTATTTTTATTTATAACTTTTCTTTTCTCCTATATGATTTTAAAGACAATTGCCTAAAGCAATAATTATAAAACTATGTTGATGTGTTTACATAGTGTAATGATATCATTTGCATACAATTGAAATTAAATTATTAATCTGAACTAGATTGCTATAAACTGAGAAATAAATTGTCATCCCCAGGAAACCACTAAGAAAATAACTCAAAAATGGAATAAAAATGATAGAAAGAATGAATGGTACACACAAAATATCTACTTAACATTAAAAAAGGTAGTAATGGAGGAATCAAGGAACAAAACAGGCATCAGACATATAAAAAAACAAACAGCAAAATATCAATGCTATGGAATGAATCTAGTTCTCTAAAAAAATTCTATGTTGAAATGCTAACCCTCAGTATGTCAGTATTAGGAGATATGACTTAAAAAAAGATTACATTAAAATGAGGCAATTAGGATAGGTTCTCATTACCCAATCTAATTGGTATCTTTATAAAAAGAAAAAATTAGGAAACACAAAGGAGACATCAGGTTGTGTATGCAGAAAGAAAGACCATGTGAGGACATACAGAGAAGATGGTCATCTGCAAGCCAAGAAGACTGGCCTCAGAAGAAACCAAACCTACCCACATCTTTGCCTTGGATTTCTAGCAACCAGAACTCTAGGAAGATAAATTTTTGTTGTTCAAGCCATCCAGTCTGTGGTGTTTTCTCATGGTAGCCCTAGAAAACTAATACAAGAAGGCATTAATTCTATCTTATTAGCCATTGCACTAAATGAAAATGGATTAAATACCAGTCAAAAGGCAGAGACAGGCAAAATTAATTTTTAAAAAGAGATCTAACTATATCCTGTCTTCAAGAGACACACATTAGATAAAAAAAACCAAAGATGTTGAAATTAAAATGATGGAAAAGTATATATCATGTAAACAGTAACCAAAAAAAGGTGGAGTTTCTGTTTCAGCCAAAATAGCCTTAAAAATTGATACTACAGGAAGAGAAAACTTATAATGATAAAGGGATCAATACATCAAGAAAAAGTAACAATTATAAACATGCATGCACCTAACAACAGAGCCTCAAAATACATGAAGTAAAAATTAACAGATTTCAAGGAACAAATAAACATTCAAAAATAATTTTAAGACTTCAATAACAGATAGAAGAACTAGACAGAAGGTCAACAATGAAATACTAGATTTTGAAAACACTATAGCCCAACTAAACCTAAAAGACTTCCATACAACAGTCTACCGAATAACAGCACAATACACACTTTTTTCAAGTGCATGTGTAATATGTTCAGTCATAAAAAAAGTCTTGATAATTTTAAAATGATTGAAATCATGTGAAATATACCCTCCAAACACAATTGAATGAAATTAGAAATAAATAGCAGAAGGAAATTTGGGGAATTCACAAGTATGTGAAAGTTAAACTACATATTTCTAAATAACCAGCTGGTCAAAGAGGAAATCATAAGTGAAATAATAAAATGCTTTTAGAAGAATGATAATGAAGACATCAAAATTTATAGGGTGTAACCAAAGTTTAGAAGAAAATCTACAGCAATAAATACTTACATTAAAAGAGATTAAAAATCTCATGTAAATATTAAAACCTTTCACTTTAACTAGTAAAATAATAGGAAACTTAAAAAGGAAATAGTAATAGTTACAGCAGAAGTAAATGACTGTACAGAAAAAAATATATATAAAAATCAATAAAACCAAAAATTGGTTCTTTGAGAAGAGCAACAAAATTAGCAACCCTTTAGCTAGTCTAAAAAAGCAAAAAGAGATAAGAATCAAATAATTAAAACTGAGAATAAAAAAATAAAAAAGTCATTACTATCAACTTCACAGAAATAAAAGAGATTATAAGAGAATATTATGGACAGCTGTACAAACATATCAGGCAACTAAATAAAACTGACAAATTACTAGAAAGATATAAACTACCAAACATCATTAAAGAAATTGAAAATTTGAATAGATCTATAGCAAGTAAAGAGATTGAATTAGAAATTCTAATACTTCCCTTGAAGTGTGTACCATTAATCTCTTCCCTTGAAATTTTGCACTTGAAAAGTGCAAGCCCAGATACCTTCACTGGTGAATCATACCAAATATTTAGAGAAGAATTAATACCAATCCTTTACAAAATCTTCTGAAAAATAACAAGAAAGAAAACATCCCAACTATTCTCTGAGGCCAATATTACCCTAATAATAAAATCAGACAAAGATATGACAAGAAAAGAGAATCACACTCTAGTATCCATTATGAACATAGACACAAAAATCCTCAACAGCATACTTACAAATGCAATTCAGCATCATATTAAAGGGGTTATGCACCATGAAGAAAATGAAATATATGCCAGGAATGCAAGGTTAGTTCAATATACAAATTATCAAAGTAATATATTACAGAATAAAAGATGAAAAAAGCACACAAGCAGAAAAAGCACTGGACAGTTTCTCCCATGATGAAACATTTAACGAAGAGGAACAGAAGAAAACTTCCACCTTCCACAACCTGATAAAGAACAACTACGAAAAAAGACAAATGACATTGTACTTAACTGTGAACAAATTAAAGTTCTATCACTCAGATGAAAAATAAGACAAAGATGCCTACTCTTGCCACATTTAATCAACATTGTCCTGGAGGTGTTAGCCAGCAAAATTAGGCAGGAAGATTTAAAAAGCATCCAGATTGGAAAGAAAGAGGTAAAACGATCTCTATTCTTTAGATGACATGAGAACTAATAAATGAGACCAGCTAGTTTGTAAGCCACAAGATCAATATACAAATATTAATTGTATTTCTATACACTAACAGTGAATAATCTGAAAGTGAAATTAAGAAAACTGCAGTTGTCCCTTGGTATCTGCAGGAGATTCGTTCCAGGACTGCCAGTGAATATTCAAATCCACAAATATTCAAGTGTTGCAGTGGCCTTGCAGAACCCATGGATATAAAAAAATTGGCCCTTCATATACATGGGTTTCACATCACATGAATACTGTATTTTCAATGTGTTTGGTTGTGAAGGCAAAAACCTGTCAGTACAGAGGGCCAACAGTATTTGTTGAAAAAAAATCTGAGTACAAGTGGACTCACACTGTTCAAACCCATGTTGTTTAAGGATCAATGGTATTCCACTTCAAACACCATCAGAAAAATAAAATACCTAGAAGTAAATTTAACAAAGTGTAAGACTTATAAACTAAAAGCTATGAAACATTGTTGAAAGATATCATAAAAATCTAAATAAAGAGAAACACATACCATGTTTATGAATCAAATGACAATATAGTTCAGAATGCAAATCTCTCCTACTTGATCTACAAATTCAAGGCAGTGCTTATCAAAATTCCAGTTGGTTTTTTTGGTAGAAATTGACAAACTGATCCTGAAATTCATATGGAAATGCAAGGCAACCACGATAGCCAAAACAATCTTGAAAACAAAGAACAAAGTTGGAGAGTTCACATTTCTCAAATTCATAATTTAATACAGAAGTATAGTAAATAAGACAGTTGAGGTATTGGCATAAGGATAGACATATAAATCAATGGAAAAGAATTCAGCCCAAAGATAAACACTTACATTTGTAATTAATTGATTATGAACAAGGGTGCCAAGAATATTCAATGTGGAACAGTCTTTTCAATAAATGGTGCTGCGACAACCGTATGTCCACATTCTGGATAATAAAGTTGGATCTCTGTATGATATTAAAAAATTTAACTGAAGTCAAACACATAAATGTAAGACATAAATTATGAAACTCTTAGAAGAAATCTTATAAGCTTAAATCTTCATGAACTTAGGTTAGGCAATGGTTTCTTAGATATAACACCAAAGCACAGGCAACAAAAGAAAGGATCAGTTAGACTTCATAAAAATTAAACACTTTTATGTATCAGATAACTTTATGAAGCAAGTGAAAATATGAACCAGACAATGGGAGAACATATCTGTACATGATAAGCCTGATAAGTTTCTTTCACAGAGAATATGTAAAGAACCTTATGGCTCAACAATAAAAATACAAATAACCCAATTTAAAATGGCCAAAAGATATGAACAGACATTTCTCCAAAGAAGATATGCAACTAGCCTATAAGTATGTGAAGAGATGCTCATCAGTAGTCATTAGGGAAATGCAAACCAAATCACAATGTGTTACCACTTGGCACCCACTATGATGACTATAATTCAAAAGATGGAAAATAAAAAGTGTTGTCAGGGATGTACGAAAATCAGAACTCTCTTACATTCCTAGTGGGGATGTAAAATGGTTCAGCAACTGTGGAAAAGAGTTTGACAGTTCCTCAAAAACTTAAACATGGGTACCACATAACCCAGCAATTCCACTCTTAGGTACCCAAGAGAATCGAAAATATATGTTCACAGAATGGATATTCATAGCAGCATTATTCACAATAGCCAGAAATTAAAAATAACCCAAATATTTGATAAATGAACAAATAAAATATGGTCTATTCATACAATAAAATAGTATCAATTTTAAAAGTAAAGCATTTATCCATGCAACAACATGGATGAAACTTTTTCAAAGTTTACATCATGATAAGTGAGAAAATCCTTACACATGGTCACACATTGTATAATTCCATTTATATGAAATGTCCAAAATAGACAAATTCACAGAGACAGAAAGTAGATTAGTGGTGGCCAGAGGCGGGGTACAGGGGAGAATGGGAAGTGATTACTAATGGGCCCAGGATTTCTTTGTGGGGTGATGAAAATGTTCCGGAATTAGGTAGTGGTGATGGTTGCATAAGGCTGTGAATGTACTCACAGCTCCTGAATTGTTCACTCAGAAAACAAACAAACAAGAATACCACATAGCAAAATACGGTAAGTGTGGTAGATATAATATTTAGTTTTTGAGATGAATCTTGTAGGATGCATATGATTTTGAGCAGAGTATAGTATCAACAAAGACCTAGAGCAGAAAGTATCAGTTGGTTTGAAATTTAGAGAGGGTCTAGTTTGACTACATTGTCAAGCCATTTGAAAAGATAAGGCTGCAAGCTAGAATGAAATCAGATGTCAGATGACCCTGGATGTCCCATGGAAGTTCCCATAAGGGTTAGGGAGGCAGCGCTGAGGGCTTTGAAGGCTGAATGCCTTAGGATTATCCTTGCAGGTCAGTTTGAATCCTCACTCCCGGGAATGCTAGAATCACAGAATTTTATAGCCAAAGAAGCCTGCGATACTATCTAGTTCAGTAATTTAAAAGCAGTGGGGCCTATTTTTCAAAAGCGATTTTAGCAATATGTAGGGCAGATAAAAGGAAGCAGCCCTGGGATCCAGATACCTCCACCCTTTCATTTCAGCTCCCCTCCAGACACCCATGAGGAAAACAGCAGCAGCAGCAGCAGCAGCAGCAGCAGCAGCAGCAGCAGCAGCAGCAGTAGCACAGATAACCCTTCGTTTTAGAGATGAAGACACTGAGAGTCTGAAAATTAACTTGCCTTCACAAGAAAATGGAATTGATGTTTGTCAAACTGTGTTCCAGGGGTAGGGGGAAATAACAAAGGCAGGGATGAGGGAGTGCACAGAGTATGATCAGGAATGTTCAGGAAAAGAATTGTGCCATGTAGTAGGAGCCAAGACAATCGCCTTTCTGTGATGAGGTCATTTAGGCCTGGCATGAGTGTAAATTAGGCAGTGATGTCACCCCTCACATGAGGGAGCATGCCTTGAGCACATCGGCATCTTCCGCAAAGGTCTGCACACGACGAATGAGTCAATGTTCTCCTTGGCTCTGTCCGAGGGCAGCCCCTATGGCGGCATCTTGTATCTACCCATCAGGATGGGTGAGGAGGGTCCCACTGAAGGAAGCTGGATCACTCTTCTCCACTTCCACCATGCACAGAGTACACAGGCAAACCCTGGGGAGGGATTCCTGAAAACTCGTCTCTCTGATCTCAGGAAGGAGGGCAGGAAGTTTTCCCCTGCAGGCAAAACAGAAAACAGGGCTCATTTGACGCTCTTACTTCTTAGTGGCCCAATAACAATACACAAAGTCCATATCTTGGCCCTCGACTTTCATCTTTTTGTTCAACCACAGATGCCAAAATGAACCAATCCATTCAATGAAAATAGCAAACTGACATTTACAAGGGATTCCCCACCAGTCCGGAACACCACTCACCAATCCAACAATTGCTGCACACTTAGGTGGTGAGACCCTCTGAACTTAGTCATGGTCTTAGTTGAAAAGGGGGAAAAGTATATGAACTTATCTGAGAGACAAAGAATAGTGAGAAAGAGACTTCTAATCTGGAAGTGAGAGAAACCTTTTGTCAAATGTTTCCCAGTTTTCAATGCCAGTGAAGACACACACAATGGGGAATATTCAAGTCGCCCAAGAGGAGGAAATCTATTTATTTGCCTTGTATTGTTTCTCGTATTAGATCATGATTCAAAGGAAGTGCTATTGCAACTGTTTGAATTCTAATGATTATAAGACAGGTTATGGCTCCAGGTGCTGATTGTGAATACAAACAATAATGATACTATGCTGTATTTTAAAATATATAATAATGGCATTATCCAGTAAAACCACTATCACACTACTGCCTGTATAATGGGAAACAACCACCAGCTTAACTGTGGGGACATTTTAGGATTATAGGGCTAATCTTTATTTAATAAACTCAAAGAAAAAAAGTCCTAGCAAATATCTGCTTGTGATGGTAGAGTTTCCCGGCTCTTTCTTGGTTAGACATTAAAGCTATTAAAGGACTTCTAAAAACAGTGAGGGTTTTTGTTTCTCAAGTATGCTCTTCTATTATTAAAGTTTATCTGAACAAAGATTTTCTTTGGGGAAATCTATGCCAGAGTGTCTTTCCCGAGGATGCAACACATGGAAAGGTGTAAAACAATTGTTTTGCCAAGGGGGAAAATACTCCTCACATTCACAGTGATGCACTTTGTTCTCATTATCATAAAATGCAATCATTGTCCATAAACTTTGAAAGAAGACATGGAGAGAATGTTTCCATCATTAAGGAAAAATTACTCATCTTCTTCTCCAAGAAGCTGCCAGGCCTGGCAGAGGGGTGCACGCTCAGAGGATGTTGCCGTTTGATCAAAGGCCAGCAGCCGTGGTCCAGGGCCTCCTCCAACAGGAGGGGTCAGCGGTGTCCCTCAGAAGGAAGCTGAGTGGTTCCGGTTCTACCTAGGCATCCCTCGGACCATCACCAGTTTGGGCTCTTTCACATTTAACCTCTGCTTCCTTAGTTGCCTTCTTTGTGACGCTGTTTTTATTCCATTTGACAACAGCTGCAGAGAATTCCTGTTTAAATTTCATGCCCTACTTTGCATGTTCTTCTCACCTCCTTCTGCCAAAAAACTGTATCCCTTTGTTTTTGTGGAGGGTGGAATTAACCAACCTAAAAGATTCCTCTCGGATGGAGAGCCAAACGCATCTCCTCTGTAGCACCCTCAGCAAGAGATGGGGGTGAATCAAAGCGTGCTTCACATTTTCAAGGAAAATGCCTACTTGAATCAGAGTTTTTTGATGACTTTAATTTTCCCCTTTGAGCCTCCAGTGGAATCGTAATTCCCTTTATGTGGAGGAAAGTGCATTGGCTCTGCTAACCAAAATACTCCAAAGCTGCCGGGTGAAGGGCAGAGGACAGCTTGGCAGTCAGACGCTTATGTAAAGGACTGAGTTTAACGGCAGCGTGCATTGGACACTCATGACTCCATGCCAACGAGCAAAACGGCTCCATATAGAAACTTGTTATGATATTAAACCAAAACATCCTGGCCCATTAGTCCTCAAGGCATTTTTTGTTGTCTTTTCTTAGCTTAGTGAATAATGTCTCCAAGTGTGGTACAGTGCTAAATGAAATCTAGTTAAATTAAAAGAAATAAATAAAACTGGAGCTGATAAGCCCAAGCTTGTAGCATACCCTGTGACTTCCACATAATCTAATAATTGCATTAGTTAACCTTTTTTTATCACTTTGATGAATATTACATTAACTTAAAAGATTTAGAGGCCAACCGGTTATCATTTTTAAAAGACGAAAGAAAACAATCATCTCCATCATTTTCCATTTTACAAAAATTAATGCTACTTTTTATACAAAAATAAATACTTAAAAAATTAGATATCACTGGATTCATCACTAAAATCTGGAAATGCCTTCTCCTCTGTATATAGCAGGTGATAAGAAATTCTTGTTACTTTCTGTGTTTTACATTCTCTATTCTTACCAGGTGTGGGAATTTAGTTACCTGACCTGGAAGATGATCTCTAAATTTGCATATTCCAAAGCCTTATCTATTCAAGACAAATTACTTGACTCACTGTGTTATTTGGTTCAAAGTATTGCTGTCACTATGATTGCTTATGGCCATGTCCAGAAGGCAAAGGAAAATGGAGCAGCATCCTGCAGATGACTGAGGCCAACCTAATGCCCTATGCTCCCCAAAAGACAGGACAGAGAAAGATTATTTGGAGGCAGTGAATAAATTGCCTCAGTTCTCTGCTTTATTTTATAAGGGCAAAAGTGGCCTTTCTGGACATGACAGCTCTCGAGGAAAACTCAATGGTGGATATAAAGAATTTTCACTCAATTTTTTTCCTTTCTTGACCTTTATATCAAGCATAGCACAGGGAACATAGCAGAAAGAGTATAGCTTTGGGCTCTAGGGAACCTGGACTTGCATCTTGTCTCTGTAACCTACTAGCTATGAGACTTTGGGTAAATTATTATTTTTTTAAAAAATTTTATTTATTTATTTTTGAGACGGAGTCTTGCTCTGTCACCCAGGCTGGAGTGCAGTGGTGCCATCTCAGCTCACTGCAAGCTCCGCCTCTTGGGTTCACGCCATTCTCCTGCCTCAGCCTCCCTAGTAGCTGGGACTATAGGCACCCGCCACCACACCCGGCTAATTTTTTTGTGTTTTTAGTAGAGATGGGGTTTCACCGTGTTAGCCAGGATGGTCTCGATCTCCTGACCTCGTGATCCTCCCGCCTCAGCCTCCCAAAGTGCTGAGATTACAGGCATGAGCCACCGCTCCTGGCCTGGGTAAATTATTTAACCATATAAGCCTTAATTCTTGGTTCCTCAAATGTAGCAAGTGTAACTTCAAAACCTTGGTGCGTGAATTAAATGAGATTTACTTGAAATTTGAATAAATCATTAGGGCAATGCGAGGAAATCATGGATCTACAAATAAAAGTGTATGCCCTCTCACTCTATATACTCCTATACCCACTGCCTTCAAAACAAAAATAAGAGCCAAACCAGATAAACAAAAACAAGAACCCACAGTGGTGTCTCTGAGATAGTTCAACATGGTGATATTAATAGAAAGGCTTCATAATTTACTTAGAGGCCTTCTCTCTTTGTTGGGTTCTTTCAACAAAACCTAAATTCCTGCTTATCTGTGCCGCCTGGTAGATCCTGCGGATCCGTGGGAGCCACCATGGATTTTGATGCTGGCTGTTCCATCAGTGGTTCACTTCGGCATTATTTAAAACAAATTTCCAGTGTAATGAAGCCTCTCCCTTTTGTAAATGTAAATTATATTTCATAAGCCTGGGAACATGTAAGTTTGCCAAATCTGAAGCAAGACAGCCTTGATGACTTCAGTCCGTTCTCAGCCCTTGATTACAATTCGATTTCCTTTGGCATCAAAAGAGAAACTATTTTAGTGAACAATGTTCTTCCTTTAGCAAGAGTGAGCTCCGGTTACTTGGCAAAGGACCCGTTCATTTGCCAGACAATATGTCCAGCGTCTTAGCAATAGCTGAAACACTGCATTTGATTTAAGAGCAACCCAACGTGAAGAAAACAAAAGAAAGTATACAGCTCCCTGCAGGGTAGACATCAGAAAATTGGTTGGTTAACCGTCATTTCCCCATTGCTCTCTCAGGTGTGATTTTGTGATGAGGTTGCATTTGGGAGTGGGAGCTGTGACTCTCATCTGCCCCTCGACTGGGCATTCACGTCAGTGTGTGTCTACGTATTCTATTTTACTCAAAACGCTTTTTCTTTCTTCTGATGCTTTCTCAGAGTCACTTGATGATTAAAACCTCCTTTGTGCTTCCATCTCCCCAGCTAGCATTGCTCTTTTAAGAAGCACCTTCAGCTCTTCTGTGTATACTTCAGATTCTGCCAAGTTGCTCTCACAACAACTTTCAGCTTCTCTCCGACACATGAACATCTTTTCTTGGGAGTTCATCTGAGGTTTCAGTTTGGTCATATTATCTTACTTCATTACTTGGAGAGTATTGTTAACATTACTGGTAGCTGTAATTAGCAAATTGGCGCACCTCTCATTCTTCCAGGAGGAATTTTCCTTGTGTGTAAGGAGGAGTGAGGAGTATTACTGTTCTCTCACTAGGTGCAGAAAGAAGCCCTGGGACTCAGAGACTCCGCCTACTCCAGTTAACACTTTGCATTTCTTGGGCTTGAGAAAAAGCACTGACCACATATCCTTGTCTCTGGTACTTTCCACAATAGACCAGTTCTGTTCCAAAAAAGAGAACAGCTGTAACAACATGGAATTGTGAAACAGGCTGCCCTGTAGCAAGACAGAAATGTGTGTGCATCTATCTGCCTATGGGGAGTCCGTGATGCCTCTTACTGAGAAAACTATCTTCAGGCTCTGGAACCTAAGCATTTTGAGGTCTCTAACCAACCAGAGGTCTATGCTGATCCTTGGTTACCCAGAATTCTCCAACCACATCTGAGCTATAGCAATCTCTCTGTGTCCCAGATTCCTTCTGTGGTGTCATTAAAATTTGTCTTTTCTTTTCCCTCTGCTCACAGTGTTGCTCTTGCCTTGTCCATGAACTAATCTGATACTTGTATCAAGCTTAAGATATTAGTAGAAGCTAATGTATTAATGGTTCCCGTCTCATGAACTGTATTTGCATTTTAATAGCAGCCTACTAGCCTACTACAGATGTTGAGTTTAACCCCACAAATATTGCCTTAATTTGGTAAGAATTTTAGGCACCAAGACAGGACCTAAGGAGAGAAAAACATATTTTGAGGTTAAAAGGTGCTGTTGGCATTTAATTAACTATGTTGTACGGCATATATCAAAGTTAGTTTAATTATTTATTATCTAGCTGTAGCATACAAATAAAATTCTCTGAATTAAATGTCGGAAATGCCAGAATTGTATATATTTTAGTATCCTGATAAAAAAAATCAGACCATCACTTCTTTTCATGCTTAAAACTTTTACCACATCAATATCACTACTATCGATTTAATAAGAGCTTGGTCAAAGTGGATTTTATAATTTTTTTTGTTTTTTCATATTATAGTGGAGGATTGATTTCAACAGATACTATAAATTGGATGGGTTGAGGGAAGAGCTATTTATTAATACTTGATCATCTTTGTTCTCATTCTGACACAGCTGAGTAGGTCACCTGACATTTTGAACACCTCTTAAGTAGGGGTAATTTAACAAGAGCAGAAGATTTCATTTCTGACCTCTAGTTGTTTCTAATCTAGCAAAGACCTTAAGCAGATGTGAGAAAAAGAACTTAGGTGTTATGAAAAGCATGGTTCCATGAATAAAATAGACATGATTTCTAAGAAATGTAGTTGTGATTTAATTATCTGGGGAATTAGAAAAGATCTCTGTAAAATTATATTCTTTTCCAACAATTCTGCATATTCACTACAGAAAATTTGAAAAATACTGAATGGTCTGTGAAACAACATGTGAGTCAGTCAAAATCCCACTCTATAGTGATATGATTAATTCATTCTGTCCAAAAAGCCAGTTTACTGAGTACTTGCATCTGTAAAGTACAAGATGCGTGTGTACTGTAAGTCTGAGAGATCACTAAATATTACAGAATCGAGATGGTGTCATAGGATGCTACCATGCTTTTTTTCATATAGTATTCATGCATAAAATTTTCTTCTATACCATACAACTTTTTCCAAAAACACATGTCTCATATTTTTGTCCAAAGTGTCCGTTGGCATCATCAAAGAGGATAAAGGGAGAAAACCAAAAGAGCCAATCACATAAATGTTGGAAAACACCAGGTATAGTTAAAGCCACCCTTCTTTAAAAAAGAAATATAGTCAAAACCACACACAAATGATATTAACATAGAGAGCGAGGGTGAACTCTAATGGGATCTATAAAAAAATACCAGGCAGACAGCATATTGGAACATCATCTAAGGACTCAGAAGACGACAATATCCATGAACGTTATTAAACAGTTCACAAAAGAAATGCTTTCAAGTTTCTGAAATTCTTTATAACAATAATATTGTTTACAGCTGTTATTTCTGAACTTTTTTTTTTTTTTTTTTTAGCTAAAGAATCTTATTTATTTAAATGAGATACCCAGGGCCAGGGTGCAGTGGTGATATGGTTTGGCTTTGTGTCCCCACCCAAATCTCATCCAAAATTGTAATCTCCATAATCCCCACGTGTCAAGGGTGGGACCAGGTGGAGGTAACTGGGTCATTGGGCAGTTTCCACAGTGCATTTCTCATGATAGTGAGTGAGTTCTCACGAGATCTGATGATTTTATAAGCATCTGGCATTTCCCCTGCTTGCACTCACTCCATCCTGCCATCCTGTGAAGAAGGTGACTGCTTCTCCTTTGCCTTCTGCCATGATTATAAGTTTCCTGAGGCTTCCCCAGCAATGTGGAACTGTGAGCCAATTAAGCCTCTTTTCTGTATAAATTACCCAGTCTCAGGCAATTCTTTATAACAGTGTGAGAATGGACTAATACAAGTGGCATGTGCTTGTAGTCCCAGCTACTCAGGAGGCCAAGGTGGGAGAATCACTTGAGCCCAGGAGTTCGAGACCAGCCTGGGTAACATACTGAGACCCCCATCTCCAAAATAATAATAATAACTAAAATAAAAAGAACAGATCTTAAAAAATAAATGAAAGACTCCAATACAGAAAATTCAATAAAGGGCAGGGTTGGAGCTGTTGACTCTGGGAGGTCAACAAAACCTCAGCTCTGGTTTCCAGCCGGTAGTTGTAATAAATAGTGAGCTCAGCCTTACACCTTCATTTTCCAGCAGCTTAGAAATCGCCAACCTCCCTACTCCTTCCCACTCTGAGTTGTAGATCACCAATTTAGTGTTCTCAGCTCTTATGCAGGTAATATTCATATCTGGGGACCCCCAAATTCAGAATTTCACCATAACATTTGGAAGCACCCCTCCAAACCTCCCTTGGAAAGGAGGAGGGTGGAGGAGTGGACTCTCTGCTGATGAGGCACAAGCCCGCTGGGGTTTGCTGCCAGGCTGGGGACCCTGAATGTAGTAGGAAAGTGAAGTAAACAATACAAGCAAGGTCATATTGTGTACTCGGTTTAAGCAGGGCACTTTACCTGGTTTTGATATGTAATCTATGTAATCGATCCATTATTGTCTCTGTTTCACCAGTATAAACACTGAGGTTTGAGGAGGTTAAATACCGTCAGTCAGCATTGGAGGGAGAATTGGAACCCAGTACTGCCTCATTACAAGCTGGAGTTCATCTCACTAGTACCTCATATATGACTTCTTTCAAAGTCACTTAGGGCAGTTCTCTGCATTTGACCCATTTCCATTGTGAAGAAATTCACAATATAAAAACTGGATTTCAAAACAAATCTAGGACTTATGTGTGAGAAAAATCCTGACCGTGTGGCCTCAGGATGGTAGGACAGGCGTGATTTATTTTGTATTCGTGTGTGTGTGTGTGTGTGTGTGTGTGTGTGTGTTTACAGAACAGCTACTAATAATGTAAAAAAGAAACAAATAAATGAGGTTTTGTTAAGGATATATAGGTTTGTTAACTTTCTTTGTCCATACTTATAAACACACACACACACACACACACACACACACACAAACACACAAAGACATCACTAAATTCAACACATAAATGTTGAAAATTTGAAGTTCATTTTTTCTCTTCTTTATTTCTCAAATTTTCTATAATGAATAAATATTACTTATATAAATGAGGAGTAACATAAATATTATTTTTAAATAAAAAATTAGAACTCATTGTTTTCTCCCATTTCCTGCATAGAATAGGCCAGAATTGAGCATAGTTGAACCAGAAAATATTCCCAGCCAGTATTGACAGGATTTCTTTCGCTCAGAACTGGAATTAAACTGCATTAAAACAACAACAAAAATTGCCAGTTTATAAAACTTTCTACATTGCAGGCACTGTTCCTGGGCTTCATGAGGATGATCTCCTTTAATAATCCAACAGTCCTGCATGGCAGATACAACTATCTATTTTCATTTCATGGATAAGGAAACTGAGGCCTGCAAATTTGGTGTCTTTACCAAGGTAAAACAGTTAGTGGATGACGGAGGCTGTATCTGAACCCAACTTGACTGACCTATAGACCCTCTCTCTGACAATAAAATCATACTTCCTTCAAGGGACAGTAAGAGTAGCACCTAGATGATAAATGCTCCAAGGGGACCTGAATCCACTACATGTTCCTGTCTAGGAATGTGACATTTCAACAATTTGAACGCTTGTGCCCTAGGGTCCACACAAATGTTGAGGCTCTTTGCAAAACCATAGTTCCTCTATGAGAAGGACATTCTTGATGCAAGTAAACACTCAGTTCCAGCACATCTGGCACCAGTTTGCTTCAACAGTTCATTTCCTTCCAGGGTAGAAACCAGCTCAATAAGAAAAAGCAAAGCAAAGCAAACAATGTGTACATGCATTATTTTAATTTTAAAAATTATATATGTATAATATATTAAAATTATGTAACATATAATTTCTTAAAATTAAAGATCTGAAATTTGACTCAGGGAAGGAATCATTGGTTGAATGACTAGCATCACTTCCTTTAACATCTTGATAATGATTTAGAAAAGGAAAAGGGAAGAACAATGGTCTCACAATGTTGTTTTCCACGGGAAAGAAAGATTAAACACCAAACACTTATTCACCATGAATGTGAGAACGTATTTTTTTAAAATAAATCTTCCATGGTGGGAAAAATTCATAGTATTAACCAATGATAAATGAATGGAAACTGAAAGATTTGTGGGCACTCGAGCCTTGGACATGAGCAAATTCCCTCACGTGCATCTCTTCAACAGGCAGGCTCAGATTCTGGATTTGTCTGCAGCAGGATTGGTGGCTCAGATTCAGCAGCCATTCGTTTATTCAACAAATATGCAGACCACATTCCGCATGGCAGGTATTGCACAGAATACATTTGTGAACAAGTGAAAGTTTCAGCTCTCGAGGAGTTTAAGTTCTAGTAAGTGAAGCCAACACAAACAAACAAGAATATAAGATAAACGCACGTAGGGATAAATGCAGCAGGTTAAGGAGAGAGAGAAGGTAGGATTGGTGAGGGGAGAACACATTATCTAAGAAGGGATGGTTGGGGAAGATCTCCCCACCATCTTTTGAGGTGACTTTTGAGCAGGACCATTTCAGGAAGTGAGGTGTGTAAAGCTCTGGGGAAGCTAAGTCCAGGATGAGGACGTGGTAGTTCAAATGTTCTGAAGCAGAACAATGTGATGTGGTCAAGAGTGGGAAGAAGGTCATGAATGCTATAAGATCCTAACCTAGCGCTTCTCAAATGGGGTCTGATTTTCCTGCATTGGGTACATTTGGCAAAGTAGGGAGACACTTTCGATTCTCACATGGTGGGTGTGGGGGTGAATTCTATAGCATCTAGTGGGTAGATATCAGGGTTGCTGCTGAACATCCGCCAGTGCACAGGACACTCCACAGTCAAGAATGATCAGCCCCGTGTCACTAGCACCTGCAGTTGAGAAACCTTGTTTGAAACTCTCATTTCCAGTCTTTCACAGGCGGCTCTGTCTGGTCCTGTGACGACGAAGCCCCACGATTAAGGAGACAATTTAGACAGGGGACCAAATACAGGCTCTTGCCCCAGGTTGTATGCATCCTATCACGAGCAAGAGGGGTCACCGAACTGACCATATGTTCACTAAGTAAATAGGAAGGCATGGCATCAAAAGAACAGACAATGAAAAGTTTAATATGTAATCGTTTTTACCTTTATAAAGTCTTTAGTCGCTCCCTTAGGGAATATAAAGAACATCCAGTATAAATTTCTTGCCTGTGTGGAACCCTCTCTACATGGCCTCCCCTAATTTCACTGCACGGCATCACTCTGCTTCATATACCGTGACGCAACCTCCTCATTTCCATTTGCATCCTAAACATTCAGCACCAAATAGTGCAATTACCAGTTACAGGGTTTAATACAAACCAAGGAGAGAAACATAGCAAGGGGAAAGTAAAGAAGAACAGAGATAGGAAATGAGATGGGCCGGGGGAGGAGGATGCAGGGGAAGACATATAAGAGAGTGGGGCTGACCCGGATGACAGGCATTGCCGAGCGCAGAGAGCTCTGAGCCGTCCTGGTGAGATTCTGTTAGGCCAGAACCAGATAAATGCTGCACAAGGTATTGAGGAGAGAGAAATGGAGAGATTCAAAGGTTAAAAATTCTGGTTTTCATCCTATAGTGTTTTGAATACCTATCAAATGAAATGTGTGAAGTTCTGTGGCAAAAGATGTCCAGATCTTTGGTGGGATAGTGTATTTTGGGAAACTAGAAAGTTGTATTTTAGGCAAATTATAAAAAAGCCATGCAAGAGTGTGCACTTGTACCTTCGCATGCGCCCTTTATTTTCTCTATATTTAAACCATTTCAAACATGGTAACTGCATGTTCATTTACAATAAACCAGCTGCATTTTTCTTCGGGATTAAAAAGAAACGAGTCAACATTGGATTTCTTTTTCTCAGCCCTGGTTTCACAATTCCCTCCTTCAATTCACGTACCTCTAATTGCTACCTACTTTTTCCTCTCTGCTGCCTTTTCTCCTCCCTGCTACTTTTCTCCTCTCTGCTGTCACATTCCCTTTCTTACAAGTTTAAAAAGTGGAGACTTCGGGGGAGACATGATGGAGGGAAATGACGCCCTCAGGAACTGAAACTAGAAGAAAAGCTTGCAGGTTGAAAAGTTGTGCTCCATAAGTTGCATCCACTTAAATTAAGTAAACTATAGGGTATTAGTACATATAGATGGTCTAATAATTATGCCTTATATACCTGTGTAGAACCTGTGTATGAGATTTTAAAACTGCTTGAAAATGGAATGTATATGGTATTTGTGATAACGCCGATGATATGCACCTATAAGGAATTTCCCACTAAATATGTAAGTAATTATTAAACACTTTACAATGACACTCAGTGACCAGCTAAAAAGAGATCTTCCAGTGATGTGGTAGATGATTTCAAACCAGACATTATTCCCATGTGAAATAGTATTACGTATTTACAGCCGCATCTGTCTGGTTTCACAGCTCATTAACTAGACAGTGCAAGAGGAGATTGCAGTCTTAGTGCTTGTTACATTTACTATCTAGGTCTCTAGAGTAGACACATACATCCCAGCACGAATAGTACACAGTGCGGATACCTTCAAACACCCTTATCCATCTCACATGCTGATAAATGCCTCCTCCCATCACCGAGTCCATTTACATTGTCTAGAGTCAGGGGGAGCAGAGAGCACACGAATACATGAGATGAAGCTGTTCCTTCAGAATGGGACCAAGAAGCGAAAAATGGGCTCAGCAGAGGCCGCTTTATCCCCCGTCAGAGGATACAGGCTGGTGAATATGGAATGTGCTAAGATGCATCTGGCGCAAGGTTTAATGCTGGCCAGGAGTGGGTGGGAAAATAAAGCTGATAATGATCCCGTCTAGATTTTAACGGAGAGATTAATCTTGCTTCTGATTGGAAACATGGAGTGTAGTTTTTTTTTTAGAAGGCTCTCCTGGGACATGAACTTAACGTGGCAAGGGTCAGCCACATGTGAATCATCTGCCCTCGGCTTTGGCACACACAAGCGCTTCTGCGTCGCTGGGAATCCCTGAGAAGGTGAAAGGAAATGACCTGGTGGGTGCAGCTTCTTAGGGCTGGGGTGGACAGTGCACTGCTTTTCTTTTCCCATCAGTGTCTAAATTTGTCTCCATTGTTTCTTTTTTTTTTTTTCTCTCGTACTAAAATGGGACTTTGGCCCAGTGAGGGGCAACAATGTCTTGACGGAGAACTCTGTCCGTGGACGACAGGGTCATCTACATTGTCTGAACTCCATGTGCAACAGAGATTACACCCAGAGAAAACAAAAGAACTACGCAACAGAAATGTCCACGGCCAGTAAACAAGAGAAACGTGACCTCTGTAGCCGGCGTCTTCCTGCAGTGGTTGGAGTTGGCGAAAAATAATTGCTCTACTCCCACCCTACCCCCATCATTAGCCCATCCCGCGGGAAAGAGAATCCAGGGAGCCAGGGTTTCCTAAGGCTCAAACTCCTTCTTGGGAGTGGGGTAAAGACTTACAGAAGCTACGTGAGCGGAAATTTAATCAGCACAGTCTCTTTGCACTAAAGGGTACTCAAGTGGTTTCCAAGTATTAACGTAACTTACAGTAGTTCTTCTATTATGACTGGGAGAAATCTGACTCAACATATAATACAGTGCAGTCCAGTATTTTAATTTAAATGGGATATTAGACCTAACTAAAGCAATGGTAGTACATAAGTCAGCGACCCAGATGATATATTTACTGCTGTTCCATATAGCAAATAACTTTTCATTCATTCAACAAACATTCTCCTATGCCAGGCTTTTAACTCAGCAGTGGACTTAAATCCTAGTATTAGATCTCTCAGCTCCTTTGCAAATATGAGCATTTATGGTTTTAAAAATCATATATCTCCACCAGGCATAGTGGCTCACACCTGTAATCTCAGCACTTTGGGAAACCAAGGAATGAGGATTACTTAAGGAAGGCCAGGAGATCGAGACCAGCCTGGGCAACATAGCAAGACTCTGGGCAACATAGCAAGACTCTCATCTATGCAAAAAAAAAAAAAAAAAAAAAAAATTGTTTTAAATAACCAGGCCTGATGGCATGCACCTGGAGTCCTAGCTACTCAGGAGGCTGAGGCTGGGGGATCACTTGAGCCTGGCAGTTTGAGGCTGCAGTGAGCTAGAATTGTGCCACTGCACTCCAGCCTAGGTGACAGAGCGAAAGACTCTGTCTCAAAAAAAAAAAAAAAAAAAAAAAATCCCATATCTAAAAATGTGCCATTCGTAAAAGTTAAAAGGTATGCACTATTAACTTGTTTCAGAGATTTATCGCCAAAAAAAATTCTCTATAGAAGCATTTGGTGATTGTAATTTACAAGATGCAAAGAATGCAAATATTCCAGCCTTGTAAAACTGGATCAAGTCTCCTGGTACTTTTAGGATAGCCATACATTTCAATAACCTCTGTCACTATTAAAGTATTTTGGGAAATAAAAACAGGGACCACAAAACTGAGCGTGACTCAGACATACCAGCTGAAACTTCCAATATCCTGGCGTCTTACAGCTGCTGGCCCATACAGCGTCTTTCTCCTGTGTTTGCTGATACTATCATTCCTAAAAGCAAGTTGGAAAGGCTGCTCCTAAAAAGCTGATTGAAAATTGATAAGTTGAAAACAAAGAAGATGTTTATACTCTTCCCTAAAGTGAAATTCATAAAAATTTTACTGTTGTTTTTGTTGCAATTCAACTCCTTTCATTTAACTTATTGCACAATATAATTCATGAACCGAAACAATGAGGTTGACTTCCAACATCTGGGAGAATTGAAGGAAGAAATGACTGTGTGAGCAGGAGGTGATAATCAGGGAAAGAACAAAAGCTACCAAGATGTGCTTTCTCATATCATTGTTGAGGCTCATTTCAAAATCCCACGATCAAACTTCTCATCTTCATACCATGAATCACCTTTTCTGGATACCGCGGAAGTAAAATACTTGACAATGATGGTCGTAGGTCATTTTGCATCAACTTGTGCTCGTGTGCCTGCCATAATATTCTCTCTCTTTGATTTTTACAGAGGTATGTTGAATCTGTCATCATCAGCAATTTGTAGCCTCTTGACAGTTGGTCTGTCTTTGAGATCCAGAGAGGTGTGCAGACAAATACGAGATGATAAGGCCCAAGTTAAGCAGAGGAACGAGTTTAAAACATACAACGAAGTACATACCAGAGTCATTTTACATGGGTGTTGA
This sequence comes from Homo sapiens, assembly GCF_000001405.40. NCBI lineage: Eukaryota > Metazoa > Chordata > Mammalia > Primates > Hominidae > Homo > Homo sapiens. Next base: position 106,700,047 of record NC_000013.11, on the reverse strand, counting down.
AAGTTAAGCAACAACACCCAAAACCAAATTCTGTTGGTCTCCTGAAATCAGGAATAAGTGGTTGAGGTGGAATGCAGGGTTAGAGAGATTGAACGTCAGCCTCTTGGGGCCCCAGTGGATTGGCTTGTTCTTTCTACATCAACTTCATCCCAGGACAGAGAGAAGTACAGACCTCAGAGGCAATGAAATCGATATAGAAAAAAATAAAACACGCAACTTGGGAGCGAATACACACCAATATTTACCTGATCTTAGGGAAGGAAAATACTTTCTTAGACTAAAACCAACAAAAGAAACGATAAAGGAAAAAACTGGCTACATTCGTCTAATGCTTACAACGTACTAGGCATTGTTGTATAAGCTTTATAAATACCAACCAATTTAATCTTTCTAACAAAGACATAGGGTGCACACTATAAATTAATCTCAGTTTACAGCACAGAAACTCGAGGCAGTGAGAGATAATGCGACTCACTCAAGGTGAGATAGCTTACAAAGGACAAAGGCAGGATTTAAACCCAGGCAGTCTAGCATCTGAGTACATACCTTAAACTCTCTGCAACCCGTGCTTAGATTTTATTGTCAGAAATGTAAACATCTATAAATTTGTTAAGCAGGAGAACATAAGAAGGCAGCGGGTTATTATCTGGAGAGTCTAGATTGGTGGTGTTCAACTCTGGATGCAGAGAAAGTCACCTAGGGAACTGAAAAAATACCAATGCCAGTACCCCCAATCCAGGCCAGTGAAACCAGAATCGCTGGGAAGGGGCCTGGCATTCGTATACTTATTAAAAGCACCCCAGGTGATTCTTGTGCACAGCCAGGGTTGAGAATGACTGAGATAGGACCAGGGAAATGTATACCATTATTTTAATTTAAAAAAAATGAACAAGGAGTATCAACAAACCAATAAAAAAAATTTCAGATGAATAATGACAATTACTGTCACATATATCAACAGAGACATATGGTTTCAAAACAGAGTATCATTCAGTTTCCATCAAAGTAACAGCCAGGCGTGGTGGCTCAAGCCTGTAATCCCAGCACTTTGGGAGGCCGAGGCGGGTGGATCACGAGGTCAGGAGATCGAGACCATCCTGGCTAAGACGGTGGAACCCCGTCTCTACTAAAAAAAAAATACAAAAAAATTAGCTGGGCGTGGTAGCAGATGCCTGTAGTCCCAGCTACTCAGGAGGTTGAGGCAGGAGAATGGCTTGAACCCGGGAGGCGGAGCTTGCAGTGAGCTGAGATCGCGCCACCGCACTCCAGCCTGGGCAACAGAGCAAGACTCCGTCTCAGAAAAAAAAAAAAAAAAAGTAACAAAAATGCTTTTAAAAATATTTTGATAGTAATGAGACACCCTGTATTAGTAAAAGAAGCATGTTAGGTCTAAAATTTGGTACACACTTCCTAGAAGTTGTTAATAAATGATACCTTAAAACACTAAAATTGATTCCACTTCTCAGGATCTATCTTAAGGAAATAGAGATAGGCATAGACATTCAGGCACAAGCATGTCTGTAACAACATTATTTATGGTGGTAAAATATTGTTAACATCAAACATCAGGAGAGTAGGTAAATAAATTATTCGTTCATTCACACAGCAGAAGGCAGTGCAAGGCAGGCCTTACACAGCTCATGTTGGTCAGGAGCTATGCCTATGATGTACTATTGGGAGAAAAAAGATAACAAAACTACACACTATATATTCACAAGTTTGTAAATCTATAATTAAAAGACTAGAAGGAGGGGCCTGGCGCGGTGGCTCACGCCTGTAATCCCAGCACTTTGGGAGGCCGAGGCGGGCAGATCACGGAGGTTGGGAGATCGAGACCATCCTAGCCAATATGGTGAAACCCTGTCTCTACTAAAAATACACAAAAAAAATTAGCCGGGAGAGGTGGCGGGCGCCTGTAGTCCCAGCTACTCCGGAGGCTGAGGCAGGAGAATGGCGTGAACCCGGGAAGCGGAACTTGCAGTGAGCCGAGATCGTGCCACTGCACTCCAGCCTGGGTGACAGAGTGAGACTCATCTCAAAAAAAAAAAAAAAAAAGATTAAAAAAAAAAAAGACTAGAAGGAAATAAGCAAAACATTAACAATAGTTATCCCCATATTAACTTTTTTCTTATCATCTCTGTAAATTTCAGCACACTTGGAGGGGCATATTCCAACAGGCTGGGTGACCACTACTCTGAAAAGGTGAAGAAGTTGCCTTGACACTGATTAAATCATTCTGCTAAGTTCCTCAGATATCCTTCCTAATTCTGAGATCCATGACTTACATCATAACCCAAGGTCTAAGGACTTTCACCCACAGTGTAGGTAGGCAGAGGTGATATTCACCATGCCAAGAAGTTTGGTGAAGTATTTGCCTGCCGTGCTTACAAAGTAGCTTACAGGCCCCTTTTAGCTATTTACATCTGTTTATATGTGTCATGTTAGTGCTAAAGGATAAGAACCATATGCAGATATTTTCAAAAGTCTAGAAGTAGGATCCATGTCATTGGGTCACATTTCCAAACAACTTTTAACATATTTATGCAAGTTATGAATGTATGCATATATGAATTAGCACTGCATTCTCAAACTGCTTCTAATTCACTTTTATATGAAAATGCTGACTTATAAGTTCTGATATTTTAGACGATTCAGACATTTGTAGGTACATTCCTCCTACAAAAGACCTTTGTGCTTGTAAGATCAGCTGAAGCTCAGGATGTCTGCACATCAAGTGTTTAAGTGTTCTCCCCATTCCAACTCGAGGTCTGGGTCTTCCAGAAAAGTCTACCTGTAAACAAGTAAAGAACAGGAAAGAATATTTCTGAGTTTAAGAGACATAAAGAAATAGGATACATACATATATAAAATATATTATCTATTATTTCTATGCATTATGAAATATAAGATTATATATTAATACAGATATACATGTATTTTTGCTGAAATATATCATTTAAATAATCTTTCCTCCTGAAGCTGCTATTTCCTTCCTGAGGCTGTGCTGCCAGTAATAATACCCAATCAAGATTAAATAGTGGTCACCAAGCACAATTCAGTAGATTGAATCCAGATAAAATGACTTGCACAGTGGGAACAAAATTCTCCTCTCTTCAACAGGAAGCTGGAGCGTAGGGAGCACAGAGGGAGTTAGACTGAGCCAGTATGTATTTTGGACTTCTTTCCATGTTAACAAATGTCCCAGTGAGAGAAAGTTCATAGCCATCGGCATAAAGAGCCTAGAGGTAGTTGTTAGTAGGCTGCCACTGGTGGTCTCTTCCATTTCAATGGACACATCTGTGAGCTGATTACTTTTTTAGACCCTGGACTCATTTGTACAGTGGACCATGAAGACACAGAGATTTGCTAAATCTCCTGGCTGTGTCTGGCTCTGCCCTGCCCCCCGAACTTGATCCTGTGCCCAAGAAGCTGAAAAGTACCAACGAGGCAATGTAGAAAGGTCTTGGTAGGCAGCAGACATGAGGCCACAGTCACACATCGTAGTCACTGGTGTGAGAGGAGCAAAGCCACCATTCCCTTTACAGGTTGTTGCTCTTCATACATCAATGAATTAAGAAAAAGGAGGGCACACCAGTCTCTCCTGTGAAGTATGGGCAGTGGACTGGAGACAGGTTTGGATGCAGTGAGGCTCATAGTGCTGCCCAGCTGTGGGATAGAGAGTGCTGCAGCAGTGGGATGGTGCGATGACAGCAGGGTGAAAGCCTGGCACTTTGGTTAAAGATGTTACGCATGTGGCTTATAAGTGGTTTCTGGAGTAACAGGAAGTCAACCACACAAGCCGGTGTGAACAAATTTGTGTGAATATGCCTCATGGGGTTAAATTCCTACCTCACATAATCACCTACCTTGGACTGACTTCTCCTCTGTGCCCAGAAATTAGGTCTGTATTTGGGAAGATGCCAAAGAATCCTAAAATTATGCCCTATCCTCAAGGAGCTTACATGGAAGCTAGAAGGATAAGAACCTTGCTAGTGACGACACTGACAACCTAGCTGTTTCTGCACCCACCATCACCATTTCTTCCGTCTCAAAGGAAAGCAAGTGTTTCCCATTCTCCCATTCAAGACTGGCACTTCCACCCACGCTCCACACAGCATGCAAAGAACTGGGCTTGCTCACCTCTTGGCCTCTTTCCCTCCTCCATATCCACCTTCTCCCTCTCTATTCCATTTGTGCCCCCTACAAAATAAGAGTGTGTGCGCAAGTTGTTTCTTTTAAAATTAAAATCCCACCCTCAATCCCACACTCCTCTCCTCTTATCCCCCTCCCTGTCCTTCTCTCACAGCCTAGCTCCTCAAGGATCTCCATACCTGCTGGTGTCAGGCTTCTCTTCCGGCCTGCAACCTTAAGCAATGTGTCGGCTGTCCCTATTGACCCCGTAAATCTACTTTTACAAAGAAAGCTTGTTGGTTGCCAAACTGAATGGACTCTTGAGTTTGCACCCAGCATTGTACTTAGTGTGCTGGACATCTTATCTCCTTAGTGTGGACTCTCCTCATCTCTAGTCTCAAGATTCCAACAGGCACCTAACTAGTTCACTTGCATTCCAGTTATGCCCCTCTATCATCCCATTCTCCAGGCTTCTGCCAAATGACCCATCATCATTCTTCTTGCCAAATACCAATCCCACAGTTGAGATCTTACAGTGCCTCCCTACTGTCCAAAAGATAAAGTAAAATGCTGTTGGTGAACATTCATTCAGTAACTATGCATTGAGTGCTGTGCTGTACCAGGTATTTTGTCAGTGCTGGGGTACAGTGGTGTAAATGGACAGGATCCCTGACCCTGTGGAGCTCACAGCTCAGAGTGGGAGGCAAATATTTGCTTATTTATGAGCAAACAAAGTGCTGAAAGGTACAATTTCAAACTGTTTTGAGGGTTATCAAGGAAACAAATGTTATTACAGAAATTAAAAGTCTGCGGAAATGTCTTCAGTAAGAAATCATGGACATTTCTCTCTGAGAAGGTGGCATTAAAGCAAGAGCTGACAGATGAAACATAGAGATCCAGGTAAGGAATCAGGGAATGCGTGATCCAGGCTCATCTCAGGCTCAGACGCAGGATGGTACTTGGCATGTCCGAGAAGGGGCGATGGATGTGGCTGGACAGTTGAGAGGTAAGAATGGCAAGAGAGAAGTTGATGGAAGTAGCTGGGGGGAAATCATTCCTGGTCTTACAGGCCTGATTGAGGAATATGGGTCTTATTTCAAGTGCTGTGGGAAGCTTTTGAAGAATTATAAGCAAGGGAGAGACACACAATCTAATTTTGTTTTTAAAATAACCTTCTGGCTGCATAATGACAAAAGGAATGTGGAGCAGAGAGGAAGCTAGCTAAAATTGGTGATAGTCCACATAAATTTCAATGGCCTAAACTATGGAGGTGGCAGTGAAGATGGAAGAAAACAGACAGGTTCGGAGGCAGGGTTGCAGCGAGGAACCTGCACAGGCAGAAGAAGGAAGGGAGGGCCCAGAAATGTCTCCTTGGAGCAGCAGTGAGTGGGAATGCCACTTCTCAGATGGAGAAAATAGAGAGAAATAAATTTGGGGTGAAATTTAAGAAGTTGGTCTTAACGATATTATTTTAGAGATGTTTCATTTGCAACCTACTGTAGATAATTAGAAATACGAGTCAGAGGACAGATCTTGCTGAACATATATAAGTCGTCTACATATGAATTGTATTCATAGCCACAGGGAAGGATGGAATCATCTAGCAAGAGGGTGGCAAGTGAGAAGAGAATAGTGTACCAAACAGAGACATCCCAATTCTTTGAAATACACTGAGAGAAGGTGACAAAGAGAAGAGAAAACAGGAGACGGTGGTGTGAGAGGAGACAAAGGAAGATGATGTTTTAAGAAAGTAATACTCCAATATGTCAGTAAGATGAGGGTTAGGAGTTAATCACTCAAGATGATAAGGAAAGGGATGAATAAAGGAAGTGACAGCTAGATCAGAAGGATGAATAGATAACTCAGGGAGGCAGAATGACAAATGGTGAGTCTGTATTGGAAACATACAGACCCTGGCGGAAAACCAAACACATAAAGATTGAAGAAAAGTATTTTCATCAATAAATGAATCAAACTGTTTTTAAAGTTATAATAAAATGTCTGCCAACTTGTATAAGACTGATATTTTATATATTGCTCTTGACATTATAAATTGATAGAAAATAATTTGGCAGTAAATACATCAAAAACTTTGACCCAGTAATTGCACTTTTGGGAATCTAGTCTAAGAAATGAACCTAAAATTCTTACATGTCCCAAGCTGTTTATTCCAGCATTGTTTATAATATTAAATAACTGAGAAAAAAATAAATAACTGCAAACCATGAAATGGTTAAGTAAATTATAGTGTATTCACTTGAAACATTATGCAGTCTAAGAGTAATATAAAAAGTATTTATGATGTAATAGGAGGTAAATAATGAACAAAAACCTATTTAAACTCTGATTGCAATGTAAAAGTTAATCTATGCTTAAGAAATAGAGACTGGAAAGAAATGCACCCAAAAAACTAGAGTAGATGTATAAGGAAGGTCGAATTATAGATTATTGTTCCCTCTATTTTTTTCTTTTCTCTTTTTCTTTCTCTCTTTCTTTCTTTCTTTCTTTCTTTCTTTCTTTCTTTCTTTCTTTCTTTCTTTCTTTCTTTCTCTTTCTCTTTCTCTTTCTTTCTTTCTTCTTTCTTTATGGAGTTTCACTCTTGTAGCCCAGGCTGCAGTGCAGTGGTGTGATCTCGGCTCACTGCAACCTCCACCTCCCGGGTTCAAGTGATTCTCCTGCCTCAACCTCCAGAGAAGCTGGGATTGCAGGCACACACCACAGCACTCGGCTAGTTTTTGTATTTTTAGTAGAGACAGAGTTTCACCATGTTGGCCAGGCTGGTCTCAAACTGCTGACCTCCGGTAATGCACCCACCTCAGCCTCTCAAAGTGCTAGGATTACAGGCATAAGCCACCATGCCCGGCCCCCTCTATTTTCTATATTAGCTGCAAAGTGGTTTGTATGACTTTCATAATATTAATACAAAAATTTCATTAAGATTTTTGGCAATATTATTCTCTTTTGGCCTCATGGATAATAATTCTGTCATAGTTATCGTTTTCAATAAGAAGGGAAATATTAATATTTATAATGTTTATATCACGGTTGTGGGATTTTTATTTTAAAAATGAATGCAAGGCTATCTGTGCCGACTTATGTTTATTGCAACTCACGTTCCTTGGTTTATTTCATTTGGAAATATGCACAGCTGTGAGTTGTAAACGTGCATTGAGTCTGCTTGGGTAGCTGGTGACAATCTCTTGTAAGGTTGTCACTTTTGGTTTGTTTGTTTTTTTCCTACTTTGCATTTTCAGTCTTCAATGCAGTTGCCCTACTCCATGAACTGCCCCCCACCTCTTTAAAAACCAAAACCTCAGACTCCTTGGGACGTGAGCACAGCCCTCACTAAATCAATATTTTAAGAGCACAAAGACCACAAAGCTGTCAGCCCTACCTGAAATCACATCCGAAAAGCAAAGACTCAGGTGGCTTCGGGTTCAGGACAGGAGATTTTTTCTACTTTCAATGAATAATCTGAGCTAGCAGAGCATGGAGGAGCTTTTTCTTGTCTCCTATTCAAAAGGACACACCACAAATTGTGTTGCACTTTTCCTAAAAGACATTCCATCTACTGTCTAATTTTGGAGAGAACCAATTTAATAATTTCAAATAAATTCAGCCTTATTTATTTAAACTAGAAATTGCAGATGGGGGAAAATAGGGAAAGAAGCCTAAAAGCAATGTTTTATATTTCTATTCTTTTCTTTTAATGCTTTATATTTCTTATGTAAGTGACCCAGGTCGGGGAGAGAAATGTAGGCATATAAGGAAAAGGGGGGAAGCACAGCCAATAAACTTGGAGATAGTAGGAAGGAAATCCATTTTTTCAAGTCTGATCTCCAACTGGTATAACAGGTTTCTCCTACATTCTCGTTAAGCTGCAACATATTATTGAAAACTCTTATGTCTCACTCTTCTTGGAGCACAAAACACTGTAATGCAATTTTAAAACATGCTTTCTCCAAGGTGAAGGCTGACTGGCTCTGTGAATAGAGCAACCAAAAAAAAAAAATCTGATTGAAGCTAAAAATGACATAAATCACATAGAACTATAATTTGCAAAGTCATTGTATGAAGTAATTAATCAAAGCATGGCTGAATTTTAGGAGTTGAGACTTTGATCTGACAAGTAGAAGAAATCTGGTGAAACTGGTGGGATCACGCCGCTGCATTAGGACCTAAAATGTTTTTCCATGCTAGTCACAAGTTTAATTACTTCTTTTTTTTTCTTTTCTGTTGACAGTCCCAAATTAAAATAAATGGACCACATCGAGACAAATCTAGGATGCATGTAGTGCTTAAGAATATATTGTTCCTGGTACAAGAATAGCTTGAAACTCATGTTTAGATTTGCTCCTTTCATTTCTTTTAAACGGTGAAAGGGTGGAGGGAGGGATCACATGGGCAATGAAAGAAAGGGACCTGATGATTGAAACCGCTACTCCCAGGGATTGCTGGGGCGAGGTGGGCATTGCCTGTTGTGTACTCCCTTTATGCACAGCAGCGTGAAGGTTTGAAAGGGAAAGACAGCCAGGGGGAAATGGAATAGACAATGCCCTGTGGTCATGCAGTGTATTAAGCCAATTCCTTTCTAAGTGCAGGTAAATCGTTTTATATTTAGTGGCAACAATTGAACATATTACAAATTAATGAGGGGTCGGAAGCTTGATTGGGGATTGTCTGCCCACAAATTTGCCATCATCGTAAAAAGAAATAGACTACTCAAAGCTTGAGGCAAGGAACTATCTGTAGACAGCAAGCTGGAAAGTCCTGGACACGGTGCACAGCCAGACCCATTTCCAGGAGGCCGTTTCAGGATTTCCTCTCAGCCTTCTCAGCCCTTTCTTGAACTCCAAGTCAGCATTCTCACTTTCTCAGAATCCATCATCTAGAGAGTTCTCATGTCACTCGACCTTCTTGTTTTCAAATTTCCAGTTTCCTAGTATTTTCCCGAGACTCATTGTATCTCATTAGACTGACTTGGAAGAGAGCAGCAGTCCACCACGATGGTAAACAGGAAGAGAGCTGCCCCGTCAGAGCCATGGGCTGCTGCCCTGTGCTGTTTAGGCTTGAGGAGCAGAGATAAGAAAGTGAATCAGTACAGTCCCATGTTGGTGAGAATTTGACCATATATAGGCTCAACAAACATTTCTCTTTTTTTCCTTTTTTTATACTTCCAACTTTTATTTTACGTTCCAGGGTACATGTGCAGTATGTGCAGGTTTGTTACACAGGTAAACATGTGCTACAGTGGTTTACTACACAGATCATCCCATTACCCAGGTATTAAGCCCAGCATCCATCAACATTATTCCTGATGCTCTCTCCCTCCTCACACCCCCGCCCCCCACCACCCTCTGATAAACCCCAGTGTGTGTTGTTCCCCACCATGTGCCCATGAGTTGTCATCATTTAGCTCCCACTTACAAGTGATAAGATGTAGTATTCGGCTTTCTGTTCCTGCCTTAGTTTGCTAAGGATAATGGCCTCCAGCTCCATCCATGTCCCTACAAAGGACATGATCTCATTCTTTTTTGTGGCTGCATAGTATTCCATGGCATATAAATACCACATTTTCTTTATCCATTCTATCATTGATGGGCATTTGGGTTGATTCCATGTCTTTGTTATTGTGAATAGTGCTGCAATGAATATACACATGCATGTGTCTTTATAATAGAATAACTTATATTCCTTTGGGTATACACCTAGTAATGGGATTGCTGGATTGAATGGTATTTCTCCCTCTAGGTCTTTGAGGAATCACCACACTCTCTTCCACATGGTTGAACTAATGTACACTCCTACCAGCAGTGTAAAAGCATTCCTTTTTCCCCACAACCTCATCAGCATCTGTTGTTTTTTAACTTTCTCATAGTAGTCATTCTGACTGGTGTAAAATGGTAGCTCATTGTGATTTTGATTTACATGTCTCTAATGATCAGTGATTCAACGAACATTTCAAACATGTTTAATTTAAGAAAAAAAAACTTCCTCCTACAAAATGCTACATTTTCTTGACAAAACCATGTAAGGAACTGAAATGTTGTGGAATGTTATGATAGTAAAATTGAATGGCACAGTAGGAACTTGGCAATTCTTATAATCAGCCCCCTTCCCAACTCACTATAGAAGCTGTTTCAAAACTTTTCAACTTTCCTCAAACCTCCTCTGACCCATTCTCTCAACAGATGATCTGTCTCTTCTTTCTTCACAGAGAAAATGGATATGAGAAAAGAGAAATTCTCCCAACTTCTCATACTAAGCCAGGCTTCTTGTGTACAATGGCACACATCCTTTTCTTTCTTTTCTGGTTTATTGGGAAGATGCGTCCCCCTTCCTAGGGCCCTGTTCTCCTGTCCTCCAGACTTTACTTTTTACGTGTCTTCAAGACTTCATTCAATCAATTACTAAATGCCACTTTCCTCCACCATAGTCCTGCAAGCATTTAGGGCAGCTTTGTAAAAACATAAATTATGAAAAGGCATCCCTTCCTCTGCGCTCATTCAGTGCTGCACCAAGGCTGAAACTTAGTGTGGGTGTGCCCCTCACCAGGCACCTTATCTGTGTGATACACACCTGAGCCTGCCCTCCCCACACAATCATGAGCAGCCACCACCTACTCCATGCCTTCAAATGCCCATGTTTTATCAGGTCTGTGTCAACAACTTTTAAAAACATAAACCATTCACACTGAAAGAAACAAAGAAACAGAGAAAGGGTAAAAGAACTACCTCAAAATCATCTCTTTCTCTGGCAAATAAAAATCTGTGTCATCAGCAATTATTGTCTACGTTTGCCTCATCATCTTCTTCATCTTCCATTTTGTCTTCAGTCCACCACAGTCTGCCTTTCACCTTGGTTTCTCTACTGAAATCATTTCCACAAAAGTCACTGTTGTGACCTTTGGCATCACTTGTGTCATTGGCCACTCCTGCTTCTCAAGGTTCTCTTGATCCCCAGCCCCTCAACACTCCTAGCTTCCCAGCCGCCTCTCCAGCTGCTCCTCCTCAGCCTCCTTTGCACAGTCCTGCTGCTATGAGCCTCTTGAACATTGGAATATTACAACTTTCTGTCCTTGTCTCTTTTCTCTTCTCATTCTACTCACTGTCACTGATTGCTCTCATTTATTCCAAGAGTGTCAATAACTGTCTCTGCTAATGACTAACTAATCTAAATCTCCCACCAACGAGGTTCCAAACTTCAAACCTTTACACCCAAGTGTCCAATGGATGTCTCTACTTGGAAGTTCTACTAACACTTCCAATTCAGCAAAGCCCAGTATGAGACCTGTTCTATCTCAGTGAATAATATAACTATCAACTCACCTGTCCTTGCCAGGAACAGGGGCAGCACCTTGATTTTTGGCTATTTCTTTCCATCTCCCCCCACCCAGCCAATCAGCAAGTCCCATTCACTGTTTCCTAAGTGCCTCTAGACTCCACCCTGCATTCTGCATATGCTCACCACTGTCTCTCTCGAGAATTCTGTTTCCTGACTGCTTTCCCCACTTCTCTTCTTGCCTCTTCCGTTCCATTTTCTAGAATTATCTTTCTAAAACACAAACACGACATTGCCCTCTGCTGCTTACAATCCCTCAAGTGCTCCTTGTTATTTAAATATCCCATCCAAACCTCCTCAGAGCAGCTCACAGGCCTGCATCATCTGACTCCTGTTCACTCTTTCATCCTGATATCTCACCTTTACCTCCTCACACCAATTTCCTCACTCTTTTAGATGTGTTTCTCAAGCACATCTTACTTCATACTATCCTACATAATGCTTCGTCTGCCTAGGACATTGGCTTTTTGATCCCCACAATACTGCAGGTCTAAGCCCTACTCTTCCTTCATAGTTCAACCTGACCATCCCTTCCTCTAGAAAGCTTTTCCTGATACCCCCAACATCCTGCCACCTGTAAGTTCAGGATAGGTGCCCATATCAATTAAGGACATTTATTGTGTTCCATTAATTGTAAATTCAAGGAAGATTCTAGCATTAGTCATGTGAAGTGCAGGGCTTTCTTTTCCCCATGTTTCATGGACATTTCACTTTGGTGTGGATTTCATTCTTGTGTGAGCTTTCACTGGGCTGCAGGAATGATACCCAGCCCAGCTTGCATCATCATGGTCCATTGTCAAAGAATTTAATCACAATAATGGGAGAACACACTAAAATAAAACCAAATAAAAATATTACTGTAGTAGTCCAATAGGTATCTTTTAAGCTTTTATCTTTTAATGATGATAAATGTATGATGCACAAGGTCCCAGATCATCCTTGAAACCATCCCTCATCACCCAAATGCGACCATTCTTTTTATACCAATCATCTGGTGGTTTCTGCAGGTTTACTATGGTCTGGGTGACAAGACTTGCTCTGAGAATATGTCAGTAAATAAGACACTGCCGGTCTTCACAGAATTGACTGGAGGCTGCAGGACCACACAAAGTGTTGGTTGTTACAGCGGAGAAAATGCTGGATGCTACGGAGGCCCCTGGGAGCGGCACCAACACTAGCTTTTCAGGTAGAGATGAGGTTGACGAGGGAACCAAGCATGCAGGGTCATTTGTGCCTGTTATAGGGTTTGGAATTTATCCTTAGAGCAAAAGGGTGCCAATGAAGAGCTCTAGGACAGGAAGATATATTCAGAGGAGTTAATTTAGATCAAGAAAGACATACGGGTTCATAAATTTAAGCAAAGGCAGTGATAAGAAGGCAGTGAGGGCTGGAATGAAGTGAACAGATTAGAAAGGTGCCCAGAAAGATGAGTAGAGAGAGAAAGGGTCAACAATGCTGGGTGCGGGGGCTCAGCCTGCAATCCCAGCACTTTGGGAGGCTGAGGTGAGACACTCACTTGAAGTCAGGAATTGGACACCAGCCTGGCCAACGTGCGAAATCCCATCTCTACTAAAAATAGAAAAATTAGCCAGGCATGGTGGTGGGCACCCGTAGTCCCAGCTACTCAGGAGGCTGAGGCAGGAGAATCGCTTGATCTCAGGAGGCAGAGGTTGCAGTGAGCCAAGATTGTGCCTCCAGCCTGGGTGACAGAGCGAGACTCCGAAAAGAAAGAGAGAAGAGAGAAAGAGAGAAAGAGACAAAGAGAGAAACAGAGAAAGAAAAGAAAGGAGAAAAGAAAAGAGAGAGAAGGGAGGGAGGGAGGGAGGGAGAGAGGGAAAGAAAGTGCCAACAGTGATTTTCCAGTGACTCCATGGAGTAATTCACTGAGATTAAGAAGAGGGTGTAGTTGCAAGTTTCCTGTAATCCTTACAGTAGTACCAGAAGTTCTGGCCTCGACTCTGCAGGAGCCATGAAGAAATAAGGAATCGGGTTTTCTTTGGTCTAGAAACATTCCAAATCCTGATAGTAGCAGTGATATCGTTCTTATATTTCTATGAAGTAGAGGACAAAAGCTACTGAGCAAGATAACAAGAACAAAGGCTATCGAAGAAGCTGCAGAAATGCTACCTCTGGGATTCTAAAAATTGGGAAGGAAAACCATGTGATTCAAACAGTGAGGTTGACTTCTGTCTAGCACCAGAGGGCTGGTTTTTGTTTTTGTTTTACTTCCTTTCTAAACTGTGTGATTCAACAATTTCACAATTACATTATATGGCAGAAATCCTTGATCTTTCTTTCAGATCTTTGAAGTGTTTTGTTTTATTTTAATTCTTGTTCATGCCCAGAAAGTTTTCTCCATATCCAGCATCATCATTTTAGGAACAGAAACAAGGAATTTTGTAAGTTTGCATCGCAGGATAGCACATTAATGAAAGAAGGTCAAAGCTGTAAACAGCCTTGATAATGATAAATAATCAGGTAGAATACTACAATGAATGCATTTTACTTGAAGTATTTTGAATTATTTCTTCAAAACAAAAGAGTTTTAGGATGTCTGAAAATCAAGATAAAACTTTTCTTCATAAAATGTCCAGAGAACTGCCTACATTAAGAAATGAAGAGATAGCAGTGAAGTCAATAGGAAGCTTGTCTGCAAACTAAAAATAAAATGGAAATGATTCCTAAGAAGGAATAAATAAAACGTATCATGTAAAGGTAACGACATTCTGTATCTTCCTAACCTAGTTGAGTCAATATTTCCTCTTCTCTTCAAATGAAGAGCTACTTAAGAAAAAGTTTTTAGTAGCAGCTCTGCTATTTTCAGTCAGACAGCCAGTTAGTTATAAATGAAAAATGTATTTTTTCAAGTACTCTAAATTAGGAGAAAATTTGGGGGATGGGATTGATAACCTGACAAGAGAGAATGAATGTGAATCAGAGAGAAAGCATTGAAACTTAACAACAGACTATTTGTCATGTAGCTTTATTGTCTCCATATGCAACTATTAAAATAGAACAACGCAGAGACAATACATGAAGCTATAGCTCAAGTTCAATCTTCAATTATATGCTTTTTGATTATGTATTCAAATTGCCCCTCAACCCACTTCTTATTGTCGGAGTTGAGGATTTCTGGACAGAATCAGGAAACTTTATTGGAGCGACCGCTTAATCTAGAAGACTTTGCTGAGCACAATTAACTTTGCGTAGCTGCTCCCTGAAGCTCAGCACTCCCATCTGGCTTCACCCTGTGCAAATGTATAAAAGAAAAGCTTTCAAGCGGGAGGAACACAATGTGAAGGATGTCTTATTTTCGTCTATAGTCTCAAACAAAGCTTGGTGACACATTTGCTTAAAAACACAGTTTATCTGAGGGTATGTGTGTACACATGTGTGTTTAGGATTAAATAAAGGCTCAGAAGAATAACATACAATGTCTTCTAAAAATTGAAAGGACTGGTGTCTTTTTAAAGCATACATAGAGCTTGGCTAGCAAATGACAATAAATCCACCTTTCCCCATGCTGTAGATGTAAATAATTAACAGGGATGTAATTTAAAAATCTCTAGGATATCAAAATATTTCATTAAAAAGGAATATCTCATGCACGGTCAGGTGGGCAGGTTGACTTAACAGCCCCAAATAACCAGTCAGACTTTTATCTCTGAATTAACTGGATTCTTAGCTGAATTGATCCACTGTCCACTGTCTCGTACTTACAGGAAGACAGTCAAAGTCAGCTTTGCGATTATGATCGCCTCATATACGGCATCCTTTTGCATCCTGTATAAGAACTGCAGAACACTCCCAGAACAAATCAATATCAATAGCTAACATACATTTCCAAATGTTTTCCTTTCTAATTTATTTTATGCAATTCTTCCTTTTTCTTTTCCCAAAAATACCCTCTTCTCTTTTTCCATTTCTATTTTGAAAAGGTAAAAATATCTTTCAGAAACCTAGAAACTCCTTAAGCTTCAATGCGTAGTTAGAACTGTCACATTAAAGATAAAAGATGACACGAACAAAATCAATGAGTTTTAGAAAGTCAGTTGAGAAGATATCATCAATTTCAAGTACTAAGAGAAAATAAATTCTTCTTGAAAAGAAGCTACATCCAGATCTAGGAGGAAGGAAGAAGCTCTTGAGGGTGACAACTTTAGACGTTGGGAACGAGGGTTCCCGTTAGTCAGACATAACATAGGGCAGCCATCTGCAGCAGTGGTTCTCAAACCGCAATGTGGCAGAGAATCACCCGGAGGAGGAAGGGCATACTAACACAGAGTCCTGGGCCACCTCCTCAGAGATTCCGACCTTGTCCGTCTGCGAAGTCCAAGATTCTGCATTTCTAAGCCTGCAGATAATGTTGGTGTCACTAGTCTGAGGATAGAGATCTGTTCAACTACAGGACCAGCTCCAGGACCAACAAGAAGCCTGGGATGAAGCAATACAGACTCCTCTGCCCCAAGAGCCTGCCTGGTAGGCACCTCCTCACATAAGTGGTGTCAGTAGGAAGCAACTTGATCTCCTTCCCCCTGACTTCCTGGTGACCCCCTAAGGACTAACTCAGGGTTCACTCCAGCTGCAATCTTACAGTAGGCCTGGTGTCATTTTTCACCAAATGTCTTCCTCCAGGAGTACCTTTCCAACTGCTTTCTGAGAAGTATTGTGATCTAAGGGGAAGAGCAAATGATTTCTACAAAGTTGACCTGCTCTTGAACCCTTGCACCGTCTGTATTAGTTTTATGAGCTCAAGCAAGTCAGGTAATCTCTCCAAAGCTCCATTTCCTTAGGTATGAAAATGGTGGTGTTAATAAAAAATAACATATACCTAGACAAGGTCCTTGTGAAGATCAATGAGATAAAGTGAAAGTCCCTTTGAGGCTGTAAAGCACTCCAAATACTTCAGGGACTATTACAGATTCCTGAAAACGTTTTAATAAGGGGAACAAGGTTTTTTGGGAACCACGAAGAGACTTAAAATGCATAGTTACATGGAAGGCAAGTGAAAGAAAATGAAAGTTAAATAATTCTGTAAATAGACAAGTGTCATATCTGGTTATCTGAATGTTTCCTGTTTGGATGGTAAAGAGAGGTGAAAGTCTGAAAAGGCAAGAAGAGAAAGAGTAAATAAAAAGCGGGAAGAGGACTCTCTGATGACAAATCTTGCCGACCTCACAGCTGTGCCTAAAGACAGCTTCGTTAACCTTCAGTGGGACAGAGAACAAAGAGCAGCAGTGTGTGGTGGCACCAGCGGGCAGCTTCACGCTCACCATGTGCTGATGAATGCCGGAGATTTCTGTGCCTTCTCTGAGCACTTCACACGCGGAAGTCTGGTTCTAGAGAGTTCTTTTTTTGTTTGTTTGTTTGTTTTGAGATGGAGTTTCACTCTTGTGGCCCAGGCAGGAGTGCAATGGCAAGATCTTGGCTCACTGCAACCTCTGCCTCCTGGGTTCAAGCCATTCTCCTACCTCAGCCTCCCGAGTAGCTGAGACTATGGCATGGGCCACCACGCCCAGCTAATTTTTGTATTTTTAGTAGAGACGGGGTTTCACCATGTTGGCCAGGATGGTCTCAATCTCTTGACCTTGTGATCCACCCACCTTGGCCTTCCAAAGTGTTAGGATTACAGGCGTGAGCCACCACGCCCAGCCTAGAGAGTTCATTTTTGAAGGCTTTTGAAATTATGTAAATGTTCTTCTTTTAAAACCATATACTCATTTTAATAGGGTGCATGCCTCCAGGAGACAAATATTGTTTTTAAAAAAAATTTAATGATAATATTCTACTGCTAAACACAGCCTTGTAGACTAGAAATTACAAGAAATGGTTTCTGTTTCTGTCTCTATCTCTTCTCATTCTATGAATTTATTTATTTATAATCTGTTTATTATAATGTTTATCTCAGAGAGAGATTAGGAACTTTAGCCAATGTTTTTTGAACATGCAGAAAGTCCCTGTTGTAAGATTTAGAAGGAATGAAAATGACATTAATATATTACAAATAATCAAAACGTAGAAGCAAAAGAGATGACTGAGTTCCAGATGTTTCCATTACTCTTTAATTTTTTTTAATAAACTTCTAGACATTTTCTTTCTTGAGATAGAATCTTTCCATTAGGATGGTAATTTGCAAAGCAGAATCTTTGGGTTTCCTCAGGTTAGCTTGTTTTTCTTCTTTTTAAATAGATAAAAGTTCTGTGAACAGGTTATTTAAGGGGCCGTTTATCATTTGCAGAACATGCAGTCGACACAGGAAGGGGATCGTGCCCATCACATGTGTTTCGTCTTGCCAACAGAAGAGACCCCCTGAGACTTCTATCACAAGTCTGGGTCTGAGATCAGTTTCACAACTTGCTTTGAATTCATATGAGTCCTGACTGCTAAATTTGCAAATGCTTCCACATAAAGGTTATGCACCCACTGTACACGCAGCAGCTATTCAAAAAGATAGCCATATTGGTTGCTAGGAGATAGAGGGATCCTCTCAGAGAAAAATCAGTCCTGACAAAAAAAAAATTTTTTTTACATAAAGACCTTTTAAATATAAATACCTTTGACAGCAGCTATTATTATTCACTGAGTTCCTTCACATCTGAATAAATGGCAGAAAAATGATATTATTCATATGCCATTATACACTAAAGTGTTAAAATAGAAGAGTCTTATTTCCTTCTCTCACTCTTGCTCTCTCTCCTTCCTTTGTTATTGCTAAAGAGAAAGGAGAAAGCTGGTTTTTTGTTTCTTTCAATTGAATTTCTCTGCTTTCCTTTTTAGATTCCTAGTATAACAGACACCTCTCAAAACCCGAGGCCAAAGATTTGGATTATTGCATTTTTCCTTCCAGATCCAAATGCCTTTTTTAAAAGCATGGTCGAAATGGAGAAGAGAGAAGCACCAGCAAAACTGATAAGAGTGCAACCAACTGCTCCCCACGGTTAGTTCAGGAAAGCAGGTGGGAGGCTGTGCTCCTTGAAAGCAACCATCCACCCAATTTTATTTCAACAATGTTTGCAATTTTCTTCCTACTGGGTTGACTGGAGGCACAGCTGCCCTATATGTGGGTGCATGTGCTCAGCTTTTGCTAGAAATGACCTAACAAATAAAACATGAAACAAGTAATATACTTGCTGTTTATAAATTGTGTCGTGGATAAATGAAGCAGCAATGGGTCCTAATTCAGTGTGCCCTGCCTGCCCATTGAGGACTTGAGAAGCTCACAGCTGAGGCTCACAAAGGCACGCTGTGGCCACAATGTGGGGGCGGTGTCCATCCGTGCCTCCCTAGAGCCTGGAGACATGCAGCTCCAAGGCTCACAATAGGAGATCACTGTTGAAACACATTCATTACCATGAGAATGGCCACCCCAGACTCCAAGTGTATTATTTTTGTTGATATTGTGAATACAGTACAAAGTTTCTCAAGATTTTTTTTTTTGTAGCGTGCCTTAAAAATCAGACTGAGACATGTTTCCTTATCCAAATATTGACAAGCATCTCTCGGTTTATTTAGCATTTTCCTGTGAAAGGCTCAGTATGGTAATGTCCCTTCATTCCCTTTCACACATTTGTCCTGACTCTTGGCACCAGGAAGTTCTTATTGTTCTGCTTAATGCTTACTGGCCCAGTGACATTTTTTTTCCCTGGTTAGTGACAGACATGGTATGTTTCCTTCCTCAGAGTTCCCATGAGAGTTTCTCGTACTATGTTCCACATACACCAAAAAAGGCAACATATCTGTAAGTTCTCCTGTTTCTGGTGATTTCCTACTTGCCTTTTTTAACACCCCAGCCAAAGCCATGGCTAATTGTATAAATGTCAAATGAAAAAGCCCCTCAAAATTCAACACACTCCCTATAAACTCATGGCATGTGAATCTACTACCGAATTGTGGCAGCATCCCTTCGAGAATAAGCCAAGGAGGTTACATTCTGCCTCCTGATAATTATCAAAGCTCCAGGGGCTTACTTGAATAGACAGCTTTTTAGGTGTTCCTGATAACTCTAATTTTTAAATGCAATTCCTCAATTGTATGATTTACTAGTCACATAGCATTCTCTCTGATTGTGATGACTAATTATTTCAGATCACAGGCACTTTTTGCTAGAGCGGAACTCATTCATTCATTTCTACATTGAAATAAGAAATAAACACCAATGGCACTAACAGTAAACTTCCAGAACTCAAAGCCCCACCCACAGTGAACATGGACACCACCTGTCCAAGCCCAGAGTAGGAGAGTCAGGGCACCGTCTCTGTTTTGCTACTTCTATCAGTTCTCCTACTTTCCCTAGTGGACCCAGCTGTTCCTAAACCTGTCAGGTGGAGGAAACTGTGGCAGGGAATCCTGCTTTACGTTCTGAGTGGGAGGGAGTTGTTGGGGAGACTGACTTACCCATCCCAGAAGACACATAGGTGGATCCTTCACTTCATGGCTTCTTTTTAGTTTCTTTTTTTTTTTTCTCAAAAATATCAGCTCTGTTTTTGGTAGCAGAGTTTTTTTTCTTTTCTTTTCTTTTTATTTTTTTGAGACAGTGTCTTGCTCTGTCACCCAGGCTGGGATGCAGTGTTGTGATCATCGCTCACTGCAGCCTCGACCTCCCCAGCTCAAGCCATCCTCCCACCTCAGCCTCCTGAGTAGCTAGGACTATAGGCACACACCACCACACTCAGCTAATTTTTGTATTCTTAGTAGAGATGGGGTTTTGTCATTTTTCCCAGGCCTTGAACTCCTAGGCTGAAGCTATTTGCCTGCCTTGGCCTCCCAAAGTTCTGGGATTACAGGCATGAGCCACTGCACCCGGCCCTGGAAGCATTTTGATGAGAGAAAATTCCTGGGGGTGCAGGCTTGGACCACTAAGGATTCTGAGCATGATGATAGAACCAGAGGTATGGTTCAGACACTTGCCAGGTCCAAAGGGCCATGAGCAACTCAACCTAGGTTCAAGACCACACTGGTTCACATGGACTTCGGAGGCAACCCCCAAGAAGCAGCGGTGCCTGGGCTCAGCACCCAGCAGGGCTCCAGGCCTAGGGAAATGTGGCTGGGGGCTGCACGGACAGGCTACACTGAGGATATAGGCGTATCATAAAAGCATAAGGGAATGACTTGTAGTGTTGTCCAACATCAGCGGCAACCCTCAACATGCCTTCACTGCCTCCCACCTCCTCCCATCCACATCCAAGCCATCGAGAGCCTGTCTTCTCTAAATGGTAAACCAGCTGCATTGTACTCCAGGGTGCAAGTGTCCAAGGCACGATGCAATCATCCTACTTTTTTCCTACGTTCTTTTGCAAATTACACTCCAGGTATGATTTATTTCTGGTCCATTTCCTGTGACTCAGTTACACAGGATGCAAAATTATGATAATAATAATGCTTGTCTCCAGATAATGAATAAGGGGTTCACATTTCTCATCGCAGGGATGTTATACAAATGTGCAGTATCATTACAGCTAAAATCCATGACTAAAGAAATTAAATTTCCTGGAATGTTTTATATCTAACAAGAATGTTTGTAATCCTCCATATTCACTGCTAAATGAGGTAGACTAGAAAAAAAGAATATATTTTAAAAGGAAGGAATGGGCTCAATGGGAAAAATTAACAAATGGGAAAATTGCAGCCCTGCGTTTTATACTTTATGGACAAAAGGGGGCTTGGTAAACATGCAACAGGAAACCCTGTTTGATTTCTGCAAGGAAAATTTAACTAGCAACAGACTCATGCAGAATCTTCAAAGGAGCAGTTTCTCTACTTGTTTACCTTTTGATATGCAGCTTAAAAGAATGCTATGCTTCACTTTAGAAAGAAATGATATCATGAATACTTTACTCAGCTCTGCAAACAACTAAATACATAGCTAGATATATAGCAAATGAAAGGTTTTGCCATTTAAAAAAAAAGCTGGAAAGAAAAGATATACAAAATGTTGGGGTTGGGAGGGTGGGAGGGTGACATTTTCCAAATTTAGTTCCCTTCATTGTTTCATAAACACATGAGACTAAAATTCAGGCAATTTTTTGTATGTCAATCAAATGTAATTTGTCAACAGAACCTATTGGCTTCCATCTCCCTTTTTGTTATGAGGTACCACCTTCTGACTTTGTGAAATCAGAACAAACAGAAAATCAGTGTCTAAAAATCCCATACACTTGTGGAATCGGGCACATCAATTTAGAGGTATTTCCTCCACACAGCTAGTCAGTGGGGTTGCTCAGGCTATCAGCCCAACCATCCTGCCTCATCTTCATCAGAGCCCAGAGCCGAATACAAATTCCCCGTTGAGCCTTTACCTGTAGAACTGCTAGAACCACAACATCCCAGCCCATTGCTGTACTTGCTGACAGATGAAGAGGTGATGGTGAGGTAGAGTGCAGCGGACAGAGTTTGCTCAAAACTACACCTTACACCATCAGCTCCCTTACTTGTCACAATCACCTCTCACCTTTCTAGCTGGGAAATGGCTTCCCCAGAGCAGTTCCTGGTCATGAAGCCATGCTCCCAGTCCATCTGCCTTTATCTTCGCTGGACCTCATGCAGGTGAAGTGCTGTTTGCTGTTTGTTTGTACCAGACCCTACACATGAAGAGGCTCATTGCCTGACCAGCCAGTGCTGAAGGGGGCTGTGCATACCTCAACTTCCCTGGCCACATAAATCATGCAGGATCATGAGGTTAAGCACCTCCACCTCCCATGACCTCACACTCTTCCCTCTCTGTTACCTCCAAAAGTAGTTCCTGGGTCCTCGGACAGATGTCTCCTTCCTAAGATCTGCCAACATGGATAGCACCTAGCTTATTCTTTACAACTCCCATTGCATTGACCTTTACAGACAGATCAGGAGCTTCCTAAGTGAGTCTCAATGTCTGGAACACTCTGTGATGCACTTACTTAATTGCAATAAAGCTTTCACCTCTATAATCAAATCAAAACAAGGTTTGCTCAGGACTTACCTTGGAAGGATAGGCTGGGGAAGCTAAAGAAAAGAGGTGAAACAATATATTTTAACACATTCAACTTGAAGTAATATCCAATTCATTACATTTTGTTTGTTTGTTTTTGTTTTTGTTTTTTTGGGGACAGAGTCTCCCTCTGTCACCCAGGCTGAAGTGCAGTGGTGTGATCTCGGCTCACTGCAAGCTCCACCTCCTGGGTTCAAGCAATTCTCCTGCGTCAGCTTCCCAAGTAGCTGGGATTACAGGTGTGCACCACCATGCCCAGCTAATTTTTGTGTTTTTAGTAGAGACGGGGTTTCACCATGTTGGCCAGGCTGGTCTTGAACTCCTGACCTCAGGTGATCCGCCTGCCTCAGCCTCCCAAAGTGCCGGGATTACAGGCGTGAGCCACTGTGCCCAGCCCCAGTTCATTACATTTTGTATTGTATTATTATAATATATTTCAAACCTATAGAAAAGGTAATGTAACACCAAAATGTAACACCCAAATGTAGAGGTTAAACAAATATTATCATTTTGCAGTATTTGCTTCAGATCTTTTATTTTTAAGAGATTAAACTAAACATTATAAATTAAAGCAATGACCTTCCTTTCTATTATTTATTTCTCTCTCCCCAGAGGCATCTTATAATCTGAAAGTGGTGTGTAACATTCTCAGACTTGTTTTGGTACTTCACCTGCATAAGAAACTCTTTTTATGGAATGAGTGCAGTATACACATCATGGAAAAGTAATTTAGTTCTGTCTTAATTCTTCACTAATTTCCACTAAAATAAATATAGAACAGATTCAGAAAACTGATGTGTATGAAGTCTATACGCTATTGCTTCTGTGTTACAAATTTACACTACTGTTTTATGCTGTTTAGTTGCTTTGTAGCTTGCCTTTTACACTTAATTACATTTTTTAGTTTGATCCATGCTGATCTAGTTCTACATATGCTACATACTATTTATTGTATTATGGGATTAAATCGGGGTTTTTTTGGCCATTACACTAAAAAGTTATGTTTAAGTTGCTTCTACTTTTTACTACTATATACGATGCTGCAATGATGATCATTTTGCATAATCTTCTTGTGCATTTGTGTAAAAGTTTCTCTAGAACAGACACCGATATGGTTTGGCTCTGTGTCCCCACCCAAATCTCATCTTGTAGCTCCCATAATTCCCACGTGTGGTGGGAGGGAACCGGTGGGAGGTGATTGGATTATGGGGGTGGGTCTTTCCTGTGCTGTTCTTGTGATAGTGAATAAGCCTCATGAGATCTGACAGTATTATAAGGGGGAGTTTCTCTGCACAAGTTCTCTTTGCCTGCCGCCATCCACCTAAGATGTGACTTGCTCCTTCTTGCCTTCTGCCATGATTGTGAGGCCTCCCCAGCCACGTGGAACTGTGAGTCCAATTAAACCTCTTTATTTTGGAAATTGCAAAATTTCCTGGGTATGTCTTTATCAGCACTGTAAAAATGGATTAATACAGACACCTAGAAGTGAAGTTACTGAATCAAAGGTATAGGTAACTTCAACTTTATTCAATATTATTTAGTTTCTCTTTAAAGAGGTGGTACTACTTTGCAATTTTACCAGGGATGTATATATATTCCTGTTTGCCTACCTCCTCATCTGCCAACAGAATAAATGTGAAGCTATTATTTTATTTTGCATCTCTCTAAAGACTAGTATGGTTGAACAGTTCTTGGCTTTTGGTTCCTTCTTTTATACTATTTGCCATTTTCTCCCGTTGGGTATTTAAATTTTTCTTATTCATTTTTAAGAGTTCTTTGTTTATTCTAAATACAAATCTTTGCTCTATAAATTGCAAATCTATTTTACCACTCTGGTTATCTAATTAATATTAAGAAAAACCAGTGCTTAGTATAGAGTTGCAATATGAAAAACAGATAACTTATAAAAATGTAAAAATATTTCTTCTTTGGGTAAAGAATTTTTTTCTTTTCAAAGCTGAGCATAAGGCTACTAATGTTTATCTGAAACATTGTATTGTATATACTTCTGAATATTTTCAAAAGTCTTTAATGTTCACATCTTGGCATCTTACTACTATTTACAAATACTGCTAAAATTGATTTATACAATAAAAAGCAGATTCCAAGTCTGTTAAGTCTGAGTTTGAAATATCATAGAATGTCAGTGGGATATTCTTCAGCAACTACTTATCTCAGAAATCATTTTATAAAATAAATTCTGTCCTTGGTGACATAATTTTTTCTATGCCTATAGTACCATGGAGAGCTTCATGAGAGAGAAATGTATATCTGTGTACATATGTGTATATTTGTATATGTCCAGAGAGTATCTTTATTTTAATCTTACACTCCAATTGATAAATTAAACTTTGAGGAAACTCTTTTTATGGAATGAGTGCAGTGTACACATCATGGAAAAGTAATTTAGTTCTGTCTTAATTCTCCACTAATTTCCACTAAAATAAATATAGAACAGATTCAGAAAACTGATGCTGAGGACAGACTTAGTGAATCTGTTGAGCCTGTGGCTGGAAGTCTAAAATATTATTTTGAATTAACCCATTAACTCATTAGAGATAATTCTATCCAGATTTTAGTCTGTATTTATTCAACAGATTTATTGTCTGTTTTTCTTTCTCCGAAATGGGACCCATTACATCTCTTTAAAGCAGTGTCTTCCATATATTTTACCATTTTTATTTTTCAGAGTACCTCATATACTAATTATTGAGTTATGTATCGTGTAGTCCTAGTTACAAAGCCCAGATTTACTGTATGTCCATTTTAGTGAGCAAGTTTGTACATATGCACACATATACATTGTGTCAAAATGGCCTTTTAAAAAGATGGCGATTATACTTTCAGAAGTACCACACTCCTTTACACACTACTATAGATTTATAAGGATTTCCAACCTGAAATTGAATTTCCCCTTATGACTGGATGTACTACAACCAGTCACAGGCCACAAAGCACCCTACCTCATCTCTTAGTTCATTTGCAGCAGCAGAAGGGCTAGATGGTCTTTACTTTTCAAAGCAACAGTAACAAAATGAGGAACTGAGCCTCCGTTTTATACTTGGACAATCTTGGGTTGGGATCTTGCCTGTGTAACTCAGTTGGGATTTTCATAGAACCACTTAGTAATTGTTAATCCATGTGATAAGCTTAGAGTACCGATTTTAGAAGATTGTTTTGGGATGAACTGTACTGGCTAAAAGCAACATAGACTAAGTACTGATAGGGCTGTCAATCACTTCTCCCCCAAACCTCCATCAATGTGATGGCCAGGAACTTGTGTGGGCCACAGACTCAAACCTGAACTTCTGCCGAAGATATCAAGAAGGAGAAGCCCTCTATTTACTGAAGTCTCTGACTGTAATAACTTCCACAGCCACCGTAGCACCACAAAAGGAAGGCTTTTCCAGGAATTAAACCAACACAAGGAAAGCCCAGACAGAGAGGGAAGGATGGGCTCATGATGTTTGAACCTCTGATCTGTCTATGCCTTGAGCCAGCCACACTGCAGGATGCTGTTGCTCCAGCAATTAAATGTCCTATTTTTGTTTAGGCTTGGGTTTCTGTCCTCTTTTGGGTTTCTGACGTCCACAATGCCATCCTAACGTAACTTACATTGACCAGTTCTCATCATCTCCACTAGAAGCCAGGCATTAATCAGCTCCTACCAACTCCACCGGATGCCAGATGAGTCCTGTGAATTCTAAATGGGGAGATGATTATCTGCCAAAACACAGGACTTTATAACATCTGCAGTCAAATTTTGAAGTCTTCACAGCCTCACATGTGCTACCAATTCCAAAATTTTTCCTAAGCATGACCAGTAAGCTCACTCTATACACTGTAATATATCTCAAGGAATCAGATCTTCCAATGTGTAACAATAGGTAACATTTTATAGAGCCAGATAGTCTACAAAGGTTTTTCTATGCTTTACCTGATCCTGCATTTCCCGTTTCTGTGTGTGAACCGATGCGTGGGTAGACAGTTATCTCTCTCCTTTCAATATGAGGAAACTGAAGCTCAAAGAGGCCAAGAACACAAAGCAATGGTTCTTGAGTCATCTGACCACCTGCATTTTTTATTATATTGGTTTGAATCCTAAGAAATTGCCATTTTTTAGGTCAAATCATTAAGTTCATATGATCTTCCCTCCACAGTGTTGTCTATCTCAGGAACATTTTAGTAATAAGTGACACACACTGACACAAACTAACCTAAACAAAAATAGAACATTTAATTGCTGGAGCAACAGCATCCTGCAGTGTGGCTGGCTCAAGGCATAGACAGATCAGAGGTTCAAACATCATGAGCCCATCCTTCCCTCTTTGTCTGGGCTTTCCTTGTGTTGGTTTAATTCCTGGACAAGCCTTCCTTTTGTGGTGCTACAGTGGCTGCTGGAAGATATCAATTCACTCAGTTATTACAGTCAGAGACTTCAGTAAATAGAGGGCTTCTCCTTCTTGATATCTTCGGCAGAAGTTCAGGTTTGAGTCTGTGACCCACACAAGTCCCTGGCCATCACATTGATGGAGGCTTGGGGGACATGCGATTGACAGCCCTATCAGTAATAGGAGGGGAAGTTTCCAAAATTAAAGGAGAGTTCTGTCTCCAGAACAAAGGTGAACAAGAGCTGCTCGGGCAAAAATAGCACGTGGTCTGCTGCACATGAAACACCCAAATCTATAGAAAATCTAATACTCTCCCCAATGCTACAGTTACACTTGATTACAGAGAAAATAAACGCAGCATAATAAACAATAAGACAGAGGGAAGTTAATGAGGTAAAGACCAAGTTAATGATAAACCCAACAATGAACAATCTGGTTAACTACACATTAGAATTGATTTCCTTCTAAAGTTTAAGAAACTTGTTCCCTTAATATTGATGATATTTTGTCCACAAAGTTTTAAAAGTTCAAGTTCATCTCTCAATTTCTTACAATGACATTGGAAAATTAAATAATATTCATCCACTGAACCAAAGCCCATTGTGTAACTCAGGTTTATATTTGCATATTTCTGCTGCCTCCATTGCCCCAAATTTCAGTCAAGCAGGAAACAGAACAGATTTCCGGTCAGAATCAAGCAAACTACATACATCTACCCTACAAATTATATTGGCAAAAATAAATAAGAAGGGACTTATTGTGGCCATCTGTAAGATGACTTCAATAACTAGTAAGGCAGAGAGTTGAATTTTTACAATGTGCTGTTGGGAACCATATGAAATCCTTTATAAACCAAAATTTATATTTAGACTTGGAAGAGCAAAAATGAGTCCAGACTTCTTTGATAACCTCGCTTGTCAATGAATAAAGGGTTGACCCTTTACCCCAACATATATATTATTTTTAAAAATAAGTCTTCTAAATATGCACACCATTTGCTAATATATCTTAAGGCACAATATACAGATAAGGAATCATTGCTAATAATAGTGAATGTCTTTTATTACGTATGCATTATATAATATTATATATGGGATGAGAAGTAAAGAAAAGGGATGGAGGAAAGGAGAGATTGGGAGAGATTTTTCCTTGTTTGAATTTTGGAGGATCAACCTCTTGGTCTTGAATAGGTGATCATTATTACTAGTATTGTTGTTTTTTCTTTAATAATATGACTGATGAAGGGCTCCGTAATAGAAAAATGGCTTACTTGGCAGCTTGCTTGTGTTTGCATTATTACTATTAGCTTCATTCATTGGTTTCTTTTCAGAAAACTTTAAATTCCTTTTACGGAGCGTTAATTTAAAATAGATAATATCTGCAGAACCCAGCACACTCGAGCTGTAATGAACAGCAACCTTCTGGAAAGGAGCCAGGCTGCATGGGCCTCGCCTGCCCCACACCTCAGGCACTGCGCACGGAAACCATGCGCCATCCAGTGCAAGCAAAGGGAGCGCATGGTGTCAACAGATATGCTTCACATTTCGTATGCTCGATTTCTCTCATTTTTCAGTGATCTCATGCTTTACCCCACACAACAATAAGCCCTCCGGAGCATCGCTTCAAGCAGACACAGTCCACTGCAGACCACTCGACATGAAGCACAGAAGACTTCGGGACAGGGCTGGCCTGAAGCTTCGTGGTCCCTGTAGAAGAAAATTATGCTCTCACTGTGTAAAACAAAACAGTACGATGGTGACACAGTAGGAAAGCAAAAGAGAAAATTTCAATACTAGAAAGCTTACTGATTTGTTTCAGATTGAATTATTAATACTCATATGATACACCTAGAAAAAATAGTATCCAAGAGTACTAGTCCTATGCCTTAACAACTATCTTTTAAAAATAATTTTAGAAGTATTTTTGCAGAATATTTTAACTGAATTTGCTATTTTCATTCCAAAATTTGTCGTTTCTTTGATCAATGACTAATTACGTAGAGCAAAGTTCTTCATTTAAATTCTATGATATCTGATCTTGCTAAAAATACACCAGAAAAAAAATGCTGGGCATCTTTCATTTTTTATTTTTCATAAACCTTTCAAAGTATTAATATAACTTCTGATGAGTATTCTTTCAGAAAGAAAGAATTATATAGTGCAGACCATATAATTACTAAAATGAAAGATGAAAATTACTAGTAATAGTAATGAAATAGTAAGCGTTGTATTTGTGTGGAAATTAGTAATTTCATCTTACTAAGTAATTTCAACTGTATTATGATAAAACTTTAACATCTCCATGTTTCATGGAGGACAAAATGAAGCAATTTCCATTAATGAATCAAGATACATTTCCCATTTTAAAACACAAATGGAGTAAACTGTTGGTAATTAGACTCAAAACTATTCAATCAATTCCTATTTTTGTTAAATAATAACACATTTAGGGAGAGTTAAGAATCTAACTGCTTCTATTCTTTTTACCATGGCTCCTGAAATCTCAAAAGCATTTCAAAACGTCTACTTTACCTCCCTAAAGATGGGTATAACTCACTGTCTTATGAACAGAAGTATTTTTTTGAAATTTCTATCTAATGTCCTTGAGAAATAGAATAGCCACAAATTATTACAGCTTCTAGCATTTCAAGACACTCTGCAGAATAACTGCAAAAATATCAAGATTCAGAAAAAATTATGAATGACTCAGTTTGATTTTCAGCTGATTCAAAATCTTGATAGTATTTAAGTTTACAGATTATTTAATTAGCATTAGGCAAAAAAAAAGAGACATTACCTCGCCATGTTTCTGTTTTTCCTACTAAAAGATACTATGTAAAAACAGCATAGTAAGCACTGAAGAGTTTTAAATACATTTGCAAAACCTTTTTATTTCAACTATGTTGAATTTTAAGAAAAATGTATAGTTTGTATAGTTTGAATATCTGCAATAATAGTGTTTTCTGTGCAAAAAGAACAAATGTAGAGTGCAGCTGACAGATTAAGTTCTATTTCAGGGTTCAGTTACAAGTAAAGAAACAGAGGAAAAGGAAAGAAAGGTAAAATTACAGAATGATCGTGTGTTCCAAAGAAATCCATCATCCAGCGTTTTCTGCAGGATATCAGTTGATAGGATCAAAAGATAAAAGCCTCATTTGACAATTAAATCTCCTAAATAGGAAAACATTTTAAGTGCCAGGCAGAATCCAGTTTATAAATGCTCAGATGTGCTCCAGATTCTGTCCTCAGGACATCTAAGTTATGTGTTCTTCTAAGGGGAATCTTAAAAGGAATAGTTATTGAAATGATATTATACTGAATTTTTCCAGACTTTCATTATACACACTAGATTCTCCTGTGGATTATGTTCCCACACTCAACTGACTACTTAATGCTGGTCCTACAGTTTTCTTGTCCTGACATCTAAGTTGCCTTAATTGTAAAATGGCTTTCGTTTGTTTTTTTTTGTCAAATTCAAATGTGAATAGTCTTCCAGTATTTGCCTGCCTTTTACTAAATAATAGAGACCCTGCTTGGCAAAAGGACTGTTAATTATATTGTAAGAAAAATAGCTGAAGAACTTGCAAATAGAAATGAAAAGACTTAAGGAGAATGTTATAGTTATGTTGAAATACTTGAAGGATTGTCAAATGAAAGAGACACATATTTATCTTGTTAACTCCAGAGAGGTTGACTGTGACTAATGGATGACAATTTTTAAAAGTAGTTTTTAGTCCAAAAGAAGGGAAAAGACTTGAATGGTAATGGTAGCCCAGGAGTAGATGGGGTGGTCTGGTAAAAAATTAAGCAGAGATTGGTTATTTATGGAAGAAAAATAATGCAGAAATCTCTCAACTGTGAAGAAGTTAATGAATCTAGATAGTTGCTAAGGAAACTTTCAACTCCAAGAGTCTTTGATTCAGTGGTTTTCTTCCAGTCCCTCGTCCCATTTACCTCCGCCTGATGCCATCTTCCATCATACCGTTATCAGATAAACTGTCTTGTAGAGTACTTTTTCTTCCTGTTTATTGACCCTCAAGTTGTCTTCATTTCAGACTCTGATACTCTCCAAACTACATGATCACAAGCAAATTTCTTAACTGTTGAGATCTGCAATATCCTATCTACTCATGTAAAGCATTTAGCACAACTCCTGGCACCTAGCAATTACTAATTGTTTGCCATTATTAGCCATTATTATTTGTACCCCGACTCTCAAATCAGCCTCTCCAATGAGGCATCCACCCACTAATCAGACCCAGATTTGGTCGATCACTTAAGAAATTTCTCTCACTCTCAGGCATGCAGTTATTTTCAGCTGCTTTGAATTTGCTTGGAGACATTTGGAGAGAGTGGTGAAATTGCACTACAGTAGAAGAATCAGGATCCTCGGATGAGAATTGCTCCCTTTAAATGCAGAGGTCTACTGATGTAGCTCAGTCTAGAACTCTTCAGAGATACAAAATGCCCACTTGGAAAAAGAGAACATTGGGTCTTCTGTGGATGGCCCAGGCTTCGGCTATGTTTATGGCTTTCAGTCAGATCAAAACATGGCACAAACACTGGGAGATTCCTCCCTGGAAAATAAAAGGAACATTAAACCCAGGTCGAAGACATTCAACGAAATAACCAACTCGTACTCCTCAAAATTGTCAGGGACATGAAGGGCAAGAAAAGTGAGGAATGGCTACAATTTGGAGGAAATTAATGAGACAGGACAATTAAACTTGATATGGGATCCTGAAATGGATCCTGGAATGGAAAACAGACAGTTTGAATACTTGGCAAAATTCTAATGTGGCCTGTAATTTAGCCAATAGCCTCATATCCTCATTCACTTCCTCAGTTTGCTACTTGTACTATGGTTATATAAGGTGTGAACATAGAGGAAGCTGGGTGAGGAGCACAGAAAACTCTCTGCACAATGTTTATAAATTTTTGTAAATAAAATTATTTTTCTATAAAAGTTTAAAATGCAAAATATAATTTTTTTGAATCTGTTTATTAATTTTTACGAGACTGACAGATACAATTTTATGTACTTATCATGTACAGCATGATATTTTGAAGTATATATACATTGTGGAATAGTTAAATCTAGTTAATTAACATATACATTATGTCACACAGCTATTTTTTGGTGAGAGTATTTAACATCCACTCATTGCATTTTTAAAGAATACAATATACAAGGTGGCTGTAGCTAAACTATAATATTTTTACATTTTAAATAATATGTTAAAATATTTAAAAATATTTTAAAGAGCAATATCATCACAAGTACTAATTATTCCTGTGCACATCTCCCACCCTGTGAAACACAGATACATACATACACACAGCACTGAAAGGAAGAAAAAGCAAATTTTTAAACATTTTACATCAATTGCTATGGACTGAACTGTGCTTCTTCCTCAAAATTCATATGTTGAAGCCCTACCTCCTGTTGGGACTGTATTTGGAGATAGGACCTTTAAGAGGTCATTGTGGCCTCGCCCTTATGACTTCATTTGACCGTAATTACCTCCTAAGAGAGGCAGCACGTCTCTTCTACCCGCTTCTCACACGGGGACACAGTGAGAAGGCAGCCATCTGCCCACCGTGAAGAGCGCCCTCACCGGATCCAGACCATGCTGGCACCTAGATCTTGGACTTCCAGCCTCCAGAACTGTGAGAAAATAAATTTCTGTTGTTTAAGCCACCCAGTCTGTGGTCTTCTGTGATGGCAGCTTAAGCAGACCAATACCTCAGTGTATCAGTTTTCTACTGCTGCCATCACAAATTACCACAAATTCAGGGACTTCAAACAGCACACATTTATTATATGACACTCCTGGAGGTCAGAAGTTTGACACAGGCCTCCCTGAGTTAACATCCAGTGTCAGCAGGACCATGTTTCTTTCTAGAGGCTCAGGCAAACAAGCCATTTCCCCACCTTTTCCACCTTCTAGAAACACTATGCATTCCTTGGTTCATGATCCCCTTCCTCCACCTTCAAAGCCAGCAACAAGAAATCTCTCCCCGGCCCTGCTCCCATCGTCATGTCTCTCTGTGACCACAGAGGGAAAGGTCATGCCCTTGGACACACTCATGTATCTAGATGGGCTCACCCTGATAATCTAGAATGGTTTTCCAATTTCAAGGATCATACCTGTAATGGTTAATATCCGGTATCAACTTGATTGGATTGAAGGATACAAAGTATTGTTCCTGGGTGTGTCTGTGAGGGTGTCGCCAAAGGAGATTAACATTTGATCAGTGGACTGGGAGAGGCAGATCCACTCTCAATCTGGGTGGGCACCATCTAATCAGCTGTCAGTGCAGGTAGAATAAAGCAGGTAGAAGAGCGTGGAAGGACTAGACTGGCTAGGCCTTCTGGCCTCCATCTTTCTCCTGTGCTGGATGCTTCCTGCCCTTGAGCATCAGACTCCAAGTTCTTCATCTTTTGGACCCTTGGACTTACACCAGTGGTTTGCCAGGGGCTCTCAGGCCTTCAGCCACAGACCGTAGGCTGCACTGTCGGCTTCCCTACTTTTGAGGGTTTAGGACTCGGACTGGCTTCTGGGCTCCTCAGCTTACAGATTGTAGGACTTCACCTTGTGATCGTGTGAGTCAATTTTCCTAATGAACTCCCCTTCATATATTCATCTTTCCTATTAGTTCTGTCCCTTTAGAGAGCCCTAATACAGTACCCTTAATTTTATCTGCAAAGGCCCTCTTGCTGTGCACGGTGGGTAACACGCATGTTCCAGGAGTTTTGCTGTGGCCATCATTGGGGCCACTCTCTGACTGCCACTATTAATCTCCGTTGACGCAGAAACCTGTTGGGATTCAAACTTACATGACTATCAGATACGATGCCACTTAGATCAAATAAAGGTGATTAGGAACTAACTTGTAACTTCCCTGGAAGATGAGCACAGAACAGTGCAGCTAGGAATCCCTGAAAGATATACTCTAGCTTGGCAGATGAGGCTGGAGAAAGAAAGAACAGAAAACAGAAAAGTTGGTGTTTGTTCACATATCACATGGGCAGGATTTGAGCTGCTGATGACATGGAAGGAAGAGAGAAAACAGAAATCAAGCAATATGTGCCTTTTTCCTTTGGAGTAAGCTCCTTAACTTGGACGTATAAGGCCTTTGCTTTGAAGCTGTGGAGAAGATATAACTATGAAGATAAAAATATACACTCACCTAGAAAACTAAAAGTTTAAACTAGCTTGTAAGCTAGTTTAAACTCACTTTTTCATCAAAAAGGTCATTTCAGTCATAAAGGAAAAGCAAACATAGACATATCAGGGCAACACAAATAGACAAAAATTTCTCCAGGAATAAAGCAACTAGAAAATATAAGGGAAGGAAAATTGCATTCACCCGAATAATTCTAATCATGAGGTAACTAAGAATTCACTTAGTGAACAATAAAGAAAACTATAAAAATGATAAAATTCTACCGAGGGACATGGAGAAGAAAGCCTTCACTGCACAGAGATCTACGTTATCCTTGGGGAAGAATGTTCTGGTTTGTAGCTGTGAGGAGGAAGGGCGGAAGCACAGCAAGGTATAGAATGGGCAAAGGAAGCTTCCGAAGGGAAAATATTTGAGCTTCATCCATTGGACTCATTGATGGAAAGGCCTATTTAATGTTTTTAATAATATTAGTCTCCACTTATTCCACGTCTAGTACTTTGCACGGAGCTTGCATAATTGTTTCCTTGAGCATAACCTGAGATAAAGTAGCCCACACTTTCACATTTGTAAAGTGTTCATGTATGAATTCCATAAGAATTTAACCCTCAAGAAACAGGAATAATTTGTAAATACGCTCATGATGCCTATTTCAGTCCTTATGTTGATTTACTGATATTGAAACCCTAGTATTCTAAATTATTTGCCACGGAACAACTAGAAATTCATAGAAATTATTTTCTAATTTGAAGGAACTTCTACCCTACAATTAGCTCCATTTTTAATCAGCACAAGTACTGTAGTATTATATAAAAGGGTGAATGACTGACTCGATTTGTCTTGTTTTTTTAATTTTTTTTAAATGTTCCTCATATGAACTTCATTTTCATCATATCTCAGCTTCATCAATTCTAAGCACAGTTGCTGTATATTTTAGGTTTCTCCTTCTTAAGTAAATATGTCTAAAACAATAATTGATCGTTTTAAATGACAAATCTTTTGTTTAGAGGTTTCTGACTTCGCATTTAGAAATTAAACATGTTTAGCAATTTATAATGAAAATCATTAACTCTAGTTATTATAGTATAGGAAAAATATATTTAAAAATAAATTATGCAAGAAATAATTTTAATCTTTTTGTAATTTGGAATTTTTCCATATCTGCTTTATCATCTACTGTTTTTAAAAATATATAAATAAATCAAATTAGTTGTAAAAGTGTTCACTTAACTCCCTTAGTATTTAAATTTCTGTCTAGCTGTGTAGATATAATCTAGTAGTCAAATTGTGGCATTATTGTTTCAAATATTTTGTATTATGTTAATGATTTATTAAGCCTGTTCAACTCTTCATCTAGTCTGGAGAGAACTCCACAGGGTGCAGATCATAAAGGAGGCTCAATCATCAAAGAATGTGTAACACTGGGAAATAAAGGGAAGTTAGAAGTGAGAGGACAAATGTCAGTTCCTAGGAAAAGTCAAGAGGTGGGCCCTGATGGCAGGAGTCATTCTCAGCTGACTGCCCCAGGGCCTGGTCATCAAGCTGTCCATTTCCCTGGCAGAACAGAAGGTCTTCAGACCCTTCACAGCCTCTACTACTGAGTATGTAAAATGTGAAAGAAATAAAATCAAAATTGTCCTCCAGTATTGAATCCCATATGACTGAACTAACCCTGTGTGTGATTCGTGGCTTCCTAATAGTTTTGTCGCTGAGCCCTTGTTCTTTTCTGTACGGTAGAGGAGTATGTTAAATCTATTTGGGTAGGTCACATCTCTAGACTGTTTTCACTCCAGGAGAGTGGCAGTGAGGCTTCATCAGGGCTGAGAGCCTGAGTCCAGGAAAAAATGAGATTGTAGTCCAAGTGTGCTTTCAGGCTCTGGGAAGCAACACTGAAAGGCGGAAGCAGTCCTTGTTGAGGAAGGGGTGCGTTCTCCCATACAGCCCTTACAGGGCTCTTCTTCCTCACTCGTGCCAGAGTGACCAGTGTGCTTGAGGCCCGCAGGCCCTTCTCCTGGGCATGGGAGGTGGGGGTGGAAGAGCTTCCACTCCACTAG
This sequence comes from Homo sapiens, assembly GCF_000001405.40. Classification (NCBI taxonomy): domain Eukaryota; kingdom Metazoa; phylum Chordata; class Mammalia; order Primates; family Hominidae; genus Homo; species Homo sapiens. Next base: position 106,663,980 of record NC_000013.11, on the reverse strand, counting down.
CTCTTTTCTTTCTTTTATTTTCTTTTTTCGTTTTTTAGAGAAACGTGTTCAATGGTAAAGCTTAGCACACCGCAGAACCAGGAATGGCATGGAGTCACAGCAGCATGCACAGGCAGGTGACCCCCACAGAGCCTCACATGACAAAGAGGATGAGGAAGGTGGTCATTCAACAGAAGAGCCCCATGGCCTCAGATAGGGCAAAGCCTAGAGTGGCATAGGAGAAGAGCTGCTGCTTGAGAGACAGGTTCCTGGCATAGCCAATGATCAAGCTGCCAAACACTTTTCCAATGCCAGCCCCTGAACCAGCCACACCAACTGTGGCTGCCCCAGCACCAATCAACTTGGCTGCTATGTCAATGTCCCGGGAGACAATACTGGTCTGGAACTCCCGTCTGGCCACCCGCAGTGGGGAGCTGCTGTAGGAAGGCTGTTTAGGTGAATTATCTGGGCTATTCAAGAAGGAGGCAGATACAGTCCTGATTAGACCCCAGGTACAACAGAGGTTCCAAGCTGGAGAAATGAGTAATGCCCCTGTGGTCTGCATTGTTTCAGTCTCCCAGCTTTAGCCCTTGGTCTCAGCGCTCCAGCTCTTTTCTTCTTTTTACTTTATTGGGACTTTTGCTGCATGGAGGAAGATGGAAATAAAGCTTCAGAACAATACAGTTGAAACATTGGTTGTGAGACTCTTTGTTCTAACATTTGCTGGGGGGGTTGGCAGGGTGGGTGTCTAATTAAGCCATAGGGGCTTAAATTAGAATTTGAGAAAAAATTTACTCTTTCTCAAAGAAAAGTCACACCTAGATGTCCAAACAGGTGGGCTTATTGGCTTAAAGCAGCGGACCCAGCAGTGGTCAAGAAGGTAGAACAGCCAAAGCACCCATGTCGTAATCCACTTCAGAAAGGAAAACAAACTAGCGTGGTCTGAGGCCAACTGAAAAAAACGACTGTCTCAGAACCCAGGACTGCTATTGACGGGTTGACTCAATAGACATCAGTGCAAATCGTATACAAGAAACCATGTGTGCTGTTAGAAGCAAATGACTGCTTAGAGGAACAGAGGAAGGAAGTGCCATTAAGAAGTAATGGATGGGCCAGGCAAGGTGGCTCACACCTGTAATACTAGCTCTTTGGGAGGCTGAGGAGGGAGGGTTTCCTGAGGCCAGGAATTTGAGACCAGCCTAGGCAATATAATGAGAACCCATCTCTTAAAAAAAAAATTTTTTTTTAATTGGCCCAATTTGGTTGCATGTGTCTGTAGTCCCAGCTACTCAGGAGACTGAGGCAGGAGGGTCACTTGAGTCCAGAAGTTCGAGGCTACAGTGAGCCATGATTGCACCACTGCACTCTAGCCTGGGTGACAGAGTGAGACTCTAAGAAAAAGGAGTGAGACTCTGTCTTTAAGGGAAAAAAAAAAGTAGTAATGAATACACACACAAATATGCGAATCTAAATAAATATATAGGCTCAGTACATAATAGATAGAGCTTACTCTGTTGAATGTCTGAACTCGCCACCAAGACTTTGGTTCTCAGCAAAGTTGAGAGTGGGAGAAAGAGGAAGGTGAAGCCAATACAGAGTAACCCTGTGAGTACCTCTTCCTTCACCCTGATCTTTCCAGTAGGCTCCTGGCTCCTTGTCCCCACCTTTCTTCATGTCCTCCTCTCAAAGAAGTCACTCATTAGCACCTGCGTCATCAGAGGACGTTTCCACACAAAATAATGAGTTGCACAGATAACATTAGAGTTTTTGTTGGAATATATTTTTGAAAAATCTAAATGATTCTCTTTTTTTTTCTTAACACCTTTGGTGTTAGGTTCTTGTTTGTTTTGTTTTCTGGAATTGCAGAAGAAAAATATTCCCCTGACCTTATGCTCACGCAGAGTCAAATAAACTACCTTGAAAACATTTAGGGAAGTTAATTACAGAAAATACTTTTTTTCCTTTCACTGTTGTGCAGCTATGGGTGTAAAACTAGACCATAGAGAAATGGCATGCTTTACCCCAAGGCATGAAACTGTAGTGGGAAGAAGAGAAGGAGGTGGGAGGTGAGGAGATGGAAGGAAAGTTGATGCCCCGAGACTCCCTCTACCTTGTAGGCTGCTCCTCCTGGACACTTTCCTTCAGAAATCACTCCATTTCCACACCAGGTCTTCCGTCCCTAAACCCAGAAAATGATTCCACGGGTGATGGCCTCAGAGCAAGCCCTTCTGAGCCCTCTCCAGTCCCCCATCTGTCCGACTATCCTCTTAATAACCTTTTCATTGAATTCCAGAGGGCTTCAGCCCATAGTAAAATGAAATTACAAGTATTAAACCTTGATCTCTCTTGAATATAATTCATTGCAAACACTTGTGCCCTTAATCCTTAGCACCCAAATAGCATATTTTTTTAAATCCTCTTATTGATACCCTTTTAATTATTACTCCCAGGAGAGGAAAAAAAATCTGCCATGACCCAGCCACCTCTCACCTTGTCTCTTTATTTTTCCTTTTGTTCAACAAGAATCTGGTGGCCTTTTTCTCACATTATCCCATTATGCATGCTCACTGCGAGGTGGCATTCTTGTCTGTATGTGACACAATGTGTCATTGTCCAAAGGCTACCTACATCAGCCTACTCGGGAAAAAAGAGCCTTTTACCACACACAAAAAATAAATCTGTTCAGATTACCCACTTTAATCATTTGGTTAAGTATAGAGCAATAAGCAACAATACATTTTTTTATTCTCACTAGGGACAGAACGATGTTTAATTGGGCATTTAAAAGCGACTGTTAACTTATACAGACCTCATCACAAATGGTTTTTCAACCAGCTCAGTGATCTGAAACACCAATTAGTTTCAATTCACACTTATTATCTGTCCCTCATTAAACCATTTAGTTCAGAATCTAAATTCTTTTCTATTCAAGAGTGTTGATGTTTTACTTTAGGTAGGAGGAATTTTCTTTCTTTTTTTTTTTTTTTGCCTTTCTAAAAAGGCATTCTGCAAAATGTCTTCCCATATATCTTCTTTTTTAATTAAACAAGCAAGGCAGAGCTTCTTTTCCTGAAAATTCTCTTTGTTGATACTGTTGTTCTTAAGTCCGATCTATCCCATCAGGGGCTTCGTGGAGGGCTCTGGTGATTACTTTTCCAATGCTGCTGGTCCTGTGAGCATTTGCAGCTGTGCCTGTCAAAACCCAGCTCCAATGCTGCCACCTTGATCTCTGGGTAAGGCCTGGCCTCTCTGGGTATCTCTCTTTCAAATGGAGTCACAGTTCATCCTCCTGCAAGGGCTCATGGTCTCCATAGCAGATTTTTTTTTTTCTCACTTCAAAGTCTAGCTTTAGGACACAAAAGGTACACAGAAAGAGCATGCAAGGACTATTGGTCAAGGTACTCCAGAGAAACAGAATCCATAGAAGATAGAGAGAAAGAAGCTTTAGGGAATTGGCTCGGTTGTAGAAGTGACAAGTCCAAAATCTGCATCAGCCCCCAAGGCTGGAAATTCAGGGAAGAGTTAAAATGTTGCAACCTTGAGTCCAAATTTTGCAGGGATGCAAGCTGGAAACTCAGGCAGAACTTCTATGTTTAACACTTGAAAAGAATTTTTTTCTTTTTCAAGAAACCTTAGTCTTTTCTCTTAAATCCATTGGCTGATTGGATTAGGCCTACCCAAATCACACAGGGTCATCTGCTTTAAGTCTACTGATTTAAATCTTAATCACATCTAAAACATACATCCACAGCAATGTTAGGATTTATATTTGACCAAACAAAACTGGGCTTTATGGCCTAGCCAAGTTGACACATAAAATTACCCATCCTAGGTGGAGGATGTAGCCTGGGATTTCAATAGCAGCTCTGCCACACACTTCCTTCAAGACCTTCCTTGGGCCTCAGTCTCCTTATCTATAACATGGTTCCCCAAATTGAATAAATTAGAAGAAATATGACTTTGGGGCAGTCCAAGGATGAGGAGCATTTGGTTAATAAAGTTGGATTTCCTCTTACTGACATGTCACCAATAAAGTACAAAAAGGGCATAAGCCACTCTTTGAGCCAATCACATTTAAATTCAGATAAGTTTCCAGTTAGTCATATTTCACTGTACTCAAACAATCCCTATCTGGCAATAGGGTCCAAGTAGATTCCTGTTGATGTGGGGAAAGCTTTGGTTTTGAGAGTCGATATGGGAATAACATGATAAATTTAATAAGTTAGACCATCCAAAGTCAAGCAAGATTGTGTTGGACTAGAAAGCTAGTGTATTAATGTGCAATGGAAGTATGGCTATATAGTGCAGAGAAAACTGTAGTAGAAGTCATGTACCCTACATGTGCAATGCTGAATCAGTCACTTGCCCTCTCTTGACCTCAATTTCCTTTCCAGAAGATAGGAAATTTGGACATAATGACTTTAATGTACCTCCCAATTTCAAATGGGAATCTATTAGGATTCATGTTTTCTTCCTGAATCATTTATATTCATTAAGAAGTATTTGATATTGGTTAAGTCAAATGTTTTAAGCTTTTAAGCCTATTAAGGCATAAAGGTAATCTGAAACTTCAAGACTAAAAAATTCTATTTTACTGGGCTCTAGGTCACATAGCATAATAACTATTTATATTAGCTACTGCAATGAAATCAGTCAAAAGTTGTATTTTTATATCATCTATTCAAACTTTTTATTCTCAAAAGATCTTATGACTAAATCTTCCTTTAGCCAATTTGGTATCAACTATTCTTCTTTGAAAGTGCCTAGGGTGATATTTTATTAGACTGTTCTTTCTACAATTTAATATTGCTCAGTGGAATACACTACTTTGTGGGATTAATGGTCCATGTTATTACATCTTTTCGATCAGTTTAGATCCTTCTCACTATTTTTTACTGCTTGGTCTTTGCTTCCAAACTATAATTTCATTAGAGGATAACAGTTAAAATGGTACTATTTTTAGAAAAAAATTCAATAGTGATACATACCTTGTTAAATGAACAACAAATATTTGTTAAGTGGATAAATAAGTAAATTAATACAAATGTATGAGGAAACTCTCCAAGAACTTCAAAGTGCCTTATATAGGACCTTATACATATAAGGTATATGAAAAATAGGTTTAAAAGATTAGAGAAAATAAATGCAAGAAAAGACAGAAAAAAGACATCCAAGTGTTGACTACCCAGCCATATACTCAGCCTTACTTCCATATTTCTCTCACCCTATCCAATGTTCACTCAACACATACTGCTTAAGTATCTACTGTATGTCTGGCACTCTGCTGGCCACGGAAAACACAGCAATGAGCAAAACAGGAATTCCCACCTGATGGAATTTATACCTTCTCATCTCTCTTCTCAAAACCATACAATAGGGGCAGAAGATAGAGATGATACCTTTATAACAAACTAAAAAATTCAAGAGGTTGGTTGTTGTTGTTGTTATTTTTTAAGTAGTGTTGTTTATTTGATTTTCAACAAAATGCTCAATGTACACTTCAGTTGTCAGGCCGCCATGCTTTCCTTTGAAATACAGAGCCTAAATCACATGGATCCTGTCTGCTTCACCCAAGTAAGACACTTGGGCACCCATCAACTGATGCACAGCCAACCCTGATTGACAGCATGAGAGAGTCTCTCTGGGTGTCACTGTTAGTAATGACCTCACAGGACTCACCTTGGGCCTGTGAATGACACAGGACAGGTGTACTTCTCGGCAGTCTCTGTGTCAGATGTGGATCAACCTATCTTCTGGGGCAGCTTCATGCTGTCCTCCAATTTTGTAGCCTTGGGGGGTAAGGCATTGCATCCATTGGATTCAGCGTGTAGTCAATCACTCACAAAGCCATTCACTTGACATTGATTTTCTACCCCTTTTTCACTGTCATGTATAATATCTTGGTACCAAAAAGCATGTTAAGAACAAAATAATTGATTCAAAGGCTTCATAAATATAGTGTCAAAAAGAGATGAAATTCAAACTATTCAATTGAAAAAGGGATTGAGTGCATGAATAAAAGATTTAGTAGGAAGTGCGGTTGGCATTACTGGCTAGAATCAGGCTTGGGGGTTTCCTGTAATTTAAAATTATTTATGCTGCCTAGCAATCATTCATGGAACCCCTACTCTTTGTCCCTTGTGCTAGACCCTGGGAACACAAAGATGGATAGAGATTCAGCCCCTATTCACTCTGGTCCTCAAACCCCAGTCAGATTTTAGATTAACATGTAAACCTTTGACTCTTTGGTATGCCAGAAAAATGTAGGCTTTGTAATCACTTTTCCACACTTTCCCTTTCAAAAGTATAGCTATGTTTATACTGAACACTCATTGAAATGTCCAGTTCATAGTCTTCTTTCTCTTTTACTAATATTCTTTCCGTTTTCTATTTGAAGTTGGTAATGAATGATTAGTTTTCCTCAGAACGTTAAACTAACTATATCTTTCCAAGCAGTTTTAATAACAAAAGAATACTAAACTTGGAGAAGAGGCTTATTACAAAAGTTTTATTGCTAGAAGATTTTTGGCCAAGAGAATTTCCAAGCATATAATTTGCAGGCTTCTACTTTACCCTCCTCAGTCCTCAGAAACGAGAATGGTTGTCCAGTTATTTCTGTCTGCAAAACAATCCTGCCCCATCCCCTAGCCCAGCATAGAAATGCAGATCATTACTTATCAGGCCTGCAGCCACTTCTCCTGATTACATCAGTCAGACGAGACGTCTGCTGATCCTCATCTCAGAAATGGCTCTAGAAAAATGATTCTGAAGACTCTTGATAAGCCTCCCCAAAATTTTACTTATAACTCTAAATATTACATATTTCACTTTTGCAAAAAAGGAAATGTATGAAAATACATTAATATGCTGCACCCCACCCCAAGTTCCTCTTTCCTGTGTCTATTCATAATCGAACTATAAATAAGGTCTAAAAAAACTACAGCCTTCATCTACCAGAGGGAAATGTCCTGCGTTAAGCCTAAATTAAATTGTATTTGTTGTAATTCAAAGATATTTTTCTCAGTCTATTATAATATTCTATTTTTCTGTCATCTATTATCTCCACAAACAGCCATGGAAATAGCTTTACTGATACTAAAATGAGCACCCCAGTTTCTAGAAAGATTAATACGAATTTATTTGCATAATTAATTCAAATGTTCTTAGCTCCTTCCCTGTCATTAGCAAAATAGAATGGAACAGTGAAAAAAAGATTGATAAGCTTTGAAATGATAATAATTCAAAAGGTAGCAAATTATGTCAGCAGGCTATGTCATTTATCTATTTATGCAGTGGGACAATTATTTACTCTGCTTTGTTTCAAAAAGGATTTCAGGTGGCTTCAGTAATTTCTGCAGCGTAATCCATTTGTTGAAAGGAAACTTTTAACTGATAACTTATGAAAGAGTTGGGAAGAAATTTGGGCAAATTACATCCAAGACTTTTAGAGCAAATTACATAATATTTCACACAGTCAAAAAAAAAAAAAAAAAAAAAGGAGGACACCCTAGTTGGACAAGAACCAATGGATTATGGAAATGGTTTGGATTCCTTCAAACTTCCATAATTACTTTCAATTGTGCAGTTTTTCTGACAGCTGAGATTTCTTAGTCAGGCTTCAAAACCATTAGCATTGCATAATTCTGAGCCAATGAATGCAGCTAGCCAATGATTATCACTCCCCTCTAAAACCTTAAAATCACAAAGAAATATTTCTTTCCCACTTTGTACTTATTTGGAGACAAGCATTTAGTGACCCCAAAACCCAGTGCCCTCTTTATCATGCCCTTTGGTCCGTTTTTGATGGCCAATGCTACCATTTAGAGACAGCCTATTACTATCTCTTTCATTTTATTCATCAAAAACTAAAAGAAAGAGAAGTGAGATGTCTCATTCATGCCAAGTCATATACTTTATCAGAGACTGCATAAGAAAAATATAATAAGCCCTGACATTCTGTCTTTCATTCTCTTCATGAATTAATACATCTATTCCTCTAACACTTAATGAAGAATAAACAATGTGACACAAATCTTTTAAATCTTTAGAAAATTCAAACCTCTCTTTCCCATGGCAGTTTCATATTTCTTTATCATACATTTTACATTGTTCATGGGTGAATAGCACAAATAATATGTTTGAGCTGCATTTTCTTACCATTCCCAAATCTATGTGTTAAAATTGATAAAGAAACAAATATTACCATAAAAGCCCAAGACTCATCTTTTGACACCTGCTTTTCTTCTTCCATGTCACGCCTGCCCCTCTTCAGGTTCTGAAAACTACCCCAGTTAAACTTAGTTTGGGATTGGATATGTCAGTTTCACCATAATATAGATTTATGTAATATAATATGGATTCATATTCTTGTGCTATGTCTCCCAGGCATGTGTATTTTAGGAATAAAAGACATTATGTGCAGTTAAAGCAACTGCGTTCCTAAGAGAACAGCAAAGTGCTTGTCCTAGCCAGCCCCACTGCTTTGTAGAGCAGCACATGCTGAGAAGTCCTTCCACAATGGATGAGAACCAAGGTCACCCTTTCACTTTGTGTTTTTTTTTTTGGTTGTTGTTGTTGTTGTTTGTTTTGTTTGTTTTGAGATGGAGTTTCACTCTGTCACTCAGGCGGGAGTGCAGTGGTGCGATCTCAGCTCACTACAACCTCTGCCTCCCAGGTTCAAGCAATTATCCTGCCTCAGCCTCCCGAGTAGTTGGGATTACAGGCGCCCACCACCAAGCCCAGCTAATTTTTTGTACTTTTTAGTAGAGATGAGATTTTACCATGTTGGCCACGCTGGTCTTGAACTCCTGACCTCAAGTGATCTGCCCACCTCAGCCTCCCAAAGTGCTGGGATTATAGGCGTGAACCACCGCACACAGCCCACCCTTTCACTTTGGAAGTGACGGTGAGCAGCAAATAACCAGGACAAAGATGTGAAAGACAAAAGTGTAAAATACCATCTCTCAAGTTTATGGCCTAGTGGGAGTGAATAAAACAAACAAGTAATTATAGTATGAAGCATAATAATACCGGGGTCAGTAGAGATACAAAATCATTTAAGAGAAAGAAATTCATATTTATTGTGTGACTTCTAAATACTGAGCATTACACATGTGTTTTCAAGAGTTCTCAAAGAGAAATTATTATCCCTGCTGGAAAAATGGGAAAACTAAGGGTAATCAAGCTCATTTCCCCAAGAGTATGTAACAAACAAATAGCAAAGTCAGAGACTGAGCCATGATTTTCTGGCACGCTCTTTCCCCGTACAATGTGCTGGAAACGCAGAAGGGGCCACATCTGACCGAAGCAGCTTTGCAAAGTAACTGGCATTTGAGATGGTCCTTGGCAGACAGGATCTCAAAAGCTGAGTTGAGAATCAAGAGGGAATTCCAGGCAAAGAGATAGGCTTGAACAAACATTGTCGAGATGGAGAATGTAAGACATGTTCAAAAGAAAACATTTTGTCTGAATTTTAGAAAATACAGGATAGTGTAGATGCACTTGGACCTGGACCCAGAATACATGGGTCCTAATCACCACTAGGTCACTGAGGTGTAAGCCCTGAAATTGGGGTTCAATATTAAGTGAGGCTTTGACATCTGATAAAATCAGGCTTCAAATGACCACAAGTTTCCCTCCCCACTCTGCTCTGACAGGTAAGGTCCCCTAGCCAAAAACACTAATTCACCAGGGGACCAGGCACAGTTCCTGCTTATCTTTGGGTAGTAGGTTTTGGTTCCCTGCCAGCCTACAAAATTAGTCATACACCCCCATGAACACAGCCACTCACCCCCATGAACACAGCAAAAACGGGGGCCAAGTCCCCTTCTTGTTACTACAAACCCACCTTTCACAGGCCCTGGCTGTTCACTCTGTTCTTGAACCATCGCGTGGCCCTGTGGGCTGTCCGCTGTCTTCTTCCCTAGGCTGTGAGCATATGTGACAACTAAACTGCATTCTGCCCCACTTTTCTGGGATCCAGCGTCATCTGTTTGGCGATCTTCATAATCCTAGTGTAGGAATCCTTCCCTCAAAACAGCGTGACAAGGAGACAAATAACCACTCTTAGCCATGCGCCTTTGGGGAAGCTGCTTCACCTCTGTGTGCGTCTGTTTCCTCACCTGTGGAAACACATGTGATCATAATGCCTATTTCATAAGTCTCCTATAAGTGCCATAGATGTTCGGTGGCTGTTAATCATGGGTGGCCCTGATATTTTAAAATATTTAATTCTTACCACAAACCAATAATGTAGATATAGTTATTATCATCATTATCATTTTTTACTACCAATGAGGAATTTGAAGCAGAGAGCAGGGACATAACTTGCCGCAGATCCCACAGCTAAGTGGCTGAGCCATAATTGAGATTCAGGCAGTCTGGTTGCCGAGCCTTTATTAGTAGAGAGATGACTGAGAGGTCCCCAAATCCACCCACTTAGTATTGGCGGCAAGGACACCCTGCTTTCTCTTTGCTATTGCACTTACCAAGTTGAATTGTAATTCCTTGTTAATTTTCTGCTACTGTCATTTGAATGTGCATTCCCTAAAGTCAGGGACATAATTCGCTGTTGATTTAATGGAATCTCTAGTCCATTATCTAAAACAGTGCTCAGCCCACTGTGCAGGCCTGGCCACCTCTTCCTGAACAACAGAATGAGTGACTTCTCCATGGCCAGATTCCTGGGGCTCTTCACATTTCTGCTGCTGCTGAGTCTCTGCATGATTTGACTCTGCTGACTGCACTTCTTTGGAAACTAGTCCTGATTTACAAGGTCCTGAATTACTCCCTTGCATTCTCCTTTGAGGCCTTTTCCACCCGTCCCTGGTAGAATTTCTCTAAAGCTCTGTCCTAAGCCATCTTCTATCTATTTACATCCTTTCTCAGGAAACTTGCAGCTATGGTGGAAAGGCTCCCTTTTATGCAGTTGACTTGAAAGTCTGTGTCTTTAACCCTCATTTCCTTCTACAGCCCTAAATGCAAAGTTCCAACTTTTGTCTCTCATCATCCAACCATCCCCACGAATTCAACATGCCTAATGTTAATTCCTCATTAGCCCCACACACTTGCGCTCAGATTCTCCTCCTTTTGCCCCTATACTTGTAAATAATGCCATCATTTCCTTCAACATTCAAGTTGAAAACACAGCATGCCCCCATTAGTAGCAAACCACCTGGAGATTTGATGGGCACTGTGCTTTCTACCCAAGCTCTCCTACCCTGAAACCCTTAACACAGAGCTTCATTGCCTCTTGCTTCCTTAGACTTAATGATTGCCATTAACAGGTTTCCCCACCTCCAGTTTTTCTCTGCGCTTTCCCACCCCCACATTACTGCCTGCTTCGCCATGAGCCAGAATCTCAGCTCTGAACATTGATGGAGGAGTTTGAGGATCAAATTAGATTTACAGTGTATTTGAAAATGGACCAGGAGATAAGAAAATAAAGATAGAATGCAGAGATGACCTCTCCAAAAAGGAAAATGTTGCTAGTGAGGGCAGAGAACATGAGAAATTAAGGGTATAAAGAAGGGATGGTGAGGCCGGGCATGATGGCTCATGCCTGTAATCCCAGCACTTTGGGAGGCCAAGGTTGGCAGATCACCTGAGGTCAGGAGTTCAAGACCAGCCTGGCCAACATGGCGAAACCCCATCTCTACTAAAGATACAAAAATTAGCCAGACATGGTGGTAGTCCCAGCTACTCAGAAGGCTGAGGCAGGAGAATCACTTGATCCCAGGAGGCAGAGGTTGCAGTGAGCCGAGATCACGCCACTGCACTACATACGGCCTGGGCAACAGAGCGACACTCTGTCTCAAAAAAAAAAAAAAAAAAGAAAAGAAACAGTGCCATCTGGAGCACAGGTGAGTGGATTCACTTTGGCCAAGAAAAGCCATGCTGGTTCTAGGTTTAGATTTGAAGCAGAGAGGACAGGAGCAATGTGGAGGCATTCTGAGATGGAGGGATAGCTGAAAGCATGTTGATCAGATGACCTTAATTTTTACAATGAAATGAGGTTTAATTTGTATGATGACATAGTGGAAGGTGTGGGTAAAATCAAGGACTTGAGAAAAGTGGAAAAAAAAAAACTAGTGTAGATAGTTTGAGGAATCTACCGAGATATGAACATGAAAATAATTCTGGTGTATGTGATCTCTTTTCCAAATTTCGAAGCTTAACTTGGTTGGTGGGATAAGTATGATACTCCAGGCCAGTCCTAGTTCCTCTACTCGGTTCTCAAACACTCCAGGAAGGCTCTGTATACACCAGGTTTATGTTAAGCCCTAGAATACTGAGCTAAGCTCGTGCCAGAATTTTCATGGGAAAAGATATAGCAAGAGTTGTTTATGACATAAACAAGCAGTTTGCTGCTTCCCACATATTAGGGAAACAGTTGGATTACACATCAGGGCCTGGAGACTTTAAACAATACTGCCAGGAAGTTAATGGAACTGGAACAAGGAAATTACTGTGACTCTGCACTCCATAAAATAAAGAAATGAATAAAAGTGCAATTTATCACTGGAGAAACAATGGAAGCTGAGCTGATAAAATAACCAAAGAAAGTATACGAACAATGTGATCTTGCTGGAATGGAGTCGATCATTTTGTGTTGAAGATTAATACTTCTCTCTAGAACTGCATAGGCGATCTAAACTTGGTGGGAGGAAAGGTCATTTTATAGCGCCTTTCTGACTGTAACTCAATCACCGTGTGTGTAAGTGTTATGGTATCTAAACCACATGAGTGAAGAATATATGTTGTCTCCTTTCAAAAGACCACTTTATAATTTTTTCATGTACATTTATTGAGCCTATCTCAATCTAAGTTAAGGGAGTCAAATAACAGAGTCTGCCTAGGAATTGAGTTATTGTTTTTGAAATTCTGTAAAATAAACTGTTTTTTTCTAACAGATAATTAACATTTCATGGAGTCTGGTTCCCTGCCTATGGGGAGCGGGCTGACTCACTGAACCACAATGGTATCGCCAGTTCCCCTCCCACCGACAGAGCGGTTTTGTGAAAGGCTAACGAGGTGGCCTTCGACAAAACTGCAAACAGAGCAGTTTCTCTCTTGAGCTCTTGGTTTCTTTGTCCCCTCCTTGCCTGTTCTCTGAGGTCATTTGCTATAGCAAACCATGCAAGATACACCCATCAACGACCAGGCATGGCAATGTCTAACCTGCCAGAGCTTGGACACTCACATGGCTGCTTCAGCCTTCCCAGAACTCATCTGAAAGGCTCTCTTTCCCCACCTGTCTCCACTGCCTTGAGCCACCTTCAAGACCAGGTCTTATTTTTTCCAGCTGTCTCTGTGTATTAGTCAGGGCTCTCTAGAGTGACAGAACTAACAGGATCGATAGATAGATAGATAGATAGATAGATAGATAGATAGATAGATAAAGGAGAGTTTATTAAGTATTAACTTACACAATCACAGGGTCCCACAATAGGCCATCTGCAAGCTGAGGAGCAAGGAGAGCCGGTCCAAGTCCCAAAACCTGAGAACTTAGAGTCCAGTGTTCCAGGGCAGGAAGCATTCAGCATGGAAGAAAGATGTAGGCTGGGAGGCTAGGTCAGTCTAGTCTTTTCATGTTTTTCTGCCCATTTTATATTCTAGCTGTGCTGGCAGCTGATTAGATGGTGCCCACCCAGATTAAGGGTGGGTCTGCCTTTCCCAGCCCATTGACTCAAATATTAACCTCCTTTAGCAACACCCTCACAGACACACCCAGGATCAATACTTTGCATCCCTCAATCCAATCAAGTTGACACTCAGTATTAATCATCACACTCTGTAACAGCAAAACTTCCTCCTTTGAGAGTGATTTTGATTTCTGGAAATAACTAAAAGCCACTCTGAACCCAGTCACACTGAGTAAGTTGGATAAAGGCATTTTTGTTCTAAGATGAGGTCATAAAAGTACCCTCGTGTGAAAGCACTTCAGGATCAAGCAGCCAATCAGGCATGAAGACCCAATAGTCTCCTTGCAATGGCTATTGGCTATTCTCTAGGCCACATCTGTCTTGGCAGCAGTCAGAAGCCAGGTGAGAATTGCCACGGTATTAAACAGAAGCCCGCGGCCACCCCTGTCACCAGCACTCCCTGTCTCCTGGTGAATGGATAACAGGTGACATTTGGGTTCGATGTCCAGCAAAGCTCCTACTGCTCACTGCCCTCTGGGTTCACCCTCCTGGTGGCTGCCTGTCTCTGCTTCACTACTCACTGCAAATCACTTTCACTGCTTAGATACTGGATCATGGCCCAGGAAGCAACAACAAATGCAGACAGTCAAGCCCCACCCCAACCACTGCATTGTAACAATCTGAGTCAGGGTGGGGAAAGTGCTGTGCAAATCAAAGTTAAATAAACCAGCCTTAGATCAGCGTTTTCAAACCTTAACATGCATCAGAATCACCTGAGGAGTGTGTTTAAGAATTAGATAACACCACAGATTGCCGGGCTCGCTCCCAGACTTCCTGGTTCAGTAGCAAGGCTCCCAAACTAATCCAAGACCTTTGATTTTACATGAGTCTCTCTACTGAAGAAGTTTCCACAGTTTTCTAGATCCTTTGGACATAAAAGGGAACAGAGTTTTTGACTTCCACAAATCTGGTGACCGTCAATCCCAATTGGAGACACGTTTTACTTTCAGCAAACTCCTGACTCAGGGTGAATTTTCTGATTTCAGCAACCCAGGCAGATGCCCAGGGTCTTCCTTCTCACCCATTGTTCCAAAAGATGGTCCATCTCTTTCACAGTTGTCTTTCATTTCTCTTCAGTTTTGGGGACTGTACACAAACGTGGCTCTTGGTGGGCAGCCTTGACACACCAGAGCAAAGTTCAGGCCTGTGAAGACCTTCTTGCTACCCACAAAATCTCTGTTACAGAATTTCTCACTTAACCTAAGTGACCATTTGACCTTGAGAAATTAAATCTTCATGCCATCAGTTTCAAAAAAACAATGAACTTTGTCTTTGTAATTTATAAAAATTTATAATTTTGCCAAATGCGCTTTCTTTGCTGTTTGTTATTTTTCCATTCTAGACTTCGATGCTTTGTTTGCAGGTTATATTTCCAACAATGTATTTCATCACTGGCTACCATTGCTTTAAAATAACTGGTAACAATTTAAAAGCACGGGTGACAAATAGGTTTCAATTTAAATTCTAATTTGGACATATTGGTAGCAATACCTGGAGTCTTGTGTTGAGAAAGATTTTGGTGTTACACTCAGCATTAAATAGTGCAAGAATTGAATAGTGATGTCTGCCATGGGAAGCAGAATGGTAGTGGCATGCCTGGTTTTCCAGCACACGTATCAGTGAATTTTTTATAGGGACGTACACCTGAAGTTTAAGGATGCCCCACATCAAAGTAAACTGGGTCTTTTAAGACGTGTGACCACTCTGGACTTCTTAAAGTCTTACAAAAGACAGGAGTGCCTGGAGCTCTGCTCTGATAAAAACAAGTCCTCCAGGTCACATTCTAGGAGTCATGACAATTTCCTTTATGCACTCGCAACCCAAGCTCCTATAACTAAAGTTACTCTTTTATTCCTCAATACCTTTTACTCCCTAGTCCTCATTCATATTCAAGAAAGTTCACCGAGGCATTTCAGGACCCTCAAACTAAGCTGTAGTTAATTAATATCCAAATATAAAGTAAATCTGGAATAGCAGTTTTTAACTAGGAAGAATTCTTCATCCTCCAGGGAACGTTTGGCAACGTCTGGAGACATTATTTTGTCATGGCAACTGATGGAGAAGGGGGTGTGAGTGGCTTCTAATGTGCATCCTACGATGCACAGGCTTCTCCCCAACAAGGAATTATTGGACCCAGAATGTGAGTAGTGCTGAGGCTGGGAAACGCTGATGTAGAAGACTGAAAGTCAGGCCTTGAAGTGCCTGATTCAACCAATATAAAGTCCTTAACTTGTGACTCATTAAATGGAGAATGTGATTCTCCCAATCACAGAAAAATGAACCCAATTCTTGCTTCTGACCTAAGAAAAATGCCATCTTTATGATGTCCTTCGCAAATTAAGGGAAACTGTATTTATAAACTCCTAAAGCCCTTGGATTTCTGCAAAACCACACATAAGACATATGATTTACACCTTTTTGTAGGAGTACAACACCTGCAGCCATAGCGAATTTGTTCTGGAGACATGGCTGGAAGGGTAGCCTGACATTCCCCTCACCGCAAAGAAGAATCAGACTAAACAAAGCACTCCTGGTGGCCCCCTGCTTACTTGCAGTAAATGATAATTGCAATTTTCTTCCAGCCTTAAGATACAAATATTTTAGTGACTTCTGATTCCCACACCTATAAAAACGATGTGCTGCAGCTGATATGCTACAGTCTGAAAAAAATAAACATTAAAACCCCAGTTCATTTAAGACATCAAGAAAAAAAAAGATTCTTAGGTTTTTTATCTTTCCTGATCAAATAATGAACAAAATCAGCTACAACACCAGAGTTTTAAAACATTTGAAACTGCAGCATTTAGCTGTAATGGCTCTGTGGCTTTACAAGCAAGCTCAAAAGTTATGACAATCAACTAAATCCCAGAGGGAAGACTTTAGTTGGGTAAGCACTGGTTTTGGGAGAGCATATTCTAAAGAATCAAAGATTCCAATAGTAGCTGGGTTTTCTCAACCCTTAATTCTCCTAAGATGCATAATTGGATATTATGCAGTTAACTGAGCAAGAGTTTTGGAGAAAACAAAAACCAAGATTCTTTCAGATCTTCACAACCATTAAAACTAAGCTTTTAACTTTAGCCAAATGCCATTACCATGAGTTTCTTCCAATATATTGTTTAGTCACAAACGCTATATCCTTGATATTACATGTGGTCCCGAATGTTCAAAATTATAACTTTGGACTTGTCTCCAGGACTTGTAATCCTGGAGACAGACTGTGACTAACACATGGCATGTGATATGTATATGTTGTAAACTGCTAGTAATGATAAGGTCAAATTGTGTGGGATTTGATCAAAGTCTCCACTGAAAGGTTTGTGAAAGGTAGTATGGACCAAAAGTGGTTAGGTCCCTCCAACTGGATGAAATAACAACCTAAGTAGAAATAGTTATTATACAATTTCAAGAGGGTAGTAGGTTTCCTGCTTAAAGCCTCCCATTTTTAAAGGAATTTTGGACTGTTTAAGGCTGCAAAATAATCCTTTCTTTGGAAAGTTCACACCACACCCTCGAAGAGATGGAAACCCTTGCAACTACTGTGGGAATCAGGTAACCAATGTTTCACTGTTACCTAAAACAATTCATTAAAATTATGACAATCCCTGTTATGTCCATACCTATAGGCTCCTTCCCTCTCCCTACAGCCATCTTTATCTTTCATGATCTCAAACCCAAATTTTTTCTCCACCTTTCCTATAATTAATCTCCAAAACCATTCCATCCTCAAAAAAATTTTTTGTTCACCTAACAGCTCTGTGTCTTCTCCCTCCATTCCTTCCCACCAGTACATTCTTACTATGCTAGCATCCTTGGCCTCTCTGCATCTGCTGCTGAGGCCAGGACAAGGTTACCATCAGCTTTGGCTGTGGCTGGTGACCAAGTAAACATGTCTTTCCAAGCTGGATCATTAAGTTCCTAAGCATTAAGGGAAATCTTGATGGGGAAGGT
Source organism: Homo sapiens (assembly GCF_000001405.40). Lineage (NCBI taxonomy): Eukaryota > Metazoa > Chordata > Mammalia > Primates > Hominidae > Homo > Homo sapiens. The sequence continues at coordinate 106,646,347 of NC_000013.11, read as the reverse complement.
TAATTTTAGTTTGACTTTGAAATTTTGGTCTGATTGGTATGATGGAGAGGAAAAGAGACATGTTTGCTGCATGAAAGAATATGAATAAAAATTTGGTGGCAAAAACGTCATGGCATTTCTAGCAAATAGTTTGTCCAGTAACCAAGTAAGCTACCAGCAAAGGTCAGTATCACTTTGAATGCAATGCTTTAAAAAAGTTTTATTTTCTCCAACAGGCCAGAGGACTTATTAATATTTTGAGGTCAGAGTGGTTACATGATCAAAGTTTTTCAGGAAAATTAATTAGATCGTGTTATGGGTCGGGGCTGAATTCAGGTGGAAAAGAGTCCAAAAAAGAAACATCAGTTAGGAGGTATTAAAGTGATCAGGAATGAGGTGATGACAGCCAAACTTGGAATGGTGAGTGAATGAAAGAGAGAGAGAGAAAGGAAGGAGGGAGGGAGAGAGGGAGGCTTGGTAATAATGAACAATACATGTGGAATTTTTAGCTATCAGAGGAGTGGAAAAAGGAAAAGGGGAAGTCAGAGATGACTAGTAAGAAATGAGTTAGGGTTCAAAATACAGTGGAAACCTTCAATTCTCCATTCCATCATTGCGTTTTCCAGAATGCAAGACGTCTGTTCTACCCGCATCCATACAAGCATCAAAATAGGTCGTGCACACCTGTCCCACCTGTAACTAAGTATACGACTTCAGGTAAGCAAGCACTTCCTGATCTCAGCACATTGCTGGCCTGAGGCTACTCCAATATTCTTCTATTCCTGTTGAATCTGATAAAATGAAATAGGACCCTTTAAACTGATCTGCCCTCTGCTCTTGAAGCACATAATCTTATGTTCTAAAGCAACACGAAGGCACTCTCCTGCCCCACCTCTCTTATTGTGAGTCCTTCAAGCCAGCTTCATGGGCATGGGGGAAGCAACGTGGCTTTGTGGGCCTTCTCCCTTTCTGTCTAGATGACTTAGGGCAAGGTAGTTAACCTTGCTGGGAGTCAGTCTCCCCATTCAAAACATGCGGCTGATAAAAATGATCAAGCAGGGGTGTCACAAAAACTAAACAGGACAGGAAAGCAAGGGGGGGCACATTGTAGAATGAGTATAGTTTTGGTTACAAAATACAATAATAAAATCGGAGTTTCATTGTTATTGTGATAAATACACAACACTCAGAAGTAAATATTGTCAACCTGAGTGTATCTGAGGAGCTCTGTAACTGCAAAGACATCCTCCCACTCTTTAGTCCATTGCATGGAGACCTAAGCACATCATAACGGTTTAGTAACTAGACTGTCACTCTGAGAGGGTCCCAAACTCCTGCAGTCGTGAACATGCCCACGAGTCTAGAGTTCTTTATAAAAACCAAGCTAAATTATTCTAATACCAGTTTAATAAAGTGAATTTTAAAATAGTGACATATCATAACTCTTTAACACCATTAAATTTGTATTTAGACCTTGAGTGAGTTATAAAAATTGGAAAATTTGAATCTACTATTTCAAAACAATAAAAAGTTTTATTTTTTCTAATGAACTCTCTTCTTCTCAAACCCTCGATCAACTTTTCCCTGCACGGCCCTTGGGGGAGTCCTATATATCATTCTGCAGCACAACCAGCCCGTTTACAAAGGGGCTCATTTCTGAACATAGACCTTAGCAGAAATACAAATCCTTCCCAGAAATCAGAACTTAACTAAGAAAAACAAGTCTGTTTGGTAAAATTTCTTCAGCTGCTCAGCTCCTCCTTCTCCCTTTTCTGCTCTTCTGAGGAAACGAGTTGACGACCAGAGAACTACTAGAGTCCGGTGTTCCTCATGTACCTTTTTACCGAGGAAAATGAAGACCATTAAAGATGGCGGCTCCTATCATTTACTTACCCAGAAAGTGTAAGTTGGGGACGCGGGAAGCGATGTTTATAATTGTTTGTATATCTGTGGTAAACTTTTGATTTGTGCTTGCTCTATACTTCTAAAGCCCCTTTTAAAGGTAGTCTTGCCGGATAGAGCTTTTTACCCCCAGCTAAACAGAAAGCTTTCTTCCTCATCAAAGTTTGAAGCTTTTGATCTCTCTAATCTCCTGCTTGTTCGTAGTCCATGGATGCACAAGTAAGTGATGTTCTCTTCAGTGTCTATTGAATCTCTTAAAACTCAAGGAAATGTGCTTTTTTATTTCATTCTTCATCCCCAGGGACAGCTGATAGTGATTGAATTCTGAAGAGATGTGGGTGAGGTAGGCAATTCATGCCCATTTTTATTACTGCTTAAATTTTGAATTAAGGATTCAGTATTTCAGAAAAACAGCTTGATATATTAGCATCTGACCTGAATTTTATGGTGTAATTTAACTGCTTTACGCTCAGCAACTGTCTTCACCTCTTCAAGCCCAGCCGAGCATCGGCAACAAGTTTCAGAAAAGCCTTCGTCAGCCCTCATCTTCAGATTTTTACTGCTGTGATTATTGGTAGCTGACTTGGCTTCCCAGAGAACTGTTGTGATACCAATCTTTTTAGAGTTAAATATTGATTTTAATTACATATTAATATTGAATATTGATAAAAGAAAAGTTTTCGACAAAATTGATTCAACAGAGTATATCTGAGCAAAGAACAATTTGAAAATCAGGAGACCTTCAGAACCAGAGGAGGTTCTTAGAACTCCGCTCTGCAACAAGGGCCATGAGTATTTAGAGGCAGAAAAAAAGCTGAAGAAAGAAACAAGAAAGGAAAGTGGATTGGTCATTTTAAACTTTCCTTCCTTGAGAGGTCAACATGCTGGCTAAAACTGGCCTGTTCGGGGATTTGGCTTCTCTCTCTCTCCCCTGATTTCTTAGAAGGTGAGATAAACAACTTGGTTTCAGCTTGGTGGACTTTTACTTTAGCTTGAGTGACTCCATTTTGGTTTGGTTTGTTGGGGCCTAGTGCAGGAGCTCAGTCCAAATCAAAGCCCTCCTATAAATTTTATTTAACAATATTGTTCCATTTTCTACACCAGAAAATTTGGAAAACACATCAATCTGCCTCTCAGAAATAACTACGCTTAACATATGGGCATAATTTATTCTAGTTCTTTATGTGCTTAAGATTTCCTACCTGCTTAAGATTGTACTTTATATATAATTTTATATCACACTTCTGTTGTGCTTAAAAATCATATTATTAGGTAGGTCATTAAACTCTCTTTGCACAATGGTTACATATTTCTTCGTGTGGTTATACCTGATGTTAATTATTCAAGTTGGACATTGGGGTTATGTCCTACTTATAATTAACACTGCCATAAATATCCTTATTCATAAATTTCTTCCTGCACTTCTAAATATTTCCCTAGAATAGCATCCTAGAAGACTAACTTCAGAATCAAAGGATCTCGAATTTTAAGGGGCTTTTTGTTCCACATTTTAAAATCTGAATGACGTATCAGGTTTGATAAAATACTGTATTTCCCAATTGTGAAGGACAATGCCCAGACCTGCCAGTTTGAACCTGAGAACATTTAGACCCCATTGGGAAGCATTATAAAACTCTATCCAGGGGGGACTTAAGCGTCTGTCTGTATGATTCTCTCTTATCTACATGTGTCTCTTCATCCCCCTTTGTCTAATGACATGGGACAAAGTTGAATTGTCCTCTCTCTTACCATTGTTCACAACTCTTTTAAAAAAACATGAATTAAGAAAAATAAAATATTTGCTAAAACATTTTTGGATAATATGAAAGAAACTGAAAGTGGTCATCTTTGGAGAGGAACAGAAGAGAGCGGGAAGGTAAGAATTTTACATTTGATTTACTTCTTCCTGTTCTACTTGAGCTTTTCATCTACGTGTATATATTACGTTTTTTAAATGTCAACAAGAGTGATCTTAATGGTGCAATCGCAAGTTTTTTCTTTGTTATGCATATTTAAATAAAGATAATTTTTGAAAAATAAACAAAAAGTCTATTATCTTGTTCATAATGAAAATTATAAGTATAAAAAGTCAGCAATAAGCTAAACTGTTGACGGTTACAATTATACGTGGTAAAATGTACTATTGGATAAATTTGATGGAAAAATACAATCTTCTTAAATAAATATATATGCGCAAAATTTGGCAGGGGAATTTTGCACATAGTTGTACAAAAGGCCAAAAAATAAAACTCAAAGTGTATAGCTAGTGAAACTTCCATTGTTTTATACCTGATTAAACTGAACATTTTCATGTTTATTATCTCTTACATTTCTTCTTTTAAAAATTGTTCATGCCTTCTGATCATTTAAGTATTAGGCTCTTGATGTCTTTTCTTGATGATTTGCCTAATTTCCTTATATTATCAATCTATCAACTATTCATTTGAAATGTTTATTTCAATTTTTTGCCAACATGTTTACTATTTATTAAAAGGACTGCTTTGTATACTGCATAGCACTGTGTCATTATCACAGCTTTTCCTGATAAAACTCCCCAGACTTTCAACAGCATCCATTCACTTACTCACAATCTGGCATATTTATTTAGCGTCTACCGTGTCCTATTCAGATATGTGGTACTGATGAGTTGTGGGCATCTCAACTCTCCTGCAAGTTTTGACAGAATCCACTTCTAAAACGTATCAGAATATCAAGTGTATTCACTTGCTAGGACTGCCATAACAAAGAACCACAAGCTGGGTGGCTTACACAATAGAAATTTATTGTCTCACAGTTCTGAAGGTAAAGGTCAGAAATCAAGGTATCAGCACCGTTGACTCCTTCTGAGGGGTATGAGGTAGACTCTGCCCTGTGCCTCTCTCCTGGCTCTGGTGAGGGTTGGCTGGCAGTCTGTGGCAGTCTGTGGCTCATAGATGAATCCCCTTGACCTCTGCCTCCGCCTTCACACAGCGTTCTTCCTCTGAGTATGTCTCTGGGTCCAAGTTTCCCTTTTTATAAGGACATCAGTTGTATAGGATTAGGACCTAACTCTAGACTCATGACCTATTTCAAATAAGGTTGCATTCTGAAATACTAAGGACTTTAACATCTTTTTTGAAGGTGACACAATTCAACCCATTAGTTAACCTAGTCTTGATTTGGGACAAACAACAGAATCCCCTCTTGCTATTGGAAACATAAAGAAATTTATTAACAGACATTAAGTAACTCTCAAAATCTCCAAGAGAGCAAAGAACCAGGCTGATATGCTACACAACACACATAAGCCAGTAGAGAAATATCTAGTAGCTGGGCCATGTGACTGTGCAGTTACATCAGGTCCCATGCTCACAAGACCCCACAGGTTGGGGTAATACCCTGCTGTCACCATCTTGAAATTTGAACGACTTTATTTCTGAGCTTGCGTTTTGTAGGTGAAGTCCACGTAGAATGTTTATATGTGGGGAGATTTGCAAGATACACCTGTTCTTCATTTTCAGCCATCTCAGTCTCCTGGAGTGAGCCGGTGCCTTAGGAGCATGAGATCCTGGTGGGCGGATGATGCCTGGTTGTTGAATGAGCTTCCCATTCCAACTAGAACTTGTTTCCTGCACAGAATGAAGGTGTGAACAACTAAGGAACTCGATCACACCTTTTCTCGCCTGTGTGGCTTCCCTGTATAAGTTAGCCAGGCATACTGAAAAATGGTGACAGAGAAAGAAAGAGACAGAGAGGGCAACCCAATTCCTTTCAGAATGCCCTAACTGATCTGCAGCTAAAGAAAGTACCTATGTCAAAAAGTGACACAGAAACAGCTGGGTTAGTTTTGTTCAGCATTTCCGTGGTTGTGGTAAGAACAAAATACATACGCATTTATAAGCTAGAAAACACAAGTTGTGTCATTTTGGTGATTCTGCATACATATTAAATGTTTTTATATTTACATTTAAAGCTACCAATGTACAATATAAGGATAACAACAAAATTCATACGAATTTTTTTTTTTTGAGATGGTGTTTCACTATGTTGTCCAGGCTGGACTCAACCTCCTGGCTCAAAAATCCTCCCATCCTGGCTTCTTGAGTTGCTGGGAATACAATATTTTAACATTTTAATTTTTCTTTCAGACTAAACAACAAAGGGAGACCTCCCATCTCTAAAAAAGATTAAAGAATTAGCCAGGCTTTGTGATGAGAGCCTGTAGTCCCAGCTACACAGGAGGCTGCAGCAGAAGATCACTTGAGCCCAGGAGTTTGAGGCTTCAGTGAGCTAGGATGCTGCCACTGCATTCCAGCCTGGGTGACAGAGTAAGACCCCATCTCTAAAAAAATAAAATACATTTTTTAAAGATTAATTTTTTTTAATTTTTAAAAATCTTTAAAATTTTCTTAAATGTCTTTATTTAGAAGGCTCTTAATTAGCAAATAAAATATGTCACAAGTTGAGAAACCAAAGGAAAAAGCTTATGTCTTAATATCTTTTTGTTTGTTTGTTTTGAGATGGAGTTTCTCTCTTGTTGCCCAGGCTGGAGTGCAGTGGCGTGATCTCGGCTCACTGCAACCTCCGTCTCTCGGGTTCAAGTGATTCTCCTGCCTCAGCCTCCTGACTAGAAGGATTACAGGCACCCGCCACCATGCCTGGCTAATTTTTGTATTTTTAGTAGAGACGGGGTTTCGCCATGTTGGCCAGACTGGTCTCAAACTCCTGACCTCAGGTGATCCACCCGCCTCGGCCTCCCAAACTGCTGGGATTACAGGTGTGAGCCTGTCTTAATATCTTTAACTGCACTTTTTCTCTTACATTTTGAACAAGGGTCCCACATTTTCATTTCACACTGGGCCTCGCAAATTATGTAACCTGTCCAGTAGAAAAGTTCAACCTACCACTGAACTGTCCCAGTGGAAATACTCTACCATCCCAGTCGCACACTCACTACTAATGACTCCAAAAGCACACTGCTAGAAACTCCGACACAGGGGGACCAGCCAGAGCAAAACACCACACACTGAGTGGCTCAGATAACCCACATTGGAAGTCTAACACGAGTCTCACTGGGTTAAAATCCAGGTGTCAGCAGGGCTGCACGCCTTGCTGGAGGCTCCAGTGGAATCTGTTTCTCCTCGCCATTTCCAGCTACTAAAGGCCGCCTGCATTTCCTAGCTCCCGGCCTCCCCACCATTTCCAAAGATGGGTCCCATCATGCTTCAAATCTCTACTCCTCCTCCTTCTGTCTCATTTCTTTAGCCCAGCCAGAAAAGGTTCTCCATTGCTAAAGACTCACGTGATGAGGCTGGGCCACCTTATATAATCCAGGATGATCACTGCCATGTGGTATCCAGAAGACCCCACCTCCCTGAGCACATCCACCTCCAGGTCTCACGGGAAGGAACTGCTTGGGGGGACTCAGAGAACAGGGACGCCCCTGTGGCATGGGGTTAAGGTGCATTGTCTAGTTTTCCTGCCTGGGGTGTAGAAGGCAAAGCCGGAGCAGGTATTGAATGAGACAATATACAGTGCCTGCCACAGCCTGTCAGTTGGTGGATGGAGCTTCAGAGAGAGAAACAAGAATTATAAATGATGCTGGTTCCAAAGCAACATCAAATAGTGTGGCAGGGGAACAAGTGGAAAGGCCGTCACCACCTCTCCTGCACTGCTGCCCATGGCCCCCACGTGGATCTCAACAGGATTGGGTTTGCTGTCTCTTGACACACTCTAAATTGAGCAATTAACCTTGTTATCTACTATTTTCAGATATATTTTTCTTTTGCCTTGTTAAATACCCACAATAATCATGTCAGAAAGAGGTTAAGACACTAGAGAAAACATAAAATTCACATATAGCTTTTGTTTTAAGTCAAAATGTAATTGTAAAATCTGGTTGTTATTTGTGGTATTAAATTTGGTTGTTGTTTTTATGCAGTTTAGATTGTTATTGAGGCATACAGCAACAAAAAAGACAATTTCAGTAACACCTAATAAGCAGACAGTGTGATTTAGGCTAAAAGCCTAAAACTTAATTAACTCTGCCATGATATAGCAAAGGCCATGACCATGTGTTAAAGGAATAAAAAATAAGGGGAAAAATTATGCCTACATCAATAGTAATAGCATCTATATACTGCTGATTTCTGAGTAAGCAAAGCATTCAAATCAGAGAATATATCCATTTTTAGTTCGCACATTTAAAAAAAAAGAAATGGAATATTTTCAGCTAGGAAGGATGAAATAATTCAAAAAGAAAGTGACTATAAATGCTTTCACACAAAATTCTAATTTTCAAACATCCTAGGTGTGCTGCATACACTGAAAAGTTAAAATTGCAAGCCTTATTAAGGGATTTGGGAAAGGGAGAAAGATGGAGAAAATTGGATAGCATGGTGAATTTGGTTTGCTGCTCAGTACACAGACATGGGAAATAAAATATCAAGACCAAGAAAAAAGAGAATGGAAGAGGACCATCACAATATCTCTTGGCCACAGGGAGTTACAGTTAAGCAAATTTTATTTATATGTAAAGACAAATTCTGTTCTGTATTCCCATCGGTAAGTCATTATAAATGCCTGAGTTATGCTGAGGGGAGGAAAAATGAGGTTTTCTCATCCTACTTGGGGTGAAAGAAACCCTGCTCTTGGTCTTTCAGTTTCTGACTGCCCGATGGAGCTTCAGAGAAGGTGGCCAGTGTGTGAGGTTGGAAGGGACATGGATGCAGAGATCTGCCTGTGATACTCCAGCCCCGTAATGTGTTGCCAGGCAGGCTTGGACTACATGCTAAGTTTTCAGCATACATCTATGTTCTTGATTAGCAATCACACCATCAAGACCACAAATTGTTTAAGTCACAAAGCAGCTCCACAGGGATCCCCAAGAAAGGACTGAAGATGAGAAGAGAATTAGGTGTACAGAGCCCAGTCCTTTTCTCTTTGTGCAATGGGCCACAGTCTTTTAACAGAGCACACATATGAGTGATATCCACCAACCACCACAGGCAGATAGAGCACTCCCAAATTGAGCGATGCCTGTCCAGTCAGCATGCCACACAGGGCTCCTGAGACCCACTTTACTGGGGATGCTGTCTGATTTGTCCCTCCCTTCGAACTTTACTCTCTTTATTGTGCTTCTTTTGGAGACCTTTTCCCAGCTGGGAGACAATGAATGCCAAGTGCTTTCCTTTCCAGGGAACACGGGAACAATCCCTTTGAAAAGATAAGTCAGGCTGGGTGCGGTGGGTTACATCTGCAATCCTAGCACTTTGGGAGAACGAGGTGGGTGGGTCACCTGAGGTCAGGAGTTCAAGACCAGCCTGGCCAACATGGTGAAACCCCTTCTCTACTAAAAATACAAAAATTAGCCAGATATGTTAGCGTGTGCCTGTAATCCCAGCTACTTGGGAGGCTGAGGCAGAAGAATTACTGAGGCGGAGATTGCAGTGAGCTGAGATCGCGACATTGCACTCCAGCGTGGGCAACAGAGCAAGACTCTGTCTCAAAAAAAAAAAAAAAAAAAAAGTCTCCAGTAGGGTTGTTCACAGTAAACCAGTAGCAGACCTGGGGAACCCAGTGGCAGGCTAGAAACTGGTAATTTTCACTGGGCAGGCCTTTTAGTGCTCCCTCAATTTGTATTGTCTAGGGATAGTAATCAGAATCCTGTCCTCTGCTTTTCCACGTAGGATACATTTTTATGTACACAAGTCCATTTGGTCAGATTTTAATCCTGCAGGACTTCATTAAACAGCTAAGGGGTGGGGGTGGAAGGACATCATTTCCTCCCTCAAAGAACTGACAGTCCTACGAAGGAAACAGATCCGTGACTTTGATACTGGGCTGCATGAAAATGTGCATAGTTAGGCCCACTGTGAAATTGCTGCTGAAGAAGCATTTATGTGAGACTGGGACAAGTACCTGGGGATGATGAGAGGAAATATTTGGGGAGAAAAGCATGGTGTGCAGGGCATTAATAGCTTAAGGAACTGCATTAGCTCAGCAGTGGAGATGGCAGCCATGTGACAGATTTGGAGAAAGCCAAGAAGCCCTTTATGCACGGATCATACAGAGAGGAATAAAATCAAAGATGACAGGATAAGGTCGGTTTGGAGCCATATTACAAAGATTTGAATGTGATGTGAGCCACATAACGAATATCTTATGTATGGGTCTGAGACCCATCACTCCCTTTTCTAGACAAGGAACCTGAGGCCAAATCTCATCGCTACTGAGCTGCTGTGTGGCCTTCAAACCCAGATCTTCCAGCTCCAATGTGTTGCGCTGTTCACGTTGTCTCACCATGCATGTGACCTTCCATGCTGCTCACTCCCAGGGCTGGGAAACTCAGTTCTTCATGTATCTGTTATGGGTTGGATTGTGTCCCCCTAAAAGATACGTTGAAGTCCTCACCCCTGGTCCATGGGAACATGACCTTTTTAAAAAAATAGGGTCTTTGCAGATGTAAATAAGATGGAAGTTAAAACGGGATCACACTGAAATAGACTGGGCTCTTAATCCTATATGATGGTGTCGTTATAAGACACAGAGAAGAGCTACAGAGACACGAGCACATGGAGAGGAGAACGCCATGGTGAGACACAGATGCCACGGGACGAGGGAGCAGAGGCTGGACGGGGCAGCTGCCAGGCAGGAACTCTGAGGGTTGCTGGCAACACCAGAAGACAGGACACGGCCTTGCTGGTGCCTTGACTTTGGCACCTGTATTGTTGCTTTAGAATATGATAAATTGAGAATACATTTCTAGCCTTTTAAGGTGCCTGTTTTGTGGGAGTTTGTTGCAACAGCCCTGGGATACTACTGTTGGGTCCATAGCAATTCTGCAGCAAATGTACAACTCTCCGAGTGTCTGGTTTAGATCAAGGACAGAAATGATAGAGAATCTGTAAGAATGGACAGGCTTCCCTACCTTTAGGCAACTCAAATCTGGAAGTCACCTTGCCTCCCCAAAGGGCCAGTGCTTAACATTCTCCCTGCACCCCCTCCTACCAGCTCAGAACACCACACTGTGGCCTGGTCCACACCTCACCTCCTAGGAAGAATACAAAGTTGTCTTTCCTAGAGAGGAAAAAAGCTGCTTTCTTTCCCAGCTCTTCCTATCTAAAGCGGCAGAAAGGCAAGCTAAACGTCCTCCAAAAGGGTAAAATTGGGCCAACCCCAGGCTCATATAATTTGTAAGAGCATTTTTAAACCAGAAAGCGAAGAGTTTGACTCAAAAAAAGAGAGAGAGACCATAGGAGACATCCACTGTTTCTTCTAACCTCCTTTGCCCCTGCCCCTTCCTCTGATGAAATAGATACTCAGTGATTTAAATTGCCTGGTGTTTACATACAAACTTATCCCAGAAACACATTTTAGAGTTAGTAAAACTATAAAGATGCCAGGACGGAAAATTTAGAAGGCAGAGTCAAAAGAAAAGGGCTGACTTTTCTAAAAAATATAGAAACCAAGGCCAAATAACAAGGATTGTTCTAGAATTCAAAACAGCTTTGGAGAAAGTTTTTTTTTTTGCCAACAATGGGAAACTCAGTAAAGAGTCAAAACAAGAGAAATTCTAGCCAAATAAAGAAAAGAAGGAAGAATGGGAAGGAGGAAGTATGCATTGATTAACTGTATTCTATTCCAAGCATTATTCTAGCTGATGTCAATGTGGTATTTTATTTAATTCGCATGAGAAGCCCATAAGATAAATATTACTGAACTTCATTTTACAGATGAGAAAACAGAGACATAAGGAGTTGAACTTATTTACCCAAGTCACACAGCTAATATATATATATTCCTAACTCTCAACTGAAAAGTCCAGTGTTTTCTTTTTGTTTTTCGGAATTCCCCAGCCAAGCAAGAAGAGTGGAATTTTGACATCCTGATTAGAACGTATCTGTATGTGAGATGAAAAATCAAGGAGGTCAAGCAGATGATCATGTACATTGGTTTTGGTTTTGGTTTTTATTATGAAGGATGGATAATGAGAGCTTCCCGGTAAAAAACACAAAACTTTGTTTCGTTTATACAGTTTTGTTCAAGCGTGAATAAACCAGGCAATATTGCAAGAGGAGGAAATGTGCTGAGGAAAATGACAATTATTTGCCTGCTTTTGAATCTTAAAATATTTGGTGCAAACCTTCAGAAGAGTTCAAAGATTTTTTCCTACCAGCTGTAAGTTAAATATTAGAAGCGAATGTCCTCATTGTAAGGACAAACATGATGCAAGAGCATAAAACTGTCAGTGTTTCAAAGAAAATTATATTTCTTGTACAGCTGGTGTCTTCTGAAAATGCACGAGCTCAATTCTTTTCTCCACTCGCATGTGTAGCCCTTGTGTTGGAGTGTCCACAGCCTGATGCAAAAGCTGCCCTGTCAAAGATTTTGAGCAGTTTGCTTAACTCAAAGCATAAGTAGAGGACAGGCATGGGACTGTAGGTCATGAATATCAATATTTAAACCCTAGCTCTACCATTAACCTGGGGCACCATTGTCACCCTCTTTTTGGAAGCATCCTTATCCATGAAATGGAGATATTGCAGAACTGTTATAAAGACTAAATTAGATGTTTTGTTTGTGAAAAATAGTTGCTGTAGTAGGTTGAAGGGTGGCCCCCCCACAAACAATAGGTCAACTTCCTAACCCCTGAAGCTTATGAGTGTGACCTTATTTGGAAAAAGGGTCTTGCAGATGTAATTAAGTTAAAGATCTTGAGATGAGATCATCCTGGAATGCTCTGGTGAGCACTAAATCCAATGGCAAGTATCCTTAGAAGAAACAGAAGAGAAGACGAGACCACAGGGAGGAGGCCTTGTGAAGATGGAGGCAGAAATTGGAATGATGCAGCCACAACCAAGGAGCTCCTGGAGCCACCGGAAGCTGGGGGTGGGAGACAGGGAACAGATTGTCTCCTGGGGCTTTCAAAGGGAGAGAAGCCCTGCCAACACTTTATCTCTAACTTCTGGTCTCCAGAACTGTGAGAGCAGAAATTTATGCTGTTTTAGCCACCTGGTGTGTGGTGATTTGTTACGGCCCCACTAGGAAAGTAGCGTGTCTAGTCAGTGGTAAATTTGTCATCAACACTTATTCTGTCCTCCGGTTCTTTTCCTTCCCAACTTGAATGAGCCCTCATCCAGGGAACTAGGAAATGATCCCCTACTGTCTGACCTGTCTGTCTTGTATCAAGTGTTACCCATTCTACCGTGGCATCACCACTGCATTAGTCCATTCTCACGCTGCTATGAAGAAATACCACAGACTGGGTAATTTATAAAGAAAAGAGGTTTGATTGTCTCTCAGTTCTGCATGGCTGGAGAGGCCTCAGGAAACTTACCATTATGGTGGAAGGCGCCTCTTCACAGGGCAGCAGGAGAGAGAATGAATGCAAGCAGGGGAAATGCCAGATGCTTATAAAGCCATCAGATCTCATGAGACTCACCCATTGTCACGAGAACAGCATGAGGGAAATCACCCCCATGATCCAATCACCTCTGCCTGGTCCAGCCGCTTGACACATGGGAATTATTACAATTCAAGGTGAGATTTAGGTGGAGACACAGAGCCAAACCATATCAGCCACCATGAACAAAAGCTCCCCATCATGTCTGTAAATCCATCTTCCATGGTGACATGCGGTCCTGGCGGGGAGGAGAGGCAGGCCAGATGCACTTGAAGATTTTATGCAGCATTCGCCAACATTTAGTTCTCCTCTATACCAACCACTAATTAGGTGCTCCACACAATCAACTCATTTAATCTTTTTAGCAAGTTTATGAGGTACATACAGCCCCATCTTACAGATGACAAAACCAAAGCACAGAAAAATAAAGTAACTTGCTCATAGTCACAATGCTAGTTAATGCCAAAGCTGAGGGATCCATCATTGGAGAATTCTTGCTTTTCACTACTCTGTTAGTTCCCTAGGGCTACTGTAACAAAGTGTCATGAGCTGGGTGGCTCCAATAACAGACACCGATGGTCTCACAGTCTGGAAGCTGGAAGTCCAAGATCAAGGTGTCGGCAAAGCTGGTTCCTTCTGTTGGCTGTGAAGGAAAGGTCTGTTCCAGGCCTCTCTCCTTAGCTTGTAGACAGTCATTTTCTCCCTGTGTCTCCTCACATTTTCTTCCTTCTTTGTACGACTCTGTCCAAATTTCTTCTTTTTATAAGGATATCAGTCATATTGAACTAGAGCCCACTCTAATGGCCTTTACTCTATCAGTGCCTCCCGAGAGCTCCCTCAAACACCATTGCCAGACCCACCCCCAGAGTTTCCAATTCTGAAAGTCTGGGATGGGGCTTGAGGATTTGCATTCCTAACGCATTTCTAGCTGCTACTGCTGGTCCAGGAATGGCTTTGAAAGCCACTGCCATAGACAGTGGTAACTCTGGAGGTGGGGAGACCAGGGGAGAGGCACCTGCTCCAGGAAGCTGGGAGACAGGGTCCTGAGCTAAAGCAGTGTCGGAGGGCATGCAGAGGCGAGGTGGGGTCAGAGCAATGTCAAAAGGCAGAATCTGGTGGCCAGTTGAATATTATGAGAAGGGGGAAGGAGCCTGGGCTGCCCCCAGGTTCCTGGCTTTGGCGATTGGGTGGACTAGGTACACACACCTGGGCCAGTGGATCTGTGGGTGATGGGGAGGTAGGTCCTGTCAGGTGAAGCAGGTGAAATAGAAAGAGGTTTCAAATTGGAGATGCTTTTCAGAGAGATGGATAAAGCTATCTGATTTGGAGCTCAAGGAAGAGGTCTATACTAGGGAGTTGCTGGGTTTTCTAACCGTCTTATTGACCCATTTCTGTAACATTTACTTGATTAGCCAGGAAGCTGATTAGATATTTTCAACCTGTTTTATTGCTTTAGAATATGATAAATTGTCAGTACCTCTTTGAGTGTGTCTTAAGCACCAAGTGCTCACAAATAGTCACGAAAAATACAAAACAGAAAGTACTCCAAATTTTGCATCACCTTCTTAATCACCTTCTTGAAACAATATTTGCTAATCACCTTCTTAAAACAATGTTTACCAATGAATTTGAAATATTTACAATATGGTCTGGTTTATGCATCCATGCTTTCTCTTCAGGGATAAACCAGGTCATCTACTTTAAGTATCACAATATAAAATGTATAATTTGTATTTTATTGTTTTATTAATAATTTTCTTTAATCGACTTGAAATTACAAGCATCATCTTTCAGTTTTTTTACTGACATGTAAAATTTCATTTACCTCTACTATTATTAAAAATACACAAATGTTTTTGGTTATTAGAAAACAACTAAAATATGAAATATAAATAAGCAAAAAGCATTCAATTATCATGCCAAATTTGGCAAATATCAATTCCGATGTGACACCTATTACTCAAAATACCAAAACGTTCTGTTGTTATCAGATTATAATTTTGTAGACTTTTAAGAGAAAGCTTTGTGTGTTCTGTGTTCTCCCCATGAGAAAGGTCATTTCCCAGGCTCCACAGATGCCTGTCGTGATGTTTGAGCCAGGTCGTTTTTTGTTGTCACATGAAAGGCTCTGTTCAGCTGGTTCCCCTTTGTCCTGAGTGGTGACCACAGAGCTTTGCTGCTCAGCACTCCTTCCAGGAAGGCCTCGCTGGGGAAGCTGTGGAGACCATCAGCAGACAGCAGCGCCATCGGGGCCACCCCAGCTGTGCCCAAGGTCAAATACTCTGGTAGCTCCCAGCCTATGAAGAAGAATAATTGGGGACATGGGCCTGGTCACTTCTGCTCCACGCAGGACTCCAGGGAGAAATCTTTGTTCTGGAGCTCCTGCTATGGACTGAATGTTTGGGTTTAGATGAAGTCCTGAGGGTGAGGCCCCCACAGTAGAATTAACACCTTTATAAGAAGAGGAAGAGACTTGAGATTTTCTCTCTCTCTCTTTTTCCTGCAGACCCCAAGGAAAGGCCATGTGAGAGTACAACCAGAAAAAGGGCCCTCACCAAGAACCCCACCCTGCTGGCACTCTGATCTCAGACTTTCAGCCTCCAGATCTGTGAGAAAGTAAATTTCTGTTGTTGCAGCCCCCAGCTTGTGGCATTTCATTATAGCAGCCCAAGCTGACTAAGACAGCTCCCACTGGGTGGTCTGACAATTTGTCACATCTGTGTCACGGTCTGCAGCTCCCCTGCCCTACCCCGCTTCTTCCTCCCCTCCTTCCTCTCATAGTTGGTAGACCTACAATCTACAGATTTCCTCCCCGATCGTGCACAAGTGGTCCCACCCAACCCCACAAACCTAACCATACTCGTCACACCTCCCCTTAAACATTTCAGTAGCTCTAGGTGTTGATGGTGGTCAAAATCCTTAATGTAAACCACGCCAGCCTCCCCTCTCCCACTCCCCTATCTCTGTGCCTCTGCGCTCCTCACTCCGGCATCTCTCCAGGGTGGTATTTGCACCATGCAGCCTTTGTACACATTGCTCCCTCCTGGAGCCCGCTGCCTCCATCTCCCCGTCTTCATCTGGTCCATCCTTCCCTCTCCTTCCGAGCTCAGCTCCCCCTAACTTCCCTGATTAAGCAATTCCTCCTAGTATTCGTTCTTATGGAAACTTGTCTCTTGGAAACACTCCAGTGTTAATTACACAATCAATGTCACTACTGTCCATTTCCCCCACTAAACCGTCAGCTCCATAAGGGCCAGGACCACACCTTTTTGGTACTGCTGTTGCTCTTGTGCCCACGGTGCTATCTCTGATGTGGAGTGCAATGCCTGGCAAAAAAAGTCGACTCTCAAAGAGCCTTTGTGGAATAAATGAATAAGTAAAACTTTATGATAAACATGAAAAAGCTGAGGTTCCTCATGCCAAATTCCATGATTAAAGATGAGAAAATATTGTTGGTTTTTCTTTCTTTGCTTTTGGTAAGTCTTTTCCCTAGTTTCTTTTCCTGGAATCAGTTAATGCAACTAAAGAGTATGAGATCTGAACTCTGAGATCCAGCCCTACAAACAAAATGCAGTATTTGTAAACATTTAGCCCTGGACACTATGCCAAAAAGCTTGTGTTGGAGTGAAATACCGCCATGTGGCATGGAGCTGTGGAGATTTTCTTTGTGTGTTTAAATTGAATTGGGGGCTTTGGGGCATTCCTGGAAAGCCCCTCCCTCTGAAAAAAATAAAAATGTTTTCGAATCCTCTATAAACTTCCATGTCTGAACCAATTCTCAATTTCTACCCCTTCCTACTGCAGAGTTCAAAAGTGGAAGTTCCTCTTGCTTAACTTCTGGAACTCAATTTCACTGTAATCTGGGCTTTTCTTTCCAGTACAGAGGTGAAATAGGTCAGTCTTTCAGTTAAACTTCCAATCCACAGTTTATTAGTGCTGAATCCATAAATCCTCAAGGAAGCATTAGCAATTGAGAAAGAATGAACAGTTTTGATAGGGACACATTTTCTTCCTTCAATCTCAGCTAGAAATCAGAAATGCTTACCCATCAGCAAAGCTAGTAAGCCAGCTTCCAGCCCATGGTCAGCTTCCAGCCCATAGCCTGCACATCTTCTCAACATAGGAGAAATGTGTGATGTGAATGAAAGGATTAAACTAGCAATGTCTTTATGACTCTATGACCTAGCAATAAGCTCCATGAAGGCAAATACTTCTACCTGCATTATTCAGAGCCCAAAAAAGTTTCTATCTCTCACTCAATGAATATTTCTTGAATGATCAATGAGTAAATGAGGGTGGGAATTGAAGACTTAGTTTCAGACACTTTTCTAAACATTGTGTATGTATCCATTTATTTCATGCTGACAACCCCCTACAAGGTGACAACTATTGCTATGCCTGTTTTCAGATGTAGAAACCATAGAGAGATTAAACAACTTGTAGAAGGCCATCAAGCTTGACAGTCATTTTTCAGGTGGCCAGCCAATGGTCCCCACTCTGAGGATCAATGAAGCCAGTGCTTTCCCAGGCAGTGGCCTCCAGGTAGACCCATGCCCCCATATGCCCACACCACCAGGAGGACACTGGCCTCAGGTCCAAATTCCCTTGCCAATTGCCACCCGACCCTATATATCTTCCTAGACATCTGGGCTTGGAGTGTACTTGCCTGGCACCTACCATGATCACGCTCATTATAAGAGCATGTTTCTACTAATGTATGACCTACAGTATACTGAGTTAACCATTGTGAAGAGTATCTATTAAGCAGGGCAAGTAATTGGTAGGAGCAACAAGACATTTGAGACAGAAGAAGAAGTTGTGCTTTGCTAATGTATATTTTGTATATATTGCTGACTTCAGTAGCTGGTGACTATGAAACAGAATCTACTTTATTTTAATACATAAGGAATTACAGCCCACGCCCCTGGGCCTACATGCTCACCTGGGAATGCGCTCTGTGTGGATTCCACCCTGACTTCTTCCTGCAGCTGTGCTGCTGCCTCTGCTTCCCTGGACACTGCATCTCCCTGGGACCCCATAATATCTTGAGAGGAACACTGCTTTCCTAGTTCCACCAGCACAAATGACAGTAGCTATGACTTCTAACAGGAATGCACAGCAGGCTGAAGGTTAGCAGAAAGAGGATAGCCCCTCCTAGAAGTGGGGGTCACAGTCCCTCCTAGAAGTGAGAGTTCACAGATCCAGGGCTCCCACCAGACTTCAGCAGCCCTGCCCAGCTTCCCCTGCCCAGGGTGCCCACTGTCAGAAACCAAGTCTGCCTCCATCAGTGGGAATCTTATTAGCTCCGAACTTCTGAATCCAAACTTCACTTCCTCCTGGCCAGTAGTGAGGTCCTTTCTCAGGCCAACGCTCACCTCCTAAAGAAGAGCCACAGCTATTTCCTGCAGGGTGTGTCCCATTTCCCACCCTCTAGGGTCTAACTCAGAAAAGCTGAACCAAACAGTGACAATAATTCACAGAGCAATACCAAAGTCTGGCTTATTCAGTCCTAAATAACACCAAGTGTGGGAATCCGCCAGCCCAATTCCAGAAACTCTGTGCTGAGCCCAGTTTCATTGTCTTCCCTCCCACAGGAGGAAAAAAATGAAACAAAACAAAACAAAACAAAAACAAAACAAAACAACAAAACAGAAAAAAAAAAAGAAAAGAAAAGGCTGCTAGTTCTTCATGCCATGGTCCAGTTTTCCAATTCACCATCCAAAGCTCACACAAGAACTCTCTCATACCCACACCCTCTAAGAATAAGCAGTAATTTTTAAGCATAAAGCAATTTAAATCATGATTCAAGGGGGGTGGGGGGCCAGGAAATCCCTGCGTATGATTCTGCAAGAACACAATCTTGGTAATGCCTACAGTTCGTACTACTCCATGGGATGCTGATCAGCTCAGCACGAAGCATCTGCCCCTATGATATGCCTCGATACTCACGGGTTTATCAGGGCTGCACTAGGTCACTCCCGTTTGTTCTTCCAAATCCACCTTCCTTCCCTCTTCGCCTCGCTGTCTGCCATGCTGACCTGTTTAGATAACAATGAGCTCTCTTGCCCTCTGAATTTCAGTTATTTGTTTGGCCAATGACGAATACTGATGAAGATCAGGAGGACTGAGTTTGGAATCCTTAGTGCTCCCGCTCTCTCCCTGTGGGGTCACCAGGAGCTGGCTGTGTTCCTCCAACTGAAGGCTGCTGATCCAGTAAAGGTATCCTTCCCTAGATGATTTTCCCATGTCCCAGTCTCCACCCCCTCCCCTTGTCACTTTGGGTGCAGGGGTGGTAACAGGACTGGGCTATTAAACTATTCCTTGGAGTTTCCCCAAAACTTTGTAAACAGTCCCTTTATCATCTTCATCTGGGATGCCAACCATTTCCTGTTGGGACACTGATTGATGCAAGGGCTTTTCCAGGAATAGCTCACTATGACTGAGAGAACTGGATGGCATGGGTTTATAGGCAAGCAAAGAAAAGATCTTCCAGTAGCTTCATGAAACTGCTGAAAATCCCTGTGTATGACAGTGTTGGCACATCCAGTTTTCTTCTCTTCTATCTCCACCTGACATCCCTTCCTCATGCTATAGCTGGTTTGTTCCCAAATACAATAAAGAAAAGTATCTGAAAGGAAACAATGCAGGTCTTGGCACCTATAGGCAAAATACATTATTATACTTGTTTTCGTATGACCTGGAAAAGAAACAACATGAAAAGAAGAGGAATTTTATTATGAGCTGGACAGCCTCCATCCCTTCTAAACTAATATTAGGACTTATTGCTTTTGAGTCTATTTTATATAAAATATTGGCCATAGGCATGTTTTCTCTTTTATAACCACTCACCCTGCATATATTATCAGATGTTTAGCCATGCACTAAGATTCTGTTGTATTTTTAAATTTTAGTGTTTCTCAAATGATTTGAAAATCTTCATTTACAGTAATGCTTAAAGGGTCCACAGATATGATAATTAACCAAGAAATGGTAATTCTGTTTGTCTTATGAACTACTCCTGTGAGACCGGGGAGCTACCTGCTATCTTGGGGAAATATTCAAGAGAACTAGATGTAAACAGCGAGATACACACAAAGAAAAACTTGGGGGCAACATGGAAAAGGAAAGGCTTTGGGCAGCCTGTGTGCATGGCCTGCTGGAGACATAGATGAGTACGGCCATCTAGCATCACTGTGATCTGTTTTAATACAGGCTTACATTTTGAGTTTCCCATTTGTCTCTCAGAGGGACCCGGCACACTGATAGTGGCTAGAGCAGAGATAAGAAGAGAAGAAACCCTGTTAGCTCCCTGCTGGGAGTCTTCAGTTCTCCAGGGAAGGATTACACAAGTCAGCGTGAAGAGCGCCTGAGACATTGATTTCCCACCACCTGCAAACCACGTTTACCTCTCTGGGTTTTGTTCATGGAACAAAACCATAAGATGGAATTGAGTTCATGTCAGAATTGCCTTAAAAGTAACTATGATGGTCAATTCTCTGGGTCACCTTGACTGGCCATGGGGTGCCAAGATTAAATTTCCTTCTGAGTGTGCCTGTGAGGGTGTTTCCAGGTGAGATTGGCATTTGAACCAGTGAACTCAGTAAAGGAGATGCCCTCCCCAAGTGGTTGGGCATCATTCAATCCCTGGAGGGCCTGAGCAGAATCAAAGGCAGAGGAAGCAGCAGTTTGCCCCTTTTTGCATCATCACTGACTGCTTGGGTTGGGACATCTCATTTCATCTTCTCTGGCTCTAGGTACCTTCCATAGGAAGCATCATGATCATCTGTCATTCAGTCGCTGATAGATGCCAGGAACTGCACAAGGTACCTAATACACATTTTCTGGAGTCTCCCCAGCAACTTTGGAAGTCAGGTTTGATATTCACCACTTTACAGAAGTGGAGACCAAGGACCAGAGAGAAGGGGACCCCATCTACCTGCAAAGCCTCAACCTCCCTGCTCCACACTGTCAGCTTCCCAGATTCTCAGGCCTTTAGACTGGGACTGAATTACAGCCCCAGCTTTCCTGGTTCTCCAGCTTGCACATGCTAGGTCCTGGGACTACTCAGCCTCCAGAATCATGTGAGCCAATTCCTCATAATAAACCTCCTTTTATATCCATATAGAATGTGTACATCTCCTGCTGGTTCTGTTTCTCTGGAGGACCCTGACTAATACAGTGATGAACACAATTTTTCTCCTCATTGGTTTTCAGGTGATTGAGATCATCTTGCTCACTGATCAGATCATCTCAAATCTACCAGGAGCGCTTGGCCAACCTTCCATGGGTTTCTCACATTCTCTGAACTTCTGTTTCCTCAGAGGGAAAATAGAGACAATCTTCAGATCACCGAGTTGATGTGAGGAGTGAGTAAGATAATAAATATGTAGGTATCTGACACAAAGGCTGACACAGAAGGAGCGCACTAGGATTTCACAGTATAATAATAGAGTGTGAATTTCAGCTCCAAACTGTCTTACTCTTTCTATTCTACGAAATGCCTGCCATTCGCTCTCTAGGCATTTGCTGAGCATTTGGTCCCTGAATGGAGAACCCGACGAGGACATCAATTCTGCTTCTGTGACCAGCTGCTGCGGAGGGTTTCCACTCTGTTCCCTAGCAGCCATCAGGTCTAAAAAGGATTGCAGATAGTTCTTGGCAAGACTTGACTAACTGGAAGTGGTGGAGACCCCAACCTACAAAACATGTAAAGAGATGGAAAAAATAGAGGCCAATTCTCCTACAGAAAGAGGACTCCAGGGAAAATCACTAAGCAGCTTCCATAGGAATCGTAGTGATCATCTGCTATGGAGTCACTGCTTGGTGCCAGGAGTTGCAGCAGGGGCCTCATACACATTTCCTGGAATCTCCCCAGCAACGCTGGAAGTCTGGTTTTATAATCGGCACCTTACAGAACTGGAGACTGAGGACCAGAGAGGACAGGACCCTGTCCATCTACAAAGCTCCATCCTCCCTACTCTACCCATGCCCTCCCCTGAGAGCTGAATTGCTGTTAAGAAATAAAAAGAGGCCTGTTCTTTCTGTGTCGGAGGTATATTGCTAGGAACAATGGGTGGAAGTCACAGGACGACAGATCTCAGCTCCACATCAGGAGGAGCTCTGTAACTCCGGGGTGTTCCCAGACAGAAGGCTCTGCCTCCCAAGATGAAATTTCCCCTTGCTGGAGATACTTGAGCTTTGTTTGGAAGACAGAGTTTGGAAAGGAGACTTGAGACCGAAAGAACACCTGTACCAGATAGCTTTGAAGGTTCCCTCTACCCCTGCTAAAATTTGTTGCCTGGGAAATAATAATTTCCCAAATTCAGGGGAGAGAGAGTTACTTTTGCTTCTTCCTCTTGTTCCTCCAGTGACTGAACAAAATGCCCTAGGGAAGAGCTTCCCCCAAGTCCACCTCTAACACAGCCCATAAGTTGAAGGATGATTAGCTCCGGAGATTGAAATAAGCCCTGAAACTGATTCCAACTTCTTAGAATAGGTGTGATTTTAGCTTGGAAGTGTCCTAAGTCATCAGTCTCAAGAGCAGTACCACTTGGCAGGCTCTTTAATCCCTACAGTCATGCATTGGGGAGTATTAATTCAATATCTCCCCAAAGCTTAGCAAAATAAAATGAAACATAAACTGTAAAATAACACAACTTTCTTGCATACAAAGCTTTAAAAAGAAAGCCAGCAAAAGTGTTTTAAACAACTCACAGAGTCCACATTGTATTGTGGAATTCTTTTTAATGAAGCTGTTATTATGCTACAAGAATGCAATAAAACATCTGAAACCTGAAATTTCCTATTTTTATCACCTCCTGTAAAATTTTCAAAAGGGCCAAAATGATTTGTTTCAAAATGCGTATAGGAATAATTGGATTGAGAGTTTTCATGCCAACTTTCCATTTGGAATGAAATCTAGAGACTGTTACTTCATAAACCAATGAAAATATGAGCATAAAATGAAAAGGGCAAAATATTATAGAATATAAGTATAATCAAACATAACATACCCGGGAAGGAACTACTGATTTACCATCTCCCAGTGTGTGGCTCAGCACAGGGACCTCTTTTATATAACAAAGTGCTCACAAATAATTGGTTTTACCTGAATCCCCTAATTACTTCTGGAAAAAGAAATGCTATATGCATGAATTTCTGCACACAAACACATAATGTGAAGTGCTGATCCCACACTGGTTAATTTTGAAACAAAATATTATTCTGAATTGTTCATGAAGATGATATGCCTGCTCCCTTAATCTTCTGTTTGCAACACAAATCTCAGCTAATCCTTAGTACAAACTGGCAAAAATCTAATCCTTGGCTGCTAAGCAAATGCATTTTAGCAACAAATTGTGTATGAGAAGTTTATTTAAGATGTGATTTCTTGTAACTGTTCTTGCCAAATGACCAGATAGTAATCATACCCTCAAATGTGTAAGTATACAGGAAGATATTACTTATTTTATGATTTTAGATTTAATTTTCAACTCACATCATTCTTAAAGCCATTCTTAAAGATTGGTCACTTAGGGAATGGACAAAGTCTCTCCTCCTTTGCAAATCAAGTTTCTGTGTTCAGTGGAAACCTTTTCCAAAGCATTCATCTCTGTCAGCATACCCAGTGCATGCTCTGTCATGAACAGCTCCCAGCATTAAGTGGAGCAATTCCGTCTACCATCTGGCTTTGTGAGCAAAAAGCTTTTTTTATATAAAAATATGAAACTAAGCTACCCCCGTCTAGACTTACAATCTTTCCAAGGACATTGTCCATCTCCCCATTCATTCCAAATGGATGAAATTTTAGATGGAACAGTAATAAGAGGTGAAAGGTTTGGAATCTTATTTAATATGTTTACTTGAATTGTTTCTAAAGAACATAGGAGTTGGGATCACTTTTTTAAAAGTACCACTGTCCCTCAGAAGCTACTCAATATTTGCTTTTACTATGTGACAATTGAGCACATTTTCAAAAATACAGTAGGAAACACTGTGTAACAGAAGCAACATGGATCTTATTTAGCTGTTGCAGATGTTGGTGGTTAAAACTACCCGACTTTCACTGGTTGATCTGGAATTAGATCTCCTATCCTTTGGTAACAGTTCTAACCACATAAGTTTATACTAACACTCTGGATAAAATCACAGTTGGAAAAAAATAAACCTAAAAAGTCACTAAAACAAGAATGAGTCTGAGCTCTCTTTCATTGTTCTTTTAACTCAACCTATTTGCTGCATGTGCAAGGTTGAGTTTGTGTTTCAGTCATGGAGTTGGTTTTGTTCTCCATTTTTCTTCAGCACCCACCCAGGACAAAGTACGCTGTATGCCGGCAAGTGTGGTCAAGACCATATAACCTGAGTTCTTCCTGCTCTTGCTGCTGTGAAAATTTTAAACTGATTTTTTAACACTTAAACTGCATGAAAACACTTTCTTTTAAAAAACAGTATTGTTTTTGTTTTAAGAAAATTAAATGGAAATCCATTAGGGGAGCAAGGAATATTCTCATCTCAACCGGGTAAAAACCCACAGAAACTGAGGCCACCGAGATGCCAACTTATCAGTGCAGAAATAAGCTTAGAATCTGAAGGATAAGATGTAATTCTGCATAAAACTAAGCTTCAGTACAAGAATATCCTGTTTCAGACCTAGTTGCACTGATCATCAATCAGTGTTGCCTACATGATCATGGTAAACCCAAAGTATGAGCAATACAACACGTTTGAGTTGTCTGGCTTAATGTCCTTCGGCCAGAAAGCTGCGGGTTCTGACCTCCAGCTCCAGATCCTCCAGCTAGAAGAGCAGCCCTGGAGAATAAGCAAATGCACGCATGTTGGGGCCAGATTGCTAGGGTGGAAGCCGCACCCCTTGCTTACTTGTTAAGTGACTTTGAGCAAGTTACCTAACTTCTCTTCTGTCTCAGTTTATCAGCACAGTGAATGTTACAATAGCACCTACCTCATAATGTCATAGGGAGGATTTAATGAGTTAACATTTTACATATTAAAAAAAAAAAAAAAAAGAATGAAGGCCTTTCTTTCAGCCCCAGATCTGTACTACTGCCATTTGGGGAAGAAGAATTTTCCTAGGACTCATGAAATACAAATTTTAAAAAGCTGTGTCCAACAAGAGCTGGAGTTACAGTATCACACACCATTTCCACCTCCTGAAGTGCTCCGTGCTCTCTGTCACACTTCTCATTCTGCTCTTTAACATCCCAGTATTATGAAAATCCACCCAGTTCCTTACAAAACTACCTCTCACCCTCCTTCCAGCAGCTCAGAGTTAAACTTGCAGAGGTTTAACAGTGGAAAGGAGAAAGAGCTGACAATTCGTTTATTTTTATGATGCCTTCCTATCAATGTGAACATTTGATTTTAGCCCAAGGCCACATGAGTCAGGGCAAAATTTTTAGCAGCAGAAAGGTCTTCCCAGGCCTCTGCATATCACAGCAGCTCACCTCATCCCTCTTAAGACCGTTTCCAGTCTCAGAAATACAAGCTAAACCCTAATATTGTACTATATTTTTTTTAGTACAGCATGTTGATTTCACTCAAAAGGGCAATCACCGTGACTAATATCAATCTTACAGTATCAACTTCATTTACATCACACCTCAGGTATAATGAGAAATGATTTTATTTTTCATTAACTATATTTTTATGTATAATAATAGAAAATACCTAAAAGGCTTGACTGTACACATTATGAAATTCTATTGATACACTATAGTTGTAATTTCTTATGTATGTAATAATCAAATAATAAAGAATAAGTATCTCAAGATTGGGGACTATCTGTTGTGGTTAAAATAAAAGTTTAACCTCCTTCAAATAATAAGTAGATGTCTTCTCTCATTTTATATCTGTTCAGCCCCTATGAGAGCGCGTGTAGCTGTAGCTCTTGGAACCAACAAGCAAATGGGTGATTTGCCTTACTTACCACTAGGGGGGGTGAAAGCTAAGTTAGTGACCCGGGCTGCAGGAGTCCAAGGAAGAGAGAGAAGTGGGGGAAAGGCAATGAACATAACGCCAAATAAAGGGAAAAAGAAGAGGAGCGGCAATGCGGGAAGGAAGGGGGAGGAGATTTGCTGGACTCAGGGATGTTTAGGGGTCCGTCATCAATTTCTTCAGATCCCTCATTAGATGGCCCCATAAGTAATGGCAGCTTGGTGGGAGCCTGCCAAGGGCAAGGGACCTTCTGCTTCCTCTGTCATCTCCTCACCTCTGCAGTGAGTGCAGTGAAAAGTCCCAGGTTCCTGTTGAGAACTGGGATTTTTGAGGACTTATCGCCTTTGACCTGTAACCTACTGATAAAGTGCTTGGTTTCATTTTGTTTTCTTGCTTAAAATCTCCTATAATCTCAGTGAGATAAAATGGCGGGGGGGAGGGGATACTGGGCTAGGAAGAGGGAGTGTTGTGTGGGTGCAAATCAAGCCGCAGCGCCCAGCCTCAGTAGAAATCAGCATTGCACCTCCATGCTTAAAAACAATATATCTTCTTCCAAAAGTCATGTCACAGTCCACGTTTCCCAGAAATAGTGGCAAAAGTCCCTGTTGAAATGGATTGTTCATTGTCTGGTTTGAGACACTGACAAGAATAAACCTGCTGAGGCCAGCTGGGCTTTTGTCACTTTGGTTAAAAGCAACATTATTCCAGTGGGAAGGGATCCCGGGAGGAGGAAGGAAGGAGACCAGGAGGAAGGCCACTGGGGCAGAAGGACTGGCCTCCTGGAAGAGTCAGCCACCCAAATTACCAAGTTCAAGGGGCCATCTGATCCACACCAGGGGCCCAGAACTTTTCTCCATGGGAGTCTTTTGTGCCAAGCGAGTCTGAACTCTCCCCTGAAGACAATGGGAAACCTCTGACAATTTTTAATCAGGCAACTGATATTATTATAAAACAGCCATGTCTTCATGCTATCTTACCATTCTAATTCCTAGCATAGCATCTATCCATTCATTCGCTTGTTTTAAATGCCTGTCTTCCGGCTAAAATGTAAGTTCTGTGAGAGCAGGAACTTTGACTGTATTGTTCATCACAGATGCCTAGAAAATAACCTAGGTGGGACACTGCAAACGTTCCATAAATATTTTTCGATGAATAAAGATTCATATTTTAGAAAGCTTCCTCTGGTAGCTTTGTAAGAGCTGTGGATAATGGACTGAGGTAGGGGGGCGGGGTGGAAAGAGAGAGCAGAATTAGACACCAAGGCAAAAAGTAGGGAACATGCACGAATTTAACGCATGTCCACTTCCAAACAGGTTGTGATATTGGTGCTGGGAACTGAAGTACAGAAGCCTGGATCCACAACGTACGAGCCATGGGGACTTCCATACAAGGCATGCACAGGTATCGTACAGATATAGGACTTGGGGGTCGAATCGGGAAGTTGGGGAGGTGATGCAAACAGGTGGGAAGTCCAAAGAGGACTGGTACAAACAGAAGGATAAACCAGTGGGTGGGAATCATGGAGATCCGAGGACAGGGCACAGCATCTGTAGTAGGAAGTAGATGCAACACTCCCCGCAGCCCCATCCCCCCAAAGAAAGGCAGACCCAAGAAGAAAAAGCCTGAGAATAGAAACCTTGGAAGAATAAATGTATAAAAGGGGGCAGACAGATTAAAAGGAGTGAAAAAGGGGCGGTTGTGGCTGCTGTGATGCCCAGGCAGACGCTGTCATCCTCTCCACAGCTGAGAGTGTTGGTGGGTTGGGGGGTGGTTGTCAGGGCTCCCCACTGGGTCCCTTCCTGGAAACGGCTCCCAGCTGAAGACAGCCACCCTGCCCAAGTTCATAGCACCATCCCAGGGGCAGCTGCATCCAATGACTGGTGCACAAAGGTGGGATGCAGAGGCCTGGCCCCTTGCCTCATGGTGATACAGCTCTGGGAGGCCCTCCCAGGTCAGACTCCATGCAAGATTGACCGATTCCTCTGCTGCAACTGCAACAAAGCTCAACATCTCCTTCTGCCCAGTGTTACCGCGTTTACTCCTTTATAGGTATAAGCACTAAGATCACTCCCCAAAAAACTTCTCATGGAAATTTTTACCTGCAAGTCTATTTCCCAGAACTCAACTCAATACAGTTGGTGCCAAGAGTGATCCAAGAAGATGGACTCTGAAGTGGAACTGCAGAGCTGGCTCATCCTCCTGCTGGCTGGCAGTGAAGCCCCGGCCCTGGCTTGCCGGAGAAGTGCAAGTGTCAGAACTTTCACTGGTGATGACCTGGGGTGGGAAAGAGGTGGGAGAGAATACCCTGGTAGATGGCAATCTCCCAGGCTTTTGGGAGTTAGAGAAATTACCAGTCCTGAGAACAATGGACTCTAATGGCTCTGGCTGAGTCACTGGAGGCATTAGAGAAAGACAAAGTGAGGCTCAGGGCTGTGAATCATCATTGAAAGGAAAGTGTGAAAGGGAGAAAGCCTCACTGGAGGCATCGGAAGAGACTCATCTCCTGTAGCAGGAGGACTGAAAAATCTAAGGATAAGGCCCAGGAATTAATTATAAGAATAGCAGCACTTCAAAAAAATTTGAATTCTTAGCTCTGGTTAGTCTGGTTATGGCTATGACAATGTCAGGGGCCTATTAGGGATGAGAGAGACAACAGAATTAATGCTCTCAAAACCTCAACTCTTGAGGTTGGGCACAGTGGCTCACTCCTGTAATCCCAGCACTTTGGAAGGCCCAGGCAGGCAGATCACCTGAGGTCAGGAGTTCGAGACCAGCCTGGCCAACATGTGAAACCTGGCCTCTACTAAAAATACAAAAAATTAGCTAAGCGTGGCAGTGTGTGGCTGTAGTTCCAGCTACTCAGGAGGCTGAGGCTGAGGAGAATCGCTTGAACCTGGGAGGTGGAGGTTGCAGTGAGCCAAGATCACACCACTGCACTCCTGCCTGGGTGACAGAGTGAGACTCTATCTCAAAACAAAACAAAACCTCAACACTCCATTCAGAGCCCTCCGGGCCTACAGAGGTGGCCCTGACCTCCCTGTGAGAGGCTGTGCTCTGCCCTTGCTTGAACATGGTATAGGAATCTCTGCATTGCAAGACAACACAGTGCTCCTCAGGACCCACCCCCACCTCCTGCCTTGACCAGACCCATCACTAGAGTCAAGTGAGACAGCATGTGGAGGGGAAATGCAGAGCCTGCTGAGCAAAGGAAGGAACCATGTGCCTAAAGGCGGCAGGCCAACGTGCAATGGCCAAAGCCAGAGACTCTTCATGGGACTGAATGAGGGGGATGAATCAAAGCAGGGGAAGCATGAAGTTGGAAAATGATGAGTTTATTTATATGGGCACAGTCTACTGTAATAGATGATTTGCCACCCTGGCAAGGACTCTGGGAGATGTTTTCATCACACTGCTAGGATGACTCCTGGAACTTTGGAGAAAATTACAGCCCACATTAAGTAAAGATGAAATGCCACAAGTGTGTGATAGATGATGGAAGAAGAAATAAAACAGATCTTAATCCTTGAGTCAGTTTATCTGACCCAGAATCCACTAATTCAAAGGGAGGTCAGGTTCTCAGGAGCACCCATGGCAAGGGAACACAGTTATGGTTCCAATGGTTCTTTGCCAAATGTGCCTGTGGTCACTTGTTTAAACAACTATACAGTGGAAAAGCAGAATATGCAAACATTTTGAGAAATGCTGGACACAGGGCCTGAGCTGACATTCACACCCAGAGAACTCGGGATTCCTTAGGGCCCTCTATTGGAGTAGGGTGCTTGTGGGCCAGGAAATAAATGGAGTTTCAGCCCTGATCTGGGTTCCAATGGTCCATTTGACTGAAATGCAAGTCAAAACTACAATGAGATATAATTCCACCCTGGTTAAAATGGTTTTTATCCAAAAAATTGGCAATAACAAATGCTGGAGAGGATGTAGAGAAAAGGGGACCCTCTCATACACTTGGTGGGAAAGTAAATTAATACAACCACATTTAAAATACATTTAAAATGTACAAATACATTTAAAAATAACTACAATGGTATAATTGGGTTGTTTGTAACACAAAGGATAAATGCTTGAGGATATGGATACCCTACTTTTCATGATGTGATTATTTCATATTGCATGTCTGTATCAAACTATCTCATGTACCCCATAAATATATATACCTACTATGTACCCATAAAAATTTTTTTAAAAGAAGTGTGTAGAAGCTTTTTGAGATTTGCTTTAATATAATCTAGTTAGAGAAGCAAAGAGGGAGAGTTGTGGTGAATATAAGTGAAAATGAATTGGCCATGATAATTATGAAGTTGAGTAACGGGTACAAGGAATTTCACTTATATTTTCTCTACCTTGTATATATTGGAAATTTTTCATAATAAAAAGTTAAAAAGCAGAAAGGAAGTGGATATTGATAAATACTGTTTAGATGGCAAATAGAAAACCAGGAAGCCAAGGCTTACCTTTCCCTCATCCCACCATCTTCAGCACCAGGAGTATAGCAATAAACGAAACAGGTAGAAAATTTTGGCCTTATGAAGATTATGTTCAAGTGAAGAGAGACAGACAATAAACAAAATAATTAGAACTGGGTAGGTATTTTGTGTACCTGTGTGTAAATTTGCTTCTTCTTCTTTCCTCCCTTCAGGGTACAAGATGTAACCTTTGGAGCATATAACTGGTTCAGTGATTGATAAAGTGCAGAAAATATTATATGGAAGTACTAGGGTCACAGATTCCATATACAAGCTCTTCCTGCACCATGCTGTTAGGTGTCCCCCAATCTGACTATAAAGCAGGAATATAGTTTCCTCCTCTTCAAATCTTGCATGACTTAATGCAGGGAAAGTATCACACAAAGAGAACCGAAACCCAACTATACATTCCACTGGATTGGTTTTTACTGGAGGCTCTGCAACACGCCAGATGGTTAAGCAGCTCCATACCTACAGCCTCTGTCATTCGAGGTGGCTGGGAGGACCAGAGTCTCCCAAGCTATTAATCAAAAGCTCCATTATGTGTCATTGGCTCTGATTGGGTCATGTCTAGCTATTGTCACCAGATGAATACAGTGCACTGACTGATTTAGGACTAGATCTCATGCTCCCTCACTGAACTGAGGGCAGATTCTTGCTCACGGTCATGAACTAATCATGTATGAATGGCAGGACTTGTTTTGACAGTAGAGTTGACAGCAGTTGATGATGAATTTTAAAGAAATAATAGAGGAATGATTTTCAATAGGGGTGTCACCACTCAGAAGGGAGTTTTGAAAATTTATGGGATTATTTCTGATTGTCAAATCATTAAAGGGGAATGACTGGAATTGAGTAGTGAGGAGCCAGAGATGCCAGATATCATGCCAATGTGCAAAGGTGAAATAACCCTTTGTCCTACACAACTTTTGTAAATCTCGTCCAAAATTAGGACTGAATGTATGGATGGTCTACAACCTGGTAGAGTTGCAAAGAAATGTGTTTTCTATGACACTCCATACCACTCTGACCCACATCATAACAAAAAATTCTTTTTATCTATATTTACAAATAATAAGGTTGCCCTTATTTATAAGATTACCATACTTCCTCATTTTTGTCACTTTAATGGCCTGAGTCTGTAACCTATTGTCTTAGTCTGCTCAAATTGCTATTAAAAAAAATCACAGACTGGGTGACTTAAACAAAAGAAATGTATTTCCCACAGTTGTTGAGGCTGGAAGTCCAAGATCAAGGTGCCAGTAAATTAGGTTTTATTCTAAGACCTCTTTTCTTGGCTTGTAGGAGCAGCCGTTTCACTGAGTGCTCATATGATCTCTTGCTTGTGTGCACCTGGGTTGGGAGAGGAGGGAGAGCTCTCTAGTCTCTCTAAGCCTCATGGATCTTGACCATTTTTAACCCCTGTTCCCTCCTTATGGTCCCCAACTCCAAATACGGTCACATTGGCTGTCAGGGCTTCAGCACAGGAATTTAGGTCCAAACAAAACATTCAGTCTGTAACATTTGTCTTGACGTGCTATTCATGTGTATTAGTCCGTTTCCATGCAGCTGATAAAGACACACCCGAGACTGGGTAATTTATAAAGAAAAAGAGGTTTAATAGACTCACAGTTCTACGTGGCTGGGGAGGCCTCACAATCATGGTGGAAAGTGAAAGGCACGTCTTACATGGTGGTGGCAAGAGAGAATGAGAGCCAAGTGAAAGGGGAAACCGCTTATAAAATCATCAGATCTCATGAGACTTATTCACTACCAAGACAACAGTGTGGGGAAAACTGCCCCCATGATTCAATTATCTCCCAATTATGAGAGCTACAATTCCAGATGAGATTTGGGTGGAGACACAGACAAACCATATCACCATGTATTCAGTTAAGGTTATTTCCCTCATCTTCTTATTTTATACCCTTGTGGAGAAAAAATCCACAGACTAAGAAACGCCTTCAAGATTTTCCTCAGGGTCATTGGAGAAAGAAGGGCTTCAGGCATTCAAGTAGGGCAGATGGAACATCCTGAGGCTGAGCAGAGAAGGAAAGAGTGGAGTTATCATCAAAACTTCACACATTTGAGGGGGGAAACACTGTTTAAAAGGGCATTGAGGATATACATTTTTTAATATCATAGCATTTGTCAAGGAAGACATGTAGGTTCTATAAACAAATCACAGTGTTCATCCAGGGAACTAAAGCATCAAGGATCTTATTCTTAGTTAAGATTTTTAACTTAGAATAAATGCCATGAAGATT
This sequence comes from Homo sapiens, assembly GCF_000001405.40. Lineage (NCBI taxonomy): Eukaryota > Metazoa > Chordata > Mammalia > Primates > Hominidae > Homo > Homo sapiens. The sequence goes on along the minus strand of NC_000013.11, from coordinate 106,613,384 downwards.
GTTTGGCTGTAGAAGGGATGATTTTTTAAAATAAATATTGGAATAACTCTGGTTATCCTAAAACTAGTTTTAACCTAACCTTGGCTTTTAATCCAGGGTCTACTTGGCTCTCTGCTCTTTCTCTGCCCTGAACTTTCTGTTGAGAATGATTTCTGATCTTACGCCTCTCATATCCAAATAATTCTCTAAGAGTAGATGCAAGCATCTCACTTCTTCATTGTGGATTATATTAGTTATCTGTTGCTGAGTAACAAATTATCTTAAAGGATTTGGTGGTTTAAAACAACAAAATTTACTATCTCAGTTTCTGTAGGTCAGGAATTCAGGTACAGCTCAGCTGGTTTCTCTGGCTCAGGGGCTCTGATAAAAGGTGCAATCAACTGGGGATGGATCCATGTCTAAGCTCACACATGTGGCTGTTGGCAGGATTCTGTTTCTTGCAGACTTTGGGACTGAAGGCCTCAGATCCTCCCTGGCAATGTGCCCGAGGTTGCACAGAGTTTGTTTCAACATAGGCCTCTCTATCTGGCAGCTTCCCTTATCAGAATAGCAAGGAGAGCCAGAGAGAAAACAGGGTGTGTGGGGGGAGTAGAGAGAGAGGATGGAAGTCACAGCTTTTATAATGCAATCAAGGAAGGGACATGCCATCACTTTTGCTGTACCCTCTTCATCAGAAGCAAGTTAGGTCTAACCCACTCTCAAAGGCAGGGAATGGCACAAAGGGATAACTGGGAGCCATTTCAGAAACTACTAACCTCATGTTCCAAGCATTTACGTATTAAAACGTATTATCCTATTACATGTTGCATACCTTTTATTTCTCCATTTTATTATGGCTAAGGCATTTTATTCATATTTTTACCAGGTGTGTAAGATATAATGTCAACAAATTTCATTTTGGAGGGAAAGAAAGGAGCAAAAATATTTGTTTTAAAAAGGGGGATGTTGAATCTGGCAGAGTTGTAGAATACTATCCTAGATGATGGATAGTTCTAATAGGATAATGTATTTGAGAGAGAGAGAGATTGACAAAATGAGGTAGAGACAGGAAAGAGAAGTCCTTGAGAAGCCAGAAGAGGTGGGAACCTGAACACATTAGAGGGGTTAGATTTTGATAAAAACAGAAAAATACGTATTAAAGAAACTCAGAGGGAGTAGGATAATTATTTTCAAATATCTGAAAGGCCATCTACATTAGACCGATTCTCCAGAGGGACAGAACTAATATAATAGATGAATATATAAAGGAGAGTTTGTTAAGGAGTATTGACTCACACAAACACAAGTTGAAGTCCCACAATAGGCAAGCTGAGGAGCAAGAAAGCCAGTCCAACTCCCAAAATCCCAAAAGTAGGGAAGCCGACGGTGCAGCCTTCAGTCTGTGGCTGAAGGCCCGAGAGCCCCTGGCAAACCACTGGTGTAAGTCCAAGAGTCCAAAAGCTGAAGAACTTGGGTTCTGATGTTCGAGGACAGGAAGCATCGAACATGAGAGAAAGATGGAGGCCAGAAGACTCAGCAAGTCATCTTCTCCCACCTTCTGCCTGCTTTATTCTAGCTGCACTGGCAGTTGATTAGATGGTGCCTACCAACATTGAGGGTGGGTCTCCCTCTCCCAGTCCACTGACTCCAATGTTAATCTCCTTTGGCGACACCCTCACAGACACACCTAGAACAATATTTTGCATCCTTCAATCCAATCAAGTTGACACTTAATATTAACCATCACATCATCCTGTGAAAGAAAATTATATTTGCTCAATGTTGCCCCAGTTGATAGAATTTAGACTAATGAATGGAAATTAGAAGGCATAATGGTACAAGAATAGGAAAGAAAACATGTTTACCCCTCAGAATCTTCTACTGTCCAAGATAAACAAGAATTCCCAGGAAATGGGTTTAAAAAACCTAATTGCATGCCCGAGTTGTGTTCTCACTTATGCTACCTCATCACATGATGGGAGCATTAGAACAAGAACTGACTGGAATAAATCCCATCACAATTCCTACCACCATGAGGTTCTCTGACTTCATGAACTGATTTTTGCTAAGAGACTGATTGTGAGGACATCTGAGCTAGATCATTTGTCCATTCTCAACAAGCTTTTTTGTTTGTTTGCTTGCTTTAGAAGAGAAGCTTTGCCTTTTTCATGTATGTACTGCTTGTATGGAAGCAGAAGTCAGCATCTTCTCCAAGCTTCAGATTCTACAGGGCAAAGACACTAAAAGCAACAACACAAGGCAAATGGTCAAAGTCCGAGAGAAGGCTAAATGCAATGATTCCTTCATTCAAAAGCATTTCTTGAATACCTTCTGTGTGCCAGTTCTGTGTTAATTATTGGAAACTGTGTGAGGGGTTGATTATAATTCTAAGCAAGATATCCTCATCTGAGTGAAATTACGTTCCTAACTAGGTCAGGGACACAGAAAGACCTAAGTAGAACTTCTTAACTACCTCCAAAAATTCCAGATGTGATAGACTGGGATCTTGATAAAGGTTCATTACTAAGTTAAGATGGTTTAAATTTGGACACAGATATGAAAAGTTTTTCTCTGAACACCCAGTGATGAGGCACAGAGCAACTGTCTGGAGTTGGCTGCCTAGAAGTAGAGCCTGAGAGAGGATGTTTGTAAGTGATTCATTGAGAGTCATCAGGGATGTGCAGGCAACAGGGTAGGGCAGGAGGCAAAGCTCAGTAAGAATGTGCATGATTTCAACTGGAGATGAGCTTCAGTCTGAACCTGCAGGGAGGCTCACTGCACCTTGTTGCAAGGGGGCAATGTTTACATCCTTGTGTCATTCAGTCATGGACTTTCACCCACAAGGATTTAGCAACTGGTTGTCACTTATGACCTTCATCAAATCAGGTTCAGTGATGAGGTGGGAACGTACCTATTGAGTGTGTCTAAGAGAGAGTGGGAAGGGAGAAATTGTAGACAGTGAGTGTAGACAAGTCTTTTGATCAGTGTATTAGTCCATTCTCACACTGCTATAATGATACTACCGGACACTGGGTAATTTATAAAGGAAAGAGTTTTAATTGGCTCATAGCTCCACAAAGCTGAGGAGGCCTCAAGAAACTTACAGTCATGGCAGAAGGCCAATGGGAAGCAAGAACCTTCTTTACATGGCAGCAGGAGACAGAAGTGCAACCGGGGAAATGTCAGATGCTTATAAAACCATCAGATCTCGTGAGAACTCACTCACTATCAGAATAACAGCATGCGGGAACTGCCCCCATGATCCAATCACCTCCCCCTCTCAACATGCTGAGGGGATTACAATTCAAGATGAGATTTGGGTGGGGACACAGAGCCAAACCATATGAATCAGTGATGCTGCAAATGGAAGCAGGGAAATGGGGAAGTGTAATTGGATACATACATGGGGTCAAGTGAGTCTTTGTAAAAAGGAAATAATTAGCTCATGTTCCTGTGTTGATATAGATCAACTAATAGAGTGGAAAAGTGGTGAGGCTGAGGGAGACAGAGAATTGAGGCAGTAGAAGGAGTAGAAGCCAGTTCACACACAGGGAGCTTGGCCTTAGTGAGGACAGCTTACTTCTAGCAACATGAGAAAAGATGGATCACAAGGGAATATGTGCACATAAATGGGGGAAGGTACTGTGGTGGGAGCATGTGAGGAGTCTCTTCTGATTGCTTTTAGCTTTTCTCTGAAATTAAAAGCACATCCCTGGTGGAGAGTGAGATGCTGGGACATTGAGAAAGTGAGAAAAGACGTGGGAGGTTTGAGGAGAGAAAAGAGAGTGAGAAAATAAATGGAATAGGGAAAGTGACAGTTATTAAATAAATAATTTTACTAATTCTAGCTTTTCAGTTGATGATTTGAGATTCCCTAGGCATACAGTCTGAAAACAATGATGTCTCTTATTCTTTCTGTATCACAGCATGTCCTTTATTTCTATTTCTTTCTGATTTTAGAAGCCATAATTCCACAACATGAAGTTCTGTTGATTTTTGTCTCCTAAGTATCTCTCATTCCAGCTGCTTCTGTGTCTTGGCTACCATCATGTCAGCACAAGCCTGGACACTACAACAGCCTCTTAATTAGTCTCCTGACGTCGTGTTTGGCCCTCTTCCATCCATTCTCTACACGAGGGCCCAGGTGATTTTTTTAATACACACATCTGATTCCTTCACCTTCATCCTAAACCCTACAATGGTTTCCCGCTGCCTGTTGGCTGAAGATGCTACACAATCTTCTCTCTGCCCATGTCACCATCCTTACATCGTACCTCCCCAATCACTCCCTGAGCAGCAGCCTATGTGGTTTTCCTTCTCAGCTTTCCCAGGAAACCACACAGTCTTCCTTCTGAAACGCCCATAGCCCTTCTCAATTTAGCTCAGAGTACCTCTTCGTCAATCATTTCTTGTAAAATATGAAAGATAAGTAAAGAGAAATGGAAAGCACATTGAGAAAATTAATATTAATATATGCATAATTGGTGTTTGTGGTGAAGAGAGAACCTGAAGAACAAGCAATATTTGAAGAGATACCAAGAATTTTCCATAAAGTCATCAGTACATATACTCAAGTACTCAATAAATGCCAAACAGGACAAAAAAAAAATCTATCCACATCACAGACAAAAAACCCAGACACATCACAGTGAAGCTGAAAAATGCCAATGACAATAAGAAAGCAATTTTTTAAGAGGAACCAGAATAAAAATACATTATTTTTTCTAGCTTTGTTGAAGCATAATTGACAAATAAAAATTGTTTATATTACAGAGTACGAAGTGATGCTTTCATGTATATGTGCATGGTGAAACGATCACCACAAATCAGCTGGTTAATATATCCATCACCTCACATAGTTATTGTGTGTGGGCGGGGGGATGGGTAACATTTAAGATCTACTCTCTTAGCAAATTTCAAGTATATCGTACAGTATTAACAATAATCTCCAAGCAGTATGTTAGCTCTTTAGAGCTTATTCATCCTGCCTTACTTGAAAGTGTATACCCTTTGACCAACATCTCCCCATTTCCCCCATTCTCCAGCCTCTGGCAAGCACCATTCTACCTCTGCCTCTGTGAGTTAGAATCTTTTAGATTCCACATATGAGTGAGACTATGCAATTTCTTTGTCCTTCTGGGCCTGGCTTATTTCATTTAACATAATGTCCTCCAGGTTCATCCATGTTGTCACAAATGGCAGAATTTCCTTCTTTTTTTTTTTTTTAAGACTGAATAGCATTCTGTTTAGTATGTACTATACTATATATTATATATGTTACATTTCCTTTATTTCTTCATCTGTCAATTGACAGTTGGGACTATTCTATACCTTGACTGTTGAGAATAATGCTGCAATGAACATGGGAATGAAATACCTCTTCAACATACTGATTTTATTTTCTTTGGGTACATATCAAGTATTGAGGATTGCTGAATCACATGGCAGTTCTCCTTTTAACTTTTTAGGAACCGCCATACTGTTCTCCAGGTAACCACACACTCTTAATTGGTAAAGGCTGTGCTAACTTACATTCCCACCAATGGTGTACAAAGGGTCTCTTTTCTTTGCATCCTCACTAACACTTGTTGTTTTTTGTCTTTTTTATAGTAGCCATTCTAATAGATATGAGGTGATATCTCACCGTGGTTATGATGTGCATTTCCCTAGTGATTCTGATGTTGAGCACTACTTCATATATCTGTTGGCCATTTGTATGTCTTCTTTTGAGAAATGTCTATTCAGGTCCTTTGCCCATTTTTGTAATTGGGTTATTTGTTTTTTTGCTATCGAATTGTTTGTGTTCCATGTATGTTTTGGATACTAATCCCTTATCAGACAGATGCTTTGCAAACATTTTCTCCCCTCCTGTAAGTGATCTCTGCACTCTGTTGACTGTCTCCTTTGCTATGCAGAAACGTTTTAGTTTGATGCAGCCCCATTTGTCTATTTTTGCTTCTGTTGTCTGTGCTTTTTGGGTCATATCAAAAAAATCATTGCCTAGCCCAATATAAAAAGTTTTTTCTTTATATTTTTTTCTAGTTGCTTTAAGATTTCAGGTCATACATTTAAGTCTTTAATTCATTTGAGATTATTTTTTATACAGTGTAAGATAAGGGTCCAGTTTTATTCTTCTGCATGTGGATATCCAGTTTTCCCAATACCATTTGTTGACAAGACTGTCTTTTCGCCATTATGTCTTCTTGGTGCTTTGGTTGAAAATTAGCTCACCGTAAATGGATAGATTTATTTCTGGGCTCTCCATTCGGATCCACTGGCCTATGTGTCTGTTTTTATGTCAGTATCTTGCTGTATTGATTACTATAGCTTTGAAATATACTTTGAATCAGGTAGTGTGGCCTCCAGCTTTGTTCATTTGCTCAAGATTGCTTTGGCTATTTTGTGGTTCCACACAAATTTTAGGATGCTTTTCCTATTTCTGTGAAAAATTTCATTGGAATTTTGGTAGGGATTGCACTGAATTTGTACATCACTTTGGATTAGTATGGATATTTTAACAATATTAATTCTTCCAATCTGTGAATATAGGATATCTTAAATTTATTTGTGTCTTCAATTTTTTTCAGCAATGTTTTATAGTTTTCAATGTAAAGCTCTTTCACCTTTTGGTTAAATTTATCCTAAATTGGCCTTTTTTTTTTTTTGGTTGCTATTGTAAATGAGATTGTCTTCTTTATTACTTTTTAAAATAGTATATTAGTCCATTTTCACACTACTGTAAAGAATTACCTGAGACTGGGTAGCTTATGAAGAAAAGAGGTTTTATGGACTCACAGTTCTATAGGTTGTACAGAAGCATGGCTGGGAGGCCTCAGGAAAACTTAACAATTATGGTGGAAGGCTAAGAGGAAGCACACACATCTTACACGGCCAGGGAAGGAGAGAGAGAACGAGAGGGTGAAAGTGCCACACATTTTCAAACAACCAGATCTCATGAGAACTCACTCACTATCACGAAAACAGCGTGGGGGAAACCACATCCATGATCCCATCCCCTCCCACCAGGTCCCTCCCCTGACATGTGGGGATTACAATTCGACATGAGATTTGGGTGGGGACACAGAGCCAAACCATATCAGATAATTCGTTGTTAGAATACGGAAACACTGCTGATTTCTGTATGTTGACTTGTATCCTGCAACTTTACTGAATTCATTTATTAGTTCTAACAGTTTTTTGGTGGAGTCTTTATGGTTTTTTATATATAAAATCATGATGTGAAAAAAGACAGATTGTCTTTAATAGAGTGGCTATTGGATTTCCAGATGATTTCTTAATGGCAATAATGGAGACCAGGATTGAAGAAAGATACTGTCAACCTAAAACTGTAGACCAGTAAAAATGTCTTTTGAGAACAAGGGTAAAATAAAAACATTTTCAGACAAAGATTAAGGATTTTCCATTCTCAGATCCTCACGATAGAAAAGCCTAAAGGTGGAAGAAAGAGTGATTCAGATGGAATGTCTGAGATAAAAGAATAAGTAAAGAGCTAAAGAGTAGTAAGTAAGTGAGTAGGAAATTGGTGATGTAAGTCAAAAGTACTCATGACAGTTGGAAAGAGAACCTAAAGAATGACTGAGTTTTCTACATCCTTAAATTTTCCAGGTGGAGAACAAAGATATTGATTCATTTTAGATGTTGATAATTTCAGTAGATAATTAGATGTCTAAAATTCCAATCTTTGCATTTTTAACTGGAACATTTATAGTTAATTGATAAAGCTTAGATGTGAAAGGCAAAATTTTGAAACATTAAGAGAAATGTGGAAGATACTTGTGACCTTGAGGTAGCAAAGAATTTTCTAAAACAAGACGCTAAACCATTTATCATAAAAGATAAGATTGATAAATTGGAATATATTGGGAGTATATAAATGGGCTGCTGCTTGCCCATTTTTATGGTTATTTATTGATGATATGCTAAACAAGGGGTAGATTATTCATGCCTCCCCCTTTTAGACCATATAGGATAACTTCCTGATGTTGCTATGGCATTCGTAAACTGTCATGGTGCTGGTGGGAGTGTAGCAGTAAGGACCACCAGGGGTCACTCTGGTCGCCATCTTGGTTTTGGTGGGGTTTGGCCATCTTCTTTACTGCAAGCTGTTTTATCAGCAAGGTCTTTATGACCTGGATTTTGTGCTGACCTCCTATCTCATCCTGTAAGTTAGAATGCTTTAACCATCTGGGAATGCAGCCCAATAGGTCTCAGCCTTTTTTTACCTAGCTCCTATTCAACATGGAGTTGCTCTGGTTCACATGCCTCTGACACCATCCCTCAATAAGAAAAACAATCAAAAAGATGTAAGGTGGAATTTTACAGAAGAGGAAATCCAAATGATCAATAAACATATGAAAGATATTTAGCCTTAATAACAATATAGGAAACCCTCATTAGAACCATAATGAACCAGCTTTTCATGTCCAAAAGTTGAAAAAGTTAAAAATCTGATTATACTAAGGTTATCAAGCAGGTCAAGTAATGGAAATGCTCATAGAATGTTTGAACAGTGTAAAATAGTATAACTTTCTTAAAGAAAAAATTAGCAATTATAGTTAGACTGAAAATGTACACTCTTATAAGGCAGCAATTCCATTTCTAGATAATCTCTTACACATATGATATATAAAATAACATTCATAGAAGCATTACTTATATTAATAAATAAAAAGGAAAAAGCTGGAAACAACCCAAATATCCTTCAACTATAGGAAAGATAAATAATCTGGATATATTCATATAATGCCATACTATACATTGAACATAATTAAGATACACATATCAACATGTTAGAATCCCAATCCCATAATGTTGAGCAAAAAAAGCAAAACTCAAAAACAAAACACAAGTCTAATATTATAATGGACACAATAATATGTTTTACCAAACAGACAAAAAATATGTGTAGTTTAGGGAGACATATAAATTTGGGAAAACTATAAAGAAAGCCTGAGGCTCTCCTTCCCTCTTTCCTTCTTTCCCCTCCTTTCTTTACCTCCTCCTCCTCCTTCTCCTTCTTCTTTCTCTGTCTTTCCCTTTTCTCCCTTTTTTTTCTTTCTCTCCTCTCACCTCCTCTCTCACACTCACTCACTCAATTCCTCTCTCCCCACCTCTTTTTCTCTCCCTTTCTCCCCCTTGAATGAAACTACAACTCAACTTCCCTCCTCTGGCTGGCCTAGGTGCCCTTGCTCTGTTAAAGCTCATTATTTTTATTAAACTCTAGGATCAAAAAAGAGACAGAGAGAGAGAGATAGAGACAGAGACAGAGAGAAGGAAGGAAAGAAACTAGAAAGTATTGGGATGATTATCACAAAGTTTGGGAAAGTGTTTATATCTGTGGGGGCAGGCCACAGTATATGATTTAGAAGTATCACTTGGGGGACTCCTAGGGGCTGGCAACATTTTATGTTACTATTTTAGACATAGATTTTTGAATACCTCTATACATTTATATATGTAATATATAAAGAAATATATATTTATATATGTTTTATATGCCCTCGAATGCATGACCTATTTCACAATACATCTCACATTGTGAAAAGTAAATAGCATGTGAGAGACAGCAATAAATGTAGACAACTTTTTCCAGACGTCTTACTGTGAAAACAGAGCCGAGAACGGCGCTGTAGCCAGAAGAGAATAAAGGTCAATAAAAGATCCTTTAGAATGAAGGTCACTAAAAGATCCTTTTAAAGAAGTGAAACAATACAGCTTGCTTGAGTGCCCACGGGACTGAGCCAGCAAAGAGGGAGAAATGGATGGTGCAGAGCAGAGAGGCAGGGTAACTCCCGAAATAAAGACCTGGTGCAGGTGAGTGAGGAAAGGTGGTGCAGATCATGAAAGAAGGCATTTGCCTCTCAAAAATAGCACCGGTGTCTCACTCTGGTGACAGGAGAGAAAGGGCAGAATCCGGATGTAGACGCAGATAGGTGTGTTGATTTGGTAGCGGAAAGATGAGGGATTTCCCATCTGATTGTTTGCAAGTCAAGGGCAGTGGCTAAGAGAGGGAAGTAGAGGGGGCCAGATACAGGGTTTCAAGAAGAGTTGAAAAGTCACAAAGATCTTGGAAAATATGGTAGAACCATGAGGGAGTGTCGAGTGCTCACATGGGTCTGTGGTCATGAAATTTCAGTGAAACCTTCCACGTGGTATACAATGTTCCCAAGGAATTTCTTTTCTTTTCTTTTCTTTTTTTTTTTTTTGAGACAGAGTTTCACTCTTGTTGCCTAAGCTGGAGTGTAGTGGCATGATCTCGGCTCACTGCAACCTCCACCTCTTGGGTTCAAGTGATTCTCCTGTCTCAGCCTCCTGAGTAGCTGGGATTACAGGCACCTGCCACTACGCTCGGCTAATTTTTGGTATTTTTAGTAGAGATGGGGTTTCATCCTGTTGGCCAGGCTGGTCTCGAACTCCTAACCTCAGGTGATCCACCTGCCTCGGCCTCCCAAAGTGCTGGGATTACAGGTGTGAGCCACTGCGACTGGCCCAGGGAAATTTTAACTTCTAATGGGTGAAAGTGCAGAGGAGCTGGATACTTGGGTTGGGTAGCTGGGTTCACCAAGGTTGGAGGATGAATGTAATCAGTAATTTATCATGAATTACTATAGAAGGAAAGCAATCAGAGAATTGAGAATGTTAGTAAGGGAGGAAAGAATTTGAAACAGTAATGGGTAAGGAAGTGGTAAACTCAAAGAACTGGGGTTCTTGTGTAATTAAAGAATGGTGGAAGGAGACAAGAGCAAATGAGCTGAAGGAAGTAGAGATGGTCCATGCAACACGTGAATGAATGAACCAATTGCAGACTGTTGCCTACTTTGCACATTGCTAGGAAGAGGTCAAGAGGTCCTCATGGCCACCCTGTGAGAAAGCATCCTTAGGGATTATTTGTCTAAACAGCCCCAGGGAGGCCAAAGAGGCTTGACAGGAGGGCTGCCAAATGGGCAAAGTCAACAGGTGCACCTCCGGAGCTCCAGATGGATTTGTAGGGGAGTTATCTGGAGCTTTGAGAGCAGAGGGAGTGGAAGAGTAAATACTGAGTCCTGCTGAGGTTCACAGCAGTCATGCCCAGGCACAGGGAACAGAAACAGGAGGGAAGCCAAGGGGCAGAACTGAGTAAACAAAGAATGAAGTGCATGCTCAGAGGGCAGGCGGGAATCAGGCAAGAGATCCAAAACTGTTCTCACGAAAACTGTTGGTTGGATGCCTCTTGTGTTAGTCTAGGCTCATGGCACAGGGTCGGTGCCAGAGCTCATTCCCATGAAGCAACTGATTGTCATCTCAATACCCTAACCTGGAAGCATCAGGTTTGGAAAAGACAAACAGTGGTTCACCTAGAAAGGATGCTGAGACATCTGTTCACATTTGTACACGAGGGTGAGCACTTGAGTGAGTTCCTCTGTGAAAGGTCACTGAGAAATTGTGGCAAAGAAGAAATTAAGTCTGCAAAGAGCATGAAAACTCCTAGGAGCAGGTTTCTATTTCTTATAAGTCCAAAATTTCAGCATCGGTGAAGAGATGATCTTAGTTTTTCCATGTAAAGGCCTTCAAGCACGAGAAAATAATTAGCATCTGGCAATTCTGAAATCTAGATATGACTGCAGGCTTGCGGCTTTAGTACTCTTTCACACTTTTGCCACACCTAGTCAGAGATTTTAGGAATATTGCACTGCTTCTATTAAGCAAGGATCATGAACTCCGAAATGGTTGATTTATGCGGGCATTATTCATTCAGCAGATGCTGCTTCTCTTTTAGGAATAAGGATATGGTTCTAAGGGCTGTTAAGTTTAACATGGGGTTCCACGGCACATGAATTGCATGATTCTGTGTCCTTATTCAATGGGTTATGCTTAGCTTCATCCTAGACACAAAATCACCCAGATTTTTAAAAATAAAAATATTGGCTATTTTATTATAAAAGAAAGTCTTGCTTCTTGAACAAAAACAGCAACTACAGAAAATGTTTAAAATGAAAATTTGTTTTCTACAAAACTGCTTCCTAAAATAACCACCATCAATATTTGAAGAACACTTTTCCAGGCATCTTTTTCTGTTTAGGTGCACACATATATATTTCAGTCTAAAATGGAAACTCTGTATATGTTATATATTTATTATATATATGTTTTGCAATTTTGTTTATATTTAAAAATATATGTGGGTATCATTTAGGTCAAGTACACACACACATATTCATTCTTAATGGCTGAAAAGAAATGACAAAAATGAAATAATTTATTTAACTGATCTCTTATTTAGGCATTGTAATATTTGTAACTTTTTACTATTTAAAAATGTAGTAAGGCCCAGGCAGGCAGATCACCTGAGGTCAAGGTGATCAAGAGTTTGAGACTAGCCTGGCCAACATGGTGAAACCCTGTCTCTACTAAAAATACAAAAATGAGTCAGACATGGTGGCGGGCAACTGTAATTCCAGCTACTTGGTGGGGGGAGGGGGTGAGACAGGAGAATCACTTGAACCCAGGAGGCGGAGATTGCAGTGAGCCAAGATCATGCCACTGCACTCCAACCTGGGCAAGAGAGCTAGACTCCATCTCAGAAAAAAAAAAAAAAGAAAAGTAGTGAAGCTGAAGCATAGTTAAATAGCTATATATTTGCCAGTTTATTTCCTAGGGGTAAGTTTCTTGAAGTGAAGTTACTGAGTTAAAGGGAATGCATTTTTAAAGACTTCTAGTGCACTTTGGCAGATTGCCCAGCAAAAGTTTTTCCTTCCCACTAGCTGCATATAAAAATGTTCATTTCCTTTGACTCTTAACCACATTGGGTATTATCTTTTACATGTTTTCTAACCAGCTGACAAATGTTCTTTCTTTCTTGGTTGATTTGTATGTGATTGCTAATGAGAGTGACACTTTTTTAACATTCAATAACTTAGTATCAGATGTTAAATAAGTGATATGTATAAGCCTCGATGAGTAATAAAATGTTAAATGTGGGGAGAAGCACAGGATGACCTTCATGGGCTTGGGGAGATTAGGGTTCTGGTGGCTGAGATCAAGAGCAATAATAGAAAACTGCGTGCGCAGGTTTGGGGAGACATTGAAAATGAAGACTCTCCTTTGGGCCAGGGTGAGTTTGAGGGGCTTGGAGGACACATGAATGAAGATGCTCAGTGGGCAGTGTGATACACAGATGCTGGATCTCGGGAGTTTGGGGCTGCTTGTGGGACTTAAGAATCATTAACACACAAGTCTAGTATAAAGATTGTAGTTTCGGATGATGTCATCAAAAAGGAGCCAAGGAGTGAGGAAGCAGAGGGCTAACTGATCATTAAATAGAGCAGGGTGGAAGGAGAAAGAGAAGGCAGGAGAGTCACTCCCTTCAAAACCATTCAACTCTCAGACACTACCAAGTAAATGAGACTGAGTAATCAGCCCTAAAGTAGAAATGACACTTAAATTGGCTTTCTGTTTGACTTATTCTATTGGTTTTGGCTAATGTAGATCAACTTCAATGGTGAAAAGAAAAAAGTGTTGCGATGCTTTAAAACTTTACTAAACTTTATATATTAACTTCCTTTACTTTGTACTAAGATAAGTGACAAAGACCTAAGGAGAGGGGGTAAAAGTGGGAAAAAGACAAGCTATCAGTCAATAGCCTAATTTCATTTCACTAATTTGTATTTGATGTGGTTTGGCTGTGTCCCCACCTAAATCTCATCGTGAATTCCCACGTGTTGTGGGAGGGACCTGATGGGAGGTATTGAATCATGGGGGCAGGTCCCTCCTGTGCTATTGTCGTGATAGTAAGTCTCATGAGATCTGATGGTTATTACAAGAGGGAGCTTTCTTGCACAAGCTCTCTCTTTGTCTGTCACCACCCACGTAAGATGTGACTTGCTCTCCCTTGCCTTCTGCCATGATTGTGAGGCCTCCCCAGCCATATGGAACTGTAAGTCCAATTAAACCTCTTTCTTTAGTAAATTGCCCAGTCTCAGGTATATCTTTATTAACAGCATGAAAACAGAGTAATGCAGTATTCGTTACTCATTCAATTTTTTAAAATAATTTATCTTATCATTTATTAAGTGAGAAAACAATAAAGCAGCTAAGGAAAACTTAGAAAACAAAGAGAAAATAGGATCCCTTAGGAGATCCTATTTTACAGATCTAATAGGAGATCCTATTACACAGATGCTACAATCCAAAGGAAGTGCTAATAAACAAAAACTCTCAAGCAAAAGGAACTGGACAGAACCCAGTTAAACAGCTCTTGTGCCACTTACCTTGCACTGCTGGTATGAAAGAGGTGGACTGTTGGAATCAGATATGTTTCTTTCAATTCTATTGTATTATACCATCTTCTGGGGAAAATTGCCTTGGGAAAAAAAGCTGTTGATATGCTGTATTAGTTTGCTAAGGCTGCCTTAACAATGTACCACTGCCTGGGGGTCTTACACAACGGGCATTTATTTTCTCACCGTTCTGGGGACTAGAAGTCCAAGGTCAAGGTGTCGGCAGGTTCAGTTTCTTCTGAAGCCTCCCTCCTTGGCTTACTGATGGCCAGCTGCTTTCTCTTTGTCTTCACATGGTCTTCTCTCTGTGTACATATGTGTCATGGTCTCCTCTTCTTATAAGGACACCAGTCATATCAGATGAGGGCTCACCCACATGACCTTATTTTACCTTCCTTACCTCTTTAAAGGTCTTGTCTTCAAATACAGTCACACTCAGGACATGGAGGGTTAGAACTTTAACATATGATTCTTGGAGAGATACAATTTAGCTCACAACACATGCTATAAATGTTTTTAAAACTACCCCCCCAAGTTGGAATCTGTGAACGTTCAACAGTGCCAGTAGAGAGCTAGAGGGTGCCCCTTATAATTAGAGGGGTGTTGAGTTGCTCAGGGTCCTGGCAGGAAAGAGACAGCACAAATAAAATGGGTGATTGTCGAGAGTCTAAGGAGACAGAAAGGTGAGATCGGAGTTAAGAGAAAGCAATAAGAAGCAATGAAGAGCCAAGCACAGCACCATTTTACTCTGCAGGGGTGAGGAGAAGAAGTGGTTAGTGGAGATCAGCACTGCTGGATCTGCTGGTGAAGGCACCTGACAGGGCGAGGGCCTGCCATTGAGAAATACAGACACTGCTGAGCAGGGAACATGAGGCATAAGCACGCAGCCACTCTCCTCCTGTAGGGCCTTCCCCTTGGCTGAACCCTGCAGGCAGCTAGAGGGCAAGGGAGCCTGTATGACGCGTCCCCATGGCCAGCCTTCCTGGTCAAGGAGAGAGGCAACTGGAGATTACCTAGTAGAG
Organism: Homo sapiens; assembly: GCF_000001405.40. Taxonomy (NCBI): domain Eukaryota; kingdom Metazoa; phylum Chordata; class Mammalia; order Primates; family Hominidae; genus Homo; species Homo sapiens. The sequence goes on along the minus strand of NC_000013.11, from coordinate 106,598,107 downwards.
ACACAGCGGACTCACGTTTACCCCTGCCTGGAAAATTGCAAGTACAAATCTGGACTCCCAGCTCTTCAGCAGTGGAGTGAAGGAGAACTCCTGCAGGGCTGGTTCAGAGTTTGGCAGGATAAACATCCTTGTAGCCAGAGCTGGGTTGTGCAGGGGGAGAGTTGACTTGGAGCCATGGTACTCCCAGCCAGGAGGATGGCCTGGAGGGGCACTTGGATCTCCACAAAGAACGTGTTGAGTGGACTCTTGAAAAACCAGGTGCTCAGAGTGATTGGGAAAGTTAAATATTTCCTATGGGAGCCTGTATGAGTTTTCTGTGGCTGCTGTAATAGTTACCACAAATGGGATGGCTTCAGGAAACAGGTATCTACGCCTACAGTCCCAACACTTTAGGAGGCTGAGGCAAGAGGATTGCTTGAGGCCAAGAGTTCAAGACCATCCTGGGCAACATAGAGAGATTCTGTCTCTACAAAAAAAAAAAAAAAAAATATGCCAGGTGTGGTGGCATGTGCTTGTAGTCCCAGCAACTTGAGAGGCTGACTTGAGAGGAATTGCTTGAACCCAAGAATTCAAGGCTGCAGTGAGCCATGATTCAAACCACAAAAAAAACAGATTTCTGGAGGCCAGAAGTCTGCAGCAGGCTTGAGTTGGGCTACATTGCCTCTGAAGCCTCTGGGGAAAACCCTTCCTGCCTCTTCCAGCTTCCAGTGGCTCCAGGCGTTCCCTGCCTGAGGCGGCTTCACTCCCTCCTCTGCCTCTGTGGCCACACAGCTGCCTCCACTGCGTGTGTTTCAGCCTCAGCACGGTCACAAACACAGCTAACAAGACCAAGTACTGGGGAAGGAGAAGTCAGGAAATGAGGACTTCTCAAGTGGCAAGGTCATGAGAGACAAGGAAAGACAGAGAAAATGCCACCGATTGAAGGAGATATAAGGAGACTTGTGGGATCCTAAAACAGATAAAGGACATTGGTAGAAAAACAGGAGAAATTAGCAAAAAAAAAAAAAAAAATCTAAATAAGGTTTGTGTTTTAGTTACCAGTACTGTGCCAGTGTTGAGTTATGAGTTTTGATGCATATAATGGAGTCCTGTGAGATGTTAGCTTTCGGGGAAGCTGGGTGAAGGTATGAAGGAATTCTATGTAGTATCCTCACAACTCTTCCGTACGCCTAAAATCATTTCAAAATAAAACCACAAAGGAAAAAATAACTCATCTGTTGAAGGCTCCTGTTGGCTAAAAAAGCATGTGGGCTCCATGAAGCAAAATCTTAGACCAGCACCAAATGTGCAGGAGTAAATACTGAGTCCATACCAGGGAGGATGGAAATAAAACTGCAGCACCCACCATGAGGAGTCAGCCAGGCCATTTGCAGACAGAGGGCACTGCCTCCCAGCCTCTTCCTCAGCCCACTCACTGCACAGTTAGATAGAACCAGCTTGCCTCACCTTCTGATAGAAAAGTGAGTTTAAATACAACAAAAATAAAAAGTAGAACGCAAGTTCGACTTGGACAGAAAATACATTTACTTAAACTAAAGCAACTCTCAAGGGAGTGTATGCTGCATGCCAGAGAAGTCCAGGCTAAGGTCCAGAAGATACCGGAGGGCTGAGGTGCCAGAAGACTCAGTGGAGGGAGTAGGCGTGAGTCTGGATCCCTGACAGGTGTGTCGGAGGAGAGGGAGTGGAGAGCGCGTCGCAGCTGAGAGCCACGGTGAGAAAGTGAGACGGTGGGCAGGGTATTTAGGAACAATTAGACCAACTGAAGTGAAAAGAAGGCCTTGTGGAAGGCCTGTGAGAGATAGTGTGGCAAGGTTTAGATGCTACACACACCCTCACACACACACTGCACACACCAAACACACACAACACACAGTACAACACACACATCACGCACAACATGCAGCAGAATGCACACAACTATCACACCACACACACAGCACAACACACGCAGCACGACATGCACACACATCATACACATACAACCCATACAATGCACACAACACACATACGCCAATCACATCACACACACACACACACACACACACACACCAAACATCACACGTCCTTTGCATAAAATGAAAGCAAACACCTCATTCCTTGATCCAAAAATATTACATACGGAAAAAACTACATTTGGTTGTAATATAACAATTTATTCATATTTCCATGGTAAGATATTCGTTCCATCTTTCCTGTTTCCTGCCTCACTCCTTCCACTGGGCCTGGTGCCTGGGAGCCCAGCTCCTCCTGGCCTCGAGAATGCAGCCAGGCTCCTGCAGACATCTGGAGGCCTGGCCGCCTGCTCCTGGGTGTCAAAGGGCAGGCCAGCAATGTGACTGCTCTGTGCACAGATGCCAGGGTTCCTCCTCCTTCCAGACCATCCTGTCCTGCCTCCTCCACCCTCGATGCTTTACTTTCTCACTTCTTCTTGCTGTCCCCTTCTAGAAAGACTTCGATTCTAGATCTCCCACTCTCCCAACTCAGCTAGTTGCCATTTTGCTTCTACTTTCCACCATCTAGAAATGCTCTGAATTTGTCATTCATCTGACATTGTCCTTCCTCATATTCTTTGTGTTTTTGTGTTTATTGTTTATACTTTTATTAAAATTACTTTTCTGTTATTTCTGTTGAAGATTAGAGAAGGTATGGAAATTGTAAATTACATACGTTCAATGTGCTGTGTTTAAACAAAAGTCTCTATAATACATTTTAATTGTGGAAAAATGGGAAAAGAGACTGGGTAATCCAGCAATTAAACTGAATTCCTTCTCATCTGAGAAAAAGTTTTGCTTTCATCCAACCCCTAAGTTTTTCCAAATAAATGCACACAAAAGCATGCACAAGCTCATCTATATCCTCGTTCACACCCACCCACACACACTGCAGAGATTCAGAGACCAACCAACGAGCACTACATTTGAAATAAAGTGATCTCAGATTTTTGGCAATAGGAGTGCTCAGCATGATATACAGCCTGTTTAGATAAAAATCATCATAGCTTTCGCCATAGATATAAATGGGCTCTAAGCATGCATGACTTTGCATCTTAATCCTGTCATTATCGAGTGGAAGCAACTTTTATGAAACAAACTTAAGCAATGGAAGCTGGTTATTTAAAATAAGCTGGAGTCCCTAGTCATCTAAACAAATAAGAAAATTGTGGACTTAAATTTCTGGATAGTATCTGATTTTGCTCCAACCTTCAGACGTCAATCACGCAGCTGAATCTTTAAAGCCATACTCCCTACCACAAGCCAGGCTTTAGAGGACAAGACTGTCAGCTTTCAGAGGCTGCTGCCCCTACCACTCCTGCTCAGAGGCTTTGTGCACTTCTCTGACCACCAGTCCCCAGCCTCCAGGCCGGCTGCAAACCCCCACCCCATTCTGCAACATTAGAAAGCATTGATGAATCCGTGGCATTTGTTTTAGGGGTGCTGCTCATAGGATTGGCATGAGAAGGGATGTAGCAGAGATAGCTTCCAGGAAGTTGGAGACAAAATATTGTAATCTTTCTTTTGTTTTTTTGAAAAGAGGGTGAACTTGAACAAGGACTTTGAGATCCTCCAACTGTAACCCAAAAACAGAACTCCACAAATATAAAATCTTGTGAGGACAGGCATCTTATCCTTCATCATTGCGTCGTCTAGAGGATCTAGCACAGTGCAAATCACATACATTTTTATTGGATGAATAAATAGTATTACTAAAGGAAAACAGTTCAATAAAAACCCTGCACATGTACCAGGTCATTTTACTTTTTTTGTTTGTTTGTTTTTTGTTTTTGTTTTTTTGGTTTTTTTTTTATGAGACAGAATCTGGCTCTGTTGCCCAGGCTGGAATGCAGTGATGCAATCTTGGCTCACTGCAACCTCTGCCTCCTGGGTTCACGCAAATCTCCTGCCTCAGCCTCCCAAGTAGCTGGGACTACAGGCATGAGCCACCATGCCCAGATAATTTTTGTATTTTTTAATAGAGACAGAGTTTCACCTTGTTGGCCAGGTTGGTCTTGAACTCCTAACCTCAAATGATTTGCACACCTCAGCCTCCCAAAGTGCTGGGATTATAGGCGTGAGCTACTGCCCCCAGCCGGGTCATTTTGCTTTAAACATTATTTCTAAAAATTTTTACCATAAGAAGATTTAGGTTGTTATTTCTTAAAATTTAGTAATACTTTCTCTTGTTTTTTCTTCAGGGTCATGTTTAAACAATTATTCAATACATATGGAAACATAAAATATCAAACCACAAGCATAGTTTTATTTTTACATTTAACTATTTAAAATATGAAAAAAAAAACAAATACTTAAAGTTAGATCAAAAAGCAAATTTGTACCAGGGTGTGCAATACATAAAAATGTAAGTTTAAAACCATTTCACCTGGAATTTATTTGCTTATTTATCTAAATACAAACAGGTGGGAAATGAAACTTATTTTTCCCCAAATGGTTGTTAGCAAATTATGTCAATATCAATAAATAAATATCAATTATTTATCCACTAGTGTATAATGGTATAATGTCATATTTATTATGTATTCAAAGTTTATGTGAACTTGGGTTTGTTTTTGAATTTTCATTCATTCATTCAACCATTTTTGTTGAGCAAATACTATGTTCTAGGGACTGTTTTAGGCACAAGGAATATAGCACTGAATACGATGGGCAAGACCTCTGCCTTTTGTAGCTTTTGTTTAAGCAGTAGGCACAGACTATGAACAGTGATTCCCGAAAAAGAGGAAGAGCAAGCCACAGCAAGCCACAAGGGTGACCGTGTGGGAGAAGGCCAGGAGCCATGTGAGCAAGCGTGGTCAGGACGGCCTCTGTGAGGGTTGGTCTTTGGGCAGACACCTGAAAAGAGCAGAGGGAATAGGAATAATGCAGGGAGTTCTGAGATGGAGTGAGGAAGTCAACCCCACAAAAGTATGGGGGTAAAGGAACAGGAAGCACAGAGAGCCTGGGGCAGGGACAGGTTGGTATCCGGGGGAAGAGCAAAAAGGCCCCTGTGGCTGGACTGAAATAGATGAGGAAAAGTTCAGAGGTTTAGGTTGGAGTCTTTGGGGGCCAAGGAATGGTATTTGAATTCTACTTTATATTTGGTGGGAAGCTAACGAAGACTTGTTTGCTAAGGAGTGTAGTCTGGTTCACATTGATTAAACAAGCACTTTTGTTGCTATGTGCAAAGAACTGGCATTCGTGAGGCAGGGACAGGATGAGAAAGGCCAGGTGAGAAGCACTTGGACGGGTGTAGGAGACTAGGCTGGGGTTACAAAGACGGTGAGATGGGATCAGCTCTAGTGTATAGTTAACCGAGAGCTGTCCAAACCAGCTAATGTATTGAACATAAGGAAGAAATTTGGCAATGGAAGGAAATTTGGAGATGGTTTAAATAATGGGGTGAATGGTCGTGCCATTCACTTAGGTGGAAAAACTGGGGGTATGGGAAGTTCCAGTTAAGAACAACAAATTTTGTTTGGAACACGTTAAGGTTGAAAGTCTTCCTATCTATCCAAGTGGCAATGTTAAGCAGGTGATTGGATATGCAGTTGATCCTTGGACACTGCGAAGGTTAGGGGTGCCAACCCTCTGTCCAGTGAAAAATCTAACTTTGGACTCCCCAAAAACTTTACTAATAGTCTACTGTTGACCAGAAGCCTTACTGATAACATAAGTAGCCCATTAACAAGTATTTTCTATGTTATATGTATTACATACTGTATTCTTACAATAAGTTAAGCTAAAGAAAAGAAAATGGTATTAAGGAAATCATAAGGAAGAGAAAATATATCTACTATTCACTACATGGAGGTGGAGCAACATAAAGGTCTTCATCCTCATTGTTGTCACATTGAGTAGGCCAAGGAGGAGGAGGAGGGGCCGGTCTTGCTGTCTCAGGGGGAGCAGAGGCCAAAGAGGTGGAGGAGGTAGAAGGGGAGGCAGGAGAAGCAGGCACTCTCGATGGAACTTTTATTGGAAACAAATTCAAATGGAAGTGGATGCACATGTTTTAAGCCCATGTTATTCAAGGGTCAACTCTACAAATCCGGACTCAGGGGAATGTTCAGGGCTGGAAATACAAGTTTGGAGAGCGGGATGGGGGTCTCCAGTGTTCAGGTAGTATGCAGGGCCTTGAGGAACTCCTTGGAGAAGGAGTATATAGAAATGAGAGGAGGCCCAGGGGAAAAGGCAGAGGAATGACCAGTGAGTGGGGAGTGGAGAGTGGCTGGAACCAGTAGAAGAAAATGCTTTGAGAAAGCGATAAGGAGATGCCCTGTTGAAGCAGCTGAGGGGTGAGTGAAATTGGGGCTGCATATGGTTCCCTGGACTTGGTGAGCTGGAGGTCACCGGCCACGCTGACAAGAGCTGCTGTCACATAGGAGTAGGGCTCCCAGCGGGAAGAGGAATTGAAAGAGAATGAGGAAAAGACTAAGAAACAGTGAAAACAGAGATAGGTATATGGAGAACTGCTTGGAAAAATATGTAACCAGGGAGGTTTTCTGTTCATTTGTTTTTAATGGGAGCTAATTTAGCATGCTTGCACGCTGATAAACCCCAGGTGAAAGATAAAGTGAGCCATGCCGATCAGAGGGGATAAAGGCAGGGAAAAGAAGTGATTAAGATCTGGACCCAGTTCAAGGGATGAACTTTGTTTAGGGCAGGGACAGTTCTTCCATTTCTATTCCAATCCTTTCATCTGTCTCTCTAACCTTGGGCTAAATCCACAATGACCTAACTCTAGAAATCTGTGGAACATTTTAATGTCTGATAAAACAATAGACATTTTGATAACATTATATTTAATCCCTATTTTAAAAATTTGTCTTCAGTATTTTAGCACATTTTTCCAGATGATCTTAAACTTTTAGTATAAAAGTAATTTCAACTACTTTTAGTAATTGAAGTGACAATACATTCATATGGTTCAAAATTCAAAAGTTACAAAGAACATACAATAAAAATCTCTCCTTTACTAGTGTCTCCCAAACACATTTTTCCCACCTGGATGCCAACAATGTCACCACTCCTTGAAAATTCTTCCAGAATTATTTTATGCATATATAAATGAATATTGCTATTTTGTTCTCTTTCTCTTTTTGCACAACTAGTCACATACAGCTCTGTCTGTTGCTTTTTTCACTTAAAATATATCAAAGATTTTTAAATATCGGTAACTAACGAGCATTCTCATTCTTTAAAAAGACAGTCTGATTAAAAAAAAAAAGCCTCTATGAAGTAAGGCCACATAAGAGAAACACAAAAACTCAAGTGAGAAATGGCAAGACAGACAGGGCACGGTGGCTCACGCCTGTAATCCCAGCACTTTGGAAGGCCAAGGCAGGTGGATCACAAGGTCAGAAGATCAAGACCATCCTGGCCAACATGGTAAAACCCCATCTCTACTAAAAATTAGCTGGGTGTGGTGTTGCGTGCCTGCATTCCCAGCTACTCGGGAGGCTAAGGCAGGAGAATTGCTTGAATCAGGGAGTCAGAGGTTGCAGTGAGCCAAGATCGTGCCACTGCACTCCAGCCTTGCGACAGAGCGAGACTCTGTCTCAAACAAAAAAAGAAATGGCAAGACAAAACAAAATAAAGCAAAACAAAAATAAAAGGAAAAATTATACAGAAATGAAGATAAATAGGAAGGCAAGCAAGGGATAAGAGATACTGTTGAGAACATATAAGAGAAGTAGAAGACAGAAATGAGAAAAACATGCAATTGAAATGGAAATTAAAAGTTTAATAGGACTCAAGAGAAGATGAAAGACTGAAAAAAAAGTGTACTCACAGAATCTTCCCACTTTTAATAACATTATCAATAATAACAATAATAGTATAGAACATTTTAATAATTTAAAAACTTTCCTCACATTAAAGAAGATGTAATTTAAGTGAAAAAAAAAAGTCTCCCACTATGTCCAGGAAACTGACGAGAATCATCAACACAGCTACATATCCTAATAAAGTTATCTGACCACAAAAATAAAGAAAGACTCCGTTGGGCAGGTAGGTAAAAGGATCAGTCTGGCTTCTGATTTCTTCACAGCGATATTCAAAACCAGAAGACAATGGAGCAGTAACCCTAAGATTAAAAAAACAAACAGCAAGAACAGAAAACTTATGACTCATGGATTTTATATCCAACCAAGCTGCCTTCAAATACAAAAGTTCATAGATTTGAAATTGATGACCTCCCATGACGTGCTCTTGAGGAACTCTCAGAGCAAGAACGTCAGCTGACTAAAATCTCAACAGAATTACTGACTCTAATGTGGTGATGAAGGTTAAAGAGAAGAACGTAAATGTCATATGTGCTGATGATGTAGAGATGACACAACTGACAAACTTGAGGAGGGGAAGAGAGCGGGAGGTAGAGTCAATCCACACCAATTGCTGGCAGTGGACGGGGCACTTTAAGGATGATACATCAAGTAGTAGAGGTGTGAAGCAGATTACACTACTCAGATGTAGAAACTGAGAAATACAGCATCATTGATTAAAAGCAGCTTATAGAATAAAGGGAGGGGGAAAATTCGAATATCATCATTGCTATTTTAAAAAAATGAAGGAGTAAAGTATGTGCAATATTAGATTTATCAAAGTAGCCAATAAAACCAAATACATACTTTAAATATAAGGACTCTACACAAAAAGCAAAGAGGGCAGATTATATAATGAAAGACTTTTTAGAACTACCCTAAAAACTGAAATACAGCACAGAACAATGTGAAAGAGCTAATATCAAACATTTCTGTTAATCCTTAAGTGAAAATAGGATTAACTCACCTATTAAAAGGAAAAGGTCTTCAGATATGAACACAAAGCAAAATGCAACCCTATGCTATGCACAAGAGACATGCACCACAAAAGCAATTCCATTCCACTGAAAATTAAAAGATGGGCCAAGTACACCCAAGCACATGCAAGCAAGAAGAAAGCTGTGGTCTCCATATAAAGATCAGACTGAGTAAAATCCGGGCCCCAAACCATTAAATGTGACATGAAGGGTGGTTTTTAATGCACTGAATACCCCACCAGCAGTATTCACCAAGAGATTCTAGGAGACACAAGGAGAAACAGACACAACCCAGCGGTAGAAAGAGACTTTAATTCATCTCTCAGCATATGACAAATTCACAGGACAAAGAAAAGGCAAGTATCAATTGTCAAAAGATATAGTGATTTCAATATAAACACCAAGGAAAAATATGTTCAGTTATATTCAAGACAAAGGATGGATTTCCTAATATAAAAGAGCTCCCCAAAATGGATAAAAAAACAAGAAACTTAGAAAAAGAAGCGGGCAAAGGATATAGACCGCTCATAGAAAAACCAGTGTGAATAACCCTTAAACATATGAAAAAATGCACAAACTCACTCATAATATGAAAAATAGTAATTGAAACTACACTGAGATGCACAATATCTAACTAATCAGCTTAGCAAAAATCCCCAAGTTCCCCAGCATACTTTGCCAGAGAGGCTGTGGGGAGGGTGGCACTGGTAGCTGCTAGGAGTGTTCCAAATGGAAAAGGCCAGCTTTGCAAATGCAGGCTTTGGGGAATTGTCTATGAAGTGCAATCAGCAAGTTCCAGCAGTTCACAGGATGCAGCAAGAACTTCCTTGACGGAAAGAAAAATGAAAACGATACGCAGTTAACATTGTGAGATTTAGCAAATGAAAATACAAGTTGTCCAGTTAAATTCGAATTTCAGATAAACAACACCTTCTTTTAGAATAAGTGTGTTCCAAGCATTGAGTATGTTCAATGCAATATTTGTGGCATGCCTATTCTAAAAAATGATTGTTGTTATTTAATCCAATTCAAATTGACTGGATGTCCCCTATTTTATCTTGCAACTCTATATATAGTTAAACGTACAAATGGCCAAGAAGTCATCAAGCAAAAGGCATTCTTGATACTTAAAGCTTGATTTTCAGAGCTCAATCATTTAGCAACTACATTTATTTTTTGTAAAACACATCACTGTACAAAGGGCCTAGAAAGTCAAGCCTCCAGCTCCCAGCAGTTCTTTGAGAACAATTCACAAAGCAAAGTGCCTTTTCCTCCCCTGGTCTTTCTTCCTGTTATTAGGTGTGTCTCTGTAAATTTGTTTATCACATGTGTCTCCACCTTCTGTAAATACCGTAGCCAAGGTAGTTTCACTATCATTGAGGTCTGACTCAATGAAACCCTGCAACAGTCACAGTCATTGTTCTGGCCAATGAGATCCTCACTCACAGATCGAATGGAAAGAAAATAGCTTCTACAGGGTAATTGATCATCTTTCTGTATCAAGATCCGCAAATGCTTTTCCCACAGTTTCCACAGAACCAGGAAGAGCAGGATGGTTTTGTTTTATTTTGTTTTGTTTTAAATCCAGTGATGAGGGGTCTGACATAGTAGCTATTCCAGTGGTTAGTAGTGGTGGTTTCCAAAAAGCTCTCTCTGAATGTCTGTTTGTGCAAAATATAAAATAAACTCACCCCTGAGATGTGCACTTTTTGGAGCTGCAAGTGAAAAAAAGCTATATTCTCTGTGTTGTGTTTTTAAAAATGATATACCCATATTTTTAAGCAAAAAAATTACTCATTCCCTTGTTAAAGTGCAGTAAGGCAGATTTTATTCAGGGCCATCACCATAAGAGTAGGGAGCACTGCAATAGGGTTTTGCAGCAGGAGAGAGAGGGCAGGCTCAACTTGCAATACGGTAAGGAAAAGTAGAGACTTACAGTCAAGAAACAGGCTAGAGGTCATTGGGTACAAATTACTAAGAGGAAACATTAGGGGTGAAGGGGGATTCTGGTTAAACTGACCTAATAGGATTCTCACTGAAGGCAGGCTAAAGTGATCAATCACCGGGGAGATGGTGGAGGATGAGGAACCTGATGAGATATTGACAGTGATCAGATATAGAGGGTGGAGGGTTCTGGCTAAATTGACATAGCAGGATTTGGGACCATGCAGAAAACACAGAAGCGCAAAATTCAGGACCCAGTTGAGAAGAGAGTTCAGAAAAGCCTAACTAGAGTTTGCTTGCTTGAGGAGAGAATCTTTGTCAACACACACACACACACACACACAGCCTTAAAAAAGCAGGCTTGTTCTTTTCCCTGCACTAAGATGACTTCATTTTAATCAGGGTTCTCACTTTTCCAGGAAGGGCCACACCTCTTGCTTTCTTCTGACTCTTTTATTATTCATAAAGAACATCCCATTTGTATTATTCCATTCTCACACTGCTATAAAAATACTACCATAGACTGGGTAATTTATAAACAAAGGAGGTTTAATTGACTCACAGTTCTGCATGGCTGAGAGGCCTCAGGAAACTTACAAACATATGGCGGGAGGGGAAGCAGGCACCTTCTTCACAATGTCGCAGGAGGCGGGGTGAGTATGTGAAGGAGGAACTGTCAAACACTTATAAAACCATCTGATCTCATGAGAACTCACTCACTATCATGAGAACAGCATGGGGGGAACCACCCCCATGATCCAATAACTTCCCACCACATCCCTCCCATACATAACATGTCAGGATTATGGGGATTACAATTCAAGATGAGATTTGGGTGGGTAGAGACAGCCAAACCATATCATTCTGCCCCTGGCCCCTCCCAAATCATGTCCTCACATTTCAGAAGACAATCATGCCTTCCCAACAGTCCCCCAGAGTCTCAAGTTATTCCAGGATTAGCCCAAAAGTCCAAGTCTACAGTCTCATCTGAGACAAGGCAAGTCCCTTCCATCTAGGAGTCTGTAAAATCAAAAGCAAGTTTCATTACTTCCAACATACAATGGGGGTACAGGAGTTGGATAAATGCTCCCATTCCAAATGAAAGAAATTGACCAAAACAAGGTGGCTACAGGTGCTACACTAGTCCAAAATCCAGCAGGGGAGTCATTAAATCTTAAATTTCCAAAGTAATCTCCTTTGACTCCGTGTCTCAGATCCAGGGCATGCTGATACAAGGAGTAGGCTCCACAGCCTTGGGCAGCTCCTTCATGGGCTGGCATTGAGTGCCCACAGCTTTTCCAGGCACATGGTGCGATCTGTCAGTGAATTGACCATTCTGGGGTCTGGAAGACAGTGGCCCTCTTCTCACAGATCCACTAGGCAGTGCCCCAGTGGGGAGTCTGTGTGGGGGCTCCAACCCCACATTTCCCTTCTATACTGCTCTAGTAGAAAGTCTCCATGAGGGCTCCACCCCTGCAGCAGACTTCTGCCTGGATACCCAGGCATTTCCATACATCCTCTGAAATCTAGGCAGAGGTTTCCAAACCTCAAATTCTTGACTTACAGGTACCTGCAAACCCAACACCACATGGAAACAACCAAGGCTAGAGGCTTGCACCCTCTGAAGCAATGGTCCAAGCTGTACCTTGGCCTCTTTTAGCAACAGCTGGAGCTGAAGTGGCTGGGGGATTAGGGAGGCCCTGGGCCTAACCCATGAAACCATTTTTCTTCCTAGGCCTCTGGGCCTGTGACAGAAGGGGCTGCCACCAAGATCTCTGACATGCCCTAGAGATGTTTTCCCCATTGTCTTGGGGATTAGTATTCGGCTCCTCACTACTTATGCAAGCTTCTGCAGACAGCTTCAATTTCTCCCCAGAAAATGGTTCTTTCTTTTCTATCACATCATCAGGCAGCAAATTTTCCAAACTTTTATGCTCTACTTCCCTTTTAAACATAAGCTTTAATTCCAAACCATCTCTTTGTGAACACATAAAACTGAACACTTTCAGAGTGGTACTGGTCACATCTTCAATGTTTTGCTGCTTAGAAATTTTTTCCATCAGATACCCTAAATCATGTCTCTCAAGTTCAAAGTTCCACAGATCTCTAGAGCAGGGGCAAAAATTCAGTCAGTCTCTTTGCTAAACCATAGCATGAGTCACCTTTACTCCAGTTACCAATAAGTTCATCATCTCCATCTGAGACCATCTCAGCCTGGACTTCATTGTTCACATCACTATCAGCATTTTGGCAGAAACCATTCAACAAATCTCTAGGAAGCTCCAAACTTTCCCACATCTTCCTGTCTTCTTCTGAACCCTCCAAACTGTTCCAATCTCTGCCCATTACCCAGTTCTGAAGTCACTTCCACATTTTCAAGTATTTTTATAGCAGTACCTCACTCTCTGCAGTACCAATTTACTGTATTAGTCTGTTCTCACACTGCTACAAAGATACCACCCAAGACTGGGTAATTTATAAACAAAAGAGGTTTAATTGGCTCAGTTCCATATGGCTGGGGAAGCTCCAGGAAACTTACAATCATGGCAAAAGGGGAAGCAGTACCCTCTTCACAAGGCAGCAGGAGAGGGTGATTAAGTGTGTGAAGGAGGAACTGTCAAACACGTATAAAACCATCAGCTCTCATGAGAACTCACTCACTATCACTAGAACAGAATGGGGGAAATGGCCTCCATGATTCGGTTACCTCCAGCTGGTTTTTCCTTGACATGTGGGATTATGGGGATTATCAGAACTACAATGCAAGATGAGATTTAGGTAGGGATACAACCAAACCATATGACCATTTTTATTCAAACTCCTAACATCTCCATCACTTTGCTGATAATGTTTCAAGTCATTGGTTTCAAGTGAAGCTTTGCAGTCTGTAAAAGTGTCACTGGTTTTAAGAGAGACTTTGAAGTCCTCCCAACTCCTGTCCACACCTACCTGATACCCAAGGAGACTTGTTACCTGCTGCCATCTTGGATCATTGGTAACCAAGGTTCTGCCCCCATGATCCATAGTCTTCAGGAGCATCTTTTGCTCACTGTGGATGGCTGTTGCTCTGGGGACACTGGTGGATATTCACTTTACAGAAGACTATGAGGTCCACCTCTGTGAAACTGTGGGCACATCTTTACAGTGGCCATTCCAAAAGGAAAGGGGGTGAGCCTGCCCTTTCTTACCTGCATTATAGCTTATGCCGACGGTATGTCTCCTTGAGGTCATAGTTTCTCCCTCAAACAGGAGTACTGCTTTTAGCAAATGGGTAGTAAATAAACTGGATTTCTACAACAGGTAGCACTGTTCCTACGGCCAGAGTGTTTAAAGCTATTTGCGTGTGTTTCTCTGTATTAATTTTTCTCAAAAAGAACCCTGCCTTTTTCCATACGGCTGGGCCACATGAAACCATATTAATTTTTTATCAGATGTACAATCTAGAAATGTTTTGTTTTTCTTTCATGTTTTAATTGTGTGAAGTCTTGAAGATACCCTAAGTGAAGAGAGTAGTGTAATGACCCATATAACCTTTGCTTAGATGTAATTGTTAACATTTTGCTGTATTTGCTGCTCATATTTTTGTCACTGTCTGTAATACACATATCATGAAATTTTATTCCTAAACATTTTAAAATATACTATTAAAGTCTTAGGGCATTTTCTTACATAATCATAATTATCATGGTCACATATAAAATTAACAAAAATTCATCAACATCATTCAATACCCAAGTTTCCTTTATTGTCCTCAAGATGTCCTTTACAGGTGGTTTGTTCAAACTGTCCTCAAGGTGTCCTTTACAAGTGGTTTGTTCAAACTTTGATTGATTCAACAGGGACACGCATTGCATTTAATTATCTTATCTAGGAAAGTCAGCCTCCTTTCAACACCTTGGCTGTTTGTTTGTTTGTTTTTGTGTTTCACATTGATTGTTGACCAGTCTGACTCCAGATTTTGGCTACAAGTAACCAGAGACCCAAATCAAAATGCTTCATACAATACAGGAATTTGTTATCCTATGTAACAAGAAATCAGAAGGGAGGACAAGGCCACAGCTGGCAATTCAGTGGTTAAGCCAGTGGCTCAACAATATAATCAAGGTCACAGGCTTTCTCTGCCTTTCTTCTCTGCCATCTGCATCATGCTAGCTTCCACCCTCATGCTCATCCTATGGAAGTTGCAAGAGAACTGCAGCACTTTCAAGCATCTTAATCCCATAGGTTTAGAAAAATCAGAACATTCCTTCAAGTATCCCTTTTATAGAATGAGATAAACTGTCTCAGAAGTCTCCCAGCAGAATTTTCCTCATATCTTGTTTGCCAGATTGTGTTACATGCTCACTCCTAAACCACTCACAGCCAAAGGGAACAGAGCAGCAGTGATTGTCTTCAATACATTAATATTTACCCCCACAGGGGCTAAGGAAGGACCAAAACAACATGGCCTCATGACACCTGAATAATGTAGGTTATTTGTGGCAGTGAAGTGTGGAGGGAGGCTGGTGGTTAGGCAGCCAATTACAGTGCAGCAAGCCTTGTCCTAATAATCCTTGTGTATTATCAGTTCCACATAATATATATGTTATTAAATATTTCCTTCCAGATTTGGACATCAGTCATGCTGTTGATGCATATTCACAATGCAAAGCAAAAATGCAACTGATGTGCCTTATTTATCTGGCAGCAATGATCAGGGCTTAGTAGCCCATAGACTAGCTGCAAGGTGCATCTATATTACGACTGTCCAATGCATCCCTCTTCTGCAGTGTAAGGTATATCTGCCTCAGTCCCTGTTCTGTTGCTTATAACAGAATATCTGAAAGTGGGTAATTTATAAAGAAAAGGAATTTATTTCTTACAGTTATGGAGGTTGGGAAGTCCAAGGTCAAAAGGCCATCCTGGTGAGGGCCTTCTTGCTGGTGGGGACTCTCTGCAGAGTCCCGAGGCAGTGCAGGATACAACATGGTGAAAGGACGGAGCATGCTGGCTTAAGTCTCTCTTTCTCTTCTTATAAAGCCACTAGTTGCACACCCATAGAACTCATTAATCCAGTAACCCATTAGTCCTTAATTTATGAATGGATTAGTCTAGTCGTGAGGGTAGGACCTATTTAAGGCCCCACCTCTTAACACTGTCACTTTGGGGACTAACTTTCAACATGAGTTTAGGAGGGGACAAATGTTCAAACCATAGCAACATTTGTTTTGGGACAAATTCATCTCAAACCAGATGCTATTGGATCTGGTTTGAAACCACTGAATCCTTACTTTGCCCACAGCAAAATAGAGCCCAAAGACACAGATTCAACTGTTCATGATCTGGAGAAACCTGGTAGAGGAGCAGAGCAGTGAGAGAGGGAAAACGAAGCAGCCAGTAACAGTAAATCATCAAGCCACTGCTGCTATGGGCAGCCGCACCCTAATCCTGCAGGGGAAGCTGGGGAACAGTGTGGAACTTAGCTGGGAGGCATTGCACCTAAGGAGTCAGGGGCTGGCACAAGGGGAAGTAAGTTAAGTGAGAGCCTGGTGCTGGGTATGCATGGAGAACAAGACCATGCACCAGGATGAAGGGCAGAGGGTGTGTACTCATGAGCACTGGGGAAGACAATCTAGACAGGATGGGGCACTCTGGACAGGTACAGGGATCCAGAGTATAGATGCCACTGAAAGTTAGGTTGAGAAGCTTGGATTCAAGTGATAGCCACTTACACACCATTGACAGCTTCGGAAATGAGGAACAAAGTCCTGGGCTTGGATGGAGACTAAGAGCAGACAGAGAAAGATAAAAGGGAAAATCATTTTGGAGAGAGGATGAATAGGACCAGGGCCAGATCCAGGGCCAGGTGACCTGTAGTCACACAGCACCCTGAGCTCACAAAGGCTGGCACCTAGCTTAATGCTCCGCTACTCCCCTCTTGAGATTCTTAATCTTATCTTTGAGTGTGTTTTCTATGTGAAGTTTGATAAGAAATGAAGCACGCTGTGGAGTGGAGGACCTTGCAGCCTTGGCTCACATGCAAACCACCTTCACCACCTCCCCTTCCCAAGCCGGCAGTATCACATCTAAGGCTGATAACAGAATGAGCCCCCACCCAGTTGTTAGCTTGACCCAATGTGGAGGTCACGCATTGGCCATGGATTAGGCATTGCCTTTGGAAAGGAGGTGTGCCTGCCTGCCTCAGTTCCCTCACTCTCAGCTAGGACATGAATCCCAAGTTGGTGGGCAGGGGGTGCAAGGGTGGCAGCAGGATGCTTTTGAGGGTCTGCATTTGCCTGTGGACCCTTTCCTTTTTCAGGAGGAAACCAGACATTAAATTACAAGAAAAACAAAGACAAAAATTATCATTACAGCTTGAGAAAGAAACCACTGAAGAAATGAAAAAGCTTTATATTTTAGTATCTTTAACAACACTCTTTTTCCTGCTTTTTGAAGAAAAAGTCCCCATGTTTTCATTTGCAACGGGTTTTGCAAATTATGCAGCCAGTCCTGGATAGGAATGAGTACCTAGTGGAGGGGGAAAGCGTGATGAATGAAGATGGTGCTAAAGTTTCAATGGTGGATGATACGGAAATCTGACAAAACTCAGCATGTTTACGGAGAGAAGACAGAAGACAGGTGTGGGCTCAGAGTTAGAGCACCTGGATTCAAGTACAGTGCTATTTAACAGCTGCCTGTGACCTTCCTGGACAAGTGATTTAAGTCCAACCAGATTCATTTTCTTCTTCTGTCAAATGGAGGAAAACTGATATGTTAGTTATCTCTCATTTCTTGTAAGGATCCATGGAAAATGCTGAGCTTTGTATCTGCCACATGGCAAATTAGTATTGTTATTGGCCACCTAAGAGGTGCCTTTCATCTGGTGGCAGGAGCTTCTGCATTCTGAGTCATTCATGGGTGCCAACATGCCTGACTGGAGTTTTCTGGCAATTTCCTTCCCATGGGACTTCACTTTAGCCAAGCCAGAAACACCACCTCCATCCTCCACCTCCTCCCACCTCCTGACTGCCTTCTATTTTCATGAACACAGCAGCTTTGCTTCTGGTGATTAATAGTCTTGGGGCCAGGCACAGTGGCTCACGCCTGTAATCCCAACACTTTGGGGGGCCAAGGCGGGTGGATCACGAGGTCAGGAGTTCCAGACCAGCCTGGCCAATATGGCGAAACCTCGTTTCTACTACAAATACAAAAATTAGCCGGGTGTGGTGGCGTGAACCTGTAGTCCCAGTTACTCAGGAGGCTGAGGCAGAAGAATCGCTTGAATCTAGGAGGCGGAGGTTGCAATGAGCCAAGATCGTGCCACTGCACTCAAGCCTGGGCATCAGAGCGAGACTCTGTCTCAAAAAAAAAAAAAAAAAATTGTCTGGGATCCTGGACAATTCCTAAAGGAGGCAAAGAAGGACACCTTTACAGTGAATGGGGTGGGCCCACACAGACCCTTCAAAAGATGTCTACAAGAAATACCAAGGCTAGCATTGTTGTGGGTATGGAGAGCAAATGAGGCAAAGAAATGGCTTTCAGCACTAGGCAATACATGGTAGCTATACCTGCTATGAATAATAATAGGAAGAACTGGAACTGAAACATTGAGATTAGATGTGTTTCTACCTCATTCTGCTGTAGATAGCTAAACGCAGCACAGTAGTGTCCTCTTAGATAAATGTTGGCTATAAAATTCAGTCTTGAATCTCTAACAATTCGACTGGTACAATTACAGGAAGAAACCAAATCATAGCTCTGCTGAGGACCTGTGGAGTCCACTCAGTGCGACCTTTCATTTTGTAGTTAAGGAAAGTAAGGACTAGAGAGGTGCAACATCTTACTTAAAATTAAACAGAAATCAATCAGTATCTTTCAACTAGAAGTTGATGCCATTTTCATTGTATGTTATGTGAAACATGTATCTATTAAAAGCATTATGATGATTTTAAAACACACCTGCACATTCTTGTAATTCTTTCCATCCAGAAGTTGAGCCTAGTTCTCCTCCCATTAAATCTGGGCCAGTTGGAGGGACTTCACTGGTAACTAGTAGAATATAGCACAGCTTTTGAAGCTATGAGAAAAGCCTCTATTGCTTCTGTCTAATTCTCTTGGGTCACCTGCGTTTGGATCAATGAGCTGCCAAAAGACCACCATGTTGTGAGGAAGCCCAGGCCATATGAAGAGGCCACATGAAGGTGAAACAGCTGATAGCCTCAGGTAAAGTTCCAGGCAACAGCCAGCATCAACTACCAAATTGGGTCATGCTCCCCATTCTGCCTTTGACTCTTCTCAGCTCAGCCCCCAGACATTGTGGAACACAGACAAGCCATTCTCACTGTGTCCTTCTCTGAATTGCTTACCCACAGAATTTTTGAGCATAATAAAATGGACGACTTTTTTGCCACTGTGTTTTAGGGTGATTTGTTAACCAGCAGTTGAAAGAGGAGCAGTATTTTTGTTCTACTACAGACTTTTGGATGGGAAGCAAAATAGAAAAATTCATTCCTAGTCTATTTTACTTTCACTCAAGGCCAACTAAAGCCAAAATACTGTATTTGGTTTGAAAAGAGAAATGAAATAAAACCAGGCTCTGCATTTTCACTTTCTGCAGCACAGATTCTTTGAGGAACAAATAGAAGGCAACCCCAAGAGGTTTTTCTTTTTTAAATGTCACGAGATTTTTCAGAAGATGATAAACGTTTGCTTGGCAGTATAGCTCCCAAGCAAATATCAGGCAATTAATTAATCACACATATACAACAATTTTTCTGTGGAGAAATTTTTTTATTAAAAATGCAAATACTTTAAATGCTAAAAATACTTTCCATGCTTTAAACATCTCTTAAAAAGTATTTGAAAATATGAGTAACAAAGGGTTTCTCTGCTGTAAAGTACAATACAGCTGATTTACTTTTATAATATAAACATCATTTTTTCTCCTACTGCTGAAAGCCAAGTAAACAGCAAGGTGGGCTGAGGGCTTGTGTGGGTCAGATGCGCTTTTAGCAGTCACTGAGTTTGCCTGATGACAGTCTAGAGGGCAGACAGACACAGTCAGCAACACGGAAAACCAAGGCAGTATACTCAGTATTTTTATCCATTTCCTAGGGCTGCTATCACAAATCACGTCAAACTTGGAAGCTTAAAACAACAGAGATGTATTATCTCGCAGTTATGGAGGCTAGAAATCCTCAATCAAGGTGCCGAGAGGGTCACGGTCTCTCTGCAGGTTCCAGGGGAGGCGCCTTCTTGGCCGTTCTGGCCTCTGGTAGTGGCTGGCAATGCTTGACATGACTTGGAGCCACACCGCTCCCATCTCTGCTATGCGGCATTCTCCTCTGTATGTGTGTCCATGTCTCCTTTTCTCTTCTTACAGGATACCTGTCATGTTGGATTAAGGGCCCCCCTACTCAAGTATGGCCTCATCTTCACTCGATTATATCTGAAAAGACCCTATTTCCAAATAAGGTCATGTTCACAAGTACCAGGGGTTAAGACATCAACCTACCTTTTAGGGAGACACAGTTCAACCCACAGCAGTGTCCTAAACAAAAAAATCTAAATAAACGGCTGTTGTGGCAGGAGGAGATGATAATTAATCCGGGGCACGCCTGCTGCTGCTTTGCGCGTGGCCTGAAGCCCTGGGTGTAAATACCGACTGGCTGTGAAGCTATGCCAAAGTGATTTCCCTCACCAGTCTCAGAGTTCTTACCTGTGAGTGGAGGCTGACTGAGACCAGTGACCCTGGGCAGGCCCTGTGAGCCCATCCTCCCGCAAAACAACGACACCCAGGTTGCACCCCAGCCAGCTGAGCCACAGCTTGCACGTTACCAGATCTCTCCATGATTCTGTGCACGTTAAAGCTTGAGGACTACCTAACACAGTTCTTGGGGCATAACGATTTACCAATAAATGCTAATCCCTTCTATTCATAAACACCACAAAAGCACTTCAGTAAAACAGCTGAGTTCACATTTAATTTAATAACTATGGACTGCAATGAAAGGGAGAAGGGAGGAAAGTAGGCCATGTTTAAACTAACTTCCTCCTCCAGAAGGAAACTGGCTAACAAACAACAGGCTGGGTGAGACACTAACTTTGGGGACTCTTTTGAATATCTCAGCTTTCTTTTTTTACTTAAGGAAAGATTGCTAGGCTCAAGTGGGAAAAAGCCATTCAGAGAGAGGAGGTAGCTCAGATAAATTTTTTTGAAAGGTCTTGTTAACTGAAAAAAAAAAAAAATGGGAGTTTAGAGATCATTAGTGTATAATTCTAATGAGAATTTAAATATATATGCACATTAAAATCTAAAAACAACAACCAACCAAATAAAAATGCTTGGAAGTCATCTCTCCCCCTCTCCGAACAACAATAAAAACAAGCTGAAAATCAAAAACTTTTCTTAGATCCATCACAGAACTGAGGTGGAGGATAAATCAGCACCCTGAAAACTGAAGAGATGGGTGAAGAGGGAGAGTGCAGATTAGCTCGCCGGAGGCACAGGCCACTGGAGCTGGTGAGAACACTTGAAGGGTGCAGCTGACAAATCACCAGGGGCTGAGGGTGGACTAACGTGAGAGTTAAAAACTCCTGGGGACCCTAGAGCAGGGTTGTGTGACACATTTTTTTTTTCCTCCAGGAACCCCACCAGGTTCTCATGGTGAATATACCCTATGCATGGCCAGGGAGAAGGGAAGAGTAACCATTCTGAAATATGCCCAGGTCATTCTCCACAACAAACACCACCAAGCCAGAGCTTTATCCAATTTTGGGGAAAGGAAATGACCCAATTGCAGCCCCCTCTAGCCTGCTTTCTCTGGCATGAGAAGAGAAAAACCATCTGAGAAACACTGGTGAAGGTCACAGCCCAGGGTCACAGGTTCACTGAAACACTGAGACCTGGTCATAGGATCATGAACTGGTTCCCCATCCCACACTTTATCCCACATCAACAGGGTTCCCATATAATAGCAGGTGGTTGCAGCACAATAAAACTTCGAGGACCAGACTCCTAAGAAAAAGTTCCTGAGAAACCCACAGATAATACGAGAGCCAAAAACCAGGACCGAGGACAAATAAGCTTCTGACACATACAGCTACAGGGGACAGTAAGCACAGACTAACTTCTAGCCAGAAAAACATCAAACTTCTCACCAAAGGCCTGTCTGCTTGAGTTCTCATAACCCAGTACATCATGTCTGGCTTTTCACAAGAAATTACAAGACATGACAGAAGGCATGGAAAAAAACCATCTGAAAAGATAAAGCAAGCATCACAGTCAGACTCAGATATGGCAGAGACTTCAAAATCATTATATCAGGAATTCTAAGTAACTGTGGTTAAAATGTTAATGAAAAAATTGGACAACATGCAAGAACAGATGGGTAATGTAAGCAGAGAGATGAAGATTATAAGAAAGAAGCAAAGAAACCTTAGAAACCAAAACCACTTCCATAACAAAAATGAAGCATGCACCCTGATGGGCTCATGAGTAGACTGGACACAGCCACAGAAAGAATCAGTGAGCTTGAAGAGACATCAACAGAAACTTCCCAAACTGAAATGCAAGGAGAAGAAAAAAAATATTTTAAAAGAAATAGAATATGCTAGAATGGTGAGACATAAAAGGCATAACACACACTAATGAATACCAAAAGGAGAACAAAGAAAGTGAAGGAGCAGAAGAAATATTTAAAGATTATAATGACTGAGAATTTTCTAAAATTATTAACAAAAATCAAACCATAGATTAAAGAAGCTCAGAGAACAACAAGCACAATTAATACCCCCAAATCAACACCTGAGCGTATCATACTCAGACTACAGAAAAACAAAGACCTAGGGAAAAATCTTGAAAAAATCCTGGGGTAGGGGTGGCATGGTGGGGGACACCCACCCAGAAAGGAACAAAGATGGGCATTCCATCAGACTTCTAGTCCATAACCAGGCCAGCAAGAGAGTGGAGTAAAGATTCAAAGATTTGAAGGAATAAAAAACTCATGTAAAATTTTGTATCCTGCAAAATTATCCTTCAAAGGTGATGGAGAAATAAAGACTCAAATCAACAAAACTGAGGGCATTTGTCACCAGTAAATCTGCCTTGCAAGAAATGTTGAAAGAAGTTCTTCAGAGGGAGGGAAAAAGATACAGGTCAGGAAATCTTCTCTACCTAAAGAAAGGATGAGAGTTGGGAAAGGAAAAAAGAAGACTCTTAAGTTGTCCTTAGAAGCCCTTACTGCTGACAGTGTTGAATTTTACCTGTGTTCTTAGAAAACAGAGGATGCTAAGAAATCTCCCATCCTTCGTGCTAGAGGAAATGACTTAACTTCAAGATCCCTCTTCCTTGTATGACTTAAATTAGACTCATGGAAGCCCCCTGTATTAGTCTGTTTTCATACTGCTATAAAGAGCTGCTGAAGGCTGGGTAATTTATTACTTTCAATGGCAAAAACTGCAATTACTTTTGCACCACCCTAATATAAAGGAAAGAGATTTAATTGACTCACAGTTCAGCATGACTGGGGAGGCCTCAGGGAACTTACAATCATGGTGTAAGGCCAAGGGGAAGCAAGGCGTCTTCTTCACAAGGCGGCAGGAAGGAGAAGTGTTGAACGAAGGGAGAAGAGCCCCTTATAAAACCATCAGATCTCATGATAATTCACTCATTATCACGAGACCAGCATGGGAGAAACCACATCCATGATTCAATTTCCTCCACCTGGTCTCTCCCTTGACAAGTGGGGATTATGGGGATTACAATTCAAGGTGAGATTTGGGTGGGGACACAAAGCTTAACCATATCACCCCACCCCTGCCCCTGTTTACTTATGACAGGCCAGACTGGGCCTTCCAAATTCCTATTCTTTGCCTCATAGATTAGCTGAACTATTTTTTCCCCTGAAATTAATGGAAACAAAATTCTTATTTATTGAACTTTGGTTAAGTTTCTGTCCTTTCCCCAGGTCCCAGAACCTTGGCCCACCATCAGCCTGAGCTGGTCTTCACTCACTCCTAAGAACAGGCTGGCCTCCAGAAGAATGTTCCCTGATCCACTACCCACTTTTGGGACCCCTTCATCCACTTCCTCACATCACTTCCTTGTTTATTCCTCCTATAAAACAAAACCACTTTTTGCCTAACTCTTGAGATGCCTGCAGATCTCATGTGTAGAGTGTTCTATTTATTACAATAGTCTCCCCACACCCCACCACCATCCAACCCCTTCCAATGATACTTTTGAACAAAATCTCGCCTAAGTCATGGTTTATTTGACACTGTAAATTTGGCCTCCCACTTTGGCCTGGCTCCATGTCAAAGCCTGCCAAGCTCACACTCCCATCTCAGGAATCAGCTCCAGTCACCGTCCAGTCCGAGCAAGTTGCTGGGAAGTATGTCCTTAGCCTTCTATGCTCACAGCACCAACAGCTTTTGCTGCCTTGCTTTTCATGCACTTGAACAGAAATGACAGAGATCTCCAGGTTTGTTGCTGCTGGAACTATCAATATGTGCTTTCCCTAGTCAGGAGGTATTTTTTTCCTGCCTCTTGAGTAAAGAATTCCCTTTTTAACAAGCTTTTTTTCCCTTGTTTGTTTGTTTGTTTTTGCATACAGTCACACTCACAATTAGTCTTGCATAGCATAGGGCCTCCTGACAATGGTTTTAGATGAATTGATGATCATTTGGCTTAGGAAAAAGAAATGTACGATGTGTGCAGAACTACACATTCTGAATTGGATCATAAGATAGTTTTTAGAAGCTAGAGTTCTCCAGATTTCCAGATTTTATTGCCAGAGCAGTGATGAAAGCAGTTTACTCATCTTCAAATTATGTAATATTCAGTAATTGTGAATTCTCTTTAAAACTCTTCAAAGAACCCATGCTGCCAAGAAAAGCCAGACAACACGTTCCATATTGATTTGCTCATTCTGAATGTTTTGTTGACCGCGTCCCATCATGTGCTCCTAGGTCCTAGGCCTGAGATGGATGACCCGAATCTTAGACACGGACGCCAACTCCCCCAACCCCCTGCCCCGCCAACCCCCAAACCAAAGGAGCTCACTTTTTAGCTAGAGAGATGAATATTAAATAATTAATGAACATGTTTATTTTTATTTTTTTAGGTTTATTTTCATTGTGTTGACGTTTACCTTTAAATTATTGAACACATTTATATGTCATTTTTAGAACTTATGAATAAAGTGCTGCCAAGGAGACAACCTACCAAGGGACTGGGAGTCAGTGGGATAGGGAGAAATGGGCATAAACTGGGTGTCAGACAGCTCAGGAAAAGTTAGGTAGGTGAGATTCTAAGAAACAACACTATAGAGAGAGTGGGACCATGGTGCCCAAGGACTCCACCTGCACTGTAAGTGTAGACATAACTCTCTGAGCAACTAAGATGGTATTTTCCATTAACAAGGCAATCAATACTTACGACGCTTCATGGGCATGTTGTAAAATACATCTCAAACTTTGAAAAGTTGGCAAAAACAATTGAGGATCAATTTAATTTAAGAATTAGGATCAGTAATTTAAGAATTAGGAGTATATTAGTCTGTTTTCACACTACTATAAAGAACTGCCCGAGACTGGGTAATTTATAAAGGAAAGAGGTTTAATTGACTCACATTTCAGCATGGCTGAGGAGGCCTCAGGAGACTTACAATCATGGCCCAAGGTGAAGGGAAAGCAAGGCACCTTCTTTACAAGGTGGCAGGAAGAAGAAATGAACCCAGGAGGAACTACCACTTATAAAACCATCAGATCTCATGAGAACTCACTCACCATCATGACAACAGCATGCGGAAACCACCCCCATGATTCAATTACCTCCACCTGGTCTCTCCCTTGACACATGGGGTTTATGGGGATTACAATTCAAAATGAGATTTTGGTTGGGAAAACAGCCAAACCATATTAAGGAGGAAAGATACATTCATGCATCTCCTATTTTTTACATTAAATTGTTCTTTGGAATGATCTGGATTTGAATGATGTGTTATTTATATTTGGCTATCCTAATTATTCAAACATGAACTGAGAAAATGCTTTTATTGGAGAAGGGAATGGAGGAAGGGAGGCAACTAAAAATTTTAAGAGTCTGAAAACAAAACAAAACAAAACAAAACAAATGAAGCCAAACTTATACTTAGGATAAAAAACCATGCAATTCTCTTCTTTCAAGGTGTATTCGGCATATATTTATCGAGGTTAGCTAACCCATAGGGTGTCAGTGGACACAAAACAGTCAAGATGCCGAGAATTTGGATTCTGGTGGCAAAAAATAGTCAATAAAGAAATACATGAGAAAATAAGGTGAGTTCAGGGAGTGTGAAATGTCAAGATTTTGATAATTATACTATAAAATGCAGGCATAAAATGTGTGTGTTCCTCATTCCTTCAATGCATCCTCAGAGATGATCCCTGGTAAATTAAGGGCTTTCATGCACTTTTTCCTTTTTTTTTTTTTTTTTTTTTTTCCTGGCAGCAGCCAAAAGACATGGCCAGAGCCTGAGCAGGGTAAATATCATCTTTTTTTTTTTAGACAGAGTCTTGCTCTGTCACTTAGGCTAGAGTGCAGTAGCCCGATCTTAGCTCACTGCAACCTCTGCCTCCTGGGTTCAAGCAATTCTCTGCCTCAGCCTCCTGAGTAGCTGGGATTACAGGCACCCGCCACCACGCCTGGCTAACTTTTGTATTTTTAGTAGAGACGGGGTTTCACCATCTTGACCAGGCTGGTCTTGAACTCTTGACTTTGTGATCCACCCGCCTCAGCCTCCCAAAGTGCTGGGATTACAGGCATGAGCCACCACGCCCGCCCCAATATCATCCTCTTTTAAAAGCTCCATAATCCCCTATACCTCTACATCCAATCTCCAGTGGTCTTATAAGAAGAGGACAGACGTACAGTAAAGATGGAGACAGGGACTAAAAGCCAAGGAATGCCAGCAAGCACCAGGAGCTAAGTGAGAGGCAGTGAACAGATTCTTCTCCAGAGCCTCCAAAGGAACCAACTTTGCTGACATTTGATTTTGGACTGCTGGACTCCAGAACTGTAAGTGAATACATTTCTGTTCATTTAAGACATCAGTCTGTGGTAATTTGTCGGGGCAGCTCTAGAAAATTTATACACTAACTCATTGGAAATAACTATCTTTATCATTAAACAGACATCATTCTGGATTATATATATATGTAATATACATATATATAAACAAAATTCCAGATATATCTATACATCATATCATATATTCACACCATATATGGATATATAAACCATATATATCATTCCCACTGGATAGATAGGTACAGATACGTACAGACAGATGGTTAGATTGACAGAAATATTTCTACTATAATGGGGGTAATTCTATACATTCTATATTAAATGTGATTTTACTTGAACGTATCTGAAGTAAAAGAATAGATCTATCCTTCTATTGCACTGTTTTCCTATTTCTGTCCTAAAATCTTGTTGTTCAGTTTATTCAATTTTGTGTAGGGCAAACAGGTACTGTTTGCTACGGTCTAAATGTTTGTGTGCCCTCCCAAACCCAGATGTTGAAATCTAATCACCAATGTAATGGTATTAGGAGGTGGGGCTGCTGGAAGATGACGGTATTAGGAGGTGGAGCCGCTGGAACACGATGGTATTAGGAGGTGGGGCTGATAGGAGACAAAGGTATTAGGAGGTGGGGCTGCTGGAACATTATGGTATGAGGAGGTGGGGCTGCTGGGAGATGACGGTATGAGGAGGTGGGGCTGCTGGGAGATGACGGTATGAGGAGGTGGGGCTGCTGGGACATGATGGTATGAGGAAGTGGAGCTGCTGGGACAGGATGGTATTAGGAGGCGGGGCTGCCGGGAGACGATGGTATTAGGAGGCGGGGCTGCCGGGAGACGATGGTATTAGGAGGCGGGGCAGCTGGGAGACGATGGTATTAGGAGGTGAGGCTGCTGGCTCTGCCCTCATGAATTGGATTAGTTCCTATCTTAGTCCATTCAGCCTACTATAAGACTACCTCAGACTGGGTCATTTATAAACAGCAGAAATTTATCGCTCAGAGTTCTGGAAGCTGGGAGTCCAAGATTAAGGCACTGGCAGATTCAGTGTCTGGTGAGGCCTCACTCTCTGCTTCATAGATGACACCTTTTTCTATGTCTTCACATGGTAAAGAACGGGTGAACAAGCTTCCTTGGGCCCCTTTTATAAGGGCATTGCTATGGCTTAAATGTATGTGTCTCTCTAGAATTCCTATGTTGGAGCCTAAAATCCACTATAATAACATTAAGAGCTGAAGCCGTTTTGGAAGTGATTAAGAAATGAGGCTCCACCCTCTTGAATGGGAATAGTATCCTTACAAAAGAGGTTGACAGGAGTGTCCTAGTTCCCCCCCCTTTTTTTTTGCCCTTTTGCCTCCCATCCCTTCCCTCATGTGAGGACACAGTGTTCGTCCCCTTCTGTGGACCCAGCAAAACAAGGCACTATCTTGGAAGCAGATAGCAAGCTCTTATCAGACACTGACTCTGCTGGTACCTTTATCTTGGACTTCTTAGCCTTCAGAACTCTGAGAAATAATGTCTATTATTTATAAATCACTCAGTCTAAAGTATTCTGTTATAGCAGTGGAAATGGGCTGAGATAGGCACTAATTCCAGTTATGAGGTTAGAGCCCTCATGACCTAATCAATATCCCAAAGCCCCACCTTTTAATACTATTGCACTGGTGATTAGGTTTCAACATATGAATCTGAGGGAACACAAACTTTCAGACCCTAGAAGTGCCACTAAAAGAGAGCTCAGAGAGCTAGCTTTCCCCTTCTATCATGTGAGGGCACTGTGAGTAGGTGCCTTCTGTGAGTCATCTGTGAATCTCTGGGTCCTCACCAGCGACCAGATTGGCTAGCACCTGGATCCTGGATTTCCAACTTTCAGAACTGTGAGAAATAAATTTGTTGTTCATAAGCTGCCTAGTTTATGATATTTTGTTACAGCAGTCAACACAGACTAATACACTACTCTTCTTTGTTTCCAAGTTTTCTTGATAATTAATTATGTGATCTTCCATATAAAACTTAAAATTAATTAGTTCTAAAACACATATCCCCAAGAGAATTTGGGACTCTCATGAGAATTGCACTAATTTTGTAATTTGACTTGGGAAGAATTGACAGTATTTTTGATACTGACTACTCACCTAAGAATACAGCATGTTTTACATTTACTAGGGCCTTATTACTGCCTTTTCAGTAAAGGTTTATAATAAAGATTGTGTAACTTGTTAAAGTTTATCCCTAAGTATTTTATGGTTTCTGTTGCCATTGTGGAGGAAATATTATTTCATTTTTAATATGTTTTTGCTTATTCAAATAATTCTAATTTTTCTTCTACTTACTTAAGCTTTATTATTGCACTCAATTTTAAAATTGAGGCACCTAGATTTTCAAGGGTTCCTGTCATCTGCAAATATTAACATTGCCTTTTCCTTTTAGGTCTTAACAATGACACAGTTTGTTGTGCCACATAGGGACGAAGCTTTTCGTGGCTAGGGTTGAGGAGGGCTTGCTGGTTATGTGCAAGGGCTTTGCACAATATGATCTAGGTTCACGTCCCTGCTCTGTCACCTACTGGTTGTGTGACCCTTATTTAACCTCTGTGGACCTCAGGGTCCTCATCTCTGAAACGTGGATAATAGTAGTACTTAATTCAGAATTGTAAGAATTAAGCACTTGTTAATACATTAAAGCATTTAGAAGGCACATTAAGCCCTATAGTAAGCATTAGGTTACATTCATCAAAACCTGCTGCCTACTTACCTCCTGCAAGTCTCATAAGCACTTCAGAAAGTGTGGTGTCTCCATTCTACGAATGAGGAAACTAAGTCCAAGGCAGCAAGTGATGAGTGCAGGGTCACTTGGAGATACATTTTAGGGCTGCCCCACAAGACCAGCTCCTAGAAAATAATGCAATCAATCAACTTCTGCGAGGCCGGACTTAAATCCCACTAAAACGTGCTTAATTCATTCAACAGGCGTTGGCATCTTACCAGGGAGGAAAAAAAAAAAAAGAGTACGCCAAGGCGAAAAGGAGAGTCTCCATCTATTGCGTCTCAGGCTTCCGCCAAGACTGGCGGAAAAAAACGAGTCCGCTCCGAAGCGCTCGCCTGCCTTCGGCAAAAATCGTCAGGAGGCGGGGCCCACGCTTCGGCACGTTTCGCGCAGGGCATTGTGGGAAGGGCGGCCGGTGCAGCCGCAGCTGCCATCTTAGGGGCGCCTGGCGCTACGGGTTTCTCGTTGGAGGCGGCCTTCGTGGCAGCTGTAGACGCCGGGAAAAGGCATAAAGTCCGTTGGCCGACACCTTTCTTTCCTCCGGCCTCGGTAGAACCGCCAGCCCGCGTCCGAAGGCGGAGGCGAGGGGAACTGGCCGCGTGAGGGGCCTGAGGCGAGCGGTTAGAGCGTCTCCCGGAAGGATGGGCCGGTCTCGGAGCCGGAGCTCGTCCCGCTCCAAGCACACCAAGAGCAGCAAGCACAACAAGAAGCGCAGCCGGTCCCGGTCGCGATCCCGGGACAAGGAGCGCGTGCGGAAGCGTTCCAAATCTCGGGAAAGTAAACGGAACCGGCGGCGGGAGTCGCGGTCCCGTTCGCGCTCCACCAACACGGCCGTGTCCCGGCGCGAGCGGGACCGGGAGCGCGCCTCGTCCCCGCCCGACCGCATCGACATCTTCGGGCGCACGGTGAGCAAGCGCAGCAGCCTGGACGAGAAGCAGAAGCGAGAGGAGGAGGAGAAGAAAGCGGAGTTCGAGCGGCAGCGAAAAATGTGAGTGCCCGCGCGGGGAGGGACCGGGGCGTGCGGAGAGCAGGGCGCGGGGCGAGGGCGTGGGGCCGGGGCGGGACGGTGCGGGCCGGGAGAATGGCGGGGACGGTCCGGGGCTGGGGACCGGGCGCGGGAACGGGTCGGAGAGGCGGCGGCGGGGCGGGCAGGCTTGGCGTTTGGAAAGCTTGGGGTGGGACAGACCCAGAAGTTGTTCGGGATGGAAAATTCGAGGGCTTGAGCAGAAAGGGTTTAAGAGAAGGCGATTTTGGCGCGAGAGAGGAGTGGTGTCCCGGAAGTAGGGGTGGAGTTCGGAGTGAGGTCGGAGAGCTGCGTTGGCTTGTGAGGCCGGGAGCGAGCCGGCCTGCAGATGTGGAGGGTGGTGAGCGTTTGCTGGTCGGCTTGAGGAGGAGAGAGAAGGGAATTAACCTTTGAGATGCGAATCACAGCTGGCCAGAAGCATTCTATTGAAGCTCAAATTTGGGACAGGACTTAACTAATCTCGGGAATCATACACTTTAGGTGGTCCGCCAGAAAAATGCATTTTCACTTTAGTGTATTCCTGTTGTTAAGGTGTTGGGATTGCTTTTTTCCCCTTGAGCCTACACCCTCACCCCTTCCTTGAGATGTTAAAAAAAAAAAGCATAGACCTTAAGTGTACAGTGCGATGAGTTTTTTGACCTTTGAATTCACCTGTGTAATCACCATCCCAAAGCCTACCGCTTTTTTAACTTGCTTTCTATTCCTGTAGCAAACACGTGCAGTTTTGTTGTTTCCCTTACACTGTGCTTCTTCAGAAGACACTTGAAGGGTTGATTTTATTTTGGCGTTGCTCCCATGAAGGATATTTAGTGAAAACTAGAGTTAGAGTGTGTTTCCGAAAATGTCAGCTCTCAAGTATTTCTGGCTATGAAAGTAGATGTGGATAAATAATCCCAAACTAAAGGAATTTTTGGGTTTTAAAATTTAGGGATTTGTTGTGTGTTTTGCTTTATGATCATCGTACTTTGATGCTCTGGGTATTCAGTTTCCAAAAACCGCATTGAAAAGTAGATTTGAACAGTCCTACTAACTCCCTATTGAACCAGCCGTACTTGGTCAGTTCTTCAGTGAATATTTAGAAAGTGCTCATGAAGCAAGAACGTTACTGAATTTATGATTTTCTCGAGGCGAGTATATGTGTGCTGAATTGACTGCGTGGTTTGTAGTTTTCTGTAGTTGGGTTTGTGTTAGGTAGATTTTCCAGCACACACACACAGCTTGTTTCTAAAACCAAAGTTACTAAAAGGTAGGACTGGAGCACTAATATTACAGAGGAAGCTGTACCTGGAGCTGTTTTGCTTCCAACACTCCTTTAAAACACATGCAACACTCATTTTTCCTGTACTTAGAACTGTCAGTGATACATATGAAAACAAAGTTCAAGTAATCGTTTCAAATTAAACCTTGATTTTGTAGAATACAACTTTTGGGTCTGCAACAAGGCCCTTAGCTGTAAAGATCTCAAATAGCTATCAACAGATGGATGTATGAAAAGTTACCTAAGACATTGCTGAGATAATTTCTACATGTGAAAACAAAGGAGACCTCCAAAGAGTAATAACTTGCCTTTCACTAGAAAGCTAAGATATGTAGGAAAAATGAAAAGAAACTTGGTATGCAAAGAATAAATAGAAGCATTTAGCAGGTTTCGCATGTATAGCAGACAAGAAATTCAGGAATGAAATACGGCAAATAGAGGAGCTATATGGTTCTCTGGTTTGAGAGAAGACACAAACTGCCAATAGTATTTAGGAGGGAGAAGGGACCAGGACTAGCAGCCACCTGTACTCTAAATTCCTGGGTGCCGTACAATAGGCATTTTATTTAATATATTCTAATGTCTTGGAAACAATGCAAAAGAAACAATGGAAAGACTTAAGTGTTGGAGCTTTGGCAGTGTAAGGAAACAGTTTGCAGTCTACATATCCTGTTGGTTATTTTATTCATTTAACTGATGTTTATTGAGCATTTAATAAGTGCCAGGCACTGTGCTAGGTACTGTTAATATAAAGATGATTGGCCCTTCTCCAAGAGCTTGATCTAGCTCAAAGACAGATCATTAAATAGGCAATAATACAGTGTAGTAAATTTAGTGACAGTAATATAAACTGTATAAAGGAAGTATCCTGTGTGGGTGGAGGATATAAGAATATGACAATGTCAGGCAAGGTATAGGACATATGTGGAGCACAGAAAAGAGCCTCCTCCCCCGACTCCTGCCAAAATAGAGGAAATGGTCTTAAAAGTGGAATGATCAGGTGACTGTTGACTTAGAACACGAAGTTCTATAAATATTTAAGTCATGGAGTGACTGGAGAGGTAAATAGAGGCTGGGAATCATGTTAGGGTTATTGTATGTCATATTAAAGAGCTTGGATTGCATCCTAGAAACGGGAAGGATTTTAAGCAGGTGAATGACATGGTGCCTTTTTTGTTTTGATTGTTGTGTAGGATGGAAACTAAGAGGTGGGTACAGAAGTTTACACAGGAGTAGTGAGGATGGTTGTTGGAATGGAAAAGAGGGACAGATTTAAGAAACATTCAGGGTATATTAAATGGAATGTGGGACTTCAGAAAAAGAATGTTGGTTCTCATGTTTATAGTGTGGCTGTTGCAACTCATCTACCAAATGTTTCAGTAACAACCATGTGGCAGGTACTGGTAAAAATGTCAGAAACTTTTTAAATAGTGGATAAGGGAGAGGGAAAGGGGATAAGAGAATGGTGCCTTCACTGTGAGCACTAGTTTTGGATATACTGTACTGAGTTTATCCAGACTTGATCATGTGAGACTGAAGCCTAGCTGAGAGGGGCTTCGCTGAATGTCGTGAAACCTTGAGAGTATATGGAATGACCCAGGGAGAGTGTGGAGAGAGGAGAGCGGTTCATTCAAGGGACTGAAAGAACCTTAGGACATGCCTGTATTTGCAGTTAGGAAGAGGGAGAAGAGCCTATGGTGGAAGCAGAAAGAAATATGGTAAAAATGCATAGTGTCAAGTGCCCTTACAAGAAATCTAGTTAGATGGAAAGAGACCGTAAAATAAGAATCAACCATTGGGTTTAACTAATTAGGAATTCTTTGGTAAGATTGGAAACCTTATTGGTTTACCACTTATAATTCTGAGTTGCTGAATAAATCACCTCCCTCTAACCTTGTTTTTAAATCTGTGAAATGGAGATAATCTGTCTTGCTTGTTGTGAAAATTGGAGATGATGTATTTAAAGTAGGTGATACTTGGCATGTAATAGCTCTCAATAAGTAATGTTATTTAATGTAACTAACTTACATGGAGCCAGACCGAGCCTGATGAATTTCAGAAGTGATCTTATGAGTTGTCATCTTAATGCTGAGAAGGTAGGCCTTTACATTTTTAAAGACTTTTGCCCTCAATTTTGAATAGGCAGTTCACATGGTTCAAAATTCAGTTCAAAAGATCTTCCTCTCATCCTTGCGTCCCAGCCATTCAGTGTGGTTCTTCTCACCCCTCCCCCACACCAGTAGCACCATTTTCTTAAATGCTCTTTTGAGATGCTGCATGCATGTTATATTAACTGTTGAAAAAATAGACAACTGAAAATAACTTGCAGCAAATCAGGAAAATGTTAATGGCATAGTAACTTACTCTAGCCTGTGATATCTAGGTTCGAATATCCTCCGTGTTCAACTGGATGACGGATTAAGGGCCTTCTAAATTAGAGTATCTACACTGAACTGGGATCTATATAAGTGATTCTTAGAATACTTGGGCAGTTCATTGTGAGAGCAAAGAAGAGCTTTTAGGAGAAAATTGATTATATGGAACCGCATATTTTTGGAGGTTAAGGCTCTGACAGAACATTAAGGCATAAGACCTAGCTGATGTTAAGAATATGTATTCATTTATTTATTTATTATTTTTGTAGAGACAGAGTCACTATGTTTCCCAGGCTGATCTTGAACTCCTGGCCTCAAGTAATCCTTCTACCTCAGCCTCCCAAAGTGCTGGGATTACAAATGTGAGCCACCGTGCCTGGCCTATACTTTTTTCTTCCTTTTTTTGGTCGTTAAATCTGTGTGCTTGTCTTTGCCTTGCTTATTTGTCCTGCAGAAACCGGTGTAGGGTGGTAGTATAGTGCTTGCTTGAGATCGTTAGCTTTGGCATCTACTTAGGTTCAGAGAAACAGCTCAGCAACATCCAGTGTGCTCGAGTCTAGAAACTTCAGCTCCTTGTTCTTAGTTTCCTCAGTAAAAATGGGATACATACCCACTGCATAGGAATAATTATGTGATTTAAATGATGACATGGTATATAAAGCTTTTGGCACAATATTATATGTTACCTATTAAGTAATAAGTAAATGCTGTTTGCTAATAATTATTAAGCGATTCCTAGAAGTAAACCCCTAGGATTGAGTTCCCACATTTTAAAGATGTTTTAAAATAATGGTGCCAGTTACTCTGTAACAGTGCCGAAGTGCTGTAGCCTTACTGTTTTGTTTTTAATAGTTAGCATTTTAAAGTTCAGTGTGACTAGTGGTTTTTTTTTTTGTTTTTTTTTTTTTTTTTTGAGACAGGGTCTTGCTCTGTCGCCCAGGCTGGAGTGCAGTGGTGCAGTGGCGCAATCTCAGCTCATTCTCCTGCCTCAGCCTCCCGAGTAGCTGGGACTGCAGGCACCCGCCACCACACCCAGCTAATTTTTATTTTTTATTTATTTATTTATTTTTATTTTTAGTAGAGATGGGGTTTCACCGTGTTAGCCAGGATGGTCTCGATCTCCTGACCTCATGATCCACCTGCCTGGGCCTCCCAAAGTGCTGGGATTACAGGCGTGAGCCACCGCGCCCAGCCTGACTAGTGTTTTTAAAATACCTGAGAGCACAGAGAAAATAGGACCTAGTATTATACCATTTCATTGAAAACCTTGAAGATCTTGATTTAATGCTTTCGTCAGTATAACATATTATTGGCAGGGAAATGGATATTCAGCAGAGGAGCATGAGGAAAACATTAGAGAAAAGAACATCATGAGGGTGACAACTGCTATGGCAAGGGTTTTGAGGAGTGAATAGGCTGTTAGATGATACCTATTTTGCAAGACACTGACCCACTCAAGAAAGTTCAGTGCCTCTTATGGGAGTAGGCATAATAGTGGTTTTATCATTGATTATGATGATAAATTTGCCATCAGTAAAGATGAACTCATGCTTAATTCAGTTGTATATGTGCTCACTGGTTTGCTGAATTCAGTGTATGGTGAGGGGATAAAATTGAGCTTTCCTTCAGCATTGTTTCTAAAATTTGATTTAAAATTTTTTTCTGATTACTGAAGTAGCATTTTTAATTTTACCAAGAAAAACAGCAGAAATTATATTCTTGCTAACACTTGCAGGCAAACAGTTTTGCTGTGGTACCCTGAACCCTGCCTGTTGCAAAGCTTCATTTTCATATTGGGATGCCTTGCAGTTCCTCCAGGAACAAAGGGAGATAAGCAGCTTTGTGAGAAACTGCACTAGGTCATTTCTCATTCTCCAGTGTTTCAGTTGAGCGTGGGACTTTCCACTTGCCCTCCCTTTGGGCTATAAAGTCGCTGAGCTGTAGTTAGAATTGACTCCTTAGCAGCGGAGCAGCCCACGGCCTGCCTGTACTGCCTGTTACATGGGCCCTCTGGTTTGATGTCATCAGTGGAAATAGAAGCAGGGAACTGACATTCTGATTTGGCATTTGCTGTAAGTAAATTTATTTGGCTCATTTTCTCCTTACTGACCAAAGCTATGGAAATGAGGCCCTGTTAGCCACTGCGCTTTTGCTGAGGGATGGCTTGACTGCCAAAAATAACCTTGAGTGTGTATCAGGTCTCTTCTGCCTTCACCAAATTCTTAAGATGGCAACTTTTTACTCCTAGGGCCTTCTTTCTACTTTGTGTGGAATTTTAATTGGAACTGTGTTACATTATCCTTTTTTTTAATAGTCGGTACTATGATCCACCTAGTATTGTTAATTAAAAGTCACATTGTACCGGTTTTGAAATTTTAAATATTAAGTTTCTTCTTAGGCTTCTCTACATTTACTAATTTCAGAAGAACCAACTAGCAAAAGTGTGTGTGTGTGTGTGTGTGTGTGTGTGTGTGTGTGTACACTTTATTATGAGAAATTTACATATTCACAAAGGCAGATTATTATTATTATTCTTGGGTACTCATTATCCAGATTCAACAGTTGTCAGCCTTGTTTCATTGATTAGTTTTCTTTCCTTTTGGGTGAAGTAGAGAAACAACATTTTATATGGAAATGTGATTTAATTTCTATTGAAGTTGCTGTCTGGTTTCCTTTTATATGCTCCCAGTGATTGATTTTTTTTAGTATTGGGGAAGATACCTGCTCTCTCACTGAGCTGCTGTAGATAAAGACTTCAAACAACAAAGTCCTGAGAATGAGTGTTGGGCAAACATCTAGGCCCTTAAAGGAAAATATTCTTTCTCTAGTACCTACTGTCTCCTTGACAGAAGAATGTAGAGGATAAATGTAGAAACTGAAATGAATCAGATTAAGACACATTGGTGTTAGTGTGTTATCACTGAATAAGTAACAGGAGTTGAAAATGAGAGCCCTTGGGTGAGAATTGAATCATCCCGAAGAATAGAGTTGAGTTGAAGTGGATTGGGGTATTTAAAGGTCACTTAGAAACTATAAAGTCTTTACTAAACAGATAAATTGAATGATTCTCATATATATGGATGTCAAATGAGTGATCAAAAGATAAAGGTTGCAGGTTTTATTTAATTTTGAGAAAGTTGGAACATGAATCGTCCTCTTAGGATTGAGATTTACTGCAAGAGCCTCAGAATTTATTCATTCAGCACAAATTATTGTCTCAGTGCTATTAACTAGAAATAGTATGAACAATATATGCAATGTAAAATTTTTTTAGTAACCTTAAGAAATGGATGAAATTAATTTTATTGTATATTTTTATCCAAAATATCATTTTAACACGCAATCAAATAAAAATAGGAGATCATTTATATTCTTTTTCTTCATACTAAATTTCAGTTTGGACCAGACACATATGACTGGTGGCTGTCACTGAATATCATTGGTATGAAATGTGCAGGATTTCCAGTGGTGCCTTGATGAATGTCAGTAATTTCAGCACAGAATTTTATTTTGAGTAAATTGGTTTATAATATCAAAATGGGATTGGAGTAATTAAAACTGTAGTATCATGCTTTATTGAACTTTTTCTGGTAATAAAAATATATTTTTACCCACTTTCCCATTTCTAGAGGAGCTTTTAATTGAAAATTAACAAAAGGAAGAAAAGACATAGTAAGGAACTATAAAGCTAAAGAACTTCAGTTCAAAACTTAAGTTGGTCATATTTTCAGTAAAAACTACGCACTATTAGTCCAGCAATCTGAATCTCTTCAATCTGTATTTATTCTCTCTTTGCTTAGCGGGAAATCAATTCAGCCAATCTGAGTTGCCTGCTACATAATTTCTCCTTCTCTGTAGCTCAGCCCCAGACGAAGTGATTGGCAAATGAGCAAATCCATATGTTTTAACAACTTGTCCTCTGATTATAAAGTCAATAACAGAATAGGTTTTCTGTCCGGATTTATTGTTCCTAAATTAGAACTAATGAATTAGGCTCTTTGTATATACCTGTTCTCCTGTATTTAGAATATGATAAAGGAAAAAAAGATTTTATACTCATTTGAATTTCTGTATCAGTTAACATCTTGGTATCTGTCATTTCCTCAAATGTGACATGGAAATGAATTCTGAAAAAATCACTGAATAATATCAGGCTCAATGGCTTGATAGACTTAAAACTAGTTTTGTTTAAATTTATAGTTTTAAAAGTAAATACCTAACTTGTTTTTTTCACTTTGTTTGCTAGTCGACAGCAAGAAATAGAAGAAAAACTCATCGAGGAAGAAACAGCACGAAGAGTAGAAGAATTGGTAGCAAAAAGGGTGGAGGAAGAACTGGAGAAAAGGAAGGATGAAATTGAACGAGAAGTTCTCCGAAGGGTGGAGGAAGCCAAACGCATCATGGAAAAGCAGTTGCTCGAAGAACTCGAGCGACAGAGACAAGCTGAGCTTGCCGCACAAAAAGCTAGAGAGGTAACGCTCGGTCGTTTGGAAAGTAGAGACAGTCCATGGCAAAACTTTCAGTGTTGGGTTCTGCCTCCTGCTCAGTTCAGAAAGAGATGGAATACAGACTATCTAATTCCTTTCTCGTCTAAACTTAACATTGCTGCGAAAGTTAATTTTTTAGCCTATTCAGAAGTGCTGACTGATAACTTAAAAGTTGGAAGCTTTTATAAAACATATTCAAGGATACTTTTTGATTTAATGGAACTGGCTATTTGAGAAGTGTTTGAAACTTTTGCCATGGCTGCAGGACTTACATTCTTTTTTGGGAGGACGGTGGGGAGACAGGGAGTGGTAAAGGGAAAAGGTTAAAAATCCACCTGTGGTTGTATATTCTTCTATTCTGTCACTCTGTTACCTAGACTGTGAGAGGCTTTTGCCTTCAGTCAGATTAAAAAGAGCAGGGCCTAACATTGAGTGATAGCACCTGCTTTGATAAATAGGTTTTCTCACTCTTCTTTTTTTCCTTCTTTTATCCCTCACTCCCTCCCCTAAACCCTGCTTCAGCACAATGGACTAATTCTAGCATTCTGATCATAAGGCCCTCCATTTTCCTAATGTGTTTCAAGGAATCTTTTTAGGAAAAATATCCAGATTATTCATCCACTTTTTTTAGTATCTACTAACAACTCCTTTTTTTCTCTAGAGAGTTATGAAGGAACAGGTTGTCCTTGTCTGGAGTCAAGCTAAACACATGATTTGTTTTATCAGCAGCTGGAGCAGAAGTTGAAAATGTCTTTCTGTGAGACAGTAATTTGCTACTGAAGCTTTATGGCTTGTTTGCACTGATTACTCCAGGATCCAAAAACTTGGTGAAAGTCACTGAAACACTCAAGGCAAATTACTTTACAGCCCTGAGTGTCTGTCACCATAGTTTGCATAATGAATATGAATCCCATTGGTGTGTGATGTAGGAAATCCTGTAGTTGTATTTTCTTGAACTGAAATA
Organism: Homo sapiens; assembly: GCF_000001405.40. Lineage (NCBI taxonomy): Eukaryota > Metazoa > Chordata > Mammalia > Primates > Hominidae > Homo > Homo sapiens. The sequence continues at coordinate 106,558,452 of NC_000013.11, read as the reverse complement.
TTTGACTCAAAATAATTAAGACTCATTGTCATTTTTCATCTTGGCATTATTGTGGACAAGTTGACATATTAAATCTCTTTGCTTTCTGGTAAGCTTAGCTTTTAAAATGCATTTTCCCTTGTCCTGTCTTTAACTAGATATACATGCTTATATTTATAGTGGGTTTCACAGACTATAAAATTGAATGTATGAAATTTTTATTTATATCAGTGCTTTTAATAATGAAGATATTTTTGGAGTAATGGTGCTGTCTTGTAGCGAGTTATTAATCATAGTAAGATTTTTTTCTCTTCATTTGCTTTTTTTGTTTCATATTAACAATTTTTTTTTTACACGGACACAACCCTCTGACAGTCTTTCCAAATATTAAAATCATTTGAATATGTATGCTGTGATCTGAACACTGCTCAAGCCATCAAGCAGTCTTCATACAGTTTGCATTATAAAATCTCATTAAATTCTCCAAGAAAAAATAAGTTGAAGAATTTTATTTCCTGACCATGCATCCCCTGGATTTCTGAGTTTCAGTTCAGATTGTAGATGACAATATAAGCTGCCTTCCGAAATTGTCAACATCTGAATGTTAAGTCCATTTTCCCCATGGAAGAAGCCCGTAGTTCCATGAAGTATGGATTACCATTTGTATTTTTCACTAACAGTAAATGTATTTTTCTTATTAATTGTTTGCCTTAGGAATGATGAATTACATTTTTTGTTCCTTCTTACCATAAACATCTGCATTCCTCAGCTCAGCCTTCCTTGTATGTTGTTTCTTTATAAATGGTTGAGCTGCTGATGCAGGTATTGCCAAGCTAACAGTACAAATCATTTTAAAGAGGAAGCTGGCGCGTATGGCAGCCGAGGAGCACACTCTGCAGGACACTGGACAAGACAGTAAATATTCAACTTTTAATGCTGATTAAAGGAGTATAGGTAAAGAATACGTAGGTATACATAATTGGTGAGACAAATATTCACTTTATTTATATTTTATATATTATTTTTTTAATTTGGTAAATACTATCCAGTTTTGTAGTTGTCCTTGTTGATTTGTGTGATATTAAAGTATTAGTAATAATTGCCAGGAAACTATCATTAGGGAGGGTTTAGTTGGTTGCTGTTTGGACTGGGAGGGATGATTTAAATTTAGTGCTAGAAACCAATTTTAGTGACTGCACAGTTTATCATTTGTCAGACAGAAGGTAGCTATAAAGCTACCCTGTAAGTCATATCAAAAAAGTTCAGAGGAAGATTAGTAAATATTTATCAATAAAAATAAACATTTTGTTTTTCTAATATCTTAACATATCCTCCCCTTTAGGAGGAAGAACGTGCAAAACGTGAGGAGCTAGAGCGAATACTGGAAGAGAATAACCGAAAAATTGCAGAAGCACAAGCCAAACTGGTAAGTGTAAAGCATACATGAAAAGTGTTTTGTATTTTGCTTTATTTCCTTTTTTCGGATTTTGTGGATTGATTTTTGTGCCCTATAATTTGACTTATTTTGGGGGGATTCTCAGGACTAACTTTAAAGGCTTTTTGAGGCAAGGATAGGAACAATTGAGATTTTTCCTTCCAATCTGGACAGAACTCCAAAATTTGCAGTGATTTTAAAAAACAAGTTTTCTGGGGAAATTATTTTGTTCTCTATCCCCAGTTTTTTCTTTCCTAACCTCATTCACATTCTCCTATGCCTAAAAAACTAATAGCAACAACAAAAGCTTGGGGGTATATTTAAACCAACTATAATATGCAGCATTTTACTTTGTATTAGTTGGCTTGTTACCAGGAGTAGATAGTATTTATTTGATAGTAAGTGCACCGGAGTAATTTCCTATTCCTAGTTTATAATCTTAAGAAATACAGAGTCTTCGGTAATTATATAATATAGAAAGATGGGGGTGGGGGAAAGCAAGTTGTAAGCTCCAGTTACATGGTATAAAGAAATTTTGTGGTTATAAATGTACAGAAAAATATCCAAGTGGGTCTGAGTAGTTAACAGTGGATCCCATTGAGAGTAGGGATGAAGGAAGACCATAAATAACCTTAATAAGAATGTAAAAAGTTAATACGGGGCAGTTGTTTCTGGAACATCATCTTCTGAAAAATAGAGTACTCTGGATAAGAGATAATGCTAGAAATATTCCAGATAACTTAGTGAGCATGGCACAATGGATTCTTGGTAAATATCACCTGGTATTTGTGAAGGCCATAATGGAATCTATTGGAAAGCCATAATCCGCTTTCCCGAAGAAAATCTTAAAATCTGCTAAGGCAGAAAAAGCAATAGGAATGTGAAATGGATGAGTCATTCTAAGTTATATTGCTGCATGCTTATGAATAAGTATGTGATAACTTTTTTTTTTAGTTATTCTGGGATTCCATATAAGGAGAGAACCTCAGTGCAGATAGGAAGAAGAGGGAAAGTGTTCAATCTGAATTTGAGGTTAGAAGGTTGAGCTTTGAAGGGTAAATACACTCTGGTTTGTGAGGCATGGATGTTTCAGAAAAGAAGAAAAAAATATGGTTGACAGTTAAATCACTGAAGCAAAATTACTGAGCAGGTGGAACTGGACCTCCCATTAGGACATGTTAAAGAGATTGGATAGCTGTGGTGGGTTCATTATGTGGGTGGCCTGGAAGCTTGGTGTGCCCAGCCAAGATCTTGATCCCTTCTGACCCTGTGGTAGCTAGGGACGGCTTGGCCTCCTTGCATTCTTACAGTCCTCTATTATTTGCCCACATGAAAAATAAAAAATATGACTTTCGGTGTGTGATCACTGGAAAAAATATTGGTAGTCATAACCTAATACTTCTCAAATGGTAGTAAAAGTTCTGTTTTTGTTTTTTAATCCCAGTTTGTCTCAGACCTCTACTTTCGCAAAATACAATTAAGATGAATTACTAGAAAAATGAGGTCATATTGCTGTAAAAACTTCTAAAACCCTTAATATTGATTTGTCCTTGTTGGGGATTGATTAGTTTGTAGATTATAAGTGGTCTGTGGGCCATGCTTTACATTAGCACTTTTCTAGATCATACAGATTTAGATTTGATCAGAGTGACACTATTCTTGCTTTGTTTTGTTTTTGAGACGGAGTTTTGCTCTTGTTGCCCAGGCTGAAGTGCAATGGCGCAGTCTCGGGTCATTGCAGCCTCCACCTCCTGGGTGGGTTCAGGCTATTCTCCTGCCTCAGCCTCCCGAGTAGCTGAGATTACAGGCACCCACCACCATGCCCGGCTAATTTTTCTGTTTTAGTAGAGATGGGGTTTTACCATGTTGATCAGGCTGGTCTCGAACTCCTGACCTCAGGTGATCCACCCGCCTTGGCTTCCCAAAGTGCTGGGATTACAGGTGTGAGCCACCGCTCCTGGCCCAGAGTGACACTATTCTGATGGCATGCTTGTGATAAACTTCAGTAAAAAACATATCTTAGGGAAAAAGAGGCTTGGATTTGAGAAAGTTGAGTAAGAATTTGAACATATTTAACATGTTTGCTTATAGTGTTCAATAAAGTTGGGAGCGTAGTAAATTGATACTGGAGAAATTTTTTTTTTTTTTCTTTTTTTGATGGAATCTCGCTGTGTTGCCTAGGCTGGAGTGCAGTGGCGGAGTCTCGGCTCACTGCAACTTCCGCCTTCCAGATTCAAGCAATCCTCCTGCCTCAGCCTCCTGAGTAGCTGGGACTACAGGTGCCCACCACCACACCTGGCTAATTTTTGTGTTTTTAGTAGAGACGGGGTTTCAGTATGTTGGCCAGGCTGGTCTCAAACTCTTGACCTTGTGATCCACCCGCACCGTCCTCCCAAAGTGCTGGGATTACAGGCGTGAGCTACCGCGCCCGGCCAAGAAAAGTTTTTTATTTGGTTCTGTTGGTAGTCATATGCTGGCAGGAAAAGTAGGGTATTCTTTGTGTAGGAGGAGACAAAAAATGTATAAAGATGGCACGGTACACGTTGAGGCCCACTTCCACTTTTATTGCCTTTTTCCTTCCCCTTCCTCTCAATTTTGAGCACTATTCTTTAATCTTTATGTATGTTTATTGGGAAATATGTAAAATACATTCAAACTCCTATTAAAAGTACTTGATACCATATAAAGCAAGAAGAATGAGAAGCATTCTGGCCTCTAGAAAGTGATGAATGATGAAGGGTGATCAAAGGTAACTGTTTGCTAAAATCTATATTGAGAAAAACAACTGGATGGAAAAGTAGACAAGCCATTAAGTGCTTTAAAATAATTTAACATATTTTGGAAACAAAGACAACTCCAAAAAAAGTTACTAATACCATGGAAATATTTGGTAAGTGGTATAGGTAATGTAAGATAATGACATAGTTGCCCTGGGTGGCCTCGGAAACCTTCCTAGAAGAGGTAGTCCCTTGAGCTGGGCCCTGATGGGTAGGTGGAAATTCTATTAGGAGGTAGACAAGAGTGTGAGGAAATGAAACAGGGCAAAGGCCTTTGGGGTAGTAGAATAAAACAAAGGCTAGGGTGTGGAAACTTGGGATATTGGAAGAAGGAGCTATAGTAAAGTAGCAGCCATCCAACTTTATGTATGCTAAGAAGTTTGTGTGGAAAGTGGATTATAGAAAAGACAAGTTGATAATGAAAGTACCTTGGAAGTGGGGAGGGAGATTTCTTAAACATTTTAACTGAAAAAATAATACAATGATGTTACAGATCAGTAAAGAAGACTAACTTCCTAATTAAAAAGGATATTTGTACACAAGTAGGACAAGAAGCAACTACAATACATTTCTGAAAATATATCTCAACCTCAGAGAAACAAAGAAATGTCCCCCTCTTTTCTTTTTCCTTAATAGAAATCCCCTAAAGCCATTGTTTTTCATAGTGTCCTGTGTTGGCGGGTTATTATACAGATACCTCTTTACCTGATGATCATGAGAATTTAAATGGGTATAACAGTTTCCAAAGACAATTAACAGTAAATCAGTAAATATAAAAAACTTTAATTCTGTGTCTAAGAATTTATCTCATGAGATAGAATCATTTACAAATGAATTTATGTACAAAGATACTCTCAAATTATTTAAAATAGAAATGTCCAAGTTGTTGGATTCATTATTATTACACAGTGGGTTTTTCTGTAGCCAAAAAGTATTTGATAATTCAGGGGAAATACAAAATAGGAGGTAGCTAAATACAAAATTTATATATCCAATATGATCCTTTTATTTTGAGAAACATATACTTGCACATTTTAAGAGACAGAAAAATAAGCCAAAATGCTAAAAATAGTTATCCTTAATTGGTAGTCTTACGTGTAACTTTATACTTTTCTTCAGTTTCTACATGCTACAAGTAATGTATATCACTTTTTTTTATCACATAGAAATACTAGTAAAGAAGTTAAAGTCATACTTTTGACTTTTAAGTAGCCTTTTGTGACACAAGTTCACAGATTGAATCCCGTAATGACTAATAAGGAATGTGTTAGCCTAGCCACACGAGCTCATCCATATGTGAAAATCATTAAGTGCTCTAATCCATGGGTAGTTACTGTTTTTTTCAGTTCCACATTGTGTACCAAGATATTTGGTTTGTCAACAGAGACAAAAGTATTAACCAACAAACATACTTTATTTACAAAGTAAAAGCATCCAAATATGACTTGACTTGGCTTTTTGGCAGATTGTTCTTTGTTCTTGAGTTAGTGTTGGCGACACATAACTATCTTTAGGTATTTGAAGGGTTAATACAATGGAAAATTTTAATTTTCTTTTGTTAAAAATAATGCTTAAAATTTTTTGAAGTCTTCATGGTGTTTTTATGATGTGCCTGGGAAAATCTCAGATACTGTTCTGAAATGTATATGAATTTTACTTTTTTGGAGAGGGAAACAGACTTAAAAATTGGGGATAGATTTTGCTATAGAATAAAATACTCTTCCAGAAGGTTGTGTCAGCAGAAGGAAGAAACTCTCAATCTATACCCTTGTCAAGATTGTAAAATACAAACCGTACAACCTGGCTAGTGAATCTGGTGTAAACGCCTAAACTATAATAATAGATTGATAGATTGATAATTTCTAATAAAATTTTAGGTAACATACTGGTCAAAGGAAGGACAAATTACTTTTGATGGGAGATGGGGGTGTTTGGGGTTTTAAAGTATATGCAAGTTATAAATTCTAGATTTACAGATCTCTTTACTAATGAAATAGTTTTCTTCTCACCCCTTGCCAAGTTCATCGTGTTATACCACTTTGTATCTCACCAGTTTGTTATCTCAGCAGTTTGAGAGAAGAAAAGATATGCCATGTTTGAAAGTTGCTTATATATCAAATGTGTACCACATACATAAGTTTGAAATAAACCAGAGTTTGCTTTGCGAGATGGCTTTCTTTTAAATGAGTTTGTATGATAGGCTGAAAAATCCCTTCTGTCCTCTCTCCATGAAAAACAATCTGTATTCTAGTGCCTGGAATTTGAATGTGCCCATATATGACAAGGAGGGCGGGGCTTTTGCAGATGTGATTAAGTATCTTGCAATGGGGAGTTTATTCTGGATTATCTGGTGGGCCTTAAATGCCATCACATGTTTTCTTAGAGAGGCAGAGGGAAATTTTAGCATATAGCACAGACAGGAGAAGGAAGCTAAGTAAAGACAGAGGAGAGAGATTTGGAAATGTTGGCGTTGAAGATTGAAGTGATGTAGGCTGAAGCCAAGGAATCCTCGCAGCCACCAGAAGCTGTAAGAGACAAGGAGCAGACTCTCCGCTAAAGACTCCAGAAGGAGAATGGACACCCTTCTGACACCTTGCTTTCAGCCCAGTGATACTGATTTCAGACTCCTGGCCTCCAGAATAAATTTATTTTGAGCTGTTTAGTTTGTGGTAATATGTTACCTAAAAATGTGGAAGTGGTTTTGGAATTGGACAGTGGGTAGAGGCTCCAGTTTTGAGTCACATGATAGAAAATGCATATGTTGCCTTTAAAGACTGTTGGCAAAAATATGGATTTTAAAGGTGCTTCTGGTTAGGGCTCAGAAGCAAATTAGGAACATATAAACTGGAGGGAAAGAGATCCTTTCTATAAGTGATAGAAAGCTTGGCTGAATTGTGTCCTACAGTTGTATATAAGGCAGAACTTAAAACTTTTTCATATTTAGCTGAGAATTCTAAGTAAGTGTTGAAGTTGCAGCCTGGTTTCTTCCTGTTTATAGTAAAGTGGCAAGAAAAGCTAAATTGAAGAATGAACTGATAAGTATAGAAAGAACCACCAGCACTGGATGTTGGGAATATCTCAGGCTACTCAGATGGCAAAAGGTGTTCACTGTTAGAAAAACTGTCTCTGGAAAGAAGGCCAGGGGTATTGCTAGACAGCCTTTTGTTTGTGTGGAAGAAACTATGCATGTAACTCATAGGTTCCCGTACTATCTCAGTAAAAGCCAGAAATAGATGAGATTATCCAGGAAATATCTATGGAGAACGATGTTTAATGATGTGACGTGTAGGGGACCTCCAAAGTTTCTGAGAATGTTGTGTCAGCAGAAACTGCCAACTGGTACTGAAAAAGACACATGACACGATGAAGGAAGGTGTTCAGACTCCTGACAGAATCCATGCACATAGGAAAGGTGATGTGAAAACAAACACAGAGATTTGAGGATGTTGATCTTGGAGTGAAGTGTCCACACACCAAGAAACCTTGGCAGCCACCAGAAGCTGGAAGAGGCAGGGAACAGATTCTCCCATAGAACCTCTGGAGGAAGTGTGTCCCTGCCAACACTTTTGATTTTTGTTCCAGTGATACTGATTTTGGACTTCTTGACTCCATAATAAATTTCATCCAGTTGCAGTTTGTTACAGTGGCCACAGGAAATGAACACAGTTGGAAAAAGAACAGGGTATCTTATAGTAGAGCAAGCATTTCTATAAGTTGAAATGGTACAATACTTAGGAAAAATAAGGCACCAAATGTAAATGTCAAATATTTTAATTTGAAATGAAGTTTTGGGTAAGTCAGGTAAGGATTTTCAGAGAGCGAGAGGTTTTTTCCTGATTGTTAAGATAAAAAGCTGGTTGAAGACCTTATGTTAATGTATTTGGGACAGTAATTTAAAAAATAAATTTCTGGACATGAGTGAGTGTATTGACATTGTGAAGGATGGGTTTGTAGGACACAAATTGGAAACACGAAGCCACTGAAGGCCAGTCAAAAGATGGGGCCTTGAATCACCAAAGTAGCAGTTCTTAGAAACTGTGAGGGAGAACTAATAAACTTGGTGAGTGAAGAGGTATGAAAAAGCCGGGACGCAGGGGAAAGTCTGTTGTAGGAACCAGAAAAGACACTCCTGATGTAATCATTCCTAATAAACTCATGCCAGGTATCCCTAAGCATTTAAGGAAAACTTAGTGCACAAAATAGTGAATGACCAAGACAGAAGAACTGTAAAAAGAGAGAATGTAGGATACAGAAGATTAAAAGAGCCACATCTAGATAATACCTTTATTTGTGAAATTTTAGAACAGAAAGTATAAAGAAAATTCCAAAGGCATCTGATTTTCCTTGGCAAAATTATACAGCAGTCTCTCCAGAGTGCTCAGGCAGTGCTTTTTGTACATAATATTGCATACAAAGCTCAATCTCAGTCACTTCCTCCTTTTGAAACAGTTGTCTTCACTTCAGGTAACATGGAATCCATGGAGATATTATCTAAGGTTGAAGTTTCAAAAATGATTTAAGATTATATATAAATGTCACAAGAGGGGAATTAAGAATAAAAGGGGGTAAAGGGAGTAGGTGGTGATAGGAATTTAGATGGTAGCTAATGATATCCTGTAATGATGGTTTGGCATATTAGAAACCCTAAGGAGGTAACTGTGAGAATAAATATGTTGTCACAGGGATGAAGGGGATCCTTGCGTTTTACCCTTCTGTTATTTAACATTGTACATGGAATACCTCAGAAAAATTTACTGACGTAGTTTACTAAGTGTCAGAACTAATCGTATCAAATATATTTTTTTCATTTTTTTATTCATTGGTTATCTAAAGTGGGATATACATTTAAAAAGTTATGGAAGGGAAGATGAATAAAGGAATTAAAATTATAAATGGCAGAGTGGATCAGGCTGTTTATCTTGGAAGGTTTAAAATGTAGAAATCACATTTCTGAATAGTGGCATAGTTTCTAATTGTGCTGTTTTTCATCCATTTCTATAATCACTCTTGAAATATTTCTATGGATTTTTAAAATTTTATAAAGTTACATATATTTCAAATAGAGAATAGATTTCAGTATCTCTGTCTGCTAAAGGGACTGTTGCTAAGAACTACCTTGATTAAATTTATGGACAGTTTAAGAAGGAGAATGCTTAGGAAGGTAATCTTTATAAAATCAGTAGATCCTCTGGGTAAAGACGGTAGGGCAGAGGCCGGGCACAGTGGCTCACGCCTGTAATCCCAGCACTTTGGGAGGCCAGGGCAGGCGGATCACAAGGTCAGAAGATCTAGACCATCCTGGCTAACAAGATGAAACTCCGTCTCTACTAAAATACTACAAAAAAAGGAGCCGGGCGTTGTGGCACGCACCTGTAGTCCCAGCTACTCGGGAGGCTGAGGCAGGAGAATCGCATGAACCCGGGAGGCGGAGGTTGCAGTGAGCCAAGATCGTGTCATTGCACTCCAGCCTGGGCAACAAGAGCAAGACTCTGTCTAAAAATAAATAAATAAATAAAATAGGGCAGAGATTACTGGGAGGGGTAAGTAGGCCTTTTAACTATAATGGAACATTTTTTTGTGTGTGTACTTCTTACCACCAGTCACTCTTTAGCTTGGGGTACAAAGTTGAAAGCCACCTTTGTGAGATTGAACAGGGTTATGGGCATAATGGCTAGGAGGGTCTGCCCCAGTGTATTGGTTCTGGTATTGTGGATGTTAGCTTTCTCCTTGGCCTCCAAGCTGTCCACTACGTAATCCTTGTGAGTGAGTTGCTTAGTATTACTCATCTGTATAAATACATATATGCATCCCCAACCCCCCATGCAAATACTGCTTTCTTGTGCATAAATGTGAAACAAGCAGGGAAAGGAGCAATGGTTGTATTCTCCGGCAAGTCAAGTCATCAGGAAAGAAAAAGTTACTACAGAGAGAGGGTAGGATTTAGGAAAATACCTAGCAAATAAGGTATAGGGTCATACCACACTTACAAGTGGTGGATGAACAGGAAACCAGCTTTTATCACTTGAGAGACTATATTAAAATGAGAGATGACGGTTGTTAGTGTTTGAATAGTCTTTTTTTTTGTCAAAGTGTAATTAAGATTTATGCCTAAAGCCATAGTAGAACAAAATACCAATATTTGTATATAGACAGTATATTCAACTAATTTTTAAATCATTGCATTAAATACTTCTAGTAGGCACTGTATGCCTAGCATTGGTGATTAACATTGTTGAGCCGTAGTCCCGGAGAAAATCAACTCTGCTGTACATACATACACAACACACTTTTGCCTTCTGTATTTGTAGACCTAAGTGAAGAAACTTGATTCTTTACCCAATCTAAAGTGCAGAATTAGTATTTTATCTGAAGGAAGTTGCTTTACTTTAAAAATCTTGTTTTTTTAATTAGGCAAAATGATCACATGGTTCAAATTTTGTTTTTTTAGGAAGAGAAACAGTGAAGTCCCTTTACCTTACCCCCAACCCAATCCCCAATTCCCAACCCCGTCTCCAAAAGTGTACTCAGTTACGGGTTTTTAAAATCTTTTCAGAATGTCTGTAAAAGCATATTCAGGCAGATACAAATGCATAATATTTTAATTCTCCCTTTATTGCACAAAAGTAGCATGTACACAAGGAACTTTCTTTTTTTCATTTAACAGTGTAACTTGGAGATTTTTCCATTGCGGAACATAGGGGCCTCCTTTTTTCCTCTTACTTGTTTTTAATGGCTATACAATATTCTCCTTTATATATCTTCAGTAATTTATTTAGTGTACCCCATATTGGTGGATATTTGGGTTTTTTTCACATTCTTTTCTTTCTATAAACTGTGTTGTAATATGTAACCCTGTAAATATATCAGTTTCGCATGGGTGCAAAATTTGCACATTGCTGTACAAGTACATAATGTAAATTCCAGAAAATGTACTTGCTGGCATAAAGTATTACGAAGATGTAATTTTGATAGTGTGAGAGTGCTCTTTATATGATAGCATATGTGTGTTAGTCCATTTTTTGCTGCTCTAACAGGGTAATTTATAAAAATATTTGGCTCAGGGTTCTGGAAGCCGGGAAGCCTAAGAACATGGCACAGGCATCCCATGAGGTTTCCCCATGGTGGAAGGCATCACATGGCGAGCAAGCTAGACAGAGAGGGCCCTAGAGAGAGAGAAAAGTGGTGGCCAGACTCGTCTTTTTATCAGGAGCCCATTCCCATGGTAACCAACCCACATCCCACTCGGGTAATAACAGAATTAATCCATTCATGAGGATGAACCCCTCATGGCCTAATCACTGCTTAAATGCCCCACATCTTAATACTGTTAACAATGCCAGTTAATTCTAACAGCGACCTTTGGGGGACATACTGAAACCACAGCAGTGTGCTGTCACACTTTGAATTTCTGTCTTCTAGGGTAAAAAATGGTATATTTGTAATGTTCATTAGATTTCTCTTATGGATTAAGGTTGTGATGTTCTTTATGTACCCTCACTCTCCAGGGCTCTAGGATGCTTTCCTAGGGTTGAGTTAGAACCTTAGAAGAAAGTGAATCTGAGTATTTATATTGATAAAATGTTTCTTAGGCACACACACACATCCAAAGAACCCTTACTACATCTTGATTCAGTTGCACACACTAAGCTCTTACCCCAAATTTGTGATGATTTATTAAAACTGGATAAAGTGATTGGCATATGAATTCATTAATGATGACCGATAGCAGGCAGTTCTTTTTGTTGTAATATCAGTGAAAGCCTAAGGAAGAGAGTGGCTATTTGAAATAGATTCTGATGTACAGGTAGGATTTCCATAGAAGGAAAGAATGGCATGAGCAAAAGACGGGGGAACAAGATAGAAAGGAGAATTTAGAAGAGGAGTAGAAACAAAGCTGGAGCCAGGTTATAGAAAATCTTGTCTTAGAGAAACATTATACTTTAGGAAGTTAAGCTGTATGCCATGGACAGTGGATATCATTGGCAATTTGAGAACAAGAAAGAGTGAGCAGTGGTCAAGAAAGGTGAGTCTGGCAGTATCGTGTAGGATGGATTGAAGGACACACTGGAAACGGGCACCATTTTAGATGTACAAAAGATATGTGGCCCTAAACTGATGAAGCTGGCAAAAGAAATGAAAATAAACTCTAGGCAGAGAATATAAAACAAGAAGTAACAAACTTGACTGAAGAAGGAAGAGATGAAATAAAGCTATAGAATTTGAGTGGCGGAAGGGAAAGTGTAAAGGGCAGATTTATTTTAAGGATAAAGTGGAAGAATTTAAATCTTGAAACATGTTGAATTTTGAAGCAAGTCCTAGGTCTCCCAGGTGGATGTGTCCAGTAGCCAGGTCTAAATGTAGCATAGGAAAAAGGTTTTAGAGAGCTGTATCTTAAAGATACATTTTAGCTCTCTGTTGGATTTTCCACCATGCTCACCTGCCAGATTCTCTCACTGCTTGTAATTCTGATCTTTGTTATCTCCAACCTTACTTGACTGCGGTTGATTTGTTCCAACACCTATCTTTTAGTCTACGTCACATTGCTGTCTAAACTTCTTTGCGTTCTTCCCTTTTTGCTACTTAAGATAAAATCTCAACATTTTTTATTGCATACCGGAGTCCTGTTACCTTTTCCATCTTCCTCTGCCATAAATGCCTGTAAACCAGTCACTTTACACTTTATTTAAAAAATACATATATATCAATGGAGACAAAAGAAGTAATTAGTGTGTGGCATTAGAGAATGTATCAGAAGAGAGAACGTTTTTAAAAGACTTAAGTGAACAGAAGAATTTATTTGAATAAAGAGAAAAATCACTGAATTTGATAGATTTTGACCATACAGAAGAAAATTTTAGTAGAATAATGGAGATGGAATCAATGACCTAAAATTTGACTTTGAATGGGAATAGGTAGGCAGCTCAAAGGATGCAGCGAATGTTTTAAGATCACTGTCAGATAGAGGGGAAAAAGGATAAATCATGATAACTGATATTAAAAAGGGTTAGAGCAGGCTTTCTCAATTTTGGCACTGATTGGATCATTCTTTGTTGTGGGAGCTGTCTTCCATATTATAGGATGTGTAGCATTGTCCCAGTCTTCCACCCACTAGATGCCAGGAGCCATTCCCAGTTGTGGCAGCCAGAATCATCTCCATGCATTGCCTAATGTCCCCTTGGGGAAGGGATTAAAATTGTGCTTGGTTGAGAATTGAGAATTGAAGATGTGTGTATGGTATCTCTAGGAAGCATGAGAAGGGCCTGACTTTGGTAAAGAGGGGGAAATCTGTGGAAGAATGCGGGAAAGAAGTTGCTTGACATGGAAGGAGTTGAAGGCACTGCAGGAGTGGAATCAGTTATACCAGTGTCCTTTTGAAATTAGATAGCACTTTATAGTTAGTCAGGTCAGAAGGTTTTGTAATATTTTTCTTCAGGTAATTGGGTCTGTCGTGTTTCTTGGTTGTCTACTGATACTATAATATAGTCCCTTTTTTTTCAGCATGATTTGACCACACAAAAAGCCCCAGTGGAGATTTTTTCCTATGTTTCTGTTTTTTTGTGTGTGTGTATGCCCTTCAACTATAAATATGGCAATTGGTAGATAACCTGCTCTTTGAGTAAATCTGTACCTCGGTTTATAATTAACAATCTATTAATCTGGTACAATGAAGTTAGAGATAAAAATAGGTATAGAACAAAATCTGTCATCTCAACATGTGATTTGTGGAAATTAATTTCCACTTCCAAAATGTGTAAATGCTTTTCCATAATTTGTTCATTTATTTTCATTGAAAATGAAAGACAGAAAATGTAGATGTAATTAATAAAGGGTTCTCTTTTAATTTTCTTAATTCTTTTTTCTCTACCAAACTATGTGACCTTCGTCAGATTTTATGACACATGCCATTGTGTGTAAGTTGTCACCTCATAACTAAAATATTTTGAAGGCATGTAATTCATAGGAAGTCCTTGTTTTTACCCCCTTTTTTGCATTTGCATTAAAAATTTTTTTGTAGATACATAATAGATAACACCTGTTGCAGGGGTACATATGATAATTTTTAATACATTTCTATAATTAATTTTTACTTTTAACTTTCAGGCCGAAGAACAGTTGAGAATTGTTGAAGAACAAAGAAAGATTCATGAGGAAAGGATGAAACTAGAACAAGAACGACAACGTCAACAAAAAGAAGAACAAAAAATTATCCTGGGCAAGGGGAAGTCCAGGCCAAAACTGTCCTTCTCATTAAAAACCCAGGATTAAATTGCAAACTCTGAACTTTTTACAAAGAAAAATGGAAAAACTTTGTATGGTAGCTTCATGTTGAAGTGGTTTTTTGTTTTTGTTTTTGTTTTTTTAATTTGTAAAATCTGGAAAGTTAGCTTGTTCTAATAGGGGCTATGCTCTGCAATTCCCTTTTTTTTTTTTTTTTTCCTTCCACTAAGTCAAATCCTTATCAGATCATTGTTGTATTCTAAGGAGTGACGTATTTTTCACCTGTTTGGATTCTATATTAGTGGTCTGAGGAAGAGCAGATCACATTGTAAAACTATGGATGGTCTGATAAGGCTTTTACTGACCCCACTGACTTCAGAGTTATACTCTGTTTGCTACATCATAATGCTGGTTTTGCTGACTTTTTGTTTTTTTATATATTTATAAAAAAAGAAAAAGTTGGTGATTGCATTGGGAAATTCCCAGGGTATTACTGGACCTATGTGGTGTATTGTTAAACCAGTGTCCTTGTGATACTGTTGCTCTTGATGTTCCTGATACAGGTAAGGAAACAGTTGGTCAACTCTGATACAAAGTATATATACAGTTCAGTATTGTCTCTGTTCATTTTGTTTTTATTTCATTGACAAAATCAAACCAGCATTCCCCATTGTGTAAATAAATGATTTTGCTGAATAAAGTAAAGTCTTAAATTCATATGTTGAAGCAATTTTTTTTAATGTTATGTTAAGTCTTAAAGAGGGTGGTTCACTTTTTGATGGTCAACCATTTAGAAGTCTTAGAACTATATTTCCTCTTGTTTATACTTTTAACATAGGGTTTATATGTACATTAAATATACTTGTGAATTAGTATTTAATGGCTATTTTTACAAATATCAACTTTATGCTGATAGAGCAAATGGCATCAGTGTTACCTTTAAGAAAGACTAACAACATCCAGAAGATTTAAATTCTCAAACCTGTGCCTCTGTTTTAGGATATAAGTATTATCACAAAGTATACTTAATAAAGGCTAGAAAAATGCTTTTAAATTATGGAATCTGAGATCGTTTTCAGAGTGGGCCATCAGAAAGAACTTAGCTTTATACTGTCAAAAAAAGGCTAAGATGGTCGAGTCATTTTCATTGTGTAGTGTACTTGCACGTTTATTTTTAGGACAAACACATTTGAACTTTATGAATTTTTTTTTTTTTTTTGCATGTGAAATCTTATGAATGGCTTTCATTTTATACACTAGAATCTGCCTCATTTACTCTTAACATATGTTTAAGTATACTGGTATTAAAACATTCAAGAAAAGGATATTGATCTAAAATGCTACCTGAGATGCATAAACATGTCATCAAGTAGAGAAAATATTTTTATTTTTGCCCAATATTTTTTAGACAGTTTGATTATTCTTAAAAATTGAAAACATAAGCTAAAGAGATGACTAAATGGTAGATTATTTTGTGTGTGCATGCTAGGAAAAATGCTGTTGCTTTAGTTTTGAGCTCTTCAATGAGTCTAATTGTGGTAAGGAACAATATAAAATCAGTTTAAAGATCTTTAAAGGTAGAATTTTAAATAGGCATGAAATATAGTGAGAACTTTTAGTAAACATACTACTTACTCTAAAATCAAACATTTTATTTTCCTAAAGAATATAGGTTGCCAAAAAATATTTTATCTCTAAATATAGGTTAGCTGTAATTATTTCATGAATTTTTTTTTTTTTCAATGTAACTTTTTTTGGTGAAGATTCATGGTTCCTAAGTTCTGTATTCAAGTTTTTGGAAATGTTTATTTAAAAACTGTTCTATACAAGTGTTCAAAACATTGTATCTAAAGAGAGTAGCCTGGACTTAAAATATTTGAAATCAGCTTATGCGTGCCTTTTAATTTTTTTTTTAAGTTTCTTACTGCCACATATGGTGTGAAGTGACAGTAAGTTGCTTAATGACATCCTGCAGTATCTGCTTGCTTTTGGAGACTCCAGTGAGATGTTGAAATTGTTCCTGTGCTTGGTAACTACTTTCCTCTGCCAGGCTATGGGAAAGAGGATGTAATTGTGAATAATATACACCATCCAGTCTTTAATGTGCTGCAACAATGTAGTAATTTGTTTTTTTCATTTGTTCCCACTGCCTTTGTGTACATAGAAAACTTAAAAATTTCCCCCAGTCTATTAGAAGTTAAGATGTTCCCTAATTTATTAAATATGCCTTTATTCACAATTTGTTTTTTTAGGTTATTCTTAATGCATTATAGAATTAAGTATGACTTTGTTTATTTTTATTACAGTATGTAGTTATTGACATATTGTGGTTTGCAGAATTATCAATTGTATAAACTAAACCTTTAAATTAGCTTGGTGTGAGGACTCTTTAATGCTTTAAATTGGGGAAGGGGTTTGTAGTATGAGATTTTACCTACTTCAGTTTCCCTTATGAAGATGCAGCAAATCAGACTATTTCTACCCTAAGTAATCTCCGTATTCATTTACTGTGCTAGTATGTGTCCATAGCTTTTTTTTTTTTTTTTTTGTATCACCACCTGTCCTGGATTTAGCAGTATCTTAAGAATTTTCAGTGGTTTGTATTTTTTCAATTTTCTAAGTATAGTAAGCGTAGAATCCTGACTTGTTGAACTCTATGTATCATTTCTAATGCCTCATTTTATGAGGAGCCTGTCACTTCACTGACATTTCTCCAAAGCTATTTCTATCCATTAGAGCGTCTCTTTTCAGTTGTCTAAATTTTCTGCATCTTTACACGCAAAACCATTCATCTGTTTTGTATTAATGGCCATGAGAAATACTGAAGACAGGCTATCCTAATTTTTGAGGCTCTCCTCCCCCTCCAGGAGAGCCTTGTGAACAAGTACTAGTGTTACTAATCAGAGGACCTCAAGAGACTGCTGAAGGTAAAAGCCTCAACCTGGAAGTCTAGAATGAGTGTGGAAGCCCAAGCAATAGACCCTACTTTTTTGATCTGTTGAATTGCCATTTAACAGTGGTCTTGATTCTTTCACTATCTTTGTTGTCTGTAACGTTTTTTGTTTACTCTTGCGTTGTTTTTGGCTTTTAACATTCAGTTGTCCGTGATGATGGAAAATGTGGTGCAGTAATCTAGAAGATTTGCATTTGCTGATAAACTACACTGTTTACTTTGTAGATATGCTTAAGATGAGTGGATTGTATTACCTAATCCATCCATCCATCCATCCATCCATCCATCCATCCATCCAGTATTGGTTCTAGAGTAACTGATTTAGTGCTGGCAAACAGTGGAAGTGGGGGATACAGAAGACCTAATTAAGGGATTTGCGTGTGTGAGAGAAATAACTAGCTTCTTACTCCATTAAGTATTTCTTTGGAACTTCCTTCTGGTATTACAAAGTAATACAAATCAGAGTGGTTGCTTTTACATCTATGTAAGTGTTCCACAAGTTAAGTGCTTTTATACCTAAGTCGTCATTGGGTTTAGAAATTAAAACTTAATTGGAAGTCATACTTGATGATTTATCTTTTTCTGAGCCTACAGTGGTTGATCAGAGGATGTTGGGACAGTTCTATTTTTATATTTTTATTTTTTGCTCTAGCTCTAAAGAGCCAGTACATTAGAGAATAGTAACTCCAGTGATCCAGCTGTTTCTCTCATTGTTTTTGTATCAATGCTATAAAAGTGTATTTGTTTTGTTTTTTTGCCCCCCCCCCCCCACCCCCGCCAATGGTCTCTTGCTCTGTCGCCAGCCTGGAGTGCAATGGTGTAATCTTGGCTCTGTGCAACCTCCCACCTCCCAGGTTCAAGCGATTCTCCTGCCTCAGCCTCCTGAGTAGCTGGGATTACAGGCACCCACCAGCACGCCTGGCTAATTTTTATATTTTTAGTAGAAACGGGGTTTCACTATGTTGACCAGGATGGTCTCAATCTCCTGACCTCGTGATCCGCTCACCTCGACCTCCCAAAGTGTTGGGATTACAGGCGTGAGCCACCGCGCCCGGCCAAAGGCGTATGTTTTTAATAGTGTATGTTTTGTGATTGCTGCAACTGTTGATTACCAAACCTAGGCTTATTAGGGTTAGAATAAAATGGGTTTGTTTACCATTTGGATGATTCTCATTTTCTAGGTTTTCACTTTGGATTAAAGAAGTGACAAGTAGAATAAGGAGTTAACAAAATAATACATTATTGCAGCTGGTTTTAAGTGCTGTTGAAGCTGTTAAGTAGTATAAAGAGGATGCAAAAAATGATTTTATGGACCCAAAAGAGGAGATCCGTTACGATTGTTGTCAGAAGTTTTCCTTATGTTTATTAAGAGTAGTATTTAACTTTTAAATTTTCATGTATGTCTGTATCAAATCAGTCTGAAAAAACATCCTGTTGATAGAGGTTAAATATTAGAATTAATCATGCAATCAAGAGAGCGCACAGCTAGCTAGCCATTATCTGCTCCTTTGTATCCATCACACCTCTTAATCCAGCTTGGAATGATGAGTGGAGTTTGGTCCTCCACACTTGGTTTGCAAATAAAGAGATGAAGTTTCATGCCAGGTGTGCATGCTTGTTGGAGCCATTCGTATTTCCATGTGTGCTGTTTTTACATTAATAATGCTGTCAACGAAATGAGAGGTTGAGCTTCAGATTAAAATGGATACTAGTGGAAAATACGGTAATTTTCTTCCATAAGGAATATGTGACAGTCTATAAGGTATGAGTTTCCTCTAAACTTCCCAGAGAGAAGAATGATTCTCTTTTGACCAAGAGCCTAATGTAGTATTTTTCCTGCCAAACAAATAGACTCTAATATAAAATGTTTCAGTGTTTTAACAATCTGAATTTCAGAAGCAGATGGGAGAAGGGTGTTTAGCAAAGTTGATTTTAAGAAAGGGTTTTATTTTCTCCTGTCAGATCTTTCCCTCAAGGATAAATGGGGGAAAATGTGATTTGCTAGAGAGTGCTGAAAGCATCAGTGACTTGTATGAAATAAACAGCATACAATGCCAGGAAACAAAGGGTATGATTTTGCGAGAGGCTTACAAGCTACATAGAGAATGTATGGCTTGGACAACACTTAGTCAACACATACCAAATTTATTTTTCTGTAATGTTATTTAGATAACCTTTTGTTTTTGTAGAAGTTCTGTTACATATATCTTTTGAAATATGTCCTAGAAATGATGGAATACTATATAAGGAATATATAAGAAACAACCATAAGTTCTAAAGCCCAAAACATGCCTAGGAATTCAAAGGGGTAGGAACATAATTACTTGCATTTTTTTTGTTGGAGGTGGGGAATTGCACTTTTTTAAAGCTGCGATTATCTATTTGTCATCTCATTTTACATTTATTCAGCTTTGTGTTAACTTTTATAACTATGGTATCCTTTGAAATTCCCAAATCCTTATTTATTTGACTTATCAGAACTTTTTTTTTTTTTTTTTTTTTTGAGACTGAGTCTCACTCTGCCGCCCAGGCTGGAGTGCAGTGGCGTGAACTCGGCTTCACTGCAAGCTCCGCCACCTGGGTTCACGCCATTCTCCTGTCTCAGCCTCCCGAGTAGCTGGGACTACAGGCGCCCGACACACGCCCGGATAATTTTTTATATTTTTAGTAGAGACTGGGTTTCACCGTGTTAGTGAGGATGGTCTCAATCTCCTTACCTCGTGACCCGCCCACCTCGGCCTCCCAAAGTGATGGGATTACAGGCGTGAGCCACTGCGCCCGGCCTTCAAAACTTAAGTCTAGAACACAGTGAAGTAACTTCCTCTGCTGAAATAAAATCTCATTTGATGAGGGTTTAAATACATCTGCTAAAAGTATAGATTTCTCGAAATACATTGATCATGATTCAAAGTGTGGTAAAGAAAAAAATTAACCAAGTTTTCCCAATAATTGTAAAATGAAGTCCAAATACCAAGAGATACGACACTGATGTGATTGGTTCTTGGTTTGGCATGCTTTGGAAATTCTACTTTGCCTTGTGCATGCCAGTATGACCTACTTTTTTGCTGGCATGTTATACAATAGTAGATACAAATGGCTTTGAGGTGATGCTTTTAATTACCAAAATTACCATTAAATAGTAGAATGTTGACATCTTCGAAGTGAGTACTGCTGATGCTTTTCACATTGTCTACATTGAATCTCTGTTGACTGAAACTAAGCTGTATATTCTCTCACACTATAGATGTTTTGTGTGTGTGTAGGATTCCTTTTCAGTCAAATACGCACTTTGTTTTGAAAAGGAAGCGATTTTAAAGTGTATATTTACATTTGTCCCAAGGTAAAACGCTTTGGATGTGAGACTTTCTGATTTACTGAAAATGTTATTTTTGGAAGCTGGCTTATTTTCAGACAATGCAAATTTCCTGTATTTCCTCTAGTTTACTTGGAGAGGAGGATGTAGTGAGCTAAGAGGTCACAATTTAAATTTCACAATATAAGTTTGTCAAAAGGTACTGAGTACCCAGTGTTCTTTTAAAAGATCATTAAGCTAACTTTATATTCAATTTCAATGAGTTCCTTAAATGGTATTTTAGCATACTAAAAACTAGCCCTTTCTCACCCTTGTCAAGGTAGGAGTCATAGTGCCTGCTGCTTCCTGGGTTGTTGGTGCTTCCTGGGAATCCGCTGTTCAAATCGTCATACCGTGGTGGAGCCTTTTTAAAATAAATTTTATATATATATGTGTGTGTGTGCATATATATATGTGTATATATATACGTATATATGTGTGTGTATATATATACGTACATATGTGTATATATGTATAAATATGTGTATATGTGTGTATACGTATATGTGTGTATATATATATTTAGTTTGAAGGCTTATTTAAAATGAAAATAAATTATGAAACTTTTCTGCTCTCAAAGATCTGTTTGGAAGAGTAAGTGTATTCAGTACTTTGTATGCCTTAATGTGTTTTCTATCTTAAACTAGTCTTCACAAGCTTTTACCACTCCAACTGAGATGTATACGTTAAGTTAGACTAATGTTTCAAAAACGGATACTTAAAAGCAACGTACCATAAAAATCTTCAGAAATTGTTACAAAGAAGAGTGAAAGAAAACAAGGTGTTTTACCATATGCATTTTTAAATTTAGCGTAGTGGATACTTTGTTTTAAAAATACATAATTTGTAGAATTACTGCCCAGTTTGTGTTTGAAACATAAATCCTGGGGTGGACGGCATTAAATTGAAAAAAAACGTGGGCATACAGTATATTTTAATTTTTCATACTGAATCGTACATTTGCACTGTGCCTTATTTCTACCGTGTTCTTCCTACTGTTGGACATATAAAAAGATTTTCCTTGGAACTGTGACTTGATTAGATGCTGCAGTATGCTGGATCCGGGTCGGTGGACCGCAGAGCGCTCGAGATGCGGAGAAGCAAAGCTGGCCGCTAGTGGGCGCTGTGGCTCCGTGGAAGTCACGGACGAGCGTCAGCACCGGCGCTCGACCGGGAAAGTAGCGAGGAGTTCCTGCCAGCTCTGCTCTGGGGTCTTGCAGACGCCGAGTGAGAAGCACATGCCTTGACTTTTCCATCTCACACCCTCTAAATCTCTGGTCACTTTGGGAAGCGCGCGTGTCTCCTAGAGGCTAGTGAGACGGTCCCCGCGTCGTGCCTGTGCCGGCGACACGCGGGGAAAGCTCCAGGGGCGCCACCTTCCCGGGGGGCCAGGAGGGAAGGGAGACGCCCGCAGAGAAGGCGGGAGGCGACGATGCTCAGGCCCTGATTAGAGCTGCAAATTCCGGCGCCGCGTCGCAGGAATCGTCTTGCAATTCCCGGCCCCACTGACTGAAACTGAGCCGTAGGCGATTGGTACCAAAATCAAGTGAGAAGCCCTCGCCGAGAGGCGTCGGGAGAAGCGCGCAGAAGCCGGGAGCTCTAAGGGTGCGCGCGGAGTGCAAGTCTTGCACGCGGGGCAGCGCCGCATCTGCGGAGAAGGGACGCCGAGCGGAGCCTGCTGCCTTCCGCACTGCTCGAGGGAAAGCCGCGCCCTCTGATTCCGCCGAGGGGGAAGGCGCCCCCGGGCGCGGAGACAGGTGGCCCGCTACTCGGCCGTCGCTGTTTCCACGTCTGCACCGCGCCCAGAAGGCCTCTCGCCGCCCCGGGGGCGCCCTGTGCACGCGCTGAGCGCTTCTCCTGCCCGGCTTCTGCTCCGCTCCCGCCGCCCGCGGGAGCCAGGGGCGGGGCTCACCTGTCAGCCCGAGCCCCGCCTCGCGGCACCCAATGTCGGGAGGGGATGGCGGACGGACGGACCGGCCGTCCAACCAGCGCGCGGCCGCGGAGCCGCGGGCCAATGGGCTTCGCGCGGCGGGGCGGGGCCCCGCGTTTATAGCGCTCTGACAGCGCGGCGGCCGCGCTGACTCTCCTCGGCGGGGACCGCGGCGCCGGCCGGAGCGAGGAGCTGCGCACGCAGCGGGTCCCGGCGCCCTCCCCGCACACAAAGGCCCGCGCGCGTCCGGAGCCCGCGGCGGGGACCGAGCTCCCTCTTTCCTGCCCTGGGGGCCGGGAGCCGCGCGGACTGAGAAGGCTCCTGCGCGCCCGGAGGCGCCCTACTCCGCTCCGTGCTCCGGGACATGGAACCGCGCCGACGCGGCGCCCGCGCGCTCGGGCCGCTGCCCGCTGCACTGGATCTATAGTCACAGGCGGCCCCGCTCGGGGCGCAGCGCCCGCCGCCCGCGCCGGTCGTCTCCGCTCCGGGTCTTTGTGTCCCAGCCCGCACCCGCCCCGCGCCCACCCGCCAGCCGCGGCCGGCCCGGCACCCTGGAGCCGCACGGGAGTCGGCCGTCCGAGCTGCGTCCGGCGCGGCGCCCCGGAACCCCGAGTCCGCCGCGCCGCCGCGCCCCGCGCGTGCGCTCCCGCCCCGCGCCCTGAGGGCCCCGGAGAGCGAGCGCACCTGGCCCGGCGACCGCTGGAGCTGCGCAGCGCGCCTCGGAGCTGCCTGCGGGCGCACGCCGTCTTCCCCGCCAGTCTGCCCCGGAGGATTGGGGGTCCCAGCCTGCGTCCCGTCAGTCCCTTCTTGGCCCGGAGTGCGCGGAGCTGGGAGTGGCTTCGCCATGGCTGTGAGAAGGGACTCCGTGTGGAAGTACTGCTGGGGTGTTTTGATGGTTTTATGCAGAACTGCGATTTCCAAATCGATAGTTTTAGAGCCTATCTATTGGAATTCCTCGAACTCCAAGTAAGTGGCGTCCGCGATCCCCCTATGTCCCCGCCCCGGGGTCCGCCGCGCCGTCCGGGCGGGAGGAGGGGTCAGTCCGCGGGGCCTCGGAGCCTGTTTCTGGAACCTCGGTTCCCCGTCCCCCACCCCCAACCCCCGCCCCATTTCACTAGGTGGAGACTCCTCGCTCGGCTTTCCAACCCGAGCCCCGCTGGAACGGACGGTCTCTCCGCCTTTCCTCCCCCGAACGCTCCCAGGCGCTAAAAGCTACTATCGGCTCGGGTGTCAAGTCCGGGAAGGTGTCCGATGGCGATACCTGACCCTCTCCTGTTTTCGAGGACGAAGGACATGGCCACAATCTAGGCTGGCCGGCACGCGGGGACTGGTGGGCTCTGGAGAGAGGCGGAGATGCTGCATTCGCGGGGAGCGCGGGCGGCGTGGTCCGGGGCCCGCGGGCGGGCGACCGGGGTGGCAGGACGCTGGCAGCGAAGCGCGTTCTGGAGAGGGGAGCCTGGAGTCGCTACGCTGCCCGCAGAGCCCTGGAGCCGGGGCGCCTTGGCACCGCGCCGCCAGCCCGAGGGTGCGCGGGGAGCTCGCCTGCTTCGCAGGAGAACTCGGGCGTCGAGCCCTTTCCTCCGCGCCGGGGAGACGGGCCTTAGGCTTCTCCCTGAGGGCCCGCCGCACCTCGGCCTCCCGCTTCGTTCATAAGCCGGTAGCCCCGGAGTATGCGGTCTCGATGGCCGACCTGATTGTAATGCACTTCCTATAAAAGCTTAGGGCCCTGCCCAGTCGACACTGCTCCTGAAGCCTTCTCCCTCGGGACCCTGGTAGGAATGGGATCCTTAGGATCAGATTTGCTCTTACCGGACTCTACAGCCGGGAGCGAGCCAGGCCTTGTGGAGAGTAACTTTCAGTTTGGGCCACCAGAGTGCATTCAGAATTTAGAAAATCCCATCCATCCCTAAATCTGTGTGGTCATAACTCGTAGTCATCTGGGTATTCAGTACTGTGTATCCCCTTATTTCGAATCACAGCCAAAACATATTTTACAGAATCTTGGAATTGTAGTCTCGGGAAACTTGGAGAAGAAGTATGCAGACATTAGCTGGTTTCTGGAGAAAACGTTTGAGATCAGAAGCAAAATCAATGGCCTAATTGAAGTTGAGCAAGTTGGGCCTGGTTTTAGGAGAAAAGAAATGGGGGATTGATTTAGAAATCACGTCTTAAAGGAGTGTGTCCATTCTCTTAAAAGTGTCAAATTTCAAATTCACTAACATGTTAACCAAGAATCCCTTCATGAAAAGGGCGAAAACGTCGGTTACAAATCGGTTTAAACAAATGTTTGTATGATGCTAGAAGGCACTTTCAACACCGCTCATACGGAGAAGTTACTTAGCTCTGCCTCCTTCCATGTAGTCTGCTCTTGCATGGATTATATTTTTAATGTAAATTGTTGTATTTGCTGATGAAGTACTGGCGGCGGCATCTTTGCATCGATGCCGGCTCGGGAGGCGCCAGGTGGTGCCGGAAGGAGCCGGGCTAGGACCTCGCGCAGCAGCGGGTCCCGGAGTCCGGGAGAGGCGGGCGGGCGGGCGAGGCGGTCGCGGGGAGCCCGCGGCGCCGCTGCCCGCCCGGTGCCTCCAGAGGTCACTCTTCCATGCGGAATCGCGCAGCGCCAGGCCTCGCCCCTCCCCCAGGCCGCCTGCTCCAGCCACTCTGCACTTTCACTGACCGGTTCTCTTTGAGGCTGTTTTTTTTTTTCTTATGAGGATTTAATATTTCTGTTTAAATCTAGTTGAAAGCAATTCCGTTAGCCTCTTCAGCGTTTAGTTCGGTGTGTGTATCTTTATCTTTGCGCTATATTAACTATTAGTTTGTGTGTATCCGGTAGGAGAATTAGAAATACCTAGTTGGGAGAAAAAGAAAAGTAGAACAATAGTTATTTCAACCTAAGGTTTAGACGTTAATAACTTCTTTTTGTAATGTGTCGAGATGGGGGGTCCTGGGGGGAGGTGACAGGTACTCACCACTCCCCCCCCCCATTCTGATGATGAAGATGAGTCTGTCTTTCCAGCTATGTCCAGACCTGCGAGGGCCCTGCGTTTCTGGAAGCCTGCCGTTTGCGCGGTTGAGGTTGCTGCTGCTGTCTTGTCCTCCACAGCAGCATTTCTTTTAAAATTCTCCTGATAACGGCCTGCCTGGATGACTGGATAATGTGTGCCTGGAAAAGGTCTCCCTTGCAGCTGAATGCTAGCTCCAGAGATCAGAAAGATTTCTTCCTGTAGGAGCCATAGGAAAGAGTCCTCTCTAAGTTTTTGAGAATGCATACAACCCCCTGATGACAGGGGGTCGCTTTCCTTGGGGAAGTTTTATATTTATTTCCAGAGGAAAGTTTGAATCGGTAAATATGATGTGGCAGGAAGGTAATCAAATGCATTGAAGTTTCACATCAGTTCCTATGAACTGTGGAACAATTCATTTGTAATGAAGCCGCCATCAGTAATTAGATTTGTTTCATTCAGAGGTCAGCTTTTTTAGCAGGTGGTCGACACAGGGAGCATGCAGCAGCTGTTTGGATACAGGGTCCAGAAAACCCTTTGTAAATTCAGCGTCTCCGTAACTACTTTAATCACATTGTCGGCTCTCCCGTCCCTGACTGTATGTAATAATGGAAAGATGTCCTGCGTGCTGAAACAGTAGCTGCCCTGTTAGGTTATTCACATTGCTTTGATACGTTCTGGTAGAGTTGGGTCCGTTGTAGCCATTTTGGTTGTTTAAAGTTTTGGTTTTTTTTTTGTTTTTTTTTTAATTCAGCAGAGAACAGTAATGCCTAGCTTCCGTTTTTAACTTAACACTTCAGTAGAACATTTTCTTCCAAGAGGGAGATTTTGGCCTAAGTAAAGTAGTGGGCTCTTTTTTAAAAAAAAATTAATTTTACTTTAATGTGAGCAAATCTGTATTGGTATGGTGTTCTGCAATGCATTACACTGACTTTGAAAATTTCGAGTACTAATGCCTTATGTCTGGGGTTACCATTCCCTGTGCATCACATACTAGTTAGTTAACATAGCATTTTGCTTTTCCCATGTAATTTTTTCCCTATATAATACTGGATTCCTGATACTAATTGACTTGATACAAAAGAATGGCTGGATGATATCCAGATAACGTATAATACATGGGCTTCACCACAATCAGGCTCTGAATAAATACAGACCTGTCAGAGATTGATAAAATAAACTACAATGGATAGTGCTGTTTAAACAGTCCATTCAATAACATATATAAGCCAGCCTGCCTTCCATTGTGTCTGAAATTCTTATTTTTGTAGGTAAACAAATGCACATTCAGCACTGATTGAATAGCCCCTTGAACTATGCTCCACAGTTTGCGTTTGGGTTAATCTTGTCGGTTTTAATATAGAGAGAAAAAAGCTCAAAGCACCAGGGGTGGAATTGTTAGTGCTTTCACATCCACATTCCTCACATTTTGTCAGGATGATAAACTGTAGGTAATGGACTGTCGTTGTTCTGCAGGACAACTGAGCCAGGCAGAGCACAAAGACTAAGCTAAAGCGATACCTCACAACATGCTTGGTAGCCTTCTTTTCAGATGAGAATTTATTTGAGAATCATGTGTCTAGGGACTGCACATCTTAACCTCAACAGTTACAGCTTCAAGCCCCAGAAACAGGAGCTGGAGGTTAAGATGATTTGCTAAGCACCTGGTTCTAAATCTTTTACAAAGCATAAGCTGTTGACGCTGGTTCTGCCGACGCAAAGACATGCAGATGACTCCAACATTTCCAGAGGCTTCTGACTTAAGCTAAAGTGTGTGGACAGGTGAATTCGCCATGGGCCTGGAGACCAGCTTGCTAAAAACTATGTGTTTGAATGGTTCCTCCAGACAGAGTCAGCTGAAGAACAATTGGTGGATTTATATTAAAACCTCTTGTCTGTAAACTTACTGAGGTGCATCCTTCGGTTGGTGGATCAGTGAGATAATTGCCTTCAGATGGACATTGCAACTGGAGCAACTAAATCCTTGCTGTCTTTCCTTCCTCTGAAATCTTCCAGGTAGCTCCCGAGAGCTTCAGTATGACACCAAACTTCGGGCGACGTTTTAGAGTGCGTTCACCTAATGGGAAACTATTCGAGATCCCAGCGTGACTGCAGTAATGCGTCATAGGAATGGGAGTGGCAGGGGAAAAGGAAATACAGATTGTAGACCCTAATAAAAAAATTTTTAGGAAAGATATTTCTTTAACGTTTTATGAGAACTTCATTCTTAAAATACTTAATTGCAAATTAGACAAATAGAAGTGCTCTTCTAAGGAAGGTGATTAAACTGGTCCTCCTATCAGCCTAATCTCTGCCTGCCTTTGCTGCTGACATAAAGAACCTGTTTTTCAGGTCACTTAATATACATCTACATAGATTTGCTTATGAGCTCACCCTTTGTGTAGCGGAGTAGAGCCTTAAAGAGGAGTGCTCAACTGTTTAAAATATTTTGATTAAAATATGCAGAACCCATAGAACTATAAGCTTCTAGTCAGGAATTAGCTCTTTCAGGGAACAGCTCCCCCCTTCTTTTTAAGGGGGGAATTAGAAGGAGGCTGGGGGAGGAATATAAGAACAGCAAAGAAGGAAGGATAGCAAATGGGACATGTTCCGAACAGCTTGGAAAAACTCCTGTGGCTTCATTGTCTCTATAAAGCCAAAGAATACAAAGACATAAGCAATTCAGCCCTTCTCCCATGATGGAAGATGTAAACCGTTGACATGCCTCCCCTGTTTAACTTGTTTAATTCTCATTTTAAATTCAGCACGATACTAGCCGTGTGAACTCTGAAGATTTCTTTAGTAATCCATTTTGTAGTTCCGAATCAAAAACAAAGTGAAAGGGTCTGACACAATTTGCTTTTATTTTTAGGCAAATCAACCCTGGTCATAGTTAATAAGGGGATTACAACTCAGACTAGGTCTTTACAGATGTGATGTAAATCAAGGGCAGAGTATAAAGAAACTGATCCCTTTTGATTGAAGTATAGTAAAAAGGCATAGAGAAACTAGCAGCAGTAATCTGATTGTATGGCAATAAAACCACCATTTTCTGTCTTTCAGATAAAAATAATGTGGTAAATCCATGCAGTTCATAAGATGTAAAGGCAGATAAAGGGTGAAGCCATGGCAACATATAGATTAGCTTGATGTTAGAAATGACACGTCTCTGAAAAGGGCGCGGGACGAAGGCCCTTGCCTCCAGGCTGTTGGGCATTATGTGAGAACCACACAGACTTGGAAACTGGGATTAGGAAGTATGAAAGCTCTACTTGTGGTCTGGGATGGCTGAGGCAGTAAAGAAAAGCTGCTCAGTTCTTGCTCATTGGTGGTGGATAATATGGCAAAGGTAGATTTCATTGACTGCCTTTTTTATAGATTGAGATTGGGGCTGATTAAAACTTCAGATCACTGCAGTTGTTAGGGCCTGGGAGATTTTCCTTTTTAACTCCTGGCCTAACAGCAGCAGCCGTTCTGTAGGATTAACTGCACTTCGCGGTCGTTGCCTTAATCTATTTGGGCTTCAGGCAGGGACATGCTGGGAAGGAACAGAGACCAGAGGGGATAGGTAGGGCTGGGGTTATCTGAAAAGAAAACAGAGACCTTTTGATTTCAGCCATCTTTTCAGACCCAGCTCCCTCTCCCGCTGCATGGGAGAAGCAAAGGTAAACAGGACACATTGTCCCTCTCCCTCAGCCACAGAGCTCTTCTGTGAGTTTTGTCTTTCCCACCCTGGAAAAAAAGATAAAATACAATTTTTAAAAGGGGAGGGAGGAATTTAGTTTTAATTCAAATGAGTAGTAATCCAATATGCCAAAAGCAGTGGGCTCTACCTAGATGTAATTTTACTCGTAAATGTGAGTCTTAAACTTTGAGTTGAATGGGGCAGGCTGTTAGAGGTGGTGTAAATTACAGGATTATAAAAATGTTAGTGCTGCCCAGCCTTAAAGTCAAAAACAGAAAAATCTCTGTGCTGTTGAGTCTTCCCGCCCTCTCTCCTGAACAACCTTGTAAGTAAGCTAGACTTTTGTTTTTGCCTTCCATACTTTCCATTTCAGCCATTAAACAAAATAAGCCATTGAAACCACGATTGGGTTCCATGCAGAGTGACATCCGCAATCGGGTCAAGCCAGAAGGAAATACTTGCTCGATTGCCCCCTATTTGGCATTACAGGAAAGTCTCCACACTTTGGAAGAGTCTGAACTCTCAAGACATTGAAAATGCCAAAGGCTGCAAACACCCTGTGTCTTTCTTGATGGAGTGCATCTTGGTGTGTTTTACAAAGGGGAATTCAGTGCTGTTTTTTTGTTGTTGTTGTTGTTTTTTTTTTTTAAAGAGCAGCATAGGGCCCTTCTAGACTCTTGGATTCTGTGTCTGACAAAAATGGTCATTAAATGAGCAATATTATAATTTAGACCCATTTCACTGATTTTGTTCCAAATTCTCAACTGACTTGAGCATCTGTTTGGGGCTGTAGATACATTGCCCTTGTTGACTGTTTTTCTCGTTTCTATGGGAATTACTGTAGCCATTACTATGTAGCTTTCATAGACTCAAAACATTTTTAAAGTATTGCATATAGGCTGGCCATATCCAGTGCCTGTTACTTTACCTTCTTTTTCTAACTTAATGCAGCAGTCTGTATTAACAGATCCATTTCATTTGTCTAGCTTCATCAGAGAGAGGCTACCCCCTGATTTACAGGCTGCTCACATCCAAGCACCTTGCATTCTACACTTGACAGTGATTGCTAATGGCCCATTCAACTAAAGTATTTGCTTGTTAACAGGGAACAGAACATGATAAATGTCCAGCAAGCTTGCTGCCTCCTTCAGCTTTTCAAACGCAGACTGGTGCATATTTATGGCAGGCAAATGACAAAAGAAAAAGCTGAATTGCCCTGGCCTCCAGCTTTCTATCAGAAACAGGGTTAAAGTGATTAAAGCAATCATTCAAGAAAGCCCTGCCGTTTGTTTACTAACCTTCATCCAACATTTAGCTTTGTAGTCTACCTGTGAGAAGATATTTCAGAAGTATTAGAGATAAGGAAGGAGGATCTAGCAAACCAGTGAAAAGAGTAGGTGACCAGTTATAAAATGCTTTCCATGCACATTGAATGCCAGGCGAACCTATTTCTGTTATTCCAGCAGACAATCAGCAGTGGCTCTAGATTATTAACATATTTTCCTTTCATGTATAAATTCAAATATGTAATTCTAGTCCAAAGCATTCTGTGGCTGGTAAGCACATACTTGCTGATTTCAAATAAGAAAACATAGCAAGGGAAAGCTCCATTAAACAAGTTGTTTCTGCCCTTAGTAATTCTCTAAACAAGATAGGAAGAAAAAGTGGACAGTAGTGGAGTATTAATAGTGTGCTCTTTTCATTCTCTAAAGCACGAGTAAGTAAGCGTTCAAACTACTCTGTGGTGGGCATACATTTAGAGCGCTGTGAATGAACCACTGCTGTTCTGCCATACTTAATTTATTTATATTATTATTTTTATTTTATTGTTGTTTTTATGTATTATTATAATTATTTATTTATATTACTAATTTATTTTCTCAATTTAAATCCTGTTGCATCCAATTTTAATTACAGTTTTTGTATCTGCCTTCCCATACTTGCTACCCACGTCCCCATTGCCACTGCGGCCTTATCCATGTTTTCTGTGTACACCACTCTCGTATCACCCCAGAATAATTATGAGTGCTACCCAGACTTTTGAAACCACTAGAGTCAACATGTTTGTCTTTGAGGAAAGCCAATGATGCTTTAGCATTTTTGGCAGGGGTGGATGTGTGTTTAAGTGGGGTGGGTGCAGCTCCTTATTGTCTGCCTATTCTACTGTTGTTCCCAATCCACATTCCCTGCGGGGCACCTAACCTGTGTGCATAGCAAAGAATTTCCGACCTTCAGAGCCAGAAGTGTTTCTCAATTGATCTCTTCCAGCCTAGGGTTATAGCTGATGAATTATAATCCTTGCTCTTTCCACACCTTTACCTGGGCTTACCATGGCCCTAAAACATTTGCCCAGAATCAGAATTGTCTCATGAGTGAGTGGGGCAAGGCAAATCCTGTTCCAGACCAGCTGAGAATGTACCTAGCTGCAGAAGAAGTTAGAAAGTGTCATCTTTTACTTATCTACCAGAACTATATTCGAGGTACATTTTAGATTTAAAAAAAAAGCAAGTTCTCGTAGGCCTTGAATCCCCCCCTTGCTATGGGAAAATGGATCATTATTATAATGGACTGTCCAGTAAAGTTCATGATTTCTCCTAGACATGTTCTCTCTCTTTATGACCTAGATCAAGAGTGATCTCTTTAAGTCTTTTCTTCATAATCCCACAGCACTTTGTACTTAGATGTACTTAGAAAGAACCATATACACGGTACGTCATGATTGATATGCAAGCCTTCACCACTCTACCTGTCCTAAAAGTCAGGGACACACCTTCTTCATTTCATCAGTCCCTACTTCTATCCAGCATTGGCATCCAGTAAGTATTAGTGGAATGGACAGACAACCCGAATTTGTGCTGATGGCAGTTTACCCTGTTTTAACTGTCATCCTTCTGCTACTAGACATGGATGAGACCTGAGACGATGGGACTGCTCAGAGGTCCCTGGCTCTTGAACTTTAGGGCACCAGAATCCCCTGCAGGGCTTGAGAAAACAGGGGTTTCTGGGCCCCACCCCCAGAGTTCCTGATTCCTGAGGTCTGGGGTGGGGCTTGAAGATGGACATGTTTAACAAGCTCCCAGGTGACGCTGGCAACTGCTGCCTCAGGGCCATGCTGAGAACCCTCGCCCTACACAAACCTTTCTGGGAAAACAACTCAACATTAAAGCTGTTTGGGGATCTCTGAAGAAATCTGTAGTCCTTGCCTTGTTGGGGGAGCATCAGGGATCTAACCATTGATGGTGGAGTATTTGTTGTTAATTCAGCAAGCAACTATTAAGTGTTAGGCCTGTTACTCGGCTCTAACAATACAAGGCAGAGTGACCTGTACCCTCGAGATTTAAAGTCTAAGTCCTGTAGAGAGAAGCCCAGGTGGGAGCAAGCACATTTAGAGTTAGGTGCTTGGTGCAAGGTGGGGACACAGAAGAAGGGAATGGCATTTGCCTCTGGAGGGGTCCGGAAACAGCCTAGGGAGGAGGAGCTTGAGTCTTGAAATACTGTGGGCATCTCTAAGCAAAGTCACAGTAGACAGCTGAAATAAAGAAAATAGTAAGCAAGCCAAAGAAACAGTATTTCAGCCAAGGGCAGCGTGTGTCTATCACGTCCACCTGTGAACACGTCCCAGGATTCTCTGCATCCGGCCATTGCTCAAGACAGATCCCTCACAGGAACAGCTAAGCCACTGATTTCAGCTACCTGTTCACGTGAGAATTATCAGTACCTACTGCTTTTCAAAATGAGTATGATCATGGATAGGTGAGGCAATTCAGTTTCGCAGAGACAGTAGGGCAAGTGCCACTGTAGTTTAGTTAAGGGCACATGCTTTAGAGTTTGGCTATGTGAGTCCAATCCCAGTTTAGCCATTTATTAGCTGGGTAGCTTTAGGAGCAGTAGCCTTAGTGTCTCTCAGTTGTCCCATCTCTATAATAGGGACAATAACATAATAGTGCTGAATAAAAGAGTAACAAAATTTTGGTCAACATTTAATGTATTTAAAGAGCTAAGCTCCGTGATTGGCACAATGAACCAATCAATCAAACACCAGTTGTTATTAATAAAAGTCAGTTGAATATGTACTGTGTGCCTGGCCGTGGTTCAATTTGCCTTTGCATACAAGGAAAAAATTAAAATACTCTGTTAATAAAGACTATAGCATAATACTTTCACCTTAAACTTCTTGATGTTAATTTATTTTGTTTACCTGCCAAACTTCTACTCATTCCTTATGACTTTCTGCTACATGAAACACCCTTTGTAATTCTTTTGTCCTATTAAATTAAGTTCTCTCTCCTCTGCTTTCCTGCTTTTGGTGCTTTCTAATAACACTTTTAACCCTGGACTTTCTCATTCAGCTGTGCAACTGTGGACTGAGAGGAGGCTCTTTGAATTCATTTTGTATATTCTAGTAGAGAGTACTGTGAGCAGTTGGGTTGTTGAATGAATACATTAATTCAACCTGGAGGGATGGGCAGTATTGCATTTTTTACATTGATATTACATGATATTTAGAAAACTGCTTAACTGGTGGACGTTGTTTTATTAACAGCATTTTGTGTATAGCACTCACTATGTGCCAGCTGCTATTCTAACTGCCTGACAAATACTCCTGAAACCTTCATGGTAACCATATGAGGGAAGCACTTTTAATATATCCATAATACCAACGGGGAGACTGTGGCCAAATTGGTTAATTAACTTAGCCAAAGTCATATTGAACTAATAAGTGGATTTAAACCCAGCTAGTCTGGGGCCAGGGTCCCTCTTTTAATCTTCTGCCTCCTGCTTATGCTGTTGCATGGAGTAGTCTTTATCATATAACTAAATTAAGCATGCATTTGCTTAAAGCAGTGCATACATGATGGATCAAAAAGTTTGTGGTATAATTGGTTTAATTCTGTCATTATCCATTTTGATTTATAGTCACTTTCTTATGATGGTCGTGTAGTTTTAAATGGAACCTTTGAATCTTTGATATAATAAGGTTATGTCAAATCTTGGGTATAATAAGGTTATACCCAATGGAAACAGAATAATGATCAGCCCATTTAAAGGATGACTGGAGAGTTATTACAATACATAATAGTCATGCATATATTGAGTAGTATTCCTTTGGTAACATTTTCCTTTTAAAAATTGTAACATTTGATTGTTCCTTGTTGGGAGAAAAGGAGGTCAGATTTTTGAGGGGAGATCCATTTGGTGAGATGCTGAGTGTGTGTCAAGCTAAGGAGATAGTATGACATCTTTTTTAGAGTCTAGTCACAATTAAATGCCATTTTATTTTGGATTTTGGGATCCGTGCCAGCTTCCAGCTTGTCAGAGCTGAGAAGACTCAAATCAAGTCCAGGCTTATTTCTACAGCAAACTGGGATTCTGGCTTCTTGCCGGTGGATTCATTCAGTACAGCCCATCTGGCTTTTGATGTTCTGCAAGTTTGGAGCCATTTGTTGAAGGAAGCCAGGCGGTGAATATTGGTGGTCCTGGGGTTCTCTTGACTCCAAGTGGTGCCCCTTGGTTTGCATTTTCACCATGCTTAGCATCTGCTTACCTGGAGACCATGCAGCCGCCGGCCAGAGGTCTCCAACAACCAAATCTTCATGCCTTTTAGAACTCAGAGTCCCCAGCACATCCTCCTTCCTCCTCCTTGTCCAATTACTTTCATGCAGTTCTCAGTAGCTGCTTGTTTGAATCACTTATAGTATTTAACTTCTAGGGTGTTTTTGGGTTTTGGTCAAGGTAATTCCAGGCTGAATGTGGTGACTAAGCAGGAAATAAATGGGTCGTCCTCAAAGTTACAGTGGAGCGCTGTTTCTATTTTCCTAAGGTACACAGTTGTGGGGGCGATCCGTATGGAAGTCAGGAACCCAGTCTGATTTTGCTTCCTTTTGATGGTAGCAGTACAGACCTGGCTGTTTTGTAGCCTGCTTTGTTTTTCTTCCTTTTCTTCCCTAACTTCACGGGCTGTGGCAAAGCCCTGAGACGTGCAGGAAAATGTCTCCTGTCATACGCCCACAGCAGACCTAGCCCTGACCCTCCTCTGAAGCCCAGGAAGGAGGTATCTGTGAAGCAGCCTGCTTGTAAAGCAATTGCACACAGCCTTGTAAACTGTGTTACTGGGCTGATTATACTTGATTGGCAAGGTGAATCTCTTATAGCAAAAGAGAACTTGGAGAGTTTTATCTCATCTTATGCCTTATTAATTTGTTCATTCTTTAATTACACAGCCACCTATTGAGCACCCTATTTATGCAAGGTACCTGGTCGGGGGTCAGAGGGAGGGTCCCATGGTAAACGAGACAGACTCAATCCTGGAGGAGCAGGAATGGCAGCCCCTCGCTGGGCTGTTGGCCCCACCAAAAGGGAAAGGTTTCATTTTAATAATACATGGGTGAATCATTTTTGTCAATAGGCAAAATTCTTTGTAGTTAAAAAAAAATATGATGGTAGGAAGGAAAGGGATGGGCAGAGGGTTAAAACAAAAGATATGCTCTCCCTAACTCTAGATTGTAGTATTGTTATGCTTGTCACTGTAGCTGAATTCCATTTCTTTGAGTTTTTTCAATGCCAAGGCATTCCCTGTATGACTTACGTGAGCCTTTCATCTCCGCGATTTTTCCCATTCAGGTAAATGAGCAAATGGATTTGAACACTCATATCTAAAACAAGAGAGAACCAGCTGGAAATGCCCTTTGAATTTCTTTCTCTATGTAAACCATTTTTCTTTCTGGTGCCTCACCTATAAATAACAGGAGTTCCACCTTCCTTTATAGACTCTTGCTGAAAGCATGGTTTGGAACAAGACCGTACAGGTGCACACAAATTACAGTTGGGAAAGAAGCCTGCAGTGCATCTTGTCTCTGAAGGTTATGAAATCCTCCTTTTAGTAATGGAGCTGGCGTGATCAAGCCAGCAGGATGAAATTTGGCATTTGTGAGATCACCCCCCTTCTCACTTGCCCACTGTACATAGCATCCCAGCCTTACTCTTCAAATCTCCACATTTTTTCTTATCTAGCTACAAAATTCATAGGCTGATTTTTTTGGGGTGCGTGTGTGGTTTTTTTTTTGTTTTTTTGGTAAATAAAGACCTGCATTTTTATTTTGATATAGGTGGTTGAGTTTTGTCTTTAATTTCATGACAGAGATTTAACTAGTCTCAACTTTTGAAAAGACAACAATGATATTTGGGGATCACACACTTAAAGTTAGATTTCTAGATGATTAATACCAAAGTAGATGATTTTTTAGCCTCAGCCATTTATAGGTATGCCCTTCTGTGAATTTTTTATGACAGTGAAAATCATGGCACAGATAAAAATTAAATAAATACTTCTGTTATTTTCCTGAAGAAAAAAAAAAAAAGCTTAAACTATGAGAATACTGTCTTTGAGCACTTTAAAATAAAATTGACTTCAGCCAGCAGGATTTTGAGCATTACATCACAAATAAAAAACAAGATTAACATCAAAAGGAGTCAGTTTTCATTCAATTGTGCAGCACTGTGGGCTGTGAAATTTAATATTATTTTGACTCATATGCTAATTGTAGACTGACAGAGGAAAATGGATTGTGTTTAAATAAAAGGATACACAGCATCACACGCAGCTGTATCAAATACAAGTTGAGGTCTTTGGGCCAGGAACTGGGGGCCCTCTAGCTCTGTTATTGCAGATTCAAGTTTGACAAATAAAACTTTCCTTTAGACTGTAGTTTAATTACTTTTTTTCAAAGGTATGCGTGATGAAGAGGCACAAATACACCTCACCTTGAAGAGTTGCTAAACTGGTTTGTGTGCCGATCAGTTCACCGTGTGTTTGAATTTCTGTGCTTCTCATCTTTCCTTTTCTTGAAAAGATTTTGCTTGTCATTGGTGTGAATTGTACCCCCCACCCCCACCCATCTAGTCTTTGCTCTCAGATTTATAACACTTTAATGGTTCCAAATTGTATAGCCTGCTCTTAGACCCCTTTTCTTTTCCTTGAATAAATCAGGTTCATGTTGCAGACGATATTTGTTTTAGGAAAGTGTGAAAGAAGGGGCACCTGTGAAAACACGCAATTGTTCCAACACACATATACATCCAAATTAAAGCAGAAAATGTCAAAGCCTCCAATCACTACCTTATTTCTTGGAGGTTTAAAGCCGCTGAGAAGATAGTGGTGCCCTCGCTGGAAGTTTTAAGGTAATTACTTTTTACTCTAAGCAGTAGTATCTGGTAACCTAATTCCGTATAAACCTGACACCCTATCGCTACACCCCAGTATTTCTCTGATTTCAGAATAAGTCTGCGTAGAAACTTGTTCTGATGTTAAAGTGCAAAAGGGGGCAGTAAAGTGCTATCCACAAAAAAGGAAAAACATTTTCCAAGTATTTCTTATTACTGCCTGTGTCTTTCGTAGGCCCTGCCTTTATTTATTCATTTTATAACAAAACTCTTATGTTTGGGGCATTCAGAGAATACCTTATTAAGCTGTTGCAGCAATCTAGCATTAAATGGAAGACATGCAAGACTGAAGATCCTGCCTGTTTATGAAGTGTGCCATCAAATTCACATGCTCATGATGCAGAGTCCTTCTTTGGGAGTATTCGTATTCCCAAGTGCACAGAGCACTTCGGAAAGGAGCCTTGGTCTTTGGTGTTAATGCTCTCCTAGCTCCGTATAGATGTGGCAGGCCCAAAGTACATGGTGGGGTGAAGGGTCAAGGGTTTGGGCTTATCCAGAGCAGCGTGCATCCTTTGTCAGGAGGTGACTGGAAACACCAGCCAATTACAGCAGAACTGCAGACTGCTCATCTGCATTCGGAATTGCAGATGAACCAGTTTGTACTCGACTTCTCTTCTTCACTGTAGGCTTTGACATTTAATTAAAAATTAAAGCCTTTTATGGAAAAAGTACATGTTTTCCAAAATGGGGTAAATTCGAAGTATACTTGATACAGAACACTGGCTTGGGAATAAACCTGTGATATTACATGACTTTTGGTTTGCAACTGCTAGGCTGAGCCTCTTTGTAAAGCTGGGATTTAGAATCTTTGAAATGTTTGTACAGTTCAATGATTAAGCATAAATTGTATATATTCCCTTTTTTTCACTTATTTGAGTAAACAAGTTTGTTACTACAGCTTCTGTGGACTCAGAGATTTATGTATTAAATAGGCCACAACTTCAACTAGGATAATTTTATTTATCTGCTTGTTAGGGAATTGCATCAAAAGTTTAAGTCTGTAGGCATTAAATATTTTAAATGCTTATTTTTAAAGTCAATTATGAAAGATAGCACAAAGTTTTTCTGAAACTACATTAAAAAAATAATGTTTTAATCTTATCACAAAAGCATTGACTATTTATTGCAAAGAAAACACAGAAAGCTAAAAATCATTCTAAGTCCACCATTCAGTAGCCCAAAGTGGTCTCAGGTAAAGGCGGTGTGTGTGACCATTTGTTTATGGTTGTCTCCGTGCAGTCAGCAAAATAAACAGAACAACATGCCATATATTATTGATGTGTATATTTTCAACTGAAATTAGCCATCTGCTTACAATGATCATATACACTAATGGTATAATTTTGAAATGAAAAGAAAAATAAAATAATTCTTTGTGGAGAGTAATGCGAATTGACTTATGAATCTCGCCCTGCTTGGCAGTTTGCTCTAGAGGTAGAAGAGCTTTATGTGTGGGCCTCCTCCCCCCCCACACATTTATTCTGCTCACACTTGCACCAGCATCCATGTCAGGACTCACCTTGTCCTGTTACATGAGTAACATGGCCCTGATTCTCAAGTGCATGATAACTGCCATAATTACACATAAATATTAAATATTTAAATAGATCTTTACGTGTGTAATATTAGGTAGAAGTGGCTCTGGATCGAATCTGATGCTTTTTAAATAGAAGCTTTCCCACAACATTTCCAAGCACTGTCATCGTGTCTGTCTCGATTTGGGGTTTACCTGGCCTAGTTATCTGTCTGGGTGTAGAAACTGGTAGTTCCTGTTTGTATCTTTTTTGTTCTGATCTCTTTATTCTGTGTCAGCTAAATATTCTTGCAGTCAGTTACTAACATATTAACTCATCCTTGTTTGGAAACTTTGGCATATCCTTCCATGGTTTCCTTCCGTGGACCTGTCGCGTCTCTCAGGAGAGCCACCAGGTATATTGTCACACATTTCGCATGTATTTTCAGAGACTACAGCAGCATCAAGTGGCCCCCCAGCGATTTGGGTTTTCTTCTCGGTTAATCTACACTCTTTGGCCAACCGTGAGAAAACTTGTAAGAAGGCATCAGATGTTTGTGCTAAGGTGCGTGTAGTATGGTCAGAGGAAGAAAGAAGCAGGGAAAATGGAGTGGCCGTGGGTGGGAGGGGAAGCAGGGAGTGCAATTTCGGGTTCACTACACAGCTCTCCATAAACTTCTCCACTGCTGGCTTCCCACGGATCCTCCTATTACACTGGGCAAAGTGCAGAAATAGATCAGGCGACCACTGCCTCCGTCCATTTCCCAGGCACCCTGTGAGACCCGATAATGCAATACAGGTCAGCAGAAAAGTCCAGACTTGACATCCCAACGTGCCATGGTCTGGTCTGTGAATGAAAATCACATGAGGTGACCTCTGAACTCTAAGTGGCTGGTTTATGTTTTCAGTGTATTAGGCCCGTGTTTTAAACAAGCATGTGCTCGTAGTGTAGGTTAAAACTTTCTGTTGTCTTCATTAATTATGCTGTGTTCTAGTCTATTAATATTAAAGAATATTGTGTTGCATAATGACTAATTTTTTTATTTTTTGGAGACGGAGTCTTGCTCTGTCACCCAGGCTGGAGTGCAGTAGTGCGATCTCGGCTCACTGCAACCTCCGCCTCTCGGATTCAAGCAATTCTCTGTCTCAGCCTCCGAGTAACTAGGACTACAGGCGCCCGCCACCATGCCCAGCTAAGTGTTGTATTTTTAATAGAGACGGGGTTTTACCATCTTGGCCAGGCTGGTCTTGAACTCCTGACCTCGTGATCCACCCGCCTCAGCCTCCCAAAGTGCTGGGATTATAGGCGTGAGCCACCACGCCTGGCAACATAAGGACTATTTTTTAAAGTTTTTACAATTATGACTGTGAAGTTGAAATGTCTAAATTATTAGAGATCCAGTTTAGATTACTAAATATTTATGTCTAATTGAGATGATTAGACTTAGCCAAAGTATCCATGTAGAAGTATTAGAGTCTAGATTGGTGAAAAACTTGAAAAAGCTTGGCTTAAGTTCAATAGGTAATCCAAGAGTAAAAACAGATTCCAATATCAGATCTTTTCACCATAGTCATGTTAAGTTTGGAAGCCCTACTTGAGTGTTTCCAGTTTTTTCCACATTATATTGTGTCTATATTTGATTCAAAGGCAGGGCATCTATTGTCTTGCTTAGGACTGATTCACTGGGAAAAGCCACTGGAGTTGCCTATTTCCACTCAGTATGCCTCACTCTTAGAGTAGCTTCCCATGGTTCCCAGGCAGGCCCTCCAGTGAGAATGCACCAAGCCACACGCCATGGCCTGGGAAGCAGTCCTGAACCTGGAGATTGTCTTGATGGAAAGGAAGAGGCAGCCTTCCCCTCCCAGGAAGATAGTAGAGAGCCTGCTCTGACTTCGCTCAGGGATGGAACTGGTCTGGCTCAGTTCTCTCTCCTGTGTGGGACATGAATCACTCTTGGTGGTCTTTGCTTTTTATTTGGGCTTAAAATCAGCAGACTTTATTAAATGACACCTCTCTCTAACCACTCTCTGTCTGGGCGAAGTTTAACAAGAACAGCCTCCCCCCATGTGGTATGGGTTGTAACTGTGGCGGTTTCCCTCTGCTGTTTTTGGTTACAAGATGAACATTATCTGAACACACAGAAAGAAATCTGTATTTGGCATCCATAATGGAAAGTCAGTTTAGTAATTTAAACTTAGCCAGTTATCATCATCATAATTCTTTTTAACACTTTCAAAGTCAGCATAGGAGAAGTGTATTGTTGAATATTACAAAATATTTAGGGCATAGATAGATGTGCTGTGTAGTTTGATTTGTTAATGTGTCTAAGCAATCAAAGCAACAGAATTCAAATATAAACCCCATCACTTCCAAAATAGGAACTCTGTTTACTGACTTGATTATAACATATGGAACTCAATTGTTTTCCATTAAAAAATGATACTATTAGGAAACTCACCCCATTTTCTTTTCATATATATTCTGCTATTTGCATAATTGTCTGGAGTCCATATGTAATATTAAATGTAAAACACAAATGCCATGTAGCTGGTCTGTTTCTTCCTCACCTTTTGGTTCCTGGCCTCCTGGGGAAGGGTTGCACATCTGAGCCGTGGTCTCAGATGACTGCCTCGGAAGAAGCCTCTTCCCTTCAGGCACCACTGATGTGTGCTTGGTGTGGAGCTAGACTTTCCCTGGCTCTCCATGTGACGCTCACATGTGCGTGTCTTGATTTCCCTTAACTTCATGGCTTATCTATGAACAGCTTGATTTGGGGGAAAAAAATGTGTTTCCCAATGCTGGAGTTATAATTGAATGTGCTGCAGTCAAAACTGAAATGTGTGCAGAGAAAGGGGGCTTTTCCTGTCATGCTCATTGGGCACCAGTGTGTCTTCACCTGTTTTGTGTGTTAGGTCCATGCGTCATGCTGAAATGAAGAACATGGGATGTATGGGGCTTTGGACAGTGCTGAGCCAAAAGCAAGTGCTCAAAAGCAGCTGTGTTTGTATTATTAGTGGTTCTGGAGGTGGCTGATTGCCTTGCATTTTAAGTAGAGAGGGATTGTAGAAGACTGCCAATACTTAGAACTTTTTCCAGAGAGGAAGGGTCAGAAACTGCATCTGCAGGGCTCCTTGCTCTCCAGAAATGCCAGTGTGCCTGGGAGGGCATCTTCAGAAATCCAGTCTCTCCTCCTCAGTGTGTCCTGTACCGACTCAGTGGTTCTGTCTTCAGAATTCCTATCATGTCTGTGATCTGCAAATAGTGGTATTTAATTTGACTTCAATTTGTATAAATGTTAGCTTCTATTTGTTCATTCCTATTTTTTGTTCAATTAATACATTATTTATTGAGCATCTACTCTGTGTCAGCCCCTTGGGTGTTTAATACTGAATTAGTCACATGTGGGACTTGCCTGCCCTCAGGGAGCTAGACTATAAATTCCTAATGATCAGTGGTCTCCACTTTTCTGTCACTCATAATGTCTGGCACAACATAGGTTACTTGAGTTGTTACACTCACAGTACTGTTGTTTGCTGCCATGGTGCTTTAGGAAGTGTGAGAGTTCCCGGGAGGCAGAGTCAATAATGCAGACTACACGTAGTGAAAACATGGCCAGGAGAGCTGTAGTTCAGGCTCTCAGCTCAACTGCACTCTGTCCACTGAGAAGCCATAATTTCTTCACTTAAAGTGACTGTGCGCTATGGCTGTTTATATATACGCTTAAAAAGTAAAAGCTGCTAAACCACTCAAGGATTGGGGCCTTTTGTATTGATTTAATTAAAGGAACAATCATTGTTTTAATGAGCTCTAGAAACAATTACTTTTGAAGAGCCGAGGATCAAATTCTTGCCTCACGTTTTGCCACAGTGTGTTCTGAAAGGTGAATTAATGCTTTTGGAATCATCAGGAATAGTGAGCTTTGTCACGATTTACTTTTTACAAGCGTATCTAATATGCATATTGAAATGTGAGCCTCCCCACCACACTTCCGCTTTGATAAGCATCCCCCGGATTGCCGTCACTGACCATTATAGATTTTTAACAAAGTTGGACAGTACACACTGAATGAAAACTTTACATCAAGGAAGGCCTGGCGTGTTTGTAAAATGAATTAAAAGGCTCATTAAATGATTTATATGACTTACGCCTTCTGAAAATATGGCCTCAAACACAGAGATCCCCAAAGCCACACCGACCCCTGCGTCCCATGTTCTCGACCTCACCGCATCAGCACCAGCAAGACCTGTCGCTGAGACGGTGAGTGATGAGAGTCAAGAGGAGTGACTTGCATGGCCTGGGAGGAAACCTCCTGTGAATCTTTAGTTAAGCAGGAAAAAAAAAATCCTCATGAAGGAAACAGGATCTTGGGAGCATTTTGAATGAAGAAGGAGCTTAGTGAGCCAAACTTGAGACATAGGGTGTAATGTGGGAGAGTTTTAAGATTTGCAGAGATGTACAGCTTGGGAGGGGGTGTAATGCATTTTCTTAAAAGAGCTGAATGAATGGTTGAGGAAATGGGTACATCTGGTTTGGTTAAGGATCCTAATCTCTGAAGCCTGGGATGCCCCCAGGGCTTGTAATTTAGGAATACTTCCCCTAAT
The DNA here is from genome assembly GCF_000001405.40 of Homo sapiens. Classification (NCBI taxonomy): domain Eukaryota; kingdom Metazoa; phylum Chordata; class Mammalia; order Primates; family Hominidae; genus Homo; species Homo sapiens. Next base: position 106,514,783 of record NC_000013.11, on the reverse strand, counting down.
AGTAGCTAACCCTTATATAGTGCTGTCTGTGCAGGCTACAAAAGGAGCAGATTAAGGATAGAAAAGGTTTGGAGTGTATGAGAAACCCTAGGCAGGAATTGACTCCTGGTGTTTGTAAACCTTAAAGATGTCCTAAAAAGGTCAAGGAATAAGACAGGAGAAAAAGGAAATGTCAGGAAGATGATCAATTTAATGTTTATGGAATTTAGTTTGTACTTACTGCCCGGCATCTTGCCTGAGGTTTTTAACCTCAGCAGCACATCAGAATTACTGTGTGTGTGTTGGAGGGGCTGGGGGAGATAAAGAAATTAGCCTCATCCCAAACATTCTGATTCAGTCTGTTACTTGAGAAACTGAATTGTGTTTTGTCCATAAAGAAGATGAAATTGTCTACAGAGAACACATTGCCATTCACAAGGTTGAGGGGATACCACAGAGAGGCTCCCACTGTGATTTGCATTTGTCAAAAGTTCTAGAGAATTCTTCAACAGTACACACATGGTTGTTTTAAATATATCATTGTTATAAAAATTCGTTTTGAGTTCTGTTTCACAGAAAGTTTTTTTGAATGAATGAATGTCATATATCCTTGCTAAAGGAGCTCAGTTAAAAAAAAAGGGACCATCCTTCTCTTTTGGGGGTTGTACAGTAACACATTCCCAAGAAAGAGGTAACAGCCACATACATTTTTCTTCCCAATAAAGAGTGTGGGTTTTTAATATGAATCCATAGTATGATTTCTGTTATGTTTTGTGCTGCTTCATAACCACACTCATGCACTTTTCAGAAAATTAATACCATTCATTAGCATAAATCATAAACTATTCCCTTGGTATGGGTTTGAAATTGGGGGTGCCCTATCATCCTTGCTTTATCTCTTAGTGAATTATGACCCTGTAGTCATCATGGCTGGTGGGCGTCTCTGGTTAAAGAAAGGGTTGGATTGGAAGGATTCAGAGGCGATTCTTTGTTCTTAGGCTTTAATATTTTAATGAGCCTGCAGGCTTGGCTGCTTACGAACGAGCTGAGATTTCTAAGTGTGTTGTTAGTGTTAGCACTTGTAGAAGGATGTTCATTAGGAAGTTCTTGTTTCAGTTTTTCAGAGAAACTCCCCATTAAGAAAGATCATTCAGGAACATGGCTACCAAGAAAGAGGAAAGGGAGGAGGGAGGCTTTCAGCTATAAGCATTAAGGGGATATTGTATCAGTAGTCTTAGTTCTAAAGATTTGCTTCTGAGAATTAATTGGAGCAAATACATCTCAAGGGAAGAAAAAAAAAGATTTATAGGGCAGGGACAGTAGTTGTCCTTGCAAGTAGAGGACACTTCATTTTGCAGCTGAATCAATACCACAACTAATTATTTCTGGTTATCTTTTACGCATTTGTAAGACATTGCTTTTGTTCAGTGTAATAAAAAACCCATTGTTTGATCAGTGACTGACTAATTATGATAAGTAATTTGAAACATTCTTGATGAAACTTGTCTGTTAATTAACATCAACAGCACAGGGAAACTAACAGGACAACAAAGTATTAGTGGATCCACTGTTCCCTCCAATTGACGAGCTTTCTCTGTGGCATGCCCAATAAACTAAAGCTGCCAATGGTTAAAAAATAACAAACATGTGGGAGATCTGACTCACCACGGAGGAAGAGTTATGGTAAAGTTACACAAAGGAGTACTGAAATATTACAAGCGAGGGGGTGGTAAAGAAATGTCAGCAGGTAGCCTGATCCTACAGCTTAGAGTAAGGAAAGTGGTTTCTTTCTGTCTTTCCTTTTTCTTTTAAAGCTTAATTCCAAAATACATTCATCCCATATTGATCTGAAGTAAGAGACTTTTGATAAATTAAAGTGTGAATCTGAAAATGTGTAGTTTGGGATTATGGGCATTGCCTGGCTATCTTGTAACTGTCATTAATACTGTTAATTTTTATCAACTCAATGGCTTTTTTTTCTTATGCTTTTAGATTTCTACCTGGACAAGGACTGGTACTATACCCACAGATAGGAGACAAATTGGATATTATTTGCCCCAAAGTGGACTCTAAAACTGTTGGCCAGTATGAATATTATAAAGTTTATATGGTTGATAAAGACCAAGCAGACAGATGCACTATTAAGAAGGAAAATACCCCTCTCCTCAACTGTGCCAAACCAGACCAAGATATCAAATTCACCATCAAGTTTCAAGAATTCAGCCCTAACCTCTGGGGTCTAGAATTTCAGAAGAACAAAGATTATTACATTATATGTAAGTATAATTTTATTCATTTATTTTATAGAAATTAAGATAAGCTATATAGGTTTGTATCAATTTTTTGTTTCCTTAAAATTATTGTGACAAATAATTTGATGAAAATCTATGTGGAAAAATTGTCCCCCCCCCCTTTTTTTTTTTCAAAGAAAACTTCATTGAATTTGGGACCCTGTGCTACCAGTATTCATTAAGTATACATACCCAAAGAGAAAAAAAAACACTAGAATTCTTAATAGTATTGAAATAAATGTATTATATGAATATATTCAGCATCTCTACTGACAAAACCATTTTTAAGGACCATTGGTGGATTTTGATAGGTAAATCTTGTGCATTGCCTTTTCTCTTCACCCATCCATCCATTCATTCACTCATTCATTTCGTATTTATTCTGTGCCAGAGACTGTGCTTAAGGGCTAGGGATTCAGCAGTGAAAGGTGGTAAAATAGCATGTTTTCCTCAAGAAGTTAACAGTCTAGAGAAGATGGAGCTCATAAATTCGAAAGATGGGGATGACAGGTCACATTAAAACCAGATTCAGAAGAAAAAGACGAAACTTGGTTTGCTTAGTACATTACTCTTTTTTGCATACATATATATAATTTGACACGCTGTTTCAAGAAGAGATGGTACGTATCCCTTGGGTCATATCTGAGGCTGACTTGTGAGGATGTGAAGTCAGCTGATGAGCACATTTGGAGCCCACGCCTACTATGTGCAGATCTCTCGTCAGCGTCATTCCCAGGGCCCCAGGTGGTGTTAAAGTCTAGGTGACTCAGACAGCTGTTCGCGTCATTCAAGCAATGAAGTCTTTTTTCTTAATTTCTTTGGTTTAAAATTATACTCATAATTAATTGGGTTGAATTTTCCAGTGGCTTGGTTACCATAGACTTCAGTTTATTAGGGAACTGCTATCTGCCACTGGTTTATTATTTGCCCCAAGGTGGACTCTAAAACTTTAGGTAGGAGACTCTTGGTGATCAAACTGAAACTCTTGCATCTCAACCTATGAGCCGCACTTTATTGTTATTTTATTTTTTTAGAGACAGGGTCTAGCTTTGTTGCCGAGGCTGGCGTGCAGTGGCATGATCACAGCTCACTGTAGCCTTGAACTCCAGGGCTCAAGTGATCCTCCCACCTCAGCCTCCAAGTAGCTCGGACTACAGGCATGTGCCACTGCACCCAGCTCAAGAGCTACACTTCAAAGCACAGAATGAAAACCTATTTTTAAAGCCAACTTGATACATAGAGTAGCTTACCAAGAATTAGTAACAACAACAACAAGAAAAAAAAGAGAGAATGTGGTAGAGTATATACTTAGTAAGGAGTAATTATTATAAAATAAAAGCATTCTGAAATGAAACAGGTAGATGGGGTGGCCAAGTATGCAGCATAGTAGGGAAATCTTTGAAAATGTAAAATAGTTACCAGGTAAAATAAATGGAAACTTTAAGCTTTTGGAAGCCTAACAATGTATTTATATTAGTAAAGACTTTATTTTTTTATTTTATTTTATTTTATTTTTGAGACGGAGTCTCTCTCTTTCGTCAGGCTGGAGTGCAGTGGCGTGATCTCGGCTCACTGCAACCTCCACCTCCTGGGTTCAAGTGATTCTCCTGCCTCAGCCTCCCAAGTAGCTGGGACTACAGGTGTGCGCTAATTTTTGTATTTTTAGTCAAGACGGGGTTTCACCATGTTGGCCAGGATCATCTGGATCTCTTGACCTTGTGATCCTTCCGCCTTGGCCTCCCAAAGTACTGGGATTCCAGGCGTGAGCCACCGCGCCTGGCCTTAGTAAAGACTTTTAAAGTAAGACTTTTTCAGTGAAAGCTACTGTTAGGCATGACATTTACAGGCAACTGAAACTGATCAGATGCATTTATTAAGAAGGTTAATGCCCCTAGGTGGGGTGGGAGAAAGAAGGTCGTGGTACGGGAAGAGGGGACACACTAGAGATGAGATGCCCTAGGGCAGTGAACGCATGTCCCTAATGCGTGGATGCAGCCCACGTCCACCGATAATGCCGACACACCCAGAGTCTCTCTTCTTACTTTAGCTTATGACTTCACGAAGAATGCTTTGCAAATTCTAAGTTCGCACTGGGCGCAAGTGGAATTTTAGTAAACATTAAGAGTTTAACCTTTAGTGTGAAATAATATGCAAGATATGCAAATAATTGTTTACCAACATCTCTTTGCTTAATGTGGTGAGCATTTAATAATTGCTTTTTATTAATACATGAGAGATTTGTATTTAGAAGCAGTTTAATTTATAATTATAATATTAATCTACACAATAACGACATCTATTATTTTCTTTTTTTGGAAACTCTTCATACCACACTAACAGGTTCATTGCAGTTACTGAACTACTCTGGCCATCAGAGCTCTCCTTAGAGTTACGATTTACCATGCAAAAGCATATGGTAGCCTGGGATAAATGAATCTTTCTTAATACAGAATTGAGGGTCTCAAGTTTGAAACTACGAGAGGCTATTTGAATGTTGCTTTGGGGGACTGTCATAAGGGCTGGGTGGAGGACTCAGGGCTAAGAAGTTTGCCAGGAAGTCCAGTTGAGACTTTCAGCAGAGTTGAAAGACTTCCACGATGGCGTAGGCAGAGGAAGGCGTTTCAGATACTTGGGAAAATATAGAAGCCAATTTCTCACCCACCCTACAGCAAAGCTCATTGATCTACAAGTTTCCCTAGAAAGGAAATGGGAAATGCAGAGAACAAATGTTAAAATAGTTTTAGAAATTAATATTGACTTTGTATTGCTTCTGCATAAGTTCCAAGACACCAAAACAATGAATGGATTTTAAAAAGTCACTACTTTGCATATCAGACAAATGCACACACACACACACACACACACACACACACACACACACACACAGTCAAGCTCTGTACTGGCTTTTTTGAGAAGGAAAGTGTTTGAAGTTAGTAATTTTTATATCAGTACATTTATAAATAGTGCTAGGTAGCATGACGGAAAGTATTAAAATTTACATGTATATTTTTAACACTTCAAATCGTTGGTTCACTTTGAGACAGTAAATAATATTAGCATTTGAGTTCAGCTTTAATAAATTCTACATGGGTTTAACCCCAAATCTGAGTGTCTAGTTGGTAAGCGCCTTCAGAACGAGCAGTGTTATAATAAATATGTTATTGTGTGCTGGTTTCTTTCCATGGAGAGGAAAAAGAGACCTGATGCTTTGGAGGAGTGCTTGACTTTTCCCCAGTGAGGAGTAGTCCAGAGGGACTGACTTGCATTGGGGAGTACCCTACATGAACAGCATTTCAGAAGAATTAAACCAGGAACCTAGAGTCCTACTTGCTAGTCCTGCTTCCTAAGCTTAATGAGAAAGTCAATTTTATTTCTTTGAACTTTAATTTATTTCCCTAAAAAACGCTTTTAGTATTGTCATTGTTCTGGCTAATGATGGCGGTCTCCTCCAGTTTCAAGCCACCTTAGGGCTGGGCATACAAATGCAATATAGGATCACTTGTTAGTGTGGTTTCAAATGGACATGATCCTCTGTAAATTCTTTAAAAACATTTAATTTGATTTGTGGTGTTACCTGCTTTAAAATATAGTCATCACACTTGTGAGTTTCAGACGTGAATATGAATTTTTAATTTGAACTGTATTTTTAAACACACTAAGTATTAACTAAGTCCCCTTAGGAGATATGTGGCAAACTGATATGCATCCTCATTCATTCTTCTCATAGATGGTTATTTGTTTTTTAACTTGTGGCAAAATTATATATGAATGGTCACCGACTTAAAATAGTTCCACTTAAATTTTTCAACTTTCTGATGGGTTTATTGGAGTATTAAATGTATTTTCAATTTAATGATATTTTCAGCTTACCTTGTGCTTATCAAGTATCAAGACATAGCCCCACCTAAGTCATGGAGCATCTGTATATGGGTTTTTATTCTTGTTTAGAATTGACTTTTTCAAGTGACCTATTTCAGTAATTAGCCCTGGGCCTGATTTGCATAATGAGATCTCCTAATCTTCAAGTAATGCAAAGATGGAGATATTATGGCCATGTGGTCTGAAGAGACCTTTTCTTTATTATGTTCAGATCTTTAATTGCCTTAAAAATAGAGTAGCTAATTTACCTAACCTCTAGTTATTTTATTATTGTCTTTAAAGTTTTTTTTAATGTTCATGAAATAACTGTTCTGAAATTGCCTATTTTCAAGGGAAGCTGTGTCTTAGACTTACTAAATGCTCCAGTTGATACTGGGAAAGCCTTCTTGTGTTCGTAGCCTTTATCCGTAGAGTTTTCTTTGCAGCATTTTCTGTGCCTGGTTTAGTTTCTTTTCAGAGGCGACACCCAGAGCTGAATGAGTCAGCAGGTTTGGTGTGTCGACCCTTTGCAACAGCTGTCCTTACGAAGGTTCTGTGGGCTGGTTATTCTACCTTCGCATAAAACCTTGCAAAATAACCCACAAAGAGGTTTTCGTCACACTACCAAAATCATGTGAGTCAGAGATGGATGAAAAATGAATGCCATTGTGTTCATACTTTTCCAGTGAACAGTAGCTACAGCAGAGCTGTTAGACAAAGAAAACCGTATTAATGAAGCGCCTCCCAATTTAGCTTCATATGGCTTTTGCATTATTTTGCTGCAAATCCATAGCTAAGACACATCTTGTGGCATAGTCCGTAAGTCATCTTTCCGAAGGACTGTTTGATTAAAGGTTGTTCTGTGAGATCCACCCTGTGTTGTTCATGGCATCCTCTTGGAGGCCTCCCTCACTCTCCATGCCTTGGCAAAGTCTTCCTTAAGGAACACTGAACAAGTCTGGAGAAGCTGCCATTTCTTAGGGCCCTCATTGGTTCAGTTGTCTATAGCTTTTTATTTTTTATTTTTTTTTTAATAAAGAGTATGTAAAATTGGAAAGCTTCACAAACAGCTTTGCTATTTTTTAGACATGTACTCCACTTCTAAGCAAAATCACAAAATAAAGTAAAATGCTTCCACAAATATAATGAAACAATATTCTTAAAGAATCAAAGCAGAAGAACTTCAGAGTCTGTTGCTTATGTTAAGCATATATTTGTTTTCTTCTCTGCTTTTGATTTACTTATTTCTGGGGTGTAGGTTTGGCAAGTAGTACTGAAACGTACTGAATGCACTGTTCTTTAGCAAGATAGTTACAGGAGCTTTCAAATGTCCTCTTAACATATAGATTTCTTTTAGAATATAGAATAATGTGTGGGCTGTATAAAGCGATTATGTGCTTTATTTGATGAATTATTTATGTACGATAAATGTAGCAAAAGCCACATTTCCATCATTAAATGTAATCCCATTTGGTGATACAGCAACATCAGCCTGTCATTTGGGTCCTCTGATTGAGGGGTGAGGATTTCTGTTTGATACCTTGTGCATAATGGCTGCGTTCAAGCATTTAAACTCATTTTTATTTCTAACCTACAGCTGTCATCTTTGTAATAGGATATTCATCAGAATCTTGCCAGAGACTGTGCATTTGGGATCTTGGGGGATACAGCACCACCACCACCCTCCCCCTGTCCAAGAGAAACAGATCAACATCTTAGGTTGAGAGTCTGGGGTCTGGAAGACCCGAGTTCCTGAGTGCCCTTTGACAAGTAACTTAACCCCTGTCTGCCTCAGTCTCTTCATCTGTAAAGTGGGGATAATGACAGCACCTGCTTCACAGGGTTGATGGGAATCCAGATGTGGTGGGATATAGAAAATGCTTATTACTTCCACCTTTGACACCAAATACATATAACTAAGAGTTAACTTTGGAGCAGGGGAGGAAGTGTGAGGCTCCAGGCTGGAGGCAGACCTGTGTTCGGCTGCAAGCTGGAGAGGATGGACCCCAAAAGCTTGGCTGATTTGAAGTCCATCCATAAAATGGAACTCCAGAGAGTTTACACGTTTCAGTAATGCTGCATAACTTAATTATAAGATCTTCTCTCTTTGTCTTCTTTCAGTGTTATAAAAGCTCTTTTGTCCTTGAGCTTCCTTTACCAAGAAACATGCATTTATGTATCTTTTTGTTCATGGAATTGCCCAAGCTTGTTAGCAGATCCTTTGTAAGACCCAAAAGAGACAGACAGGGGAGGAGTCTTCAGATACATATAATCATTTTTCCCAATTTCCATGTTACCAGCCTTGCCAGGACTTTTTCTCAGTTCCCTGTTACACAATGAAAATAGTGTCTCTTTATTGATAATTTTAGTAGCATCCTAATGTGGTATAAATCGTCTTCCAGAGAAGAAAATGTGTCAGGGTTGCGTTATCACTGAGGCTAGCTGGGAAAGTAGATCAGCCCATTAGTCTGATAATTCGAAGCGTTGTTTCTGTTATTTCTGAACATCATGTGAACTCCTTTTCTGGGTGTATTAAAGGTTTTCCCAGTGTGTGTCAGTGAGACTCCTGATTGAATTTAATATGAATAAAGATAAATTCTTTACATTTAAGGATTAAAGTCTCAGCTTCTGCTTAACTTGAGATTGCACTGAGAAACTCCTGGCTCTCGGGTATAGCGGAGTCACGACCTGGGGATGTCTGTCCCATATGGCTCTGTGTGTAAGAAGAAAAAGCTGCTGTGGACGGAGACTCTGTTCACATTAAATGACATCACCTAAGCCATCATGACAGCAAGAATTATTTAGGAATTGCTCAGAATAAAACTGCCTTCATTATTTCATAAAATGTATCTTGGTATCTTTAGCACCTTATTTATGGCTTTTTAAAGGTTCACTGGGATTTATAAATAATTGGACAATGCTAGAGACCTAGTACAAGAATGAAAGAGGACAGGCTTCTTTCTTAATAACCTTTAAACATTCATCAGGAAGATAAAACTTTAAAGCAAAATAAAACACATGAAAATAGCCAAGATGCACAGACCAGACAAGCAAATACTACTTTAACTTATTTGTATAGTTCTTAAGAGTCACATTTGTTCCTGAAGTTTCAAAATCTCGGGCTGAGTGTTTGATCACTTAGGGAAGTGTTGTGGCCTTCACATACTCTTGTCTCACTTTGAAGTCTAGAAACACAGGTCTTAGAGCAATTTTTATCACTGTGAGAAAGCTGAAACTTAGTGTGAGTAGCTTAGTACAATTCAGTTGGCCATCAAATGTCAGAAACAAAACTCAGTCCAGGGCCGCTGGACCCTTAGGCCGGCGTTGTTAGTTTACAACAGTGCCTCCTGGGTCCAAACATCTAAGTGCACATGTAGCAATAGTAAAGATAGTATGTATGCATACATAACACATATGTAGAGACAGCAGAGTATACGTACACACATGTTGCATACATAGCAACAGCAGAGAAGCTCATGAACTATAAAGGATGGACTGTATGCTTGTATCAGACATTTTGGTACTGACGCTTTGTCATATATTGTGTAACATATAACCAGCTTGCAATCATCTGCCCCCAAAGTTGAACTAAGAAAATCCTACAGGGTACTAGGAAAGGAAGGCCATTGGGAAAAGGTGGTTATAGTGGCAATTTGTTAGCTCTTATGAATTTTCTTTTTCTTTTTAGACATACTCTTAATTCCATTTTTTCAATAAATCTATACTATTTTGTGTTTTTATGTTAGCAAGTACTTTAAGCCCCTCAATAGAAAGTTGCTACATCATATAGTGATTAAAAATAAAAATCTCTCAAACATACAAGTAGAGGTGGTATGAGACTTCAAATTCCCTTAGCCAAGTACAAGTGCAGCAGTTTTGTTGGCTGGCTGGCTGCATAGAAGGACTGATGGATTGGCAGACCCTCAAGCTGGAGTGTAATTGATCTCATTACAGAGGAGCCAGGCTGGGTGACAGTTGTGCTTTGCAAGTGGTTTTTTGCATTGGTGAAGTAGCCCATTTTGTTGTTCCTGATGTTAAACAGGGGATGAAGGTATTCTTTTATTGGCACAAACGCGGGAAATTGCTCTGGATTCTTAGAGGATAGAACATGTCCCCTGGACGGAATAAGGTTCATGTGTAGGGCAAATTTAGATAGGGGCACCTTATTGGGGTTACTACTGGTCTCTAGATGGTCAAAGCAAACAACATGTCCATCTAAGCTGTGATGTCCATCTAAGCTGTGTGTGTCCATGAGAGTGACGCATTTTCTCCTCTGCAGTGTTGTTATATTCTAAACTGTCAGCAGACATTAATTCGGTCGCTGGTGAAGTCCCACCGCCTAGAGATGAACTCTGCCTCCGATGGATGTTTTCCACTTCAGTGCCACTCGTCTCGCAATTACTGGGTCATTAATATCATTGCATGCAATTAGTGACAGTAGAAAGAGCTAGAGGGTTGTGGGATGTGCACCCTCCCCACCATGAACTTTTTACTCTGACCCTTTCCCAGCTAGACCTTTTCGTATCTTGGCAAGGATATTTTAATGATTGAGACTGTCAGAATCTTCAGAGCAGGCACTGGATTATGTGCTGGAAATAATTCACTCAAACACCTGCTTCTCCATGGTTCAGAATATTTTCATTAGATATTATCACTATCCCTTCCCTGGGAAGTTTCATTTTTAAAAATCTGATGCTTAAGTACAGCTAATATAGACAATAGGGAATTATGTTTTATCTTTAGAACTCTTACATTATTCTTTTCTTTAAAAATGTGAGCTGAGTCATTGCTATTGCAGTGGTCATCTGGCCGCCTATTTTTAAAACACAATTCCTCTATCTTAGTAGATTTTGGCCCATATTAAGCATATCAAGAATGACTTTTTTTTTTTCAAGACATGGGGTTTTATTGGGGGCTTATATACAAGGAAAGAGAGAGTCCAGTGGCAGTGGGCTGGACAAGATATCCACATGGCCCTGTGGCAGTGAGCTGGGCAGGAAAACTGCAACTGCTTGCAAACAGCATGTAGTTCATCTATAGCATTTTCACTTAACACCACCCAGCTAATGACTTCCACCTGGCAACCTTCATTTAATCCAGAACTTAGGACCTCGAGTCCCTGTACGGCCCATGTTCCACAGGATGGGCCGAGGGCTCAGCTGTTCCTCATAGACAAGGAATGACTCTCCACATTGGCCACTCCCGGATTCCCTAGCTCAGGACACATATTCAGGTGTGTCTAAGGCTGGCTCTTCTATGTGAAGTTACTTATTCTTTTACCATTGACTCTCATGTTCCCACTATATTAAGTTTTTCTGAATTACTGTGGCAATAAGAAACGGTCCCTTAAATTATACTAGAAGAAAAGCTTTTTTTTTGTTTTGTTTTTTATTTTGAAATTATGTTAAATTTTTTTTCTTAACTGAGAGATTCCACCTGCATAAATCGTCATAACTTTTAACAGTAAGATCTTAGACTTAGAAAGTGATGTTTTTCCTCAACAGAATTTATTAAAAATCAAGACACCAAGCTGTTCCAAACAATAGTTTGAGGGGAAATAAAATAAACAACTCCATAAATAATCTTATGTTGTTAAACATGTCTCTAGCAAAACAAACAAACAAAAAAGTCGGGGGTTGGGGGAGGTGCAGTTTATTGCCAGTACTGTCTGGTCTTTCTCAGAAAAGCGTCAGTGTACATCACTGAGCCTGGACGGTATGTTTTCTTGATCTATACCCCCTATGTGTACATGTGCTTGCACGCACACACATGTAGACACGCACACATGTGCACCTGCCATCACTTTCTGCTCTTCCGTCTTTTCACTCTTGAGTGTCTGTAGCCAGTAGCTTTCCAGGTCTGTATAGTCAAAGATACCTATGGCCCTGAATGTCTTCACTGATTGCTATTTGACATTCATACGGTTTTTAATGGTTAAAAGGCTTTATGCGAAAGCTGTGATAGAATTTCTCCTGTTCTAGATGTGGTGTTTATTGCTTTATTTTGTGACTTTTCTCTCAGTAGATTGACCTTCTCCCTCAGTGTCCAAGCCTCGCATAGCATGATGGCACCTGTAAACTCAGTTCTGTATCCTGGTATCCTTTCTCTTCCCAAGTAGAAGCAATTAAGTAATATATGTCATCAAAACCTTTTAAGTGCACATACAAACAAAATCAACTTACCAAACTGCTTCAAAGTTGTTCCATGTTTAACACTCTTCTTTCTGAGCTCTGGGTAGAATGTCCTATTATTGTTCATCATGAATATTTGAAATTAAAGAAATAAAACTGTACCATTTTCTTTAAGAGCATCCATTTGTACTTGATAACATCTTCAGTCATATTTCAATGCTGGCAAAGAGGAGGGGAGTTCTAAACTGTGACTCAATTTTAGAATCTACTTTTTCCAAATTATTCTGTTTAGTGCAGAAAACTAATTAATAGTGTTGCATAGAAAAGTCACTGAAGCTAAGCCAGTTATTACTTCTTAATGCATGATTTACTGCTTTAAGTTTTCAAAACACAACCATAGCAATGTGGTATTAATTCAAGTGATTCTTCCTATCATATTGAACGATATTTTCACGGGTGAAAAACTCACACATCCTACATCACTGATAGTTTATACAGTGTTTTAGCTGTGGCTCCCTGCATGCAAAATAAGAGTTAATCAAATGTCAGTGAGAACCATCTCATCAAGTAGAGGGCTTGTTTTGTTTAAATTAACTTTGCTAAGTATAAATTTCTTCTTGAAAATAAATTCTGGGCCGGGCGCGGTGGCTCACGCCTGTAATCCTAGCACTTTGGGAGGCCGAGGCGGGCGGATCACGAGGTCAGGAGATCGAGACCAAACTGGCTAACACTGTGAAACCCCGTCTCTACTAAAAATACAAAAAATGAGCCGGGTGTGGTGGCGGGCTCCTGTAGTCCCAGCTACTCGGGAGGCTGAGGCAGGAGAATGGCGTGAACCTGGGAGGCAGAGCTTGTGGTGAGCCAAGATCACACCACTGCACTCCAGCCTGGGTGACAGAGCGAGACTCCGTCTCAAAAAAAAAAAAAAGGAAAATAAATTCTTCTGTATTTTTCTTTCTTCAAGTGAGGCCATTTAGGGGAAAGTATACCATAAAACTTGCTCTAAGATAAGGCAAATTTGGTATTATAGGATGAAGTGCTATGTGATTTGAAGTAATGCTGAATTTTTTAAATATATTAAACTAAACAAGAATAATGAGGCCCTCGGAAAGTCATGATTATATTTCTCATTTTTCTCATTTTAAAGCCACAGTGAAAAACACATAAAAGGAAGAAGTTAGAAAAAAAAATGAATGAAATTCTTTTTTTCCTTTTGGCAAATTAAATAGATGTTTCTGTTTCAGAAGATTTTATTAATTAACTTTAAAGAAACAGTCATTTATTTTTGGCATTCAGTGAACACTATCATTTCCATGTTTAGAACTTTTCTTCTAAGTTAGCATCTTAAAAGATAACTGTGAAACTCAAGGCATTCAACTACATTAATTTGAGTTTCAGAAATTGAATTCTTGTTTCTAGAGTACATAGTTTGAATTGATGTCAGGGTGTTAAATAGATAAATCTTAGCTTCCTAGGTTGTATATTCACACTAATTATTTTTTTATCAGCCTTCTTATTTTTCAACTTACCTTATTCTTTTTGTTTTTTTGACACTCAGATTTGATAGCCCTGTGGTAGAAGAAAACAGTAATACAGTTTGGTTTGTTGTTGTGTTTGTGTTTATTTTAAAGTCACGGCTTTGCTTTCCATGTTGTTACTGGATTATGCTTTTTTTAATTCTTCAGTTTGCCAAGATAACAGTCTTCCGATCTTCAGAAGTCTGTATCAAGCTTAAGGAAACTGATGTGTAGGAAGACTCGCCTAAGAAGTCCAAATTAGCAAGGCTAGCATGTGAGGACATGCTGGAAAAGAATAGTTCCCATAGATATTGACAGAGAATGTTCATAAAATGCTACTTGTTTTGTGGTTACATGAGAGTAACTTGTGTCCAGTGCAGCTGTATGTAAGGGCAACGTTTTTATTCTGACGACTCTGTGGTTTTCATGACCCTGGATGCTTATCATGTCTCTCTGTTGGACTTCTTCAACGGAGTTGATACAAATACTTGCTTCCAAGTGTCCATCTGCCCTCTCCTCCATCCTGGCCCCATACAAATACGCTACATTTTTAAATAATTTGAAATACCCTCAATAGTATTTATATTTCCTGGTGCTTCATTCTTTCCATAAGAACTGTGATACCATTATTCTGTAGGATTTTTTTGTGCTTCCCCGTTTCACATCTCTGTGCCAGTGAGACCCATATATCGGTGCAAATCCAGAAGTTTGATTGTCCATCTGATTAGCACACTGTTAGCAATGTGGTGGACTAAACACAGCCAAGATGTGGGGCTGGAGCTTAGCCTCCTGGGAGCAGAGCGGTGAACATCAGATGAAGACATGTGAAAATGGAGTACTACTTCCTCTTCCTGGGGATGGGCTAAAAAGCACAGCCAGAAATATTCTTGCCCTTCCAGTCTGCTTTACAGTTACTCACTGGTTCTCTTTTTTTTCCTACTCAGATAACCAGTATACTCTTCCCAGTGACTAAGAACTGCAGATAAGTATAGGTGCAAATAGATGGCAAACCGCAGATGGCAGCTGTGTGGTTTCAGATGTGCTGCAGAACTTTTAGACGATGTGAACGCAAGGAACTTTTTTGCTGAGCAGTAATCTCTACCCACTGGAAATTAGGCCCTGGGGGGAACAATGTAGTGACTTCTATATACTTACTACATGCAGTTAGACCCCTGAAGCAAAAGCTTTTAAAAACAGGCTGTAAAATGCCCATGTATCTTTATTAAGCCTATTTTCCAACTGGATAGAGAAATTTTCTGGTAATTTTTAAATTTGTAAAGTCTATTTTTTTCCTGAGCCAAGGGAAAAAAAATATCTGGGCCCTAAAAGCTTAGTTATAACAATGTTATTTTTTCTATCTCTGAATGATTAAATGTGATTTCATTTATGTAGCAATACTATGATTGTGGCTGCATTAGATCACGCTGATAGAAAGATACAAAGAAAAACTAAGTATAATGAACTAACAATTTATTTTCACTCTTTCTCTAAGTTAAAAATTCCCAGTACATTCAAATGAACAATGAAAATAATTGCAGAATTGTCTCCTGAAATGGAAATAGATTTTTTTTCCCAAGCATTAGCAATTTCTTGTTATTTTTCAAAATCAGCCACTAAGCCTTTCAGAGCTTCTTGGTGACTATTGCAGGAGAAATCAGAATATTAATCTTGTGGTTTTATTTCAGAGTTCGCTGCCAGGAAGGAGGTATAATTGGGATAGGAGACTTTTTTTTTTTAGCTGTGTCACTGTTCAAGGAGGGGGGTTTGGAACCTCAGCATAAGAATTACACTCTGTGATGAGGATGTAGCAGGGGAGAAGAAAGGTGATTTTCACTATGGGAAGCTATACTTACATCAAGTATAAAATAGACTGAAGTCATTTTGAATTACGTTATACTTGTAAAGTTTACCTCCTGGAGTTTCAGTTAGTACCAGTGTACTAACTGGGTTAAAACAGTTCATGGCACCTTAGATCATTTCTAACTCATGGCAAAAATCTTTCCTGGTGGAACGTGTAACTGTATTTTAAATGCCCCTTTATAAGCAACCAAGTATTTGGGATGTTATTTTGATATTAGTAGTGAATTTTTCAGTATCTTCCAGTACCCTTTGCAAGTCACAGGTTGACTTAAAAGGAAAAGAAGCAAAATGCTGAATATAGCAGAAAAACTGTCTGCATTCAGACTGTTCAGCCCACTTTTGCTCCCCACGTGGCAAGCACACTCCCCCAAACAAGCAATAGCCTGTGGCTTCAGAGGAACCTACAAAGGCAGCATCTGTAGATTTTTCCTTCTTCAACTCTAAGACTTGAATGTTTCCCTCTTCCCCACACACTTTTTTTTTAAACCAAGAAATAAAAAAGTTTTCACTCTTAAAGGTGCAAAGCAGTTTCATTCTTATGCAACACAGCCTTCCTCCTACTGTCTTATAGTCTGTGGATGTTAAATTATAGATTCCAATTGAATTTTAATACTCTAGAGATTTTACATTTGTGGTTGTCAAGACCCCGTTTTGGTAAACCTAGGGAGCTCCGCACAAAAGCATTGATATTCAGAAAAGGCACTGACCTACAAATTAAAAGAAAAAAAAATCAAATAATGTGCACCTCTTGTGCTTCCAGTTTGACAAAGCAGAAGTCATCAGCAGTTTCTCCCTCTGCAGACGCAGTTCTCAATTCTATTTACAAGTAACTGCTCTACTGTGCCTGTTTTTCTCTTGCTGATACTCATTTAATTGTTTTTCTTTTGGATCTGAATCTTTGACTGTCTTTTCCCCCTCAAGATTAAAATAAATACATCTGTATTCCTCCCCTTTCTTTCTGTGCACTGCCCTTCAGATCTCATTTTGTCATTTTTCAGCTTAGTGTTGAAACTTTTAGCAACAAAAAGTCAGTTACTTACTTTGAGTAAGTAACTCAAAGTAAGTTAACTTTGAGTTTGAGTGCACTTTTGCGTGTAGGTTCATTTATGTGCTTGTGAATTTAAAAACATTGGGATTCCACCTGAATGAAGTAAACCAAACATTTTAAACTATCAGCCAGATAGAGACATCAGCCTTTCACTTCTTTCTATATGCAGACATATCCTAATTTTTTAGAAAAATCAAATAGGAAAATTCTCAACAATTAATTGAAGATTATAGCTCTGCTCTGAAATGGTCCAGAAATAGGATCTGCTCATAGAAACTCATAGTTTGAAGCCTCTGGGAGGAAAGGATACTTTAAAATTTAGTCACATATTTGGAGGAGGGAAAAGGGAAAGAGCAGAATGAAGAACTGAAAAAAATCACACACCGGGGCCTGTCGTGAGGTGGGGGACTGGGGGAGGGATAGCATTAGGAGATATACCTAATGTAAATGACGAGTTAACAGGCGCAGCCCACCAACATGGCACACGTATACATATGTAACAAACCTGCACGTTGTGCACATGTACCCTAGAACTTAAAGTATAATAAAAAAAAATTTTAATAGCCCCATTAAATAATTAAAAAGATTTTTTTTAGATTCACAGAAGTGTACAAAATTTTTAGGTTTTTTTTTTTTTAAGCTGTCTGCTGAATAGTTTCTTAATGGTCTACAATGTTTGTATCTACAAACAGATACTGTCTGCTTCTTACTACCCTTCCAAGACAAGTATTATTATGGCAATTATTGCCCAGTTTCCCGGGAAAAATTTATCCACAGTTACAGAAGAATGAGATGCAATTGTGAGACTGTAAAGTTTAAGCAAGCACTCAGAGAAGCACAGTGATATGTATGCACAGAAGAGGCAGTCTTTGTTTTGAGGAAAACAGTGAAAGTAAAGTTAATTCAAGACCACAAAGACAAGTAAATAAGTGCCTTATTTTTGTAGTTAATATAATTTCAGTGGAATGCATATTTCTACCATAAATGCATATAGAACTTGTTTGCTGACCTACTGTTTGGAAAACAAACAATCCCATTAGAAGAATGTCTTTGGGATTTATTTTTACCAGAAAATCAATCCTTTTTTCAGTCCCTTGCAAAGTACAGTGTTACAAGCCAAGACTTTGATAATCAGGTAGAAAATGGATTTAAATTGCAGAAATGTATATGAAACACTTTTGTTCCTTGCCCCTTGAACTTTAGGGGAATGAAAATGTCTAGCACTCTCCACCTTCTTTTCTCTCCTGGAACTTGAACTGTAATTCAAAGCCTGTTTCTCATTAAAGTACCTGGCAGCCTATCTCTTTACAGCTTGAGTTACAAAGCTATTCAGAGACCTCGCTGGTCTAAAGAGACAGAACAAGGATGTGTTTAAATAGAGCATAGGCTGTTGAAAAAAAAAATGCTGAAAATGGTAAAATGATTCTGTCCTTCCTTCCACTCCTCACTGCTGAGGTGGAGAGGGAATTCAGTTGGTGAACACCAGCAAGTGGCTGGTAAAAGTCCCCACTTTCTCTCCAGGGCTGCCACAGGACCCAGAATGAGTGGTGGGCATGTGTGTGAACCCTCTATTCAGCCAGAGTTTTCCCGCAACAGGTAGTTTGGTTGAAGAGGTTGACTAAGGTTGACATTGGCAGTAATAACACGTATGTTCTTCTGATTTACAAAACGATGGAGGAAAAAGGGGAGATTTTGAAGACCTGATTTCTGGTATACTTCTTAAGCATGCATAAGGCTGAAAAAAGAAGACAAGGGTTGTGGGAGGCTCCTGGTCTAGTGTTTACAGAACTTGGATGCTTGACAAACAGAGCGTCAAGCTAATTGTTCTTGAAGCAGGAAATCTGCAGTGGAGGAAGCAGGTGTGGGGGGATGATTACCACGTTTGGAAATGGCTGCATTAACTATTTTGCTCTTCTGAGTTTGGCCCCAAAAGAGTCCATAGACTTTTTGAAGGATGCCATCCCTTTTATTTATAGACTAACATTAAATCAGTCATTTGTGAAGGAAGGAGAAAGTGCCTAAATAAATTTGGAGTCAGATAGCATACGTGCGGCAGTGTTTCCGATATCCATTTCTCTTTATTTCTTTTTCTTTTTCTTTTTGGCTTTCAGCATCCCCATACTTTCAGAAAACTTGTGACTAAGAGTGAATTCTTATTTTTCAAATTGTTTTCAGACATTTCATGTTCATGTAAACTTGGCTTATTGATTTCCTGATTTTTCTTTATTTTTTTGTTTTGTCCATTTTATTTTTAATCAGCTACATCAAATGGGTCTTTGGAGGGCCTGGATAACCAGGAGGGAGGGGTGTGCCAGACAAGAGCCATGAAGATCCTCATGAAAGTTGGACAAGGTAAAGACCATCTGCTGCTTCATGACGCCACTGTGACCTGGTGTAGCCCCCAGCTAGTATGGTGCTAATGTTGCCGATGCCCACCTTCATTCGCTCTTCTTTTTAGTTTTCAAAGCAAACCCTTCTGCACTTTGAGCCACTGACAGATTTCCTCAAGTCAATGTACTAAGCTTTTATTGGAGATCTAAGAGTTAAGATCAGCAAGGTAGAATGTCTATTGCCATAGATAGATAGATAGATAGATAGATAATAGATAGATAGATAGATAGATAGATATTTCTTTTTAAAAAGCAAAACACTTTGGTTCAAAATCAAAATATCCAGAATGAAAACTAAAAGCTTGTGCAGTTTTGCTCATTTCTGAATCTTGACTACAGAAGAGTTTTGTTCATTGTGACTTTTCCAATATAGATAACCTATTGTGCAGAAAGAAATAATTATTCTTCTAATTAAAAATTGGTATAGTAGTCAATCAACTTGCTCAGTTAAATTGAAATGTCATCTGCAATGCTTTGCCTGCCAAATGCAAGAATCCCTATAGTTTCCACAGATGGCCTCACGTTCTAAACCTCTGAAATAACTAGTATAACCATTTTGTTTTAAAAGAAAAATTATATTCTTGTATTTCACAGTACTTTGCATAAAGACTCTTATGTTCATTGCTATTCATGCCTGTTGAAATATATATGCAGCTCCTAAAGCTAGATATTGTCAGATGTCTGTGCCGTAATTAATCATTTGTTTTTCATATAGATGCAAGTTCTGCTGGATCAACCAGGAATAAAGATCCAACAAGACGTCCAGAACTAGAAGCTGGTACAAATGGAAGAAGTTCGACAACAAGTCCCTTTGTAAAACCAAATCCAGGTATAACAGCATGATCTGTGTGTATGGAGGTCTGTGGGTACCACATTCTTAGTAGTATCTTAAAAGGTAGGGCAGAGTCTAAAGACTTCTAACCAGTTAGGATTAGCTGGAAGTTACAGTGATCAGGAATCTTTGCTGTCAGTGAGTCATTATTAATTACACTCAATAAGAACAAAATAACTCATTCCAATGAAAGTCATATATTCAAAGGAGTAGAGTTCATGAGCTGTAAGTGCCAGTTATTAGAACTACTCTGTCAGGCCAAAGGTTTCATTGGCTGACATTTTATCAAGCTGGTTGTCAACTCCAGCTTAAAGCTGATGTTAATGTATATGTAATTAATGTGCTAATCCCTCATCTAATTATATCTAAGCCACAGAGGGTTTAATTGATCCTCTTCTAAATTTTAAATGGTAACATTTTTAAATATTGCATAATAGTATTTTTTCAGGTGGTTATCGTTATTTTGTTTCACATTTTCCATGTAAAAGAAAATATTAAACAGGTCCCTGACAAAAGTGTAGAATACCAGATAAAATTGTCCGTCGTTGACCTTCGTTTTCTTAACAGTCTTGGAACAAATAGTTCTGTATTTGTTACCATGCTAATGAAGGTTTTATAGAGTAGCTGTTGAGCAGACATCAGCAGTTTTGTATTAGGATTGTTGTGTGCTTGCTTGGTCGTTGTGCAAATTTATCGTCTGCAGCAATATTCCATCCCTTTCCAAGAGTCAAGGAGGGAAGTTGTTATTTCTAACTTTCAATGACAAGATGTGTCAAATTCTTGTGACAAACTGATAAATGGATAATATAATGATGCCAGGCAGTTTTTTAGTGCTTAACATTTGGGCTGGCAGTCTGTTCGGTGTGAGAGTTTCTGCTGCCTTCCAAATATATTTTAAGTGTAAATCAAATAATACAGACGAGTTACGAGCTGAACATTTTCCCAGGCCCCCTCACTCCTTCCGCGTTCCCGAGCTGTTCTGTTCTGCCAGGAGGCAGGGCTCTTCTTTAGAAGGCAGGCCCTTTGAAGGTTTGCATGAAACTCCCTTTCTCAAAGGAGGCGGAAGAGCAATACCACATAAACGCTCACCGCTGACCTGGAGAATTGGCCACTTCCCTTTTTCTTCCCTGCCGCTGCCCCAGGCTGGCTGACACGGGTTAGAAGATGAAGCAAGATCAAGGGCTGGCTGTCACCGACAGTCTGTGCTCTTGCTGGATAATGATACAAAGGAAACCCTGTGGCTTGGGAGGGTAGGGAAGTCCCTCCTAGAGATACCTCTCATTTCCTTTTGCGTTGAGCTCTTAGACGAGGTATTGGCGAGGCAAAGTCCAGCTTCTAGTTAGTAATAAGCCTGGCTTATTTTTCACATTTTTAAGGGTCATAAAAGCAGTCCGTCTGCACTGGGACAGCAGTAACTATCTCTGACCTTTTCTGTCTCCGCGTCTGCAGGTTCTAGCACAGACGGCAACAGCGCCGGACATTCGGGGAACAACATCCTCGGTTCCGAAGTGGCCTTATTTGCAGGGATTGCTTCAGGATGCATCATCTTCATCGTCATCATCATCACGCTGGTGGTCCTCTTGCTGAAGTACCGGAGGAGACACAGGAAGCACTCGCCGCAGCACACGACCACGCTGTCGCTCAGCACACTGGCCACACCCAAGCGCAGCGGCAACAACAACGGCTCAGAGCCCAGTGACATTATCATCCCGCTAAGGACTGCGGACAGCGTCTTCTGCCCTCACTACGAGAAGGTCAGCGGGGACTACGGGCACCCGGTGTACATCGTCCAGGAGATGCCCCCGCAGAGCCCGGCGAACATTTACTACAAGGTCTGAGAGGGACCCTGGTGGTACCTGTGCTTTCCCAGAGGACACCTAATGTCCCGATGCCTCCCTTGAGGGTTTGAGAGCCCGCGTGCTGGAGAATTGACTGAAGCACAGCACCGGGGGAGAGGGACACTCCTCCTCGGAAGAGCCCGTCGCGCTGGACAGCTTACCTAGTCTTGTAGCATTCGGCCTTGGTGAACACACACGCTCCCTGGAAGCTGGAAGACTGTGCAGAAGACGCCCATTCGGACTGCTGTGCCGCGTCCCACGTCTCCTCCTCGAAGCCATGTGCTGCGGTCACTCAGGCCTCTGCAGAAGCCAAGGGAAGACAGTGGTTTGTGGACGAGAGGGCTGTGAGCATCCTGGCAGGTGCCCCAGGATGCCACGCCTGGAAGGGCCGGCTTCTGCCTGGGGTGCATTTCCCCCGCAGTGCATACCGGACTTGTCACACGGACCTCGGGCTAGTTAAGGTGTGCAAAGATCTCTAGAGTTTAGTCCTTACTGTCTCACTCGTTCTGTTACCCAGGGCTCTGCAGCACCTCACCTGAGACCTCCACTCCACATCTGCATCACTCATGGAACACTCATGTCTGGAGTCCCCTCCTCCAGCCGCTGGCAACAACAGCTTCAGTCCATGGGTAATCCGTTCATAGAAATTGTGTTTGCTAACAAGGTGCCCTTTAGCCAGATGCTAGGCTGTCTGCGAAGAAGGCTAGGAGTTCATAGAAGGGAGTGGGGCTGGGGAAAGGGCTGGCTGCAATTGCAGCTCACTGCTGCTGCCTCTGAAACAGAAAGTTGGAAAGGAAAAAAGAAAAAAGCAATTAGGTAGCACAGCACTTTGGTTTTGCTGAGATCGAAGAGGCCAGTAGGAGACACGACAGCACACACAGTGGATTCCAGTGCATGGGGAGGCACTCGCTGTTATCAAATAGCGATGTGCAGGAAGAAAAGCCCCTCTTCATTCCGGGGAACAAAGACGGGTATTGTTGGGAAAGGAACAGGCTTGGAGGGAAGGGAGAAAGTAGGCCGCTGATGATATATTC
Source organism: Homo sapiens (assembly GCF_000001405.40). Taxonomy (NCBI): domain Eukaryota; kingdom Metazoa; phylum Chordata; class Mammalia; order Primates; family Hominidae; genus Homo; species Homo sapiens. Next base: position 106,492,005 of record NC_000013.11, on the reverse strand, counting down.
GGGCAGGACTGTTGTGGTACTGGCAATAAGATACACAGCTCCGAGCTGTAGGAGAGTCGGTCTGCTTTGGATGATTTTTTAAGCAGACTCAGCTGCTATACTTATCACATTTTATTAAACACAGGGAAAGCATTTAGGAGAATAGCAGAGAGCCAAATCTGACCTAAAAGTTGAAAAGCCAAAGGTCAAACAGGCTGTAATTCCATCATCATCGTTGTTATTAAAGAATCCTTATCTATAAAAGGTAGGTCAGATCCCCCTCCCCCCAGGTTCCTCCTTCCCCTCCCGATTGAGCCTTACGACACTTTGGTTTATGCGGTGCTGTCCGGGTGCCAGGGCTGCAGGGTCGGTACTGATGGAGGCTGCAGCGCCCGGTGCTCTGTGTCAAGGTGAAGCACATACGGCAGACCTCTTAGAGTCCTTAAGACGGAAGTAAATTATGATGTCCAGGGGGAGAAGGAAGATAGGACGTATTTATAATAGGTATATAGAACACAAGGGATATAAAATGAAAGATTTTTACTAATATATATTTTAAGGTTGCACACAGTACACACCAGAAGATGTGAAATTCATTTGTGGCAATTAAGTGGTCCCAATGCTCAGCGCTTAAAAAAACAAATTGGACAGCTACTTCTGGGAAAAACAACATCATTCCAAAAAGAACAATAATGAGAGCAAATGCAAAAATAACCAAGTCCTCCGAAGGCATCTCACGGAACCGTAGACTAGGAAGTACGAGCCCCACAGAGCAGGAAGCCGATGTGACTGCATCATATATTTAACAATGACAAGATGTTCCGGCGTTTATTTCTGCGTTGGGTTTTCCCTTGCCTTATGGGCTGAAGTGTTCTCTAGAATCCAGCAGGTCACACTGGGGGCTTCAGGTGACGATTTAGCTGTGGCTCCCTCCTCCTGTCCTCCCCCGCACCCCCTCCCTTCTGGGAAACAAGAAGAGTAAACAGGAAACCTACTTTTTATGTGCTATGCAAAATAGACATCTTTAACATAGTCCTGTTACTATGGTAACACTTTGCTTTCTGAATTGGAAGGGAAAAAAAATGTAGCGACAGCATTTTAAGGTTCTCAGACCTCCAGTGAGTACCTGCAAAAATGAGTTGTCACAGAAATTATGATCCTCTATTTCCTGAACCTGGAAATGATGTTGGTCCAAAGTGCGTGTGTGTATGTGTGAGTGGGTGCGTGGTATACATGTGTACATATATGTATAATATATATCTACAATATATATTATATATATCTATATCATATTTCTGTGGAGGGTTGCCATGGTAACCAGCCACAGTACATATGTAATTCTTTCCATCACCCCAACCTCTCCTTTCTGTGCATTCATGCAAGAGTTTCTTGTAAGCCATCAGAAGTTACTTTTAGGATGGGGGAGAGGGGCGAGAAGGGGAAAAATGGGAAATAGTCTGATTTTAATGAAATCAAATGTATGTATCATCAGTTGGCTACGTTTTGGTTCTATGCTAAACTGTGAAAAATCAGATGAATTGATAAAAGAGTTCCCTGCAACCAATTGAAAAGTGTTCTGTGCGTCTGTTTTGTGTCTGGTGCAGAATATGACAATCTACCAACTGTCCCTTTGTTTGAAGTTGGTTTAGCTTTGGAAAGTTACTGTAAATGCCTTGCTTGTATGATCGTCCCTGGTCACCCGACTTTGGAATTTGCACCATCATGTTTCAGTGAAGATGCTGTAAATAGGTTCAGATTTTACTGTCTATGGATTTGGGGTGTTACAGTAGCCTTATTCACCTTTTTAATAAAAATACACATGAAAACAAGAAAGAAATGGCTTTTCTTACCCAGATTGTGTACATAGAGCAATGTTGGTTTTTTATAAAGTCTAAGCAAGATGTTTTGTATAAAATCTGAATTTTGCAATGTATTTAGCTACAGCTTGTTTAACGGCAGTGTCATTCCCCTTTGCACTGTAATGAGGAAAAAATGGTATAAAAGGTTGCCAAATTGCTGCATATTTGTGCCGTAATTATGTACCATGAATATTTATTTAAAATTTCGTTGTCCAATTTGTAAGTAACACAGTATTATGCCTGAGTTATAAATATTTTTTTCTTTCTTTGTTTTATTTTAATAGCCTGTCATAGGTTTTAAATCTGCTTTAGTTTCACATTGCAGTTAGCCCCAGAAAATGAAATCCGTGAAGTCACATTCCACATCTGTTTCAAACTGAATTTGTTCTTAAAAAAATAAAATATTTTTTTCCTATGGAAAAAGTGCCTTCAAAGTACTTTTCTTCTTTTCTTTTCATTTTTCTTTCTTTTTTGTTTGTTATTTTAATTTGCCTTCCTTTACTCTATTTCCCCCAAAATTACAGTTAATCCAGAGACTTCTGTCTATGGACACTGTGTGCCCACTTTTCAAATCGGGATGTGCACATCACACAAATATTAATTTTGCTAAGAGCCGTGAGCTCGTTATTCCCCATAAAACCACAAACTCTCATTTCAAAAATAATATGCAATTGTATAAAATCCTAATAATCCTCAACAGAAAATCTCTCTAGTGGCACCTGAATTGCACAGTCAGAATAGTTACCTACAAAGTTAGCTGTCTCAGGAAAAAGAGGGAAATGTACTCTTATCTTACACTTAATTCCAGATCGATCTAGTGTCCATAGAAGCAAAGCAGCGGTCTATCGCTTCATTTTTCTTAACAGAATAATCCTAGGGAGAAGGAAAAAGTCAAATGTTTTTGTAAAAACTTAACATTGATGAGAGCACATTTTGAGATACTGGTTGAAGGCAAGCCAGAGGCCAGCTGTGAGTTTAAAACACACTTTCAGTGGTCATCTTCCTGGGGAAGGTAACTATGTACCCTGAGGGGTGTGATTGTTTTTCAGGCCTCTTGTAGTCCTGGGTATTAAGACTGATCACTATACTTCCTGGGTAGCTTTTTAAACAACCAAGAGTCCCCACCCATGGCAGAGAACTTCACACCCTTGAGATCTGAGTGCTAACATCTTTACATTATCTCAGGTTAATCCCTGCCATAAGAGTGAGACATTTTAGGTAGGGAGAATAGGAAAAGGCCCCTGGAGTCAGGAAGCAAGCCAGAAGAGTTCCCAGGTCTGACTGACTTGCCCAGGACCACACCCCAGTCAGTGGAAGAAACCATATGTTTCAAAAGTCCATAGGTGATGAAGAAAGGCTGGTTTGGACACAGGGATCTACACAGCTTAGCACAGTACTTGTACTAGAGAAATGTTTGTTAAATAAATGCCTCCCTTCATCAGCAACAACAACAATCCCCGGAGGCCCAGGGTTTTCGTGGATGGTAGAATCGTAGTTTCATCTGTTCCAGGATTTTCTCCTGCTGCACCCACCTGCCTTCAGTTGCAGATCCAAGTTGATGGATGCAATTTTATGGCCAAGCCACTAAGCTGAACCCTCGACCGTGTGCACCAAGGTCATTTCTAGTTAGTTTGGGCAAAAGAAAAGAACCAAAGTGAAATCATGCATTTTCAACCTTTACTTTGTGGTACCTATTACAACATAAATTACCGAATACACAATGTCATGGTTTGGACCCTGTTTTTAAACCACGTTTTCTGAGTAAGCCAAGCTCAGCTAAGAAACAAGATTTGTCCACTTGTTCTTTTCACCTGGGAAGAAGGAACACACGCAGAAGCTCCTTGCAGAGGGCGTATAACCAGATGCCCTTTGTTCTGTCTCAAAGGTGAGCCCAGCCTGCTCTGAGCACGTTACTTCTCTGCACAGGCGAGCGTCCCTCAGCCAGCAGCCAGCTCTCTTTCTTATCAACTCCCTTTTTGGCAAAGCAGATGGCCATTCAAACCCTGGGATAAAGGTTCGCAATGGAAATGAGAAAAAATAAAGTATTCCTTTCTGGGTAACTGCTGTCCAGCTTACTGTCAGTCTCTGAACCCAACCCAGAGAAGAATTAGCAAGAGAAAAAGTAAACTCCAGAGTAGTAAAACTCACTTTCCTAATGTAGGTTAAAAAAAAAAAAGAAAGAAAAAGAAAAAGGACCATTACCCTACTTTTTGGTTGGGTAGCAAATAGGTCTCAGGTGGCTCAGGAGACACAGTAGCTACTGCAGCACCAAGGACACTAGCCTGGATGTGCTACTGCTTTGGTTTTTACTTTGGATGGATTTTTGAATTACGTTTGTGATATTTACACTATACACTTACTTGAAGGCAAATTTTCAGTGTTGTCATGGAAAAGAGTATTTCCTACTCCGATTCATTATTCCAGGTAGAGAATCATTCATCAGTGATTTGAGGGGGGGGTACTAAAATATTGCATTATTTGTAACAAAATATAGCAAACCAGGTAGGTTAATCCATTTTTAGATATGTCCCAAAAGCTAACGATACATGCAGCTTAAGATTTTTATACTTTGATAACTTGATTAGTGGAATCTCTTTAAAACAGTGTTCATATGAAGTCAACCATATCTTTAAAAACAACCAACCCCCTCAAGAATTCTCCAGGTATACACCAGGTACACAGGCATACGGCACAAGGAAAATAATACTAATTATAGCAGCACAGTTTCTGGCCAGTTGTAGACAGTTAACAAAGGTGTTAAATCATGAAAGGGGCACCTGGTTTCTGGCTGTATTTCTGCTACTGACTCATGCTGTGACCTTCAGCAGATCCTTTTATGTTCTGTGCCTCAGAGCCTCACCTGTAAAGTGAGAGGGATGGATTCTAAGATACCAAAGGTCGCTTTTGCCTTTTTGCAGGATTCGCAGCAAAAAGCCATCACCATTTTCAGCTGTACAAAAGTATCTCCATGCAAGCTTCTCCGTGTCCTAGTGTGCTGCAGACACAGCTCTGAAGTCTGCGGAGGTGGTGCCCAGTCGGCCCCACCTCTTAGCTGCGCATGCCCATCCACCCACTGCCTCCAGCAAGAACCCACTGCCTCCAGCAAGAACCCGCTGCCCAGGGCCCGGGGTCCAGGACTCTGCGGCTCTTCACCCCTCCCTAGAATCAAAATCCAAAAAGACTTCAGAACCAGCGATGTATATGTACGGATTGAGCTGGTGTTGCCAGCCCTTCCCTCTAATTGTTAAGTGGAATCATTTATCTCTATTTAAAAACATTTTCAGGCCACTGCAGGCGGGGTCCGAGCACATTCGCTACACTCTTCTACGTGACTGTCTGATAAAGACCCACCACGAGCCAGGCAACGTGTCGGGTGGTCACGGTGTCCCCTTCCACCAGTTAACTTAGCCCAACTTGACTTTGTCTTCCTTGTAGACTCAAGATTAATTTAACTTCCTGTTGAATATTGTTCATGCTGGTATCTGGAACACATCCTTATCCCTCCTTTATTATTTACACCTCTAATTCTGTAGTCTGTGACAGAAAACTGTAGAATTGAGAAACATCTTTTAGTTGATAATAGAGCTATTATTTCTTAACTAAGTGCCATTCATGCTTAATAAAGAGATTACAGGGGTGTGTGTATGTGTGTGTGTATGTGTGTGTATGTGTGTGTATGTGTGTATGTGTGTATGTGTGTGTATGTGTGTATGTGTTTATGTGTGTGTGTGTGTGTGTATGTGTGTGTATGTGTGTGTGTGTGTGTGTGTGTGTGTGTTTTAAAAGGCGTGATGACTCTTATCTTAAAACGTCCAAGAACAGTAGGGGAGATAAATTTCCTCAAAGCAAATTGCTTAAAATTACCTAGAATCTTAAACTGAATACTCCAAGAATCCTCTTCAGGTATATCATTTTTGTGCAGTGGCTTCATTAACACAACACTAAACGAAGAAAAAAAGTAGTCAAAATTCATTTCTATCTCTGGGATTCATCAACTGGGAAAAAATGCTCCAGGAAGAGCTCACAGCTTGCTCTATCTTCCAGTGGGTCTAGGAGTATTTGATCTCTTAGTTCTTCATCAACTGAGTGACCTGCATGATGTTCAAGATGACAAAAAAGATGTGAGACAGGTTTCTATACACATAACTCCAACTTTTTTGTTTGTTTGTTTTACATGAATAACTAGTATAGCTTAGATTCCTTTACATGCTAAGAAAGCATAGAACCTGTGGAATCTGGGGCACCTCTGTCTGGAACTTCTGTTTCTTCATGTGACCCAAGGCAAACCACATAGCAGGTCCTTGACTTAGGCCAGCCATCTGCAACGTGGACTCCCTCGGATACTCATTGAGACTTCCTAAGACTTAGGTCAATTACATGCAGCTAATGTTGAAGTGTAGCTCATAAAACACAACAAATCCAAAAATCTCATCTCTGTTTTCAGCAGAGAACACACAGGTTAGTAGGGAGCCGTGGGGAGAGGCAGAGGCAGCACTGGTTTCAGTCACCCTCAGCTAGCACCTTTTCATTAGATGGGCCTGAGACACTCAAAATGAGCTCACCTAAGCAGATTCTTGCTTATTGATAAGTCTAGAAGCTTCATATAACGAACACACACACATGTGCATGCATGCATACACACACACACATTAATTTGTCCACTCATATAACATCATTTATTTAGCACTTACTATCTACCAGGCAGTGTGCTGAATATTAGAGATTATAACATGAAAGACAGGATTCCTCCTATGAGGGAACTCACGGTCCACTTAGGAATTTTAAAACCTCATGAACAGCAATTAGGCATCTCGGATGCAGGTGAGAAAGGAAGGAAGAAGGCTTACAGCTGCTCTAGGTCTGAATTCCTTGGGCATTGTTTTAGGAAGGTGTTTGTCTATTTGTAGCTGTCTTTTCATCCACCTGTATCTTCTGTTACTGCCAGTTCAATTTCTTTCCTTTTAAATCTTTCATTACATGTATGCCGACTGGCTGGTTAAGATGCTAAATTTAGAATCGCTGTTCTGCTCTTCAGAACGTCTTAGGAGTTTGCCTCAAGTGCCTGCCTCCAGCCTTAAAGGGCAAATCAAAAAGTTTCCAACTGGTTTCCAGCCCACATTACAATGTGTATGTGTATTTGAAAGACTGTTTCTTGGCTATAATTGGTAGTTTTCTGGTAGCTGGTTCTGAGGAAAGAATTGCAGAGAACTTTATGTCCGCTAACAGTAGTTAGCCCTGGACCCAAAAACAGTAGGGAAAAAAAGGAAGTCTGAGTATCTGGGGTGTTTGCCAAAGTGACCTACAAGCTACGTGCAGCATAAGCATTTCAGACGAGCAGACGCGGGGCTCCTCCTGCATAAACCCAGGTCCCTGCCTCTTAACTTCCGTCTTTGTAAAAGGGGAGGGAAAAGATAAGGGTCTCCTACCAACTCCCTTAAATATTTCAGATAAAAATAATGACGGCATTAATTACACTTCAACTTACACCAGTTTATTCCTCCACACTGTTGGCTGGGTGTCAGGAAAAGATGAAAAACATTTTCCAGGAGTGCCTGTGTCAGAAGTTCGTATTCTGTGTAGCAGTCACACGTGGGCTTATATAAAAAAAAAAAAAGTCTGCTTAAGCATGGTGGAAGCACCATTCTCCATTTCCAAAACTATCGGGTACTTTGCTAAACAATGGAAAATGTACCTTGATAGTTTGGTCTCTGAAGCTCCCACTGAGGCCGCGCTGCCGGGACTGGGTTTTTTGCTGCAAACAGTTGCTGAAAAAGTGGGAGGCATTAACGTTTGTGTGCAACACAATGAGTGGAGCCAATAAAGCCTCGTGTGCTGTGGACGTTAACCACAGGGAGAGGCAGCTGTCCATTGGAAAGGTGGCATACCAAGTCCTCACCTCCTAAAGATGGCCTGGTGGGACATGCTCTCTCCCTGAGTCACCATCGCCTCAGGGACCACGAGAACATGGATTAAAGCCACATGGCTTTTCATCCCCTGTGCGTTGTTTTTGAGTCTCAATTATGCTAACTTTAAGAACAGATTCCAGAAAAGTGTTTGAAATATGGCAATAGAATTTTTTAACCAGCACCGCCGGCCAAGCAGGTACTACTATTACAACAGTGATTAGGCAGTTTGAAGAGTCTGGCAAATGCTTTATAAGGTCACCCCAGCTTTTTATAGCAGCAAACAGAAATCCTTTGGGAAAACTTTTCTACTGCAGACCATCGGCACCCGCGTGTTCTGTGATGCTTCTTGGTTTTGGATATCAATATCTGATTTCTGACATTCAAGTATGTCTACCTATGAACTCTGCAGAGCCCTAAGGTAGGGAGACTGGAGATCTGTGGAGCTTTCTGTTTGCAGGTGATGTGCTTTTTATCCCTTTGGTTCTTTTTATTTTTCCTAGTATTTTACTTTGGAAATTTTCAGATATACAGAAAAGTTGAAAGACAGAACAATGAACTCCCAGCTATCTTCTATGTAGAGTCAATAATCAGCACTTTGTACATATGCTCATGCTCTGTGTGTTTCTATGTACATCAGTATGTGTGTATGTGTGTATATGGATGTGTACACACATTCCTTGGCTGAAGAATTTTCAGATCTCACAATACTTTCTTCCCACATGTCAGCATCTCGGAAGATGAAACCCTCTTGTATAACCACAATGCCATTATCAGTCTTGAGAAAATGTACAAGCATTTCATAATATAATCTACTATCTAATCTATTAAATTTATCTTTTTAGGTTTTTTTTAAAATGTGGGTAAAAATAACACTATAACTTTATCTGATTAAAAATTATGATTCCTTTTCCATCCCCTCCTCCATTTCTCAAAGTAAGCACTGGCATAATCAGTCTTGTCTATCTGTTCAGAAAAATGATATATGCACACACTTGCATATAAATAGTGTTTCTAAATGATCTCTATAGAGATCACATCAGAAATACTGTTTTATGCCATGTATTTTTGGTAAGTAATATGTCTTGGAGACCATTCCTCATCAGCACGCTCAGATCTACTTAAAAAAAAAACTGCCACATAATATGCTTGTTTATTTTGTCCATCATCTACAGGCAAAATATGGTTTTTAAGCTGTTCTGCATACTGCTTCATGAACATATTTTGGTTTGTGGAGAGACAGGAGGGCTCATCAGATAATCGAGGTACTCCACTATTTCTCTCAGCCTCACTTGCACATAGGTTGAGGGCAATGGGCCGTAGCTGGAATGATGTGGTGACATAAAAGAACAGGTGCTGGATCTTCATGTGCTCCTCCTTTCCTGCTGTAGTGACTATAGATATCACAAGTTCTAGAAGGCACAGCTCAAAGATGATAGAAGCTTGGTCAGCCTGGATCCCTGAGTGACTTTGTGGAGTAGAGCCTCCCACTGACCTGCGGTACTATGCTCTTTGCATAATAAATAAAATGAACATGCTAAGCCGGAATATTTGGGGAATTGTTTGTTGCCACAGCATAAGCCTACCTGTTCTTACACACACTTGACATCTCAAGGTACTTTTCCAAATATATCCTTCACCTAAATTCCTGGTGGTGAGATTGCTGTATGAAAGGAAATAGCCTTTTGAAATTTTGATAGATACTGCCAGATTGTCTTCCAATTTCCTTCCTCTTTCACTTCTGGTTTGAACACATAATTTGTGTTCCACTCCATTTCTTCTCTTCTCTGGTTTGTTTACATTTTTACTCTGTGATATGCTTTACAACCTACAAGAGGCAAATAGGATGAAACAGATTAATACTAAAAGGAGCCTTTAATTTGTTTGTGTGTTACTGTATTTAAAGTACTATCTCTGTTTTAAGTAACAACTGTTGAAACATTACATATCACTTTGATGCCAGCTGTGGAAATTAGAAATAAATGTAATACATAAATATATGTCAAATAATCTGAAGCCCCCCCTTGTTACAGTTTAGACCTCTTTTGTTTCATAGCTGTGGATGCATAAGAGCTCTTTCATTAGTGTATTTGCTACTAAAATAGGACTTGATATCTGCTAGTGTGACCAGAGCATGTGATCTTGAGCTGTGGACCTGGGAACATGATGCAGAGAGATTTGTATTTTTGCTTTTAATAGAGAAGACGCCTAAGTGTAAGCCATGTAATTGCAGTCAGTTATCTTGCTAGCACAAACAAAACCGAGTATTCCGGATCTAATAGAAATTTCATCTAATGAGATTTAGGCAGTAATTCTCTCATGAATGTGATATACTTTGTTACTTCGTTCTCCTTTTTGAACCAGTAAGAGGATATGTTAAGAGTTATACAGAAAAATTGAAAGGCATGTGCTTTATTTATTTTGCCAAATATTTACTATCTCCCCAAGTGTCTTCCCATTTATTTAAAATTGTGCCAGAAGCTTTGCAGGAAACATAAAAAGCACCTAAGATAGAGCTGCTGTGAAAATAGCAATCACGGCCCACTGTAGTAATCTTAGTTTTCTAAGAGAAACATAATCTTTTCAGAATAATAAATATTGTTTATTTTAAAAATTACAATTTTAGGGAAATAAGTGATTGTTTTGAGAGTTATGACAGCCTACTAAAGAAGTTCTGTAAACTTTCATGCCCTGTTTTAAAGTAGAACTCCCTGTACCCGAAGCCAGAGATTCAGATTCTATAGAGCTGGTGTGACCCAAGAATCTTTTTTCCCCTGCAAACAGAAGATTGCTGGTGTATGAATGGTTGATAACAGCTCGAAGGTTTCCCTCTCATGGGGTTTTTCTTTTTATTCTTTTCTTTTCTTTCCTTTTTAATAAACAAGGTTCAATCTCTTCAATTAAAGGACTTAAACTGTCTAACATAATTTTAGTGATCAGATATGAAGGGAGGATGAGGATAAGGAGATTTGTATGTTTATACATACATACTTTTTTTTTCTTGGACAATAACTTAGTTCTAGAACCTGAGCTTAAATCTCAAACCCCATAGATCATACTACATAGGAGGTTGCCCACTCTGTCTAGGGTAAGGCTCCACTGATCCTCCAATGAGTCCTTTTACGAAACAACACCTACTCCCTCTACGCCTCTTCAGTGCCTGTCTGGGCCTTGCTTGTCTGCATATAATACAGATGGTTCAAAAATAGAGATGAAGCCAACAATCAGAGACTTTCAACAGAAAGACTGGCAAAAGGATCAGCCCTTGGAGAAATAGCGGGGCTGTTTTGGAATGAGTTGAACGCACCTCTGCTTCATTCTTCCTCCCAAACTGTCCAGGCCGTGGGTCCTGGGGCCTTCTGAGATTCTTGGGTACCTCCTGGCTCCTCCTCCCTCATCTCATCACCCAGCTACAGAGTTTGTGTTGGCATAAACCACATCCACTGGTCTCCCTGCTTAGTATCCCAGCTCCTCCACCCCCAGATTTCAACTATCTAATCTGATGAACAGTTTCTAAAGGTTAGAAGGCCTTGCTCAGGAAACATATGGTTTATTTAACTCAGGTCTTCTGAAGATAATGTCCCTGTTTTTCTTGTTTTTCCCAGTAAAACATCAGCTCATAGCAAGTCAATATAGAAATATTTTCTTGGCAATGAGAGCTTCTCTGCAACGTTCAAACTATGCCTTTGCTGTCCAGATGCAGGCCCGGCTTTGGCTGTGGTTCCCTAGAACAGTAAGGATAAGCATAATTTGTTTTTCTTTTCTTCCTTCCTCTTTTTTCACATCATGAACATTCTCATTTTTTTCTTATAGGAATTGAGACACTGGGCGAGGTTTCTAATTACTTCAGCAAACACAGGCAATCAATAGCTAGCGGTCATAACCAAGAAGAGAGAAAATGGAGTCCGTTTGTTTTCTTTCGGGCTCTTTCCCTTTCTTTTTGCCAATTTCCACATGCAAGGAAATAGCTCATAGGGCTTGCGCTCCGTGGATCTGAGCTACAGGAGGCCCCACAGAGCATTATCAAAACACATTAGAAAAAGATCACATTGCAAGGAGGAGCAGGCTCGGCCCGCCAGAGATCTCTCCCCCTGTGCTAGGAATCCAGTGGCGGGCAATGATGCTCATCTGCACCTCCTCCTTCATCCTGCACCGTGCAAAATCGGCCAGCGGAGGCCTTCCTGTTCAGCCCAAATCATGGCGTATCTGATATAGAAGGAGGTTCTTTCAAAAATGCAGCGTCATCCTCGCACATTCCCAAAAGACAGCTGCGGGTGCGTTTCCACTGCAGATGGGCTCTGTGGGAACCCCATGCTGCTGCGTGTTAGCTACGAGCTCTTGAGAAAGCTACTTCACCTCCCGGAACCTCAGTTTTTTCATCAGTGAAAAGAGGTCTACGAACACCCACCTTGAAAGCTGCCATGAGATTAGTGGGAATAACACGCACAAAAGGGGCTAGAAGGTAATAGGCACTCAGTAACGATCTGTGAATAGTGTCTCTCTATTTCATACTATCTTGAGATATAGCTGATCTCAAGACTTGGCTTTGTGATAGGTTTTATTGTTTGTTTTTGTTTTTGTTTTGTTTTGTTTGAGATGGAGTCTCGCTGTGTCACCCAGGCTGAAGTGCAATGGCTAGATCTCAGCTCACTGCAACCTCTGCCTCCTGGGTTCAAGTGATTCTCCTGCCTCAGCCTCCCTAGTAGCTGAGACTACAGTTGTGCACCATCACGCCGGGCTAATTTTTGTATTTTTAGTGGAGACGTGGTTTCATCATATTGGTTAGGCTGGTCTTGAACTCCTGACCTGGGGTGATCCACCTACCTCGGCCTCCGAAAGTGCTGGGATTACAGGCGTGAGCCACCGTGCCCAGCCCTAGATTTTATTCTTGACCGCAAATAATCCTACGTTGCTGACTTTTTTTTTTAAATACACCTCTTTTAATAGGCATGCAAACATTAGTGTCAACATTACATTATGTATACAGTGGTCCCTCCTTATTGTTTTCCTCAGTTTCAGTTACCCTTAGTCAACCAAGTTCTGAAACTATTATGTCACTACTCTTGTGCTCTGGGGCCATTATGACCTAAAATAAAGGTTACTTGAACACAGCGCTGTGATACCTCAATGCTTGATCAGAGAACCAAGGCAAAGCTACTAAGCGGCTAATGGCAATCCAGGCTGAATGCAGACAGCACCAGGCTCCATCATGCTGCTAAGACCGACGCCATTTAGAACATATGCATGTTTATTTCTGGAATTGTTTATTCATGTCACAATGCCTGCATCATTCATCTCATTTCATCTCATCACACGGGCATCGTATCATCTCACATCATCACAAGGAGAAGGGTGAGTAACATACAATAAGATATTTTGAGAGAGAGAGAGACCACATTCACGAAACTTTTATGACAGTATATCATTATAATTGTTCTGTTTTATTATTTTGTTGATCTCTTACTGTACCTAATTTATACATTAAACTTTGTCTTAGTTGTGAACATATAGAAAAAAACATAGTATATACAGGGTTTAGTACTATCTGTGGTTTCAGGCATCCACGGGGGGTCTTGAAAGGTATTCCAAGAGGAGTACACATTGTACAGCATCTTTAGATATCTCCAAGGGAAGAGGAAATCCATATGCATTTTTTTCCCAGAGTAAGGACAGAACATTCTTTGCACCTGACTTTCCTGCCTTCATTATTTAAGTCAGCATCAATATATACTTCATACTAAAATACTGCTGATTCAGACCTAAAAGGAGATCAAGTTTTTCCTGGTTTATACCTGGCTTATACAATAAGACAAAATATATGGTAACTATATTAAAAGCATACACAGAATGCATCTCTGCGAAAGTTCCCGTCCCTGTGTCAGGATTCTACATGTGCCAGCTGCTGCTGGAGAGCAGGACTTTTCTAAATGAGGAGGAGGGCAGGAGCAGAGGCACCCGCGAGTTCCAGAATTAATGGGGTGTTGCTGAGTCCACTTCTGGCAGAGCCACTATAGCATCATTCTCACAGGGTGGAAGAGAATCTGGCCGTCTTCACAGTGTATTTAGTGGGCACGCAGATTACCCTCTCACCAAATGTGAGGGGCTGCGCTGTGCCACCCAACATTCCTGTGTTCAAGTCCTGATCCCCAGTACCTCAAATGACTATTTGGAGAGAGGGACTTCACTGAGCTAATCAAGTGAAAATGAAATCACTGGAGTAGATCCTAATCCAATATGACATGTTCTTATGAGAACAGGAGATCAGGACATAGGCACATATAGAGGAAAGACGGTGTGAAGACACAGGGAGAGGACGGCTGTCTCCAGGCCAAGGAGAGAGGCCTGGAATAGCTTCTTCCCTCACAGTCTTCGGATGAACCCTGCTGACACCTTGATCTTGGACTTCTAGCCTCATGTACTGTGAGAAAATACTTTTCCGTTGTTTCAACCATGCAGTTGATGACACTTCATTATGTCAGCCCCAGCAAAACAAAACACACTAAATATCTCCCTTAATCAATTATTGCTCTTAAAGAAATTCTTAGAATCCTTGCCACCTGCTTTGCATAACATACAAAGCCATGTGTTTCAGGTGGTATAAGGAAAACTGTGTGCTTCAGTGGAAAGCCATTCATTATATAAAGCAGGAGTTGGCAAACTTCACCTGAAAAGGCCAGATAGTAAAGATATTAGGCGTGTGTGCCATGTGGTCCTCGGCTGTGACTCCTTGGTTCTGTTGTGGCGACGGGAGGCAGCCGTAGACCATAAGTAAACAAATGGGTGTGTTCCAATAAAAATTTACTCACAGAAACAGGTGGGGGCCAGATTTGCAGACACCTGGTGGAGAGCACACCATTCTGGGTTATCTGGTTCCCAGCTTTCCATTCCTTTGAACTCTTCTATGACTCTATAATTTATAGATGACCAACAGCAATGCAAAATGTTGTCTGAAGACATGAAAAATAAATTCTGCCTGGTAGATGCACACATTCAATGGACTTGCCACCCCAGCCGGGGAAGAAGCTGGTTTCCTTCATCTGCACGTTTGTTTCTATATTCCTGATGCAAAATTGCGTCTGTCCTTTGTATTCTTCTTGAAACTGGTTGTTGCATCTTACCATTTTCTCATTAATGAGTTAAGTAAAATCTTTACTGTGTATTCATTGTTGTATCTGTACAAGAGTCAAGATTCTATCCATTTTTGGAACATTTTCCTTTAACACTGGATCAAGAGATTATGTTATCTGGGCAGATTAAAACATTAGCTGTATTGTGGCTGGGCATGGTGGCTCATGCCTGTAATCCCAGCACTTTGGGAGGCCAAGGCAGGAAGATCACTTGAGGCCAGGAGTTTGAGACCAGCCTGGCCAACATGGTGAAATCCCATCTCTACTAAAAATACAAAAAATTAGACGGCACAGTTGTGCGCACTTGTAATCCCAGCTACTCAGGAGGCGGAGGCAGGAGAATTGCTTGAACCTGGGAAGGTGGAGGTTGTAGTGAACCAATATCACACCACTGCATTCCAGCCTGGGCAACAGAGTGAGACTCCATCTCAGAAAACAAACAAACAAACAAAAACAACAAAACATTAGCTGTATTGTGGTACAAAAACACAGAAGTCCCAGTGCCTGAGGCTGTGAATGCAAACTAGAATGGCGAGGCTATTTCTGTGTCCTGGGCTGACGGGTGCCTCCCCAGGACTTGGGCAGTCAACTAGGGTAGCAGAGGATAAGAAGAAAGGTTTGGAATTAAACATCTTGATTTGCGTTTCAGACCCGTAATTTAATGGTTTGTGACCTTGAGCATATCTCATAAACTTTGCAGTCCTAAGTGTTCTCGCTGTAAAATGGAGAGAGGAGTACATACATCACAAGGGCTCCTAGGATTCAGATGAGACCGTAAATCTGAAAGATTTTCACAGTGCACAGCCCATTCTCAGAGCACGGTAATGTGTTGGCTAATTAAACGTAAGCAGCTGTTACGATGAAGGCAATAATAAGGACATGTAGAAAGTTTGAGAGGTTATGTGAAATGGCAACAAAAAAAACGTCACTCCATTCTTAAGTTTGTCCTGTGGCAGCATTGCATTCTTAGAGAGAAAGGTAAACAGTAAGTGGAACCATGGCCAAGAGTATAACTCTCTAACTCTTTCATATCTCTCAACCAAACAACAGCCAGCAATTTCCTTGAACATTTTCTGCCAGTGATTCAGATTTCCAAATTTTATGATAAACAGGTAACAAAGACTCATAGTCATGAAGCTATTCGCACAAAGGTTTAAGATTGGAGACAGGCCGTGCTGCTGCTGGGTCCAGACAGCCTGAGAAGTTTCTGAGTACAAGGGTCAGATGACAACATTAGGCTGAAACAACACAGCTTAACAGGCCAGGAGTTCTGTCTTCTTGAGGATCGCTTTATATTTCCTAGCATAGATCTATGCATGCACCGCATCTCAAAACATGTTATGTGCCAGGTACTTACATTTTGTACGTTTTTCTGAAGAAATTGTTAAATACTTTTATTTATTTATGCATTGGTTTTAGACATGGGGGTCTCACTATGTTGCCCAGGCTGGCCTCAAACTCCTGGGCTCAGGGATACTCCTGCCTCAGCCTCCTGAGTAGCTGGGATTACAGGAACATGCCACCATGCTCAGCTAATAATTTTACTTTTTTAATGATTCGTTCAAATTATGTCTCGAAATGTTTGCACACATCAAAATCAAAACCTCACAAATTCAACAAATATGCAATGAGCTGTGACTATGCCGGCTCCTAAGCCAGGAGCATGAAAAATACAAGAATGAAGATGGCTTAGTCAATCACAAAGTGGTTTTCACGTCTCAGAGGAGGTAGGCAAGGATCCCCATAATTAGAACCCAGGGAGGGTGACGTGGGGCCTCCACTGGGCTGGCACTCCTGGGATAACATCCACCAGCTTCTAACAAGTTGCCAGGTTGGTGAAAGTCTCTACCCTAGAAGAAACACCAGTGCAGGTCCCCTCAGGAGGGGCGATCGGAGGGAGGGAGGGAGGACAAGGAAGGCTTGCTGTAGCTCCTCTGTGATTAGCATCACAGGTGAGTCATGCCGAGGAGGGAGGGGGCTCCATTTCTGGGGTCTGTGCTTAACTCATGCCATGAAGATAATATGCTTTTTTTTCCCTCTCACTGTGAAAGAAGCTCACAGCTGGCATTGTGCTGCAGAGGCCAAGTGGTATGATACCTCAGCTCAGATAAGGATAAGGAACCAGTTACACGTTCGCCGGGAGGGTCAGTTAACTCAGCAAGTGCCCAAACTCTCACAACCCTGCCTGGCTGGGGACAGTGTTTGTCAAATCCTTTAGACTGCAACCCAGCTAGGTTACACGGTTACCTAGCATGCACCCACGTGCACACACACACACACACACACACCACACACACACCACACCACACACACACACCACACAACTAAAGCAAAACTTCATGAAAAATTTACTATTATCATACATGATGTAATCTGATGTTTTGTATATATTTTTGTTCCCTTCCAGTTTTAAAAACAACCTGCCTCATTACATTTATTTCACTACTTTCCTCAATTTCCAATAGGTCAAAATCCATAGTGTGAATGAATAACACTGGCAGTGGAATTTTAAGATCCTCAAAAGGAGTTCAGTGTACTATGGGTGTTAAAGCCATTGACGCAGTTCACAAGCGAGAAGACATTCTTGCATCCGCAGGGTTATAGTTCTTAAAATCTTGCCTCAGAATGAGTTCAAGTTTCTAAGTCTGTGCCTCAGTTTCCTCATCTGCAGAATGGAGAAACTAGCAGTATCAATCTCCTCGTGCTGTCATGATGGTTATATGGTTGCATATAAGTAAAGTGCTTAAAACAGCACTGTCTGAAATAAGATTGTTTGCTTTTGTTGCATTTGTTATTGTTGATGCATTTACATACAGCAGATTCAGTGAATGGTAAAGATAGTTTTTTTTTTTTTAACAATTATTTAATTTTAAAAAAGTCATAACCAAGGATGATAGCATTTGCTTCCTCTCACTTCTCCTTTCAGGGTAGCGCATCAAAATTGCAATTCCAGGCCAGGCGTGAGCCACCGTAATCCCAGCACTTTGGGAGGCCGAGGCAGGCAGATCTCCCGAGGTCACGAGTTGGAGATCAGTCTGGCCAACATGGTAAAACCCCATCTCTACTAAAAATACAAAAATTAGCCAGGTGCAGTGGCAGGTGCCTGTAATCCCAGCTACTCCGGAGGCTGAGGCAGGAGAATTGCTTGCCCCCGGGAGGTGGAGGTTGCAGTGAGCCGAGATCATGCCACTGCACTCCAGCCTGGAAGAAAAGACCGAGACTCCGTCTCAAAACAAAAAAAAAAAAAAAAAAAGAAAAAAAATTGCAATGCCAATGCATAAGAGCAAATTAGCAGCCCCCATAGGGTTTGTCTTAATAATAATTACTGAGTTACAACTGACAACAGTTCCAAATAATTTATTATGGGTACAATATGCCAATAAAAAGAATATTGGCAAACATTTATAGAAACTACAATTTCCATTTCTGCCGTGAAGACCTTCCCAAAGGCTCTGGCCGGCTCTGTTCTGTTGAACTGGACTTCTAGCAGCGGGCGTGGGAAACTCACTCCAGGACGGCGCAGCTTCTCTCAGCCCTGATGGGGAGACGGGGTCTGGGCCTGCGCTTCAACTGCAGCCCCGCAGGATTCACGACTGCCTAGGGCTGCTGGAGGACCAGGTGGGTTAGCCCACCCCAAACCTGTGTCCCAGTGCCTGAGGCTGTGAATGCAAACTTGCCCAAGAGGTTTCCTGGGAAAGGATTGTCGGAAAACCAGACAGAGACAAGGCTTATCAGCCTGACTCAATGCCAAATGCCAGGGTCAGCAGGGACACCTGATGCACGAGGGCACACACACTGCTGGCCACTCCGCCCTCAGCTCTGGCCTGGCCCTCAGCCCTCACATGCTGCCGTCAGAGGCCTGAGCAAGGTACTGAAATGGAGGAAATGTACACATTGAAGAGCAGTCTCACTGCCATCTCTGCTGTGCGGTGAGAGCACACGACTTCAATTCAGAAAACATTTCAGCGTGCTGCCACAAGCCGGGCCTGTGTCCCACCAGCTCCCTTCAAAAAGCACGGCTCAGCCCAGCTTTCCATGCTGGGGGCTGACTTCAGGCCACAGCCACAGTGCCATGGCCCTTGGTAGGCATGTCACTAGGGTGGGGACTTCAGAGGACACTGGGTCACTCCTTACGGACCGGAAGCTGGATAACACCCAGTTAGCTGGAGCAGCAGAGGAGGAAAATGGTGACCACCTCCTTGTAGTCAAGAGGAATTTGTTGAACACACGTAAGACCTTCCTAGAGAACTTTTACACTGATTAAGGGGAATTTAAAGGTGCTTAAAAGGGAGGTAGACGGGCTAGGGAAATTCCAGTCATGAGTGTAAACAGGAGCCTGTTCTACCCACAGCTTAGGAGGACCTGGGAAATGTGAGCCACCTTTACCATCACACATGGCAGGGTTTGGAACCTGGAACCCCTGATGGCTTTGTGGATATTATTCAGAGATTTGCAAACCCAGACAGATTAAAAAAAAAAAAAGAAGCAAAACTACACACAAAAGCAAGAACAAAAGTAAAAAGACTGCGTCATTATTTCTTCCAACCTCTAATTGAGATTTAGCATTTTCTTCCTTTGGGAACATAAGCACTTTCATATTCAGCCACTGCATCTGTATTTCCTCTCACAGCTTCTTTTGCAGGAATGACTTCATTCTACCACCCTTTGCTGCCATATCAGGACGTCGGGAAGCAAAGAGACGTGTCGGCTTGATCAGCACACAGGTCATTCCTAGAGAGATCAGCTCAGTCACCGAGCAGGCAGGAACAGGCACTCTGGAGGGGAGAGGCAGGCCCAGGAGGATGAGTCAAGGCAGGGATTGAAACTGCAGGATGAGGGAGTCAGCGCCTGGGAACCCACAGGGCGGAGTTAGATAAGAAGAAATGCCCGCGGAATCTGCAGTTTAAATGGAGCCTGGGGTTTGTAAAGAGGAGTCAGGCGTTCTTTACCTTGTCAGTTCCGACTGCTTTGTGCACAGCTGACTCAGAGACCGGGTGGGGCTGCCCTCTTAGGTGAAACCAGACCGATTAGAAAGTCGGCTGGGCCCTGCAGATCCTGCCGGCCACACCCTCCCAGCATTAAGGGTATGCCTCATCTGTGAAACCAACTCTCCCCCGTGAAGGAGAAGTGACATGTCCATTTTAAAGAAAATCACTTCATGGTTGAGGAGGCATGATTTTTGCATGCAACAGAGGCAGTGTAGAAGAAGTTCTTAATCAACCTTTGTGCCAAGAAGCTCTTTAGCAGTCTGATGAAGCCCGTGGGCCCCTTCTAAGAATAATATTTTTAAACCCATAACATAAATACATCGGGCACCAAGGAAACCAGTTATATTGAAACAGCTATCAAAGGAAACCAAATATCTTGAAATACAGTTATCAAAATATTGAAGTAATTGTGATCTAGTACTACGTGTGCCTCTTGATTAACTCTTTAAGTAACAAGATCTAGTATAATTCAGAAGTACATTGTACTAACGGCAATGACATTTTAAGGCATTTGCCAAAACTGCAAGGTGTTGTGGGGACACTCGCATTTTCTGTTGGTGACCAAGGGGCATTTCATGTTATACCTTTATAGAAAGAACAACGTAGTTCCCTGTGTCTTGTGGAATAGTGTGATGATTACAGGGGGAGTTCCACTAGAAAGCAGCATTCATTGATGTTGCTGATGGACTTACGGGAGTCAAACATTCCATTTTTCAAATTAAGAGCTGTGATACTGGCTGGGACTGGTGGCTCATGCCTGTAATCCCAGCACTTTGGGAGGCCAAGGTGGATCACTTGAGGTCAGGAGTTCAAGACCAGCCTGGTCAACCTGGTGAAACTCCATCTCTACTAAAAATACAGAAATTAGCTGGGCGTGGTGGTGGGCGCCTGTAATCCTGGCTACTCAGGAGGCTGAGGCAGGAGAATTGCTTGAACCTGGGAGACGGAGTTTGCAGTGAGCCGAGATCATGCCACTGCACCATTGCACTCCAGCCTGGGTGACAGAGCAAGACTCCACCTAAAAAAAAAAAAAAAAAAAGAGCTGTGATATTAAAAATGGCTTGGATGCACTGTTTTGGCTCAGAGAAGGGGCTTTGGAGTCAGGCCGACTGCTGTCATCCTAGCTCTTCCCTCTGCCCCCTCTGTGACCAGAGCTAAGTTCCTTTACTTCCATGAGCCTCAGTTTTCTCTTCAGTGGTAAGAGCACCGCTCACAGAGCTGTCGTGAGGCACACATGAGACCATGCTCCGAGGTGCTTGGCACATGCTGAGTACTCAATATGTCTCAGCTGTTGTATTTTGTGTTATTTAGATGCAACATACACAGGCTTCAATGAGCAAGAGGAATCCAATGGGATCCTAATCTGCTTAAAACACTCGTGTGGGCGTTTCCACAAATGGACCTAACCACACTCTCCCTTACTGTCCCTAGCAGGGGCATCAGTTAGGGTGAGCACAGGCCTTAGGAAACAGGAGATACAGGTCAAGAAGGAACAGAGAGCAGGAAAGGATCCTCACTAAATATCGGAGACCCTGTCGGGGCTGGCTTGGCTGTGAATCCCAGGAGAGGTGAATCATTTGGGGTCAGAGCACAAGGCGAAATGGAGGAGACACTGCAGCCAGCACTGGCATCACTGGAAGAGAAGTTTTATTTTTCAGTAAAAATATTTTCTCTAGAATTAGGAAACAGGATGCTGGTAAGGATAATGCACTAATTATTTCTTTTCTTTTTCGCTTTAATATATTCAAAGCAAAAAGTGCTTCAGAGTTTCTTCAAATAAGAAAAAGTTGGGCATGAAGTGTAGGGAATAAACCATCCCCACTCTCTGGGTGGCCAAGGTGGGAGGATCACCTGAGGTCAGGAGTTTGAGACCAGCCTGGCCAACATGGTGAAACCCTATCTCTACTAAAAACACAAAACTTAGCCAGGCATTGTGGCACGCGCCTGTCGTCCCAGCTATTTGGGAGGCCGAGGTAAGAGAATTGCTCGAACCTGGGAAGCGGAAGTTGCAGTGAGCCGAGATTGCGCTACTGCACTCCAGCCTGGGCGAGAGTGAGATCTTGACTCAAAAAAACAAAACAAACAACAAACAAAAAACAAAACAAAACAAAACAAAAAAGCGGAGTAAGGAATAAACCAAATAGGTGCCCCCTGCATTTCAGCGCTTTTGCTTTCTCATGCTTATGAGATTAAATCATCTAAAAACAAGTAGTGTTAACGGGGGTAACACAGCATGGGGATTTTCTGTTTCTTTTTATTGCTGCTATTGTAGTCAATAAGATTTTATTTAGACCCGAATAAAGCACCTAGTAATTCTGGAGGCCTGGTATAAAAGACACTTTTCAAAATTGAACTTCCTCTTCCCCCTGGAACCTTCTCCTTGGAATTTCCCTGTTTCTCCCAAGGCCCAGCTATGATCTCCCCGCTCTTCCCTTCAAGTGATCAAAACAAAACTAGATGTCAAACCAACCAACAAACCGAAATTTATTTTTGGCGTGCTCAGGGTTTCCAAAACAGAAGAGAAATCCCTGTTTGTTCATAGACTCTGCTGCTCCTGTCTTCACTTACCAAGAGAAACAGGCTGGAGAGTGCGCCTTCACCTTCAAAAGCAACACTGCTCTTGGCATCTTTTGCTTTTCGCTTTGTATTCTTCAGACTGTTAGCAAAATGGAGAGCTGAGGAACCAAGGCCTGGCTTTGATCGCTGTCAGAGTCGACACAGGACAAGCCCTCGCCCTGCCCCCTAGCAGCTCCTTATCACTCCCAATTATTAGCCCGTCACCTCCCCTCTCCCCGGGTGCCGTGTGTCTGCAGGAGTCACTGGGAGAGGTAATGGAGGCTTTCACCAGCTCTGTGTGCGCAACGCCAGGGCCGGCTTCCATGCTGTTATGAACAGTAGCAGTTGCTATCAAGGTGATTTCTCGACAGCAAAGGAATCTCATGTTGTGGCCCTGCCCTCACCATGGCTGGTGCCAAGCAAGGGCTGAACTGTTCCTTGCAGGCAGATTTCAAGGAAGGCGTCGACACCTTTCATGTGCCGATGAGGACAAATCCCTGTGCCCAGATTAGATTTCCAGAAACACCTGTGAATCTTGCCCACACACCTGCAAGAAGCTGGTGTTTCTCTCTATGGAATTGTGACGATGACCTGCCTCCTCCATTGTACGTTAATAAAAAGCAGCAAAAGTGCCATTCATACAGGCGGCAGTTTTCTAAAGAAAGAGGGAGCTTTCGAAGTGCACGGTGGTGTCTCCCAGGCAACACATGAAAGGAAGATTGCTAAGAATCATGTCAATAGTTGTTAGAGTTTTTTTCTTTTTTAAAAAACAACTCACCTACACTTTTTAGTCTAAAATATATTTTGTCTTGTATCCCAAACTACAAAAAAGTCAACATGATTATTTCAGACATAGATTTACAGGAAAGATTGAGGCAACCATATCTAAGATGGAGACACAGGATGGTGAGTTTCCAACTCGTATAGAAGGGTCAGGTCTGAACTCCTGAACTTCTCATATGCTCCTGCCACATTCCCCTGTCCTTGGAGGCAGGAGTTTCAGGGATGGCTGGCCCCACCAGGGCCCCCCACACCACCTGTCTCCCAGTTCCCCTCTCTGATTTGTTTTTGTTACTTGCCAGTGTTAACTGCAGTCTCTTTTTCACAGAGTTGGCTGTGCTGCCCAGGCTGGGGTTGCCGATGGTCCGCTCTGTGCCAGCTGGCAGACTGGCCGGCTGGCTCGGCAGAGCAAAGTGCTAATTGAAAGGCGCCCTCATCACCCAAGGCTCTCAGTCGTCTCCTTGGAATGGCTGGTGCTTCTGACAATCTTATCAGCCAAGGCTGTGGCCCACATTGGTGAACCGGGGACATGCAAACCCCCAGCTTCACTTTGGCAAGAGAGGCCTGGCATTTGCTGCAATGCCAGGAGGTTGGCATGTGCCTGAGGCCACTGCAAATCTGGCATTTTCACTTACGATCCAATTCCGATCACTTCCCGGGTCAAGGAAAACACTTCGGTTGTAATCTCTGCCTTTTCAATGAATCATTTACTGAGGCAGCTGGGTTTGTCTACTTAGATAATTTAGGGGAAAGTTAAAAGAAGTTCTCCATACATGACTTGTTGGCTTCCAACTCTCCTTTGACTTCTAAAAGAATAGCTTTCAGCAGCCTGTAAAAGGGAAAGGTTGAAGGTAGCCACCACCCCCCACCCCCGAGGGAAGATGCCATCCATGCAAAGGGCAGGTCAGAGAGGTTACTGGAGATAATGGAATTTCAAAAACATTGTAAAGGAGCTGTCAGGCCGGGGCACGCTGAGAGGGGAATGAGCTTCGGCTCCCAGCAATTTGATGTCCAGGAGTAATGAAATGATGAGTCTATTTCACACAATGGACCTGTCAAGAAAGATAGTGTCGCTTTAGAGGACGCTTAGAAAGCTCTTCTTAGTGGCCTTCAAAGTATCAATTTTCAGGTGCTAAGTGGTAATTAAAGCTAGCAAGTTATAGTAGCATTCAGTGAAATTAGATCATGTCAAAGACAACAGAAAGGGTCAAGATTCCTGTTCATTCCCATGAAGGGAACATTCCAACCAAGCCGATGTTGACAGTACTGGAGAGTACTTTTAAACTGAAAGGCGGAATGCATCTTTTCCTTTCATAAAATGTTCCGTTCTTGCTGGTTTAAGATTCTCCTTTGAGGGAAGAGTCGGCTTTGTTTATCTTTGATACTCAGAGAAATAGTTCATTGTTGTAAAAAATTATTTCCTCGGTAAGTCTTTTATTTTTTCGTAGAGTTTAATAGCAGAATTCCCTTTTCTTCAAATGCACAGATATGCTTCTTTCATTTGAGAATTAGGTCATATAAACTCTATTAACTCAGAGTGACTCTACCCTTTCCGTTGCGGTTTTCGCTGTGGTTGCTTATGAAGCTCAGAGCTGGTGAAAATGCCATTGTAACAACAGCTATGGTCTAACCTTAGTTTTTAGTACAATTATTAGTGATTCTTACCTTGCTTTTCCTGTTTTCCTATTTTAACCATTTTATTATATCTGGGCATTTCTTCTAAATATTTGTTTCAGGAAATAATTAAAAAGAGACAAACTAAACCAATAAATAAATAAAATACTTAAATAGCAATAAACTTGGCAACAAACTGGGCTATGCTAGCTCCTGCCTGTGAGGCTTCTGGCTGTGGGGTGGCCGATGGGAGGATGGGTCCAGGGCGCCAGTGGACCAGGCTGGGTGTGGACAGGAAGGTTGTTTGTTTTGTCAAAGAGAAGAGAGAGATGAAAGCCAGAGGCAGGAGGAGAGCTGAGGTCACAGACTAAGAGAAGGTAGATCATGCATCAAATTGGAATGACAAGGAAAGGGATAAACAGAGATTAGACTGAGACAGCAGTAGCAGAGGAGGCTGAGGAAATGGAACCAGGAACCAGGTGCAGTGTAGGTGACATTTGACAGTTTGGGAACTAAATCTTTCAATGCTAGGCACACAGGGGTATCTCTTTTATGTAAACCATAGTTTGCCTCCTGGTTGGGGGTAAGAAAAGGTGGAGAGGTTGGGGAGCTTCTTAGAGGAGCCAGATCAGGCCAGATCACATCTGCATAACACCCCGATGATGACTGATCAGAGAATGGGGCCACTGGGGCAGACTGGGAGGATCAGAGGAGGGCTGTAGTGGCTGCCCATGCATTCATCATGGGAGTAGTAAGAATGGGTGGATGGAGAGTCCATACGCCATCTATGCGAACCACCAGTGAACTCTGGCCTGCGGGAAGGGGTTGCTTAGAGTTGCCAGACGTGGGTTTTCACATGAATGTTCCAAGTTATTAAATGTTGCCTCAAGTTTATGAAACTGTGCAGACCTAAACAATGACAGTAAAGACCTGTCTGTGGACTGGATCCAACTCCTGGACCACCAGCTCGCAATCTCTAAATTACAGAGCTGTGCTTTAGAGTCCACAGAACACAAGGTCCAGTCTGAGCTCTGCCATTTGCTGGTTGTTTGACCTTGGACAAGGGCAATGGAAGTGTCTGGCAGCCTGGGACCTCCTCCCTCTTTTGAACTCTCTTCATCTGCCCCAGTCCTGTGGTTTTTATCGGTACCACTGGATGTTTTTCTGTATGTTTATATACAATTGGCTCATGTGTTTTGAGGTCTGGGAAGACAGAAATTGTGGTTTATATTTCTTTGAGTCTCTCCCCTTTACACAACACTATAACTAGCATATTATGAGGGCTTAACAGTATCTATTGCTTAATGATACCTGATTGGATTTCCAGAAAACATTGAGCATTCATTCTCATACCCTTTGTAGCTTATCTTTTTCTACTCTGTAACACCAGAACTCATAATTCTGAAAAAACAGACTTTGTAATTTTTTCACATTTTGATTGCCTTAGTAAAAATTACGTTACTTTCCAAGCTGTACATCTTGATCATTTTTTATTTTATTATATTTATATTTTTTAGGATTTCCAGTTTTTTATTTTGCCAAGTACAGCATTAAAAGAAGTGATTTAAAATATCCTTACTATTACTATTTACCGTTTTCACTATTTCATAAATGAAAGATATTTTAAAACTAAAAATTAAGAATAAGAATGACAGAGTTAGAAAACAATTCTTTTCCAAAAAACTTACAATTGAAAATATCATACCCATAGATATGAACATTCAGTAAAACCTAAATCTGACCACACATCACAGTATGCATAAATTCATACAGCTTCTAGACCTCGTCCCTAAAGGTGCTCATTCAGGACTGAGGATCTATATATTTAAAAAGCTCCTCAGGTGTTTTGACCCTTTTTAAATGATAGTAAGTAAAATACTAAATTATAATTTTTTTTTTTAAATTGCCCCCCACCTACCAAAATTGAACACAACAAAATACGTTGTGACATTCAGGGAAGACAGAACTGTTCAACGTCTCTGAAATCCTGGGTGTTAAGACAAAAAATTTTTTTAAAAAAAGGTTTCCAAGTATGCAGACTACTTATTTTTATTTCCCTCGGTGTAAAAGGTTGGATTTTTCCTGCTCTCCTCTGTTACATATAGCAATTATAGGGAATTATGAAACTTCTACATTTCTGATAACATAGCTCTAAATTAATAAAACATAGCATTTCTATCTCACCCTCGAGCAGTATTAGCACAGCCCTAAAAACATATTCCTTAGCACACAGCATGTACGCAGTCATTCCTTTAATTTCACTGCAGCTGCTACCATTCCTGGCTCTCTTCAGTCTGAAGGTGTCTACATCAGGATAGGTTAGGTAATGCCCCAACAACAAATGGCCACACCATTTATGTGGATTCCACTACGGAAGTTTTTCTCTTTTTTTTTGATTTTTGAGACAGAGTCTTGCTCTGCCGCCCAGGCTGGAGTGCAGTGACTCCATGTCGCCTCACTGCAACCTCTGCCTCCTGGGCTCAAGTGATCCTCCCACCTCAGCCCCCTAAGTAGCTAAAAATACAGGTGCGCACCACCACGCCCAGCTAATTTTTGTATTTTTAGTACAAAAAGGTCTCACTATGTTGCCCTGGCTGGTCTCGAACTCCTGACCTCAAGGGATCCACCCACCTTGGCCTCCCGAAGTGCTGGGTTTACAGCCGTGAGCCACCGTGCCCAGCCAAAAGTTTCTGTTTCATTCCTGCTTTATGTTCCTTGTGGATTGACCGAATCCCTGCCCCCTATGGCCTTTACTCTGGGATCTCCATCAAAGAAGTGATCTTTTTCTGGAAAAAGGGTGGGTAGAGGAAATAGATATGGTGAGCCACAGGCTGGCTCCTAAAACCTCTGTTCAGAAATGACACACATCACTTTCTAATGCTATGTTGCAGGCAAAAGCACGCAGGGCCAGAATTGTGCAATTCTCCCACAATGAGGGTTACCACAAGAAGCGCCCTGCAGAGAGGGTCACCAGAATATTGGCCGACAGTAATCCAGTCAGCCACAAAGTCCTCTGTGCTCTGTAAGGCTTTCCTATCATTCATTAAAATGCTGGTCTAAATTGTCAGACATCCATGAGACTTGGCCAACTGAATAGCCAACTCTTTTTTTGTGAGGGACCTCCAAACAACACTGATGTATTTTGTCGGGAAAATAGATTGGTTCAACATCTTTAGGGAGAAGACTGGTGATTGTGAAAATTTCAGATATGCATTTCTACTTCGAGGCATGTATCCTAGACACATTCATGTGGGCGAGCAGCAGGAAACATGAGCAAGGGTATTCATCCCAGGGCCGCGAATGAATAAAAAACTGTAATATATTGATATCATGGAATTTAAGTGAATGTATAACAATTTAAATGAGATGACTATATATTGTACCTTCATACAGTAAAGCTGACATGGGTACACGATAATTGAAATGAATAGGAGACACACGTATTACCGTGAAATAGACATCAAAAAGGTACCGTGAACCCAAAACAGCAGGATGCAGAATTATATAGTGCAGTACAATATTATACATAAGTCCTTTTTTAAAAGCCACAGTAACTTGTGTGTGTGTGTGTGTGTGTGTGTGTGTGTGTGTGTAACATGGTTGGGAAATACATACATCAAATTCTCATGAGGGTGGTTTATGAGCACCAGGCTGGAGACAGGAAAAGGGAAGGATAGTTCACTTTCTTAAAAATGTTTTCTCACTTTTCTTTAAAAAGAATTAAATACAGCAGAATGTTGGCATTTGTAGATTCTGGGTAGTAGCTGCACAGGTGTTTGTTTTGTTATTTTCTCTACTTTTCTGCAGTTTTTCTTAAACACGCAAAGCAAAGAATTAGATTTGCAGATGTTCCGCATGTTTTTGTAATCGTATTTTTTTGTGTGCTGCCTCCTCCACCTGACGTTTTTAAAGTAGACGGCCTCATTTTTTTGCCACAGATTTCAGCCTTTCACCTAGGTGTCATCAGTGAACTCACTCATATTCATTGTCCAGAACGCAACCCCTCCCTTTTTCCCCACTGCCTGAAACTTTAGTTTCAATCCCTGTTCAGGGCTGGGAAGCAGCATTCCCTCGTTTCGTCACCCAGAGTCACCCGGATTTCATCCTCACATTGCACAGAGTTTACCCCAAAATTCAAAGCTACTCTTAGGGACTGAAGGGAAATACATCCAGAGTTGTCAGATATATTTATCCATGGCCCAAGGGAGGAAATTATTTCAATCCCTTTATGCCCGCCCCTCACCAAGCACATGGTCAGGAAGATTCTGGGACTCATACCAAGAAATCGCCTCATGATTTAGAAAAATACAGTTTCTCAATATGGTTTTATAGGTAGCCTAAGGGATGCAGCAGGATAAGAATGAAGGCTTATGTGCTACTCACCACTTTAATAAAAATCCACATTTTCCCCCTATATTGAGGTTAGTCAGCAACACTCTGTCTCTGATAAATCTCTCTGTTTTTGCTTTCAATCCATTGCCTGCTCTTAGTTCTGCAGCACACACTGAGTGTCACCTGACGATCCACTTTCCTAAGCCTCATAGATGGTTCTTAGCAGCCCATCAACCCATTAGAGCTGGCTTCTGAACCTTTTGGCTTTGACATTACTGTTGGAACTCCTGCAGGTAGTAACTTCAGACTCACAGTAAGAAAACAAGAGGGAAGAAGACTATAATAAAGATGCTTCCTTCACATGTTGGCTTACGTATGGAGGGAAGAAAAGAGTTCGAAATGTGAGCTGTTGGCGCATTCAAAATAATTTTCCCCATCTTTACCTTTGCTATCAACCAGCAGGGCTGTCTGCGTTAACCAAACTTTCAATCAACACAGTGTGCATCTCGGACATCCAAAACTCCCTGTGAATCTCTGAGACTCTGGAAGTCTCCGGGGCTGTGTCCTTGCTGCACTGCTCTTCTCAGTGATGCCATTGACCCCATGGCGCCAAGCACAGCGTGCAAGCCGATGACTTCAGCCAAGCTGTCTCTCTGCAACTTCAGATGTCCATATCTCACCTCGCAAAGCATCTTCATCTAACCGTTGCACAGACACCTCAAATTCAAGAAGGCCAAAAATTCACTTTATCAGTTTTCCAACTCAGCCAACAAAGAGCAAAGCGAAATGAACAAAACTAGCTCTATGTTTTGTATTCTCTCCTTCTGGTCAGTCTCACAAACTGGTGAATTTTTCTTTCTTATTCCTACCTTAGAGCAAATATAGGACGATCTTACTTCCTAAAATATGATTCCAGCTCTGTGTCCTTCAGACTGTCATCACCTTTTGCTTTTCCTTGTTTTTTTTTCTGGAGATGGAGTCTCACTCTGTCGCCCAGGCTGTAGTGTAGTGGCTCGATCTCAGCTCACTGCAACCTCCACCTCCTGAGTTCAAGCGATTCTCCTGCCTCAGCCTCCCGAGTTGCTGGGACTACAGGTGCGTGCCACTGTGCCTGGCTAACTTTTGTGTTTTTAGTAGAGATGGGGTATTGCCATGTTGGCCAGGCTGGTCTCGAACTCCTGGCCTTAAGTGATCCACTCACCTCGGCCTCCCACCATGCTGGGATTACAGGTGTGAGCCACCGTGCCTGGCCAGGCATC
Organism: Homo sapiens; assembly: GCF_000001405.40. Classification (NCBI taxonomy): domain Eukaryota; kingdom Metazoa; phylum Chordata; class Mammalia; order Primates; family Hominidae; genus Homo; species Homo sapiens. The sequence goes on along the minus strand of NC_000013.11, from coordinate 106,461,608 downwards.
ACCATCTCTTGTCTTGACTACTTATGATCCACCCTCCTTGACTGCTGTTCCATTCCATACACCTCTGGTAGCCATAGAATTTAATGACAACATCTATCCACAGCAAGCATTTTTTGCTAGGGTCTCCACTGTTTAGAGGCTAAAGTGTGTGGTCCTTAACAGAGCATGAAAATCCCTCCAGGTTTCCAGTGATTTTAGACCTAACCTTCTTCAGAGTGTCCCACCAAACTCCTGGGTTGGGTGTGGGTGCCCAGCTCTTTCTTTGTCCTCTGGCAATAAGACTCAACTGTTTTTGTGTCCCTTCACACTAAAACTTCTCAAACATTTTCTATCCTTGGTGTTGCTAAATCCAATGGTTAGTGACATTTCTCCTTCCTTTTTTTTAAAAAAAAATTAGGTGTTTTTTTGTTTTGTTTTGTTTTTGTTTTTGAGACTGAGTCTTACTCTGTTGCCTAGGCTGCAGTGCAGTGGCTGGATCTTGGCTCACTGCAGCTTTGACCTCCAGGGCTCAAGTAATCCTCCTCCTACCTTAGCCTCCCGAGTAGCTGGGACTACAGGCGCATGCCACCACACCTGACTAAGTATTGTATTTTTTGTAGAAACGGGCTCTCACCAGGTTGCCCAGGCTAGTCTTGAACTCCTGGACTCAAGTGTCCACCTGCCTTGGCCTACCAAAGTGCCGGGATTACAGGTGTGGAAGCCTGCAGGACGTGGACACTGCGGCACTGCTCCTGTCTCTTCCTCTCTGCCTTGATCTTTGGCAGCCTGTTCTAATTAGTCAATCCATAAATGTGCATCAATAAATGAATGAATTAAATGGATGGAGAACTACTGTTCTCTCACAAAGTAATTGGCCTGTGCTCTCCTTAAGCAGAGAAAATGAATAAAAACAAAATTAAAAAAACTTTAAAATCTACTGGTATTTATGGTTAGCTCATGGGGACAATAAGATATTTCAACTTTGAAGTAGTGATCTGGTATTTTCTATCCCGCAAAACCCCCCACCCCCCACACTTCACCTTACATATGTGTATCCTATATCTGTCTTTGATTATCACACAACTTTTGGGCTCCATTTATCAGCTAAGCTCCATACAGCAGCACAGAATCCTAGAACTTTACAATCGAACCTAGGCCAGCATTCCTCACTCATGCCACCTTAATCACATGGAACACCAGCCAGGCAATGGCCTCTCCCAGGCTCAGAGTGGGCTTGAGGGCCTCGGAGGTGCAGGACTGAACTGCCTCATTAGAAATTAGAATTATCATGGTCTCAGTCTTTAAGGCTCACACCTTAAAAAAAAAACCTGCCAAATTTTGTTTATACTTTTTTAAAAGAACAGAAAATATTTTCTCCCTAAATTTTTGTATAGCTAAAAAGCCAACGGATGTTGGACAGATTTCACCTTCAGTATACTGCTGGAGGGCCAGAACAAGGAGTTAATGAGAACAGCATCTATGAGGCGTGCCATGACTGTTGGGTGGAGCAGAGAGGGCAGGTGAGATCTTACTTTTCATATGCTATTTTTTTCTATCTATGTTCTCAACTTATAACTATGCCAGCTGGGAACAGAGGCTTATGCCTGTAATCCCAACATTTTGGGAAGCTGAGCAGGAGAACAGTTTGAGCCCAAGAGTTCCAGACCAGCCTGGGCAACTATAGGATGACCCCATCTCTACAAAAAATTAAAAATGAGATGGGTATGATGGCATGTGCCTGTAATCCTTGCTACTCAAGTGGCTGAGGCAGGAGAATCGCTTGAGCCCAGGAGTTCGAGACTCCAGTAAGCCATGATTGTGACATGCCACTGCACTGTAGCCCAGGTGACAGGGCAAGACCTTGTCTCAAAAACCACCCCCAAGCCCCACAAATAAATGACGATGCCATCAAAAGCTATAAACTATGAATGTCTATGTTTTGAATGAGAGCCTAGGTAATGACATTTACTCCGAGTCTGCAGGATGACATACTTAAAGCCATCTTACCTACTTGCCTAACCTTGCTCCTTAACCTTGGACTTGTGAGTCCAGTGGGAAGGAATTAGAGCATTTCTCTGCATGCATTCCAGTAACCAGCAAGAACTTACCAAGCTGACCCCCATCACAAGTAGGTTAGAGGCTGGCTCATGCGCACGCCGGACAGAATGACAGGTATGCACCCTAAACACCTCCCGTCTTGCTTCTGCAAAACCTTGTCAGTTCACCAAAAGGTTTCACATGATTGGGCAAAACCACAGATTTTCTAAAATTTTTATATAAATACATATTACATTATCTCCTCTGCAATGACCAGCTGAAGTTAGGCATTGAAAACTTACACAAAAGTAATTCGTTGACTTTCATAAAGTCAACATGTAGAGATTTCTTTTCCTTTCTCAATGTTGATTGTCAACTCGTTCAGAATGAGCACTTCTAGAATAAAGAAACATTAAGCTGTTCCAAATCATCGTTGGGCATTTTTTTGTTTAAGTGTATTTTATTGCTACTGCTGCCACTGCCATTTTTGCTGTCACCCTTGTTCAGGTGTAGTTTGGAGGCACGGGGCACTTCCAGTCTGGGAAGGTCTATGTTATGGGTTGAGTCATGTCCTTCAAATAGATATGTTCAAGCCCTAACTCCCACGACCTGGGAATGTGACCTCATTTGGAAATAGGGTCTTTGCAGATATGACCAAGTCAGGGTGAGGTTATTAGGGTGATCCTAATCCAATGCGACTGGTCTGCCAAGTCAGAGGAGGAGACGAAAATGCCAGGTGAAGACAGAGATGGGGGAAGCCCATGGGGCAGCAGAGGTAGAGACTGGCGTGAGTGCTACATGCCAAAAATCACCTGGGAGGGCTGGAGACAGGAAGGCGGCTTTTCCTTCACTCATAATCTTAACTACAAGCTGCATACAGGAATAACTGTGAAGTTGAAGCCTGGATGTAAATAAATTAAATATTACTTTGTTTTTTCATTCATTCAACAAATATACTCTCAGTGGATGCTAAGCCCACCCCAGGCATTTTGTGCATCCTGTTTCTCTTTGCTTGACCTTCTCCTGTGAATGTAAGATGGTGGTGAGTAGAAATTGTGAGAAGGAAGGAAAAAATAGGTTAGTTAAGGAGAAACCTGCACATCAGGTGTGGATAGGGCGAACCCCTTCCATAGCAGAATGTGGCAAAACTAGCCCATGGAGAAGGAGAGTGTGGTCAGCAGGAACAACGGGACTTGGAAAATTCAGTATTTCAAGATGTCTGGCTTCAAAAAAGAGAACTGTTTGGAAATGTTCAGCAGTGAAAGACATGAGGAAAAGCAAATTTCCAGCTGTTCTCAGACTGTTAGGTGCATTCATGTCCTTCATAAAATAGAAATATAGATTAAAAGGTTTATATGTGAAGATTTTAACTTATATAATGCACATAATATTCTAAAAAGTTTTTAAAATTACACTTTTTAGAGAGTAGTTGTCAGTTCACAGTAAAACTGAGCAGGAGGCACAGAGATTTTCCGTATTTCCTCTTCCCCCACGCATGCAAAGCCCCCACTAAAAACATCCCCCACGGAGTGGTCCGTTTATTACAGTGGATAAACCTGCACTGGCACACCATCATCACTCAGAATCTATAGCTTACATTAGGGTTCACTCTTGGTGTATTTCGTATGGGCTTGGACAATGTATAGTAACACGTATCCACCATTGTACCTGCAGTGTCACACAGCGTAGTTTCACTGCCCTAAAAATCCTCTGTGCTCTGCTGATTCAGCCCACCCTCTCCACTAACCCTTGGCAACCACTGATCTTTTTACTGCTTCCATAGCTTTGCCCTTTTCAGTATCTTTTAATACGCTGAGCAAAGTAGTAAGAGAAGCAAGGCCAACCCCCAAAGCAAAGTGAAATTATTGTAACAGTTGGTATTATATTAAACAATAATATTTCTTTAAGCTCTGCTCACAATACATTTTTGTAGTGGAAGTTAACAGTTTCACAATACCACCTGAGAAATAGATTGTGACTAAATATAAATATATATATATGTATAGTTAATAAGGATTTGTTTCCTTTTCTAATTATTTTGAAAAAACTTGTTTAGAAAAATTATGCCTGAAACACAGAAAAGTTCAGCTTTCTAAAGCATCCAAACATCTAGTTTCAAATTTTTGCTACCTTAAGACATTTGTACCTGTGGTTAATTTAGACTCGTTCTGTAAATGAGTTACTTAATCTTATTGTTTTCCCAATTTTTTCTCAATACTTATTTTCAGATGTCAGCGCAGATGTTGATTGCTTCCATAGCTACTTTCTAAAAATTAAATGTAAAACTTGAGTACCATGGAAGTTTTAGCTGCTAAAAAAAAATGTGAAGGAAGTACGAATTTACAAAAGGAATTCTGACTTCAGTGGAGTCAAAACATTAAAGAGGGCTTAGCATGGTCGTTTTCATACTAAGCTTTCTTTAAACAGATAAATATCACTTGCAAATAATTATTTTGAATTTCTCTTCTTTGTTGCAGTTTTTGCCATAAAAAAATACAACAGCTGGTTGGGCATGGTGGCTCATGCTTGTAATCCCAGCACTTACGGAGGCCGAGGAGGGCGGATCACCCAAGGTCAGGAGTTCGAGACCAGCCTGGCCAACATAGTAAAACCCCGTCTCTACTAAAAATACAAAAATTAACCGTGTTTGGTGGCACTCACCTATAGTCACAGCAACTCAGGAGGCTGAGGCAGCAGAACTGCTTGAACCCGGCAGGCGGAGGTTGCAAGTGAGTCGAGTCGCGCCACTGCACTCTAGCCTGGCCAGCAGAGCGAGACTCCCTCTCCAAAAAATAAAAAATAAATAAATAAATAAATAAAATAATAATAGCCTAAGTTCTAACACTTGTATTTTCATTCTTGGGGAGAAATTTATTACATCATAGAATGAGATCAAGTTTGATTATTAGCTATATCTTAAAAATTAGAAATGGCATATAAATTGGTTTTGTTTGTAGATAATATGTATTTAAAACCTAAGCTCTAACTGAGCACTTCTTTTTGCAGGATTTGTGGGATACCTTCTGCTGTTCTTAGTTCTTCGTAGTAACATTATTATAATGTATTAACATAATTTCCACTATGCACCTTATGGAGAAATGAAGGCAAGCTAAGTGATTTGCTAATTGTAACGAGAGTGTTAGAATTAGGCACGTGAGTTTTATTTTCGTACTACCACTCCAGGACATTATTCATATGATATTGCCTCTAGTTCATACTTCTCAAAATGTGCACATAAATATACCTACAGCTTGTTAATGCAAATCATTTGTTACAGGTTAACTGAAGCTCCAAAAAGCTAAATATAATGTTTCTATCTTAGAGGGTGCATTTTCCTAAAAATTGCTAAAACATTCCTTAATTGTTATACTTTTCCATCTCCTATTAATGTGTTTAATGGAACATTATCAAATTAGAATGTTATCGTAGGGTTTGGCTAAAAAAATAAGTAAAATAATAAACAGCAAAGTATTTAGTCATAAGGACATTTTCCAGCTTTTCAGCTGATAAAATAAGTAAGCCTGGAAAGTAGATTAAGAAAATAATCAAAAGTATAAAAATAACAATACACATATGAGAAGAATTAAACATTCCTGGGCCAGCACAGACTTTGATTTTAACAACTAGCCAGCATGAAAGAAAAATTGTTAAGCTGATGAAAGAAATGCATTGCTGTTTCATCACTGCGAAGTTAAGTCCTGTAGTCTATTGCAACACAATTCTTACACCTTGAAAAGCAAGCTGACAGAGTAAGGTGGCAATTCAGTTGTGTCTGACCTCGATGCCCCAGTGTTTAGGCCAGGATAGCTTAATTAATCCATAATTATCCCATGTTCAGAGATTCTGGTAAACCACTACTTCCTAAGTGACTTTTAAAAACTATTAACGACCATTAAAATGATTAGAGACTACAAAACACTTCTACACTTGGAAGGAATTGGAGAGCCTTGCGTTATTTCCCCAGTAGCCCCCTGGCATTGGGCAAAACCTCCTTCTCTGCGGCAGAGTTGAGAAAATGGAGCACAAAGGAACTCACCCGTGTGCTCAGGGTCTGTGGTCAGGGAAGGGTCCTGGTGGGAGCAGAGGCTCTGCAGGATCAGGCCCTGATTTTGGGGTGGAAGTGCGCACTACAGATGGGCATCTGGTAGACCTGGAGGGCACTACCCAGCTATTGGGGAGGGATTTCCCCTGGGCAGTGGGCAGTAGGGCCCAGGATGGCCTCCCATGGAGCCCCTATCCCCAGACCTCCTCCTGCCCCACAGGGGATCTGGATCTTCCTACCGCCCTGATGGCAGTGAGCGTGCTCCGGCGGCTGGCATGGAGAGACGACGAAATGGATGTGGAGTGTCTCAGAGCCCTGGGGAACAGGGAGGGGTGTGTGCTTCTCTTTGTTTCGCCAGCAATGTTGGACAAGAAACCTCTCGTCTGTCTCAACTTTTACGCCAGCTCTCTCCTCTGAAGTGGTTACTCTAAATAGTTGAAGCATCTCTGATGCTCACACTTGGGAGTGTAGCTGAGCCAAGCCATTCTGGCTTTGGAAAACACATCAGATCATCCAACCATGGGTGATTTGGGGGAGATATGTGCCTTTCTGCAAGCCATCTAGCTGAGCAGAGGATGTAGCAGGTGTGTTTGTGTTCCCCCAAATTCACATGTTGCCATCCTCATCCCCAAGTTGACAGTATCAGGAGGTGAGGCCTCTGAAAGGGGATCAGGTCATGGGAGTGGAGTCATCATGAATGGGATTAGTGCCTTTATAAAAGTGACACAACAGAGACCTCTCACTCCTTCCACTCTGTGAGCTTAGAGTGAGAAGACAGCTGTCCCTGAGGAAGAGGCCCTCAGCAGACACTAAGTCTGCTGGTGCAGTGAGCTCAGACATCCCAGCCTCCAGAATGGTGAGAAATACGTTCCTGTTGTTTACTAGCCACCAAGTCTATAGTATTTTGTTATAGCAGCCCAAACAAACTAACTCAGCGGCTTATGTCTGGTTTGCAGAGAGAGAATCACCAGACCAACCCAGCACCCCAGACAGATGGGCCATGGTGACTGCCAGCTGGCCCCTGGTGCTCGCCGGCCATGCCCAGGAGAAAAAGCACCTTTGCTTCCCCTTTGGTGTCTTGCTTGTGATGGTGTGCAATGCTTGCTGGTTGAATAAGTGAGTGACCCAGTGCATAAACATTTCCCTCTGCAGAGTTATAAAGGCCACATGCATACCTGCTGATTTCAGTATATTAACAACATCCAAAAACTGCTCTCATGTCTCTTTCCAGGATGTTCAGTCAGTTTAGCTAATGATACCTCAACTGGCTCAAGCGATCTTCACTGAGAGCCTGTCAGGTAGGTCATTTTCCTAGGTCTTGTGGGGGAATAAGTGGATGAAAGGAAGGCTCCTGCCCTTAAGAAACTTATATTCCAATCAGGAAAAGTGGACATACATAAAAACCATAAGAAGTAAAACTGAAAAATGTAGTATAACAAGAGAGTACTTATACATATATAAATAAATGAGCTATTAAATGAAAAAAAAATGAATGAATAGTGGGGCCTTAACCAACTCTGCAGCTTTCTCCATCGTGGATTTTCACGGAAACTTGCTCTAGCAGTTGACACTCGTGGTGTCTGTAGCATATTCCATAAAGAAAAGTTTCACAAAGATAAAGAAGGCTAAAGTGGGCTTCATTTTGCACCAATTACTTGGTGCAAAAGTAATTTTGGTTTTGCCATTACTTTTAATGCATTAAATACTTTTAATTGATATTCCTTTTAATAGCTCAAGTGGGAGGCATTTAAAAAAAAAGGCATTTTTCTCTTCTGAAATCCTTCCTGGTCTGAGTCTGTTTTCCAAAGCTGGAATGGGCGACTTGCCTCTTCTGCAGTCCTGATGTTAATATGAGAGACACTTACATTCGGCTTGGTTGTCTTGAGGACTACTCAAATTCAACATGTCTAAAAAACAGCTTTTCATTTCAGTGGATTAGACAAATGAATAGTGAATTGTTCATCCTACAATCCAGAAGTTTCAGCCACCCTCATGCTATTCTCCCCGACTTCCCCATATCCAATTTATCATCAAATTCTCGTGATTTTAGCTTCTAAACAAGTCCCTCAGCAGTTTCCTTCTCCCTTCCCCGTTGCCACTGCGATGGTCCATGCCGTCATTCTCTGTTGCCTACACAGCTGCTGTGGACTCCTACCTGGTGTCCTTGCACATATTTTGCCTTCCTTGTATCCTTACTCTGTGACCAGAGAGCTGTTCAGCATTCCCATCTGATCATGCCACTCTCATGCCAGGAGCCCTCTGTGGTTCCCATTTCTCCTAAGAATGGCCAGCTAGGCTCCCAATCACCTGCCTCTGTCTTCTTCTCTGGCCTCGCCTCCCTCCCTTTGTTTTTGCTCCTCAGGCACACTGACCGAATGGGCCATGTCTAGGAACCCACTGTCCCAAAAGCTTTGTAGCCTGGCGTTCCTCCTTCTCCGGTTGCTGTGAACTCCAGCTCTCACCCCAGCCCCCTAGCCTGGCTAACTCCGTTCCATCCTTCAGGTTAGATTGTTCAACATGTTTGCCATGTTTTTTGATCAATAGGGAAACCTTCTTAATTCTTCAAGACCACGTCAATACCTCCTCTTATGTGTATTTTAAAATTTATTTGGCCGGGCGCAGTGGGTCACACCTGTAATCTCAGCATTTTGGGAGGCTGAGGTAAGCAGATCACCTGAGGTCAGGAGTTTGAAACCAGCCTGGCCAACATGGTGAAACCCTGTCTCTACTAAAAATACAAAAAAAAATTAGCCAGGTGTGGTGGCGGGCACCTGTAATCCCAGCTACTTGGGAGGCTGAGACAAGAGAATGGTTTGAACGCAGGAGGCAGAAGTTCCAGTGAGCCGAAATTGCACTCCAGCCTGGGCAACAAGAGCGAAGCTCCATCTCTCTCTCTCTCTCTCTCTCTCTCTCTCTCTATATATATATATATATATATATGTATATATATATATGTGTATATATATGTGTATATATATATATATATACACATATATATATACATATATATATATGGCAATTATCATGGTTTATAAATATATATGTGTAATTGCTAATCAATGTCAGTTAACCCCATCAAACTGCGGAATTTATGAGGCTAGGACCTACCAGATACTTTGCTCATTGTTTTAAAAAGAAGGCTTCTGCTCTTAAGAAATTTATATTCCAATCAGGAAAAGTGGACATACATAAAAACCACGAGAAGTAAAATAGAAAAATATTTAGTGAGCAAAATATCTGGCTTATTTTGCTTGGCATACTGCTTGGCAAATGATGGCTATTCAATAAATATTTGCTAAAAGAGACCCTAATATATTAGGGGTGAGGAGCATCATTGTACAAGCTACTAACTAAATTCTAGTGATCATTTAATACAGGTCACATAAAAAAGCACAGAGAGGGCTGGGCATGGTGACTTATGCCTGTAATCCTGGACCTTTGGGAGGCTGAAGCAGGCAGATCACTTTACTTCGTTTTCTTTTTCCCTCCCTCTCTCCTCCTTTCCTCCCTTCCTTCCTTCCTCCATCCCTCCCTCTCTCCCTTCCTTCCTCCCTTTCTTTCCTCCCTGCTCTTTTCCTTCTGCACTCATGTTAAGAGACACATAGGATGAGTTGAGTTTGGACTGGAGTGAGGGTTAGAGACAGGGGTAGGGTGAAACATTGTCTTAGTTCATTTATGCTGCTTTAACAAAATACCCGAGAGAGGGTAATTTATGAACAATAGACATTGTTTTTTACAGTTCTGGGGTCTGGGAAGTCCCAGATCAAGGCACCCACATTGGTGTCTGGTGAGGTTCTTTGTGCTGGGTCCTCACATGGCAGAAGGGCCAAGTCTAGCCGGCTCTCTCCTACCCTTTCACCAGGCTGCTAAGCCCATTCATTAGGGCTTTGCCCTCATAACTTCATCACCTCCTAAAGGCCCCACCTGTTCACACTCTCTCACTGAGGTTCAAGTCCCAACATGAAACTTGGAGGGGGCAGAAATATTCAAACCATAGCAAACCCTTTTCCTATTTCTTAATTACTCAAGTAATCATTTGTTTAGCAAACACATTAAACACTGTGGCTGGCACTGTGTTGGGAAAAGATAAAGTGAATATAGTACCTGTAATTTAGGGAGAGACATAAGGAAAAGTGTTTGCAGTATGAATAGTTGAAAAAAAAAGAAAAGAGACTTGTGTAGGATGCTATGGGAGCATCTTGGGAAAGTGGTGAGTTTTCGGGGAGAAGACCAGGGAGAGTGTCCCGAAGAAGGTAAAGCCTGAGCTGAGCCTTCAGTGAGGTCTCAGGTGCCTTGGAGGGAGGAGGCAGGAAGAAGGAGCAGGAACCCAGGTGAGGGAACCACACGCATAAAAGCAGGGGGTGGCGATTGAGGCTTGTTCGCAGAGCTCTGGTGTCCCTTATGACCAGAGCAGAGCTCAGAAGACAGACCCCGAGTCCTTTACCAGGGATATTGGGCTGGTGATTCTCAGACACACTCAGATGCAAAGCACAGGAGAGGCACAGGAAAATGCCTGCTGTGTTTTGTAAAACTGCATTGAGTATTCTGCATATTAAACTCATAACAAATACATAATTCAGTATAAAGCAGATACCATTTTTATTTAAAAAAAAATCTGAGAAAGACAAATGGTAGTAGGTCCTGAAGGTTTAGGAACTATTTATGAGGCAAAAGCCTGAAACATATTTTATTTTGTTTTTCCAGATGAGGAAAAAATGATTTAAGTTTAGCAGTGAAACTGCATCCTGGCAGGTTAGTGTCTATAGTGAGAGGCCTGCTCCAGGCAGAGGCTGGACCCCGCTGATTTCAGGAGGCAGAGTTCCTCCATCGGGCTGTGGCTTAGTAGGATTCCTTAGGTTTGGGTTTGGGTTTGGGTTTGGGTTTGGGTTTGGGTGTGCTTTGCTAATTTTAAAGCTCACCGACATCTGTGGGAACTCCTGCCCCTCGCAGTCTAGCAGCACTGCCACTGCTGGGTAACGGGATTATTAATATTTCACCTAAGAAGGAGGAAGCATCCTGGAACAAGACAGAGGAAAGTTCCCCTTTCTAGCAAGAAAATGACTTTATTTTTGTTTTATTTTTGTTTTTTGAGACAGAGTCTCACTCTGTCACCAAGGCTGGAGTGCAGTGTCATGATCTTGGCTCACTGCAATCTCTGCTTCCTGGGTTCAAGTAATTCTCTGCCTCAGCCTCCTGAGTGGCTGGGACTACAGGTGTGCACCACCACATCTGGCTATTTTTTGTATTTTTTGTAGAGTTGGGGTTTCACCATGTTAGCCAGGTTGCTCTCAAATTCCTGGCCTTAAGTGATCCACCTGCCTCAGCCTCCCAAAGTGCTGGGATTACAGGCGTGAGCCACCACACCTGGCCTAGGAAATGACTTTTAAAAGTGCTGGAGAAATCTTATCTACTCTCAGACTGTAAGAGAGGCATACAATACTTACAAGGGGTAGACGATGAAAGTGTTTGTTTATTTATTGATTGATTTTTTCCAACTATAAAAGAAGCATGTGCTCGTTATAAAAAGATTAAAATATATATACAAAGCTTTAAACATAGAGAAGTCTGTAATATAAAAAAGTGAAATTTTCTCATATCACCCAGAAAAAACCACTGTTAAATAATTTTCCTCAGATTTAAGATAATTAATTTATGAACACGTAAATATTATAAATAATTTTAAACCAAAATGGAATCTTTCAACTGCCTTCTTTCCCCCCTTCTTTACCAAGTTCCTTGCATAACTTTCCATGTCTGTACATAAGTCTAGTTTTCTGTTAAGAACATTATTATCTTGTTTGGGTACTTTCAGTTTTATTTGATTTTTGTTTTTAACGCAGAAGATCAGTAACTGGGGAAAAAAACCGTATTTATATATCACAAAATCTAATTTTATCCTTCAGGTTTTTTTTGTTTGTTTCACATTAAGTTAATGGTAAGAATAGTTTTCAAAAGGAGAAATCATTTAATGTTTTATGTGGCAAAATGACCCAAAATTGAAGGATGGCTGGTAATAAACCCATTGGTGTTTATTTTCCAGGGAAAAGGTACTTTCTGTTGAGAAATTATTTTTATATTTCATGGATTTGTTCTTTTTCCTTCTCTTATTTGCTAAAATTAAAGTTAAAAAAAAAAAAAGCATTTGCTGGTACTGGGTAATTTAAAGAGGCACCTGCTCTGTGTTATGCATTTGTGATTATAGAAGTTCCTACGAGGCTGACCCGAAATGGGCACTCCAGGTAAGTGCCTGTGTTGGCACTCACCCAGCAGGAGCGAAATTGTTAGGGATGGGATTTTAATAAAGAAGTAGTGGGAAGGCCATGGAGCACCGCTGATATCTGGAAGCAAAATAAATAACATATTACAACCCTGCAAAATGTCTTTTCTGAGAAAAATTAAAGTTTTCTCTGTGGCTTAAAGCCTGCATGCACCACCCATGGGACCTCAATATGTAATTCTAATAGGCAAGAGTTTCATCAGAACAAAAACTAAACTAAAAGACAATGGTGATTATCAAACTGTCTTCATTTGTTTGGGCTGCTGTATTAGTCAGTTCTCACGCTGCTGTGAAGAAATACTTGAGACTGGGTAATTTATAAAGCAAAGAGGTTTAATTGACTCAAAGTTCTGCATGGCTGGGGAGCCCTCAGCAAACTTACCATCATGGTGGAAGGCGCCTCTTCACAGGACGGCAGGAAAGAGAATGAATGCAAGCAGGGGGAATGCTAGATGCTTACAAAGCCATCAGATCTCATGGGAACTCGCTCACAGGAACAGCATGGGGGAAATCACCCACATGATCCAGTCACTTCCTCCCGAGTCCCTCTCATGACACATGGGGATTATGGGACCCAGAATTTAAGATGAGATTTGGGTGGGGACACAGCCGAACCATATCAGCTGCCAGAACAAAAATACCATAAATGGGGTGCCTTATAAACAATAGAACTTTATTTCTCACAGCTTTGGAGGCTGGGGAGTCCTAGATCAAGGCACCCACAAATTCAGGGGCTGTTGAGGGTCATTTTCTGGTTTACAGACAGTGCATCCTTTTTATGTTCTCATGTGGTGGAATGGGCAAGGGAGCTCTCTGAAGTCTCTATTATAAGGGCGCTAACCCCATTCATGAGGGATTCACCTTCATGCCCTCATCACCTCCCAGAGGTCTCAGCTCCTAACTCCACCACACTGGGGATTAGTTTTCAGCCTACACATTTCAGGGGGACACAAACATTGTCTAAACACAAACAAAAGGCCAAATGCAGCAAGGCGTATGCTGTGCTAAACTGAAGTGAGACATGGTGGCTTGAGAGGGGCCAGTGTGTGGATAGAGGTTTGACCTTGTCTTTACTGAGTGCTCCTCAGAGACCGCAGACTTCTTTACTCCCCGACAGCTTCACATACACTGTTCCCTCTTCCTGGTTTCCCTTTCCTTCTACCCATCCTTCAGAGTCTAGCTTAGATTTCATCTCCCCTGTCGACCTTTTCTAATAGCCCCTGGAAGAATCCTTCCCTCTTGTGTCTGTGTTCTTGCAGCGTTTTGTTGTGCCACCTGCCTTTCCACATCATGACCCTTCTCCTCCACAGTGGGTGAGTGTCTCACGGATGTGTCTTCCTCATGAGCTCACCCCAGCTGTCCAAATAAGCTCCTGGGACGGAGTGGTTGTTCTGTGATCTAAGATTGGATGACTGGTGGGGACCAATAGGAAGGAAGAGTCAGCTTCTGCACCCAAAAGAATAATAATAATACCTATCTTGGCTGGGCGCAGTGGCTCACGCCTGTAATCCCAGCACACAAGCAGGCTGAGGCAGGCGGATCTCTTGAGGTCAGGAGTTCGAGACCAGCCTGGCCAACGTGGCGAAACCCTGTCTCTACTAAAAATACAAAAATTAGCCAAGGAGGCACACACCTGTAATCCCAGCTACTCAGGAGGCTGACAGGAGAGTTGCTTGAACCCAGGAGGTGGAGGTTGCAGTGAGCCGAGATCGCACCACTGCACTCCAGCCTGGGCAACAGAGCGAAGAGTGTGTCTTGAAAACAAAACAAAACAAAAAATCCCATCTCCTTCTATCTCTTAGTCATGATTTCACAAAGTACTTTAAGTACCTTGGAATGAACAAAAACAAGAGCTATTATTACAGAACACATTTGAACATGTTTCTTCTTTGAACCACAGCATCAAGTGGAGCCCGTGTCTCCTTGCTCCCTTACCCGATGCTTTCATAGCTTCTCAACCATTTGGTAAAAATAGATTTTCTTTTACAGCTCATCACCCATGACCACTTTTGGGGAACTCTACATATTTTGATGTTTATTTGCTGTGGTGTCAAATTTTGATTTTTGTATTTAATTTTGAATGAAAATTCTGTGTATTGTGTGTCCTCCTTTCAGAGCATTGGCCTTAATACAAGACTAGTTTTGTCTACAGTTGCATTTTTGGTCGGCTTCACAATGCCACTTAGAACATCAAAAGTCAATAGGGTGGTGTCTTTAACCAGGGTGAGATCATGTACTGCAGGCTCAGAACTGCAAGCCTGTGATTCAGTTTGTGCATGGGCAATTTTCTGTACTGTTTAATAATAGTAACACAATGAGTCCTAGGAGCTCTAGTCTTCAGGGCATGGAGTCACTGTCATAAGGTCTTGTTCGACATTTTTCTTTGAAATATTATGTTTCCCTCTTTTGAGCATCATTAAAGTTATACCTTGTTCCAAAGTCCAAAGAAGACTCTAGTTGACAATAGGTTCGCAGAAGCAGATGGGATATCGGAGGTTGTGTGGACAGTGGTTAAATGAGCAGGTTTTAGAGAGAGACATAGTGGAGTCAGGTCTGAATCCCAGTTCCAAACACTACCTTAAAATTTGTTGGCTGTTGTTCCTTGGGCAAATTGATTACACTTTCCTCACCTGTAAAATGAAGACAATACTTCCTATCTCATGTGGTTGTCATAGGAATTAAATACTGTACTTCTGTAGCTCAACCCACCAAGCAAACCAGAAAAAAAATAAATAAACACAGTACCTAGATTCTAGTAAATACACGATAAATGCTACCTGAAATCATTGATGTAATTAAAAGATGTTATCCCTGCCCTCTCTGCTCTTGTGGTATGGTATCATGTTGCCAGCCATACGCAAGAACTTCAGACTACTCCTGTGCCTTGCCTTCTGTGTATACAGCCTGGGTAATACTCTTCCCTTGACTGTGGGCTGGACCAAGTGACCTACTTCCAACAAAGAGAAGATGGCAAAGTGATGGTAATTCACTTCTGAGAATGAGTTACAAAAATTTGTGGCTTCTGTGTTGGGTGTCTTTCAGCCTGAGTGCATGCATCTTGCTCTCCCTTGAATTACTCATCCCGGGGGAGGTCAACTGCATGAATGAGCAGGAATGCACATCCTTCTGTCTCTCTCTAGTGTCCCTTCAGCTGGGCCAGAGGCAACCAGCTGACCCACACAAACTGTGAAATAAAAACTGTGCTGCGTAGGGTGCTACGTTTCTGGGTTCTGTGTTATGCAACAATAGATAACTGATATAAAGCCGTAGCTGAAGCTGTCCCAGGTCTCATGGTTGCTGGCCGGGCCAGCACTCCATGGAGATAGATGAAAATAATCCTATAAAATGTCCCTTGTTTTTTTATTTTTATTTTTTTTTTGAGGGAGATGAGCAAACTCGTAAGTGTAGCCCTTCATACTGTCACCCGTGCCTTTCTCTGCTATAGGTAAACAAAATGCCATCCACACTGAATTTCTTGCATCTCCTTGCAATGCTGTGCCATCTTTTACACCAGCACATGTACCATTCCCTCTGTATGGAGCTCTCATACACCTTTTCTGTAGGGAGACTCAGGCTTCCCCTCAGATCTGCATCACATTCCCACGGCAGGCTGTGCATCTCTTAATGACAAGTCTGATAACTGTTGCTTATTTAGCATGTCTAGTATTTGGTTCTCTCCACTAACTGTGAGTTTATTCAAGGACTGTATTTCTTCAAGCCATTGCAAGCACTTGGCCAACAGGTCCTGCATAAATGTTTTTTCAGTGAATAATGGAATGACCGCGGCTCTCACACAGCAGATTTTTTTCTGCATCCAAGCTCTTATGAAGTGCAAATAGGCTTTTCTTTATATTGTCTTAATATGTGACATGAGGGTTGTCCTTGCAATATAAACAGATCTGAAACAGAAAGAGCAGCTCAGTTACCTGACTTAGAAACAGGTTGGAGCAGAACAGTTTGGTCGGTAGATATCTATCAGAGAGTGATTGCACTGGGAACCATGTCTTAATCACACAACTTGGGGTTCAGGGGTTGCTGGGAAATGCAACGGTTAGAACAATCTACATTTAATTTGTGAATGAGGATGGAGAAATGGTGGTTTCTGTGCAGTCATTTTGTTCTCTCCTATTTCCCAAGAGGCTTGATACTTCCCTTTGTAGAGTTTGCAAATTTAAAGAATGATTATAACATTTGTTTTCAGATTGGTTATGGGTTTTGACCTAGAAACAAATTGGTCAGAGCCAGTGGCAGGGTTAGGGCCAATACACATCACTATGACAATTGCCATGTTCATCTCAGGTCTACCAAGGAATCCTTAACAGAGCCCAAATACAAAACTCAATACTAGGTACCATGTTTTGTTGTAAGCATAACATATAAAACTGACTTTTTATAGTGTAATTGCAAAATTCTGATAGACTAAGATCAATAACAGTTTTCTTTCTCACTTTCTCATTAAAATGTGTGACAAAGAAGAAATACCTGAGATACTTGGATGAAAGTCACTGCAAATACTTCAGGAACTCAAAACACCAACAGAATGAATTAGAAGCCTTCTTTTCTGCTGTGGGACCCAGAGCCAAAAATACTGGTCAATTTTCTAAGATGGGAAAAGTAAAACTGAGAGCAAAACTCTATTACAGAAAGGAACTTGGAAATTTGGCAAATATTTGTATAATTTCTACCCTCAATGAGATCTGGTTATGGATTTTATATTGATTAAACCAATGGAAACATTTGAAAATACCGACTTCATTTGGCGGGGGTGGGGGTGGGGGAAGCCTGTGAAAAAAGCAGTGGACGAACTTGGAACTTCTAGCTGAAGTGGGTGAGGCTGAGGGGAAGAATAGATATGAGAAACCATGTCTTATTCATCTCTGTGTGCCACACATAGTAGGTGTTCAATAAAATCACTGAGTGCATGAACACAATCACTGAGTGCATGAACACAGACCCTTAATTCTTAGTCCCAATGAAGGTTTCATAATCACTTCCAACTAACTTATAATTTAGATCACACGTTTAACAAATCTGCTTTAGAATATCATTTGCAATTATGTCTTATGAAAATATGACATCAGATTTCACGGTTTTATCCTGGTCTGGTGCATGTTCCTTGGTTGCCGTAGTAACGAGTTGCCATGGATTACGCTGCAGGAGTTGCAAGGGTCAGCGAAGACCAGAGCTCTGTCATTCTTCATTCAAAGGCAATTGTCCCTGAAAAATGTGACTTGCTTCAATATTTAAGAACAGGGCACTGATATTAAACAAGACTGATACTTCGGTTAAAAACCAATAATTAACCTTGTCTTCAACTCTATGTCACACTTTAATAGCAATTTCATAAAGTGGACATTCCTCTGTCTTTCATTCTTGAAGTCCTAGATAGGTTTTAAATAATATGTCTCCTGGAAAAGCACACGGGGAATCGTTGCAGTTTATTTTATGTCATTATCTAAGTAAGCCCTTGAGACCTTCCAATTCCAGCGCTTCTCTCCAGGGTAATTGCATGCATCTTGGGGAGATGTGACATGATGTTAATATTCAGAACACCATCCCTTTGAAACGATTCACAGCCTACAATGGAACACTGTCTTGGTGGCTTTCTGCAAAATTTATTTTTAGACAAGTATAGGGTATTTCCTTTCTAAAGAATAATTTTTTCTCAAAATCATAGTCTTTGATGTCGTGGGTTTATAATATGTATCCTGAAGACCAGTTTTAATTTTAATGTGGAGACTATGCAACTGGATTTTGTTATAATAAAACCCTTCAGGTTATAAATTAAGACCATCTCTGAGGCACATAACAGCTATTCTTTTCCTAACACTTCTCACTCTTTCTTCCTCACTAAATCATTTTAAATTACTGTATTGCCTTATACACTGTAGTACAGAACATGCTTTAGTTGCTTAAACTTTTTAATACCAGTGGAGTGAAATTTTGGCACACATGCAAGAAACATGTAAAATATTACTGTCTTTCAACACAAAGATTAGATGTTTCTCAAGATTTCACGTTGTTAGAAAACATTATCTCTCAAAGTGGTCAAATAATGCTAAATAGCTATTTCTTATAACAAGACAAAGTTGGAATATACATATATATTTCATTCATATATATAAATTAAAGTAGAATTATTTTTACATATTTGAAACTTTAGTTGTACATTAAAAAGTGAATTAATTATAAAAAATGTAAAAATATATTTAAAATATTTAAAATATAAGAATCTAGCTCTTTACTAACTACAAAAAGTTTAACACAAGTTTTAACAGGCTGTGTTCGGCCAGGCACAGTGGCTCATGCCTGTAATCCCAGCACTTTGGGAGGCTGAGGCAGGTGGATCCCGAGGTCAGGAGTTCGAGATCACCCTGGCCAAAATGGTGAAACCCCATCTCTACTAAAAAATACAAAAATTAGCCAGGTGTGGTTGTGGGTGCCTGTAATTCCAGCTACTCAGGAGGCTGAGGCAGGAGAATCGCTTGAACCCGGGAGGCAGAGGTTGCAGTGAGCAGAGATAGGGCCATTGCACTGTAGCCTGGGTAACAGAGCAAGACTCCATCTCAAAAAAAAAAAAAAAAAAAAAGCTGTGTTCAAATTCTCCATATATTTTTTTTTTAAAGGATAAAAGTGATTTTTCTTACCTACCTTGTTTGGTTCTAACAATCAATAAACTTTCATGCGATGCCACATTCATTAAGAGTCAGACAACATTACTGATGTTAGGAATGGAAATGATTCCAGTTTGCTCAGTTATTAAATACATTGATTATATAACAGAATATCATTTTCTTTGAGAGAAATAAATTTTTTATACTTTTTATGGAATACAGAAACTCTAGGCAAGATATTTGATTTACTGGAGTGTCTAATTATAGTTATAACTGAAAATGTTGTGAGTGAGTTATGCTGTTATTTATCCAACTTTTGAGTTTGAATCCATTTTGCAGCAAGACTGCAGAACACAGATAAACTTTGGAAAATAAATCTCAAATTCATTATAAATGATGATCTCTTCCTTATTCACCACTTCCCCAGTTCTCCCTGTCCCTACTCAACAAGTTTCAATGCAGACAAGCAGATTGACTATATTCTAATTAATAACCCAAAGACCTGACTCGTTCTTTTAAATTGCCAAAGTTGCTTTTGCTCCACATTCATCTGGTTTCAGAGAATGAAAATAATCCACAATTTAAATGAGTATATGCTAATATTACTCCTGAAGTTCTGAAACGCCTAGCTTTTCTAGATCTAGCTTTCACAGATGAAGGATAGAAGGGTTGCAGTGTTTCTTCTTGATAATTATATATTTACATTAAACATAGACTCAAACTGTGTGTTCATTCTTTAAAAATTAGCTCCAACAAATGTGGTCTTTGCAGCGCTCACCCTCCTTCTCCTCGGTGCTCCTGCTGGTGTCTCTTCTCGTGTACCCTACACTCCCTTTGATGTCAACGGGAGATCTTGAGGGGCAGAAGGAGGTTATTGAGAGGCATAAAAAGGAACCAGAAAATCAAATTGAAGGTTTACATCAATTAGTTGAGAACCAAATCATAGAGTGCACCAACTATTTATTCATTACACTGACATATTTACCAAATGTATGTTTGCCCTTATTTTAATTATGGGCATTATTATTTTATGATTGTTTCTGTTTTTCCTTTTAGGCACGGACTGGCTTTCCATATGGTGAAATCATGTTTTTAACATGTTAGTGAAGAAGGAGAAAGATCAAGCACTATTTTTTAAATAAAAGATTAGCAATTCCTTAAAATCTTTCTTTTCTTATAGGAGATAATTTGATTGTAATCTAGGTAAAATTCACAGGATTGAGCAAGCACAAATTAAGATGCTTCTAATTCAATATTATTCTTTTAAAATTGGATGCTTTTTATCTTCTCACTCTTCTTCCCTAACTATCCTTTTTCTTTTTCTGCGAGGCCGCTGGAGTGGCACTTCCTGAATGACATTTCAAGAGGACTTTCCAAATAAACGGCGTAACAAAGAGATCAAGCCTGCCGGGAAGCCAGAGCAAATTTTTTTTTTTTTTTCATGAAATGAATAGTTTTAATCATGTCTTTTCTGCCTACTCCGTATAACCTTCCAGCCTCCACCCCCACACAAATCCTAAGGCAGCAAACAAAACATTGAGACCCACTTCTTCACACCTTTTTACCAAGAAGGTTTACAATCAGTTAGGTCTCCAAGCAGGGGCATTGTTCCCCTGCACTCAAAGAGCCTGGGTCCCCATCCTCTGCCAGCTCATTGCTGTGAGAGATAAGCAGACCTCCTAAGGCTCAGTTATGATCTTGTTTTCAGTCATGCCTCCAGGATCTATAGCAATGCCAACAACAGCTTGAAAAATGGACCTGTTTTCAAAGAAGAGCTAGCTGTTGCTGTGACTGATGACTAGGGAACCTCTGGTTATTCAGGTTTTCAGAAAGGGTCAACTCTTCACTTCCAGCTAGTCTTTTCAGTACCTTGAAAATGTTAAGAAGCAGTTATTTTAGCATCAATTACACTTCTTTAAACTGCTAGGATAATTGCAAGCAAAAGTCAATGATCTCATAGGTATACCACTTTCATATTGTGAATGAGCCAGTTTGAAAAATCTTAAATCAAGGCATTTCAAACATTAAAGTTATTTTAATTCAGAGAAGACTTTTTTTTTTTTAATTGAGAGTGGAAATCTCTGGTGGGTTGCTTGAAATATTGGTTTTTAAAATTAAAAAATACCTGATAAGTGAATTTGTACCATCCCTTACGAAACAAACTTTTGATAGTCCACAAACTTTCAGTGGAAATGAATATTTTATGAAAACAAACAAACAAATGTTTCAGTTAAAATGTTTTGAGCAAAACTCCATATTCTCTTTTATTCAACTGTCCCTTCCACAATTATAGTAGTTCCCTCTTCTTAAGTCGATATTTATTAGGACGCACACAATGTTATTAGTAAGACACAGAAGCACTGTCTACCTCAGAATATCCTTGCAATTCTACTTTTAAGACTGTTGATAGTGCAACCACTTTAGACTCTTCAATTGAGCAAAACTCTGTTTCTTGGTATGAGGCAATCAGCTTTTCTGTGAGCTCAGAAATCTCTTCAATCTAACCTTGCCTTCAAATTTACACTTTATAGAAAAACCAAAGAATATGTGTACTACTTGAAGCTGTTTACCACAGTTTTTACTTGAAGCACAATTTCATGAATTTAATAAATATTGTCTAATGGTAGATTGAAGACCCAAGGCATGACTTAAATAGATACATGTTAAGATTATAAATGGGCCACGATCGCTGAACTCTTGCAATATAGTGTAACAGTGACACCTCACAGGAACAAAATAAAGATTTATAGTGAGAATGAAGCTGGCAAAATTGACCTCTGATGCCCAGATGCCACTCTCACCAACTTTATGACTTTACTGCTTCCCTCTACATCTGCTCCCCTCCCCAGTGATTCTCCTAATACACACACACATGCACACACACACATGCACATACATGTGCACACACACATACTTTCTCTCTCTCTTCCAGTTCCAATGTCCTGTGGCCGCATGCTATTTTCTTGGATCTTAGTTGGTTCTTAATTGCATGCGAAGAAAGCTGATTCTTTTTTGTAAGTAGAAAGGGATTTAATTAAAGAAATATTGGGTGGCAGAAATATTGGGAGGGTTGTAAAACCTGAGCCAAGGCTAAGCTTTGTGGGATAATGCCCACATCACCCCTCAGAGTTTACCTGATAAGGACACCGCCTCCACTGGGCTGCTCCAGTACTGCTGTCCCCACATCTTTCCTCTACACCAGGAGCTCCACTGTAACTCCTGTGAAATCACTGCGGCTTCCACCGATGACACAAAGTTGATTGTGTTAACTCCATCCCCTGCAAACATAGGGATGCAGGGCCTGTTGCCTTGTGTTGCCTGCTTCTTTGCATTAAAGTCTTGTGTGTGTCTATTTGACTGCAGAAACTTAGATGACATTCTTGTGTTCTGGTTGCACAGGAGATTGGAGAAAACTCAACTTCCTGAGCTCTACTTTGGGGAGCCAGGATTCTCAATGTTAGAAGGTTCCCAATCAAAGAGTTCTCAAGAAGGTAATGGGTCTAAGAAATTTTCTCTATAGGTGTTGAACAGCCTTGCAATACCACAAGCCGAATGATCCATCCATCCATCCATCCATCCATCCATCCATCTATACATCCCTCCTTTCCTTCTTTCACCCATCCCTCCCTTCCTCCCTTCATCCATCCATATATCCATCCATTCATCCATTCGTCCATCTATACATGCCTCCTTTCCTTCCCTTATTTATCCCTCCATTCCTCCCTCCATTCATTCATATATCCATCTCTCTTTCCATCCATCCATCCATCCATGTATACATCCCTCCTTTCCTTCTTTCACCCATCCCTCCCTCCCTTCCTCCCTCCACCCATCCATATATCCATCTATTTATCCATTCGTCCATCTATACATGCCTCCTTCCCTTATTTATCCCTCTATTCCTCCCTCCATTCATTCATATATCCATCTCTCTATCCATCCATCCATCCATCCATCATCCATCCATCCATCCATCCATTTGTTCCATATTTTAACAGCTATTGAGCATCTGAAGTGTGAGAGGGAAGCTGCTGGAAGCTCTGGGTACAAAAACAAATAAGGTGCAGAAGCAACTTGGAGGCACTGATCATCTAATGAGGAAGAAAGACAGGAGCAAGGCTGGGTGGTGTGAGCTACGGCTGGGATACCATGCAGACCGGGGTTGTGGTATCAGGCAGGGAGGAATGCCCCACAAAAAGCCCATGTGTTCCCCTGTACTTCTCGCCATCCTCACAGTGAGGTGTGGCCTGGCGACCAGTTCTCACCTGGGGACCTCAAGAGGGCTGGGCTGCAGCACCTGGTGCTTCTTGTTCCCTCTCTTCCTTCAACGTGGACACCTGGGAGACCTGTGTCCAAACTGATGTGAATGCAAAATGGAGGGCAGCAGGCAGACCTGCCCTGGGCTCTTTCTAAGCAAGATCTCATACTCTGTGTGAAGCCATTGAAGATGGCAGTGTCTTTCGGTTGTTGCAGACAGCATTAATTACCCTAATTAAAATTAGGCTGCACGGTAAATCAGGAAAGGTAGAGTTACCCAGAAAAAGGTGACTAGAAAATTTCCCCTTTCAACAATTCAGTGTAGCAAGTCAGACAGAGGAGTCTGGAGAGGAAATCAGAGGCCAGCTCTCAGAGGTCTCAGATGTGTCTTGCTATGAATTTGTTTTTTTCTTGAGGCTCGGGGGAGTTACTGAAGAATTTTAATACCTTTTCCACCTTTCCACCTGGGGAACAACTTACCAATATCCTTTGCAGCACTGAGCTAATCTGGTACACTAAAGTCTGCTGTGGCTAATAAAAAAGGATCAATCTTTCAGCCTTCCTGACTTTACTAGTTCAAATATGCAGTGCTTTAAGTATTATACAATTAGCCCATGAGGGTCTGCCTTGTGTAGGGTAAAGAACAACTTGTACTGAACATTGCGGTGCTCTTCAAATCACATGGAGCATCTCGTTTACTAGTCCAGCTTTGAGAAGACCAAGATATAACAACAATAAATTTATAGACCTTTTAAAAATGATGCTGAAGAAGTTCAGCCAATTCTCAGTGGCGCTCACCTAGGTCCTAAAGCATTTTACAAGGACTGTACGTTTTTCACATATAGCACGTGAACTATAGAAAATGAGTTTTTATCCTGTGGGAGAGGAGAAAGAGATCAGTATTACAGTTCCATTTTATTATATAGAAAAAATGCATAAATCCTAAATATTGGGAGTGAATGTTAGAGAAAAAGGTATAATTTGCAGTGTTTCATTTACTATCATAAAAAACCACAGAATATGAAAATTAGTCTAATGTACATATGCGATTAAAAAATCTATGTCTTCTTGATATTGTAACTTCTACCTGTGGTTTCAAATCTTCATTTTATTATATCTTTCTTGAACAAGTTAAAAGTCATAGTTTAGCAAGTTTGATGTCCTCGGAATTTTCTATTTAGCTCTATTTAGAACAATTAGTAACTCCTCTAAGGGTTAACACTGGAAAATTCTTTACATTTAAATTCTAAATCACAACATCCATTTATTCAAGACCTTATGTAATTGGAGATAAATGAGTTTGCATTAGTTTGCTAAGGCTGCCATAACAAAGTACTATAAACTGAGTGACTTAAAATAGCAGAAATGCATTGCCTCACAGTTTTGGAGGCCAGAAATCAGGATGTCAGCAGGGATACATTCCCTTGGAAGACACTGGCGCAGGATCTGTTCCCAGCTTCTCTCCTTGCTTCTGGTGACCTCAGGCATCCCTGAGGTCTTGGAGATGGTGGAGATGGTGGTGGTCTTTCCACTGCACCTCTTCACACCATCTTCCTTCCATGCATTCTGACCCATGTCTGGATTTCCTCTTTGTTTAAGGACAGTCTTACTGGGTTAGGGTTCACCCTGATGACCTCATCTCATCTTGATTATCTGCAAAGACCAGACACTATTCCCAAAAAAGGTCACATTCACAGCTCCTGGGGTTTGGACAGCACCATCTTTTGGGAACACAATTTGACCCATAACAATGTGTGTATTACTCAACTTTCACTAAGTTATGCTGGGTTACAACCCCAGAATCTCAAGGACTTAGCACAAAGACTTAGTCTGGCTCTCACGGGATGTCAGTTGCAGGTAGATGCGACATTGCCTGGCTCTGCTCTGCCTGTCTTCATTGCAGATCCAGGCTGAAGGATAAGTCAAGTCACCGTGCCCAGCCTAATTTTCTTCTGGTAGTTTCTACAGCCCAGAATCAAAAGTGGGGACAACTCATGGCTTAGTTTCTGACAAGGTGGGTTTAGAGGATGTGTGAATTCTGAGTGCTGGGAAAATTTTAATTGAAATGGTTGAACAGATGTGGTCTCAGGCTGGGTTGTCACAAAAATATCATAAGGCTTGGATGTCAGTGAGTGAGGGGTACACTTCTATTACAAGGAAAACAGAATAATTGGTAAAGATAGCCTACCATGATGTACAAAGACTTTTTTTTAATGTGAATGAAAGAAAATAATACTTTCCTTCTTCTGCCCCACCCCACAATATTTGTATTCATTGACCAATTACTTTTCTGATACTAATTTAGAAAATTGAACTCAATTTATACAGATACACCTAACACTGCTTACATTTACCACTCAATAGATGATGTTAATGAAGTGCTAGGATTGTGTAGGAATCTAAGCATTTTCCCTGGAAAAGTTTTGGAGGTTAGATTACCATCAGAAGCAGGTTAATTGATCAGTGACTACATAGGTGCAGAATGGTAAAAGGGTTAAGAGTACAGTTTCTGGAGTCAGAGTCCTAGAAGGTCAAATCCCTGCTTTACCATGTTCTAGTTGAGTAGCCTAAGCCTCAGTTTCTTCATCTGCAAAATAGGAGGAATGGAAGCAGCTGCCTGCCATGAAACACATTCGTGGAAGTGGCTTAGTGCAGTGCTCAGCAAGTGTTCTTACAGCTGTGGGGATTGTTTCCTTCCAGTCATTCATCCAGCAAGTACTATTAGTCTCTTTATGCCAGTTGCTGCACCCAGCACTAGTCCCTGTAGTGGTGCCGTGTGGGTGGCATAGACTTTCTTATTCTTTTTTTTTTTTTTCCGAGACAGAGTCTTGCTATGTCACCCAGGCTGGAGTGCAGTGGCGTGATCTCGGGTCACTGCAGCATCCGCCTCTGGGGTTTCAGTGATTCTCCTTCCTCAGCCTCCCAGGTAGCTGGGATTACAGGCATGTGCCACCACACCTGACTAATTTTTTGTATTTTAGTAGAGACGTGATTTCACCATGTTGGCCAGGCTGGTCTCGAGCTCCTGGCCTCAGGTGATTCGCCTGCCTCAGCCTCCCAAAGTGCTAGGATTATAGGTGTGAACCACTGCGCCCAGCCGACACAGACTTTCTCTCAGTGACTGTGATAGTCCCAGGGCTGGAAGGGGGCAGAGGCGCTAGGATGGAACAAGAGATGATGTCACCAAATGGTGTTGACAGCCATGTGCAATAAAAATACACATGTATATATGTGAACAACAGGATCACACTCGCTGTGACTGAGACAATGTGGGAGGCCACAGGAGCTGAGACTGGACGAGGAAACAGCATACGCCACGGTCACTCCTCTCAGCTGTCCGCCAGGCTCAGTGAGTGGATGGTCAGCATAAAGTTGTAGCATTTTGTATCAAATTGAATTAGTTATTCTTTCATTGAAGCTGGTACATCAAATTTATGTTAATTAGGCCGGGTGTGATCTCACGCCTGTCATCCCAGCACTTTGGGAGATGAAGGAGGGTGGATCACTTGAAGCCTGGACAACATGGTGAGATTCTGTCTCTACTAAAAATATGAAAGTTAGCTGGGCGTGGTGGCGGGCACCTGTAGTCCCAGCTACTGAGGAGGCTGAGGCAGGAGAATTGCTTGAAGCCGGGAGGTGGAGGCTGCAGTAAGCCAAGATTGTGCTACTGCACTCCAGCCTGGGCCACAAAGCGAGATCTGTCTCAAAAAAAAAACAAAAATGTTAATTAAATGTTTGAAAGATGCAGCTCCCTTGTAATGTATCAAAGTTGTGTTGTTACCATTAATCACTATTAAAAGGAAAAGCCTTCTGTGTTTTGTTTCTGAGGGGTGGTGGTAGCGATGGGATCTAATCTGAAGAATCCAAAACCCCCAAACCTACTTTCATGGAGAACTTGTAGGGTCTGTGGACCACAGTGCCCGCCGCTGCCTTACAGGGTGATGCTCACGCCATGGCCTGGACCCAGAGTCTGAATGCATGACCAGGTGAAGGAAAGGGGAAGAGGGAGGCCACCAGGGGAAACATCAGGCACCTCCGAGGCTGGTTCTCTATGAACAGAACAATGACCCTCTGGGAAAAGAAAGAAACATTTAGAACTATCTTTTGTTGGGTGGTGGGGGATGGAGTCTCACTCTGTCGCCCAGGTTAGAGTGCAGTAGTGTGATCTCAGCTCACTGTAACCTCCGCCTCCTGGATTCAAGCGATTCCTCTGCCTCAGCCTCCCGAGTAGCTGGGATTACAAGTGCCAGCCACCATGCCCGGCTAATTTCTGTATTTTTGGTAGAGACAGGGTTTCACCATGTTGGCCAGGCTGATCTCAAACTCCTGACCTCAGGTGATCCGCCCACTTCAGCCTCCCAAAGTGCTGGGACTAAAGGTGTGAGCCACCATGCCCAGCCTAATTTTCTTCTGGTAGTTTCTACAGCCCAGAATCAAAAGTGGGGACAACTCATGGCTTAGTTTCTGACAAGGTGGGTTTAGAGGATGTGTGAATTCTGAGTGCTGGGAAAATTTTAATTGAAATGGTTGAACAGATGTGGTCTCAGGCTGGGTTGTCACAAAAATATCATGAGTAAGTGGTCATAATACCTTGTAATTGATTGTAGTTTCCAGTTTCTCAGGGGCTCATGGGAGCCCCTGTTTGTTTGTATTTTACATCCAGAAAGGGACTCATGGGAGATGAGAGAGGGGATGAGAATCAAAGGTCACACTGAGAGTAAACAGGAGTGAGAGTAGGGGGTTGTAACCGGGGGTGGGGGAGGGGGAGAAGAATTTCTGAGTTTAAGATGGTGGAGATGGAGTGGCTTCAGGTAATGCTGAGGTCTAAGGTGTGGCTGTGAGTTTTGGTGCTAGAGGAGGGTATAGCTGAAGGCCACTGGAGGTTGTTGAAGTGTGAAGCTAGCCGTTTGCAAGGACCATTAAAATAAATGGCTCCCAGGACACTGCAAAGAGAAGAGTGATGGGCCAAGTGTGCAGATCCTCAAGGCATGTGGGTGAGGAGCAGACACCGGTGGAGATAGCACTGTGGTCAGGGAAGTGCTAATGGAATGGTGTGGACTTCAAAAGAAACCAGCTGGGGCAGAGAAGAGATCAGAGGTCAAGAGGTGACAGTAGCCGATTTGCCTTATTTTGGAAAACTGTAAAATGGGGCAACTCTGAATTCCACTTGGGTTAGTAAGAGAACAGCACATCAGAGGAAAAGAATGGTGTTGTTCCAGAAGTTGTTGACAATAGATTGAGGAAAAAGATGCTGGGCTGATGATAAATGCTAGCAGACAAACAAACAAACAAACTAAAACAACTGCAAACAGATGGGAGGTGGCAGGAAATTAGGTTTAATGTATTAAGACGCCTGAAGACGGACGGCTTCCAGGCTGACGGATTCAGTCTTCCCTCTTCATTCAAACACCCACATTCTTCCCGTTTTCCCTTTTGCTACATGCACTGTTTGGCTTGTTCTCAAGTTAATTCTTCTTCCATAGTGGGGAGAAAAGTTGTGTTAGAAGTGACCAAATCCTCTAGGAATTTTAGGAGGCCACACCCAGATGAAAGGTAGGTTCCTTCCTGGTTGTCTATATCAACAAGGAAATGTTTCCCAGATGCCTTTAAATTTCTTCTGATGTCATCATTAACTACATCTGCATCACACGTCTATTTCTAAACCAGCCACTGCCAAGGAGAAAGGGATTGCCACCACTGACTTTGCAAAGCAGTTTCCCATGAATAGACAACATGTTGTATGAAAAAATTGAAATTCTGTTAAAAGGGAGAAATTGTTGAGTAGACAACCAATAGCATCTGCTATATTTTATGTTAAACAAAATAATCACACAGATGTCATTAAAATCTGACTACGTGTATATGTATTACCAATTGGATAAATAAAAATGGAATTGTAATCTACTTCAATTTAGCTTGTGCTCCCACTGAGCCACCAGAATTACTGTTGCTAAAGTTACGATCATCTGCAGAACTACTAGGTCCTTCACAGTAAGCATCGTTCTTGACTTTTCGGCAGCAATCTGTGATTTGAGTTTTCCCGAGATTGTCTTTTCTCCTGGCTTCTGAAACATCGCACCCTTCTGCTTTTCCTCTTCCCCCTCTACTTACTCTTTATATTTTTTCTTTGCTTGTCTATTCTACACTCGTTGTTCTCAACAAGGGGTGATTTGGGGCCCCAGGGGACATCTGGCAAAGCCTGGAGGCATCTTTGGTTGTCATAATTAAGAGGAGGCTGCTAACATCTCGTGAGCAGAGGCTGCGATGCTGCCGAACATCGTGCCATGCACAAGGCTGCCCCCACAGCAACGATTACCTGGCTCCGTATGTCAGCAAAGCCAAGACTGAGGAAACCTGAACCAAGCTTCCTCTAACAGGGCTCCTCAGGCGCCAGTGCTGGCCGTTCTCTTCCCATTCTACCTTCTCTCCTCAGATCATCTCATCTTTTCCCACAGTTTAAAACACCATTTATATACCAACAGAACCAATTTTATTATATTTTCAGATCTGATTTCTTTTCTGAGTTACAAGTCTAGATGTTTAACTGTCTACTCAAAAATTACATTTAGGTATTACACAGGCATCTCAAACTTAGTATTTTCAAAACTTATTTGACCATTCATCCCAAATTCACTCCTCTTCCTCGATTCTTCATTTCAGAAGGAGTTATTATTCACCCAGCTGTGGAAACTAGAGGCCCATAAGTCCTTCCTGAAGCCACCATTTCCACAACTATCACCACATTTGTGGTCCAACACTGAGACCTACTGCTTTTAACTCCAAAATTACCTTGGCTCAGGCCCCACCTGACTACCACCTCCCTACTTCTGGCACTGACACCTCTTACTTTTTTGTTTTTTTTGGTAGACCATGGGTCTTGCTATATTGCCCAGGCCTGTCCTGAACTCCTGGCCTCAAACAATTCTCTTGCCATGGGCTCCCAAAGTGCTGAGATTACAGGCATGAGCCCCTGTGCCCAGCTCACCATCACCCCTTAACTGGCCTCCTGGCATTGCCTCCGTGCTGGTCTCCAGACATTCACTTCTACTGCCCTCCAATCTGTTCCCCAAATATTATCGAGGCAGGCCTTGTGAAGCTAGACCACGTCACACCCATTGCACTTTTGATAGAAAACCTAAAATCCTCAAGTCAACCTATAACCCTCCTCTCTGGCTTGTCTTAGATGTCTCCTGTTTGTGTTTCCTAGAGCTCCCACATTAAAGTTCAGTACCAAAAACGAGGTGCCTTCCACAACAGAAATGTATGATACCCATGTTCTAGAGGCTAGGAGTCTGAGACCAAGGCGTGGGCAGGGCTGTGGGGGAAGCGTCAGTTCCAGACCCCTCTCCTGGGCCTGTAGATGGTCTTCATGTTCACATGGTTGCCTCCCTGTATGCATGTCTGTCTCCAAATTTCTCCTTCTTATAGGGAAACCAGTCATGTTGAATCAGGCCCTGACCTAATGATCTCGTTTTAACTTGATTAACTCTATAAAGACCCTGTTTCCAAACAAAGATCACATTCATAAGTACCAGGAGTTAGGACTCCAACATAGGAAGTCTGGGGAGACACAACCCAATCCATCACACCCCTCTTAATTATTGAGGATTTCTGTATCTGTTTCTTCAGTCTAGAAAGCTCTATTCCTTACTCTCCGCTTCATTAGCATCTATTTCATTCAGCAGGCAGGACCCAGGTTAAATGTAGCTTCTTCCGACAGGTAATCCTTGATGCCTCCTCTAGGTGAGGTCCCCTGTGACATTCACTCATAGCACCTTCTGCTTTGACTCCCTGTGCTTGTAGCAATTCTAAATTATATATTTAGGTGGGGATTCTTTTTTCTTTGCTGTGTTCCTCTCCTGCATAGTTTATAAGTTCCATGAAGACTAAGACCATGTCTGATTTGTTCATCACTGCATCCCCAGTGCCTACGAAGTGGTCTACAGAAAAGTACTTAAACATTATTGACTGAACGTGAATTAAAAATCATTCTTAGTCCTCTTCTCTTCCATCTTCACCTCTGATGCCATTTTTTTTTTCTCAGAAGGAACAGTTTTCGCATTTTCTCACTAGTGTTTCTAGGTAAACCACAGCAAGCTGAGCACACAAAGCTGTTGACGTGGAAGCTGGGGAGGTGGGTTGGATTCCTCACTAGCCAAGTGACCTTTTACCACCCCAAGGTCCATGATTTACGTCTGTTTTTCAGAAAGACCACTAATGACTATGTCCTATGAACATTTACGTTGCCTTTTTATTAACCCACAAAGGTTACATCTTTGAATGCCAAAGTTCTTTCAAATGAAAGTTTATGAAAATTGTACCCTTGCCTGCAGTAAGGCCAATGCATATATAGATTGAATAAATGCATGTGAATTTTCTTTGCTTTTTCTTGGTATTGTATCAATTCAGTTTGATAACACAAATTATTTCACACTGATTAGAAGAGACTCACTTTCTCTCTCTCTCTCTATATATACACACATATAGATACACATATATACACACATATGTGCATACATATACATACATATATGTGTATATATATCACATAGGAAAGCAAATATGTTGTTACTAATAAACTCAAGTAACTTAGTATAAAAGCTTTCCAATACATAAAGTCCATGGAAGGAGGTTTCCTCTTGGGGGTGGAGTGGGCTGGAACGTTGGCATGCAAGGCAGGTGCAGCATAACTGATAGCAATGTCTTCATTTGGACCGGAAAAGTCAAGGAGAAAGAGTTGTACCAGTCTTTCAATAGCTTCTACAGATCCATTAAACTTAAAATAGATTGATCTCCAGAGACAGTCAACTTCCCGGACACAGCAATTACAGTGAAAGATGGCAAGCCCAAGACATCCATTTAATGGAAACCTACTGCCCAATACAGCTGCCTCCATAATTCCAGTTCTCATCCTGTGCAGGCTGCTTCTCCATCTCTGCTGCCAAACTATTCAGTGCCAACGTGTTCTCCAGCCTTAAAAGGCAGAGAGGGATGAATTTCTGAACTTTAAAGGATGTTCATCTGGAAATGAGGCAAACTTAGGATACTTTGAAAAACATTAAATCAACTTTAAAAAAGGAAACAAAGCCTAGGAAAACAAAATATGGGTTAGGTGACATATACCAAGACAATTGGCCTATGCACAGTTACTTCGAAGACACTGGAACAATGCTTAGACCAAGTAGCTCCAATTTACCCAAGGAATGAAAGCAAAAACACATCATTATATATTTTTAAAGGTCTGTTTTATGAAAAATATATTCTGAAATAATATCCATCAAGTTAAAGTTGGATTCATGTTTAAGTGGTAGACTTGAAAGAAACTTTTATAAGCTACATAGAGTTTGGTTAGGTATAACATATTCATCCATGTTTAAAATTAATATTTATTGGGAACCATTTAAAGGGCAACTTATCTTCCAAAGATTGGAGGAATGTCAGAACTGAAATGGTAATTTACAGACCATCAGATCTTCTCCCACTTCCTCAAGAAATGGAGATCTAGAGAGAAGACACTCATTTATCTGTCCTGTGTTATAGTAGTTTGTTATTAAAGAATACTATTTTTCTCCTGAAAATAAATTCACAAAGTGCCTAACCTAGGTAGCAGCAATGTCCCAGGGAATCTGGCTACTCTTCAAAGACTTTGAAAGTCGTGTGCATTTTCTGCTGGGCGCGCAGCCCTTCTGGAACATGTCAGTATGTTATTCTTCAGGGCATCGTGCAAGACCCATTGCCTATGGCTAATAGTCTCAAATGTGTATGGATGGATTGGAATTCTCTGCTGACCACAAAAAGGCATGTGTGTTTTGGTTCAATGTACTTTTAATAGTTAGAGACCTCGTGAAAATAAAAAATGTTCTAAAGTTATAAAGATGTATGTGAATATTGCAGTTAAATACAATAGGCAATTGTAAATAATTTAACTTTAAATAAAAAAAAACCTGACAGCCAAGTCTAAGATTAAATAGAATGTTTACTTTTCTCCCCAGTTTATAATTCTCTGTTCTCTTCCATTCCTCATTTACAAGCCAAGTTCCATACTGTTAGCCAATAATTTTGTATTTTATATTCAACACATTTAATTTTCCTAGAGCTATGAAATATCATTTACAACTTTCCACAACTTATTTGACTATTTCTTATCAATTTTGGATCCATAATTGCTTTCTCACACCTCTTGTTGATTCATCAGATTCTGTCTAGATGAGGCAGTCTTATTGCTGCAAAGCTGTTTAGTCATTATATTGAATTAATGCAACGATACGCCCCATGCACCAGAATTCTCACCTAGGAGCTTGTATTTACAGCTTCCATTGCTTCCTTAGTGTCATCTTCTGGTTATTTATTTATTTATTTATTTATTTATTTATTGAGACCGAGTCTCGCTCTGTCGCCCAGGTTGCAGTGCAGTGGCGCGATCTCAGCTCACTGCAACCTCCGCCTCCCGGGTTCAAGCGATTCTCTTGCCTCAACTTCCAGGTGCCTGACATCATGCCCAGCTAATTTTTGTATTTTTAGTAGAAACAGGGTTTCACCATGTTGGCCAGGTTGTTCTCGAATTCCTGACCTCAAGTGATCCTCCCGCCTCAGCATCCCAAATTGCTGGGATCACAGACACGAGCCACCGCGCCTGGCCTGTGTCATCTTTTTAAAAACCATTAAAGAGAGGAAAATGTCTAAAGCTGTGAGTCTATTTGCTGTTAGCACCATTGGCAGCACATGGAAAGTAACACCTATGTTTCCTGAGTGCTTTCTATATGCTACTAACGTTTCTAGGCTTTTTAAATGTTTTTGTTCGTTTGATCTACATTTTAATAAAATTATTACCATCTTCTTTAATAAGCCATTTAAGTTTCATTATGTTTGAATAGAATACGTGCTTAGAAAAAAATCAGTTTGGTTTCTTCTCCTAAGCCCTCAGACTCAGTAAAGAGTGATATATGGTAATGTCTGGTTGAACTCATATGTTAAAAAGAAAAACACCAAAAGTTTGTGATCTTGTTCTTGGCAATCTCCTGCTCAGGAAACATCAATTCCCAGTGCTTGGGTTTCTAAAAATGATAACCTCTGAGGCATGCACCAGTATCTGAAGAAGTAGGTTTAATTTGTTTAAAGTTTCAACTATTACCATGCTGACAGTAGCCTAGATGCTCGTCTCCCAGTGTCAGGCTGGACTGTAACAGCTGAAGAGGCCATCCAGTGCTTCTTTCTCATTTTATGAGTCTGAGACTTAATGGAGTACTGTATGGGAACTTGGCAAGCACTGTTTTCACCTGGGGTGGTTGTGGAGGGTTATTCCATTAGTTGGGAGTGGTTTCCAAGGAACACTTGCTGTCAGATTCCCTATTGTCAGTGACTCATTTATGTGACAACCCAGCATGCTCCTGGCAGCGACAAAGTCCTCGGGGTAGCAGTGCTTTGGGGCTCACCTCTTACCAACAGGTGTGGGCAATAGCAGAATCCATCTTGCAAATTAAATGCGCTTAGGTATTTTTCAATTTTACTGTTATCACTGTAAGTGGCAGAGAGGGGAATTGAACCATTATTCTTTTAAAAACTATTACAAAATATGTATTATTACTAATCAATAAATAGGATTTTCCACTGCTTCAGTTACTCCAGGAGAACAAGGCAGGGAGTTTAGGCATCTTCCTCTGCTCCTTCAAACCCCCAAAGTTGTCTTCCGTCCTGTAAAAGACAACTTGAACTTACTAACCACACAAAGCCTGGCAGTATGAAAGGTTCATGCACTTTCTCAAAAGGGCCTGCCCTGTGCCAGGGGCTTGTTGAGGGTTCACATCTTTTTTTCCATCTTTTAATGAATCTTACTATAAGCAAAGCAATGGGCTCTGAGCCTGGAAGGGGAGACACAAATAAGAAATAAGACACAAACTTTGCAGCAACGTGTGTACACCAAGCCATTCACACGGCACAAGAAGTTGCTGATGTCTTGACCCTGGAGGAAGCTTATTCGCTGTCATTGCAGCCGGCCTCCATATTTCCCAAGGTAAAGGAGCCTCACATTTCCTAAATACCTAATATATGTTCATATTCGTTTAGCAGGGCTTCCATAACAAAGCATCACAGATGGGCGCCATGAACAAGAGAGATGTGTTTCTCGCAGTTATGGAGGCTGGAAGGCCACGATCATGTGATGGGCTTGTTTTTTTTTTTTTTGTCTGAGGCTTCCTCCTTGGCTCGTAGAGGGTTGTCTTTCTCTTGTCTTTTCATGATCTTTTCAGTGTGTGTGTCTGTGTCTTTTTTTTTTTTTTTTTTTCCGCAGTGAGTACAGCCGCTCCTAACGCTGCTGCTTCTTGGTCTTCAGGTTCTCCTCGGCTTGTTGAGCCGGCGGCGCCTGGCGTGAGTCTTCTCAGGCCTCAGGGTCAGGGGCTCGCATCTCTTGCCCTTGCAGAATTTCCTGATGTTTTCTTTCTGAGTCTGGTTAATAACGGTGAGAACACGGGCAACGGACTTGCAGACAACTCGAATCTTAGAGAGCTTGGAGGCCTCGCCGCCTGTCACTTTGGCGACTCGCAGCTGGGACCGCTCCACCTTCAGGTCGCCCAGCTGTTTCAGCAGCTCCGCCTCCTTCTTCCTGTGAAGGTCTCGAGACTTGATCTTGGCCATTGCTGCACAGGCCACCCATTCATCATGTATATAGACACATATATACATATATATATATAGACACCAATCACATTGGATTAGAGCACACCCATATGACCTCATTTAACCTTAATTACCTCTTTAAAGGCCCTATCTCCAAATATAGTCATGTTCTGAGGTACTGAGGGTGAAGGCTTCAACATGTGAATTTCGGGGCACAGGGTTCAGCCGATAAACTATGCCAAGTCTTTTATACATATTATTATCTCACTTACTCATGACAAAATTCCTCTATGGGAAATGCTATCGTTGACCTTTGCAAATAAACAAATCAGGGAAGTAGAATAGAAAAATGCAGAGATTTCGGGCTTTCTAATGGGGCTGATTTCCAATCCAAGCAATTCCTTGTAAGCTATGTGAACTTGGCTAACCCACTTAAACTCTAAGCTTTATCACACAAAAAATGAAGATGAATTTCAGTGAAGAATCAGCCTTCCCCAACAATACAATGCTACCTGTCTATAGTTAGACAAAGAAAGTTAAGATCTCAACTATTCAAGAGATCCTTACTATTTTTCTTCTATCGATAAGCAATTGATCACTTATAAATATGAAATGTTTTACCAGACAAATATTGGGATCCTTTAAAAATGTATGTTGTTTGCTTTATTTTCAAAGAGGCTTCTCAAGCTTTGGTAACTTATTAATAAAAGGCCCTTTCTCCCCTCCAGTACTGATGATTATAAGGTCCTCTCTCCTATATCTGACTCATGGAGCAAATCTTTATGAGCAAAGACAGTGTTTTCCTGGAGGGAATAACTGGTTGAACTCGTGTGTTTACAAAAAAAGCCTGAAGTTTTTTTTTTTGCTCACTGCAACCTCTGCCTCCCTGTTTCAAGAGATTCTCCTGCCTCAGCCTCCTGAGTAGCTGGGATTACAGACACTCACCACCATGCCTTGCTAATTTTTGTATTTTTAGTAGAGATGGAGTTTCACCATGTTGGCAAGGCTGGGCTCAAACTCCTGACCTCAAGTGATCCGCCCTCCTCGGCCTCCCAAAGTGCTGGGATTACAGGCGTGAGCCACCACACCCGGCCCCAAAGCCTGAAGTTTTGATGAGGTAACAACCTAAAGGTTGAGGATTCCAGTTTCTGATAGGATAAGCTTCTCCCTCCTTTTTTTCCACCTTTTTTTTAATGATAAACTTACTTTGAATTCTGAGTGTGTGGACTTTCTATACCACAAATATTCTACCTCTTAGGGGTGCTGTACTGACTCAATGAAATGATCTGTGAATAGCAAATTGCCTGGGACACTGTCAATATTTTAGATGTAAAATGATGGAGGATAAATAGCTGGTGTCCTGGGATGTAATCTCTTCAGTTTCTCTGAGAATCCTCGTGTCTCAGAGCCAAGAACTTTCAATAGCTGCCGTTGCTGAGGTTTTATTATTTTGGAATCAATGAGAGTTAAAATACAATGAAACAAGATGAGGTTTTTCATGTGATAATTCTATTTCCTTACAAAATTGGACAAAAAAATATTGATTAAGATTCATAACAAGGCTCATCATTACATAAATTTCTAAACTTCTGATTCAAACGAGGTACCACGAAGCTGATTACTTCCTGCAAAAAAATGGGAGGCGAACTTGTACATAAGGGAAGAATTATTCCTTTTTCTTTTCTGGCTTCTGCCTAAAATGGAAATTTTCCTGAAATTGAAAATTTTAAATTTTCTTGTTAATTGCAGTCACTACTTCTGGGAATGAACCTTAGACGCTCCGTATTCCCAAGAAGGCTCTTTCTCAGGGGTTTATAGAACAACTTGGGCTAGCTGTGGTTCTTTTGCACTCAGCTGAGAAGGGAGTGGTTGCACCCTACTTCCCAGGCCTTCCACAGGCCTAGTGCTGGCGGGTGGGCGGGTGAGCAGGCAGGCTTCTCTCAGGTGACGGTGACAAACTCTTGCAAACGTGCAATAGAAAGTGGAAGGGGAGTTACCTTCCAGAGACTGGGTTAGCTTAACCTTCCCCTCCCACATTGTACTTTTCACTATAAAGAAGTAAAAAGGTCAATCTTCCCCTTGGGACTGGTCTCACCAGTCACTTCGATAAAAGATACTGTCTTGAGTGACTTTCCAAGCCCCGGGCTAAGTCTGGAGGTCAGAAAGGGTCAGGAAGTCCCCCCCAGGGAATTCATTCTCCAATTCCCCTCCCCTTAGGTGTCGTTAGGTTGGCCTTTGTTTGCATTCAGACTTCAGGAACCTTTGTTTTCAGCTGGGCTGGGCTTTTTGCTGGGGTCCCACATTGTGATGTGTGTGGTGGGCTCTGAATTTTAGATGTGTCTGTTCCATTTGGTTTTCACTTTTTTGACATAGTTCAGTATCTGAGTCATTCATTGCCTTTCCCTGTATTTGAGCTCTGATTAATAGCTAATAGGACGAGTGGATAACACTTACACAGTGCTTACGACGTGCCAGGCGCTGCTCTGAGAGCCTTACAGATATCAACTTATTAATGGAAATTTCCAGGTTTCCAGTCTGCAGAATCTTTCGTATCAGGGCAATCCATATTTTTAAATTCAACCAATGCGGGTAAGAGGCTCACATGGTGCAAAGCATAGATGCAAAGAAGAGGAATTGAGTGGCTACCCTTCCCGAGCCTCCCGTGTGAGAACGTGAGTTTACAGGTAAGTGTTTCCTGTGGTAGGTTTTGATGGATGTAGAGAGATACACAGATAAAGTACTAAGGGAGGCTCAAAGGAGAGGAGGAACTCACATTGGGTTGTGATCATCATGAAAGAGCCACTTTGGGGAACAGCAAATATTTTAAATGGCAGCGGTGGGAGGGGAGCATGAGAATCACGTGCCATGTGCAGGCACCAGAGGGAAGCTCAGGCTTGTTCAGGGGCAGTGACAGCCAGCTCCTGACCTCCAAAGCTGGGACAGTAGACGGCCTATCTAAAAAACCTGGGGGTTTTCCTAAGGGCAAATGACAGAAGAGTTGTTTGTATTAAATGTCAGGAGGATAAAGTGTAGAGCCAGGAAGAAGAGGAAGCTACTGTAACAGTCAAGCAGAGAGGGAATGAACCTGGAGACGGAGCAGTGGCAATGGAAATCAAGAGAGCTCAAAGCGAGTTTGGGCTGCTGAATCTCACAGTAGGAGGCGAGGAAGAAGGGAAGAGCCCGCCACTGTTCCAGAACTTTTAAGGCTGGCATAATTCTGTCATTAGTTACAGAAGCTGCGGATTTAGGTGGGATATATGCGTGTGTCACTCCGCACAGGGGAGGATAATTGTATTTGTTTTGGACATGTTGAGTTTGAGGTCCTGCTGAGACATTAGGACAGTAGAGGCACGCCAAAATGACCAAGCCAGCGCTCTGCCAGTGAAAGTCTTACTGCAAAATAAATGCACAGAGTAAATATAGTCATTCAACTATGTCATAGTCTTACTTCTACCAACAGACCAAAACAATTATCAAGAGTAGAGTTCTTAAAGAGGTCTGTAGCAGCCGGGCGCGGTGGCTCATGCCTGTAATTCCAGCACTTTGGGAGGCCGAAGCGGGCGGATCACGAGGTCAGGAGATCGAGACCATCCTTGCTAACATGGTGAAACCCTGTCTCTACTAAAAATACAAAAAAATTAGCTGGGCGTGGTGGCGGACTCCTGTAGTCCCAGCTACTCGGGAGGCTGAGGCAGGAGAAGGGCGTGAACCCGGGAGGCGGAGCTTGCAGTGAGCCGAGATCGCGCCACTGCCCTCCAGCCTGGGTGACAGAGCGAGACTCCGTCTAAAAAAAAAAAAAAAAAAAAGGTCTGTGGCATGACCTCACCTAGTTATTTTCTAATATATATACGTATGTGTGTGTTTTATGTCATTTACCTTTGAATAATTCACATGAAAATAAAGATTACATATGTGTGTTTAGTTACTGCTAAATACAGAAAACACAAATTACAAACAGGCATAAAACAAAAACAAAATCAAAACTGTAACGGACTCATCACCCAAAGGTAAAAAACTATTAACACTTTACTGTATTTTCATTCTTTGATAGTTTTTTTCAATGTGTAAGTTTTCCCCCGTGTATTTGTAATCATAATTGTAATTTTTAAATCATTAAATCTGATTCTGACCTGCTTTTAAATCAGCTGTTGTACACACTCCCTGTGTAATCATCTCCCATTAAATATCTTTAGGGAACTTAGAAAAAAATTATAGTAAGAAAGAAAATAGAGCTGATAGAATTCTACCTGTTCTTTGGGCAATCCCCATAACATTTTTTTGTTTTTTTTTGCTGCTTTGCAATTTTCCAATGTTTGGACGTCTATTAAATTAAATAGAAGCTACCAGCATCTACTTTTATTTGTTTATCTTTGGGTGTTTATCCTCAGAATGGT
The DNA here is from genome assembly GCF_000001405.40 of Homo sapiens. Taxonomy (NCBI): domain Eukaryota; kingdom Metazoa; phylum Chordata; class Mammalia; order Primates; family Hominidae; genus Homo; species Homo sapiens. The sequence goes on along the minus strand of NC_000013.11, from coordinate 106,421,396 downwards.
CAGTAAATTTACATTATTTATGAAAGTGGAGTATAGCCCCAGATGCTAACAATAGTATAGTTTGTTATAATTCCACATTTATGTCCAATGTACATTGGAAAATACTAAATTTTCTGCCAAGCTTCTATAAAATCTAAGGAGTATAGGGGAAATGCTTTGCAGTTTCCATCATAAGGTAGATGAGATTAAAAAGAAATTAAACCCAACTCAAATATTCATAAATATTTTGAAGTTATTAGGGTAAACAAGATTCCTTTCTCATGCCTTTTCTACTTTCAACCAAAGGAAAAACACACTCAGTTCTCTTTAGTTTGTTTATATCAGAGGATACTGACCCTAGAAGCAAATACCAACCACACCTGTGGGACTGTTCCTAGGCCATTTGACATCCAGGTGGGGCTGATCCCTGGAGGAAGTTAATCTGTAGGGATCGACTTAATTTTCACTCATCTCTTCAGACTTTGTTTGCCTTGGAAAGCATCCTGAGGGACAGGATCCTTTAGGAAGATTTTCAAGAAGCCCCCTTAAGAATATTTTTTCCCTGCAAGGCCAGGAAGTGCCATTTTGTCCAAAATAATTGGAATTCAAACCTCAAAAAGGCTGAATTCATTTGAAAATTTGAAGTGTCAATTCAAGAAGGTTTTACATTTTGTAATGTTTTCTTATCCATGGCATAAGGAAGCATACAATTTGAAAGTTAGACTTGCTTAATTTAAAACCCATATTCTAGTTTTGTACCAGTGTTTTATCTGGTAATATTTAGTCCTAGTATATGTAGGCTGGGGACAGGATAGAGTCCAGTATGAATACCACATACAAATTATATGTTTATAATCACATATATGGCTATGATTTTTTCATTTTATAAAAATCAAGTTATTTTCTTATTAATGATAAAAACATCCTAACATTTTGTGTAATAAATTGCTTTTTGTGAAGTATTGGAAGATAACTCTAGGAATCTTTTTGTATTCACTGGAGGTACTGCTATTTAAACAATATCCTCCCCATTTATGATCAGAGCCAAAATGTTTTTAAAACATGATGCAAAGTATTACAACGTCTCATTATGGGGTTGAGGTTTCCTTTAACATCGTGTTTATGGATTTGAGAATCAAGTAAAGATAATAATTGAAGGGTTGTCTCTACTCAGCAGTTGAGATGGGAGATGGGGGAAGACGGTGTCAGCAGAAACCTGGTTACACGCAGTCAGCTCTGCCCTCCTCCATGGGAAGGAAGGCAATGCCCAAGGGTTGCCTTTGTAAACTACTCTCTTGATTTGTTCCTCAAAATTTTAAAAAGATTTAAAAAGTGTCTACCTACCCATTTTATTTTAATGCTAATTTTGAGTGGGCTAAATGGGACATTTTGATGTGTGGTACCGTTCACATGCATAATGGGTTCAGGCTGTCTCTGTGCTTTGAAAAGTCAATGTCTTTCGTGTGCCTGGTTGGTCAACTTTAATTGGGAAGGTGCTCAATTCTCCATTTCATTAAATCCCCACCAACCAAGAACAAAAGTGAAACTCTTAGTTATTATAAAAATGGAAAAACAAAAATCATTTAAAGTCATGCCTCAAAGAAACCCATCCTGAAAAGGACAAACCTGGGGGCCAAGATCACATGTTCTATGACAAACAGCAACGAAGATGTCCACCAGATATTCAGTGATCTTCAGAAATGATTCTGATATTCAGAAATCGTTGGAAATAGCTAATGCACCCGGGCCTGAATACCTAGGGGATGGGTTGATGGGTGCAGCAAACCACCATGGCACACATACACCTATGTAACAAACCTGCATGTTCTGCGCATGTATCCTGGAAGTTAAAATAAAATTAAGAAAAAAAATTGTTGGAAGTATTGGGAATAGCTACTTGTTATTTAGCACTTCCCTGCCAGGTTCCTTATCAGCATTATCTAATGTAATGTTCATAACAACCGTGTGGAATAGGATTTATTACTAACATTGGAGAGTTGAGAAAATAGACTTCAAAGTTAAATAAACTTGGCCCACATTTCCCAACTAGTTAAGGGGTGAAGCCCTGACTTGAACCCCACAGCTCCTCCTTACACAAAGACCCTGCTTTTGCTTAATTTTTATTCTCTTTCTTTGTGCTTTGGGATCTAGCATTCTGAATAATTTAGTAACCATTCAAAAAAAGGTATCTTATCCAAACTAAAAATAATTACATACAGAAAAGATAGTGTTTCTATATACTAGATTTCTTAAGAAGCAAATTCTTTTAAAAATTTTTTTGGAGGGATGAGTTGAAAAACGACCTCTTGGGTAACTATGCTTACTATCTGGGTGCAATCTACCCGTGTAACTAACCTGCACATGTACCCCCGTCTTTAAAATAAAAATTGAAACTTTAAAATTTGACTAAAAATGATGTTTTTCAAGCATAATAAATATTCTCACATTATCTAATCCTTTACATAAATGATAACTAAAAGCAGCTTGAACTTAGGGAATAAAAGGAAGACACCAGGGTTTTCCCATTTCCCAATAAAGCAGAGAAAAGCTGCTTCATTCCACCACTTGGGAAAGACATCACTGTAAAAGCTTTGGGAGTGGTATCAGGCTGTCTAGAGAGCTTATATTTAATCAATCGCATATGACTTCCCTCACAGTGGATGAGCTGTTCAGCTGGGTACTGAAGGGCAACCTGCCAGCCTCTTTACTCATCCAGCCTTAGTTTTCTTTCTGGATTTAAGAGGTCCTGGAGTCTTAATGATATTCATCTGTTATCACTTTCAGCTTAAACAGCTAATCACAGTGCACGTTATGTTTGATCAGTTCTTCTTTCCCGGAGAACGTGAAAACAGAGCAAGATGCTGGCACCAGGAGACGTCAGGAGAACCCGGACTCTGATGGGGTAGTGTCCCTGCACTGTATTTTATCAAATGACATATTGATCCGTGCCTGCCTAGGAAACCAGTGGGGGGCAAAACTGCTGAAAACTTTTAGTGCTTTTCAAATAGGCAAAGACATTTACAAAACAATATCTTTGTAATGACTGTCAGAAGCGCATCACTGTCTTTATGTGGAGAGAGATTTAGAATAATTAAATATAGTAGTCAGTGGGACAGAAAATGGAAAATTAGTAGAATAAATTAAATACATTTTCTCATTTGGAAAAGAAAACAGATACCTTTGGTGATTTGGACCCACACTCTTCAAGAAGAGACAATTAACTCTTTTTCAATTTGTTTCCAAAAAAAAGATAATTATGTAGTACCCTCTGTTGCAATTCAACTCAGAGCATTTTGTCAATCCCTTGATTTAATGACGGATGTTTAAACCTAATGGCATTGCAGAACAAACTTTAAGATGGCTACAAACCAGATGTTCTCAATATTGTCATTTTGGGAAGCAAAAAAAAAAAAAAAACAAAAAACAAAAAAACAAAACTTTGTTTCACATTGCCATGGGCAAAAAGAAAATCTGTTGAAGAAGCTGCGGGATGACGCAGAGCCAGAGTGTAAAGAGGGATCCTAAATTGTATTTGTATTCCAAAAACGAAAGCTCACCCGCTGCAAATGAGGGTTTTCTGGAAGTTCAAGAGATCAAGTTCACTTTTCGTATGACATGCACGTTATTTTGAGCAAGTGAAATGTGAGTGTTCCTGTCGTCATAACACGGAGAAGGTAAAAAGCTGGGCATTCACAGCTGCGAGGCCAGGAGTTGACACGCAGCAAAGGAACCTCAGACCTTTGCATCTTCAGCCACACCTGCTTCTCCTGTCGCTCCCCGGGGTAGAGCAAGCGGCTCGGCAGTCTCATGATTTCTTTCCCTGACCAGCCGGCAGTAGTTGGGGGAAATGGTAAGTCACAGCTGTTACTAAAAAAAAAAAAGAAAAAAGAAAAATCAAAGTTCTGAAATTCATGTACCTATAATAAGAATATAAATACCAGGTACTTTTGCCTACTTAGCCGATTCTAGTTGTATATTTTGTCTCCTTTCCCCCGATTTTTCCTCTTCAAAGCAACTTCTGAAGTTCATTTTAACCAGACTTCTCTTATAAAACAAAAGGAATTTGGGGACAGGTAACTCTTAGCCCCAGTCTTTGCCCCGTCTGAATCTGAAGGCTTTTCTAGTTCCCTGATTTAGAAAAACAACTATCTTCGTGGCCACGGTTGTTTCCTGCTTTCTGCCTATTCATCACTGCACATTATTAACCCGGAGATATGAAGCACCTCTCACCCGCCCAAATTGTATACTGTTTCTAATGTAGATAACCATCTTTATAAGGCAAAATGAAGAATCAGTTTATTGCAAAAATAATCATTTAAAAAAATTTGTCAGAATAGGCTAGTAAGAATCAACTCCCAAATGTCAGTGGCTTAAAATAAGAAAGGTTCATGTACATCCTGGGTGGTGGCATTGTCCCTTTGTTACCCGGGTAGTCAGAGTGGCCACCATCTTGCACATAACTGGTTGCTGTAACAGAGAAAGAGACAGCTCTGGAGGGATTTGCACCCCCAGGGAAACACTCAGCCCAGAAGTGACCCATCACTTCTACTTGCGTTGCATTGGCTGGAACCAGTCACGTGGTCCCTGTCAGTACCAGGAAGTACTGAGAAAGAGGGAGGGAACAAGAAATAGTCTGCAAATGGCAGGTAATTGTTATCAATCACAGGGAGTAAACCCAGTGAGCTCTCTCATGCCCATCCTGACTTTGAATTAACTTATGCTGCCTTTCAGTGGTTATTCTCAGAAGTGTTAATATCTATTTTGGTGAGCATGCGTGATCATTAGATCTTTTTGTTTCCGTTTAATGAAAAGTTAAAAAAAGGCATAAAAGATTTTGTTCCTATGAATGTTTAACTTCGTAAGCTTTAAGGAATCTCAATAGTCGTAGGTTGATAGGACTACGTTCCATGGTCTGGGCAGGTAGATAAAATCTAGTGCAAGAAATCTCAAAAGACTTCTAAAATCTGGCAAAATTTTGTCAGCTCTTTCCCATAGGAGGTTCATAATCTTGTTTCATTATATCATTTCTTAAAAATGGTATGAAATTCATAAAAAGTACCTAGAGAAAGATGAGTTAAAATAATACATTGTTGTATGAAAATTGACTCAACTCTTCTGCATAGCTCCTATTGGGTTGAAATGCTAATTATGACATTTTCACTTTTGAGAACTTCAGAAAGATTTCTTTTGTGCAACTGTTGCCAAAAAATCAGCATGATTGGGGAGCTTTCTCTGAGCTCTGTGTATTGTACTCAGTGTAACAGAGAACAGCAGGACAGCCCTGTGGTGGGCTGCCTCATCTATTTTTGTTTCACTAACTACATTCTAGTAAAGACACATAATAATTGCAACATAACAGAAGCTTTATGTTCCTACATAATGATGAAAGAATATCAATAACGTAGGCTCCAAGGCAGAGAAGAGACTCAGTGCTATTTCCTTTTCAGTCTGGAGGAAGCCAGAATGAACTATCAATGAAGGTTATGGTCCATCAGCCTAGAAATCAATAGAAAAACAAGTCATTGCACAGCACAATTCATCCAAATTGCAAGGGTCTTTATGAAATCTTTAGGAGCAGAAATATATCTTTCCAAGTACACTTTGACTTTAGAACATTTTCAGTGTACCAGATAGCAAAACTGTACTTTGCTGAAGTGTTACAATATCACAACAGCCACTAAGTTAGGGATTTGAAGTTTATTTTATTAGTACTAAGCAAACCCCAGAATAGATAAAACAGTTTTATGGCCTACATCTGGTCGAATAATAAAACATACGGCTGTACAGTCAAGAATCTGCAGCTGTAAGTTACTATAAATACCCAACTCAAGATAGTGACAGAGGTACTCACACATGGGATTCAGTAAGGTTTCTCCCTCTACACATCAGAGGTTGAATATTCATAATTCTCGGATATTTGGGATAGGATTCGCTAATTAACCATTTTTTTTTTGTTATAGCTGTTACTTCATTCTGATTATTTTACTTTATTTGTTATAGAGCTATTGTAGGTTCAGGAAGGGACCAACATAAACACTTTTATTCTTTATTTGACATTTTATATTTGTGTCACAATTCTCTACAGCCGGTCTGCAGCTAAATCTTCCTGTTGGCTTTAGAAGAATATTCCAAGGAAGAAGAAAAATTTCACCTAGGTTTCTTCATACTTTAACAGACTTACTGTGTTGAGAAGTAATATATAAGAAACGTAAGGTGTTGCGGTGAGGAAGCTGTGAAACTAAAGATGTTTGAGAGAGAGACAGTGGAAGAGAAAAATCATATCCCTACATCTGTTAAATTATTTCTATGTCACTAGCTCTGAGCGCTACACACTGGTCATATATCTATCAGAAAAACAGGGAGCTCTAAACAAAATTTATCCTCAGGCACACTGCATAATAAAAATGAGGTACTTGCCTATCACAAAATTGTACTATATCCTAGCTCCTTATTCCAAAGAACTGTCTTTAGGCTGCAGTAAGCAGGGGAAGCAAAGAGCTTTAGTGAGTTACCCTAGGTCTGTGTCGATGAAGCGAAGGGCCTGGCAGAGGTGGTCTTCTTCTTTCTTTGTGGAGGTGGGGTCGGCGTCGCTGGTGTGAACATGCAGCCTCTGGCTGATATGGAAAGTAGCAGATCAGGAATTTTCGAGCCACTTTGCTCAATGAAGGTGGAGAAGACCACCAGGCAGGCTGTGCTCCAGGCATGGTTCTGGGGGCTCTGGATGCATCAGTGAGCAAAGCAGAGATCGGAGGCCTTGCAGGGTTACCTCCTCATAGGAGGGGGTGGGACAAGAAATAAATGCCTGACCCGTTAGATTAGTAAATTAGAAAGCATAATAGAAAACCGGGTGCAGTGGCTCACGCCTGGAACCCCAGCACTTTGGGAGACCGAGGCGGGTGGATCACGAGGTCAGGAGTTTGAGACCAGCCTGGCCAACATGGTGAAACTCCGTCTCTACTAAAGATACAAAAATTAGCCAGGTGGGGTGGCACGCGGCTGTAATTACTTCCAGCTACTTGGGAGGCTGAGGCATGAGAATTGCTTGAGCCCAGGAGGTGGAGGTTGCAGTGAGCTGAGATTTTGCCACTGTACTCTAGCCTGGGCAAAAGAGCAAGACTCTGTGTCAACAACAACAACAACAACAACAAAACAAAATACCTTATTAGAGCGTCATGAGTCCCATGGGAAAACGAAAAGAAGGGAGCGGGTAAAGAGGATTGGGAATTGGGATGTTTCAATTTAGAACAGAGAAGTCAGAGAAGTGACGGAGAAGTGCCATTTGAGCGATAATTTCAAGGAGGCAAAGGAGCCAGCTAGGCTGACTTCTCGGGAAGATCATCCCAGCAGGAGCATCAACCAGGGCCACGTCCTTCCTGTGATCTGTCCTGTGATCCTTCCTGTGAGCATGTGCCCGGCTGTTAGAGGAACAGCGAGCGAGCTGGTGTGGGGTGAGCAGCAGCGGAGGGAGGCATAGGAGATGAGGTCAAAGAGACAGCAGATGGAGTGGGGACAGATCATTTCAGAAATGGGAGACACTACAGGGGCTTGGCCTTTATTCTTAGTGCTCTTTAAGTCATTTGGCAGCTTTGAGGAGGGTGGCATGCACCAACTTATATTTTTAAAAAATCACTCTGGCTGTTGAGTTTAAACTCAAAGATTAAAACAGGGAAACCACTTCGGTGAGTGTTACAGACATCCAGGCAAGAGAGGATCTTGGACTAAGAGTGAAGCTGTAAAATCTGGGAGAAACATCAGATTCTGCTGCATTTTGAAGATAGAACCAACAAGACTTTCTGATCAATTGGATCAGAAAGAGAAAAATTAAAAATGATCCCATCAAATGTCTTTTGATTTTACCTGTGTCATTGGAAGATGGAGTTGTCATCAGATGAGATGGAAAAGTTGACCCTCAGGCTGATTTTTTGGGGGAAGGTCAGTAGTTCAGTTTGTGTTGGGTGAGAATTGAGACATGGCGCACCGGTTGTTGAGGATCTTTATTGGAATAAAAATTTCTTTTTTTTTTTCCCCTGCCTTGTGGTGCTGATGTAATAAAAATTTCTATTTAAATGATTTATTTACAATTTGGAAAATGAGTTGATTTAGTTAAATAACTGAACGGTAGTACTAAGACATAGTGTCACAAGAGTCGTAAGGGAATGGTTGTAATTTGGGAACTCCGGTGCAAATCACACAGCTGGTACTTGCAGAGCTGAGTTCATGTCGTTCCTTTATGGACTATTTTTCATGACATACGTGGACTTGACACAAACACATATTACACTGTGTGAGAGACTCAAAACGGCAAGTGATATTCAAGTGAACTTTGTCTTTGATATTATAAAATGTGAATCTGGGACCAACTTGTTCACATACTTGTGGGTTGAAAAAAGATCTGAGTGTTTTGCTTGAGAGCCATCAAGGTGATTTTTAGTTATCTTAGTGGAAATGTAAAGAATCAGGAAAGGTGTCGTTTCAGTTTGTTTTGGATTGGTCAGCTGAGATCTGCAGAATGACAGTTCTGGGGGCTACAATTTGAAGAGAACTTTGGCAAAATACAATGTGTCCAGAGTGAGGCAATTAGGATGAAAAATGATGTGAGATCCTATGGCAGGAGGAATGAAGAGAAGAATGAGGGTGATACATAAGATTAAGAAAAATGTCTCTAGATGTTTGACGGATAAAATATAAGCTTTGTATTTAGAAGACAGATACAACTCCTAAGGGCTAAAATAAATGGGAATTGCAAGGAGGCAGAGTGCATCTCCAAAAAATGCAGGTGCTTCTCACCAATGAAAACATCTGGGAAAGGAACAGGCTTGCCTTGTGAGCATGGAAAACCCTATCACCAGGAAGAATCCAGCAACTGTTAGATACCCACTGTCAGGGATTTTCACTGAATCATTGAAATCTAGAATTAAAAAGAGTGTTACAAATCCAACATAGGAATTCTACTAGAAGAGGAGTCGGGGTATGAGACTCCATGAAGTTGTCCAGTTCCCAGGTTCTGTTACTCCAGGGTCTCTGTAAGTGCCCCCACTGGGTTGCTTCCCCATTTGTGCTATGAAGCACAGGACTCAGGCCCACCACAGGCTGAGTGTGGAAGGTTGCTGGGTAATTCTCTGCTTGGCCCATTTCTGTATTCTCAGACTTCTAAATAGTTGAGTTGTAAGCTTACCAAAAGTCAGTTATATTTGTTCCCAGAACTGTTGATGCTTGCTATTGTAATTACATGACTTAATTCACTGTAAGGTAAACCGGTGATGTCTGAATGTGAGAAGGGATTTGTTATTTCTGTGAAATCAAAGCAATTGCTTTGGAAGATGGCCATGAGAGAGGAGTGAAGTTGCTGTTGAATTAGATGTGGGGGAGAAAACTCTTAAAAGACGAAGGGAAAATGTAAGAATCTAGAAGGATTCTCCACTCAAAATATACTTCTTTTTTTTTTTGAGAACGAGGCTCGCTGTGTCACCTAGGCTGGAGTTGAGTGGCACTGCAAGCTCTGCCTGCTGGGTTAAAGGGATTCTCCTGCCTCAGTCTCCCAAGTAGCTGGGACCACAGGCGCCCACCACCACACCCAGCTAATTTTTTTGTATTTTTAGTAGAGAGGGGGCTTCACCGTGTTAGCCAGGATGGTCTCGATCTCCTGACCTCGTGATCTGCCCACCTTGGCCTCCCAAAGTGCTGGGATTATAGGCGTGAGCCACCATGCCCAGCCAAAATGTACTTCTTGATTTATTTTAAAGCAAATGAAAATGAAAATTATGTTATTATGGGCTGAATGGCATCTTCCACAAATTCGTATGTTGAAGTCCCAACCCTCTAGTGTCTCAGAATGTAACCATAGGGTCTTTAAAGAGGTCATTAAGTTAAAACGAGGTCTTCAGAGTGGGCCCTAATCTGATGTGACCAGTGTCTTCATAAGAAGGAAAAAAGACACCAGGGATAGGGATGCTCATACCCAGACCACATGAAGAGGCTGCAAGAGGGTGGCCATCTGCCAGCCGAGTAACAAACCTGCCAACACCTTAATCTTGGACTTCCAGCCTCCTGAAAGGTGAAAAAATAAATTTCTGTTGTTTAACCCGTGCAGTATGGGGTCTTTTGTTATGGCTGCCCTAGAAATCTAGTAGAGATGTGTTCTAGGGGCGTTTTATGCAAAGAGACAAGACAAAATACCAATCAGAAGACCCCACCTCAGAAGTCTGGTGAACAGATGTTTACGTGTGAAGTGTTTAAGATGGGTGCATCTACTATTTGTTGGGATTCACTGCCTGACCTTCTGTTTTGATTAATGGACCAGGAACAGGTCTTTTTCCTCCAGACTGGAAGGTGTCTCCTGGGCTTGATGTCACTCTTTTAGTTGTTCATAAACATCTTATCAAAGACCTATGTATCATGGACCTGCTCTGTCACGCACTGCATCATGGCGGCATGAGAGAAGTCGCAGAGGATTTACTAGGTAGATGCCGTTTTCATCTTCAGATGCTAATAATAAATAACATGAGTTGGACACACAAATAACTCTCATTCGAGCCATTAGGGCGATGGACCAAAACTGAGGAACATAAAGTGTCATAAAAGTTCTCGGGAAGATGTGACCATTTCAGTTGAGGTGATCACAGGTCACGTTAATTCATGTTTTATGGCTGAGGGTAAAATTTGGGCTAGTGGAATAGGTAGGAAGCTTACTCTAAGTAGAAGGATTGGTGTGAACAAAGGCACAAGCTCTGAAAGGTTACAAGACATTTCTGGAGTGGCCAGTGGTTCAGGCCAACAAAGGCAACATGGTCTGTGGAAAAAGTTAAACTGCAAACCAGGCTTTCCCTGGTCCAGCTGTGCCTATCAGTTCCAGCTTAACTCCTACCCCTCATTACCATCATCTTTGGCTCCAGTGCCAGGAATCTTGTTATCTTCATGTAGGATATGCTTTCTCACCTCCCTGCCTAGCTTGGCTTAAATCTATACAAACTCAGCTCAGTTGTCAACTCTTCAGGGAAGTGGCATGCATTTCCTGTTTCCCTTATAACAAGTTACCACAAACTTAGTGGTGTAAAAGAACACAAATTTATTATCTTATAGTTCTATAGATTGGAAGTCTGACAAAGAGACATCCAAAAAACTGGTGGCCCTTTTGCAGGGCAAGCTGACATCCGCATGGCAGGAGAATACCAGCCTGAGTGGGGAAGAGGAGAGGAAGCAAGGAGGAAGGGAAGGAGAAATGCCAACACTGCCAAGTTTATGCGGATTTTTGTTTTTTTTTTTTTTTTGAAATAAAGTCTCACTCTGTTGCCCAGGCTGGAGTGCAGTGGCTCGATCTCCACTCACTGCAGCCTCTGCCTCCTGGGTTCAAGCGATTCTCCCACCTCAGCCTCCTGGGCAGCTGGGATTACAAGCGCCCCCCACCACGCCCAGCTAATTTTTGTATTTTTGGTTCAGATGCATTTTCGCCATGTTGGCCAAGCTGGTCTCGAACTCCTGACCTCAAGCGATCCACCCACCGCGACCTCTCAAAGTGCTGGGATTACAGGCATGAGTCTCTGTGCCGGGCCAAATTTTGGTTTTGAGCATCCCCTGCCCCATGGGCTCTTCTTAATTACAGGTATTCAGTTCACCCCTCTGTCCTTTTAGGATATCAGCAGTAGAGTCCGTTGCAAGATTGTCAATTATTGTAGTGACGTGAGAACCTGTACAACCCAAGTCCTGTTTAGCACAGTTGCTCGCATTCACCAAAGTTTGTTTTCCAAGTTCCTGATGGCTATGAACACTGTGGTTTTTTTTTTTTAAGGATTTTCACACATGGAGGGAGAGGTATTTCTTAGAGAGATTATCATTTTATGGTGCATTAAAATACAAATACTTCTATTTAATAAAAAAGTCTGCCCCAGTCTCACTGGGTTCCAGGTAATACAAGACTGGCTTCCTGTCTGAAAGGGTGAGGGTGGAGTCAGTCTCTTGCCTCTTCCAGTCTCTAGAGGCTTCCTACATGTCACAGGCAATGGCTCCTTGCCCTGTCTTTGCCAGCAATCACAGGTCCCCCAGGCGTCCCATCACCCTGACCTCCCCTTTTGCCTTTTGTTCACTTTTAAGAATCCCTATAATTACTTGGGTCTGCCTGGGTAATGCAGGATAATCTGTTTAAAGTCAGCTGGTTAGTTCCCTTCATTCTGTCTGCAGTGATAATCCCCCTTTGCCATGTAACCTACTGTATTTACAGTTTGGGGGGATTAAGGCATGGACACCTTGGGAGGGCCATCTTCTGTCTACCCCAGAAACCTTTCTTACCTTTCTTGCCATCAATGCCAGGTAGAACTTTTGCTCTCAGAATAGCTCAGCTTCAGTGCATGTTGAGCTTGATACTTACCGTATAAATACATTTTAAATTTTCGTTGGAGTTTAAAATGCAAAATATTTAATTATAAGTGTATTTATCATCTCTTCCATTATACTTTGTGAGGGAAGATGCTGCCCCTTTTATCTTATTCTTAATTTTGTGTCCCCAGTGTATTACACAATAAAGAGAGAGACAGGGGTGAGGGGAGTAAGGGGTGAAGAGTTCCCTGCCTGACAGAATGATGTGCAATCTGTTAGATGAAAACATTTCTTAATTACTCATTTGCAAACTTTTGAGAAAGGAGATAGCTGAGTGTTGGCATTTGCAAGAGAGCTTTTTATGCACTCCACGCAGTGGGAGCCTAAGAATACTGTACCAAGTCTACTGCTAAGAAGAAGGGGGCAGCAAACAAATTAGCAAGAAAAAAAACAATCCCATCAAAAAGTGGGCTAAGGACATGAATAGACAATTCTTGAAAGAGGATACACAAATGGCCAACAAACATATGAAAAAATGCTCAACATCACTAATGATCAGGGAGATGCAAATCAAAACCACAATGCAAAACCATCTTACTCCTGCAAGAGTGGCCATAATCAAAAAATCAAAAAATAATAGATGTTGGTGTAGATGCAGTGAGAAGGGAACACTTCTACGCTGCTGGTGGGAATGTAAACTAGTGCAACCACTATGGAAAACTGTGAAGATTCCCTAAAGAACTAAAAGTAGAACTACCATTTGATCCAGCAATCCCACTACTGGGTATCTACCCAGAGGAAAAGAATTCATTATATGAAAAAGATACTTGCACACACATGTTTATAGCAGCACAATTCGCAATTGCAAAGAACATGTATGTTCTTACTCATAAGTGGGAGCTAAGCTATGAGGATGCATGGGCATAAGAATGACACAGTAGACATTGGGGACTCAGGAAGAAAGGGCGGGAAGTGCGTGAGCGATAAAAGACCACAAACTGGGTTCAGTGTATACTGCTCGCGTGACAGGTGCACCAAAATCTCACAAATCACCACTAAAGAACCCGCTCATATAACCAAATACCACCTGCTCCCCAAAAACCTATGGAAATAAAGACTTTTTAATAAAAGAAAAAAGAAAAAGGGAGCAGGATGCAGAGGAGACCATGAATATGCCTGCAACAGTTCACTTTTGTACCTTTTCTTTCTTCTTTTAGCAAAGGAGGGATGAGAAAGCAGGTAAAGAAACATCGTGATGTTATGGAGAGGCTGGATTTAGCTGAGCTGAGCAAGGGCTTCTTGGAGGCCTTGGGACAGGCATGTGTGTGCCACTTCACAAAGCAATCCCGAGGTAACAGTCAGGTCAGGCATCAGAAAGCCAGGGGCCTCTGCAGAGGTGAAACAATAAGAAGGCAGCATTTGCCTTGGGGCTCCACACTCCGGTTCTCACCCTCTTCCCGGAACCTGCCTTCTCACTGTCCATCACACAGTCCTGCTTTTCACTTAATGCAGAAGAACTGGCCGAGTATCGCCGCCTTATTTAGACATTGATCCATTTATGTGACTAAAACAACCCACATAAAGGTACAAAAGCAGCTGAGTCATTTCCTGAAATGATTTTGTAGCTATTCTCAGTCCCTTACCTCTCAGAGATCTACAGGAATAGGCTCTGTCTCTCCCCGTGTCCACAGTCAGCCGGGAGGTACATGGAGCAGAATCCACATCCACGATCCTCAAATTTATTATCTCCAGAATTCATTTGCTGACTCTTAGCCCGGAGTGTTTGAAACTTGGAACCTCTCAAAGGTTCAAAACTGACCCCCAGATTTAAATGACTAAGATGACTCTTGCAGTGGATAACTGTCAATCTGTTCTGACCATTGCTCCATTGCCTCCCGTCCCACTTTTCCTGTGGTGGGGTGTTTTTGGCTCCTATTTTTGATAATAGAAATCATTCTGTGAACACATGCTCTGTGTCAGGCATTTCATATTCATGATTTCTACCTTAAAATTCTTGCAAATAAATTTTGTTTTTTTAATCTTATAGCTAAAGCAGCTTCCGCAAGAGTGCATAGTTAGTAAGCAACTGGTTTATGTTATCTAGATCAAACTCCACAACTGATTTTACTTTTCCAATTGTTCCAGTGTGTTGGTGTGGTGAGCAGGACAGGAGGGAGGGAGGTGGATGGTGCAGGGAGAAGAGAATTCAGATAGGTCAATAGCAACTTAAACAAACTGCTCTTTCTGAGTTCGCTCAAATGGGAGCTTATATGGTTCCTACTAAGACTATGTTAGAAGCATCCTTAAAATATTTACAAGGAAATCTCAGGTGACATCTGGGACATATGTTATTGGACGAGTCAGAGAATTTCTTCTCCCATTCCTTCATTTGGGTGATTAAAACTAATCTTTACAATCAGCAGGGTGGGCTGAGTTTAGAGGATGCCAGAGACTGGCAGTGTTCAAATCATGCCCATCTGGGTTGATCCTAGGATAGCCTTCTCTCCACCAGGCTCGATGGCCACCTTGGTCTTGGCCACATTGTGTGCGGGGCCCCTTCTTGGCTGGTTTTGGTGCTTCTTGGCCCTGATGTCCTTAATAAACACCAGTAGGGTGCTACCATCCATCTTTTTCATCATTGTCTCTGTGCTTCAAGAACTTGATGAGGGTATGGTGGTTCTCCATGGAGGGCTTGTCCAAGGACACAGGAGCTGCTTGTATGATACCCGGGGCTCCCACCACAGAAAAAGTGACTGACTGTGGGCCTTTCAGGGCTGTGAACACCTTTCAGCACAGGCTTCTTGACCTTCAAAGCCAGTTTTGGCTTTGATTTTGCAGAGGAGGGGCGTGGTGTCGGGGGTTTCCTTCTTTCCTTTCAACACCATCTTCATAAAAAGGATCTCTCAGTCCCAGATGTTTTATGTCTTGTAGAATCATTTGCCCTGAGCACAATAAAACATAAATAAAGTATACAAAAGGCTGACATCACTTTTATGATGTTCTGAAGCAGAACAAATTCTGAATAAAAAAAGTAAGAACCTTCAAAATGTAGCAACCTGGGAAGCCAGCAAGAAAGCAAATTGTTTACAATAAGAGCTGCTCAATAGAATTTGTCCTCGCATTTACCCTTCTTGTAGGAGACCCACTGGGTCACTAATTACTCAAGAGTCAGGAATGCAAACGAGATTGATCGGCATCTAATTCCCGGGAAGATGACAAAAATGGCTTATCAATACACTTTTACAAAGCAAGGAAAACAAATGAAACGCAGATTTGACAAATTAGCCTTGAGATTAGTGCACAGTGGGATCACTTCAGGCATTTAGTTTTGCCTCTTGCCCAGATAAAATCCTACTGGGAGTTACCGCTGCTTTAGCATTTGCGGGATGGAATCCTAAAAGTAATGCAATGACATTACAGAATTCATGGCTTTTGCTTTCAAAGCAGCAGTTTGAAAAATAAATTTGTGTGTTAAACACTAAGATGAAGTTTAATACCTACTTGTTAGAAACCTTTGAAGAGAGAAAATAGGATACTTTGTTCTGGAATAGATCACTAGCTTGAATTTGACATTACTTTTATCACATTTCCTTTGAAAGATGTTTCTGACTTAACACTTGACCTCTTTGAGAAGATAAAAGTCCTATATCCTATTGACAAAAATGTGTGTTTGTGTAAATGAAAATACATTCTGTAATCAGAAAAATATGGTTTAATGGTTTCAAGATTATATGATTTAAAATAAATTCCAAAACATCAAGCTTGATACTCTACATTTATAAACATGTTTTCACGTATATCACACAGGTATGTTACATATACAGTGTCTTTATGTAATAAGTTATATTGTAATTTCTTTGCCTTAAAATTTTCAGGATAAAACCATCCTAAATGTATGTTCACATTCTATTTGTTTGGGGCAAACAAAAAACCACAAAGAAGAAAGAAGGATATTTGTATCATTTTTAGAATTTTTGAATGAAACATTAGAGTTATTCTATCCAAATAAAACACCTAGAAATGTATATTTAAAGAAAATACTGATCCCTGGGTTCTTCTCCCAGAGGACCTGATATAAATAGTCTGTTGTGTGGTACTGGGCCTCAAGATATTTGAAAGCATCCCATGTGATCCTAATGGTCACCTAATGAGGTGGCAAAGTTGAGAACCAGTGTGTTAGAGCTATACGTTTTATTTGCTATTTATAATGTAGTGTTTCCGAACCTTGGGTACTCAGCACATGCATTTAGTTCTACTTCTATACTATGTCCTAAGCCAGCACTTCTCAAACTTTAGTGTGCCACTAGAGTCACTTGGAGGGCTTGGGCCCCACTCTCTCTTTCAGTAAGTGGGGGTGGGACCTGAGAGTTTGCATTTCTTAATTCCCACGTGACGTTAGTGCAGCCGTTCCGGGGCCACACTTTTAGAATCACTGTCTAAAACAGAATCACCTGGGGTACTCTTGTTAAACTCGCTATCAAAAGTGAGTCCTTCTACCAATGAGGTCTCGACTCAGCAGAAGCGGATCCTGCTTGCGTTTTCATCTAGCACCTCCAACAATTCTGACATTCTCTAGTTTAGGAAATCCTGTGATAGTGTACTGTAGTTACATCCATGTATTTCACAAACTTATGGAGTTGAAGCTGTCTAACATCAAATATCAAAACAGTGATATTCAAAGTACAGGTGAGAAGCCTTCTACCATCTTTTTGATCAAAGACATGTATCCAGATACAAATTCCTTGAAGGTATCAATATTGAGTGAGTCATGATCCTGACAGATGCTCATGAGCTTTGAATGAAATAATTGTCTCTTGAGGGTGGAACCTAGATCTCTTTTTCTCATTATTGCCGGTCACTAACGGAGTGCCTGGGACAGAGCAGGGGTATGTAAATGTCATACACAACAGAGTTCACTGATGTTTATATCCTGCTCTGTAATACAATAGCTTGTCTTAGCAAAATACATTTTATTAGCAACCTGCATATCTGCTAATTTAAGCAATTCTGATTCAGGATTCCATATTATCTTCATTTTCCCACGAGGAAAGGGGGCTAGCGTATCATGACAGGGTGGCTATCACAGAGTCCTCACTGGATCCACCTCTCTTCCATTAGGCCCAGTGCGTTTCCCTCTGTCTCATAATGATGCCCTCTCATCAATGTTCGAAGCTGCCAGGGGTGTCCCTTTTCATGGCACTGACTTAGGTATTCTCAGGAGGGTTTCACTGTAATGAAAAATATATCAATGTTTTACATGGTATGGTATGTTAAGTAAACTAATCTGTTAGATTTTTAAAAAGAATGTATACGTATTAGGAAAAATGTGCAGCCAGCATACAAAATCCAGGATATTTTACTAGATGCTATTTTGCCAATATTTTATCAATATGTTATCAATTATACCAATAGTTTTCCTGAAGTTGACGTGGACAATTAGATTTCTAAAAAGTGGTCTACTTTAAGGAATTATATTAAGAAATAATAATGTAGGTGTCACTGCCATACAACAAAAGTTATGTGAATGTTTATGTTGGGGAAGCATTGCTTTGTATGATAAACAGTGATTTTTTTTTAGATAACATGGTCTTTAATACCGTTTAGAAAGTGGCGGGTTGTCAGAGAACATGTACATGATTGACAGTTATTTACTGAGGAAGGTCTAGATTTCCAATATTTCTTGAATTGTGTGTGTGTGTGCGCGTGTGTGTGTGTGTGTAATTTCCCTTTGACTTCTAAGAGTTTGTGTTATAGAAGCTTGATGAAATAGCCATGATTAATTACAACCCTTTTTATGAAAAGGATTTCAATGAAAAAGCATATTTTCTTTTCTTCTCTTTTTTTAAAGGAAGAGGTTTCTTTCTATAATCAAGACAATATATTCTTTTAAAGTGGTATTTCTTGACATTTATAGTGCTGGTGACAAGGTCATAATTTCCATCGTAATGAGATGCCTTTTAATAATGCATAACCCCTAATGTAGAAAGCAGCGCAACATCTCACAGGCTGCGTTCGTGGTGAATATTCCTGCCGAGGTCTGGGAGACTCTGTAGGTCACATGTTGACTTAGCAGCTCCAGAGGCCTTTCCTCTATGGTGTGCCATAATCCAGGCCTCTTCCAACTGTGTTTGAATAGACCAAGATGCTATGAGCCAAGAATTCTGGATTTTTCACTTTTATTTCAGAGAATGGTTCACTGTGAATAAAGGCTCCCAATGAATTCTCATGAGTTTTTAATGGTCATAGCTGAGAATGAGGAGGAGGAGATAGGATTGGATTTTGATTTTAGAAACACTCTTGGGCTTTTGTTTTCCCCAGTATTTGAATAATATCTCATGCAGTGGTATTGCCACTACCACGAGGGGAGAAAGAAAGATTTCATCTAGTTGTATGCACACACACATACACACACACACACACACACACACATAAAGTGATTAGGAAGTAATGCATACATATAGTAAAAGTTTTTTAATAGATAACATTTTTAAGAAGGAAATGAAAACAAATCACTCATTCTTTCATGGCTGTATCTGAGCCTCTGTGTGTGTCACTGCACTGGCTGTGCCTCCTGCGGACATTATTGCTCACCACATTTGTACCTGGCGGTGTAGCTGGAGTGTTGTACTAGATGTTGTCAAATATTCTTTTAAAACGAGGTTTTGATATTCTGCAGATAGGAATAACAAAGCTTTCCTGTGAATTTCTAAAATCCGCTTGACTCTGAGGTTGACTTGGTGTGGTTAAAGCCACTGAGATAGTATTAACATGTCTTTTAAACACATACATGAGCTATAAAAAGTGTGATTTGGAAGTGCCCAGCACAATGACGGGAGGTCATAGGGTTTCATCTGTATTTATTGAATAACCAAGGAAAACATCATTGTAACAGAATAATTGATACATATTATTTGTCAAGCTGTGACATAGTAGAGGCATATTTTAGGTAAGCACCTTCTATAGTGTAAAAGGAATGCAGTTATTACTTTAAGATGGCCAGAGTAACTAAAGCCAGTCCCTGTTCACATCGTTGCTTGCTGCTGTGATTTAAGACATTGTGTACTGTGTGAGATGCCTTACTGCACCCCTTCTCTTTCTAATGTCTGTAGCAGATTTGAATTATACAATAAATTTTGCCAAATTGTCCTTGTCTCTCCCACCTATGGCTGTACTTTCATGTTCGCCGGCTTTAAAACATGAATGATGAGAGGAAAACTGTGGTGCCAAGTATCTGCCTCCATTTGTCAGCGTTTACATTTTCCGTTAATTACTGATGTTGTGCAGTCAGTAATATACAGCACCGGAAAGAAACACAAGCTTCATAGAATAGAGCATCTTTTTTTTTTCCTGTGTGTTTTCCTATAGATTTGCTAAACATCTTCAATCCATTCCATTGGATGTCATTTAGTTTGGTCTTTCATTTTTGTAGAACATGCATAGTATAAAGGTGTTAAACGTTTTTTCTTTTCAACTGTCACTTTGTGTTTCTTATTTATTTCGTTGGATAGGTATCTTCCCCCTTGCAGATGTTTCTTTGTGTTTCTTATTGACTTTGTTTTGTTTCTCAGGCAGATCATCATTTCCTTAGCAGAGATGGAAGACAAGGTCTGTCTTGAAGCCACTCTGCCTTTGCTCTTCCTCCCTGATGGGTCTGGCTTCGTGCAGCTGCCCATCCCTTCTCTGATGCAGTGATGGTTGACTTGAAGTTGCACAGCTGCCCAACCTCTTTTGATGCTTCCTGCTTCACACGGGGACTACTCTTTTTATTCCTGTTTTGAGAAATTTAAGCAAGACCTGCCATTGAAGCAGCATTGTGTAACATGATTTATATTTGGGGTATTGTTATCACTTCTCTGGAAATAACCTCCAGTTTTTTAAATTAGTGACTAACTTCCAGGAAATAACCCAAAGGTCATGATTATCGTTGCAATTCTAAAGGCATATGTATAAGGATGAACAAGTCAATTATCCTTTTGGGTTTCAGTTAACTTGATTCACACATTGCTCTGGATAATGTTGTAAAAACAAAGGAAAGCAGTATTTGTTCTTCACATACTGTGGATTTCTGTTCATTCCCATTGTTATGGATAAAATGTCCTATGCACTTAAAGCATCAGCACACAGTATATAAAGCAACAAAACTCGAAAGAGGTAAATTTTGATATTGGCTTTATCACCTTTGACCTTTGACTCATTAACTGTTACTCAGTTCCTCTATCTGCTAACATAAATATATATTTTTTATTTATCTGTTAGCATATATATATATATATTACAGGAATATCCAACTTTTCTGGGAAAATTATTATTTGAGACTACTCTGAAGCTTAAAAATGCTGTTAAACAAGTATTTTCATTTATCAGGAATATGGTTTTAAGTCCTTGCGCAAGGAACAGAGGTAAATATACATTTAAATATTCCTCCTAGGTATTGTGAAAAAGAGTATTATTTCAATTCTGCAAAGCAGAAAAAGTGCTCTAGCTTTCTGAGAGTTTGCAGTTTGAAACTTACATTTTTCAATCCATTCTGAAGTCCCCTGCAGGCAGAGCAGTGTCTGGGTATTTAGCTGATAGCAGAAGCATTCTTCCCTCTCATCCTCACCATAACCAGATCCAACAGGGTCTGGTTCATAATTTATCTCAAGCTAGTCCATTTGATACAGCTGTCTCTTCTAATGCCAACCAGGGAAGGTCATGAATCCAAGCGAATTTGTTAAGGCCTGGACAAGAGAACATCAACAAGGGAAATCTTTGCTATCTTACCAGCCCCCAAACTTTACATTTTCTCATGCCACTTTGCACAGTTCAGCATGCTTTCACCAGTTACAGTTGGGAATATGAATTTCTTTGATAACACAGGACAGACATGGGGACACCTAAACAGGAAGGTCATTCACAGGCAGCATTTCAACTCCTTTACATCTATCTGCATGACAAAATACTGAGAAAGTGGAAGCTATTTCTATAGGGTTTGGTTCTATTATTTCTGCTTGCACCACCATCAAATTTCAGATATGTTAGGAAGTTCTTTCATGTAATTCTGAGATATCAAGTCCTATGAACACCACGGCACTATTCCTGTGGTCCTCCCTCTATGGGAAATACTTTCCTAGAGCTCAGAAACTGGTCTCTATGGAGACCAGATCTAGAAATGATTTATCTTAGCATAACACCTTTTTTTAGGACCAGACTTTTCCAGCTAAATGCAGAGTTATTTCATATACCCAGCAATAGAAATGTTTCCAAAATAGTATTTCCAATTAGGTAAAAATATTATAATTATGGGAGTGCTTAACCTTGTATTTATCAATATATTTTTGCCACATATCAGCATCAAAAGAACTGTCAATTCAGTGGGGAAGAAAATTGTCCCATTAGCAATTTGGGTTAAGATTGAAACAAAAGTGTCCTTGACTTACTTGGGAACAAAAGATATTCTGTAGGTAGAGCTCAACTCACAATAGTTATACCAATGCATTTTACCATAAATATTCTAGTTTATTTCTCAATTTTTCCTCTGAAAAATTTAGTGTAACAATTGCCGTATTATAGGAGAAATAAGGCAAAAAGAGTGACATCAACCTATTAGTAATCATAGAGTAAATTTCTCAGCTGGCCTCACTCATATGTAAAGCCATTTTCGGTCCTGGAGTATAAGAAATATCTTTCTTAGTATTAATAAAAGAACATGAGTTACAGAGAAAACGATGGCTTAGCTCTCCAAGGGATACTGAAATAATGAAAGGGGTAATTTTTATAGGATTGGGAGTATAAAAAAATACAATAATGCAAGGAGAGTAGAGAGATTTAGACTTTATAACAAGACTACAAAATCTGTCATTTTCCTTTTCTTTTTTTTCACTTCTTGCAACGTATCGATTATATCTTTGTGTGGTGGTTATTTGGGTAGAAATGGCAGTTTCAGTGCCTTTTCTGTACCTGTTTCCAATTGATTGTTGCTCATACTTCCTGGGGTTTTGCTGGAGTCTCTCTGTCATGCGGCAGGAGGAGAGGGAAGAAACTCTCCTGGTTGAAAATGCATTTACTCTGCTCTAGGAAGAAATGAAAAGATCCATCTAATTGCTACTATGCAATTGTAGGACTGCCCATCTGGCCTGAAACATATAGTACATTTTCATTTCACCACGAGGCTGACTCCTGAGGGGAATTAGTTTCCTGATGAAATTATATCCCCTGTTCTTATAGGTTTTAAAGCAGCACTGAAGTAAATCTAAGGTGCTAGCCACTGAAATAGAGCCTCAGAGATCACTGGAATTAGGTCAGCTTTCCTAAGTTCATTTTGAAAAATCAGTTCCCAAATTGAGATTTGTGGGCCTGGAAAAGTCCATTTTGTTCACTTCTATAACTTTAGGAAAATCCATTCGGTTCATCGTCCTGGGTAAAATCTTGCTTTACCTGTGTGTGCTGTAGCTGAGCAGGGGCAATGTATTTTCCTAGAAAGAAGAATGCAGATGCTATAGCTGGCTGGTTTTCTTTTCATGAATTGTATATTGATTTATATTTTAATGAAACTTTGGCCAGTCTACTAAATGTAAGTTTCTCAGAGACAAGATGTTAATCTCTATTTAATGCATGTATCATAAGGTTAAATCTGGCATGAAAGGCAATTGAGATTACCACAGTTCTTTGGTTCAGTGCTTTACGGGAGAGAACAGAAGCACAAATCTAATTTTACAAGGAAATTGCTGAAAGAATTGATGTAATACAATGGGTATAATAGAACAAGGTATTTAAAATGTGCATGCTCAGGTGGGTAATAAGCACTTAGAAATTATTGGAGGCCACTGAAAAAGGCACATTTGCTAAAAAGACCCTACTGTCTTTTGATAGTCATAAGTCAGGTTATTAACTTTGTCTTTTTTCAATTTGATTTTTTACTATTAAGGTGACTTTACTTCAAGCATATTTTATTTTGAATGATCCAAACAAAAATGTATGTGTGTGTGCATGAATTTGAATATATAATTATAAATATATGTACATAAATGTATATATACATTTATATATAAATATATATTTATATATTTATACATATTTATATATGTATAAATTTAGTGTAATAATTCCCATATTATAGGAGAAATAAGGCAAAAAGAGTGACATCAACCTATTAGTAATCATAGAGTAAATTTCTCGGCTGGCCTGACTCATATTTATACATATTTATATATGTATAAATATATATATGTATATAAATATATATGTGTATATATATATTTGGGGCACTGTGCACAGGTATACAGCAGAACACTGCTGGAATGCTGGTGCTGGGTGAAATGGAACTCCAGTCAGAGCCTGTGACTGTTTCAATGAGAAGAATGTTTTATAGATGGGCAGCACTAATATGCAATTTAATCACGTGTATATATGTGAATGTGTGTTTATAGAAAAATAAATACAAATATACCATTTTATTATAACATTAATTAGAAAGGGCATGCATTGCCATCCTTGGAATTTCCTTCGCATTTTAAAATACATTTTTAAGGAGGGAGAGAAGGAGTTGAAAGTGATTTACAAATTAAAAAAAATGGTAAGTTAAGTGGAGGTGGTGAGGTCAGCATCCTACTGAGAAGCAAGAAGAATGACAGTGGCGTCTGCTGCTGGTCTTTTGGGCAGGTGTGGCCACACTTTCCCCACTTTTCTGATGCCACCTGCACATGGTCCATTTGCCGTAGTGGGTTAGATCCTAAGAAATGAGTAGCAAAGTAATCAGTGACCCAGGTGAGCCCCGGAGATTGCAGGGTGACAGAGGAGAAAGACAATTGCGACCCAAGGTTCTGATGGAGCAGAGACCACCTGTGAGATGGCCTGTGTGGAGGGGCTCATTTTGTGGATTTCTGGATGAACCAAAAAGCAAGAGAGGGCAGATTGCTTCGATATTATAGATAATTACTTAACTATCTCTACTCTCTCTGATTGAGCAGGCTGGGTTTTACAGTGGACATTAACGTTACATTTATGAACTTAATATCACAGATCATCAGAGAAATGCAAACCAAAGCCACAATAAGATGTCATCTCATACTAGCCAGAATAGCTATTAGTAAAAAGTAAAAAATAACAGATGCTGGCAAGGTTGCAGAGAAAAGGGAACCCTTATACACTGTCGGTGGGAGTGTAAATTAGTTCAACCATTGTGGAAAGCAGTGCGGCAATTCCTCAAAGAGCTAAAAACAGAACTACCGTTTGATCCAGCAATCCCATTATTGGGTATATACCCAAAGGAATATTAATCATTCTACCATAAACACACAGGCACGCAAATGTTCATTGCAGCGTTATTCAAATTACCAAAGACATGGAGTCAACCTAAATGCCCATCAATGACAGGTTGGAAAAAGCAAATGTGGTACATATACATCATGAAATACCACGCAGCTATAAAAAAGAATGAGATCATGTCTTTTACGGGAACACGGATGGAGCTGGAGGCCATTATCCTTAGCAAACTAACACAGGAGCAGAAAACAAAATACTGCATGTTCTTACTTATAAGTGGGAGCCAAATGATGAGAACTCATGAACAGAAAGAAGAGAACAACAGACCCTGGGGGCTACTTGAGGATGGAGGGTGGGAGGAGGGAGAGGAGCAGAAAAAAATAACTATTTGGTACTGGGCTTAATACCTGGGTGATGAAATAATCTGTACAACAAACCTCCGTGACACTAGTTACCTGTGCAACAAACCTTCACATGTGCTCCTGAACCTAAAGTTAAAAAAAAAAATACCATAAGCTCTAAAAGGAGGACATTTTCAGAAGGATGTGCTTTGGTTTTTTTTTTTTTTTTTTTTTTTTTTTTTTTTTTTTTTTTAGATAGAGTCTCGTTCTGTCTAAAAGTCACTCCAGCACTTCAGGCTGGAGTGCAGTGGCATGATCTCAACTCACTGCAACCTCTACCTCCTGGGTTCATGTGATACTCCTGCCTCAGCCTCCTGAGTAGCTGGGATTACAGGAGCCTGCCACAACAACGGACTAATTTTTTTGTATTTTTAGTAGAGACATGATTTTACCATGTTGGCCAGGCTGGTCTTGAAATCCTGACCTCAAGTCATCTGCCTGCCTTGACCTCCCAAAGTGCTGGGATTACAGGCATGAGCCAAAAGATGTCCTATTTTAAAAGCAATATGTTAAATAGCATTTGAAGAACAAATTAAACATCAAGAAATACAGTGGATTCATTCCTAATAATTGATAGAATTTTCAATGGTTAATACACAAGAAGAACATGTGTGTTTCTCTATGCTCCCCCTCACTACCATCAAAGGCCATTGACAAGATACCTTTTTAATAATTGCATTCTATTTCTATCTGTGCTTGGAGGCTCATGCCTGTAATCCCAGCACTTTGGGAGGCCGAGGCGGGCGGATCACAAGGTCAGGAGATCGAGACCATCCTGGCTAACACGGTGAGACCCTGTCTCTACTAAAAATACAAAAAATTAGCCAGGCGTGGTGGCGGGCGCCTGTAGTCCCAGCTACTCGGGAGGCTGAGGCAGGAGAATGGCGTGAACCCGGGAGGCGGAGCTTGCAGTGAGCCGAGATCGCGCCACTGCACTCCAGCCCGGGCAACAGAGCGAGACTCTGTCTCAAAAAAAAAAAAAAAAAAGCTTCAAAAACCTTCCTGGCCTCTTTTTGCCGTTTTGCCATGTGAGAGTACCCAGGCAGTACCATCTGTGAGAAATAGGTCCTCATCAGATGCTGAATCTGCCAGCACTTTAATCTTGAACTTCCCGGCCTCCAGGACTGTGAGTAATACATTTCTGTTGTTTATAAATGACCCAGTCTAAGGTATTTTTCTATAGCAGCAGGAACGGATCAAGAAAGAAACTTTATTTTACTTGGTGACCCTGACATTTTGCACCAAAAAGGGAGTGGACATAGTGATTTTATTTAGTAGATGAATCCTTTAAGTGGCAAGGCTAAAATTCTGTTTGAGAATTAAAAGGTCCTACATTCTGTGAGTCTTGAATGCAGAGTTGATGGTCAGAATCTGATATGGTTTGGCTCTGTGTTCCCACCCAAATCTCATCTTGTAGCTCCCATAATCCCCACGTGTGGTGGGAGGGACCCAGTGGGTGATGATTCAATCATGGGAGCAGGTCTTTCCCTTGCTGTGCTCGTGATAGTAAATGGGTCTCACAAGAGCTGATGATTTTTAGAAATGGGAGTTTCTCTGCACGAGCTCTCTCTTTTTGCCTGCTGCCATTCACATAAGATGTGACTTGCTCCTCCTTGCTTTCCACCATGATTGTGAGGCCTCTCCAGCCATGTGGAACTGTAATCCAATACCTCTTTCTTTTGTAAATTGTCTAGTCTCAGGTATGTTTTTATCAGCAGCATGAAAAGGGACTAATACCAAACCTGTCTCCAAAAGGAGTCACATAAAAATGAAAAATTCCAAGCTGCCCAGTTCCCTCTGTCAAAGTGCACAGGGCGGGTCTGCCTGTCAAAAGCACTGGATGTTCTTTTGTGGACCCTCATGCATTAGCTCCTTCAACCACTATCACCATGATTCGAGGACCTGAGCCGGAGTGGTCGCTGGTACCTGATATCAATTACCATCCAAGTGAAAGAGGACTACCACGGCCTTATCATCTACAGTCTCAGAAGGAATATAGCTCACATCATGGATACCTCATGGCAGCGAATTTTAAGGGTTGACTAATTCTTAAGGCAGGTGGGTTCTAAGGAGTGTTTGACTTACCTGTAGGAACGTTTGGCACATTTCAGTCACCAGGGATGACCTGAAAAATGATTTTGATACAACCGTTGCAAGGGAGATGAAAGGATCACAACAGAACCTTCAAGTTAGAAAAAGCAGAGATGGGCATGAGTTTATGGCTGGGAGTTGGTGCTGTGTGTAGGTGGTGGTCTTGGCCCGTGGGTTAAAGTTACCAGGAAGAAGGCCCACTCCCTCCCCTCTCCCAGATTTCTCAGCAGTTAGATGCTCACTCGATGGAGTTAAGAAATCAGGGAGGACACGTTTGCCTCTAGGCTTTTCAGGAACACACACTGTAGGTTATCAGACAGTACAGCTGTGAAAAGCAGGTTTTAACATGTTAGGGACAGTTCAAAGCGGGATGTACAGAATGAACCCTGCTTAGGAGGACAGGCCCAGGGGAGGAGCATGTGCAGAGAGGTGGTGAGTCGTTGGGAAGATGCTGGGAACTATGATAGTTGTGTTAGTCAGTGTTCTCCAGAGGGACAGAACTGATAAGATGTATGTATATAGGAAAGGGAAAAATAATAAATTTAGGGGGAGTAATTTAGGAAGAACTGGCTCATACAATTATAAGGCAAAGTCCCACGACAGGCCGTCTGCAAGCTGGGGAAAGAGAAGTTGGTAGTGGCTCAGTCCGAGTCGGAAAGCCTCAAAACCAGGGAAGCTGACAGTGGAGCCTTCAGTTTGCAGCCGAAGGCCTGAGGGCCCCTGGGAAGCAACTAGTACAAGTTCCAGAGTCCACAGGCCAAAGAACCTGGACTCTGAGGTCCAAGGGCAGGAGGAGTGAAATCAAGCCTCCAGCACAGGAAGAAGAAAGAGAGCCAGAAGACTCAGCCAGCAAACTTCTCCCACCTTCTTCCACCTGCCTTATTCTAGCAGCACTGGCAGCCGATTCAATGGTGTCCACCCACATTGACGCTGGGTCTTCCTCTCCCAGTCCACCGACTTAAATGTCAGTTTCCTCTGGCAACACCCTCATAGGCACACCCAGAAACCATGCTTCACCGGCCATCTGGGCATCCCTTAATGCAATCAAGTTGACACCTAATATTAGCCATCACAGCAGTGAAACGAACTCTTTTCCCTGAGCATCTCAAACTATGTTATGGATTGAATTGCACTTGCCCCAACTTCATATGTTGAGGTCCTAACTCCTAGAACCTCAGGATGTGACTTGATTTGGAAGTAGGTCCTGGAAGTAATTAGTTAAGATGACCTCATACTGGAGTGGGGTGAGTCTCTAATCCAATATGACTGGTGTCTGCATAAAAAAGGGACATTTAGACACAGGTGTGCACACGGGGAGAGTGCTGTGTGAACATCAAGGCAGAGATAGGGGTGAAGCTTCTTCAGGCCAAGGAGCACCAGATATTGCCAGCAAACACCAGAAGCTGGAAGAGGGGTGTGGGACAGATTCTCCCTCCAGCCTCCAGAGGAACCAACCCTGCAGACCATGAGCCTCCAGAACCGCAAGAGAAGGCAGGGTGTTGTTTAAGCCACCAGCTTGTGTACTTTGCTACAGCAGCCCTAGATAGGACATATTATTCAAACTCAAGCTCATGGAAGTTTCCAAGGTTCAAATCTTCCTTTCTCCTCACGAGCTGTGTCCCCCTCTGAAAAATGAAGGTGACAAACCGTCCACTTCACAAGCCATTGCGAGGCCAGGATGAGAGACTACGTAGCTAGGGTGCTCTCCGGTACTAACCTGAAAAGGATTTAACAAACACTGGGTGTTGTTAAGATTTTTGCTTGATGATTAATGTTAAATGTGAGAGTTGGGGGCTCTAAAATTTGGCATAGTTTAAGCAAGAGCTATTTGTTTGTATGTTTGTTTGTTTGTTTTTGGAGACAGGGTCTCACTCTCCCTGAGGCTGGAGCGCAGTGGTGTGATCATAGTTCACTGCAGCCTCAAGCTCCTGGGCTCAAGTGATCCTCCCACCTCAGCCTCCTGGGAAGCTGGGAACTACAGGCATGCACCATGATGCCCGGCTAATTTAAAAAATAGTGTATGACAGGGTCTTGCCATGTTGCCCAGACTGGTCTCGAACTCCTGGGCTAAAGCAGTACTCCCTTGGCCTCCCACAGTGATGGGATTCCAGCGCAAGCCACCATGCCCAGCCAAGCAAGAGCTGTTTGAGTTTCATGTCTAGTTGTGTGTATAGAGGGCCCAGTGGGGTGGCTAATTTAAAAACTGGGCTTATAAATCAATTGTTTAACAGTGGTAAGTTCACCATGTGTTCTGAGTACTTTTTTGTAGACGTGCCTATATTTTAGCATGAGGCGTTGCTTTCAGCACCTCTTACCAGTTAAAATGCACAGCGGCCATTTCTCCTGTTTCAAGAGGCTTACATGGACCTTCACTTGGTGCACCTGGAAGAATCCCCACAGATGCATCTCCAGAAACAACTGCATAGAGGCTGCTTGTTGCAGGCGTAACAGCCGCCTTTACCAGCCTCCCTGCAGGGACCAGGAGCTCAGATCCCACTGCCTCTTCAGATTAGCTAAAGCTTTGCTGTTAGAACATGAATGTGTGCATGGAAAATGTTGTGCTGTAGAATACTGTCAGTAACACTGACTCGGAGCCCAATACTTGCGTGCCTCTAGAAAACCTAGTTGCTCTTTATCCATTAACTAATCTGAGGATCTTTTTGTGTGAAGAAGAGAAGGGAGGAGAAAAGGAAAAAAGAAGGAAGAGAAAGTAGGGAGGAGGAGGGAAATGAAGCTTGTTTTACTTTGCAAACGAGAGGACAGGCAAGTATGAAAGCCTGGGGATTCAAGCCTTCTCTCTGGGAGATTTGAAAGCAATGGAAAGAAAAGAGGATGTCATCATAACTTGTCTGGACACACAATCAGATAAAGCCAGGGCCCACCTCCAGCTTGCAAGTACCTGGCCGAAATGTCCTGCAGGTCAGGAAAGATTATTAAGAAAATGTGTCAGCAGAGCCAGCTCATCAACTGTGTAGATCGTGGTTTTGATGTGGGAAAAGGTGAAGGTTTAATCGGGCGAAAGGTTTAAGTCTCACTGGTTACCTGAGAGTTCCTTAAATCTAGAATAAAATAAAGATTTGCTGGCTGATGGCTCAAGAAATGAACCTCCTTTATAATTCTATAAAATAATTATATAAAATAACGACAGAAATCTGAATGGGGGTGTCTGCAAAAAGGGAGTGGGCGGTGAGACCTTTGCTCCCCTTTGCTGACAATCCACTTGCATTCATGGCGACCTGGTCTTTACAGCTCTGTGGTTCATCTTAAAAGATCAGCGGGGACATGTTCTCACTCATAGGTGGGAATTGAACAATGAGAACACATGGACACAAGAAGGGGAACATCACACTCTGGGGACTATTGTGGGGTGGGGGGAGGGGGGAGGGATAGCATTAGGAGTTATACCTAATGCTAAATGACGAGTTAATGGGTGCAGCACACCAACATGGCACATGTATACATATGTAACTAACCTGCACGTTGTGCACATGTACCCTAAAACTTAAAGTATAATGATAATAAAATTAAAAAAAAAAAAAGATCAGCGGGGAGAGGTCTGGAGTGTGGATAGCCATCACCAGGTGCCTTTCTTCTGGTAAATTTTGCAGAATTGTTATGAAATAGTTGAAAGAGAAGGCAAAAATATTCAAATTCAGTTATGCATATCATTTTTTGCTACTTGAATTTAGGGAAGATCATGGAAAAGGAAACTTGTGGGTGGAGTCTGAAGGAATGCAAGTCTGGGAAGCAGATGACTTTTGAACTGAGGCAAGGTGGCTCTGTATATATTCTGTGTCTATTACAGATGGTAATCTGCCAATCTGCCCAATGACAAGAAGCAAAACATTAGTTCTTGTACAATGCAAATAGCTGCAGCAAACATTCTCAGGACTTCCTTCTTTTGTGGAAATATTACAAAGAAACGAGTTGCACAGTATCTTTATATACTACCTTGAATATCCCACTTTTATTTGTCCAGTGAGTCTTTCAAAGTTTTAAGCCCAAATGAAAATGTGGCCGTTTGTCAAAGTACCCCCCTTCTCCCCACCTTTTCTTTTGTAATTCAATTCCTTTTCTTCAGGAAATTGCTGTGTATTGGCTTTCAAATATTTTGCCATGTGTTTGTCCTGTCCACAACTAGAATGGAGCTGTTTTCCCCAAACCTGAGTTTCTGTTTACACCTGCCTCAAAAGCTGTCTGAAGCAGGGCTCCACACCCAGTTTTGTCTGACCTCAGTTTCCTTTTTGTTTCCTTGGGTTTCCCTTTATTTTTCCCCCTTAAGCCTTTCCTGGCTTCCATATTCTTCTTCCAGCCCTGACGGCTGTGTCTCAAGGGTCTGCAATGGTGAACGTCACTTTGCTTTCATTCCTTCCCATCCAAGTGCTGGTTGGGCCGGGGGAGGTGGTGGGTGCAGAACCCTGCTGGAGGCAGCTCTTTAGCCCTTTGGAACCATGGTTCATACCCCACTTCTCCTCTGTGTGCCTCCTTCCCCTTCCCCAGAAAGGCCTTAGTTAAGGTTATTAGCGTGACTGGCAATAATAATACCATTATATGGGTAAGGATGATACAAGTGGGTTCAGGAGGTAGAGGGTATGAGCAATTTGGATGAAAGGAGACAGCTGAGGAGGAAGGAAAACCTTCCCCGTGTGGATACGAGAGAACACGAGCCTAGGGACAGCAAAAGAGCCTTGAGTGATGGAAATAACAGCATGGAATCTCAAGTTGCAGGCCTGAATAAATATGTGGCAATGTGCGGAGAACATGAGCAGATGCAAAGAGACATTTATAATAGCGTTGGATTGTTCCTTCACTGCAGAGGAAAGCATGTTTAAATAATAATTTAAAAAAGCTCTTGAGACTCCTTCTTGGCTCTTTAATTATTAGAGTCTTTGTAAGAGTGTAGAAGGTTGCATTCTCTGACAATGTTAAATTTATAAATTTCACTGCTGGGAAACTTAAAGATTTTTCTCAGCCTTTAAAAAAGATAGCAGTGGGGATCACTTTGTGTTAGCATTTGCCTTTAAAACACAATTCAGCAAATGCATGGGCATGTTTGGATTAAGAGGCTGTCGTACCTGTATGATCTACTAAGTATTTTTCAGAAAATTAAGAGAGAAGAGGATTGAAGGGGCTGGGGAGAGGGAAGTTTCTGACTCTTATTAGAGTGAGCATATAATTTATCTTCCATACCTGTTCATCCTTTAAAACACTTTATTTTTAAATAATTTGTAACTTACAAAAACTAGGTAAGTATGAAGCACTCACGTATCTCCTTGACCCAGTGTCATAAGATGAATAATAGCCCCCAGTGATATTCGGGTTCTAATTCCTGGGTATTACCTTACACAGCTAAAGGGACTTTGCCAGTGTGCTCATGCCAAGAATCCTGAGATGGGGAGAATCTCCTGGGTGGGCTCTAGATGTAGTTATCAGCAGGTGGCAGAGGGAGATTTGTGACAGATGAGGAGAAGGCAATGTGGCCGCAGAGGCTGAGGTCAGATAGATGCACCTGGAAGATGGAGGAAGGGGCCATAAGCCAAGGAATGCTGGAGCCATTCGACACTGAAAAGGCAGGAGAACAGATTCTCACCTTCATGCCTCCAGAAAGCAGTCCAGCCCTGCTGACCCTTGACTTTAGTCCACTGAAACGGCTTCAGACTTCTTACCTCAAGAGCCATAAGAGAATACATCTGTGGCTGGGCGCAGTGGCTCATGCCTGTAATCCCAACACTTTGGGAGGCCGAGGCAGACGGATCATCTGAGGTCAGGAGTTTGAGACCAGCCTGGTCAACATGGTGAAACCCTTCCTCTACTAATAATACAGAAATTAGCTGAGTGCGGTGGCACGTGCCTATAGTCCCAGCTACTCTAGAGGCTGATGCGGGAGAATCACTTGAACCCAGGAGGTGGAGGTTGCAGTGAGCCAAGATTGTGCCACTGTACTTTAGCTTAGGCAACAGAGTGAAACTGTGCCTAACAAAAAAAAAATTAAAAAAAAAAAGGAGAATATATTTGTTTTAAACCACTACATATGTGGTAATTCGTCATAGCAGCAGAAGAAAACTAATAAACCCAGATTCACCAATTTTTAATGTTTTGCAACGTTTGCTTTTTCATTGTCTTGTTCTTTCTCCTCTCTCTTTCTGTGCAGTTTATTATTATCATTATCATCATAAAATTATTATTATTACAAACCATTCGAGGGTCATAAGCCAGAATATTTTCCATAGTGAAAAGAGGAATGACAATAAGTATAAGCCCGGACTGTCCTAGGAAAACCAGAATCCTGGTCACCCCCAACACTATTCTTGGATTTCTACCACCAGAGGCAAACAGAGACCTTGTCCCAGCTGCATGAACCCATGCTTCCAAGTTCTGCTGGCCCAGGGCTCTGCACATTTCCCTCGTGGGATCTGCAAGTGCATGCACTCCTCAGTCTACACTGGGTCAGTCCCTACACATCTCTAGGCTCTGGCCCAGACCTCACACTCCAGCCTGATCTTACATCATTTTATCTGGGTGTTTTGGTTTTCTGAACAATCCAGCTCCCTCTCCCTGCAGTCTCCCATTCACCCCTGCTCCTCTGCCTACCTGGCTAACATCTCCTCACCCACTGGGCCTAAACCTAGATTTCATTCCCACATGGAAAACCCATCTCTGCACCCGTAGTTCCCACCCCACTAGCAGAGGGGTGCAGCTCCCCCTGCTTTCTGCATTCCCATCCCCTTGTGCTTTTTGTGTGCAACATCTATCACAATTGCAATGACTTGGCCATTTGTGTGCATGGCATTCTGGTGAGATGGAATTTAAAAAAATTGCTGAGCTCCTGAAAATCTGGGAGTGGGCAGCAGGTGACTGTGAAGCAGATCTTCCTAATTATGGGAAAAACATCATTTGACTTCCTTCTGTTTGCCTTGTGGGGGTGATGCAAGTAACCCCTTGATTGGGCAAGTGAGAGGAGCTGACTCCCTGAATCATCTTTTCATTTTCTTTTTCTCTGTCTTCACAAAGGCTGTTCTTCTCTTGGGAATCTATAATGCTGGAAAAGGAGGCAGGGATTGCCATAAGGAACACAACGATGTTTTGGGAGGGAAAAAATGAAGACCCTTACGACAGCCTCTCTTTTTAAGTGAGAGACCCTGGAGCAGACGAGTTCTGCTGGCAGGCCCCCAGGAAGGTGGGAGATACTGAGCTGGCATAATTTTAAAAAATCACCAGTCACGATTTGGCCTGAAACTGGAGCTATGCATGGGCCCAGCCACCTGGACCTGGATTCATGCTTGGGGGATCAATGACAGCGTGCATGAGTGTGAAATAAGAGAGATGTTGTGACCTCGGGGTCCAAGACTGGAGGCTCACCGCACAGGAGGGGCTAATGCTAGACTTGGTGGGTAAAAGTGCATGTGGGTGCCGATGTGTTTAACTGAGAAATGTGAGTGTTACAATATATTTGTACCCCCCCCCCCCGAAGTAAAGTAGATCATACCAGATGGATGTGTGTGCTCGCACAACAGACTGAACTTATCTTCAGGGCAGCAGCTGTCATTACTTGCTTGAGACACCTCCTAGTCCTAGTAAGTGATGCTAGGGATGATGCTTTGTTAAATGAATGAATGAAATGACATATCACCAAGTTGAAAATATCCATTCAAACACCAGCTTCTCCATTGAACTTCACAACTAACCTCGCTATCTGCATTCAGTTCCGTAAATATGCAGGAAATCTATCCATCTCTCTGTCCATGTATGTGTGTGTATATATATTAGAGTTTATGTGTATATAAATATCTGTTTTCAGTATTATTTTCAAGTGCTGCATATTTTATTTCATTATTTTTCTTCTGTCAACTTGACCTATATCTCTATTGGACTACCAGTTCCTTAATGAGGCCGTGCTGTTCTTTTTAAAAAAATTGCACTGCTTCACAACATTTTCAAGTAAAAACCTCTTATTTTAATGTAAAAATTAAAAGTCTAAGACCTCAACTCCCTCCCTCTCCATAGGAACTGTATTCTCAGTGTCCTTTAAGAAAATAGATGCAAGCTCTGAAGTTGCAAGGGGTTCATGGTTCATTGTTTGGAAAGCACCATTTCAGGGGAATACCTTGTAGAATTCTCTATTTTGGGACTGCCCTTCATGTGAGGAGACTCGGCAACAGCTTCCATAATGTAGTGTTGGCTGCATGGGAACTCCACCCCCAATACCTTCTTTTTAGCTGGGAAAAAATCTTTCACTCCATAATTAGAAAAAAAACAAAAAAAGTCCCTAGTCTACATTTGCTGTCTGTTGTAGATGAGTGCTGTGCTGTCATCTACTGCTGTGCTGGCATGACAGGAGCTGCCTGTTAGTGGGCATAGGGATGACCCCTTCATGAAAGAGATATTGAAGCCCCAGAGAGGGAAAAAATGAGCTGAGAAAAGAAACTGGGTGGTGCCGTGGACGGAGTTCACCAGGTTCACAGTCCTGAGCAGGGCGAGGGCTGTTTCTCCCACGCCGAATGCTTCATAATTGTTTTTGGTGGACTGACGTGGAAGCTTGCATCAAATAGGCTTACTTAGTAAGAACTGACCTTGATCTTTTTCCAGGACCACAGTGGAAATTTTCAATAGGAAAAAGTCTGTTTAATAAATATACTTTGTAAACATTAAATCAAATTCACCAAAAGTTTCTTTTATTTGTGTGCAGCTTTGCACAATAAGTTCCATCTGGGAAAAGCCACATTGTCTGGAGGTGGGAGTGAATTTCTTCTATTTTCTTCCCAGGAAAGTCTGTGAAATCACCAATCTCTGGTTCTCTTCACCAGAAACATTAAACTTCAAGAAGTGTCTGGGGGAGGTGGGACTCCTGTAATGAATAGTTTGCAGGTTCATTGTGAGTATTCGACATTTAATACCATGAACCCACTTTTTAGCCAGAGAGAGCCTACTGGCAAGCATAGAGTCCTGAAGCATGTTAATGATCTAAAGTTAAGGTTTCCACCTTGCAATAGCGTTTAATTCTCCATATATGTCATCAGGAAATGTTGGCCTTTGAGGGTGGATTACACTCCTTTTAACAGCAAAAAGGGCACATCAGGTGGGAGGAGGCTCATGAAGAGCATCCAGGAAGTGCGGCCTCTTCAAGGAGAAACCCTGTGTAAAAAAAGAAAAAACAACAATCCCAAAGCACTAGTTGTAAGTGAAGCTGCAAGGAGCAGGTGCTGTTTCTTGGGTCTTATTTGCACTGCATATTGGTAAACAGAGTACTTTTGAGTTGCAGCGATTCCAAGTCATTCTCTTGGACTTATTTTGTTTTCCCAGTGACAGAAAAATATTCACATCCATATCCAGACTCACAAATGGAATCCAGAAATGTACCGGAGCCTGAGGAAAATGCTCTATGGTAATAGCCAGGCTTCCAATCGTGGGAAAGCCAAACATTTCTTTAGCGCACGAAAGGTTTAGTGGTGTTCGAGTCAGGAGTTGTGTTGTCTGTCCCTTCCCCTTCTTCTCTATGATCCCACATACGGCCTCCCCATACTGTGAGGGTATTTACATTAATATGTGAGAAAGTGGGGCCCTGGCCCACCTCAAAGGCCTCATCATTGCCACTTCTAATGCCCCGGGCACTCCATTCAGCCCAGAAGACTTAAGAGATGGAATAACCCAGAGGGAATGTGCTATTTACATATGAATCCCAGTCTCTGAATTCTAACAGAGCTGTGGGAGTTGTTTCCCAAACATGTAACCTTGTGCCCAGCCACCTTCTCCTCAAGTGACCAAGCCAAGGTCTTGCACGTGATCCCAAGTCAGCCATCCTGAAGCTGACCTGAAGCCAAGGAGCGGCCAGGCCTTAGACCCATAGGGTGGCTGAACAACTGGACCCTTGTTCAGGGACCGTGACCTACTCAGTGACCCACGGGGAGGGAATTAGGAGTTTTCCAACATGCAATAAACACCCAGAGAAAGCCTCAGACTCCATAAGCCCTGTTTAGATGTGCGACCGCTTTTTATTCTTTAAAAAGTTTTGATTTATTTTTATTACACATAATAGATGTACATATTTTCAGGGTACATGTGATAATTGAATACATTCATATAATGTGTAAAGATCAAATCAGTGTAATTGGCATATCCATCACCTTAAATTGTCTTTTCTTTATGCTAGGAACATTCTAATTATTATCTTCTAGCTATTTTGAAATATACAATAAATTAGTATTAACCAACTGCAGTTAACCTACGGAGATCACTTTTCTTCAAAAACATTTTCTTGACTTTTCTGTGTGTTTTATCTATTGTTGTACATTAATCTATTGCAAAAGTTAGTGGCTTAAAGTCACATGATTTCTCTGGATTCTGTGGGTCTGGAATCCAGGCAGGATCAGAACCTCTGCTCACTGTGTTCTCAGCTGGGCTGGCTGATTCACTGCATTCAGCTGAGTGTTGGGCAGAGCTGGAAGGTTCAGGCAGGCCTTACCCACCTGTCTGGCACCTCAGTGTCCCCCCCTTTGTGTAGCCAGCTTGGACTTCTCACAGCTGGTTACTGGGTAGGCAGGCTTCTTGCATGGTGACTGGCTTCTAAGAAGTAGGAAACAGAAGGCTTAAAGTCTAGGCTTGGAACAAGTCCAACTTCACCACTGTTACATTTCACTGTTGAAAGCAAGGTATGAGGCCAGTCGAAATACAAGGGAGGAGAAAAAAGGCCCTACCTTTGGTCATGGGGTGCAGCATGTACACAAAGAAAGGTAAGGAATTGATGGCCGCCGTCTTGGTTGACTGGCTACCACCCAGTGTGTTTCTGCAACAATAAACCTCGCCAACCAAGGTATCTTGAGCACATCTCTATTCCTTGCAATTCTACAGTGTCTGTCTAAGCCATTAGCTCCCTTAGCTGGTCATCCTTCCTCATGACCAACACCTATTCACTGGAGCCCTAATACATGCAAACATTCTGGGGAGGATCCACCAGCCAGAAAAAGATCATGCTCTAGTTAGGGATATATGAATACAAAGATTTAAAAAAATTCTACGAGCTAGCTTTTGAACGACAAAGCCTAAAAGTAGGGAAGGAAGGAACAAAAAAAAAGATGAGAATAAATTGAAAAGATATAAAGTGAAAGTTTCCCAAGAGAAAGCTAGGAGGATATCTCATTGTTTATCTAATGTGTATTAGGGAAAGCTCTTTTTGAATTGCTTTTCAAGAGAATGAATTTCTTAAGAGACCGAGAAGGTAGGACTCATTTCTTTTGAGGCTGATCAATACGAGTCTCATAGATTCAGTCACTTGCTGATTCTTGCTTCAGAGTGCCTTCTAAGGCCACCCCTATTCTTGGTAGTGGGGGAACCCTGCGAGTAATACAAGTTGTAACAGGTCCATTCTCACACATTGTATTGGAAGTTCCGAAGGAAGGCACTTTTCT
This sequence comes from Homo sapiens, assembly GCF_000001405.40. Lineage (NCBI taxonomy): Eukaryota > Metazoa > Chordata > Mammalia > Primates > Hominidae > Homo > Homo sapiens. The sequence goes on along the minus strand of NC_000013.11, from coordinate 106,382,971 downwards.
TCTGTTATGGACTTGGCTAAATCAATGGAAACTCCATATTCTTTGTCTTCATTCTTCTTTCCTCGCCACTTCCTGCAATATCCCAGACACGTGAACCCACAGCCAACAAACAGCCCTGTGCCACCCACCAGGGGGAGATGAAAACAGCTCTGATGACACACTCCTCTAGCTCCTTCCCCGTCTTACCCCTGGGCTCACTTGTCACCAGCTATTACCAGCTGAAATGCATGGTGCCTCTCAGCAGGTGAGTTCTTCTGGCTTTATTTGAGGGTGAGGGCTTTTTGGTTTATTTTGTTTTTGTTTTGAAGGCCAACTCCCGTCTGGTGGCCATATGTAGCCATCTGGGCTTCCCATAAACCACCATAATGACAAGGCAGGACTCATAATATCATTTTCGTTTTCCATAGACAGGCTAATTTGAATTTAAGATATGGTGTGTTCAGCATGTTCAGAAGATGGGACCCTCAAATCAAGTTAACCTACTGTTAGATTTTTCTGCCATTCATCCACCCCAGGAGATCTTTCTGCTCCTGACCCTTTCAGCACCTCCTTGTCCCTGCGGTCCTAATTTGGGGGTAAGACTTGGCTCCCTTCAGGCCGTCTATCAATCATTTTTGCTCCTTATGCAAACACAGACAGTTTTGTCATTATTCTAAAAATAAGTGCTTTTAAGGAGGCTGGGAACCAGTTTCTCTTGTTCTGTTCTATAGCCATTTTTACTTGTAGCAGCAATAACAAGCCATGCCTACTGTTTTTCAATGTGGTAATATGGTTCTGTCTCTGATATAAACAACTCACCTTTTGGCCTTGCAGTTTACTCGCTGGGGAGCATGATTATTTTCTTTATTGCCTTGTAAAATAGCTTGCCTGTCACATTATAGCTTAATTGGGAACACAAAATAATAAATAATTTAAAACAAGGAAAATTGCTGTCTATATGGGGAGCTGAATAAAAACACGGCCCCGGCATATGTCCCTCTGGTGTCACTCAAGGGTTCTAGAACACAGGGCTTTAAATCATATTTGGCATCAAGCATGCCTTTGAAACTTTTCTGAACTTGTTTTTGCCTCCAATTTCCCAATAAAAATGGTTCAAATTATTTGTTTTTTTCCAAAGCAGATTGAACCTTTCTTGTCATCAGATTTGTTCAACAGAAAGGATGTTAATATTGCTCACCATTGACCCATCTGCAAAAGGGGGGACAGAATAGTAACTGCATGTCTGGGTGGCTGAAAGGACTGACAGGAGGAAATCCATGCAAAGTGGTGAGCAGAAGGCCTGGCACAGAGTAAAGACGGCAGAGATGTGAAGAATGGAGAAAGTCTGGTGCTTTTTTACACACATAAACATTTGGATGCAAATAGAACCAATGCCCCTCCCTGAAAAGATGGGTTTGGCCACTTAAAGAGCTTACCTCTGGGGAAAGGAAGAAAGGGTCTGGAGTGAGATATGGTCCCTTTCTCGTTGTTTACTCTGTGATGGCTATTTCATGTGTCAACTAAAGTCATGGGTAGGCTATGGTGCCCAGCTGTTTGGTCAAACTCTAGTCTAGATATTGCTGTGAATGTATTTTTTAGATGTGATTAACAATTACATTCAGTTGGCTTCGAGAAAAGCAGATTACCCTTTACAAGCTAGGCCCCTTCTTATCAGTTGAAGGCCTTAGGAGCAAACACTGAGGTTTCCTGGAGACCAGGAATGTTGCCTTAAGACTGCAGCATAAAAACCCTGCTTGAGTTCCCAGCCTGCCGGCTGCCCTTCAGATTTGGACTCAGGACTGCAATATCAATGCTTACCTGAATTTCCAGCCTGCTGGCTTTCTCTGCAGATTTCAGATTTCCAGGCCCCACAATCCCACGAGCCAATTCTTTAAAATACGTCTCTCTGCAGATATATAGATATAGATATACATGTACATCCTATTGGTTCTATTTTTCTGGAGAATCTTGACTAATCTACTACCCTTTTGTTCTATTTGAATTTATTTTTAACCATATTATTTCACAAAAGAAGATATTGGATTTCAGGGTAAGATAGATGTGGGGCAAACTCTTTGATGCCTCCTCATTCAATCTCTGAGCCATGCGATCATGGGGACTGCTAGTCGCACAGACAGTTTGGAAGCCACTGGAGTATGTCACCTTGTGGCTTCCAACCAGACATGTGCTAACTAGATTCCAATTCCAAGAGTTACTTTTGGCTCCCAAATTGTGTCAGTTGTAAAAATTTAAAATACCTTTTAGTGATAATCTGGGACCTATCATATATCATCAGGAAATCATTAAATTGCTGTAGTGGAATATGTGATATTGTCTATACAAGCACTTAATCTTTTGAAGTGCAGAGATGACTTTGGGGTATCCTAAGCAACTGTTTAATCTGAGTCATTAGTAGGGATAGATCTAGCCACTTAAGAGCTGTCTCATCCTGGCAAACCCCCTACCTTTCTGGGCCTCATTTCTTCTTGAAAATGAGAAAGTTAGAAGTAAGTTGTCTTTTAAATTTACTCTCAAGTTCCACAAAGTAAAAAGCCCCATGAATATTGCACTGCCTGGTTCAGCTGCTGTTATACACCCTTTGCAGCCAAAAGCAACTCTCTTCCTAGGAGCTTAGGCTCACAGGACTCATTGTGCTGAAGACAATGGGACGATGGCTTCAGCCCCTGGTTCTACTGTTTCTACTGGGTCTGAGGAGAGGATGAGGTGGTTTAACCAGCAATGGTTCATTAATCCAACACTAAGTGGGAAAGCAGAAGAGCCCTAAGGTTGAGGGACTTAGAAAAATGCCAAAATGTTGAACAGGAACAAAGTACAGATTAAGAGGAAAGCTTTATGCAAGAGGAACATGGATTTCTAGGCATCAAATGCCAGCATGATGCATAATTGGCAGTCTGTGCCTTGATCTGATGAACTTTGCTGATTGACACCATTATGTTGGAATCTACGGTAAGGCTCCTACCTCCATTCTGTGACTGTTTGGTTTTAGGCACATGCATGCATTATTTTACTGAATCTTTATGACCAAGCTATGAGATTGGTATTATTTTCCCATTTTTTTTCAAGTGATGATAGGTACTGAGGATCAGATCATTAAGTAACTTTCCTAGGGCCAGAATATTAAACTGGTAAGTGGTGGAGCTAAGATTCTATTTTTGCAACTCCAAAAATCCATAGATAATCATTTGTACGTCTGTGTTATGAATGATTGAAAAAAAATGAATAAGTGAATGCATATTTTGATTAGCTTGTTTGATAATTTACAGCAATAAATTACCCCATTATTTGTAGAACACATTTTACAATAATTTTCAGAACTGTACTTACACAGATGAGGTAGTACTCCCCAAAATGTGGAACTTTGGTATTGCAGGTTCGCTGAGCCCAGAAAGCCTGCAGAGCCAATACTGTCTTTTAGAGTCCGAGAATTTGGCCAAACAAGGGATGTTATCAGAGACATCACAGGGCCACCCATACATAAATGTTCATTACTCTAAATTCTTTTTTTTGGGGGGGATGGAGTCTCCCTCAGTCGCCCAGGCTGGAGTGCAGTGGCGCTATCTCAGCTCATGGCAAGCTCTGCCTCCCGGGTTCACGCCATTCTCCTGCCTCAGCCTCCAGCATTACTCTAAATTCTTTGTTCTGGGAATCGATGGTGAAAATCTCCCCCTTGAGTGTCAAGCTGTCACACTGGGTAGATGAGATAAGTCACATACACTTGCATCACTGCAATTGTCTCATGGTTAGTCATGCATGCTTGTTTTTAGGAATAGTTATTTGACAGAAGAATTCATGACCACAGGGCCCAACTCAGGAGTAGGCAGGCAGATGCCGAGGTGCTGCAAACAGAGGGATCTCATGGCCATACCGGTGGGAAAAACCAAAGTACTCCCAACCCTCTCCCCCACCCAACATCCTCCTCCTCTTTACTGAGAAAGCCTCTTTCTGAGAGATAGAGGAGGGACGTTGTCTCTAAAGAGGCAATGTTAAATTACACAGTTTTTCCTAGAACAACACAGGATTGTGAGGAGTGAGTTGAAGAGCGTCTTAGTCTGTTGTGTGCTGCTATGACAGAATAGCTGAAACTAGGTAATTTACAATAAGCAGAAATGTATTGGCTCATAGTCCCGAAAGTTGGGAAGGCCAATAGTAAGGTGCCGACATCTGGCGAGAGCCTTCTTGCTGCATCATCACATGGCAGAAGGTGAGGAGGTGAGAGAGGCAGGGGGCTAAGCTCACCCTTTTATACCAGCACCAATCCCACCCATGAGGGGGGCCCTGCATGGCCTTATCACCTCTCAAAAGTCCCACTTTCTAATACGGCTTAAATTTCATCATGAATTTGGGAGGGGACAAACATTCAAACCATAGCAGGCACCTTCCATTCTAGACTTTTGTTAGCATGGATTATTTTATCGAGTTGTACAGAGCAATTGTACAGAGACAAGGGCCCTAATGATTAACTGGGTACAGTGTTGCCGGTGGAGCAGAAGAGCTGGGCAGCAGCAGAGAGCAGCATCGGGCCAGGTCCAGTGCCTCAGTCAGGAGCTGGGCAAGAGTAGCCCAGAGTGTGCACAGATCCTCGGGCTTTTCCAAACAGGAAACCTGGGCATTCAATACTATGGATATTTTGAGGGGAGTGGCAAAATAAGGCAAAATATGTTAAAAATTTGAACTTGATCTCCATTAGAAGCATAGTAATCCTAGTTTTGAAAAACTTCAATCAAAATCATTCAGGTTTTTTAACAAGTTCTAGAAATACATTTTCTAAATGAAATATGAATTGGATGTAATACAGAAATGGCAACCACATGCCTCGTCTCTTCCCATCTGCTGTGTTTTCTGCAGCATGATGTGGTAGAAGGAAGCCTGGAAAAAGTGTCTTGGGTCATGAGTCCCCCACTCACTTGCTGTGTGGTCTTGGGCAAGTTTCATTTCTCTGAGGCTCGATGCCCTCATCTGTAAAATGAGGAGAGTGGAATGGATGATTTTTCAGTTTTTTTCTAGGTCTAAAACTCTGTGATTCTTCTGGAAGTTTTTTTGTTTGCTTGCTTTATCCTCTGCATTCTATTTCAATAGGAAAAGGGGAAGAGGAAAAGCAGAAAGAAAGAGCAAAAAAGAAAAAAATTAAAAGAGATCCAAATATTAAATAAGCCTCAATCAAGTATCAAGCACCATAGAATTAATAATCAGAAATTACTAATTTCTGATTAATAAATTACATTTATTAATCCTGATCATAAAGTAGGAAATACACAGTGTTATTGTCACCATTTCAGAGGCGTGGACTCCAAGGTTAAACGTTTGACCAAGGTTAAGTAGATGTCTTAGTCTATTTGGGGAGCTATGACAGAATACTTTGAAGTGGATGGCTCAGGAAAAACAAACTTCTTTGTCGTCATTTTGGAGGCTGGAAGTCCAGGATCAGGGTGCCAGCACAACTGGGTTCTGGTGAGGGCCCACGTTCTGGCTCATAGGTGGCCTTCTCGCTGTGTTCTACACTTCACATGGTAGACGGTGCAAGGGATCTCTCTGGGGCCCCTTTTATTCGGGCACTTATCTGGTTTTGAGGACTCTGCCCTCATGAGCCACTCACCTCCCAAAGGCCCCATCTATTAATACTATCTTATTGGCTATTAGGTCTTAGCATACGAATTTGGGTGGGGGACATAAACATTCGTTCTATAGCAGTAGTCAAGGTGATAATTTAACATAAATCGGGGTGACTTCAGAATGCGTCTTCTTTCCCACGCTCAGTCTTTCTACAATGCCACACTGTCTCCGGAAAGGGGTAGAAAAAAAAAGAGGAATAAAGTTAGACAGTGGGAGTGGAGAGGGAAGAAGAGACGTTGAGAGATCAGGGGAGACACATGTGACACGGACTACTCACAGTGATTCCAGCAATTGCTACACAGACGCCTCCCACACAATGGTCGTAACCTTCGTTCTCATCCACTGCGTGGGAAAGCTGCAACATGCTCCCCGCTGGCAATGGTGGTTCATCCAGGGTGACTCTTAGCCGAGAAGTGTGCATGCTGGGTCCAGCAGCGTCCACCAGGGGCACATGCGGAGTTTCATAACAATGTCTGGGTACCTCCGATGTCCTGGCTGGAGAAGGTTTAGAGACATAGCAAGGGAGACAGATGGATTAGGGAAGTGGGGAAGGACCAGACAGGTCTTTATTTCCCTACTCCTCTCCGTTATGTGTCTCTAAAATTAACACTGCAAGAACTATGCTAAGAAGCAAGCTTTTATGTTATAAGAATTAGAGCCACCAAATCAACCCTGTGCACATGGCACTTCCGTCACCTCATGCTGTGACCTCTCATAGGTCTCGGTCCCCCAGGTTTGAGGAGATGAGTCCCCCTGGCTGAGGCATTTCTAACAGGGCTGGAGGATTTCTGCAGGAAGTGGTTACCGGTGAGTCAGGATCTGGCGTTCATCCCTCTGAGTCAATAATGAGCCGATTTCTCAGTGGGTTAGGAACAAGTGGAGATGGAGTCTTAAATAAGTGGCAAACCTACCGCGAGCTCTCCCGGCACCTTCTCTCCGGGCAAGGAGGTTAATGCCAACGTGTTTCCTCAGTCCCAATTTGGGTCATTATATTTTTAATTATCTCTGAATTATCCCTATAGATTCAACAGGATACATTATCTTCCATTTCCTACCTTTAACTTGAAAGCACTGATGTGCTGCTTAGGCTGGTGACTGTTGAACAAAGCAACTTCTCCAAACCTTGCCTACCCTCTTCTCCACTCTCGCCCGCAATTCCCTCACCTTTTCTCCTGACGTCCCTCTCTTGAGTCCTAAATAACGGCCTTAAAGAAAAGCAAATGCAGCCGGGCACAGGGGCTCATATTTGTAATCCCAGCACTTTGGGAGACGGAGGTGGGTGGATCACTTGAGGCCAGGAGTTCGAGACCAGCCTGGCTAACATGGCTAAACCCCTCTCTACAAAAATTAGCCGGGTTTGGTGGCTCATGCCTGTTATTCCAGCTACTCAGGAGACTGAGACAGGAGAATCGCTTGAACCTGGGAGGCAGAGGTTGCACTGAGCTGAGATCGGGCCACCGCACTCCAGCCTGATTGACAGAGTGAGACCCCATCTGAAAAAGCAAAAAAGGAAAGGCAAATATGGCTGGGCGCGGTGGCTCACGCTTGGAATCCCAGCACTTTGGGAAGCCGAGGCGGGCGGATCACGAGGTCAGGAGATCGAGACCATCCTGGCCAACACGGTGAAACCCTGTCTCTACTAAAAATACAAAAAATTAGTCAGGTGTGGTAGCGGGCGCCTGTAGTCCCAGCTGCTCGGGAGGCCGAGGCAGGAGAATGGCGTGAACCCGGGAGGCGGAGCTTGCAGTGAGCCGAGATCGCGCCACTGCTCTCCAGGCTGGGTGAAAGAGCGAGACTCCATCTCAAAAAAAAAAAGAAAGGCACATGGCGGGTGTTGGTCTCCCTAATGAATTCATTTGCCTTTTGTTGGTTCCTGAAGACAGAGAGAGAGAGACAGAGGCCACACAGAGAAAACTGGGAAGGGCGAAGGCTGCGTGTCCCCTGCTCAACCTCCCTGCGTCCGGAGGGAGCGGAATCGGGAATCTCTTAGCGAAAGGCAGGACCCGCAGGACTGGCTCACAGGGCTGGGGCTGGAGGGGACTTGGTGAATGACTGCTCTCTGAATTCCCTCCCTGCTTGAACTCGGGCCCTCCTCTCCTCTTCGCGTCTCCCAGGGAAAGCAGTACCCCGTGGAAAGGGAGAGCGCCTCTGCTATGCGCGCACAGGGACTCACCGAGGCACATAGCGTCCTGGCATGGAGAGGCGAGCGCTGGGGTCCGGCCTGCTGGAAAGGAAGAAGAATGGAGAAGAAGGAGGAAAGTCCAAGGAGAAGCCTCACCCGCATAGCTCATTTTGGGAAAGCTGGCCTGCCCTGCCACAAAGAGGTGCTGGGGAAGTGTGTCAGCTGAGGGGCCCTTAGGGAGACCTCTGGTCCCCGAATGAGCCTCTCAGCCGACTCCTCCTTAGCTTGTTGCTGATCCTGTCCCAGGATTAACATAGACCAGGGTCTCTCAACCTCAGTGCAATGGACATTCTGGGCCAGGTAATGCTGTGCCGTGCGGGCTGCCCCGGGCACTGTGCGAGGCACAGCGGCACCCTGGCTCTACCCGGGAGATGTCATGAGCACCGCTTCTCCCACAGTGACAACCAGAGGGGTCTCCAGACGTGGCCAAATGAGAAGCACTGATTAAGACCTATTCCTAGGCCAGGCATGGTGCCTCAAGCCTGTAATCCCAGCACTTGGGAGGCTGACATGGCAGAATCACTTGAGCCCATGAGTTCAAGAGCAGCCTGGGCAGAAGAGTGAGACCCTGTCTTTACAAAAATGTAAAAATTAGCTTGCTGTGGTGACATGTGCCTGAAATCCCAGCTACTTGGTCAGCTGAGGCTGGAGGATTGCTTGAGCTCCAGAGGTAGAAGCTGCAGTAAGCTATGATTGCATCATTGCACTCCAGCCTGGGGAACACAGTGAGACTCTGTCTCCAATGAAAAAAAAAAAAAACCAGAAACCAAAATCCAGCCAGAAAAGAGAATTATTGCTTCCTTTCTAGACCACATGAATGGACTTTTCTTATTTAAGATGTACGCAAAGCAACTATAACCATTCAAACCACTCTTCACTTACACAGGGAGAGGTTAAGGACTTTCAAAGAAAAGCAGATCAGACCCTGACGGCCCAGGGCTTCCTAAAGCAGCCTCCTGGGGCAGGGCCTACAGGTGAGCAGACATAAGGAGCCGTGGCCCAGAGAACACCCTCAAAGGGTGACTAACAGCCCCGGTTTGCCTGGGACTTTCCTGTGTTAGCCCTGGAAGTCCCTTTGTCCTGGGAAGCCCCTCTGCCTAGGGCACATGGGGACAGTGGTTAGTGGGTAGGCTCTGTGTTTGGCTGTCATTCAAGGTGGCTTTGGCTGCTTGCTTGTCATTCTGAGTGTGGGGACACACATGCTACCCTGGTTGTCAGCAGGTGAGAAGGGGGCTCTGATCAGCTTCTCACTGGATTTAGAGAAGAGCAGATGCCCCTGATCAGCTTCTCACTGGATTTAGAGAAGAGCAGATGTCCCAGACTTGTAGCTGCCATTGCCTCTCTCTTTCGGAAAATGAGAGTTGCTAAGAGGTGAGATCAGGTGAGCAGGGACCTGTTCTTGACTCTTGCTGAGACAGTGCCTGGTGTCTGTTCATGCTGGGACCCAGGGTGGCTTCCATAGGTACACAGGTCCACATGCGAGAACTGGTGGCAGGATGGGTAAGGAAGGCCAACTGTGTGTGTGCATGTTTATGTGTGTGTGTGTGAGATTCACACTAGAAAGCTGCTTTGCCACCTGCCACAGGTGAGGCTGTGACTCCTCCTTGCCCTCCATGTCACTGAAGCCGTGGTTGCAGAGGTCCCTCGGGGCTTGTGAACTGCTGCAAGCACTTCAAGTCTGGGGACCGTCTGTTTCCTGCCTGCTGTTTATGACCCAGAACATTGCCTCTAGAACTAGGCTGCACTTCAGTCCCGCTGGGAGCATGCTTGCCACTCATATCTTCCCTGCGCTATTTGCAGTTTTTGTTTGTCTTAAATATAAACTTTTCTTGGTTCTTTAAGTTTTAAAGAAAAGAAACTCTTCTCTTTCTTGAAGGAGAAAAGATTGATTTTTTTCCTCCTTAAATTATGTGGATAGAGATATGTCTGTACTTGATTAGTCTCATGTGTACCAAAATGTCATTACTTATAGGAGAGCCTGGGATTTTCAAGAATAGTAACATGGTAATTTGTCTTTCAAATACTGTTTTACTTATAGCAGCAATAACAGGAAATGTGTACTATTTTTCAGTGTTATAATCTGATTCACCCTTTGATATAAACAGCTTTATCTCATCTCATTGTTTATATCACATTCCTATTCCTCTGGAAAGAACAATATTTTTCTCTCTGAAAAGTAATATATTCTTGTCTAAGGATGGCTTAAATAAGTAACAGATGGTCCTTTTTGTGTGAGTGTCCCCTACCCCCACTCATTCCCAGCATTCGGTCAGACAGGAAAATCAGTATTTTTTTGGACATTACATGTGCCTGAACTTACAGGTTTGTCACCAACTTGATGTCTTTTATTTCTGTGATGGTGTTGTTACTCGGATAGTTTTAGAATATAGGCAATTGAGTAAATTTATTTGTGCTTGTCAAGTGGAATGTGCTTGAACAAATCTCTTTCCTGGTTCATAGTTACCCAGGTTAGTCATGGAAAAGATGGACTGGAATGCTCAGTGTGTGCCACATGGTCTTGGCTATAAAATAGAGTTCACTGTACACCAGGCTCTCACCATGCAACTTATTTATAACACAGTTCTATTGTTAAAATTCGTTCTGGGACCAGGACTAAATCTTTCTTGTCAAAAAATAAGGTTCATTCCTTGGCTTGGTTCAGGGGAAAGGCATACAATTAGAAGCCGGGACATCTCCTTTGCTGTCTTGCTAGCTGGGTGAGTTAAGGCAAGGGCACGTGGCCGCCTGGGTCTGTTTCCTGTCTGCAGGAGGAGGATGCCTAACTTACCACAAGGGCTATTGAGAATGTAACATGGGGTAATAGTTATGAAAGTGCTTTGAAAGTTCAAAAGCACCTAAAATAGCATTTTTTAAATATTAAAATCAAGCAATTAAATACGTTGCATAACAATAGACTCTTGTCTATAACATCATGGTTAATAGGTTGGCCTTGCTGTCAAATGAAATTCTTTGAAAAGATGTCTTTTCTTTGTAAGGGGAGCTTCAAGGAAAGAAACACAATATGCATAAGAGCCCTACTGCGAACTTGTAGAAACTGCCACTCTGATGGGGGGATTGGTGCTGATTCATTTTTGCGCTTGAGCATCAGAGTCCTTTGAGCCTAGTAGGCCCTTAAGTATATTTTAAACAAAAACATGATTATCGTTGTGGATAAGCTATTTGTGCTCTCCATTATCTATTTTTATAAGTGTGAAAAATGATCTTTTTTTCCCTACTAGACAGAAAGTCGAGAACATGATCCCTTATGTTGACATCTTCTCTATCTGCTTGTTTTTATGGTCTGCAAATGACATTTTTTGCATGCACCATTACAAAGTCTGTATGTGATTATTGTTGAAAATTTGGGCCAGGCGCAGTGGCTCATGCCTATAATCCTAGCACTTTGCAGGGCCGAGGGTGGCTGGATCCCTTTAGCCCAGGAGTTCAAGACCAGTCTTGGCAACATGGTGAAACCTTGTCTCTACCCAAAATACAAAAAGTAGCCAGTTTCATAACCTGATCTCAAAATAAATAAGTAAATAAATAGATTAAAATGTAAAATACAAGAAAAATTGAAAAATACAGATGTACAGAAAAGAAATAAGCACCCATTATCCTCCAGGTGTCCCATGGTCAGATCTCCCACATATATGGTAGCATAGAAAGGGGCAAGTCACATAACAATATTTATTATGATAGCAATTACATAAAGAAAATATATGTGTACATATTTATATGGATTCTGATGCATCTATATTTGTATGTGTATGTCTATGAATGGATAATAAACATATAGAAAGGATGCATTGGAATGCACAGATTAAATCTAGAGAGTAAGTAGACAGAGACATTCAGAGGAGAGAGGAATCCTTGCAGGCAGGAATATGTGGGAGCTTTATGGAGGAGGCTGCATTTGAGATGAGACTGGGAGGACTCGTACGACTTTGATAAGTACAGAGTGATCGGAAGCATCTTCCCATCAGAGCAGTAGATGAAGAAAGCGTGGTGTGAGGCCTCTGTGCAGTGTGTTTGAGGGTATATGAGTAGTCCGGTCTCTCAGTGCACTGTAGAGAGGTGAGAGAGCCTCTTGAAAACCTGGACTAGAGAGGCTGGAGGAATGGGAAAGCCAATTTCAAACAGTGGGAATCAACCTTTGAAAGCTTTGGGTGAGTGAAATAAAACATTACGATTTTTTGAAGACCAATCAGGTGCTGTTTAAGTAGAACGAATTAGAGTTAGTGGAGATGAGAGGTAGTAAGGAAAATAAGAAAAGGATTGATAATCTGGGTCTGAAATGACTGATCACTGGAGAAAGATAAAGCCACTGGAAGTGGAATGGAAGACATTCTGAAGAAGTCATCACACTTGGTGCCCGATAAGAAAGAGGTACACAGAAGAAGAAAGGACCTAAGGTGTGAGCTACAGCATCTTAAGTCTAAAGGACCATTTGAGGTGCTGTTGCTATTGCCAGAAGCAGGGAAGACAGAAGCTATATTCTATATAAAAAATGTATTATATTTTTTACTGGAAAAGATCTAAATGTCAGGAGTTGGTATGTGGTTTAAATTGTCAAGATTTTAGACTGCTGCTTCTTGGAAGTGTGATATAAAATGCTGTAATGTGGTATGTTGCTGCAAATTAGGTTTATTGATTTGGTATTGTCAAGAAATATAACACCTCAAAAATAGGCAGACTGGGGAAAAGGATACCCCACTGGCAAGTGTGGGTGCCACTGTATGATTTTCTAGCACCAAAACGCACGACAAGCTAGCAGTGTTGGTGCTGGTGCAGATTACATGGAAAGCACCCTGTTGTTTTTCCAAGCCCATTGGCTGGGAAATTTATGTCCACCTGCCGTCTGCACCTTGACACTGGCCATTTATAAGGCATATGGCGGTTCTTCATGGCACGTGGGAGAATAGATGACCCTCTCTATTTTTTTTTTTTTGACAAATGGGTTTCACAGGTATATAATAAGATCTTGATTTACTTTTTTAAGGAAAAAGAGGATAATAATAAGAGGCTGTGATTTGAGGGTGAGAAACAAAAGGGCAGCTCCAGGGAGGGTAAGGCAGGAAAGACCAAGAAGAGAGATCTCGAAATCTACTGGCTTCCTGCAGTGCTTGTGGCTTATTGTTCCTGGCCCAACAGAATCTTCAGACTAACACAGCTGTCCTTTCATGGCAGGAGATATTTGAGAATCTGGTGGGAAATTTTGTTTTTTAGTACACTCAGGTTGTTTGCGGCAGCTTGCTTACATTTTTCTGTCACTTATGTAGCTGAGATAATGTGAAATATTTTTTATCAATTAAATTAATATATACTATGAAACAGATACAAATTTAACATGTTTAACAATGAAGTATAGCTTTAAAATATCTTTTAAAAATCACAAGTTAGAATAGTTGTGATCACAATCAGAAGTATTTTTTTTTTACAGTAAGAATAACTAATATATTTATTGCTATTATCATCTTTTTCTGAACAAAGTTATTGGACCTTTAAGAATTATACTTTAAAATCATTAATTATACTTAAAATCATTAAGATGAAAGTTGATTTCTTATCTTTTGGTATGAATAAAGAGAGTATTTCTGGAATTGTAAGCAGAAGTAGGCAAGGAATATATTTCAATTTTTAAAGTATTTTGTATGATTTTTATCAGTTACCAAAAAGCTTGTGGTTTTGTTATTAACCAGTTCTGTTATTTCATTTATACACGATAGTAACATTCTGAAATTGTACCTGCAACAAGCCATAATTGACAACCTTAAGACCCATTAGCGGCATTACTGGATAAGAAACAAAAGTTGCTTTGAGTCCTCAGCTCTCAGCGGTGCTCGGTTTCCTTTCCTCTAAGCCTGAGGATTGGCAAATCTTCAGCCTGACTTAGAGAGATACTCTTCCCACAGCTATTCCCTTCAAAGCCCATTCTTAGCAGAGCTTCTGTCATCCGGAATTCTTCCTCTAAGAGCCCACATGCTCTCTTTTCAGGTTTTCTTTTTCTTTTTCCCTGTATTGAGTCGACTCTCAATTGGTGGCTTGAGAAAATACCAAAGATCTTTTTTGCCCTTGCTGCAACTGGATCATGAACACTGACTTTCCACGTAAAAACCAGCTGTGTGTGCATGAGTTTGTGGGGCAGGCTCTGCAGGGTGAGTCGCCGTTGCTGATAGAAGGAATGTGTAGGTGGGGAAAATCCAAGGGAGCGGTCCCCCCTTTTCAGAAATTGTCCTTGTTGTTGACCTTCACCTCTCTGGGAGGGGCCTGAAGAACCTAGGTCTCCAGGTGACCCCTCCGGAGATGACAGGCTACACGGTTTGGCACAGAGTAGAAAAGAGGTCTCTGATGGATGGTTGTCATAAACACCCACCTTTGAGCTTCAGAATACTATGCCTTGGAAGGAAAATAACTTCGGTTTTGGATGTCAATCAGAAGAGACAGCCAGAGACCCTTACTGTATCTGCATTATTTTCTACTGACCAGTCCATTTGCCGCCCTGCCCAAAGACAGTCACAGCGTTTAGTGAGACGAATGCCTTAGAATTCAGACAATCCTGGTAACATGCAAGAAAGCTTCTTAAATAAAATAATCTCTAATGTGACACGCACCGATAGTCACAGAAAGTGGAAAGGACTTTTCCCCACCATGTTTCAAGGTTGTCATCTGCCATTTGCTTAACTCTTTGAAAGATATTCAGATCTTGCTCATGTACATTTCAGCCTGCTATCATTGCCTATTTATGGAAAACATTTAGTATAAGAGGATTAATATGTACTTGTTTTAATTACATGCTAAACCATGTGAATGTATACAGGATTACGCTCTAGATTCTGAATAGATAAAGGATAAACTAAAATTATTCCCATTAATCCAAGGTCCTAACCCAGAGTTATCACAGCTAACGGAATGTGTTTGGCATTCCCAGTCATTCATCAGTGGGTAGAACCACCATTAAATTCACTAGTAGCTCTAGTTTTAAGCTACAAATTAAATTAGGTTCAAACTAATTGGGCATACAGCCTTTTTAAAAATTCACATTTCCTTGTTGTTGATAATTAATTGTCTTCCTAAGGATCAAAATAACAATATCATTCATTTGCAATGGTTTCCCTCCTTTAAATAAATGATTTTCTAATATAGCTCAAACAACTTTAATTTCTTAGCTTTTACACTGTTTTCCAAATAAATGCTGGGAAGTTCCCTGCATCCCTGAATGTTAAGAAGCAACGATGTAATCCCAGAGAATGTTCTCTTTGGCCATCATAGGCCTGGCATCTTACTGTTAATCTTTCCTAAGAAAAACAAGTCCTTCCTCTTGAAAGCTTGTGACTTTAAAAATAACAACTAAAAAGTGTTTTCATGTGGGAAATGCTCATCACAAATTATTATTTTTTCCCTGAATCCTACTGTGTTTCTTCTTGAAGAATGGGAGAAGGGGGAGAAGTTTGTACTGCGGTCCACCCATTTAGAACACAATCATTTGCACTAAATTAACACTTCCTGGGGAGATGTTACAAATTCTTTATTAGATGATCAGTTACAATGACCATTGTTAAAAAAACAAACCTCTCATGGGAAATACACCCCTGCTAGGCTGAAGCAGAAAGAAAACCTTAACTCTGTTTAGAATCTGGACACTTTGACCTTTGAACTTTAAGTTCCTTTCCTGCAGGGTTCTTTAAAGCCATGGTGGCTGAGATAGACTCCCAGTGCTATGTGTGAGCACAAGCAGCTGCAGGTTGACTTTTGAGAAGCTGGACTATGATTATGCTACTACAAAGAAACCAAAACCAAAATTTCCCTATGGTACATAACGGAAGTTTTGTTTGATGGTGGTCAATGATTCAATTATTCCTGCCCAAATTATTCTGTTCTCTGATGAACAAAGGCCTTATCAAGGATCTTTTCACAATTAAAAGCTCACAGAAAATAAGAGAAGGGCAAATAATATACAAACACACATATGTAGATACCATACATACATATACACACACATACCATATATGTATACACACACAAGACACACAACCTATAGCCATACGCAAAAGAAGTTGTGTTTTTGCACTTGCTATCCTTGGCTGCTTCAGAGGCTGTGGAATTCTATACCAAGAGATGAAATGGTCTCCAAGTGATAAAAAGTCTATTAAATGGGCTTTGTAGAGCAGAGACAAAGATCATAAGTGAGATAGTGTACGAGTACAATAAGAATGCCTTCTGCTTACTTGATCTGTTGATATTATAGTCTAATAGTTCTGTCAGCTTAAATTGTGGAAATATCCACTTTCTCATCTACTCTGGGGGTCTTAAACTGAGCTTGGGTCAAGTCTAGACTCCCTGGGAGGAGCAGTAAGCCCTTGTGGTAAAAATAACATGCAAGCCAGCACTCTAAACTGAAAACAAAAAAAATATATTAAGCTAACCAACTCAATTTGCTGATTTTGTGCTCCAGGTCCTGGAGATAATTGTACTAATGTCAGGGAAACTGAGGGTTTTCCAGGTGTGCTCATGCAAAGATTGTGCAGACCATTAACATAGGCAGTCACAGTTGTTTTTGGAAAACATATCTGAGTAAGGAAAAGACAACTTAAAGAAGAACGTCAAAATTTGAAGTCATAAAAGAAGCGATTGATTAGACTCAACCAAAAATTTAAATTCCATTACAAAATCACCACAATGTCAAAATACAAAAGGCAAACTAGAAACAAATATTGAAACATGATAGGGAACAATTACTATTTGATATGCAAAGAGGTTTTAAAACTCTGTGATAAAACCTCCAACAGAAGAATGAGCAAGTGATATGAGCAGGCATAGAAAACAAGAAATAAAAATACACAACATAAACATGCCAAACCTCACAAAATCCAAGTCTTACAAATGAGATATTTTTAGCTGAAAAGGTAAATAGTAATCTGTAAGTTTGATCATTCTTTATTGTGGGTTTGGGGAAACAGACACCCTCATATACTCTTGGCAGGTATGCAAATTAGTACAAGAGGTTAAAAGAGTAATTTGAGGAATAATCTAATACAACTTAAAATGTTCATAACTGAACTATTTTGTCTATTCCAATTCTAGGGATGATTCTATAGAAACTCTTGTACAACTGCACAAAAGAGAATATATAACTTGCAGTAACTGTTTGTAGTGGTACAAAAATTAGAATCAATCCAAATATCTATTATTGCACAATATAAAAAAATATATATTGGGTTAGCATATTGTCATTTACATAAGATACAGACCTTCATATAATAACATAAGAAAGACTTAAAATAAATTCTAAAAGATGACTTCCAGGGGAGTAAAGTTCCCATTTTTCCTTAAGAATATATTTTTATATATTGTACCTGTCCATTTTGAAGAAAATATTCCCAGCTTCAAATCACATCATCTGCAAATAAGTATAATTTTATTTCCTCCTTTTCACTCTGTATGCCTTATATTTCTTTTCCTTACCACTTTGGGCTGTGTAAGACTTTCAGTGTGATGTTGAAGAGCATTGAGATAGAACATCCTTGCCCTGTTGCTGCTCTTTAGGGGGAAAGTATTCAGTCTTTCCTTATGAAGTGCAATATTAGCTAAAGTTTCATTCTTTTTGATATTTTTGGTGTGTTTTGTTTTCTTTTGTTTTGGGTTGGTGTCCTTTAGCAGACATTCTTTTCTATTTCTAGTCCGCTAGAAGCTTTTTTTTTTTTTCTTTTTAAGTTGTAAATGGATGTGGAGTTTTGTCCAGAACTGTTGTCCCTCAGTATTTTTGGGGTATTGGTTTCAGGGCCTCCATGGATATCAAAATCTGACAATGCTCAAATCTCACAGTCAGCACCACAGAATCTCAAACATAAAAAGTCAAAAAGTCAGCCTTCTAGGTCCTGGGTTCGGCATCCCACAGGTCATGTATTTTCTGTGGAGAGCTCTGTGATTTTCTCTATCAATTGATGTGATCACGTGGTTGTCTTCTTTAGATGGTTAATATGGTAAATTACATTGATTGATTTTCTTCCTTTTTCTTTTTTGGTTCTTTTCAGTTTGATTGATTTTTAAAAATGTTAAACCAACCTTGCATTCCTGCAATAAACCCACTTGTTTGTGGTAATATTCTTTTGATATATTACTGTATTTGATTGGCTAATATTTTGCATCTTTTTTTCATGAAGTATACTACAGTTTTTTTCTTATAAAGAGAAATTGTCAGAGTACTTCTGGCCTGTTAAATTGTTTCCAGATTTCCTTATTACCAGTAATCCATCTATGAACTGTTTTTGTATGGATCCTTGGGGCACATAGGTGTGGACTCTCAAAGTAAATTTGAAAAATTCTTCACTAAAAGAACTCCATCACTGTATGGTTTGTGGTAAACTGTTGGCTGCCCAGCTAACATCTATTCTACCCTTTTTCCTTTGGTAGAAAACCACACTTTTGTTCAAGAGGCTACTATGTCTGCTAAGACACACTTACAAATCCATACTCCCTTTAGCCAGAGGTGACCATATAACCAGTTTAGACCAATGAGATTCAAGTGGAAGTTTTTGGGATACAGTTTTCAGAAAAGCTTCTGTGATATTGATTAAAGTGGAAAACCCAACTAGGAAGAGCCTTTTCTAGTTTCTCTTTCCATCCATAACTTATTCCTGAAGCTTGGAAGTGGAGTAGCCACTTTTAACCAAGAGGATAAGGGTCTCTGTCTAAGGACATGGCAGTAAATGCCTGGCTTATGGGTGAGCAACTGGGCCAGCTGGGTTTCTGCCCCAGGACTTGGGTTTTGTGAGAAAATAACTCTCCATGTGCTTACAGTCCTACAATCAGATTCTACTCCATGAGGCCAAATACAATGTCCTGCAGACACCAGGCACACTTTGACTTTTTTCTTTCTCTGAATATCTCTTAGGAGAGTGCTCTATAGAAGAGGGTAGTTTAATTAGAAAGGAACTTGGAAGTATTCTTGTTCCTGATAATGTCTCTAACAAAGACACCAACATTAAGTGACTTGCTCAAAGTAAATGGTGAAAGTTGGAAAGAGAACCTACATGTGCTGATACTAAGTTACTTTTCCACCCTCCTATGTAATTGTTTGTATTTATTTCCTGGCATCTCAGTGCCTTATTTATAACACATAGAAAATAAAATCTATCCTAATTTCTCATAGGGTTAATGTGACTGTATATAAGAGATTATTTTCCTCACTTTTAAAAGCCTTTATTTTTAGTAGAAAAATCAATGGACATATTGTGACTTGAATTCATATTAATTATCCTCATTGGACAACTATAAAGTTAGTAAAATATGTTGGCTTTCAGTTTAAAAATATTGACTGGATCATGTGGAAAACACTGTGCATAGCTCAGGGGATGTAGAGGTCAACCTGACAGACGAAGCCTGCCTGCCCTCGTGTGTATGACAGTCCAGAGGCAGACACAGATGTGAATCAACACATTGAGCAAACAATTACTCCATTATGATTGTGAGAAATAATAAATGACATTTTATAATATTGTTTCCGTAAGTTACTGGCATACACAGACCCATGGTCTGCTGTGGGCCCCAAGGGCTGACGCTACTTCTGGACAGCATTTTAAAGATGCTGAAAACTTCACGGGGAGGTCATTCTAGGAAAACCTGGGATGTATCAGGAAAACTAGAAATCATGCTTCCAACCTCAGAAAGCATCCATATATTCTCAAATAAATTAATCAAAAATTAACATTTTCTTAGCTTAGGTTTACCCCCAAATAATCACAAATATATTTGAGAAGCAGCATTATTTGGGTTGACTGTGTCACCTTTCTTTTCTCCATACCCTGTACATTTCTTCATGATTTTTTGAGATGTGGGTCCTGGGTGCTGACATCAATGTTTCTCCTCCTCACTAAAAGTTAGTCTATTTTTCCTTATGAAGGACTAAAATTGAAATGATCAGGGTGATGGGATTAAATAATTTAATGAATTACAGAAGTATTCTATTAAAGAATAGAGATCATTCTTATAAACCATGAATTAATTTTTATGAATTATGTCCAAAGAGCTTAAGTAAAAAGCTAATATTTCATAAGTAATTCCAGCCCTCTTTAACAGTACAAGTCTCTGGTGTGTAATATTTAGGTAATGATTATCATAAAATAGACATCTTTTGAGGGCAATTATGTGTTCTCAATACTTCTTTATGAGAGAGCTGGGAGGAGGATGTCATTACATTTGACAGTATATTTATCTCACCAAATAGTCATGATATTCTGATGTAAATGCAGTTATCTTACTATATGCGAGTGTGTTTCCGGATGCACCGAGTACTGATTGTTTCACTAAACCTGTTCAGACGTGAAAGATGGCATATCTCAGTCCTGAAAGTATAGGCTGTTTCTAGCCATGTGGAGTCAGTGGTTTTGCTTATGAAAACAAAGCTTTACATCTGCAGGGTAAATTTTCCCGGGGTCAGACCCAGGCAGGGGAGGAGAGATAACTCAGAGAGATGAGCAGAAGAGGGCATGTCCGGGAAGTGACAAGCACACTTGAAGAGAAAGGGGAGGATTTGTACACTGGTGTTTTTGTTTTTGTTTTTGTTTTTATAAGGAAATTGGGATTGACTGAGACAGGCCCCTAGGAGAAGCAGTGAGCTAGCTACGTACTCCTACCTATATCTTCTTGTTTTGGGATTAATTTAACATGGAAGATATGATGGTAACTTATATTGCTATAATGTTTTTAGGTTTTCACAACCATTTTGGAATATTTTATTTGAACCTCCCAATATTCCTATAGGATAATGATGGACTGTTGTTCCTCAATCATGCAGAGCAAACAGAGGCTTACAGTATAATTCAGTTAGTGCAAAATGAAACCAGAACCCAGAACCCCAAACCAGGCTTCCAAAATCCAGACTCTGCCATCGGATGACAGGACCATGTCTGAAACATCCTGTGGACTCAAGGGATCGACTCCCATCCTGAGTCCGGGGCTACTCATGTCTCAAAGCCTAGAGGGTCCAAATGTAAAAGTTACTGGGTCAGCTCATGGCTCAAAATTATTCTTGTTTCTGCTAGTGAACCTATTAAGTCAATTATCCAGGTATGAAAGAGTTGGAGTGGAAGGGGAGAAATGTGAATTTGTTTCTTTTTTTGTTGTTGTTATTTTTTTTGGTTTGGTTTTTGTTTTTCCCAATTCAGGAAATAAGGCCTGTAGAATCCAGAAAGCTAAATATTTGCAATTCTGTCTCCCTCAGTGAGGCAAAGCCTTGAGAAAGCCCTTCATCCTTCATCTTCATTCTTAGTTGGCATTTGGACTTGATGGCTGGAGGTGGAGCAGCTGTCTTGTGATTCTGATGCAACAGTCATTAGGAAAATTCTAGGGAATTAGGGAGGCACTAGCCCAGATGCTGAACCAAGGCCAGTGGCCACTGACTGCCTGTCGGAACCTGATTAGGGACATTCTTTTTAGTCATGCAATCTGTTCCAAACAGATACATGTGTCCAAAGTTATTCCTAAGCGTCTATCTTTTGATTATAAAGAGATACACTAGATAAGATGGAATAAATTGCATTAAACTATGCATTTTTGAAAATGCCACATAGTTTAAGTACTTTCTTTTAACTCTAAAATTGTCCAAAATTCAATTCTTTTTTCCTTCTATTTTAGATTCAGACAGATGTACTCATTTCCTTAGTTGTAGTTGCCCTGTGAATGCATTACTGTCGATTGGTAGTGATGCACCTCATTCAGTGTTTGAATCAAAAATCACATATGGCCGGGCGCTGTGGCTCACGCCTGTAATCCCAGCACTTCGGGATGCTGAAGCAGGTGGATTATTGGAAGTCAGGAGTTTGAGACCAGCCTGGCCAACATGGTGAAACCCCATCTCTACTAAAAATACAAAAATTCGCTGGGCGGTAGTGACAGGTGCCTGTAATCCCAGCTACTCAGGAGGCTGAGGCAAGAGAATCACTTAGGCCTGGGAGGAAGATGTTGCAGTAAGTTGAGATCATGCCACTGCACTCCAACCTGGGCGACAGAGTGAGACCCTGTCTCAAAAAAAAAAAAAAAAAAAAAAAAAAAAAGCACATCTGCTACCAGAGATGAAGGATGAAGGCTTTCCTTCCTAAGGTCACTGATACGGTTTGGCTGTGTCCCCACCCAAATCTCATCCTGAATTAAGTTGAATCATGTGGGCGGTTCCCCCAAACTGTCCTTGTGGTAGTGAATAAGTCTCACCAGATCAGATGGTTTATCATGGGCTTCGGCTTTTGCATCTTCATTTTCTCTTGCCACTGCCATGGAAGAAGTGCCTTTCACCGCCCTCCATGATTCTGAGGCCTCCCCAGCCATGTGGAACTGTAAGTCCAATTAAACCTCTTTTTCTTCCCAGTCTCGGGCATGTCTTTATCAGCAGTGTGAAAATGGGCCAAGACAGTCACTCAGATTAATCGTCCCACCTGGGGACAATCAGGTGGGCTGCTCACCTTACTTGTGATGGAGGATTTTCCATTCCTAACAAATATGAAAAATATGATGTACTTTTACTCTGTACCCTGAGTTCTCCTCATGAGCCTGGGGATATGAAGGAGGTCTCAAGAATAGTAAAGATTTGGCTTGGCAAACTCGTGTCCCCACAGAGGGGGCACTGGTATCTCACAGCCCTCCCTTCCCAAATCCCAGAGTCCTATTTCTGGGAGTTACTTGGGGTGTTTCGTAGGGGACCTGGTGCAGTCCTTTTGCCCTCTTAAGTTTTGTCTTCCCTTACCTGTTATAAAGCAAACACCTGTGATGGAACAGAACTGTGTCCCCCACACCAACGAGCAGAAGGTGGCAAGCAGGGGGCGGCTGCCTCCTGTGTGCATCTGAACGTGCTCCTGAGCCCTGCAGCTCCAGGACCAGGCTGAATTCTGGGCACCAGTGGAGAGATCCTTTGTCACCTATATTCCCTCTCCAAGTCTAGATCCAGGTTGGGACCAATGTGTCACTTAAAATAATATATGCAAATAATAAACAGCAAATCAGATAAAATTTAGAATACATGTTAAAAAAATGGTATAAAATGACTGCAGCTAACACCCTTGCACCCCAGTAGCACCTCACCAGCAAGCAGCACCCCATTCTGTGGGGGCATGGGATATGGGGCTTGTCCCCACCTGGGGATAATCAGGTGGGCTGCTCACCTTACCTGTGAGGCCAAACTACAGTGGAGGAGACCCAAGGGAAGTTGGTCAGGAGTTCTTGGAGACTTTGCTGATACGAAGGACCTCATAAGGATGTGGCCTACCCTACAGCAGCTTGTGGGGCATGGAGGGTCCACCCTGACTTGCTGAGCCCTGCATAGTAGGTGTATTTGACATGAGGGGCATAGCTATTTTAGCATCCCCTCCCTGCCCCCACATACGTACATTGGACACATATTTTTCTGCTATAATAATAATCACTTACAATCATATTTTCTTGATTTGTTCTTTAGTTGTGAAGCAACGATTTAAAAATGAAGTTTCCATTTTAAAGAATGTATTCAATACCAGTAACATAGTTCATGTATGAACTAAAGTTTGCACTTACCAAAGAAAAATATTACACTTTTAGTTTGTACTATTTCACTGCCAAAGATTTTAAACTTTCTCTGGATCTTCAAGTAGACTGACAGAATTGAAGCATCTCTAACTGTGTCATCTACACAGTTGCTTTTACAGCTTATTTCAAAGCCACTGTTTAAATGCTGGAATATTTCCTCCCCCGGGAACTGGGGACATGAGCTGTGGCTGAAGTGAACTCAAAGAATTCCAAATTTTTAGGAAGTTACTGTTGAAACTGCCATGTGGTACTGATTCCAGGTATACCAGGGGCCAAGCATAACCAAGATTTCTCTGATACTTTGTTTATTAAAGGATAAGTCATAAAATGTGCTAATTTGAAGCTTATGTATATTACTAAAACTTGACACTACTAAGTAATTGCTTAGAATTTGTAGAACGGAAGTTTTTGTCTGGGAGGGTATTATTATCACTGATATTGTTCAGCTTTGCAGACACATGGGGATAACCAACAGCTGAGTTTCAGCTGGTTTTATTATTGTTTCCACATTCACTACAGACAGTACACCCCATATTTATTCCCTGCACTGGGTGGGGAGCCCCCACCTGCAGGGCCACCTCAAGGTCCTGGGGAGCACAGCTGGCCTGAGGTCAAGGCCACCAGGTACAGGGAGAGAGAGAAGGAGCATGGTTTCCTGTGGATTTTGCTGAGCTCCTAGAGGAATCAGGCCTATCTTGGGACCTTAACCATGAGATAACATGTTTTCTTTGTTGGTTAAGTCAGGGTATATGGGTCTGTCTAGTCCAAACTACTTGACGTTTTAAGATGAGATGTGCTTGCTCTTCTTTGGGCCTCTTGCCCTGCCCTTTGCTCTGCGAGGCTGAAACTCTGTGGACCGAAGCACCAGGCTCTCTTGCCCTCTGGCTCCCAGCGGTTTTGACCAATGGGGAACACTGGGTGGTTTTGGAGGATGGGAGGGGCAGGGAGGAGGGGGTCTCACTCCATTTGCTTCCTCGTTGCCTCCAGAGTTCTGGTGGATGCTGCCTTTTGCCCCGCTCACTCCAGCTCCAACCCCAGCCGTCTTCCTGGTCCAGCTCTTGTCAAACTCTGCTAAGACCACACTCTCCCCTTGTATTAGTCCATTTTCATGCTGCAGATAAAGGCATACCCAAGGCTGGACAATTTACAAAAGAAGAGGTTTACTGGATTTACAGCTCCACATGGCTGGGGAGGCCTCACAATCATGGTGGAAGGTGAACGGCAAGGACAAGCAAGTCACGTCTTACATGGATGCCTGCAGGCAAAGAGAGAGCACTTGTGGTGGGAGACTCCCATTTTTAAAACCATCAGATCTCGTGAGACTTATTCACTATCACAAGAAGAGCATAGGAGATACCCACCCCCATGATTCAGTTATCTCCCACTGGGTCCCTCCCACAACACATGGGAATTATGGGAGCTACAAGATGAGATGTGGGTGGGGACAGAGAGTCCAACCATATCACTCCTCATCCCTTCAGGGATAGGGTGCTGACCTCTTCCCCTGACTTTGCTAATCCCTGGGTGTTTGAGCACCCCTGGATGTTTCCCCAAACCCTGCCTACACCTTCGAAATGACCTCTCCATTGCATATGCTTCAGATGGATCTTGTGTTATTGAGCCTTTTGTTGCTGCAAGCCTGCTTGATAGATCAATTATTTTTCAGTTGATTCAGAGATCTCTTTTTCAACAAATCCTATCTTATTTGAAGACCCTAATTAGAAAATTCAGTATTTTTCCAGGTCTTTGTACATTTTAACATGATGTCAAATTCCTTGAGAATTTTAGCTTTTCTCTACTTTATACTAAATTCCCTCTGATAATTTATTATCAAGATCTTCTAGAGGTATAATGCTTAGATAATCACTTCTGAAATTGTCCTCTTTTGCTCTCTGCTTCCAAGGTAATTTCCCGTCAGACTTTAGGTCTACAACCCAATGCAGGCTGGCTGTCCTCATTCTTAAAACTCCGAGGCCAATTTTGTTCATCTGTTTCTCCCCAAGGCCTCAGGGATGTGACGATCCTTCTCTCCTTAACTGCCTTCTTCTCTGTATTCCTCTCTCTCCAAGTCTGCAGCAGAGTGGGAGACACACTCCCTCCTTCTTTGCTCAAAGGTCTCTAATACAAGACACAGAGGTCTGTCCTGGCTGGGGATAACTGCAGGGGAGCAGACGGGATTAGCACAAATAATAAACAGGGAGAGGGTTAAAGAGGCAAGACATCCTAGAAAGTATTAGTCATAGCTCTTTTGTCTTCTTCCAAATAAAAATATCTTTGTTTGTAGCTGCTTTTCCTGACTCTCTTTACAGGCTTTCCCATGGGAGGATAAGTCTTGACTGGAGGGAGGTTTATCCAGTGTGTTCGGGTCAGAGGCTGAATCAAACTGCAGAGGAGGTGACCAAAGGTAGAGTGGGGTGGCCCAGTGACTGGGGCAGGTGGGGGTCCTGCATTTTACAAAAATCTCCCTTGTTTATTGTTAGTCAGACTATGGGCCCTACAATATTATCGATGTGAAAAGTGCTTCCCCTTTTGGTCTCTAAATTTTTCTTTCCTGGGCTTTAGTCCATCTCGGACTGATGCCTGGTACTACCAGCCTTCGGAGAGCTGTATCAGTCTGCCCATGCTGCCAGAACAAAATACCACAGGCCAGGTGACTTAAATATCAGAAATTTGTTTCCCACTGTTCTGGAGGCTGGAAGTCTGAGATGAGGATGCTGGCAGGGTTGGTTTCTCCTGACGCCTCTCTCTTTAGCTGGCAGATGGCCGCCTTCTCCCTGGGTCCTCAAAGGGCCTTTTCTCTCTCTATGGGAATCCCTGGTGTCTCTTTCTTTTTGTAGAAGAACAGCAGTCCTACTGGATTAGGCCCCAGTCTAAAGGCCTCGTGTTAATTACCTCCTTAAAAGGCCAATATCAGCCGGGTGCAGTGGCTCACACCTGTAATCCCAGCACTTTGGGAGGCCAAGGTGGGTGGATCACCTGAGGTCAGAAGTTTGAGACCAACCTGGGCAACATGGTGAAACCCCTTCTCTACTAAAAATACAAATACTTATCCAGATATAGTGATGGGTGCCTGTAATGCCAGTTACTGGGGAGGCTGAGGTAGAAGAATTGCTTGAACCAAGGAAGCAGATGTAGCAGTGAGCCGAGATCGTGCCACTGCACTCCAGCCTGGGCAACAAGAACAAAACTCCATCTCAAAACAAAAAAAAAAAAAAAAAAAAAAGAAAGAAAGAAAAGCAAAGCAAAGCCCAATATCCTAATAGTCACTTTGGGGATTGGGGCTTCAGCCTGTGAGTTTTGGAAGGGACACAATTCAGTCCATCACAAAAACTCATCCCTGATGTCCCTGCTAGTCAGATTAGGCTAGGCCATGCATTAGCAATAAGAATCACCAACATCTCAGATGTGTACATGACCCTGTGCATTTTTCCCTCACTCTCCGCTTGGTGCAGTTCTAGAAGATGCATCAGGGTAGCTGTCCTCCCCAGGGTGACTCAGAAGTCCGGGATGACTCAATTTTAGGGACCACCAAAGTAGCACAAGGCCCCTCAGTCATGGCAGGGAGCAGAGAGTGTGAAGCTGTCACACCGGCTTTTCTGGGCTTTGGCTGGAAGTGCTGCATATCACTTGCTCTCTCTGTCCATGTGACAGACTCGTGGTCCAGACTCGTGGCCCTGCCTAATTGCAAGGATCGGAAAAGTGAGATCATGAGTGACTGTTACAGCAGCAAAAATAAACTAAGACACTGTGAACAAAGGGAACCTGTTAATATATTTATCCAACTCAGTGAAAAGATTTTGCTGGACAGAATGACAATCTTCATCCCCTGGGAACACTAATATCAGTTACTTTTATTGATACAACCTGGGTATGCTGCCTGAAGATGTGAAGCCCCTTCAGCCTTCTGATAGCAAATACAGTGGCTCAGGCCTGCATCCCACATAACAGAAGGAGTGAAACACATGCCTGTGGGCGTGTAACATTCAGAAAGAACTGAATGTTGGTGTGTACAGTCGTGTCTATCACAACCTCCTGTATGAGAAAGATAATTGTAGTATCAATTGCTATTGGGTATTGAGTGGCAAACACTGTGCTCAAAAAGTATATAAAATACTCAGTGTTAGCACTAAATTAAAAAAAAATTACTTACTTCTTTCAACAACCCTATGATGAGGAACTATTAGCCTTAAATTTTGGAGGAACAAATTGACCCAGTAGGAATAGTAAGAATGCGAGAGCTTATATGCACATGGAATGAAGTGCCTAGAATTTTTGAGCCTGTTGCAGTCACTTTGTGAAGGAAGCTCAGGCTTAAAAAGGAGATGAGAGAGCAAGGGATGGCAAAGGAGACCTGGAACTACAGGGAGCTGGTGGCAGCTCAGCAGTTGGCCAGTGAGGCGGTCCCTGGGATGGGGGATGGTACATACATTTTTAGTGTGCCTTCAATCATATGTCTTTCCCTGCCTGTGCAGTAATTACCTGCTGTTATCCCAGGTCTTCAACAAAAGCCCTTTCTAGTGCACAGAAGAGCCTTGTGTTAGTTTTGTGGAAAGAAGGAAGGTGTGGCCAGCAATTTCGCAGAGGAGCCAGACCGAGGAGCACCTCATTGGACTGACTCACAACTGATGAAAAACAAAGAAATAAAGGGAAAGTAAACAAAATGTATTTATTTGCCAAATAAACTAGAAAGGTGGTCTCTGTTAGGGATGCATGTGCCCACGTCCACAGGCATGTGTTTTGCTTCTTCTGTTATGTGGCATGCAGGCTTGAGCCACTATATTTGCTACCAGGAGGCTGAAGGGGCCTCATGTCTTCAGGCAGCATACCCAGGTTGTATCAATAAAAGTAGCTGATATAAGTGTTCGCAGGGGATGAAGATTGTCATTCTGTCCAGCAAAATCTTTTCATTGAGTTGGATAAATATATTAACAGGTTCCCTTTGTTCACAGTGTCTTAGTTTATTCTTGCTGCTATAATAGAATGCCTGGGACTGGGTAATTTGTAATGAACAGAAATTTATTTCTCTTGGTTCTGGAGCCTGTGAAGTCCAAGGTGGAGGTGCTGGCATCTGCTGAGGGCCTTCTGGCTGAGTCATCCATGGTGGAAAGGAAAGGTTCGGGAGAGAGGGAGAGAGTGTGTGTGTGAAAGGGGGCTGAACTCCCCTGTTTAAAAAAATCCTACTCCCTCAGTAACAAACCCCCTTTGAGATAACAGCATTTATCCACTCATTCTGCCCTCACAGCTTAACCATCTCTCATTAGGCCCTACCTCCCAACACTGTTGCACTGGGGATTAAGTTTCCAACACATGCTTTTTGGAAGACATATTTAACCAAAGCACATGTTTTCCCCTGCCACCAGTTAATCTAAATTACATGGAAATCCTCCTGTCTTCCCAAGCTCCAGGTTCCCACCTCTTCAGTCTTCTTCTAGGTCAATATCTGCTGCTTCGATCTGCTCATTACGTTTTTGCTGGGTGGTAGCTACTCGCTATAATTTTAGCTATCAGTTTATTTGTTTTAGAGGCAATTTCCCTTACTAGCAGAATGAACAGTTTCAACATCAAATTAAAGAGAAATTCAGTTAATTTTATTATAATAAAGCAGATGATATGGTCTACATCAGTGGTTTTTCAAAAAAGCATTTTGGCAGCAAAGTCTTTTTTTTTTAACAAAAGAAATTTTACTTGGAACTTCAATATGGAAAAATATAGAAAGTAGGATATGTTTTGAGCACCTTTCCAACTTGGGATGGTGGCTGGGAGTGGCAAACACAAAGTGGCAACCCCTGGGGCCCCTCTGCCAGACCCAGGCCTCCATGTAAAGGCCACTGGAAGTTCCTGCCCTGGGTTGTTATTAATGTTCTAGCAGCAGATTGGACAGTGCAGGACATGCTGATTAAGGGTAATGAGGGGTCAGCCTTGGAGTGATGGATAATTCATCATTGAATAGAATGATGGGGTTAAGAGCATTCTTGGTAAGGTTGTGTCTACAAAGTAATAAGCTGTCAAAGCTGAACTGATTTAGTAAGGGCAAGTGGAAGAAATCTCATTTTCTGGGGTTAGACTAGTAAAGGCAAGTAGGATATTGAAATATGTGTTCCTTCTATAGACCATAAAACTAAATAAGTTTTAGGATATGAATCACTTATCTCCCTAATGCTAATCATTAAATAATTTATTGAAGGAAAATAATTAGTGGTTACCCTAATATCCAATCAGAACAAAAAATACTAAAAAAACCGCTAAGCTGTCGAAGGCATATTTGTGGAATGACACTCATAGACACTTTCAGTGACATTTTAACCCATTATTAGTATGCATTTTTAAGACTATTATTTTTAAAAAATTAATAGACTTTATGTATAGAGCAGTTTTGGGTTTACAGAAAAGTTGAGTAGAAAGTGCAGGGTCCCCACATTCACCCTCACTCCCCCAACTCCAATTTTCCCTATTATTAACATCTTGTATTAATGTGTGTTGTTTGGTACAATTGATGAGCCAATAGTGATACATTATTATTAGCTAAAATATGTGGTTTACATTAGTGGTCTTGCTTTGTGGCTTTGCAGTGTACATTCCATGGTTTTGACAAATATATAATGTCATGTATCTACCAGTACAGTATTATAGAGAATAGTTTCACTTTCCTAAAAAGTCCCCTCTACTTCACCCATTCTTTCCTTATCCTATCTTTCTGAGCCCTGGGAAAATGATTTTTTTTTAACTGTCTCAATAGTTTTTTGCTTTTTCCAGAATATCATGTAGTTGGGATCATATACAATATGTAGACTTTTCAGATTTGCTTCTTTTGCTCAGCAATATGCATTCAAAGTATCTCCATGTCTTTGCATGGCTTGACAGCTCATTTATTCTTATTGTTGAATATTATTCCATTGTATGGATGTACTACAGCTTGCTTATTCATTCCGCTACTGCATGGCATCTTGGCCGCTTCCACTTTTGGCAATTATAAATAGAACTGTTAAAAACATTCATGTTCAGGTTTTGTGTGGACATAAGTTCAACTCATTTGGGTCAATACTAAGGCTCACAATTACTGGTTCTTACGGTAAGAGTATGCTTTGTTTTGTAAGAAACCACCAAACTATCTTCCAAAGTGGCTGTTAATTTTTTTGTGACTTTTTCATCAGTGTAGTTGTAAGCCCTGGTCTCGGTCTTTTTTAGTCGTCAGGTGCTTGTAACATTTATGAGTGTTCTGTTAGTTCTCTTATGTACACAGGTTGTGTATCCCTTATCCAAAAGGCATCAGAAGTGTTTCAGAATTTGGAATTTTTGGACTTTTAGAATATTTACATTATACTTAGCTGATCAACCCTACTCTGAAAATCTGAAATCTAAAATATTCTAGTGAGCTTTTCCTTTGAGTATTGGTGCTCAGAAAATTTTGAATTTTGAAGCATTTTGGATTTCAAATTTTGGAATTAGGGATACTCAACCTGTATCTTGCTTTGTTAAAAAGAGAGATTAGAAAAAAGAGAGAGAAATAGGAGATCTTAAAGAATATACATGTAATATATATATGAATATATATAATGCATAATATATATAATATATGCATCTTCTAAAAATAAGAACTAATTTAAGATGAGCAAAACTCAAACACAAGAATTAAAATTCCATGCATAATTTTTTATTTTAAATAAATGTAAATTTAAATAAACACTTTGATTTTTTAGACATTGTTTCAAAAGTGCTTTCCAGATTGCTGGTAAGCACTTTCTATTTGTATTTTTTTCTTTTTTTTTTTCTTGCTTTACATGCTTGGTTAAGGAAAGACCATGACAGCAAATTTTTCTAGTTCTTTGTGTTTCACATGATTGTCAAAACTAAGCCCATTGGTTTACAATTTGGCTGCTAAAACTGTGTCTAGACTTTAGGACTCCAGTTTCATTTTTTTGGTACTTTATCAATTAAACTCCCTCACTTTCCAAAAAGGAAGCTATCAAAGGTATGTATATAGTTTGTTGAATGCCCTATTCCTGATCAGAGGGAAGTTCCATTTCAGTCTGATAAAGTGTTATCTGGCAGAGAAAAACAGAACAACCAAGAAATTTGAGTGATGAGATTAGCTGCATGGCTGAGGAGATTGCTAATGATTTGCTAAGTCTCTGAACACTGTTTAGTGATGCTGTTCATCTCTCCTTGATCAGCGGTAGTGATTTCTGCTCTGCTTACGTGGGACCCTACAAACACTGGGTGGGCCAGTGGACGCCAGGAGTCTGCGATTAATCGACTGTGATCACCAGGGAAAAGGGAAACTTTTTCACTTTCTGGTGATGCATTAACTTGGGAAAAGTTTTCTGGATTTAAAGGTTGCTTTTTGCTAGAAACAGTTAACACATCTAGAGAAAAATGAGACATCTAATTTTTTCAAGCAAAGTTCAGGCCTGATGACAACATATAAATAACATACAACTATTTGTTCAATCCAGAAAAAATAACAAGAAATCTACTAATGTGATATCGTCAGGTCTCAATGAGCTAAATCAGTGAAAGGCCAGAAAAGGGGAAACAACAGGATCATAGGATTCGAGTGCTTGAAGAATCCGAGTCCAAAAGACAAAGAGATACAACCATGAGGTTTGTGGTGAGCTAGGAAAAGCAGTTGCAGAATGACTTTGACATTTGGAAAATGGAGCCTGATGACTTCCTCTATCTATTGTTTAATCTTTTGTTCTAAAAATTCAGAAATAATGCGTATTGCATATCTTTTGGGATGTAAGTGAAGATGGCTCTGAGTTTCCCAGGTGAGAAGCTGCCAGGGAGGTCTCAGCTCAATGGCGAGAGAACCCCCTCTCCACCCATTTACTTGCCATAATTGATCCCATTTTTCAGTCTTGTGAATCAGAGAGTGTGACTAAAATGGTTTCATGGGCACCCTATTGATTCTGTGTAAGAATCCATGATTATTTTCTAAAAAGTATATTTTAAAGCATGTCAGGGAACAGAATTGCCTGATTGTTTTCCCAGAAGGCTGAGACTGAAACCCCCTGGTACGGTGACAGCGTTTTGGTATTTTTCACTTCTGTTTCAGGGAGGCAAATGCATACGTTTTGATCAAATGTCAAATGTAGTTGGTAAATCTCACTTCTAAGAAGCCTCCCTTTATGTACTTTTCAGGCAGCCTGTAGGGTGGGGCATGGAGGTGACCAAGCACTGTTTGTTCAAGGTAGCACCTCTAGTAGGAGCTCATTAAGTCAGGGCTCACACACCGATCATAGGAAGGGAGCGTTGCCCAGCTTCCACTGCCTTTGATACAGATTTTGCCACAATTGTTCCAGTTATTGCCTGAGAGAGCTCATTTCCATATGTATAGAAAACCAATATACTTTCTCCTGCCTGTTAAACTGTCACCTAATGTATTTTTAGAAATATATAATCTAAAAAAGACAGAGGATGAGGCAGAAAGTTCTACAGTAGCAACATTTGAACATCCTCTACCACTTGAAGATGTTAATTAAAAAGTATCTTATTCTACTTGTTTTAATTGCCAAGCAACACAATTTTTTTTTCCTGACAAAAATTGACTTTAAACGAACTGTTTTTGTGTATAATCTGTTTTGTCTTCTGCTAGGTATGTGTCTAATGAAGACATCAGCCTCCGTTCTGTGTAGGTTTAAGGAATGCCCCCTCCTCTCTGTGCAATCATTTGTAGTGTCAGTATCTTTCTCTACTTCCAATAGCGTCAGGGATGCTGAATGGAGATGCATGTGGTTGTCAGAGAAACACAAGGAACATATTATTAGATCTTTCATAATTAGGCATTGCAGATATGTGCCAAAGATTTAGAGCTTAATCAAAAAGTTCTTATCACATGGGCTTCTGCTGGCAACGAATTGGAAAGCCAACAAAGGCAACCCTGATGCTTGCTTTGCACGATAACAAAGGGAAGACAAAGGCAGACCGATTCTGCCTCAGGTTTTATTGCACGCTGTATTTTTTTTTTTTTAAATCATATGAGTCAGGCAATGGTGGGGGAAAGGGGGTTAAAAAGCCCAGCTTCCCCGTGAAGCTCAGAGCCCCTCTTGATCCTGATGGTTTCCTTGTGTCTGAGTCATTTCACCGTGCAGGTGCTGACTAAGACTGAAGGCTGTGGGAACCTGGGTTAATGGGTCTAGCAAACCCTTTCCAGGTAGCGCCTGGGCTCCCCGGGGAGCGCTCCCGGTCCCTTCCTGTGCCACATCATCCCCACCTCGCCGGGAATTTAAGAGAGGAGCTCTCCAGCCCTTAGATAAACCTGGCCGTGTACATTGGCAGCCAGGACCGGGGGCTGCGGGAAAAAACGAGCGCGCCGCGCTGATGGCTGTTTTGACAAACTGTCGTGTGTTTTCTCTGTCTGAGTATCTGGCAGCGCAGGTGAAACATTGTGCCGCTGGTATCTTGGCTCGCCACTCGCTCTCAGGCTCTGCGGGGAGTGTCGGGCCATCCCTGCAAATGTTCCGGGCAAAGCTGTGAAAACAAACGAGGCAGATTAGTTGGACAGGCTCACCAGCTTTTGAGTGTTAACTGCCCTGGCTGCCCCTGCTTCTCAACCCTTTCCCATTCTTTTATTGAGCCGTGCACTTATCAATTAACACAATGGTTTCTGAGGTATTTTTTTTTCTTCTTCTTCTTGTAGTTACACCGTAGGAAGCAGGATCTCTCATCTTTGGACCTGAAATGGTGCTGATTCTCAGATTTTAATCTTCAAGCACAATATATGACATATTCTTTTAAAAAAAAATAAAGGCAATTTTCCTTATTATTTTAGAAAGCATGGCATGTTTGCCGTAGAGATATTAGCGAATGCAGAGAAACAGCAGGGATAGTTTTGAAGTATATATATTCCATGCCTGGGTTATGTCCCATGATCTATGCTACAGTATTTAAACTAAAATGCTTCTGACTTAGTCTCTGGCAGATAAGGACCATCAATTTCTTTTTTAAAAAGTATAGTTTAGTATGTGTAAATATCCCCGAAGTTCCAAGCATTTGGGAAGAGCCTTCAAACTGTGATAACTTTTTAAAAAAATCTTTGGTTTGAAGTAAGAGCCAAACTGGGATAAAGAGAACTTGAGCGTCCCTTTTGAGGTGAAATCAGAGTGAATTAAAAAGAGTGATTACACCCTTCTTTAATCAAAAGCTCCAGAGATGATGTTTCTTTTTTAAAAGAAACATCAAGGAATGGGCTTTGAAAATGACTTTCATATTTTCTTGTGCATTTCAGAGCTAGAGCACATTTTAAGAGTTGTCATTTGTTCTTAAATATCAGACTCTAGTATCAGCCTTTTGTCTGCGCCTGTCCTTCAGTTCATCAGAAAGATTGAGCTTGCCCTTGCTTTTTTGTGAACAAGAAGAAGCTGTCAAATGACTAATGCTCTTGGAATCTCACTGAGGCGTTTATTCTGCCTCTGTTGCTATGAGCCCTATGGTCTCTTTTGTGGCAGTAACAATATAGGTAACCTATCTAAAGTATGGATCTGGCAAAAAGGGACTTAGTCATAGCATAATGATTTTGCTTAAAAAAATAATCGTAAAATGACTACCTATACCACTAAACAGGTCTGCCATATACCCTTGGGTAAGTTGTGCACTGTACAACGCTAAGATCCATTCTTATTTTAATCTGTGTGAACAAGTTTAATAACAACAGTATCTGTATGCTTGTAATTAGTCCTGTGGACTAATTACTTGATATAGTGTTAAGGCAGTGAAAGAAAGACACTCAAATTCACACAGCAAGTGTTTATCCAAATATTTCACAATTACTAGAGGGAAATAAAACTCCTTTAGGGAACTTTAAAAATAAGAATGACTTACTTGAAATTACTTAATTAATTGACATTAACAGTATTACATGTTGAAATTCTTCACATGATTCAAAAATAAATAATCCAAAAAGAAAGGTATCATCAGTTCTTAAAATGTTTAGCTTGGTAAATAGCTCTTAAAAATAAACATCTCCTGTCTATTTCCAAGAAATTGATTGGCTTAACTTTTCACAGATATCAAGTCTGGTGCTCTAATTTGATGAATAATAGAGAAAGCAATAAAAAATGTATTTTTGTCAGAAACTAAACGTGCGCTTGTTTCTTACTCTGAGACATAAAAATTAATAGAAGCCAGAATCAATCAGTAGTGCCAGATTTATCTTATTATTGTTTTCTAGGCTCTTATTTTGCTCATTTGTGCCCATTCCAATGAGAAAATAATGCAATGACACTATTAATTTTACCTGACAAGCTCTGTTACAACTGCAGTGTTGGCATTTGTGGGAAGTGGGACTGGATTTTTTTTTCTAGAGTAAGAGTTCTTAAAGACTAAAAACCATATTCCTCTTTGATTCTTTACTACTATAGATTATTGAAAAGCCTTAAATAATTAATTTTAGAAAGAATACTTGAGATTCAGACTAAAATTTTTCATGTCCTAGGGAACTACAAGGACTTTGAAATTAAAATAAAATATGACCCTTTTATTTCTTATTTGATATTATGCTGTTTATTTATTGACCAACTTTTAAGTTTAAGCATTTTAAATATAAAGTTAATATTCTCCACTTCTGAATTTTTAAATAAATTGTGCAAACTCCTGTACAGTTGTCAAAAGACATTTGATGTTAGACTTGCTAAGATGAAGATTAACATTTTTTAAAAATTAGGTAAGAAAAAAACTAAATTTGAACCAAATCTGCTATCAATATGGTTTCAATGAAACTGACCTATTTCATCCTTTTATCAAACTCTGTGTTATTTTTTACAATTTTGATTTTGCTTCAGCTCACTCTTTCACTACTTGTATGTGAGATTTAATTGCCTTTCAACAAAAGACATAAAACAACAACTTATTAAATCTGGGTATGAACTTTCCTAAGTCAATAATTAGCTTATGCTTTCAAATGAGCTCAGAATTTAGATCTGAACTGTTTTTTCGTTTGTCTGGAGATGGAGTCTTGCTCTGTCGCCCAGGCTGGAGTGCAGTGGTGATCTCTGCTCACGCAAACTCCGCCTCCCAG
The DNA here is from genome assembly GCF_000001405.40 of Homo sapiens. Classification (NCBI taxonomy): domain Eukaryota; kingdom Metazoa; phylum Chordata; class Mammalia; order Primates; family Hominidae; genus Homo; species Homo sapiens. The sequence continues at coordinate 106,346,615 of NC_000013.11, read as the reverse complement.
GTTCAAGTGATTCTCCTGCCTAAGCCTCTCTAGTAGCTGAGACTACAGGCATGCACCACCACACCTGGGTAATTTTTGTATTTTTAGCAGAGACAGGGTTTCACCATGTTGGCCAGGCTAGTCTCGAACTGCTGACCTCAAGTGATCTGCCCACCTCAGCCTCCCAAAGTACTGGATTACACTGTGCCTGGCCCATATCTGAATATTTTTGATACTAGTTTTTTCATTACTCTTATTTTTAGTATTTCTTAAAGCTAGAGTTTAGATAAAACAAAAAATATTTGCAATTTTAATCTTTTTAATCAAATACAAGACTTTTATAAAGAAGATGTAAGAATTAAGATTCTTGGGCAACTTGATATTTTTGTTGGCTTGCTTCTTGGTTGCCATTCCTGGTGTGCAGAGCTGCAGTTCATGCTAGGCTTCATTTTCATATGCCACTGCAAAGTGGATTTAAGTGGTTTGATTGGAGCAGATATCATGGATATTTCTATAGAAGGTTCATAATTATCCATTTTTCTTGACAAAAGTAATACGGTCTTTACTCTTTTTATGTGTGACATTTTTATCACATAATTATCCATTTTTCTTGACAAAATTATCCATTTTATCACATAATTATCCGTTTTTCTTGACAAAAGTAATAAGGTCAATACTCTTTATGTGTGAAACTTAATTCATTATTTTAAAACATATCATTGTATATATACTAATTTTACAAAGTAACTTCTTAAGTTGGGGCTAGGACAGAGTCTCTGGTTATCAATTAGGCTTATTTTATAAAATAAGGTCATTGCATTCTATTGCATTTGACCTGTTCACAGAACTACCTGAAAGCAAGCTGAATGCAAATGTCATTGCCTTCATTTATTGTAAATAAGGTTTAGAACCTGTGTTCAAAGTAATTGTTTTACCTGAAAGTAATGACACGCTGATGATGTTGGAACAGTTCAGACCTCGTAAGTGACTAACCTTTCATTCTAAGTTGATTTTCCCCATGAATTAAATGAAAATAGCAACGATGTGGTGAAAATTATTAGGTGGGTCCACTAGAAGTGTTTTAGTTAACATACTTTCTTCTTTCAGCTATCAGTAAAGAATTAAGTAAATTATAAGAAATTTTGGTTTGGTTTGGTTTATTTTGTAAAACAAAAATAGAGTTTGTAAGGTTTTCTCAGATTTTCAATGAAAGTCATGGTAATTATGAATGTATTTGTTGCATAAATAGATTCTACAAAATGTTTCTCAAGCTTGAGGTAAATTGAAATGTGTTTACAATCAAATTTATTGTTAATGTTTGATAATTTTTAGTTGTATTTTTAAGCTTTGATGTATATATTTCTTCCAGGGATAAACATATATTGATGGTGTCACTTCTGAGTTATCTGGTAGTATTTTATTGGTATCACAAAGAAATTTCCAAGGGGGGATATACCAGAAACTTCTGAAAAATGATCCCTCAAAAATTATCTTTTCCAAAAAAGTGGAATTCCAGATTTCAGGAAATGGCAAGCAATAGCAGCTGCAAATAACATTTAAGTTGAAATTTTGATCATTTTTCTATGAAAATGAACTGAAAAGTAATGTCCAGGTCATGACCAGATTCACTGGGCTTTATTTAGAAAATTGCTTTTCCTGCTGACAGGGCAGTAGTTCTTCACTCAGGTGGATTAATTTGCATTCTTAGCTATTCCTATAATACTTAGAGGATTTTTTTACCTCAATAAAATTGGTGCAGTTTTTAAGGAGTGGTACGGTCTTTAAGAAACAGCCCTTTTATTGAGATTGGTGGTTGGATTTGTATGGCTCAGTACGTTGCTCAGAAATTTCCCAGTGTCTTCAAGCTTCTTCTGAAGTCAGGGCTGGGAGGTGGCCAGGAAAGGCCAAAATAGTCTGTTGTATCCACAAGATGTATGAGACCAACCAGCCTTCTAAAAAATAAAATAAGCCTTATTTATAGTTACAAAAACCCTTGCTATTTTCCTTGACTCTGAATGCCAACTATTTTATAGGACATCTCCTTTTACACATCAAAAGCAGCATTTTTACTTGAGAACTCCTATAAACTCAACGCTGACTACATATCCTCCGTGAGTCTCTGTTTTTCTTTACCCAGTGTTAAATTTTTATGGTCTTGGGTGATAACTTTAAAGGCCTATGATGAAATCAAATTTTTGTTATTCTGATTGGCTTCTCTTAAGAGGAAATGCAATGTATTTCTTTTTTAATGTAACTTTTTTTTTTTTTCTTAAATTAGAGCTCATACAGATCCCAGAAAGTAAATGTGTGTCTGCCAGCCCTGGCTAGACCTGAGCGTGGTCTGAGATTCGGCAAACTCCTGAGCTCAGCTTCACAAATCCTGTTCATTCTAAAGTGACAGCTTGATGTTTTGATTCTGAAACTGAAAGAAGACTGATATTAAAATGGATTCACTCCCAACCCCTCTTTTTCTTCCTCCTGGGGTTTGTTAACAGCCAGTTGTAGGTACTTGGGGCTCCTGAGTGATCACTGGGCTGAGAGTTTCCGAAGGGAAGGCTGGTGGGGCTGCAGTCCTCCCACCTCAGAAGCTTTTCTTATCTTCATTCACGTCAGAACAGTATCTTGCTTACACAGTGAGGATCTGTGGCCACGAGTTTTGGTTGCCTGGCTCTATCTTTATTTCTTGTACCTGGATATCAGGTTGCCTTTAAATTGGAAAAAAAAGACTGTAATCTCATTTGATAAGGGGATTTTGGACATCAAGCTTCAGTATGCAAGAGCTAGATAGATATCTGTTAACAAGAATTGCCCTGAGGGAATAGATAATGGGAAAAATCTACATTTAAAGCAAAAGGCTATGTTTAAAGTCAATAGGATAAGTGGAATTTAAGCAGGAAAACTTAGCATCTAAATCAATTTCGTCTTCTACGATTTTTACATGCCAGTGGGGTTCTCCCTGTGTGTACGTACAGAACATAGCCCATCTTTACGTCTCATCTTTTAGAGATCAAAGCCAACTTGAATAACAGCTGATCACAGAGGCAGATTTATGATGCCGACTGCACTTTATTCCTCCTTGTCCCTTATAGTTTCCCAACCTTCAAAGCCAATGTTAAGTTTGAAATAGCACCTTAAAAAGGTTAAGGCACCTACTGTGTGCTTTAGTGGTTGACAGTATAGGATGCAGTGTGGCTCAGAGGTCACTTGTTAGCTGTGTGATCCTGTCCAATGTGCCTTCCCTCTCTGTGCCTCAGTTTTCTTCTCTGTAACAAAGAGAGTAGTACCGACCGCACAGGGCTTAAAGTGTTAGGTTATGCAAAGCGTAGTGCAACGCCTCTCAAATCCTAAGCACTCTATTTACATAAATCATCTCATTTTATCCCTTTCCTACCCTGTGGGGCTAGCAGCGTTCTTATTGCCTGCCTTAGCTCAGATGAGTTCAAAAGCAAAGCCTGTGGCAAATCATCAGAGAGAGAGAAAAGGATTGGAAGTGAAACAGGGGCGGAGGGAAAGCCAGCGCGAGGGTGCATTTTGAAGTTGTCCACTCTGGACAAGGGGCTTTTGAAAAGGCTTCAGAAATAGATCCAGGAACTGTCTCCGAGGCTGGACGTAGGAGAAATGTTCATCTATAGCCTTGTACACTCCTGTCAGGTGAGGCGAAGGGATGCTAACGGCCCCACTCATCCCCTTTGAACCTGTCTGTGTTCCCATGGGCACCACACCGAGGAGCTGGAGACCCCTTGGCACAGGCCTGGAATGAGATGCTGTTGCCTGTCCCTCTTTAGAGCTGATGAGAGCTGGGCCTAACTGTTCTCTTCAGCCATGGCTGGAGTAAGAGGTGAGGCTGAGAATACTTGGAGTCAGGTATAACTTATGTCCAGTACACTCCCATTTTACAGTCAGGAAAACTGAGCCTAAGGGAGTAACCAAGACCACCTAATTAACTCAAAACTGGGTTTTAAATCCAGACCCTGTGATCTATTGAAGCTTCATTTTTTAAAATGATATTCAATATTAGTAGAGATGAAAGGAAATTCAATGAAAAGGATGGGAATGTTAGCGTTCATTAATTTTTAGTCTGAAATTATAATTCCTAAAAAAGTTTTTTCTCTTTTTCTTTTCTCCTGCTCTTTGCTCTCTCTAAGGTGTGTGTATTTTCTTGTTAACTAGGGAAGTAAGACTATTTCTCAGGGAAACAATACAATCATGAGACTGTTTTCGAAAGACATGACAGAACCCAATGGCTTTATTCTTGAGTCATGCTAATTTATTATTTTGTTGTAATTTTATATTCAACATATTTGAGCAACATTTGAGAAAAGATATAACTAACATTAGATTGGGTATATCTTTTCCCCAGAAACTGTATATGAGAAAGTTCTAGAATTATAAATAATAGTGTCTCTGAACTTAAAAAAGTACATAAAAATACGAATCTGTGATCAGATTAGTTTATTCATTTGTCCTGAAAACATTTATGGAAAGCTTTGCACTGATGCTGGAGAAAGAAGACAAAAAGGTGTTTCTTGCTCTCCAGATGGTCACTGTACCACTAAAACGTAGAAAATAATTTACTAGTCATAAGGCTCATCATAACTGTGTTCTTATAATAGTTTTTTTCTGGGACACATTCCTCTCTGGCTTTTGAACCTTTTCTCCTCACTCCCAGCTACTGCTACCTTTTGTTTTATTATCTTATTCCTGTATCACATTCTACCATTCCAAATATACCTACTTCCAGAAAGATGTTCTTCCTTTAACATTTCTTCATGCCATTTCTTTGCACAGAATTTTTCAATAGTCACACATTGGATTCAGGATTAAAGATGTAGCTCTGTGGCTTGGCGCATGGTTACTGGTCCTGTCCCAGGCCCTACTCTTCCTGTTGTTTTGGCACTGGACCATTGGTAGCTCTTGGTGTCTTTTATAAGCCTCTGTACCTCCACATTTCTGCTTAAAAATGTGTCTTTACAGATGCATGCGTTTGTTGATTTTGATGTGGAATTAAGAACTGCTCTTTTCCTGGGTTTTGGACAATTTGAATGGGATGTATCTAATTGCGGCGTTCTTCACGTTCCTTTTGTTTGTTAATCTTCCTGAATGTGTGAGTTTATAGTTTTCATCAAATATAAAATGACTTAAATTTCTAATAATTTTCTTTGCTTTGTCCAATATTAATACAGTTAATTTAGCTTTCTTTTGATAGTGTTAGTATAGCATATCTTTTTCTATCTTTTTATTTTAACCTACTTGGATTTTATATTTAAAGTGGGTTTTTTTGAAGGCAGCTTATAGTTGGATCTTGACTTTTTAAATCCAATTAAACAATTACTCTTTTAATTGACCTGTTGACACTATGTGTGTGTGTATTATATATATATATTTATATGTACTGTCTATAAATATATATATATGTATATACTTTTTTTTTTTTTTTTTTGAGAGAGAGCCTTGCTCTGTCAGCAGGCTGGAGTGCAGTGGCGTGATCTTGGCTCACTGCAACCTCTGCCTCCCAAGTTCAAGCAATTCTCATGCCTCAGCCTCCTGATTAGCTGGGACTACAGATGTGCACCATCACACCTGGCTAATTTTTTTATTTTTAGTAGAGACAGGGTTTCACCATATTGGCCAGGCTGGTCTTGAACTCCTGACCTCAAGTGATCTGCCTACCTCAGCCTCCCAAAGTGCTGGGATTACAGGTCTGAACCCAACCAGACCATTTATATTTAATGTAGTTATTGTTATGATTGGATTTAAATCTTTTGTATTAATTTTGCTTTCTATTTGCCTCATCTGTTTTTGTTTCCTCTCATTTCCTGCCTTAGTTTGCATCAGTTTCGTGTTTTTGATTAATCTGTTTTATCTCCTTTTTGGCTTATAAGCTATAACTCTCTGTTATGATTTTTTGTGGTTAATTTATTTTTTGTGAGTATCTTTAACTTATCACAATCTTCAGGTATAGTATAAGAATCTTATAACCATCTACTTCCATTTATCTCACCCTGATCTTTGTTCTATTATTATAGCACAATTTACTTCTACATATATTACAAACCCCTTAATACATTGTTATTCTTTTTGCTCTAGCTTATTATTTTTTGCAATTTAAGTAGTTTTTCTTTCATTACTTTAAAAACACTGTTCCATTGTCTTCTGAGTGACATTATTTCCAATGAGAAATCTACTGTCATCCTCGTCTTTGTTCCTCTGGACCCTACGTCACAATGTGTCCCTTTTCTCTGGCAGCTTTTCACAATTTTTCTTTTTCACTGGTAATGGGCAATTGGATTTTGACACTTTGTATAGTTTTCTTCATGATTTTTTTTTAGGCCTTGTGGCTTGCTGAACTTCTTAGATGTATGAGTATATAGTTTTTATCCAATTTAAAAGGTTTGGGGCCATTATTTCTTTGTTATTATTGTTTTTATTTTCCTTTCTCTCTCCTCTTTTCATGAGGACTCCAGTCTTACTTTATTAGGAGTCTTGAAGTTGTCCTATAGATCAGTGATGCTCTACCCTACAAACTCTAGCTCCCATAGTATCTGTAGACTCCAGTTTTGTCCCCTCAACCCATAAAGTCTTTCAGGCTCAGCCTGGGCTGGCACCTCCTTGTGCTCAGCCTAGAAACTTTGTCCAGGAGATAAGCTCCCTCCCTTCGTTTGTATCCTCTGTCATCACTCTCCTTTGTTGTTTAATGTTCAATGTCTTAAATGTCGTTGTTTCCTGGGTATGTTTCTGGTTACAAGTTGTTTCAGGTAAGTGGACAAATGTAGTATCTGCTGCCTTTGATTTGAATTTTGCTTTTTCCAACACTGACTAATTTTAGGCCATTCGACCAACTTCTGCTAAAATTTTGATAGGTATTGAGGAAAGCTCAAGCCAGTGAAGAAGGTGACTAAATTATCTTCTTGGAATCAGAAAATAATCTATATTGCTTATTGTTAAGACTGTTTAGTATGTGTGGAAGAGAATAATGGGAGAATAATGGCTATAGAATTAAATAGAGAGAAAATCAAATTCCAGCTTTAAGTTTCGCATTACAGATTTGTAAAAATGTCAGTATTCAGTGAAGATATATTAAAATATTTCTGATCATAAAGTGATTGGATGAATCTGTGCTGATGTATATTAAACTAATGCTGAGAGTTAACAGGGTTATGGAGAACATGGTTCTGGACTCAGCCTGCCTAGCTTTGAATCTTTGATCCACCTCAGAATAGTAATGTGGCCTGAATAAAGTCATTTCACTTTTAGGTATTTCAGTTTCTTCATCCCTAAAATAAGGTTGTCATGAATTAACATGAGTTCATTTTGTAAAATATTTAGACAAGTGCCTGGCATCTGATTGGTGCTCTAAAATGTTCACTAACAACAACAAACAAAAGGCAAAGAGCACCCAAATAAATATAATGTTTTATGTTTTGCTGTTTTTAGCAAAATTAGTATTAGGAAACAATGGAGACAGATGAGTTAAAAGGCAATTGTTATAGCAATCCAGTTTAGAAGTAACATGGCTGAACTTGCCATAGAAAGCAGGAATAGAAAGGAGATCATTATTGGAAAGACTTTGCCGAGGATAAACATACAGAATTATAAAGATCTGGAGTCAGGATGAGAGGGAGAGGGGAGGGACAAAATAACAAATGGAAAGATGGAATCCACTGCCCAGGACAATGGGGGGTTCATGAACTGAAATTGTAGGTCAGAGTTCATTCAGTTTTATAGCTGTAGATACAAAGGACTTTCAGGGGAAATGCTCAGGGAAGCAGGGGAAGCAGGTCTGTATCTCAAGAGAGAGACCACAGAGTGAGAAACACTTATCTAGGAGATGACTGTATGGAGTAGAGAGAGGAGGGCCCAAGAACAACTTGTAGGGAGTGAGGCAGAGAGTTCTGGGAGCATAAAGAAGGACACATTAAAGAAAGAGGAGAATCAGGACAGCAGAATACAATACACTTCCTGGGAAAAGAGAGTTTGAAGAAGGATGAAGCTAGTAGACCCAGGAATGACAAAAGGCTACTGCATGTGGCTACTGAAGAATCACTGGTGACTTTCACGAAAATCACTTTAGATAGGTATCAGTGTCAGAACAGATTGCGGTGGGCCTGTGTATTAGTCTGTTCTTGCAACTGCTATAAAGAAATACCTGAGACTGAGTAATTTATAAAGAAAAGAGGTTTAATTGGCTCATGGTTTCACAGGCTGTACCAGAAGCATAGCAACATCTGCTTCTGGGGAGGCCTCAGGAAGCTTCCAATCATGGTGGAAGTCAAAGGGGAAGCAGGCACTTCACATGGCTGGTGCAGGAGCAAGAAAGGGAGCAGGGAGGTGCCACACACTTTTTAAACAAGTAGATCTCGTGAGAACTCTAAGATTAGAATGCACAAGGGGAATGGTGCTAACCCACTCATGAGAAACCACCCCCATGAGCCAATCACCTCCAACCAGGCCCCGCCTCCAACATTGGGCATTACAATTTGACATGAGATTGGGGCAGGGACACCAAACTGTGCCATCACGTGAGGATGGTGAAGTCATAGAAGTGTGAATAGCCTGTGTTTTAGAAGATTTTGTGCTGATTAGACAGCTCTGGAAAAGTAGATTGAAGGGTGAGTTTGATGAAGGCAAGATTTCTCTCTTCAATCCTTCAGCATCACACTGGTACAAGAACATACTGAAGACAGAATGTCTAACTAAAGAATCTCAGGCATCAGAGCAGGCTGGTGAGGGAGGCCCCTTGTGCAGCAGGTGGTTTTTCAGCATTCTTTGTACTCACTGACACATGGGGCCCTGTCAGTCCTGGGCCATCTGTGTTTATATTCTGTAGCATCTTTTTGCTTCCCTATGTATGCGTCACATTCACACCGAGAGGTTGTTAAAATGCAGACTCCAGGGCCCCACCTTGGAGATTCTGTTTTAATAGATCTAGGGTGGGGTCCAAGAATCTGCACATAAAAATACTTGCTTAGTTCTTGAATAAGCAGTACCTTCACACGGTTCAGAAGCTACTAAAGGACATAGGGTGGAAAACCACCTTCCTACACGTGTTCCTCAGCTGCTCCATCGCTCATGTTCCAAGCCTTCAATTTTATCAGTCTCTGTTATAGCCTAAAGGAATTTAGAAAACGTTTTGGCTTTTTCTTGTTTTTGTTTTCAATGAATGGAGTGACATGAGCTTAAATATAATTAAGAGAGTAGAAGCTATAGTTGAAGGAGAGAGTGAACCATATATGTGAGAGAGAAGAAAATCCACGGAGGATTGAACTTACAGATGTGATTAACAGTAGAAACATGAAGCAGAGCCTCTCCTCTCTAGGCTTCTCAGATTTCAAAATGTAAATAGCAATGCAATAGACCTAGAAGAACTTAGTCATCTTCAGATACTGGCCTCCTGTATACATCAGCTTCAGGAGCAGAAATCTTGAATCTGTGCATGGGTACCATGATCAATTGCTTGTGTGTTTCTTCTTTATTGTTAATCTTCTACTTTTTTCTTGATACCAAACTTATTGAATGAAAAAAGTGATAAAATCTTGCCCTGCTGGTTCTCTGAACATATGAACTCCATGCATCCCTCGCGGCTTTATTTTGGATGTCAGGCCATACAGACCGGCCATAGACAACATTTAATGAATTTAAAAGATATAACTTCACAGCACCAAAATTTTAATAAATGAAGACAGGCACACACTGCTGAATTTCCTCCGTTCTGCCATGTTCTATTTATCTTTCTCTCCCTCTGCATTTTAAATAACCCTTCGGTCAACATTGTAGGTATTCAAGTTTCAGATATTGTCTAAGGGTAAATAGCCCTCTCGCTAATAAGTGTTCCTGTACTTGACATAGTTTTTGGCAAAAGGTTGTTCTAAATACTGAAAATAAAGAGTGAAGATTCTACGTTTTGTATGCATTTCTTATTTTGTAAAGTTATTTTTTAAGAGAATAATAATTTTGGAAAGTCTGATTCAAATATCAGTTTAGAGTGAACATTTCTTGCCAACTTGAATTTAAAGTCTTATGCAAAAGCTCCGAATTCCACCAGCTCGGTTAAAGACTATCCCACCGAGACTGGACTAAATCCACCAGGCGTGCCGAGCCTTGGGACAGAGCTACAGAATTCCTCTTTGAAAAGTGCTGGGATACAGATTAAGGCTGAAGAATATGCTTTAAAATAACTGTGACTGGATGTTTCAGTGAGAAAAAAGGAGTGGGTGAGAGATTATAGTAACTAAATATGAAAAAAAATCTGTTTTCTTTTGACGGTTTCTTCTTTTGAATTATATTGAAGACAATTAGTTTATTGACAGACACTGTGGCTATGGATGTGAGCTTTTTTCACCATGAATTAAGTTAGGTTAGTTTGTGTTTCAGAATCCGAAAATGCCCTTTAGGGAGTAGTCCTCTTAAGTTGAAGGTAAATAGAGGACGTTATTTCAGCTGAATTGGAGAGATGTATAAAAAATGGAGTGATTCTTCATAACACAGAAAAATGAAATGAATTTTTCTTATTGTGTCTTTGTATTCATTTTGACTTTGACAGTTTTACTAAAATTAGCTATATAAAATAAGCCAGAGAGTAATAGAAAATGGGTATAAATCCTTTGATAACTTTTTATGGTGATATTTATTGGTGTTATTCATAAATAAAAAAGATTTAAGTGGGCATTAGATGGTACTTTAGAAGGATATTGAAAACATCCTAGCTTTCAGTAAGAAATGAACATGACCAATTACATTTCCTATATATAATAAATGTATAAGTATTATAGATGTTTTTGAATTATAAAATGATTTTATAAAGTAATTGCCATTACTTTAAATGGCAAAAACCACAATTACTTTTGCAGCAACTTAATAGACAATTTTGACTGCACAGCTAGTAGGTTGGTTAAGAGGTAACATTTCCAATTATATTAAGAAAATATAAATGCAAATTTAGAATTCTGTCTATCCTATGTTGAAATATGGGAGGTAAACATACATGATAAAAAAGTCTACAGCTCCAAAATTTATTATCTATTTATCATCAAAGTTGACAGAAAGCCTTAAGAAATAAATGAGTGCAATTAGTGTATATATTTAGGAAGAATCACAAAGTTGATACTAATAATGCTTCTCAGCTTGCCAATTTAAAAAAAGTCACACACTTCTGAATAGAAATAATGTGTAAATAGAAAAAGTTGAAATACGGAGGTGGCTTACCACATTTCACCCAGAGCTCAAAAAATAAAATCAATACCTACAAAATAGCTAGTTGATAAGAAAAATAATGAAAACATGTTAGATTTTAATCTGCTAGTAGTTATTACAGAAGGATATAGGTAATCTCATCTTAAATTATAGTCATTGATGGTTTTCAGTGTAAAAATAGTGTTTTTTTTCTGGAAGGTGGTGGTTATATTGTTACACAGTTCATGATGAGAATGTAAACTTTAAAATGTTTTGTTAGGTAAGGAGATGATCTTGCTTATGTATTTTAATAATTGTCCCTGAAGTTTAATTTTATTTGACAAATTAGGAAAATGTAAGAAACAAAGTGCTCATGCAAAAAGACATGTCTGTATATATTTTTGTTGCAAATTTTTGGGTTTCATTGTATTCAAAAGGCCAAAGAATTACACCTCAAAGAGACTGCATTTTAGGTTTCCCTAGGACATCTCCTAGAGTCATCTTTCCTGTCATTGTGCCTCATAGATCACATCAGTTTCATTTGATGGCAAAGATAGTCTTTCTATAAGGATAATATGGCTTTTAGGAAGTTTATTTTATCATTTAAGAATCAAAAAGTGATGGCCAGGCGCAGTGGCTCACGCCTATAATCCCAGCAGTTTGGGAGGCTGAGGTGGGAGGATGACTCGAGCCCAGGAGTTTTAGACCAGGCTGGGAAACAACATGTGACCCCATCTCTACAAAAGATAAAACAATCAGCCATGTGTGGTAGCATGCACACATGTGACCCCATCTCTACAAAAGATAAAACAATCAGCCATGTATGGTGGCATGCACACATGTGACCCCATCTCTACAAAAGATAAAACAACCAGCCATGTATGGTGGCATGCACACATGTGACCCCATCTCTACAAAAGATAAAACAACCAGCCATGTATGGTGGCATGCACACATGTGACCCCATCTCTACAAAAGATAAAACAACCAGCCATGTATGGTGGCATGCACCTGTAGTCCCAGCTACTCAGGAGGCTGAGGTGGGAGGATCACTTGAGTGTGGGAGGCTGAGGCTGCAGTGAGCGATGATGGAACCACTGCACTCCAGCCTGGGTGACAGAGTGAGACCCTGTCTTAAAAAAAGAAAAAATGGAAAGAATTATTCAAAAAAGGAGATGGGGAAGGAAGGCAGAGTGGAATTCTGAAGTTCAAAATTAAAATAATTACTATTTAGAGTAACACATTTGACATCATTCAGGATGTCCTATCTTCAGACTTACCTCAAAACACAGGAGTTGAGGGATTCAAGAATAAGAATTCACCTGCTACTCTTGCCTGGTCCAGTGCAAGAGTCTGGGAGAATTGGAGTCAGCTCATAGATCTCCTGGAGAGAAGGCAGAAGTCATATTACAGTCAGAGATCTCAGTGGTTCTTTCCACTTCAAGGTCCTTGAATTCAGTTAAGCCTTAAAAGTGCTCAATGGATTCTTTATTCCTTTATTTACCTAATAAACTTGCTCTCACGTTACAAAAAAAAAGGTGCTCATTGTTTCTTCTAAGGACAGGAGACTGCTCATCGCTGAGTAAATGGAGGACAAACTCCATTTGAATGAAGGAAATTCACACATGAACCTGAGACTCTTCCTTGTCAATGACCATTTTAAAACCCAGGCAGTCACAAAACTTTATTATGGAATAAAGGATGGGTTTGGATAACAAGATGATGCTTTTAAAAGAAAACAATTTAATCTTGATATTTTTCTTTATGATGAGACAGAAAATTTTATTGTTATAAATACCAGTCTACAGGACCAATGTTAATATTTTTAGATTTGTTTTATGGTGAATAGAAGTGAAATATAATATGTTTAGAAAAATATTTTATGTTTTTAAATATTGGGAAACTTTGCCTTTTTAAAACACCATTATTTAGAAAGAAAATTAGAAATGTATTAGTTTATCCCATTTCTCATGAAGACCCATGACTTATTTGCTGTAAACAAACTTTGCCATTGTTCAGGCAGCTGTAAAACATGAAAGTTATTTTTGCTTTTCAACAGATAATAAAATAAATGATTTGAAATCACTTTTAAGAAAAAATATTGATTAATGGAAGAAATGGTCTTTCTTGGATATAAAGATGTCATCATTATTTTATTTTTTGTCTTTAATGTGCAAGTTCTAACTTTCTTCTTTATGTATTTGAAAATAAAACTTGTGTAAGACTAAGAAAATATTTAAAATATGCGGGCTAAGTCATGACTTTCAATTAAATTATGTCTGTGTTTATTGGGGGGTAAATTCTCAGTCCTTCTGATTCAAGGAACAGTGATTTCTCCCAATATTAAATTCTTTCTCTTAGTTCCACTCCTCATCTTGGAAATGTGCCTTCCAGTGCCTTGTAATGTAAAATAGATATTTTTAAAACTTCTGAACTACCTCATTAGTTTTTTCCTTCTTTTTTCTCTGTTATTTTTTACTCTGATTAAAGTAAAACAAACCAAAAGAAAAAAAGAAACAACTAAAAGCAACTAAACAAGCCGTATTAACAACTCAACTTTTGCACTATTCAAGAAGCCTTCTATTGGTGAATGGCTTGAAATGACCAATTTGCATTAGAATGATCCCTCTTTGGTTTTCTTGTGTAACATGAAAATCACAGCATTTCCTTAGCGGAAGCCCAGACAGTGTATGGTTTGTAAAATTACCACAGTTTGTACAACTGGGTCTTTACTTCTATGTGAATTGGTCTCTTAGAATAGCTTTAGAATAGGCAAAGAAAGCAGTTTACCCCCACTGTGTGCGTGTGTTGGGGGCAGGGGGGCGGTGGTGTGTGTATGGTATGTGGCATGTGTGTGCATGCAGGCTTGCTATACAGTAGGATTATTAATAGAGTTCTAGAATTTACCATGTGAATACTGGATGTCTGGACCTGCTACACACTTCACTGGTAGGGAATGGTAATTTGAAAAATGCTACAAAGTTGGATACAAATTATTTAACACAGGAAATCTTTCTTTTTGATGCAAATCATGTACTTTCTGTTGTGTGTATCAGTAGTTGATTTTTAAAACCATTGTAGTAAACTATAAATGACATAGTGGTTATTGTTTTAATTATTTGGATCTGTGCAATTCATTGGCATTAAATACATTCACGATGTTTCAGAATCCTCACCACTATCTATATTTAAAACTTTTCATCATTTCAAACATAAACTCTGTACCCATTAATCAGTAACTTCCCCCACAACCCAGCTGCTGCTAACTTCTTGTCTACTTTCTGTCTTTAGGAATTTGTCTAGTCAAGGTATCTTGTATAAGTGGAATCACGCAACATTTTTTCTTCTGTGTTTGGCTTCTTTCACGTAGCATAATGTTTTTAAGATCTATTCATGTCACAGCATATGTCAAAATGATACAGACAGGAGACAGGGAAATACTGCGTAGAAGAGGGAGGTTCCCTGGCAAAGGCCCTACCCTCAAGCCTGGAGACCCACGGCCCTAAGTGGGAACAGGCATTTCAGTTTTTGTGCCCAGAAAGTTGCTTTTTGGCCCGCCACACCTCCCTATCCTGTACCCATATAAACCCTGAACCCCAGGCTCCAGAAGCAGATGAGCAGAGGAGACGAGATAAGCAGAGGGATGGCAGAACTGTGTGGCAGAGAAAGAGAGAAGAAGAGGAACATCTGAACACCGAGAGGACTTCGTCTGGGGGCAGTTGGAGAGATGGGCTGCTTGACAGCCAAACTCCAGGGGAAGATCATCTTCCTGCTCCATTCTCCCTTCTGGCTCCCCATCCGTCCTGCTGAGAGCCACCTCCACCATTCAATAAAACCCCATATTCATCCTTCAAGCCCATGTGTGACCCAATTCTTCTAGGATGCTGGGCAAGAGCTCAGGATACAGAAAGATGTCACACTGGCCCTCTGCCCTTGTGAAAAGGCAGAGGGTCCATTGATCTGGTAAACACTTAAGCTGTCTGAGGATGGCAAGGCTAAAAGCATTGTAACACAGGGGTTGCAGGCATCCACCCCTAGACATGACTGCAGGGCCAGAGGCCAAAGCACCTGCCCCAGCTTCTGCACCTGCCGGTCTGTGTGCTCCCCATCCTGTCAGGGTATGAGCAGCAGCAGTGACACAACAGACAAGCCACACCCCTGTCACATGTCCTGCGAGAGGGATCAGGGAACTCTCCTGTTTCAAAATTTTCATTTCTTTGTCTGGCTGAATAATACTCCATTGTGTGTAGAGGCTACACTGTATGTCCATCCATCTGTTGATGGACATTTGGACTGCTTCTGCCTTTCGACTATTGTGAGTAATGCTGCAGTGAACACTGCCGTGCAAATATCTTTTGGAGTCCCTGCTTTCCATTCTTTTGGCTATACTAAGAGTGGAATTGCTGGGTCATATGAAAATTTGATGCTCACCTTTTTGGATAACTGTCAAACTCTCTTCCACAGTGGTCACACCATTTTCACAGTGAAAATGTAGCTTCAAAGTCTGGTCAAGTTCTGAACTGAGTTTTCCCATTTCCAAGCGTGCCATCATTTTCTTTCCTCAAAGTACTTCTTGTGCCTCATGCTCATAGTAACGGAAGTGTTCTGATAGTAGCTGAGTCTCTCATTTTCTGGGAAATTCATTTAGATTCTTGCCTAGCTAAAAATGATTTTAATTTGATTATCCTGTGGAGAACATTAGACACAGAAACACGATTGGCTGGGTCTCCAATCCTGCAGATCCTCCCTATTTTTCCTGCCTTGAATTTCCTGCCTCCCTGCTTTTCTCTGTGCTGCATGGGAATACTGGTTACTTTCAATGAGTCTTCGCTTTATATGAAGCACAAATCCTGAGCACAGTATTCTTTGCCCTGCCCAGGTCCTCTAAGCTTGATCTCACATCTTCTTCCTAACTTTGACTGTATGTGTATTCAAGGCGGAAGGCAAACTGTAATTTTTGTTCATGGTCTTCATCATTTGGCCTTGCTATGACTTCTACCTGGAGGAGCACACCTAACCTCTAAGGATTCATTTTTCAAATCTCAGGTGTATGCCTCAGGATGCTGAGCATCATGGACAAGCTCCCAGGCCTGCGGCTTTCAGCTGGGGATGTCAGTGGAGAGCCCTGGCAGGGGCTCAGAGGAAGGGGAGAGGGAGAAGTTAGGGAATTTAGTCCTTAGCGCCTGCTGTGAGGTTACTTCCTATTGGCTCCTCCCTTGAGTAAAGCTTGCTGCTTCTCTAGCTTCTTTTGCCTATCCCTGTTTGCCTCCCTGTGACTGGGAACTGCTCTTGGTGACACTTGTCACTTTGAACTTTGGCTGGTATCAGCTCCTGCTGTGACGACTCCAGGTTGCTGAGTTGCAGTTGGCTTCCCAACACCCAAACCTCTGTTTACAGACGTCCTTCCGTAAATAACCCTTCCTCAAGTTCCCTGGCTTGAGAGTGCCCTCTGCTTCCTCGGGGACCTTCACAGCCAAGTCTTCCTCCATCACACTGAGTGGAAACTGATCTCCCCTTGCTCCAAGTCCCTATAGCCGTTTGCACTTCTTTTATGGAACTTAATATATCACATATTGTAGTAATTTATGTGTATATTGTAACTCCCATTTTAGATTATCAATTTCCTATGGGAGGATATTGTGTTTTACTTATTTTTACATTTCTTGTGTTCCTTCCTTGAAAGAATAATTTTTTTATGACTGTTATAAAAGCCACACTAAAAAGAATACCCTTAGTTTTAGGTAAAGGATTTTGACAGCCATTGTAGCTCTGATGTGGCCATGGAGTACATTGGAGGGTGTACTTTAAAAGGTTATCTAATTTCAAAGAATGAAAAATGAAAAATGTTGAAGTGTATTAAAAGCAAATGAAAATTATGTTATTGAAATTGCAATGATGACCTTAATTACATAGAGAATTTGAAAATTAATACCTGTTTCTGTACAGAATCATTAATTTTGAAAGAGCTTGAGGTGATATTGTTTTAGGCCATAACGGATCTATAATTAAACCCATAGAAGAGTATTTCTTTCACGCAATATGTAGGGTACACATGCATTTCAGATGCAATTTTATGAAGCAATATCTTGAAAACAAGTCAATTCAAATTGGTAATTTCAAATTGTTTGCAAATTCTCATCCCCCTCCACTGTCTTACTCCTGTCGGTAAACAATCGTGGTGACAGCAATCAAACGGCTCTTTCTTCACCTAATATTCTGCCACAGAGATTGTCACGTGGGGTCTGCTCACTGTCACCAGTCCCCAGCTCCCTTTTCTCCTTTAATAAATTCATTCTAACCAAGATTTTTCCCTGCCCCCTTCTCTAAGACAGCTCTTGTCAAAATCACCCGTAAGCATCATGCAAGTCTAGCCACCAATTCTCAGTCTTCCTCTGATTTGATATTTTGGAAGCATCTGAAATCATGGACTAGATTTTCCTCCTTCCTTCCTTTTGTTTTGTTTGTTTTTTATTTTTATTTTTGGAGGCAGAGTCTCCCTCTGACACAATCTGTGTTCACTGCAACCTCTGCCTCCTGGGTTCAAGGGATTCTTCTGCCTCAGCTTCCTGAATAGCTGGGATTACAGGTGTGTGCTACCATGCCTGGCTAATTTTTGTATTTTTAGTAGAGACAGGGTCTCACCATGTTGGCCAAGCTGGTCCCAAACTCCTGACCTCAGGCGATCCGCCTGCCTTGGCCTCCTAAAGTGCTGGGACTACAGGCATGAGCTACCATGTCTGGCCGAGATTTTCTTCCTTCAAACATGGTCTGCACTTGACTTCTGGGACACCTCTCTACCCACATTGTTCCCTACATCTCTGGCCATTTCTCCATCCCCTTCGGGGATGTGTCTGGTGTATCCTGAGCAAGTCTTGGTGATCATATGACTGTTCTTTATACTGGCCATGGTTCAAGGAGGGGGCTATGAGAACACAAAACAGTGTCTCTACATCTCAGATGAAACAATATTTCACATGACCACAAGATACCATTAAACACATACATTCACTTCTGAGTGTCCTGTGAATTAAAGGTAAAATTTTATCTGTGTCATCAAATGTTATTGTGGATTTGATCATGATCCTTTTGGTAGTAACAAATTTGCAGGTATGTGCATGAGCAGGATTACAACTAAGTTTTTGTGAATAGGGGATCCTGGCTGGGGAACAAAGAGAGCAGGTATTGCTGGAATACAGTGGAAGACATTAAGGCTAGGGGCAAGTGTGCCAAGAGTAAGGTATTCTTCTAGAATTTCTCACACATTTCAAGATAGGAAGATAAAAGTAATTTTGTATTTTCAGCGGTCATGTTGGTCTAATAGAATGCCATAAGCAAATATCTGCTTGTTATATGAGGCTTTTTTCTTTTCCTTTTTTAATGATCATGATGATTAACATTTCTTTATAAGCGTCAGTCCACATCTGCTACAAAGCTGAGTGGGAATTCTTACTCCCACTGATGTAACCTTTAGGTAAAGGGTAATGAATGAGAACTCATCCTCCTCATTTCTTTTTTGCTTTGTTTTGCTTTTTTGTTCTTTTGAGTCAGTAGAGAAGAAGCCAGAAAAATGGTAGTGATTAGACAATTAAACCAACTAATTATAGCTTTTAGTTATAATCTTTTTCTTTTTTCCTAGGATTGCAGAAGATTTTATTTATTAAAATATTTCTGACCCATAATTATATTATTACTTGAAAATTATAAAATTTTTCTTTAATATTTAGTAATTTTCACAAATAATTTACATTCAAATATGTTCATTAAACTTTAGTTGTTTCTTAAGAATATTCACCTTTAAAAAAAGTCATTAACAGTTTTTCCAAAGATTCTTTGGGTTTGAAAATAGGGAATTTTTTCTGGAATTATAACAAATAAAGTTAATTTGGCTTAAATATAACTTATTTTATATATTTTCTAATAAATTCAGGCATCCCAATTATGATACAGAGATAGCAACAATACATTTGACTCACTGGGAAATTGTATATTTAAATTTATTCCTTCTGCAAATGATGTGAAATATATGCATGTTGCCTCTCTTAGAAATGCAATGGAGTTAAATTGAAAAGTCATAAAAGAAGAAAAAAGTAGATCTAAGAGTATTTTGAATTATCTTTGAGGAAAGAGACCTGAATATTCTAGGGTTTCTTACTCTTTAAAAAGTAAGCAGTGTTTTTTTTTTCTTTTTTTCTTATGTGTCAGTATTTACACTCAACGTATTCCCTTATTATGACATGGAACCAGAAATTAAGTGCAGGTTACATGCTTTCTCTACAATTTAAAATGTAAAAAAAGATATAAAATTGTTTTTAAAATGATCACGTCAAAATTAGAGTGTTGAGATGGGAGCTGTGGCGCAGAGGCCGAGTGCATCACTTTCTGAACTCTTTCTGTGGTCAATTACCTTATGATGCCACAGAGTCTGAAATGGCTTTGGCTGGGCTGAGTCAATGAAATATTTATGGATCAAAGGATCCTGGAGATGCTTCCTATGGGAATGCATATAATAATATAGTATTTATACAGTGCCGTCTTTGATGTGCTCAAAGAGTTTTACATACATTCTGTACTTCATCAGCACCACCCATGAAGCAGGTTGGGGGTAAGAATGAATCTTGTTTACAAATGAGTAAAAGCCATACAGAGCAGAGATTCACAGGGGGGGAAATGACAGAGCAGGAACTCCCTGTCTGTTCAAAGGTGCAAGGAAAGAGATTAGTTTACTAATGTCCACAGGGATTTTTAACCTCTATACTTCTGATTTCCCTGGACGCCCAATATCTTGTGCTTCATGACCTTTAAATCCTCGTGCAGTTCTAAAATTCCACTGCTGAATTCACAATAGCAGCTTGCATGGTGGAGGGAGAGAGGTCAGACTCTGGAATGGGATAATCTTGGGTTTGAATCCTGGTCTTGCTGCTCACTGGGGAGGTGAATTTGAACAAATAAGTAATTTGAGCTTCAGTTTCTTCATCCATGGGATGAACATTTCATATCGGCCTCACGAGGTTGTATGGAGCGCCAAGTGAGATGGTGTGGCAAAGCACTTATCACGGGATCTAGCACACAGTAGGTCTTCCATAAACTGTGTGAGTTAGTATTTTTGGCAGAGATAAAAAGCAGTTTTTTGTTTCCTGCCTACCCTCATTCACCAAAATGGAATGAACTAACCACATGGTAGGGTTCCAAACGAATGTGCTCCAGTTCAAGCTAAAGAGTTGGAAATTCTGTCTGTTTTTGTTAGCAAATCAGATGTTTGAGATCAGTTTTTTTTCCTAGGCATTGTTAGTGCAGGGATGCCCGAATTAAACACTGTAACTTTGAAGCCAGCATGTGTTGACAAAGTATGTGGATGGACAGCACGGAGCTGGTGGAAGTGGCAAGTTTGACCACAGTTTGCACGGAATCAGTGGCTGGAGTGAGGAACCATTCTAGGCTAGATCATTCTCTGCTGCTTCATCTCCCCGGAGGGATGTGCCAGCTGAACAGCCTCAAGGGAACGTGGGGTGGGAGAGGAGCAAGGACTTCCTGTGATGGGAAGATAAAGAGGGACTCTAGATCAAAAAAAAAAAAAAAAAAAAAAAAAAAAGAGATAAAAACCATAGCCCATGAATGCTAAAAGGGACCCTTGAGGTTCCTATATGGCAGGTATTATTTCTTTCTCTAGTAATGCATATTTACTCAAAAGAATGCCAATCATAACTTATTAATAGAGGAGCCAATATATATAATGAAAGACTGAAGGAAGGTTGTCACTATGCTTATGATTTGTGATATAAAATTTATATCAATTCTTACTATGGGCCTGGTGTGGTGGCTCACACCTGTAATTGTTGGGAGGCCAAGGCGGGCAGATCACCTGAGGTCAGGAGTTTGAGAACAGCCTGGCCAACATCGTGAAACCCTGTCTCTACCAAAAATACAAAAAATTAGGGAGGCGTGGTGGCGGGCACCTGTAATCCAGCTACTTGGGAGGCTAAGGAGGAGAATCGCTCGAGCCTGGGAGATGGAGGTTGTAGTGAACCAAGATCGTGCCACTGCACTTCAGCCTAGACCACAGAGCAAGACCCCGTCTGTAAAATAAATAAATAAATAAAATAAAGTTCTTACTGTGGTCATTGACAGTACTACAGATGTAGGTATTCCGTGATGTAATTTTACAGTAAGTAAAAATTATTAATTGAATTTGACATTTCCCATGTTTTTGCACGAGTGGAAATACATCTATGTAACATGTAAATTTTTATATGAAAAACTGTAACATTAATGGCATTTTAGTTTTCTTGCATATAATGCTATTTGGCACAGGACTGAATAAACATATAGTGTAAAATTTGGTCGTTAGCACCATGAATATTTGTATATTTTGATAACAGATGATGTAAGAAAAAAATCTCTAAAGAGAAAAGAAGTCGTTGCAAAGTTTGCGCATTAAAGTAAATACACTTTTAAGAATTCATCATATGGATCTCTTAGAGATCATATTTCTTGTGGGTAAATTTAAAGAGGAAAGTGAAAAGGTGCAGGGCATAGGCAATGATGTGCTGAAAAACTGACTCCTCAAAAAATAACAAAAGAAGTTCTAATTCAGTCTTTGCCAGTTTCCATTGTGTAACTCCTCCCACCATCCACCATGATGCATTTCAGGTAAGTGGTGAATGTGGGCATAGAAGAGGCATGCAATGGGCATTCAGGAGCCCAAGAGGTCGGCTCCAGCACAGCCCTGGACCGGCTCCTGTATGGACAATACAAGAGTGAGCCATATTGAGGGAGGAGATAGGAAAACAATAAAAACTGTCAGGAGGCCACAAAAAGCTTAGCATTCTGGAGTCATCTGATATACGAGCAAATAGAGTCATTCTCAGCACAAACCCAGCATGATCATTTATCAGCGTGCTGAGGCCCTGAATAAAAGGCAAAGTCAGCATAGCACTGAGATTGAGAGCTGCAATGCCAAGGCTGACATCCGGCCCTGCCAATTGCTATTTAGTTGTGTGACTTGGTGCTGGTTTTGGAGCCTCTCTGGGCCTCTCAGCTCCTTTTTCTCTAAGATCTGAGGCTCACTGCATCTGACTTAAATGGTCACTGGGAGGGTAAACTAGTTACTATTGGTGAAGCATCTGGGAGGTGCCTGACACATAAGGTTATGAGCTGAACTGTGTTTCCCCAAATCCATACATTGAAGTCCTAACCCCAGCATCCCAGGGTGTGACCCTGTTTGGAGATAAGGTCTTCACAAATGTGATTACATTAAAATGAAGACATTAGGGTGGACCCCCCCATGACTTGTGTCCTTATAAGGAGAGGAAGAGACACCAGGTCTATCAGACCATTCTTGCATTGCTATAAAGAAATGTCTAAGACTGAGTCATTTATAATGAAAAGAGGTTTAATTGGCTCAGAGTTCTGCAGGCTGTAGAGGAAACATGGAACTGTTCATCTGCTTGTCTTCTGGGGAGGGCTCAGGAAGCTTGCAATCATGGCAGATGGGGGAGCAAGAGAGCAAGTGAGCAAGTGGGGAGGTGCTTTTAAATAACCAGATCTCAAGAGAACTCACTCACTATTGCTAGGACAGTACCAAGGGGGATGGTGCTAAACCATTAATAAGAAATGGACCCCATGATCCAATCACCTCCCACCAGGCCCCACCTCTAACATTGGGGATTAAATTTCAATATGAAATTTGGGTGGAGACACATATCCAAACTATATCATTCCACTTCTGGCCCCTCTCAAATGTCATGTCCTTCTCACATTTGAAAATACAGTCATGCCTTCCCAATCATCCCCCAAAGTTTTAACTCATTCTAGCATTAACTCAAAAGTTCAAAGTCTAAAGTCTCATCTGAGACAAGATAAGTCCCTTCTACCTATGAGCCTGAAAAAAAAAACAACTTAGTTACTTTCAAAAGACAATGGAGGTACAAGAATTGGGTAAACATTACTATTCTCAAAAGGAGAAATTGGCCAAAAGAAAGGGGCTACAGGCCCTGTGCCAGTCCAAAACCCAGCAGGGCAGTTATTAAATCGCAAAGCTCCAAAAAACTCTCCTTTGACTCCATGTCCCACATCCAGGGTAAACTTCTGCCCTGGGTCATGATAGTGTTGGTGGATTCCCAAGGCCTTGGGCAGCTCTGTCCCAGTGTCTTTGCAATGTTCAGCCCCTACAGCCACTCTCACAGGCTGTAGTTGAATACCTCCGGCTTTTCCATGTGCAGGGTGAAAGCTGGTGGTGGATCTACCATTCTGGGGTCTGGAGGATGGTGGCCTGACTCTCACAGCTCCACTAGACAGTGCCCCAGTGGGGATCCTGTGTGGGGCCACATTTCCCCTCTGCACTACTCTAGTAGATGTTCTCCGTGAGGGCTCTGCTAGTGCAGTAGCCTTCTGCTTGGGCACTCAGGCTTTTCCATACATCCTCTGAAATATAAGCAGAGGCTCCCAAGTCTTATTCACTCTTGCACTCTGTGCACCTGCAGGCTTAACACCACAGAGAAACCACCAAATTTACAGCTTGCACCCTCTGAACCAGCAGCCCAGGCTATAGCTGGGCCCCTTTGAGCTACAGCTGGAGCCAGAGCAACCAGAGATGCAGGGAGCAGGGTTCCAAGGCTGCACAGGGCAGCAGGGCCCTGGGCCTGGCCCATGAAACCATTCTGTCCTCCTAGGCCTTCAGGCCTATGATGGGAGGGGCTGCCTGGGAAATCTCTGAAATGGCTTTGAGGCCTTTTACCCATTGTCTTGGCTAACAGCACTTGCCTTCTTTTTGCTTATGCAAATTTCTCTGGCAAGTGGTTGAATTCTTCTTCTGAAAATGGGCTTTTCTTTTCTACCACATGCGACGCTGCAAATTTTCCAAACTTTTACACTCTGCTTCCCTTTTAAATGTAAGTTCTAACTTATTTCTCTGCTCCCACATCTGCGCATAGGTTGTTAGAAGCAGCCATGCCACATCTTGAACACTTTGCTGCTTAGAAATTTCTTCTGCCAGATACACTAGGTCATCACTCTCAAGTTTAAGCTTTCACATATTCCTAGGGAAGGGGCACAATCCAACCAAGCTCTTTGCTCAGGTATAATATGTGTGATTTTGCTCTAGTTCTCAATAAGTTTCTCATTTCCATCTGAAATCTCACTAGCCTGGACTTCATTGTTCATATCACTATCATTATGTTGGTCAAAACCATTTAACCAGTCTCCAGGAAGTTCTGAACTTTTCCTCATCTGTTTTCTTCTGAGCTCTCCAAACTCTCCCAACCTCTGTTCATTGCCCAGTTCCAAAGTTGCTTCCACACTTTCAGGTATCTTTACAGCAATGCCCCACTCCTCAGTACCAATTTTCTGTGTTAGTCTGTTCTTGCACTGTGATAAAGAAATACCTGACACTGGGTAATTTATAAAGAAAATAGCTTGACTTGGCTCATGGTTCTTCAGGCTTTATAGAAAGCATGGTGCTGGTCTCCACTTGGTTTCTAGGGAGGCCTCAGGAAGCTTACAATCATGGCGGAAGGTGAAGGGGGAGTAGGTACATCACATCGTGAGAGCAGGAGCCAGAGAGGAATGAGGTCTCATAAGAACTCACTCATTATGGCGAGGTCAGTACCAAGGGTGTTGGTGCTAAGCCATTCAGGAGAAACCACCTCCATGACCCAGTAATCTCCCATCAGGCCCCACCTCCAACACTGGGAATTACAATTATGCATGAGATTTGGGAGGGACACAGATCCAAACTATATCATGAGGAGAATAAAAACAAAAAAGTTGTTTGGGATATAAATAGGGCTAAAAATCTAGCCATTTAGAGTGACTCGTTTTCCAAAGATTCTTTGTGATAAATGTTGTATTGCAATATTGTTCTCACTTTTGGGGAATAATTAAATTACTGTGTATCAGAGAGAAAAATAGTGTACTCTGGCAACAAAAATATCTTAGAAGAAAGTGCAGTGGTATATCGTTCGTATTATTGGTACATGTCACATATGTATGTTGTAGAGGTTTGGAAGCAGATATACTTTGTTATAACAGCAGTGTGCATACACCAAAGGGTGAGCACTTTGATGTTTTAAGTTTTCAATCCAACCCATACATTTAAAATATCCCCATAGGTTCCATGATTAAAATACCACCTCAAACCCTGTCTTGCTTTGAGATGTGTATGTATTGTGGTTGCTTTTTTGTTTCTCTTTTCTTGTTTTAGGATTAAGTATAGGCTGAAAAGACTTCTTACCTGCTAAGGGATGAGCTCCTAGGTCAAAGGCCATTTCTTCAAAGAGGAGATAAATATGTCTAGTAACTCAGGAGGAGAAGGAAAGAAAATAGATCTCTCTTGAATCTGGACGGATCTTGTTGTGGTGCCCTTAAGCAAGTGCTGATATTGTCTATGATGAAGAATAGACTTTCTCCATCTGCAGTGTCCTTCCCTGCAGGACTTTCTCAAAGAAAAACTGAATGTGTGAACCCTGAATGCAGATGGCAAAGAAACAGAAACATGCAACCAAATACAACTATAAAACTATGGCGTGATTCATGCATAATATACTGAAATCATAGCACTTTGGGGGCTTTTTACTACAGTCACTAAAAAGTGTGTGTGAACTCTGAAAATCAAATTAAGATGAAGCTTTTCTCCTTTTTTTTTCTCTTGAGACAGAGTCTCACTTTGTCTCCCAGGCTGGAGTGCAGTGGGGTGATCTTGGCTCACTGCAAACTCCACCTCCGAAGTTCAAGCAATTATTCTCCTTCAGCCTCCTGAATAGCTGGGATTACAGGTGCCTGCCACCATGCCCGGCTAACTTTTGTATTTTTAGTAGAGATGGGGTTTCACCATGTTGGCCAAGCTGGTCTTGAGCTCCTGACCTCAAGTGATCTGCCTGCCTCAGCCTCCCAAAGTGCTGGGACTACAGGTGTGAGCTGCCGTGCCCAGCTAGATGAAACATTTTTGACACAACTTTGTTATCTTTAAAAAAAAAACCTTTAAAACAGAAAGAATTATGTAGAAAAAGACCAGCAGCTCCAGATAGCTATGCAGGTGCTTCATAGATACTAAGGAAAATATTTCATTAAAATATAAACTATGGTGAATAATGGAAGTGCAATTCTGTAAATAAGTAAAATATTCATTTCAGTTGAGACCAGGACTTCTCAACACTTAAGGGGCAAAGGAATCCCATGTGGGACCTTGTTAAAGTACAGACTTTGATTTGGTAGTTCTGGCTTCTGAGAGGAATCTAGGCTTCTGCATTTCTAAGGAGCACCCTCGTGATGTGCTGCTGGTCTGAGGACTGCACTTTGAGTAGCGAGGGTCTAGCAGCTGAGCTTCTTAAGGTCAGAAACTATTGCACTCATCTTTAAACATCCAGCATGTAGTCCAGCAGAGATCACTGATAAGCTGATCAACAAATTCTTGCAGGATGGGTGGATGGATGCATGCGAAGAAAAAATGCAAAATGGAGACAAATGCATTGATTCCCCCTCTGTTTTCTAGGTCTCCTGGGATGCTAAGTTGATAGAAACCCAAAAAGCTTCTACCATTCTCAAATTTTCTATGGGTAGAACAAGAACCAATAGTTGAAGGCAAAAATGGAGTATTCCATTCAAAATAAGAAAGCGTTTTCTAAGAGTAAGGGCTTTCAAACTCAGTGGTCTGAGGTCATGAGTTTCCTGCCACTGGAAGTGTTCAGACATTGGCAGGACAATCATTTTAGGGGTTTATTATACTGCAGATCTCAGCGACAAGCTGATAGGACTAGAGAACATTTAAGATTTCACCCAGTCCTAAAATCCTACGGGAAAGGAAGAAGCAGATGGGAGAGGTTAGTGAGGTAAAAAAGACAACTGCTTTAGATTTTAAAACCCTTTGGATGTAGTTCAAATTCCAGCAAGTTACTTTTCTGAGCCTCAGTTTTCTTCTCTGAAAAAACAATGGTAATGGTAATGCCTATTTTACAGCGTTGCTGTGAGAATTAAGTTCAATTATCTTTTTATGAAAGTAGCATATCATATAGTAAACACTCTTTTCTTCAACAGAGTGGTGTGCTGGTCAGTGTTCAACAATGAATTCCCCTACCTTCACCCCCATAAACGTTCTGGTTTGTAGTGTTTGCTGATTTTCGTGGTGTAAGTGTTACCATCATGACCCAATTCAAGCTAGCAATACCTTAACAGCCGTCTTACAGGATTCCTGAGAGTCTAGCAGCCAGCTCTTGTGAGCCACTGGTGTGAGTCAGCTCCATTACACAACTGCTTCCGCTAGCCCCTGTTTTACCTTAGCTGTGACCCTTTGTGATACAGAGACATAACAGAGCATTACTTTTCATGGACTCCTATTCCATACTATGAAACAGACAGACCCAGCATTTTAATAATCTCTGCCTCTCATATTGGATGAGGAAGGAAGTGACTGTGGGCTGACTTAATATGTGAGAAATTGCATGAGGTGGATGAGACAAAGCTCCTAACAGTGAAACCAGGAGCTGCACACATGTGTTCCTAAGAAAAGAGGGGATTGCAAAATACTGTGAAATAGGAGAAAAATTAGGATTGAAATCAACCAAAGAGTGGGCAGTTGTATTAGAACAGATGGCTTTTCTGAGTACGTACTCCTAAAATTTTCAATGTTTCAGACCTTCATGTGTTTCTCAGAGTAAAGTGCAATCATGAACTTAATTACTCAATAGTTTTTTGTTAAGTGAATTTTGAATTTAAAAAGCTTATTCTTCCAAATTAGCCATTAAATATATGAGCATTTCTATTTAAATTTAATTCTGTTACCTGACAAGTGTTAGTTCTTCATAATAATGACAAAAGTGTGATTAGATCATTAAGTTCAACACATCAGAACAATTTTCAAATGATACGCTCTTTATGCATTTGTATTAAGATAGGGTCTAATATGAGACCAGAAATCAAATACATTTTAATCTTTGATGAAAGAATGACATTCTCTGGCCAGGTAGATGTTAAGACATGTATATAGTTTTCTTCTTCCACTTAAAAAATTAGACAGTAATGGTTAGTGGATGTATCGGACAAGTTAATTGTTTAATATAGCAAAAAATTGTCTTGTAATGAAAAACATCATCCACCTGGCTTCAACCTTTTACCTAAGTTTTTGTCGATCTTTAATTATTAATCCTAGTTTTACATGAAATAAGTATATACAATTATCAAATCCCTCAGATTTATTCAAAAGTTGGTTAAGGGCAATTGTTTGGCCCAATTTCTAATTATACACTAATAATAGTACAGCTGTAAATTATAATTCAGTTTTCTCCATTTTGGAGTTATTTATAGATCTGAATCTTTTGAAGGTAATAGCTGACATTAAATAGCTGAAAGAAATTAATGACTTCATGGTAGTGTTGATGTCTTGGATACTCATTATAACCTTTTAAAAATATGTATACATAAGTGTGATTGAGTTTCTTCCTCCTTGAAATTCTATGTGCTGGTAAAGGAGGTGACATTTACTAAGGAGACAGTCCCAAATTAAACCCATTCTCTATGGTTGGGTTCTACTTTGCATTTTTAATCTGGACCCTAGAATGGCGATGGAAGTTGATCTAACTTTTTACTGTAATATCAAATGAGGTTTTTTTAAGTTGAGGTTTATAAGAAAAAGAAAAGGATTAGTTGAGAAGAATTTAATTCATGCTCTGAGTTGAATTATACAGAAATACATAGAGGTTTTTAAGAGCTAAATCATGCACAAATACTTGAAGAAAATTATACATAATGTATGGCGTAATTGCCGTATGAATCTTGTATTAAACTAGAAACTTCTCATCACGTGGATACTGAAGCAGCTGTCAGATAGGATGAGCTGGGATTGTGTCCTGATGTGGATTCCCTGCTCTCTTTTTGGTTTTGAGGCACTTCTATTGGTGCCTGGCTTTCAAGAACCCCATCTTGGTATTTGAAAAACATCTTTCCTTCTAGACTATGCAGTGTTGCTTTGTTTCTCGTGGGTTTTCACAAAGACAATAGTGGTGGTGTCAACCCGCTGTGAGATGGTTTAAAAACAGGTCTGTAAATTTTCTGAAATGCCTACCTCCACGGGGTGGTAGCTAAGACTCTCTCCTTGAAACTGAGTGGGCCTTTGTAACGCCTCCCGAGATAGAGTTCCGTGGAAGTGATGCCCTTGACTCCCAGAAGGTAGGTTAGAAAAGAACGTGAAGCATCTGCCAGATTGTCTGGGGACACTCATGTAGGAGGAAGGCTTACACCCCTGACAGCTTCAGGTGAGCAGAGCACATGCCTGAGAGGGAGCGACACTCAAGGAGCCCCAGCTGCCCCATTCCCTGGCTGTTCGAGTTTTCTATCAGTGGTGTGAGTGAAGAAGCCCCAGGCATCTTCTGACTGTTTTGACTGTAGTTAAAAGACCTGGAGCAAGAATTCAGGAACCTCCTGGCTGAGCCCAGTCAACCCTTAGATTGAAAAGCAAACTAAAATTATTGTTTTAGTAACGTTTTACTTCTTTTTTTTGAGACAAGGTCTTACTCTGTTGCCTGAGAGTGCGGTGGTATGATCATAGTTCACTGTTACCTTGAACCGTTGGGCTCAAGCAATCCACCTGCTTCAGCCTCCAGAGTAGTTGAGATTTCAGGTGCACACCATCATGCCCAGATAATTTTATTTTTTTGTGGAGACAGGGTATTGCTATGTTGCCCAGGCTCGTCTCGAACCCTGACCAACTATTTTTGAGTGGTTTATTTACTGCACTAGACAAACAGAACGCCTTGTAGCTTAAGTAAAATGATGGGTCCTGTGCGTTGTATTTCCACATCCAACCTCTGCCAAGGAGAAACACTGAGAAGCTGCTGTTCTGATGGTACAGTTGCCTACAGATCCTCAGTTCCTGACCTTAACAATTCACACGATACCATTTTTTGGTTCTGGTTCATTATATTTGCAGAACTGAAAGGGTGTCACTCAAAATGAACCCAATAAATGTTTTTTGATTAATTCAACTTGATAAAATAGCTCTTGGTTTCTAATAAGTAAGAGGGGCTTGGGAAGGTCATGAATTGAGGGTACTTTGGGCAGCAGTAAGTTTTGGAATTGGATGTTGTCATTTGACCACTGTTTAGCATCAAATGAGTTTCAAGCAAGTGCTTGGACAAACAGTACCCCTGGCACGTGCTTCTCTGTTTTCTGGCTGCAGACTGCTCTCTTCTTTGTGTCAATAAAGACAATATTTTCCGCCTTGTTTTCAATTGTGAAACTCCAGTCTGAGACTCAGAAACTCTTTGCCACAACTGTAAAACTTAATAAGCTTAATTTCCATTGCTATTATTTATGTTCCTATTCTCTGTTGCATTAACTACACATAGATCAGTGTAGAGATGTGACTCTTGGGCTCCCTTTGTGTGCAAAAGCTTTCCAAGAGGGATTTTGAATACACTCTGCACTGTGCCTCTGAGACTGTGGTCAGAGCCCACAGATCTATCTCACAGTCAAGCTTCCTGAAGGGTCTTGCAATATATGCTAGGTTTTTGGGGGCTTTGTTGTCTAGCTGTTTTCCTATCTACTAAGTATTGATAATTCTTGTTGGTTTATGGCTGCTGTGTCAATGCAAAAATACCACACAAACCTTATCTGGAATTGTTCTGTAAGTGTAATTGATGGCTATGTAAATAGCATTGTAATTCCATTGTGCGTGAGTCCTTCACCTCCATAGCTTGAAGGGTTACAGCAAAAGGTGCACCTCCTTCCACGTGGGGATGGGCTCCTGGCTTCTTGCATCTCGCAAGCCTCCATGAGGTGAGTGAAGTGCTCCTGTGCTCCTGAAGGCTCACATTGCAATCACTGCCTGGGTGTCTTCATTAAGATGCTGTGCTGTGATGTGGGATATATAACAAATCATTTAGGAGCTCTCCTCCCACTATTGCCCTAGTGAATATAGGACCTGAGTTCACTTCACCCAAAATATCTTCTGCTCAGATGGTAACTGATATTAGCTACCAAACGGCTGCAGAGGGAAAGGCTAAGACGATATTCAGCTCTTGAGTCTAAAATTGAACTGTTTGGCAAAACAATAGCCTGGTAAAGTCAGCTATTGTCTTAATAATGGATTTTCCAAATTCATTTATTTCCACATTTGCCATATTAACAACTGGGCTTGGAGACCTTGGTTGACAGAATGCTCCTTTGGCTGTTTAGAAAAGCCATGAAGCCTTATCTGGAGACAAGAAGAAGGCAGGATGTAAGAGAAATAAAAGAAAGGCCTCTTCCTGTTTTCAGCAGGAGAGAAAGGGGGCAGAGGGAGGCATAGTAAGCAATGCAGTGTGGCCCAAGTTTCTTCCTTCTCTCAGCTCAGCTTGGGCCTACAGTGGGGCAGCGGGTGCCACATTGAACTACCACCACCACAGCAAAACCCCAGGATCCCTGGACTAAGAGACTCAAGGCTTTCCTGGCCCTATGTTTCCAAGTTAGTGTCTCCTACAGGTGCCTCATAAAAGCTTTTTGATAATGATAAAATCAAACTTAGGTATTGTGTTCAAAAGGAACATGATTAGGACCCTTTGGTGATGTATTAATCACGATATATATTTTGGTGATTTTCCAGAATAAATGAAACAAACTAACTTCAGGTTCAGTCTCTTTGCTGTGTTGGCACCTTGATATCTACCTTATTTACCTGGTAACCTGTGGCTGTGTTAAAAAGAAACTTGATGTGACAAAATGAGGAGGAGCATTAATTTTTTAACTGGTTATTACAAGCCACCAGGACCACAGCAGGACATAGAGTTGAGCTCAGAACTGATGATGAGGCTTTAATCATTTAAACTGAGAGCAGGTGGTAGGAGTGTGAGTTAAGGAACCAGCAGAGGGTGTTGAGGCCCGCGGAGACCATCAATAGCCGGTGGCGGTGGCGTCCTGAGCTCTAGGGCTGGGGAGGCAGGTGAAGACATGGTTCATAGCAGGAAGCCTGAGGACAGCTCTAAGCCCACTGTAGTTGCAGAGAAAGGCCCACATGGCTGGAGGCTGACAATCCTGAACTTTACCCAAGCCCTAGGATTCTGGAAAACAGAAAACCTTAAGAAATCTTCTACCCTTCGCATTCTGGGAAGCTGCTTACTGCAAGGAACTACCCTTCCCCACATGACCTAGATAAGAATCAAGGGAGTCCCTCCTCCCCCAGCCACCACCTTGTTTGCCTATGACAAAGCCAGACACAGACCCCCCAAATTCTTTGTTGGCCTCATAAATGATTAGCCGAACTGCTTGTCTTCACTGATCAATGAGAATAAAACGTTTGTTAATCAAGCTTTGGTTAAGCTTTTCCCTTCCCCCAGGTCCCTGAACATCGGCCCACCCTCTGTGTGAGCCAGTCTTCAGCCCCTCCAGGGACGAGGCTGGCCTTAGAGGCGACCATCCGTGAGCCACTGCCTGTCACGTGACCCCTTCATCCCACTCTCCCGTGCTTGTTTTTTTCTAGCCTTGTCTCCTCCTCCCTATACGAGAAAATCTCCTTTTGCCCAACTCCGGAGACACTTGCAGACTTTATCATCAGAGCTTTCTCCCAGTGCAACAGTCTCCCCACCCCGCAATAATTCTTCAGAATAAAATCTTTCCTTACTAAACCTGATTTTGACAAGACACAGCACCGAGACAGTAAGGAAGAAGGGAAGAAAGACCCTGACCCCTCTCTTCTTGCTGTCAAGTTCTCTGCCAGTGCCCTCATTGACTGAAGCCAACAGAGGCCCACAGGGAAGCCTTTCAGGGAAGGACAGGATAGAGCTGCACGGAGAAGGGGTGGGGTGTGGTGAGGGCTGGCATAGGGAGAGGAGATGGCATGCTGCTACTTAGGTCTCTTTTATTTTTTATTTTTCTTATACTAGGGTGGTGCCTCCAACTGTTTTTACCATCCTGCATTGGTTCTTCCAGTTCACACTGTGTATTTCTATGCCTCAGCTCCTCCTGAAATATCTTCATACTTTTCATATTCAGAAGCCATCACTGTAGAGAGTGATGGATTTTCCTTCAGATTTGTATATATGCATGCTGCATACACATATATACCTAGGCATATAAACAATTTCTTAACAAAAATAGTATCATATATCTAGGTCGGCAACTATCTTTTGTAGACTTAACAATAATGTCTTGAATGTCTTTCCATGTCAACATATTTAATTTTTCTTCATTGATAAAACTTTAATTGGTTCCCTTTTTTTTTCTTTTTGAGACGGAGCCTCACTCTGTCGCCTAGGCTGGAGCGCAGCGGTGTGATCTCTGCTTACGGCAACCTCCACCTCCCGAGTTCAAGTGATTCTCCTGTCTCAGCCTCCCGAGTAGCTGGGATTACAGATGCATGCCACCACGCCTGGCTAATTTTTGTATTTTTAGTAGAGATGGGGTTTCACCATGTTGCCCAGGCTGATCTCGAACTCCTGACCTCAGGTGATAGGCCTGCCTAGGCCTCCCAAGATGCTGGGATTACAGGTGTGAGCCACTGGGCCTGGCCATTAGTTCCTAATTTTTTCACCATTATAAACCATGAGGCAAAAAAATGTTATTCATATTTCTTTGCATATTTGTGTGAGTTTTTCAGTTGGAAAAATTCTTAGATGTGAAATTGTTAAAGAATATGAATATTAAACATTTTAATAGATGTTTCAATTTTTCCTTCCAAAAAATTAGCACAATTTCACACTGCCACTCGCAGCACATGACAGAACTTGTTTTCCCATGTTCTTGCCAATACCCAGTATTATTAACTTTTTGACCACTACCAATTTGATAGTTGAAAAATGATGTCTTATTGTTATCTGAATTTAATTATTTGTGAGTTTGATCAGTGTTTCCAGTGATTAATGGCCACTCCTTTTGTGTCCTCCGTGAAATGAATCCTAACACCTCTTGCCCCATTAAAAATGGATGTGATAGCTTTCCTTGTTGACGGAGAAGAAAATTTCATAGTATCAAGGAGATTTGCCTATTGTCATATAGGCTGTAAATATTTATTTAGTTTTTTCTTTTACTTCTTAAAGTTTACTTATTTTTCTGATGTAGGTAATTAATTTTCTATTTAAAATATTATATATCTATCTATTACATATCTTTGTGTACAATAGTTATTTTTCTTTCTATGTGTATATTTACCGTTTACTTTATAACTGTTGCTTTGAGCTGAGAAAAGCTTTTGTTTTTTTTCTTTTGAAACAGTGTCTTGCTCTGTCACCCAGGTTAAAGTGCAGTGGCACGATCACTGCAGCCTCAACCTCTGGAGCTCAAGTGATCCTCACACCTCAGCCTCCTGAGTAGCTGGGACTACAGGTGTACACCATCATACTCAGTTAATAATTTTTTTTTTTAAACATGGAGATGAGATCTTACTATGTTGCTGGTCTTGAACTCTTGGGCTTCAAGCAACCTTCCCACTTCAGCCTCCCAAAATGCTGGAATTATAGGCATGAGCCACCATGCCCAGCCAGAAAACATCTACTGTGCTAAAATTATACAGATATTTAAATGATTTTTTTCCCCATTATCTTAATGTTTTACCTTTAAGTGCTTGTTCCATTTGGACTTTATGTTAGTGTTAGAAGCGTGGTAAAAATACAGATTTATTTATTTATTTTTCAAATGGCTAGTGAGTTCTGCCAACACTATTAATAATAAATGTCTTTCCTCCTGTTCATTTGCAGCCCTTTATTATGTGCTAAATCTACCTATGCAGTTTCTAATGTGAGTTCTATTTTCTTCCAGCACTATTTCTCTGCGTCATCACCATACCAGTTTAATTATTATTTTAAATGTTGCTATTCTCTTTGTTCCTTAGAATTTTTCTGAGTATTTGAAAATATACCCTTCTAAATAAACTCTGGAACAATTTTACTAAATTCTAAAAATAATTTTAGAAATGTGATTATATTCACACTTAACCCAAATATTAATTAATGGAGAATTTTAGTCCTTTATAACATTGAGTGCTCCCATTGTAAACAAGTCATAACCCCGAATGTCATGCAGTAACATTGTATCATGTGTTTCTCACGGTTTCTTTAACTTCCTGATAACCTGAGACTGGGGCTATTTATTGAAAGTATTCAGACATGGCAGCAGAATTGAAAAGGGCTGGAAGATTTCACTTCCAGCAGTTTGCAATATTTTCTTTGTATAAGGAGTTTCCAAGATGATTTAGAAATGAAGATTTTCATATACGGGTCCACTGTATGATTTGACATAGAGTTTATCTTGCGTAGGAGTGGTTCCTAAGTGCACTGCTTACCACATCAATCAGAACCGTTGCCAAGGACTCGTCAACGTATTAGCCATATCCAGCAACACAACTTTCTCCCCATCCATCATGCCCAGGCATGAAGGGAAGGGTAAGGGTAGCGATCCTCTAGGGAGAAGGGGTTTACTCGGTGGCAATCTGAGAGACGTGCTAACTATTCCTAATGTAGAATAGAAAGCACAGAGAAGTTGAATACGTAGGAAAATGGAGACAGGAGGACACTTTTCCAGCTACTGAAGACTTAGTGGTCCTTGAAACAGAGACTTGTAATTCTGTTCAAGTGTTGTGAATCACAAGAACCCCAGACACATGTACATTAAAATGTAAGAGTGAATTCCATTCCAAATTCAGTTATATTTTGGATTATCCACTGTCTTTAAATATTTCCACAACTTCACTCTACTTCCAGCTCCTTCAGTCCCATTTCCCTACCTATAATTCTCTTTCATACACAAACATTAAA
Source organism: Homo sapiens (assembly GCF_000001405.40). Taxonomy (NCBI): domain Eukaryota; kingdom Metazoa; phylum Chordata; class Mammalia; order Primates; family Hominidae; genus Homo; species Homo sapiens. The sequence continues at coordinate 106,310,760 of NC_000013.11, read as the reverse complement.
ATATGTGCTCTTTCTCGGAAAAAAAGTTGGCTTAGAAAGGGTGAGTGAATAATTTTTCTTTTCAAGCTGCTCCTAAATTTCTATTGGATTACCCTTGTGTATCTGTGCCAACCATTTACCAGTCTATCCACATTGCAAAATCCAGGACCATTAAAAAGGAAATTAATTTGAAAATTCATTATAAATTAGACATATTTTGTGCTGTCTTCTTTTAGTGTGTAATGATGTAACAGTTCATCTGCTCTTGCTAGGTTGTTATTTCCAAGCCAAAATATCTTGTGATGAGAAGGAAAAACAAGCTCATACAAAATATGAGAGATCACTTGAAGGGGTTTCCATACTACCCTGAACCACCACCCTTTTTTCTTGCCAATAGCTTTCTTTGCCAAAATAGACTCTGATTATGGCAGTAAATTTGGATAACTTATGTTATATTTTTGGGAGGAGAGAATATTCACAAAAAATAGTTTACAAAATTAAGAATGACTTGGAAACCACAATATGAAAAATATCAGAAAGCCTACAAGTGCTATATTTTATATCACTTGCAACTGGTTCTTGAAAGGTTAGTTCCTACAATTTTATCTCCATAATATAGTATGTGGTTTACCAGCTTACATGTTGCCTGTAAAGTAATTTAATTGTCAAATAAGAAGGATGTTTTAAAAGTAGGAAAAAAAGAAAAGAATGATTTTAAAATTTTGGAGTGTCATTAATACAGGGTAACATAGGCAATAATCTGATATTAATGCCTATTTTTTTGTGTTCGAGTGTATCATCTTTCCTTTGAAATAATTTTAAAAAATACTGTTTCTCCTTAAAACAATTGCATTTGGATCTTTAAAGAATTTACAGACTAAAATATTTTATTGTAAGAATTTTGTTGCATTCAGAAGGAGAGAAAATTGTAGTAAATCCCCAGAAAAACATGTGTTAGTTTCCTCTAGATGTTGTAACAAATCACCAAAAACATGGTGGCCTGAAACAGCAGAGGTTTATTCTCTTACAGTTCTGGACTTGGCTGAAATCAGTGTGTTACCAGGACTGCACTTGCTGCTAAGACTCTCGGAGAGAATTTGTTTCTAGCTTCTTCCATTTTCTGGTGGTTGGTGGTACTACTCGGTTTGTGACCACACCACTCCAATTTTCTTTCTTTCTTTTTTTCTAAATTTTATTATACTTTAAGTTCTAGGATACATGTTCACAATGTGCAGGTTTGATACATAGGTATACATGTGCCAGTTTGGTTTGCTGCACCCATCAATTCATCATTTACATTAGGTATTTCTAATGCTATCCCTCCCCCAGCCCCCACCCTCCAGCAGGCCCTGGTGTGTGATGTTCCCCGCCCTGTGTCCAGGTGTTCTCACTGTTCGATTCCCACCTATGAGTGAGAACGTGTGGTGTTTGGTTTTCTATCCTTGCGATAGTTTGCTGAGAGTGATGGCTTCCAGCTTCATCCATGTCCCTACAAAGGACATGAACTCATCCTTTTTTATGGCTGCATAGTATTCCATGGTGTATATGTGCCACATTTTCTTAATCAAGTCTATCATTGATGGACATTTGGGTTGGTTCCAAGTCTTTGCTATTGTGAATAGTGCCACAATAAACATACGTGTGCATGTGTCTTTGTAGTAGCATGATTTATGATCCTTTGGGTATATACCCAGTAATGGGATGGCTGGGTCAAATGGTATTTCTAGTTCTAGATTCTTGAGGAATCACCACACTGTCTTCCACAATGGTTGAACTAATTTACACTCCCACCAACAGTGTGAAAGCATTCCTATTTCTCCACATCCTCTCCAGCATCTGTTGTTTCCTGACTTTTTAATGATTGCCATTCTAACTGGTGTGAGATGGTATCTCATTGTGGTTTTGATTTGCATTTCTCTGATGACCAGTAATGATGAGCATTTTTTTCTTGTGTCTGTCGGCTGCATAGATGTCTTCTTTTGAGAAGTGTCTGTTCATATCATTTGTCCACTTTTTGATGGGGTTTTTGTTTTTTTATTGTAAATTTGTTTGAGTTCTTTGTAGATTCTGGGTATTAGCCTTGTCAGATGAGTAGATTGCAAAAATTTTCTCCTATTCTGTAGGTTACCTCTTCACTCTGATGGTAGTTTCTTCTGCCGTGCAGAAGCTCTTTAGTTTAATTCGATCCCATTTGTCTATTTTGGCTTTTGTTGCCATTGCTTTTTGTGTTTTAGTCATGAAGTCCTTGCCCATGCCTATGTCCTGAATGGTATTGCCTAGGTTTTCTTCTAGGGTTTTTATGGTTTTAGGTCTAACATTTAAGTCTTTAATCTATCTTGAATTAATTTTTGTATAAGGTGTAAGGAAGGGATCCAGTTTCAGCTTTCTACGTATGGCTAGCCAGTTTTCCCAGCACCATTTATTAAATAGGGTATCCTTTCCCCATTTCTTGCTTTTGTCAGATTTTTCAAAGATCAGGTGTTTGTAGATATGTGGTGTTATTTCTGAGGCCTCTGTTCTGTTCCATTGGTCTATATATCTGTTTTGGTACCAGTACCATGCTGTTTTGGTTACTGTAGCCTTGTAGTATAGTTTGAAGTCAGGTAGCATGATGCCTCCAGCTTTGTTCTTTTTGCTTAGGCTTGTCTTGGCAATGTGGGCTCTTTTTTGGTTCCATATGAACTTTAAAGTAGTTTTTCCAATTCTGTGAAGACAGTCATTGGGGACTTGATGGGGATGGCATTGAATCTGTAAATTACCTTGGGCAGTATGGCCATTTTCACAATATTGATTCTTCCTATCCATGAGCATGGAATGTTCTTGCATTTGTTTGTGTCCTCTTTTATTTTGTTGAGCAGTGGTTTGTAGTTCTCCTTGAAAAGGTCCTTCACATTCCTTGTAAGTTGGATTCCTAAGTATTTTATTCTCTTTGTAGCAATTGTGAATGAGAGTTCACTCATGATTTGTCTCTCTGTCTGTTATTGGTGTATAGGAATGTTTGTGATTTTTGCACATTGATTTTGTATCCTGAGACTTTGCTGAAGTTGCTTATCAGCTTAAGGAGATTTTGGGCTGAAACAATGGGGTTTTCTAAATATACAATCATGTCATCTGCAAACAGGGACAATTTGACTTCCTCTTTTCCTAATTGAATACCCTTTATTTCTTTCTCTTGCCTGATTGCCCTGGCCAGAAATTCCAACACTATGTTGAATAGGTACACCACTCCAGTTTTCAAGACCAGCATCTTCAACTCTCTCTTCTCCATTTTCCTATCACTTTCTCCACTGTCTGTGTTTAATACACCTCTGCCTGTCCCATAAGGATACATGTGATTGCATTTAGGGCTGACTGGATAATCCAGGATAATCTCCCATGTCAAGATCCTTAAACTAATCACATCTTCAAAGACTTCTTTTTTGGGGCACATAAGGTAACATTCACAGGGCCCAGGAATAGCAAGTGGATATATTTTGGGCCACCAACCATTTTTGAGCCTGCCATAATACTACTACCTAGATCTAATTGAGGCAGGAGCATGGGGTCTGGAGGCAGGGACTCTAAGGCTGATTTACGCTGACTTCCTAGAACTGAATCTAAGGAAACCGCCCCCTTCCATGCCTAAGTATGGATCAGAGGATCAGAGGCTACTCCCTTTGCAGTCATCCCCCTACTTTCCACTGTGTGGCAGAGGAAAAATGGAAAGTACTTCTTATTGGTCTCCTCCTGCAATCAATCAGACTGGTCTCAGGTCACTCGTTCATTTGCATAGGGTATAACCACGTAACAAATGGGAAACCTCTAGGGGGTATTTAAACCCCAGAAAATTGCTTAGCCAGCACTCTTGAGCTGCCTGATTGAGTGTACTTTTGTTTCAATAAAGCTCTGCTTTTATTGCTTCATTCTTTCATTGGTTTATTTGTGCATTTTGTCCAATTCTTTGTTCAAAATGCCAAGAATTTGAACAATTTGTAGTCGAGACCCTCCCCAAGTAACATAATTTTTGACCAATTGTTTTGCTTCGTAAGTTAAGTTATTGACAGCTTGACATTTACACCTGAATATTTCAGGTGTGTTGCAGAGAAACAAGAATATGTACCTCATAGTGATAATTCACAATGTGGAATTAACACCAATTTCTTATAGCATCTAATATTCAATCCATAACCACCTTTCCCTAATTTGCTCTTGAAATATCTTTTACCATTTAAGATCAGGGGTTTTTATATCACATTTGAAGTGGGTTCCTCTGTGCCTCTTTTTTCCCCTTTGACATTGATCTGATGAAGAGATCTAAAAGATTTCCTGTATCCTCCCTCTGGACTTGGGTGGTCAATTCTTCACGGTAGTGTTTAACTTGCTTTTCTGTCCCCCATATATTCTATCAATTGGAATGTAGGTCTACAAATTTGATTGCATTCACGCTGCTCATTTTGGCAAGAGTGTTTCATAGATGATGGTGTGTATCCCATACTACATCATGTAGGAGGCATATAGTGATAGTGGCTCAGTATTAATGATGCAAAGATTAGTCATTCCATCTGATGGATTTGTTTTAACTGTATTTCAGTCTCTTCCCTATCTAAGTCTAATGAATAGAATATTATCCTTGGCGTCATCTTATTAAAAGATAATTATCCAGTTAACTTTAAAAACTAAGTTATTTTGATTGCAAAAGTAATTAATAATAGTTGCAAACATTCAGAGACAGAAAGGATATGAAGAAGCCATTGGAAGTTCCATGTAATTCTACCATTCACACTGTTAGTGTTTATTTACCACTGTGTGTGTTTGTGTGTGTGTATCTTTCCCATAAAGTGTGTGGTTAAATTATTAAAATTTTTGAACTACCAGCTAACTATGAGTTTGAATCTCATGGATTAGTTCTTAAACATTGTTGACATCAAGCATATAAATAATACTTAATATTTTTTAGAAGAATGTGTTTCTTGGTGATACATATGGAGATACATTAATATTAATATTGAAAAATCACTCAGCTTTTTTTCTGGACTCAAAAATCCCTTTGGGGTTGTTGCTCTGTCACTTTGAAAAGAGCACGGGTTTGAAGGGAAACATGGTCCCATAACGTAGAGTAATAAGAACCATTAGGAAGCAGATGCTAATTATGTTAGGGGAAAAATGAGGACACCACAGAATAAAGGAGGCAGGAAGAAGTGCCGTTTGAGACAGAGCATAAGGCGAGAGAAATGGTGTGTCAAACTTTAAATGAGAGAATGGCTGAAAAGGCCTTTTAGTCAGAAAACAATTATGTACAAAGGCAGAAAGATTTTTTACCTTTTTAAAATAATTTTATTAGAAAGAATTCTAAAAAGAAAACAATGTATCCAGCTCCAGTGTATCCATATCTCAACTTCAACAGTCGTCAACCCTTGCTCAGTCTGGTTTCATATACATCCCATCCACTACTAACTCTCCTCATGCTATTTAGAAGCCAATCCCAAACATTAGCTCATTTCATCCTTCAATATTTAAAATGTTTCTCTAAAAGATAATAAAATAAAAAACAAAGCGCTATTACTCAGCTAAAGCAAATAACAACAATTTCTTAATGTCATCAAATATTTAAGGCTATTTCCATTTTTATATATGCCAATATATAGGGTTTTAAAAAAATTAAATCAGGATCTAAATAAACTCTATCCATTGCTGTTAGTCAACATGTCTTTAAGAGCCTTCCTCTTTTTTAAACTGAGAAATAATTACATACAATGAAATTAACAAATCTTGAATGTGTGATTTGGTTAGTTTTACAAATATATTCACCCTCCTAACCTACACCTGATCAAGATATAGAACCTTTCTTCAACCGAGAAAGTTCCCTTATTCATATCTGTCTCTTGCCTTCACAGGCAACTACTGCAGAAAATGGAAAAAAAAATCTTTCCAAAAAATTGAGATAGGAAAAACTCCATAAATTTATAGATAAACAGTGCCTCAACTCCTACTTCACAGAAACTTTCTAGGATTAGTGTCTGCATGGTGTGTTAGTCCCATGATTCCACTTTTAACCTGTGTCTTCATGTTAAAGTGTGTCTCTTACAGATAGAAAATGATTGGTTTTTGTGCATTCCACCTCCCTCCTCCACAGTCTGTGGGTCTTTGCCTTTCAGTTGAGTGTTTAGTTCCTTTACATTTAATGTAACTATTCATATAGTTGGATTTATGTCTATGTTGTGATTTACTTTCCAATTTTTCTATCTGTTTTTGGTTTTCTTGTTTCTTCTTTCTGCCTTCTTTTGGGCTAACTGAATATTTTTTAGCACTAATTGTTAATTCCTCTATTAATTTTTAAGCTATTTTTTAGTACTAAGTTATTTTTTAGTACTTGCTCTTGGGATTATAATATTTACATTTAATACAGTCTACCTAGAGTTAATATTGTAACATTTCCCCAAAAAACGTAAGTTTTTTTACAACTACAGAGTTTTATTTGTTTATTCCATAGTTCCCTTTGTTGTTTATTCTGTTGTCATATGTCTTGCACTGACATACATTAAAAGTGCACAGTGCAATGTTAATATTTTTGCTTTTAACAATCAGTTGTTCTGAAAGGAGTGGCGGCTTAAAAAACCAATTGTCTGTGGAAACAACTAAGAGAAAAAAGTAGTCTTTTATATTTACCCATATTATTTACATCTTTTGGTGTCTTCATTTTTTAGTGCAGATTCAAGTTTCCTCTGAGCCTGAAAGACTTCCTTTAGCAATTCAGGTTTCTTGGTGATACATTTTGCCAGATTATGTTTATCTGAAAATGTGTTTATTTTGTCCTCATTTTTAAGGATTTTTTTTTTCTGGATATAGAATTCTGAATTGATAAGTTTTCCCCAGTACCTTAAAGAGCCCATTTCACTATCTTCTGGCTTTTTTTTTTTTTTTCTGGATGAAAGTCAGTTGCCATTTGTATTATTATTCTTCCATTAGTTATGCATTGTTTTTCTCTGAGTGCTTTCAAAGAAAACTACACTGTTAGTTTGCTGTGGCTGCCATAACAAAATACCAGAGATTAGGTGTCTTAAACAATAGAAATTTTCTCACAATTTTGGAGGCTAGAAGTCAAAATCAAGGTGTCAGCAGGGTGAGTTTCTTCTTTTTTTAAAATTTGTATAAATATGTGGGGTACAAGTGCAATTTTGCTATATGCATAGATTGCATGGTGGTCAAGTCAGTGCTTTTAGGGTATCCATTACCCAAATTACATAAAATGTACCCATTAAGTAAGTTCTCATCATCCACACCCTCCACCTGCTCAGTCTTCTGAGGCTTCACCCTCTGTATCATTAGGGTGAGTTTTCTCTGAGGCCACTCTCCATGGCTTGCAGATGGCCATCTTGTGGTTGTGTTCTCACATCATTTTGCCTCTGTGCGTGCACGTGTCTGGTGTCTTTTTTGCGTAGAAATTCCTTCTTGTTTTAAGGACACCAGTCATAGTAGATTAGGGCTACCCTGCAGACCTCATTATACTTTAACTACCTCTTAAGATGCTCTATCTACAAATACAGTCACATTCTGGAGTACTGGAAAGTAGGACTTCAATATATAAATTTTAGAAGACAGCAGATACAGTTTAGCTCATAACACACACCTAGGCATATTTAGACAGGAGTCTTTGTGTTGTTTGCCTTTGTCACTATTAAGAATGCAAAAAACTCATGCCAATAAGAAATGCTTATAAAACTTTTAAAAGAGCCACACAAATGTACTTTTGATTATGCAATGTCATCATAAAGGAATGAAGAATGAATAATTTAATATTTCACCCCAATCTGTTTCACTTACATAACACCAAACATCATTTTGTTTCAGATTTCTTTTTCTTTCCCTTTCTGTCTCCTCTTTCATATTTATACGTAGACCAAACGTCAAACTGACAGACTATATTTTTTCTTTTTTTTTGAGATGTTTTGACAATGAACATACAAGTCACCAAAACAGGCTCAAATATTAACATGAGACACTTTTCTCATTGTAATTGTGCTCAGCGATGGTATCAATGAGTGAGTAAATTTCTAATTATCCAGAAGCTTGACCGTGTGTATTCCAGGGGACTGCACTCTTACAGGAATGGGTGCTCTGTTCCTGTTCTAATGAGAACACTTGGACACAGGAAGGGGAACGTCACACACTGGGGCCTGTTGTGGGGTGGGGGAGGGGGGAGGGATAGCATTAGGAGATATACCTAATGTAAATGATGAGTTAATGGGTGCAGCACACCAACATGGCACATGTATGCATATGTAACAAACCTGAACGTTGTGCACATTTACCCTAGAACTTGAGGTATAATACAATAAAAAAAAAAAAAAAGAAAATCTTCTTCTGCATACTGAATAGGTCAGAAATAGGAAAAAAAAAAGTCTAAAATTTGTTTTCAGTATGACACAGTAGTAGACATTTAACTGGGTTTGTAAATTCTCTTTTTGAAATGCAATGGTCCTAGGAGGGTTAATCTCACTAGTAATTTACATCTTAAAACATCTACTCTAAAAAGACAGCTTTCCTCCAAAATACCTTACTGAGCACAATTGCCCTGAGCACAAAGGTTGAGGAAAAGGTGTTGCCAAGAACTGAGTCACTTGCAGGTTCTTGGAAGAAGGCAAGTGTGTGAGCACAATGTATTGGGCTTTGTGTATCCAGATGAAAATATGACGGTTCTGAGTATTTGGAGAAGCAAAGAAATGATTCAGGAAATACTTTTGCCCAGGATCCCACTGTATCTGAAAATCATATTTTGTGCCACTTTTATTTGAGACACACCAAATATCTGAATAATTGAATGAGCATTGGAGTTTCCATTGATATGTCTGGTTGTTTGGAGTTTCCTATTGTTCAGAAAGCACTATGGAAAAAGCACTATGGAAAGAAAACAAATAAAATATTTGATTCCTACTCTGCAGGAACTTCACCTCTGCTAAAAAAATGGAATCTGGGAAGTTTGTAGAAAGGTTTAACAAATTCAACTTTTTTTTTTTTTTTTTTTTTTTTTTTTTTTTGGCAGCATCTCACTCTGCAGCCCAGGCTGGAGTGTAGTGGCACAATCATGGCTCACTGCAGCCTCGAACTTCCTGGGTCAGGTGATCCTCCCACTTCAGCCTCCCGAGTAGCTGGGACCACAGATGTGTGCACCACCATGCCCAGCTAATTTTTTGTATTATTTTTTAGAGACGGGGCTTTGCCATGTTGCTCAGGCTGATCTCAAACTCCTGGGCTTAAGAGATCCTCTTGCCTCAGCCTCTCAAAGTGCTGGGACTACAGGTGTCAGCCACTGTGCCAGGCCACATTTATCAAGTTTTGATCTAGCTCCTTTTATGTGTAGTCGCTATTTTATACTCTGGAGGTGAATTGACAAATAGATAAACATTCCTACCTTTGCAACTCCTATTCTAGTGGGTGAGACAGATTATAAACAATAAATAACTAGAATACACAGCATGTTAGAAATTGTTATTTCTATTTAGTATGTTAAAAACTATGTACTATGGTAGGTGTTGTTAAGTGCTAACAACAGCGTAAGGGTAACAGGAATATGTGGTGAAGGTGAGATTGTGTTACTAAGCAGGAGTCATGAAGGGGCTCACTGAGGAAGTCTCACTGAAGCTAAGACTTGATGGAGGTGGGGGAACCAGTGGTATAGATTTGGAGTGAGTGTAAAGAGCAATCCAGGCAAAGGGAATATGCAAGAAAGAGCAAAGGTAGAAGTATGCCCTATCGCGATAGGACAAGCAAGTTGGCTGATGCTGTGGAGTTGGGTAAAGAGGGAGATAATTAAGAAGAGGTGATAGCAAGGTAATGGGGATAGACTGGGTGGGGCTTTGTAGGTCTTTGAAAATAATTTGGAGTATTCTCTGAATTAAATGAGAAACCACTGGGTGGTGTTAAGCAGAGGAATTACAGCAACGGTCACCAACCGCTTTTTGGCATCAGGTGCAGTTTCGTAGAAGACAATTTTTCCACTGACCCAGTTGTGGGGGTGATGGTTTCTGGAGGATTCAAGTGCATTATGTTTATTGTGCACTTTATTTCTATTATTGTTACACTGCAATATATAATGAAATAGTTATATAACTCACCATAATGTAGAGTCAGTGGGAGCCTTGAACTTGTTTTCCTGCAACTAGATGGTCCCATTTGGGGGCGATGGGAGACACTGACAGATCATCAGGCATGAGATTCTCATAAGGAGCATGCAACCTGGATCCTAGACCCCAACCTAGATCCACAGTTCCCAATAGGGTTTATGCTCCTATGAGAATCTAATGCCATGCTGATCTGACAGCAGGCAGAGCTCAGGTGGTAAATTCAAGCCATGGGGAGTGGCTGTAAATACAGATAAAGCTTCGTTGTCTCCCTGGCTGCTTACCTCCTGCTTGTGCGGCCAGGTTCCTAACTGGCCCTGGACTGTGACCCCGGGGCTTAGAGACCCCTGAATTACAGGATCTGACATGTTTATGAAGCTCTCACTGGCTGCCTCATGGGGAACAGAGGGTGAGGAGAAAAATGGCTGGAGGTAGGGAGACATTTGTTGAAGGCCATTGCACTAATCCCGGTCAGACTATGGCACCCAAGGATTGCGGCAATGAGAGAAAAGAGAAGTGGTTGCATTTGGATATACTTTCAAGGTGAATTCAACAGAATTTCATTTGGTTTTGGCTGTAAAGTAGGAAAGAAATTGTGTAGTCAGTGGTGATTCCAAGGAAGCTGAGGAGATGGAGTTACTGTAAATTGAGAGGGAATGTTCGGGGAAGCAGGACTGGAGGTCAAAATCGATGTCACATTAATTTTGTTTTTAATATCCATGTAAGAAGTGATTTGGAAACAATCTCAAAAGAACTAAAATTAAGGAAAATCTGGCCCTGTTTGGACAAGCAAACATGTCTGTGTTTGGGATATAGTGAGCTTTCTTTTGATGTATCTTGATCTGTGGTATTCTCTGTGTAAAACCTCAGAGTGACGCTAAGGCCTCTGTGGTCAGTTATGAAATATTTGCGCTTGTTGGATTTATTTATCCTAAGAAAACACAGAAACATATTGAATTGAAGGTTATCCATTTAGTGGTAATAACTCACGAACTGAAATTTTAAATTTCAGTATTTCAACACTTTATAATCTCTATGAGGTCACGGCAATCTGTTGAGTTCTGATAGATCTTTTAATATCTGCATTTATTTCTGTTTCAGGAATACCTCAGAGCCCTAATTTTGTGCCCAGTTCCTGTAACTCTTCTTATACTCTCCATCTGCTATCATCTTCCATTATCTGCTTCATGGCCTCTAATTTCCATCTTTACCATTCAGAAGATTATATATGCACATTTGATTTTCAGCCATTTCCAATCCTTTGGAAAAGTCAGGTTAAATTGAATAGAAAATTTGACAGCGCATCTAACATATATAATGAATAACAGGCTATTTGGGGTTTTTGTACGCTTATTATCATTATTTTGGTATGATTAAATTCTATTTTCAAATCACAGGCCAAACTGTACACTGAGGTAAATTTCTAATTGTGGAAATACCACATTCCCCGGGCTCCTCAGGATGTGGTGCTGGATGGGCAAAGGGACTCAGGTATGGGGAGCAAGAAAGAGGGGGTGGATTAGTTTTCTAGGGGCCGGCATAATGAATACTAGGGACTTGGTGGCTTTGATGATAGAAATTGACTTCTTCATCATCCCGGGCAGTAGAAGCCCAAGATCAAGGTGTCAGTGGGGTTGTTTGTCCTGAGGCCACTCTCCTTGGCTTGTGAATGGGCTCTTCCAGAGTTTTCACAAGGTGTCTTCTGTGTGTGTCTCTGTCCTTACCTCTTCTTATAAGAGCACCAGTCACACTGGATTCGGGTCCATGCATATGTCCTCATTTTAACTTAATTATCTCTGTAAATATCTTGTCTTCAAATGCAGTCACATTCACATGTTCTGTGGGGTTAGGACTTCAACATGTACATTTTGAGGGGACATAATTCAGCCCATAATACGGGGGAATAGGCTTGAAGCCTTTCACCTTCAGTGAAAAACAGCCCTCAGAAATGAAAGCCCACAGCTCCAAAGAGGAGCCCATGACTTTAGGATTGTCAGGACATGTCCCCCGCCCTCTCATGCCTTCTGACACCGATTCTGAAACCAGCAAGTCAGGGCACTTCAGTTCATTTTTGAGGGACCTCTTTTGTGTTTAGAGATCAGAAAGCATAAAAAAAATTCAGTAATAAATGAAACTAAGGGATTGATGACATTTTATTAATGCCAATAACAACAATTCATAATTGGTGAAAAATGTGTTTTATTTTGACAGTTTGGCATTACATATGTGATTCCTCCTTCAACATTAGCCCCACATACGTTGTCACTGTTTATACTTTCTCCACGATTCAAGTAATATGATATTTTTAAGGGTATAATGATATAATCTTAATTAAAAAACTACTTCCTAAAACAAAACATTTGTAAGAAGAATGGCATTTTTTACATTTCTGCACAACTTTGTGATGTTGGGCTTCATTTCAAGGCTGCTGAATTCCCACATGTGCTTCTTCAATTTATTGCAATGTGTTGCTTTGGTTGAAGTGGATGAAGAAAATCCAGCCTCACAAATGTGTAGTGGGAAGGAGTATTACAATGCCTTTCCTGGTATTTAGGGATTGTCCACTTTGATACTACACCAAAACTCAACAAGTGGCTGTTATAAAGATTAGTTACAATGTGGAATCTGAAACTATGCAAATGGACTTTTGGGGGAGTTACATCAAAATCCACTGGTCTAGCTTGTACTTTGAATGAAACTTTGACACAATTTTAAAGTAAAAGTTATTTTCCATGAAGAATACTAAGCTAGTACACTGCTTTTCCTTGAGACAACCATTGTATTTTGGTATGCAACAAAAGTACTGTGTGCACACTTTCCATTTTGCCATATGGAATATTAAAAAAGACATAAACAAGGGTTGAGATTTATAAAATTAATAGTTGTGTTACTCTATTAAGGCTACCTGAAAATGAAACTGGTGTTTTTCTTCTATTGCAAATGCATGCTGGTGAGGAATGCCATGTCTACTAGCACTCTACCTACAGGTGGGTCCCACTGGCTTAATTCAGGCCAAGATGTTAGCAGTTTTATCCACCATTGGTTTTGGTTCATCAGAGCAAACACCAACATAATGTGTATTGCATTGCTATAAAGAAATTTATGAAGTAAAGAGGTTTAATTGGCTCACAGTTCTGTAGGCTGTACAGGAAGCGTGGCAGCATCTGCTTGGCTTCAATCATGGCAGAAGGCAAAGGGCAAGCTGGCACTCCTTACATAGCTGGAGCAGGAGGAAGAGAGAGAGAAGGGAAGTGCTACACACTTATAAACAACCACACCTTGTGGGAACTCTATCATGAGAACCTCAGTAGGAGGATGGTGCTAAACCATTAGAAACTGTCCTCCATGATCCAATCACCTCCCACCAGACCCCACCTCCAACAATGGGGATTACAATTCAACATGAGATTTGGGTGGGGACACAGATCCAAACCACAGCATAATGGAAAAGGGAAATGATATCTTAGTATTATTATGAAGACAGTTTTATCTCCCAGCTCCTCTGAAAGCATTCCCTGAAAGATGTCCAGGGATCACACTGATTTCTGTAATACTGTTTTACATCAGGCTTGATATGTGCAAGGTAAGTGTTGTGCATAGATCACATTATCGAACCTTCAAGACAAACCTAGAGTCTTCTGCTTTTATTACTTTGCAGATGAGGAATCTCAGGCATAGAGAGGCTGAGCCACTTATTCAAGATTGCATGGCTCATAAATGTAACATGTGCACCTGGGATTGGAGCCAGCCCTCTGGTTTCAGTGCATGTGGTTTGCGTCTACACTGTCCTTATCTGCCTTTTGCTTATCTCCCATCAACTAATATCAGCTTATGTTTAATTATAATGATACATTCCCTCTCTCAAACATTATTTAAAATGACACCTCTTTTCAAAGAAATGAGAATACTGTATTCACAGTGTAGCTTTTAAATTGTGTCCGGGTTTTCTAACCACAATTATTAAGTTTTGCTCTTTTTAATACCTAGTTAACCATGCTCTTTGTATTAATATATTTAGAGAGAACATGTGTTGAACCATTTGCTTTATGGCAAACTACATTTAAATGTATTTGTAAACAGATCACACAAACCCATGAAGAGAAAATTTGGAATTCCACATTCCATGTGGAATGAAAACATTTCATTTGGATGTAAAACAAAAATAAAGGGAACAAGGATACTGGTGGAAGGCCTGGGTTGTAGCACTCCCTCAGCAGAGAGTTCTCAGCAGTAAAGGTGACTACCTTGACATGGTCTTTTAATTACACATTTCTGTTTTTTTAAGGCTTAAAGATTTTATTTTATTTTTCCCCTTTGGCAGTGGACAGTTACTGAAATCAAAGTGCCCAACCCAAGATCAGGAGTATTAGAAGTTCTTCCTCCTTAAACCGTTGACTCGGGGGAAGGAAGACTGGGCTGTGGGAGGTTTTCATTGCTTCCTTCCTCTAAGGAGCATCAACAAGGGTGCCCACTAATCCTCCAGCCCTGCAGCCTAATGCGTCTTGTGACTGCCGGGCCAGCTTAGGAGGATTGAGCGATGGGGCTCTAGGCTGCCTGGACTCTCGGGAATAATAGCTGCAAATCCTCCTCCAGCGAACTCAGCTTTCATACAGCCTTTAAAAATCTCATTGCATCTTCACTGCCATGCAGGAGTCCTGTGCTGAGAGACACCTTCATTTTAAGGACTCAGGTTATCCCTTTAAGTCAGTTACTAAATCCTGCTGCCTGGCGCTCTGAGTTTCTCAACTTACAGTGAGGACATTCCCTGGAGCTCCTTTGCCCACAAAGGATCTCCTCCCTGAATCTCTGCAGAGGAGATTCAGCTGAAATACTACCCTTGGGCAGGCAGCATGGAAGCAGATGGGTGGTGTGGCCCCATTTTCCACCTGGCTCTCTTCTGTACACTCTCTTCACTGCTGCTGTGCCCTGCAACCCAATGACTACTGCACTCAAGCATGGCCCTGACTCCAGTGAACCCTGAGGTCTGACTGCTGGGTCTTCACCTTGATGGTGCCGGGAGCAGCCATCATCTCCTTGACTCCCAGCTGCGTCACCCACTCTGTCAATATGGATTATGGTGCTGATGTGTATATAGCTTTTCTCCTGTCTCATTTTTTTATTTGACTATCCCCTCTTGCTGCTAACCATCCACCAGTGTGACACTTAGCAAAATAAAATATGGCAGCATTTTCTGTTAGAAAGCCCGAGGGTATAATGCTAGTGATTCTAATGTCAGTGATACTGATTTTGGTAGAGACAGAAAACACTTTTACCCTTTCCAGTTCTTCTGAGATAAGCATATAGCGGGATGTGTCTGTTCTCACTTTAGGTACACACATACACACACATGTGCACACACACACGCATATCACTTGTTCTATCATTATTGGTAATTATAACTCATCATATCCAATAGAATTTTAACTTGTGATCCAACATAGTTCCTTATATCTTAAGGACAAAAAATGAAATAAATTGAATAAGGAAAACAAAAGACCTCTGATCAAAAAGCGTTGATTGATATTGGCATTCTAAATAAGCAAATGAACTTATATAGAAACATGATGGATCTTATCTTCATTTAATCAGGAATCCTTTCAATCTAGTTTTCCTTTATGACACAAATTCATTTTTTAATTTTATGAGATGTCAAACTTCCTCGAGTGGTGGGAGAAATAGCTAGAAGGTTTTGAGTAAAAGATTTCGGGCCATGATTGACACAGTGCAGTGAGGGCATGCGCTTTCCTGACAAGCTGTAAATTCGGCAGTGAGTTACAGTATACAGGTGCTCCTTAGAAAGGCTCTGACTAGATAATTCGTGAACATCAGTCTATATATCAATGGTGGGAGCTTGCAAATGGCCTCGGTATTGGATGCAGGAGCATCTTTTCTTTGAGGAGATGTGTGTGTGGTTGTGACAATGAATTATAGCAGCCAATGGGAGGGAGGATTATGGATTATGCAGATGAAAAGTGCAAACATCACTCAAACCAGCTTTGACAGAGCCTTCTAATCAAGATTCCACTTCCTGGCCCTGGTGGATTAAGCTTTTAAAAAAGTGCTTGAAGTTCCATTGAGAAGCAAGTCACATCTTTATAAATAAACCTTGACAACAAAGGTGCTTCAAAATATATGTTCTTCAAATTTAACAATGTAAATCACCAGAGAAATATCTCTCTGTGGACTGCAGTGTCCTGTCTGAATGCTGTCTTCTTTTTGTTGATAAGAACTTGTTCTGTTTTATTTTCTTGTTAAATTTAATATTTCTTGCCTTACCAGGATTTGAAATAAGACTGGGTTTCACATCAAAGAAAGGTGGGGGAGTGGGGCAAGTGGCTTTCTTAATAATATGATTCTAAAAATATTTTCAATAACTTTTTATTTTAACCATTCATATGACAATCTAGTCAAGGTTCTTCCCCCACCTCCCCAAGGTACTTAATTGTATTGTTTATTTCTGTCAATTCTTTGGGGTTTGAATTGGAACCTTTAAAGACATAGTCTATTTTCTCAGATTCTTATGCTGTATGTGAAAACTTGTGACTATTTCTTTGTTATTTTCTTTTCATAATTGGTTTTATTTTCCTGGAATCATATCTAATGACTTTATAACAAGAAAAGAAGATATATGTTAATAAAAAAAGAAAAATTCCAAGGCTGAGTGAGGTGGCATTTGCCTGTAGTCCCAGCTACTAGGGAGGCTAAGGTAGGAGGATCCCTCAAGTCAAGGAGTTGGAGAGCGCAGTGAGATATGATTGCATCTGTAAATAGCTGCCACACCCCAGCCTGGGCAACATATTCTGACTTCATCTTTAAAAAAAAAAAATTTCCAAAGACATAGTATTAGCTGAATTCCCCTTCCTGCTCCCAAGAGGCATACAACATCAGATTTTTTCCAAGCAGTATATACATCTCCGTATGATACATTAACATACAGTGTAGAGGCAATTAATATTTTGTTTTTTCTTGTTTTTGTTTGTTTGTTTGTTTTGTTTTGTTTTTTTCTTAAATAAAAGCCATATCATTAAGCTGAGTTACTTTTGAAAGGCTAATTAAATGCAGGCAAATAACTAACAAATTAAATGGAAGTTTCCATTATTAAATAACAAGAAAGAAAATATAGTAAACTGTTAATGTATTAGAAAAAGTCATTTCTATATAGCTGATTAGTTGCATCATTTTAGAATAAAATCATAAAGAAAAAGAAAAAATGATACACGGCAAAATCGAACTGTTCAAAATGTACTTAGTAATTTTTATTTCTCTCTTGCATTTTTATATTAAGAAAACACAATGTGGCTCGTAAATGTATTTGCTCTCTCTGTATGCATTACGCTTTGTATAAAACAAGTCTAAAAAATAAATGAGGAATATTTAACATGAAACTTTAAATATACCTGGGAACTTCATTTAGGAGGTTTGTCATACTCTGTTATCAATTTTCTCTGAGCATTTATTAAAGAATATCTTTTGTTTTAATTTGACCCAGTCAAAGCAGTTTAGAGACATTTACAGTGATGAGGAGGGAGCTTCAATTAACTTTTCATTGCTGAGATATTTTATGTGCATGTATTATAATGCAACAGGGCAATTACCTAATACCTTTTGTGAAAGAATTCTAATAAAGAAAGAAATTGATTTATACATAATAAAATTCAAGCTGTTCATTTTATTTCTCATCTAATTTTTATTATTATAATAGTTGTAAACTCTTATTTTGAGACCAGTGGAAAAAGTTTCTAACTTACATATAATATTGAAAAAATTTCATTATTATAATTTATTTTAAAGTGAATTTATAGACAAGCTACGGTTAAAAATTACATACTCTTCAAAGATATTATATACAGTGTGGTGCTGAGCTCTATTTTATTTTCTAAAGAGATTAGATGAAAGGTTTTAAAGTTGATTTATATATGTCTAATTCTAAATACTATGGAATCAATGGGAAGATATTTTCTGGACTTTTCTGTTTACTAAATATTAATTTTTAATCTGCCATTTTAAATTATAATCAATGAGCTGCTTTTGGTTTAGTAGGAAATACGTATTTCTTCCTGAAAGTAACTGATGAAAAAATAAAGTGAATGCTTTTATAATTTACCTGAAAGTTTGGAAACCTCAAAAGTTTTTTTGAATTTATGAGAAGTTAAAGTTACTCTCAAGCTGTTCTTCCTTTTCTTCTCTGGCTCAGTGAAGAGCCAATTAATGTCAGCAGTGTTGGCTGTATTTGCAACACGGACCGTTGTCTTCTTGGAGCCAAGGTGAAGTGAAGGCTACTTTGAGTCAAGACTGTGAAAGAAAAGAGATTTGAACATATTTGCTCTTTCCTCGTAGATTTGTTTCTATCTCCACCTCCTCAAGCTTCAAGGAAGGTGTGAAGACAAAGTATATTGTTTATACCGGATACTTTAGAGCAAGCAAGGGAAGCTGAAAATAGCAGCTTAAAAATTTGTGACAGTTTTCCCTTAATGAAAGATATTTAAAAATAAAATTTCTTCATCAGATTTTTATCTTCCCCCTGTTAATTAAGGCAGAATAATTAGTCTTTGTGTTAATTTAATGCTAACAAATCACAATATGAACATGCATGCACACACACACATTCCACACCTAAAATATATAATCGAAAGATATAAAAATCTATTTTAATAATTATAATAATGAAAAAATATTATTTTTCAACAAAACTTCTGTTTCCTAAGCGCTTATATATAATCAACATATACGATGTTATATTTATATAACATGTATATGTTTTCATTTGGCAATTCGGCCATTGTATGAGTAAAACCTTAATGGGAGATTCTAAAAATAATGCTTGGAGTAAAATTAACACCTGGTTAAGGTTTTTCCACCCTATCTTTTCACGTTGGCACTACAGCTAAGAATCTGCATGGACTAGAAGCAAAAGAACGGAATGCTGTAACTTGTAGTATAATGATCAATAGCAAAGAAAGTGGGCATTGGTGCTGCCGAAGGTGGCAGAGAAAGCCCCTTCAAAGGCATCAGAGGGGACTTCCTCTCATTGTGGCTCCCCTGGGAGACCACCAAACACCATCGTACTGATTCTTTCTTTTTCTCTCCCTCCTCACCTAAAATACCCCTCTCTTTTTCTGTCTTCTGGATACCAAGTTTTTGTTTTTCTTCTTCCCTCTCTGGACACTCTTTTTCTGTCCCTTTCATTAGTTCCAATTCCATTGTTCATCTCTGGAATGCTGGGAGTTATTAGCTATTTTTCTGAGGGTTCTTCCATTACCCAGCTATCCTTTCTCCATGGACAATTCATTTGCTTCCATGAATATCTGTAGGCAAACAACACCCAGCTCTAAACCTTCAGTCCAGACCTTTTGTCTGAGTTCCAGGCTCTTGTGCTTGAGAGTGAGCTGAACATCTTCACTTGGCTGTGTCCCTGAATGTGTCATTCTTGATCCTTTTCACCTCCCCTTCTCTCACATAGTGTTGCTCACCACTTCCTGTTGGTTTTCTTTCCTAAACAATTCTTGAATCCATTCCTGAGTTTTTATTCCCCTAGATTAGCTGTCAGTAAACCCTGACCTGAAGATCAGGTCTGACCTGCCGGGCACCTGTTTTTGTGAATAAAGTCTCACTGTAACATGGCCCCATCCATTTGTTTACATATTGCCTATTGCTGTTTTCTTTCTTTCTTTCCTTCTTTTCTTTCCTTTCTTTCCCTCTCTCCCTCTTTTCCTTCCTTTCCTTCCTTTCCTCCCTCCTTTCCCTCCCTCCCTTCCTTCCCTTCCTTCCCTTCCCTTCTCCTTCCTTCCTTCCTTCCTTCCTTCCTTCCTTCCTTCCTTCCTTCCTTCCTCTCTCTTTCTCTCTTTTCCTTCCTTCCTTCCTTTCTTCCCTTCTTTCTCACTCTGTTGCCCAAGATAGCCTCGGCTCATTGCAATCTCTGCCTCCCGGGGTCAAGTGATTGTTCTGCCTCAGCCTCCCTAGTGGTTAGGATTACAGGTGCCCGCCACCACGCCAGGATAATTTTTGTATTTTTAGTAGAGACGGGGTTTTGCCATGTTGGCCAGGATGGTCTTAAACTCCTGGCCTCAAGTGATCCACCCACTTTGGCTTTTCAGTGTTGGGTTTACAGGCATGAGCCACTGCACCTGGCCCTATTGCTGTTTTATTGCTACAACCACTGAGCTGAATTTTGGTGACAGAGAACATGTGGCTCACAGAGCCTTAAATACTTACTCTCTTGCCTTTTAAAGAAAATCAGGCTTGCTGCATTCTGATATGGAGAATGCGCACACACAGGGTCACTACAGGGACTCACCTTAGTGATTTCAACGCACTCCTAGAGACTCCCTGCTTACCTTCCCAAATTCAGTTCTCCACAATATGAAGAGAGTCATTATATCTAATTCTCACCATGTCACTCATTAGCCCTTCAATGACTCCCCCTTGCCTTTGGGATAAATATCCAGACTTCTCAACATGGTCCACAGACCCTTGCAGGAGCTAGTTCTTGCCTTGCTTCTTGCACACCTCACTGTTCCAACTGCATCAGACCGCTTACCTCTGGACTACAGCACATATTTCTTTGCTCCAACATAGCCCCTGGATCAGATATCATGCCTCTAGAAACCTCCCATGACCACCAAAATCTGAGATAGGGGCTTCTCTTCTGTGCTTGGACAGCTCTGTGTGGCTCCTTCAGTAGGTCCTTCACTCTGAATGGAAAATGCCTGCTTGCCCCTTGCGATGGTTTATTTAACGTGTCAGCTTGGTTAGGCACTTGGTTAAACACAGATACTTGGTTAAACACCAGTCTAGATGTTGCTGTGAAGGTATTTTTCAGATGAGATTTACATTGAAATCAGTAAACTTTGAGTAAAGCAGCTTACCCTCCCCATTTTGTATGTGTGTGTGCCTCATCCACTCAGCTGAATGCCTTCAGAGGAAATAGGCTGGCCTCCCCTGAGGAAGAGGGAATTCTGTCTCCAGATTGTTTTGAAACTACAATGGCAACATCAACTCTTCCCTAGGTCTTCAGCTTGCCAACTTACCCTGCAGCTTGTAGACTTACCAGTCTCTAGAATCATATAAGTCCATTTCTTAATATCTATTTCTCTCACTCACTCTCTCCATCCTATTGCTTCTGATTCTCTGGAAAACCTTCACTAATGCACCTCTAAGCATGTAGAGTGTATACTTCATGCAGGTAGGAGCATGTCTGTCTTGCTCATTACTAAAGCATGCAAAGCTACCATGGTGCGTAGAATATAGTAAATCCATTTATTATAGGAACATAGTAACAGAAAACATATGGGAGAGAAGGAAAATGGATACAACGAGGAAAAATGGATCTATATGTAATCTCAGGGCCACTCAAGACAGTTCTCTGTGGAGGCAAACTGGGGTCCCTGAATGGACTGCAGATCCCTGGTGAGAGAGGAGCTCCACCAACACCATTTCTCAGGACACAGTGTGAGCGTTGGGGCCATGACAGTGAGGAACTATGAATGAAAATCTTTCTACCTCTCAAAATATCACGAATGAGAGGAACAGACCTATAAGATGTGGATTTTGCTCACCGCGCACACTAATGTGCACAGCGAGGTGTAGGTTTTTTAAAAAAATATAGATGGGGTCTTGCTATGTTGCCCAGGCCTTGATCAGCCATAAACACCTGGCCTCAAGCAATCCTTCTGCCTCAGTCTTCCAAAGTACTGGGATTACTGGCATGAGTCACCACGCCTGGATGTGATGGAGTGTTTTATTGTTGCAGTTATTGTTATTAGTAAACATGATTGCTCTAACACCATGGTAGGAACATTTGTTTGGCAGATCAACTACTCTCAGAAACGTTAGTGAGGGGCTCTCCCAACAACGGCCATATTCCAAGAAGCTGATCACCTGGAGAACTGGATTAAACACACTGACACTATGTTAAATTCACATGGTGCCATCGTAGTTGTAATTGTAATTTCCATCATGGAGTGGAAGGGACATATGTTAATAGGGACACTATATTAAACTTAACATATTCACAGTTTCCTTGTCCATAACATATTCACATACTGTGCCTTCTACTCCATGATGGAAATTACAATGAGCATGTGGTCTCTAAAAACAGCTCCCAATTTATACACATTTTTCTGTTTATTTGTTTTTCCATATCTGCTCAAATCTGATCTGTCCAGGTCCTCTTAATAGCTATTTTCCACCCAAGAATTTAACCAGGGGATTCCCCGTAAGAGGCGCATTCTCTGGGGCTCCATTGTCCTAAAGATCATTCTTTCAGACTCTTGCTCATCTGATTTAACCACTTACTTAATTTAATAAACACTTATGCATGGTATTTATTATGTACCAGGCATCATTCCAAGTAGTTTACTAAAGATTAATCAATAGTATTTATTACTTAGCAACACCACTAGATAAACACCATGATTATTCACATATAAAAGAGAAAAGTGAGGCACATAAAAGTCGGGTAACTGGCCCAGATTTCTGCAGCCAGTAAACGGGAGAAGCTACATTCATCCCATGGCTGGGAGCCAGAGACCAGGCTCTAAGGAAGCCCCCTAGGCTGTGTCTTTGTCATTTGGCTTCAGCTCTGTGCCTTCTTCCAGCTAAATTGCAGCAAATCACCCTTCTAGCTTTGCCTGTGCTGGACTCTATGGGCCTTTGTGGCATGTCCAGTAGCCTTAGGCCAAGTCATCTCATTTCTAGGCCTTTCCATTTAGACCTAGTTCTGGCTCTCCTACTTGGCTCACTGGTCAACCCAACCAGCTGGCCATAGTCCAAGATAGGGAGAATGGTCCTGCAGGTAGTACTCAGCCATGTCAAAGAAAGTAAGTTATTCTCAAGAAAGACAGCGGGACATGTGATGAAGGAAAATCACCAGAACTTACGTTGAATATATCGAGTCAAATCAGGAATGAAATGGGGTTCATTTGGAAGTTGAAGTATTTGACAAATCAGGCTGAACAATCACTTTCACATCTAAGAAAGAGAGACGGAGCCAGGATATCTCTGTTAATGGGTGTTTAATGTCACAAAGACAGAAAAAAAATCTCAGCTGCTGTAGTGACCCAATGACCATCAGTGTCCTGCCAGGCTCATGACTCAGACCCACTGAGGGACCCTGACCGCCTTCCTTTCCCCCCGGCGCTGCCAGCAAATCTGTGGCTGCTCGGCCTCCATGACTCCTGGATCCTTCCCACCCTCCCTACCTCCTGCTTTCCGTTTCCTGATGTCTTCCTCTCTCCCAGGCTTCAAATGAAATGTTAAATTGGCTTCTGTTAGGGGAATGAGACTCTGAGTTACTCAATTTTTTCTACTTCTCTCAACATTCTACACTTTATTAGGGGAACATACATTCTATTTTATAATTACAGAACCACTGGAACATGGCAGGGGCAGTTCAGTGAGCTATACGCTTATTCTTTGCATCAGGCTGTGTACATGACCATTCCCAAATATTTTCAGAAGGAATTCTAGATTATAGATTTCATTGCTAATACTTGGAACTGAAAGAAGTGGAATCTGACCAGCTTCACCAGGTTGAACCTTGTTTATCTCCCCTGTCCTGAGCGTTAACTATCTTTCCTCCAGGTTTCTAGGCTTCCCTTGAGAGAGCCTGGAGGAGGGGCTCTCTGACCCTGAGACAAAACCCATTGCAGCAGTGCTTTGTGCAGACAGCAACGTTGCAAACTCAGTGCTGTGGTGAAATGAGGTGGCTCTGAAGAACTCCACTGTTTGTTTCAGTTTCTCCTGCTGCTTTCAAGGATCCACAGTCTTCTTAGACTTTATAGCGAAAGAGTGCTGCAGGCAACATACTGTTTTTTTTTTTTAATATCAAAGAGTCTGCCCACAGAAACATTTTCATGCACTTTACATTTTTTTTCTTAAAATCAATACCGGGATGTGTGATGTATTTATTGGTTTGCTTGCTCTGTGTGTGTCTTACTAAAATGAGAATGAGGTCTTTGTTCACTATTGTGTGCCTGGCACATAGTAAGTGTCAATAAACATGCGTGTGTTTGGTGGGGGGAATTAGCAAATGAGTATAGATAGGCATCAAATCAGCACACATTCTCAATGAAGTAGTATCAGTTCTTGGGAGGGGAAAATCTTCTGTTGATGTAGAAAGTACAGATATACATGCAGTAAATAAATACACAGCATATCTGTGGCATTAACACTTCATGGTGGAAAATGATTAGGAAAAAATATCTGAAATGGCTCCTTAGGTCGGCAGGGGGGTGGGCGGCGATCATGAAAAAACGGTTGAGAAAAACATTGAAATAGAAATTGAGATGAATGTATTCTAATAGCTTTCTTTTCTTGTTAATCTGCATATGCATTCATACCATATACAGTCTTATTGTGGCAGTAAGAACTTGACTGCAATTTTTGCCAAAGTTTGGAACTTTATATTTTCTTTAAATGTGGAGAAGTAATTTTCATTTCAAGGACAAATTAATTATAGACCTGCTATAATTTTCAGGGAGGAATTTTATTTTTCTAGTAAAGCTCTGGCATGAATTATACATAGCGATATCATGATTTTAAAGTGTAACTTAAAAGGATGAAAGAGGGGTGTTCTGGTGGCTTCTCTTTCCCTTATGTATCTCTCTCATGTATCACATTCCTTTTAAGCACAATATTCTGAATATCATTCACTGTTTTCTATCGCAACCTGCAATTTGAGAGTTAAGAAAACATCCTGTTAATTAATTTCCGAAGCACCTCTTATCAGTACGCAGGCAAACTGTCAAGCTTATTTTAAAGAAATATTTTTGTTTCAGCTATTAGTCACTTCATTGATTTCCAAGTGTATCTTAGGGAATGGTGGAGTATGATAACTCTAGTTCTGGTAGATATCTAAGAGGCAAGAAAGTGGATTAGGCAAAAGTGATGAATAAAAAAGGAGAAGACAAGTTGTATGATTCTAATTTCATATGTGCACAGAGAAAGAATAGGCTTTCAAGATAGAAATGTAATGCAAATTAAGTAATGTCATAGAAAATAGGTGCTAGTAGCTTTCTGGAGTCTATAATTTATTTAGAGTGCAGTGTCCAAACGTGTGTCTGTGTGTGTGTGTGTGTGTGTGTGTGTGTACACAGGCATGCATACAATCAAAAGCCTAAGAAGACTTCTCAAGTATCGATAACTCATAAACAGGTGATCTGGCGGTGGGAATATCGTTCTTGCAATATGCTCTGGCTTATTGATAGCTTCTACTTTTCGTAAGTGGGGTAGTAGAATAATCACTCCCCAGAGATACTCAGGCTGTACTCCCTGGAATGTGTAAATATGTCAGGTTACAAGGCCAGGGGACATGTAGATTGTAGATGCCATTAAGCATGTTAATCAGCTGATCAAGAGGATAATCTTATCCCAGCATATCTTGGATTACTCAAGTGGGCCCAATGTAACTACAAGGTCCTTATCAGTGAAAGAGGGAGTAGGAAGAAAGAATCAGAAGAAAGCTGGAGCTTAGTCATCCGGTGGTAACACCAATAGAGCCAATAATCACAATAAGGAGATGGGAAGATGCGGCTGGCCATGCTGCCCTAAGGATGGAAGGGGCCTTGAAGCAAGGAATATGGGCAGCCTCCACAAGCAGGACAGGCAGGAAAACAAATTCTTCCCTAGGTCCTCCAGAAAGGAATGCAGCCCTGCCAACTCCTTGCTTCTAGCTCAGCGAGAGCTGTGCTAACCTACATGGTTTTCTCAGTTATTCTTCCCACAAGTACATGAGGCAAGAATTATGATGTCTACTTTACAAATGTGGAAACTGAGACAGAGATTTTAAGTTGCTTGTCCAAATACTCAGAGCTGGTGTCAGTGCCACACTTCAACTCATGTGTGTCTGACTTGTGGAATCTGCCCTCTTTCGTCTGTAGGGCAAGCTTTCTTAGATGAAGAAGCCAGACACAGAAGACACCATTGGAAGTATTTGATACACACATGTCTTTCTTTGAGACCAGCTAACAGGTTTGTTGAGTTGTTTCTTTATTAATTTATTTTTCAATGCCAGTTTATATGGCACTTAAATAAAATAGTTGCTCAATACATGACTATCGAAAGAATGCAAATATAAATAAGTCAGTGAGTACATTCGGTTGCTTCTCCAAACAGAGATAAGATCATATAGCCAGGGGGTTCTCAAGAATCATAGAGAACAAAATGATTGGATCTATGAGTCACTAACTTTCTGAAATTTCCTGAGTTGTTCACTCATGTATGTTATGATATTTCTGAAATTTCTTGTGTTGTTCACTCATGTATGTTATGGTATTTCTGAAATGTCCTAAGTTGTTCACTCATGTATGCTATGATACTATATTTTAATGCTTCTGAGGGAGCTTTGACTACACACACGTGTGTGTGTCTCTCCTAGATTTTGAATTCCTTGAGGAACTGGACCACTTCTTCCTTATTCCTGGGTACCAAGTACCTCGTGTGCATAATATGAGGCACCTTTATAGCAGAGCCTTCAGAGGTATCTTTTGCTCTGAATAACACCAGAAAGAGCATCTAGTGGAAAGATGCTGTGTTGCTCTTGGAGTCAAAGGAAGGGCTGACCAACCAGGCCATGGGAAGCCAGCCAGAGCAGCTTGGAAATCTCACCACAAGGGCTCTTTGGCTCTTTTGATGCTACCACTGGATGGTGAAGCTCCAGCTTCCTCCTTGCTCCATGGTCTTTGCTCAGCATTCAAATTCCCAGGAGAACACAGCTGATGCAGCTTGGGTTACAAGCCACCTCTGGGACCATCGACTCTATCATGTGGAAGGTGGAAGACATAATTTTCAAAGGAAAGTGGGGATACCAGAAGAAAAGGCAAATAAGTCCTGGATAGACCAAAATTACAAATGTTCATTGGAGTATGGGAAACACAGGTTCAAATGTTACCTTTTCTATTCATTATTTGTGTAACTTTAATTTACTTGAGATTACTTTCTCCCACTCTAAAATGAAAATTATATTAGTTTCTTCCTTATAGTGTTGTTGTGAGAATTAAATGAGATAATAGAGGCAAATCTTGGAGGCACTGTGGGTTCAGTTCAAGACTACTGCAATAAAGGGAATATTGCAATAAAATGAGTCACACAACTTTTTTTGGTTTCCTAGTGCATGGAAAAGTTTGTTTTTACTATATGAGAGTCCATTAAGTGTGCAACAGCATTATGTCTAAAACCTCAATGTACATACCTTAACTAAACAATATTGCTAAACAACGCTAATAATCATCTGAGTCTTCAACAAGTCATAATCTTTTGGCTGGTAGAGGGTCTTGCCTCAATGTGATGGCTGCTGACTGATTGATGTGGTGTGTGCTGAAGGTTGGGGTGGCTGTGGCAATTTCTTAAAGTAAGAAAATAATGAAGTTTGCTGCATACATTGACTCTTCCTTTCACAAAAAATTTATCTGTAGCTTGCGATGCTGGTTGATAGCATTTTAGGCACATAGAACTTCTTTCAAAATTGGAGTCAGTCATCTCAAATCCTGCTGTTGCTTTATCAACTATTATACACTTGTGTAATAGAAATTCTTGGTTGTCATTTCAACAATGTCTACAGCGTTTAACCAGGAGTAGATTCTATCTCAAGAAACCCCTTTCTTCGTTCATCCACAAGGAGAAACATCTCATCCATTTATATTTGATCATGAGATTACAGCAGTTTAATCGCATCTTCAGGCTTCACTTCTGATTCTAGTTCTCTTGCTCTTTCTACCACATCGTCAGTGACTTCCTCCACTGCAGTCTTGAACTCCTAAAAGGCATCCATGAGTTGGAATAAACTCTCAAAATCCTGTTAATGTTGATATTTTTACCTTCTCCCATAAATCATGAATATTCTTAAGAATATCTAGAATGGTGAATCCTTTCCAGAAGGCTTCTAATGTACTTTGCCCAGCTTCGTCGGAGGAATCACTGTCCATGGCAGCTATAGCCTTATGAAATATGTTTCTTAAATAGGAAGACTTGAAAGCTGAAATTATTCCTTGATCCATGGGCTGCAGAATGGATGTTTTCTTGGCAGGTATGAAAACAACGTTAATCTCCATGTACATCTCCATCAGAGCTCTTGGGTGACTACGTGCATTGTCAACGAGCAGTGATATTTTAAAAGAAATCTGTTTCTTAGCAGTATGTCTCAACAGTAGGCTTAAAATATTCAGTAAAACATGCTGTAAACAGATATGCTGTCATCCAGGCTTTGTTGTTTCATTTCTAGAGCACAGGGGGAGTAGATTTAGCATAATTCTAAAGGGTCCTAAGATTTTTGAAATGTTCAGTGAGTGCCGGCTTTAACTTAAAGTCACCAGCTGTGGTAGCTCCTAATAAAAGGGTCAGCCTCTCCTTTGAAACTTTGAAGCCAGGCACTGATTTCTCCTCTCCAGCTATGACAGTGCTAGATGGCATTTTCTTCCAATATTAGGCTATTTCATCTACACTGAAAATCTGTTGTTTAGTGTGGCCACCTTCATCAGTGATCTTAGCTGGATCTGGATAACTTGCTGCAGCTTCTACATCAGCATTTGCTGCTTTACCTTGCAGTTATATATTGTGGAGATGACTTCTTTTCTTTTTTGAGATGGAGTTGCACTCTTGTTGCCCAGGTTGGAATGCAGTGGCACAATCTCGGCTCACTGCAACCTCTGCCTCCCAGGTTCAAGTGATTCTCCTGCCTCAGCCTCCCAAGTAGCTAGGATTACAGCCACCCGCCATCACGCCCCGCTAATGTGTTTTTTTTTTTATTTATTTATTTATTTATTTATTTTTTTATTTTGTATTTTTAGTAGAGATGGGGTTTCACCAAGTTGGCCGGCTGGTTTTGAACTCCTGACCTCAGGTGAGCCACCTGCCTTGGCCTCCCAAAGCACTGGGATTACGGGCGTGAGCCACTGTGCCCGGCCGCCTTCTTTTCTTAAAGCCTATTAACCTACCTCTGCTAGCTTCAGACTTTTTTCCTGCAGCTTCCTCACTTCTCTTAGCCTGCTTAGAAATGAAGAAAGTTAGAGCCTTGCTCTGGACTGGGCTTTGGCTTAAGGGAATGTGTAGCTGATATGATCTTTTATCTCGATCACTCAAACTTTCTCCATATCAGCAATCACGCTGTTTCACTTATCATTCATGTGATCCCTGGCATGACACTTTTAATTTCCTTCAAGAACTTTTTCTTTGCATTCACAACCTGGCTAACTGTTTGGCCCAAGAGGGCCAGCTTTCATTCCGCCTGGCTTTCGACGTATTTTCCTCACTAAGCTTAATTGTTTCTAGCTTTTGATTTAAAGTGACAGATGTACAACTCTTTCTTCCACCTGAACACTTAGAGGTGATTGTAGGGCTATTAATTCACCTAGTTTCAATATTATTTTGTCTCAGGGAATAGGGAGGCCTGAGGAGATGGGAGGAGGAGACAGGAACAGCCGGTTGTTGGAGCAGTCAGAACCCACACATTTATTAATGAAGTTTACTGTCTTATGTGGGTGTGGTTCATGGTACCCCAAAATGATTACAATAGGAACATCCAAGAACACTGATCACAGATCACTGTAGCAGATATGAGAATAATGAAAAAGTTCAAAATATTGTGAGAATTACCAAAATGTGACACAGAAAAACATAGTGAGCACATCCCTTTGGAAAAATGGCACCAATAGACGTGATGGACGCAGGACTGCCACAAACCTTCCATTTGTAAAAATGCAGTGTCTGTGAAGTGTGGTAAAGTGAAATTCAGTAGGACAAGGTCCCCGCATGCCTATGTCCTCGGCAAAATGCCTGACACTAAGTGTGTGAGCGATGGCATTTTTAAAAAGAGGAGCGTCATCAATTAAGGCGCAGGGAATCATGTCCTTGACGATGAATTAGGGAAAATGATTTCATTCTTTTCATTGTGGTGACTGGTCCTGTGGTTTTCAGTTGGTATGAATAGCCAGTGTTGCCCAGTGTGGGGATAGAGGTAGGGTTTTCTAGTAGCCCCACATGGCCTGGGATTTCACAGTCACACAAAGGCTGATGGTGGGTAAAAGATCAGATGGCACTGTTAACCCACAAGTTGGTAAATCTGCCCACAGATAAAATCAAGTTGACTGTATTTGCTTTTCATCAGTCTCTTTTTAGTTACTAAAATTTGCTAGCTAAACATTGGCCAGTTTCAACCTGCTTAATTTATGAAAATTGATAAGATCACAGACCATTATTCAGTGGCTTCAGTAGTGCAATTTTCTTTTCCCATATTCATTCAAGTTGTTTGAATATCGTGTTATTCTTGTCCTCATCTTCCTTTTCATTTTTTTTCTATTGCTTTGTTGAAAAACCAAAGCAAAAGCTTTTAGTTAGCTGATCTTATTCTGTAGAGTTGACAGTCTCATAAGGTTAGAATTGTTTTATTACAAAAGCAAACATTTGAGACCCCAGATATACAGCTAAGAATGTTTGAGAGAGTAGGTGACTTCAAAGATGAATAACTAGATATATGTCTACAGTTTTCAGGTTTTATGAAATGAAGTGGAACCTTTTTTTAAAGCATTCTTTAAAATGTTTTTTTTTCTTTTCCCTGATGATAGGATCAGTATTGCATATCAAAGAACATTATTTTCAAATAGGCACAAATACACACATACCACAATCACTTGTTTCAGTTCCTTTATTCTTTTTGAAGAAGCAAATATTTTATGAGTCTTAAGAGATCAATTCTCCATGCTCTTGAACCACATCAAGTTGCCCAAATGGAAGAGGAGTCTCAATGAAGGGTTTATGCAAGGAGGCGGAGATGTTGATTTCAAGGCCTCACCTCGCTAACCATCTTAATTCTGTTGATGCTTTTGTACCTAGGCAACGAATAGAGAACATTTTAAAAGTCTGACTTCTTAATTAGAGGAATACCAGACTGGATACTTATTACAAAAGAAAAAAGCTACATTATTACTATTTTTTTTTGCTAAAATACAAAGACTTACATTTGATTAGCTGCAAGGATGAGACTCATTAGCTCCACCATAGAAACAAACTCTTGAATAACAGAGGCAGTGGGAAGAGATTGTCAATGATCTCTGCACGGCAGCTGATTGTTCTCTAACAATTATTAGAAATAGTGTGATATGAGACATATAACACATATGGCAAGGATGGTGCTTCTCCTGTAGTTAATGCTCAGTTCACAGGGCTTCTTCATCTAACTTGAGACAAATGTACAGAGGTCTTTGTTCAGTGGCACAGTTAACTTTTCCTTTGACAACTTTGAGCAACAGGAATGTGGCAACAGAAAACCTACAGGTGAGACGCTAAAGCAGAGTCAAGACATACTTAGATGTGGCCAGGATCTGTTCTGCCTCAGTAAACAAAACAGTAGAGGTATAGGAATATCAGTAGAGTTTGTCTCAAGAATCACCACAGATATTTTGTAGTATTTGCATCTTTCACTATAAAAAAGTCATTCAGATTCAGTGCAAATTTCCCCCTCTTGCTGCAATGCCTGAGCTTAGCGGCTGCTCTCCCCTGGAGTCTGAACAAAGCTGGCACCTTGCTATAAACTGCGTATTTCTTACCAAAGTATTTTAAAAGTACTAAGGAATGTTTAACTGCAAGTAAAGGGGAAAAGCCACACTGGGAACATCTTTTTCCAAGAAAATGTCAAAAGCTAATTCACTTAATTAAAAGTCTGAATTACAGCACCTAATTTTTTTAATTGAATGAGAATATTACAATAACTGAAGACAAACAATGTTTCTAAGCAATTTAGGATTCACCTTAAACTTAGAAATTCAAAATTCTACAGCAGAATTGATCTTTATTTCCGCATTTAAAAAATCTATGTCCTATGTTTTTTAGGGGGGTTTTCAATCTAATAAATGAAATTTTATAGGCTACGCATGTAGAAAATGACCTGAACTTCTCCGTACTCGCTGTTTATAGCTATGCATTGTCATCCTAAAAGCAATCCTTTACAGCGTTCTGTAGAACATGTTGAGAAACTTAAGTTATTATTTAGGAGGGGAATCTTTGAGGTAATACAGCTATTCCCATGACGGCCTAGATTCTCTACTGTCTAAAATTCTTTCTGGGCAGTCATTGAGTAGAATGGTAGGCATTTAAAAGCGTATGTATTACAGGTCTAAAACTGATGAATAGAGTTAGCAGGATGCGGAGAGGTGTTCTCACCTTCATGCTGCTGCTCATCGGATGAAGGTGGTGAAGGGGAAACAGTTCTCTGCCAGCATGGAGGGGGATCCACCAGCAGCTCATCTAGTTGATATTCGCAACCTGAAGTAGTAAGGGCCATTCATCCAAGTGGTGAATGGGACTTGAATGTATGGGTAACTCAGATCCTAGCCATTGAGACATTGTGTACATCGATCACATTCACAGCTTTAAGGAAAGCAACCTTTAAAAGTGCCCAATGTGTGTTTTTGAGGTGGTGATGGGTGCTACGTGGGAAGAGAACAAACCAGCAAACCTGGCTTCTTGCAGTCCCCACCCCCTTTTTTTTCCCTATATATGAGTGGGAAAAATAGTCCTCAGCTTGCTTCCTAGGTTTGCTGGGTAGATGCACACACTCGTGAAAGTAAAATGCTAGGACAATCAAAGGACATAAACTCAGCCCTGAATGTGCAGAGACAGCTCAGTTTCTCCTGTTGGGCCTGGAGAGGGGAATACTGAACTGTAATCTCTCAGTGTGGGTTTCGGCTGGCTGACAACAACCTCATTAACAGTGGCAGCCAGTCGGGTGCGGCTTAACTTCCATACTTGGTGGAGAGGTACGCTAAGAAGAGTTCGATGCAAAGCCTTCTATCCAGGGGGGTACAAACCAGCAGGGAGGAAGGAGTTGGTTTCCCAGGGGGCTTTTAGGGGTAATCTTGTTAAGAAACGTAGGAAGATTATTTAAATGCCTCTTAAGCAGCAGTTCCTCCCTCTTGATATTTTCAAGGCCGGTAATCTGGTCTTTGTTTTATTTTGGTGCTGCCAGTCCCACTAGTGATAGGGTTGGCATGCAGCTGATATTGGCAGCGTGCTCACTGTCATCAGATGCCAGCTTAAATGGATGCTGCACTGAAAAGCCAGCATCCTGTGCTTCCAGTGCCAGCCCTGATTTGTATGAAACCAGCAGGTAATTTTCTTTGTTTGGAGCAGTGATTTTTTTTCCCTTTTATGATTCACAATTAATTTTCTGGCTGGAAAATAATATCTGGAAATACTGTGTCCTTTATACATCGTTACATAAATAGGCACAGAAGGAGAAAATTGGTGAAAAATGCATTTCATTGACATTATTTGTGTGAGTGTGAGATTCCTTCTATGTAGTTTTGGCTGATTTTGTTCAGGTA
This sequence comes from Homo sapiens, assembly GCF_000001405.40. Classification (NCBI taxonomy): domain Eukaryota; kingdom Metazoa; phylum Chordata; class Mammalia; order Primates; family Hominidae; genus Homo; species Homo sapiens. Next base: position 106,277,372 of record NC_000013.11, on the reverse strand, counting down.
AAAATTGAGCCTAAAGGGCCTAACGGCAAAGGTTAGTGCTTTTCTTACTGTGTCAGTGAAATAGGAAAAGCTGCTTAAATATTCAGTTATGATCTGGAAGTTTTTCTACAATGCACTCCAATTTAGCCCCCATCATGTCCATCACTGAACAGAAGCATGTGTAATAAATAGAGAATAGTAATTTATTTTTCAGATAGAAGTGAGAATCGAAGGCATAGATTTGTCTTCAAACAGGTTGACATGACTCACTATGGTTTGGCGTATGACTGCTTCCTTCTTAAGTAGCTAGTTAGCTGAAAAACCTTGTATTATTCATCATCTTTTTTTTCCCTTTCCAGAGAAACCTGTAAAACATGCTGACTATATAAGCTATTCTCAAAATACACGGTCATTTTCTTGGAAGAAGGAATGGTATCGGGTTGTTGATTGTGGAATGTGGATTGTAGTCAGTTATGCTAACATTTCATTTAATCCCTTCAAAATTAAATAAATTAAATGCTAATAAAACTCTTTTACTGAGGTGTCTACTAACCCTGTGACCGTCTCAGAGGGATACCTACAGCTGCATTTGGGGTTCCAATATAGTGTAAGATTATTTTCTCAAGTTTCAAGCTTAAATAAGCTGAAGATTTTGTTGATTCTGGGTTGAGATGGGGGGTGGTTGTGTGAGGATTAATGGAGCCATTTTGAAAACCGTTGCTAATCAGGCTAAAATGAATCACACATTTATAGGGATGTTGGCCTTTTTGCATTTGTGTGCATAGCAGACACAGTACACTCAGTATCTCCTGTGAACTTATTTAAGTCAGTAGTAATTCCTTGTTAAATATCCAAATCTTTGGGGAATCAAGCTGTAATCCCAAATAAACTAATTGTGGAAGGTCACATGTAACTGACTATTATGAACTTTCGTGAAGTGGGTAGCAAGGTGATTAGAGTTTCTATTTGACGACAGCTTCCTATAGACTAACAGTTCCCTGATGGCAAAGCTCATTTTAAATAAAAGCATCTGAGTTATTTTCTGAAGATTTGAAGGCATTTTTTTTTCTTTGGAACATCTGAAGCAAAATTGGTTTGGAGAAAACACAAGAATCACTGCTAAATTAAAAAAGGATATTAGAAAATATTTCTGTGTTTTTGAATTTATTAGTTTTTATTATATTTTTCAAGGCATGATGAACGTTGTTTTCATGTTGTTACATGTAAAAAAGTAATCCAGTAATCAAATTGGTTGGGTAGAAATGGCTCCTTCAGATAGGCACTTCTTTAAGAATATATTCCAAGACAAGAATTTCTAGAAAATTCTGTTTCTGTGGCCTAAAAATGGATGAAAATGCTCAGAAAATAAAATCCTTTGCTTGCCAATAGCTGTAATCACTTGAAATAATATGATACACTGGCTAATCACAGCAAATGTGAAATATATTTAGTTTCACAAGTAGAATCTGCACTTTAGCCACAATGTGTGATTTGGTAAAGGAAGCTGGGGCTACGTGGGTGGGTAATTGCACCCACCCAACTCCGCTCCACCCTGACTGAGGCTGTGTGTCCTTACAGAAGCATGTGTCACAAACTAGCCTGTGTCTTCATTATGGTAAACAGTAAAATATGTTATCTTGGTCAGTGGTTCTGCATATCTGAGGGACAATTTTAGTTAACGGCTGAGGTAGTTGGATGGTGTACAATTCTTAGGCTCTGGGTAGTTTCACATTAAACTGATGTGACCGTGGCTGAAACTGCTATTCAGCATTCTGGGTTAGGAGGCAAGAAGGGGCTGACATCCTCAATCCTATTTAAGCAGGATAAGAGCAATACAAATAAACTATAGACTAGTTTCAGCAGTTGGCTGCCTAGAAATGGTTATTATGCCTTATGTTTTCAGTTGGAGTTTTGTGAACAAACCTCACATATTTGTTTAAACCTTTGGGGTGAGGCAGAGTGGAATTTTGCTCAAGATAAAATTTATGCTTAGGTTTGTAGGATAGGAAAACATTTTATAAATTTGGGAGCTCCAGTGTTAGGGGCATATATATTCAGGATTGTGATATTTTCCTGTTGGACTAATCCTTTCATCATTATATAATGTTCCTCTTTGTCTCTTTTAACCGTTGTTGCTTTAAAGTCTGTTTTGTCTGATATAAGAATAGCTACTCCTGCTTGCTTTCAGGGTTTCCATTTGCATGGAATATCTGTTTCCATCCCTGGGATAGAAAAATGCAAAGGCTCCCCCTTACCCCAGCTTTTGTAGACATTCAGGGATTTGATGAGAAAATTAAATGAATTTCTGTTCATTGAAGAGATATGGTACCATGCAGCAAAACCTATCCCAAGGCCCTGGGTGGAAGATGCCTCACTATTCTGGTATGTAGCATGACAACCTTGCTATTTTTTAAAACATAAGTTGTGGGCACAAGCACTCTGGAGAATCTTAAAATACAGCTACATGGAAAAAAGTATCTTTAATGGCACAGCTCCATCTCCCTTGACTGCATTGCTATTGTGAATTCAAATTTTCTATTGGGTAGCAGGTCCTTGGCAGTGTTGTTAATGTCAACATTTTATTTCCATGTGTCCAACCAGCAGGCACCCTCAATTTTTAAAGTATTATTTTTGAGGTTATTCATACCTGTTTGTTCAACATTTAAATTGGAAAATGTTTTAGTCATTCCTGGTCAGTTGTATGTTTTCAAGACTGAGGTAATCCTGTATCTCTAACCACGTGGAAACACTGACTTGGAATAAGATATAAAACAAACTTTGTCTTCCCTAGAACTCTCCAATGCAAATTTGACGACGATCAAATATTGACCATGTTTCCTATTTTTATTTATATTTGAACAAGAAATGATGACAGTGTTAATCTCTAGAGTTACCACAAATGTGACTTTGATGCCTGGGTTTTTTCTATGGGTTACACATGCCACTGAGACTTTGGTGAATGACTTTGACCATGCTTTTCAGGGCGCATTTCTGTTGGGCGCCTGCAACTTCACGTAGAGTGGGAGCTGAGCACAGTCTAATTCTTATTGCCGACCATTGGATGGGTTTAATCTTGACTCCTCATGTAGCCGTAGGGTCATAAAAATCTTAGCTTTCAAAGGGTCTTTGAAGGTCATTTTAGATCAAGCCCCTCCTTAGCAGTTCTTTGCATGTTTCTAATAAATATTTTGCATTGGCTGAGGTTGAAGCGTAGCGACGTTGAAGCGTAGTAAGGCTGAAGGGAGCCGCATGCTTCAGAGAAGCAGTGGGTGAATATTAACAAATTACGAAGGTTAAGTAAAGGTATCAAAATACAAATTGTTGAGCATTGAGCAACCCAATAATGGCAAATGGGAGCTCAAGTTAAGAGCCAACAGCAGCAGCCTCGATTTCAGGAGGAGGGACCAGCAGATGGAATAGGATTGATTTGCCTTAACTCCAGCATCTTTGGTTCTGGATGGCTTTGAAAGAGTGAGATGAACATCCTCCTGGTCACAAATTGGAATATTAAAAAAACAGTGCCTTGTAACTGATGTAAAATGCTAGAGCTTACTTTCATTTTAGGTAAATTTACTAACTTAAAAGTAGATATTTTAATTATTGAAAATAATAAAATGACTAATATCTTGTAATGGTATTCATTCTGATTCACACATTATTTTGTCAAATTATTACAGGTTAATGAGAAAGTCCTGTTCCTTCAGAAAGTAGCAACCTACCAAATAACGTTATATCCACATATGTGGTTTATTTATATGGGTATGTTTACATTTACAATAATAATTAAGAATGATTGAACTTTTAAAAATTACATCTTTTCTCTTCGGCCAGAAAATGTTTGCTATCTGAAATTGTTTTGAGATCTAGAAGAAAACAGGGCAGCCCAAGTAACTGAGAATAAAGGAATTCAAACTAACATTTTAAATAGAAACTTCACGTGGATGTGGAGAAGACTGTGGTGTTTAACCACTCAACATGTGTTGGACTGCCACCGTGTTTTAATTGTAACAGGTGAAATATTTGCCAGTAGAAAAACAGTCAAGAAACATTAATAGAAAGTTACAAGGAATGTAAAGATTAATAAATCAGGGAATGGAAGGGGGAAAATGACAACAGAAAACTAGCAGTGTTTTGTTATTTCGTTTACCTTCCTTAGGATAATTTTCTCCTCGTGATAGTAAAGCCGCAATAGCACTCGATCACACAGATAGCTGGCGTGGCTACAAATTACTTGATAGTGTTTGTCAACTATTGAGCACTAGACAGTCTTTCCAGCCATACCCTCATTCACAGATTGTGATCTCCATCAAATCTTTTTCTGTGAAAATGCAAGCTAATGTGGTTATGGTAGATGTCCTTTAATCTATAGCTAGTGCACACTGGAGACTCATGAATCGCTTTTTTTTTTTTTTTTTTTTTTTTTTTTGAGACGGAGTCTCGCTCTGTCTCCCAGGGTGGAGTGCAGTGGTGCAATCTCTGCTCACTGCAACCTCCACCTCCTGGGTTCAAGCGATTCTTCTGCCTCAGCCTCCAGAGCAACTGGGATTACAGGCACGTGCCACCATGCCTGGCTAATTTTTGTATTTTTAGTAGAGACGGGGTTGCCTCATGTTGGCCAGGCTGGTCTCAAACTCCTGACCTCAGGAGATCCACCTGCCTGGGCCTCCCAAAGTGCTGGGATTAGAGGTGTCAGCCACTGCGCCTGGCCTATGAATTGCTTTTGTAAGGACACTGTTCAGGGGAAAGGCTTTCCTTGCTCTCCGAGGTGCCAAAGCTCTTAGGCACGCAAGTGTCCAATGGACAGATGGTCAACTCAAGTACTCAGCCAGGAAGCGCATGTGGACAGAGGAGTTGCTGGGTGGAGTTCCTGTGGGCTGACCATGCTACTACAGACGGCACTGCCCCTGTGTCTCTGGGGCAGTTGAGTCCCCAGATGGAAACAGGAGGACAGCTGGCTCTGTAGCTCCGTGTTTCCACAGAACCTTCTTGAGGAACTGCTTCAGCTCAGCTTCAAGGTGACCCTGCTGCCTCCTCTCTGACCACATGCTTGTTTTTTTTTTTGTTTTTTGTTTTTTCCCTGTTTCCCCAGGCCACTGTCGTTTAGACCTAGCCATGGAGAAACAGGCTTTAAGAAATTTGTTGTTGTTTTCTGACACAGAGTCTCTGTTGCTCAGGCTGGAGTGCAGTGGTGCCATCTCGGCTCACTGCAGCCTCTGCGTCTCGGCATCAAGTGAATTCGTGCCTCAGCCTCCCAAGTAGCTGGGATTACAGGCATGCATCAGCACACTCGATTAATTTTTGTACTCTTAGTAGAGATGGGGTTTTGCCCTGGTGGCCATGCTGGTCTTGAACTCCTGACCTGAAGTGATCTGCCAGCCTCAGCCTCCCAAAGTGCTGGGATTACAGGCCTGAGCCACCGTGCATGGCCTGACTCTTGAAGTACATCTCTGAATCCCTCTGCCTGGAGCAGCTCTCACAGATTCAGTGATTCCACAGAGGATGACCAAGCCTGTGGGTGAGAAGTGTTGATGTGAGGAAGAGATACACCTAGAGCATTGTCTGTGGGGTCAGGAGGGGAGAATGAGCAGTGGAGTTGGTGACAGCTGATCCCATCACATGTCCATTTATAGAAAAAAATTATTTTTCTTTCTTGTGTTACAAACCCACACTCACATATTCAAATGACTGCCATTTTTATATCAAGATGACAGTATTTCTACTAATGTGTGGAAATGTTTCTGAAAAAACTGAAGTGTGTCTAACATTTCTTTTGACAGTATACATTTGCAGATAGTTTGTTAGTTTGTGCCTGTAACCACTGTTTCGTTGCACTCTGTAATGTCAAAACTTCGTTTCTTAGGCTCTTTTGAATGCTACATTAACTCATTCAAACACAGAATCAGTAAAAATAATACAATTGACACAAATTGAACACTTACTATATGTTAGGCACCACTGGAACTTCTCTTCATGCACGAATCATCATAGTGGACTTGTGTTGTCCCCATGTCACAGAGGACCAACTGAGGCACAGCTAGGAGACGATTCTTGATTCAGGCCACACAGTTTTGAGGTGGCAGGGTTGAGATTTGAACCCCAGAAGATGGGCTGTAAAGTTGACAGTCCTCACCAAATACTATATTGCCCCTTAGTTTGTCAACGGGCATCCCAGTGGCCAAGCCATAATTAATAATACTCAACTAGAGTGAGAACCAATGTGTTGTCTACTCAGCACCTCTCTTTCCTTGAAAATTGTCTTCCTTTTTTTGAAGAACTGCCCTTTTTATCCTGTGAAACCTGAGTGGGTACTAATAAACTTTCATGATAGTACAACGTTAAAGCCTCTGCCCTCACTTGCTGCCCTTCCGCTACGATTGGGAACCCGACATAGTTGGATCGAATAGAATGCTTCCCTGGAAATTGTGGAGCTGGGAGTGAGAATGAGAATCCATTCTTTCTCCACCAGGCTCAGGTGGGAACCAGCACAACTTCAACAGTATCAGCGCCATGTCTTCTGCCATGTGGACCAGGGGAGTGAGGTACGGCAGCGTGACAAGAGAGAAAAGGCAAAAACACGGCAGAGGTAGAGAAGGGCAGAGCCGGCGCTTGCATCCCACGCTCTATCCCAATGTTTTGAAGTCTCAATATGCTTTTCTCCTGGATTTCTGAGAGATATTTTTGTATCCTTTCACAAATATTCTGTTTGACTAACCTAGGTTGAAATAATTTGTTACTTTCAATCAAAAGAATTCTAGTTAATGGAAAAACATGAAATAATGGCACTGTATTCATTCATTTATTGAACACATATTTGAAGAGTGTCTACTCTTTGGTGCCAGGCATTGGTGTTGAGTATACCATGGGAACAAGACTGACAAGATCCTTGCTCTGATGAAGTTCACATCTGTACCCAGAGAGCCCAAAGAAAGAAAGAATTAAGTAAAAGGAGAATGTTTCAGAGGGATAATAAATTAACAGTGTGAGATGCTGAAGCATGAATGGACAAGGCTAAGGTTTGCTGTGTGGTCTTGGGGTGGTTTCTTAGAGGAGGGGATATTGAGGTTGAAGTTTGCATGACCAGAAGGGAGTGGCCTCACAAGTTCTGGCTTCTGGAATGTTCCACATTAAAAAAAAAAAAAAAACAGTGAGGACAAAGGATCTGAGGGGAATTTGTTTGCCATAGTCAAAGTGGAAACTGGATAAAGAGTTGTAGAGATTGACTGATGTCAGTAAAGGAAGGGAAGCTGAGAAAACCAGATTTTGCCCAGAGAGAAAGATAGGCTAAATTAAAAAAAACAAAACAAGTAAAGAAAGAAAAAAAATTGGAAGCTTTCTCAGCTTATGTGATTAGAGAAGGAAGAGAAAAAGGTAAGTAGTACATGATCCCCAAAAGACTATTTTTTTCTGAATGAGAAAGAAAAATGAATGGCAGTAGGGCTACATGGGCTGTGATGATAGCAGCTGGGGTGGGCTTTGGGCCAACCAGGACATTATACTAGTTCTTTCCTATAAAGAGAGAATTAGGCTTTAAAGAGCTGCCACCACCTTGAAACCATGTTATGTTTTAAACATTTGATTGTAAATTGACAAATTATAATGGTATATATTTATGGGGTATGAAGAGATGTTATGATATGTGTATACAAAGTGGAGTGATTAAATCAAGCTAATGAAGAAAGTCATCCCCTCAAATGTTTATCACTTTTTTTAGGGTGAGAACATTTGAAATTTATTCTCTCCGCGATTTTGAAATATACAGTATGCTATTATTAACTATCATCCCCAGGCTGTGCAAACAATCTCAAAAAACTTATTCTCAAGTGTAACTGAAATTCTGTATGTACCCTTTGTCCAACATCTCCTCATTCCTCCTATTCCCCGTGATAGATAACAACCATTCTCTTCTCTTCTTCTGTGAGCTTGATTGTTTTAGATTCCACATGGAAGTGAGAACATGTGGGATTTCTCTTTCTGTGCCTGGCTTATTTCACATAGCATACTGTCCTCCAAGTTCACGCATTTTGTCGCAAATGACAGAATTTCCTTCTTTTTTTTTTGAGACGGAGTCTCGCTGTGTCTCCCAGGCTGGACTGCAGTGACATGATCTCGGCTCACTGCAAGCTCCGCCTCCCGGGTTCACTCCATTCTCTGGCCTCAGCCTCCTGAGTAGCTGGCACTACAGGCACCCGCCACCACGCCCAGCTGTTTTTTGTATTTTTAGTAGAGACGGGGTTTCACCGTGTTAGCCAGGATGGTCTCGATCTCCCGACCTCGTGATCCACCCGCCTCGGCCTCCCAAAGTGCTGGGATTACAGGCGTGAGCCACCACGCCCGGCCCAGAATTTCCCTCTTTTTAAAGGCTGGATTTTATTCCATTGTGTTGATATTCCACATTTTCTTTCACCATTTATCCATTGATGAATACTTAGGTTGATTCTCTCACTTGGCTGTTGTCAACAGTGCTGCAATGAACATGAGAGCGCAAATATTTCTTCAATATGCTGATTTCAAATCCTTTGGATATACACCCAGAAGTGAGATTGCTAGACCATGTCATGATTCTATTTTTAGTTTTATTGTGGAAAACAACTCCATACAGTTTTATACCATGGCTGTTATATTTTTTAACTGAACTTAAGGTTCCTTCTCTAGCCTAATCTTCTTCACCCTGCCTTCCTCGTCGGTACTTATGGAGGTTGTTCCATGATGTAGAGAGGTGACCCTCAGCTCTATCACATCAAAATCTTGTGGAGAGCATGTTAGAGCACAGACTGCCAGGCCCCATCTCAAGAAATTTTTGCCCAATAGGTTTGGAGCTGAGAATTTGCATCTCTATCAAGTTCCCGGGGCTGTGGCTGCTGGTCTGGCCTCACTTTGAGACCACTGACGTAGAGAAGGCTTGTTGGGGCTCATGTCAGCATGGCCTGGGGTCTGGTCTGGATGGAAGAATGCCTACTGATGTAGGACTTGCTAGTAACTAAACTATTCTAAAGTCAACTCCTGATAGATTTAGTAATGCCAACCAATGTTATATTCAAGAGCAGCTTGAAGAGAAAGTGAATTATGAGGCACCCGCAAAAGCTCCAGTGTCTTTAGTGAGTAGGTGTTGATGGGAGATGGTGATGGTCATAATTCCTCTCAGATTGCTCTTTGGGAAAAATGAGTTTGCATTTTCAGGAGCATCAATTTGACACAATTCGAAGTCTTGGCTTCACTAAATCACAGCTCTATTTTCATTTTGAGGTCTTGGATTTACATATATTATGATCTTAACCAAACTACTAAATTTATAACATTTTTCTTCTTCCACCACAATGGCAGTCTTTTAATCACTTTGTTTTTGTAAGAAGCTGTGTAAAGTATTTTGCATGAATAATTATGATTATGTAGTCTCCACTGCAAATTTTTTGTGCTAAGTGAGATGATTTTTACTCTAAGGACTGAAAAAAGTACTTGGGAAGCATATTAAATAGTTTCTTGTGTCACACCACAATAGCACATAGTTTTAAATTTGCAATTAATTCACAGGTGACAAGAATGCTATTCAGATTGCCTATTTCCTATTCTAAGAGATTTATATTTAATATGAGTAACTGACATACACCATAAATGAAATAGCAAGTTTTCTTTATGTTCGATAATAGATCCATTTTATGCTAAAGAAACATTAAAAAAAAGGGGGGGAAAGGGGCCCAAAGAATATATACGTTATACCTTTATGCTGAAGCAGGGAGTAGAATTATTTTCTAGTATATTTTCTAGTTTTATCAGATAAGATAAGAATATGTGCATAATTTACTAAAAGATTATATTTATCTGCTTACCTAGTTCTATAAATATTCTACTAAATTCTTACACTTAGTATTTCATGTAGAGGCTCTGGCTTTGCCATTTCTTATGCATGGCTGGAGTTAGATACACACATCACGGCAAATTCTGAGCCTCCCTGTCTTGAAATCCTGGAAAAGTCTTCCGTCTCAAGTGAAGGGTCCTGCAATGTGTTCACAGAAAGAAACAAGCAAGTTACAGAAGGAAAATATAAATCATATGAAGGGGACATCTCTGTCAGCTGCCGCATGCTCATGTGTGAGGCCATCTTCTTATTTTCACTCCTCCCCTGTTGCTATAGATGGAAGCTGCCCACTCAGAGTACAAACCTGCGGACTGCATTTCTGCTGTATGGTTGCAGCAGAAATTGTTTTGGGTTTTTGCTTTACAAATAGTTATGGGATGGATTTAATCCTATTGTCCTATCTGGTCCATGACTAATGTCTTTGTGCACCTATGGCCCTAGGCCTTTTGGCCAATCGGAGGGCCATCCTTCCTTCTGCGGTTCATCTTTCACAATGTGAACAAATCAGTGAACTTCATGCTTTATTTCCTAATTGGTTGATTAATACGATCTAGTCCATCTTCTCAGTTATTATCACATCCTTAGGCAGCTTTCCTTACAGTATAGGCATCATGTTAAGAACCAGGTACACTTCCTATTTTTGATTGGACAAGAACAATCTCTTTTTTTTTTTTTTTTTTTTTTTTTCATGTAGGCTGTCTCAGATTCCTACTGCTTAAAGAAGTTGCCAAATTCCCCTTTGGCCACAAGCAATCTCTTCTTACATTCCGCCTACATTTAGGTATATCTCTTGTTTTATGTTCATATTGGGTGAAGGATTAAATTTTGATTTACAAGTTACAGTCGTGAGAAATCTATGTGTTAAACTCAATTGTTACCAAAACTTACAATTGCTTTTTTTTCACTTTCTCAGTACTGTTAAAGTTTTCTTTTCTCTTACTCTTAAGCAGTTGTTGCTGTTTCCCTTATCTTAGTTAAAAAATAAGTAGACTGAAAGAAAGAAAGGCAACAAAGAAAAGCAAATTGACTGAGTGTCTTATTACTTGGGCCATTTAAAGATCTCGTGCTAAATTTCCCTTGAAAAGCTCACCCTGATTGATTTCTAATTTCAGTTACTATCTCATACCTAAAATTCCACAACGATAGCATATCGATTTTGTTCCTTTGTTTTATTTCTACATGAACTTATCTGATCCAGGGAATAACATTAGCAACTCACCAGTCAATAGAGCTTTTTCTTTGGTGTATGTTTCTTATGAAGGAATTAGAGCAAATACAAATTCATTTTTAACAGGTTTAAAATCCCTCATTATAAGCTAAGTGTTGCCTGGATGGGAAATATTGAGGTTTTTTCTCTATTTTTTGGCTTATAGATTAAAAATCCTTTCTTCATTTGGTGTGAGGCTTTGCTTTGATTGGGCATAATAAAATCTTAGTTTGCAACTGACTTTTCATATTATAAATCTCCCAGAAAGAAAAAAACAGATTTGAGTTCATTTATTTTACATTTTAGTTTTACGACAAGCATTTAGATAAAAGATAATTCTCTTCTGAATATTAAAGATTGATTTGACTCATATATTATTGATGAAAAGCACATGGAAAAACCAGGAGTAAACATCCCCGAGATGGTACGTTGTAAGCTATAGATTATTTTATATATTCTTGATAGTAAAGGAATTATACTTTTTAAACTTTATTGTATTATATTGTATTGTATTATTATTATTATTTTGAGGCAGAGTTTTGCTCTGTCACTCAGGCTGGAGTGCAATGGTGCGATCATGGCTCACCTCAGCCTCGACCTCCATGGGCTCAAATGATCTTCCCACCTCAGCCTCTGGAGTAGTTGGGACTACAAGCCTGCACCAGCATGCCTGACTAACTTTTCTGTTTTGTACGGACTGGTTTCGTTATGTTGCCCAGGCTGGTCTTGAACTCCTGGGCTCAAGAGATCCTCTCTCCTCAGCCTCCAAGTGCTGGGATTATAGGCTCTAACTTTAAATCTGTGTAACTCTGGAATCCTTCACTTTGGCAAGTTTTATTTATATTTGTCAGCAGCTAATTATAATTTCAAAAAACCTTGTTTTTATATTAAATGCACATTAGAATAATTAAGACAAAAAGAGAAGTACTTCAACTTTTCACTTTTAATAATATAATTTATATGTTTAAAAAAGACCAGTAGGTATCTTCTATTAAATAATCCTCATTAATTGTGTCTACTTATCCAAAAGTAAATTAAGAAAGGGAATACTTTTATCCCCCTCAGTGAATACATTTCATGACACTTGTCTTGAGACAAAAGGCCTTTTTTTTCCACAACATCTTTTTCATGTACTGAGGGTTATTGCAGAGCTCAAGCCATGGAATGGAGCACCTTGGATGGGTCACTGCCACGGCCAAGGTATTGACATGCTTCTAGATCATGCTGAGGGATTAATTTTTAAAAGTATGATTGTTTTCATTTCTAGGTTTTAATTAAATATGCTATCTTTTAGAGTGCATCCTGAAAAACAAGCAACACACAAAGTAGAAAAGAACAATGCAAGGCGCACATCCAGTTTTATAGAATTGTTTCCCACTAGAATGAAAACCTATTTCGAAGTATAGAAATATTTGATAAACATTGATATCCTAGCCCTAGCCTTCCCAAAGAAACTAATCAGATAAAACTAGTGTCTGATTGCTTACTGTCCCTTTGAAAAAACTGGACCTTAGAAGAGCAAAATTCTGTAAAGGCTGTGGCCACAGCATTAAATACAACTGGACCATACTTTGTGGAATGCATTGTGCACAATGGAAAGTAGAATAACACCGCTCTACATTGCAGTGCAGTTAGAACATGTTATTCCAGTCAAATCATCTCATTTTACTTGGCACCCCCTTAGAAGTTTGAAACAGTTTCTGTGGTTTATTAAACCAAATGGATTGCTATAGAATGTCAGGCTCATAGATTGCAGACAGGTAGTGAGTCTCAAGGCATGTGCCTTTCTTTTTCCTGTGGATGTGTCACGTCGGAATAACGAACTGTCCATCATAGAGGGAGTGATTAAATACTTTTCCTTCCCATCAAATGTAATTTCTGTAAGACTGCATCAATTGAAGCATACAGCTAGGAAATTATGTTTTCCCCACTCTCCCCCTGCCATGCTAATTCCTAGATATGCATTAACTGCACATGCTGCCAACACTGGCAAAAGCAAATGCGTCAGCAAAGTGAGCTGATGGAACCCTGTGAGTGGTATTTCTCCTCCTTTTAAGAAGCTCCTTGAGTTCTGAGACAAATATATATTTGTGTTCAGATCAATTCTTGGCCTTACTTTATAATTTTTCTTATAATCATGTATTACTTTGTTGAATGGTAGACTTTTGACTGGCTCTCAGTTGGTAACTTCAGTGCTTTAGGACAAGTTGGAGCAGCATGCAGTTTCTAAGAGTCCTTATGATTTTTAATGGGCTAGACTGGTGAATAGTCATAAGACTTAGTAAAACATTTGGCAGGAAAAGTTAGAATTTCTTAGGGAGATTAATGACCATTGCAATTTTTCCTTGGATTGTTCCACAGGGTGCCTCTGGCCTTAATGAAAACCAAGTGAAAACTTTGAGCCAAATTCTAGAATTATTGTTCGTGCCTTTGCTCATGTGGTCAAAGAATCCTAATGCAGGTTCGAGGCTCTACTTCATTCTGTGGTCGATTAGTTTGTTCATTCATTCACTGAATAAACACACCTATCACGTGCCAGGCAAGAGGATGCAATGAAACATAAAATCCATAATTGTACTCTGGTATCTCATAGCTGCAAGGAGTGACAGGTGTGTAGGCCCATGGGCACGCCACAGGATAACAAGTGAAGACAAAACATCGTGGTGATTCAAATGGAAATGGCCAGTTTTTCTTGGAAAGTAGAGATGCCTTCACAGAGTGGGAGGTTTTTGAAGTCTCAATAGGAAATTTCCTATGTTGACTAAGCATGAAAGAACATGTCGAATAGAGAAAAGTGTTTGAAAATGCATAAAAGCAGAAAACAGCCTGATGTGTTCACTCATGACGAAGGGCTTGATGTGGCTGAAGTGTGGAGTGCAGGGGTCAGGGGCCACGCAAGGTGGACAGTGGGAGATGGACCCAGAGGAGGAAGAGAGGCCGGGTTGTCACAGCACTGAACAGGGGGTTAAACAGATGGAAGTTTCAGAGCCTCTGCAGGACACGAAAGCATATTGTGATATAGTAATCTTACATTTTTGAAAGATCACTGGAGCGGAAGAGGAGAGTGAATGAGAGGGGCTCAGGCCAGAGGCAGGGAGGTGAGTTGGGAGAAAAATGAAAGGAACCAAGAGGAAGATGAGGATGCAACACGGCCACCTTTATGACTCACTGCTCTGGCAGCATGGAATACTTACTCTTGAAGTGGAAGGTGGAAGGAACCACGGCTCATGGGCGGTGGCGAGCCTGAAATATTTGAGGCTTTTGGAAGACAGAGAAGCAGCTCTTCCCCCTATCTGGAGTTGACATCTTTGAGCAAAACAAAGTCGAAAAATATGTGTTGAATTATTAACACCATTTGCTTTGGCCTGTCGGGCTTAGCCGTGTCACTCATCAAGTTTCTCACAGGAGACCAGAAGACTTCTTAGGAAAAAACATTGGCCTGGAATGAAGAATAATACACCATTAGAGCAGCATGATACTAGTAAGATTAATTAGGTTGGTGAATATGTACACTGTAAACCAGCATACAAATATTAGATGCTACTATTGTTTTCCATATGTTAATAGGATCCAGATATTAGCGCCAGTCACTGTAAGGTACAGATGTACTTGTTCTCTTCCACAGCTATAGAATTTGAACTTGAACAAAATAATAATCTCATAAATGCATCATTCCAAAGCATGTGTGTTGTCAAGAATATGGCATAAGCATTACCTCCATGTATAAAGAACAACACACAAGGAATTTGACAAACTTTCCTGGGGTCCCTACATGTCTTGTGTAGAGAGCTATCTCTGAGAATCCAATAGCAAATGAAACCCAGCCCCTGTTTTTTCTCATCCTTACTCTAGTGGAGGAAACAGCAGCTTAGAGGGCAAATTCAGGTACAGAGAAGACAAGGGAAAACAATGCTATCCAGACTGCTGGGTACCTGGGGAGCAAATGGCCAGGCTTGAGGATCCAGGAGGGAAGCCTCAGCTAAGGTGATGCCTGAGAAGAAGCAGACTTTGGTCCAGGAACAGGAGCTGCCTGCTTGGCACAGAGGAAGCAGCATGTCTGGACAGAGAAACAAGTCACTGCAGAGCTGAGAGAGTCTTGCATGAGGGATAAAGGCAAGGGACACTGGTGGGTAGGATAGAGAAATTTAGGAGAGAGTAGTGGCATGGCTTGGTGATGGATGGGATGTGGCAGCCAAGAACAAGGGAGGGGCCAAGAGTCTCCAAATTTGTGCTTTTGTTTTTTGTTTGTTTTATAAAATGGATTATTCTGCATGTCACATTGAAAAATCTACTATTTTTTTCTGAACAAATGTATCAAGAATTTCCTTCCAAATATTGATAAATCGATCTCAATCTCTGAAGGCCTGAAGAGCATTATTCCAGAAGTAGGCACCATAATTTGAACAATTGAATCCTGCTGCTGAGCTTCAGGTTGGTTCTGGTTTGGGGTCATTACCAAGAAGACTGGAATGAGCAAACTTATCCACGTAATTCACAAGTCGGTACTTTGATTTTTGAAGGATAAAGTAAGCAAACGAATAAGAAAAATATAAGAGATTTGATATATGTATAGGCAAAAAGGCATGATAAGGGTAGTTACAGCAGAGAAATTGCAAATGACAAATACATTTCTGAAGACGTTCACATCAGTGATAGGGGTAGTTACAGCAGAGAAATTGCAAATGACAAATACATTTCTGAAGACCTTCAAGTCAGTGATCAGTGGTGGGGTAGTTACAGCAGAGAAATTGCAAATGATGAATACATTTCTGAAGACGTTCACGCCAGTGATGGGGTAGTTACAGCAGAAAAATTGAAAATGACGAATACATTTCTGAAGATGTTCATGTCAGTAGTCAGAGAAATGCAGACACACAAACCAAAACAGAGAAAAAATTAAAAACAAAAACAAAAAACAAAACCCCCCAAATGCCAATTTCACCAGTTGGCAGAGTTGAAATATATACATAATACCCTGTGGTGGCAAACGTGAGGGGGAAATGTCGTTCTTAACCACCATTAGTGGGATTGTAAGTTAAGTTTTTGAGAAATAATTCGTCTGTATTTAATGCAATTAAGCATGCATAAACCTTTGACTCAACAATCCTACCCCTGGAAATTAAACTGGGATGTTTTCACAGAATGTCTAAAAACATACGAGAAATGGGTGCTATGGGGAATATGTTCCCAACTATTTTTACTGATAAAAGGAAAAGCGAATTTAAGTAGCAACTTAGGGCAACTGGGAAGAGACACAGAGAGCGATTGTCTCGATATATCAATATTGATCCTACTCTGTAGACATTTCCACATTATATTTAATAACTCCTTTTGGAAAAAATAAATTGATAGATACTGGAGTTTTCTAATCTGTTCAAAATGCATGCATGAAAGGCATACATTACTTCTAAACTAACCAATTAAGTCTTACTTCAGGTTAAGAGGCTTGTGAAGCCTTCTCTGCAGCTCATGGAAATGCTGCAGAAGAGGCCTGGGGTGGGGTGGGAAGGGGCCAGGATCACCAGACTGAAGGAAGGGCTGGTTCTCTATGCCCAGCCTCGGGCTCTGGATTTGTTTGTAATCTAACTCTTTAATCTAAGTCTATAATTTTCATTATACCTGAGGACATGGCTGTCAGGGAGAAGCGGCGCTGTGGAGGCCAGAGGGACACTCAGAGCCTTGTGGGCTCAGCGAAAGGCCGGTTAGGAGGGCCTCTCACTTAGGGAGGTGCTCACGGGGTTGAGGCGGTGCCTGGGGGATGCGAGCAGCCGGAGATGAAGGAGGCACAGGCGGGAAGGCTGCATACTCTCCCGATGGCAGGTGAGCGACATCGGAGGCAGCTTCGGCAGACGTGGCCTCAGGTGGGACCATGAAAAGTGAGCCGCAGAGCGGATGTTCTGGACAGAGCCTCCGGCAACGTGCTTGCCGATCTCTAGGCAAAGAGTTGGGAGGTCATCCCTGGAGGGTCCTTCTGGATCTCCGGTTCAGAGCAGAAAACTGGCTTCTCAGGGGGGAGTAGACGTAACAAATTTAACACACCCGTATCATTTTCCTGTGCCTGCTGTAGCTAACTGCCACAAAACGGGTGGCTTACATCAACACAATCAATTCTGTCACGGTTCTGGAGGCCAGAAGTCTGACGGGGGCGGGCCGTGCTCTCTCTCCGAGCTTCGGTGGAGGACACTGGCGCTCCTGACCTGCAGTCCTGTCACCGCAATCTGCGCCTCCATGGCCGCAGGGCGCCTTCCCCACGTCTGTGTCTTCGCAGGCTGTTCCGCTCTCTGTGGGTTTCTGCGTCTTCTGATGACGACAGCAGTCACTGGAATAAGAGCCTCCCTACTCTAGTACTTTCTCATCTTAGCTGATGTTCTGATGGTATCTGCAAAGATCCTGTTTCTGAATAAGGTCACATTGATAGGTACTGGAGGCCAGGACTTCACATGTCTTTTGGGGCCACAATTCAACCCACACCCCCACACCCCCACACCAAGCACGAATTCGGTAGTGCCTCTTAGGTGGTGGCCTGCTTGGGGGTGGTCATGGTGATACAGAATGGCTGGGCTCCGGGCTAAACCCACCCTTAAGCCTGGAACTGCAGCCCTAAGTGAAAACAGTCCGCCCTGTTTTTCCACCCAAATGTTGCCTTTTTGGTCTGCCATGCCCCTATCCTGTGCCCATACAGAGACTTCAGCTCGCACAGCAGCACAAATGGCTGAGTGTTGGGGATACAAGTGGCTGAGCGGCGAGCAGAGAAGCAGCGACTGAGCTCTGGAGACTACAGATAGACGCAGCTAACTTCAGACGGTGAGTCTTCAGGGGAAGAACACCTTCCCGCACCATCCCCTTTCCAATTCCCCATCCCACAGAGAGCCACTTTTGTCATCCAATAAAAGCCTCTGCATACACTAATCTTTAATTCTTTCATGTGACCTGATTCTTCCTGGACGCTGGACAAGAACCCAGGTGACCATAGAGCAGGGGCTCGGATGCTGCTGCGGGGCCTGCACAGAGCCTGCTCCTCCAGAGAGGAGCCACGGGCTGGTTCCAACATTCGTTCCCTCTGGTTCCCGCACTCACTTGCTTGCATGCTTCCTCTCACCAGGAGTGGCCAGCTGAGTGAAACGAGGCACTCCAGTTCCTGCCCCATGAAGGGGATCAAGGTCAAGGGAACAATCCCGTCTCATCAGTAGTGGAGAGAGATGTTCTAACAAACATGTTTCTCTAAAAGTGGGGCCAGGGGAGACCTTATTGATCACTAGACATAGATGCCACAGAGAACCAAGCTCAGACAAACAGAGTAGCGTTGCATTGCCACAGCCAGCAGCTGGTACATTTTATTTCAAGGGAGCAAAAACTTTCACAGAAATGAAATGCAAAGACTCAGCTTGTACGGATTGTATTTTCTGCAAGTACCCAAGCAATGGCTGAGGACACCACCCTGCAGGAAGAAGACGCATACCAGCACAAATGGCAGTGACCAAGGCAGTGTGAGTCACTCAAGGAGCACCAAAATGAACCGTGCAGAAACTCAGCGCTTACACACAATTCAGGTTTATCACCAGCTGCTTAGAAGAGCAGTCCAACACTGACATGAAAATCTGATAGGTGCCTTTTATGCATCATTATTCACAAAAAGAAATAACTCTATATCTATATCCGTATCTATATCTCCCTGAATTTTAGACTTAGCCATTTTTAATCATAACTTTTTTTGTCTTCTTTAAAGCTTGTGTAACATCCTTTGCAATTGTTATATTTAGTACCTGAACTAGGGGTATCCTACTTAACTTTTAAAGTTATAATTCTGGAGCCCAAAATGTACAAAAGCAAGTTAGCAACTTGCTGCCCAAATCCCTGCTTTATCAAATGCTATTTTAACAAGTCGCTCTTCTCTGAAGTCATGATACATGTTACACAAAATATGTGCTCTCATTCTGGAAGAAGCAAGAGGAGAGGCAGAAAATGGCAGCAAGTATGGCACAGAGAAGCCCAGTTACTAGAACGTGGATGCAAGATTAAAGCAATACCAGCAGTGACAGTGGACTTAGGCATAGTAATCATAAGGAAAATAGCAACACCAATGACAATAGCAGCAATTTTTAGCTTGTCAGGCATCTTGTTAGATGCTTGTATATTATTGATGTTACTTGCAAAATTTCTGCAACACTAGCATTATTATCCCCACACTTCAGATAGGAAAATGGAGGACTAGTATCTTGTTCAAGTTTGTACAGCCAGTTAGAAACAGAATCTGAAAATCAAAGCCCGGTCTACCTGACTCCAGAACCAGGTCTTTACACGCTCTTGGGGCTTGGTTCTAGAGCTCGGGCGGAGAACTTCTTGCAGGGCAGAGGGGCAAGTGGCCTTAGTCATGGGCACTGGGGGAATGGCCAGTAGAGTATGGACTTGATGGTTTTGCTGGCATTCATAGAGCATTACGTGCTAATAGTTGGCCACTCACAGAAGGGGATGGGAATAATCTAGAAGCAAGAAGGAGAGTTTACATAGCCACAAAAGGTGATTACTTACAAGAGGATTGAAGAGTAGATGTACACTTGTTAATTCATTTAATCCTCCCCACAAATCTATGAGTTAGACTCTGTTGTGATTTTCATTGTATGCACAAGTCTTGGGGCAGAACGGCCAGTAGAAGGGAGGGTCTGAGCATTCAGTGCAAGGGTCCTAGTCTAGGGCCTAGGTCATAACCATGATGTTCTTGGTCATGACCCAGGGCTTCTTGGAACATTCACCTCTGCTTCTGGTTGGCTTCCTTGAAAAATTCTTCCCTGGTACCCTGTTTAGCAGATTTTGAACCCCTGCCTGCTTTGTACCCAGCTGTGACAGGCCCATTATTTCATTCATGATAGTGCCTTGTAGGCTGTGCCCCTACTGTACTTTGTGAGCCTGAAGTGAAATAAGGAATGTAAAAGAGCTTTTGAAACAAATGCGCCAACTAAACATAAACTGCTAATTAGTGTCACATCTTGGGAACTGGTTTCTTGGCCACAATACTGTTACCTGCCACTCTTCTGACGAGTTCCTTTCTGAAGTCCACTGCATTCTGCAACGTTTAGTGTCATTTATTTTTCCAAGTAAGTTCACAAAACATTTTAATGTGTGCTAAATATTTTTACAGTTGGTAACAACACAGAAAGAGAAGTGATAAAATGATGTAGATGAACCACTCACTTATGAACCCATAAGGAGCCTTGAAGCCTGGTGGTGGGAGTTCCCCCTGGCTTCTCTGGGAATGGAAGTGCAGTCAGGTCTGCTGATTCTGTTTGCCTGCACTGATGAACTCAGCTACTTCAATCCCTTCCAACCTACCATTCTCTCTTTTGGCTGCTGGAACGACTTTTCTCAATTTTGCAATCTTAGGATTCCTCCTCTACCTCTGTCTTCTCTCTGAGCTCTAAACCAGCAGATTTCAAGAGGGGCAAATCAGGCAAGGTAAGAAGAAGCTTTAGGTCAGAATTTTGCCCACAAAATTTGAAATGAGTTCCATCTGCATTCCAAAGTATTTGCCTTAATTTTAATGTCATTTTAGATCACACTCTCCCAGAGGCCCCCTGTAGAGACCTACAGGGTAGCCTGGGGTCCTCTCAGTTTCCAGTGAGCAGATCTAGTGGGGTTGAGCCATTGTCTCCCTCACTATTCATTCTCTGGACATTAGCCCTGCCATAGAACACTTAGAAGTGGAACTTCTAAATTGTGCCATATTCATGGTAATTTCTATAGCAAGAGTAAGAGGTGTTTGGTGTAGATTTAGTGTCAGCAATAACACAAATCTCTCCCATAGCACTCACGAGTAGAACTAGTTGATGATATGGAGAATTTATGACTTGGGAGACCATTCATTTCAAATAAAATCAGAAAACTCAGGCACTACTTTGGGATTTTGAAAATCTTTACTGTTCTATTCCCAAAGCTGAAATATTCGAAATACAGAAAGTGTCACTTTACCAAGGAGCAGTGGATTAATCTGTACCCCTGGATTAGAGCCAGGGGAAAGAATACTGAAAACAGAGAAGTCACTCTTGGGGACTATCAAACCTAGGTTTCTTGCTCCTAGAATAAGGACACACTCACCTAGATAGACTCACAAGGCAACTTAGTCATCTTTTGATGTCATCGTTTTCTAGCCTGCAATAGAGATATATAATAATGATAGATATCATTAATTGAGGGTTTACCACTTTGTGCTAAGGGCTATACTTTGTTTTATGCTACACTGATTTTCTCTAGTCTTCACTATCATTTTATCAGGTGGTACAATTCCTCCTTTAAAGTGAGAAAACAGGGAAGTTATATAACTCACTCAAGGTCACTTAGCTTGCAGTTCAAGGGCTGGGATTCAGACTCAGGAATCTAGATAGTTTCAAAGTCTGTGCTTTTTCTAATATACTATGACATCTCCCCCAGAAATTGCTATCAGAATAAAGCTTTTTCTGGGAGACATACTTGGAGAAGGACATTTACAAATGGGAGTGCATAGAAACATGAGTGAACAAGATGGTGGCCATTTAAAAACCATGACATAAGAGGAAAAGTTGAAATTGAAGAAGTTAATTAAGTCAGTGAAAAAGTCACATTAGAATGAAATCATTTTGTTGAGCTACTTGGAGAGCTTTCACGCATAAGGATGGACAGTGTCTGTGGAGCCAAAGGGTCATAGGTGAAATATGAAGGAGGCAACCTTGACCCCCAAAGAGCCAAAGCTTTCTAGGGAGCTTGTCCAGCAATGGAATGAGGAGGAAGTTGATGACTGGGGGTGACAGAAATGATTGCTTCTCAAGGTAGTGAAGAGAAGTCTGCTAATTAAGTAGAAGGTTGGGCTGGATGATCTTGGGTACATATTTTAGGTTTGAGATCACATAAATGCCAATTTGTAACACCTTGGTTGTGGATAAGTTTTTCAGCTCCTTCTGTTTATGACAGGGCAAGACTTGACAATGTGACAACATTGAATGCCTGGAAAGAAAGAAGTCTTGGAGACACTTTGCCTGTTTAACAATTTCACTTAGGATTGCCCTCATATTTACATTTTCCATCGAAAGAGGAACAGAGGAATTCCAGTCATTGATTTTCTCAGAAATTCTCTTGCTGAATCTGAGGAAAGATACATATCAAATTTCTATAAATCTAATGTTATTCATAATGGATTTGGGAGTTCATCTGACTAGGTGTTTAAAGGGTTACGAAGACCCTGGAGTAAGGTTTTCCAGGATGGGAATGTGTGTAATTGAATTGTGACAGAAGATCAGAAAGGACTCAATATATGGGTGATTCATTGCAGGCAAGAATAACTTTCCACTTTCCCCATGAACTCTGAATGTCAGTAACGTGTATGTGAATTAGTAGTGTTGCTGTATTAATATATTGTGTTTTGAATATATTGAAAAAGCCACAATTACTTTTGCACCAACCTAATATGTTAGAAAAGTGCATTATTACTGTTTTTGAAATGAATGTTACGCTCATAACATTTCTTAAAGTCCGAAAGGAGTGATATCCTGGAAAATGTTAAGAAAGTCTTGGCAAGAAGTCAGGTTTAATTAAACTACGGGGACTACATCATTTTAAAGCATGATTTTATCAGATTAAGAAAACCAGCCATGGTCCTCCTCTGGGAAAGCCGGGGATGATGGGGAGACATGGACTCTCCTGACATTGATCATTTATTCATTAATTTGGCAAACACTTTTAACCAGTCTGACTTGATTCATCAACTGTGGACACATACGATTGCATGGCTCTTTTTCCTGGTTATTCTCTTGAGCTCCAAATGTCTTCCGCCTGCTGAGGTTTCCAAAGGAACCAGTGACTCTTGTTTCCAGATGTGAGGGATGGCTTATCTCTTATGCAGTGTTCTTTGGGGGCACTGACCCATCCCCAAAGGACTCCCATTTGTTACTGCAGGGAAGCCATGGCTGGTTCAGGCACTGGCCAGGTGCTACCTCTCAAGGTGGCCCCAAAGATAACCACTCACCACTTATCTCTACTGTGGAATCTGAGCCACCAATGCCGATAAACTTGGGAAATTTATTTCAGCACTTTTGCTGCCTTTCTCTGCCAATGAATCATGATGGGGGCCACCCTTACCTACCTAAACAGCTCACGCAAACTTCACTTATCAGAGTAGTGTTGAGCTGGCCCTGTGTTCATTCCACGGTGGGATGCCCCTCTTCCTCAGTGGTTAGTTTTGCCACCAATTGATGTATACCTTGATTAGTTAGTAAGAGGTCTGTTATACCATATTCCTTACCCTATAACTATATTTACATAAGTCACAAAGTATACATGTTATACAAATGCATGCACATAATATTCATATGAGAGAGGACCATTCAAGTGCTGTTTTCAGAAGTAAAAAGATATTATTCAAGGTGACTATATATATTAGGTTGGTGCAAAAGTAATTCCGGGTTTTGTCATTAAAATAATTACTTTTGCACCAACCTAATACATAGACCATGGATAAGATTGGCTTCAATTTCAGTAGCTCCTTTGCAAGGCATTCTACTTCATTTTAGCCTTAAATATTACACGTATATGGCACCAGTAATACTGTCGTTAAACATTTACTGAGTATGTCCTATACAATAGGCTCTATAGTGAATGTTTTCCATACGTAAGAGCTTTACAACAATTAGATGTAGAGACTACTATTCTCATTTTACAGAGGGGAAACTAGGTTTGTAGTTGTTAAAAGTCACAGCTATTGTACATGTCAGGAGTTGAAACGAGGCTGCTAGAGTTAAACTCAGTGCTTTTCACCACCATCCTGGGTAGACACTTAGACCCTTTTAAGCCTCAATTACTTCTTTGGGGAGTTTTTGGTGTTATGGGTTTCACAGACAATTTTATTATTATAAAAGGGCACATCGTGATGCCTTTTCAAAGTTCTCTGTTGATTTCATAAGCGAAAGACAACTTGGCCATGTGAAAAGTTGGTGGATCACAACTTTCCCAGAGGACTCTGGGTATTGTCTTAGGTGTTTATAGGGAAGTCCAAAAGGCCTTTAATAGTTATTTGTTTGCAGTTGCATTCTTTCAACCCCTAACTCTGCCTACATGCCTGTAGAAATTCTTGTTTTACCTCTTTGTCATCACTTTTTTTTTTTTTTTTGGCCAGAATGTACTTAGGTATAATAAAATTTTTCTTTGTTTTACTTAAAATGTAGTGAATTTTTAAACCTGTGGTTGCAAATCCTTTTTTAGCTCAAAGAATTTTTCTTCCTGTATAGCTTTTATTTTCCTGTCTTTTTCGTTAAGAAAAAATTCTGGCCCGGGGCTGGTGGCTCACACCTGTAATCCCAGCATTTTGGGAGGCCAAGGTGGGCGGATCAACTGA